>NC_000007.14:75006779-77506779 GCF_000001405.40 Homo sapiens | reverse complement strand
AGCCAAGGTGACTGGATCACTTGAACCCAGAAGTTCAAGGCCAGCCTGGGTAACATAGTGAAACCTTGTCTCTACAAAAAATATAAAAATTAGCCGGGTGTAGTGGCACACACCTGTAGTCCCAGCTACTAGGGAGGCTGAAGTATGAGGATCACTTGAGCCCAGGAGGTCGAGGCTGCAGTGAGCTGTGAGTGTGCCACTGCACTCCAGCCTGGGTGACAGAGGGAGATGCTGTCTCAAAAAATGAATGAGAAAAACAGCACCTGACATCTAAGAGCTGCCCGAGCAGTCACAGTAAAACTTGGTGTTGTCCTATTAAATATATGCAATTGCAAAGAATACCAACATTTGACAAAGCCATTCTGTGACCATGATGGATCGATATAAACACAAAACTACACCATAATTATGCCTGAATACAGACAAAAACATGAACATTGTCCAAACTGTAAAGTGACCAAACATCTCCCTATTTTGCCTAATATGGTTTGTTACCAATTACAGCTTTGACTATGTTTCATTTCCCCGACAATGTTTTAATATACCCAGTCATAGAATTGCCCTTGCTTCCTGATGGCATCCAATCCAGAGTAAAGCCCTGGTTCCTTCAGCCCTTCCTAAAACCACCTAAAGCAAGGCAAATCTTATTTAAAGCCTTTCTAATACTCTTTTTACTGAGACACCCATAGTTCCCCATGGTGCATGTTCTCTCTCATAACAAGGAGTAAACCCACCTTATTCAACCACTAGCATACTCCTGTGATTTTTGGGTGGAGGGCATTGACACGCATCTATCATTGGCAATAAATTAGTTACAGGGTCATACTCATTTGCAGGAGTTGCTGAGAAAAGCAGTCTTTTCCTTGGGTCATCAATTGCTCACTGAAAATTGGAGTTTCTATTGTCATACGAGGGAGGGTGTAAAGAGTCAACTAACCATCTCTTCCTCAATTTCCAAACTAAAGAAAGCCAAGAGGCTTTTAAAAATGTCACCATCAGTCCAGGCGTGGTGGCTCACAGTTGCAATCCCAGCACTTTGGGAGGCTGTAGTGGGTGGGTTGCCTGAGCCCAGGAATTTGAGAACAGCCTGGGCAGCAGAAAGAAACCCATCTCTACAAAAAAATTAAAAATAAAAAAATTAGCCAGGCATGGTGGCATATGCCTGTAGTCCTAGCTACTCAAGGAGGCTGAGGTGGGAAGATTGCTTGAGCCCAGGAGGTCGGGGCTGCAGTGAGCTGCGACACCACTGCACTCCAGCCTGGGCAACAGAACAAGACCCTGTCTCAAAAAATAAAAATAAAAATAAAAAAAATAAAGGTCACCATCTAAAATAAATGTGTGCTAAGAAGCAAGTTGAGTTAAGAAAATGAATAAATAAGCCATGTAGTTGACAGACTCAAGAAGCCAAGTTGTAGTTTCAATCTTTCTTTCAAAAAAGGGAAAGATGTCCCAAATGGGAAAAGCATAGACTCTACAAAGGAGGGCAGGCCAAGCACAAAATAGAAATCAGTTGGACCAAAACTAAATACAAAGAATATTCTGCAGAATAAGACATCCTTTGTAAGCTCCATTCCAACAGGAGAAAACAAACAAACAAGGAAATGATTGTTGATGTTAAGTGCTGTATAAATAAATACTGCTAATTCTGAGTTACCATTTAAGTAAAAATGGAGGGAGGGACTAGTTCTTTCTGGGAAATGGAAGAAATATTGGTGCCAGTCTCACAGGGGAGATATTATCTTAGCTGTGCTTTGAAGAATGGGTAGGAATCTACTAACATAATACAGGTTTTTAAGAAAGTAATTACAAATGAATGGATTATTCTGCATTGGGCGTACACAAAGGTTATCATTTTTGAAAAAGAATGCTGCCAATGTGATGAGGTTTTAAAATTAATTAGAGTGAGGCCGGAGCAGTGGCTCACGCCTGTAATCCCAGCATTTTGGGAGGCTGAGGCAGGCGGACTGCGTGAGTCCAGGAGTTTGAGACCAGCCTGGCCAACGTGGTGAAACCTCATCTCTGTAAAAAAAATTTTTTTAAAACTAGCTGATTGTGTGGTGCTTGCCTGTAGTCCCAGCTACTGGGGAGGCTGAGGTGGAAGAATCACCCGAGCCTGGGAAGCAGAGAATGCAATAAGCCAAGATCGCACCCCTGTACTCCAGCCTGTGCAACAGTGAGACCCTGTCTCAAAAATAATAATAATAATAATAATAATAATTTTTGTCTAGATTTTCCTGTTGAGAAGTTGCCTTCAATGTCCTTGGGTCAGCTCTTTGTGTTTTTATTTGCTACAGGTAAGCTCATTAGACTTTTTTAAAAGGCAGCAAACAGATATTGCTGGGTTCATCACTTAACAAAAAAAGTCATTGTTATAAACTTAGTTTCATGAGTGTTTCTTCAAAGATGCTTGTTAAAGTCCCATCAAAGAAAGGATCCCATGGCCTAATGAAGATGTACCTCCACCTTAGGATATTTTGCAGACCAAAATAAGACAGGAGTGGTGAAGAAGTAGAAAGAGAACAATGTTCTCTTGTATGTTGGTCTGCCACTAAATGCAATGTTAGATGACTGATTTCTATAGTTAATGAATGGTAATAGTAGCTAACATTTTTGATCCTTTATATGCATTATTTCATTTGAATTAATACATATAACAACTCTATAAATTAATTATCATTCATTCTGATTTACAGATATCCAAGGTCACATAGCATGCAAGTGGCAGAGTTGACATTTAGACACAGGCATTTAAATTTTAGAATTTGAACTGTTAATCATAAAGCCTATGATACCTTCGATTTACAACATATACTAAATAATATACCAGTATATTATTTGTAAGTGAAGAGTCGAGTAAATACTGTGTTTAAGGACAAAAAAAAAAAGAGAGAAAGAAATCAGCTGTTTTGAGCAAACATATGTCAAACACTGTACTGGGTGCTTTCCTTATATTATCTCATTTATTTATTTATTATTTGAGGCAGAGTCTCGCTCTGTTGCCCAGGCTGGAGTGAAATGATGGGATCTCAGCTCTCTGTAGCCTCTGCCTCCCAGGTTCAAGCGATTCTCCTGCCTCAGCCTCCCAAGCAGCTAGGACTACAGGTGCATGCCACTGCGCCTGGCTAATTTTTGTATTTTTAGTAGAGACAGGGTTTCACCATGTTGGCCAGGCTGGTCTCCAACTCCCAACCTCAGGTGAACTGCCCACCTCAGCCTCCCAAATTGCTGAGGTTACAGGGGTGAGCCACTGCACCTAGCCTTATAATTTAATTTAATTTAATTTTCAAATCACCTGTTACAAATCACCTCCTACAAAATAGGTACAATGTTTCAGTCCCATTTTATAGATATGGCAACTAAAATTCAAAGAGCTTAGATAACTTACATGAGGTAGCTTCAGGTCTGTCTGACAGTAACATTGATGCTGTTAATCACCGTGAAGTGCTGCCTACATATTCACAGTTGTGTTTCAACACTGAACAAGGTATTTGCAATTTTTGGTAACATTTCTAGGTTAAGTCAACTTTTAGCTTTCTACATTTTTTAATTTTATTCAAAACATTTACAGGTTTATCATATTGCCTACAAATGTCACTTAGAGAATGGAGAATCATTTTAATATTAAAACATAATAAAAATTATTATATTTGCTCAGAAATCATCTGATACTTTAAGATATGCTAAAGCTAACTATAAATGACTTTTAAATTATGCTATTCTGGATAATTCACAACAGTATTCCCTTCTGTTAATGGAAATGTAAAATTAATAGCATCTTTTAAATCCAGAGTTTATGTAAAGTGCAGTCACAAATCACAATTAATAACCATGCCCCTCTAACTAATGTTTTCCTCATTTGAGTTTTGGATGTCACAAAATACCAGAATTATAGAATCTGAAAGCTGGGCAAAAGTTCTTAAAATTACGTAGTCTAACATCATTTTACAGATGAGGAAACTGAGGCTTCAAGAGGTTAAAATAATTTGCCCAAAGTGATGAAACAGGTAGTGCCAAGGAGTGGCTGGAGGAGGCCTTCCTACTGTCAGCCCTCACCCAGCCATATTAAACATAATACCGTCTAAATAAGTAAACACACTATCTAAATAGAAATGAGCTTGCTATGTAATAAAACTTGAAGACCCTAAAATCTATTGGAATCCCCCCCCCCAAATCACTTCAGATTTACTTAGATAAAAACAGTGTGCTTGTGTGCAATCACAGATCATATCGCGGTTTTTTTTTTTTTTTTTTTTTTTTTAGACGAAGTCTTGCTGTCGCCCAGGCTGGAGCGCAGTGGGGCGATCTCAGCTCACTGCAACCTCCGCCTCCTGGGTTCAAGCAATTCTCCTGTCTCAGCCTCCTGAGTAGCTGGGACTACAGTTGCACACCACCACACCCAGCTCAGTCATGCCAGTGGTCATTCGCTTTCTACATATATTTTCAATGAACGAAATAAAGTAAAATACACTCATTATAAATAGTTTTTTAAAGAATGTAAAGGCTGAGCATGGTGTCTAATGCCTGTAATCCCAACACTTTGGGAAGTTGAGGAAGGAGCCCAGGAATTCGAAACCAACCCGGGCAAAATAGGGAAACCCTGCTTCTACAAAAAAAAAAAAATTTTTTTAAAGTAGCCAGGCATGGTGGTGCACACCTGCAGTCCCAGCTACTTGAGAGGCTGAGGTGGGAGGATCACTTGAGCCTGGGAGGTAGAGGCTGCACAAGCTGTGTTTGGGCTACTGCACTCCAGCCTGGGTGACAGAGCGAGACTCTGTCTCAAAAATAAATAAATAAAATTAAAAAAACGTAAAATACATAAAGAGTGAAAATCTCTCTTAACCTCCCATTCAATTCTGCTTTAATATGATTTTTCCAGATACTTTTTAATCTGTTTTTAAAACATTTATAAATGTTATATATCTCTCTGTACATATATATGTATGTGTATATATCTATACATGCACACATATGTATGTATGTGTCAACACATATATTTGTGTAAATATACAAAAATCATACAGGGTTTTAAAAATTTTTCAGCACATATAAATCTACATCTTTTTCAAAATAATACATCATACAGTATTTCACAATACGAATGTACCATAACTTATTAAACCATACTCTTATTGAAAGACATTTAAATCTTTTCATTTTGGTGAATACTCTTACTTATAGATGTTTGAATAAATGTAAAAGTGTTTCTATAGAATAAATTTCTATAATTTATGTTAAATAGTATCTTTAAAAATTCTTTTAAATACTACCAAATTGCCTTCCACAAAAGCCATACCAACTTACCCTGAAATTCACTTTTGATTATAGTTGTTCACATGTAAACATTCTAACATCCCAGAACTAAGCAAAAATCCCTCTATGCCATATCCTGTTCATGAAAGAGTGGAAGGAAAAGAATACATAAGCCGTTTCCACAGCATAATGACAATTCCATCTTTAGCCTATAAACAGGAACTGGAACCAGGATAAAAGCATGACTTCCTTTATTTTTTCAATGAGAAAAGCATAGCAGACACCCTCACCCCACACTCCTGTTCCCTTCCCACCCAAAAAATCAAGCAACTGAATAACCAGGCTGCCACCAATGGATAACCACGTTCACAAGTGAAATTAAGGTTGACATTTTAACCAAATGAAAACAAGAGGGCTGGTAGAAACTCACAATGTCTTACAAAACTACTGCTCAGACATTTTGTGTATCATGTCTGCTCACACTCCATTGGCCAATGCATGACATATGGCCACTCCCTACATAATCCTCTTTTAGGAAGCCTATACTTGGGAACACTCACTGCAGCCTACTGTAGGTGGCTGTTCTTTTTATGTTGTGGGTGTGATGAAGAGGTAAGAAGAAAGGAATTGCCACAGTTGAGATCTTACTCTTCTGATAGGACAAATGCTTTAAAGATAATTAGATATCAGCGCAGAAGAGTAGAGAAAAAAAATTTAAAAAGACAGATGACAGTGCAGTGATACTGCAATCAAATTGCAGTGCTGGGCTACTAATGGGCATGGGGTTTCTGGGTTGATGAAAATGTTCTAAAATTAGATTGTGGTGATGGTTGCGTAACTCTGTAAATATTAAAAACCACTGGAGATACACTTGAAAAAGGTGCATTTTTCATGGTATGTGAATTATAGTTCGACAAAACTGTTATTAAAAAAATTGCATTCTGGGGCCAGCCGCGGTGGCTCACGCCTGTAATCCCAGCACTTTGGGAGGCCGAGGCAGGCGGATCACGAGGTCAGGAGATTGAGACCATCCTGCCTAACACGGTGAAAGTCTGTCTCTGCTAAAAATACAAAAAATTAGCCGGGCGTGGTGACTGGCACCTGTAGTCCCAGCTACTTGGGAGGCTGAGGCAGGAGAATGGCGTGAACTCGGGAGGCGGAGCTTGCAGTGAGCCGAGATTGCACCACTGCTCTCCAGCCTGGGCAACACAGTGAGACTCTGTCTCAAAAAAAAAAAAAAAAAAATTGCATTCTGGGATTGTAAACTAGTACCTTCTATAATTTGAAAAACTTTTTTCTTGGGTAGTGTGAAAAATATATATTCAGAGAAGTTATAGGTGATATTTTAAGAACTCAATTTTATCACATTTCAAATAAATGTAATATACCTATGAAGTTTTTAAGCTTTCTATTGTGGAAGATTTCAAACATATACTCTGCTAGAACAGTATAATAAAGCCCATATATGTATTGTTCTGCTTCAACAATGATCAACTGACTAATTTTGTTTTCTCTGTACTTCAGATTATTTGAAGTCCTAAGTAGCATATTCTATCTGAAAATATTTAGTACATTTATCTAAAAGACAAGGACTCCACCACTGAAACATAATCATACTGTCATTTTGCAGATCCAAAAAACAAGAGTAACTTTTTAGTATTATCAAATATTCTTCTTTTCCTAATTGTCCTATAAATAATATTTTCATGAAATATTTTTTCACTTGAAAGAAAATCTAGTACTGTGAATTATTATAAAATAATTATAATATTCAGAGCAAGAAAATAGCATTCCTAAAAATATACCTAAACTATTTCCCATAAAATGCTAAAAATTTGAAAGGGAACTTCTTTTGCTCCCTTGAGGATGTGTCTATGCTTTGATATGTAAATATAAATGTGTGTGTGTGTGTGTGTGTGTGTGTGTGTGTGTGTGTGTGTGTGTCTGCAGGTGGTTACCTTTGAGAAAAGGAACGGGGGGAAGATTTTTAATTTATTCTTTATACTATTTGAATCTTCTAACTATTGCTATGTATTACTTTTCTTTAAAAACTAAATAGTAAAAACAATTCTCTAGGTTTTTCATTTTTTGCTGTCTTCTTTTTATTTTCTTCTATTAAAATATGATGTTGCTTTTTAAATACAGTGAGAGAAAAGACTGAAGCAAAGAACAAGAGTTGGTATAAGATGCAGCCAAGAGTGCACATACACCATTGAGCCCTATACACTTGCTAAGAATAGGCTGCAAATTAGCCTCTAGACTTTCTAGCAATCTGTAAGAAGAGACTAAGCTGATGAGATACACAAGATACACATTTTATGAGGGAAAAGCAAACAAATTGCTGTGGACAAGCGTAACTAGTACTCTTAATAAAGCCAGAAGAAAATTTCTCCTGAAGATTCTCACAGAAGATACTGCTTTGTAAAGAACATGCAGTCTACACTAACTATAGCTGAATACAGAGGTTTTAAGGTTGTTTGCTAATATCCCTAAATATAGGCTGATGAAAACCACCAGAGTAAAACTGGTAAAAATAATACTGACACAAACGGCAGCAGCATGATGTGATCCTGGCATGCAGTTCTCTGCTGATCTGACTGACTAGGATATTTATAGGAATCACAAATGCAGATGACTACAGGGGCCAGGTAAGTAATTTAGTGAGTAAAGCCTGCTGCCTATGAGATGATGGTGTACATGTGCGTGTGTATGAGTGTGTGTATGCGGATTGTGACCACTGGAAAACCCCGGCCCTAACTAAATGGAGCAGCAGCCATGTTTTAGCTCCAGCAGTTGTTGCCGTGTGGGGATACCATTACAATGTTGCCAGATCTTCTATATCTGACACCTCAATTTTTCAGTGTTGGCTAAATTATTTTTAAATACTGTGTGGGTCAAACAAAATAATTCCAAGGGCTAAATTAATCCGTGTCTGTGACTGCTTATCTAAAGGAATGAATTGATATCATATCTTTCAGGTATTCCTCACCAGCATACTTTTCTCAGCACATGTATGTGTTTTAATGATTTTCTAAGTCAGGGGTATGATTGACTTTCTTTTGCAAGAATAGAGTTGCTTAAGTAACATGGGTTCCTGAATAGAAAGCCAAAAAGAAAATGAAGATAATTTATTTATTTATTTTTATTTTTATTTATTTATTTATTTTTTTGGAGACGGAGTCTCACTCTGTCGCCCAGGCTGGAGTGCAGTGGGGCGATCTCGGCTCACTGCAAGCTCCGCCTCCCGGGTTCACGCCATTCTCCTGCCTCTGCCTCCGGAGTAGCTGAGACTACAGGCGCCCGCCACCGCGCCCGGCTAATTTTTTGTATTTTTAGTAGAGACGGGGTTTCACCATGTTAGCTAGGATGGTCTCTGATCTTCTGTCTGACCTCGTGATCCGCCTGCCTCGGCCTCCCAAAGTGCTGGGATTACAGGCGTGAGCCACTGCGCCTGGCCCATTTATTTTCAATCACTTGATCATTCAATTTTTATGAAATGATTAAATGATCAGCAGAGTATTAATTTTAGAACTGGCCTTCTTTCATGGTGCTCTTGGAACTGGCCCAGAAGAGGCTTAGCTTATTTAAGAGAGGCCAAAAATGATCTGGTGTCAGCACTCAGAGGGCAATTTCTTCTCATTTTTGTTCTTGCATTTATACTTCCCACCACTCGTATTAATGCTTGATATTCTCTTATTCATATGTAGCCAGTTCAGAGTTCACAAATGATGTGATCAGAAGATTTGACTTCTAATTTTATTAGAACCAAGAGTATCATGGAAATGTCTACGTGTGAGTGCACAGGTGCTCTAGTTCTTACACAGTGGCTTCTGTACCTAAAGCCCTTCTGACGCATGCATGTCACTAAGGCTGAGTCGAGGAGAATGCTCCAATAAAGTGATCACTGGGGTGTTCTCAAGGACAACAAAAATTTACATAGCTCTTGGACAGACAAGGATCATATTTCAAGATGGCTTCAAATATTCAGTTAATCAAAATCAACCTCACAAGACTACATCCAGATAAAACCTTCAGAGACCACACCCAGAAATATTTCAGATTTATTTTTTTCTACTATAAATCCAGGGAAGAATTAAGATTTTTGAAAATTTTGGTGTAAAATAAAATGATTTATAGCAATAACTAAAGAAATAGAGTATTTGGAATACGTGGCATCCTGTTAACGGTGGGCATATTTCCATTCGGAGTTGTTTGACATGTTTGACGTTAACAACCATTATACTGCCACTACAGTATGGCAGTAGATTACTAAATAAACAGACATTCCCAGCATTTACCTCTTCTGTTAGAGTATTGTTTATCAAGAGTTTTCTTCAAATTTAAGCTTTAACATTATGTACCCAGACGTAATTTTAGCTTCTATTATAAGAATTGCTAAATTAAGAAAATTTTAATTTAGATTAAGTTTCACAATGTATAATTATTTATCTGTATTCATTCTGAAAAGATTTGAAGTAGTTTATAATAAAATATAGAGTCATTTTTTTTAAAAAAACACAAGAGAAAAAGAACAACATTCAGTTTAGGAATAAGGTGGTAGGACTGGAAGGTGTAGGGATAGTGAATTACTAACCTGAAAACTTAAGAGTGAATGGCTGTTAAAATTTAGCAGAAAACCTCGGGAGGCCGAGGTGGGCAGATCACCTGAGGTCAGGGGTTCGAGACCAGCCTGGCCAACGTGGCGAAACCCTGTCTCTACTAAAAATACAAAAATTAGCTGGGCATGGTGGTGGGTGCCTGTAATCCCAGCTACTTGGGAGGCTGAGGCAGGGAGAATTGCTTGAACCCGGGAGGCGGAGGTTGCAGTGAGCCGAGACCGTGCCATTGCACTCCAGCCTGGGTGACAGAGCAAGATTCCATCTCAAAAAAAAAAAAAAAGAAAGAAAGAAATATTGCCTAGCATTCAACTCTAACAAGAATTTACCACATAGATCTTGTTAAGGACGCTGAACAAACACAATTATCATCAAATTGCAATTTTATAAAAAATACCAAAGCATTCCTCATGTGGTCATTTCCACATAGGCTTTTGGCAAAAGTTTAAGAACATAATGTTAAATAGATTTCTATGAAAGCTGAAGAAATGCAGATTGACTTTGTCATTTTGGGGTAATGTGAACAGTAACAGACTTAGTAATTTCTGTCCCTCTTGGAGTATCCCATGTAGTAAACAAAATATATATATATATATATATATATATATAGAATACAACACATTTTTAAGACTCACAAACCTTCTGAGATCTCTTATTTTCATTTATTCAGGCAGTACTTACTGATGTTATGACATATATGCCTGTTCTGTACATGCCCTAGAATTTTCATGAACATATCTCATCTTTAGATGGTCCTTAAGTATTTATATATAACGTGCATATCCACCTGCCCTAAGGAAGGGTTATACTTACTATTAATTTACTCTCTGAGATGTATACACATTAAATTCTATATTCAACTAAAATTTTCATAAAATCTATAGATAATTTTTACCTACAGCGAGGTGAAGACATGCACTTTAAAAGTAAAAAGCTTCAACAAAACTACATGAGTCATGAATGCCACCACCATCCATCCAGTCATCCAATTCAGTCATGCCTAATTCTTCCATCTCCTTTAGACTTCCCTACTCCCAGCAAATCAGTGATTAGATTATCTTTCTTTTATTTCCTCGCTTCCTGTATCATTCAGGATCCAGAGAGTAGAATTATGAGGAGAGATACATACATACATAAATATAATATGTATTATATATATATATACACACATAAATATTCCCTCTCCCTTCCCATCTTCTATTCCTGTCCCCCCCACACTCCTCTCTCCCTCTTCTATTTATTAAGAAAGGGATTTATTAAAGGGATCTGACCTTCTGTAATTGTGGGAGCTGGTTGAACATTCTCTATAGGCTGTTTGCTGTCTTTGCCTCAGATGCTAAAGATTGAAGTCCACTGCCTGCTACCTCCACTGCCACTCCCAGCTCCAAATCATCACCACCTCTTGATCATACCATTTTTTGCTTGGTCTTCTTGTTCCTGTCTTTGCTTCAGTACTATCTATTCTCCACAGAGCATCCAGTGATCCTTTTATAAGTCAGATCACTTCATTTCTCTACTTGAACCCTCTAATGCTTCCTCTTTCACTCACATTGAAAATCAAAGTATGTTCATCTAAATGATCCAGGAGGCTCTACACAGTACTCTTAATCATTATGATAGGCTGCTGTATTAGTCTGTTTTCATGCTGCTGATAAAGACATACCCAAGACTGGGCAACTTACAAAATAAAGAGGTTTATTGGACTTACAGTTCCACATGGCTTTGGATGCCTCACAATCATGGCGGAAGGCAAGGAGGAGCAAGTCATATCTTATGTGGATGGTGGCAGGCAAAGAGAGAGCTTATGCAGTCAAACTCCCATTTTTAAAGCCGTTAGATCTCATGAGACTTATTTGCTATCACAAGAACAGCATGGGAAAGACTTGCCCCCATTGATTCAATTACCTCCCAAAAGGTTCCTCACACGACACATTGGAATTGTGGGAGTTGCAATTCAAGATGAGATTTGGGTGGGGACACATCATATCATTCTGCCCCTGGCCCCTCCGAAATCTCATGTCCTCACATTTCAAAACCAATCATGTCCTCCCAACAGTCCTCCAAAGTCTTAGCTCATTTCAGTATTACCTCAAAAGTCCACAGTCCAAAGTCTCATCTGAGACAAGACAAGTCCTTTCTGCCTATGAGCCTGTAAAAAAATCAAAAGCAAGTTAGTTACTTCCTAGATACAATGGAGGTACAGGCATTGGGTAAATACAGCCATTCCAAATGGGCGAAATTGGCCAGAACAAAGGGGCTACTGGCCCCATGCAAGTCCATAGTCCAGTGGGCCAGTCAAATCTTAAAGCTCCAAAAGGATCCCCTTTGACTCCATGTCTCACATCCAGGTCATGCTAATGCAAGACATGGGTTTCCATGGCCTTGGGCAGCTCCACCCCTGTGGCTTTGCAGGGTACAGTCTCCCTCACAGTTACTTTCATGGGCTGGTGTTGAGTATCTGCTGCTTTTCCAGGTGCGTGGTGCAATCTGTCAGTGGATCTACCATTCTAGGGTCTGGAGGACGGTGGCCTTCTTCTCACAGCTCCTCTAGGCAGTGCCCCAGTAGGGACTCTGTGCAGGGGCTCCGACCCTACATTTCCCTTCCACACTGCCCTAGCAGAGGTCCTCTATGAGGGCCCCGCCCCTGCAGCAAACTTCTGCATAGACATCCAGGCATTTCCATACATCTTCTGAAATCTAGTTGGAGGTTCCCAAACCCCAGTTCTTGGCTTCTCTGCACTCGTAGGGTCAACACCACATGGAAGCTGCCAAGGCTTGGGGCTTGCACCCTCTGAAGCCATGACCTGAGCTCTACATTGCTCCCTTTCTGCCACGGCTGGAGCAGCTGGGACACAGGGCACAAAGTCCCTAGGCTGCACACAGCATGGGGACCCTGGGCCCAGCCTATGAAACCACTTTTTCCTCCTAGATCTCCAGGCCTGTGATGGGAGGGGCTGCCACGAAGACGTCTGACATGCCCCGGAGACATTTTCCCCATTGTCTTGGGGAATAACATTCAGCTCCTTGTTACTTATGCAAATTTCTGCAGCTGGCTTGAATTTCTCCTCAGAAAATAGGATTTTCTTTTCTTTCATATTGTCAGGCTGCAAATTTTCTCAACGTTTATGCTCTGCTTCCCTTATAAAACTAAATGCCTTTAACAGCACTCAAGTCACCTCTTGAATGCTTTGCTGCTTTGAAATTTCTTCTGCCACATACCCTAAATCATCTCTCTTGAGTTCAAAGTTCCACAAATCTCTAGGGCAGGGGCAAAATGCTGCCAGTCTCTTTGCCAAAACATAACAAAAGTCACCTTTGCTCCAGTACCCAACAAATTCTTCACCTCCATCTGAGACCACCTCAGTCTGGATTTTATTGTCCATGTCATTATCAGCATTTTGGTCAAAGCCATTCAACAAGTCTCTAGGGAGTTCAAAACTTTCCCACATTTTCCTGTCTTCTTCTGAGCCCTCCAAACTTTTCCAACCTCTGCCTATTACCCAGTTCCAAAGTTGCTTCCACATTTTCAGGTATCTTTTCAGCAGCACCCCAGTCTACTGGTACCAACTTACCTTATTAGTCCATTTTCATGCTGCTGATAAAGATATACCCGAGACTGGGCAATTTACAAAAGAAAGAGGCTTATTGGACTTAGAGTTCCAGATGGCTGGGGATGCCTCACAATCATGGTGGAAGGCAAGGAGGAGCAAGTCACATCTTAAGTGGATGGCAGCAGGCAAAGAGAAAACTTGTGCAGGCAAAGTCCCATTTTTAAAGCCATCAGATCTTGTGAGACTTATTCACTATCACGAGAACAGCATGGGAAAGACCTGCCCCCATGATTCAATTACTTCCCACCGGGTTCCTCCTGCAACACATTGGAATTGTGGGAGTTACAATACAAGATGAGATTTGGGTGGGGGCACAGTCAAACCATATCAGCTGCCATATGTATTATGACAACTGTGGTAAATTTTATGGAGAAAATTAAAACATGGTAGTGAAAATGAGAATTTTGTGGGATAGCTTAGGTTACCATTTCAGTAGAATGACTCTTCCTGCAGAGATTCTAATAGACAGCTTGAGCGTTCCATGAAGTCTCTTCTTTAATTTGTCTCTTTGTTTTAGCACTTTAAAACATTATTATTTTGTTTTGAAAACATAAATTACTTTGGGGCAGGTTTTTTTTTTTTTTTACTATTTATTCAGATATCTATTGAGAAAGATTTTTTGTGAAGTGTAGTACTCACTTGTATGTTTTCTAAATTATTATTTAAAATTATTTCTGTAACTAGCAAGCTGTATTTGGAGTGAATGCATGTTTGACTAGTATCCATCCATGCTTGTCAGATAGAAGGAACTGCACAGCATTCATTGTAAGATGCAACAGGAATAAACGCAGTTTGTAAAGTTATAGGGATGAATTATAGTCGCATTTTCCCTAACTGCTCATCTCAAAATTAGTCACACAGGTTATTCCCTTAAACACACATCCTAACTCCAAAATAATTGGTCACAATAATTGGTCACAAAATGATCTTTCCTTTTTTTTTTTGAATGCTTGTTCATAATGAGATCTTCAAAGGGAAATACCATGTTCATCTTTATTGTCATTGTTTTCATATTATAGTTGTTCAGTAAATATTTGTTGTCTAAATTAAAAAAAGAAAACTATATGAGTCTAGTTTGGGAAGAACATTTTATATTGTTAATAATACAAACAATTAAAATAATGATAGGCAAGGGATTTAAAATATCCAGAAAAAGGCCGGGCACGGTGGCTCACGCCTGTATTCCCAGCACTTCGAGAGGCCGAGGAAGGCTGATCACAAGGTCAGGAGATCAAGACCATCCTGGCCAACATGGTGTAACCCCATCTCTACTAAAAATACAAAAATTAGCTGGGTCTGGTGGTGTGTGCCTGTAATCCCAGCTACTTGGGAGGCTGAGGCAGGAGAATTACTTAAACCAGGGGGTCGGAGGTTGCAGTGAGCTGAGATCGCGCCACTGCACTCCAGCCTGGTGACAGAGCGAGACTCCATCCCCCCAAAAAAATTCAGAAAAAGTTTCAGACTCTCATAAAATGTATCTGGCTATTTAAACCAGCCATTTGTATTTCTGATAAAAGCAGGTGCTTCTGGTCAAGTTCATATGTATTTATTTTGAACATTGGCTTTGGGAACCCAGACAGCTAACTCTATAGTCCATAGTTTTATACATGCCAGGTAGTGCATGTGGATCTAACTCCATAGTCCATAGTTTTGTACATGCCAGGTAGTTTTGATCATAATGGGTAATAAAAGATGAAAAATAAAATGTTGAAATGCAAGACCTATATTTAACCCCAAAGCATAAACCTAACAATTTTCTCAACTCCTGTCCCTTGTTTTTGTGGTAAATTTTGTGTGATGTTACTTTGAAATAGACGAGGAGCCTCTCCAAAGACAGTCAGCAAAAAGGATGACATTAACTTTAATGAGGCTCTCCTATGAGAGACAGTATGAGGTATTATGCTGGACATTTTTAATAGTTTGTTTTTTGTTTTGTTTTGTTTTGAGACAGAATCTCACTCTGTCTCCAAGGCTAGAGTGCAGTGGCGTGACCTCGGCTCACTACAACCTCTGCCTCCCGGGTTCAAGTGATTCTCCTGCCTCAGCCTCCCAAGTAGCTGGGATTACAGTCACCCATCACTACGCCCTGTTAATTTTTGTATTTTTAGTAGAGACGGGGTTTCACCATGTTGGCCAGGCTGGTCTTGAACTCCTGACCTCAGGTGATCTGCCCACCTCGGCCTCCCAACATTTTAAATAGATTTTACATGTTGAATATCCCTTATCCAAAATGCTTAGGACCAGAAATGTTTCAGATTTTGATTTTTTTCAGATTTTTGAATATTTGCATATACGTAATAGGGATATTTTGGGGATGGACCCCAGTCTAAACACAAAATTAATTTATGTTTCATAAACACCATATATATATATATATATGTATGTATAATATATATATATATGGCCTGAAGGTAATTTTACACAATATTTTAAATAGTTTTGTGCATGAACAAAGTTTGTATACATTAAACCATGCAAAAGCAAAGGTGTCACCATCTCAGCCACTCATGTGGAAATATGTGGTTGTTTGGCATCACCATTGTTCCTGACTCTGAATTTATATGCTACCAAAAAGCCATCATTTTCTTATACTTATCCACATATAAATACTTAACAGTAAAAAAAAATGACTTACCATTAATACACTGAAAAATAATGTGTTCAGGATAACAAAGCAGCACAGTTGCATCACCAGAATATCTGTACTGGCTGCTAAACAACAGCAGCTACAAACAACAGCATGCTTGCCGTCTCCACCTATGATGCTGTGTTTTCATTAAAAGGTCACTGTATGCTGGGCGCAGTGGCTCACACCTGTAATCCCAGCACTTTGGGAGGCAGAGGTGGGCAGATCACGAGGTCAGGAGATCAAGACCATCCTGGCCAACATGGTGAAACCCTGTCTTTATTAAAAATACAAAAATTAGCAGGGTGTGGTGGTGCGCACCTGTAGTCCCAGCTACTCAGGAGGCTGAGGCAGGAGAATCACTTGAACCCAGGAGGCGGAGGCTGCAGTGAGTCAAGATCGTACCACTGCACTCCAGTCTGGGTGACAGAGTGAGACTCTGTCTCAAATAAACAAAAAGCAAAAAACAAAACAAAACAAACAAAAAGTCACTGTACAGGTATTTTATTTTATTTTATTTATTTTTAGGTGAGAAGAAACATCAGAAGCACTTGAAGGACCAGAAGGTGGGTGTTCTAGGGATGGGGAGGCAATCTGCAAAATGGCTTTTTAGAAAATTTCCTCCAGAGTTATCTGTCTCATTAACAATGGTTTTTTGTCTTAGAATTTTCTCTTTCATTTTATAAACTGACATGATTTGTTCAATTATGAATGTACACTGATCTAGTCCTTCAATAATCCATCACACGTTTTACCCATGTCTTCTATAGGCACCTTTTCTTTGGTGTTAATGACATCATCTTCATCGTCACTATTATTGTGATCATCTTGATCCAGAACAATTTCAGCTATTTCACCATTGGTCAATGAATGAACAACTGGAGGCTCATTATCAATGTTAAAAGCTTCTTTGATATCTACTTCTTCCAGCTTACTGATGCATATATATTATTATTTTGCATATATAAGGTCAGACATTCATGTTTTCCTCACTTGACATATGAAATCCTTCAAAGTCACTACTTAGTTCATCATCATCATCACTGCACATAGTCACAGGTTAGAGGTTGCAGGCATGCAAAACTGTATCTTTAGTCATTGTCTTCCAAGCATTGGCAACAGCATGTATGGCATCTTTCATGCTAAACTCTTTTTGCAAACCTTCCACACCCACACCTCTTGTCACTGCTGCTAGCATGCTGTTCAGGAAAGTGTTTTTATATTTACTCTTCATTGATCTAAGGATACCCTGGCCACATGGTTGAATTAATAAAGTCACATTTTGGGGAAAGTAGATGGCATAAACATTTTTGATGAGAATTTCAGCAGGAGGGTGAATAGAACAGTTGTCACGTGTAACAAAATCTTGCAGTCATCCTCCAGTTTAGCTTCCCTGCAGTGAGCATGAACTTCTGGTACAAAACATTGGAGCACCAATCAGAAAATATGTCCCTGGTGATCTGTGCACTTTTGTTAGCATAATAATAGTCTGGTAAGAAATCCACTCCCTTAAAATAGTGAAGACATAAGCTTTTGCCTGTCACAGCAAGTTTACAATGTGTTTGTGTGCTGCATTAGCATATCCCAGTACAGTTATTCTGTCCTTGGCATCCTTAATTCCTATAGGGGCTTTCTCATCAGCTGTAGTCAGTGTCTTCCTGGGGCAGTAACACAAAACAGTGATGTTTTATAAGCATTATAGACTTGTTCTGGTGTCAGATTTTCATCAGTGATAACTTGGGCACGCTCATCAATCATTGCTGCTTTATGATCAGCAGATGCTTTATCACCTCAAATTGTAAAAAAAATAATGTTGTGTCTTAAATGTATGCAGCCAGATATATTGAATATTCACAGTTCCCTTCAATTTCCAGTTCATCATAAGTCTTTGCTCATTTCATTATCAGCATGACATTAAGTGGCAAGTGTTCACTGCATCGCTGACCGATCCAATTTTTCAATACATGATCAAGACCATTATTTTTAGTTTTATGCAGTGTTTTTCTGTTTTTACTAATTTTTATTCATTATTTTTAGCATAGAACTCCAACTGTTTATCCTTCTATTGTTTCAGGTCATATATGGTGGTCATTCTGACACCATACTCTTCTATTAAGATGTTTCACATTCGCACCACTGTCCAGTTTCTCCAACAGCTTGACTTTCTGTGCTATCCTATAAACATAAATGCTTCCTCTTTTGTTGGTATCTGCAGGCCTTTTGAACATTTTTTCAGCAACATCTTTACACCACAGGGTAGAAAATAAACAAGAAAACACAAGGAGCAATGCATGTAGGTCTTTACTACATGTAGGGCATTTTGGGGAACCGGCTGTTGGCACATCCAGTCTGCACATGTGCTATTTTATTACGTTTTATGGGTGTGCTTTCATGGAGGAATTTGGTCATGCACAGAAAATATATATTGCAGCTGAACTGGGGTGGAAGGGTCTTTTTTCCCTTGGAGACATTGAATAAACTCTGTGTTGTATGCCTGCATTTTTACTGTGATCCATCACTTGGGGTCAGGTGTATCAGACTTTGGAGAATTTTGGATTTCAAATTAGGGATGCTCAACCTTTGTGTGTGTGTGTGTGTGTGTGTGTGTGTGTGTGTGTGTGTGTGTGTGTGTGTGTGTTTTGAGACGGAGTCTTGCTCTGTTGCCCAGGCTGAAGTGCAGTGGCGCAATCTCGGCTCACTGCAAGCTCTGCCTCCCGGGTTCACGCCATTCTCCTGCCTCAGCCTCCGGAGTAGCTGGGACTACAGGCACCCGCCACAACGCCCAGCTAATTTTTTGTATTTTTAGTAGAAACGGGGTTTCATCGTGTTAGCCAGGATGGTCTCGATCTCCTGACCTCGTGATCTGCCCGTCTCGGCCTCCCAAAGTGCTGGGATTACAGGTATGAGCTACCGCGCCCGGCCAACCTTTGTGCATTCTTAATCCCATCCACAGCATCTCAAGTTAAGTAACTTGGCCAACAAAGTGCACCAAGTGGGCGTGATAATGATAGCAATGACATGAGGAAACTGTTTCCAAAGGGGATTAGGCAACCTCCCCAAAGTCGCTCACTAAGAAAGTGGCAGAGCCAGTTCTAACTCCATAGTCCAAAAGCAGCACTGTCAGCCTGGAAAGACTACAGAAACTTATAATCTTGGCCAGGCGCGGTGGCTCACGCCTGTAATCCCAGCACTTTGGGAGGCCGAGGCGGGTGGATCACAAGGTCAGGAGTTCAAGACCAGCCTGGCCAAGATGGTGAAACCCCGTCTCTACTAAAAACACAAAAATTAGCCGCGCGTGGTGGTGGGCACTTGTAATCCCAGCTATTCGGGAGGCTGTGGTAGAGAACTGCTTGAACCCGCGAGGCATAGGTTGCAGTGAGCCGAGATTGTGCTACTGCACTCCAGCCTGGGTGACAGAGTGAGAGTCCGTCTGAAAAATAATAAAAAAAAGGAAACTTATAATCTTAGAATTGAAAGAGACTTCATAGATCATCTAGTTTGTTCAAACTCCTCCAGCACACCAATTTTACATATGTAGAAACTGAAGTACAATAATATTAATGTGCTTTCAAATGAGGATAAGATGTGAAAGTATTAGTTCAATTGAATTCTTTGTTGAGTGTGTTGTAGGTATTCACATTTTAGTAAGTAAAGAAGAGGATGCTGTGATAATATCTGGACAGAAGGATGTTGCTGGCAGTGGGCTAATGATCAGTGAATGAAGTGAACAAGATCCAGGTGTTTGTGCTATACTGGGCTCCCCACCCACATTCCTCATAGTTCCCCTATTTTCCTGTCATATGCTTATAAACTGTTGAGGGCAACATGGGAGTTTAGAGAAATCATAAAGGTGTATTTTAGGAGTATGCAGTTCCCCCAAATTAGCCTGTTCTTTACCAGTTTCCAGTTGGAAGTACTTTTGTTATCAAAAACAATTACAAGAAATTGCCCATTAAAAGGAAATATGAGTAGATCTGTAAGCCTGAACTGTAAGGTTCTCTAGATGGTCTGTTTACTAGATCTCTTGCAGAATAAAAATCATTTGTAATGTGATAGGGTCTTTTTTTGCTTTGGACAGAAATGAATACTTTACTCATGGTATTTCATTTTTAACAACTCCTGGCCTGGCACGGTGGCTCACGCCTGTAATCCCAACACTTTGAGAGGCCGAGGTGGGCAGATCACCTGAGGTCGGGAGTTCGAGACCAGCCTGACCAACATGGAGAAACCGTCTCTACTAAAAATACAAAATTAGCTGGGCATGGTGGCGGGCGCCTGTAATCCCAGCTACTCAGGAGGCTGAGACAGGAGAATCACTTGAACCCAGGAGGCGGAAGTTGCGGTGAGCCTAGGTCGCACCATTGCACTCCAGCCTGGGCAACAAGAGCAAAACTCTGTCTCAAAAAAAAAAAAAAAAAAAAAAGGGCAACTCCTTTGCTTCTCATTCAAAGCAAAGCTCATCCTCCCCTACTATCTTCAGTCATGTCCAGTTAAGTGTACACACTCCACAAAGCTACCTTCTATCAAAGAACTTTTTCCTGTGAGAGAGCCACTTCTTCCAGGATACAGATTCTACAAACTCCCTCTCTCTAAGGAGCTGGTTCCAGTGTTTCTCATCCTTATAATCAGGAAGTTCATCTTTGCGTTTACCATATACAATCCACCACATTTCTCCTGGCTGTGCTTGCTGTGCCACTGGGACAAGCTAGACAAAATTCAGTTACTAGGGAACCTTACCAAACTCTCAAGGGATTGGCTACTGCCATGTGAAGTACCAGGACAAATTGTAATGTGCCCACCATGCCCTTTAAGTGACAGTAATCCCCCTCTGATGCCCAGCTCAGTCTGGCCACTCCTGGAGATTTTAGTACTCCCAATTTATTGTAGCCCTCTTCCTCACATTCCCCAGCAAAACAACTACTATTAGCTATTAAGTGTGGAGAAAAGTGATTATCTAATTAAATATTTTCCATTTAACTATGAATAATTTTAAAAAGACTTTTTTCTCCCCAAGTATTTACTTTTTAGAGTAAGCCCCTATTGATTAAGGAATAAAATGCTTTTTACTGAATAATATTAGTAGTTGGGGCTAATATTGCCTCCTTTCAGCCCTGCTTAGAAATAAGTTTAGAATAAGCACAATCAGAAACGACAAAGGTGCCATTACAACTGATTCCAAAGAAATACAAAAGATCCTCAGAGACTCCTGTGCACATCTCTACACACGTAAACTAGAAAACCTAGAAGAAATGGATAAATTCTTGGAAATGCACAAACTCCCAAGATTGAATCAGGAAGAAATTGAAACCCCAAACAGACCAATATTGAATTCCAATATTGAAACAGTAATAAAAAAATCTACCAATCAAAAAAGCCCAGGACCAGATGGATTCACAGCTGAATTCTCCAGACGTACAAAGAAGGGCTGGTATCAATTCTACTGAAACTATTCCAAAAAATTGAGGAGGAGGGACTCCCTCCTAATACATTCTATGAAGCCAGCACCACCCTGATACCAAACCTGGCAAAGACGCAAGGAAACAAGACAACGACAGGCCAGTATTCCTAATGAATACAGACGCAAAAACCCTCAACAAAATACGAGCAAACCAAATCCAATAGCACATCAAAAAGTTAACTCACCATGATCAAGGAGGCTTCATTCCTGTGATGCAATGTTAGCTCAACATATGCAAATCAATAAATGTGATTCACCACATAAACAGAATTGAAAACAAAAACCGTATAATCATCTCATTAGACTTGGAAAAAGCTTTTGATAAAATCTAACATCGTTTCATGATTAAAAAACCCTCAACAGGCTAGAGGCATCAAAGGAACATACATTAAAGTAATGAGCCATCTCTGAGAAACCCACAGCCAACGTCATGCTAAACAGGCAAAAACTGGAAGCATTCCCCTTGAGAACAAGACAAGGATACCCACTCTCACCGAGAATCCCCACTCTCACCACTCCTATTCAACATAGTACTGGAAATACTAGCCAGAGCAGTCAGGCAAAAGAAAGAAAGAAAGACATTCAGATAGGAAAAGAAAAAGTCAAACTATCTCTCTTTGCAGACGATATGATTCTATACCTAGAAAACTCTAAAGACTCTGCTAAAAGACTCCTGGAACTGGAAAATGGCTTTAGTAAAGTTTCAGGATACAAGATTAAATGTACAAAAATCAGTAGCATTTCTACACAACAATTATGTTAAAAATTAGAGCCAACTCAAGAATACAATCCCATTTACAATATCCACAAAAGAATAAAATACCTGGGAATACGACCAAGGAGATGAAAGATCTCTACAAGGAGAACTACAGAACACTTTTGTAAGAAATCACAGGGCCAGGAGCGATGGCTCACGCCTGTAATCCCAGCACTTTGGGAGGCCAAGGCGGGTGGATCAGCTGAGGTCAGGAGTTTGAAACCATCCTGGCCAACACAGTGAAACCCCGTCTCTACTAAAAAAAATACAAAAAATTAGCCAGACGTGGTGGCATGCGCCTGTAGTCCGAGCTACTCGGGAGGCTGAGGTAGGAGAATAGCTTGAACCGCGGAAGTGGAGGTTGCAGTGAGCCAAGATTGCGCCACTACATCCAGCCTGGGCGACAGAGTGACACTCAGTCAAAAAGAAAAAAAAGGTTGGGTGCAGTGGCTCACGCCTGTAATCCCAGCACTTTGGGAGGCTGAGATGGGTGGATCAAGAGGTCAGGAGATTGAGACCATCCTGGCTAACACGGTGAAACCCCGTCTCTACTAAAAATTAAAAAAAAAATTAGCCGGGCGTGGTGGCGGGCGCCTGTAGTCCCAGCTACTCGGGAGGCTGAGGCAGGAGAATGGCGTGAAACCGGGAGGCGGAGCTTGCCGTGAGCCGAGATCGCGCCACTGCGCTAACAGACTGGGCGACAGAGCGAGACTCCGTCTCAAAAAAAAAAAAAAAAGTAATAATAAAGTGTTTAGCAGATTATATTCATGAAGCCAATAATGTCTATTATTACTATTAGATACTATAGTCCAAATTATCTTTGATTCTATAAATATTTGCATAGCTTCATCTGAAAAGCTTTCTGTTTTATCACAGTTCATGCTAACAGTTCTGAAATGCAGAGTAGAGCAGAAACTCAGTTTTTAAAATTTGTTCTTATAGGTCTGATTATATGTCCTTTGAAGATTTTGGTTGCTTTTCCCGGAATCTCCAATTAATCTGTACCGTATCTACAAGCATTTATTTTTCTTATATTTCTGTAAAATGTGTACATTTTTAAATGTGAAAAGTCAAAGCAGAAACATTGCTATAACTAAGCCCTAACCAATACTGAGAACCAACGAAGGATAACCTCATAATTGGTAAATTTTATATTATTTCTACGTAACACTATTAGACTCATTTTAAAATGTGCTACTTTCCTGACTCTTTTCTTTTTCTTTTTTTCTTTTTTTTTTTTTTTTTTTTTGAGATGGAGTTTCACTGTCTCCCAGGCTGGAGTGCAGTGGCATGATCTCGGCTCACTCTGAGATTCTGGTTCCAGCGGTTCTCCTGCCTCAGCCTCCCGAGTAGCTGGGACTACGGACGCGAGCCACCACGCCCAGCTAATTTTTGTATTTTTAGTAGAGAAGGGGTTTCACTGGCAGGGCATGGTGGCTCACGCCTGTAATTCCGGCACTTTGGGAGGCCAAGGCAGGCAGATCACCTGAGGTCAGGAGTTCGAGACTAGCCTGGCCAACATGGTGAAACCCCGTCTTTACTAAAAATACAAAAAAAAAAAAAAATCAGCTGGGCGTGGTGGTGGGTGCCTGTAATCCCAGCTACTTGGGAGGCATAGGCAGGAGAATCGCTTGAACTCAGGAGGCAGAAGTTGCAGTAAGCTGAGACCACGCCATTGCATTCCAGCCTGGGCGACAAGAATGAAACTCTGTCTCAAAAAAATAAAAAAATTAGCTGGGTGTGATGGCACCTGCATGTAGTTCCAGCTACTTGGGAGGCTGAGGTGGAAGGATTGCTGGAGCCTGGGAGGTTGAGGTTGCAGTGAGCTGTGATCATGCCACTGCACTCCAGCCTGTGCAACAGAGCAAGAGACCCTGTCTCAAAAAGACAAAAAAGGATAAAAGGAGGTCTTGAATGTTTCACTTTTACCCTCTTTATTAGGAATGTGAAATTTTTTACATGTAATAATTAAAATATGCTATTCTTTCAAACAACATACAAATGGTACTGTTACTTGTTGCATCATTTCTATGTTTTCAACTTTGTGTGCATGCATTCATTTTAAGTTATGATTTTGGATTCTGTTTTTATTTTTAAAAAACCAATAAATTTTCTTTATGAAACTATCAAAAAGCAAGTGCTAATTTATTTAATATATTGTCCAGTTGAGAAATGGTCACAGGATCCAAGAGGCCATGTGTCATGAAATCAGATAAATCATTCCTATGTTGTGGAGGCTGAACTGCTTTTGTAAGTACCTGGGAGGTCTGGCCGGATTTCCGGGTTGAATTATAACAATCTTTTATGTCATGGGATGCCTTGCCCAGGTTGTGCAATGTAACCATGAGAACCAAGCAAACCTGTTGCTCAACTAATTCAATTCTGTTTCTTCTATATCCAAATCAGGTTATTTCCATACAAACACGGTTTAATAGAATATTTACCACCTGACAAGGATTGTAAAAATTTCTGTGGACTTAGTGATAAAAAAAAAAAAAAAAAACCTAGATTGAAAATATGTTGTGAACCAGCTAGGGCTCAGAGGACTTTATGGTCTTGATAAAATTCAGGTTCAGCCAGGAACAGGTGACATCAGATGCAACTGTTCTTTACATGTGGCTCTCTCTATCTCCTTTCTACCCACCTGGGCTACCCACAAACTTCTTCCTCATCCTAAGACTATGCTGCAGGTGTGGTAGGTGCGGCACATACCACTGATACAATGCCGGAAGAGACACTTTTACTTCCTATTAAGGCCAAAGGCCAGGTTGGTCATTTGATTAGGAGTGAATGGGGTTGTTCTTGATCTAGGGCAGAAGGTGGGAGTGAAAGAGGAGTATATGAATGGTCCTGACAAGACAGCATATTAAATGTTATTTTGAACTCTATCAAATTTCTATAGTTTTAACACAATGACTGATAGTCATCTATTTCCTCTGAAGTAGATGATTTATTTATTTATTTTTTTGAGTTAGAGTTTTGCTCTTTGTTGCCCAGGCTGGAGTGCAGTGGTGCAATCTCGGCTCACTGCAACCTCCGCCTCTGCGGTTCAAGAGATTCTCCTGTCTCAGCCTCCCAAGCAGCTGGGATTACAGATGCCCGCTACCATGCTTGGCTACTTTCTGTATTTTTAGTAGAGACGGGGTTTCACCATGTTGACCAGGCTGGTCTTGAACTCCTGACCTCAGGTGATCCACCCGCCTCAGCCTCCCAAAGCGCTGGGATTACAGGCGTGAGCCACCACGCTCGGCCAGATGATTTATTTTTATGCTTTGTGTTCTGCCTTCTAAATCTATTTTGAGAAAAATGTAAATCAACTAAGTTTGAACTCAATTTCAATTTGTACTTAATTCAATAACTTTCCTTTTTTTTTTTTTTTTTTTGAGATGGAGTTTTGCTTTTGTCACCCAGGCTGGAGTGCAATGGCATGATCTTGGCTCACTACAACCTGCAACTCCCGGGTTCAAGCGATTCTCCTGTCTCAGCCTCCCAAGTAGTTGGGATTACAGGTGCCCACCACCATGCCTGGCTAATTTTTGTGTTTTTAGTAGAGACGGGGTTAAGCTATGTTGTCGAGCCTGGTCTCAAACTCCTGACCTCGTGATCCGCCTGCCTCGGCTTCCCAAAGTGCTGGGATTACAGGTGTGAGCCATCGCGCCTGGCCTTAATTCACTAACTTTTCAAACATTAATCCCTTAAAGAAAAATAGAATAAGTCTAATCTCAAAAAAATGGATTTGGAAAATGTATTTTTAAAAAGAGAGGGAAAGGGCCAGGTGCGGTGGCTTGTGCTTGTAATCCCAGCACTTTGGGAGGCCGAGGCAGGCAGATCACGAAGTCAGGAGTTCTAGATCAGCCTGGCCAAGATGGTGAAACCCCGTCTCTACTGAAAATACAAAAATTATCTGGGCATGGTGGCAGGTGCCTGTAATCCCAGCTACTTGGGAGGCTGAGGCAGAGAATTGCTTGAACCCGGGAGGTGGAGGTTGCAGTGAGCCAAGATCACGCCACTACACTACAGCCTGGGCAACAGAGCTAGACTCCATCTCGGAAAAAAAAAAAAAAAAAAGAAAGAGAGGGAATGAAATTGCCAACATATCTTTGGGCAATTCTGTGCTGTAATTTTCCACTGTGAAGATCTGAAACTTCTAGGGATTCTGTTGAAATACTGCTCTTGCATAAGGTTTTTCTTCTTTGCTTTGTTCTATAATGTTTAGAGCCCACAACTGCTTTGTTATATTATGAGGATATTTCAAGATCTAACCCATATAAAGATATGCAGATTATTAATCATATCTATGTAATAAATGATTACTGAAGCCCCACTATGTGCCAGTCACTGTCTATATGCCAAAGATACAAAAATGAAACTCCCAGTCTTATTGGGGGAATATATACAAATCTGAATAATATGAAACAGTCACAGAGATGTTAAAAGAGACATTTACAAAGTACAACTGGGCCAGAAAATGGAACAACTTATTGCGCCAGAGAGTCAAATAATGTGATAATATTTGATCAAGATCTTAAAGGATGACTAGAGATTCATCCAGTGGGTCCACCCAGCCGGAGTAGGCATTCCAATCACAGGGAACATTGTTTGCAAAAGGAAGGAGACCTGAAATGCAAGATAAATCCAGAAAGTGGCCTGGAATCATTGGAATTTAGGGTACAAAGATTAAGCATAACTCCCTCTTGCCAGTTGGCTGGTTCTCTCAGCTGCCTCTCACATTCTCCTCTTAGGATCCTCTCCTGCCTCAGCTCCTGATGCAATAGAGCTCCTCTTTCTCTAGCCTTGCATCTCTGGTCATCCAGTAGGTAATTTGAGCTAGTTTACAAGCATCAGACTCCTTTCATGAAATGGACACACCTTGTGCCTCTGTGTATATTACTCTCTAACAAAACCAGTCTGATTACTCCAACCGCTCATTAGGGTTTATTCCTAAAGACTTTTCAGCTATTTTCAAGTCCAGTCTACCCTTGAAGAGTGAAGATTTGTCACCATTCGGGATACTTAATATATTGCTAGTCCTGAAAGTAATCCTGAGAGGTATCCAAAAATGTTTTGGGAAATTATAGCCTTTTAAGATGATTCTTTGAAGAGAATCTTCCTTTGGATATGCAAGCTCCAGTGTATTTTAAAATAGTCACATATTGTTAATGTTTTAGGTATGATAATGATGTTGTGGTTATGTTTTTTAGAAAGTCACTTTTTGGAGATATATACTAAAATAATAAGGATAAAAATGATGATGTGAGATTTGCTTTAACATAATCCAGTAAGGGGAGGAGAGGGCAATGCGGGGAGTACAGATGAAATAATACTAGACATATATAGATAGACTTTCCAGCATATAGCTAGAAATGCTGGATACAATATAACAAACAAAAATGTATACACAGCTGAATTTGGAAAAAAAAGAAAGAAAAAATCCCCAGTGTCCGAAGTAAATTAAGGATCTAAAGCTAGAGTAGTTTCATTGTACTAGCATATTTTTGCATATGTTTGAAATGTTTAAGAACAAAATGTTTAAAAACAAAATGTTTTAAAAAAATCACCTAGGCTTTGGGAGGCTGGCGGATCACGAGGTCAGGAGATCAAGACCATCCTGGCTAACACGGTGAAACCCCGTCTCTACTAAAAATACAAAAAATTAGCCGGGCATGATGGCGGGCGCCTGTAGTCCCAGCTACTCGGGAGGCTGAGGCAGGAGAATGCCGTGAACCCGGGAGGCGGAGCTTGCAGTGAGCCGAGATCACGCCACTGCACTCCATCCTGGGCAACAGAGCAAGACTCTGTCTTAAAAAAAAAAAAAAAAAAAAAAATCACCTAGGCTGGGTGCAGTGGCTCACGCATGTAATCCCAACACTTTGGGAGGTCTAGGTGGAAGAATCGCTTGAGCCCAGAAGTTCGAGATCAGCTTGGGCAACATAGTGGGACGCCCAAATTAGCTGGGCATGGTGGCACATGACTGTAGTCCCTGCTACTCAGGAGACCGAGGCCAGAGGATTGCTTGAGCTCAGGAGATTGAGGCTGCAGTGAACTGCGATCATGCCACTGCACTCTAGCCTGGACAACAAAGCAAGACCCCGTCTCTAAAAAACAAAACAAAACACAATAATCAGTTTATTATCCACTCCATAGGTTAGGAGAATTTGAATGTTTATAAAGACCTTATACCTTTCCTGTAAAAAAATTTTAACATATATTTATATGTAGATAAATAATATTTTAGTAATTCTAAAGGTAAGTAGACAAACATATACTACAAATCTAATAAGTTCATGTTTGCCAGAAATCTTTTACCCCTAAGCGTTTGTCACTTCTTATTTCAGCCTGTTACTGTTTTTTATTTTATAGCACAACTATACTACGAACACTAGTGAATAAATACTATCAAACGTGGCTGGGCGCAGTGGCTCACACCTGTAATCCCAGCACTTTGGGAGGCTGAGGCAGGTGGATCACCTGGGGTCAGGAGTTCGAGACCAGCCTGTCCAACCTGGTGAAACTCCGTCTTTACTAAAATACAAAATTTAGCTGGGCATGCTGGTGCATGCCTGTAATCCCAGCTACTCTGGAGGCTGAGGCAGGAGAATTGCTTGAACCCGGGAGGCCGAGGTTGCAGTGAGCTGAGATCATGCCACTGCATTCCAGCCTGGGTGACAGAGCGAGACTCCATCCACCTGCCCCCCCAAAAAAACCAAACCAATAAATACTAACAAATGTAAATGTAGAGATGTTTTTCTCTCTGTTACAATGTGTCACTTTATGTTGATTTATCTTCTTTATAGCACCCCAACACCACCTGTTAAAAAATTTTTTTTTTAAAGAACTCCAGGCATTCTTGGACAGTAAAGAGCTTGCTAAAATCAGGTTCCTCCTTAATTCAAATTGTTTAGCCTGTAAAGTAGCTTATATAGTGTGATGTCTTTAGCCCTTCTTTAGTATATAAAATGTTTTGTTACAAGAATGGTAAGGCGACTTGGCAGGTCCTCTTTGTCCCCAGGAGAGCACACAGACTCAAGGGCATAGGGTGAGCTCACCTTTGGACCTCAGAGATCCCTTGGAGATGAATAACTACCATAGGCAAAGTTGTGCTTCTGTTTAAATTGACACTGAATTCATACATACGCACTTTGTAGTGGTTCTCCTTGCCCGAAATCCAGCTTAATTAACACACTCTAGTTGTTAATTTTTTCGTTTTATAAACCACCTCTGCAAATTTCAACTTTTACATTTTCCAGTATACTCCCCCTTTAGGTGAATGTTTCCTGAAGTAGAACCTAAGGACCATCTGCATCTGAATCAGTTGGAGTGCTTGTTAAAAATGTAGATTCCTTGAGATCCTGACATTTGCAACAACACGGATGGAACTGGAGGTCATTATGTTAAGTGAAATAAGCCAGGCACAGAAAGACAAACTTCGCATGGTCTCATTCAATTGTGGGAGCTTAAAATTAAAATAATTGAACTCATGGAGATAGAGAGCAGAATGATGGTTACCAGAGGCTGAGAAGGGTAGGGGGGGCCACAGAGGTTGGGGAAATGGAGATGGTTAATGGCTACAAAAATATAGTTAGAATGAATAATATCTGCTACTTGATAGTACAACAGGGTGACCAGAGTCAACAATAATTTAATGTACTTTTAAAAATAACTAAAAGAGTGTAATAGGAATGATTGTAACACAAAGAAAGAATAAGGCTTAAAGTGATGGATACCTCATTTACCCTATTGGTTATTACCAGTAGGTAATAACCTTTATCCTCCTCCCACCCTCCCACCTTTTATAGTCTCCAATGTCTATTATTCCACTCCATATGTCCATGTGTACCCAGTGTTTAGCTCACACTTATAACTGAGAACATGAGTATTTAAATTTCTGAGTTATTTCACTTAGGATAATTGCTTCCAATTCCATCCATGTTTGCTGTCACATTAATAAATGCATAACAAATTCTTTTGCAATTAGATGGTTTCCTAGTTTGCTATTAATAAGCGATTTATAGATCTTTGTAGGAACGTCTGCAATTGAGTCATCACCTGATAGATAATTAAAAAATAATTTTTGATACCAGATTGCCCCAAGATTTTTGACATGATTCTGACAGAGTGCAAAGAATTGAGAGCACTGTTTCTATTCCTACCTACTTATTTATGCAAACAAATTTTCCCAGCATTTACATTAATAATAAAACAGAAAAAGGTGGGGGGAATGAAACAGATTGAACCATGTCTCAATATAGTAAGTAATTTTTATCTAAGATACCTGACTTAATTTTAGCAAAACCAGCCAGGCTCCACCCAGCTAGTTAAGAGATAGATTTAAATAAAAATTTACTTTTTCTGTTTAATAATTACTTATCAACAGTTGTAATATATTCATGTTGTTTTTGTCAATAATATTATAATAATAATTGAGATGATATCTCAATCCAGGATAATTCTTAAACATAGCTTCATGGTCACAGGAAATAATTTCAACATATATACTTTTATTGTGATAATTAAGATAATTGATAAAAAGACTTTTAGGAATAAAAATATCATACTAGGATACAATTTTTTGGTGGAAGCAGAATAGAAATATGAGTTCAAGGAGGAAAAGGAAAAATACAAAATTTCTGATTATTAAAGAACAGCTTGTTCATGTATTTTTTAAAAAGGGATGATGTGGTATTTAGATTATATTAGATATATTTTTAAAGTGCTATAATATTTTTATTTTAAAATGACAATATTTACAGAACATTGGAAGTTACATCCTTTGCAACTATTTTAACATGGGATGAAGAATTTTAGATGTCAGCTTAAAAATGTGCAAGAGGACACAAGCTTTACAAAATTCTTTTAGAAGTGTTTGCAAGTAAAAAGTTGGAAGATCATGTTTTAGGAAACCCAGTCCAGAGATTGGTGTGTAGAATGGACTAGAATGGGGAAGAATGGGGATAAATTGGGCAAGGTACCAGTTAGGAGACAATTGATTTTTTCCAGACTTAAGGAATTTCAACTGTATTAAGTTCATCAGCATGGAAATGAAGAGAAACAGACTAAAAGCAAACACTACTAGGAAAGAAGAATTATTAGTGTCCATCCCTGCTTCATTTCATTTTAGGTTTTAAATACCATCAAAACTGAGTTTCCTGTTTTCTGCCTGTAGACTCTGCCCTGACCTAATCTTGAACTTCTTTCCTTCCTTGCTTCCTTCTTTCCTTCTTCACCCCCACAACACTCCAACTATTCATCAGACATTCTGTGAACTACTGGGGCCCCTAAAATGGTAAACAATAGGTCCCTGGCTTCTGATAACTTTCATTCTAGTGGAGAAACTTATAGCTGACTAGATGCCTAGAGAGATATCATATATGGCCTATACAACTCTACCCCTCTTTCCTTTGTAGCGTGCTACAGGACAGAGAGTTGCAGCCTTCATTTCTCAGACTCTGTCAGATTCCATATGTGACCCAGCCTCTGCCAAACAAACGTATGAGTATGATATTTGGACAAGAGAAGTGGTACAAGGGTGACATTGTCAGAGTTGTTTGAACCAGAGTGACTCCATCTTGAAGAGAGGCTGGGTAAAATAAGGCTGAGACCTACAGGGCTGCATTCCCAGGAGGTTAGGCATTCTTTTTTTTTTTTTTTTTTTTTTGAAATGGAGTCTTGCTCTTGTCGCCAGGCTGAAGTGCTTTCTGATCAGTCCTCGGTTTTCTGAGGATGGCACAAGAAATAGCTACCTTGGTAGGCACTTCTGGCAATTATTCTTGGAAGCTCAGCCTGGAGCCTGTTTCCCCAGCCTTTCCAGTAATTTTGAAAGCTCCTAGTTCATTATATTAAATCTCTATAAGTTTAAAGTAGCTAAAGTGGTTTCTTTTATTGGCAACCAAATCCTGGCTGATACAGATGAAACCCTCAATGATTCCTTCTAGCGCCCTGCTTCCTGTATTGTTCCCTAAGTCTCTTTCTTGTCTAAGAGAGCTGGGATCCAACCAGCCAGTGATAACCCTGGAATGCCGCATCGTTACCTGAGTTGCTACTATTCCTCCCCTGTGTGCTTTAATGCTCAGAACTAGGCTCTGGCATGACTTGTTCTGATTGGTCCAACTTTTGGGGAACTAGAGTCTCTCCTGCCCTACCCTGGTGAAGGCTATTCACAAACAGATGTAAATGTGAGCTTAGAAGTACTGACCCCAGCTAGTCGTGGTGGCTCACACCTGTAATCCCAGCACTTAGGGAGGCTGAGGCGGGTGGGATCACCTAAGGTCAGGAGTTTGAGACCGGCCTGGCCAACATGATGAACCCTTGTCTCTACAAAAAATAAAAAATTAGCCGGGTGTGGTGACACGTGCCTGTAGTCCCAGCTACTTGGGAGGTTGAGGCAGAAGAATCACTTGAACCTGGGAGGCGAAGGTTGCAGTGAGCCGAGATCATGCCACTGCACTCCAGCCTGGGCGACAGAAAAAAAAAAAAAGAAGAAGGGCTGACCCCTTACCTACCAATTTTCTGCTTCTATGTTTCATCCACCTGCTTGGGACATGAGGGCTTCCCCTCGAATCTTTGTTGTGCCCTTTGGACAGGGTGCCTTACTGACCTTGCTGCTCCTCCACATGTGTCTCTCTATAACTGGGTCATTTCCTGTAGAGTACTGCTTCCCTTTAGTTGGCCTTAAAAGCTTCCTGGGAATCTAATTTAAAATGTCAGTTCCCCAACCCAATGCTGATTGAGTAGGTTTGAAGTGTGGTGGGAAGTCTGCATTTTTAACAAGAGCCACAAGGCATTCTGACCCACAAGGACCTTGGTCTACACCTTGACAACTCTCTGATGTCAGTGTCTAGCCCATGTTAGTGGGTAGAACAGACAGCAGGTCCTAATTCCTTCCCTCTTCTCTGTACTGTGAGAATGGGAAAAGAGAGAGGTTAAAGATAGCCGCTAGGTTGTAAACTCGCCTGACGGGGATTATGACTTTAGCACTAGCTCACACAGGGAAATTAAGAAGTGAAACCAATCTGTGGAGTAAGATAACGAGTTCCATTTGAGACACGTTGGATTTGATATCCAAGTGAAGTTGTTACATTGTTGGTAGCTAGTAATAGATTTGATGACTCAGGTCTGGAAGTTGATTAGTAATGGATTCTCTGTTGAGACTTCAGAGAATCACTGCTGTAGCTAAATTATTTCATTAATGTGATTCGAACCACGGTCATCCTGAAGATGACATAAATACTGGTATCATGGCTGGATGTGGTGGCTCACGCCTGTAATCCCAGCACTTTGGGAGGCCAAGGCGGGCGGATCACGAGGTCAGGAGTTCCAGACCAGCCTGTGCAACATGGTAAAACCCTGTCTCTACTAAAAATACAAAAATTAGCAAGGCGTGGTGGCACGTGCCTGTAATCCCAGCTACTCGGGAGGCTGAGGCAGGAGAATTGCTTGAACCTGGGAGGCAGAGGTTGCAGTGACCCAAGATCACTCCAGCCTGGGTGACAGAGCGAGACTCGGTAAAACAACAAAAACAACAACAACAGAAAACAAACCTAGTATCATTTCCAGTATGACATGGAGTCTAATATACTTTATATTTCTTACTGGGTTGTAAAGCAGAAAAGTGAAAAGATTTGTGGCAGGAAAGTCCATGTTATAGGTTGCCTAGGAGATGCTTGAGGCCCAGCTCTTTCCCTTAGGGCTCTCCTTCCCCCTCTTAATCCTTCCTCTCCTTTTCTCCAGCCCATTGAGAAATGTATCTTGGTTGTGTAAATTGGAGAAGGAAAGATTATGTAGGATAAGGGTAATAGAGAAGAATAACAACTAAGACTAGGAGTATTATTGTAAATGTTTCAGGTGGCCACAAAACAGCTCAGATAAAAATAATGATGCTCCTGCAGATGTCTCACAGGTCTTTGTGGAAAGGAGAACTCTAGATTTTTCTTCCAACCTTACTGTAAAAGTCCTGTTTCTGCTTTCTCTAGGAGTTAAAGCCACTGTTTAAAGTAGCTTTCAAGCTCTCTTTTCAAGTGAAATCTTATGCAGAAATAGTATTTCATTACTGCACCTGTACTTGATCAACTTCAAATATATACCATTTATTTATTCTAAAGTTGTTGCCTGAGTTCCATGAGAACAATGAGACTATTTTGACGGAGATGAAAGTGTAAAACTACGGTATACGGGCAATGATTATATGTAAGCAAACAAGTTTATTCCCGATTTGTATTGGTTGCATAATATTGATAAAATTCTGATCCATTCAGGATACTTTGCATTTGCAACTTTTTTTTAACAACATATTTTGCAGTCTTAGGATACTGCAGATAAACAGATGTGGTATGAGAACCCTAATTCTGAAATCTACACAAAAATAATTTACCCTTGGTGTCAGTCATAGATACTCACTGAACACTTAGTATGTTTTAGACGCCGAGATTATTTTAGAGAACAAAACAGACACATGGAATTTATAGCTTAAGTTCCATTAGACATAGACAGATAGATATTAAACAAATAATTGTAAGTAATAATAAATATATAAATTACAGGTTGAAAGAAATTCTAAGTATGCTGGGAATGTTTGACAGGGAAACTAATCTTATATAAATGTGGTCGAAGATGTTCTTCCTAAGGAAATGATATTTAGATGGAGACATGGAGAGTGAACAGGCAGAGGTAAGGGGAAAAAAAGTATTCCAGGTAGATGGGTCAGTATGTGTGAAGGCCGAAAGGTGGGAGAGAGCACAGTCTATTCGAGGAACTAAAATTCCACATGGCTTTCCCCCAATAAAGCTGAAGAGAGTGGTGAGCTGTACATAGAGGCCAAATAGTATAGGGCATTTTAGCCAATGCATTAAGGTAATTTGTAGAGTACTAACTGATGGGTTTTTTTAGAGACAGAGTCTCACTCTATTGCCCAGGCTAAAGTGCAGTGGCTCATTGCATAGCTCATTGCGGCCTCAAACTTCTAGGCTCAAGCAATCCTCTTACCTCAGCCTCTCGAGTAACTAGGACTATAGGCTGCCACCATGGCCAGCTAATTTTTTTTAACCTCTTTTTTTTTTAACAACTTTTATTTTAAATTCAAGGGGTGCATGTGCAGGTTTGTTACAAGAGTATATGGCCTGATGCTGAAGTTTGGGGTATGATTGAACCCATCACCTAGGTAGTGAGCATAGTACCCAACAGGTAGTTTTTCAGCCCTCGCCACCCTCCCTCCTCTCTACTGTAGTCCCAGTGTCTGTTGTTTCTGTCTTTATGTCCATATACATCCGATGTTTAGCTCTCACATATGAGTGAGAACATAGGGTATTTAGTTTTCTGTTTCTGCATTAATTTGCTTAGGATAATGGCCTCCAACTGAATCCATGTTGTTGCAAAGAACATGATTTTGTTCTTTTTTTTTTTTTTTTCTTTTGAGACAGAGTCTGGCTCTGTCATCCAGGCTGAAGTGCAGTGGCACAATCTTGCTTCACTGCAACCTCTGCCTCCTGGGTTCAAGTGATTCTTCTGCCTCAGCCTCCCAAGTAGCTGAGATTACAGGCGTGTACCACCACGCCAGGGTAATTTTTGTGTTTTTAGTAGAGATGGGGTTTCACCATGTTGACCAGGCTGGTCTTGAACTCCTGATCTCAAGTGATCCGCCTGCCTTGGCCTCCCAAAGTGCTGGGATTACAGGTGCAAGCCACGACGCCCAGCCGATTTTGTGTGTGTGTGTGTGTGTGTGGTTTTTTTTAATATGGCTGTGTAGTACTCCATAGTATACATGTACCATATTTTTTATCCTCCAGTTCACTATGGATGGGTACCAAGGTTGATTCCCTGTCTTTGCTACTATGAATAGTTAATTTTTAAATTTTTTGTAGATATAGTGTCTTGTTATGTTGCTCAGGCTGGTCTTGAACTCCTGGCCTCAAGTGATCCTCCTGCCTCAGACTCCCAAAGCACTCGTATTACAGGGTATTACAGGCATGGGTCACTGTGCCCAGCCCTAACTGATGTCTTTTTAATCCCAGAACTTTGTAAACCTTAAACCCTTCACCACTTGGGCTGTAAGCCAAGGGGTATTTTTCCCTAAGAGGCAAAGGAAGTATCCCAAAGAAAGCCAAGAACAGAAACTTAAATTTTTTGGCTTTTAAGTTTAAAACAAAAAATTAACAAGCTAGACATTGGAAAAATTTGGACAGTATACTCACTGAGTAAGATTATAGTACAGGGCCTTCATGGGGTGCCTGAGAGTTGGACCTGAGCACAGTCTCACAGTTAAAGATGATCCCAAGTGGACTGGGGAGAGGAGCCATGTTTTCCAAGTTAGAGCAGGCTGACCAGGACCCTGCTGGTGAAATGATGCAAATACCAAGGGCAGCAAGTGTTTAGAGGAGGAGAGATAAGGGATCAGTGTAATAGAGTGGGGTTGGGGACCACCACTTACTATTTCTTGTAGCATCCTGACATATCTATGTTAAGTATTTGGGCCGTATTTGAAAGACAATGGAAAGCCATTGGAGGATTTTAAACAGAAACCTGACTTGATGATATCCCTCTAGCTTGGTATAGAGAATGATATGAAGAGTGTGAGACTGATCTAGAGGGAAACTGTGGAGTTTCCATCTATAGGATGGTAGCAGTGGAGGTGAACAGAAATGGACAGCTTATAGATATCTGTCTTAGTCTTCTTAAGTAGCCATAATAAATACCATAGACTGGTGGCAAAACTATAGACATTTATTTTCTCCCAGTTTGGAAGTCCCAGATTAACATCTGGCACGGTAGGTCAAGCTCTCTTCTTGGCTTTCAGATATCTTCTTGCTGTGGCCCCATATGGCAGGGAGAAAGCAAAACAGAGAAATCTCTTTCTCTTCTTATAAGGTCACAGTCCCATGGGATTAGGGCCCCACATTTTGCCTTATTATATAATCTCCTAAAGACCCCGGACAGAGTTATTTTAGGAGTTAGGGCTTCAATATATGAATTTTGGGAGAACACAATTCGATGCATAGTAATATCTTAACCTTTAGGAGACTGTGCTTGATTGGATATAGGGATGAAGTGGAAGAAAGTGAGAGGAGTCAAGGATAACACTGAGGTTTCTGACTTGAGCAGAATTGATAGTGCCATTTGTGGAGATTGGGATCATTGGAGGTAGAGAAGATTTTAAGGAGAAATGTCTGAACTTAATCTTAAAAATGTTTATTTTGAAGTATTTATGACATATAAAATGGAAATATCAAGTGGGAAGTTGGTTATTTGGGCCTGGAATTCAGAAAAAATATGTGGGGTACAGATGTTGATTTAGGATCCATTGGCCTAGAGATGGTATCTTAGTCTGTTCATGCTGCCATAAGAAAATATCATAGACTGGCTGGCTTATAATCAACAGAAATCTATTTCTTGCAGTTCTGGAGACTGGGAAGTCCAAGATCAAGGCACCAGCAGATTTGGTGTCTAGTGAGAGCCCGCCTCTTGGTTTGTAGACTGTGCCTTTTCACTGTAACCTCACATCATGGAAGGGGTAAAGGAGCTCTCTGAGGTTCCTTTTATAACAGATTAGTGCCATGAGTGCTCCACCATGATGACCTAATCACCTCCCTAAGTCCCCACATCTAAATAACATCACATTGGGGATTAGGTTTCAATATATAAATTTTGGGGGGACATAAACATTCAATCTAGCAGATAGCCATTAAGCCATGGGACTGGGTGAGAGTCCCTAGGGCAGTGGTTCTCAAACCTAAGTGCGCATCAAAATCACTTGGATAGTTTGTTAAAACACAGGTGGATTGGACCCGCCCCAGAGTTTCTAATACCGTTGTACTTTCAGAGGCAGTATGAACATTTTAAGGCTTTTGAAATATACTGGTAAATTTCTTTCTGGAGAGCTCATAGCAATTTATATTTTTACCAGCTGAATACAAGAAAGTCTATTCTCAGCGTACCCTTTCTTGCATTGAATACTGTAATTTTTTAAATATTAGAAGCAAAAAAAAAGATCTCATTGCAATTTTGTTTTGCACATCTTTTTTCTTATCAGTGTGATGGTGAACATTTTTTTCCCCCATCTAAAAATGCTGTTTGCACGTCCTTTGGTTTTTGGTAAGACTTCTCAGTTTTTACATATTTATATTTTAACACATTCATTTGGAAGACCCTTTAATACACCACTGTATTTTATAATAGGCATATTTTGGAGATAATTCCCACTGAATGTATCTAATGTGTATGAATCTTCACAATTAGGCAGGTCTATATATTTACCTTTGTGAATGTGATGAAAAAATACCCTACTACTATTATTCCAAGTTTAGTAACATAAAAATGTGGCCTATGGGCTGGGCGCGGTGGCTCACGCCTGTAATCACAGCACTTTGGGAGGCAGAGGTGGGTGGATCACCTGAGGTCAGGAGTTCGAGACCAGCCTGGCCCACATGGTGTAGCCCCGTCTCTACTAAAAATACAAAAAATTAGCTGGGCATGGTGGTGGGTGCCTGTAATCCCAGCTACTCGGGAGGCTGAGGCAGGAGAATCGCTTGAACCTGGGAGGCAGAGGTTGCAGTGAGCCGAGTTCGCGCCATTGCACTCCAGCCTGGGCAACAAGAGCAAAACTCTGTCTCAAAAAAAAAAAAAAAAATGTGGCCTATGTAGTGCCAGAGACGTTTCCTGGTGTATGTGGGGTAAACAAAAACAAGACATGGTCATTCTAATTGACCCTAGGCTGGCTGTTCTGTGGCCTTGTAAGGGGGTGGGGGCCCAGAGATTCTTCCTCTTTTTCTAAATGTAGAACACACTTGACTGGCTCTGGTAAACTGGACATGACCTAATGTTCCGTCTTACATGATCCCATTGCATGGGAAAGCCAGCCCAAACGCTTAGCCAGACAGCAGTGAAGCTACTGATGATAAAGCCAGATACTGCTGGGAGCTCAGCTGTCTTGTCTCTGTGGCTGTTTACTTTCTGACAGCCTTTTTTAGTCAACAAGGTTAGATGACTTGAACGTATGCCTCAAACACTTACAACTCTTCCCTGGCCTGCAGCATCCCTTGTTAATTTGTTGTAACATCTGCCTTGGCCCCTTGTCTTCACTACTTTTGGCATCTGACAATCTCAAAACAATGAAGCTGGGATTAGGTCTCGTTGGATAGCTGTGAAACAAATGTTCCCAGCATCATCAAATTGCAATTCTTTTCTTTCCTTTTTTTGAGACAGAGTCTCGCTGTGTTGTCCAGGCTGGAGTGCAATGGCGTGATCTCGGCTCACTGCAACCTCCTCCTCCCAGGTTCAAGTGATTCTCCTGCCTCAGCCTCCTGAGTAGCTGGGATTGCAGGCACGTGCCATCACACCCAGCTAATTTTTGTATTTTTAGTAGAGGTGGGGTTTCACTATGTTGTTCAGGCTGGTCTCCAACTCATGGCCTTGTGATCCGCCTGCCTCAGCCTCCCAAAGTGCTGGGATTACAGGCGTGAGCCACCGCGCCTGGCAATCAAATTGCATTTCTTAGTTAAGCACCCACCCTAGAGTTAGTTAATCATAGCTGGAGATATTTTCTGGCCGTTTGGTATAGCCAGCAGATTTTGCAGATAAAATGCACAGGGCATAATATGGCATCATAGCAAGGCCAACTGTCTTCACACCCAAAGGATATGGGATTTTACAATATATTTTCACTCTGAATGGAGGTTTTGGGATCCTCTGGCTCTTCTTATATCAGGTAAAGAGCAGAGTATGGTGGAATGGACTTGAACTCTGAGTTCAGACAGCTCATCTGGAGTTCAGACAGATCAGTCTTCTGAAAGTGACCTGGAGTCACTTTCTTCCTTTCTTAGAATTTGTTCCTTCATTTGTGAAGTGCAGTAATACATGTCTGACAGAGCTATTGTGAAAATGAGGAAACATGCAAAACATATTGCAGGTGCACAAATGTCAGTTCCCTTCCCTTATTGACGAGGAGTTGCCACCACTTTAATGAAAGGGATTTTTAGTGTGACTAGGACTCAAAAGGTAAGTTTTTCTTTAATGAATAGCCTGATTCTTGGACAATAATGGCTCAGCCACAAGAGCTTGAGTAATTGTTTTATAACTTAGACTTCCCTTGGCATGAGGACCCCACCCAGCCCATATGAAAATGAATACCATTAAGCAGCCAAATCTTTCTCCATTTTAATTGAATATTGTGTGTTGAGACCAAGATTCTCAATAAGTCCAAGGACTCTTGTATGTCATGTCCTTAGCATGATAATCTCCCCACTTCTTTTTACAGTCCATACTGATGGAAGAAGATGAGACAGGGAATGTTCCTATTTGGGGCTCCACTGAAAGCCTCTGGTGCAATTTCCTGTAAGGCCTCCACTTTCCCTTTGCTGGAAATTTTTAATAATTAAAGTAATATCATAATTAGAACTTCCAAAATCACAAATTAGAAGTGGCTGGGCTTTAGACCCCCTTGAGTCAAGGCAAGATAGAACAACTCAGCTTAGACATCTGATTGATTACCCATTACCCCCATTCAGTTATTAAAATGGGATCTCTAAGTCTATGAGCAACAAGACATGGTCAGCTTAGTCTCACTGCTATTTACAAGAAAAAAATCTTCCAAATTATTTATGGTTTAACTCTTTTGATCAATTCAGGTTACGTCCTCACACAACCTCCAAACTCTTTTAATTCAAACTTGATGGATGAATTGCTTGAATGTATTTTCCCATGGGTATACTAAATAGAGGTATTATTGTCAAAATTTATAGAAAATACAGTATAATTTTTATATTTTTTATAGTATAATTTTATAAAGTTAGTATGATTACTAACTTTATATAAAAAAAGAATTCCTTCTCTAGGAGGAATTCTCCGCCTTAACTAAATTGGTTATAAGATCCTGGAAAAGAAGGCAGGGATGCTTGGGAAGACCTCTGTCCCAGATTCTAGGGCAGTTACCAATAAGTTTTGTCACACTGGTTGCATCAGAAAATTCTCTAGTCTTCACTTTCTCAATATTAGGGAGTTGAGCAAAGTAATCTCCAGGAGTTCTCCTGTAAATGCAAATTACAGGAACTCATCTATTATATAAACCAAGGCCCAAATTTCTGTCTTGGAAATTCTGAATCTCTCCTTATGAAGTTGTTAGTGGAGTGAGGAATTTCCCAAACTCTATTTCTCATCATTTCTTAGTTTTACCATTAAGTGCCACTGGTAATAGACTTATAAATATTTATTATGACAACAGTAATTTAGCATTAAAGTCAAGGCATATGGAGAAAACAAAAGGTTCAAGTTAAAAGCATGCCTAAATATGTCTCATTTAATGAACTTAATAGACTTGCAGAAGTTTCCCACTAATGTAGTATTGTTTACAACTTATCTCCATAACGTCTATTGAGTTATGCCTTTCCCATTTGATTCAAACTTAGGCAAATTGACATTTGTGAGTACATTTTACTTCCAATCACACCTATCATAGTACATAACTCAAGTCCTAAATTTGAATTAATATTGCGTTAAAATTCCTTGCCTTCTTCTGATACGCTTAAGAAAGATGATGATACTACTCAACTACATTTTTGGACACTTAGGATAACTCTTACTATTTAAAAACAAAACTGAGAACTGAAATTCTACTAACCAGAAGAATTGACTGTAAAAGTGACTCGCCCAATTTGGTGGTCACCCTAGTTTTTAAAAATGAGGTTTGAATGGAAAATTGTAAAAGCAAAAGACTATTAATAATGGCAGGAGGTGGGTGTATGAACAGGTGTAGTAGATTATGGTGCAGATATGTGAAATTGCTGTAATTTTAAAGAACCACATCCCCATTTTTTTGTTACCTTCTTAACAAATGGTGGTTTTATGATTCAGAAAAAGATATGCTAAATATTGAGACGAGACTATCAGAATATTTTGCTTTCAAGAGGGTGGGAAGAGTTCAACTTAAAATGTTAGGACTCAAAAATAAAAATGAGTATTATTTGTTTGAATCTGAATTTTACTGCAGTGAAGGAGATTAAACATTTTCACAAGCATTTATAATGACCATGACCAGAAAGACCTGGCCATTGTGATTTCTTACCTGAGTTTCTGCACCAGCTTGCTAACTGGTTTCCCTGTTTCCAATATTGATTCTCTATTCTGCCAACAAATTGACCTTCTAAAACACAAATCTGATCATGACCTTCTTCTGTTAAAACACCTTTAGTGAATTCCCACTGCCTTCAGAACAAAATTCAAATCTTTAGCATGACATAAAGGGTTCTTCATCATCTGACATCTGCCCTTCTGTTTAGCCTTATCTGCCAGCATGCTTCCTCGCTTCAATATAACTTTTTTTTTTTTTGAGACGGAGTCTTACTCTGTTGCCCAGGCTGGAGGGCAATGGCGTGATCTCGGCTCACTGCAACCTCCTGGGTTCAAGCGAGTCTTGTGCCTTAGCCTCCCAAGTAGCTGAGACTACAGGCATTCACCACCATGCCTGGCTAATTTTTGTATTTTTTAGTAGAGACAAGGTTTCACTATGTTGCCCAGGCTGGTCTCAAACTTCTGACCTTAGGTGATCCGCCTGCCTTGGCCTCCCAAAGTGCTGGGATTACAGGCGTGAGTCATTGTGCCAGCCCAATATAAGTTCTTGGTCATGCTGAACCAATTTTACTTCCCCATACTCACCTCGCTTTGTCATCACACTTTCATAACTCTGCAGATACTGCCCCTCTTTCTTGGACTGACTTTCCTCACTTCATGTGGGAAACTCTTATTCATCCTTTACTCAGCGACCATCTCCTTTCTTGATTTGTACCCACTCCTCCGGTTTGGTGTTAGCCCATTATGCCTGTTGCGTATTCTGATGCATACACCATTGCATACTTCGTCTTACTCTAAATCTTAACTTCTTCACTGCTCTGTAATGCAATTGTCTGTCTTTCTCTAGACTGAGACCTTCTAGAGGAAAGATCTGCGTCTTCTTTATCTTTTTCCCTCAGCACTTATTATAATGCCTGGCACGCAGTAGGCATTCTGTAAATGTATGCTAAAATAATCAATGCATAAATAGTCCAGAAAAGTTCAACATGGACTAACTTTAAAATGAGATTAATTATGACAATTGTTAGTTCAAATTTTTTTAATTAAAAAATTCTTTACTATTAAATCAAGCCAATTTAAGCTTTCTGGGATGATATACAGAGACACACTACACAGCACAATGGTATAGCAGAAAAGAAATTATTTACAAGGATTGTTTAGAGTAAAATCAAATCTCTATTTTAACAAATATATGAGATAAACTATATCTTTATGATTATTTTTTGCTGTAAATGTATTCATACCAGGACAATTGTCACATTTAAAATTCTCTAAATAATTTTGGCACAGGTGAAATCTTCTAACGTTGTTAAGTCCCTAAGCTCTTTTTCTTTCTTTTCTTTTTTTTTGGAGACAGAGTTTTTGCTCTTGTTGCCCAGGCTGGAGTGCAATGGTGCAATCCCGGCTCACCACAACCTCCACCTCCTGGGTTCAAGCGATTCTCCTGCCTCAGCCTCCTGAGTAGCTGGGATTACAGGCATGCGCCTCCACGCCCGGCTAATTTTGTATTTTTAGTTGAGACGGGGTTTCTCCATGTTGGTCAGGCTGGTCTTGAACTCCCAAACTCAGGTGATCTGCCCACCTCAGCCTCCCAAAGTGGTAGGATTACAGGCGTGAGCCACTGCACCTGGCGTTTTCTTTTCTTTTTTTAGACAGGGTCTCTGTCACCCAGGCTGGAGTGCCATGGCATGATTACTGCTCACTGGGGGCTCAACCTGCTGGTCTGAAGCAATCCTCCCATCTCAGCCTCCTGAGTAGCTGGGACTACAGGCACACATCACCATGACCAGTTAATTTTTTACAAATTTTTTTGTAGACACAGGGTTTCCCTGTGTTGCCCAGGCTGGCAACTAGAACTCCTGGGCTCAAGCAATCCTCCTGCCTGAGCCTTCCAAAGTTCTGGGATTACCAGGGTGAGACACTGCATCCAGCCCCTGAGCTCTTTCGACAGGCTGATTGTTTTGTGTCAGCCTCTTCTCCAGCCGCCTCAGCCCATTCTCTTCAGAATGACTTGCTACCGGCCCTGGCTTCACAGCTACTTTTATTATACTTCCCCCTCACTTTAACTCTAGATGAAAGTTTAATGCTCCAACCTTTCTAGCCAACTGTGCTCTGCAGAAACCAGGCAGCTTTTCTGACACAAAGACTTAGAGTCCTTGCTCCAAAGAGGGCCCTGTACAATTTTCCTGGTGCTTATTGACAAATAAGAGGAACCAGATAGTGTCAATTTTGCGCATTCTTCTTCTTATTACTAAAATTGCCTATAGTGGCCAGTGTTTTAAAGTCTCCAAAGTATGTCTCAGATGCTCATCTAAACACTGGATGGCAAAGAGGTCACCACCCGTGTCAGGCTTATTGGCAAACAAATGGTGCTTGCACAGTGTCCAGTTCAAGGTGCCAGCTCCGAAAAGGCACACTGAGCGCACATGGGCCCTACTGCAGGTGGGTAAAGAGTGCTTCAAAGTGCTGCCACCTGACAAACCTAGAAGCTGCATGCATGTCAGAAGAGTCATACTTACGGCTTAAGGAGAGTGAGCTGGGGACTTCGGGAATCCTTTGAACAGTGGCCTAGAGATACTTGCTGTATGTGTCTTGGGCCTACTCCATAAACTTTTAAATTTTTTTCATTCTCTAGCATATACCCCACGTCCTCCCTACTGACCACAAAATAGGCACTGCCTGAAAAAAGAGATGTTTCGAGTGGAGGACACATTTTGACAGTCCCCATGTTTGTCAGCTTTCCACTAATAACTGCATGCCCTCTTTTCCACTTTTCTTCCTTATTGACTAGCATCGTCTCAGTTTCCAGGTTGTTTCCACCCATTAATGACTTGAGCTTCCTGAAAATTTCCAGGTTGGTTTGAATAGCAAAATCCATACCATAAAGATTCATCAAGTACCCTAGTCTGTACTCATTGTGTAGAGGTCCTTCATGCAGTTGAGGTCAGCCTGAACCACTCCACAGGAATGCAAAAACCACACCCTCAGCCCCTCAAGGCTTCTGTCAGGCAGAAGCAGCACAGTAGGGCACCTTCTTGCACCTCCAGGGCCAGACTTTCACTCCAGCACTTTCTCTCCATGCAGAGTAAAGCACGGGTACGGTAATGGGTGCCAGATGTCACCTGGAATCAGAACACTAAATGATCCAGACTTTCCTTAATTCTAAATGTGCTGTTCTTTATTTTAATATACCTTTGCACTTCTGATACATGCAAACTGACAACCTTCAAGGCCATGAAGGAGGAACATCTGTTGGTGCTTGAAGCCTAGAAGACTGCCCTTAACAACAACAACAGAAGTCCCTGATTGTTGTTTGAAATGCTGAGGAAGTTGCTGTGGAGGAGACTTTTTTTCTTTTTTCTTTCTTTTTTTTTTTTTTGAGACGAAGTCTCACTCTGTCGTCCAGGCTGGAGTGCAGCGGCGCGATCTTGGCTCACTGCAACCTCTGCCTCTCTGGTTCAAGCGCCACGCTTGGCTAATTTTTGTGTTTTTAGTAGAGACGGGGTTTCACTATGTTGACCATGCTGGTCTCGAACTTCTGACCTCAGGTGATCCACTTGCCTCAGCCTCCCCAAATGTTGGGATGACAGGTGTGAGCCACCGTGCTCGGCCAGGATAGATTTTATTTTCTAAGCTCCGGAGCTTTTGATATGCCTTTGGAGAAGTTCACACCAATTCCAAACAGGTTAAAAATGTTATACAAAGTTAGTGCATGTAATAAGTTCTAAATAAATTTGAATGTTATATAAGGTTCAATATATGTAATATTGTATTGAACAATACAATTAGAAGTAGATGATTTTTATTTATAGGAAATCATTTTACTGCATTGATTATTGTAGATTTATCTAGGAGAATGTTGGCAAAGGTCACATTAGTAACTGAAATCTAAAAGACTCCAAAGCCTAAATTAAGATAATGACTTACGTTTTCTTATTGCAACTTTTTGATCAAACCGGTTGCAATGCTTCTCTTCCTGTTCTTCCTGCCCTCTGGTGGAGGTGCTAACCATCAGGCCAGGAGATAAGCAAGAGCCATAAAAGAGAATAGTGAAAAAGATCAAGGTAAGCCTAAATGGCAAGCCACTCCTGAATAATTGAAGAGCCACTGTTTACCTAGAACAAACCTCTGTTCCTTGTTTTTTCCAACGTTAAATAGGGACAACAATATTTACCATAATTCCCAATATTTACTATTATTCCCAAGCTGGTACCTTTCCATAGGTACTGCTTTCTACCTTTGGTCTTGCAGACCTGGCTAATTCCCACACAAAGGAAACCATTCTCCTACTGTGGCCTCTTCTATGCCTGGAAAAGACTGCAGGTTGGTACAGTATAAAAAGCAGTGGACTCCATCGTGTTGGGTGTTTAGGTCGCCATTCCATCACTTGACTCTTCAGAGTCCTTTCGATCCTATTCCTTAGATCAACAATGTACTTTTATTTTGTGACAAATCCTTCCTAAGCTGGAACTTGGCATAGGAAGCTTTGTTTCATTGAAGGAGATAATGAATTTGAAAGAATACTACAATTTTATTGGGTTTGTATATGATTTAATGCATTAATGACATTTATTTTATTTATGTTGTTAATTGCTAAATAATAGCAATCTTAAATATTTCTGAAACGCCTTTTATCTTGATCCTGAAAGATAGTTGCTATAGCATTAAAATACACTTAGTTAAGAAAAAAAAAAAAAGCAGTGGACCAGGAAGTGAGGGTTCTGTTTCCAGCTCTGGCTCTTGCTAGTGGCTTGGATGCCCTTGGGTAAGTCTCTTAACCTCCCTGAGACTGGGTTTCTTCATCTGTAAGTTAAGAATTATGATATTAATGGGTCTATTGTGAGGTTCAAATGAAGTAATGGTAGTTAAAGTGCTTTGTAAACAATAAAGCACCCTACAGAACTAGGTAATATTAATGCAGTGTTGACAACTCTTCTCTGAATCAACATTTAACTTGACTTGGTTGTCTGTGTACTTTAAAATGAGAAATAATGGTTTATCCTTTTAATCTTTAGCAAATAAACGAAGCCTTTGGTCTCGGATCCATAGAAAAAGCAAATTCTATGTCCTGATGTGATCCAAGTCTGTGTGTGGACTCTCTAGATCCTGCTTCATTTTTGTTTTAATTATAGCATTGAAAGAGTGGAAGGTTTAAAATTACACCTTTCAGAACTACTCATTATTTAGTGACTCTACATTTCAAATAGATTGCTCATGTCTTTAAAATATATGATCGGGTTCTTTTATTGTTACCTTGGCCTAACTATACGTTTATTGACATAGTGATGATAATGGTTTTTAGTTTTTGTTTTTAACATTTCCTTGAAGCTGTGATAATTTAGAAGATTTAAATATTTAGACATATTAAATGTTTAAGTTGCTTACACATTTTATTCTGTGTGGCTGAGGATGATTGCGAAATACATAGAATTATGTAACTAGAAGAGTTGAGAGTTCTGCACTTCTTTCTCTGCTACACACACAGTCTCTCATCCCTCTTCCCATCCCACTTTCTTAGGATATACTAGAAGAAAAACAAAAAAGGTGCTTATCTGAAAAAGATAAAACTGTCAAAGGTACCTGGTCCAAGTCACCATTATTCTTGGCTAGGTATTTACAATAGCCTCCTATCTGGTTTTCCCACTTCAATCTGTTCTTAAAATAGCAACCAGTGGGCACGGTGGCTCACACCTGAAATCCCAGCACTTTGGGAGGCTGAGGTGGGAGGATCGCTTGAGTCCAGGAGTTTGAGACCAGTCTGGGCAACAAAGCAAGACCGTGTCTCTACAAGAGAAAAAAAAATTAGCTGACTGTGATGGTGTGTGCCTGTAATACCAGCTACTTGGGAGGCTGAGGTGGGAGGATTGCTTGAGCCTGGGAGGTTGAGGCTGCAGTGAGCCAAGACTACCCTACTGCACTCAGCCTGGGCAACAGAGTAAGACCCTGTCTCAAAAAAATACATCTATATCTATATAAATACAGGTATAGATATATCATTCATAGATAGATAGTTACATAGATAGATAGATGAATAGATTCAGCCAGAATGATAAAATCCATGTCAGATAATGTCACTTATCTGCTCAAAAACCTCCGAAGGCCTTTACTCCTCTGTCTTCTTTTCCTCCCCACTCCTGACTCCCTCAGCACAGCCATACTGGCCTCCTTGACCGCACCAGGGCCATGTCAGCCTCAGAGCCTTGCTGTGAAATGCTCTTTCCTCAGATACTTGAATAAGTAGCTTATTCACCTCCTTCAGGTCTAATTATCTCCCCAGTGGTCTTCTCTGTCCCATCTGTTAAAACGGCAGCTCTCACCCCACCTTTTATCCCTTCCTCTATAGTGCTTATCACCATCTGACACACAATATGTTTACTTACTTCTTTTGTTTATTGTCTGTCTGCCTTTCTAGAATGTAAGGCCATGAGGGCAAGGGTCTTGTCTGTTTTGTTAACTGCTGTATCCTCAACACCCCGAAGAGTTCCTGGCTTGTAGCAAGTGCTCCATAAATGTTAGCTGAATGAATGAATGAAACAAAGATAAGTCGTGGTCTTATTTGATTTGCAACACTATAAAAATTGTGAAATTTTCATCAAAACAAAAAAACGCTATGAACTTTTTGATATCTTCCAATAATGAGACCTATTATAACATCCAAGGCATTAGTGTCCTTCTCTTTCATATCCTCCCCCTCCCAAACATTTTGACCATTCTATGTTTCTAGAATTGAGATCTATTTTAATCCATTACTGTTCTTTTAAGTATAATTGTGTAAACCACTCACAATTTGTCACGAAAGGAGGAAAGAATTGAATAATAATGAAATACTTGTTGTTCGTTTTTCTTTGACACTTTAATCTCTTGATGATGTTAGTTTTGGCCATTCATTTTCTGACTTCTCTTTCTCCCCCATCTCCAAAATATACATATTACCAAAGGATCTTGCTTGGATTTCTTATCTTGCTTTGCATGTTCTCTGTTAGAAGTCGTATCAACTGTTATGGCTTCCGTTGTCTCCTTGTCTTAGATTATGCTCATATTTATAAGCCTAATTTTGACATTTCTTATTGGCCCTAATTTTATGTTTCCCTTGCTGGGCCATCTTTCAAGTTCTCAAACCTTTTATGTCTAAACCAACCGGGCACAGTGGTTCACGCCTATAATCCCAGCGCTTTGGGAGAATCATTTGAGCTCAGGAGTTCAAGACCAGCCTGGGCAATAAAGGGAGACCCCGTCTCTACAAAAAATTGAAAAATTAGCTGGGCGTGGTGGTGTGTGCCTGTGGTCTCAGCTACTTGGGAGGCTGAGGTGGGAGGGTCACTTGAGTCCAGGAGGTTGAGGCTGCAGTGAGCTGTGATCATGCCACGACACTCAAGACTGGGAGATAGACTGAGACCTTGTCTCAAAAACAACAACAAAAAACTGGCTCCTGTTCCAGTAATTCGTTTCTGTTAATGACCCTGCTTACTTCTAAATTTGGAAATGTTTTTAAGGCTTGTAATCTTTTATGAGTTTCTTCATATTGTCAAGCCTTGTTGCTTATACTTCTCGAATATCAGCTGATTCATTTCCTTTTTTGCTTTCATTAGATTTGGGACGGGGCCTGAGATTCTGTATTTCTAATATGTTTCTGTATCAAGCTAATGTTTCTGGTCCATTGACTACACTTGGAGTAGCAAGGTCCTGCTCTAAGATAATGATGTCCATCTGAACCTAGTCTTCCACTTTCTATTCCATAGCTATATCTAAGAAAGACTCAATTCTTTCAAGAATAGAGATCTGATATTGCTCAGTCTTGTTTTTTTCTATGTCACAAAAGATTTGGAAAGTTATAGACAGAAGATGAAACACTCAAATCAGCCATAATGGTCAATTCAGAATCAATCATGAACAGTTTGATGTGTATCCTTTTACTCCTTTCTTTATTTGAGTGAAAATACACATTCATGTTGTATCTGTATTTTTAAAACCAAAAAGGATCCTTTATCTTCTTTAAATTACCTAATGTATAAATTTGCTTTCTAAGTTTGTTGACTCCCCCATCTTATAAAGTAAAATCTACCTTTTCTTTCTTTCTTTTTTTTTTTTTAAAGAGAGGGTCTCACTCTGTTTCCCAGGCTGGTGTGCAATGGTGCAATCATGGTTCACTGCAGCCTCAACCTCCCAGGCTCAAGCAATTCCCCACCTCAGCCTCCTGAGTAGCTTGAGACTACATGTGTATATCAGCACGCCCAGCTAATATTTATTTATTTATTTATTTATTTATTTATTTATTGAGACCAAGTCTCGCACTGTCATCTGCACTGGAGTGAAGTGGCCCGTGATCTTGGCTCACTGCAACCTCCGTCTCCTGGGTTCGAGCGATTCTCCTGCCTCAGCCTCCTGGGTAGCTGGGATTACAGGCACGCCCCACCACACCCTGCTAATTTTTGTATTTTTAGTAGAGACGAGGTTTCACCATGTTGGCCAGGATGGTCTCAATCTCTTGACCTCATGATCTGCCCACTTTGGCCTCCCAAAGTGCTGGGATTACAGGCATGAGCCACCGCGCCCAGCCAATTTTTGTATTTTGTAAAATATATAATTTTTGTATATTTTAGAGTTTCGCCATGTTGCCCAGGCTGTCTTGAACTCCTGAGCTCAAGCCTGCCTCAGCCTCCCAATGTGCTAGGATTTCAGGCATGAACCACTATGTCCGGCCAAAATTTGCCTTTTCTATAGAATAAAAACACCCAATGCTGTTTTTTTCTCAACCTCTTTAGCTGCTTTTGGGGACTTGGTGCAGCCAAGCAGATGAATCCTCTGTTGACTTTGGTTCGGGGCTGGTGACTCAGAGCATCAGGGATGATGCAGAATCCGCTCTGGCCAGGGCCACAGCAGCAATAGCAGCTGCATCTGGTTCCCAGTGGCAGCAGACACAGCTGTTCTGAGGCAATATGCAGGGTCCAGCTCCCAAAGACTTGGCAGTGCAAGCCATGGGGTCAGTGCTTGGCAGCTGGAGTGGTGACTTCATGGACCAGCTCTGCAGAAGGCTTTGGGTATGGTTCTTGCCTGGATAGTTCTCTTCCCACCTTTGTTTCTTAAATTAGCTTCAAAGTTGACTTCATACACAGGTAACAAATACTAATGATATTAACAATAACTGACTCTTAGGTAGTGCTTACTATGTGCCGGGCAAATTTCTAAGGACTTTATGTGTATTAACTCATTTAATCTTTTACAAAACTCTAATGAGTTACGGACTGGTGTTATCCCCATTTTATAGACAAAACAGTTACAGGGAGGTTAGGTTACTTGTCCAAGGTCCAATGACTATAACTGGTAGCTCTGAAACTCAAACCTAGTCAGTCTGATCTAGTTCTTAAGAGCCTTGACTGATACGCGTACTGTTTTGCAACCTAATTTTTTCATGTAACAAAATTTCTTGAGCATTTCCATGTCATTAAATATTTATTTAAGCATTTAAAGTAGCTGTGTAATGTTCAATTATAAGGATGATTCATGTTTTATTTACACAACTCTCTACTGTAGAACATCAAGGAAATCCTGGTGGCTAAACTTTTTTTTTTTTTGAGATGGAGTCTTGCTCTGTCGCTCAGGCTGGAGTGCAATGGTGTGATTTCAGCTCACTGCAACCTCTGCTTCCCGGATTCAAGCAAGTCTTCTGCCACAGCCTCCCGAGTAGCTGAGACTACAGGTGCATGCCACCACACCCGGCTAACTTTTGTACTTTTAGTAGTGATAGGGTTTTGCCATTTTGGGCAGGCTGGTCTTGAACTCCTGGCCTCAAGCGATCCACCCACCTCGGCCTCCAAGTTGTTTTGTTTGTTTTTAATATCCATGAGTTTTTCCTTGGGATAAAGTCTTCAAAGTGGAATGCTAGGTCACGGTGTATTCAAATCGCCTTCCTGAAAGTTTATTCCAATTTACACACCCAGCCACGGAGGGAAACATCCTGTTTTCCTGAGTCCTTATTGACATTGAATGTTAACATTAAATTGTTTTCCTTTGTGGCACTGAAAATGATACATAGTTTTCTTTAAACTTGAAATTATTTAAACATTTAAACATACGTTTATTGGTTATTTGTTCAAAGTTATTTTATGAATTGCCTTTTCCATCACCTATAGAATAAAGCTGAAACTACTTCAGTTCAAAGCTCTTCCAACTCTGACTCAAACTACTTTTCTAACTAATTCTCCTACAGTTTCTAAACATTCATTTGGGACACTCAAGGGGATTATTTTGTTTTCGATTGGACCATATGAATATATATTTTTCTAGGCCAAAAAATTGTTGACTATTGATAGTTTGATATGGTGAAAACTTATAAATCTCCAAAACCTTTGCTGTGACACTACAGTACTTTCCACAAATGCCTGTTGCCCGTCTCTGCTTGGTGAAATCCTGCTAGTTCTTTACAAGGTGGAGTTCATGAATCAGGTCCTCTCCCTCCAATTCCCTTGCCACCCCTCTCCAGGTTCTCCTCTCACCCCCAGCTTAGGCAACTGTAGATCATTTCTTTTCACAATTTCAACTCTCATTCTTTCCTCTCACAGCTGTGGAATGATCTCAGGGTATTGCAGCTGAATAACAAGTTTTCATTTGCCTAGCAGAGGGTGAGCCCTCTGTTGCTCTTCTCTGGCAGAGGCTGTCTTATTTATTTTGGCAGCCTCAGAGACAAGCAAAGTTCCCGGCTTATAGTGGGTGCACAAAAATATCTGTTGAATTGAAGAACTAGTAACTTTAGGGACGAGGAAGTGCCTTATTAGTGCAATACTACTTGCAGTTTCCTTCCATGTTAAATAGGAAGAGCATGTGTAACACCTTCTAATATCTTCTAATTTGGTTGCTTGGTATTTTGTTTGGAATTGGTCCTCCTTATTTTGAATCCTGCATCTTTCTAATTCATCTTTTCCTGTATTTTCAGATGTTGTAATTATATTGCAGTTCAACAGAATTATTTTATTCCATGGTACAATTCCCAAGAGCAAAACAGCACAATTCTCTAACTGGCTAAATAACAAATCAGCATACTTTCCAAGGACTATATTCTGTGTTTTTTCCTTTTAATCAAATCCATCTTTTCTGTCAGTTGGACTTTCAGGAGCTTTTAGTGACTTCTGGGGAATACCAGTGCTATAGACAGTGTAGCTTCAGGAAACATTAAAAGTAAAAATATTTTAAAAAATTCATTCAAAACATTTAAAAGGAATCTTACTGAGACAGTCTTCTGTTTATATAAGGGATACACTGCACAATTAACTTAAGGTATACTTACAGGAAGAAAATCATGAAATTATAGAACTTTAAAGCTAGAAGAGACCCCCAAAGCGTTTCAGTATGTGCTCTTTGGTGAAAAAATACCAAATAGGAGTTGGGGAGAGAATAGTTTGAGCTTAACTTTGGCTCCATATTCCCTCTCCAGTTAATTTGAGTGAAGTTCCAACTCTTGCTCATCTTTTCTACCTGCATATCCTGCCCTAGTCATTCCTGGAATGAGTTCAGGTAGAAGCAGCTGCAATGCCAGGCCTCTTTTGTGTTTATATTCGGGGAGACTGGGCGTTGCTTTATGTATTCTTCATCCCCTCTTTTCCCCTAGACATTTTGCCAGCTCTGGCCTTTTCTTTCCTGCTTGCCCATTAGGCAAGAATGTGCTCAGTATTTTGCCTTTTCTAAGTGGGCTTCTCTAACTAGGAAACTAGTTCAATGAACAGGTCCAAAGAGCCAGAAGAACTGCGTAAGATTTTGTAAAATGTGAATGGGGTATTATAATTTAAAAGACAGATTATAACAAGTGTTGATGAGAATGTGGAGAAACTGGAACCCTCATACACTGCTGGTGGGTTGAAAAATGGTGCAGCCACTTTGGAAAACAGTCTGGCAGTTCTTCAAATAGTTAAGCATAGAGTTGCCATATGATCAAGCAATTCTACTCTTAGGTGTACTCAAGAGAAATTAAAACATATGTCCAGGCCGGGCATGGTGGCTTATGCCTGTAATCCCAGCACTTTGGGAGGCTATGGCGGGCAGATCATGAGGTCAAGAGATCGAGACCATCCTGGCTAACATGGTGAAACCCTGTCTCTACTAAAAATACAAAAAAAATTAGCTAGGCTGGTGGCATACACCTGTAGTCCCAGCTACTTGGGAAGCTGAGTCAGGAGAATCACTTGAACCCAGGAGACAGAGGTTGCAGTGAGCCGAGATCGCACTACTGCACTCTAGCCTGGCGAAAGAGCGAGACTCCATCTCAAAACAAAACCAAAACCAAACAAACAAAAAATACGTCCATAGAAGAGTTTATACATGAATGCTCATAGTAGTGATATTCATAATAATCAAAGAGTAGAAGCAATCTAAATTTCCATCAACTGATGGATGGATGTTGTATGTCTATAAAATAGAATACTATTCACGAATTAAAAGAAATGAAATACTGATACATGCTGCAATATGGATGAACCTTGAAAACAAGTTAAGTAAAAGAAGCGAGTCACAAAGGACCATATGTTGTGTGATTCTGTTTATATGAAATGCCCAGATAGGTAACTCTATAAAGACAGAAAATAGATTAGCAGTTGCCTGCAATGATGGTGGGAGGAGTGGAGCTTCTTTTTCAGGTAATGAAAATGTTCTAAAATTGATTGTGGTGGTAGATGTGTAAATCTGTGAATATACTAAAAGCCATCAGATTGTACACTTGAAGTGGGTGCATTGTACAGTCTGTGAATTATATTGCAATAAAGCTGTAAACAAATTAAAAGAATGGGTATTTTTTTTATATGTAATTTTGTTTCCTGGTACTTTTCTGGCTAGCTGGAGATTCCCATGCCAAATTTCAGACTTACTTTGTTCTTTGATTCTACTTGAAGTCCAGCCAATAGCTCATTAGCTATTAGCAGGGTGGGAATTTGACTCACAATGCAACTTAGACATGAAGATAAAATATAAGTTCTTTATTTAGTTTATAACCAATCTGGCTTTCCTCCTGAGTCCTTAACTGTGGATAGTGGGAAAAATAAATGACATATGTAATTCCCAATGTCTGGGAAAACCACTATGATGGAACTATGATGGAAGGAATGGCTGGGACTAATTTATCTGCAGCTAACACACACTATTCTTGCTGCAGCTATATTCACTCAAATGACTAACGCACAGGACGGTCAGCGTGGGGCTTCATATGCATGGTTCTGAATTCTTGTCTTTTTTTTTTTTTTTTGAAACAGAGTCTCTCACTGTCGCCTGGGCTGGAGTGCAGTGGCGCGATCTCGGCTCACTGCAACCTAGGCCTGTTCAAGCAATTCTCTTGCCTCAGCATCCTGAGCAGCTGGGATTACAGGTGCCCGCCACCACATCCAGCTAATTTTTTGTATTTTTAGTAGAGACGGGGTTTCACCATTTTGGCCAGGCTGGCCTCAAACTCCTGACCTTGTGATTCACCCGTCTCGGCCTCCCAAAGTGCTGGGATTACAGGCTTGAGCCACCGCGCCCAGCCCTTCTTGTCTTGATTCTATGCTTTCTTTTGGCCTTCGTTATTCATGTGATTCAAGGCTTGCTTTGAACTCCTGGATGTGTGTGCTCCATAACTCATGAAAGCTCTTTTGACTTCTAACTATTGGCTCTGTCTTGACCACTGGTTTCCAGGCAATGTCAGTGTCTCTGGGTTTGCTGCAGTCCTGTAGCTGTTCACAAAGCTTCATTGTTTTGGTCTCTATCATGGCATCTGATCCCATGTCTATGATCAGTAGCTAGCTAGGGTGATAAAATAACTGTTTTGTGGGTTCCTGAAGCATTAGATCTTAGCAGAATACATACGCTTATTTCCTTCTTCTGAAACAATATTTAAAAGCACTGTAAAATGTTTGAAATAAAATTTGCCCTGTTTTTATAATTTTTTATTGATGATGCTATGAGTATTTATTTTACTTTTTAAGCTGCATTTGTTTGTATGTTTGTTCTTTTGGAAAGAGGACTCTCTGGCTATTGGTGCTTTGAATGGAGGGAGGTACAAAATCATATTATATTGTTGGCTAAGGGATGAGATAAATTGAGATGTGTATTTGTTTCTCAAATTGTTTTATTCTTGGTCTAACTAAATCAGTGATGTGACACTTCAGAAAGGAATTCGGAGCACTTACTGGTGACTTATATTCTGAAGGACTGTGACTTCTACAGTGAAAAATATTTCAAAATTGGCATTCATTCAGGACTGAATCTTAGCTTTGATATAGTATCTGATATAGCCCCAATGTCTAGGAGGTAATTTTTATTACAAAAAAATACTTTATTTTGGAAAAAATAGAAATTTTAAGAATATTTAACATAATCTGAATGCATATTGAGTTTACAAAGGAACCAACTTGATTAAAAAATATTTGACTATTAAATGTGTAAGAATGTGAGCCTGTATCTATTATATGAGTTTTTATTCAATAAAAATCATCTGTGTCTATTGTATACATATGTATACAAATATAAAATTTCAGGGAAACATACACGCATACACAAATATATTTATTTATTTATTCTTAGGTATGTTGGCCCAGGATTCTACTGGATATAATTTTTGCATTATTACCTTAATCAAATCATACCTGTTAATTCATAAATGTTAACCTTAGAAGTGAAAGGTTGATAATGAAAATCTTTCAAAAGTGTACGATTTTGGCCAGGCACAGTGGCTCATGCCTGTAATCCTAGCACTTTAGGAGGCCGAGGTGGATAGATCACAAGGTCAGGAGATCGAGACCATCCTGGCTAACATGGTTAAACCCCATCTCTACTAAAAATACAAAAAATTAACCAGGCGTGGTGGCCTGAAGTCCATGCGCCTGTAGTCCCAGCTACTTGGGAGGCTGAGGTGGGAGGATGGGGTGAACCCGGGAGGTGGAAGTTGCAGTAAGCCAAAATCGTGCCACTGCACTCTAGCCTGGGTGACAGAGCGAGACTCCGTTTCAAAAAAAAAAAAAGTGTAGTATTTTGATTATTTATTGACTTATTCCGATATTTCAAAGTATTAACAGCTGTAAAAAAATGTGTAAGTTGTTTGTAACAACTCTTAAGGCAGTTGTAGAAGAAATGCTACTAAAACATGAGGTAAAATTACACAGATCACTAGACCCGAGAAAATGCAATGATATAGACAAACAATAGTCAAGAAAGAAAAGGAAGAATAATTGGAAATGAGAAGAAAAGTGAAACATCAAAGGATTAATCTAGCCGAAGCCCTGGAGAGATCACTGACCATCAGTCAATAAGAGTATGACATAGGAAGGCCGGGTGCAGCAGTCACACCTGTAAATCCCAGTATCTTGGGAGGTCAAGGTGGGCAGATTACCTGAGGTCAGGAGTTCAAGACCAGCCTGGCCAACATGGTAAAACCCTGTCTCCACTAAAAATACAAAAATTAGCCAGGTGTGGTGGTGCATGCCTGTACTCCCAGCTAGTCAGGAGGCTGAGGCAGGAGAATCGCTTCAACCCGGGAGGCAGAGGCTGCAGTGAGCTGAGCTGGTGCCACTGCACTCCAGCCTGAGTGACAGAGTGAGACTCCATCTCAAAAAAAAAAAAAAAAAAAAAAAGTATAACATAGAAAAAGGATGTTATAATTGTAAGCACTGCAATGACTTCATATATTAGTCTCACATCACTTATGCCTCTCATTCCATTTGATCTGACTGAGATATAGATTAGACTGTTGTATCAAATGGGGCCAACATACAATGACAAACAAGTAAAAGTCCAAGGTCTGTAAGGTGGCTTGGCAGTGTCTAGACCCAAGGCTGCTTCTAACTTGTGGTGTTACCATTTGGAAGGTGTTGTCTTCATCATCCACACTACTGAAGATGGCTCACTGCCATGTCAACTGGGTTTGTCAGAGGCATTTGAACCGGAGCAACTCCATCTTGAGTAGGAACTGGGTAAAATAAGGCTGAAACCTACTGGGCTGCATTTCTAGATGGTCAGGCATTCTAAGTCATAGGATGAGATAGGAGGTTGGCACAAGATTCAGGTCATAAAGACCTTTCTGATAAAACAGGTTGCAGTAAAGAAGCCGGCTAAAACCCACCAAAACCAAGATGGCCATGAGAGTGATCTCTGGTTGTCCTCACTGCTACACTCCCACCAGCACCATGACAGTTTACAAATGCCATGGCAACATCAGGAAGTTACCCTATATGGTCTGAAAAGGGGAGGCATGAATAATCCACCCCTTGTTTAGCATATAATCAAGAAATAACCATAAAAATGGACAACCAGCAGCCCTGAGGAATGGCCATTCTTTTATTCCTTTACTTTCTGAATAAACTCGCTTTCCCTTTACTCTATGGACTTGCCCTGAATTATTTCTTGCGCAAGATCCAAGAACCCTCTCTTGGGGTCTGGATTCGGACCCTTTTCCTGTAACACGTTCACATTGCAGTCTGTGAGAAAGAGAAGAGGGAATCAGAAGGCCTTATGAAACCTGACACAGGGAATGAAAGGGAAAGAAGCTTGACCAGCTGTCCAATGTTTTAAGAGTCATTAGATTTTGGGACTGAAACAGGCTCCTAAGGAATGCTGTGTCTTTCTAGGAAAAAAATAATCAGTCTCTGAGATGCCCTCACCCATCCTGTTTCTGTCCCTAAGAAGATGCCCTGGTGTGAAGGGAAGAGGGTTGTGGTTTATGTCCCCACTGATGTGGGATGAGTTGGGGAGATTTGGCTGCTCACCAGGTTTGATGATGTCTTTCCTGAGCACTACATGAAAATCAAGGGGGGAAAAAAAAGAAAAAATCAAGGAGACTCCTTTAACCTTGGCATTATTTGGATTTCTTCAACACAGTGGTTCTCAAAGCATAGTCCCTGGGTCAGCAGCATTAGCAACATCTGGGAACTTGTGAGATATGCAAGTCCTACTTCAGATTTAATGAATCAAGAATTCTGGAGGTGGGGTTCTGACAACTGTGTTTTAAAAGGCACTCTAGGTGATTTGAGGCCCATTAAAGTTTGAGAACCACAGATTTAATCCAATTCACAGAGAGGCGAAATCAGAATATATGTCTGACTAACTCTTCTTTTCTTTTGCTCTCTTGCTACTTCTCTTTCTTCTTTTCACAATTTCCTGGGACTTGAGAGAAGCAAACTTTTCTTTTGCTTCCCCTAACGTAGCATCCTACTTCCATAAAGCATGAACCCTTATATCAACACATGTAAAACAAGCCAACAAACAAAAAGGCAGTGAGAATGAGCCTTGTGGGTTTGGTCAGGGAGAGGGGAGGAAATAAGGTATTTGGAAGATAACCTAGATTGTTACATGATCCTATTTTGAATGCAAGAAGCTGAGTATTTCTTTTGTCTTTGTATTTCTTAAGATATGCTTATTTTCAGCCCTCTCCCCTGAAACGAATAGCATGAAATAACATGTCAAGGAACTTGTTCTCAGAGCAGTAAGAGAAGACCGTATTATTTTCAAAGTATTGGAGGCCAGGCGGTGGCTCATGCCTGTAATTCCAGCTTTTAGGGAGGCAGAAGTGGGAGGAGAGCTTAAGCCCAGGAGTTCGAGACCTGCCTGGGCAATATAGGGTTATCCCGTTCTCCACAAAAAGGAAAAAAAAGTATTGTATTACCCAGTTACACACATACTCACTTTTGCCAGGAGCCTACCTTCAAATTTGATGAGAACGATGAGAAGGACTGGCTGCTGCTCTTATATGCTCCACAGGAAGAAATGGTACTAGGCAACAAAAACAGAATAAAGTCAAGAATGCAGAATATCTATTTCTGGCTGTTTCTGTCCCAGCAACTTCAATGAAATGCAGAGTTTCCTCTGATTATAAAATAGAGATAATATTCTGAATGCAATGTCACATAAAAAGACATTTATTTTTACCCCTTCCTCTGTCTTGAATGGTAATTTATCTTCATTCTCAATGAATATTGGAATTTATATTGCCCAAATAGAAAAGATTGCAGTTTTCACTCATTTAGTGGTAGTATATTTTCTTGGGAGAGAGTTGCCTAGTAAGCAAAAAATGTGTGGGATGTTAAACTTTTTTTTTTTTTTCTGAGATGGAGTCTCACTGTGTCACCCAGGCTGGAGTGCAGTGGTGTTATCTCAGCTCACTGCAAGCTCTGCCTCCCGGGTTCATGCCATTCTCCTGCCTCAGCCTCCCAAGTAGCTGGGACTACAGGCACCCATCACCACGCCCAGCTAATTTTTTGTATTTTTAGTAGAGATGGGGTTTCGCATATTCGCCAGGATGGTCTCGATCTCCTGACCTCATGATCCGCCAGCCTCGGCCTCCCAAAGTGTTGGTATTACAGGCGTGAGCCACTGCGCCTGGCCGGGAAGTTAAGTTTTTATAATTATTTAAAAGAAATAACTTTAAGTATGCTACATTAACATGGTTGTAAATTGGAAGTTGTCATTTTTCCGAATGGGGAGCTTACAGAGAAAGAGACATGACTCTTGCTTCCATTTAATCCATTCTCCACGTCCGGCCTTTTGAAAGATGGTTTTAAGAGTGTAAATGGCATCACTCCCTCTTTTTGGGATCCCCATCGCATTTATTAGAACCTACAGTTTCCTTAACACGTTCTCCAAAGCTCTGTAGAGTCTGCTCCTGCCTTTTCCCCCAACATCATCTTGGGCTTCTCCCCTTTGCTCAGATTGGCTTTCTTTCAACTCTTTTTTTTTTTTTTTTTTTTTTTTGAGATGAAGTTTCGCTCTTGTTGCCCAGGCTGGAGTGCAATGGCGCGATCTCCGCTCAGTGCACCTCCACCTCCTGGGTTCAAGAGATTCTCGTGCCTCAGCCTCCCGAGTAGCTGGGATCACAGGCATGCGCTACCACGCCCAGCTAATTTTTGTATTTTTGGTAGAGACAGGGTTTCTCCATGTTGGTCAGGCTGGTCTTGGACTCCCGACCTCAGGTGATCCGCCCGCCTTGGCCTCCTAAAGTGCTGGGATTACAGGCATGAGCCACCGTGCCGGGCCTTTCAACTCTTGAAGGAACGACATGCTTTCCCAGTCCAAGGCTTTGGGAAACGTTCCTTTGTCAGGAACGTCTTTTCCCTTACCCTTCCTGAGGTTAATTCTCACTTACTCTTAATTTCTCAGCTAAATGTCTCCTCAGAAAAGCCTGCTATGATTTTAGGAGTCTCTCTTGTTGACCCTTTCCCTTCATTATCAGTTGTCATAATTTCTAATTATGTATTAATTTGGTGCTTATTTTTATCTAGATTAGATAATAAATCCTATAACATTAGAGATCATGTCCATTTTGTTTACTTCCCTGTACCTAGTGCCTAGCATAGTGCTTGACACATAGTAAATGCTCAACAAACATTTAATGATTAGATTACCAAATATCATACAGCAAAATGGACACTGGTTTGAAATATAAATGATAATCTATCCTGTAATTTTAACATTACAATTTATCGAATTAGAGTGTTCACAAATGAGTTGTATTCCAAAATTTGCAAACTGGTTATTTGACAGTCAGATTATATTTCTCCATAGAAAAAACTGTCATTGTTGGTTCAGGCCTGCACCTGCTAAATGTAACAATTTTTAGATCTTGTGCAAGCTCACCTCCATCCAAATATTGGCAACGTTAGACCTCAGTTTCCAGGTCAGGATTCCTAGTTTTCAGCCTCCACATAATTTTTGAGGCTTTTGTTTTTGTGAGTTTAAGATAGAAACCTTAGATAGTTTTGTGAGTTTAAGACAGAAATAGCGTTTTTGTGAGTTTAAGATAAAAAGGCGATTTTTAGTTTCTTCTCTTTCAATGTATTTTTGGTTATCGGACTTTTTGTATGAGGAGAGAGAAATACTGCTGTAAAGTTGTGCTCAGCGTAAGGGGTAGCCTTCAGTAGCTGGGAGAAGGGACAGCTTTCACTTGCAGTATGGAAGGAGATCTTTCAGCACACACTGAGATCTCAGCACACAGCAGGAGCTCCCAGTGTACAAATGTGTTTGTGTTTATGTGTACTTCAGATTGGCTGGGGGGGTGGGAATGGGAAAGATTCTGCTTGGAGGAGGGGGAGTGACCCTGAAATTGCTCCCTTGTACGTTGGAGTGTTCTCTGCTGTTTAGTCACAGTGGCAGCTGCACAGCCCTAACTCCATTGGAATGCTGCCTCTCAAAGACCTCAACAACAGGCACAGAAGTGGATACTCACAAATGCAGGCATATTTTTAAAGAGCCCAGTGTTAGTTGGGCATCATAAGAACAATTATTCATTGCAGCTCTCTCTCCATGAGGTCACTTCAAATCAAATTAAATTTTGCTTTCAAGTCCCTCCCAGACCTAGAGAAGCCTATTAGGCTTGGAAAGGCTTACATGGCTAACAATTTCCTGATCAGAACAGGAATTTTCTCCTGCCTCAGCCTCCCTAGTAGCTGGGATTACAGGTGCGTGCCACCACTCCCGGCAAATTTCTGTATTTTAGTACAGACAAGGTTTCACCATGTGGCCAGGCTGGTCTTGAACTCCTGACCTCAAGCAATCTGCCCGCCTCAGCCTCCCAAAGTGCTGGGATTATAGGTGTGAGCCACCGTGCCTGGCCTTTAACTAGATTTTTGTATTGCTCTTTTTTCTCTTCAAGTAATATGATCTGTATAAATATTAAGCTTACCAGTCACAGAGCTGGTTGTTTTTTTTTTTTTTTGAGATGGGGTTTCACTCTGTTTCCCAGGCCGGAGTGCAGTGGCACGATCACAGCTCACTGCAGCCTCAACCTTCTGGGCTCAAGTGATCCTTCCCAGCTCAGCCTCCTGAGTAGCTGGGACTGAAGGCATGTGCCATCACCTCTGGCTAATTTTTTATTTTTTGTAGAGTAGAGGTCTCACTATGTTGCCCAGGCTGGTCTCAAACTCCTGGGCTCAAGTGATCCTCCCACCTCGGCCTCCCAAAGTGCTAAGATTATAGGCATGAGCCACTGTGCCTGGCCAAGTTTTGATAAATGTATACACCTGTGTATCCTAATGCCCTCTCAAGACAGAATGTTACTATCACCCCAGAAAGTTTCCCCTGACCCTTTGCAGTCAATCCTCTCTTACCCTCCCCTAGCCCCAGGCAAACAGTGTTCTAATTTTTTCCCATGATAGATTAGCTGTGCCTGTTCTAGAACTTCATATAAATTGAGTCATAAAGTATGCGCTTTTATGGGTAAGACTGTTCATTCAGCATAATGTTTTTGCAATTCATCCATGTTTTTGTGTGCATCAATAGTTCCTTTTTGTTGTTGAGTAATATTCTGTTACCTGATTACACCACAGTTGGTTTATCCATCTTCCTATTGGTGAACACCTGAATGGTTTCTGGATTTCGGCAATGATGAATAAAGCTTCTGAGAGCATTTCCATACAAGTGTTTTTGAGGACATTATGTTTTTATTTCTTTTGAATATTTAGGAGTGAAATTGCCGGGTCATAGAATATGTGTGTGCTTCATATTATGAGAAGCTACCAGGCCTGTCTCCAAAATGAGTATGCCACTTTATACTTCTGCCAGCAATGTCTGAATGTTCTGGTTGCTTCACATTCTTGCCAACATTTGGGGCTGTCAGTCTTTTGAATTTTCACTGTTTTGGTGGATGCATAATGGTGTCTCATTGTGGTATTAACTGGCATTTCCTGATGACTAATGATGTTCAGCACTTTTCATATGCTTATCGACCATTCTTTGTGAAGTGTCTGTTCAAAATATTTGCCCACTTTTTAGTGGATGCTTTATGTTTTTGTTATTGAGTTATAGAAGTTATTTATATACCCTAGATACCAGTCTCTTGTCCGATATATGTTTGTGAATCAATTTCTTCTTTGATTTCATCCATCTTGGTCTTCATTCTGTAGTATAATCGAACCCATGTCTAGCACTGTCTATATAGCTTGTGTAAAGATCCTTATAAGTTTGTGAAATACATACTGGCTAGGTGGTATCTTTCTTTGATACATAGCAAGGCAATGGTGGAGTACCAGAAAACTATTGAGTGTCAGAGACTATACTTTCTATTTGCCCTTATTAGTTGTTATTTTCAGGATGGAAAATAGTGCTCACTTTCTTAGTTTACTAACAGTTTCATCTAGGGGTCTGTTTATAAAGTAATACAAAATGAAACAAGCCTAAGAGTAATTGTAAAACAGAAAACTAAAGTTTTTTTTTTTTTTTTTTGAGACAGGGTCTTGCTGTCACCCAGGCTGAAGTGCAGTGGTGTGATCTCAGCCCACTGCAGCCTCAACCTCCTGGGGTCAAGCGATCCTCCCACTTCAGCCTTCTGAGTAGCTGGGACTACAGGTGCATGCCACCATGCTCGCCTAATTTGTGCTTTTTTTTTTTTTTTTTTTCGGTGGAGACAGAGTTTTGATATGTTGTACAGGCTGGTCTCAAACTCATGGGCTCAAGCGATCCACTTGCCTCGGCCTCCAAAAGTGCTGGGATTATAGGAATGAGCCACTGTGCCCACCCCAAAACACATTTTAATGCTACTTTATACATAGTTATCTAGGGAAAAAAGTAGCCAGTGTTACCTGTGCTTGATGGTAATAACAAAGTTGATGTTAATACTTTATATTTGCGAAGTCTTCATTTTTTTCCCCCAAATACTTTCACATTTTTAAATCTTTATAATTAGGAAATAATCTTTAGTTATCTTCATCTCTAAGAGGGAATTAATACTGCATCTAGTGTAACTGTTGTGGCAAGTTATCATATTCGGGGTTTAGTTTTTAGTTTTAGTTTTAATTTTTGTTTTGAGACAGGGTCTCACTCTGTCACCCACAGATCACAGTTCACTGCAGCCTCGACCTCCCAGGGTCAGGTGATCCTTCCATCTCAGCCTGCCGGGTAGCTGGGGCTACAGGCACATGCCATAATGCCTGGCCAATTTTTTGTGTTTTTTGTAGAGATGGGGTCTCACTGTATTAACCAAGCTGGCCTCTTAACTCCTGGGCTCAAGCAATCTTCCCGCCTTGGTCTCCCAAAGTGCTAGGATTACACGTGTGAGCCACCTTGCACAGCCCAGGACTTAGTTCTTAAAACCAGGTGTAATTGAAAATCTAGGAAAGTTAAAGTACTTTCCCATCATTCATTGCTACATTGTTTGTAATACAAAAGATTAGTAACAATTCAAACATCCAGTATAGAGGACCAGTTCCAGTTCAAATAGAGTATGTTTCAGTCATACATTAGTATACTCCGCCTTCTTTGCCTCCTCCTACTGAATATGTCATTTACTTTTTTTTTTTTTTTTAAACTCATGACTTTACAGCCATAGACTTTCACAGGTGAAAAGAACTTTTGGGTCATTTGGTTCTTTCCTCTCATTTGACAGAAGACACAAACTCAATGAGATTAAATAATACCCCAAATAATAGAACTCACAATTTTGAGTGTTAGAACTAGACATACTTCTGGTTTAATAAATGTTTGAGTTCATGTTTTTTTCTCTGCTGTCAATCCCTGTGGATTTGTTCTTTAGGATGATGATTACATTCACCCTTCCTTTCTACTGAGTTTGCCAATGTGGTCTCTAATTATATCAGAACTGGATTGCTGCGACATCCTCTTAGCTAGTCATGTAGCCTAATCTTTTTTCTCTCCGGTCCATCTCCTTTATTTTGTCTCACTGATTTTGCTAATACAGACCTTTCATAAATCATCCTTTTACTCCAGAAGCTTCATCCTTTTAATTCAGAAGTGGTCGTCATTGAATCAGATCCTGAATTATCAAGGATCTCCATGCTCTGATTCCATCCTGCCTCTTCATCCTTATTTCCCTTGTTCCCCAACTGCATCTACTCATCAAGATGGTCTCACTCTCCTCTAGCTGCATGTGAATTAGTGCTGTGGTTCTTATGTTGGTTCCTTATCCTGGTACCCACTCACTCCCCATCCTCTCCATTTAGTCACTTTCAACTCATTGTTCAAAATCCAGCTCAAGGCCAGGGGTGCCAGCTCATGCCTGTAATCCCAGCACTTTGGGAGGCTGAGGTGGGCAGATCACTTGAGGTCTGAAGTTTGAGACCGGCCTGGGCAACATGGCGAAACCCAGTCTCTACTAAAAATACAAAACTTAGCTGAGCATGGTGGTGCACGCCTGTAGTCCCAGCTACTCAGGAGGCTGAGGCATGAGAATCGCTTGAACCCGGAAGGCAGAGGCTGCAGTGAGCTGAGCCAAGTTTGCACCACTGCACTCCAGCCTGGGTGACAGAGCAAGACCCTGTCTCAAAAAAAAAAAAAAAAAAAAAAAAAAATTCCGGCTCAAGCTCCACCTTCCCCCTGAAACATTTTGTGATTACAGTGATTTCTTAATCTCCAAATATACACTGTAACATCCCACTTAGCAATTGATACATGAACTAACCTCTATAAGAGATAAAACTCCAAAATCTCAGTGGCCCAACACCGTAGAAGTTATACTTGCTGATCATAGGTGAGAGTGTATAATTCATGATGCTTTGGGGGCAGGGATGGGGAAAAGGAGCGCTGTGCTTTTTGCAGCCGTTTAGAGACTCAGGGTGATGGAGGCTTTGCCATCTTCAACACAAAGCTCCCAGAGTTGCCTCAGGCATTGGTATTTGCTGAATGTTGGAAAGAAGGGACAGTCTATCTGCTTCTTTGCCACCTCCGTCCAGAAGTGGCACGTCATAACACTTCCGCTGGTGAGAACTAGGCACAGGGCTCCACCTTGTGCTGGGAAATGTACCCCCTGGCTGGGTGTCTATATCCCTGGAACTACTCTTCTCTATGGAAGAGAAGCACAAATCTGGGGAGTAGCTAGCTTTGTTACAATGTTGTCCTGTTCTGATTTCTAATTGCTTTGTGGGTGTTGTCTTGGCATCTCCAGCTGGATTTCACACTGTAACTAAAATTCCTCAAATATATACAGTAAGACAAGAGTCTGGCATTTAGTGTGTGCTCAGGAAATGTCTTTGTTAAATAATAGATTTATGTAGACTTTTTAAAAAAATTCTTAATTCCTAAATTAAACACAGAAAGGGAAACAAAGTTGACAAATCCCTAATGGTTCTGTCTTTTTTAAAACAGTACTTTGCAATGCAATTTCTCACTTCACCTACAGAAAGTGAAATTTAGCTGCAGTATCTTCAATTTCAAAATAATAATATTATTTTCTGCTTCTATGGACTATTTTTAACCATTTCATCTTGTTTGTCTTTATATTCTTGTCTTTTTATTATAGAAAAATTAACATATATATGAAAATGGACAGGGTATTATAATGAAATCTCATGTACATATTACCTAGCTTTAACAATAATTGGCCCATGCCCAGTCTTTTAAAATCTATATACTCACTTCCCTCCCACACTAAATTTCTTGAAGCTAAACACAAATATATTATTTCATATGTAAATATGTCTGTAACACCAGACCTTTGGACAAGGTAAGGCCTTGTCCAAAAATACCCCACAATGCTATATCTCATTTTAAAATAACAATAATTCCTTAGTATCTCTAAATAATCCAGTTAGTACTTAAATTTCCCATAGTTTTTTAAACAATTGGTTTGTTCAAATCAAGATCCAAACAAGTCTACGTGTTTTTATCACACACACACACACTCTCACACACTCTAAATAAATAAATAAAGAAGGCAGGAGGAAACTTTTGGAGGTGATGGATATATGTATGGCATAGGTTGTGGTGATGGTTTCACAGATGTGTACTTATCTCCAGGCTCATCAAGGTATATACGTTAATTATGTACAGCATTTCATATGCCAATCATACCCCCAATAAAGTGGTTTACAATACTCAGAAAACACCATTAAGAACTTAAAAATGAAAAGATACAAACAAGGGATACACACAATACATTTTAGACATTCCTCTTAAATATTTTTAAAACAACAAGTCTTTTCTCTGCTCCTTTTTTCCCCCTTGGAATTTATTTGTTGAAGAAACAAGGACATTTGTCCTATAATGATTCTCATTCTCTGGATTTGGCTGATTCTATTCTTCTGGTTTGTGCAACAGTTTCATGTACTTCTGTCCCCAGTATTTCCTGCAAACTAGAGATAGGTCTAGGATCTTGATCAGATTCAGGTTTTGGTTTTTCATCAAAGGGTGGGGTTGTGTATCTCCACCAGAAGGCATAATGTCTGGTTATCTCTCTTTTTGATGTTAACATTTATTAGTGGGTTTAAGAGTTTTTACCAGATGCATTCATTATAAAATTTGCCTTTGGCTTTTCGCCTAGTTGCCTTGGCTGCCATTGATGATCATTGCCTAGTCTATTATTTCATTAGGCATGTCTTGTCTCTTTTTGCAATGAGATTTTCCAATGTTTTAAAAATATTTTATTTTTTCTTCTTACATTATTAAACATATTTAAAACATTTAAACTTCCCTCTAATTCTAATAATGATAATTAACACTTTGGCATTTAACACTTTACAAAGCATTTTTTTTTTTAAGGGACATGGTCTTGCTATGTTGCCTAGGCTGGATTGCAGTGGCCATTCACAGATTCGATCATAGCTCATGACGGCCTCAAACTCCTGGCCTCAAGTGATCCTCCTGCCTTAGCCTCCCAAGAAGCTGGGACTACAGGCACATGCCACCATGTCCAGCTTACAAAGCATTTTCATATACACTATTTCACAAATATTATCTGATACTCACAGAACACCCTGCAGGTAAACCGACTCTATAACTTTGGGCAAGGGTCGTCACTTTAGAGATGAGGAAAATAATAATAACCACTCCTAAGATCGTTATGAAAATTAAACAAGTTGAATGTATGCAAACTGCTTAAAATAGTGCTTACTATATTACAGCAAGAGTGAAATAAAAATTTGCTACCACAATTATTAATATTGTTAATGCTGCTATCATCATTTCTTTCAGTTTTAACCATTATGTTGTTAGTTTATTTTAAAAAATGTTTCCTTGAACTTTTTCTAGTGTTTATGGATATTAATAAGAGTAATTTAATTTCTATGTTCCCATATAATTTCACAGTCTTGAAACCCTAGTCATAACCCTGATTAGCTTACAGTGTGATATGAACTTAACTTTTATTGTCATTTGCTGCTAAATATTATTTATTCTGTTTTCTTTATTTATAGAAGACTAAGAATCACTTTCTACCAAAACAAAAACAAAAAAAGAATATATTTAACTTATGCTGTTCAGGCTATCTATCTATCTATATATATGTATATACCATGCTCTCCTTTATGAGCAAAAAAGCAATATATTTTATATGATAAGCTTTTATAATATTCTGTAATAAAATTTAATGAATCATGGAGTACTGGAGCCTAAAGCACCTTGGAGAGCAGGCTCAGCACTTTATTTACAGGTGAAGAAACTGAGAACTAACCAAGTTAAAGGAGCTGTCCAACTTGCACCTTCACATGACCGACCAATGGCTGAGCCAGGACTAATAACAGATCTTAAACCAGCCCTAGTCCCTAACATCCTTCTATTATACTGCATAATGCTAAACTATTTTAAATGTTCCATCACCAGTTCTCCCAATACCACCCTAAAAGCAACAACGTCACCATTTGGAGTTCAAAGTGAGAAACATGAACTACATGCTTGAAGACACACAAATATGGAAGCAGCAAAGTGGAACCCAGGAACCTAGGTCCGTTGAATGACACTGGACTGATGACAGGCAGTAAGTGTATGTAAGACTAAATGCATATGTGTGTATATATTAATACACAGTCATAAAGAAAAATGACAACTATTTTCCACTGACACACTGTGCCTGGTGGTACTTGTCTGTTCACATAGTCATGTATGAAGAGGAGAATTACAAGGCAGATTTTATTTTTGTTTTTTTCGTTTTTTAATTTTTAATTGTGGTGGATTTTAAATACACAGAAAAGTAGATAGAATAGCACAATTAATTCCTATGTAGCCACCACTCAGCCCCAATATCCATCAACCTGAGGCCAATCCTCTCCTGTCCATCCCCTCATCCACTCTGTCATTGGTATTATGTTGATGCAACTTACAGACATCATAGCATTTCCTGTTTACATATTTGAAGCATATTCTCTCTCTCTCTTTTTTTTTTTTTTTTTTTTGAGACAGAGTCTTGCTCTGTCGCCCAGGCTGGAGTGCAGTGGTGTGATCTCGGCCGATCTCCGCTCAGGGCAACCTCCGCCTCCCAGGTTCAAGCGATTCTCTTGCTTCAGCCTGCTGAGTAGCTGGGATTACAGGCGCCCGCCACAGTGAAGGCTAACATTTGTAATTTTTTTTTTTTTTTTTTTTTTTTTTTTGAGACGGAGTCTCGCTCTGTCGCCCAGGCTGCAGTGTAGTGGCGTGATCTTGGCTCACTGCAACCTCCGTCTCCTGGTTTGAAGTGATTCTCCTGCCTCAGCCTCCCAAGTAGCTGGGACTCCGGGCGCACGCCGCCAGGCCTGGCTAATTTTTTGTATTTTAGGAGAGATAGGGTTTCCCCGTTGTTGCCCAGGCTGGTCTCAAACTCCTGTGCTCAGGCAATCCGCCCACCTTGGCCTCCCAAAGTGCTAGGATTACAGGCGTGAGCCACCGCACCCGGCCTAATATTTGTTTTTTGTTGTTGTTGTTGTTTGTTTGTTTGTTTGTTTTGAGACAGAGTCTGGCTCTGTTGCCCGAGTGCAGTGGCGGGATCTCGGCTCACTGCAAGCTCCGCCTCCCGGGTTCACGCCATTCTCCTGCCTCAGCCTCCTGAGTAGCTGGGACTACAGGCGCCCGCCACCACACCCGGCTAATTTTGTATTTTTAGTAGAGACGGGGTTTCACCATGTCGGCCAGGCTGGTCTCGAACTCTGAGCTCAAGCGATCCGCCCACCTTAGCCTCTCAAAGTGCTAGGATTACAGGCGTGAGGCACCGTGCCTTGTCGTTGAAGCATATTTGTCTAGAAGATTAAAAAACTTTCAGAAAAAACCACGAGATTAATTATCATACCCAAAATTGTAATGCAAATTCCATACAATCATCAAATAGGCCATCAGTATTCAATTTTCCCATTGTTTTAAAAACACCAACTTTTAAAGTTACTTTAAAGAAAATCAGCCTCCAGTGCCACACATTGTGATGATTTCTCCTTGATCTACATGTTACTTCTCTCTCTGTATTCTCCTTGTAATTTATTTGTTGAGGAAAACAGATTTTTGAGCTGTAGCTTTCCTTGCAGTCTGGATTTTGCTGCTTTCATGCCCATGGTGTAGTTACAAGCCAGCTTGAAACATTAAAGGAAATGTTCATGCATATTATTATCAGATTTCATTTAATTTTGCTGGTTAATTTTGGACACTAATGATAACAACTGGAAGTCAGAGAAACCAGCATTTCTGGTGGATCCCAGCTGCCTGTGGGCGCTGTGACTGGTTAGCTGCTATCAGGCTGAGAAAGTTTGTCTCTCTTGCCCCAATCCCTTCCTGTTCTCTAATCTAAATTGGACCTCTTGCTGTATCTTTTCAGAATACCCGCTACTTTTCCTTCCCAGCAATTGTCAGGATGAAACTGTAGCAGACTTTGACATTTTTATAGTTAGAAAAGTCAGGAGTGCATGAATGTAACTTTGAGCACAAGGGAGTTCTGTATAAAACCACAAGCATGGTTTCCAGCTGGGAATAGGAAAATATACATTTGACAATTTGTGATATTCATTTCCAGATGGGAACTTTTTCTCTTGTGACTAAGCACCAAGTCAAATTCAATTCTTCCTTCCCCTTTTCTCCTCCCCTGGGAAGAAGAACTAGGTTCCTGGGCAAAGGTTATCCCATATGTATGCCGTTCTTTACTTGATTCTCACCCTTAACTGAGGTTTGGGCTATTTCTTCATTTCATAGGCTTGTTGTATTAACAGTGTGGTCAGTCCTCCAAATAGATAGGAAGAAGAGATTCAGAAAAGGTGAGAGTACAGATGCTAGTAGATACTGAAGAGAAGCCCCCAGCACCCTGTTTCCTGTTGGGGCAAAACCAAAGGAGGTAACTGTAATAACCGCACTTATTTAGGAACATCTCAAGTTTGAAATGCAGATGGGCCGAGGACAGCGTTACAGAACCCTGCACATTCCAGGATAGTGTGGGGAAATTGTTGAAAGGTTCTGAGTCCTGAGGGATTTGAGGGTAGTGGAAAAATGCCAAGGTGTCCATGGAACGAGGAAAGATGGCGTGTGTGGACTTTGGGGCTGGAAGCAATGGCAGGGACCATGAACACCAGCAATGAATGCCAGATACCACTTGTGATAAACTGCACCTCAGCTGATGCACGTATGTGACCCAGCAAGGGCCATGTGGACAACCACACCATAGAAGCCCCTTGTGCCCTGACGCTGGAGGATAGTTAAGGCTTTCTAGAGGAAATTGGGCCATCCTCCCGAAAAAGGGAAACAGAAGAAGGAAGAGGAGAACTTTGAATACTTACTCATTTTATACTGAAAGAGGCTAAGTTATCTTCAAATGACAAGACTGAGTTAATTTTCCTTTCATTAGCAGAAAGGGGATGCAAGAGTTAAGTTGAATGCCATCAGAAAAGTTAAAAGTATATTCCAGCACATCTGGGATATGGCCATACATTTTAAACCCACCACACCACTCACATTTATGTGTTTATGTTAGTTATTTTTATTTTTTATTGCCGCTTGAGATCTCATATATGTTTATTTTAAATGTCTGTCTTCCCTAGATTGTAAGTTTCATGAAGGCACAGACCATCCTTTTTTTGTTCTATATTCTTAGCTCCTAAACCAGTGCTTAGCACCTGACAGATCCTTGAGAAGAATTTGTGGAATGAATATCAGACCCACACATCAGAGTACCTTCCACAGTATTTAACATAGAACAAGTACATAATAAATAATACTTTCTTCCTTCCTAGGGGAATGTATATTTCTTTGGGCATAGTCCATCTTGCTGTTTTTACAGCCAATTATATCTTAGGTGACTTTAAAAATAAATCTTCTTTGGTTGTTTTTAGAGAAGGAACTTAAGAAACTGAAGACATGGTGTTTGTCTTCTCTAACCCTATTTTGTATCCAAAGGGTATACTGGATAAACGACAGTAGTCACAGCTTCAGAGTGTATATTCTTTGGAAGGTGGTGAATACCTAGTGGTGATTGCAGCACCACCAACACAGTCTTAGCCCCTTCCTTAATTTTGACATGTTTTATCCCTTTCCCTCTCAGATGTCTGGGATCCAATCTGTTTTTATTCTCCTTTCCTTTTTTCTGTGCCACCGTTTTGGCCTGCTCTTCCCCGTCAGGCTCCCCGCCCCGCACCCCCTTGCTCAGGATTGACTGTCTCACCTACTAGTACCCAGCTCCCCTGGGGAGTTCTGAGCATTGATCCCCGCCACTTCAGAACTCCTGGCCAGAAAGGGGCTATACATTCAAGATGGTTCTCATTTCAGGTAAAGCCATCTTCTTCTTTTGGGAAAAAAAAAGAAGTTTTATAAAATATGCCAAAATGCAATTTAATATCTATCATCTTTAAACCATTTATTTGTATTCCATCTTATTTATAAAAGTATTTGAGGTAAGTATATCTTAGGAGATTGTTTTGTAAATAAGTTCACTAACTAGTTAAAAAAAATACGCGAGCTCTGATTTTGACTCAGAAAATACGGACCCTATAGTACGGTATTGCCTGAACTCACTTAATAAGAATTACCTGTGCTGCTTGTTAAATATACAGATTCTCTAAGCTTTTCCCTTGGATATTCTGATTTAGCTAATTGAATGGCCCTGAAAGTTTTTTGTTTGTTTTTTCTTTACTTTTTTTTTTTTTTTTTTTTTTTTTTTTTGTGACGGAGTCCCACTCTGTCGCCAGGCTGAAGTGCAGTGGCATGATCTTGGCTCACTGCAACCTCCACCTCCCAGATTCAAGTGATTCTCCTGCCTCAGCCTCCCGAGTGGCTGGGACTACAGGCGCATGCCACCACGCCCAGCTAATTTTTGTATTTTTAGTAGAGACGGGGTTTCACCATATTGGCCAGGCTGGTCTCAATCTCTTCACCTCGTGATCTGCCCGCCTGGGCCTCCCAAAGTGTTGGAATTACAGGCGTGAGCCACCGTGCCCAGCCTGTTTTTTCTTTAGATGATTTTTTTTTGACCTGACAACTTTAAGAAAAATTGCTAATGTACATAGTGAGAGCTGGCAGAATGAAGACCCATGAGGTACATGGACAGAAGTTGTGGGGGAGGAACAAGGAAATCTCTGGGTAAGAAGAAATTGGATTCAGCCCTGTTTTCTTCCCCCCCAATGTGAATACATCTGTGTGAATGATGATCATCAAAAAAATTTATGGTATTATGGAAAGCTGGTAATATTGATTGATGGACTAATAATATTGCTGGTGTAAAGATTCTCAACTATCAAGGTAACAACAACAACAAAACTCCTGAAAAAACCTAAGGCAGTGTAAAATAGCCCTAATTCCAGTCATTTCAGTGATCTCCTTACTGCTGTATCTTCTTACCATGTAACACAACAACTAAGTATAACATCAGATGTGTTTGATTAAGCTGTAAGTTTTATTTTATTAGAACTGTAACTCTCCCTTTAAATACCTATTTATATCTTTACATAATCAGTCTTTGTAGGTAGTTGTATATGTATTATGTTACCTTATCCACCTCAAAATATTAGAAGGAACTGTATAGATAAGACCCTTCCTTTATTTTTATTGTTTGAATTTTAAGGGTAATACTTTTTATTATTTTTTAACTTTTAATTTTTGAGACAGGGTCTCACTCTTTTGCCCAGGCTGGAGTGCAGTGGCATGATCTGGGCTCACTGCCACCTCTGTCTCCCAGGCTCAAGCGATCCTCCCACCTCAGCCTCCCGAGTAGCTGGGACTACGGGTGTGCACCACCCAGCTAGGCTCATTTATTGTAGTTTTATAGAGATGGGGTTTCACCATATTGCCCAGGCTGGTTTCAAACTCCTGGATTCAAGTGATCCACCCACCTCGGCCTCCCAAAGTGTTGGGATTACAGGCATGAGCCACCATGCCTGGACCCTAGTACCTTTTAGAATAGCAGTTTACCCATATTATAATCTCTGGCTCTCTCGAGAACTTTGTGTATTTCTGTTCTATCCTTGAATTGAATTCTGCACTTCAAAATGTACTCCACTTGGTAAAGAACAGTATTATAGAAAAGGAAAACCCCAAACCATTGTAGTTTGAGGCCTCTCCCTGCTGCAGCCTTTCATTTCCTGCAGTCTCACGACCTCTGGGATGGAGGCATCTGGGCAGGAGAGCTTTCATGGAGGTCGCTGGCCTTGAGGAGGTAACTGTGTCTGAGGGACAGGAATAATGAGGTCTCTGGTAAGCTGGGGATTTTGCTGCCAGATGACCTCAGATGCTGGGGTATGCGGAGGGGCCACGCGGAAGGCAGCAGTGTGGAGACTCTTCCAGGCCTTCTGGTTGATGATCCTGTCAATGTGTCCATTGCTTAAAAGGTGAGATCATTAAAACGTATAATTCCTAAACGACCCTGTTTTTGTAGTATGAATTTCTTCTTAACAAAACAGCATAATATGAAACAGGGTTAGTAGTGCCAGTTTTGGGGCTACTGTTATTCTCCTCTCCCTGGGGTCTGTGGCTCTGCTGTTTTGTGTCAGCAATCTGGCTTCTGGCCAGAGACAGTAGATTTCTAAGCCTGTTGCACCGAAAACTATTGTCATTGAAAAAATTTCCAGTTGCTTAGTACTTCCCAAATGTTGAATACTTTTAGAGGTTTGTAGCCATACGATAATGTCTATTAGTTTAATATTACCCCTTCTCTGCGTGCTTTTATGTAAATAGCAGCATGCTACTGGCTGATCAGATGCTGATGGAATCCAGCATTGAAGGGCCTTGATCATATTATCCAGCAAAATTAAATTTGATTTTTATAGACTTGCCCTGCTGCCACCCATATTTACCAGTCCCATCACTTCCTCTCTTTAGGTGTCTGTGCGGAGTTTTGTTTCTTACATCACTAAAGAATACAAAAACAATACCTTCAGAGTTTCCCACAATACAGATTTTCATGCATCGAAGGAAAGCAGCACTGACAAGACAGGCAGATTGTATTAGAATTATTTAGGTCCTTAGCTTGATTCCCTTCCTGGCTGATTCAGTCCATTCCTTTGTGTCTGCCTGTCCATCTGTGAAGAGAAGATAATTACACCTGCTCCTCATTTACCTCAGAGGGATGTTACAGGCATTCATTTTGAAAGCCTATAAAGCTTTTTGAGCAAGGAGGAGTATAGTTGCAAGAATATATATTGTCGTTGCAGTGGTCCTTGCAAATCTTAATTCCAGTTATCGATATATTGATGAATACGCATTATTCAGTTTCATTAAATAAAAGCTGGCTCTGCCGGGCGCGGTGGCTCAGGCCTGTAATCCCAGCATTTTGGGAGGCCGAGGCAGGCAGATCACTTGAAGCCAGGAGTTTGAGATCAGCCTGGCCAACATGGCAAAACCCCATCTCTACTAAAAATACAAAAATTAGCCGGGCCTGGTGGGGTGCGCCCGTAATCCCAGCTACTGGGGAGACTGAGGCACAAGAATCATTTGAACCTCAGAGGCAGATGTTGCCGTGAGCTGAGATCCCGCCACTGCACTGCACTCCAGCCTGGGTGACAGAGCAAGACTGTTTTCAAAAACAAAACAAAACAAAACAAAAAAAGCTGGCTCTTCATGCTCTGTGAGGTTTTCCCAAAGTGTGTATGTCTAAGAGGAAGGAGGAGAGAGTTTGGTGAATGGAAAATGAGCCACAAATGTAGGTTTTAAGTAATCCATTTCCTTTTAACTCATTTGTGTTCAGCCTTGAAGCTAAAGGAGATGAGCTGAAGAAATGGCGTGAAGTAAGCAGCAATCCTAAACCCCACATTGCCCCAATATTTTTCTGACTCATGATCAAAATTGATCACTTGAGTTAGAAAAAAAATTTTCAGGTGAGAAATGTTTGCTTATGACCAAAAAAAGGTTTTTGTGTAAAGCCTGGCAAGTCACTTAGACTTCTTTAATTGATAAGTCTTCCTAAAGATTTAAAAGAAAATCAAGTCAATTTACATAATCCCTACAATGTCTACCGTTAATTATGTAAGAGGCGAGGCTGTCCCAGATATATAAGGTACGTCAGTTTCTTCCAAAATGTCGTTTTACCTATTATTAAGTTTTCATTGTCTCTCAAGGTGGAAAGCAACAGCTGTTTCCTGAAAATTGCTAAAATTGCATGAACAGTGTGGGAAGCAGGAAACATGCAACAAATACTTCTAAACTCAGAGATCCAGAATGAGATGGTTCCTATCTTCTTCAGTTCCGCAGCACTCATCCTTGACTTCCCATTGTGAAATGAACGACAAATGTTGGTTAAATGCCTACGATGTGCTGGGCTAGTGGTTCTCAAGTGTGGTTCAGCATCATCAACATCAGCATCACGTGGGAACTTGTTAGAGACGCAAATCAGAAGCTGTGGGGTGGAGCCTAGCAATCAGTGTTTTAATAAGCCCTCTATACAAGTGCCTCTTAGAATTGGCATTCCACAGGGTGATAGCAAGGTTGGGACGGGCGGGCCAGCCTGTGGGCAGTACGGGGAGTGGCTGATCACAAACAGCGCAAAGCTTATCCCACCAACTCGTTAGAGGGTGCTTCTCTTTCTGAGCCAGTTCAGGACTTGTATCTTGGAGGAGAAACTCCTCCTCTGGGATTCAGAGCTCATTCCAGATAAATGCTCAAATAGGAGATATTCTAACTTGTGGTTCATATTTTGTGCCAGCCATGAAAGCAAAGCTTCTCTCTATTGCTCTTGTAGCCCTCAATTTCGGAGCTTGAGCCTATCTCCAAGATGGAAAAACAAGGGACAGGAGGCCTAAAAAGGATTTGATCTCTATCATTACCATCTCTCATCTCACTTACCCTTCCCACTACTTTCCCCCATTTTCCTCTTGACCTCCCTGTGCCCAGAATGCTCACTCGAGAACTTGGGAGAGGTGAACAAGGGAGGGTGAGACGTGAGCTAGAGATGGCTGAGAGACAAGATGCTCCAGGGCAGTCCCCACATCCCCCGTTAACCTGCGTGCTTCCCATTCCAAGGGATGACATGCACCTTAGCTACCCTTAACTACACCCCAATCACTCCCTCTCCTCAGACAAAAAGCAATTCCAGGAAATAGAAGTTAGTTTTCACTTAAACAGGATGTGACTATGATGTATGTTTCAATTTCAGCTGGTGGTGACCTGGCTTCTAATAGGAACCCACATCCCCCAGTCCTTGGCGGAGAATGCCTGACAGTGTGGCCAGATTCCTGAGGTTTATGACCTTGTGACCCACAGAGCATTTCAGTCCTCTTCACTCAGCCTAGCAGGCAGATTTGGGGACTAATCATACTGGGAGTCACTATTTCCTGCAAGAAACCTTCCCTTAGGAAGCTTTGTAACATTTCTTTGCAATATCAAAGAGAGACTGAGAGACAGCAAGCTTTAATTTTCACCTGTGACTTAAAATTAATATGTAAATATAGGAAGGAGAAAGAGGAAACTGCGTGGATGGAATGACCTGAGACATCTGGGTCTTTATTCATTCCAATATTATTTTATGAGATTACTATTCAGCTACATACATGAAAGAGACTTCTGAATGGCAGACAGGGCAGAAGGCTTGACTTACCTAGATTGCATATAATCAGTATGTAAGGAGTTAGGATTTTTCTAACAGTAAAAGCAATCTTGACTAAGGCATTTGAAGCAAAAGTTAACACTACCTGAATCTTAGATCAAATAGAAGGGTTTACCCCAGAGAACTATCAAGCATTTTTTTCCAGAGATCTGTGGGGAAACCTACAATTTGATTTTTGAGGGTAAGTTGGGGAGTAGAGGAGAGTTTCTGAAAACTCTCCCTACTATTTCCTGTTTTATTTTTTGAGACGGAGTCTTGCTCTGTCACCAGGCTGGAGTGCAGTTGCACAATCTTGGCTCACTGTAACCTCCGTCTCCCGGGTTCAAGCAATTCTCCTGCCCCAGCCTCCCAAGTAGCTGGGACTACAGGCACGTGCCAAAACACCCAGCTAATTTTTGTATTTTTAGTAGAGACAGAGTTTCACCATGTTGGCCAGGATGGTCTCGATCTCTTGACCTTGTGAGCCACCTGTCTCAGCCTCCCAAAGCGCTGGGATTACAGGCGTGAGCCACCGCGCCCAGCCTATTTCTTCATCCTTAATTCTATTTTCCTGGTTCACTTTGTAGAATTTGCTACACAGGATGTCTTTCACTGTTAAAATTTTCATGTTTCCTTGGTTACTAGGTTGCAGTTTTCTCCTAAGCCCCTCTGTCTCTCTGCATATGAACTTGGTGACAGGGATTGGGAAGTGAATTTTTTTGATGATCTTATTGCTACTGTAGTTAAGAATCAGCACTGTTAAGCAAATGGGGCCTTGGGGATCATAGTTCAACTTCTTTTATTTTACAAATGAGAAAACCAAGTTCAGAAAAGTTAAGCAACTTGCCTAAGGTCACAGAGCCTGTTCATGCCAGGGCTGCCTCAAGAATCCAGGCCTGTTAACTCTGAGTCAAGTACTAAATACATGACTCCATTGCTGGCCTTTTTCTTTTCTTTTTTTTTAAATGCCTGAAATTCTTTACCCTCTTGAGACTCAGCTGAGCATTTGGCCAACCTGGTGTAAATATCAGGCTTTTTCTTAAGTGACAAAGTTTTGATACTATCAAAGAACACGGGAAACTACTATCTGCTCCCGGGGGTGGACACAGATTAGATGGACATTTGGAAAGCTGGAGGCCCTGAAGAGAAAGGTGACACATTACAGGGTTCAGTTTGCGATTAATACTAAGCATTCTGATGGCATGCTGCTTCCACGCAGGGGACAGAGATATCGCTTTCCCATGGACTCTAATTTGTCTCCATAGTCTCTCTTCTAGCAGATCCAGAGATGGATCTTGACTAAAAAGATAGACGTGCTGATTGTCTTCTTAAAGAAAAATTCTGTGGTGGAGGAGGTAGCCTCTTTTAAAATCTGGGAAAGATGTAGATTTTTGAGAATGAAGAGGGTTTAAATTAAACATAGTTCAAAAAATTAAACACAAGAGGGAAACTAATGGAATCCTTCATAAAATGTTTAAAATATTGCCTACGAATCTCAATACTTCTACAGATTATTTTCAGAAAATAACGGGTTTTAAGAGAGCTGAGCTGTGGCCGTTTTGGTGATGAACTGCTTGGATCCCCTTTCGAACAGGCTGGGCTAGTTTCAATTTCTCTAAAGTCGTCTGTATTATTAGCATTCATGTAAAGAAAGGTTCAGAGGTTTGCTTTTTTTTTTTTTTGCACAATAAAATCTTTTTCAAAACAATTTTCTATGATATGGTAATTCTTTTATAACCCATGTTAAGTCAGGTTTCTTTTGTATATTGTGATTCATGCTAAGATAAATAAAAAATAAACCACGATTGAAATTTTAAAAAAGAAGCTGCTTAACGAAGATCTTTAAGTAGCTAATGAGTCAGTGAGTATTCACAGAAGTTTGGTCAATGCTAGCAGGGACTATTTTGTGTTGAGAACAAAGACACCAAAGAGATAGCCACTGGGAGGAGACCGGAGGGAGGCAAGAGGCTCCTGTGGAGCACTGGAATCAGGAAAAATTTCCCAGCCCTCATTATCAAAACCGGCTGGAGGGAACAGCAGTGAAAAAAACAACATGCAAAGCCACAAACAGGTGAAAAATGCAGAAAAATGTAATGTTCTTAGCAAGGCGGCACATCCTTCATTTATGATCACCTACAACATATTTTCAAAGTAAAATCCTATCAAAGAAAATAAGCTCTTGTGATTCAACAGCCATAGGACAGCTGGCATTTCCCTCCTCCCCCAACAACTGACACTGTCCAGAGGGACACCAGAATCCCCTGAATTTGAGCATTACATCGTACAACAAAATATTTAATTTTAATCAAATTTATTTTCCTACGGGGCATTCAAAAGAGCACACTAACCCATCACTTTCGAGATGGTAATTTATTTACTTAGTTTTTGCTTATTCAGGACCTTCGATTGGCTGACTTGGTTCCTCCAGGAATTGCCCCTCCAGAGGTGGTGACAGTAGGTCTTCTGTGGAGGGAATTGCTGGGACAGCGTTCAGCTTCATTAAAGGGAGCTTTCAGGGAAAGTGGGAGCTGGGGTCTGGCTGCCAAGATTTTAATGAATTGCTTCAGATATTCTCTCTGGTGGCTTCCACTGTGTTTAGAAATTTGAGAAAAAAAATCTATGTACAGAACACATGGCAGTTGGACATTAAAAATCTGCCACACACACAAGTATCTGTCATACATTTCTTTTAAAATGGCTAAGTGCTACTCATGAAATTCACAAAGGATTTCAGGAAGTCAATGTGTATATTTTAATGAAAATATTTCTGTAATAGATATTATTTATTCCTTGTCATGAATTTGCCTGTGCAATTAAGTCATATGATTATTTTGCAAAAAAAGTTTGATTTTAGTAATTTTTTTCCTGAGACCAGTTAATGGAAGTTTCTTATTATAGAGGAAAGGACAGTCATTTAAAAGGTAAAAATAACACTTTTCATTAAGCTTCTTCTGTTATTTGACTATGGCTTATTTCAGCCAGTTTTGGAGAATTAAATTCATACAGCACAAGGCCAATAAATGCGGTTAATTTCATTAGGGGTTTGCAGTACAGTGGGGGGAAAATGCAATCTAATGTAAAGCCCTTGCATCTTTTAATTCAGTGTTTTAAATCAAACTTACCCATGTCACTCAAGTTTGCCTACAGCACAATAGGAGATGATAGTTCCTTACGTGGGGGAAAAAGAAAAAAACTTTATGAGACTTCAGAAATACCAGTCCTTCTGATAACATTTATGATTTTAAAAAATATTTTTCGGCTGGGCGCAGTGGCTCACGCCTGTAATCCCAGCAATCTGGGAGGCCGAGGCAGGCAGATTGCGAGGTCAGGAGATCGAGACCATCCTGGCTAACACGGTGAAACCCTGTCTCTACTAAAAACACAAAAAATTAGCCAGGCACGATGGCACGTGCCTGTAGTCCCAGCTACTCAGGAGGCTGAGGCAGAAGAATTGCTTGAACCCGGGAGGCGGAGGTTGCAGTGAGCCGAGATTGCACCACTGCACTCCAGCCTGGGAGACAGGGTGAGACTCCATCTCAAAAAAAAAAAAAAAGTATATATGTTTATTTCAGGCCAGGCATGGTGGCTCTTGCCTGTAATTCCAACACTTTGGGAGGATCAGTTGAGCCCAGGAGTTTAAGACTAGCCTGCCAAGATAGTGAGACCCTGTCTCTACAAAAAAATTAAAAAATTATCCGAGTATGGTGGTACACACTTGTAGTCCCAACTACTCTGGAGGCTGAGGTGGGAGAATTGCTTGAGCCCAGGAGGTGGAGGTTGCAGTTAGCTGTGATCATGTCACTGCACTCCAGCCTGGGTGACAGAGAGAGCCCCTGTCTCAAAAAAAAAATTTTTTTTTCCATTTTGAAACAATCACAAACTTACAGAAAAGTTGGGAGTTTAATATAGGAAACATGTTTTTTTGAGCTATTTGAGAATAACTGCTGATCTGATGTCCCATTACTCCCAGATACTTTAGGATGTATTTTGTACAAACAGGAATATTCTCTGATCCTTTCGTAGTTCATAAGCATGATGATCGGGTGTTCACATGCTCATATGTGACATGTGCCACCCTCGAATCTTGGTACAATGTTGGGACATTACCCATCTGACATGAAAAAACTATTAAAAAAAAAAAAAGAACATTCTCCTATATAACCACAGTACAAACATCAAAATCAGGGAACTAACCTTGATTCAGTACTACCACCTAATCCTCAGACCCCTTCCTTTGTAGGAGAAGAATCCAGGACAGGATTATGTGGAGCATTTGGCTGCCATGTCTCTCTAGTCTCCTTTCTGGAACAGTTCTCAGTCTTTCAGTGGCTTTCATGACCTCGACACTTCAAAAGATTACAGTTCAGTTATTTTGTAGAATGTCCTTCCATTGGTTTTGTCTGCTGTTTCCTCATGATTAGATTAAGGTTATTCATTTCTGGAAGAGGTTGTATCCTATGATTTCCATTTGTCCTATTACTGATGATGTTCACTTAATTAAAGTGATGTATAGCAGGCTTAATAAGTATTTTGTGGGATAGTATTTGGAAACTAGATGTCCTGTTCCTCAAACTTTCAATGTATATATATGTATTTTTAATACATATATTACATGTATTTTAATATATGTATATATTTTAATACATATATATCTGTATATATACAGATATCATATGCATATACATATATATGTATCTATATTCCTATGGACTTATGGTTTCTTGTTTTAATAAGTTATACTTCTTTATTGCCGTTGTGTATTTTGATGTTCAAATTGTCCCAGATCTGGCCAGTTGGAAGCTCCTTCATGTAACTGCGCAATGGGTTCATTTTGCCCTGCCCAGATAGAGTCAATTTATCAAGACACAGGAATTGCAATAAAGAGTTCAACTCATGCAGAGCTGGCTGAACAGGAAACCAAAGTTTTATTATTACTCAAATCAGTCTCCCTGAAAATTCAGGGACTTGGGCTTTTAGGGATAATTTGGCAGGTTGGGGAACAGGGAGTGGGGAGTGCTGATTGGTCAGGTTGGATGAAATCATAAGGAGTCCTCTTGTGCAGAGTCAGTTCCTGGGTGGGGGTTGTAAGACCAGATGAGCCAGTTTATTGATCTGGGTGGGACCAGCTGATCCATGGAGTACAAGGTCTGAAAAAGACCTCAAACACCAATATTGGGTTTTACAATACTGATGTTATTATAGGAGCAATTGGGGGGGTTAGTGATCTTGGGGTTTCTGGCTGCATGACTCTTAAACCATAATTTCTGATCTTGTATCTAACTTGTTAGTCCTACAAAGGCAGTCTGGTCCCCAGGCAAGAAGGGGGTATGTTTTGGGAAAAGGCTGTTATCATCTTTGTTTCAAAGTTAAAGTTAAGTTCCTCTCAAAGTTAGTTTGGCCTACATCCAGGAATGAACAAGGACAGCTTGGAGATTTGAAGCAAGTTGGAGTCAATTAGGTCAGATCTCTTTCACTGTCATAATTTTCTCACTGTTATAATTTTTGCGACAGGGGTTTCATTCACACTGGCTGCTGTGTCCTTCTGACATGTCCTCATGGTTCTTTGAGCATGTTCTTGCTTTCTGGCACTACAAGGTGTTCCAGGTTCATCTTTCTTTATGCCAGACGTGTTGATTGATATAGGGGCATTGCTGCTCCCCGATGTTCAGTGGACAGAACTAAAGAATATATGTGTGTATGTGCATACATGCATATGCATATTTATTATGATATCTACCCCTCTATCTCCCTATCATCATCTGTGTATTAAAAACTATGTTGGCTGGGCACGGTGGTTCACGCCTGTAATCCCAGCACTTTGGGAGGCGGAGGTGGGTGGATCATGAGGTCAAGAGATCGAGACCACCCTGGCCAACATGGTGAAACCCTGTCTCTACTAGAAATACAAAAATTAGCCAGGCATGGTGGCACGTACCTGTAGTCCTGGCTACTCGGGAGGCTGAGGCAGGAGAATCGCTTGAACTCAGGAGGTAGGAGTTGTAGTGAGCCGAGATCGCACCACTGCACTCTAGCCTGGAGACAGGGCGAGAGACACCATCTCAAAAACAAATAAATAAATAAAAATAAATAAATAAATAAAAACTATGTTTACCCCAATATTTATAATTCCAATCCAACACTACAGCTATTTTTTTTCTTTTTTGTGACTCTTTTGCCTGCCAGTGAGAGACATGGGTCACATTATTCTTAACACATTCACTTAAATAATTCAACCTCGTCTCAGCTCCCACTCCCATCCTTGGCAGATGCCCTCTCTAAGCCACGTGAAATCTGACACCCTAGGCTGGACAACCACTCCTTGCCCACTCATCCACCCACATGGCCCACATGGACACCCTTCTCACCCTACTTAGACTCTGACATCTCATGCTGGGTGACCATTCCCTAGTCCCCACACCATCCCCCAGGGATAACCTCTTCTCCCTGCTTGAGTTCTGACATCCAAATTTTGGTCAACACCTTGCTCCAAACCCCTGTGCAGAGGCTTGCTTTTCTTTGTCTAATCTGGTAGTTTTAGGATGGAATTGTTTAGAAGTGGAAGGGGAAGGAATAAAGCGTGAAAAGTAGGAAGGAAAAGGAGGAAAGGGGAAGAACATTTACGTGGAAGTCACAAGATTAAGTTTCTGTTTGAAAATGATACAGTTTTAATAAGAGAAGAATCAAGCCACTTAAAATGGAGTGTTTTCTGACTGATATAGAATATAACATCCTTTCTTTCTTGGTCATTACAAATGATACTAAAATCCATGTATTCATTTATCCTGTGAAATGAGTTATCATAGATGGCAACATAACTTTCATATGATTATGTATTTCTCAGATGATCTCTTTATATTTTGTACATTCCATTGTTCTATTTGAGATATAGTAACTCCATACAGTTAATATTTGTTCATCAACAAAACTTTAAAAGGAACTTAGTGAAGCATTCTTGCTCTCAGAAATGTTTAGTACTCTATTTTCACCTCAGTTCTTCCTTGTTCCTTTGATTAAATCAGATGTAGTTCCTTTAGAATATTTGAATTGTTGTCTAGCCCATCTTGTCAAATGGCAGTTCTTTATTTCCTGCCAAGTCATAGGGCTATCATTCCACAGAAAATTTCCGTAAAAAAATCTGTGTCAGTCTTCTTTTCAACAAATTTCAGGATGAGTGCTTTCACTCTAACATCATAAATAATAACCAAGCAGATTTAAAGAGTTATTCTATTAATCATTGCTAAACTCAGTGTCAGCTTTCTAAGAAAACAAATAAAAACAATATGAGTTCGTGACCAGCCTGACCAACATGGCGAAACCCTGTCTCTACTAAAAATACAAAAATTAATTGGGTGTGGTGGCGCGTGCCTGTAATCCCAGCTACTCAGGTGGCTAAGGCAGGAGAATCGTTTGAACCCAGGAAGCGGAGGTTACAGTGAGCCGAGATCGCGCCACTATGCTCAAGCCTGGGCAACTGAGTGAGACCCTGTCTCAAAAAAAAAACAAAAAACAACAATATATGATGGCCCTGAGCATGTAGCCATCTATGTAACTACACAGGACAAAAATTAGCCGAAGTTGTCAGGAAGATGGTCCCTTAAAGGCTGAACAATAATTTTATAGTCAAAATCTGAGTGAAGATACATTTTTAAAAATTAAGCTAGTTTTTAAAATTGAAAAGCTAACATGTGCCTAACGTTAAACAAAAACAAAAACAAAAACAAAAAACAACCTTCACTGAGTTACGTTCCCCACAGAAAACTATTGTTAACAGTTAGGAGTTGGGAAAGTCCTTGGAATTCCACTTGTAACTGTTAAGAAATAGGACTATATCTTCTATTTTAAAAAAATATCTAAATAAAACTGTTAGATGAAGAAAATATGTAGGGTGTCAATGTGCTTCATTTTTAGGACAGAATAAAAAACTGCTATGAAATGACTGCAAAGACATCTTTATTATAACAGCACTTGGAATTGGCAATTCAGGAATTATTCATCTTGAACATCTTATGTAGTTTTAAAAATTCTCTAGAAAAACCACAACTGTTTTCATCTTCTCTTGTATAAATCTTTAATACTATTCTTGAAATTATACTAAGAAGAACACTGAAAAGTTAGTGAACATATGTAAAGTAGATCACCTTGATTTAGGATGCCTATTTATTTTATTAGGATCACTGTGTTGTGCTGTGCACAGAGTGTGTGTTTCGGAGGACTCATATTCCTCTCCCCTCTTGCCTACTGCATCTTGGTGAGGTCTCTGCTCTGCAACAAATCAACACAGGCTTGAAACTCAGTAATCCAGTCACGAAGAGAAGGAAAGAAAACCACCTCCATTTAAAGCACCAGATAGCTAGACCAGTGCTCCCCAAACTTCGGTGTGCACAAGAATCATAATTTTGAAGATTCTGATTCTCTGCATTGCTTCACCTCTTTTCTTGCCTTGTGCTTGCATCTCTACTATAGTGTAAGCACCTTTATCTCCTCCCTTTAGCTGATTCTCTGTGGCTTGCTACTAAAACTTGTGACTCATGGCGTGGTTCAAACTTCTGGAATCAATATTTACCTCCATTTTAGATTTCTCCTCACATACCGACCTTTAGCTCTGGTATATCTTCAAAGCTAGCCATTTCATGCATTTCCTCACCTGGCCCTCTCTATGGTGGACAGTAAGGCAGCAATACAGAGGTGGAAAGCTCCTCACATTAAGTAGCAGAATGTTGCTATTCAAAATGTCATCTGTGGACCAGCAGCTTTGGCATGACCTGGAAACTCGTTAAAATGTAGACTCTTCAGCACCACCTCACCCTGCTGAATCAGAATCTACCTTTTATCAAGATCCTTAGGTGATTTGAATGCTCATTAAAGTTTGAAAATCCCTGATTTAAGATGCTTTTGGCACAAGTAACAGAAAACCCAACTCAAACTGGCTTGCATGATACGTAGAATGACTTTCAGGTGATCTAATCCAGAGGCCCTTAGGTTTTCAGGGCTTTGCAACAAACTCTTTTTGCTTATCTGAGCTGTTTCCTGTAAGCCTACTCCCTCAACATAACTTCATTTTATGTTAACAATACAAAATATAGAATGTGTTCTAATAAGTGTTCAAACACAAACCTATTATTATAGTGCTCTTTGGCCTGTGCCCTAAATTTTGAAATGATCACTCCTTAAAATTGAAACCCTTGGTTGCAAGTAAAATAAAAGTCTGACTGAATATCATTTAAACAATAGGAAATTCAACATCTCTAATATCAGAAAGGGCAGAGGATGGCTCCAAAAATAATTTACCAAGGTTTCTCTTCTCTGCAGTTCTCTGGACTCTCCTGACTCCAATGACTCCATTTTCAGTGTGCTAGATGGCTGAAATTCCAGCAATCATATCTAGATCCCGAAATAGTTAAAGACTGAAAGGGACCATCTTTTCCCATGTCTCTTGTTTTAAGAATAGAGAAATCTGTCATAGCAGAGGTTTCCTTACAACTCAGTGGCCGGAATCGGGTATCATACTCTGACAGAGATCTCTAATTGCTTCTGAATATCTACTTTCCCCACCTTCTTCAGTAATACCGTCCTGATTTTTATCTGGGCACAGCAATGGCCAGGTATATTTCCTTGCCTCCCTTGAAAGCTACATTTGGCCATGTGACTAAATTCTGGTGAGTGAAACATACGTAGAAATGTTGTGTAGAACTTCCGGGAAGTATCCTTAAAAGAGAGGTAGCATCCTCTTTTTATTCCTCTTCTTCCATTCTGATTTCTGGAATGCAGACGTGAAGGCTGAAGCTTCTGCAGCCCTCTTTGATCATGAGGACAAGGGTACACTCAGGATCAGGTGGAGCAAAGAACTGGAAGGAGCCTGGGTCCCTGATAAATTCAGGAACCTGCCCTAAGAGCTTTATTCTGCCTACGTCCAGCTAGGTGACAGAATAAAACTTGTGTGTTTAATTTACTGTTAATCTGAGTTCTTATTAACTTCTGGAGAATCTAATCCTAACTGATACACATGCCTTCATATAGCACCCTCATGATTTTGGCCACATCTTTCTATCATTATCTTATTGTTTCTCACCTTCTTTACATTGGCTTTTTCACTTAATTTGAAGAGAATTTTTTATATCATCACTGCTTGACTATAAAATCAGTCCTGCCTGGCAAAAATAGAAGTTAACTGCAAAAATAAAAACAATGGAAATGTACTGACTTTAAAAAATTGGCCAACAGTGTTTCTGTATGACAAAGGCAACAAGCTTATTTGATATGAAATAGTTGCATTAGCTCCTTGGGGGCTCCAGTGGCCTTCCTTTTATTCACTGATAATATTAGCAGCTTCATTAGGCATTTATCTTAAATTTGCATGCACTTCCCGGGTGGGAGGACTTTCCTCTGTATATGGTGGTGAGTAATGGAGTTCTACCTGAAATCATCCATTACCTCAGTTGGAGAAACATGTCTCTAGGAGGGAAAAAAATTCAAGACTTTCTTTTACATTTGGTTGGAGTAGTTTTCAAACTTAGTAAGCCTAAGAATCACCCGAGGCTCTGGGTAAAATGCACGTTTCTGGTCTTGTCCAGGTGTAGAGATCAGGAGTCTGCATTGTAAAATAGTGCCCCAGATGACGTCAATACAAGTAGTTTTCAGACCTTAATTTCGGAAGCATGTGAAAAAGCATTCTTTATTACTGTATTCACTCATTCTTCAGTAATTGTCGAGCACCTTCCAGAGTGCTCTGTTAGACCCTGGTGGGAGGCAGAGGGTTTGCGTGGAGACTTAAGATTCAGTTTTCATGTCTCAAGGCATCAAATGAGATGTACTAGAGTTAAAAGGCAAAAAGGACGCTGTTTGTATCAAGCGCATTAACCCCTTTTAGCGTTTCTCTTACAATGGGATCACCTTCGTCATACGCTCCCAGTTGCTACTCATTACCTTAATAACACTAATAAAGCACCACCACCTCGAAGCTGGGGCGAATAGGCCCAAGAGACGGCCTACTTCTGTGGTGACCCTGAACTGCTCCAGAGGACCCAGCTCTCTCAAGCCAAGTGGTTTCCACACTTTGCTGCACAGTGGAGGCACTTGTAGAATAAAGAAAATAGGCCGACCCTCCAGGTTTGGAAGCCACTGGGCTAGCGGCCTCGCCAAGGCCCTGAAGCGCCCACGTCTTTGCGCCCTCTATCCTCAGCCCCGAAGGTGCGCGCGGAGGCCTCCCGCCCCGGCGGGCCTGGTCCTGGCGCCTGGTCCACCCCGCCCCACCGCTACCCGCCGTGCCCGGCTCCGGCTCCGGCTCAGGTGCGGGCCGCCGGCCGGGAGGAGCTGGTGCCGGAGCTTCTCAGGCCAGGGCGCTGCAGAACCGAAAGCAGCAGGGGGCGGGGGAGAGGAAAGAGGGGGCGGGAGCGGGGACGCGAGGGCGAGGCGGCCACGCGGGGCCGGGAATGCCCGCGGTGCGGGGCCCCAGAGCCGCCCGGTGGTCGTGTCCGGGCGATGGCTCTTCGCCTGGTCGCCGACTTCGACCTCGGGAAGGACGTGCTCCCGTGGTTGCGGGCGCAGCGGGCAGTGTCGGAGGCCAGCGGGGCCGGAAGCGGCGGCGCAGGTGCGGGAGGCGCGCTGCGGAGAGGGGTGGGGGCGGGGAGTGGGAGTCCCTCATACCCCCCGGACTCCGACCCGGTGGGGAGCAACCCGGGGCGTCGCCGCCCTGAGAAGGCTGGTGCGAGGGCGTCGCTCCCCTCCTCAGAGGGCTGTTTTGGCTTTGCCACCCACACCCAGCCACGGCGGAAGGTCTGGGGGCAGAGCCCGGGCCAGGTCGCCGTGGGGCCTGAGGCGCCTGGCTCGCTGCCGGCCCGCGGAAATTCGCCCTTGGCAGAGGGGCCGGGCCGCTGGCGGTTCCCTCAGCATCACCTCACGGCGAGGGCAGAGGGTCGTGCTCAGCTCAGCGGCCGCATCCCACCTCCCGGGGGGTTCATCGGCAGCGCAGGGGCTTTGCCAAGACAGGAGTGCTCCTGGAAGCTTCACGTTTTGAGAAAGAATCCGTGACCACCAAGCAAACCACCCTATACCTAACGGTGGAACAGTTTGTCCCCACATTTGCGAGACGTGTTTATGTGTCTGTTGAACCGTGTCCGTGGCTCAGGGGACATGGGCCTCGGCGGTGAGGCGCAAGAGGGCAGGGGCCGCCTCCAGGCTGCGCGCGGCGGGGCGAGAGCCCCCAGCCGCCCCCGAGCTCCGCACCTGTGCAGGCTGGGGCTGCGCGCGAGATGCTCGGCTCCCGGCCCTGCCACTCCGGGCTTTTTGATGATTTGGTAAGGGAGTGAAAGTGACTTTTGAGCCTTCCCAGCACTGATCTGTTTTAAAGAAGGGGAACTTTGTGATTTCTTACAAAGTTTTAAAAGTCTTCTATAAATATTGGAGCTTCAGAGCTTAAATGCAGCTTCAAAGCAATGATGCCTGTAGGTCTCACCTTGTGTGTAGGGCGCTGTCCACTTCAGTGAATTTGGAAGTGGGTATTAAATGACCCACATCTACAACTCCTTTCCCTTAAACGCTGGTGAAAGTTTTCTTGATGTGAGTTATATATCAAGTTGCTATCTTGTATCTTCACACTCTCCTATGACTATAGCGAAATTATTTGTAGGTTTCCTTGGCTTGGAATATTATTAGCTCCAAATAAGGAGTTATATGTTTGTGTAGCGTATGCATTGAGTTTGCATTAGTGTCATGCTTAGTAAGGCTTTACTTTTTTTCGAGGTGGAGAGGGTGGTCAAGGAAGAATTTTATACAAAAATTAGCTGGGCGTGGTGACACGCTCCTGTAATCCCAGCTACTCGGGAGGCTGAGGCAGGAGAATCGCTTGAACCTGGGAGGCAGAGGTTGCAGTGAGCCGAGATCTCGCCACTGCACTCCAGCCTGGGCAACAGAGTAAGTCTCCGTCTCAAAAAAAAAAAAAAAAAAAAAAAAAAAAAAAGTCGCCCACATGTCTGAAAAGTTTTTGAAGGCTTAACTTTTTGAAATACAACAGGCAGCTCTGTCTTCTACTACCAAGTACTCCTTTTTCTGGACTCCCACTTTATTTTGCTAAATGGCAGGTGTCTGCAAATGAGAAGTTAGATGAGTGTGAAATGCCACAGTCTTATGTTTCCGTAATGTGTGTCGTGCTTGAAAAGCTGTGTGTGACCCACTGGGACCTGGCTTCCTTGTATCTTTCGCTCATCTCTGAAGAAATATAAACTTGTGTATTGACCTTCCACTAAACAACAGATAGCTCTAGGTCCTCAGAAGGTACTTTCTGGAAATACTAGCTTTTCTGATACTGGTAGTATTTTGCTCTTTCAGAGCAAATATCTTGGTAAGATATTAGCCCTGTTATACTAAGAGAATTATCACCTCTGATAATCACCAGTGGGTGGTAGCTCAAAAATACCCCCACACAAATTAATTCCTGTTCTGTAATTTATAGCAGTGGCAGGGAAATCTGGGATTCTGTCTCATTTCTAGCACAGCAGTTACAACACACATTTGTGGAAATCATTATCCTTTCAAAGTTCTGGCTTTTCAAATGTAAATTATGAATTACTATACCATTGTAATGCCTCCTCTATGCATACTTGCTTTCTGAATTTGAAGCCTTAATGTTTTTACATCAACAAATACAATTGAAGTTTTCTTAGAGGTGCTAAGTAATTCTCATGAGATATGTATGATATATTCCTGGCAAAACAGAGAGCTGGGCTGAGTCAGCCATGGAAATTCTGTGCCTGTAAGCATTTTGGTCAATAAGGGGTCAAGGAGGAAGGAGAACAGATTTGGTTACTGCATTTGCTCCTGGTTCTGGGTTGAACTTTTGAGAAAACAGTTTCTCCTGAAATAAAAGAAGATATTTGTTAAAAATCAAAACAACTACATAAAAGAATATTTTAACAGGTAGCTGTAAATGATAAAAGAAAGAAAAAAACCACCGAAGTAAAACCGTGTATCCACTACCCAGCTTAAAAACAGAGCAATGTCAAGACTCTTGAAGTCTCTTATGTGCTCCTTTCTGATTCTATTTCTTTCTCTCATCCTCACCTCCTAGGTTGGCAACCATTTACATTTTTATATTTTAACATTACTTTGACTTTATTTGTAGTTTTAGCCTATATGTATGGGCAAAATATTTCATTTTGCTTGCCTGTGAACTTTAAACATACTGTATGCATTCCTTTTGCTTATTTTCCTTCTCAATATTGTGAGATTTACCCATATTGACTGGCTAGCTGCAGGTTATTAATTTGTATTAATTAATGCTATATAGTGTTCCATAGTGTGAATTCAACACGATGGTGGACATGGAGATGCACCCCTTAGATTTTCCTTTCAAAGAACAGCTTGTCCCAGGTGCTGTGAGTATAGTCAGCAGGCAGTCTTCAGCTGTCAGCCCCTTCAGGGATTGCCTGCCAAGAGGGCTGCCCTACCCAACTTCACTTCCTTTTGGGTATGGACCACGTGAAACTGAGTGGGCTTTAAAGGCCTGGCCATTTTGACTGAACATGGGACAACTCCATTTCAGTTCCGAAGCTTCCTCTTTGAGGGACCCAAGGTCACCTGAGGATATTGGGCCTGCGTTGCTACTGGACTTCTCACCTACCAGGACTTGCTTCCTTCTCCTTCCTCTTAAGGGTGTTAATCCCACTTTCCTGAGCACTCCCTGATGAACATACTGGGTACTAAACTCTGTCTCAGAGTGCATCCTGGGGAACCCAACTTATTTTTCCAGTGGGTGGCTTTTGGGGGGTTTCTGGGGTTTGCTGTATGGTCAGTACTCTTACTAACCACCTGGTGCACACAGGCATATGTTTCTCTAGAATGTACGTCTAAAAGTAGAGTTGCTAAGTCATAGGCTGTGCACATCTTCGTCTTTCCTGGGCAGTGCCAAATTGTTTTCCAGAGTGTTGTACTTATTAACACTCTGATTTGTGGTGTGGAAATGTTTCTGATACTCACTATCCTCACAAGCCCGTGACAGCTCAAAATTTAATTTTTTTTTTTTTTTTTTTGTCAAACTGGTAGGATTAATTATTTCATTGTGCTCCGAGGTTGAGCATCTCTATGTATTTACTGGCCACTTGAATCTCCCTGCCTGTGAAATGTCTATTCATCCTTTTGTCCACTTTCCTATTTTTTTTAATTGATTATTTTAGGGGTTATGTTTTTGGGATTATAGTTCTTTATCACGTGTTGCAAATATTTTTCTCTCAATCTGTCACTTCTGTTTCGGTTTGTGATGGTGCCTTTGATAAACAGGAGTTCTTAATTTTAATGTAGTCTAAATTAGGAGTTTTTCTTTATAGTTTGTTCCTTTTTGGATCTCTTAAATCCTCCCTGTTTTGAAGTCGTGAAGACATTTTTAGTATTAACTTTTGGAAGCTTTATGACTTTTTCACCTTTTGATTTTAATCCACCTAGAATTTATTTTTATGTGATTTATAGGAGTCCAATTTTTTTTAAAAAAATTAATAGCTAATTGTTTCAATATTATCAATCAAACAGTCCTTTTAGTTCTCACAACAAAACCACTTCTGTCACATCAAGCTTCCTTATGTAGGTCTCCTTTTCTGAGTTCATTTTGTTTCATTATCTCAACTTGACAACTTTCTTTTGAGAGTCAAGCTCTGTCACCCAGCTGGAGTGCAGTGGCACAATCTCAGCTCACTGCAACCTCCACCTCCCGGGTTCAAGCGATTCTCCTGCCTCAGCCTCCCAAGTAGCTGGGATTACGGGCATATGCTGCCACGCCCAGCTAATTTTTATATTTTTAGTAGAGACAGAGTTTCACCATATTGGTCAGGCTGGTATTGAACTCTTGACCTCAGGTGATCGGCCTACCTCGGCCTCCCAAAGTGCTGGGATTACAGTTGTGAGCCACCATGCCCGGCCATGACAACATCTTAATAACTATGCTTTATGGTAGGTATTGATAACTGGTAGGGTAAGTCCCCTCACCTTAGTATTCTTCACGAGTGTCTTAACTATTGTATGCCCTTTGCTTTTTCATATATATATTTTTGAATCTGCTTGTCAGATTTTACAAAAAAAGTTGATTTGGATTTCCTTTAGTTGTATTGCCTCTATAGATCAGCTTGGGGAGAATTGGCATCTTTACAATATTGGATCTTTCCAACTATGAACAAAATACAGCTCATTATTTATTTAGATCTTTTTAAATGACTCTTAATAAGTCTTAGAATTTTCTCCATGAAGGTTCTGCACATGTTTTGCTAGATTTCATCCTAGGTTATTTTTTTGTTGCTCTCATAACTAGCACACTTAAAAACATGACATGTTGTAACTATTGCTGGTATATAGCACTATAATAGATAGATCTTATATGTTGACTTTTGTATCCCGTGCTTAATCCCTTGTTGGGATTGATCACATCTTCAAGAAAATAAGATCTGCAATATGTAAGTTTTCTAACATTTAAATGTCAATATTTAAGACTGGAAAGGATGTAGATTTTCTTGCCTGCTTTTATTAGTCTTGGATTTATGATACACCAGATTGACTTGTCTTTCAAATATTGTAATCTTTGCCAGGGAAGTGGTATATTTTACCAAGTGACTGATTCAAGAATAATACTTTTTTTGGTTGCCTCCTATGTATTCCTAGATTGATTTGGGGGCCAGAGGGTTACCTTAATCACATTGTTTTCACTTTTTTTTTTTTTTTTTTTTTACTATTTTCTTGCCACTATCTGTCCTTTTTACTTTTTTTTCCGCTAATTCTTTCCTAGTCTCCTCTTCTAATTCTCATCTCTCTCTTAACTTCATTTTACTCAGAATATGAAATATAAATCACATAATGTTTACTGCATAGGTTTAGGAATTATAATAACTGGTCATCTTGAGCCTGAGGATTTATATGAATTATTTACAGAATAGGAATGTTATAGGTATAATCATATTTTGTCACCTCTTGATGTATGTATTAGGAACTAGTTCAAAATTTTGTATAAGGCTGAATGACGTTTTTCTCCTTAAATATGGTCATTGGAAAGACAAATACTTTAATTTTTGTCTCATAGCAGTTTGGGATAAAATGTACACATTTGAGAACCCCTATTCCTGTAAAGTGAAATCACTTTTGTTTGACAAAGAATAGATTGAAACGAATGAGAATATCTGGCCAACCAGCTTTTGTTTTACAAGAGCTATGCCTTGCCAATATCTTTAATATCTAGGTACTCTCGTTTCTTTTATAGGTTTACCTATGCAAGTATCTATCAAAATGCTACATTGTTTTATTCATGAGAACTGAATATACTAAACTGTGAAATTAAGCCACATTTCCTCATTTGAAATTGCAAAACTTCTTCCTCTGGACTTTCCAGTGATGAACTACTGGGAGAAGAGTCAGAATGAATAAGCAAAGAGGTTACTGAATACTTCTTTTAAAAGGGTGTGTTAAGACATGGGCAACTCGTCCAGGGAGGAAGAGCCGATGGCTTAATAGTATGTGGTGAGACATTGGTCTCTGGATTTGCAACATTACCAAATTTGTCTATTTCACATGTCCTTGAAATGTGAACTGTGTACTTAACTGCAGGGTATTCAGCCCTGCAGTTATTACCTAATGTTCCCATGAAAACATTATTTTTATTTCTTTCAACTCTCTGTCTACCATGGTTATATTATAAGATGGTCCAAGTTATGCCCTCTAACAAATATTGCTTAATATGTAATGTACATTTGTAGTTCAATGGTTCTTAACCCTGGCTGTACATTAGAATCACCCAGGGAATCTAAAACACATACATGTACACCAGAGAGTGGGCTCCACACCAGCTCAATAAAATCAGAATATCCTGGGTATGGCTTGGGGCATCAGTGTTCTTTTAAAAGCTCCCTTAATGATTTTAAGACAGCCAGAGTTGAGAACCACTAGTTTAATGGGATAAAAATGTGTCATTTATTGTAATCTGCGTTTGTTGGAGAATTTTTTCTCTTAGTATTATAGTAATCTGAAAATAGATACGCTTTTGCAAGTAAATTGGATTTAGCAAGATTTCTTGTGAAGGAGTTCTTATCTTAGCCGAAACCTTTTAACTGTACTTTTGCGACGATCTCTCCTCGCATACTTATAATCTTGAAAGAAAAAAAATACTTCTCAAAATATTGACACATTGCATTCCAGAAGTTTTGAGTCGTGTACAGGATGAACAAACTCACTGAAATTCTCTTTAGATGTCTACAATATCTGCCTTTCAAAGGACTTTTGAGTAATTACCCATTTTCTCATTGTAAGCTTGATACAGAACACTCAGTCCATTGTTCTGTTTACCTTTTTCTAGGTTTGAGTTCAGTCTACGCCACCTTTTCACTGTATATTGGTCAAGTATCATTATCTCATTGAAAAGTATAGTAGGCCTGGAATACCTTATACAATGCAGATGAGATAGAAATGAGAACTCTCTAAATTGTGAAGGCCTACTTAGCCATAAGCTTATTATTATTATTAAGAGACAGGGTTTTGCTGTGTTGCCCAGGTTGGTCTTGAACTCCTGAGCTCAAGCCATCCTCCCACCTTGGCCTCCCAGAGTGCTGAGATTACAGGCGTGAGTCATCATGCTTGGCCCATGAACTGATTATTTAAATCCTAGTCTCCTAAGAGACCAAATTATTATCCTTATTATCCTTCAGTGTGAAGTGAGTCTGACAGCTCCATATACATGTCAATATACTGACAAACGTTTATACCCATGTATAGAAAACACTTTGCCCTATCCCTTTGCCCTGCCCCTAGGAGACCCACTAAGCTGCTGCTTGTGAGGGGTGGGGAAGAGAGATCTCAGGATGATGTCTAAGTTCTCAGTGAAACCTGGTCTTCCTCTCTCTAAATGTTTCCCACCTCCAGCTCCAGTGCAGGTGTCCAGCTCACCAATTATCCTTATTTTTTATCTTGTCTTTTCCTTTTAGGAATACAGACAGAAATTTGCTGAGTTACAGATAGTTTGCATATGTTTTGTCTGAATATTAGAATTTGTCATAATCAATGTAATTAACATGTAAAAACTATTCCTGTATGGGAAAAATGAGTCAAATTTAAGCAATTTATCTTTTCTTTTTTTTTTTTTTTTTTTTTTTTGGAGGCAGAGTCTTGGTCTGAAGTGCAATGGCTCAATCCCGGCTCATTGCAACCTCCACCTCCTGGGTTCAAGTGATTCTCCTGTCTCAGCCTCCTGAGTAGCTGGGATTACAGGTGTGCACCACCGTGCCCAGCTAATTTTCTGTATTTTTTAGTAGAGATTGGGTTTCACCATGTTGACCAGGCTGCTCTTGAATTCCTGGCCTCAAGTGATCCATCTACCTCAGCCTTCCAAAGTGCTGGGATTACAGGCGTGAGCCACTGTGCCGGCCATAATTTTGGATAACTTTTGAGGAAATTGGGAAAGTACACACTTCTGCCCAATTAGTGATAATTACAATGGTGAATCTACCAGTGTTTAAATCCTTTAACTGTAGAATTAGGAGAAATATCCTAAAATTTTAGAAGAAAGATGGTCAGTTAACTTATAGGTTAAATGTTTTGTGTAAAGAGTCTGTATATCCTTCAGCAAAATAGGGCTTTCATATAGACAAGGACACAAGTTATAAGTTCACAGCTTAGTTAATTTTCACCAAGTGAAACACACTTATGCAACTAAGACTCAGAACAGGAAGGAAAACATTAATGGAACCTCAGAAGTCCTTCATGCTCCTTTCTAACAGTCACTTATCTAACACTGTACATTAGTTGTGCCCATTATTGAAAACTTGTGTATGAATTGAAACATACAATTTGTACCTTCTTTTGGTGGTGGGGAAGGTTCTTTTGCTCAGTTTCACATGTGTTATTGCAGAATATTAATTCATTGTTTTGTACTATTCCACTGTTTGGATATAACACAATTTATTCATTCTTCACTTAATGGATAGTTTGGGTTTCTGGTTTGGGCAATAATGTACCACAGTACTATAGACATTCTTATGTGTCCCTTGCTAAATATATGTATATATTTCTTTTGAAGATATATGTACAAGTGCAGTTGCTGAGTCATGTGTTCAGCTTCACTAGATATTGCCAGTTTTCCAATTTATACTCCCATTAACAATGTATGAGAGTTTCAGTTGCTTCAGATTTTTTTTGCATCACATAATACTAAAACATAATAAGTCAAGGATGCCTGTTACAACTTTTAGTATAACTAATAAAAGAATAGCAAAAACATATAACTGACAATAGGTAATAGAATGAAATAATAAACTTAGAAGAGTAGTAAAACAGGTGAGACACGTAGAAAACAAATAGTAATATGATAAATATCAACCCAATATGTTAGTAATTACATTGAATGTAAAAATGGACTACATATCCCAATTAAAAGATTAAGAATGTCAGATTGGAGGAAAAAATCTCAAGTGGATACTGCTTATAAAACATATCTTCAATATAAGGACACAGGAAGATTAATAACAGAAAGTTATGCAAGCACTAACCAAGCTGATGTAGTTATACTAATATCAGACAAAGTAGACCTTAAAGTAAAAATAATTATTAGAAATAAAGGACATTGTATAATGAATAAAGGGTTGCTAATCCAGCTCCTATATTAAAAACTTATGTGTAATTTTTCAGACCCAACTATGTGCAGTTACAAAGACTTTATCTGACAGGCCTTATGGGAGAAAGCTGCCCTCCCCAAATCCGACTTGGTGTGTGGTCAATGCCCTGTAGTCCCTGAAATGAGTTGTGCCTGTGATTCAGGCCCCGCTGGCCAGCCATACTCTTACAGATAGCTGCATCCCTAGCCCGGGTTCTTCATTTAGAGGCCTCTTTATCAGAGGCCTTTAGCAGAGACCTTTCTCAGGTGCCTCTAAACCACCAAAACCGCCTTAGCAGCGGGGAGAGGGGAGCTTCGAAGACTGTTTTTTCTCTACTCCAGTGAAATACTTTTCCACTCCTAGCTCTTCTCCCTCTCCCTACCCTCGGCTCCTGTATCCGTGATCCTGCAGGAACCTTTTTGGGAGGGTCCCTCGATAGTGAAGAGAGCTCCATATCTGTGCTGATTCACCTGACCCTTGGCTAATGGCACCATTCCATGGGGAGAAAATAGACCAGGGACATTAGCACTTTCTCTTGTTTAGCCTCTTGCTTTATAGCATCACAGTAAGTGATTAAAAGCTTGACTGTTAAAAAGTTAATATTAACTTTTTAATCTTGTTTTAATTGAGTACTCAGACACCTGGCAGCTCAGCTTAGAGCCTAACAGTGGTTAATCTACAGGAGGCTATAACAATTCCAAATTCGTATGCCCTTAATGATATATCCTCAAAATGCATAAAGCAAAAACTAATAGATACTTGAAATTTATTGTATAACATTCACACAGAAAAGAGTGTATACAGTTCAGTGAGTTATTGCAGAGTATATCAGTATACCCAAAACATTTAACATTACCAACACGTAACAAGGCTCACTTGAGATACCTCTCAATGACTATGGCTTTCTCCTTCCTTAAAGGTTACTACTGTTTGTACTTCTAATAAAAGAGATTCGTTTTGCCTGTTTTTAAGTTTTATATAATAGAATTATTAGTATATATTTATATTTGGCTTCCTTCACTAATATATTGGTTAGATATGTTTTTAACCATCTTCTGCTGAGTATTAACCTCCTATTATCATTTCAGATGTTTTAGAAAACGATTATGAGAGCTTACATGTATTAAATGTTGAAAGAAATGGAAATATTATTTATACCTATAAGGTATGTCTATATTCTTTTTTATTGTGGTAAGATGTAAAATTTACTGTTTTTAATCATTTATATTCTCTTTTTACAGAATTCTATACTGTATCTTATTGAAGGGTAATGAATAAACTTGTTGGCATTTAATCTTAACATATGACTTTGTGTGTGTGAGACTGAATAAAGTGATTGAAATTTAGTAGTATTAGGCTGGGCATGGTGGCTCACAATTGTAATTCTAGCACTTTGGAAGGCTGCAACGGGCAGATCACTTGAGGTCATGAGATCGAGACCAGCCTTGCCAACATGGCAAAACCCCGTTTGTACCAAAAAATACAAAAATGAGCTGGGTGTTGTGGCGCACACCTGTAGTTCCAGCTACTCAGGAGGCTGAGGCAGGAGAATCGCTTGAACCCAGGAGGAGGAGGTTGCAGTGAGCTGAGATGGTGCCACTGCACTCCAGTCTGGGTGACAGAGCGAAACCCTGTCTCAAAAAGAAAAAAAAATTTTTTTAAATATTAAATGTTTCTTCATTTTAAAATAAAACTAAACAGGCATATCTGACATAATACTCAAATTTTGAATCAATGAACAATTTCATTTTCTAGACAAAAAATGCCAAGTAAAAATGTTTAAACCTAATTAATATGTTAACATTTTATCATTGGAGAAAATATTAAATATGATTACTCTCTTCAGACGTAGATATGTTAGGACTTTCGAAGCATTATTATTATTTTGTTTTTAGAAACAGAGTCTTGCCCTGTCACCCAGGCTGGGGTGTGGTGGCACAATCATAGCTGACTGCAGCCTCAAACTCATGGGCTCAAGTAGGTTCCTTGAGCTCCTGCCTCAACCTCCCCAGTAGCTAGGACTATAGGCATGTGAAGCATGTTATTTAACAATGTGTTTTCAATGTCAAGTGTTCTAAGGAAAATTTAACTTTACTATAATAAGCACACATGAATAATTCAAATGGCCAGTTTGCTTTGCACAGTTATATCACTGTACTTTTTAAAGTAAAAATAATTATTTTAAGTTGTGTCTTAGAATGGTACCTTTAAGGAATTGTGTGATTCACAATGTTTTACTTATAAGAATGTTACGGACTTGTCCTAGTCATCCCTATTATCTATCATATGTGTGTGTTTTCAAAGACATAAGTGGAAGTATAAAAAGATTTACGCCCACCATGCTCAGTCCTACTAGACAGTTCCCCAAACTCACTGAGCTCTACACTGTTGATCCATTTCATTCTTTGAGCCCAAATGACTAGCTGAACTGGATTCAGTCCCCCTCTGACAGGCACAGAAAGCTTCTTTTAGAGTGCTTACTGCTAAGATTGAGTTATTGCAGGTTGGTTTTAAAACTAGTAACATTCTAACTTCCTAAACAATGACATTTAATAAACATCTGGTTAATTTTTTTTAGGATGATAAGGGAAATGTCGTCTTTGGATTATATGATTGTCAAACCAGACAAAATGAGGTAAAAATCATAGATTACTCATTGGTTACTTTACTGCCTTTAGAGTTTTCTTTGTCTCCTCCTTTTTCTAGATATAAATTCCAACTTTATTTTCTCTTTTTCTGTAAACATTTTATTTGAAAAAACAGAATTGCAATTTGAGGCATACACACAGACCAGGGTAGTCTTTGGTATGTCCAAAGAACTAAGAAAGGTTGGGGGTTTTATCAGAAAGAGAAATGTTACACATGGCTTTGAAAGAAAACTCATTGGCAATAGGAAAGTTTCCAGGAGCTGGCAGATCTCATCGGTGTGGGAAAGCAGTAGGTAAAACTAGTTTTAGAGCCATGGCAGTTTGTTTCAGCAGCTACTAGGTGAAGCTGTTCTTAAGTTTATGGCATTTGGTCATTTTGGCAGCTGGCTTGCACAATACCTGGGCAGGCCCTTGTGCCCTGTGTGCTGCTTTTTTCCTCTCCTGATCTCTTGATTTAACTCGATTGAGTATGACAGAATAACTCCAGTTCTTGTAATCAGTTATCACAGTACATGCAACAGTTTTATTCATTTATTTGTTGATGGACACCTGTTTCTAATATTTGCCTATTATGAACACTATTGTATACATAGGTATTTTTTAATTCTTTTGTGTGTGTATCTAGGAGTGGGAATACCAACTTTATTTTCTAAAAAATTATATTTCTTTGCTTTCCTTCTCTTCTCCCTTAACGATCTCTTGGTCCTGTTATCCTAAACAAAAAATGCAAGGACTATTGGACCACAAAGTGAGGTGAGGTCTCTTAGACCTTTGAGATTTAAGTAAAATTGGCTCAAACAAATTATTCAATATCCTCTAAGAAAGTAGGAGGTCCAATGTCCTTCTTGAGATTTGTGTACTCCCAGGTCATCCTATAATGACCTCTGACTCTTTCTGCTTCTGCTTAACCTTCACATGTCTTGTTTCTCATTATTTCTTAGTGATCCAGACAAGGAACCCCTTTCCTTATTTTTTTCCCCAAATTACTCACATAAGGCGTTGGTTGATGTGACAGGCTTTGTCTAATTCTGGGAGCAAATGGGAGGGAGTAATTTTGTACCTATGTAAAAACAATTTAGAATTGAATATTAGACATCTTTGAACTTAAATGTCCTTTATCCATTACAAATTTTTTACAGGTCACCTTACTCTTCAGGGTTCCAATACGCTGCTTGGTTAATTCTCTCTTCCCTTCTTCCACCCCTTTCACCTTTATTCATTAATTCATTCACCCATTCACTGATCCAACAAATAAGCATTGAGTGTTTTCCCTGTCAGGTGCTGGAGACACAGTGATGATCAACATAAACTCACAATACACAGTCTAGGGAAAGAGAATAAAATCTCAAGTTTTCAGTGCAATTGTTAGCTTAATTTCTGTGTGGCATGTATTCTAAAAAGGTGGATTGAGAGGAGACATCATAGTCTGTCTTCTGTCAATCCAGTTGTGGTGACTGCTGCTATCTTTTGTGGTCATATTCCTCTCTCCCAAGACTGTGAGCACTTGACAGTAGGAGCACTTTGCATACCAATGTGTTTTATCCCCGTTACCTTTAGCTTACTGCCTGTGAGTGGTAGGAGTACAGTGAATGTTTTTCACTGGATTGATAGTGATAGGTTCCCTCCAGAGTGGCTGTTTTTCAAAAATTTTCCAGTGACAAAGGTGCTTTGAATTCCAAAATGTGAAAGTTAGTCCAGAAAATAAATTGGCCAAAGGATAAATTAATAGGAAATTTAAACTAGCTTTGTAAACAGGCAAATTTTTCTTCTGAACCGTAGTCGCTAAACAAACCCTCCCCTTCTCCCATCTCTTCTCCACGTAGGCACAACCCTTACAGCCCATATGTTTTTTTTTTTTTTTACGGACCTTTTGATGGTTTTATTGAAGGAATGGATTTGTATACCAAATCTAGATGGGCTTTAAAATTCTTTTTTTTTTTTTTTTTTTTTTTGAGACAGAGTCTCACTCTATTGCCAGGCTGGAGTGCAGTGGCGCCATCTCAGCTCACTGCAACCTCCGCCTCCTGGGTTCAAGCAAATCTCCTGCCTCAGCGTCCCAAGTAGCTGGAACTACAGGTGTGTGCCACCACGCCCAGCTAATCTTTTTTTTCTGTGTGTGTGTATATATATATATTTTTTTTTTCTTTTTTCTTTTTTTTTTTTTAGTAGAGATGGGGTTTCCCATGTTGGCCAGGATGGTCTCAATCTCTTGACCTCGTGATCTGCCTGCCTCAGCCCCAAAGTGCTGAGATTACAGGTGTGAGCCACCGTGCCCGGCCTAAGATTCTTTTCAAGTACTGTATTTTTCCTTGGAAAGGTGCCACCATGAGGAAAGATGGTGCCATCAAGAGAAAAAAAAAATCTTTCTCTTGGTAATTGAGCTTCAGGATGGGATAACAGTGTCTGAGTCTTAATGCTTACCCATCCTTCTCTAAAAGTTTTTATTTTTTAAATTTGATAAAACTAGTAGAGTAATGTCCTGTGTACTCTTCACTCAGTTTCTCTCAATTGTTAAATCTTGTGTAACTATAGGATAATATATTAAAACCAATAAATTAATGTCGGTAGAATGTGTGCATATGGTTCTATGCCATTTCATTACTTGTGTAGATTCTTGTAATTACCACTGCAATCGAGAAAGAGTTATTCCATTTCTACAAGATCTATTGGTGTTGAAATTTTACCAGTTCGAATGAAGTGTGGAACTATTATCTCCTTTTGAGTCTCTTTACCTTTCTGTGTTTTTGATTGTCTTCGATATTTCCTATACATTCTTTAGGATCCTCATCAGGCAATGTTATACTTTTCGCCCTGATTGTCAAACATAATTTAGAAAACACAGGAGAAGGAAAGTCTATTGTGTTTACCTATATATTTGCTCTTTCCATGGTTCTTTCTGATGTTCTAAGGTTCCTCTTTTATCATGTCCTTTCTCTTTCAAGAACTTTTTTTAACCATTTTTTTTAGGGTAGCTATGCCGATGACAAATTTTCATAGTTTTCTTCATCTGAGAATGTGTTTTTTTCCTTTCATTCCTGAAGGATAATTTTGCCAAGTGTAGAATTCAGGATTCATAGTTCTTTTTGTTCCTCTCTTGAAAAACATGCCACTTCCTTCTGGGTTCTCTGGTTTCTCATGAGAAATCTGCTGTCTTTTGAATTTTTCTCCCCCCCATATAGATGTCACTTTTTTCTTTGCTGTTTTTGAAAAAATTTTTTTCTTTCTCCTTAGTTTTCTGAAGTTTGATTGTGCTGTGTCTTGGTGTGGATTTGTTTGGATTTTGCCTGTTTGGGGTTTACTCCGCTTATTGAATCTGTAGTCTCTTGCCAAATTTGGGACATTTTTAGTCATTAGCCAATATTTCTTGAAGTATTTTTTCTTAAAGTTCCAATCTGTTTCTCTTTTCTTTTTATGGACTCTGATTACAAGAATGGTAGATCTTTTGTTACAGTCACCCGGATCTCTGAGGTTCTGTTTCTTTTATTTTTTGATTTTCTGTTGTTTAAATTAGGTAACTTCTATTGTTTTCAAGTTCACTGATTGTTCTGTCCTCTCCACTATGTTGTTGAGCCTACCCATGGAGGTTTTGTTAAAAAAAAAAAAAAAAAATTGGTAATTGTATTTTTCAGTTGTGAAATTTCCATTTGTATTTTTCTTTATATATTTCTTGCTGAGACTTTTTTTCGTTTGCTTCAAGCATGCTTGTAATTACTTATTGAAGCATTTTTATGACCGTTTTAAAATCTTTGTCAGAAAATTCCAATATCTTTGTTATCTCAGTGTTTGTGCCTATTGTTTCCTCATTCAGTTTGAGATCTTCCTGGTTTTTGGTATGACATGAGGTTTTCTATTGTATGTTAGACATTTCGAGTACTGCATTATGAAACTCTGGATGTTTTTTAAGTCTTCTCTTTAGCATACCTCCTGTGATAATTTACCTGTTGGGGAATTAGCGGGGTTGGTGGTACAACCTACTACTGCTAGGTTGTGCCAGGGGAAGGTCCAGGTTCCCCACTTGGCCTACTTGGACACCCCAGTGGAGAGAAGTGTCTTGTTATGGCTAGACAGAGGTGGGATTTCAGTCTCCCCACTTGGCCTCCACTGATACCACAGCAGAGGAGCAGGATGGGGGAAAGGTAGGTGAAGGCCTCATTATCATTAGATGGTAGTGAAAGTTTTGGTTTCCCATTCAGCCACCTTGGACACCATCCCAGTGAGGAGGTGGAAAGGGAACTCTTTACTACTGGGTCTGGGTGGGAGTCCAGGATCCACGTGGATTTGCTTTCACTCTTGGTGGGGGAAAGCTTGTTTACCACTGGGAATGGTTGAAAGTCCTGATTTCCTACTTGGTCTTCTTTGATACTCTTCTCGCAGAAGGGGGAAGGCTGCCTTGTTAACAGCTGGGCAAAGGTGGGAGTCTAAGTTCCCCATGCAGCCTTTGCTGGTAGAGATGGGAGTGGGGTTGCATTTTCTTTTGTGGTGTTTGGCTGGACTTAGGGTGGTTATAGTAAGAAAGTTTCTCTCTTGCTATGTTTCCTCTTTCCAGTTCCTTTGGCTAGAGAGCATGGGTGTGTGTTTGTTTTTGTCCGCTCCCATCAGTATTTCTGCTGTTTTCACCTCTTTAGCTCTGAGTCTAGGCTATATGACACAAAAGGAAAACCCAGGGAACTCACCAGTATGTCATTCATCAGGATCTGAGGTCCCTAAAGAGTCTGCTGCCTTCTCTCTGCATTTCAGAGTCGTCATTGAAACTTAAAAAATATATGTCCAGGGTTTTAAAACTGTACTTGGTGGGAGCAATAGGGACAAGTGGGTTGACTTCACTTTGCCCCGCCCCCCCCCACCTCAAGTTTTGAGTTAATGGTCTCACCCTGCAATATGCAAATGGGAAGCAGTGTATTACTTATGCTTCCCATTAGCATAAGTAATGGGATAAGCATAAGCACGGTCCCAATAGCTTTCCTTCCTCACCCTCTTCTACCTCTTTCTCCCACCTTCTGTCATGTAGGACTTCCCTGGTAGTGCATACAAGAGTGAACATGACCTAAACTGGTTGGATACAAGAGAATACTTTGCTGGTAATTTGGGACATGGACTCTTCTCTTTTCCACTGGGTTTGGTGATAAGTGAATTCACTGGGTTGGAATTGCTGTGGCTTTGGGGAATAGAACTTGGAGCTCTATTGTGTGGAAGCTGACAAATGTATTGAACCCAGAAAGCTAGGAGAATGTATATTTCCAGCTCTGGATCAAGCCAATACTGAAGTAACACCCCATTCTGTTCAATTTCATGAGCCACTAATTGTCTTTTTGCCTAAGCTAGTTTGGGGAAGATTTTTTGATGCTTGGAGTTAAAGACTTCTGATACTTGCACACCTATTGACCTAGAAATTCCACTTTGAGGTTTTGATTCTACAGAAATATCTGCACAAATTCACACAGGTTTATGTAAAAGGTTCATTGGATTATTATATTACCTAAATGTAGGAGGCAAACTAAATGCCCATCAGTAAGTTTTTGGAAATTGATACAGCTATTAAAGGATTAAGAAGTCTGTAAATGTTACTGGTACAGAAGTCTCTCCAAAACATGTTGTTACATGAAAAAAGCAAGTTGTCAGAATAATACATTCCATTTATGTTTTTAAAAAACTTGCAATGTAACTGTGTAATATAAGTGCATAAATATAGAAAATTTATAAACATGCTTCCTTTTGGAAGAGAGTTGGGATTGGCTGAGTATAAAAGACTGTCATTTCTTTTGACCTTTTTTTTTGTTTGAGACAGGGTATCACTCTGTCACTTGGGCTGGAGTGCAGTGGCACAATCACGGCTCACAGCAGTCTTGACCTCCTGGGCTCAAGTAATCCTCCTATCTCAGCCTCCCAAGTAGCTAGGACTACAGGCATGCCACCATGCCTGGCATATTTTTTTAAAAACTTTTGTAGAGATAGGATTTTGTCGTGGTGTCCAGGCTGGCTTTGACTTTTTATTTGATAGTGTTTGAATCTTTTAAACATTGAGATTATACTTACGTTATCTTTGTAATTAAAAGATAACAAACTAAAAATTAAGTGTATATACCCATTCTTCTTAGTAATAATTTAGAATTAGATTCTTCTTAGTAATAATTTAGAATCCCTCAGTTAGAGCAAGAGTCAAAGGAAACCGACAATTCTCACATGAATTCAGTATCTGATTAACTGAAAGTTCACTTTCTGTAATCAATTGTTCCCTAACTTTCCCAGCTTTTCCCATCAACTTCTAGCTATAGGGGTCTGGTGTGTTTTCGATACTTTTTTAGTGTGCAGATACTAGTAACCTTCTTAATACTTACACTATTTACTGTTTCTCTTAGTCGGTTCTCTTCTGAGGTCGAAGACTGTCTCTTTCCCTTATCCTCTGGGTGTTCTTTAAGAGAGCCTGCCTAATAGAACTGGTGTTCTCTAGTTCCTCAATCTCTACATCACATCCTCCTGCATGGGCATTTTCATTTTCTTTAATATTCAAGAAAATGGAATCTTGGAATATTTTGAACATTTTAAACAACAACAAGGAAAAAAAATTAAAGAAGTCTACCTTCCCAGTCCTCTAAATATGAAAGGCCTATGGGAGATGCACTTGTGACAGTGGCTAAGAAAACTAATGATTACTGAGGTAATTAATTACCTCAGTAATTACAATAGCTAACATTTGAGTGCTTATTGCACTAAGTGCTTCATGTAGATTATCTCACTTGATCCTCCTAACAATCCCATGAGTAGATGTTATGATTCCTATTTTACCAATGGGGGGATAGAGAAGCTGAATAATTTATCCAAGGTCACGCAGCTAGCAAGTGATAGAGTCAGGGTTTGAACCTGGATCTAGCTGGGCTCCAATGTCTATGCTGTTAACCACTATACTTGGTTGTCTCATGGCTAAATATCGGTGCCAACATGGCTTACAATAGCAAACTTTTTTTTGGTAAAGAGTACTCTGGAATGTGTCAGCATAGCTAAACTAGTTTGATTCTTTACCAAAATATTTTGCCCCAGTAATACTTAGCACAGAGCTTAATGGGAATTTATGTTCATACAATTGTTATTTAATGTATGAAACTTCAAATTAAAAAATATTTTTGTTTTAATAGCTTCTATATACCTTTGAGAAAGACTTGCAAGTTTTCAGTTGCTCTGTCAACAGTGAAAGGACTTTGCTTGGTAAGTTGAGCTCTTATTGCTACATGTCAAGAACTGAACTACATCTTTCAAGAGTTTCAAAGTATTAGATTTTTGCAGTATTAAATTATTCTATAACAATAATTTCCTAGGAAAGAAATGTTCTTGAGAAGTTAAGTTTGAAATAAAGAATGTAGAGGATATACCTACAAAAAAGAATGCTTTGTGTTCTGCCCTTATCTTCCGTTGACATATCCTTTGAGCCCTCATCTATTTCAGGTTTAAACTGGTAAACTTTAACAAGCTACCATATGGATCAATTGCTAATGGATTTTTTTTCTTTTTCCATTAGCTGCAAGTTTAGTTCAGTCTACTAAAGAAGGAAAAAGGAACGAACTTCAACCAGGTAATGAAATTACACTTTTTAGTACCTATGGGTAGATGAAGGTTATTGGTAGATGATTTATTATACTACCAAATCAAATTTCAAGCATCTTTAGAAATAGCCTTATCGTATCTCAGAATAAAAGGCAAAGGTCATGTCAAGCATGAAAAAGACTTAAAAAAAATTTTTTTTTCAAGCAAACAGAAAAGGACAGACAATGTTCTAACAGTGATTCAGCAGAAGTATTAAGATGGTAATTAGTACCTGCAGGCTAAATAAATGCTGAAGTAGAAACCTATGGTCAGATGTTGGTATAAAAGATAGGGAAAGTCAAGAATGCATCTTTTCTTATATCTGGTTAGGTATTGATTAATACCTAACACATTGTAAGTACTACACCAATACTAAAGATTAATTCTGCTCATTTGCCAAGGCCCACTTTATAGTTTTGTAGCTATGTGATGCTCCCTGGCCCCTCCCCACCACCTTTTAAAAACTGCTGTAAGTCATCCCTCTGTCTATAACTCAACAGTATTGAGTGCCTGCTGGGGGTCAGGCATTATGCATGGTACTGGGGATACAATGGTGTGTAAGAGAGGTATAGGCATCTACCCTCATGGGGCTTTCAGTCTAGTCTGGGGTTTCAATTGCAAATGCATACATTGGCCAGAGAGACCATGTAAATATGTGAAGCAGATTGAATGTAAGAAAAAAATCAAGTGACCAGCAGAATGTCTTTGTTTTTTTTCCATTTTTAACATAGAAACCAAGAAATATTTTTTTTCTTTAACGAAAAAAAAAAAGTTCAAGAGATATAGGGACTAGTAGTAGGGTAGGGATGCCCCATGGGGGACTTTCAAGAAGGGGAGCCACTACTCAGCTCTAGCTTTTTGTTGTCACTAGCAAGTCCAGTGGAACTGGCTTTTCAATTTATCAAGGGAAGTCTGGAGCTTTTTGTAAAGATCGAATTTGTAAATGTTGGCTTGAATCTATTTAAAAATCGTACTTGGGACAATAATAACCACCTGTGGGCTGGAGCCAGCCTGTGATTACCATTTGTCAACTTCTGGCCTAGTGGGTCTCCTATCAATCTCTTACTATTCTGCTCCCAGGTGCTTTCCATCTGTTCTGTTTATTTGACACTTAAATTCCTTCTTTAATTACTTCTTTTGTTAGCATAGTTCCCACTCAGATGTATTTTCCTGCCATTGCATGTGATGGAAAAACCCTTTGTACTTACTTTCCACATGAGGCTTGTGAGGCACTCCCAGGCTTCTCATGACACACATTTCCCCAGAGCCTAGTCTGCAAGGGACCTTCTTGGGGGCCTCAGTAAAGTTGTTTATGGGAGATTTGGTGGGCAGGAGGCTCATCTGAAATCTCATCATTTGTATTGCTCATCCTTACCCTCCCCCTGCCATGATATACTGAGAACAACCCCTTCCGTCTTTGGTGCCATGTCCTCCTTTTCCCAGTACTGTCAGCACTCTCTGCTCCTTTTAGAATTAAGTGCAGGGCTTGCTTCAGAGGAGATGGAACTGGAATAGCTTAAGTGAAATACGATCTGGGACATTAGTGTTCTGACCCTTAAAACAAGGGTATGGGCAAAACCCCAGGATATGGCTGTGACCTTTGGGCTAATAGACCCATTTCTCCAAGAAGAGGAAAGGCCTAGCTGCTGTGTTCCTGGAGGTGGTGAGGGTGGGCATCTGTGTAGAAACTTGGGTTGGCTCCTGTGCCTCCCAGTTCTTCTTGAGCCTTATTTTTTTAGCCTTAAAAATTCTTTATTGTGTTGGGAAACTGAGTAGTAACTACATTTTTTACATCTGTCTATTGTTCACCATCTATGCCTGACTGTCACACAGAACAGTAGTCCTTTATGATTATGTAGATTATAAAATTTACTTTCAGGCCAATTTTAAATTTTACCTGATTACAACATTAAAGTCTATTCAGGGATGCTTGCTCAGTCTTGTAAGTTTGATGCACTTATAGTGAGATGATCTGCTTGCATCTTTAGAAACAGTGCAATGAACGTTATTGGTTATTGTGTTGGATACCTCACAACTTTATCATGTTGGCCAGCTCTGCCTAGGTGTAGTGAGACAGTGCCTTGCCTCAGCTGCCCTACCTGTGTCTTGCTTTCTGCCAAGGGCACTTGGGAAAATCTATTTACTGCCTACACATGTACAGCTTGGAAGTATGGTTGGGCATGATGCCCAGGAGAATAACCCATGACCAATGGTGGCAAGGAGCTGAAAGATAAATGGTCTTCCTTTCCATCTCTAAAGTGGGTAATTGTGAGGTGTACTCCAAGCAGCTTAAAATCCAAGGTGGTCACTAATTTGATAATGCCCCATTTACTGGTATACTTTTCTTCCCTGTTTCATTTTTCCCAGTCTCTTATGCCAATGCTGGCTAGAGTGATCCTAGAGTTATATTGCTCCCTGAGATAAGTTCTTATCTTAGTGTGAATTTCCCCATAACTGTGCCTGAAGCAGAGATTTGAGTCCAATTAATTTATCTGGGGAATGATACTAGGAAAGGCCATTAGGGGAATGTTTAAACAGAGACCTGAAGGTGGGGATGGAACAAGCACGAGGCTATGGAGAAAGCACATTTCTGGCAGATCAAACAGTCATCACAGGACTATACTTGGTAGACTCGCTGTTCAAGGATAGTGAGGAGGTCAGTGAGATGAGTGGAGTGAACAAGGGGCAGAGTGGTAGGAACTGAGGGCAAAGGAAAAAAGAGGTGAGGTGCAGATGGATCACGTAGACTCAAGGAGGCCATTGTAAAGGTGTGGCCCTCATTCCTAGTAAAATTGGAAGAGATACGCATACTGAGCAGGGACATGATCTAACTTGCTTCATAAAAGGATTGCTGTAGCTGCTGCGTGGAAGATGGACTGCGGCAGGGCAAGGAGAGAATTATTACAGTCTAATGGCTTGGACTGGTAAAGTGAAGCAAGGGCTAAGTGGCTGTGTTTGGCTGTATTCAAAAGATCGACTTGTCAAGATTGGCTGCTTGGCCAGGCACAGTGGCTCACGCCTGTAATCCTAGCACTTTGGGAGGCTGAGGCAGGTGGATCACCTGAGGTCAGGAGTTTGAGACCAGCCTGGCCAACGTGGTGAAACCCTGTCTTTACTAAAAATAGAAAAATTAGCCGGGTGTGGTGGCACACGCCTGTAATCCCAGCTACTTGGGAAGCTGAGGCAGGAGAATTGCTTGATCCCAGGAAATAAAGGTTGCCGTGAGCAGAGATCGTGCCACTGTACTCCAGCCTGGGTGACACAGTGAGACTCTGTCTCAAAAAAAAAAAAAAAAAGAAAGTATATATGTATATATATATGCATGCATGCCGCCGGATTTCATGGGAACATAAGAAAAAGAGACAAGTCAAGCGTGACTCACTTTAAGGTTTTTGGCTAGAACAGGTAGAAGGGCATGTGGGTGTGTATGTGTGTATGGGAGGGGCAGGAAGGAAGAGTTTCATTTTGGACTTGCTCAGTTTGACATGCCTAATAGACATCCCAGTGGAGATGTGAGGTGGAGTTTGGAGATGAGTCAGAAGGCCAGGTAAGAGGTCACGGCTGGAGAGGCACATTTAGGAGTCATCAGTATATGAAAGGTATTGCTCATCATGGGAAGGTTTCATTTTGTTCAGTAAAGATTTCAGATGATGTAACCAGAAAGCACTATAGGATTTATTAGAATGTTTTATTTGAACGAATATTTTGGAAACGTTTATTTTGTCTGTCCATCAAATGGCCTTACAAGCCATTTGATTATAAGATGTGGTTTGTCTCAGGTGGGGTTTAACACTGTTGCTTAAAATAAGATTTTTCCACTGTAGATGAGACAAATTGTACCATTTTTTTGTAAACAGGGTTCTTTGATCCACATACTTTACAATGCAGTTTTTTTTTCTTTTTTTAATCAGTAATGCTCCTTTTCTTGGCTGTAGAGATGGCAGAGTGAATATTTTACTGAGAAAATGGACTTCCATAGGAAACCAGGCTCTGGCTGTCCCCTTCATCCTCCCCTGTGGAGTTGCATTTGCCACAAGTCACAGCAGATTTCCACTGGGCAGCAATTGGGGTGACCATATGGGTCAGGGGCCCCATTGCCACTGAGATTTTCCAGAACTCCCTCTCACCATCATAGACAGTCAAGTGTCACAGATGCTCTGTGAAGCTGTGATTCGGTTCAAGAGCTTGAATAACCAGAGCTCCTTCAGAACCAGGCCATATTGAACTCTCCCATCCTTGTCACCATTTCACAGCATGTGCCTGGATCACACCATGGTCTTTTGCTCACCTCCGTTCTCCTCATGTCATGTCTATCCCTCTGCCTGATCCTGCTGTCTCTCCTTGTGGTATCCAGATATTGCCTGGTCTTGTCTTCCCCTTCAGTGATGGTCTCCCAGTCTCCACTGATAATCTTTTCTTTTTTGAGACAGTGCCTTGCTCTGTCACCCAGGCTGGAGTGCAGTGGTGTGATCTCAGCTCACTGCAACCTCCAACTTCCGGGTTCAAGCGATACTCCTGCCTCAGTTTCCCGAGTAGCTGGGATTACAAGTGTGCGCCACCACGCCTGGCTAATTTTTTGTGTTATTAGCAGAGAGGGGATTAGTCATGTTGCCCAGGCTGGTCTTGAACTCCTGAGCTCAGGGAATCCGCCCACCTCAGCCACCCAATATGTTAGGATTACAGGCATGAGCCACTGTGTCCAGTCTCCACTGATATCTTGATTCTCAAAATTCTTTTTTTTTTTTTCCTGAGATGGAGTCTTGCTCTGTCACCCAGGCTGGAGTGCAATGGTGTGGTCTCGGCTCACTGTAACCTCCGCCTCCCAGGTTCAGATTCTCCTGCCTCAGCCTCCTGAGTAGCCAGCACCGCAGGCATCCACCACCACTTCCGGCTAATTTTTGTATTTTTAGTAGAGACGGGGTTTCCCCGTGTTGGCCAGGCTGGTCTCGAACTCCTGACCTCAGGTGATCCACCCGCCTTGGCTTCCCAAAGTGCTGGGATTACAGGTGTGAGCCACCACTCCCGGCCATCAAAATTCTTAATTTAGCACCTCATAGAATAATGGGATTTTATGGCTGAAAGGGATTGTAGAAGTAATCTGGTTCTTTGGTCTTTCATTTTATTCTGATTATTTTTGAGACAGGGTCTTGCTCTGTTGCCCAAGCTGGGGTGCACTGACATTCTTATGGCTCACTATAGCCTCGACCTCCCTGGCCCAGGTGATCTTCCCACCTCAACCTTCTGAGTAACTGGGACTATAGGCACACACCACCATGTCCAGCTTGTTCTTAATATTTTTTTCATTTTTTTGTAGAGATGGGGTTTCACTATGTTGCCCAGGCTGGTCTCAAATTCCTGGCCTCAAATGATCTTCCTGCCTTGGCCTCCAAAAGTGTTGGGATTACAGGCGTGAGCACCTTGCCCTGCATGTTTTATTATGTTTAATAATGAGGCATTGAGGCCTAGGAAAGCTTGGTGATTTGCTGTGAAGTAAATACCAGGATAATGGCAGAACTGAAACTAGAACTGATGTCTCTAGAATCTTAATTCACGATGCTTCCTTTTTCACTGTGAAAGCACATGGTATGTTATTGAGAGAAATTACTATTTGCAAAGGTTGGCTCTTATTATGCTAGTAGTATTAGTCAAATGTCTGGGTTGTACTTGAGAAGGGAAAAATTAGTGTAGAAAGGTGTTTTCTGCCTTCAAAGATCTTCCCATTTTAAAGGTAAGAAAATCTTGCTGATAGCTGGCTGTCTCCTTTGGGTACAAATTCCTGCTTAAAAAAAAAAGCCAAATATATGGTTATTCTTTTTCTTTTTCTTTTTTTTTTTTTTTTTTTTTTGAGACGGAGCCTCATCTGTTGCCCACGCTGGAGTGCAGTGGTGTGATCTCAGCTCACTGCAACCTCTGCTTCCTGGGTTCAAGTGATTGTCCTGCCTCAGCCTCCCGAGTAGCTACAGATGAGTGCCACCACACCCGGCTAATTTTTTTTTTTTTTTTTTTTTTTTTTTTTTTTTTTTTAGACGGAGTCTCGCTCTGTCACCAGGCTGGAGTGCAGTGGCGCAACCTTGGCTCACTGCAACTTCCGCCTCCTGGTTTCAAGCGAGTCTCCTGCCTTAGCCTCCCGGGTAGCTGGGACTACAGGCGTGTGCCACCATGCCCAGCTATTTTTTTTTTGTAATTGATTTGTATTTTTTTATTTTTTATTTTTATTATTATACTTCAAGTTTTAGGGTACATGTGCACAACGTGCAGGTTTGTTACATATGTATACATGTGCCACGATGGTGTGCTGCACCCATTAACTCGTCATTTAGCTTAGGTATATACCAATGGAACAGAACAGAGCCCTCAGATATAATGCTGCATATCTACAACTATCTGATCTTTGACAAACCTGACAAAAAGAAGAAATGGGTAAAGGATTCCCTATTTAATAAATGGTGCTGGGAAAACTGGCTGGCCATATGTAGAAAGCTGAAACTGGATCCCTTCCTTACACCTTATACAAAAATTAATTCAAGATGGATTAAAGACTTAAATGTAAGACCTAAAACCATAAAAACCCTAGAAGAAAACCTAGGCAATACCATTCAGGACATAGGCATGGGCAAGGACTTCATGTCTAAAACACCAAAAGCAATGGCAACAAAAGCCAAAATTGACAAATGGGATCTAATTAAACTAAAGAGCTTCTGCACAGCAAAAGAAACCACCATCAGAGTGAACAGGCAACCTACAGAATGGGAGAAAATTTTCGCAACCTACTCATCTGACAAAGGGCTAATATCCAGAATCTACAATGAACTCAAACAAATTTACAAGAGAAAACAAACAACCCCATCAAAAAGTGGGCGAAGGATATGAACAGACACTTTCTCAAAAGAAGACATTTATTCAGCCAAAAAACACATGAAAAAATGCTCATGATCACTGGCCATCAGAGACATGCAAATCAAAACCACAATGAGATACTATCTCACACCAGTTAGAATGGCAATCATTAAAAAGTCAGGAAACAACAGGTGCTGGAGAGGATGTGGAGAAATAGGAACACTTTCACACTGTTGGTGGGACTGTAAACTAGTTCAACCATTGTGGAAGACAGTGTGGTGATTCCTCAAGGATCTAGAACTAGAAATACCATTTGACCCAGCCATCCCATTACTGGGTATATACCCAAAGGATTATAAATCATGCTGCTATAAAGACACATGCACACATACATTTATTGTGGCACTATTCACAATAGCAAAGACTTGGAACCAACCCAAATGTCCAACAATGATAGACTGGATTAAGAAAATGTGGCACATATACACCATGGAATACTATGCAGCCATAAAAAATGATGAGTTCATGTCCTTTGTAGGGACATGGATGAAGCTGGAAACCATCATTCTCAGCAAACTATCCCAAGGACAAAAAACCAAACACCGCGTGTTCTCACTCATAGGTGGGAATCGAACAATGAGAACACATGGACATAGGAAGGGGAACATTACACATCGGGGACTGTTGGGTGGGGAGGGGGGGAGGGATAGCGTTGGGAGATATACCTAATGCTAAATGACGCGTTTTTTTTTTTATTTTTGTAGAGACGGCATTTCACTATGTTAACCAGGATGGAAACAAAAAACAAAACAAAACAAACAAACAAAAAATATATATATATATACACACACACATACTTTTAGGTCAAAAAAATATATATATATACACACACACATACATACACACACGCATACTTTTAGGTCAAAAAAATGTCAGTTCGTGCTATTTAATATACTAATTTAGTCATACACATTTAAGATAACAATAAGAAAAATTCATTTTCCCCCCCACATACTCACCTCTCAACAGAGCATTTCTATTCTATTTTTCTTCACAAATATCTTTGACACCAATGTCTTTCTTATTCCTGGAGCCATTTTTTGAGTCATCAAGTAGATTCCCAAAGTAACTCATCCATACCCTTGGTTGTAAGATCCTGTCACTAGGATTTTCATCCTAAGCCACAAGCACCCATTTACCAAACATTGGATTTCCATTTGTTCTGTAGTATGTATATTATATGATTCAATATAATAACTCACTTACTGTCTTTTTCAAGTAATATTTAAAAGGCATGTTTATAGATAGATCCAGACCTTCCAGTTGTTAGGACATAGCTCAGAAATTGTTTTACGTTCTTTGCTTTTTTCAAAAAATAAAGCAGTGCTCTCAGGTTGCTTTCTTAAATATTGAAAACTAACACTGATTAAATTCCACGCTTCTGTGCCATCCCCAAATTTTGTATATTATTTTTCACAGTGAAGTCACTGAGAGACACTGGATCATATTAGAGTCTCAATAAAAGCTCAAATATAAGGCCAGTCCTTCTTTTCTACGGTGTAATCTTGGGGGAAGGGGAACCTTGACCTAAATTTAGATATCTTTGGTAACTCCATGCGGGGAAGCCTGTGTCCATGGACTTCCTCCTGATTGCTGTATTTTATGGCATTTGCTCAGATGTGACACTGAAGAAGTAAGTGGGTCATTATCAGTGCTATACCACTGTCCCTGAGGGAAACCCAGCCTGTGTCCTAATGATAGATACTGTCAGCCTTAACATGTTCATGTATCAGAAATCTTTTTATTTTCCTACACAAACAATATTTGCCATTGTGCTGCCGAATTGGAGTGACAGAGAATCGCACTGTGTTTGTTTAGACTTAAAAGCCTAGAGGGCTTGTGGAGCTATGCTAAAAATGGCATGGAGTGAGTACAAACAACTTCTTCACTCCGTGCACATTGATTTCTCCCTTGAGATCTTTTCTGTGTCTCTGTTGAATTTGTAGAAATGTCAAAGTCAAACTTTAAAGTCAAACTTTAAGAAAATCACCTTTTTTTCCCCCTGGTAGAATAGCTAATACAATAGTTAGCATATTTATATTTTCAGAAAGTTCAGACATGTCTGCTTTTGCAAATCATAGAATTGTGATAATTGGGAAAAATGATATCCATTAGAAACCCGTTAGGCCCTCTTATATGTTGCTGGTGAGAGTGCAAAGTAATATACAGTGATCTTTGAATTCAGAAGCCACTTGTGTTTTAAATGTGATGCTTTTCTGTAAATGCAGAATTCTTATAATCTGAAATTTGTCTCCCTTGTATCTACTGTTGTTTCCAGGGCTGTTCAAAGACTTCCCTTTTCACATTTGCATTTCTTGAGTATCCTGTGGTTTTCATAATAAAATGCAGCTTCTTCAGGGCTCCTGAGGGTGTGGAAGGCAGGTCCTTTGCTGGGCTGATTGCTCTTTTGGGGTCCTGGAGCCGCTACACATCCTAGAGAGTAGAACTGGGAACAGATTTACAGTTTCAGTCTCCTCACAGGACTCTAGGATGGTGGTAGAATTGTTTTATTAGTTTATAGTCACTGTAGTAGGATTTACCGGAAATTGTTCTTACTCCTTGCTTTGGAAAAAATAATGTGTGATATTACAATCTTCGTTACTAAAAGCCTTCTTTTCTCTGTAGGATCAAAGTGCTTGACTTTGTTGGTTGAAATCCACCCTGTTAACAATGTGAAGGTTCTAAAGGCTGTGGATAGCTATATTTGGGTTCAGGTAAGTAAGCATGCCATTTATCACTTATCTCATTAATCAAAAGGCATGCAGCCTAGAAGAATTGGGGTTTACAAAGTACTTTCACTCTATCATATTTAATCCTCAGAACAGTCTTGTAGACTACTATGGCTGGAAGTATCCGCTCTTTGTTTGCAAGCATGGAAATTAAGAACTCGAAGCTAGCTCCACCAACTCTGTTTGTTTCTTAGTAATGTAATATTTTCTCATGATAAAATATCAAATATTAAAACACATTTAAGGTAAGCTTTAAAATGGTCAATATAATGTATTTGCATGGTTGACAGATTAAGTATCTATGGTTAAATGGCTTAATCCCTGAATTTATCAACTTCATGAGTTGATGCAGAAACTGCATGTATAATGTAGGTGGCATAGATACAGTCATTCCTCATTATTTGCAGATTCCATATTTGCATATTCTGCTGCTCCTAAAATTTATTTGTAACCCCTAAATTAAACACTTATAGTACTTCGTCAGTTATTTGCAGATACATGCTGAGTGGTGAAAGAATTTGTCACCCAACATGCACATTCGCAATTGAGGTTGAACACGGTGATGCCCTGCCTTTTTTGCTTTAGCTCTCATACTAAAATGACAGTTGTTTTCATGGCCTAGTTCCATCTTTCAATTTTTGTGCTTTTTCCTGGCGATTTCACAGTTTAAACGGCTTCCAGGAATAGCGCTGAGGCACCGTCTAGTGTTCCTAAGTGCAAGAAGGCTGTCAGATGCCTTAGGGAGAAAACATGTGTTTCAGATAAGCTTCATTCAGGCATGAGTTACTATGCTGTTGGCCATGAGGTTAAGGAGTGTCTTTAAATAGAAACACACAAAACAAAATTATATACTGATCTGTTGACAAACATGCTGTGACTAGAGGCTTCCAAGAATTTATCCTTGTTTGGGTTTGGATCATAATCCCAAAAGACAATCCTGAACACCATAATCCTGAATGTTGAAATCCTGAAAGGTCAAAAGTCTACAGTCCCAAAAGCCATGATCACAGGATAGTTAGTATACACGAGTGTCTATACTTTCAAAACTGTGTATGTTATTATTGCCTATTTTATTGTATAAAGTGGACTATGAAGTGTTCTTTTGTGTTTTGCTTCTCAGATAAGTCTTCTTTTAAAAATGTCAATACATCTTTTAAATAATTTTTAAAATTATTTTCTTCCAGAATTATATTTTTGGGATTTTGATCTTTTGGGATTTCAATATTTAGGATTATGGCATTTGGGATTGTGTCTTTCAGGATTATGATCAACTCCCTTTGTATTTCCCTAGAAACAATGGTTCAGTATTCAGTATACGACATTTGTGGTGACTTTACAGAACATAACTACTGCAAATAATTTGAATGAACTGTGTGTGTTCACACAGTGCTACAGCATAATTTCCTTTCGCCTAATTTCACATTTTGTTACAGGGTCAAAATATCATTTCTTTTGGTCTAGCCAGAGTCAATTTGCACCACTCAAAGTATCTGCCTTTTTGTCCCCCAAGCTATTACCAGCCTCCACCCTATGGGCCTCCCTATTCCAGTGGGTTAGGGGAGAGGGTTGTCTCTCTCTTCCCAGGGTCCTCCCCTGTCAGCCAGTCCTTTCAGCTGCGCATTTCCCCGCCACTCCTGACAGCACTGTGGTCGCTCCTCAATTCCAGATATGGCCTGGCCTGAAGCTCCCAAGCTGCATTCTCCTACCCTCAGGAAGCTACTCCGTCTACACTGTCATCAATGTGGGGAGGCTGGGGACAGAGCACACTTCTCTTTTCTGGTCTGTTCTTTGGCTTCCTTAGCATCTTGTTAGGGCCATATAGATGGTAGAGACATGACTGAAGGATTGGGGTAACTAAAGGGAATTGGAGCATAGAAAGGGGAAAAGTTTTTAAAAGCAAGTGGTTGTATACATTGCGAATATATTAAAATCTACCAAAAATTGTATATATTAAAGTGGTTAAAATGGTAAATTTTATGTTATGTGAACTCAGTTTTAAAAAGTTAAAAGTGGCTGGGCGCAGTGGCTCATGCCTATAATCCTAGCACTTTAGGAGGCCAAGGAGGGCAGATTGCCTGAGCTCAGGAGTTTGAGACCAGCCTGGCCAACGTGGCAAAACCCCATCTCTACTAAAAATATAAAAATTAGCTGGGCGTGGTGGTATGCTACTGTAATCCCATCTACTCGGGTGGCTGAGGTGGGAGAATTGCTTGAACCTGGGAGGCAGAGGTTGCAGTGAGCCAAGATCGTGCCATTGCACTCCAGCCTGGGCAACAGAGCGAAACTCCATCTCAAAAAAAAAAAAAAAAAGTTAGAAGTACATGGAACAGGACAGCATCTATAGGCCAAAGGAAAAGTCCCAACCCAAATAAAGTAAAACTTGTACTAATTCTGTGGACCCATCTTAGTCCCTAGCCCTGCCTTCTGCCCCCATGTCTCTGCCTCTGGAGAGAGAAACTCCTCTAAACCCCAGTGGCAAATCCCCGCCTTCTCCCTCCTGCCTCTAGAGAAATGACATCTACTGTCCATTGAGTTGGTCTTGCCCTGGGATCAATTTCCTTTTTCTTACAAAAACATCCATGGTGATCTCCAGCAGCACATTTCCCTAACTCTGCATGTGTAGTCTTGACAACCTACACAGAGGAGCTTCAGCAGGAGTGGCAGGTGGGGCTTGGATCCCAATCCGGGACCCTTTGAGTGTTTCCTTCCAGCACAAGGTGTGTCTTCAAGATAGTTCCAGTGGGTAATTACACACCCTCTACACACCGAGACTACAGACCTCCAAAGACCAATATTCATTCTAAGTCTAGCTCCATATTTGTGAAGATAAATTTTTCAAAGTAAATATAATCTGCATAGAATCCTACTTACAATACAAAAAAAATAACCTTGAGTGCTTTTGCAGAGCTGTGTCTGAATCCTGTCTACTTTTGGCTTCCAGGCCTTACTCTAGGACCACCTTATAATAGAAAGAAAAACAACACCTACCTGAACGGGACTTTTAAAATAACATTCTCCCTGATTGTCACAGGAAGACCAGGCAGAGGTTTAGAGGTTGGCAGTTACACCTCTTCAGCACCTCAGTCCATGTCACATTCCTAAGCAGGCATGCCCTGGCCACCTCTGTAGACCGGGAGGCCATACCATCTTCCATAGCAGCAGATATCTCCATATTTTGAGGCACTGAACATTTGTTCTCCCATCCTATATGTGGTGTCATTCATCTCTGCTTTTCCTCAACTCTGGTATACAAAGTATCTTGTTTGATGTGTGACATTTTACAAATTATGAGACAATTAGTTCTGTATTATTTTTGTAGCTGAATTCTGCATTGCTATTTTATAATTTTGACTTTATTGCTGTGAAGCATATGTTTTGCTTTTCATTTCTAAAAGGGAACTCAACTATAAATGTTCCAAAATTTGACTAGTACTATTTTTAATCTGATATTATGCAAAGGTAGGACACTAGGAAATAATAAAAAATTGTCCTAAGTTTAGTGAGACTAATGACTCGGAGATTGGGACATAAAAGTTGTGCCCTTTTATATTACTTTCAAGTTTTGGGTGAGGAAAAGAACAAAATTCACGGGTCTTTCATGCTGCAAAATGAAATGGCTGGTTTACAATTGCCCTTTTGAGTCATCCTGTGACCAGTTTTTCCTCATTATCACAGCCGACGGGGTCAGGACTTGTGTTGCTGGCAGCCTACTTTGTCCTGCAAACAGACACATAGTGGTGGGCTTATATGGGAGAGCACAGAGAAGGAGGAATGGGGTGGATTTAAGCCTTTTCTTCCTGGTGACAGTCGTTCTGTGCTTTCAGACTTGTAAATTCTCAACTCATGTGGCACCATGACTCACTGTTCTTTCTTGACAAATTCTGGTTATGTTGTGCTTTGTCTCTTGGATGTGGAACTTTGGAAGCTGTCGTGGGGAATATATTTACTTGGCTCTCAAATTATATACTAGGTTTAGTTGCACAACGACTATATCGACCTCTGTGTGTGTGTGTGTGTGTGTGTGTGAAATAGAACATTTTGTATAAATGTTGTTTGCATTGTTTCTGATTGGTTTCAGAATCAAATATTCCAAATAGGAAGTACCATCCCTAGAATTAGCTTCAACCTTAACATTTACTGTTTATTTTACTTTATTTTTAGACAGAGTCTTGCTCTATCACCCAGGCTAGAGTATAGTGGCATGATCTTGGCTCACTCCAACTTCAACCTCCTGGGTTCAAGTGATCCTCCCACTTCAACCTCCTGAGTAGCTGGGACTACAGGCACGTGCCACCACACTTGGCTAATCTTTTGTATTTTTTGTAGAGATGCGGTCTTGCCATGTTGCCCAGGCTGGTCTTGAACTCCTGAGGTCAAGTGATCTGCCTGTCTTGGCTTCCCAAAGTGCTGGGGATACAGGTGTGAGCCACTGTGCCCAGCCAGAAGCCTTACTGTTAAAATAAGTGAAGATAGTGTTGTATTTGAGATCAATTCCCCTCTGGAAAACTGAGGTTCTGAAAGTGTTCTGTTTTCTTGCTTGCTTTGACCTGCAATGTGTGTGTGCAGGTGATTCCCCTAAACTCTTCTGTGATTCCCAGTTTCTTCAATGGTATGTAATAGTACAGTCATCAAACACAACTTTGGAAATACTTGTTCAAGCAAGATAGTTGCTTACAATTATGATTAATTTCTTTTTTACAGTTTCTCTACCCACATATTGAAAGTCATCCTCTTCCAGAGAACCATCTGTTACTGATTTCAGAAGAGAAATGTAAGTGTATCTTTAGGTGGAATATGGGAATTTCATGAATGGCATATCGTCTCCTAGTGTGGTACATGATTGAATCTTCTAGATATCCACCTGCCATTGCCAAGGGTCTGCTAAGCTTTGATGTCCATATGAGACCTGGAATTCCTTGGGAAGGGCTTTTCCTTTGGCCCCCAAGTGGTGTTCCCTTTGGCTGTGTTCAGCTTTCTCATCCTGGGAATGATGGGCTCTTGCATACATGGATCTGCAATTTTGTCCCATGGTAGAATGTTTGTAGAAAGTTGCATGGGTCATTTTTGTCATTTTTAGTTCATCTGTCTTTTGGATGTCTGTCATAGTGGATAACTATAATATGGAGATGCTTGGATGGAGAGAGGGGAAGATTTTAGTAGCTAGAAGAATCCCATGGCAGAACTTGAGAAGACCTACTAACTTAGACAGGTTCAGGTAGAGGCAAATAAGTTTAGGACATAAAAGGTTATGTCCTTCCATGATGGTTTCAAGTTAGAGAGGGAGAGGAAGGACAGAATTTACTGGTGGAGCTTATCTAGTAAGCTGTCTTTTGCATTACAAGATGAAACTGCTAGTTTATAGTTGGAAGGACAGGCTTGAGGGGTAAGGCTTTGTTCAGTCTCTAAGCTCTTGCTCAGTTTTGTAACTAGGACCAGCAGAAGGTAAATATGGCTGAATTCAAATTGTTACTGATAGAAAGAGACCATCTACACAGATTGTCTTTAGTGTTCAGGGTTTTGTTCACATGAAATTGACCTCTATTAAAATGCTTCCCCAAAATGTCTTGTATAATGAGTTTTTTATCTGGTATGTTCATACAAACAAGTGTTTGGTATTTGGGAATTGAAGAATAAACTCTGCTAAGTAAGCCCTTGTTAGCCCTATATAACGCTGATGGTATAGGGGAGTCAAGTACTTGCTGAGGGAACCCAGGGAAGCAGGAGGGCTAAATACTTCATGTATTGTTGATATTGAGGAGCAGAATAAATGCAGGACTTGAAATTAACTGTAAAGGGAGGATGGAGAAAAATGGGTTTTAAAAAGTTTTTGAACCTCTGTTGTGAGATTACAGTTTGTGATAGTGTTGTTTTTCTGGCCAGTTGTTCAATCTGCATTGCTTTTATAACAATGTTTTTACAAGAGTTAGGCAAAAATAGTACTCATATATTTCCTTAAGGTTAAATTATCTTTCTTTGTTTTTCTTTTAAAGATATTGAACAATTTCGTATCCATGTCGCCCAAGAAGATGGAAATAGAGTGGTAAAGATTTGAAATTCTTTTCGCTTCATAGGTTTTTTTTTCCCCACAAAGAAGTACATTACTAGACTGCTAAAGATAATGTTATTGATATATAATGTTTTCTTTATTTGATGACTTTTGAAGTATAGACTTGCTGTTTTAATGTGTGAAATGATACAAATATGTATGAAGTTAATTATCCCCTTTTTCTCTACCTCAACCCTCAATCTCAGTATCCTGAGGTAGCTAATAACAGCCTGTGTGTCTTTCCACAGCTTTTACCTTGCTCGTGCAAACCTATGCAAGGTTAGATGCACATATGTGGGGATTCAATTGTTTTTACCAAAGTAGAATCATAATACATATATTTACCTGCTGCTTTTGTGTTTACTTTTTGCTTAGCAGGTAAAAAGATCAGGAGTATCCCTATGGGTTACTAAAATAGAGATATAACTAATTGGTTATTTACTCTAATTTTCATATGTACGTATATGCATATCATGGGATCATACCATATATTTATACCATATATACAATCATACTATGTATCATGCCATATATGGGTTTCATAGAGTATAATTTTTTTTTGCTTGTTTTCCACATGTACTTTTTTTTTTAATCTCTTTTGTTCACAACCTGGTATGTATCATACTTTTTTCCACACTAATACTAATCTCCTACCCCCACCTCTTACCCACCCAGGGGTTTATTATTCATTTTTTACTCATTCAGCTTTGTGGCATTACCTACAAGTAAACTAGAATAGCTCCAATTCAGTCTCTTTAGAAGTAGATAATAGACCCTGGTGTGGATAGACATTCACTAAATTGCCAGTTTTTTGGTTTTGCTTTTGAATTATAAATCATCTTAAACCTTTTTTTCCTATAGCCTTATGTATTGGTACATGTATTTCTTTGAGCTAAATCCTCAGGGATGGATTGTTCGATGGGTACATGCATTTAATAAATTCCAACAGATTTTTCCAGATTGCTTTCCAAAAAAACTTCTAACAATTGACAGTTTTAGAAGCAAAATGTAAGAGTACATGTTCCCTCAATTCATATCACGAAAAGGTATGTTTACCTTTTAAAAAATTTCCAATTGGATGAGTCTAAGTTGATAGCATATTATCTTAGTCTGTGTCTCCCTTAATATTAATGCATTTCAGCATCTTCTCCTAAGCTTACTGGCTATTTGATTTGCTTTTTTGAAAATTGTTTAGTTGCATCCTTATCTGTTTTTCTACTGGCTTGTCTTTTTCTTGATAATTTGTATAGGATCTTAATATGTTATTGATATTAAAAATGATTTTCTTCAATATTTAGTCTGCATCAAAATTGTCTCTGAAGATTTTAACATTTCTCTGAAGATTTTAAAGTTAAGTGAACAAATTGAAACAGAAAATGGAATTTATCAATTGTGTATCAGCTATTGAAAGCCTCAAATCAAGAAGCCTGGCTGGAAAATTGCCAGGAGAAAGTATGTCACTGGAGCTCTGGGCTACCATTGTCCCGCAGGGGCTAAGTAGATGGGAGAACAAGGACAGACGGATGGGAGCACAAGGACAGAGAGGGCCAGGAGTCAGAAGAGGGTCAAGCCCAAGAGGAAAGATCAAGGCTGAATCCCAAAGCCAGTGATGAGAATTTAGGAGAGAAATAAATCAGCAAGTTGGGGTCAGGAACTGAGAGTGAGCATAGACAGGGGACTGGCTGGTTAGAAGAGGGCTTGAGAGCAAAAAGAGAGAGAGAGGCAGACAGACACACACTGGGAAGAGTGATGGTGGGGACACCTGTCAGCAGCCCAGAAAAGATTCTGCAATTCAGGATGGTGCAGCTTCAGCATTCCTTAATTCACATGTGTTCTTCCAAGAAGTACTTCTGCCTTCATTCTTAAAGGCTTAGATGACAGCTTCACACAGCATAAGTATAATACCATCTCTATCATGCAGGGATGTTGCAAAGAATATGCAATTCCACATATTCTTTGCAACATCCCTGCATGATAGAGATGGTATTAGGCTTATCCCTATTTTTACAGAGAAGACAGCAACCAAGACTCACAGAGGTGAGGTGACTCGATCTAGAGAGGAACAAAACTGAGATTTGAACCTGGGTATGCCACAATCTGACATTCATTTTCTTGTTAGTACATACCTTTACCTGGAACGGTTCTCAGATCTACTCCAACTCAACAAATTTCAGAAAAATGATTGTCCAAGGTTTAGAGACAGACAGGTCCTCTTGGATCTTTTCTCTGGCATCACTTTCCTCTTGTCTAAATATAATGGACAGGGTAAGCGGAAATAGTGGTTTACAACTCTTTATGCCACATGGCCCCCCTCAAGTTGCAAGTTACCATCGGTGGAGAAATCCCTATTAGGATTAGGGAGGGTTTAGGCATGAATATGGACCATTCTGGTGTTTCCTTTTTTCCTCATTTCTTCTACCCTAACCTGTCCTTATTCTTTACTCATCTACCTCAATGTAGATTACTTTTGCTTAATAAGCATTTTGAGGAAAGTTAATTCTTAACTGCTTCTGTTAAATTATTTCGAGGTCAGCTGATGCACTGAAAGGGCACTGGGAGGATTCCAGGACGTGGATTCCAGACCTTGCAGAACTAACTATGCAGCCTAATCTAACTGCTCAGGACCTCAGTTTTCTTACCTGTTAAGGGGTTGAATTGCATGGTTTCTAGAATCTCCTGATTTTAATGTTCCATAGTTCTGACTTTGTTACTTAGTAAACAAATATTTCAAATTTACTCTTGCACACCTTATTTCATTTTCTGCCTTTGTTTTTTTTTGTTGTTTTTTGTTTTGTTTTTTATTTTTATTTTTTTTGAGATGGACTCTTGCTCTGTCACCCAGGCTGGAGTGCAGTGGTGGGATCTTGGCTCACTGTAACCTCCGCCTGTTGGATTCAAGCGATTCTCCTGCCTCAGCCTCCTGATTAGCTGGGATTACAGGCATGCACCACCATGCCTGGCTAATTTTTGTATTTTTTTAGTAGAGATGGGGTTTCACCATGTTAGCCAGGCTGGTCTTGAACTCCTGACCTCAGGTAATCCACCTACCTCGGCCTCCCAAAGTGCTGGGATTACAGGCATGAGCCACTGTGCCCAGCCCATTTTCCGCCTTCCAAACAAACATTCCTTGAGCACTGTTACATGCTAGAAACAGTCAATGCATTGGTAATAGAAACGTGTTGTAGAAGAGTGCGTACTCACTGGGGGAGGCTTATAGCATTAATTAAAATGTAATTGTCAAAGCAGCATGCCAATGCACCATTGGAAAACAGGTGAGGATTATACTACATCTTGGGGATGTGAGGGAAGGCTTTGTGTAGAACACAATGTGTAAGTCAGGTCTTGAAGAATGAGTAGTTAAGTATTGCTGAGAGATGGGCAATATCATCATACTCATCATGGAAGACATAAAGGTGAGAGGCATGCCCAAAGCTGCATGGTTGGTTTATGGCCAAATTGGGGTCATTGCCTACTACTTTCCACTGTCAGGCCTGAGTTTTTCCTTGGCATCACAGCCTCTGTCTTTGGTAGTGGAGGGCTCTTGTCTGCAGAGGCTTGACTTAAGAGAGTTAGGTACAGAACAGTAAGTTCCGAATCTTCTATTAATGCAGCTATTGATTTGTGGGAGGTGTGGTGTTGTCTTCAACAGCCTCAGCCTGTCTGCTAAACTAAGAGCAGGAATAAAATCATATATTATACGTGGGAAGAAGAGGAGGCAATGAAATTATGTCTTAAAACATTTCTGGAAAGACTGTGTATACTAGGGGTGGGGAGCTTCTAACAGTGAACTGTGGAAATATTTACATGTATCATAAAGATAGACATGGAAAATAATTATGAATTCCAGATATGTTCTCCTTTAAAAGTTATTCATACTTTTTTTTTTTTTTTTTTTTTTGCATTTTTAGGTGATTAAAAATTCTGGCCATCTCCCAAGAGACAGAATAGCTGAGGATTTCGTTTGGGCTCAGTGGGATATGTCAGAACAGAGATTATATTACATTGACCTGAAGGTAAAAAAACTAGTTCACGGGCACTCCTTTTTTTTTTTTTTTTTTTTTACAAAAATATTAATTTTTTTAGAGACAGGGTCTTGCTCTCTTGCTGAGGCTGGAGTGCAGTGGTGTGATCATAGCTCACTGCAGCCTTGAACTCCTGGGCTCAAGTGATGCACCTGCCTCAGGCTCCTAAAACATGGATTACAGGCATGAGCCATAGTGCTTGGCCCCAGCACTCTTTTTTATAAGAACAATTTGATTTTGACATTATTATTACTGCAGTTCACTAATCATTACATTTTCATTGATGGAAATAGTGAAGTTTTGCTTCTTGACTGCTTCCTTTTCTTTTTTTCCTGGTTTTTTAATATGCCATTCTGTTTTCTCTTTTAGAAATCAAGGAGTATCTTAAAATGTATCCAGTTTTATGCTGATGAGAGCTATAACTTAATGGTAAGTCCAGAAAATGATCACACTACAGGAAAGTTTATGATACATTACTCTCTTTTTTTTTTTTTTTTTTTTGAGATGGAGTCTCACTCTGTCGCACACGCTGGGTGCAGTGGCGCGATCTCGGCTCACTGCAAGCTCTGCCTCCTGGGTTCACGCCATTCTCCTGCCTCAGCCTCCTGAGTAGCTAGGACTACAGGCACCCGCCACCACGACCAGATAATTTTTTTTGTATTTTTTGTAGAGACAGGGCTTCACTGTATTAGCCAGGATGGTCTTGATCTCCTTACCTCGTGATCCACCTGCCTCGGCCTCCCAAAGGGCTGGGATTACAGGCATGAGCCACTGCGCCCAGCCTATAGATTACTCTCTTTTAAGAGAATTGTTATCATAAGCAGCGCTTTAGCATTCCTGATGGTTGTGTTAGTTACTCGTATGAGCAAGTAAAATTAGTTCTTGCCACCTCCAGGTTTCCACTCTATAACAAATCCAGTTAATGTAGGTCATTAGAAGAACACACACCAGAAATGTCCAGTAACTAAATGCTTCACATCAAAGAAAAATGTGTAAGTGGGGATTAGTAGAAGGTGTCAGGTTGGTGCAAAAGTAATTGCAGTTTCTAATCATTTAAAAGTAATGGCAAGAACTGCAGTTACTTTTGCACCAACCTAATAATTGATGGGGTCTGTAAGAGATAGCTTTAAGGGGTTATAAGTTATTTGACCCAAAAGGACTTGTGAGGATGGTGGATTTGAGAATAAAGAGACAAGTCAATGAGAGGGTATAGTTTAACCAAAATCTAGCGTTACCCCTGAAAAAGCTATTTGGAATGTTAGCATTGTGTTCTATCAGTGGAAAAAAACTTCTAAAAATAGGAAAATTTCAATTTAAGAACTTGAATTTTTTAAAAAAAGATTAAAAAAAATTAGAATTGTGGTGAAGTGTTCTTAATATCTTTGTGATGAACAATATGGTGGTTGTTTTTTTGTTTGTTTTTTTTTTTTTTTAAGACGGAGTCTCACTCTGTTGCCCTGGCTGGAGTGCAGTGGCATGATCTCTCTTCACTGCAACCTCTGCCTCCTGGATTCAAGCAATTCTCCTGCCTCAGCCTCCCTAGTAGCTGGGATTACAGGCACCTGTCACCATGACCAGCTAATTTTTATATTTTAGTAGAGATGGGATTTCACCATGTTGGCCAGACTGTTCTTGAACTTCTGGCCTCAAGCAATCCACCTGCCTTGGCCTCCCAAAGTTCTGGAATTATAGGCGTGAGCCACCATGCCGGCCTATTCTTCTTGAGTAGGACTAATGTTGCTATCTAATACAGATTGTTATGCCATTGCAAGAATTGCACTTACCCCTCCTGCCCTCTGCTCTCCTTCTAAAGACACCCAGGCCTTCCTTCCTTCCTTACTCAGTCATCTATGTCTTGTAAAAGATGGTTGCTTCCAATTGGCCTATTGTACAACCTGTTTTTGATATTCAAATCTAAGACAAAGTTTGTCAAGCATTAGCCCTTTAAGAAATAAACAAACATCAAGCTCATGATTATATGTAAATTCCAGAGTATTTTCAATGGACTTTCTATGCAATGGATTTGGAGTATAATAACCTCTGAAGACAATGATGGTTAAATATCATTATTAGGCAAACATAATATTTTTCTGGTTTACTTGGGCTTGCTCTGGTTTTCAGAACTGTCATCACTTTCTGTCATTTTGGGTTCATTTTCTTTGATTTTTTTGACAGTTTGAAGTACCCTTGGACATATCATTAAGCAACTCAGGATTTAAGTAAGTTATTCATAGGTTGTTACTAATTTTTATAGATACTTGTGGGCAAAATGATTATATTTATTCGTACATTATATTATGCAGATAAAAAGAGAGTTTGATATTCTGTGTGCATCTTTTTTTGTATTCCCATTCTCCATAGCAAATATAAACAACTTTATCAAACATGAACCCAGGATTTTACATATAAGGTCAATTGTATGATTTTCTTAGCCATTTATTTCTGTAGTGCATCTCCATTTATTTTGGTATAAGGATATACCCTTCTCCCTGCGATTAAATAGAGGGATTCGATGGTTCAGAGAGCTACATTGACAATCAAACATCAAAACCCTTTTTGTTGACATCAAAGAGGATGTCACAGGTCAATCCACTTGTAGCTCAGCTGAATTAATTGGTTTTTTTTTTTTTCTGTTTTCCTTTTTACACAAAAGACAAGGTTTTTTTCCTTTTCCCACTCTATTTTACATGTAGCGGGAACATGAGATGCTTCTGAAAAAATAAGCATAAGGCCATCAATATGTAGAAGACATGAAAATCTTCCTAAATTAGAGTAATGATAATCCTGAACCGTTAAGTATTTCACTAGCTTTATTTCATCATATATGAACATTTAGCTGTGCTTACTTTGAAACTAGTGTGTGCATTACTCTATATCAGAAAAGTTATAAAAATGTAAGATGAAAGTAATATTTTTTCCTTGTTATCAGGCTGATGCCATTTATATACCATGTATTTTGAAAAAACTACAGAATTTATTAACCAAAAAAAGTTATCTACTTAAATTTCTCAGGAATGTGTTTCTACTTCTGTGGGTATATTATTTAGTGGTTACTCACATCCTTTATGAAGGGATGTATTTTTAAATGCATTCAATAATTTCTCATTCTTTATGTTCTTAGACTTGTCAACTTTGGATGTGATTATCATCAATACCGAGATAAATTTTCCAAACACCTGACTCTGTGTGTTTTTACCAACCATACAGGTAAACTAGGGTTGTATTTATCAATTTATTCAACCGTATTTGAGTTCTAGACAAAATTTACTCATTGTTTAGCTATATGGAGTCTGAAAATAGAACAGAGCTACATTTTTATGTCGGTGATCATATGGATTGTCATGTATCAAATCTTCATTAATTTTAAATATACACTGTCTGTATTGAGGAAGCCACAGTTATTCTTAACAGCAGAGTTATTCTTCTAGTAGTTATTATTTGTATGGTTCTAACAGAGAAAATGGATTGTATTTAACCAATCTACATTTTCTCACCTGCTTCATCTTTTAACAAATGACTAACAGCGATGGCTGTGCTTTCTGTGTCAGGCTTACTGATGTGTTTGGTTCTAAACTTACGTACCTGGCTTTAAGAGCCATGCTGCAGCCTACCAATGTAACAATCAGAGCTTGACATAAAGTTATTAATGTGAAATATTTTGTTCCTTAATACCAGTTTTCATAGATAGAAAAAATGCAGAGGGTAAAGAAAAATACCTAAAGATGAGAGAAGTTGAATATGATTACATTCAATAAATCTGGTGAAAAACTGCTCATTAACCTTAATAATCATCTAAATAATCAGCTCTGATAACTGCATGTAATAGCCATTTTTAATATCCCAACTTTAATGGACATTTACTACTTGAGTTAAGTAGCATTTGGACTAAAATTGTATTCCTTTAAAGCCAAATTATTGTGGGATATTCACCCATTAGGCCAACATTTACTGAGGACTTACTGTTTGCTAGGTGTTGGGGATATGATAAGTAAAACTGCCCTAATCTTTATTAGCGTAAAGGTTACTATTTGGCACAGATTTTAGACATTACATAAGTGCACACTTAGTATTTAAATAGAATCATATTATGAATGAGCATTATAGGAATTCATGAAAACTTATGGAGGTTTAATAGAAGATATTAGTGTCTTCAACCATGTTCTAGTTCAGCCAGTCCATCCTCATTTCTGCCTCCCTCCAAGATATTCCATCCCATTCCATTCTTAGTCCTGAAAATGGCCCCCTTTCCCACTTCACTCCTGCATAATCCATTCCTCTTTTTCCTGTCCATCCCAGGTATCCCTCAGCTGTACTCATCCCTTCATACACCAGTCCTAGGGAGCTCAAGGACGTGGTATTTCAGTAGAGACTTGAAGGATATGTATGAACTAAGACCATGTCACTGAAGTAGAGTGAGTGAGAGAGAGAAAGCTGGAGAGGCAGGCAGGGGCCAGGCTATGTGGGACCTTGTGGATCATGGGAGGATTTTAGACTTTATCCTAAGAGTGATGAGAAGTCATTGAAGGGTATTTTTTGTTACTATACAATTTATTTTGAGAATGCGCAAGCTCGCTGTAAAGTTCAAAAATGTAATGAACATCCGTTTACCTTTTACTTATACAATCATATCATTTACAGTATTTGCTTTATCATTCTCACTATATATATATGTATCATTTTATTTTTTGACCAAGTCCATTCAAAAATAGGTTGCAGACATCATAACACCTAACCAGTAGATAATTCAGTACACACCTCCTTTGATTAAGGACACTCTTCTACATAATCTGTTCCCTTATTACTGAAATAAATTAATCACATTAATCAATAAACTTTATTTTCTATTCAAATTTTCATAATTTCTTGAAAAACGTCATGTGTGTATATATAAATAAATATGTATGTATATAACTTTTAAAGTCAGGATTCCATCAAGATTCATACATTACATTTGGCCGTTTAAATCTTCATAGTCTTGCATTAACATGTGCAACAATTCTCATGTCCTACTCCCTGCCTTTCTTTTCTTTTCATTGACATATTGAAAAGTCCAGGCCATTTGTCTTGTAGAATGATCCACGTTCTGGATTTATCCAATTGTTTACTTACATAGGCATTTAACTTTTTCCTTTATACATTATTTGTAAATTGGAAGCTACACACAACTGAGTAAAGGCACAGTTAGACATAAGTTAAGCATTTTTAGTGAGAGTACTTCACAGGTGATGTTGTGAACTTCATTTGTATCAGATCAGGAGGCCTATAATGTCAGAATATCCTACTGTTAGTGATGCTAAGTCTGGTCATTTGGTTAAGTGGTAACTACTGTATGTCTCCCTTATGAGGGCACATTTTAACCTCTGAATTAGTAATTTATAGGATGGTACTTTGTCACCATGTGACTATTCTATTCTCAGCTTTTCACCTGTCAGTTTTAGGATTCACTGATACTCCTTCACTGAAGCGTCTGTGCAGGCAGTAACATGATTAGATACATATTTTCAAAAGATCACTGTGGCTGCTGTATGGAGGATGGATTGGGCCGGGTACGGTGGCTCACGCCTGTAATCCCAGAACTTCGGGAGGCCGAGGCGGGCAGATCACCTGAAGTCAGGAGTTTGAGAGCAGCCTGGCCAACATGGCGAAACCCCGTCTCTAGTAAAAATACAAAAAAATTAGCTGGGTGTGGTGGCACGTGCCTGTAGTCCCAGCTACTCAGGAGGCTGAGGCAGGAAAATCGCTTGAACCCAAGAGGCGGAGGTTGCAGTGAGCTGAGGTCACACCACTGCACTCCAGCATGGACAACAGAGCAAGACTCTGTCTTAAAAAAAAAAAAAAAAAAAAAGAAAAAAGATGGAGGACGGATTGGAGAAGGCAAGAGAAAAAGTGGGAAGATGAGCAGTTAAGTCTAGTCCTGTGTTTGAAATAAGGGTGAACTAGGATGGGCAGTACAGGTGGAAGGAACTAGATGGGTTTGGGATGCATTTTGGAGATGAAATTAAGATAATTTGCTATAAATTAGAGGAATGGTTCTCAGGTTTCTGGCATCAGCAAATGAGTGAACAGTAGTGTCGTTTACTGAGGTTATAGGGGTTTTGGTGGAGCTTAGGAAGATTGTGAGTTTTGTTTTAGACATGTTGACTAAAAGATCTGGAGCTTAGAAGAGGGGTCAAGACTGGCAATGAATAAATCTGGAAGTTTTTAGACTATAGCTGGCATTTGAAGGCATAGGAGGGGGTATTTGGTCAGGAGGGAGGACACTTATGAATAAGATCTGGGGACATAAATATATAAAGGTTAGGTGGAACATCCAAACGAAAAGGAAAAAAGAATGTCTGGAGAGAGAGAAAGGGAAAACCAAAACAAGTATGGTATTGTAGTAGCTGAAGGCACAGGGTAGTTTCACAAAGAAATGACTGAATTAGGTAGTGAGAGGTGGAGTCCACTGTGTCTAGTAGCATGAAGATTACTATGAGCTGTTTGTGTTGTGGAATTGAGGTGAAATCTTGACTATGCTGGGTTAAGTGGCATATGGGAATTGAGAAAAGTCATAGCAGCATGTGTAGACATGACAGAGGCAGCAGCTGGAAAGGGAAATAGGATTTAGGGAATATTTTAAGACAGTACAGACTCTAGGATGTTTGAATGCTCACAGCATATATTGAGTGGAGAGGAAACAGGAAAATACATAGCAGAGAGGATAACTGGTATAGTGAATTTGCTTAGAAGGTGGGATGGGATCCGGAGCTCACATGGAGGGAGCAGGGTGGGTTCTTCCCTGGTGCTTTGCTTTATTTATTTATTTATGAATGAGATGGAGTCCTGCTCTGCTCTGTTGCCTAGGTTGGAGTGCAATGGAACTCTCTCAGCTCACTGCAACCTCCTCCTCCCGGGTTCAAGAGATTCTCTTGCCTCAGCCTTCCGAGTAGCTGGGATTACAGGCACACATCACCATGCCTGGCTAATTTTTTTTGTATTTTTAGTGGAGACGGGGTTTCGCCATGTTGGCCACGCTGGTCTCGAACTCCTGACCTCAGATGATCCACACATCTTGGCTTCCCAAAGTGCTGGGATTACAGGCATGAGCCACCGCGCCTGGCCCCTGGTACTTTGCTTTAAATCTATTGGATATGAACAATCATTTTGGCTTTAATCCAGTGTGGCTTTTTATTCCTTTTTCTATTTCCACAGGAATTTCTCGTGACCATTACTAGCTGTAAGTTATAAATGGGGCTAGTTATGACATATTTAATAAAATGTTAGGTTTATCTGACATAAATTGTGGAAGAATCTGTTTTTCCCCTTCTCGGCAGTGTGTGGAAGGGTAGAAAATAAGCTTCACTCTTCACAATCAGCTTTGAAAAAATAAAAAAACGTGTTTCAAATGAGATGCTTCCAGATTTAAGATGAAACAAGCCAGAGAAGCAACCTTTTGTTTTTTGACTAAGAAATTGTTCATGTGTTTCCTATATTACTCTTCAAAAGTGTTTTTTTACCTTTGTTGTTAAACAAAATCTATTCCAGCAAAATAGGATAGGAGAAGGAAGCAAAGAGTATAATCTAAATGTGACTCCCTCTATAGCAGAAAGCTGAATTCTTCACTGGCATGGAGGCCAGAAACTGTGGTTCATGAAAGGAATGCTGATGGACTTAGGCCCTTATACAAACTTACTTCAACTATTTACATTAATGATGATGATATAATAATATTTGACATTTTGCTATCACATTTTGGTCATCAGAAGCTATTTTGTCCTTTCACCATTACTTTTTATATTCTTGAAAACATTTGTCCTGAATTTCCCAGCACTAAGAAATAAAGACGGCTGTCTTCCAAGGAACTAGAGGTTACAATCTAGGGATGGGCGTGCTCATGAGATTGGTGGTGGGCAAAAGTGCTGCTGCCACTGCTGCTGTCAGGCCACTTGTGTATTATTTAACATGAGTTTATATATATTTTTCTAATAAAAAGGATAAATCAGACTTTCTAAGCATTGAAAGCATATCTTACTATTTCCCTACCTAATAGTCAACTCTGAAGCTGTAGTGCTCTTGTGTGTTCTAAGTCAGTGGCTGTAATTCTTTCTTGTGCACCACCTACTGGGAGGGTAGTGAGTAGGGAAGTGTGTAAATTCTCCTTCCTATTCATATAACTGCACGAGTTGCTCTTCACAAGTTCCCGATTAGGCCTATGTTTTAGCACTTTATAGAGCCTTTTAATAATTGCTCCAATAACATAATTTCCCTTGGAAAACTTTGTCCACAGTAGTTTTCATTGTCCAAATGGTTTCCCCAAGGCTAGCCAACGTTGAGATATTATCTTCATCATTGATGAATTTCATTAAACATCTCTGGATACACCCTTAAGAGCATGCTTCCCCAGCTTGTAAATAGCAGCAAGACTGTTATGGAATAACACCAGCTAACCTTTATAGCCAGATATAACTTCTTTGCAACTAACAATCTAACAATAATAATCTCTTTATACACAGTATCTTATTTAATTATCTCACAAGAACCCTATGAAATAAGTTCTATATTTTCTTTATTTACAGATGAGGAAACTGAGGCTTAGATAATTTAATTAACTTGCCTGAGGCAATAGACTTAGTAAGCCAAAAGCAGGACTCACATCCAAATCTGCTGATTTCAAAAGTGGTTCTCAATCTGGGTTCACGTTAGAATCATTTAGTGAGCTTTAAAAAATACAAATGCCTGAGTCTCACCCCCCAGAGATTCTGACTTAATTCTTCTGATGTGGAACCTGGGCATCTGTGATCCCAAGTAAGTTTAATGTGCTGTCAGGGTTAAGAACCAGTGCTCTAGAGCTGTGTTGTCCAGTATGGTAGCCAATAGCCACATGTGGCTATTTGAATTTACATTAATTAAAATGAAAGAAAAAAATCCAGGGCTGATTAGAAGCAGCTAATGTGAGCCACTCTCACAGGGAAGCGTAAGTGCCACTCTCACAGGGAAGGGGCGAGTAAATGCAGCGCCTTCAACTGAATCATCCAGATGTTCACATTGGGACTAATCCAGGAAACAACTTAACCCATGGAGAATGGCAAAAAGCAAGGCAGGATGACAGCCCACCTAGGAGTGACACAGAGCCAGGGGAACTTCCACCACCCAGGGAAGTGGTGAGTAAATGTACAACTCCAGGAACCCATGCTAGACTAAGAAGACGAGAGAAGATCCAAATAAACACAATTAGAAATGACAAATGGGATGTTACCACTGACCTCACAGAAATAAAAATAATCATCAGAAACTACTGAGAACACCTCTAAGTACACAAACTAGAAAACCTAGAAGAGACAGATAAATTCCTGGACACAAACAGCCTCCCAAGGCTGAACCAGGAAGAAATTGATTCCCTGAACAGACCAATAATAAGCTCCCAAATTGAATCAGTAATATATAACCTACCAACCGAAAAAAGCTCAGGATCTGATGGATTCACAACTGAATTCTACCAGACGTACAAAGAAAAGCTGGTACCATTCCTACTGAAACCCTTTCAAAAAATTGAGGAGGATGGACTCTTCCCCAGTTCATTCTATGAGGCCAGCATCATCCTGATACTGAAAACCTGTCAGAGACATAAGAACAAAAGAAAACTTCAGGCCAATATCCTTGATGAACGCTGATGCAAAAATCATCAAAATACATGGAAACCAAATCCAATAACATGTCAAAAAGCTAATCTACCACAGTCAAGTAGGTTTCATCCCTGGGAGGCAAGGTTGGCTCAACATATGCAATTCAATAAATGTGATTCATCACATAAACAGAATTAAAGACAAAAACCACATTTATCTCAATAGATGCAGAAAAGGCTTTCGATAAAACTCAATACCCCTTCATGTTAAAAACTCTGAATAAACTAGGTATTGAAGGAAAACCTCAAAATAATAGCCATCTATGACAAACCCATAGCCAACATCATACTGAATGGGCAAAAGCTGGTAGCATTTCCCTTGAAAACTGGCACAGGACAAGGATGTCCTCTCTCACCACTCCTATCCAACATGGTATTGGAAGTCATAGCTAGAGCAATCAGGCAAGAGAGCATCCCAAATAGGAAGAGAGGAAGTCAGGCTATCCCTGTTTGCATACGGCATGATTCTGTAGAAAACCCCATAGTCTCAGCCCAAAAGCTCCTTCAACTGATAAACAACTTCAGCAAACTTTCAGGATACAAAATCAATGTACAGAAATCTCTAGCATTTCTTTACACCAACAAGAGCAAAGTCAAGAGCCAAATCAGAAAGGCAATCCCATTCACAATTGCCACAGAAAGAATAAAATACCTAGGAATACAGCTAACCAGGGAGGGGAAGTTAAAGATGTCTACAATGAGAATTACAAAACACTGCTCAAAGAAATCAGAAGTTACAAAGAAATGGAAAAACATGCTCATGGATAGGAAGAATCAATATCATTAAAATGACCATACTGCCCAAAGCAGTGTACAGATTCAATGCTATTCCTATCAAACTATCAATATTCTTCACAGAACTAGAAAAAACTGTCTTAAAATTCATATGGAACCAAAAAAGCCTGAGTAGCCAAGGTACACCTAAGCAAAAAGAACAAAGCTGGAGATATCATGTTACCCAACTTCAAACTATACTACAGGGCTACAGTAACCAAAACAGTATGGTACTGTTACCAAAACAGGCACATAGACCAATAGAATGGAATAGCGAACCCAGAAATAAGGCTGCACACCTATGACTACCTGATCTTCAGCAAAGCTGACAAAAGCAATGGGGAAAAGACTCCCTACTCAATAAATGGTGTTGGGATAACTGGCTAGCCATATATAGAAATTGAAACTGGAACCCTTCCTTACAACATAGACAAAAATCAACTCAAGATGCATTAAAGACTTAAATGTAAAACCCAAAATTTATAAAAATTCTGAAAGAAAACGTAGGCAATACCATCCTAGTCATAGGAATGGGCAAATATTTCATAACAAAGACATCAAAAGTAATCACAAAAGAAGCAAAAATTGACAAATGGGATCGAATTAAACTTAAGAGCTTCTGCACAGCAAAAGAAACTAACAGAGTAAACCAAACGACCTACAGAATTGGGAGAAAATATTTGCAAACTATGCATCTGACAAAGGCCTAGTATCCAGCATCTACAAGGTACTTAAATTTATAAGACAAAAACAACTCCATTAAAAAGTGGGCAAAGGACATGAACAGATACTTTACAAAAGAAGACATGTGGCCAGCAAGCATGTGAAAAACTCAGTATCACTGAGGATTAGAGAAATGCAGATAGAGGTTACAATGAGATACCATCTCATACCAGTCAGAATGGCTATTATTAAAAGTAAAAAAAAAAAAAAAAAAAAAAAACCCACAGTTGCTGGCAAGGTTGCAGAGAAAAGGGAAGACTTATACACTGTTGATGAGAGTGTAAGTTAGTTCTACCATTGTGGAAAGCAGTATGGTGATTACTCAAAGGCTAACAGCAGAACTACTATTGGACCCAGCAATCTGATTACTGGGTATATACTTAGAGGAATAAAAATCATTCTACCATAAAGATATACGTATGCAAATGTCAATTGCAGCGTGATTCATGTTAGCAAAGACATGGAATCAACCTAAATGCCCATCAGTGACAGATTGGATAAAGAAAATGTGGTACATACATACCGTGGAATACTGTGCAGCTATAAAAAAGAATGAGATCATGTCTTTTGTGGGAACATGGATGGAGATAGAGGCTATTATCCTTAGCAAACTAACGCAGGAACAGTAAAACGAAATACCTAGTGTTCTCACTTACAGGTAGGAGCTAAATGATGAGAACTCCTGAACACAAGGGAACAACAGACACTGGGGTCTTCTTGAGAGTGGAGGGTGGGAGGAGGGAGCGGAGCAGAAAAAGTAACTATTGAGTACCAGGCTTAATAGCTGGGTGATGAAATTATCTGTAAAAATAAACCCCTGTGATATGAGTTTACCTATATAACAAACCTTCACATGTACCCCTGAACTGAAAATAGAAGTTAAAAAAAATTCCTGTAGTCCCAGCTCTTTGGGAGGCCAAAGTAGGAAGATCACATGAGCCCAGGGAGTTCAAGACCACCCTGGGTAACATAGACTCCATCTCTTAAAAAAAATAAAATAATTAGCCAGGCACACATGTAGTCCTAGCTATTTGGAAGGCTGAAGTGGGAGGATTGTTTGAGCCTGGGAGGTTAAGGCTACAGTGAGCCATGTTTGCACCACTGCACTCCAGCCTGGGCAACAGAGTGAGACTTTGTCTCAGATAAATAGTGCTTCAGTCATATTATCCACATTTTGAGTGTTCAGTGACTACATGTGGCTAGTTGCCACCATATTGGACTATACAGGTATATAACATTTCCATTGTCAAAGACAGTTCTGTTGGATAGCTTCACAGAGCCTGTGTACATACCATTTCAACTTGCTGTGTCTTTTTTTCCCTTTGGGATTGGGTGGGGCAACTAAGCATGACCTAACAATTTGGAAATATTTGCTTATAAGTTCTGGATATGGTTCTTAGAATATGTAATTAGGTACATTTATTCTACATCTCATTTTATTTTATTATTACACTTTAAGTTTTAGGGTACATGTGCACAATGTGCAGGTTAGTTACATGTGTATAAATGTGCCATGCTGGTGTGCTGCACCCATTAACTTGTCATTTAGCATTAGGTATATCTCCTAATGCTATCCCTCCCCCCTCCCCCCACCCCACTACAGTCCCCAGAGTGTGATGTTCCCCTTCCTGTGTCCATGTGTTCTCATTGTTCAGTTTCCACCTATGAGTGAGAATATGCGGTGTTTGGTTTTTTGTTCTTGTGATAGTTTACTGAGAATGTACATCTTACTTTTTTTCAAAATGAGAAAAACTTTCATTCTCTAAAGGATGGAGTGCAGATAGTTTGCTAGAATGGAGGTTATGATCTATGTTGCCATCATGTTCATTTCCCAGGATAGAATCCTAAAAGAATTACTGGGTGAACAGGTATGAATATATTTAACCCTCTGTGAAAGAATTTTTCTGAGATATTGTGTTAGTTGACTCATTCACTACTATTTGAGAATTGTGTAAGAAGCACATGCTCCCTTGACAGTATTTCATTATCATTTAAAAAACTACTTCTAAAGGAAAATTATGGTACCTTGTTTTAATTTTTATTTATTACTAGAGAATCTAAAGTCTTTTTTTTAAGCAATTTCATGTTCCTTGTGATTATAGTATATAAAAGAATGGATAAACAAGTAGTTTTTTGCTGATAATGTTTACTGTATGAAAGCAGTCCAAGTGGTATATGAGACTTTTGTAACTCTTATAATTATTATTTTGTTTATACTTTAGTGATAGATTACTTTTATTCTCAGTGAGTCATGAGTCAGCTGTAATTGTAAAGAAAAGTTGTTATTGTGTGCTCAGTAACCGTAACAGTCATTTTACATCTAATAGAATTGTTACCATGTTATCTGATGAAGTTATTCTTTTTTGCTATTTTGTGTTTAAGATAATTGCAATAAAATGTACTGCTGACAATACTTTGCAGTGTTAAATGTCATTAAAAAGTCATAATTGATAAATATTATAACAGAATACTTATAAATGTCCTTGAATAGCCCTCTTAGGGGAAACTGACTTTTTTTCTACCACGATTCTTTGATAAAGAAACTAATGAAGGAAAGTAGAGGAAACATTGAAATCCACTGAAGTAGAGTAGCGATTGAATTCACACAGCTAGTTAACGTTAGCTCTGGGGCTAGAACTCAGGTTTCCTGACTCCTTGTCAAGTTACTTTCTACCTGTCAATCTCCTATTTCAGTTAATCACATAAATGATAGACATACCTGTTTAAGCATACTGTCCTCAATTGTATGTAGGTCACTGATGGACATTAGTCCATACAGCAGCAGCTGCTAGAGATAATGTACAGTTTCATGCGTTGAGAGAGGTGGGGAAAGTTGAGGGTGTTCTGGAGTGATGGGGTAAGTGAAGGGGGTCAAGACTCACCTGGAAAGGCCACTCTATGCCAAGAGCTCTCCTTTGGCCTTGGGCCAATGCCTTCAGTGACTCAGTTACGGATGGATATGGACTCACATGCCACATTTGTTTTCACTGACCCATAAGATAGATCACACTTTGCCTTTCAATCAAGATAAACTAGAGACTGGTAACTTTCTGTGAAATGAACACATTTTTGATAAACTGGTGTTCACAGCTGTTAGTAATAATTGCAAGGTGACAAGCTAGATAAGGGAGGACAATGCATGCTTACTAGGAGAATCTCATGAAGCTTTGGAAACTGTCTAGAACCCCATTATTTCATATGCAGGAGTATATCTGTGTTCATTTTCCTATCCTTCAATAGCCTGCCACAATATGTTGCTATATAGTGTGCACTAAAAAATTACTGCTTTGAAATTTCTTAGCAACTTGTTAATAGACCACTTCTAGGACTTGGGAATAATCTATGAGGTAAGATGAGACAGGACATCTAAAGGAATAGAAGTAAGTTTAAGTGGTTTAGGAAACTTTATTTATGACATAGATTCTGTTAAACTCTACTAAATATCCTTTTTCTTCTAGGAAGTTTGTGTGTATGTTACAGCCCGAAGTGTGCCTCTTGGGGACAAATCACATATTCAGTGTTTTACATTCATAAAGGTACTTTTCATGTCTTCTTTGTTACTTTTACATAATAACTTTTTCCAAATAGTAGCAAATTAGATAGCTCTTAACAGTGTTATTAGTAATTTTTTGGAGACAGGGTCTCCCTTTGTCACCCAGGCTGGAATGCGGTGGCATGAATACTGCTCACTGAAGCCTCAACCTTATGGTCTCAAGTGATCCTCCCTCCTCAGCCCACCAAGTAGCTGGGACTACAGGCGTGTGCCATCATGCCTAGCTAATTTTTGTATTTTTTGTGGAGATGGGGTTTCACCATGTTGCCCAGGGTGGTCTTGAACTTCTGAGCTCAAGTGATCCACCCGCCTCAGCTTACCAAAGTGTGGGGATTATAGGCATGAGCCACCATGCCCGGCTGAGAGTATTATTACCATGGAATCAATTTTTATCAGTTCATTCTATATCTGTATACTTACAGGATATATATTTCCTGAAGAAAGTTGTCAATGGTGAGTATCAAGTTAGCTAGTTATTTTTATATATCATATATTTTTATCCTGGCCTATATATTTTTCTAGGCTTGTGGACCAATCCTAAGGAAGGTATTTATCCAAAGTGTGTTTATTTGCTTTTTAGTTATCGCTATTTGGAAAGTATCTATAGATTTAACTTACAGAGTTAAATAGGGTTTCAGTTAAAAGCATCCATGATCTCAGACCTCAACAGGTTTTAGATCTAAGATACATTTATTCCATTTCACACATCTATGGCCCAAGATATTGATAAACAATCTAGGGAGAAGCAGTCAAATGCCTAACTAATTTCTCCTGGTTCTGTAGTCAATCACAGTGTGCCCTGTAGTAGTTTTAGTTTGAACCATGCTAAGGAGTTATTGTTTTGCTTGTTTAATTCCTTAAAATGAGTATTTGTGCAGTATATACTATGGGTGTATTTAAATTTTTTTAAAGATAAAGATTTTTCCAATATTTAAAAACAATTATGCCAAGCCACACCAGAGCTGCTTATTCTATAGATGGACCTGATATTACCTCCTCAGGTTAGAGATTAAGGTAAAAAAGTTTAAGAACTTAATGGAGAAGCTAAAGTAACTTCAGAACTAGACATATATTCTATTCATACTTAAGTTGTATAAGTTTGAGATTTTTGTGGAAAATTTTTCACACATTTTTCTAATGGTTAATCTATTGATCAAAGGCAGTAAATAAAACTTTTCTGAAGATTAAGAGTTAGAAAGTAGAGAGGAAAGGCCAATATACTGAGGTTATTAGCTCGACTAATTCCCTTCCTACCTAAAAGTGGGATTTGTAAGTGATTTGGAGAAGTCTCAGAGGGTCTTAATGACTGCACGTGTGTGGCGGTGAGCCTTGAGGAATGTGGGCCAATGAGCCATGTGGTCATCTCTATCTCTTGGATCTTTAAGTAAATTCCTTCAGATCCTCTCCTCCCTGAACAATCCACCTGTCATGGTCTAAGATTATAATAAGCCCAGAGCAACTACTGGAGTGTGACTGCACTCAGATAATCTGCCTTCAATGCTGGTTTTTGGAGAATGAGGGGAACCATGAAATCTAGAAGTCTGAAGATGCCTGCTTACCAGTTTCATGGTCACTGAAAATATAGTGTGTTACATAGTCACTGCCTTGGGTGGAGTTCCAGTTCTTTGTTTAACATTCTCTGGCTTCATATTCTCTCTTTGCAGGACACAGCAAGACCTTCACCACTTCTCTTGAGAATGTTGGGTCACACATGACAAAGGGCATTACTTTTCTCAACCTTGGTGAGTGATGGAGAGATCACACCCCCTGCTCTGAACACTTGTTCCTAGGCATGGTATACCTCAGCCTTCTATACTATCCCATTTCTCATGCCTCTTTGAGACTCGGATTGTGATGACAATCAATGACCCACTTGAAATCTGATGAGAGAAGATTTTCTCTGGAACACACCCTTGCCTCTCAACTCCTTAGCCTTTGGCTTGAAAAGGGTTGGGGGTTGTATCTTCCCTTTTTAGAGAACCTAGGCTGTGAGCTTTCTTATGTTTTTTGGTAGCAGCCTAAAAAGCTATTTGTTAACATAAAAATGATAACTTGTATGAGATGTTCCCAAATAGCCCATGAGAAATAATACATCATGTTATCCCTTGATTATAGAGAGGATGGGGCCTCTGGGAAATTGTCTATTTCCTGTTGCTAATCTTGAAAAGTTTCCAAGTCCCATTAATGATTTATGGATCAGCTTGAGTTGTTTTCATTGAGTAAATATGGCGAAGGGAACCTGAGTATAATGAGGAAAATAAAGAAAGGGTTTGTTGTACCTCCCCACTGAAAGCTGCTTTTCCATGCCAGTTAGGATGTGGGGCACAAAGTTTAGCACAAGACTAAGTAATGATTTACTTGCTTACATATGGAACATGGCATATGGAACATTTCCTTTAAAAAAGGAGTTTCAGGTTTAGAGCATGTAATTCTTTGATATCTTTTTCCATCCCTATTCCACAGTCCATCCACTGTCATGATGCATGTTTGAGAGAGTGCAATGTGAGGAAACTGAGCAAAGTTATTTTTATTTTGAATGATACCATTGATGAGGTTGGATACTTACGCTGAGTGGGCCAGTATGGGCAAATTTTAACATGATCTCTGAATTTGTGGGAAATTGCCTTAGGGAAGCCTGGTTCTACTGCTTCCTGTGATAAGAGAGAGAAATATTATAGAAGGTTTCCTGGGTCTGGGACTTGATTCTTATCAGCAATGCTTTATCAGCATCCCATCTCAAGAGTGATGTGGGAAACTTTCCACTATGAAAACAGCACTTTGTGAGGGCAAAGGTATCCTTCCTTTTTTTACCCCTGGGAATGACTTGCAAAGGGCAGGCAAGATTTAATCTGTGGTCTTTAGCGTGTGGAGAGGCCAGAAATATAAGCTTTGTAAAAATAGGCTATCTTAAACATGTTGTCTTTCCTTCTTAAGCATATTTTATAGGCACAAAATCATAGCCCAGTTTAAAACTGCTGTACAGGTAATTTTTATGACAACAATATTGTTTTGAGTAATATATTTTTTGCTATTACGTGCAATTTCCCTGGACTGTCACCCTATTAAAATGGGCTTATATTGATTAATATATTAAAGAATAATTTTTTGAAAATTTCCATGAACCCCAGACACTTCTATGTAAGAAAGATATGTTTATAAATAATGAGCTACTATTTATTTAATGAATAGTGTATGTTAAGTATTTTACTTGTTATCTTGCTCCCTACAGCAATTCTGATTGGTGATATTATCTCCATTTTACAGATAATGAAACTGAGGCTCAGAAAGAGTGAGCTCTGTGCTTAGGCTTACCTCAGTGTCTTTTATAAGGGACACTAGATTATTAATAGTTTCTTTTTTTTTTTGAGATGGAATCTTGTTCTGTCTCCCAGGCTGGAGTGCAGTGGTGCAATTTCAGCTCACTGTAACTTCCGCCTCCGGGGTTCAAGGTTCCCACTGCAACCTCCACCTCTGCCTCAGCCTCCCAAGTAGCTGGGATTACAGGCGCACGCCACCATGCCTAGCTAATTATTTTGTAGTTTCAGTAGAGGCGATGTTTCACCATCTTGGCCAGGCTGGTCTTGAACTCCTGACCTCGTGATCCACCTGCCTCGGCCTTCCAAAGTGCTGGGATTACAGGCGTGAGCCACTGTGCCTAGCCTATTAATAGTTTCTTTAAACATTTTGTAATTTTTGTTTTCTTAGCATTTTATTTCAACTAAAACTTTATCAAGTGTTTTGTTTAGAGGTTTTGTTCTAGTATTTTTCTGTAATGCAATCCAGAATAAACTGAGAGAAAATGAAGTGAAATGATCCCATCAGTCACCCAAACGGTATGCAACATAACTGCCCAAACTAGAAAAGATAATTAGTGTTGTCAGTGTTACAATCCTAGAGTACTTAATTTAAAAATATTTATTCATAGAATTTGATTTTTATCTTATAGCATTTTTGATATATTTTTAAAAATATAAAACTTCAGTCTAAATGTTTTCAAACATTAAAGTTTTAACTAAATATAAGTGACTAAAGTATTTTCTTGAAATTATAAGAAGTATCCATTTTACATGTGGCATATGAATGTAGGTATAGCCTCTGCTTATGTGTAGTACCTTTTCTTCTCCATATAAGATCTTTATTAGAAAAGTCAGCAAATAAAATATAACAAATTTATACAGAGTTATTTCATCAAATCTTCCCAGCAAACTTTTTTGTTTGTTTGTTTGAGACAGGATCTTGCTCTGTTGCCTAGGCTGGAGTGCAGTGGTATGATCTTGGCTCACTGCAACCTCTGCCTCTGGGCTCAAACTATCCTCCCACCTCAGCCTCCTGAGTAGCTGGGATTACAGGCGCATGCCGCCATGCCCAGCTAATTTTTTATATTTTTTGTAGAGATGGGGTTTTGTCATGCTGCCCAGGCTGGTCTCGAACTCCTGACCTCAAGTAATCCACCTGCCTCAGCCTCCCAAAGTGCTGGGATTACAGGCGTGAGCCACCGTGCCCAGCCAATAAAAATAATACCCTACCTTATTTTGTTTTTAACTGACAAATAGTAATTGTATATGTTTATGGAGTACAATGTGGTGTTTTGATACCTATATACATTGTGGAATGATCAAATCAGGCTAGTTAGCATATCCTGTATTAGTTTATTGTTGCTGTAACAAATTATGGCAAACTTAGAACTTCAAACACCACAAATATTCTCTTAAAGTTCTGTAAAGTTGGAAGTTCGAAATGAGTCTTGAAGGGGCTAAACCAAAGTGTGGGCAGGACTAGTGCCTTCTGGAGGCTCCAGGGAAGAATTTGTTCCTTGCGTCCTCCCTCCAGCCTCTAGAGCAAGCTTGTCCAACCCACAGCCCAGGATGGCTTGAATGTGGCCCAAGACAAATCTGTAAACCTTCTTAAAACATTATTTTTTTGAGGTTTTAATTTTTTTAGCTATCAGCTGTTATTAGTGTATGTTATGTGTGGCCCAAGGCAATTCTTCTTCTTCCCAGTGTGGCCCAGGGAACCCAAAAGATTGGACACCCCTGACTAGAGGCTAGTATTTCTTGGCTTGTGGCCACTTCGTTCCAACTACTTTCCTCATTGTATGGTCGTCTTCTCTTCTCTAGTCAAATCTCCCTCTCATAAGGACTTTTGTGCCTACCTGTGTCTACCTGGATATTCCAGGATAGTCTCCCCATCTCAAGATCCTAGTCACATCTGCAAGATCTCTTTTACCCTATTCACAGGCTCTGGGGATTAGCACGTGCATATCTTCAGGAGCCATCATTCAGCCTACCACAGATACTACTGCCCCTTTTGGTGAGACAAAAATTCCCTGTTCATTGAGGGACTGAACATCCATCCCTAGAGCCTACTCACCAAATGCCAAATAGGAATCTCCCTCTCACTACCTCAATGATGTTAACAACCCAAATCACTGTCATATATTTTCAAATGCCACCACCCCACGGACATAGTGCCATCCTAATTAACTAGTTAAGTGGTACAGCTGGGAGGTAACTAGGTCATTTGATGCCGATACCCTTTCCATTATGTCCCACTGTATTGTTGTTTGTGGTTTTCTAGTAAAGTGTTGCTATAATAAGATGATTGCAACCATTTGTGCTAAGCACTTTAGCATCATTTAATCCACGTTGACTGAAAGGACACTTGTAAGTCAACTGGTTTGAGTTCTATATCCTCTTCCCTTTCCACAGAACGCCTTCTATGCAAATGATTAGCATGTGTTCCTTCACTTCTTAGGAAAAGGAGTCTAGCTGGCTCACTTATAATCTAAATGTTTCATCTATATAAAATTACTACTGTGTGAATTTCTGTTTTCTAAGATCCTAGAAAAAGTATTGGCAAGGGCTACTTCCACCCTTCCATTCTCCAGAAACCTATTTTTTATACCTTGTCTCCATCTGAGTACAAATGTTCTTGATTCAAAAATATCTAGTGCAGGGACTGAAGGTGTGAATTCTAGTCAGCTTGATATGCAAGGAAATAAATTAGTACTTCACAAAGTGTCAATGTGTCTGCAGAGATTATTCTGATGAATATCGATTTAAAGGTTCTCTAAACAAAATGCTCCTGCTACTGATGATGATAATGATGATCACTGGACAAACATGGGCAACAAAATTTTAGAGCTTCCCGAAACTGGCAGAAATTATGAAGAAAATTCCCAATATAGGCTATTTCCAGCTTATCAAATTAAGGAATAATTCGTGTTGCTTGATATTTTTATTCTAATTTGCTCTGAGATCATTTAGATTCACATAAAGCCACAAATCACTTAGAAACAAAACTGCAGGTATAAATTAAGATAACCATAGCTAAATATCTGAAGAAAATTAGCCAAAGATGGAAATAAATGAGGTTTACCTAGTAAGAGAAATGTGGCTGGGTGTGGTGGCTCATGCTTGTAATCCCAGCATTTGGGGAGGCTGAGGCAGGAGGATTGCTCAAGCCCAGGAGTTCAAGACCAGCCTGGGCAACATGCCTGTAATCCCAGCACTTTGGGAGGCCGAGGCAGGAGGATTGCTTGAGCCCAGGAGTTCAAGACCAGCCTGGGCAACATGGTGAGACTCCATCTCTATAAAAATAGAAAATATTAGTGGGGTGTTGTGGGCACAGTCCTGTAGTCCCAGCTACTTGGGAGGCTGAGGTGGGGAGGATCACTTGAGCCCAGGAGTTTGAGGCTGCAGTGGGCCGACATCACACCACCGCTACTCCAGCCTGGGTGACAGAGTCAGACCCTGTCTTAAAAAAAAAAAAAAAAAAACGGGCTGTCATTAGATAGCTTATTACATTGGTAAAACTTTTGCCTTTTGAGATATTCAGAGACAAGCAGGGATAATGTGACATTCTGTACCTGTGCAGCTTTTACCACATGTAGATGATGTAAATCTTTCTCTTCTATAGACTATTATGTGGCTGTTTACTTACCTGGTCATTTCTTCCACCTACTTAATGTTCAACATCCAGACCTGATCTGCCACAATCTCTTTCTGACAGGTACGGCTATAGTTTTTCTCTTGTAGAGGTGGCCCATTTGAGTTTGTTTTGACTTTAATATCTATGTTTGGGTGAAAGGAGTTTCTTCTATTTGCTGATCTACTGTTTTTTTTTTTTTTGCCAGGAAATAATGAAATGATTGATATGCTACCTCATTGCCCTTTACAGTCATTGTCAGGGTCCCTGGTATTGGATTGTTGTTCTGGAAAGCTCTATAGAGCACTGCTCAGCCAGTCGTCTTTATTACAGCTTCTGCAGAACACTTGCTTAGACTGTGAGAAGATGGCTGCGTTGCACTGCGCGCTCTACTGCGGTCAAGGTGCGCAGTTCCTGGAAGCCCAGGTGAGAAGATAGCTCATGTTTTAAAATGGGCAGATAGACGACACTGAACATATTTATTTTGTGGTTGAAAATGGTCAGGAGTTATTTTTATTTAGTAACAATTAATTGAGGTGTGTGGCCTTGCTGCTGACATCGTCATCTTTTGCGCTGCTTTTTTATGGATCCCTACCAGGTCTCACACTCAGGGTGTTTCTGTTCTTTTGGGTACCCCCTTTTCCATATTGGGAATAAAAGTTTAGCTATGTCAGTAATATTTCAATGAAGAGCTCAGTAAATAATGCGTTTCTTAAATATCTACTTTTTCTCCTGGTCTGTATTTGATCTATAATTATCAAAAGGACTAAAATCTGGTGGCAGATATTTATTACATTTGTAATAAAAATAGCTTACATTTGTATTTCACATTAGAGTTTATTAAGTACTTCCACGTGCATTCTGTGTTATTTTACAGCTATCCTGTGAAGTCAGAAAAATCTCTTTATCAGATGTGGTTAAGATCAAAGAGTGGCTGGTTAACTACAAAAAAAAAAAAAAAGACATTAGACGTTTTATTTTAACCTGAAACATAACAATGTACATTATTCACCCATGTTTTGACTCAAGCCTTTCTTTGTGCATCTGCTAATTGAAGTTCAACATCATTTTTCATGCATAAAAGCACTAGTAATGAGTTACCTCTAACTTCCTGTTACTTTTTAAAAATTTTTATTTCTAAGGATATAGTAATTTAAAGACCCTTACAAAGCAAGCTGTGTATACCAGGCATTTTTTACCCAATCTTTTTTAGTTGTTTCCCCTAAACCTAATTTTCTAGTGTTTTAGAGACATGCCTTTGACTCTTTACAAAGCATTCAACTTTTACTGACCCAATGACACTCTCTGCATCCACATTTTACTTGTCGATAGTAATATCGTATTACCTAATTTTGAAAATAAGTACAATAACATAAATCGGTTTTGAATTAAACAGCTTACTGGTAGGAGCAGAAGTGCAAGTGTGCACCATGGTTAGGCGTGCCTTATAATATCTGTCAGTGCTGAGATGGAAAACATTCCTCTAGCAGGTGAGGATGATTATGGAGATGAGCGAGTTGATGGTATAGCAGGGATTATCCCTCCCTCAGGAGGCAGTACAGTGATGCTCACAAAGGTTAACTGGTGTGTCCGTATTCACACCCAGGACCCAGCTGGAATTCACACCCAGCTCTGCTGCCCTCAAGCCTAGTGGTTTTGTTTTTCTTTTTTTCCTGTATCCCACGGCTCTTTCCACTGGTGCTTTGCTATAACATGACCTATTCTTGCACAAACGTTAGGTTGAGGAACGTTTATTTGGTTTCCAGCCAAGGAGATTTATTAAAAAGATGTATAAAAAGGATCTCACTTATAAAATACCGTTTTACCTACCCAGAATTGCATTATGTATCTTGAAGATAGTATAGAAGTGAGTATATTCTTAGGCAATTCTAAAATAGGTATAGAATGCAAAAGATTCATGTATATTTGTACTTCTTTGGTAGTGGAGGCAGAGAGCAGATTTAAATACCAACAGAGTTCTGTCTGACTTTTTAAAGATTATTCAGTGGATTTCTGAGAATGTCTCTGCCTGCCATTCATTTGACCTCATTCAGGAATTTATAATTGGTAAGTGTTGCTGATGTTGCAGCTTAAGTTGAATACTTGACCTTTTTGCTTGAGGGAAAGCAGTAAATTGATAGTGAATGCCTCAACCTGTCCAAATGCTACTTTGGAGCACATTAAAAAAAAAAAACAAAACTCTATCGGAGTCAGCAGCTAATTAAATTTCATTCTCTTGTGGTTTTCTAAGAAACTATGGCTGTACAGAGATTGATGAGATACAAGATAGGATCTTGATTCTATAACCTTATTAGTGATTTTTTTTTCCAGTAAGATGTAACTTTCTTAGCCCAGTTTTGTGTTGGCTGGTTTCGTATGAAATGATATAATGTCATTTGGGTAGATATGGTACTAAGTTATTCTTCTCATTGTAAAAAGCAGAACCTGAACATTTTAGTCAGTAGATAAAATCATGATGGTTACCGTTTTGAGGATGAGGGATAAGACAATGAAAACTTTGTTGGTTTGCGTGTTTTGGTTGCATTACAATGCTGTCATCATCTTATTAAACCACATCTTTTTTCCCCCTGTTTCAAAAAAAATCTACTCAGCTTCTTCATACTGGAGTGTATATTCAGAGACAAGTAACATGGACAAACTATTGCCACATTCCTCAGTGCTCACTTGGAATACAGTAAGTTAACACTGTGTATGCTGTATGCAAATAAAATCAATTCACAGTTGTGGGTCAGTTGTTGGACACCTCTCTTATAGCCATCAAGGTCGTGATTTCACTACTGTTTTGACTGATAAAGAACTCAGTTGAATTTTTTTTGGCAGAAAAGTAATAGCAAATCCCTGCTATTGGCCAAAAGTATTTGTATAAAAACAGTAAAACCAAAGGAGCAGGTACACAGGGTATTTATTATTCTTCCTATTACCAGGCAGAACTAAACCTCTATCATGGTATTTTTATTTTCTAAGTGACTAGAGTGGATTAAAATATGTACTGAGTTTTTATAAGTGAGGAATGGGTGGATTGCTGCTATCATACTTGGTAGATAAGGACCTTCACGACCCCTTTTTCCAGCCCCATTAAAAAGTCTGTAATAACTCTAGAGCTTCAGGATCAGTAAAAGTCAGCAATCTTAGGCACATTCACCCCAAATGACTTTTTCTCCCTGTCGGTTCTGACTCCCTCCTTTTAAATTAGGATGTGCTGAGCTAAAACACTGCTCATTTTCTCTTGAATATGGTACAGTAGACAGAGCTTTGCTGGCCCAGCAAGTGAAAACCGTACATAGGCTGTGCCTGAAAAAGTTCTGCCTCATGTTTCTTATTTAGATATTAGAACTACATGCTTGCTTTTGAGGCAGAAGTTTATATCAAAAAGGTACTTAGAAAAATAAATTGAATTTAAATAACACAGTCATAGGAAAATATGTACTAGAGTAAATGGTGACACTTTATGTTTAGACCCTGTCTAAATATAGTCCTTAAAAAAGATGTATCAAGTGTGTTTGATTAATTTCTAAATTTTTGGTATGCACAGTGGCAGTGCTTTCCTAAAGGCCTTTTCTTTGTCTTTTACTGTCGTGGTTATTAGACTTTTATGCCCCACCTTAGAATTTAAGGGAAAGAAAGGCCTGAACTTGTTCCCTCTCTAGGCACCCACGTTTTTCTTTTGGAACACATGTGAATAGACATGCAGACCCTGTGGTCACATGGCAGGAAGTCTGCAGGTTACACCACCCCAGAGTCAGGAAATGCACATCTCCGCTCCCTCCCTTACCAACCCCCTGCTGTTATGTCCTGTGTTCAAAGTGTCCAGGAGGCAGCTGGGACCACTGGTTCCCAGGGTTGTGTTAAAAGACTGAGCCACATGTTAATTGGATGTGGTGTGAGAATATCACCCTGAGGGTAACGCTTCCCTTTTGCACTTCTCAAGATTGTGCAGGGTGGAGCAGCTATTGTGGACACGCACAGGGTGACATCAGGAAGTCCAAGAAGAGCGATATAAAGAAACCTGTGGTTATAACCTCCCTGTACTGAACTAATCTTGGGGTTTGCCATGTTGCTTTAAACTTCTTGTGGTTGGACTAGGTTACCTTAAAGGTCTCTTCTAATCTTGAAAATCTATCAGTCTATGCTTATCATTAGCTGTGATGCAAATCATTTATTTTTCTCTTATCTGCAAATGTTCTTAATGCTACAACCTTAATAAAAAGTTTCCACAGGCGAAAACATGGATTTCACATTTTTGTAGGAGACAACTGACTTGGATTTTTTAAGATAATAGAAAATGTGATGCCCTTACACATAGATAATCCTGAATTATGTTTTGCAAACAACTATACCTCTTTTAAAATGCTATTTATAACCAAAACTGTAATGAAATTTTAATTTTTTTTGAGGTATCCTCTGTAGTGATAAATGAAGCACACAATAGATTCTTATCACGGCTTTCAACTGTCACATTGAAGAACTTAGTTGTTTGCATGTTCTGAAAACTTATTTCTCTGTCCCCATGATACCCTTTTTTACAGGAATATTCTATATCAGTAAAATCTCGGTCATTTAAATTATAGACAAATATCAATTTTTATTTCTACATTACATCTCCTAAAATATTTTCTTATATACTTATCTACTTTTTTTTAAGGAAATGAAAGCTGATTTGACCAGATGAGAGGCTAATTACATAATTAACATACAGATACACTTTTCAAAATAATAGTGAATAAAAGGCAATCTTGAAAGTTTATCCTTTTATTAAATTTCTGTTTTAACACTCACTAGTTAGCAGAATGCTATCATTTGCCCTTCTTGAAATGAATTGTTCACCTTTCAGATTTGCCATGATGATAGCACTGCAGAAACTCTTTTTTTTCTTTGGAGACGGAGTCTTGCTCTGTCGTCCAGTCTGGAGTGCAATGGTGCAGTCTCAGCTCACTGCAACCTCCATCTCCCAGGTTCAAGTGATTGTCCTGCCTCAGCCTCCTGAGTAGCTGGAAATACAGGCGCCTGCCACCATGGCTGGCTAATTTTTTTTTTTTTTTTTTTTTAGTAGAGCGGGGTTTCACCATGTTGGCCAGGTCGGTCTCAAACTCTTGATCTAAAGTGATCTGCCAGCCTTGGCCTCCCAAAGTTCTGGGATTACAGGCGCGAGCCACTGCACCTGGCTGCTGCAGAAACTTTTTTTTTTTTTTTAATTATTATACTTTAAGTTTTAGGGTACATGTGCACAATGTGCAGGTTAGTTACATATGTATACATGTGCCATGCTGGTGTGCTGCACCCATTAACTCGTCATTTAGCATTAGGTATATCTCCTAATGCTATCCCTCCCCCCTCCCCCCACCCCACAACAGTCCCCAGAGTGTGATGTTCCCCTTCCTGTGTCCGTGTGTTCTCATTGTTCAGTTCCCATCTATGAGTGAGAACATGCAGTGTTTGGTTTTTTGTCCTTGCGATAGTTTACTGAGAATGATGATTTCCAATTTCATCCATGTCCCTACAAAGGACATGAACTCATCATTTTTTATGGCTGCATAGTATTCCATGGTGTTGTATATGTGCCACATTTTCTTAATCCAGTCTATCATTGTTGGACATTTGGGTTGGTTCCAAGTCTTTGCTATTGTGAATAATGCCGCAATAAACATACGTGTGCATGTGTCTTTATAGCAGCATGATTTATAGTCCTTTGGGTATGGGGGGCTCCTACCTCTGAAATTACAGAGGACAATGAGGTACAGAAAAATTACCCAGTCAAGTCATGCAAGAATCCTGTTAGTCTTGATTCCTTCTAGTGAGGTAGGGGCCAACTATAATACATTTAAGTGAAAGAAGAGAGAGGAAGGAGTATTGATAATGAAACATTTCCCCTTTATCGTTACATTTGGTGCAAACATAATTTGCCTCATTCGTTCTTTAATAGAAATGTATAAAAATACCCTATTTGCTCTCTATTTCTTTGTAATAGTCTTTTCCTTTACTTTAGAGACCCTGTCACCTATTATAATTGTGACTTTAAAGAATGTGTCCTTTCCTGAGGCAAGAGATAGGCTATATTCACTGTTATTTATGCCCTCCAAGGTTTATTTAAAGTAGAGGTTAGAAGCTGGAAGCTGCCCTCAGCTTCTGTCTGTGCAGAAAACACTCCCTGAAAGCTTGAGCTAGTGGTAGTTCATACACTGAGCAGCTGTGTGTGTGTGTTTTTCCCCACTATAGGAAATTCCTGGAATAACTCTTGTGACAGAAGACATTGCATTGCCTCTTATGAAGGTAGGTCCCTTACAGCAAGAAACAAAAGTACAGATACATGACTAAAGCTCTGCTGCCTGAGTATTATGGTGGTTCCAAAAGGGATTGCAAATTGGCAGGGGAGGGGAGGGCAAGGCAGTAGGGTGGGTTTTCTGGAGAATCCTTCCTACATGGGTGAGTGATCACTGAGTATGGTATTATGGCAATTCTCAGGAATGCTCTTTGAAGGAAGTTTCCTGAAGATAGGAGAGAATTACGGTGCTCAACTTAAACCTTCCAGAACCAGCACTTGCCACTGTACCTCAGAACAGGCTGTACTGGGGGAGGTCTTGTAGATGATCTTTAGAGAGGCTGGTAGCTGCTTTTACTTTATTTGCACTATTACTCCCTCAAAATGAGCTTGCGCACGTGCACGTGCACACACACACACACACAGAATTTCCAGTCTTAAAACCATTAAGTAATGTGGGCTAGGATTATCTAATTTCCTTCTGGTTGTAAAAACAGCTTTTTTGTTTCTCAGGAGTGATCTGTATTGGCCCACTATGTGGTCTTCATCAACCTCTGAACATTAAGCTGTAGCTGTTAGTGTCTTTCTGCAACCTGGTGGCTTCACAATAGTTTTGGAGTACCATAGGAGAATGGGGTGGAGTGAGTAGAAAAGGATATGTATGTAGTTAAAACTAGGGGGAGTGTTTTAGCACAGTTTCCTTGAAGCTCCTTTGTTGTTTTTGGCATTTAGCATTGCCTCCTGTTAATCATAGCTTGAGGTAGACTGGGAAATCTCAACTTCTGGCAGCAGGGAGCTCAGGGTGCTGACGCCTTTTATTTCCATTTGATTCTTTTGTATCTGTGAAGGGCAGGCCGGGCCTGGACAGCTGGGGGAAGGCTGTGGCATTTTAGGTCACAGTGATTCACTGGGGGCAAGAGAGGGTAGATCGGGGGCCAGGTTAGTGGTTCTAGGTTTTGGTCCTAAGAAGAATCCCTTAAAAATAGACTGATGATCTGTGTTTCCAGGCAAAAGCATGGGACTACTGTGAAGTCCTACTAACATATGAAGATGAAGAGAAAAGAAAGGTTTTATTAATAGTTTAAAAGGTGTTTTAAAAGATTCCACCCATTCATTTTATTTATTGTTTATTGTTTCTGCCTTTTCTACTAGTCTTACCAAATCCATAATGTGTTTTTATTTATTTATTTTTAGAGATGGGGTCTCTCTTTGTTGCCCAGGCTGGAGTGCAGTGGCATGATCATAGCTCACTATAATCTCTAATTCCTGGGCTCAAGCAATCCTCCCGTCTCAGCCTCCTGAGTGGTTGGTACTACAGTCATGAGCCACCATACCCATCCAGTTTCTTATTTTTTCTTATTTTTTTTTTTTTTTGTAGAGATGGGGTCTTGCTATGTTGCCAGGATGATCTCAATCTACTGGCCTCAAGTCATCCTCCTGCCTTAGCCTCTTAGAGTGCTAGGATTATAGGTGTGAACCACCATGATGGACCATAATTTTTTAATGGACAACAAACCAGTGAAGAAAAATTTTGAAAGAAATATCATCCATAATTCTACAGTTCCTAATGTACCAACTGTCTCTTCTCCCCCATTTCCTCTTGGCCTTTGTTATAGGTATGCATATTTTACCCAGTAGTAATTGTGATCTACAGATATTAGATAAATTTTAGAAATTATGTTATTGTAAACATTTTTTCATGTTGCTATGTAAACTTATAATTTCTAATGACTCCATAGGATTCCACTGGATGGCAGTGTCTTTTTCTTTTTATTATTTTAAATTAGTAAGTGTGTGAGGAAAAACTCTGTCCAAACTGTGTTTTCCCTCTCTCTCACACTGCAACAATAATCATCAACACAGAAAAACACTTCTGTTACCAAATGTGTGGGAATTCTTCATGTACCAAGCAGCAGACACCAGCTGGGTGTCCTTTAATTCAGTTCTGACACTATCTACCTAGAGACAGTGTCAGATCCCACAGGTTGGGGGACATAGTCCCCAAGACTACCCTCCACACCCCCAGATAACAGGTGCAAGTCCAGACCTCTGGAACTTCTGACCAACTGTCTTTAAGTTGGGGTTCCCACGGTACCTCTTTAGGTTTGATTAATTTGCTGGGGTGGCTCACAGAACTCAGGGAAACATGTTTACTGGCCTATTATAAAGGATATTGCAAAGGAAACAGATGAAGAGACGCATAGAGTGGGGTATGGGGGAAGGGACGTGGAGCTTCCATGCCCTCTTTCGATTCACCACCCTCCAGGAACCTCCACCTGTTCAGCTATGGGGAAACTTCCCCAACCCAGTCTTCTGGGATTTTTATGGAAGCATTCCTTCCCTCCAGGGTATGAGGCAGGACCCTCTTAGGGGAGGGTCTTAAGATCTGCAATCAGAAAGGCAGGGGGGTGGGGCGGGGGGTGGTGGTGGGGAGTGGTGGAGGGGAGAGTCATGCCTTAGGGCAGGTGAAAGGAAGGCAGGAGAGAGAGTTTCCCGAGACTAGTCCTGGTCCCGAAGCCTAAAATACCCGATATTATAACATCAGGCTGTAACAAAGGCTATGGGCATTGTGAACCAGGAGTGGGTGGATGAAAATTAATACATACAAAACACCACAATAAGTATGTCATACTTTTTTTTTTTTCTTTTTTTGAGGTAGGGTCTCACTCTGTTGCCCAGGCTGGAGTGCAATGACATAGTCACAGCTCACTGCAACCTTGAACTCCTGGGCTCAAGCAGTCCTCTTGCTTCAGCCTCCTGAGTAGCTAGGACTACACGTACATGTCATCATGTCTGGTTAATTAAAACTTTTTTTTTTTTTTTTGGTAGAGACAGGGTCTTACTATGTTGCCCAAGCTAGTTTCAAACTCCTAAGCTAAAGCCATCCTCCTAACTCGGCCTCCCAAAGTGTTGGTATTACAGGTATGAGCCACCATGCCCTGCTGGGTTGCAGTGCCTTAACTCAATTGTTCTTCTGTTTTTTGGACATTTAGTTTGTCCCTAGCCCCCATTAAAAAAATTTCTTTTTGCTGTTAGAAATAATGTTGCAGAGAATTTTTTTTCTTTCTTTCTTTTTTTTTTTTTTTTTTTTGAGATGGAGTCTCATTCTCGTTGCCCAGGCTGGAGTGCTTTGGTGTGATCTCGGCTCACTGCAGCCTCTGCCTCCTGGGTTCAAGCGATTCTCCTGCCTCAGCCTCCTGAGTAGCTGGGATTACAGGTGTGCACCACTATGCCCGGATAATTTTTGTATTTTTAGTAGAGGCGGGGTTTCACCATGTTGGTCAGGCTGGTCTCGAACTCCTGACCTCAGGTGATCTGCCCACCTCGGCCTCCCAAAGTGAACATTTTTATACATACAGTTTTTCTTTTGATCTATTCCCCTAAGGTTAAGAGCCCAGAGGTAACATTGGGTGAAAGGCTATGACGATTTTTATAGCATTTGATTCTTATTTTGTGATAAATTGATATTCAATGAAAGGGATGTCACGTGCGTCCAGGTGAAGAGACCACCAAACAGGCTTTGTGTGAGCAATAGAGCTTTTTAATCACCTGGGTGCAGGCGGGCTGAGTCCGAAAAGAGTCAGCGAAGGGAGATGGGGTGGGGCCGTTTTATAGGATTTGGGTGGGTAGTCAAAAATTACAGTTAAAGGGGGTTTTCTCTTATGAGCAGGGGCGTGTGTCACAAGTTGCTCAGTGGGGGAGCTTCTGAGCCAGGAGAAGGAATTTCACAAGGTTAATCGCTCAGTTAAGATGGGGCAGAAACAAGTCGCAATGGTGGAATGTCATCAGTTAAGGCAGAAACCGGCCATTTTCACTTCTTTTGTGATTCTTCACTTCCTTCAGGCCATCTGGATGTATACGTGCAGGTCACAGGGGATATGATGGCTTAGCTTGGGCTCAGAGGCCTGATAGTCCTGTCTTCTTATATTAATAAGAAAAATAACATAAAATAGCATTGAAGTGTTGGGGCAGCAAAAATTTTTTGGGGGTGATATGGAGCAATAATGGGCAATGTTTCTCAGGGCTGCTTCGAGCAGGATTAGGGGCAGCATAGGAACCTAGAGTGGTATAGATTAAGCTGAAGGAAGATTTTGTGGTAAGGGGTGATATTGTGGGGTTGTTAGAAGGAGCATTTGTCGTATAGAATGATTGGTGATGGCCTGGATGTGGTTTTGGATGAATTGAGAAACTAAATACAAGGTTTGAATAAGAGAATGAGAAAAACAGATATTAAAGGACTAATAATTGGGAGGACCTCCAATTAGAGAGTGCCCAAGGGGGTTCAGCATAATTACTTGCTTGGTTGGCAAGTTTAGGCTCTATCCTTTAGATTTTTATGTTGTCATATACCAGGCCAGACTGATTTAGGTAAAAACAACACTTTTCATTTAAAAATATACAGAGTCCTTTCTTTTTTTGTTGTTGTTGTTGCAGTGAGTAAGTTGAGGCCTCAGCGATTTTGGAGGAAAGAGAAATGCAAAGCCAGCAATTGTTTGTTAAAGAAGGATTAGAAATGGCTAGGTGAGAGTGAGATTGGCAGTGTGGTGGAGATAGCTGGGGAGAGGTAGAGGGTGGCATAAGAATGGGAACAAGAATAATAATGAGTATAAAAGTAAAGAATAGGACTTCGTCAGGGTGAAAGTATTGGAGTGTACCCCGTCAGCAAAGATCATCTATCCACTCTAAAAGGGAGTTAAGACTGGCAGTTGGGGATAGCACCAGGAGATACTAGCTGTGATGGCTTGGAGCAACAGTGTAAACCAGCAGTGTAACAAGAGCAGGACATTTATGAGTAGTTGAGAACAGTGAATAGGAGTATGACTAGACAGAAGATAGTACGGATGACAAGTTTTTGGGGTGCAGTCCAAGTTGGGCTGGTGTCTGGAATGAGCCTGGAGCCTAACAAAAAGGAGCGTCCATACAGAAGCTCAAATGGGCTGTACCCTGTAGCATCCCGAGGACAGGCCTGAATTCTGAGAAGGGCAAGTGGTAAAAGTATTGTCCAGTCCTTTTTAAGTTGGAGGCTGAACTTGGCGAGGTGTGTTTTTATAAGACCATTAGTCCATTTTACCTTTCCTGAAGATTGAGGATGGTAAGGGGCCTGAAGGTTCCACTGAATACCAAGAGCCTGAGAAACTGCTTGGGTGATTTGACTAGTAAAGGCCTGTGTGTTATTGGACTGTATAGAGGTGGGAAGGCCAAACCGAGGAATTATATCTGACAGAAGGGAAGAAATGACCACGGTGGCCTTCGCAGACCCTGTGGGAAAGTCCTCTACCCATCCAGTGAAAGTGTCTACCCAGACCAAGAGGTGTTTTAGTTTCCTGACTCCGGGCATGTGAGTAAAATTAATTTGCCAGTCCTGGGCAGGGGCAAATCCTCAAGCTTGATGTGTAGGGAAGGGAGGGGGCCTAAACAATCCCTGAAGAGTAGTAGAATAGCAGATGGAACACTGAGAAGTGATTTCCTTGAGGATAGATTTCCACGGTGGAAAGGAAACGAGAGGTTCTAAGAGATGGGCTAGCGGCTTATAACCTATATGGAAGAGGTTATGAAATGATGACAGAATAGAATGGGCCTGTGAGGCTGGAAGGAGATAATTTTCCTTGGTCTAAGAACCATTTGTCTTGTGTGGGAAGAGATTGATAGGTAGAAGTTAGTCAGTGGGGGAGTAGGTGGAAGTGACCGATGAGAAGGAGAAAAACTGGCAGTGAGGGACAGAAATTGGAATGCTAGCTGCTTCTTTAGCTACCTTATCAGCATAAGCGTTGCCTTGAGCGATGGGATCTGACACCTTTTGATGGCCTTTGCAGTGAATGACTCCAGCTTCCTTTGGAAGTAAAGTGGCCTTGAGAAGAGTTTTTATTAAAGAGGCATTAATGATGGAGGACCCTTGCATAGTGAGGAAACCTCTTTTTGCCTATTATATAACAGCATGGAGGTGCAGGATATGGAAGGCATATTTAGAGTCAGTATAAATATTGATGCGTAGTCCTTTTGCAAGATTGAGGGCTTGAGTTAAGGCAATGAGTTCGGCTTGCTGAGAGGTAGTGGAGGGGGGCAGAAAGTATATGCGTCAGGTGTGAGGAAGAAAATAGATTTTGGAAGTTATGAGAACTGTAGAGAGTGAGTTGAGCATAGTTTGTGATTTTGAGGGCCTCTAAAAGTATTAAAGCGCGGCAGCTGCCACACACAGACATGAAGGCTAGGCTAAAACAGTAAGATCAAGTTGTTTGGACAGAAAGGCTGCAGAACACGGTCCCGTCTCTTGTGTGAGAACTCCAACCATACAGCCCTGCACTTTGGCTGTGTGTAATGAAAAGGGAGTGATAAGTTAGGGAGAGCTAGTGTGGGAGCTGTTTTTTAAGGAATGGAAAGGAGAGTGGGGAAAGGATTTAGGATCTATGGGGTCAACTAGGTTTATCTAGAATAGAATAATGGGTTGTGGAGGGAGGTATTGAGGATAGGAGAGTATATAGGTTTGGCACTGTGGGGTGGATAGGCAAAACAATTTGGTTGATAAGTCGCAGATCCTGAGCTAACCTGTAAGGCTTGTCTGGTTTTTGGACAGGTAAAATAGGGGAATTGTAAGGAGAGTTTACAGGCTTTAAAAGGCCATGCTGTAATAGGCAAGTGATAACAGGCTTTAATCCTTTTAAAGTGTGCTGTGGGATGGAATATTGGCATTGAGCAGTGTAAGGGTGATTAGGTTTTAATGGGATGGTAAGGGGTGCATGATTGGTCGCCAAGGGGGGAGTAGAGATGTCCTATACTTGTGGATTAAGGTGGGGAGATACAAGGGGAGATGCGAAGGAGGCTTTGAACTAGGGAAAAGGGCAGAATGAGAGTGTGGCTGTAACCTAGGAATAGTCAGGCAAGCAGATAATTTAGTTAAAATGTCTTGACCTAATAAGGGAACTGGGCAGGTGGGGATAACTAAAAAGGAGTGCATAAAAGAATGTTGTCCAAGTTGGCACCAGAGTTGGGGGAGTTTTAAGGGGTTTTGAAGCCTGGCCTTCAATACCCACAACAGTTATGGAGGCAAGGGAAACAGGCCCTTGAAAAGAAGGTAATGTGGAGTGGGTATCCTCTGTATTGATTAAGAAGGGGGCAGACTTACCTTCCACTGTAAGAGTTGCCAAAAGCATCTGTGATGGTCCAGGAGGCTTCTGAGGTGATGGTGCAGCGTCAGTCTTCAGCCGCTAAGCCAAGAAGATCTGGGAAGGAGTCAGTCAGAGAGCCTTGGGCCAGAGTTCCAGGGGCTCTGGGAGTGGCTGCTGGGCGAGTTGGACAGTCTGATTTCCAGTGGGGTCCCGCATAGATGGGACACGGCTTAGGAGGTATCCCAGGCTGTGGGCATTCCTTGGCCCAGTGGCCAGATTTCCAGCACTGAAGTAAGATCCTGGGGGAGGAGGTCCTGAAGGAATGCTTGACCACTGTGGCTTAGGCATTTTGAAGTTCTTGTGTGCTGGAGATGTGGCTGGGGTTTCTCTCACGGTGGAGGCAAGGAATTGCAACTCAGAAATATGTTGCTACTTGGCTGCCTCTACTCTATTATTGTACATCTTGAAGGTGAGGTTAGTTAAGTCCTGTTATGGGGTTTGAGGGCCGGAATCTAATTTTTGGAGCTTTATTTAATGTCGGGAGTGGATTGGGTAATAAAATGCATACTGAGAATAAGACGGCCTTCTGGCCCTTCTGGGTCTAGGGTGGTAAAGCATCTAAGGGTTGTTGCCAAATGGGCCATGAACTGGGTTGAGTTTTATATTTGATGAAAAAGAGCCTAAACACTAACTGATTTGGGAGAGGTCGGATAAAGAAAAAGGAGCATTAACCTTGACTGTGCCTTTAGCTCCAGCCACCTCTTTAAGAGGAAATTGTTGGGCAGGTCGGGAAGGGCTAGTCGTGGAATGAAACTGTAAGCCAGACCAGGTGTGAGGAGGCGAGGTGATAAAAGGATTATAGGGTGGGATAGTGGAGGCTGAAGAAGAATTGGGACCTGGCTTGGCCTGGTGAGGAGCAGCCTTGGGGAGGAGGGGAGAGGTCAGATGGGTCTGTAGAAAAGGAGGATTCAAGGACTCAGAGCTTGGGGTGGAGACTGAAGGAACAGACAGGAGAGAAAGAAGACAGATTTGGGATGAGTCACATTGGGAGCAGAGACTAGGGAGGGACCAATGTGTAGAAGAATGCCTGGAAGTCAGGCACCTCAGACCCATTTGCCCATTTTTCAACAAAAATCATCCGGGTCTTGTAAAATGGAGAAATCAAAAGTGCTGTTTTCTGGCTATTTAGAACCATTATCAAGTTTGTATTGGGGCCAAGCGGTGTTACACAAGAAAATAAGATGCTTAGGTTTTAGGTCAGGTGAGAGGTGAAGAGGTTTTAAGTTTTTGAGAAGACAGGCTAAGGGAGCAGAAGGGGGAATGGAGGGTGGAAGGTTGCCCATAGTGAAGGAGGCAAGCCCAGAGAAAAGAGAGGGTAGAGACACGGAGAAGGGGTGGGGGTAGTGAGCAGCCCTGGGCTGCAATGTGGGTGAGCAGCCAAAGCAGGCATCCCCGCAATTGACTTGCCACCAAGGGAATGTGGGTGAATGACCAAGGCAGGCATCCCCACGGTGATCAGACACCAATGGAGTGTGGGTGAATAATCAGGCAGGCGTCCCCGCAGCGATTAAACACCAAGGGAAGACTATCTTCCCGAGTCTGTGACTGGCGCCGGAGTTTTGGGTCCACGGATAAAATGTGTCTTCTTTGTCTCTACTAGAGAGGAAAAATAACTGGAATTGGAAGGACAGGGAGATTGAAGGGTAGCAAGAGAGGCTGGAAAAGAGAGTGAAAAGACTGCCTACCCGATTTGAAATTGGTGAGATGTTCCTTGGGCTGGTTGGTCTGAGGACCCAAGGTTGTAGGCAGATCTCCTCACGGAAGTGAGGGCAAGCACAGGGGACCGGTCTCCTGAAGGAGTCCTCCTGTCCTGGGTCTTCGGCACCAAATGTCACGTGTGTCTGTGTGAAGAGACCACCAAACAGGGTTTGTGTGAGCAATAAAGCTTTTTAATCACCTGGGTGCAGGTGGGCTGAGTCCAAAAAGAGTCAGCGAAAGGAGATAGAGGGGTGGGACTGTTTCATAGGATTTGGGTGGGTAGTGGAAAATTACAGTCAAAGGGGGTTTTGTCTTATGGGCAGGGGCGTGTGTCACAAGGTGCTCAGTCGGGGAGCTTCTGAGCCAGGAGAAAGAATTTCACAAGGTTAATCGCTCAGTTAAGATGGGGCAGAAACAAATCACAATGGTGGAATGTCATCATTTAAGGCAGGAACCGACCATTTTCACTTCTTTTGTGATTCTTCACTTCCTTCAGGCCAGCTGGATGTATACGTGTAGGTCACAGGGGATATGATAGCTTAGCTTGGGCTCAGAGGCCTGACAAGGGATAATTTACATTTACAAGGGATTTATGAGTTTACCCGTTTTACTATACCCTTATCAACATTGTGTATTTTCATTTAAAAAGTTAAGTATAAAAGAGTGATGGAAAGGTCCTATTAACTTTTACCTATTAGGTTTTCTAAGAATATGATTTAGCTTTGCTTAGGAACAAAGTCGCTTCTTTTTTGCACTGGCTTGTTTGTTTTCTGTGTGTGGGTGTGTGTAAAATGGAGTATTTTATGTCCTCCATGTGTTTCTGTCCTCCTTTTACATTCCCTCTTTCTCCTCACGTTTTTCTCCTCTACCCATAGCTTTTGTATTTGGCTCTGCAGACAGTTGTTTCCCATTCATCATTTCCACACATGCTTGGGGGCTCTTTTGGCTCCACATGTATTCATCTGCTAGTAGTTATTAATACTGAGGACAAGTATGAGGCACTGTAGATCTCTCTATGACCCTCTGCACACAGCCATGATCCATCAAGGAAGGCAGAGGTGTATTGCTGGGACTAGCCCTGGACTCAGGAGAAGATAGTACTGGGTTTTGTTTGACCAACTCCACCTACCCCAAATGCTCAGCATGGGAGACTCTAATCAGGAGATTCTCATTCCCAGGACACTTGATCCTGCTATTTCTCATTTGTTTCCTCATCTCTGCTCGCGTAATACCACCCATTCACTCCAAGCTGCTACCTTCACCTTTAACCTACTTCTTCTACCCCCAAGTCCCAACTTAATTATAGAGGGATGGAGCTGGTTGCATGAGCATGTCCCACCCTCAGCTCCTCTCTCCCTAGTCTCAGTTATGTGACTGTTCTTGCCATACTTACCCAACAGGAGGTGGCTCTGGACACTCGTGACCTCAATCACAAATTACGTAAGAGTGTGTGCTTGCTTCCACATTTTTTCTTTGAGGACCAAGGTACCCCTATTTACTCTGACCAAACTTATTTCTTTTCTCCTTAGTAGATAAGTGCCCTGATAAGGAGTTAAGGGAGGAGAGGGGCGGGGGTGTGTGTGTGGGAACTGAATAGGTACCTTCCTCCTGTTCTGTCTGCATTCTGAAGCACTTCCTTTTAGTATAAAGTGGAACACTATACAAATGTTTAATAAATTGCAATATTGCTATGGTCTGAATGTTTACATCCCTTCAGGATTCATATGTTGAAGTCCTGACCCCCAAGGTGATGGTTTTAGGTGGTGGTGCCTTTGGGAGGTGATTATTTCTGAGGGCAGAGCCCTGGTGATTGCAATTAGTGCCCTCATAGAAGAGACCCCACAGAGCCAACTTGCCCTCCCGCCACATGAGGTTACAGCGAACACATGGCAGTCTAGGAAGTGGGCCCTCATCAGACACCATATCTGACCACACCCTGATTTTGGGCACTCCAGTCGGAAGAACTGTGAGAAATAAATTTGTTGATAAGCCATCCAGTTTATGGTATTTTGGTGTACCTGCTGTAACAGACTAAGACCTATATGAACATCTTGGGCAGAATAAACCGGTTAAATCAGAAAATTTTCCTAGAGAGACAAAGGACTTCCTCATCTTATAAATAGTTCTCAAAGTCATTTTAAAAACACTAACAGGAAATATGTTGAAACAAGGTGCTTGCCTTAAAAGGAATGTCATTAAGAGTATCCTTCCTAAGAATGATTTTATCCCTTTGTAAACTGTGGATTGCTCTAGGGAAACGGCAACTTTCATAAAAGGCTAAAAATTGCCCTTGATTTTATGGTTATTTTTAAAAAATTTTGATTGATTGATTGATTGAGATAGGGTCTCCCTCTGTCACCCAGGCTGGAGTGCAGTGGTACCATAGTGGCTCACTGCAGCCTCGACCTCCTGGGCATAAGCAGTCCTCCCACCTTAGACTCCCAAGTAGTTGGGACCACAGGCACATGCCACCATGCCTGGCTAATTTTTGTTTGTTTGTTTGTTTGTTTCCTGTAGAGACAGGGTCTTGGTATGTTGCTGGGGCTGATCTCAAACTCCTGGCCTCGAGGGATCATCCCACCTCAGCCTCCCAAAGTGCTGGGATTACACACATGAGCCACCACACCTGGCCTGCCCTTGATTTTATGAGAAGAAAAACCATTAAAACTATTCAACCACAGGAAGCATGTATGGATTTTTAAAAATGGAAAATAGCTTAAATATAAAGATAAAAGATGAGCATGCTACAAATGGAGAAATGGGATATTTTTACCACAGTCTTTAAGTTGGACATCTGTAGTGTATTTCATCACTTGTTAGAGATTGTTGATTACCTGACTCAGAGACTGGGAAGGACAAAAACTTACTGCTCCCTTCTACTTATGGCCACTCAGATGTGAGGGTGTTACTGCCAATGTCTATCAGTGGTCTGATGCCCCTGAGCAACTGGGAGAAGAGTAGTTTATACCTGGGCTGCTCTCCAGAGACTTGTTTATCTGCTTCTTCACTGGTGTTAAACTGTTGTAGGCTGGGTGCGGTGGCTCACACCTGTAATCCCAGCACTTTGGGAGGCCGAGGCGGGTGGATCACTTGGGGCCAGGAGTTCGAGACCAGCCTGGCCAACATGGTGAAACCTTGTCTCTACAGAGAATACAAAAATTAGCCAGGTGTGGTGGTACACGCCTGTAACCCCCCCCCCACCCCACCCCCGCCCCCGTTACTTGGGAGGCTGAGGCAAGAGAATCCCTTGAACCTGGGAGGTGGAGGTTGTAGTGAGCCAAGATAGTGCCACTGCACTCCAGCTTGGGCGACAGAGCAAGACTCCACCTCACAAACAAAACACAAAGTTTTAATTGGGCAGAGCATGAATGTAATTAATTGCTTAGTGAAACACAAAAGACTTGACCCCACAATACAGACAACCATGATCACTTAAATAAAAAGTTTTTTAGTGGTCTGAAGTAATGGTATAATTACAGTATAATAGTTTACAATTTTAAAAAATTGTTGCTTTGACAAAGATGTAGCATCAATAGCAGTGTTAGTTGGTTATGTGGGAAATACTGATTTCCCAAAGTTCAGTTTGCACATATTTTCTGGAACAGTTAATTATAGTGAGGCCAGTGGATACCATAAACCTTAATTTTATGATGCAACAAAGAAATACTCATTAGAGGTAGATTAGCATAGATTTAAAAAAATAAGATGATACTGGCTGGGCACGGTGGCTCATGCCTATAATCCCGTCACTTTGGGAGGCCTAGGCGGGTGAATCACCTGAGGTCAGGAGTTCGAGACTAGCTTGGCCAACATGGTGAAACCCATCTCTACTAAAAATACAAAAATTAGCTGGGCATGGTGGCAGGCGCCTGTAGTCCCAGCTACTTGGGAGGCTGAGGCAGGAGAAGTGCTTGAACCTGGGAGGTGGTGGAGGTTGCAGTGAGCCAAGATTGCGCCATTGCACTCCAGCCTGGGCGACAGAGGGAGACTCTGTCTCAAAAAACAAAAACAAAAAAAAAGAGCTTGAGGCTAGTGATATCATTCCTGTTGTTTCTGTAGCAATGGAGGTGTCTTCAGCCTACTTCCTAGATGATGAAATTGAGGAACAGACCCAGGATGGAGGATTCTTGTTTCTGTTCCTCTTCTACCACCTACTACACTGTGCTGGTCTTATTCATAGTTTTGGTTGGGGACAGGTGTTTTTCATTCTCAAGACTGAGAGGAGGGAAAGAGCTTAGCATTGACTTTCTCAGGGCATAAGCTGATTGTGAGATGGAATAGTTTAGAGCCATATTTAGTGATTTCATTTTTAGAAAAAAATCCAATCCATTAAAAATGGCTAATAGAACTACCCAGATGGGCAAGTAAGTGGAAATTTTTGCTAGATATTGGGGAAGAAGGAGCAAGTCCAATTATATTCAGGAGACCTTGAAATTGCAGCATGCGTTTCCCTAAGTGGGCAGCCTCAGGAGTTCTGGTCATTTGCCCTGTGTATGAGTGTTCCTGTTTAGAGCATCTTAGTTTAGTGCCTTCCTAGCTTTATGTACACACAAACATTTTCTATTTATTCTGTCAATGCTTAGAGGTAGTGGGTCACTGTGTTTCTCTGGGTTGTTAAGTAAAAGCTGATACTGAGATGGAATCCACTGAAGAGCCAAATTGGATGATGCTTTAGCTGTGCTAGTTGAGTCCTGGCACACAGAGGAAAGGGTTCTCTTTGAGTTGGCTGCCTTCTCTGTAAGAAGATGCTGCTTAATCAGCAGAAGTAGGACCAAAGCCAGAGTGCCTTTTAGAAATGAAAGGCAGATTTTTTTTCTGGCAGTAATTTGCAGATGAGCCAGTACCACAGAGCTTTTTTTTTTGTTTGTTTTTGGATCAATTGGCAATCCAAATCATAAATGGGAAACAATTCCTTAATGTAACCCACTGGTTCTTTTGTTCAGTGAATAGTTGTGATGGGCTGTGTTTGGCAATTATTTCAGGTCATCCTAAGAGAAAAAACTCCCCTTTATGTAGGAAAATGCTTCCAGGTCATTCCTTGAGGATGTGATTGCTTCTAACATTGTCTCTAATTCAGGGGTATTTTTCTTTGCCGTGCTTTTTATGAAACAGTCTCATTCTGTCATCCAGGCTGGAATGCAGTGGCATGTTCTTGGCTTACTGCAACCTCTGCCTCCCCAGGTTCAAGTGATCCATCTCAGCCTTCCAAGTAGCTGGGCCTACAGGCACACACCACCATGCCGGGCTAATTTTTTGCATTTTTAATAGAGCCGGGTTTTCACCATGTTGCCCAGGCTGGTCTCGAACTTCTGAGCTCAAGTGATCCACGCATCTTGGCCTCCCAAAGTGCTGGGATTGCAGGTGTGAGCCACTGCATCTGGCATGGGTATGTTTCTTTTTTTCTTTTTTTTTTTAATTGAGACGGAGTCTTGCTCTGTCGCCCAGGCTGGAGTGCAGTGGCGCGATCTCAGCTCACTGCAAGCTCTGCCTCCCGGGTTCATGCCATTCTCCTGCCTCAGCCTCCAGAGTAGCTGGGATTACAGGCGCCCGCCACCACACCCGGCTAATTTTTGTATTTTTAGTAGAGACGGGGTTTCACTGTGTTAGCCAGGAAGGTCTCGATCTCCTGACCTTGTGATCCACCCGCCTCGGTCTCCCAAAGTGCTGGGATTACAGGCGTGAGCCACCATGCCTGGCCGGGTATGTTTCTTATACAGCATTTTTGTGTTTTATTTTTAAAGCTTTATTAGCTCTTTTCGAGTTGCCGGTGATGGGCTTCCTGGGCAGTTGTGGCTTTCATTTTGTGGTGCTGTTGTTCCTGATGAGTACAGTATTTGCTTTGTTGGATAACTGCTAGCTGATTGACAGTGATTTCCTGTGCTCCCAGGTTCATCTTTTTTTTTTTTTTTTTTTTTTTTTTAAATTTTAAGTTCCAGGATACATGGGCAGGACATGCAGGTTTGTTACATAGGTAAACGCATGCCATGGTGGTTTGCTGCACCTCTCAACCCATCACCTAGGTATTAAGCCCAGCATGCATTAGCTATTTATTCTGATGCTCTCCTTCCCCCAACCCCCCAACAGGCCCCAGTGTGTGTTGTTCCCCTCCCTGTGTCCATGTATTCTCATTGTTCAGCTCCTACTTATAAGTGAGAACATGTGCCATTTGGTTTTCTCTTCCTTTGTTAGTTTGCTGAGGATAATGGCTCCCAGCTCCATCTGTGTCCCTGCAAAGGACATGATCTTGTTCCTTTTTGTGGCTGTATAGTATTCCACGGTGTATATGTACCACATTTTCTTGATCCAGTCAATCATTAATGGGCATTTGGATTGATTCCATGTCTTTGCTATTGTGAATAGTGCTGCAGTGAACATACACGTGCATGTAGCTTTATAATAGAAGGATTTGTATTCCTTTGGGTATACACCCAGCAATGAGATTGCTGGGTCAAATGGTATAATACTTCCAGTTCTAGGTCTTTGAGGAATCGCCATAGTGTCCTCCACAATGGTTGAACTAGTTTACATTCCCACCAACAGTGTGAAAGCATTTCTATTTCTCCACAGCCTCACCAGCATCTGTTGTTTCTTGACCAGTCTCATCCTAGAGCATAGTGGTGCGATGGTGTGTCTTGGCTCTTGGGATTGTGCAGATTCAACTCTCCCTTCCCCTCCCCTCCCCTCCATTCTGGGTTACAACATCTAAAACGTTATGTGGGAGATCCTTTATTCTCTGGGATAATGAGCATGCTGGTATCACCTTGGCATTCAGAATCCCTCAAAGATTTGGCCCTAACTACCTCTTTAACTATATCTCCTATTTTAAAACCACACAATCAGAAGTCTTTAGACAGCTGGTGATTTATATAGCCTTTAAGCCAGAGGTGTATAGACTGAGTAAAGTGTTTGAGGGTGGGGTGCCCGGGATTACTTGAACATGCTCACTGTTGTCAGTCCTGGCTGAACATTAGGATGCCTTGGGGGAACTTGTAAAACTCATAAGGCTCAGGCATACCCCAAGCCAATTAAATCTAATTGGGGATGGGACCCAGGTGGTTCCAATGGGCAGCTGAGGCTGGGAGTTGCACATGCTGGAGGCTATTGTCTTCACCATAGAGAATGAAGTACTGTTGACTCTGATGCTCTGGCTCAGATCTGAGCCCCGAATCCATCTTCTAGTCTGTGTCTTTGCTCACACCCAAAGAGTCCCACCTGGAATATCCTTTCCTTGTCCTTCACTGACTCAAATCCATTTCCCTCCCCTGTTCCATCTCTGTTTTCCAAGTTTCCAAATAGACCTTCCAATTTAGAATAATCTCTGCATTTCTTTTTTTTTGGAGACAGTCTCGCACTGTCGCCACGCTGGAGTGCAGTGGCGCCATCTTGGCTCACTGCAACCTCCGCCTCCCGGGTTCAAGTGTTTCTCCTGCCTCAGCCTCCCAAGTAGCTGGGACTACAGGTGCATGCGACCACGCCCAGCTAATTTTTGTATTTTTAGTAGAGATGGGGTTTCATCATGTTGGCCAGGATGGTCTTGATCTCTTGACCTTGTGATCCGCCTGCCTCTGCCTTCCAAAATGCTGGGAGTACAGGCATGACCTGGCCGCATTTCTTAACTGAAAAAAGTTAGATCACTTCTCTAGTGGATACCAAATAGTGAAATATATAGATTTTTCTGTATTATCTTAATATCTGTAAGATATTATAGATATATCTAATATCTATATTAGGCCAGTGACCCCCCTCCTAAAAAACATGTAAGTTCGTGTGAAAATATTTTTGGGATGTTTGGCTAACAGTATTTCTTACTTAAGTGTAAATTTTAATTTTTGTTTTATTTTAAATTCAGATCTTTTTCCTTCTAACTCTAGTCTATTTTAGGCCATGGATTTCTTTGAAAATCTGGTACAAGCTATAGACCATCTACCCAGAAGAGCGCTCATACAAACACATGCTCTATTTTACATTCAGGCAGTGGGTGCTGGAGCCCCTGGAAAGCCTGTCCACTGACATGTGGCGAGCTCTGTTTGATCTGTTTCTTCTTAGCAGACAGATGGCTATGCTAATTAGCCTGATTTGATAAATCCACAATGTATGCATGTATTGAAACACCACATTGCAACCCATAAATATATACAATTATTTGTTAATTTAAAATAAAACAAAACTATGAAAAATGTGCCTACCTCCCCAAAAGGTTATGAGGAAAGGGATTTTTTAAATGGAGTAAGAAGGAAGGTAATTTGGGAGAGATCTTTTCTTAGGAGCTGCAGTGAGTGGGGACTTCTAACAACAGGATAGCATTTGACTTGAGGGGATGGGGCCAGATGACAGTTAGAGGGCATCTGAGTTTCTCCCCTCCCATATCCTGTCCTGGGCAAGGTCTGGGTGAACTGCGTGGGTGGGACTCTTATGGCCAAGCAGGAGGAATTAATAGCTCAACTGAACACTAGATGTCACCACAACACCAATTAGTTTTCTGGCTTTTGGCACTCCTGTGCCTGAGCCCAGATTAGGACAGCAAGAAAGCTTTAGAGACTTCCAGTCAGGGACCTAATTCCATCAAACGTCTGCAGGATTTGTCTTGTCTTTTTTTTTTTTTTTTTTTCTTCTTAAATACAAAGAAGACCCAAAGGGTGGATAAGTGTACGTTCATTATAAATAAATGGAAAGGGAAAGAAAAGATGAGTGAGGTGAGTCAAGTGAGGAGTGGGATTTGATTCCTGTTTTCCCCGGGACATGAGACTTTCTTGGGAAGAGTTTTTCTGTCTCTGGGAGAAGGGATGTTGGCTGGATGGGCATTTCAGGCTTCTGAAAGAGCAAGTTTTAATATTATGTTACTTACTTTACTGATACTCCAAAACACATTTCAAACCAATTATGACTGTCTTTTGAATAAAAATGGTAATAATGTGCTATAATTTAACATGAGGGCATTTTTCTTGATTGAGGTGTTTTTGTTTGTTTGTTTTTAAGTTTTCTTATTTTTCTTGCAGTTCAGCCAAGTCTTGTCACCTTGGCAGGCAATAGTTCACTTAGTTTTATGACCACACATTACATCTCTGGCCCCAGTCAAATCATTTGTAAATGCACATATTTTGGCAAAAAGTATCCTAAGTCTACCTTTATTGGTTTAAAACCAAGTTGTGTCAGAATATCCTTCAACACTAAGAATGTATTTTTTTATTTTTATTTTTTTTGAGACGGAGTCTCGCTCTGTCACCCAGGCTGGAGTGCAGTGGCATGATCTCAGCTCACTGCTAGCTCCACTTCCTGGGTTCATGCCACTCTCCTGCCTCAGCCTCCTGAGTAGCTGGGACTACAAGCGCCCGCCACTGCACCTGGCTAATTTTTTGTATTTTTGGTAGAGACGGGGTTTCACCGTGGTCTCGATCTCCTGACTTCGTGATCCGCCCACCTCAGCCTCCCAAAGTGCTGGGATTACAGGCATGAGCCACTGCACCTGGTCAACACTAAGAACGTATTAACATTGCATTTTATTATTTAAAAATGAATATAATGGATACATTCTTGCTTCAGGGTAGTACAATTATATCAATAATTCAAAGATCTAGATAGAATGCTGACTAATTCTGTTTTGGTGTATGTGACAATGTAAAATTAGTTCATTTTATCTTTTTTTGATTCCTAGGTTTTGAAAAATGTCCTGGGCAGTAAATAAATTTAGCAGGAAAGTACGCCTACTCCATTTATCCAAATGTTAATGAACTTTCTCTTAGTGAACATGGCACTGTTGACACCACCTAAGTCATAAAAACGGGTCTCAAGGGAGGAAATGACTCAGTGTGTTTAATACAGGTTTCCCTGCTAAGCCTCAATCTGGGGAAGTCCTGTTGGTTTTGGGAAGTGAGCAGCAGTTCTCTATGTGGTTTAAAAAAACAACGACAAAAAAAAAAAAAAAAAAAAGAGACAGAAAATGAAGTGGGTAAAGAAGATTCTTTAAGTCTATTTTAGAATCCCTATTGGGTCTAGAATGCCATCTTCTGTACAAAGTATTCACTCAGAAATGTGGACCCTGAGAGCTCGGGAAATAAGGCTTGTGTAATACTCACTGGGTGGTTTGGGCCACTGGGCCTGCCTCTGAAGGCCACTGATGTTTTTGTCTCCTACAGGTGCTCAGCTTTAAGGGCTACTGGGAAAAACTGAACTCCAACCTAGAATATGTTAAGTACGCCAAGCCACACTTCCACTATAACAACAGTGTGGTCAGGAGAGAGTGGCACAACCTGATCTCTGAAGAGGTATGAGTGGGTCAGTGAGAACAAAGCCAGCAGCGAGGCATAGTGGACTGGATCCAGGTGATGCCTTTAAATCATAAGGCTGGCTTCCATGTGCAGCACTCTTCCCAATTGCCAGGGACTTGATCATTGTCATTACTGATCTCAATGGGCAGAGATGCTTCTATGATCTCTGTTCTCCTAGGGAGGAAACTGAAAAGCAGAAAGTTTAAGGGGACACACAGCACATTCATAGTAGAAGTATGATTAATATCCATGTCTCAGATGTGTTCTCAGGTTACTTATGTAGTTAAAAATTGATATTAAAAAATCTAGGTGTTCCCAACTTAGTGGTCATTAGGGGTTGGGGTAGTTGGAGGGAGAATAGTGGACGTGACTCACTGTCCAGGGGTGACCCAGGGAAATCTTTGGGGGTGATCGAAGACTTCTATGTGTTGATTGTGGTGGTACATTGTGGGACATGAATCTAAACATGATAAAATGACATAGAATGACACACACACATTGTGCCAATGTCAATTTTTGATTTTGATATTGTGCTCTAGTTAGGTAAGATATAAGCACTGAGGAGACTGGGTGGAGGGTACATTGCATCTCTCTCTAGTATCGCTGCATGTAGATTAGTGTTGTTGTGTGTAGTATATAGTTGACTCGCAGTTTCCTGTGAATCTGTAATTGTTTCAGAATAAAATATTTCTTAAAACTTTAAAAAAAATCTAGGTGTTCTGATTACCTGGAAAGTATATTTCTTCTCTCTGATGCTCTTAACTGTATTGCATTATATCCTTGACGTGAAAAGTCACCGATAAAACCTTTACCTTCCACATTTCTGACGTGTTCTCACTCCTAGAAAACAGGAAAAAGAAGGTCTGCGGCATACGTGAGGAATATTCTTGATAATGCAGTAAAGTAAGTGAAAGCAGAGGTTATCATATCTGTAAGATGGTTGACATTTACAATTACTTTGTTTTGTTGGCTACCTTTTATAGAAGTAGTTTACTTTTGTTGCATATCCCCAGCAAAATAATATTGTCAGCTTCATGAATGCAGCCACTTGGACCCTATTCTGGAATTTGGTGCTGGAATTTCTGGTGGGAAAAGCTTATATGTTGAACCTTATAGACTTGTAACCTGCGGATAGATGTTTACAATGGATAATTGGTAAAGAAATTTCCTATTAGCATTTTAGGAGAGAAAGGCAAATAGTAGGTTGATTTTTTTTTTTTTTAAAGTGTCAGTGGGCTAGTGAGCTTGCTTTTATTTTGAAAGCCTATTTTCTGGATATATGAGTCATCTCAGAGTACTAAAAGTATAGGCCCCATTCCAACCTCTGTTCTATTTTCTGTCCCCATTATTTTCAATAACTGAGAGCTACAGTTGTTCTAAATTATTGCCGTTGTTGGCACTAAAGGGTTTTGAGATTTTTTAATTGCCTAATGTGGCTTTCACTACATTGATCAAAGTTTTTGAGGTTTTCAGCAGCTTGAGAATAGTTTCTACAGTGGTTTTTATGAATTTTTAAAGGAGGATATCTTTGTATGATGTGGCTTTAAATTTTTTAAAAGCAATGCTGTCTGTGAATAACATGGCTAATTTCTTCGTAGGGTGATTTCTAACCTAGAAGCAAGAAATTTGGGTAAGAAAAGATCTGTAATAAAGCCTTCTGGGTTCCAGTCAGTGTTTTGTTTGTAGCACTGTTCTTCCTACCACTGTGGGTTGGCAAGAGAATCACTTCCAGTAGTGTGGTGCAGGCAGCACCTTTTAATATCTTGCTGTTAGAGTGGCCGCACGGCTCTTCCCATGTCTGTCTAGGCACCAGGACCTCCGGGGACAGCTGCTGAATGTGCTTTTGCGATGGGAGTCCCTGGGTGATGGCCTTGCGGTTCTCCTTATTTCCTGTCATACAGAGCTGCCCTCTGGCTGTGCCCACAGGATGCATTTTGGCATTTCCCTTGGCTTGGTGCTGCTTGCTTTCTAGCTGTCTGATCCTACCGGGTCTTGCCTTGTTTGTGCCTCTCATTTGGGTTAAAAATTGGGCACACAGGTCCTAGAGGCATAAAGATGAGGAGCTTCCAGGTAAGCAGTGTGGTTCTGGGGGAAAGAGCACAGGCTTGAGAGCTAGACAGAGCTGGACTTATATTCCAGCATGGCCTCTTGTGTGAACCATGTGCTCCTGGGCAAGTCACTTACCCATTTGTGCACTGTCCTTAGGGGAGTGAGGAGAAAATGAGACTAAATGGGGTAATGCAGATAGCACCTAACATAGTGCTTAGCACATGAGGGTACCTGAGGTGGCTGCTTTATTCCTTAGTGTGTAAAGAAGAAATGTTAACATGTGGCTTCTAAACCAAATGACAGGTATTATATAATCCATAGGTGCGGGGAGTGAGAGGATAGGTTAGGAGCGGGGATGGCTGGAGGAGGGAGGGAGGTTGGAAGAGGCTCCCCAGAGGGCTGACAGGTGAGTTAAGTCTTGATAAACAAAGGGGACTTGGCCAAGTGAAACCAGGGGAGGGGAATGCTGAGCATATTCAGGCACAGGCTTATTTGTAGTTGCCAGAAGAACACTTTCGTGCCTCATGAAGGTCAGCCTTCATTAAATAAGCTTTTGTTTTTATATCCCACTCCTGTTTTATGGGCTTGGATGTTGGGTGATTCTAATGGAAACTATTTTATACAGTGCATTGCTGCACCTCCTCCAGCTGTGCACACAGCACAGTGAACTGTGACAGTGCACTTGTCATCCAGCTTAGGCTGACAGAGCCTGGGCTCACTGACCAGCCCAGGAGGAACCAGCCTCTGCCTTACCAGGCCATCAATCCCTGAAGCCAGGGGATCTGCCCTGCCAGACACGGGCATGTGTGTGTGTGTTTCAGGCTTATCATCCTTGCATTGCTGGGGGTTTCGCAACACGGGGAACGTTGCTGGTCTGGCTGAGGTTTCTGTCGTGCCACCCCTCCTGCCCTGCTTATGGAGCTACTGTATGTGTCAGGGCCGTTTGCATCCTGTTACTAGTCAGTCTATCTTAATGCACTTTAGGAAACTCTTCCCTTTCCTTGCACGTGCTTTGCGTATACTAGTTCCCCATAAAGAATGTCACTGCCTGAAACAGAACATTCTGTGAAATGCAGGGCTGTTGGATTCACATGTTAAATTGTTTCATCTCAATCACGAGGGTTGTGTAGGATCCAGGGAAGATTTATCCCGGGGGGTCAAGAGATATCGATGCCCTCCCAGAAGGAGTTGCCAGCCCACTGAGCAGGGTGGTTCTGCCCTCTTGCCTGGCACTGGATCTCAAGTATTTAAGAAGAAAAGAATGGAATACAAAGAAGTTAGAAGCGCTTTGGGGCAGATTTTCCAGCAAGACTGGGTTTGTCTGCCCCTAGGGCCACTACACTGTAGTGTGCATTGCAAATCATGGTGGAGAAGGTACCATTTGATTTAACATATCACTTTTCCACCTTTACCTAACTACCTTTGTAGTCTGATAACTTGTGCCAGTTAGTATTATTTGCTGCAGTAATTGACTGGCCCCCTCAGCTCAGTAACTCCCAAGGCTACTGAACTACAGGGTTCAGAAAGTAGAAGGGAGCCATGCAGTCCTTCCACCGAGCGCTGTTCCCTCAATTTATGACCCCAGAAGGGTTAAGAGAAGGCCCAAGTCCCTCTGTTTCCAGTGGAGCAGAGGTTCTTAGCAGTGAGTTTTAGTGTTGAACAAAAATCAAAGCTAGAGCCTACTGGGGTTGAGGAATGTGTTGGTTTCTTTCTTTCTCGGTCATTCCCTGTTTCACACAGCTCTGATAAGTTCACCTTGTAGGACTAGGTCACACTTAGGTGATGAAAAATTTTCATCCTGTGTTATGTTTTCTCAATGACTCAGAGAAGGGAAACCCAGGCTGATTCTTCTTCCTTCTAACCCATCTCCTGAAAACTGCTCAGAGCCTAACTATTGCTCTGTTTCATTTCAGGGCCAAGATTAACACCCCTCCTGCAGGAGGAAGACAGCCACCAGCGGCTGCTCATGGGGCTGGTAAGTGGTACGTGGGTTCTTTAGGGGCTGGCAAACAAGGAACCCTAAGACAAGGGGAAAGGATTACAGTGGGCTTCTCATTCTGATCTTATTCTTTATTCTTTGCACAAGTATGTTTTGCCAGCATTATGGACCTTGTGTGCCCAGTGGTAAGCAACCCATATGATTTCTGCCCTCTTGGAATGTGTAGTCAAAGGGGGAAGACACACATGCATCACACCAATACATATGTAATTTACAAACCATGATAAAAGGAGTGTATAGTGTTGAGAGTGCTTTAAAAAAGGAAAGAGCTGCATCTTTGTGGCATTTGTATTTGGGGTTTCAAATACAACAGAACAGGCCGGGCACAGTGGCTCATGCCTGTAATCCCAGCACTTTGGGAGGCCAAGGTGGGCGAATCACCTGAAGTCAGGAGTTCGAGACCAGCCTGGCCAACATGGTGAAACCCTGTCTCTACTAAAAATGCAAAAATTAGCTGGGCATGATGGTGCACACCTGTAATCTCAGCTACTCAGGAGGCTGAGGCAGGAGAATCGCTTGAACCCAGGAAGTGGAGGTTGCAGTGAACCAAGATTGCGCCACTGCCCTCCATCCTGGGCGACAGAGGGAGACTCCGTCTCAGAAAACAACACAAAACAACAACATAAAAACAACAGAACAAAGTACTTTTTCTCAAGAAGTCATAATACTAGGATGACCAAAAAAATATGAATCAAAATAAATTTTCAATTGAAAAGCAGAATTTGTAAATAAATCCAAAACCTTTAAAAAGCTGATTAAAGAGACATCTGGAAAGCCTAATAAGATATTTTTTAATACCATGTGGACTTAAGAATGGGATAATCTATTTATTAGTTTAGGTTTAATTTTCAAGTTTTCTGCCTTTATTGCAGTCATTAGTGTTGTTTCTACATAATATATTTGAATTTCTATGGTAAGGTTTGAGTTTCATAGTTTTTAATATATTAGGAGAGGTTAGTTTAGATATGCCAACAATAGTAAAAGAAAAATCTCACATATACAAGAAGGAAATAATTATAGTACTTTTATAAAATTAAATATTGCACAGCCATTAAAATAGTATGGCAAACATGGCTGGGCACTGTTGCTCACACCTGTTATCCCAGCACTTTGGGAGGCCGAGGTGGGTGGATCACCTGAGGTCAGGAGTTCGAGACCAGCCTAGTCAACATGGTGAAACACCGTCTCTACTAAAAATACAAAAATTGGCTGGGCGTGGTAGCACGTGCCTGTAATCTCGGCTACTGGGAGGCTGAGGCATGAGAATCGCTTGAACCCAGGAGGTGGAGGTTGCAGTGAGCTGAGATCGCATCACTGCACTCCAGCCTGAGTGACAGAGCAAAAAAAAAAAAAAAAAAAAAGTATGGCAAACAATGTTTACACGACAAACATGCAACATTAGAATGGGTGTGCACGCCAGGAAAAAAAAAACGCAATTGTTAATATGGGTGGTAGGATTATGGGTGATTTTAATTTTTATCTTCATGGAAAAATTGAAAAGCACAAAGAAGTATGCACTATGTATTACACAGAAAGCATCTTTTATTTAAAGCCAAATTAATTGGCACATGCATGAGACTGAATTGAATTAAGGTACCATTATGTCTTGGCCTTGAAGGTTGTGGACTTGGTTTTACTCGGGGTATTGTAATGTGAACCTGCTAAAATAGAAGATGTGTGCATGGGTGATATAAGCTGTACAACTCCCTTGGGCTGTTTATTGGCACAAACGTGGTCCTGGCATCCTGCTCTTGCTGAGCGTGTTGTCTGGGCAAAAGGGAGAGGAGGGAGGAGGAGAGAGAAAAGCAAAAGGTGGGGAAGGCTGGGAATGCTAATGGTTGGGGAAGTGGGGAGGCCCAAGGATGATCAAACAAAGCGAGTATAGAAACAAACCTATTTGGAGGCACCAGAATGAATATTTCATTACCTTTGCATGTCAAGGGGCTGTGTTGAGTGTCTGTGGCCACTGTGTAGAGGGAAGTACCTGATTATTTCCCATTTACTCCTGCTTCTGTCCTTCCAAAACACCCAAAACTGTTGCCCCCATTGGCTCAGTCATTCTATATATAGAGTTGTTCCTGTTAATCCCCCAGGACTCTAGGAGAAGTAGACTTTAATCCTTTGGTAGATCCCAAAGCCTGTGACTTCTAAGTTGGTGACTTTCACTGTCTTCTTTGGAGGATTCTCGTCAGAGTTAGAGCCTTACTCGCAGTTGCTCACGGGGCTTTGGGTGAATCATAAGTAATTCCTTTTGAGGCAAATGTTGGGGACCCCTTATTTATGCTCACCAGAGAAATACTGAGAGTTATGCATTTCCATTGATGGGACCTTCAGATCCAGTATTTTTTATATTGATGAAGAATGTTAATAAGTGGATCTAATTCAAACCAGTTGCAGGTATGAGTGGGTAGGCTGTGACTTATTTAATGCATATCCTGTTTTCAGATGGTGTCTGAGCTAAAAGACCATTTTTTGAGACACCTACAGGGTGTAGAAAAGAAGAAAATTGAACAGATGGTTCTGGACTACATTTCAAAACTGGTTGGTCTTGCTTTTTATTCTCCTCATATGCCCCTTCACCCCACTCCCCATATAGTTCTGAAAATGTGGTGCAGGGAACCCATTTATGTGTTTTTCAAATTAGATTTTTGGAGATCTCCCGTTCTTAAATCAGTATTTGGTGCTGTAGATTGAGAAAAGGGAAATAAGGACCATAAACAAAGAGCATTTGGTTTGGAAAGTGGTTTATTGCCCTTCCTTCAAATACTGATTATATACCCATGGATGCATAGGACAATGAATTTAGTATGCTTGCCAAATGTTAATATCTCATCTTGGCAACTTCCAGCTCCATGTAGATGATTTCTGTACATGGAGGTTTATGCAGACAGGAGAGAACTTGAACTTCAAATCTTAATTAGTTCCAGTAGCCTAAGTAGGCCAGATTCTAGCTCACTTGTATTAATACTACCATGTGAGGCTGAGATTGGCAGTTCCTTACCTGGTAGCCACTTACTGAAATTTTGTGATCCAGATTAGTAACACCACTGTATGTGTAAATAGTAGTGATAGGACTAGATTGAATTTTAAGGTTGTCTTGAGTCTTTCAAAAAGCATAGAGAGTTGAGGCCTGATCTTGCTTAGAGTCTAGAAATAATGTTTGACAAATTCAAAAAAATGTTTGCACAGAAAGAGAAAGAACACTCCATTATTTCTCCAAATTTGTATAAGACCAGTATGCAAATAAGCCAGTGTGTGAACATATATTTTTCCATTGAACTCTGGAAGATTTGTTAAATTTATTAGCTATAATCCTGATTTAATCATTTCATGTTTAATTTTCAAGTTTTCTGCCTTTATTGCAGCCATTAGTGTTGTTTCTACGTAATATATTTGAATTTCTATAGTAAGGTTTGAGTTTCATAGTATTTAATATATTAGGAGAGGTTAGTATTCTCATGTAGTGATATTTATAATCAGGGATTTGAATCTTTCTTAAGTCTCCTTCTCAATAGCACTGTACCAAGGAACTCACTTGATGAATGTGTTACTGATCCTCCCCATGTTGACATTAACTTGCTTTAAAAAAAAAAAAAAAAAAAAAACTCACAACACACAGTGATTTAACACATCCACCTATCACCTTTATTTCTGTTGACTCGAAATCTTACTTCCCAAAGTGCTAAGAAGGGTTTCCATTCAAGCGTCATTTTTCTCCATTGTTAATAACATAAGTTTTAACACTAGTTTGTGTTAACAGCCTGTAGAACCAATAGGCCCAGAAACGATACATATGAAGTCTCAGAAAACTCAAGGTCCCTGACATTGACTCAGCAGTCACTGATTGAGGCCACATCTCCCTGCCCCTGCCCAGCAGCCACTAGTCATGCCTTCTGCTCCCCTCTAAGGAGAGTGGCTGGCATCCTTTCTAAAACATATCCAAGGAAGTTGCTGCAGAACCTGATTATATTGGTTACATGTTAACTTACTTAATTTCAGCCAAAGAGAAACTGAGGATCTGTATCAAGGATAGCGTTTGCCTGTGAGTCTATGGAGATCCTTCTGCTTTGCCCCGTTTTTAGCCCACACAATGTGTGGATTCGTGGCTGATAACAACTCCATAGGGACTGCTCTTCTGCTGGCAAACTCGTTGCAGCGTTAGAATGGGTTTCTGGATAAAGCTCTAAGACAAAGAAGGCTACCTACTTTGGTTGATTAGTTCCAGTCAGTGTGCTAACCAATTCTTACAAAAACCCTATGAAATATTTCCCCTCACTTTACAGATGAGGACACTGCAATTTGGAGAGGGTGGGTAACTTGTGTAGGGTAACACAACTAGTAATGTATAGAATCTGGACTTGATACCAGTCTTACTTCACAGCTCATGATCATGACCTCCATTCTGTGTCTCTTTTCTTCTGACTGTCCACTGTTGGCTCTTGCGTTGTGACAGGCCTGGAGCAAACCCTGTAGCACTTTACCTTCACTGATGGATGGGGGTCTGTAAGTGTGAGTGGTGGGGCCAGTTAGCTGGGCTGGGGAGGCTGAGCTGGGGCACTGCCCACACAAACAGAGGATGCTTTGTTAGTTTCTGGTGCACATTTTCAGTCTTTCTATTTTGGGTTCAGTGCTTCAGAATTGACCTCAGAAAGGCTAGTTGTGTGTCTGGATGCAGCCTGAATGCCAGCTGCCCTGAAATGCTTATCTGAGTTGTGGAGGCCTAGCTGTGGGGCCCTTGAGGGAAGGAATGGAGCAATGGTTAATGGACTGTCTTCACCCTCCAGCTGGATCTCATTTGCCACATCGTAGAAACCAATTGGAGGAAACATAATCTTCATTCCTGGGTTCTCCACTTGTACGCAAGTATTTCTCACTTTTATCATGGTGTACAAAGAGTGGAAACAACTCTGTTGTAGCAAAACCCTTTTGAAATGCACTAGTTCAAATCAGTTCTCACCAGCTTCAACACCATCTAGCTTAATTCTATACTCAGCATTTAAAGTTATGCCCCCCTGCATATGTACCCTTTAATGTATAATAAAAGCTAAAATTAAAACAAAGTTATGCCCGTTACTTTACCCATCCTCTTTCCCTGGCACATGGTTGGTGACAGGGGAGGGACAAATGAGCCCAGTACTGCCAAGAAGGGGAATTTCACTTAATACAATGTGTAACATATGTTCCTACTCTGATTAAATTCTAGGCATTAGGCCGATGGTCACATTCATATTTATGGGGCTTTCTACAAGGCATAGCATTTCATGATTAGCATGAACCCTTGTGTAGTACTCAAAGCCACTGCTTAGGACAAATGGAGCATCACAGATGAGCTCCTTGGCTGACATGCTGCTTTGTTTTTTTTACCCAGCAATAGTCGTGGCAGTGCTGCTGAATTTGCAGTTTTTCACATCATGACCAGGATTCTGGAAGCTACAAACAGTTTGTTTTTACCTCTGCCTCCTGGTAAGTGTTGGCTCTTTTGTCCTTTGGTATAATAAATTTATTTCTTCTTCATATGGGCCCTTGCCTTTGGTACATTATAAGTTTGATGATGAGACTTGTGTATGAGAAATTGTGTATCTGGTGTTACTGTGAGTGATGGGCCCTTAGGTTGGTCTCTGCTGACCAGAGCTCCTCTGACTACTAAACTATGATGTAGCTTATTACTAACTTTAGGGAACCTAGGCTTACCCCATGCAGCTTTCTAGGATAATTTGAACTAGTAGAACTAATTCAGGGAGCTCTGTCTCTGATGTCTCCAGGCCTAGTTTATCTGATTGAGATGTCTGAAGATTAACACTGGGAAGTCGGTCTGGCTTGGTGCCAAGAATTGAACTGATTCTTATACGCTTGGAGGCTAAAAAATTCCCTTGGAATTTTTAAATAGGATCAAGTCAGGCCACAAAACATCCTGGGGAGATGTATATGCAGTCATTCATTTAATTGGTCATTTGTTCATTTAGTCAACAAATATTTGTTGAGCAACTATGACATGACCGGTAACGTGCTAGAAATTAGAGCAATTACAAAGATTAGTAAGAGTCTAGTTGGGAAGATGTACATAGAAATCAGTATCCATTATGAGAAATAAGCCCCTGTTAGCTATAAACTGTCTTGTGCTCATTACATATCAGTTCATTTTTTTATTGTGTAAGAACACTTGAGACCTACCCTCTTAACAAATTTTTAAATGCACAATACAGTATTGTTAAATATAGGTACAATGTTGGATAGCAGGTCTTTAGAACTTACTCATCTTTCATAGCTGAAACTTTATACCCATTGAACAGCAATTACTTATCCCCTACTCCCCGGTTCCTGGCAAGCACTGTTCTACCTTCTGTGTCTATGAGTTTGACTACTTTAGATACTGCATGTAAGTGGAATCATGCAGTATCTGTCCTGTGACTGGCTTGTTTCACTTAGTGTAATGACCTGAAGTTTCATCCATGTTGTCACATGGAGCAGGATTTCATTTTTTAAGGCTGAGTAATACTCCATTGTAAATTCTACACTTTCTTCATCTGTCAGTAGACATTTAGGTTGTTTCCCTATCTTGGCTATTGTGAATATGTTGTGATAAACATGGGAGTATATACATATCTCTTCAAGATCCTGATTTCAGTTCTTACAGATATTTATCCAGAAATGAGATTACTGGATCATATATTGATTCTTTTTTTTAAATTTTTTGAGGAACCTCCATACTGTTCGCCACAGTGGCTGTACCACTTTACATTCCCACCAACAGTGTATAAGGATTCCAATTTCTCCACATTCTTGATAACACTTAAATTGTGGTTTTTTGATAGTAGCCAACCTGAGAGATGTGAGGTGATACCTCATTGTGGTTTTGATGTGCATTTCCCTGATGATTAGTGATGTCGAGCATATTTTCACATAAGTGTTGGCCATTTGTCTGCAATCTTTGGAGAAATGTCTATTCAAGTCCCTTGCCCATTTTTTAATCTGGTTGTTTTCTTGCTATTGAGGTTTGAGTTCCTTATATGTTTTAGATATTAACTCTTTGTTAGATATATGGTTTGCAAACACTTTTTGTCATCCTGTAGGTTTTGCCTTTACTCTTTGGATCGTTTCCTTTTATACATATATATTTTTATTATTATACTTTAAGTTTTAGGGTACATGTGCACAACACACAGGTTTGTTACATATGTATACATGTGCCATGTTGGTATGCTGCATCCATTAACTCATCATTTACATTAGGTACATCTCCTAATGCTATCCCTTCCCCCTCCCCCCACCCCACAACAGGCCCAGGATCGTTTCCTTTGCTGTGCAGAAGCTTTTTTGTTGGGTGTAGTCCCTCTTACATATTTTTGTTTTCATTGTTTGTGCTTTGGATGTCATATTCAAGGAATCATTGCCAAGACCAATGTCAAGAAGCTTTCCCTCTATGTTTCTTTTAGGGGTTTTTCAGTTTCAGGTCTTATGTTTAACTTTCTAATGCATTTTGAGTTGAATTTTGTTTATGGTAAAGATAAGGGTCCCATTTCATTCTTTTGCCTATGGACAGTTTTTCCAACACCATTTATCAGAGATACACGATCCTTTCCCCATTGTGTGTTCTTGGTGCTTTTGAAGATTAGTTGCCTAAACATGAATGGATTTATTATTGCATATAAAGTTCTAATGAGTGTTAAACTTTATGATAGCTGTAACTACATATCAGCTGATATTTAGTTACTTCATTCATATATATTCATCCATTCATCATTTGTTCATTGCTTCATTTTAGGCCAACATATATATGATACTCATTTTGTGCCACGTACTGTTGAAAGTACACACAAATTAGTACACTTAATTTTCATAAAATTTTAACTGGTAGAAACTTAAGTTGGACCACATTAAATTGTCAGTGCCCAACCATTTTTTGGCCAACAAAAATGGCACTTTCATGTGGTTCCACTTAATATTATTCCCATTTTATAGATGGTGAAACTGAGGCCAGAAAGGTTGAGTAATTTGCCTAAAGTCACATAGCTATTAAGTGACAGAGCTGATATTCAAATCCAGGCAGTTTGGCTCCAAAATCCATGCTGCTTCTTGAATTTTATATTCCAGTTGAATTAGTTGATGTTGAAACATGGGCTATTTATGGGCCTAAAGAATCCCTACAGCATATGCTGCTCTGCATTTATGACACATCTGATACGGTTTGGAATCCTTCATTCTTCATCCACCTTATTTAATGTCTGTCTGTATGGCAGTACAAAAGGAGTTGAAAGGGACCATTTGTGAGGGGAATGGATGGTTTAAAATTATCCCAATGGAATATGAGTTATGAGGTACACCCTAGAAAGATTGAAGGATTACAGGAAAACTACCTTTGTGGCTTAAATTCTTAATTGTTTGTTGTTAACACAAAAAATTTGGTAGGGAAATGGATTGACAGTTTTAGATTTGTTCATTACAGATATTCAAGCTTCTTTTGAAAATAAATGAAACTGACTTACTGGGGACATTGTTACGCCTGGAGATCATAAAAATCCACTTTCTACCCAACTCACATTCCTTCACAGTGATAAGGAGGGAAAACAAAGATGTTATCCATAGTGATCGAGAATTATTATAAGTAGACTTATGGCTTGTGTCTGTGGGTCAGGTAAGGAAAAGGTGTTTCTCATTTTTTTAATTATACTTTAAGTTCTAGGGTACATGTGCACAACGTGCAGGTTTGTAACATAGGTATACATGTGCCATGTTGGTTTGCTGCACCTATTAACTCGTCATTTACATTAGGTATTTCTCCTAATGCTATCCCTCCCCCAGCCCCCAACCCCACGACAGGCCCCAGTGTGTGATGTTCCCCCCCAACCCTTGTCCAAGTGTTCTCATTGTTCAATTCCCACCTATGAGTGAGAATGTGTGGTGTTTGGTTTTCTGTCCTTGGGATAGTTTGCTGAGAATGATGGTTTCAAGCTTCATCCATGTCCCTGCAAAGGACATGAACTCATCCTCTTTTATGGCTGCATAGTATTCCATGCTCTCTCCTTTTCTCTTGAATGTTTATTTCCATCATGTGACATGGAAATAGAGGGGGGAGGTGACACTGGATCATGTGTGTGTGTGCATGTGCATGCTTGTATGAATTCAGGGTGTTTCTATATGCACATGCGTAAGTGTGCTTGCTTTCCAGGCCTATTGGACTAATGATGACTGTTTGAGTTACGATTGTCAGAGACTTGTAACATGAATTGGTTAAAGTTAAGAAGAGAATGGGGAACACAAAAAGGAAGTCAGGGTTTAGAGCTAGGGCATTTGCTTTTAAAAAAAGGAACTGTATTGCACTTGCTGGCTAGAGGAGGCCAGGAGCCCTGGAAGATGAGGATTAAAGTTGGGTGGAGCTGATGACTAATTATAGCCAATTTGCTCTGTTGCTCAGAGCTGATGTATAGAGGCCAAGAACAGGTCCCTGAACTTGGGACTGTGCCCTGGGGATAGAGGATGAAGGGTCATCAGGGACCTTTAGCATATGAACACAGGGCTGGAGAGGGAAATTTGAATCCAGAAAATCAATATCATCAATAATCTAGTGTAAACTTTTCTTCAGAAATAATTTTGTAACTTTTTACTAATAGTTTTGTGAAGAATTTCCAAATCCATTTGAAAAACGTTGTTGTTAATTAACTAGTAAAATAGTGGAGTTTTTTTGGACTCAGGGAAGCTAGTGGACTCATCCTGTTAGCCCATTAACACATGCTTGTGGGCAGAGCCTGTACTTCATCTGACCCTTGATGTTACAAGGACTTAGGACTGTGCCCCATGGCTTGTGATTCATGTGTTTAGAGAGAGAAAATCCCATGATTTCTCTGAATCCAAGCCCTGCTCGTTGGGCATCATCCTTTTGTCAGGTACCTTCCCAAGAGTAGGCTATGATTCTTCTGTCAGTCATTCCCACATTCAATGAGTTGCAAAGCCTGTACATGTTACCATGCCTCTCTGATTCAGTGCCTCCATTACCTCTTATCCACGTTCAGGCAATAGCTTCTCTACAGGTCTTCATACCTTCTGTAGCAAATTATTACTCCAACTCATTCTTTGCCTGTTGCCATATTAATATCCCAATGGTAAATCTTCTGTTCTGCTTAAAAACTTTCATTACCTCCTCAAAGTCTCTCAAATTAATAAATCTCTATCATTCAGCATTCAACCTCTGTCACCTGCACTCATAAGCACAGAACTGGTCACATTTTTAAAAATGTCTATTTTTTGTAATTGATTGTCTGCCTCCCCCAGCAGACTGCAAGGTGTATGGGAGCAGCAGTTGTGCCTGTTTTGCTCATTTTTATACTCTTAGCCCCTTGCCAGGTGTGTGGAAGGGATGTGCTGAATAAATTAGCTTTTCCAACCTTACCTCTTAATCTTTCTCTCCTCTAATATGATTCCAACCCAGCTGGATCATTTACTATTTTCTGAATATGCCCTGTGCTTTCTCATCTTCGGACCTCTGTTCATGTTCTATTAACACAGCTGCCAGTTATTAACAGTGACATTATGGTTGAAAGCCTACCCTACAATCACACAGTTGATGCAAATTTCAACTTACACATTATTATTTCTGTGATCCTGGGCAAGTTGCCTAGCTCCTGTGAATCTTGGCTTTTGGTTTTTCCATTTATGAAATGGGAATCTAGTAATTCCCACCCCATACTTTTGTATGAGGATCAGATGAGCCAGGACACAGGTTGAAAGCCTTGGTACATGTCCAGTATGGGTCGCTATTGTTATATTGCATGCTAGGCTCTTCACAGACCTGGCTCTAGTTCTCAAAGCAGCCCTGTGGGAAAGGTACTGGTGGTTCCAATTTAGAGATGAAGAAATGGAGGCTCAGAAAGGCTTAGTTGCCTGCAGCTGGTGAGTAATACAGCTGGATTCTGGCCTAGGGCTGCTCATGCCAAACCTGGCTTTTTCTACTGTCCGCACTCATTTCCACTGATAGGAATTGCATCTGTCCTTTGAAGCTCCCCGCAAATGCCATCACTTCCAAGAGAGCTGTTTTGATTCTCTCCTGGTCTGATACCTTCTCCCATGCATGATGTTTTTATCTGTTGTCAGTAGTAGTATACTTAGAGATCTGGGTTTCTGTGGGTAGCTCTACCCGTGAGACAGGCTTGAGAATGCCTGCCTCTCAATTGAATTCCTATAAATTTACTATCTGGCCATATTGTCTTAATTCTTTCTTTTCTATACTTTAGTCCAAGTAGACTCTAAAAGCCTTTCTCTAGGGCATACCCAGAGATAAGCCATATAAACTATTGCCTTCTGGTCCAAATTTGTTTCCCTTCAGCAAAATGGTCCTCATCCCAACAACCTTTTAGTCTGGACATACGAAATCTGAAATGCTTCTGTACTCTTTTGCTATCTTACTGTAGAATCACAAACATATCAAACCGTAAAACCATTGAGCAGGCCCTTGCTCTGTTTCTGTGCAGGAAGAGACCCAAGGAGCAAGGAATGTATACTTACCGGAAACTTACTATAGACCCAGCGTGATATTTAGTTACGAATAATACAGAGAAGGAAACTTGGACCTTGTTTTCAAGAAATTCAGTTGGTTCCAGGCACCAAGCACTGAACTAAGTGCTTTATTAACATGATCTAATCCATTCCCCGGGGGCTGCTGGAGATGTTGGCTGACTGTGTTTACCCTCCAGATCTCTCATCCTAGGTTTTCATACTCTGCACACCATCCTCGGGGTCCAGTGTCTCCCTTTGCATAACCTGCTGCATTGCATTGACAGTGGAGTGTTGCTTCTCACTGAAACAGCTGTCATAAGGCTCATGAAAGGTAAGAAGCCCTGAGTTTGCCAGAGTGCTAGTTCCAGCCTGAGCACCACCAAGGCTAGCTTCTTGGGTGTGCAACCTGTGCAGTCACCAAGAGCCTGGCTGCACTCAGAAGAGTGCCCTGCTCAGTTTAATGCTGCATTACATCTTGAAATTCTTAGTAGTATTTGAACGAGGGCTTGCTCGTGTTCATTTTGTGCTGAGCCCCACAAATTATACAGCTGGTCCTGTGAGCACAATCCATTCCCTGTAATCATCTTTTGGGCCAATTTAAGGTTTCTGAGCCCTTCACGAGGTCCTAAGGGACTTTTCAATCCACATACAACTATTAGATTCCTTTTCTGTGCAAGAGGGCACTTGAGGCTAGGAACCTCTGCAGGCTTGTTTCTCAAGAAAATGTCACGAAATGGCTTATTTTCAGCTGATTAACTCTGTCATCTCAAAGTTAGACTAGAAATGCAAGGAAAATTATTGAGAGGGGCAATTAAATGAATTTGAACTTTAAATTCTGTAGTATAATCACTCAAATTATTCAATTGTATTTTAAGATGATTTTTGTTTATATGAAAGCATTTGTCATTCCTCAAGGTACCTTCTGTTTTAAGTTAGTCAATAAAATTGCTTTGTACCTGGCAGCCTGTTATAGAAAAATCCCTTTTTATTCAGAGAGTCAGAGTAAAATTTCCAAAATGCTGTTAGATTAGCTTGAGAATACACAGTTGGGATATGTCCTATCAAGATGAACCACTCAAGTATTAATATTAACTTGCTAAAGTATCAAAATGGGTATTTGTTTCATTTGCTAATCTCTAACTTTCTTGTAGATCTGGATAATACAGAGAAAAATGAAAAACTGAAATTCAGTATCATTGTGCGGCTTCCTCCGGTAATACTGAGTTACATTTTATTTTCTCCCTAAGCTTTGGCATTACCCTCCTTCAATTTCTTCTTGCAAAAAGAGCATTTACTTGCTTTGGGTTAAAGTCAATTGAATTGTTTCACTTTTCAACACTTCCAAGAAATCCCACCCGTCCCCAGCCCTCTGTTAGCTGTTTCCCACTTGGCCTACAAAGCACTTGCTCTCTGGCTCTGCACTGCCTTGGCACAGTCCAGTGAGAACATTAAGCCATTTTTGCCTCTTAGGAAACCACACTAATATTTACATCTGAGTCTGAGAGGGAGGGAGAAGGGGAAACGTGCTTTTGGCATTTAAACAGATTTAACTTGGATACATTGGAATACAGGTGAGGACAGAAGGTTCTAGACCTGTATTTCCCCTTACTGCATTTCTACCATGGTAGGAAGACATTCCTAGGTCAAAGGAAGAATGAGAAACATGAGGGAATATCAACACTTAGAGTGAGAGATACTATGAAAATATGACATGGTAGGAAGACATTCCTAGGTCAAAAGAAGAATGAGAAACACAAGGGAATATCAACACTTAGAGTCAGAGATACTATGAAAATATGAAATTCCACAGCAAGGTCTTCCGAGCCTCTAACTCTGCAAACTTCCTGACCTGGAGAGCCTTAGCCAGCTCCATCTGCTGTGTACATGCCTTGCACACTTGCACCTCTGGCACTGTCCTCTCACGAACGGCTGTCTGTTACCTTTCTGGACCTAATCGCCCTGCTCTGTAGTGGCCCTTGCCCCTCACTCACAGGCTTACTGAAGCAAAGGCAAGAATAGAAAACAAAGCATATTTTCCATAGCTAGATCTCTCTGGGAAACATTGCTGAATATTTAATTTGGTCTCCAAATTTGTTTATTTCCCCAGTACTCTTAGGGAATTAAAATTTTCTAGGCAAGACAATGGCAGAGAAGTTGATATAAACATGCGTACCCCCCTTAGTTTCCGGTCAAAACATCAGAGTTGGCATGCCCATCTCTGGTTTTGAAGAGCAGCAGATAAACTCCATTTCAGTAAAAGGGTTTGGCAACATCAGTGTATAAACCACTTTCCTCAATGTAGCGTTTGAGAGAGTATTTACTCCCTCATAGAAACTTCATAGGAACATGGCATTTCTCCAAGGGTCCTTAATCATCAAGGGCCTGGAGACTAACCAGCTACTTTGGAATAATACTTTTAAAATTATGAATAGATATAAGGTGTGTTTACTTAATATAGTGTGTGGTATTCGCTACATTTTTTTCAATTTGCATAATAGCTTATTGGGCAGAAGATTTGTAGACTTTGGGATCATCCTATGAGTTCTAACATCATTTCGCGGAACCACGTGACGCGACTGCTTCAGAACTATAAGAAACAGGTGAGTTTCTCTGAAAGCACAGCCAACTAAATGTTTTTAGGATCCTGTTTGCCCGTGACAACATATCTGTATGGACAGCAATTACAGTTCTTATCACTTTATTTTAAAATTGTGCTTATTGTGGAGAATCAGCTTACACCAGAAGTGGTTTCCCTTTTAGCCTCGGAATTCTATGATTAACAAGTCATCGTTCAGTGTAGAATTTCTGCCTCTGAACTACTTCATTGAAATTCTGACAGATATAGAGTCCTCCAATCAAGGTAATTTACTCCCCTGTTCTCAGGGTCTTACCACTTTTCCCTTGACACATCAGTCCTTCCCTATTCACTTCTTTGTCTTCTTTCCAAAATCCTTTTAACATACAAGTAGACCCTTATAGCAATTGGTTTACATTAGCAGTACCAAATTTACTACCTAGAGTAAATTACCAAATAATCACCTCTGAAGTTTTAAAAGAGTCAAGAGGTTTAAAGCCCATTTGGTTGATGCAAATGTTCTTGGTGCTGAAGTTTAAATTTAAGAACACATTCTTAAAAAATTCATTTTACTAAAATACAATTATGATTTTAATGAGCTGTGAGCACAAAGTTATAAATGTTTCACGGACCCATGGTAACCCTTTTTCCCTGCCCTCTCCCCATTTTTTTCCAGCCCTGTATCCTTTTGAAGGACATGACAATGTGGATGCAGAATTTGTAGAGGAAGCAGCTCTGAAACACACCGCGATGCTTTTAGGCTTATGAAAAAGAAAACGCAATTGGATCTGCTGCTGCCATTTTAATCTTGCTCATTAACCTTACTCCTTTGAGAATTCTTTAACAATATTTAAAATTGGTAACAAAAATAGTTTAGCCATAATTGTTTAGCCATGTGAGTTTCAGGTTGGTACACGTTCAGACAGAACTGCTGTATCACATTCCAATTTTGAATAGCCAGTGAGCAATCAAGTGTAGAGAAATGATAAATGGCCTAAGAAGGCATACAGTGGCATAAACGATGCTCTTCCTAGTAGCTTAATAGGCCACAAGCTAGTTTCTGTTGCACTCTGAAATAAAATATGCTTTAAAAATGTAGGGAACAGTGCTTAGAAAAGCAAAAACTAGGTGTGTCATTGAAATAATAGGCATAAAAATTAAATGTTACATAAGAACACTATTTGGAAAGAGGGTCCTTTTAAAAACTGAATTTGTACTAAATCAGATTTGCCATGTCCAGTACAGAATAATTTGTACTTAGTATTTGCAGCAGGGTTTGTCTTTGTGAATTCAGATGAAACATATTTATTTTTTTTTATTTATAAAAGGTTGATTTAGGAATATTTTGTCAGTCATTAAAAAACCTGAAAACATAGTTTTGGCCTGACTTTCCCTGTTTTTTGAATGTAGCCTTCTTATTGAAGCCAAGAATCATGCGTCTATGAACATTTTCTCCAAAGGCCCCCATGTGACACCTAACTCATTGTACCATTTCTTTTTTTCGCTTTTCCATAGTGATTTCATTCTAACCCATAAATACAGTTGCAGCCCAAGGTCAGCCCACAACCTTTTGCTTTTCTGTCTTCAGACTGAACTTGAGATTTTAATGATTATAAATATCATTAGCTGGTATGATCATTCAACTTCCTGTCTAAAATCATTTTGTTCTAAAAATTGTCCTCTCTCATAGAATTACCCTTTTTGGTCAAATACTTCATTGTTACCAATACTCAAAATCTTGGAGCCTAGTCAATGCAATGCTGATTCTTTCTCTTGATAAGGTCATTATCTTTCAATCCCTGCTTTCATTCATTTCTTTGCATACCTGGATTGTTTTAGTTGCTCCCTAAGGTCTAAATTTATCTGAAACATATTTGAGATAAACACTAGTTTGATCTGGTCACTCTGCTCATAATCCTTTAATAACTTGCTATTCATTATAGGATAAAATTCAAACTCCTTGACATTCAAGGTGTCCCAAATTCCTGCCTTGTATAATAGGAACATTTTCTTCCAGCCAGGTCAGTTCACTGGGCCTTGAACACAATTCTTGTCTTAGTTCCAAGCCTTTCTTTAGGTTATTATTTCCCACACCTGGATTCCCTCGTCTGTTAAAATCTTATTCATGCTTAAGGGTCAGATAAACAGTTCTGTGATCCAGGTCATTCTAGCACCTGGTGGCATCTTCCTTCTGAGTCAGTACCATGCATTGTAATATTTAACTAAACTATCCTTCCCTTTGTGATGTTAGTTTTCCATTCTTAGGTTGCTCAAACTTCCTTTGTGGGTATTTTTGAATCCCTAATGAGGTTACTAATTCCTACAATACAGGAACTATGTTTAAATATGCAGTATTTCTTATTTTCAAAGGCACTCCCAAGTAATTGCTTTATGACTCACCAAGCAGGTAAGATTTAGGCTGGGAGACATTAAATTTCTTTTAAATCTGGCAGGATTAGGACCTTGTACAGATGAATTTAGTAAAATAAAGGGATGGAATATTTCTCACTCCCAGAGTTGCAAAATAAAATTCATAACAGCTACCAGTATGAAATAAAGATACTTTCACCCCCTTCCCTCCAGAAACACCACTGGGCCAGCTAAACAGTCATGCAGCCATATCATGGGCTTGAGAAACAGCCCTGGGCCCACCCCTGGCAGACATACCCCCAAGCCAGCTGAGCAGCTCTGTGCCCACGAACTGGACCTGAGAAATGGCCCCATGGGCTACCCCTAACAGACATGATCCCAGGCCAGCTGAGCAGCCTTGCACCCACATACTGGGCTTGAGAAGCAGCTCCATGGGCTGCTCCCAGGCTGGCTGAGCAGCTATATGCCTGTGTCCTGAGCCAGAGAAACAGTCCCGTGGACCACCCTCAGCAGACACATACCCAGGCCAGCTGAGATGCTGTATGACCATGTCCCAGGTCTGAGAAACAGCCCTGTGAGGTGTCCCTACCAAACATGCCTCCAGGCCAGCTGAGGAGCTGTGTGTCTGCATACCAGGCCTGAAAAACAGCCCCATGGGCCACTCCTCATAAGCACATGTCCTGGCCTGCCAAGCAGACTTGCACCTGTGCCCTAGGCCTGATGATAAACAGCCCCGTAGGCCACTCTAAGCAAATGTGCCCCTAGGCCAGCCATGCAGCATTGTGCCTGCATTCAGGGTGTGAGAAACAGCCTGAAACAGTTGGCTGCCCCTGGCAGAAACGTCCCTAGGCTGACTGAGCAACCACATGCCCGTGTTCCCTAGCCAAAGTAAAAGCTCCGTGGCTCCAACTTCAGCAAGCCAGACTCCAAGTTGGCTGATCCACCATGTGCATGCATCTGCCCTCAACTTGAAAAATAGCCTGGTGAGCCCACCGCAGTTGCCACAAACTCTCTCAACCTAGGCCACTGAGAAACATCACTAGTGTGGATTGCAGCTGAAGAAACTTTAAAGATAGCACACTACTCCTTCCAGCTAGAATGAAGGCCAATGCACTCCATTGAACCGACACTCCACAACTCATTTATACAAATAAGTCTTTCCCTATGAAACCTCCATAAAATTGGAAGAGCTGACTTTTCCACCAGATGCATAGAAATCAATGTAAGGACATATCAAACATGAAAAAGTAAGGAAACATGACACCTTCAAAGGAAAACAATTCTCCAGTAGCAGACCCCAATTATAACAAAATATAGGAAATGCCAAAAAAAATCAAAATAATAATCCTAAGGAAACTCAGATTCAAGACAATACAGATACATAATTCAACAAAATCAGGAAAACAATTCATGATTTGAATGAAAATCCAACAAAGAACCAAACAAATCCTACAGCTGAAGGATTCAATGAATGAAAAACACAATTGAAGACCGCAACAACAGACTAAACCAAGCAGAAGAAAGAATTTCTAAACTTCAAGTATTCTGAAATAATACAGGCAGACAAAGAAAAAAGAATAAAAAATAATGAAGAAAGCCTATAGGATTTATGGAAAACTATTAAGTGAACAAATAATCATATTATGGGCATTCCAAAAGGAGAAGAGAAGGGAAAAGGTGAGGGAAACATGTAATGAATAGAAGATTTCACAAGTCATGAGAGAGAGGTGGACATCCAGGTCCAGGAAGCGAAAAGAACCACAAATAGATTCAACCCAAACAGGTAATCTCCAAGGCACATTGTAGTCAAATTGTCAAAAGGCAACAATAAAGAGTGCTAAAAGCAGCAAGAGAAAACTGTCAAGTCACATGTAAGGGAAACCCCATTAGATTAATAGCAGATTTCTCAGCATAAAACTTACAGGCTAGGAGAGAATAGGTTGATATCTTCAAAGTACTGAAAGGAAAAAAAAAAGCCAACAATATTATATCCAGAAAAGCTATCCTTCAGAAATGAAGGAGAAATAAAATATTTCACAGACAAACTAAAACTAAGGACATCTATCACCACTAGACTGGCCTTACATGAAATCCCATAAGAAATATTCAAGGGAATCTTACATCCGGAAGTGAAAAGACAATCGCCATCGTCATGAAAATATGTGAAACTGGCTGGGCATGGTTGCTCACACGTGTAATCTTAGCACTTTGAAAGCCTGAGGTGGGGAGATCACTTGAAGCCACAAGTTCAAGGCCAGCCTGCACAACATAGTGAGACCCTGTCTCTACAGAAAAAAAAAAAAAATTTTTAAACTTGCAAAACTGGCAAACTCATCAGTAGAGCCAATACACAAAAAGAAAGGAATCAAACCTTATTACTACAGAAAACCATCTACCCACAAAAGTAAATAAGAGGAAGGGACAAAGAATAAATAACCAGAAAACAATCAATAAAATGACAGGAGTAAGTCCTCACCTGTCAATAATAACCTAAAACATAAATGGATTAAATCCCCCATTTAAAATATGTAGACTCGGTGGATCATGGCAGACAGGATACAGAACTAGATTGCAGCTCTGCAAGAGCAGCATGCAGAGGCTTGCATTATGAATTTTAGCTCCAGATCAACTACAAGAACAGACCAGCAATGCTGAGAGGACCCACAGACCCTCTGAAGGAAGCAGACTGCTCCTGCAGGACCTGGGAGACACCCCAAATACTGTGAGTGCCCCAACCGCGGAAGTGGGAAACGGAGACCCTCCTCTCCTGGACACACACCCCCACTGGAGAAGCTGAAGGTCTGTTTGTGGGAGAAGTTCCCGACCTTACCTGGAGCTGAGCCAAGTTAGAGACTCGAGCTGAGCGAAATACAGGGGTAGAGGAAGTAGCAGAAAGGCACTGGGAGCTCACTGGATCCCCAAGCAGCCCATTCCTGCCTGGCACCACAGGGATCCATCAGGACGGCGGCCAGAGGAGCAGGAGGTAAGACCCTACAGGGAGAAGGACTTCTCTAGCTGAACTTTGTAACAATTTGAACGGGGAAGAAGCCTCCTAGCCAGAACTCGGGGGAGGGCATGAAACCAGCTTGCAGACTTCACAGGCGGGGAAAGAACTAAAGCCCTTTTCTTTTGCAGCTGGGAGGTGGAAAGCCTTGGGCAGGTTTTCAAGCCCGACTTGCCCTCCGCCTGGAAACAAGACTTGGGGCTATAGTGGGTGGCACGGTGGGAGTGAGACTGGTCTTTCGGTTTGTATGGGAGCTGGATGAGGCCTGTGACTGCCAGCTTTCCCTCACTTCCCTGACAACCTGCATGACTCAGCAGAGGCAGCCATAATCCTCCTGGGTACACAAATCCAGTGACCTGGGAATCTCACCCCACTCCACCACAGCAGCTGCAGCCAGACCTGCCCAAGGAGAGTCTGAGCTCAGACACAACTAGCCCTGCCCCCATCTGATAGTCCTTCCCTACCCACCCTGGTAGCGGAAGACAAAGGACATATAGTCTTGGGAGTTCTAGGGCCACGGCCACCTCTGGTTCCTCTCCACACTACTATAGCTAATGCTTTCTGGTGGGAGGCCAACCAGCACAAAAATAGAGCATTAAACCACCAAAGCTAAGGACCCCCACCAGAGTCCACTGCACCCTCTGCCACCTCCACTGGAACAGGCACTGGTAACCAGGGCTGAGAGACCCATAGATGGTTCACATCACAGGACTCTGTGCAGACGACCCCCAGTACCAGACTGGAGCCAAGCAGATTCGCTGGGTGGCCCAAAAGAGAGACAACAATCACTGCAGTTTGGCTCACAGGAAGCCACATCCACAGGAAAAGGAGGACAGTACTACATCAAGGGAACACCTGGGACAAAAAAAATTTGAACGATAGCCTTCAGCCTTAGACCTTCCCTCTGACAGAGCCTACCCAAATGAGAAGGAACCAGAAAACCAATCCTGGTAATATGACAAAACAAGGCTGCTGAACACCCCCCAAAAATCACGTTAGTTCATCAGCAATGGATCCAAACCAAGAAGAAACCCCTGATTTCCCTGAAAAAGAATTCAGGAGGTTAGTTATTAAGCTAATCAGGGAGGGACCAGAGAAAGGTGAAGCCCAATGCAAGGAAATCCAAAAAATGATACAAGACGTGAAGGGAGAAATATTCAAAGAAATAGATAGCTTAAAGAAAAAACAAAAAATTCAGGAAACTTTGGACACACTTTTAGAAATGCAAAATGCTCTGGAAAGTCTCAGCAACAGAACTGAACAAGTAGAAGAAAGAAATTCAGAGCTCGAAGACAAGGTTTTCAAATTAACCCAATCCAATGAAGACAAAAAAATAAAATACAAACAAGGCCTCCAAGAAGTTTGGAATTATGATAAATGACCAAACTTAAGCATAATCAGTGTTCCTGAGAAAGAAGACAATTCTAAAAGCTTGGAAAACGTATTTAGGGGAACAATCGAGGAAAACTTCCCTGGCCTTGCTAGAGACCTAGACATGCAAATACAAGAAGCACAACGAACACCTGGGAAATTCGTCGCAAAAAGATCTTTGCCTAGGCACATTGTCATCAGGTTATCCAAAGTTAAGACAAAGGAAAGAATCTTAAGAGCTGTGATGAGGGAAGAGAGAGACCCTCTCATATTGTTTTATATTGTTTTATACTCAGTACCTGTTTTAAGAAAAAACAACAAGGGAGTAAAACCAAAGACAGGCAGTCCGGCGCCAGGCCCAAAACCAGGCCCGGGCCTGCCTGGCCTAAACCCAGTAGTTAAAAATCAACTCATAACTTAGAAACCGATGTTATTCATAGATTCCAGACATTGTATAGAAGAACACTGTGAAACTCCCTGCCCTGTTCTGTTTCTCTCTGACCACCGGTGCATGCAGCCCCTGTCACGTACCATCTGCTTGCTCAAATCAATCACGACCCTTTCATGTGAAATCTTTAGTGTTGTGAGCCCTTAAAAGGGACAGAAATTGTGCATTCAGGGAGCTCGGATTTTAAGGCAGTAGCTTGCCGATGCTCCCAGCTGAATAAAGCCCTTCTTTCTACAACTTGGTGTCTGAGAGGTTTTGTCTATGGCTCGTCATGCTACAGTGAGAGAGAAGCACCAGGTAACCTAGAAAGGAAAACCTATCAGATTTAACAGCAGACTTCTCAGCAGAAACCCCACAGGCTAGAAGGGATTGGGGGTCTTTATCTTCAACCTCCTCAAGCAAAACAAGTATCAGCCAAGAATTTGGTATCCAGCAAACCTAAGCATCATATATGAAGGAAAGACATTTTCTGACAAACAAATGCTGATCAAATTCGCCATTACCAAGCCACCACTACAAGAACTGCTAAAAGGAGCTCTAAATCTTGAAACAAATCCTGGAAACACATCAGAACAGAATCTCATTAAAGCATAAATCACACAAGACCTATAAAACAAAAATACGAGTTAAAAAACAAAACAAAAAAGTCCCAAAAGTACACAGGCAACAAAGAGCATGATGAATGCAATGGTACCTCACATTTCAATACTAACATTGAATGTAAATGGCCTAAATGCTCCACTTCCTAAACATATATGCACCTAATACTGGAGCTCCCAAATTTATAAAACAATTACTAATAGGCCTAAGAAATGAGATAGACAAAAACACTGTAATAGTGGGGGACTTTGAGTACTCCACTGACAGCACTTATGTCATCAAGACAGAAAGTCAACAAAGAAACAAAGGATTTTAACTATACCCTGGAACAAATGGACTTAACAGATATATACAGAACATTTCATCTAACAGCCACAGAATACACATTCTATTCAATAGTGCCTGGAACTTTCTCCAAGACAGACCATATGATAGGCCATAAAACGAGGCTCAATAAATGTAAGAAAATTGAAGTTATATCAAGCATTCTCTTAGACCACAGTGGAATAAAACTGGAAATCAATTCCAAAAGGATCCTTCAAAACCATGCAAATACATGGAAATTAAATAACCTGCTCCTGAATGAGCATTGGGTCAAAAACGAAATCAAGATGGAAAATAAAAAATTCTTCGAACTGAATGACAATAAATGACACAACCTATCAAAGCCTCTGGGATACACTTAACATGTAGTAAGAGGAAAGTTCATGGCCCTAAATGCCTACATCAAAAAGTCCGAAAGAGCACAGACAATCTAAGTTCACACCTCAAAGATCTAGAGAAACAAGAACAAGCCAAACCCAAACCCAGCAGAAGAAAGGAAATAACAAAGATCAGAGCAGAACTAAATAAAATTGAAACAAACAAAAATACAAAAGATAAATGAAACAAAAAGCTGTTTCTTTGAAAAGGTAAATAAAATTGATAGGCCATTAGCAAGATTAACCAAGAAAAGAAGAGAGAAAATCCAAATAACCTCACACAGAGAAACGAAACAGGAGATATTACAACTGACGCCACTGAAATACAAAAGATCATTCAAGGCTAATAAGAACACCTTTACGCACATAAACTAGAAAACATAGAAGAGATGGATAAACTCTTGGAAAAATACAACCTTCTTAGCTTAAATCAGGAAGAATTAGACACCCTGAACAGACCAATAACAACCAGCGAGATGGAAACGGTAATTAAAAAATTACCAACAAAAGGCCGGGCATGGTGGCTCATGCCTGTAAACCCAGCGCTTTGGGAGGCCGAGGCGGGTGGATCACTTGAGGTCAGGAGTTCGAGACCAGCCTGGCCAATGTGGCAAAACCCTGTCTCTACTAAATATACAAAAATTAACAGAGTGTGGTGGCACATGCCTGTAGTCCCAGCTACTCTGGAAGCTCAGGCAGGAGAGCTGCTTGAACCCAGGAGGCGGAAGTTGCAGTGAGCTGAGATCACGCCACTGCACTCCAGCCTGGGCAACAGAGTGAAACTCTGTCAAAAAAAAAATTACCCACACAAAAAAGTCCAGTACCAGATGGATTCACAGCAGAATTCTACCAGACATTCAGAGAAGAATTGGTACCAATCCTTTTGACACTATTCCATAGGATAGAGAAAGAAAGAACTCTCCCTAATTCATTCTATGAAGCCAGCATCACCCTAATACCAAAACCAGGAAAGGACACAACCAAAAAAAAAAAAAAAAAACTACAGACCGATATCCTTGATGAACGTAGATGCTAAAATCCTTAACAAAATACTGGCTAACCAAATCCACAAGATATCAAAAAGAAAATCCACCATAATCAAGTAGGTTTCATACGAGGGTTGCAGGGATGGTTTAACATATGCAAGCCAGGAAATGTGATATACCACATAAACAGAATTAAAAAAAATATTACACGATCATCTCAACAGGTGCAGAAAAGCATTTGACAAAATCCAGCATCGCTTTATGATTAAAATCCTTAGCAAAATCGGCATACAAGGGACGTACCTTAATGTAATAAAAGCCATCTATGACAAACCCACAGCCAACATAATACTGAATGGGGAAAAGTTGAAAGCATTCCCTCTGAGAACTGGAACAAGACAAGAATGCCCACTCTCACCACTCCTCTTCAACATAGTACTGGAAGTCCTAGCCAGAGCAATCAGACAAAAGAAATAAAGGGTATCCAAATTGGTAAAGAGGAAGTCATACTGTCAGTGTTTGCTAACAATATGATTGTTTACCTTGAAAACCCTAAAGACTCCTCCAGAAATCTCCTAGAACTGATAAAATAATTCAGCAAAGTTTCCAGATACAAGATTAATGTCCACAAATCAGTAGCTCTTCTATACACCAACAGCAACCAAGCTGAGAATCAAATTGAGAACTCAATCCCTTTTATAATAGCTGCAAAAAAAAAAAAAACTTAGGAATATACCTAACAAAGGAGTTGAAAGACCTCTACAAGGAAAACTACAAAGCACTGCTGAAAGAAATCATAGACAATACAAATGGAAACAAATCCCATGCTCATGGATGGGTAGAATCAATATTGTGAAAATGACCATACTGCCAAAAGCAATCCACAAATTCAATGCAATCCCCATCAAAAAACCACCATCATTCTTCACAGAGTTAGAAAAAACAATTCTAAAATTCACATGGAACCAAAAAAGAGCCCGCATAGCCAAAGCAAGACTAAGCAAAAAGTGCAAATCTGAAGGCATCATATAACCTGATTTCAAACTATACTCTAAGGCCATAGTCACCAAAACACCATGGTACTGGCATAAAAATAGGCACATAGACCAATAGAACAGAACAGAGAACACAGAAATAAACCCAAATACTTACAGCCAACTGATCTTTGACAAAGCAAACAAAAACATAAAGTGAGGAAAGGGCACCCTTTTCAACAAATGGTGCTGGGATAATTGGCTAGCCACATGTAGGAGAATAAAAGTGGATCCTCATTTCTCACCTTTTACAAAAATCAACTCAAGGTGGGTTAAGGACTTAAACCTAAGACCTGAAACTATAAAAATTCTAAAACATAACATTGGAAAAACCCTTCTAGACATTGGCTTAGGCAAGGATTTCATGACCAAAACCCCAAAAGAAAAATGCAATAAAAACAAAGATAAATAGCTGGGACCTAATTAAACTAAAGAGCTTTTGCATGCAAAAGGAACAGTCAGCAGAGTAAACAGACAACCCACAGAGTGGGAGAAAATCTTCACAATCTATACATCTGACAAAGGACTAATAACCAGAATCTACAACAAAATCAAAAAAATCAGTAAGAAAAAAACAATCCCATCAAAAAGCGGGCTAAGGCCACAAACAGACAATTCTCAAAAGAAGATATACAAATGGCCAACAAACATATGAAAAAATGCTCAGCATCACTAATGATCAGGGAAATCCAAATCAAAACCACAATGTGATACCACCTTACTCCTGAAAGAATGGCCATAATCAAAAAAATAAAAAAGCAGTAGATGCTGGCATGGATTTGGCGATCAGGGAATCCCACCTACACTGCTGGTGGGAATGTAAACTAGTACAACCACTATGGAAAACAGTGTGGAGATTCCTTAAAGAACTAAAAGTAGAACTACCATTTGATCCAACAATCCCACTTCTGGGTATCTACGTAGAGGAAACAAAGTCATTATTCGAAAAAGATACTTGCACATGCATGTTTATAGCAGCATAATTCACAATGGCAAAATAATGGAACTAACCCAAATGCCCATCAATCAATGAGTGGATAAAGAAACTGTGATCTATATCTATATATCTATCTATACACACACACACACACACATACACACACACACAAATGGAATACTACTCAGCCATAAAAGGGAATGAATTAATAGCATTTGCAATGACCTAGATGAGACTGGAGACTATTATTCTAAGTAAAGTAACTCAGGAATGGAAACCCAAACATCATATGTTCTCAATGATGTGTGGGAACTAAGCTATGAGGACGCAAAGGCATAAGAATGATACAATGGACTTAGGTGACTTGGGGGGAAGAGTGGGAGGGGGCGAGGGATAAAAGAAAACATATATGGTGCAGTGTATACTGCTTGGATGATGGGTGCACCAGGATCTCACAAATCACCACTAAAGAACTTATTCCTGTAACCAAATACCATTTGTACCCCAATAACTTACGGAAAAATTAAATAAACTTATAATTAAAAAAATAAAATATATCAAGTGGCTAATTGGATTAAAGCAAACCAACACCTAACTATATGCTGCCTACAAGAAACTCACCTCACTTGTAAAGACACACATAGACTGAAAGTGAAGGGATAGAAAAAGATATTTCAAGCACATGAAAACCAAAAGTGAGCAGGAGTAGCTATACTTATATGAGACAAGACAAACTTCAAGTCAAAAGCTGTAAAAAGAGACAGAGAAGACCATTATATACTAATAAAGGGATCAATTCAGCAATAGAACAATTATAAATATATATGCACCCACCACCAGAGCACTCAGATATATAAAGAAAATATTAAGAGCTAAAAGGAGTGATAGACCCCAATACAATAATAGTTGGAGATTTCAACACCTCATTCTCAGTGCTGAACAGATAATCTATATAGAAAATCAACAAAGAAAAACTGGATTTAAACCATATCATGGACCAAATGGACCTAACAGACATTTACAGAACATTTCACCCAACAGGTGAAATACAGGATACACATTCTTTTCATCAGCACATGAAACATTCTTCAGGACTGACCATAGGTTAGAAATAAAACAAGTCTCAAAAAGAGACTTTTTTTGAGATGAAGACACTTTTTTGAGATGGAGTCTCACTCTGTTGCCCAGGCTGAAGTGCAACGGTGCGATCTTGGCTCACTGCAACCTCTGTCACCTGGGTTCAAGCCATTCTCCTGCCTCAACCTCCCAAGTAGCTGAAACTACAGGCATGCGCCACCATGGCCAGCTAATTTTCATATTTTTAGTAGAGACCGGGTTTCACCATGTTGGCCAGGCTTGTCTCAAACTCCTGACCTCAAGTGATCCGCCTGCCTCGGCCTCCCAAAGTGCTGGGATTATAGGTGTGAGCCACCTTGCCTGGCATCCAAATTTATTTTTTAAATCAAAATCATATCAAATATCTGACCATAATGGAATAAAACTAGACATAAATAATGAGAACATTTGAAACTATACAAATACATGGAAATTAAACAACATGCTCCTGAATGACCAAAATGAAGAAGAAAGAAATTAAGGAAGAAATTTAAAAATTCTTTGGAACAAACGAAAATGGAAACACAACATGCCAAAACGTATGGGACACAGCAAAAGCAGTAGTGAGAAGCAAGTTTATAGCAACAAATACTTAACATGAAAAAACTAGAAAGATTTCAAATAACCTAATGATATACCTCAAGCAACTAGAAAATCAAGAACAAATCAAAGTCAAAATTGTAGGAAGAGAGAAATAATAAAGATTAGAGCAGAAATAAATGAAATTGAGAGTAAAAAAATACAAAAGATCAACAAAACAAAAAGTTGGTTTTCTGAAAGAATAAACACATTCAACAAACCATTAGCTAGACTAAGGAAAAAAGAGAGAAGACCCAAATAAATGAAATCAGAAGCAAAAAAGGGTATGTCACAACAGATACAAAAAATAATTCCAGGGTGCTTTGTACTATATGTCAAGTTAGAAAACCTAGAGGAAGTGAATAAACTCCTTGACATATACAATCTACCAAGGTTGAATTGGGAAGAAATAGAAAACCTGAACAGATCAATACCAAGCAATTAGATTAAATGAGTAATAAAACGTCTTCCACACCTGTAATCCCAGCACCTTGGGAGGCCAAGGCAGGTGGATCACTCAGGGCCAGGAGTTTGAGACCAGCCTGGCAAAACCCCATCTCTACTAAAAATTCCAAAAATTAGCCAGGCATGGTAGTGCATGCTTATAATCCCAGCTACTTGGGAGGCTGAGGCAGGAGAATCACTTGAACCTGGGAGGCAGAGGTTACAGTAAGCCAAGATTTGGCCACTGCACTACAGTCTGGGTGACAGAGCGAGACTCTGTCTCAAAACAATAAATTAATAAAATAAAATATATAAAATAAAATAGTCTTCCAACAAAGAAAAATCCAGATGGCATCATTGCTGAATTCTACTGAACCTTTAAAGAAGATTTTTTCTTACATGGGTAAATCATGTAATGCTGAAGTTTGAGGTACAAATGATCCCATCATCCAGGTAGTGGGCATAGTACCCAACAGATAGTTTTTCAACTCTCCCCCCACCTTCTCCCCAATAGTCTGTCGTTTCCATCTTTATATCCATGTGTACTCATTGTTTAGCTCCCCCATTTAAGTGAGAACATGTAGTATTTGGTTTTCTGCTTCAGACTTGCTTAGGTCAGTGGCCTCCAACTGCATCCATGTTGCTGCAAAGAATGTGATTTTGTTCCTTTTTATGGCTGTATTCCATGGTGTATATGTATCACATTTTCTTTATCCAGTCCAGTGTTAATGGGCATCTAGGTTGATTCCATGTCTTTGCTATTGTGAATAGTGCTTTGATGAATGTACAAGTGCACATGTCCTTTTGGTAGAACAATTTATTTTCCTTGGGTATATACCCAGTAATGGGATTGCTGGGTTAAATGGTAGTTCTGTTTTTAGTTCTTTCCAAAGTGGTTGAACTAATTTTACATTCCCACCAGCAGTGTTAAGCATTCCCTTTTTCCTGCAACCTTACCAACATCTTTATTGTGTGTGTGACTTTTTAATAATAGCCATTCTGGCTGGATGTGGTGGCTCATACTTATAATCCTAGCACTTTTTGGAGGCTGAGGCAGGAGGATTGCGTGAGGCCAGGAGTTTGAGAGCAGCCTAGGTCACCTAGTGAGACTCCATCTCTACAAAAAATAAAAATATTAGCTGGGTGTGGTGGTGTGTACCTGTAGTCCCAGCTACTCAGGAGGCTGAGGTGGGAGGATCACTTGAGCCCTGGAGGTGGAGGCTGCAGTGAGCTGAGATCATGTCACTGCACTCCAGCCTGGGTGATAGAGTGAGACTCTGTCTCCCAAAATAAATAAAATAAAATAAAATAAAATAGATAAAACAAAACAAAATGACAATACTACCCAAAGCAATCAACAGATTGATTGTAGTCACTATCAAAATACTAATGGCATTCTTCAGAAAAATAGGAAAAAACAATCTTAAAATTTGTATGTAACCACAAAAGACCCCAAATAGCCAAAGCAATCCTGAACAAAATGAACAAAGCTGGAGGTATCACACTACCACATCTTAAATATACTACAAAGCTCTAGTAACCAAAACAGCATGACACTGGGATAAAAACAGATACATAGACCAATGGAACAAAATAGAGAATCAAGAAATTCATCCATATATCTATAGACAACTGATTTTTGACAAAGGTTCCAAGAATACTTATTGGGAAAAGGACAGTCTCTACAATAAATGGTGTTGGGGAAACTGGAGGTCCATATGCAGAAGAATGAAACTAGTTCCCTACTACTCACCCTATTTAAAAATCAACTCAAAATGATCAAAGACCTAAATATAGCACCCCAAACCATAAAACTACTGGAAGAAAACATAGGAGAAATGCTTCAGGACATTGGCCTGAGAAAATATTTTATGAATAAGACCTCAAAACACAGGCAACAAAAGCAAAAATAAACAAATGAGATTACATCAAACTAAAAACCTTCTGCACAGCAAAGGAAACAACAGAGTGAAGACAACCTACAGAATCAAAGAAAATAGTTGCACACTACTCATCCAATAGGGGATTCATATTCAGAATAAATAAGGGACTCAAATATCTTAACATCAAAAAACACTACAAAAACAACAATCTGACTTAAAAATGGGCAAATGATCTGAACAGACATTTCTCAAAAGACATACAAATGGCCAACAGGTATATGAAGAAATGCTCAACATCACTAATCATCAGGGAAATAGCAATTAAAAAAACATGATGAGGTATCATCCCACCCCAATTACAATAGCTATTACCAAAAAGTTAAAAAATAACAAATGCTGGTAAGGATGCAGAGAAAAGGGAGCTCTTATATACACTGTTGGTGAGAATGTAAACTAGTGCAGTCACTATGAAGAATGATATGGAAGTTCCTCAGAAAACTACAAATAGAACGAACATATGATCCAACAATCTCCCTACTGGAAATTTATCCAGAGGAAAGGAAATCAGAATATTGAAGAGACATCTGCACCCCCATGTTTACTGCAGTGCTATTCACAATAGGCAAGACATGAAATCAGCCTAGGTGTCTGTCCAACAACAGATAAGTGGATAAAGAAAATGGGAGCTACACACACACACACACATATGCACATACATATGCACATACACAACGGAATATTATTTAGCCACAAAAAAGAACAAAATCCTGTCATTTGTGGCAACATGAAAGGAACTGGAGGATGTTATGTTCATTGAAATAAGCCAGGTACAGAAAGTTAAACACCACATGTTCTCACTCATGTGTGGAAGCTAAAAATTGTTCTCACTCATGTGGAAGCTAAAAGTAGAACAGCGGATATAAGAGGCTGGGAAGGTTAAGGGAAAGGATGAGGAAAGGAAGGAATGGGGTAGATTTGTTAATAGACACAAAATTACAGTGAAATAGGTGGAATAAGTCCTATGTCCTATACCACTGTAGGATGACTATAGGTAACAATATACAGTTTCAAATAGCTAGGAGGATATTGAATATTCCCAACACAATGAAATGATAAAGTTTGAATGTATATGCTAATTACCCTGATCTGATCACTATACATTATATGTATTGAAACTTCAGTATGTACCCCATGAGTAGGTACAATTATTATTTGTCAAAAAAATAAAATGAAAAAAATGCAAAAAGCCATGACAAGCTTCACTACTTTATGTAATTTAGATTTACCAAGATTAAGTGCTACTTCTTATTCAACAAAGTGAGTTATGCCTTTGCAATACTTGAGGTATTTTCCTTTTCAAATAGCCATTCTTTCTTTTTAAAGTGTGTATATTGAACAGTATTTGTTTTTTCTTTAATAAACAAAGACCACTGTGTCCATTTCCGTACTTCATTGAGAACAGATTTATTTTTAGTGCATTTTTATAGCACCTTGCCTACTACAAATTTCTGGAATGTACTCAATATAAAGAGTGAAAAAGAAAATATAAGCGATTCAAATATATACTTTGACATAAATGTAGGACAGTTCTATGTCCCATTCAACGTCATGAAAGGTATAGTAGTTGGTGGGTAAATAGAAACCCTGTTGTACTCTGTTGCTGACTAATTGTGGTTACCTTACTTATCAATAATATTAGAAGTATTATGCTCACATTTTTCACCTGTGGGTACAAGGAAGCCTGGTTGAAGTCTTTTCCTTGAGAGGCCTGGATTTGTTCACATATTCAGATTTCAACTGGCTTTATAACAGGTTTCCTTATGTGCCTCATATTGGCTCCAGGTTCACTGGGTTTAAAAGGAGCCAAAGCACCATAAGGTTTTGGCAAAGGAAGAGTGGCATCTGCTTCTGGGATGTAGGCATTCGGACGCTGCTCTGCAGTTGTGTAAACACCATTGGGCAGCTGGCGATTATCTGCTTCCAAGAACTCCTGCAAAGAATGATTTTTCCTTTTCAGTTCTCTGAAAACTCTGGTGAAGTCACTTTATCCTTAGGTCCCAAAAGACACAGCTGGTCTGGACAGTCTTTGACCGTGCTAGCTGATACTCCCCAAAGGGATGGGAGGGGTAGGAGGGTAGAATCACACCACACACACACACACACACACACACACACACACACACACACACCTACCTCTCATTGGCATGGGCTGTATTGCTTCAGCATCACATTATTCCTGGGGTTTAGGGTAGGAGGGTGGAATCACACCACACACACACACCCCCACACCTCATTGGAATGGGCTGTATTGCTTAAGCATCACATTAATCCTGGAGTTTAGTGTTTTTCAAAGACTGCTTTGTGGGTCTTAACTATGTTTCCACCTCAATATCTGTCATCAAGCACTAATTATTTCCCTGTTTTTGACAAAGGCAGAGCAACATATTTCCTTTGGTAAGTCATTGGTGAGCAAAAGTTACAATGGAAGAGGTAGAGGAGTAAAGTGGAACCAGAGGAGGAAAATGGTCACCAGCTTTGCCCTGAGCCTCAACGTTTTCAAGATTTTGTCTGTGCCTCTGGAAAATAGAGTAATCACTTACTGCACTGAAAAGCCCTCTAATAAATGGCAGTGGGACACCACAGGTAAAATCTGAATGCCCTGAAAGGAACAGTCCCAGGTGGTGTGGAAATTATAAATCACGTAATTTACACTTGTGCTCAGGTATTCCTAGTGTGTTCTGAATGCAGTTTTGTCTTGAGTTCAGGAGCAAATAGGGACCCTTTCGGTGATACCCACTTGGCAATCTGAGTGAGTTGTACATCTGGAGGATGTAGACTCCTTGGAAAGAGATGCCTAATTCCAGTCTAAGAATACTGACAGGTCATGGGGGTAGACAGAAGATCTGCTATCTAACTTGCAGGGGGAGTCAGCAATAGACCTAGTCTTAGGCCAGAGGCCTAAGGTGGGAAAAGAAAGGGGTGGCGCTGGGGCCTATGATGTACATCAAGCATCTGCAGAAGGCATGGCACCTAAAATGTGGGTGGAGGCCTCACTGTATGCTGTGGAGGCCACAGGAGATGAACATGGAACAGTCAGATGTGGTCTGAGCAGAGGTGCCAAGACAGAGATTGGAGACTTATGGACAAGGCCAGTGCCAGCCTGGTCATTGCTATGCTGGTGGAAGGCCATGATGTTCAGCCTCAGCAGCCCAGGATGTAAGGCTATGGGGTGGGCCCTGTGCTTGCTAAGTGTTCTTCAGTGAGTATTGTAGCACTCTGGATTACTGCACTTTGACTTATCATAGAATATCTTAAATACACTTCTAACGACTGTTGGGACTGTGTGTGGTAGAGTGGGGAAATTTTTCTTATACTGTGGGATAACTGTGGGTTGCCTGAATGCAACCCCTGCTGGCACCCTTTAGAAATGCAATACAGGAGCCAAAGCCTACCTGAGACTTTTCAGCGATGGCCAAGGCGTGCATTTCTTCATCTCGAAGGACTTTCAACCATTCTTTCTCAATTTCCTTATTGAGTGGCAGACCTTTTTCTATCCTGGAATTGCAAGTGAAGATGAAGTCTTCTTTCTCCCTGACTTCCTTTTGGAGTTCAATGGTTAGGGCTTGTTTCATGGACAGCTCAGCAACAAGAGCCATCATTTTCTCAGTTGCATTTTTGATCCTTCTTTGATAGCCATTCATCTAGAATTAAAGAGCCCAAAGCTTAGTCTATGTATACAGTCCACAAAGACTTAAAATGGCAGGCTGCTGGCTGTCTATAATGGCGGGGTGCATTTTTGTCTGAAGGAAGGAGGGTCTAACTTGGAATTCACAGAAATTAAGAACTGGAAGAGACTGCAGATATTGAGCCGAACACCCTGGCTGTGTAAGTAAGGACAAGGAGAGAACAAGAAAAGGATTTGTTTATCTAGTTACTGGATTTCAAGGTGAATAACATTGAGGAGAACAGTTTAGTGCCCATTTTTAAGAGGTAAGAAGGAGAGGTGAAGGGATGTTCTTTTTTTTTTTTTTTTTTTGAGACTGAGTCTCGCTCTGTCGCCCTGGCTGGAGTGCAGTAGCGCAATCTCAGCTCATTGCAAGCTCCGCCTCCCAGGTTCACGCCATTCTCCTGCCTCAGCCTCCCGAGTAGCTGGGACTACAAGTGCCCAACACCATACCCGGCTAATTTTTTTTGTATTTTTATTAGCGCTGGGGTTTCACCGTGTTAGCCAGGATGGTCTTGATCTCCTGACCTCGTGATCCGCCTGCCTCAGCCTCCCTAAGTGCTGGGATTACAGGCGTGAGCCACCGCGCCTGGCCAGGGATGTTCTTTAAAAAAAAAAAAAAAAAAATTAAAATAAAGACAAGGTCTTGTTCTGTTGCTCACACTGGTATATAGTAGTGTGATCATAGCTTACTGCAGCCTGGAACTCCGGGGCTCAAGCAATTCTCCTGCCTCAGCCTCCTAAGTAGATAGGACTATAGCCATGCACCACCATAGTTGGCTAATTTATTATTTTTGTAGCGATGGGGACTTGCTGTGTTGACAAGGCTAGTTTTGAACTCCTGGGCTCAAGCAGTCTTCCTGCCTCGGCCTCCCAAAGTGCTGGGATTACAGGCATGATCCACTGTGCCCAGCCAAGAGTGTTCTTGATGCCTAAATTCTAGTTTAATTTGACGTTATTAGTTTGTCACTTATCCAGGGGAAAAAATCTGGTAGAATTAACGTTACTCTTTGCTTATATAAGATAATCAGCAGAAGTTCTGCATCTGAAATGACTTTTTAAATGAAAACCATCACATTGACATGTTGGCATTATTGATCATAATTCCTGGTGTGCATCATTACTAGGTCAGAAACATGCATGAGCTGAGCTGGGGAATATTTAGTCAATAATTTAGAATGAGAGCTGTTCCTGGAGTGTTTTGTTTTGTTCGTTTGTTTTGAGACAGGGTCTCACTCTGTCACTCAGGCTGGAGCACAGTGGTGTGATCTCAGCTCACTGCAACCTCTGCCCCTGAGGCTCAAGTGATCCTCCCACCTCAGCCTCCCAAGTAGCTGGGACCACAGGTGTGCACCATCACACCCGGCTATTTGTTTTTGTATTTTTTGTAGAGATGGAGTCTCACCATGTTGCCTAGGCAGGTCTTGAACTCCTGAGCTCACGCAATCTACCCGCCATGGCCTCCCAAAGTGCTGGGATTACAGGCATGAGCCACTGCGACCAGACTTTTTTTTTTTTTAACCTATTAATATCAGCTATTTAGCATTAACACAGTTAAAAGATAAGACTAACTGGAAAAAAAAGATCTCAAGAGTCAGGAAAGAAGTAAAACTGGAATTAGGGGTTCCTGTAAGCTGTCTTATAAATGGTAGACTCTTTTAGTCTGATAGCCATAGTGGAGCAGTTCAGTGGTGATACCTTCTACCTGGCAACACTCATTAGTTCCTCTTACCTTGCCTTATTTTTTGTTCACATCATGTCTCACTGCTGATATTATATATGTATTTCACTATTTTTGTCATCCCATAAGAATGTACTCTTCATGAGGACAAGGACTTTTTGTTTTATTCATCATCATAGTCCCAGTGCTCAGGACAGTGCTTGGAATATAAGAGGCACCCCCCCAAATTAAAGTTCAATATTTTCTGAATGAAGGAATGAATGAACTCTTAGTTTGTTTCATTCTTTGTTCTTGGACCAGGATAAATTGGGACATGCAAATGAGCTTCCAAATACTACACTAATGCTGAATACCTTCCTCTCCTAACAGAGCATATCTGGTCACATCTGTACCTCTGTTTAGAAAAATGTTGCTGCTAGTGATTTACCTGCCTCTGAAAATGTAATAACTGATTATTATACACAAATTTTGCCTCCTTAATGGTAGGTAATATACATTTTTATGACTCTTCTATACTGAACTAATTTTTAAGCAGCATGTATCAAATAAAAATGACTACCACTAAAAACTTCAGTGAGTCATAAGTTTTGCCATTTTTATTTGACTTCTAGGCTTCTGCTTTGACAACTTCCACTAACAGACTGAACAGTCCAGCAGCATTGGTGCAATTCACAACTTTTAACTCATAAAATAAGAAATGCTAAGACTTAGATAAGCTAATGCACTTTGAGTAAATTAGCATGTCTTATGTTTCTTTAAATGTTGCTGCCTTTCCTTTTTTAAATGAATTTCCTTATCTTTGGGGGGAGTCATTTTCCACTCAACCACGGCACACTTTTTTTTTCTTCTTTTTTCTCATCTGTTTTTTAAAATTATACTTTAAGTTCTAGGGTACATGTGCACAACGTGCAGATTTGTTACATATGTATACATGTGCCATGTTGGTGTGCTGCACCCATTAACTCATCATTTACATTAGGTATATCTCCTAATGCTATCCCTCCCCCCACCCCATGACAGGCCCCGGTGTTCCCCTTCATGTGTCCATGTGTTCTCATTGTTCAGTTCCCATCTATGAGTGAGAACATGCAGTGTTTGGTTTTTTGTCCTTGTGATAGTTTGCTGAGAATGATGGTTTCCAGCTTCATCCATGTCCCTACAAAGGACATGAACTCATCCTTTTTTTGGCTGCATAGTATTCCATGGTGTATATGTACCACATTTGCTTAATCCAGTCTATCATTGATGGACATTTGGGTTGGTTCCAAGTCTTTGCTATTGTGAATAGTGTGGCAATAAACATACGTGTGCATGTGTCTTTATAGCAGCATGATTTATAATCCTTTGGGTATATACCCAGTAATGGGATGGCAACCACTACACACTCGAGTGTGTGTGTCCATCTGTGTAACTGGCCAACTTCCCTTCTCTTCCATAAATTAGAAAACAAAGTTTCATATTATCCTGGGTTGCTCCAAGTCTTAACTGAGATTTCCCACTTTCTGCTCCCATTTCTGTTGGGAAATTTGCAGGAGGCGCCATAAGCTATCTAGGAGAAGTGAGACACTTGAGGAGATGTGCAATCTTTTTGAATGTGGCTAGGTCACTTACGTGTTCGACTATGTAATACTTGCAACAACTTTGGCTATCACACCCATTACACAGATGAGCAAACTGAGTTTTAAGATCATTTATCCATCTTTCTCAAGGTCATTTTCTACTTTTGATAAATCATAGATCTGGAATCTGAATGTCTTTCTACTTTCCAGTTCTGCCTACTATGAGATTATCATTTTAAATGGAGTGGGGACAGTGAAAGCTGGGGAGGAGGAAGAAGCCAATGGAGAGCATGGAAGGTAGGGAAAGGAAAGGGGAGAATAATTGTTAGACTAGGACTCGGCTGTGCTGGAGCTTTCCTGGCTATGGGAAGCGGCCGCTATGTACATTTCTTTAGCATTACTGTTGCCTTCCAGGCGACTCTGCCATCAGCTTTGATAAGTCAGGCCTCAGTGAAAAATGACTTCCCCCAAAGAAAGGGAAATTCATTTTGCAAAAGGAAGGAAGGCAACGTTTATTTAAAGAAATATCAGACATGCTAATTCAGGCAAAGTGCATGAGCTTAACTGAGCCTTCGCATCAGTCCAGTGGCAGACGTGTGACTCACAACTTTGTACCTTAGTTTGGGAGGCCAAGTTGTGATTTGCACACCTGCCACTGGCCTGATCAGTCTAGTCATGGAAGTCATCAGAGCAGAAGCATAATAGTCAAATAAAAATGGCAAAGATAGTCTAATATTTACAATCATTTCTTGTTTAGTGTTCCACATGTGCTTCTAGAACAGAACTGATGATTACTCATCCTTGAAGTGTTTTTCTAGAGTCTGGCACATGCTAGGCATTGGAGAAATTAAGAACGAGGAACAGCTGCTGCCCTCAGGAGCCCACAGTCTCTGGTGTGGGTATTACCATTATCTGTTTTCATCTGTCTCCCCCTACTAGACCCTATGAGCTTCCTATGGTGTAAACAATGTGTCCCTTCCTCTTTGTTTCTGAACTCATGCCTAGCATGAGAGTAGCACATAGCAGGTGTTCAGTAATTACTGTTGACTGGCTGAACTCTCTGCATTGACGGGATGCTCCAGGGAACCCAGAGGCCAGGTGAGTGGCCAGTCCTCTGATGGCTCTATGGTATGCATGAAAGGCCTCGCATGAATGGTCTTGTGTAGGGGTAGACTGAGGAAGGAGTGAGTCCCGTGCCTGCACGGACATGACCCAGAAATGGGTGTACAGGCTGATGGGGCAATTCCCCAAATGAACCTTTGTTGGAAGCAGGAGTCAGAGCCACAGGAAGCCTGGCAAGACCTGCAGGCACCATGCTTCCTGCACAGCCTGCAGAACCATGAGCCAAAATAAACCTCTTTTCTTTATCAGTTACCCAGCCTCAGGTATTCCTTTACAGCAATGCAAACGAACTAATAGACAGCCTTCACCTCTTCATTGCAGGTTGTTACAGAGACCAGGGTAACTAGCATGCAACATGCTGGGAGTCCAGGGGGACTTCTAGGGGCTCTGCTGGCTGCTCCTTTCAGTGCAGCTTCTAGCAGTCCCACCCTGACCCTGAGGCTCTGGATCTGCTGTCCTGGTCTCTTACGCTTATTAAATTAGGGGGTTCTGTATTCCTGGCCTTTCCTCACTAGTGGTGCCTGGTGGGCACCTCCATGGTGCAGTTGGTCTGGGTGTTGTGTGACTGCATTTCTCTTTATCAGTCCCTTTCAATTTCTGGGTTCTGGCTGAGTTCTGGATTGGAGCAGTCCCTACTAAGATCACTGGATAAGTGAGGCGCTCCACTTAAAAGGAACTAAAAAGGATTTAACTTTGTGCATGAAATACAAAGATAATAACTGTCATATTTGGGTAGTTGCCTTGGTAAGTGAAACTTGTATAGTGTCATTTAAAAGCCTAGGTTTTGCCACCGTGAAGTGAATTAATTCAGGGAATAAGATTGAAACATTTTGGACAATTCTCTGAGTCATCCTTTCGTTTTTCTAAGTTCCCCTAGTCATAAAGCCTAATCTCTCCAGTGCTTCTCTCAATAAATCTGTCGGTCTGTGGAAAATAAAAGGTAATAAAGGAGCAGGGGCAGAAGGGAAAAGGCAGGGTCTCAGGCCTACCTTCTTGGCTAAGAGCAGTGTGTCCTGCTTGCAGCCCTGAGTTTTGCTGCAGAGCCTGTCTGTGAGCCTGGAGACCTGCTCATAGATGAAATCCTTCTCCAGCAGCTTCTCCTCCTTCTTGGCCAGTTGTAGTTCCAGCTATGTTTGAAAATTGGTTCAAGAGGAATAAAAAAAAAGTCATCTAAGACAAAATCTTATTTCCTAATTAGAGCAGTATCTCCCCCTACCCCCCACAAAATACCTCTGGAAAGTGTTTAGAGCTGGGTTAAGACTTTCCCTGCCCCAGCCCCTGCAGATACCTCTGGGAGTTCGAGTATGGCCCCCTCAGCTCTATCTAACATCCACATCACCATTCTTCTGATGTGCTCCCATCAGGAAGACAAATTAATCCATTTAAGATGCCAAAATTACTCCTTTGGGTCATGAGAGAAATGTGCCTTTGGAATCTCGAAACCACTGGATTGGAACTTCTTTTGGCAAGTGTCTAAATCAAGCTTAGAATGTATGACTAGATTACAACAAAAGGACTATATTAGTGACTAGAATAATGAAGGATAGGTCTGTCAGCATAACATGAAACAGTACCATAGGTATCTGTGAAACTACATCAACGAGGAGCTAACAGATGCAATTTTAAGCAATAATGTTTACCTTGTCTAATTTTTGGATCATTTCTTTTTCGGTCAGATCTTTCCCTGGAAGGAAGCGAGCTCTATTCTCACCATCAGGCTTTACGAACTGTTTCTCCAGGTCTTTAATTCTGTCTGTACACTGTGAAAACTATTAAGAAAAAAACATTAACTTTAAAATGAACGCTCTAGCTCAGTTAATCTGAAAATCACATTGCCTAGGGTCTTGAGAGTTTTTTAGTAGGACCAACCCAGACAAGGGTAGAAGAGAACTCTGTTTTCTTAACACCCCATCAGCTGGGACCTGGTTAAGTGACGTTTCTGCTCATTTATGGTACTGCGACGATGATGTCTATAATTCGATCATATGAGGTGAGGCAGTGCCTTCTGGGTCATAGAAAAAGCTGGTTTCACAAGCGGCCCTTGATTGCTTCCCATTTTGGGTCATGTTCATGGGATGCTGTGTGGTTGCAGGGCTCCAAGTATACAGCCTGATATGGTTTCGATGTGTCCCCCTCCAAATCTCATGTTGAATGAATATAATCCCCAACGTTGGTGGTGGGGCTGGGTGAGAGGTGTTTGGGTCATGGGGGCAGGATGGGGCCTTCATGAATGGCTTGGTACTGTCCTTGCAATAATGAGTGAGTTCTCAATCTATGAATTCAAGTGACATCTGGTTGTTTAAAAACAGCCTGGCTCCTCTGCTTCTTTCTCTTGCTTCCTCTCTCGCCATGCAATGTGCCTGCGCCCCCTTTGCTTTCCACCATGATTGGAAGCCTCCTGAGGCCCTCACCAGATGCAGATGCTGGCACATGCTTCCTACACAGCCTGCAGAACCATGAGCTAAAATAAACCTCTTTTCTTTATGTTATCCAGCCTCAGGTATTCCTTTACAGCAATGCAAATGAACTAACACACAGCCTTCACCTCTTCATTGCAGGTTGTTACAGAGACCAGGGTAACTCACATACAACACACTGGACTTCATTTCAAAACACTTGGCTGGCAATAGGTTTAATGGCTTCCCAAAGAAAGAGAAAAACATTCTTAATTATTGAATCTACCTAATGTACACTCTGTGAGGAACAGCTTGGGCTATTTGTATTTTTTCTGCTAAATCCCTAATATAGTGTCATATGTATCAACTCTATTTGTTGAATCAATGAGATTTTGGTGGTGAATGAAGAAACATGGCTACTCCTAAATAGGAATGGTAGCCACACTTAGTTTTTGTTTTATAGGGAGAGAGATACGGAGCATGGTGACAACCAACAAGCATTATTTTCAGTTTTCCTACTGAATACCTGTGTAATCTCAGGTAAATCATTTATCTTCTCTAAACCTTAGTTTCCTCACTTGTCAAATGGGAAGAAAAGGCTCAGTGCCATGGGGTTGATCCATCATATGAGATAATATATTGATGGTATTTTACAACATGTCTAAGACTGATACAGGTAGCATTTTTAAAATTTAATTTATGCTCCTCCTCCCTACAAAAATAATTACAAATGCTGACAAATAATTTAACATTTTTCTTTTTCCTGTATCTACATCCCTTAAATGTCCTTAATATAGAATTGAAGTGTACATACATATGTAATCAAGCATTTGTTGTATTTATTATTAACAATACTTAATGTTCCCTTTTCTTAATTAGGAAACTAAATAAGAAACAAAAATATAGTGCTTGCTTATAAAGGGATGTCTCAATTTTAGTTTTCCCTTGGCATTTGAGGAAAAACTGTTTACTCTGTCTATGTAAAATAGTGTCCTTGTGTCCCAAAATAGTTCATATAACTTCCTAAAATTGAGCTATCATTATAGGAACCAGGAGAACAGACTCATGATAATCCTTGGATTAGATTGTTGGACAATTAAAAACTGTTATGGACGACCGAAAAAAATGCAAACCTTAAGAGAATTCTGAAAATGATGCAAAAAAGGGAGAAGACTTAAAAAAAAAACAAACCCCAAGACACTGTGGCTGTAAAAAATGACAGGATATGACCGGGATCTGACACTGCAGAACAGGGCACAGAAATGGCTTGCCTGAAGCTAGAAATTTCACATCATATCCTTCAAGGGTACACATGATTGATGCTGAGCAGATAATCAGAATTCACTCCGGTAGAGCAGATAACTGATAACACAGTCTGCATGTCTCAGTTCATGTGCAATCAAAATGATCAAAATTCACCATCAGGCAGGGAGTGTAGTGTTATGAAATGCATAATATTTCCTTCTTGGGTAAAAGTGAATTTACATTTCATACTAGATAATAGGTTTTATATAATAAAATGACAATTTTTTTTCTAAGAACAATTTTATCCACTGAATGGAAGTATTGATTTGCAGTGAACACAAAGAATATGCTTATACAATAGAGAGGAAATTATTCTGTTGCAGATTTTATTGAATTTAAAGATCTTTTGTGTTGCTCTGCATCTTGATAGTTTAGGATGGGCAAAGATGGACCTAAATCTTCATTTTGGGAAAAAGCTGGAGAGAGACAAATTCTTCTGTAAAATGGAGTGGGGGCAAGCATGGAGTTCCTGGGGGCAATCTGGGATGAGGAGGCTGTGGAGGGAGAGGGGAGGTGAAAGAGAAGCCAGTGAAATCGAGCTAGGCAAGGGTGTGGTACAAGGTATTAGTGCTCAGGGAAGCGTCTCCAGTGCCCCCAAGAAGAGTATGGATATCTGATATCAAATTGAAGTGCTTTGCATTTCTGTAATGTAACCCCACATACCATTGCCCCACATCTTTAATAAAGTCTGTCCACAGAGGCCTCGCTTGAATGGTCTTGTGTAGGTGTAGCCTGAGGAAGGGGTGAGTTCCGTGCCTTTGCAGACATGGCACAGAAGTGGCACAGGCACTGTGTGTGCAGGCTGATGGGTGATCCCTCAAATGAACCTTGTTGGAAGCAGGAGTCAGAGCCACAGGAAGCCTGGGGAGGCCTGTGGGAGTTTAGGGGGACTTTCTAGCCAATCGATCTCAATCTGACTACACTTACTGAAGAAATGAGTGGAAGAACTCAAGGCTAAATTAAAAAAACAAACAAACTTGGAATCAGAACATTGGCATATTTGTGCAAACTGAAAGAGGCTATTATCTATACAGCATATACACATTCAAATGGCATAAAATATGAAAGCAGATCTATCATCTAGTCCCATGAAATCCTATGAATCCCCTTCACATGATTAAAAAAAAGGGGGATCTAAAACTGTCTAGGGCATGAGCTAATGAAAAACATTTACTTGTATACCTAGAAAATAAATGACAAGATGTCTCCCAGATTTTTGATAATTTTAATAGCAATTATATCTTGGGAGTAGAATTTTATTTTCTTCTTTATAATTTTTATACTTTTACAAAATTTCATTCACCAAATGTCTTAACTTTTTATCAGGAAAAAAAATCCAAACGCAAACCTGACATTTAAAAAAAAATATTATAGGTTAGAATTTGTTCCTGCTACATTGGTCAATGGGAACAAGTTTAGGCTACACAGTTTTTATTTTAATTTTTAAAAAAATTCTATGAAGAATAAACCCCAAGTAACACATGTGAAGAAAGTAACTTTATATTCACATTTTATTTATTTTGTTATTTCATGTTTTAGTTTTTTGGATCTATTCCACTTTAAAAAAGGCCATGTCAAAGGCCAGGTTACTAAGCTATCATAGAACTACAGTGGTTAATAAAGAATCAAGTTATATGTAACTGACAACTACTAATAAGCAACAATCTCCAGACAATCTCTTGCTCTGGGGGCCAGAGTATCAAAAGTAAGAGTGCTGGCTCATCCTCAAGATCTGTCCAGCAAGCAGCAACGACATAATTATGCTGAGGGTAGTGAGAGTCTAGATCACTAAATTTTGAGCTATGAGGAAGCTGAGCTAGAGATAAGTCCTGGGAGTCTTCAAATTCCAAGAAAAGCAGAAAATGCTTCATAAGAAAAAAAGACAATGTGTAGCCTGGATGCCTGAAGCACAGATTCCATCCTAGAGTAGCATTCAAATGTATTTTTAAACAAGATGGATGGATTCTTATAGGTCCCAGAAATAGTATGGCTTGGTTTACATGCAAGAACTCACCCACAAACTAATAAAGGCAGAAAAAAATAAATGGTCTGAGGAAGTGTCCCGTGATCACTCACCCACCTGAATTTGGAGCACAGCTAGGTCGGCATCCAGGGACCTCTTGGCTGGCAGTAATTTCTGGGTCACACAAATTTGTCTTTGCTTCTCAGCAATCTTCATTTTCAGGAATTGGATCTTTTCTTCCAGTAGATGTATTTCAATTTCTCCATTTAGTTTCATCTTCTCTTGGATATTTATTTTTTCATAAAAAATGCATATTTCTTCTTCCCGCTCTATCAGCTGAACGCCACTATGGTCAAATTCAGAGGCAGAGGCTAAGTGGGCATTGAGACCACCGTTTTACTAGTCATTGTGGTTCCCTCTGGCTTTGGATGCAAGATATACACAACATAGCATACTTCCAGAGGATCACAGATAGTCACCAATGGCTTTCTAGTTAAATTACATCCACACTTTGGAATTCTCTAGGGATAGGAGGGTTACTGAGCCTCTCAACTTTGAGGCTGACCATGTGGTTGGCTAGCCACAATGTCTCTGAAAGTCCCAAAGGTTTTCCTGGGGTGGGAAAGAATGTCATTCCCAATGCACAAACAAAGTGATCCCATAGTCTGATTTTCTGCAGATCCTTTTCTCGGGTCAGACTTGCCAACCAAGGCCTGGCCAGAAGCACACAGGCAGGGGGCCAGGGAATGTAGTTCTGGTGTGAGTCTGCTCTATATTAAGTTGCTAGGCCCATTAGTTTCTTCTCAAGTTGAATATTTCTGGTTGTGATTTCCCCATAAACAGGCAAAAATCTATCCTTTGTAATCATGCCAGGAGAAAGACCCCTCCTTGAATGGAGAATATGGGGAGGAAACAAAGTAAGAATGTTCTAACCCCAGCAGCTCTGGTCTGCATGACCGATCATGCACCACTGATCTGAGTGGCACCTGGGTGCACACTGTTTGTCCAAACGCTTTGGTTTGTGCCAGGAGCTGAATAGCATTTTTTTTCTCCCCTGGAGAAAAACCTACCAGCCCTTTGAAAATGTGCTGTTCTTCAAAGGACCCTAAAGGTCTTCCCACACATTATGCATATACATTATTTCAGAGTTCCTCCTTTAATTGCTTCTATCTATGACTCCCCTTCCTCAAAACATGCATGCATGTGGTTGTACTCAGCTAATCCCAGCTCTATATTTTGTCTGTTTTCCTTTCAAAGGCTCAAGATCAAGTTCTCTTGACAACAGAAGCCAGGAACAATGTTTTACCACTTTTTTGTACTCTCAAGGTCTAGCACTCTAATGCCTTATACAGAATAGCACACAATCAAAGTTTGCTTAAAAAAAATCTGATACCAGATGTCATTATCACAGGGCTCTGCAAATTTCACATTCCAATTTCTCAGAGCACAAGTAACTTGGGAGAAACTGCTGAAGTAAACATTGATTAATGATATAACTGCAACCTGGAAGAAATAATGCTACTCCTAAAGGTCTTACTAACTTGCTGAGCAAATGAACTAGGAGAATGGCTAAATATAATAAGACCAAACTTACCACAACATTGGGTACAAGTTCCACACTTATTTATGTCAATTATGCTGAAAGAATCTGATGTTATAAGAGGCAACCCGAATGACCACTTAGGAAAGGACATTGATCTTCAAAAGCAAGCAACTTTCCCAAACCCCTCCTCTTTGCCTGTTTATGACATAGGACGGTATTTCTTTCTTTCTCTCTTTTTTTTTTTTTGTTTGTTTTTGGAGACGGAGTCTTGCTCTGTTGCCCAGGCTATAGTGCAGTGGCACGATCTCAGCTCACTGCAACCTCTGCCTCCCGGGTTCAAGCGATTCTCGTGCTGCAGCTTCCCAAGTAGCTGGGATTACAGGCCCCCACCACCACACCTGGCTAATTTCTTGTATTTTTAGTAGGGATGGGGTTTCACCCTATTGCCCAGGCTGGTCTCGAACTCCTGAGCTCAAGTGATCCACCCACCTTGGCCTCCCAAAGTGCTGGGATCATGCCACTGTGCCCAGCGTGAGGACAGTGTTTCTTATTTTCCAGGGAAGCAACACACAGTCCCTTCTCTCCAAAGGCTAATGCAACCTGAATATCACATTTCCCTCACTATTCACTGTCAAGTCTAGATAGAAAAAGAGGTGACATTCCTCAGTTGGATCCCTGGTGCTCTGTTCTCACACCTGGTTTTTACCTTTCATTTCGATGCTGAACAGCTTTTTCGTATCTTTTGCGAAGCTGCACCATCTCCTCTTCGATCATTGTGATCGTGTTGGCAAGTCTGTCAATGTTATTTAACTGGGCTTCCTTCTTTTCTTTCATTTCCTGAAGTTTTGATACAATTTTGCGCACATCGTTTTGCATGCTCTCTCTGATGGTAACATTGTTGGCGTGTTTCAGCATGGAATTTTGTAGCTTTCTTTTAAAGTAATAAGACAATGGGTAAGATTATAATTTTCTTTAGTTTATTTAAAAGGAATGAAGGCTTCTGAAACACAAGCACTATCAAAGCAGACCTTGCTTTAGTGTAGCCCTTGAAATGATACTAGTAATAATGATATTCATCTTATGATACTCTTCAGGAATTTTCATAATCCTTCCAGGTCTCAGATTTTCTCTGCTCCAGATTAGAACATCTTTCCTTTTCCCCCCAATGTTCTGCTGACCCCCTTTATCAAAGCGAGAGACTGCAGTCATTCATTTATTGTCATTCTCAGGAGACTGCTGTCTTGAGGACAGAGATGGTTATATCCAATAATGTCCACTGGACATAAGGTGGTGCCTGACTCAGCCTGTGGCCACAATAAATGCTGAATGAATGCATGGCCTCTATAAATGTATTTTATTTTCAAGTTGGATGAGAACCTGATTAGGAAATCATATTTTTCTTTTCATCCACCCCCGACCCCTGAAATGAGGCCACTTTATAATTGCTTTGTTGAAGGAAACTGGGCAATAATGGCCATCAGAAAATTAGATTATACCCTGATCGTGTACTGTTTACTAACATAGGTGAAAGAGTCCAGAAGATCTTGGCACATGGTAAATAATAAATGAAGAAAACAACCATTTGCCAGACGCTTTTCTGAGTGTTTTTATATGAATTAGCTCATTTCACAGTAAAATGTCGCATGAAATATGGTATGGATAAGGAAAGTGAGCTCAGAGAGACAAAGCAGCTTGTCCAAGGTTACAGAGGTAATAAGTGGGAGGGGTGGTATTTGAGTCTGGACACCACCTCTTTCACCAATCTGCTATAACGTATTGCCTCCCACAACACATGAGATGCTTTACATCTACAATCAGGGGATGTTGGTTAACAAACGATTTGATTGTTTTCTAACTTCCCAATCCCAATTATTAGATTTGTGCTTTTCTTTCTAATTGGGCAGGTGAAAATCATCATAGTAAGCATAGTTATATGTTATGGTTTTTCATTCATTAAAAAAATGACTCCCAAAGAGTAGAAGCATGGTAGATTATCATCTATAAAACAAGATGTTTGAACAAGGGCTTTTTCTGGATTTCTAATTCTGGCTTTCTAAAATACTATTCTTTTTATTTTTTATTTTTATTATTTTTTTGAGACAGGGTCTCATTCTGTCACCCAGGCTGGAGGGCAGTGGCACCATCTTGGCTCATTGCAGCCTCTGCCTCTTTCCTATCTTCTTATCCCCAGGATTTTTAGAGTTCAAATGAATCAGAAAACAAGCCTTTGAAAGGCCAATAGTTATTATAACACTTACCTTTCTTGACTAACGGCACTATTTCTCAGAATTTCAAGTTCATTTAATGACATTTTATGCCTTTCTTTTATTTCATTTACTTTCTGATGAGCTTTGTGGAGTAAGTTAACAAATTTGTTTCTTTCATTTCGAATGGTGTCATACAGTTTAGCAAACTCTCTCAGTCTGTAAAAATACAAAGTGTTTACTGAAACTTATGAAATGAACATCAGGTTTTTTTCCCCTCACCTACGTAGATAAAACACCACATAATTACTTTACCTCCGATAAATTTCACATTTTTTCTTCTTGTGTATCCTGATTTCAAGATCCTTTGCTTTCATTTCTTTAACAATGTTGGTGTATTTTTGCTGAAATGTACAAAAAAATGTGAAATAAATAACAACATATGAACACTCCCAGATTTATCCCACATCATTCCCTTCCATTAAAGACAATTCTCCAGCCTAGGCAACATAGTGAGACCTCATCTCTACAAAAATAAAAAAATTATCTGGGTATGGTGGTGTGCACCTGTAGTCCCAGCTACTCAGGAGGCTGAGGTGGGAGGATCGCTCGAGCCCAAGAATTCGAGGCTGCAGTGAGCCATGATTGCATCACTCCGCTCCAGCCTGGGCGACAAAGTAAGATCCTGTCTCTCCAAAAAAAAAAAAAAAAAAAAAAAAATTATTTCTTGGCTTGCTGGGTTGTACAGATCAGGGTGAAGGGTAAAAGAGATCTGAAAATTCCCTGGCTAGCTGAACTGATTCACATTGGCTAAGACAAACTGTTAACTGTTACCTAAAGAAGAGAACAAACGAGAGAAGAGAAAACGCAAAGAGCCTGCATGGCTTGGGTTTGAGGAAAAGTTTGGACAACTTTTGAGAGAGAGGAAGAGTGATTTTGAACCACACAGCTGGACTGGGTGAGTGTAGTTTATGGAAAATAGATGAGAGAAGAGGATTCCTAGTAAGTTTTGGTGAGTGTTATAAACTGAACCCTCTGTGGTGTTTTGTCAGAGACTGAAGCAATGATTTTAAAGTGCTTTCCATTCTTTTGTATGTGGGGTGTTTTCCTACATAATAAGGCATCATATTGAGATCAGCTGTAAGGAGGTGTTACACATAAATATTTTAAAAGAAAGCAGTTATATTTCTAGAGTTCTAAAAAATATATCAAGTGCTAAATACACTAGTTATGTTCTTCAAATCAAAAGATACTGGTTCTTGCATCTGGGATAAGAAACATATTCAAAAATGAAGGATTTGCTGGTAGTAAACCAGAGGAAAGAGTTTGTCAGCCTTCTCTCAAGGACTGAGAGCAAAGCCCTTTTGGTATGAGTGATTTGAAAGAAACTAGCCATAGAGCCAAGATTGATGTGTAGCATTTTTCTAATGCTGTTCTCCATGAGAATAGGGGTCAGGAAGAAACGAATATTTAAGTAACTGTACACATGAATAATAAAACAGATGGGAAAATGTAGTGTCATCTATTCTGTCTTAGGGGTGATAGTGACATTGTTTTTTTTTCTTCACCTTTGTCTTTAGGGATGTGGATGCAATGTGAACATAAAAGATTGCCTTCTTATGGAAACTGCAGCTAAGTACAGGTAATGTTTAACACACTAATTCCTAATGCTAAAAATACTCAAGGGATAAACATTTGTCCTTTATCAATTTCTGTATCTCAAGAAGAATTGTCTATTTTGGTTTAATACAAATTAGCTCATTTAATAATGAGGTTTGCTTTACATAGATTAGTCACACATAGATATACATGTATATCAGTTTTTGAAATTAATTGAAAATTATCTAATTCATAAAACGGATCAGTGTTTCTTATAACAAATAAGTATACCTCTGGTGTTTCTGTAATTTCTAAAGAGAAAAGGGAGGAAGTTTCTAACTAGGAAAGACTCACTTGAGTGGGATCTTCCCAGCCAACACCAAGTTGTCCCAGACCCTGACTTGGTGAAGATGGCTTTCTTCTTCCTTCTTTTCCTTCCTTCCCTCCCTCCCTTCCTTCCTTCTTATTCTTTATTTTTCGTTTTTGAGACAGAGTCTCGCTCTGTCACCCAGGCTGGAGTGCAGTGGCGCAATCTCAGCTCACTGCAACCTCCGCCTCCTGGGTTCAAGCGATTCTCATGCCTCTGCCTCCTGAGTAGCCGGGATTACAGGTGCCCACCACCACGCCAGGCTAATTTTTTGTACTTTTAGTAGAGATGGGCTTTCACCATGTTGGGCAGGCTGGTCTTGAACTCCTGACCTCAGGTGATCCACCCGCCTTGGCCTCCCAACGTGTTGGGATTACAGGCGTGAGAGACCGCTCCTGGCCCAAGATGATCTTCCCACATCTCTCCTCTCTCCTCTCCTTGTCCTGCTCCTGCATCTTACCCGCTTAGCCACCCTGTGCTTTGAAGCTGCCTTTCTTTCATCCAGTCCTCCCTGACCACTTCTTTACCTAGTGAAACCCAACTACTCCATGAACTTCACTCTTGCTGCAGCCTTCATTATGGAGTCTAAATTGTTTAACATGGATTAAGTGACTTTCATCATCTGACTTGTCCCGCTCTCTGGTCTCACTATTTGACATCCTTTCTCCCCATCTTCCCATGTGCCAGCCATCCTGAACTTCTTTTAGTTTCTTAAATATTAAAGTAGAAAAATAAACAGTGAAAGGGGGATGTGAAGTGCCTGCAGTGGGTTGTGCAATGTAGATCTTCTCTTTTTTGCAAAAATCTACTTCATACCTCATTGCTCACTAATGCTTTGGCGTGAGTGAGCTCTTTCTGCAGAATGAGAAGAAATACCATTCTATGTAAATCCTTACTTAGACTGAGAACAAGGGATGTGCTTAGAAACAGACCAAACAGACCACATCTGGGTCATGAGATAAATTCTTTTTTTTTTTTATTTTTGAGAGGAAGTCTCGCTCTGTCACCCAGGCTGGAATGCAGTGGTGCGATTTTGGCTCACTACAACCTCCACCTCCTAGGTTCAAACGATTCTCCTGCCTCAGTCTCCCAAGTAGCTGGGATTACAGGCACCTGCCACCATGCCTGGCTAATTTTTGTATTTCAGTAGAGATGGGGTTTCACCATGTTGGTCAGGCTGGTCTCAAACTCCTGACCTCAAGTTATCCACCCGCCTCAGCCTCCCAAAGTGCTGAGATTACAGGCATGAGTCACCATGCCTGGCCTGATAAATTCTTCTATTTTAGTAATATGTAATATCCTGTTTATTTTTAACAGGGAGCTTCTGGGCATGATCTGGACATAATCCTTATATGGAATAAACAATTCTAATGGTAGAATTTTAGCTTGCATGACAGGAGTGCTGCCTTACCATTTGTTTTATTGTTGATTTTAGGGGGGAATGTTGCACTGGCACTTTGTAGGAGGCCCAGGAAAATCATGGTGTGATGAAGCAACTAAGGGTATCTGGCATTCGATTAAATGATGCTGTCTTGATGAAGTTGGGAGGGACAGTTACCTAATGCTACCACTCTTGAGTTGTTCCTGGACAAATCACAGTGGAGTCTGAGATGGGAGTGAAAACTAAATGATATCTGCAGCCTATGCAGCTGCCAGCCCTGTCCACTGGAGGCACCCACTTTATTCTTACTGAAATTGCCATCTGTTCAAATCCTCCGATCATTATCAATGATCTCCTTTCCCATCTAAATTGTTGATTACTGTTAATTGAATCTTGGGACTATCTTTCAGTGCATGATTGAATCTCATTTAGGGAAGATTTATAGTCACTGGTACTTGAAGGAGAGGCACAGTTATAGTGGTTCCTTGGTATACATAGGGAACTGGTTCCAGGACCCTTTGAGAATACAAAAATCCAAGCATATTCAAGCAGTCCCAAAGTTGGCCCTGTGGAACTCACCTGTAAGAAAAGTGGGCCTTCCATATTTGCAGGTTTTGTATTCTGTGAGTACTCTACTTTTGATCTGCATTTGGTTGAAAAAAATCTGTGTATAAATGGACCCATGCAGTTCAAATCCATGTTGTTCAAGGGTCAATTGTATAGCTTTTCTTTTTTTTTTTGAGTTTCCTTCCAGTTCTTTTTTTAATATTTATATATTTTTATTATACTTTAAGTTCTAGGATACATGTGCACAATGTGCAAGTTAGTTACGTATGTATACATGTGCCATGTTGGTGTGCTGCACCCATTAACTCATCATTTACATTAGGTATATCTCCTAATGCTATCCCTCCCCGCTCCCCTCACCCCACAACAGGCCCCGGTGTGTGATGTTCCCCTTCCTGTGTCCAAGTGTTCTCATTGTTCAATTCCCATCTATGAGTGAGAACATGCAATGTTTGGTTTTTTGTCCTTGCGATAGTTTGCTGACAATGATGGTTTCTAGCTTCATCCATGTCCTAATGCACGTGGCATTATAATGAGGCTACCCTGAACTCTTGTAGTTATCAATGAATGGTTAAAAAAATGCAGTTACCTGAGCTTTCAGGAAATCCTTGGACTTTTGTTCCTTTTCATCAATTTTGATTTGAGTCATGCGGAGAAGGTTGACTACTAGCTCTTTCATGTTTTCTTGCTCCTTTAAAAGCTTGTTTTCTTCTGCAAGTTGTTGTTCTACTAACTTAGACTCCATTTCTGATATAATTTTCTTTTGAAAAAAAACACAGATAATATTATAAGTTATTTGTTTGAAGTAATACAGTAAAGCTAGTATCTTAGACTACCTTTTTACTTCCTATACAAAATGTATTTTTTTAAACAGGCCAGGTGTGGTGGCTCACGCCTGTAATTCAAGCCTTTGGGAGGCTGAGGCAGGATGATGACTTGAGGCCAGCAGTTCAAGACCAGCCTGAGCAACATAGCAAGATCCCTCTCTATAAAAAAAATAAAAATTAAAAATAAAGTAATGGTGTTTTAGCTTCATTGTTTTCATTTTGTAAAATAATGTGAAAATCGATGGGTTAACATGATAGAACCTCTTTGTATTTAGACTGTATTTTCAAGTGACTAAGAAAAAGAAGACACATAAAAACAAACGAAAATTTGAAATTAGACATTGGTGAAATAAAACATCTGTGGTTTACTTTTAATGTAATCAACAGCCCATAATTTAAAAATCTCATTCCTTTGAATACTTTTTGCGGTTCAAACATATTCTTTTTTCTCAAATTTAGTGTAGGATTGGAGTGGACTTTGAGATGAAGAAATATGCCCACATGAAGCAGGATCATACTCTCTTTGATGACTCTCTTATTGATAAGGTTTTGTGGAGCACAGTTAAAAGCACAACTTTGTATGAACGCTTCTTAGATAGAAGCTTAAATGAGCATTGATATTAACCTGTTGGGCCAAATTCCTCTTAGCTACTTCAACTTCCTTGTGAAGCTCTCGCCTTCTCTCAGATAATGTAGAATCATCTTTGGGGATAGCTTCCATCTGGAAATCAAAATTTAAAAACATGCATTTATGTAAGAAATAAATCTTTGGGAGGCTGAGGCAGAGAATTGCTTGAACCCGGGAGGCAGAAGTTGCAGTGAGCTGAGATCGTGCCACTGCACTCCAGCCTGGGTGACAGAGTGAGACTCTGTCTGAAAATAAATAAATAAATAAATAAATAAATAAAATTCACTGCTGTGTAGTCAACCTCATCACACACTTTTTGAAAATGCTGAGCAAATCACGAATCTCAATCTTATAAGAACTTCCCTTTATGCCAAATATTCTTTATAAGCCATGGCAAATTAAAATATGAAGACCTGCCAAAAATCTATAATTTGCCAGCTGCAAATGTTTATTATTTAGAAATAAATCTTACTAATAGCTAACATTTATTGAACATAAACCAAGTGTCCAGCAAGGTTCTAAATGCCTGTGTATACGATCTTATTTCATCATTACAATACCCCTCATGAGGTGGGGAATATTTTCTCCAATTGTACAGATGAAGAGAATGAGGCACAAACACATTTAAGCAACTTGCCTCAATGGTGCAGGTGTAAACCCAGGGAGGTAGACTTGGAACCCATGATCTGCCTAACTCATCTAACTCATGACCCAGCACTTTGGAGACATGAATATACTATGACTATTCAAATTATAGTTATTATAAAATGTGAGTACATTTATGAAATTGTATAGGATAAAGAAAAATATGTAATTTATTAATAATAGTGGGGATAGTTTGCTACTTATATATAGTCATTTGATTAGTAGCTGGAAATTTCTTACACAAAAGAAAAGCCTCAACTTTTTGGTTGATACCTAAAATTTCACCATTACATTTCTGTTGTAACGGCTTGCACTTTTCTCCTGTGTTGACGTACTTTAGGGAAAAGGCAAATCTCACTCTTTAAGTCTTTGTTGCCCTATTAGGAATGAGCTTGTCAGATTCTTTGTGATGAAGACGAGAGTAGAGAGGAGGACATGTGGCAGCTGATGGGGAAAGGGTACCATTCAAGGCTACAGGGAGGGTCATCTTGGGGTGCTTCCAGCCTACTTGACTTAGAGCAAGTTTAGAGTTGGCTATTTACACCAAAAGCTCATGACTCCAATCTGATGTGGTTCAGTTCCTACTGTGACAGCACACACTTGTAGGCCCTAAGGTTGAATAATGGCCAAAATTTAGACCCAAGAAAGGAATATCACACTGTCTAGTGATTTGAAGGTTACTTAACAGGATCTTTTTGAGGATCATGCTGCTATGTTAAAGTCACTAAAGTGTGTCTTTGGATGCCCCATCATCCATGAATCAGGGTATCTTCAGTAGCACCTTCTGTACCCTCAGGTGTCCATGTCCTGCTTTTCCATTGGGTCTCCTACCCTGGAGCACTAGCTCTTGAGATGCACACACTGGACTTAGGAAAACGAGATGTGGTCTTGTGAAACATGTCTGACAATATACAGAATGTTGTGGGCTTAACAAACATAAAATTGCTATAGCAGATCAGAAAAGGGAGAACTCAGTATAGAATTGAATAATTGGGAAAGCCTTCCTGGAAGATGTGAATATTCATCAAGGAAGTGTTGATTTCTCCTTTAGGAAAGTCAAGTTAAGACCTCCTGGATAGAGGAACTCCAGCAAACATCCTGGGTCCCTGTCTGATTCTCTGCTACAGGTGTGCCTGGAGTGGGCTGTCCTCATGCTCAGCTCCCGGGTGTCGGCAGATGTAAACGTGAATAACAGGGCCCAGGAACCCTTATGAGGTTTCGACAGAAAATATGATGAGAACACACTCACTAGCTACTATGTCAACTAAAGGCTCTCGACAGATTTTTCTGGCTTGAGGTCTAGACACTTTGGTTATTTCCAATATTTTGAAACACAAACAATACTTCAATAAATTGTATTCATTTTTGAACTCTGGCTACTGCTTCTCTGATACCATTTTAAATTCTCTGTAAAGCCCAGCTCTCTAGTTTCAGGCAGGAATTAGGTAGGCTTGGCTTGTGGAAGAGGTGACATGATAAGCCATTGGTAGCAGAGCCTCCTGGTTGCCTAGCCAATAGCTACCCTCCACCTTGATCTTAGCAACTCTATTAGTCAGGGTTCTTTGTATCTCCATATATATATATATATATATATATATATATATATATATATATATATATATATATATCTCCTATTAGTGTGTGTGTATATATATATATATAAAATAAAAAGGGGAGTTTATTAAGTATTAACTCACAGGATCACAGGGTCCCACAATAGGCCATCTGCAAGCTGAGGAGGAAGGAAAGCCAGTCTGAGTCCCAAAACTGAAGAAACTTGGAGTCCGATGTTCGAGGGCAGGAAGGGTCCAGCACGGGAGAAAGATGTAGGCTGGGAGGCTAGGCCGGTCTCTCATTCACATTTTTCTGCCTGTTTATAGTCTAGCCACACCGGCAGCTGATTAGATTGTGCCCACCCAGATTAAGGGTGGGTCTGCTTTCCCCAGCCCACTGACTCAAAGGTTCATCTCCTTTGGCAACACCTTCACAGACACACCCAGGATCAATACTTTGTATCCTTCAAGCCAATCAAATTGACATTTAGTATTAACCACGACAGCAACAGAATGCTGTTTTTTTTTTTTTTTTTCCAGAGCTGCAATGTATCCAGGAGTCCTCACACTTCTTTGCAGCTGGGGGTGCCCATATGAGCTAAGACAAGCCAATGAAATGTAAGTGGAAGTCTGTGAGGAGGGGTCCTGGGAAAGTGGCTGTTTTCCTGTTAAAAGGAGCTGGCCAAGCCAGCAATCATTTATGTCTTTTGCTCGTTGCCCTTCCTCCTCCTTTTGCCAGTTTATGCTTAAGGTGGAATAGCCATTTTCTGACCATGGAGAAACAATGTACACACTAAGGTTGACTGAAAGGGGAGCTAAAAGGATCCTAGACTTTTCATTATGTGAAATAACCGGTTGTGCCTACCTGTGCTCTTTTTATTAAGTGAGTAAAACAACTCCCTATTTAGCAAAATCATTATAGTTGAGTTTCTATTACTCATTGAGGCCAAATTGCAAACCTAACCTAATAGGTGTTTCTCTTGAAAGGAAACCTTCCCAAGGTAATCTGGAAAATAGGCTGGAGTTAGACTGAAGTCTCCATTAATGTGGGAGGAAAATAACTATCAAGTATCAAAGTTCTAACTACATGGTCTGGAGTTACTTGAGATATTTTCCATTTCTTTTGAGCCCCAAACTGCATATATCAGGTTTTGTAAGCTTATGATAGTTCTTTTAGTTTTTATAGTGTAGCATTTCACATTTAAAAATGTATTTATTGTGATTGTGACCAAACAACAGAAATGTGTAAAGTAAAAAAAAAAAAAAAATCTGCTTCCTACCTCTGCTGCTTCAAGTACTACTCCCCAGGAGTCACTATTAATAGTTTTGGTGTCTGTTCTTCCAGGCATTTTCAATGCATGAATAATCATCGGTAACTTTCATAAAAGTTAAGAAATTAGACATTACTTGTTGCTGTAAATATCCCAATTATTTGATATCAGTGAACCTCAGCTTAACACTTTGATATTTTTCTAAAGCATTCCAACCTTTCATGAGGCTTGTACCTTGAGTTTCTGGGAGAGTCTCTATGTACAAGTCAAACGCCATAGGAGAATCAAACAACTGTCTCTGGGGGGAAATACATTCTGAAGAATAGCTAGAGCTCTTCATGTTTACCTTTTATCTCTTTTAGTTTTGGATTGCATGCAAGTCTGAAAAAATGTTCACTTGGGCTGGGAGTGCCTGGCCTGACCCACTCCTGTTTTCAAGTACTGCCAGCTGTGGGCAGTGGCTGGGCTAATTATAAATCACAGGGTCAAAGAGGAAGTTAGTCTCTCACTGAAACTGTACTAGAACAAAACCAGATTTTTCTTAAAATCAACAAAGGAAAAGGATTCTAATACACTTTAATTTCTGTTAGTTTTATATTCTATGGGTGCTTAGTTTTATATTCAATGGGTGCTATTTTGTGGACTTAATAGCTAGTAGTGTCATAATATAAATAGCTTTTATAATATTTGTTAAAATCTGAACAACTTGTGCGCATTCCACTGCAAACTCCTCTTCGGTCAAAGGCCATGCCTCACATATTTTGTGTCCAGTCAGATCAAACTACAGTGACAAGCCTCACCATCACAGACAGCTTCCAATTAGATTTATAGCAGCCCATGCTTAAATATAAGCAGATAGCCAAGAATTACCATATATTGGAGGAAAGTTTCTAAAAAGAAAGAGACAAAAACAAAAAAAGAAAAATACAGAAAAAACACGGAGAAAAAGTCTTATTTAGGAAAAGAAGAAGAAAAAGAAACCATCATTAATAGCCTCAATGAGATAAGAGATTAAAGATACTATGAAAAAGAAACATCCAGAGAACAAAGAGAGCACAAGGAAATATAAAGTATGATAGCATAATGAAAGAGTAGAAGGGTTGAAAGGAAAACTTGAGGAAATTTCTCTTTTAGCAAGTCAAATGACAAAAAAGAAAGGAAAATAAAAGAAAAAAGAAAATTAGAGGACTGTTTTAGAAGGTCCAACATCTGCGTAAAAGGAATCCAAGACAGAATAGAGAAAATCAAATGGACAAAATTAAATAATCCAAGACAAAGTATCAGAACTTTGGAAGGACATATACTTCCATAGACAGAGAACCCATTCAGTGCCCCACACGATGGATACAATGGGAACATCATTGTAAAATGTAAAAATTCTGGAGGCAAGTAAGAGATCCTACAAATTTCCCAGCATGGAAAAAAAAATGGCTTCAAATAAAGGATCAATATTTAGAATGACATCAAATCTTCTTCATAGTGAAGCTAGAAGGCAGTTAATCTAATGCCTTTTTCCTGAGGGAAAATGATTTCCAACCTAAAATTCCATATCCAATTAAAGCACTAATTGTCTGTATGGCTAGTGTGAGGGTAAAATATTTTTTAGCATGCAAGGTCTTCTGACATACAATTTCCAACACACAAAGTCTTAAACAATTACTTTTTCACTAACATTTTTCTCATGAAGCTACTGGAAGGCATGTCCCCTCCTCCAAAAGGGGGTAAGCTAAGAGAATAAAATAGATGAGACCCATGAAATAGAGTCGGAAGAGAGGTGAAGGGCATCAGCAAGATGATGGAGTAAGGCTCCTAGAATGAGAGCAGTGCAGTAAGCACATACAGAAATGGACTACTTTGGAACAAGTCAGAAGGCTGAGAAAGAAAAAGGCAGCCCCTGGTATCCAGGAGCAGAACTGGTACTCATAGGTAGGCCTTGGTATTCCCCTGTTGAACATAAACAATTGCCCAGAACATCAACTTCAGACAAAGCCCCTCTGTAATCATGATGGATCAGGACAAAAACAAGGCCACTCCATAACTGTATTTGAACATAGACAAAAACATGAACATTGTCCAAGCCACAAAATACCATAAATTCCCCTTGTATAGCTTTGTTTAACAATCACAGTTTTGGTCTCCATCTAATCTTTTCTTTTTCTAGGTAAAATTTAAGATACTCTACCACAGAATTACTCTCATTTCCTGAGAACATCCTAATTCAGGGCAAAGTCCCATTTCTTTAAACCGTTCCTCAAGTCACATGACACATATCCTGTAAGTCCTTTCTAATACCCTCTATTGAGACTCCCTACAATTCTCCATGGCGTGTGTTCTCCCTTGCTGCAATATGTAATAAACTCAGCGCATTCAACTGCTGATGTATTCCTGTTAGTCTTTGGCTAGAGGTCATTGATGAGGCTTAGAAGAGATTTCTTCAAGAAGAGTAAATGAATAGGCCATCAAATGTGTTTTAATATACTGAGAGGAGATTTATATAATTGGAGAAGAATTTGGGATTGAACTGATAAGCACACCGAAAACTATAAAAGTGTAAAAACAGGATGTTTATAAATTCCTGGGAACACAAAATTTTGTAAGGGTAATTATATAATATCACATGGCTCAGGCACGAATAGCCTTTATATGTTCATAATAATAACAAATTCTGAACTAATCAAAATTATGACATGAGAATACCGTGTATACAGAGGGACAAGAAATGTATTTGTGATGAACAGGGGTCTAAAGAGGGCTGAATCCTCATCTTTTATAGTGATTAAAAAAAAAAAAAAGATCAAGTCTACAACTGAAAACTCAAGTAGCAGCATCATAAGCATGTTACTTGGGGTATGAAGATATACCAAAAGAACTGGCTGAAGAAACAGCGCTTGATTAGGAAGATGACTTGATTAGGAATGGGAAATACATGGACAAACTTTCTATGCCTGGGGCAGACATCACCAATCAACTACAGAGCTTCTATCTGACAAGTCAGCACTGGGCCTCAGAATCCTTTGCAATATTGGGCCAGGCGCGATGGCTCACACCTGTAATCCCAGCACTTTGGGAGGCCGAGGCAGGTGGATCACCTGAGGTCAGGAGTTTGAGACTAGCCTGGGCAACATGGTGAAACCCCATCTCTACTAAAAATATAAAAACTAGCTGGGCTTGGTGGTGGGTGCATGTAATCCCAGCTACTCAGGAGGCTGAGGGCAAGAGAATTGCTTGAACCGAGGAGACAGAGGTTGCAGTGAACCGACACGGTGCCACTGTACTCCAGCCTCAGCAACAGACTGAGACTCTGTCTCAAAAAAAAAAAAAAAAAATTCCTTTGCATTATCATCACTACAGGGAGCTACCCCCAAATGGAGGGAGCTGGCATTTGAGATGAAACCTGTTTGCTTTTAGAGTATGATCTTTAAGATTCCTCTTGGTTCCTTCATTCTGTGATTATGTGAATTAAGGATCCATTGAATGTCTTGAGCAGGTGAGTGACACATGAATGTGTCACTTAAGAATATAAATTTGTGCTTTGGGCTAAGATGGAGGAAAAATTGGACATGAAAGGAGCTGGACCTATGGAGAACAGCTGGTGTAGAGCTGCAGTCATTTAGGTAATGCAGAGTGGGTACTGAGAGGCATTTCCGGGGTTTATCAGTAGGGCCTGATGATGTCATCTTCTCCATATGAATAAAATAGCCATATTCACAGTGTCATTCTGACTATACCATTTACTTTATAGCCTTTCAAAGAGTTCATATGTATAAAGGAAGGAAGGCAATATTTACTGAGTATCTTCTCGGTACCACACACTTTCCCATTTGCAGTCACTCATTTTTTGCAATAATCCCAATTCAAAGGTTTGGAAACAAGTAACATAGGTAGGAATTCAATGGATCTAGAATCTGAACCTGACTGTGCCTGACTCAAAGGTGAAGCTCTTCTCAGTATAGTATGTTGTTATCATTGCCTTCAACACTGAAATGAGTCATGAAGAGAGAAAAATGCAGAACCACTTTTAAATCAGAGCAAAGGGAGATGAAATTGCTAGAAAACTATAATTAAAGAAAAATTACAGTATATAGAAAGTGTCATATTCACTTGGTAAGAGGATTTTGTCATTGTCACAATCTTGGACATGATCTTATGTTTAGAAAGCGAATAACTTCACAGACTCATGATATTCTAACCCCTACAACATGATGGTGTCAGAGCAAAATCCTAGGAATCATGGTTTTCTTTCTTTTCAGTGCCACGTGGAAGTCAATAAGAGCCATGTTTAAATGCAGAGGTATACCGTCATGTGTGATATTACATGACAGTATGATGTCTTTGGTTAAGTAATTCATTCCACTTTGTCATGCCAACACACATGGTCATTAAAAGCTCTGATGGTTTTGACTAACCCCAGCAAAGTCTTTCTGCCTATGGCAGGCAAATCTTCCACCTGCCCAAGTCTCGACTTGGCAAATGTCTCAGGGAGGCAAAAGGCCACCTGTTTCTGCTCACCAGGAAGTGATGATGCCTTTGTGGAATTTACTTCCTACTTGCATATGTCTCTTAAAAATATGTGATTTTTAGTTTATTGATTTCTTTCTGGCTGGTATAGCAGAAACGATGGTCCATCACAATGTTTTCTATTTTAACTAGAAGTGGAAGTAGTAGGATTACATTGTGTATTAGGTTTATGTGTCCCTTCTATGGTACTTAATCTAGATTTTCTGGTAGAAGTGAACCTAAGTCTGTTTTTTTGTGTGTAGTCTTTTAGAACCAATCTTGTGATTTTTACCAATGTATAACCCTTCTTGAGCTAAGAAGTATTAATTTATGAGACAAATTATTGCTTCTATTTAGGTTACCTTACTCTTCAATATTAAGAATGCTTTGATGATTCAGCATTAGAAGCATATTGAATGGATTAACTTTACTTACTACCATAACTACCAAAATTGGTTATTAAAGGTAATTATACATTTTATCCCATTGTTTAAAGAAATCTTACTGAACAGTTATTTGATCAATAAACAGGAATTGTTTTATTAGTACAAGCAACACTTGCTGGTTTTAAGAGTCTTACTCATTACACTGAGGTTTCCGTCAGTACTTTGAATGGACATTATAACTGCGGTCTACTATAAATCTTACTATGACTGAGGAGGGGTGGCCACAGGGTCTGTGTTTGCCCAAAGTTCCAATTTAACATCCTAACGTGCTGTGCTTCGGGCTAAGATGGAGTAGCTTATAGTAAACCAATGCTTCCAACAAGAATAACTTGGAAAGTTGGAGTGAAAATATGTTTGAGGGCATAAGAGTTGCAAAGGTTAGTAAAGTTAAAATCATCAAAGGTATTAGCACTGTCTTGGAAGTAGTAAAAATACAAATAACTTATATTTGACTCTAGTAAGTCAAAGATGACTGTTGTAATCTTCAGGGTAACCACCCAAAGAATAGAAATAGAATGTAAAACTAACTGATGCATATCTAAAACAAGGATAGCAGAACTATATGAAACGTTGATTAATCCCAAGGAAGGAAATGTGGGAGAGAAAATGGAACATGAAGCGGATGGGATACAGAGAAAGCAAAAGTAATATCACAGAATAAGGACAAATATATCCACAATTACATTAAGTATTAATTTTTAGACTAAATACAAGAATTTAAAAAGGCAGAACTTATCAGACTAGATTTTGAAAAGTATGTGCTGTGTATATGAGACACACCAAAATGAGGACACAGAAAGAGTGACGGTAAATAGGGCTGGGTGCGGTGGCTCGCACCTGTAATCCCAGCACTTTGGGGAGGCCGAGGCAGATGGATCACTTGAGGTCAGGAGTTTGAGACCAGCCTGGCGAACATAGTGAAAGCCTGTCTCTACTAAAAATACAAAAATTAGCTGTGTATTGGTGGCACATGCCTGTAATCCCAGCTTCTTGGGAGGCTGAAGTACGAGAATTGCTTAAACCCGGGAGGTGGAGATTGCAGTGAGCTGAGATGGTGCCTGCACTTCAGCCTGGGCAGCAAAGCAAGACTGTCTCCAAAAAGAAAAAGAAAAAAAAATCAAAGTAAATAATACCATGCAGAATCTAACACGCCAAAAGATAGTGTAACTGATGTTATTATTCTAAAATCAGACAAAATAATATTTTAAGGCAAAAAGTACTACTAGAGTTAAAGAGATTTCAGAGTGATACAAATAAATCTACCTGTTGGAATTGCAATAAAATGATTAAATAAGAAGTATATATATCATAAATATACTATATATAACAGTTATATAAAAGTTATTTGTGAAAACACATATATAGTAGAACATACATGTTTTATTGGTTTTGCAAAAGACTATAAAAGTACATTTTGCCTCACTGAGATAGAAAACTTCCTTTTTTTGTTTGAGATGGAGTCTGGCTCTGTTGCCCAGGCTGGAGTGCAGTGGCACAACCTCAGCTCACTGCAACCTCCGCCTCCCGGGTTCAAGCGATTCTCCTGCCTCAGCCTCCCAAGTAGCTGGGATCATGGGTGTGCACCAGCACACCCGACCAATTTTTGTATTTTTAGTAGAGACAGGGTTTCACCATGTTGGCCAGGCTGGTCTTGAACTTCTGACCTCAGGTGATCTGCCGACCTCGGCCTCCCAAAGTGCTGGGATTACAGGCAGCAGCCACTGTGCCCAACCAGAGAACTTCTTGAAAAGATTATAAGTGCCATCTGACAGCAAGACGAAGTCCAAGTCCTAGTTGTTCGTAACACTCATAACCCTAACCGATTTTTTCACACATGTTGCTTAAGGTTGGTCTTTCAGTCAGGACAGGCTAAGTTATGCTACAGAAATAAACGACCTCCAAATATCATGGCTTCGAACTACCAAAGCTGTTTCCTACAAAGCCGGTGGGCAATCAAGAGGACTCTGAGACCACTGTTGGCTCAGCATTCCCGGCTGCTCCCATTTTACAGCACCTCCATGGTGTCATGCACTTCCACAATTACCACAGGAGAGGGAAAAACAGCTAGAGGGTCTCACATTGGCAATTAGATGTTATAGGCTGGAAGTGACACGTGTCACTTTTGTCTACAATCCTCTGGCCAGAATGAGTTATATGACTCTGCTCAACTGCAAAGGGTGCAAGGAAGTATAAACTTTCTATGTGCCCAGGAGGAGAGGAGAACTAGGCATAGGTTAGGATCAGAGGTGTCTACCACAGCTGGAAACTCCTGTTCAAATTTCTTAGGTCATGACCCTCCATAAGGTTCTGGAGCATGACAGTCCTGAAGAGAACGGGGAAGGTTTCTATACACCTAGCTGCTTCATCTCAGAGGCTGACCCCTTTTTCGCTCAAGGAAGGCTCTAGCACAAGGCTGAAGCCCTCTCAAGGATCCTCTGCCCTTTCAGTGGCGCTTGGTCATTTACCACAGGGAGTGCCCTCTGAGAGAAAAGAGAGCCAGGGGCAACCAGACCCCTCACTTGGGAACACAGAGGCAGGTAACAGTTGTCTTGAGCATCTTCTGACTGGAGTACACCTCTGACCCTGCACAGAATTAGCCAGGCAGCCTGATATTGGGTTCTGGATTGCCCTTGGCTAGTCGGAAGTGCAGGCTGCTGATCATTTATGTCTATGTAATTTGATCTAGTCCTTCACTGTTATAGTCTGCCATGACACCATGCCGGATCTGACTCCTTCAACTGGTGAAAATAATGATCCACTTGGCCCCATTCTGCAGTGAACCCTCTAGCTCTTCTAGAACTGGATAGTCCAGTCATTTCCCCAGGTCAGGCTGAAGGATGACTGATCCAAACAAGACATTTCTCTAATCTTGGGTTAGAAAAATGAGATTACGAAACATTATAGGACTATAGATTTCATAATAGGCTTGACGCATTTGAAAATTACCTTTTCTCTGTTACTTGTATTTTCTTCTTCTCTACTGGCAGCAAAAACAACTTCCTAAAATATTTTTACTTCAAAAGTTAGCACCGAGCTTAAAAATCAGATGGTAGTTTACAGCCCTCACCTCTAATAGAAGCCTTTGATGCAGTGCTTGAGTTTGCCTAAGTGCATCCCAGGACACTTTCAAGAGCAGTTCCATCTTTCTTAAATTTCGAAAATCTCGTTCTTTCTCTCTTTGCTTACGAGAAAGTTCATCATGGTAGTTCTGCTTGTCAATGAGACTGTTGCGTAAATTGAGATCCAAGATCCCTCTGTTCCAGGTAAAGGAAGAAGAAGAAAATGATTTTGTTATCAGCTGTCCTAAATGTTTTTCAAAACTTATCAAGACAGCATGCTGAATATTGGCTCCCAATCTCTTCTGGCAAAGACCTAAAAACAGAACTACCGTTTGACCCAGCAATCCTATTACTGGGTATATACTCAAAGGAATATAAACTGTTATATCCTAAAGACACATGCACACATTTGCTCATCACAGTGCTATTCACAATAGCAAAGACATAGAACCAACCTAAATGCCCATCAATGGTAGACCAGATAAAGAAAATGTGGTACATATGCCACAGACTATTATGCAGCCATAAAAAAGAATGAGGGCTGGGCGCGGTGGCTCACGCCTGTAATCCCAGCACTTTGGGAGGCCGAGGTGGGTGGATCATGAGGTCAGGAGATCGAGACCATCCTGGCTAACACGGTGAAACCCCGTCTCTACTAAAAATACAAAAAATTAGCCGGGCGCGGTGGCGGGCGCCTGTAGTCCCAGCTACTCGGGAGGCTGAGGCAGGAGAATGGCGTGAACCCGGGAAGCGGAGCTTGCAGTGAGCCGAGATTGCGCCACTGCAGTCCGCAGTCCGGCCTGGGCGACAGAGCGAGACTCCGTCTCAAAAAATAAAAAATAAAAAATAAAATAAAAAGAATGAGATCATATCCTTTGCAGGAACGTGGGTGGAGCTGGAGGTCATTATCCTTAGCAAACCAATGCAGGGACAGAAAACCAAATATCACATGTTCTCACTTATAAGTGGGAGCAAAATGATGAGGATACATGGACACATAGAGAAGAACAACACACACTGGAGCCTTTTGGAGGGTAGAGGATGGGAGGAGGGAGAGAATCAGGAAAAATAATAGGTACTAGGCTTAATACTTGGATAACAAAATAATCTGTACAACAACCCCCCATGACACAAGTTTACCTATAACAAACCTGTATGTGTAACCTTGAACTTAAAAGTTTAATAAAAGACAGCATGCTCAGTATATACACACATGACTATTCTCATGTTGGAATCATAAATTGTAAATAATGCCAAAGGCAACTAGGTTTGTGAGTTGGTATCATTTAGAACTGCAGTCTTATAACCCCCACCCCCCAAAAAAATAACAGACTGGCAGAGATAGAAGCCTCCAGTTTCCTTGAAATTTTACTTAAAAGCAGGACATAGGCTGGGCGCGGTGGCTCATGCCTGTAATCCCAGCACTTTGGGAGGCCAAAGCGGGTGGATCACGAGGTCAAGAGATCGAGACCACCTGGCCAACATGGTGATACCCTGTCTCTAATGAGAAGAAAAAAAAAAATTAGCCGGGCGTGGTGGTGCGCACATGTAGTCCCAACTACTCGGGAGGCTGAGGCAGGAGAATCACTTGAACCCGGGAGGCAGAGGTTGCAGTGAGCCAAGATCGTGCCACTGCACTCCAGCCTGGCGACAGAGCAAGACTCCATCTCAAAAAACAAACAAAAAAGCAGGACATAAAACTCTCCTAGGGAATTACACCACGAAATTGCTTCTGTTAGAAAAAAGTCAAGATGGCCTAAGAAGTATCATTCATTTGTTGGCAAAATCCCTGAACATAACATACTCCAGTGATAAATTTTCCAAAGGCACATTCAGAAACTTACAACATACAACAGATTATATCCTGAAAATCTGGTAACAGAAAATTGAGAAAATTTGAGTAAAGTATCAAAAAATACTTCAAAGTGCTTTATTTGATAATATATTAAGGGTAAAAGTTGATTTAAAATTATTTTTAAATATTTATTAACTCAACACCAAAGTGAGATTTTGAATTCTCAAATATAAATTGAAGAAAAATTTAGATGACAGAACATAACATACATAAATATAACTAACCTTTCAGTTAATGAAGTTGCTTCATTCTCTCTGGCTAATTCCAATAGCTTGACCAATTGGTTATGTTCTCGTTCTTTGATTTCAAGTAAGGCTCGTTTGCCTTCAACTTCCTTTATTACATTTTCCTTCTCATCCACTATAGCACTAACCTTGTTTTCAACTTTCTTTAGGGAGTCATTTAGCGTTTTGACTTCTTGTTCCAAGACAATTTTTTTCTTTTCCATTTCTCTGTAGGGGATACACACACACACACACACACACACACACACACACACACACACACACACACACACACACTTGCCTTATTTTGAGGCCATGCTGGCTTTACCTATTCTTGCTTTCTAACCATGCAGCAGAAGAGATAGTCATAAATTCAATGATCTCAGCAGTGGGTAAAGACCACAGATGGGTGGGACTTGGAGGGTATCTCCACTGAGTGCCACGGAAGGCAGGAATTTGCCCAGCCTCCCTACTTTCTGTGCAGATCCCAATTTGCTACCATCTCCTGTGATTCAACCCTCGTCCTGACCAGCCTCCTGAAACTGACCTGAGTTTCTCAACTTTGATGTTGGTGAGCTTAGTTTTTAGAACAGTTACTAGTGCCTGCCTAATTTTTCCCCTTAAGATTAGTCACCAGAGTAATTATATTATTTTTCCAGAATTTTTGTATCTTCACTTAAAATCTTTATCTTTTTTGGTTCCTTAAACACTGAGAATTTCCTCAATGACCTCTGCCTCCCAATCTACTCTGAATATCTGAGGAGTGTTATACACATGAATGGGTGGCAAAGTGGGGAGTTACTATTATTTGGGCTTTGGGCTGCTGCCTGGCTGATATACTTCTAGACTATGAAATTCTAACCAGTTCGCATAATTTATCCCATGCACCGCTCTGTTAAAGTCAATTGAACTTCTCCATAAAAATATGATTTATAAATTGGCAACAGAATCTTGACCCATAATTAAGCCATAAATACTATGAATGATAGAAATTTGGTGCATTACTTTCTTTTAAAGAACTTGATATAAACAACCTAGACAGGGCCCAAAGCAGAAATTTCTAAAATTATCATAGTAATTTAATGTGTCCAATGGTTAGTACTCTTGTTCTAGTGTGCACACATAACTTGGACTGGCAGGGATTCAAAGTAAAAATATTAAATCATACACTTTTTTGCGTGTTATTTTTTCTATCTCTTTTCCAATTTGTACTGGAATGGTTTGATGGTGGGCCACTTCATCCTAGTAAAGAAACGAAATCATGTTAAATTATGCGGTCTTCGGCTAGAAGCAATTAAGACAAGAAAATTAAATATGAGAGAGAAAGGAACTACAATATGTAGATACTTACCATCTGCCCTGTGTGCTTTAATTATCCCATTTAATACTCACGGTGACCTTGTAAGAGAGCTATATTTGTTATCATTTTGAAGAGGAGGTAACTGAGTGTAGCAAATACTGTTGGTCCTCTGCCCAGATTCCCTTTATGGAGGTACAGATGCTCCTCCACATACAATGGAGTGACGTCCCAATAAACCCGTTGTAAGTTGAAACTACCTTAAGTTGAAAATGCATTTAATACACCTAACCTACTGAAATCATAGCTTAGCCTAGCCTACATTCTCAGGACACTTTTATTAGTCTACAGTTCACCTAATACAAAGCTTATTATATAATAAAGTGTTGAGTGCCACACAGTAAATAAACATAACATATTGAATACTGTACAATAAATGTAATTTATTCAATACTGAAAATGAAAAACGGAATGGTTGCATGGGTACTTGAAGCGTGGTGTCTACTAAATGCATACTGCTTTCACACCACTGTAAAGTAGAAAAATCATAAGCTGAACCATCATAAGCCAGGGCCCGTCTGCCCACCCATCCCTCAAATGCTGCAGGGGTGACTGCTAATGGATCATGCTTAATCTCCTCTCCATCAGATTGTCACTGGCTGAGCAGAGCTGCCTTGTCAGGGAATGGGAGCCAGGGGGTGGAGGGAGGAGGGGAGCAAGCTGAGACCAATGACTAACTGATGTGGTGATCTAACAGACACCCCCCACCCCCACCTCTGGGTGCAACAGCCTCTGTGATGCAACTCATGACTTCTTGAGTTCTCCATGGGATCAGGCTGAGACTAGAGTTCTGAAGCAGCTGTATTCTGGCCCAGCTTCTTCCCCAGCTCTATCCTGCTTCCCTCCATCTCCTATAGGATTCTCCTTAGAGTTCTCCCTCCATTAGTAGTTGTCTTAGGGTCTGTTTCTGGGGAGCCCTGCCTAAGACTCATGCTACAAGAAGTTAAATAAGTTTCCCGAAGTCACACAGCTAGTAAGTGGCAAGGCCAAGCTCGGAAGCTAAGTTTGTCTAACACCGCACCTCCCACTATGCTCTGTGGATTCATGGGAGGTTCAGCTGAAGTCTCAAGAGTCTTACGTACTCAGCAAGGGTTATAGAAAAGCCCCTTCCTGCCCGAGGTTGTCATTGGACTTTGGAGCCAGGGGTAACACACATGCAGGGAGGTTGAATCCGTCACTGCAGTGTGGTGGGCGAGACATTTCTCTGTGGGATCTTGCTCAGTCCTGGGGCAGATCAAATTTTGTGGGGCTGAAACTTGTACAATCTTGGGGGCCCTCGTTAACAGAAAGAGTAAACAATTACAAATGCTAACTTAGGTGCAGCATCTTGGAAGAGGTTCATGCAAGTGAGGGGCCTGAAGCTTAAGCTTCACTGGGTTCCTGTTAAATCCATCTCTGCTAGGGTCCTATGTTCTGGACAGTAGCTGGGCACATCTTGGCTGTCTGCTCTAGGACTGTTATAGAAAAACAGGTCAAAGTGTATCACCATTATCCCCTAAGCCAATGAGTTTCAGATGTTGTTTTTAAAACAACTCTAGGTTATTAAAACTGTTTTGAGAGTCATTTATACATTTTTCAAAGTAAAATGAATTTTAATTCATTATCTCCTAAAACATAAATACAGGCCTCTCATCCCTTTTCTACTGAGAGGAAGTGGAATGCACTCCGACAAGGATAAGGTAATACAAATATATGTGAGAGGTTAGGACATTTGGTTGTTTTGGTATGTGTGTAGGTGTGTGTGTGTGTGCGTTTTGTTGTTGTTGTTGTTTTTGAGAGGGAGTCTCACTCTGTCACCCAGGCTAGAGTGCAGTGGCGCGATCTCAGCTCACTGCAATCTCCACCTCCCGGGTTCAAGCAATTCTCCTGCCTCAGCCTCCCAAGTAGCTGGGATTAGAGGCATCCACCATCACACACCCGGCTAATTTTTGTATTTTTAGTAGAGACAGGGTTTCACCATGTTGGCCAGGCTGGTCTCGAACTCCTAACCTCAGGTGATCCACCGCCTTGGCCTCACAAAGTGCTGGGATTACAGGTGTGAGCCACTGTGCCTGGCCATGGTTGTTCTTCAAGGAAACAATTGTGTTTGTGACACTTGTTTCTAATGTCCAGAAATGTTTGGTGAGGTCAGGAGAGACCTTTTCCGCAGGGTGAGGGCTCCGAATTATCGAGTGATACTCCCAAACACCCTAAGGTCTTTTGTGCATTCCCAGAGCCTAGATTTAGTTTGATAGGATCAATCGCAATGCAGATATTTCAGTTTGTGAGACAATACCCCTCTTTATCCAACCTGCTGGTTACTCTTGATACCCACACACTTTTATATCCATGCAAGGCACAATGTTTAAATATCAACGGTAAGTAGCACACCTTTAGGACGACCTGATGTCCCAACAATTCTTCTAGTTCCTTCTGCTCTTTTAATAATTGCTTTTGTTTAGATGCCAAATCTTCTCGTAAATTTTTAATTTCTAATTTCTTCTGCATTATTTCTTTACGTAATTCTTCAGTGCTTTCTCTCAATATTTTCATCTTCTTCTCCATTTCCTTTAAAAGTCGTGAAGATGATTAGGTTATATAGTCTGAGCAAACATTTATCTACCTAAAAACTGAACTAAAACTAATTTCACCCACCATTTTGATTATATTTGTTTTGAAGTTCATGAATGATTTCTCACAAGGTTAAATGATTTCTCATAAAGCTAAATGCAACTTATGATTTCTGACATCTTTAACAAAGGCATGATAATGATACTGCATGTATAATTAAACACAACATTATATTTGAATTATTTTATTAGTGCTCTTTTCTATCCTCCTACATTTAAAAACGTTTCATTTTATGTGTCAATTTTTATTTCATACCAAGAAGCATGAAAAAAAATGTACAGTCTGTTTTCTAGTAGCTTTGTGATCTGACAAAATCAGATGCCAATAATCTTTGAATATCTGACTTATGGTTAACCTGAGTCACATGGGAACTAAAGACAAAGGTGTTCATATTTGGATACCCAACACTTTGCACTCCTTAATCCCCCACTTTCTTATTGATATTACTTCTCTAGCTCATGCACATCCTCCCCAAATACCATCTACCCCAGAATCATCAAAGATCTTTGTCTCATGTCTGATTACCTGGGGAGGGTTTGACTTATGGGAGAGAAGGCTTCTTACACTCAGAAGGTCTACACGTTACTCTTACTAATGACGAAGTGCTGGGTCTATTTAGCCTGCCCTGGGCTTTCTGCATAGCTCCCTCCTCCCACCACTGCTGGGTGAGAGCATCATTGGTGATCCTAGGATCTGAATGAAAATTCAAAATGTTTCTCCCATAAAATCTGTATTGTAAATGATGGTTTGGCATACTTATTTGAATTAATAGTATTTTACTCTATGCTAAACAGGTTTTATTGTGAGCTGGCCTTGGAATTAAACCACCACCAACACACTTTTGGATTATCAGAAGGTGGAAGGAGTGCAAAGTATGGTGACCATTCTATTTACGTTCTATAATAGATTGTAAAAAGTGGCCACGAATTCCTCCTATCTGCAGGGTATGCATGTCCCTTTGCATTGTCTTGATCCTTCTTCCCATTAAGAGGTAGGGCCAACTTGATTCTAGACTTGCCCATGTTATAATACTTGCATTGGCCAATGGGGTATTACCAAAAATGATTTTAGCAGAGGCCCAAAAAGGTCTTACATATTGGAGTTTGCTCTTTATTGAGTCTGGAAACCCTTCCACCATCATGTGACCAACTAGTGACATGTGACCTTAGACCAAGTAGCCTACCAAATGGCTGGTATATGAATGGAGCTATCCTAGATTACCCAGCCCCAATTCGGCCAGCTCAGACCAGAATATTCGGAACTGTGAAAAAATGAAATGGTTGTTGTTTTAAGCCACTAAGTTCTGGGATGATTTGTTAGGCAGGAATAGATAAGTGATACATTTTCTTTGTAAAAATTTGTTGTAATAACTTGAGATGTTCAGAGAGCTATGAGGGTGATAGCTATAGCAAAATAATATTTTTAGTGTCAACCACAGAATCTTTTTTTTCTTCTGAAAACAAAGCAGATATTGTCCAACTAAATACAGCCTAAATTAGATGCCAAGTTGCTAAAGTCTATAATAGGCATCACTTATATTTACTCCAGAAGTTATGTAGCTAGTCTTTTCAGCATCATTCACAGTTAAGACTTTAGAGTCTTTAAAATGTTTCAGGCTATGGTGGTTGTGATAAACATTAATATTTATAAAAAGGGATGATTGAATCCAGCTGTATTTAAGAAACTCTATATCATCTAAGACTTACTCCTGGCTTTGTTATCTTCTCAAATTCTTTTACTATGATGATTTTTTCTTCCTTTAAGCTGCAAAAAAAAAAAATCAAGTTTGAAAAAGTACAAAGAAATAAGCTCTTTCTGTAATAACAACTTTCTATCTTCTCATCCCAGAATGTCATTCCCATGCTTGTCGGCCAGGCAACCTGGTGTCCATTCTTTATGACACCTTTCCTGAATCACAGGTGCATTGGGGTGCTTCCTCCTCCCCAGGACTCCCACCCAACTTTGTGAACACAACCCACTTAGAGGAGTTATCTCAGCACATTATAAATGTTGGGGACCACGGGCCTCGGGACACAGGGTCCTTCCCAGCAGGCTCTGGGCTTTTTCTCCTTTATGTTACTTGGAATGGGCGGGTGCCTGCCTGGATTCCTGCTACAGCCTCCCAATCGATCTCCTACTTTGCCTGCATCCACCTTTGCCCATTAAAGTCAATTCTCCACCCATACCACAGTGATTTTTTAACATGTAAATAAGATCACTTCACTTCCCTGCTTGATAAATTCCCATCACACCTGGACCAAAATTTGAACTCCTTTCCCAAACCTACATGGCCCTGCCTCATCAGCCTCTCTAGTCTCACAGCCTGCCACTCTCTGTCACCAGTCACACTGGCTTTCTTGCCAAGCTTGATTCTACCTCAGGGCCTTTGCCCTATCTGATCCCTCCAGCTGGTATGCTCTCGCCACAGATCTTTGCATAGCTCACTTCTTGCTTCATGCAGACCTGTACCGATATCATCTTCTCATAGAGGTGCCTGGCCATCTATCTAAAACAGTACCAATAGTCCTCAAAACTCTTTCCTTGTTTTGCTTTACTTTTCTATACAGTATTCATCATGACCTGACATTATATTACACATCTCCCCACTAGAAAACCTAGCTCCCAGTTTACCACTGCATCATCATTGTCTTAAAAAGTACCTGCGTATAGTTGCCATCCAGTAAAAATTAATATGAATAAATGGAACTAGAATTAGTTTTGTCCCCATCTTCATTATTTAAAATAATGTATGTGCTGAATGAGATACGGGCATGCATATGGAAATAGATCGTCACTCAGAATGACCTATTGCACCACATTCTTCTACATCCAGATTGCAGAAAACCCTCACAGAAATCACAGAAGAGTCCACAGTTGTTCAAAGGTGTGAAGAAGGGTTATTTGAAGAGCTCAGTTTCAGTTTTGTGTGACAATTGCATTCCTGAGGTATAACGAATGCTAGAGCCAGAGGAAACTTGACAGAGATCCAGATGTGATAGGGACATGGATACATAAGAGACTGAATGGATATTTCAGGTGAAGGGCAGATTTAGACCAGGAGCCAAGTCTAAGTGGTTATTAGGTATGGGTATTTGAGGACAATTATTTTCACTTTTGTTTCCACTACAAGCTATTAAAATTGTGGCATGAACTCATAAGCAGTCCAGGTGGGCACACCTTGTCTACACTTCTATCCTGTCATTGGCTAAGTTTATAAGGATCTGCCTTTGGCCCTTGTGACAGACACATTGGCATTGTTTGCTGCACCATTTTCCCTTCCTGGACACACAGGGGGACTATATTTCACAGTCTCCCTTGCATTTGGATTGGAGCCATTGGACTAATTTGCCCAAGGAAGGTGAGTGGAAGTAAGTAACAAATGTCTTCCCCAGCCATGTTGAACTTGGAAGGCACGTGCTCCCGCTGGCAAAGCTAAGGACAGACGTGGCTGCATGACTTGCACTGGACTGTGCTATGAGTGAGAAACAAAATTCCATTGAGTTCTTCTGCTGAGATTTTAAGATTTGTTCTTATTGCATAGTCTAGCTGAAGCCTAACTTCTCCTTTTCTTATTCTGTATACCGTTTCCACAGTGCCAGTTACAGTGATGCGTTAAACATCCTTATTTCCAGTTCAGAATTTCCCTGGAGCTCCAAATTTTTATGTTTAATTTCTTACTGGGCAATTCCAGTTGTGTATATCAAAGGCCCATCAAATTAAAACTCATTATCTTCCCATCTGAAACCTACTGTTTTTCTATTCCTTCTTTTGGTAATGGCATTTCAATTCACTTAATTTTCAAAATTATAAACATGAGCGTCATTCTTGAAGCCCGTTTCTTGCTTCTTTCAAGATTTTTTCTTCATTTTTAATTTTCAAGTTTTACTGTGATGCATTTGGAACATATTTCTTTGAGTTTACCCTGTTTGGGGCTCATTGAGCTTTTTGAATCTGTGGACTTTTCTTTCACCAAACATGGGGAGTTTTCAGCCATTACTTCTTCCAATTTTTTTCATAATCATATACCTTCTCTTCTCTTACTGCAACTCCAGTGACATAAATTAGATATTTTGTTATTGTCTCATGGATGCCTATAGATCTGTTTTTGTTTGTTTGTTTTTGAGATGGAGTCTCGCTCTGTTCCCTAGGCTGGAGTGCAGTGGCATGATCTCGGCTCACTGCAACCTCTACCTTGTGGGTTCCAGCAATTCTCCTGCCTCAGCCTCCTGGATAGCTGGGACCATAGGCACGTGCCACCACGTCCAGCTAATATTTGTATTTTCAGTAAAGACGGGGTTTCACCATGTTAGCCAGCCTCGTTTTGAACTCCTGACCTCAGGTGATCTGCCTGCCTCGGCCTCCCAAAGTGCTGGGATTACAGGCGTGAGCCACTGCGCCCGGCCATGGATCTGTTCATTTTTATTCAAAATTTTTTTCTCTCTGTTCAGATTGGACAATTTTTATCTTCAAATTTACTGACATCTGTGTGAGAGAAAGAGCACAAGAGCGAGCGAGCAAAAGAGACTTTTTAATTCTCTTGAGAATCACAGCTCCAAAGGTTCCCTTCCCCCAGAATTTTGGCTCCTGTGGGCTCCCATTACATATGACCTCTGCTACTGAGACCTAATCACAACACTGTAGAATGCTCCCCTCCCTCCACACCTTACCACCATGTTCCTGAAGTCCTATTTAAAGCAATTCCTTTTACCCAGTACATCGTGTCTGGCTATCAAGAAAAAAACTGCAAGGCACACTGAAAGGCAAAAAACACAATCTGAAGAGACAGAGCAACCATCAGAACCAGATATGGCAGGGATGTGTGAATTATCAGGAATTTAAAACAACTATGACTAATAGGCTAAGAACGCTAACAGATAAACTCAATCCCGAAATGGGCAGTTTAAGTAGAGAGAAGGAAATTCTAAGAAATAATAAAAAAGAAATACTCAGCCAGGCATGGTGGTTCATGCCTGTAATCCCAGCACTTTGGGAGGCTGAGGCGGGCAGATAACTTGAGGTCAGGAGTTCAAGACCAGCCTGGCCAATATGGTGAAATCCCATCTCTACAAAAAATACAAAAATTAGCTGGGCGTATTGGCGGCCACTTGTAATCCCAGCTACTCAGGAAGCTGAGGCAGGAGATTATCTTGAACCTGGGAGGCAGAGGTTGCAGTGAGCCGAGATTGTGCCACTGTACTCCAGCCTGGACAGAGTGAGACTATGTCTCAAAAACAAACAACCAAACACACACACACACACACACACACACACACACACACACACACACACACACACAAATACCAGAGATCAAAATCACTGTATCAGAAATGAAGAATGCCTCTAATAGGCTTACTAACAGAACGAACTTGGCTGAGGAAGGAATCTCTGAGCTTGAGGATATCTTACTAGACACTACCCAAACTGGAAAAAAAAAAAAAAAAGACTAGGAAAATACCAGAATATCCAAGAACTCTGGGACAACTACAAAAGGCATAAATACTCATAAGAGGAATACCAGGAGAAGAAAGAAAGGAACACGAGAAATTCCTGAAGCAATAATGTCTGAGAATTTCCTTCAAATTAATGCAGGAAAATAAACTACAGATCGAGGAAGCTCAAAGAACACTTAGACATATCATATGTAAATTACAGAAAGTCAAAGATAATGAAAATTCCTGAGAGAAGTTACAGGAAAAACACACTTACCTATGGAGGAACAAAGAATTACATCCGATTTCTCCTCAGAAGCCATACATGCAAGAAGAGAGTAGAGTGAAATATTTAAAGTGTTGAGAGAAAAAACCACCAAACTAAAGCTCTGTACCTTGTGAAATTATTCTCCAAAGTAAAGGAGAAATAAAGCCTTTCTCAGATAAAAATTGAGGACATTTGTTTGTCAATAGACCTGCTTTGCAAGAAATGTTAAAGGAAGCTCTTTAGAGGGAAGGAAAATTATATAGGTCAGAAACTCAGTTCTACACAAATGAAGAGCATTAGCTATGGAATCAGTGAAGGTAAAAGAAAAGCTTTTGTCTTATTCTTGAGATACTCGATAACACTGTTCAAATTTATAACAGCAGCAATGTATTCAATTACATATGCATATATATTTATGTATGCCCATGTGTAAGTGAAATGAATGACAGCAATGATACAAGGGATAGGAAGGAGGAATAGGACTATTTTGTTACTTAAAAAGTACTTGAAGTGGTATAGTGTTATTTGAAAATGGTCTTAAATTAGTTGTAAATGTATATTGCAAACTCCATGGCAACCACTTAAAGTAAAAAAAGATGTACAACTGATATACTAAGAAAGGAGAGAAAATGGAATTATATTAAATGCTTAGTTAAAACCACAAAAGGCATAAAAAGAGAGAACAAAAACAGGAATGAAGAACAAGCACAACAAATAGAGAACAGTGAAAATATGGCAGAAGATATTAACCCAACTACAACAGTAATCATTTTAAATGTCAGTTAAAAGATTGTCACAATGGATCCAAAAAGAAAAACAAACAAACAAAAACAAGACTCAAATTATATGCTGTGTTTGCCAATAATCCAGTTTAAATATAAAGACACATATATATTAAAAGTAAATGGATAGAGAAAGATATGCCATGCTAACATTAAAAAAAGATGAGTCACTAAATTAATTTCAGACAGAACGAACTTCAGAGCAAGAAAAAGTTATCAGAGACAAAGAGGGGCATTATATAATGATAAAAGAGTCAATCCTCTGAGAAGACCTAATGAATTCTTTTTTTTTTTTTTTTTTTTTGAGACAGAGTCTCAATCTGTCGCCAGGCTGGAGTGCAGTGGTGCGATCTCGGCTCACTGCAACCTCCGCCTCCTGGGTTCAAGAGAATCTCCTGCCTCAGCCTCCCGAGTAGCTGGGACTACAGGTGTGCACCACCACGCCCAGCTAATTTTTGTATTTTTAGTAGAGACAGGGTTTCACCATGTTGGCCAGGATGGTCTTGATCTCGACTTCGTGATCTGACTGCCTCAGCCTTTCAAAGTGCTGGGATTACAGGTGACAGCCACAGCGCCCGGCCAGTGGATTCTTAATATATTTGCACCTAACAACAGAACATCAAAATACATGAGGCAAAACTGATAGAAGTGCAAGGAGAAGTAGATGAATCCACTCTCACAGCTGGAGACTTCAACATCCCTCTATCAAAAGTGCACAGATCCAGAAGTCAGAAGATCAGTTAAGGACATAGTCAAACTCAATAATCCCATCAATCAATTGGATATACTTGGCATCTATAGAAAGAAATGTCAGTTTTTCTAAAAGCCAGTCATCATTGTAAATTGAGATTAACAAACAAAAGAAATAAAAACATTAGAAAGTACAGACAGTGAATGGGAACATATGGTTTTGTTCACTTATTCATGAGAAAATACAAAAAAAGTTTATATTTTTATTTTAACTAATAAGATGAGAGGACACGATGCTAGAATGACATTTTGGAAATTGCTTCAAATAGCTTGAATGTTCTAAACAAAATGAGTTCGATATAATTGCGTGTTTCTTCCAATAACCGTATTTTGAACTGTTTTATTGACCAGATTTCCTGAAGAAATCTAGAGAAATATTTTTCATTTTTCTTGCTATTCTTTATTTAATGACTAACTATTAAGTGCCAAAGAAGTCATATGATTTCCCGATATGGAAAGATTTTAAAGTTTGTATTGATCACACTTGGAAAATCATATGAAATAAATGAATACACAGACAATTATGTCCACTGGTTATAACAAATAACCAGATCCCACTAGTCCATAGATCTAGGAACATGAGCTAAAAGCACATGCACACCAGGTTTTCTCATTTGTATACATTTAAGGGATACAAGTGCAGTTTTGTTACATGGATATATTGCAGTGTGGTGACGTCAGGGCTTTTGGTACAACCATCACTCAAATTATATACATGTATACCCATTAAGTCATTTCTCATCCTTCACCCTCCTTCTGTCCTCCCACCCTTCTAAGTCTCCAGTATCTACTAGTCCACACTCTACGTCCACGTGTACACATTACTTAGCTCCCACTTATGAGAACATGTGGTATTTGGCTTTCTGTTTGTGAGTTTTTTTCACTTAAGATAACGGCCTTCAGTTCCATCCATATTACTGCAAAATACATGATTTCATTTTATGACTGAATAGTATTCCATTGTATATATATGTCACATTTTCTTTATCCAATCTCTTGACAGACACTTAGGTTGATGCCTTATCTTTGCTATTGTGAATAGTGTTGCAATAAACATATGAGCGCAGGTATCTTTTGGATATGATTTCTTTTTCTTGGGTATATAGCCAATAGTAGGATTGCCAGATGGATTAGTAGTTCTATTTTTAGTTCTTTGAGAAATATCCATGCTGTTTTCCATAGAGCTTGTACCAATCACATTCCTAGCAACAATGTATAAGTGTTCCCTTTACTCAGCACTCCGCCAACATCTTATTTTTTATCTTTTTAATAATAGCTATTCTGACTGGTATAAAATGATATATCATTGTGGTTTTAATTTGCATTTCTCTGATTAGTGATGAACTTTTTTCATTTGATTCTTAGCCATTTGTCTGCTTTTGAAAAATGTCTATTTATGTCCTTTGCCTACTTTTTAATGGGATTATGTTATTTTTGACATTTTATTTGCAATAATGTAGATGAATTTTGTAATACATGTGTCACATTGAATTTAATATAGATTAGTTGTCTAGACCACAAATTGAAGCTGAGTTTAGATCTTTAAATAGTTATGCCTTTGCTTTTAGAGCTTGCATATACATTAGTGGTATTTTACTTCCCAGGTATTGATCCTACACCTCGGGCATGCTGCCACCAGGGGGTAGTAGTGTGCTACTATCTTTCGGTTGTAAAGGCAACCTGAGTATTTCTGAGTTTCAAAATGGTGACAGCAAGCTCTTTCACAAGATGTGACTTATGGTCTTTCCTTTAAGTATATTTTTATGTTTAAACAAACATAAAATGACTAATTCTTTAGGACATTTAAAACTTACATTTCTATGATACATTTTTCTTTTTTTATTAGGAAATACTGACTTATTTCCTCTAAAAGGAATGTATTTTTCTATTTTTAAAGATTATAATCCTACTCCATCACACATGGTTGATCATTTTTATTTTCCCTGTTATCTTTTAATAAACTTATTTTAAATGTATATGTGTGGTTGAATCCATTTTTACCTAACATTTAATTAAAATATTTTCCTAAGTTGCTAAACAGACTTTATAATAATAGCTATTTACAAGGTTTTCTACTGGGTAGATATACCATAATAAAATAATCTTAAGTATTATTTATCATATACTGAACATACTGTGTGCCAGGTGCTTTAAATTTATCATATCTAAAATTCACAACCTTGCTAAGTAGGAATTGTGATTTTTGTTGTACAAATGAAGAAACTGAGGAGTTAAGCAACTTTTCCAAAGTCACACAGTCAAAGCTAAACTGACACACAAATACCGCTCTGACTACAGAGGTTCAGTAACAAGGTATTTCTGGAATGCATTATTTAAATATTCCACATTTTTTGAGAATTCAGATTGCTTCCAATTTTTCACTTTCATAAATATCAATATCTTTATGCATTATATCTTTTTCTCTCCTTTTGGGTTATCACTTTTGCATGGGATTACTGGGGCAAAAACATGTTTCTGTTTCTATGCCTCCTGGTATGTATTAACTCCTAACCTTTCAAACTTGCATTAAAACTTAAATCTGACATTTTTCAGCTTTCCTGACTAAGGGGTGCTTCAACATCAAAGCTCCTTAGGATTTACTTCCTTTCTAAAGCAACGTCAAAAGGCTTTTGGTTTTAAGGATCTATGGGTGAAGAGATAATGCAGGAAGCCCGATATGCTGACATGTGTGAGAGGCATCATTCACCACAGAAGTAGAAACAGCATGGATGGGTGAAAGTTGCAAGAAGGTAGGTTTATAAACAAATCCAACAACCATTTAAGTGTAGGAGCATTTCCAAAGTTGGCGTGAGCCTCTGTGGGAGGCTGAGAGCTTCCTGTCACTGGAAGTGTTTATGCATAGACTGAATGATCACTGAGAGGAGACTCTGGTGACTGACCAGTCAGGGCTGAGAACCACCTTTGGAACCCACGGTCCTCTAACTATAATGTGAGTCAGAGTCACATAAGCAAATGTCACTTTGGGTGGGGGCGGTGGGCTGGGGCAAAAATCATAATCATTACTTTTTGGATGGGATCTTCCTTTCAAACAAGTGTCTCAGGTGCTTCTTTTTGAGTAATGAGAAACACATTCAGAGAAACCTGTTCTAACTAAGTTAGTTCTTTTAAGATATTTGTTGCCACAGAAGAGCAAACTTTTTTTTTTTTTTAAGTTAAGGTAAAATCTGTTCTAGCTATGAGTTTTTCCTTGTGACTACTCCTGAGTACCTACATGCCTCTTCTGTCACATTCTAATTTTCTGGAATTCCAGATGTGTTGCTAAGATCATTCCTCCTTTCCTTTGTTACCAGATCTGTTGTTTCTTGGTTCCAACTTTGCTATCAGCACTGGACCAAGAATGGAAAACAACTAATAAACCCTGAATGTGCAACAAGGACCACAGGAACCAGCCACGGGAGAGTAGACAGTCACCAAGGTCAGGGTCACGTCAGGACAGCCCTGCACGTGTGCGGCCTGAGTGTTCCCACTCTCCGGGTTCACAGTGCAACAGACAGTGCCAGCTCACCACAGCCTTGTTTCCCCCAACTGACCAAGACTGGTCAGAATGTGTCAGATTTTGCATGAAAGACGCAACGTATTTGCTGTAAAATTTTAGGAATTACTAGAAAACAGGGAAGCCCCAAAAGGTAACACAATCAAGGCAAGGCAAAGGTTGAAGAGAGTACTGAAAAATCTTTTCAAACTGTTTAGAGAGGTAAGTACTCCTGTTTTGTTTCAAAAAGTAAGCTCAACTGTATTTAATTACTTTATTATGGATTTACAATGTATTAATTTAACTTTAAATAGATTACATATTATTTCCTGAACTGCATACTTATCAAGTCATAAATATTAATCCAGAAACAGAAACTACTGCAACATAGATTTAATTACTAACCAACCAACCAACCAGATAATTAGATTTATTAACATTAAAAGATTTATGTTATGTGAACATACACAAAAAAATTGACAAAATTACACAGTAAAATCCTTTCTCTAGAGTATTTGAAAAATAAGTTGTTCTTAGTAGTTGCCAATGATTCAGAAGTTCCTGAAGATATTGGGGTGGAGGAGTGCTAGTTATTTGGGCTTCTATTATCTAGAAACTCAATAAGAGTTTGTTGTGCTGGTCTGACAAATATCATCTGTATATGTGGATGAATAGTTTTCTCTCATTAGCTTCATCTCTTTATTTTTATGTGGGGATGGAAATATCTACTTTTTCCAGGGGAAGGAGGTCAGTGGGAGGGTGTGGAGGGAATTGGTTTCTGTGTCATGTGCAGTCATGTGCTGCTTAACAATGGGAATATATTCTGAGAGACGCGTCGTTAGGCAACTTCATCATTGTGTGAACATCACGGAGTGCACTTACACAAACCTATGTGGTGTAGCCTACTACACATCTAGGCTATGTGGTAAAGCCTACTGCACCTAGGCTATAGACCTGCATAGCAGGTTACCGGACTGAGTACTGTAGGCAATTGTAACACAATAAGTGTTTGTGTATCTAAACAAAGAATACACACAGTAAAAATATGGCATAAAAGATAAAAAATGGTACACCTGTCTAGGGCACTTACCATGAACGGAGGTTGCAGGACTGGAAGTTGCTCAGGGTGAGTCAGTGGGTGAGTGAGTGAGTGGTGAGTGAATGTGAAGACCTAGGACATTACTTACACTACTGTAGACCTTATAAACACTGTACACTTAGGCTACATTTATAAAAAATATTTTTCTTTGATAATAAATTTACTGTAACTTTTTTACTTTACAAAATTTACTTTTTTCAGCTTTTGACTCATAACACAGCTTAAAATACAAACACATTGTAGAGCTGTGTAAAAATATTTTCTTCCTTTGTATTCTTATTATGTAAGGTTTTTAATTAAATTTCTTTTTACTTTTACATTTTTGTTAAAAACAAAGACATACAGGAGTTCAAGACCACCCTGGCCAAGATGGTGAAATCCCGTCTCTACTAAAAATACAAAAATTAGCTGGGCATGGTGGTGGGCATCTGTAATCCCAGCTACTCAGGAGGCTGAGGCAGAGAATTGCTTGAACCCAGCAAGTGGAGGTTGCAGTGAGCCAAAATTGCACTACTGCACTCCAGCCTGGGCGACAGAGCACGACTCTGTCTCAAAACAAACAACAACAATAAAAATAACAAAAACAGACATAAACACACACATTAGCCTAGGCCTACACAGGGTCAGCATCAAAGTCATTATTTTCTGCCTCCACATCTTGTCCCACTGGCAGGTATTTAGGAGCTGTTATCTCCTATAACAATGCCTTTTTCTGGAATACCTCCTGAAGGACCTGCCTGAGGCTGTTTTACAGTTAATATTTTTTTCATAAGTAGAAAGAGTACACTCCAAAATAAAAATAAAATGTATCGAATAGTAAATACTAGGCAAAAGTAAATTTTCAGCTTCATTATAATGTTACGGGACCACCACCATATAGACAGTCCATTGTTGACTGAAACACCATTATGTGGTGCATGACTGTGATACTAAATATGTTAAGCCAATGAAATGCATAGCCCTTCATTCTTTACTGGTATTTCTTTTGGCATCACCATTACTTTTATGAAAATAAGCTTGTTCTTGAGCTGTTAATATTTGAGAATGCAAGGGAATCTTCTCAAGCTTAAGAATGATACATTATAAATTCAAAAAGAATACACACTAAACATTTCTGCAAATGTGCATTTTGAATGTTCTTATTCACCGCAGGTCAGTATGCATTGTCTCCTTCCCATCTCAGTGAATAATGTGCCTGTCTATACCTAAAGGGCAACCGTTCTGGTTTTTGTTTTTGTTTTTTTCTCTTGGCAGGAACAGTTGGAAATTTTAAACAATTTAAATATCAACTGACTTATGTTCTTCTTACTCTTTCATGGAAATGTCAAGCATTCATATTTTCAATGCTAATGAACAACCACCAATTGTTTTAATTTCATTATTTTCTCAACTGAAAGAGCACTTACAGAGCACAGAAATAACTGGGCTTTCTTTTTATATAGATCTCACTGGTAAGCCTGAAACAAGTTTAGATTGAAAGACAAAAAAACCTCCAATTTTCCCCCCTGAATAGGATCTCTTGATTAAACTGACCTTCTTTATTCACACCCCACCCCCACCCACCGCCAGTGAAAAAATAGGCCCCAAAGAGAGGATTTTAAACCCAGGGCTTACAAGGTCTTTGAGAGGTTGCTCAAGTCACTTGCTTATCTCTAGGAAGGACTGAATTATATTTGCACTGTCAGAAGTCCACCTACTCTTAAAAATAGCCAGAGAAAGTTCTGCCACCTTAAATGGTAACAAACTCTAGGAGAAACGGTTTTGCTTTCTCTCCTGTACCCAGGCACAGCACACAGCACACCACAGCAGAAAACTTGAATTGCAATCATTTTCAAATTCAATCTAAATAGTATGACTTGCTGAACAAACTCCTCCAGTGACTTGCTACTCCATGGGGGGAATGTTAGAAGAGATTTTGAAGATAACATTTCCCCTTTTAGCACTTAATGTCTGCTTTAGTTCACTAAATGACGTCCTCTAAATTTGGATAAGTAAATGTGTCTTCCAAAAGGATATACCTTTTCTCCTTGATCCTGAGGAACAATCTAGTAGTAGGAGATGAAGTTTGCATATGTGGTCCTGTTGCTGCTCTCTTAGAAGAATAGAGTGAGCCAGATGACATGTGACCCTCAGCTCATGGAGGCTTGTTTGGAAAATGCATGTGGGGAGAAGTGCTCACCATGCAGATGCGTGCTCTGGTACTGCTATAGTCATGGGATGAGGGGGCCACTGCCAGGGCAGGGGAAGGGCAAGGGAATGCTAATAACTGGTTTGGTGGAGTGTGTTCTCTGACTGCAGCTCTCAATGAGATGGCTTTCCTGACATGAAAAACACAGCAGGCATCTCTGTCACCTGAGCTTTTATTCGAGAAGTGTAACTTTCTTGTTCAGGGAATTCCCATTCCATTCTAAGGAATCAAGAGAACTAGGTTTGCAATCATCATCGTACTGCTATCTCCTACTCCTTCAATTACCTCCAACTTAATCTGATTTTTTTCTATTTATGAGGAAAAGACTTTTCAGTGTGCCGGAGAGAACTGTGCACTTACCTATTTAATCTGTACTGATTATGGAACTCTCTTTCCTTCACTGCATTATATTCATTTTGATACTTGAGAAGTTGTTCTCTCATTTTGGAGACCTCCGTGGAGAATGCTTCTGGAAAATTATCAGCTTGCTGCAGGTGAAACTGCTGCTGTTGTATTTGCTCAGTGAAACGTTTGGCATTCTGTAGCAGTTGGACCTCTGACTCTTGTGTGCTGGGTTACATGAAAAACAGAGACTCACATAATGAGACATGTACATCCTCGGTGGCTCCTGTGGGGGTCTAGTGAGGATAGCTGCTCCCCACTCCTCAGATCAACTCAACTCTGGGACATTTTTGTGCCAAGTCAGTTGACCCTTCATGTCCGTGAGTCCACATCTGTGGATTCAACCAACCACGAGGGAAAATTTTTGTTAAAAAATTGAGTCTGCTTCACCTTTGTGGTATTCTCCTCCAAAACACCTAACTCTGGCCTAAATATGAGAAAAATTCCAAACTGAGAAATGCTCTATAGAATACCTGACTGGCACTCTTAAAACTGTCAACGTGGCCGGGCGCGATGGCTCATGCCTGTAATCCCAGCACTTTGGGAGGCCGAGGCAGGCGGATCACAAGGTCAGGAGATCGAAACCGTTCTGGCTAACACAGTGAAACCCCGTCTCTACTAAAAATACAAAAAATTAGCTGGGCATGGTGGCGGGCGCCTGTAGTCCCAGCTACTCGGGAGGCTGAGGCAGGAGAATGGCGTGAACCCAGGAGGCGGAGCTTGCAGTGAGCCGAGATTGAGCCACTGCACTCCCGCCTGGGCGACAGAGTGAGACTCCATCTCAGCCGAGATTGAGCCACTGCACTCCCGCCTGGGCGACAGAGTGAGACTCCATCTCAAAAAAAAAAAACCCAAAAAAACAAACAAACAAACAAACAAAAAAAAACAAAAAATGTCAACGTGATTTAAAAAAAACAAGGAAAGACTGAGAAATTGTCACAGAGATCAAGGAGAGATGAGGGCTAAATATAGTGGGGTATACTGCATTGGGTCCTGGAACAAAAAAAAGAGCATTAGTGGAAAAACTGTTGAAAATCTGAAGTTTAATTAATAGTAATATACGAATGTTAACTTCCTAGTTTTGATGGACCATGGTTATGTAAGATGCTCCCATTAGAGGAAAATGGGTGAAGGATAGACGGGAACTTCGTATATTATTTTTGCAACTTTTCTATGAATCTAAAATTATTCCAAAATAAAATGTTTACTTAAAAATTGTTTATTTACTGAACATGTACAGACTTTTCTTGTCATGATTGCCTAAACAATACAGCATAACAACCATTTACATAGCATTTATATTGTATTAGGTATCACAAGTAATCTAGAAATGATTTAAAGTATACAGGAGGATGTGATTAAGTTACATGCAAATACTATACCATTTTATATCAGGGACTGGAGTATCCATGGATTTTGGTATCTGCAGGAGGTCCTGGAATCAATCCCCCAAGGATACCAAGAGATGACTGTACTATGCTAGGTGCAAGAGGTGAATAAGGCTTAGCTCCTAGCTTCAAGAATCTTACAATCTGGCAGATGCGGAGGAATACCAGATGACAAGTACTACCGCTGGTGTCCAGATCAAGACAGCAGGAGACAACAGAGAAAGGATCACTCAATGGGAATGTGACATTTGAACTTGACTTTGAAGAATGATTATGACTTACTAGAAGGGGATAAATGATACGGAAAGAGGAGGTTTTCCCTTGAACTCCCCAAACAACCCTAGCTCTCTTGAATTCTTGTAACATAATTGTAGGAAAATCTCTCCCCACTTAGTGAACTATGAAAAAACAGAAACTTTTCTAATGGCACTTTATTAGGAAACTAGGAAGAGAAATTCCCATACGCAATTATGAATATAAATAAATTTACAGATTTCTGATTCTAAATTGGACACTGGTTAGAGCTGGATGGACTTGAAGGTCACGGTAGAGGGAGATTCCTACAACCCCAGTTATATTCTATGACCTTGGCCCTATGTAGGGAAAAGGACTAAACATCTGTCAGAGGATGTAGAAAAAGGACATGGCGGAATCTCCAGTATCTTATAGAACTCCTCTATGCTGCAAGCTAGCATCAGCAAGCATCGGCTCCAACCTTACCAGTAGATATGATTCCTCTTTCCCAGAAACCCTTATATTAGCTACCTCTCCTATTTGAAGTAAGCCCTCACCACTTCCTGTTTTAGAGCCAGAGCTCTCTTTTGATGTATGCTCCCCACCAACTGTCCTCACCAAGATAAATCTTCAAGTTCCAGCTCATTTGCAGAGACGCCCAATGACTTGATCAAGCCAATCTCAACTGAAGTTACCTTGTGTCTGCCTCACCTTTGTGATATTCTCAATTCAGTACAGATACATCCATTTTCCCAGGTTTTATAATGTCATTTGCTCAATAGCATCTAGCAAAACATTTACTGGGACATAACACGTTCCAGGCATGATGTTAGGTACCAAATAGCAACAACAATAGCTACAGTGATACCTCAAATAATTTTCATTAATGAAAGCTGGAATTATTCTCCTATAATTCAATTTTCATGTATGCTAATAAACTTTGTAAATCTAAAGTTATCTGGTCTCCTTAATAGGTCAGGCTTCAGCTATTGAAATTGTAAGCTGTTGGACCAGGCTACAGTGCCTGTTTTTGCATAGAAAGGACAGGGTGGTAGGGTTCCAGCCAGAACACAAATCGCAACTTACCCACATGTATTTAAAACATGATACCAGTAGAAGAGACTTTAACAACTCTTATAACATGGTTTCTATGGAAGACTCATTCAGTTTCAGTTCAATATTTCCAGGCTATATCTGCCCAGCTGTAGTCCTAGCAGCACGAATGAAGAGTCTACTTCATGTTTTTCCCACCCATCAGGCATTGGGAGTAGGAGAGAATGGTGAGTATTTGCAATGGCATTAGAGGGAACTAAGTGGTCAAGATGTAAAATGTGGGTAGCAGAAGGGAAGTTAACTGTTTTGCAACACAACCTGGAAGAGGAAGAAATAGTGCCATAGCTGAGGTCCTGCATTGCTACTTGTCATTAGGGGCCAGGGAACTGAGTTGTGGGCCAGGGGAGGAGGAAGTTAAGTCAAAGCACCCTGCAAATCTCCACTGGGCTCTAGATAAGAGCTATCCAGGCTGGGCACGGTGGCTCACGCCTGTAATCCCAGCACTTTGGGAGGCCGAGGCGTGAGGATCACAAGGTCAGGAGATTGAGACCATCCTGGCTAACCCAGTGAAACCCCATCTCTACTAAAAATACAAAAAAATTAGCTGGGTGTGGTGGCGGGCTCCTGTAGTCCTAGCTACTCAAGAGTCTGAGGCAGGAGAATGGCGTGAACCTGGGAGGCGGAGCTTGCAGTGAGCCAAGACCAGGCCACTGCACTCCAGCCTGGGTGACAGAGGGAGACTCTGTCTAAAAAAAAAGAAGAGCTATCCAGAGGGCAGGAAACACTGATATTCCTTGTATCTGCAAAGAGGATTGGAGGGATGCCCAGAGAACTGCATGGCATTTCCTCTCAGTTAAGCAGTGTGAAGTATGTTGTAAAAGATTACTCCAGACTTTCCACTTAAAGTCTCAAAATTCCTGAGCCTTGAGAACTCTGAGAACACACTGGCAGGCGTGACCAGCTACGGGGGAATGGAACCTCCATTAGGTGTGGGGGTGAGGACTTGGCTTGGGCTTGAGGATGAGGAACCAAGGCTGGGGGCTTTGGAGGGGTGTGAGGAACCTGGGTGCACTTGAAGTTTGCATAGGAATGCAGCTCTGCTCTTTTCCAAGTTGTTCACTCTTCCCTCATGCTTTTACCCTCAAAGTAGCCAAATATCTCTGGGCAAGATAAGAAGGAGGGGAAGTGATTGGGAATTGCGGGGAGAGGATGGCTGGGGAGTGGCAGCATGGAGTTTCTATCTGTTGCTGTTGCTCCTTGGCTTTTGATGAAGATACAATGCAAGGCCCTGAGACAAGAGGTGGGGGAAGGAAAGAAAGAGGCTTGGGAGTGGTAAAGAATCACAGCACATTAGGGTTTTCCCTCTTTCTTCACTCCCCTGCCCTCTTAATTCCCAGTGGCTAATAGCCAGTGCTCAGGCAGGCTTGCTGGACTCTTCTATGATAGCCTGTTCTTCTGACCTGTTGGTGATTGGGACTTGCAAGGTGTAAGTAGCTTGTGATATGGGGAGGAGGTGAGAAGTACAGACAGGGTCTCAGCAGACTCAAGCTGGGGTTGTTGGAGAATCTACACCTCTGAGTGATGAACAGACACGGGAGAAGAGTCCTGCAGGTGTGTCCTATGCAGAGACTGTCAGTGTCCCACCAGAATCCTTTTGCCCACCTGCAGCTTTAGTGGACAGTTACCATATGTATCAGCAGCACCTGTGTCCCTCCGCCTGAGAGCTGTCTCTGGCCATCAAAGTTTGCTTGGTTTGTCAAAGCGCAAGCTGGAAGTGCCAAGAGCTAATCTCCCTGGAAGTAATTTGTAATAAATGAGTGGTGGAAACTGGTGGGCAAATATTCCAGTTTCCTCACTCTTCAGTGGGAGAGTGCTGAGGTGAGCCACTCAGAGGCTCCTCTGTGAGGCTGAGCCCCAGTAGCCCATCATATAAACTCGCAGATGTACACGGCCTGATCAAGGCTAGATTCCTTCCTTCCCAGTCGCACTTCCCCACTCTCTCACGATGCTTTCTCGTACCACTTCTCAAACTCCCTGAACGCAAATCCTTGCCTCAGGGTCTGCTTATGGGGGAATGCAAATGAAGACAGGTCTCATCACCAGTAAGAAATTTAAAGGTGATTAATCATGTCTCCATATTGGTAAATTGCATACCTCATCACGGCGTCATGCAGCAAGGTATACTTGGCTTTTAACGCTGCCATTCTGGTTCCAGGAAGTTTTCCCATAGCATGTAACTAGCAAAGAGAACATAAGGTCACTGTTAATCACCATTCTCTTTAGGCTTAAGCAGGGGATGGAATGGATATATGGTTATCTTATAAAATCCTCCATTAAACATTAGAGGATACACGAGGCAATGTAGTGTACTGGAAACATGCCAGGTGTTTGGAGAAAATAGTGCTAGTTCTATTCTGCCCCCAGTACATTCTGTGTCCTCAGGCAAGTCTTTTCAACTCCCTAGGCTGTTATTTCTTTGTCTGGAAATTGAGAGGATTGAGTTAAATTCTTCTAACTCTAAAAAAAATTTCAAGGTTTAACAAACAATCTGAATAGTGTAGATTATAGGTTGGCTATTTGTAAGTTGAGAAAATGAATGGTTATTGAACAGCTATTAGAGTATGTGTTGCCCATCAGTTATTTCATTCTTAAAAATGTTGTGAAATAAAGATTATCATCTCCATTTGAAACTAAAGTTTAGAAAAATGATTTGTTCAAGGTTATAGAGCTAGTTAAAGGCAGGGTGAGAATTTAAACCCAAGTGGTTCAGCTCCAAAAACCCACGATCACTCCCCTGTACCGTGATGCCTTTGCCTCTGCTGTCAAAGAAGCATGGAAAGTTTTCCAATGCATAAAGAGGTACTATTTATTCCCATTTTATTTCTAGTTAAAATGACTTTTGATCTGTTTTCTGAGTTAGGTGATAATTAGTTAACAGACATCATAAAACATCGTCAAACACTAAAGTTTTACCATCCTAAAATCATAATGCAATGAGCATTTGTATTAGGTTTGACTTCAACTGCTAGTGACAGTATCAAAATAGAACTAAAGAGAATATTTGTGTTTTTCAGCCCTGTTGTTCTTACATTTATTTATTTATTTATTTATTTATGACGGAGTCTCACTCTGTCGTCCAGGCTGGAATGCAGTGGTGCAATCTCGGCTCACTGCAACCTCTGCCTCCCGGGTTTAAGTGATTCTCGTACCTCAGCCTCCCAAGTAGCTGGGACCACAGGGGCACACCACCACGCCCAGCTAATTTTTTGTATTTTTAGTAGGGATGGGGGTTCACCATGTTAGCCAGGCTGGTCTTGAACTCCTGACCTCAGGTGATCCACCCACCTTGGCCTCGCAAAGTGCTGAAATTACAGGCGTGAAAGCCTGGCCCTTACCTCTAAAGTGCTTATTGAATTCATCCACTTTCCTCTTCCTTCCCTGATCCCACTGGCCCAAGTCTCATCATCTCTCAATTGGACCACTACTAAACCTCCTAACTGCCCTTCTGCCAGGGAGATCTTTTTAAAAATCAGACAAGGTTATGTTATGCTGGGTGATCAAAACACTTCAAGTGGAATAAAATTCAAGACCCTTGGTATTCAAGACCTTGAGGTCCTGCCTGACCCCAACACCCCCACAGCCTCCTTTCACAACACACTCTTTAAGCTCCCAGTGCTTCATTGCTTCTGCCACACTGGCTGCCTTTGATTTCCACAGATGTATGAGTCTCTCTTTTTCTCCAGGGCCTCTGATTAGTCATTCCTTACTCCCCCTACTTCACTCCAAGTCTTTCTTCATGTCTCAGCTTAAATATGAATTCATAAGAAGGCCTTTTCTGACTTCCAAATCTAAAGAAGATAACCACGTGTACTTGCTCCTACCTCTAAAGAACGCTGAGCTTCATAACATTACAATCTGCAAGAATAAATTTACTTACATTATTAAAAACATTTTTATACTTCCCCAGCTAGTATATAAGACCTATGAGGAAAGGGCCCAGATTACCTTGTCCTTCACTGTATCCTCAGCCAAAGTATTACTAGAATCCCAGGCACAGTATAATCCCAGGCACAGTATACCCAGGTGCTAGGTAAATTGCTTATATTTGTTAGCAAATGAATGAATGCAGCTATCAAAATGCAAAAGTCTGAGTCTATACAGTGGGGTTTCGTGGTCTTTCTACCCGCATCAGGGTAGAAAAATGTTAAATGCATTATGAAACCATTTCTTCTTTGTGAAAGTGTTGGGGATCTTTCATGAGGGCCATACTATCTGGTGCCAGGCCTGGCTTCCAATCCCTACAACCCTCATTATTTTTTTAATCTATGGGTGAAATATGGTGAACAAGATCTTTAAGACCTTTGAGGATACTCTACCTGTATCAAATATCTTAAAATCTATTCATATGCCACCTTAAATATAATTTATTTATAACTTTTTTTTTCCCCAGAGATGGATTGTCGCTCTGTTGCCCAGGCTGGAGTACAGTGGCGCTATCTTGGCTCACTGCAACCTCTACCTCCCGGGTTCTAGCAATTCTCCTGCCTCAGCCTCCCAATTAGGTGGGACTACAGGCGCATGCCACCACACCTGGCTAATTTTTTGTATTTTAGTAGAGATGGGGTTTCACCATGTTGCCCAGGCTGGTCTTGAACTCCTGAGCTCAGGCAACCCACCCGCCTTGGCCTCCCAAAGTGTTAGGATTACAGGCGTGAGCCACTGCGCCCGGTCTATTTGTAACTTTTTAACTGTTGAGTTGCTGTTGGTAAGTCGACTTAATGTTACATTTTACAGATATTTATTTTGGTTCTGCAGTATTTTTTAGCCAATATATAATTTATTTCATGTTTCAAACATTTTCATTGGTTTCCCAAAGTATACAGACCATAGTTACTATGGCTTTAAAATCTAATAAGTTAAAAAAAAAAAAAGCCTTTACAAATGGACACACTTAAAGGAGAAAAGTTGCTGGGAAAAGATTATGAAAAGGTAAATATGTGAGTGTGTGTTTGTATGTATATGGGTACAATGAAGACCAACTAGGGGCTAGCCCAGTAACTAGCTAACCAGCCATTTTCTGAAGGTAAACTACTGGGTAAGGTAATTGTGGACTCAAATATTCAAAAAAACAGATAGTATTTAGTTTTGTTCTTAAGCTAAAAAGACCATTACTTCCTACTTAATGCTCCCTGCATAAAAAAAACAGAAATGAATATAACATAGGCTCTGCCTTAAGGTAGGCCAAAGTTTGAAGAGATAGATACAAAAAAAAAAAATGATAGAATACTGAAACTACATTCTGCAGTTTTATTTTAAGTAAATGATTGTATTTGGCATTTTGCAATGTTTTAATATTGCAAGTTAAAGCAGGAGTTCCCAGCCCCTGGGCTTTAGGAACTGGGCTGCACAGCAGGAGATGAGCAGCGGGCAAGTGAGCATTACCACCTGAGCTCTGCCTCCTGACAGATCAGCAGTGGCATTAGATTCTCATAGGAGCATAAACCCCATTGTGAAATGCGCATGTGAGGGATCTAGGTTGTGCACTCCTTAGGAGAATGTAATGCCTGATGATCTACGGTGGAACAGTTTCATCCCAAAAGCATTCCTTCTGCCCCACGGAAAAATTGTCTTCCACGAAACTGGTCCCTGGTGTCAAAAAGGTTGGGGGGCTGCTGATTTAAAGCAAATAAGTAAAATTATAAATTACAGACCAATCCAGGGGGTGGGTGGGACTTCCAAAATGGTGGGATGAAGAGTTTGATGAATTCTCTCCTTCAAAGAAACATTGATTTGGCCGGGCACTGTGGCTCACGTCTGTAATCCCAGCACTTTAGGAGGCTGAGGCGGGCAGATCACCTGAGGTCGGGAGTTTGAGACCAGCCTGGCCAACATGATGAAACCCCATCTCTACTAAAAATACAAAAAAAATTAGCTGGGCATGGTGGCGCATGCCTGTAGTCCCAGCTACTTGGGAGGCTGAGGCAGGAGAATCGCTTGAACCCCAGAGGCAGAGGTTGCAGTGAGCTGAGATCACGCCACTGCACTCCAGCCTGGGTGACAGAGTGAGATTCCGTCTAAAAAAAAAAAAACAAACAAAAGAAACAAAAGAAGCATTGATTTAACTGGTCAAAATAATCTGAGACAACCATTTAAAGTCTCTGGAAATTGACCTAAGGTTATATAATAAATTGAGAAACACTTATTCAATAAAATCTACTGAAGCTCAGCAAGAAACTGTGGCATTTGAACCATGGGCTGCATCCATCCCTCTAGCTTCAGGTTTCAGAACTATTCTGGGCAGGCTTGCAGCCAGTGAGGTGCCCATGTCCCCCACTTTCCTATTGCTGAGGATCAAGATCTATCCCAGGTGAAGATCTAAGAAACGGTAGCACTCAGCACTCATCCTCCCCTTCTTCCCCATGGGCAGCTGTAGCTGTTCGGTAGTGCCAGTACTCACTCCCTAATGTCCTGCTCTACAGGGAGACCCTGGGCAGGGCAAACAAAACAGATCAGAGTTCCCCATATCCCCAGCTCCTGCTCAGTAACACAGAGGCTCTAACCAGGTTGGGGGCTGAGCAAGCTGTGAGGACTTGCAGCTCTGCAGCCCTGCCTTTGACTTTATTTGGAACAGAGTGTAGGATATTCATGTCCCAGAGCAATGTAAAAAATAACAGACATAGAAAAACAGATATCATAAGGGCTAACAGAGTAGGCTAATAGTTTTGTGATGCTAATAGATGCAGACCAGCAGAAGTTTAACAGAGAAATTGGGACGAGGGACAGTAAAAAAATTCACACTTGATACTGGTGGTCCAGGAGACTGTGGAAAAGCCCACGGCTGTGACCACCCAAGATCAACCAGACAGGGTACTTCCAAGTCAGTCCCTGAGTTAAAAGTGGCAGATATATAAACTCCTCGAACTCCAAAAGTTGTTCCCAAGCCACACACAGACCCAGTGGAAAAGGATGAAAACCTTACTGGCTCAGTGAGCTTAAGCGTGACCTCTGACCAATCAGTGACTGACCGAGGGCAACACCCAGGAATTCAAGTTTAAAAACAAAAAAACAAGGAACAACTATCTAAGCAGAGACATTAGAGGCTGCCTACTGCGGGGGAAAAATATACTTCACAGTATTAGTCCAGCCAAGTCACTAAACAAATAAATAGATGAACAACAATAACAAGAACAAAACAGCATCAATAAGCCTGGGAAGGATCAGAATCCAGAGTTGTTACAATATATGACCTAAAATGTCCAATTTACAATGAAAAATTATGAGACTTGCAAGGAAACAAGAAAATATGACCCCCATCCCATATAGTGAGATCCCCAGTTCCTTTCTGCAGAGGAAAAAAAAAAAAAACAACAACAACAGGCAGAAACTTTCTTAGGGAGGATGCAGACGTTAGATTTAACAAAGACTTCAAAGAAAATATTATAAATATGTTTGAAGAATGAAAGAAACCATGTTTTAAAAATTAAAGGAGAGTATGATGACAATGCATCAAATAGAGATTGTCAGTAAGAAGAAATTTTTAAGGAGCTACACTGAAATTCCTAAGTAGAAAATCATAATTGAAAAATTCACTGGAGGAGTTCAACAGTAGATTTGAGCAAGCAGAAGAATCAATCGGTAAACTTGTAGATCAGTAGAGAAGGCAGTAGTGCCCACTTATTCATGGGGGATGTGCTCCAAGACCCCAGGAGGATCCCTGAATGGATAGTACCAAACCCATTTATGCTAGGCACAAATTTATTTTCCCTTCTTCACAATTCACAGATAAGATTTGTTCTTACTGTAGATCTTAGCAATCTCAGCAAACTTTTTTTTCTTTCCTTATTAAATTGAGAACTTTCACTTTTTCACTTAAAGAAAGCACTTTATGGCTTCTCTTTGGCGTATCCAAATTGCCACTATCACTGATCTTGTGCTTTGGGGCCATTATTAAGTAAAATAAGGGTAACTTGAAGACAAGCACAGCAATCCTGCAACAGTGGACCTGGTAACTAAGACAGCCACTAAGTGATTAATGGGTGGGTAGCATACACAGTGTGTACATGCTGGACAAAGGGATGATTCACATTTCAGGTGGGATGGTGTGGGAACATGAGAGATTTTATCACACTACTCAGAATAGCATGCAATTTAAACTTATGGATTGTTTACTTCTGGAATTTTCCACTTAATATTTTTGGACCATAGTTGACCACGGATACCTGAAATCGCAGAACATAAAATTGCAGATGGTGGGGGGGACTACTGTATATAATTTGAATAACAGAGAGAAAAAGCATGAAGACACACAAACAGATTGTCACAGAAATGGAGGACATTAATCCCACTAAATTACAAGTAATGGGAGAACTAGAGAAAAAGAGAACAGAAAACAAACTTAAAGAAATAAAAAACTTTGCAAATGGGATGAAAACATATTCAGGAGCTCAAAGAATCCCAAGTAGAATCAACAAAAAGATATTCACATTCAGATACATCACAAACTGCTGAAAGCCAAAGATAAAGATAAATCTCCAAAGCAGCAAAAAGCAAAACAAAAAACCCCAGCTTATTATGTACAAGGGAATCACATAAGAGTAACTTCTCATCTAAAATAATGGAAGGGAGAAGGCAGTGGCTGACACATTTAAAGTGAAGAAAAAACAGACACACACACACACACACACACACATACCTGTCAACCAAGAATCCTATATCCATCAAAAATATCTTTCAAATAGGAAGAGGAAATAAAGACATTCCAATATAAACCAAAATAGAGAAAATCATTGCTGGCACACCTGCCTTATAAGAAATAATAAAGTAAGCTCTTCATGCTGGAAAGAAGGAACAATAACTCAAATCCACGTGAAAAAGCAAAGAGTGTACTCAATTAAATTGAAGATATATGCTCATATAAAAGCTTGGACACAAATATGGCAGCGTCATTCATAATAGTAAAAAAAAAGAGAAACAACCTACAAGTCCATCAATTGACAAATGGACAAACAAAAAATATATATCCATAGGATGGAATATTCAGCCATAAAAAGGAATGGAGTCTTGATACCTGCTGTAACATGGATGAACTTTGAAATCTATACACTAAGTGAAAGAGGCAAGACACCAAAGGCCACATATTATGTTATTCATTTATATGAAATATCCAGAGTGGGCAGATCTTTGGAGACAGAAAGTTGATTTAGTGGTTTCCTACACATAAGACAACTAGTGTGAGGGGAATGACTTTTAATGGGCACAAGGTTTCTTTGGTGTCACGGAAATATTCTACAATTATGCCATGATTATACAACTCTGTATATATACTAAAAGCCATTAAAAACACTTTAAAAGAGTGATTTTTATGGTAAACTCAAGAAAACTTTAATGTCAATTACATTAGAAATCAATTTTCTGTGTAAAAGAGATACAATTGTAAAATCAAATTAGTGAAAACACTACAAAGTTAAAATTGAATTGCAAATACAAGTATGAACTAACTCATGCTTAAAATTTTTTTCCCTAGCTTTGTCCATTAAATAGCCTAGACCGCACACCTACAACTATCTGATCTTTGACAAACCTGACAAAAACAAGCAATGGGGAAAAGACTCCCTATTCAGTAAATGGTGCTGGAGTAACCGGATAGCCATATGCAGAAGATTGAAACTGGACCCTTTCCTTACACCGTACATAAAAATTAACTCAAGATGGATTAAAGACTTAAATGTAAAACCTAAAATTATAATAACCCTGGAAGACAGCCTAGGCAATACCATTCAGGACATAGACACAGGCAAAGATTTACTGATGAGGACACCAAAAGCAACTGCAACAAAAACAAAAATTGGCAAACGGGATCTAATTAAACTAAAGAGTTTCTGCACAGCAAAAGAAACTATCAACAGATTAAATGACCTACAGGATGGGAAAAATTTTTGCAAACTATGCATCCGACAAAGGTCTAATATCCAGCATCTATAAGGAATGTAAATTTACAAGAAAAAGCCAAATAACCCTACTAAAAAGTGAGCAAAGGAAATGAACACTTTTCAAAAGAAGACATACATGTGGCCAATGCCAACAATTTTATGGAAAAAAGCTCAACATCACTGACCATTAGAGAAATGCAAATCAAAACCACAATGAGACACCATCTCACACCAGTCAGAATGGCTACTGTTAGTTGGGGGAGGGAGAGCATTAGGAAAAATAGCTAATGCATGCTGGGCTTAATACCTAGGTGATGGGCTGATTGACAGGTGCAGCAAACCACCATGGCACACATTTACCTATGTAATAAACCTGCACATCCTGCATATGTACCCCAGAACTAAAGATAACAATTTTTAAAAAGTCAAAAAATAACAGATGTTGCTGAGGTTGTGGAGAAAAAGGAATGCTTATACACTGTTGGTGGGAGTGTAAGTATTTCAGCCATTGTAGAAGACAGTGGTGATTCCTCAAAGATCTAAAGACAGAAATACCATTTGATCCAGCAATCCCATTAATGGGTATATACCCAAAGGAATATAAATTATTCTATTATAAAGACACATCCATGTGTATGTTCATTGCAGCACTATTCACAATAGCAAAGACATGGAATCAACCTAAATGTCCATCAGTGATAGACTGGATGAAGAAAATGGGGTACACATACACCATGGAACACTATGCAGCCATAAAAAAGAATGAGATCATGTCCTTTGCAGGGTCATGGATGGAGCTGGAGGCCATTATCCTTAGCAAACTAACACAGGGGCAGAGAACCAAATACCACATGTTCTCACTTATAAGTGGGAGCTAAATGATGAAAACACATGGACACATAGAGGGAAACAACACACACTGGGGCCTGTCAGAGGGTGGAAGGGAGGAGAAGGGAGAGGATCAGGAAAAACTACTAATAGGTACTAGGCTTAATACCTGGGTGATGAAATAATCTGTACAACAAACCTCCATGATACAAGTTTACCTACGTAACAAACCTGCACTTGTATCACTAAACTTAAAGGTTAAAAAATATATAATGGTCTAGAAATAATGCCACATTAACAACAATGAGCACTCCTAATACATTTTGGTCTTTAATCTTATTTCCCACTAAAAGGAAGCAGCAAGTGTTAGAAATGGTTGATTTCAGGTCTGGTACAGGGAAGACACAAAGTGAAGCTGAGACATCTTGTTAAGCCAGAAAGCAAGAACTGTCCGTAGAAGATGATCTTATTTTACATATGAGTATGTGAATATATAGAGATCCAGAAGGATAAGAACTAAGATGTTAAAATGATGTGCTCTGGGTAGTAAGAATGTGCTGCTTTTATGTTTTTATTTTTGCTTGCCTGTGTTTTCTAATTTTTCCAATATGTATTACTTTTAATAACAAAAGGCTATTAAAAATGTGCTTGCAGACTATCACTGTAAACAAGAGGGAATTAGAGCAGAATTTAGAGAGAATTAGAATTTAGAGAGTACTGTGATCAGGTCCTAGTGGCAGATATAGGCAGATTCTAGCTCTGACTTACTGAATGCTCAACTGTATTTCCCCTAAGTTGAGTCCCATCTTTAACAGCAATGGTGGCCAGGCGCCGTGGCTCACGCCTGTAATGCCAGCACTTTGGGAGGCTGAGGCAGGCGGATCACGAGGTCAGGAGATCGAGACCATGCTGGCTAACACGGTGAAACCCCGTCTCTATTAAAAATACAAAAAATTAGCCGGGCGTGGTGGCAGGCACCTGTAGTCCCAGCTACTCGGGAGGCTGAGGCAGGAGAATGGCATGAACCCAGGAAGTGGAGCTTGCAGTGAGCCGAGATTGCACCACTGCACTCCAGCCTAGGCGACAGAGCAAGACTCCGTCTCAGAAAACAAACAAAAAAACAGCAATGGTTTGAAGCCTAATTGTAGGTGGGCCAAGGATACATGTTGGCTAGTTTTATGGCCACAGAAAAGCAGGAAAACTACAGAGGTTTCCTTTCCTGTTTTCTGTCTCTATCATTCTGCTGGCCTTTGGTGCCTTACAAACCTGCAAAGAAAGCTGACAGGGTAAAACACCTGAATATGTTCTTGCAGTTTCTACATAAATTGGAAAAGGTAAAGTCATAGATGTTCAGAATGTTAGTTGATAAACTTTGTTATTTCAGTCTCCTCTAAAAAAACAAATCTCTCTTAAAAAAACTAAACTGTGGAGAATAGATTTTAGCTGCCTTAAACATAAAAAATCATAATCTAGACGTCAACATTCATCAAAAAGTGACTTTTCTGTGAAATTATAAACTGTCTCTTTAAGCAGGTCGATCCCTGGTTAGAAACTTCACACTAAGTTCTAGCAGATAAAAATGCTTCACTCATAAACAATATCATACATGGAAAATGGTTGCATTTTCACATTGCATGATACAAGTGGGTGCAGAACTCAAGTTTGTCATGTTTCAAAAATGCAGAATCTAAGAAATATAGCACAAAGTTCAATCTTAAATTGTCAAAGAGCATACACAATGAAAGGTTAGATATAATGTCATAAGTTCATAAATATGATTTCACAATAGATTCTGTGTTATTGAATTGCCCTGCTGGCAATTATGTGACTGGAAGGAAACATTTACTCTAGAGATAAAGTTTAAAAAGAGTTCATGATTCATGGATGACATGTAACAATATGGAAAAAATTTCAAAAATGGAAATTCTAGGACATTTCAAGGAAGTAATAGCTCAGTAAGAGCTTTCACCAAGTGAGTTTATCTGGAAGGGGGTCAGCATGAGGAAAGAATTAGGTGTTTGCGTGGGTGTGTGCAGGGAACCTGGATTTGTCCAAGGTGGTCACAGCTATTTGCCTACCCTGTTCTTGTGACTTCTTTGACATTACCTAGTGGGTTGGCTTCATTCTGGGGAATGGCTGGCATGCTTTGGAAGGTAATATAAATGTGAAAGCATAAGTGGTTACCACTCTCATCTCCCTTTCGCCTGCTCCCCTCTCACTGCTGGAAATAAACAATACGGCCATTTCAAGTAGTTTCCAAATGCATTGAGCTCTCAAAACTGCTTCCTTTGACTTTTCCCATAGGTTATCTCAAGCTTTAGCTTTCTCACACACCTAACTCATTCACAGAAAATATTAGGCCACATATTCCTTTCCTCCTCCACCTGTGCTTTCAAATATATGCTCTCCTACCTTTTCCTAGGCATTGAGTCATCAGTAATAGCTTCTCTCCTTTTAATCTCTACTCCTTCCTTTTTTTTTTTGAGATGAAGTTTCGCTCTTGTTGCCTAGGCTGGAGTGCAATGGCGCAATCTCAGCTCACTGCAACCTCCGCCTCCAGGGTTCAAGCGATTCTCCTGCCTCAGCCTCCTGAGTAGCTGGGATTACAGGTGCCCGCCACCATGCCAAGCTAATTTTTGTATATTTAGTAGAGACGGGGTTTCACCATGCTGACCAGGCTGGTCTTGAACTTCTGACATCAGGTGATCCACCCACCTCGGCCTCCCAAAGTGTTGGGATTACAGGTGTGAGCCACCACGCACGGCCCTACTTCTTCTTTTTTACTGGCTAGCATAGTCTAGTAGTCAAGTATATCACAAGTCAAGTGGATTTTGTTTTGAATTATAGCTCTGCTAGTTTTTGTTTTTTTTTTTAAGGCAAAGTCTTGCTCTGTTGCCCAGGCTGGGGTACAGTGGTGTAATCATAACTCACTGCAGCCTCGAACTCCTGTGGCTCAAGCGATACTCCTGCCTCAGCCTCCCAAGTAGTTAGGACTACAGGTGTGCATCACCATGCCCCGCTAGGTTTTCTTAAAATGTTTTGTAGAGATGGAATCTCACTACGTTGCCCAGGCTGGTCTCGAACTTCTGGTCTCAGGCAATCCTTCTGCTTTGGTCTCCCCAAAAGTGATGGGATTACAGGTGTGAGCCACCATGCCTGGCCAGCTTTGCTATTTTTTAAAACTATGTAACTTGAAGTGATATTTAACTAGTCCTTGCCTCAGTCTCTTCAGTTGTAAGAGAGAAAAAATGAATCAATGTACATATGTAGTATAATATCTTAGTGTACAAATAAAGTCTTAATCAGTGTTAGCTATTTTATTATAATCATTATCATTATCTTCAACCTATAAATTTGCTCATCTCTCTCATTTCAAAAACAAACAAGACAAAATCCATCTTGGGCATAGTGCTCCCATTTAATTACCTTCTTTCTCTCCTTGACTTTTCATTTCAATTCTTCTCAAAAGAGTAGTCTCTGCTCTGTCCCTTCATTCCCTCCCCTTTCATCACTCAGCAACCTGTAGTAACCAGACTGCCAGTACACTATAAATTAGTAAACTGACTGAGGACTTCCTTACTTGTCTTCCTTGAGTCTGTCCTGCATGCTGCCAGCAGAATGCTCCATCGAAACACAATTCTCACCTTGCTTTAGACCCTTCAAAGGACCTCATCACCTTCAGAATTAAGTCTAGGCTCCTCAACATGGTGTACAAGGGTCTTCATTATCTGGTAGCTGCCGCCTTCTCCAAACCTGTCTCCTCCCTCTATCTCCCATGATGCTTTTGGTTCTGTAATAGCAACTACAATTCCTGTGGTAGGTAGAATAATCTCCCGCATCCCCCAGGATGTGCATGTCCTAATCCCTGGAACCTGTGGATGGCTTTCTTCACATGACAAAAGAGACTTTGCAAATGTGATTAAGAATGGCCCCTTGAGATGGGGAGATTATTGTGGATTAACCAGGTGAGCCCAATCCAATCATGTGAGTACTTCAAAGCAGAGAATTGTTCCTGGCTAGATTTGAGACATGAAATGAAAGGAGAAGGAGGAAAGATCTGAAATATGAGAAGGACTTGACCTACTGTTGCTGACTATGGAGGAAGGCGGTCATGAGTCAAGGAACGTAGGTGGCTTCCAGAAGCTGGAAAAGGCAAGCAACTAAATGCTCCCCTGGAGCCTCCAGAAAGGAATGTAGCCATGATTACACCTTGATTTTAGCCAACTGAGGCTCAGGTTGGACTTCTGACCTACAGAATTATTAGATGATAAATTTGTGTTTAAGCCACTAAGTTTGTGGTAATTTGTTATGGCAGCAACAGAAAACTAATACAGTTCCTAAACCATACCATGTTTTTACATGTTATTTCTACCTATCTGCAATTTCTTTTCTCTCTTCTTATCTACTTGGAACACTCCTATTACTCCTATTCTTCCTTTAAAGCATCTCAGTGGCCACCACCTGTGGCTCCTTCAAGTGACACCTCCAGGTAGAATCAATTAGTTCTCCCTACTGCTGCTGTATTTTCAGATGCCTCTATTATTTCACACGTTGTACACTGTGGTCAACATGTTTAAACATTTACCCCCCCATTAGACTGTGCATTCCTTGATGACAGGAACCCTGCTCTATTCATCTTTGAGTCCTCACACATAATTTGACATCCTATAAGTGTTTAATAATTTCCATTAACTGTTGTTGATCTAAGCTTATCTTAAAACCAATGATGCAGTTAAAAGAATTCATGTTTATTCACTCACTTCCACTGCAATTTATCTGTCACACAAGGCAAATGTAAGAGATGGAGCAGAGCAAGGTAATTTGGCCTGTCCATAGGCCTGGAAGAGCAAAGTGTGCCTTACAAAACTAGCTGCCTTGCTCACAGCTCTTCTGCCTTCTGTGTGGTTGGCAAGGTTCACAGGATGAGCAGAGAACTCTGGGACTGTTCTCTCACAGCTGTTTGTTCCTTCTTTGGTGGCCACAACAGGAATGTGAGGGGGAGGTCAAAGGGGGCAAACGGGGCCTCCCAAGAGTTAAGAGAGCAAATGCGATGGGCAAGGTGGGTGAGTAATGCAGGTGCTTAGCCACATGTATGACTTCAAAGTTGCAATAATTTTAAGATAAATAAATAAAAATCATGCCTAAACACATCCATGCCAATAAGTGTCATTCCCTTTAAGTCACCCACATTTGTCCTAGTGAAACTGCAGTTGCTTAGACCTTTAACAATCATTTAACCCATGTTTAAAATTATTTCCTCTCTACCTCCAAGGATCCTGGGGGGAGATGGTAGCAGGTTGGAGTGGCTGTGAGCCCGAGAGGCAGGAAATAAGCCAGACTGAAACCCATATGCCTCTGTCAGAACTTCAAAGACTGAACCAATGGTAAGAGCAAAGAACCTAACAGGGCCAAAGCTGTGAAGCGTATTCACATAAGGATCAGAACACAGTCGGAGTCAGGAAACAGAGCCAGGATAAAACCACTAGAATAAAGTCACAAAACATTAACCAGAAGAGGCAGGGAGTGGCCTGGGTACCAGAAGGAATTCTGTTGCAGGATGTGACGGACTAATCAGTGTTTAATCCTTCCTAGGCAGAGGCTCCACCACCGGTGCATCTGTAAAGGCCTGGAGTGGGCTCAGGCAGTGAGAAACTGGAAATGGAGCCTGGGCCCTTAGAGACCAGAGCATCTCTCATACAAGGGCTACACATGTATGAAGAAGATGTACATAGCTGGTCATTTGTTACCTCACTTTGTTGATCACAGACAAAAGCCACTTCCCTGACCTTGTCCTAAGGGATTGTCATTGTAAATGTGGGTGAGCCCAGAGAACAGTGGGCTGGATCCCTGGGTTTGGCTGCTTTCTATGCTGCCAAGTAGTGGACACCCACCTTTCAGGCCCCCTTTTATGTGCTGAGATCACCTCCCTTCTTAGCTGTCTGTCAGTATACCCCAGCTCTAGGCTGCAAGACTTCAGTGTGGGGACAGAGGTGCTCCCCACAACAAAGTCTGGGACCTCTGGTGCCCCACCTTCATGTTTTGAAGATGCTGTTTCACCCAGCGTTCTTTCCAGTATTCATCAGTAATAGTGCATTTAGCATGGAGGCATCCCCGAGTGCCCTTCACTTCCCCTTCTGCCAGGCAGATTGTGATGAACAGTGAAGCCTTTCACGGCTACTCACAGAAGTAGTCTTTAAAAAAGAACAAGAACTCAAAATTGCAACTTGAACTTCCCCACTGATACCATAAAATGGAACTTGGGAGCAGAATATAAGGATGTTTGAGTTCCACTCTTGCTAATTCACTGGTAAGGGGGCTTGAAATCCTGGCCGCATGTTTAGACAAGTCTACTCTGTTAAATTATTTCCCAAGTACTTTATTCTTTTTGATTCTGTTGCAAATGAAATCTTCCCCTCAATTTCATTTTTTGGCTCATTTTATTGCTAGTGTATAGAAGCCATTCAGTTTTGTTCGCTGAAATTCTCATTTGTCATGTAAATACAGGGCAAACCTCAGAACTCAGGTATGAGCCCTTTTATGTTTTCTGCAAGTGTTTCGTTTTGGGTGAATATCTTTGGCTCTTTTGTTCACTTGATAGATCCTGAGCATCTAGAACACTGCCTGACACTCAGGTTCTCAAAAATGTTGAATGAATCAGGCCACCATCTCTCATGCATTTCTCCATGAGAGCACTTATTTTTATGTGTTGAAATCATGCTCATATGTCTGTCCATCAGATGGGAAGTGCGCTGAAGCCAGGGATCATTCTAGTGTCCTAAGAACCCTGCACGGTACATGTCACACACCAGGTGCTCAGCACATGCCTGAAGACTCTATGGCTATGTATCAGGGTGGGGGTGCAGCATGAAGGGTTGAGCATATCACCAAAGGAAATCTCAATGTGTGGTGTTCCCTTTCCACATCCACATGTGATTTGGGCCACTCATAGAACTAACACCAGCAGATTAAACAGTGTGTATATGTGCATGCCTGTGTATGAAGGAAAAAGAACATAAATTTGATATTTATCATGGGTCATATGGACTGGTTGACTGTATGTAGAATACACACTTGCTATACAGTTTGGAATGGATATTAAAAGCCTTTGAATTGAAAACTTGTCAAACATTTCCTCCTGACACTGCTATCCAGGCAAAGTCAATGATGTGGTCTGGATCTGTGTCCCTGTCAAAAATCTCATGTTGAATTGTAATACCCAGTGTTGGAGGTGGAGTCTGATGGGAGGTGACTGGATCATGGGGGTGGATCCTTTATGAATGGTATAGCACTATCCCCTTGGTGCTGTCTCGTGATAGAGTTCTCATGAGATCTGGTTGGTTTAAACTGTGTAGCACCTCCCTCTCCTCTCTCTTGCTTGTGTTCCTGCCTGGTAAGATGCCTGCTCCTGCTTTGCCTTCCGCCATGAGTAAAAGCTCCCTGAGGTCTTCCCAGAAGCAGATGCCTCCATGCTTCCTGTACAGCCTGTGGAACCATGAGCCAATTAAACCTCTTTTCTTTGTAAGTTACCCAGTCTCAGGTATTTCCTTACAGCAATGGAAACTGGACTAATACATTCTGCAACTCAATGTGATCCGCCTCCAACAACACACAACTCAGCCTATAGTTACTCAACAGAAATCACTTCAGTAGATTGGTGGGCCAAATTTAAGTATCAAAGAGATTCAAATCCCTGAGTAAAGCAGAAAATTCAACACCTGAGTATTTGAATCCTAACAAACACTTTTTGGTGAGCAAAAGAATAGAAGTTTAAAAATAACTAAATGGGTATTATAAAGTGTTGCAGGAAGTCAGGGACCCCTAACAGAGGGACTGGCTGAAGCCACAGCAGAAGAATATAAATTGTGAAGATGTCATGGACATTTATCAATTCCCCAATCAATACTCTTATAATTTCCTATGCCTGTCTTTACTTTAATCTCTTAATCCCGTCATCTTCGTAAGCTGAGGATGTATGTCACCTCAGGACCCTGTGATGATTGCATTATCTGTACAAATTGTTTGTAAAACATGTGTGTTTGAACAATACGAAATCTGGGCATCCTAAAAGAATAGGATAACAGTGATTTTCAGGGAACAAGGAAGACAACCATAAGGCCTGACTGCCTGCGGGGCCAGGCAGAAGAGTCATATTTCTCTTCTTGCAAAAGCGAATAGGAGAATTATCACTGAATTCTTTTTCTCAGCGAGGAACAGCCCTGGGAAAATAAATGCATTCCCGGGGGAAGCCTCTAAAATGGCTGCTCTGGGAGTGTCTGTCTTATGCAGTTGTAGATACGGGATGAAATAGGCCCTGGTCTCCTGCAGCGCCCCAGGCTTGCTAGGGTTAGGAAATTCCAGCCTGGTGAATTCTAGTCAGACCAGTTGTCTGCTCTTGAACCCTGTTTCCTGTTAAGATGTTTATCAATGACAATGTGTGCCCAGCAGGACATGGACCTTCATCAGTAATTCTAGTTTCGCCCTGGACTTGTGATCTCTCTCTGCCTCTCTGCCCTTGTGATCTCAATCTGCCTCTCTGCCCTTTGATATTTTATTACCTTTGAAGCATGTGATCTCTGTGACCCACACCCTATTCATACACTCCCTCCTCTTTTTGCTGGTTTTGCGGCTCAGGGGGCATCACAGAACTTGCCGACATGTGATGTCACCCCCGGAGACCCAACTGTAAAATTTCTTTCTTTTGTACTCTTTCTGTTTATTTCTCAGACCAGCTGACACTTAGGGAAAATAGAAAAGAACCTACATTGAAATACTGGGGGCTGGTTCCCCCGATAATAAAGTGTTACATTTAAAAGTTCTAAAGTTAGAGCCTCAGAATCTTTTAGTTTATGTACTAATGTGAACCAGTTAGCAACCTTATAAATCTCTGTAAATGCTATAATTGACTTGTAACAGAAATAGCTATTACCCATCATAATTTCATAACAGATTATCCCGGAATTTCCTTGGAAAAGGGTGGGAATATTCAGAAATTAACAGTTTTCCAAGAAAACTGTTTTGTATGATATTTAGAGACACAGTTCTTCAGCTTATCTTGGTTTTTTAAAAAGCAGATAGAACCATACATAACAAAGTATAATTTTAAATTTTTCATTTGATACCAAACTTTGATACCTAAGCAAAGTAGAAGGAAAACTTTTTTAAGTTTAAAAAATAGATTCTAACAAACAGTTCACCAAACACAGCTGTTTCTAGTTCACAAAATTGACCATTACAAAATATTTTAATGTGTTTTCTGGCAAACATAAATTGCCTCATTTCATGGAAATGTCACATTTCCAGTTGTTACTGATAGTTTATAACAGTTTAAGGATATATAAACAATTTCTATAGATTTCTACATCAGAAAAAGAAGGTAAGATAGTACTTAAATCTCTTAAAATATGTAAGATAGACCTTATTCATGTTGTAGTAGTATATTTCATGCCACAGATTGCAAATTAACAATCAACAGTATAAATACACTCTGCAGGTGCTTTTAGTGTGCACAAGTTTTTTTAAAAAATAGAGAATTCATTGGCAACACTCAAAAATTGGGGCCAGGCATGGTGGCTCATGTCTATAATCCCAGCTCATTGGGAGGCTGAGGAGGCAGGATCACTTGAGCCCAGGAGTTAGGGACCAGCCTAGGCAACATAGTGAGACCCCCATCTCTACAAAAAATAAAAAAAAATGGCAGTTATTTAGAAGGCTGACATAGGAGGATCACTTGAGCCTGGGAGATGGAGGCTGCAGTGAGTTGTGATTGTGCCACCTGGGTGACAGAGTGAGACCCTGCCAAAAAAAAAAAAAAGAGAATTGGTAGATTTTACCATAAAAATCTGAGTTTTCCACTTTTCTTCAAAAATTATTATGCTTGATGACACTGGATTCATATTCCACTGGATTCACTGTTGCAAATGCAGCATGACTTTCAGAGCTACCATAAGAGTACCCTTTTAAAAAGGGGCACAGTCTGCCCCATTCGTTCAATGTGTGCACACATACCAAGACAACTATTTGACTCACTCATGATATATTTATGGGCCTTGTGGGCATTTGAGATTGGGACCTTGCTTTATAATTTATATATACATACATATGTATCTATTGCATATAATATTTAATATATAAAATTTATATATAAATTATAACCTTATAAATTACAAAGGTTATAATTCATATATAGGTATATAAATATACACACATACCTACATACAGTCATGTGCTGCAAAATGACATTTCAGTCAATGATGGACCACATATGCAATGATGGTTCCATAAGATTATAATGGAGCTGAAAAATTCCTATTGCTTACTGACAGTGTAGTTGTCCTGACATTGTAGCACAACACATTGGTCATGTGGTTGTAGCGATGTTGGTGTAAACAAACTTATTATACTGACAGTTGCATAAAACTATAGCACAGTACAGTAATGTCCTAGGCCTTCACATTCACTCACCACTCACTGACTCACTCTGAGCAACTTCCAGTCCTGCAAGCTCCATTCACAGTAAGTGCCCTATATAGGTATGTCTTTTTCTTTTCTATTATATTTTTACTGTACCTTTTCTATGTTTAGATACATTTAGATACTTAAATACTTGCCATTGTATCACAATTGCATATAATATCAGCACAGTAACATGCTGTACAGACTTGTAGCCTAGGAGCTATAGGCTACACCATATAGCCTAAGTGTATAGTAGGCTATACCATCTAGGTTTGTGTAAGTACACTCTATGATGTTTGCGCAATGATTAAATAGTCTAACAATGTTTTTCTCAGAACATATCCTTCTTAAGTGACACATGACTACACCCATATAGAACTATATATTTATATAACTCTCTCTCTCTCTCTCTATATATATATATGTATATATAGTTAACAGGGATATATATGTAGAAAATATTTTGAAGTTGTAGTTGACTGACATTTTCCACATATATGTATATATTTTCACATATATTTATAATGTCATGGCTCTATTTCTAAAACATAAATATGTAGCTGAATTTCTATTTTATATATATGTATACATATGTGCATATACATACACACATATATATACATATGTGTGTGTGTGTGTGTGTGTAGAAAATGTCATTCACCTGGTTGAAAGAATGGCTCCCTGGTTCTAAAACTGTTGCACAAGCTTTTTGGAATGTCTTATTCCTTGGGATTGTGTCTGTCTCTCTTGCCCATCTCTGTACCTACCTGAGCATAACGTTATATGACTGTATCATTTGAGGTTTAGAACTTAATACTTTAAAATTCTAGAGATTTTCTTACTCTGTTTCCATATTAACCTTTGATAATTTAATGAAAAGATCATATAAACATGAATCTGATCCTTTGTTCACTAATCAAAATATTTTAAAATTATAGTAAAATATTTTGCTACTTGGATATTAATATGTACTTTCAATACAATAAAACACACACTGTAGAACAAAAAAAAGTTAAAAAGATTATGAAGACACTGTGAGAAAATGTGTTGGTCAGCTAAATGTTGTTAGGGCTGCAAAACAGGAAACATTCAGTTAACATGAAAACCTTTCTCTTATCTGCATATGTTATCCTTGGAGTTAATGATCCCTTTGGCACTGTACTTTATGAGCTTTGACAAAAAAGCAAATTATAATTTGTAAGGGAAATGCAGACAAATTCTGAACAACTTTTCCCAGCAATTATTTTAGCAAAGGTTTGAGCCAAATAGGAAGTAAACATCCAGTAATGTAGACAAATGAGAAAATTATTTCCAGGCAAGTTAAGCACCAGCAGACTAGGGATTCTAAGAGAGGAGTTATCCAGACAAAAATAAACTTGAGAAATTGCATAATTCTTCCTTCTGGTGAGATGGAAGACTGACAATTCCATTAAGAGGGGTCCATTTCCATCTTTTTTTCACCACTATATTCCCAAACTCAAGATGGTTGAGAAACTTGAGCAAGGTCACAAAGCTGGCCTGAGGCTTTGTAGGGACTTGATTCTGTTAGTGAATCAGTAACTATTTTTTATAAATGAATAACATAATCTTGCTGATGGCATAGAGGCAGTGTGAAGCGCATTTAGAAAACTTTAGGTAGTCCAGGTTGGCAGGAATAAAACACCATCTGGGGGCGGACAGTATCCAAAGAAGAATACTATGTCGAATTAATGCTGTGAGGAATGGAGGGGGAAGAAGCTAATTTCACTATAACTTACTGTATAAAACTAAGAGATAATGGTCAAAATTACAAAAAAGAGGGGACAAAGGCATTATATAATGGTATGAATATAAAAATCACCATTATAACAAAAGCACAAATCTTCCTAAATTACAGAAGCTATACTATGAATTGAAAAAAGACTATTTATAAATATAAAGAAAGGATAAACCTTAAAATGAGTTGTTACAGGAAAAGGGAGGAAACAAGGTGGGGGGGTTAGGGATACAAGCTAGAATTCTTTAAATATACTTTAACAATGTAGTACTTTATTAAATTAAGAAGCAATTATTAGAATTTGAAAAAAATAAACCAATTGAATATAACTATGTATCAAAATATAATTTCATGGGAAGGAACCATTCCAATTTGAATAGGAATCCTAAGTAGATTTTGCCCTAAGGACAAAAAGACCTGCAACTATTTTTTTTATAATCACATTGTTGGTAGTAGTGTTATTCTGAAACAGTTATGTGTAAACTGTGGGATAAAGTCAATGAATAATTACATAATGTCATTGAAAATCAGGATTTTGATGTGGAGAAAAGAGACATCTATAAGACTGAAGAGGTTAAATAAATTCCCTGTGTAATTATTGACTTTGAATTGGCAATATTATGATGTATTTTATATATACATAATCTATCTTTCCTAGTTCTGTCCATTAAAAAGGCATAGAAACAAAGATTAACCTAGCAGCAATGAGTACCTCTTACTCCAAGATTCTAGTCTCTAAATACCATTTCCCACTTAAAGAAAAAGGGGAGGCTCCTTTGGAGAAATGACTGATTCCAAGTTTTGAGCATGGAAACAAATGAGCCTCCAATGCTTCTGTCATATCAGAAAAGCAAAAAATCTACCCAAGACTACTAGAATCATGTCAAAGGGATTTGGAGTCATGTCAAAAGGCTCCCACTACCCAAAAAATGGGCCAGGAGGACTGGCAATGAGCTAACAACTATAAAGGATGGGAATAACTATGTTTAAGTAAATGAGTTCACAGTAATACTTCAAAAAAAAAAAAACACCAAAAAAATAAAAACACCCCACAACACCTCTCACCTTTGAAGGATACTGGGGAATCAATTAATCATTTTGAAAACCTGAAAATCAAGTATTTATCATGCCTCTACAGCAGGGTAACCAAATAACTGAGTGGAAGCTTCTCTTTTTAGAAGGATTCTAATAAATAAGTGAAGAGAAAATAATAGTATTATAATATTGTCATTTAAAATTCCTAATGAATTAATAGACCCAGGCAAGTATTATTAATAGCAGGTAACATCACTAAAAGGGAGACAACCAATATCATGTGCCTCCTGATGAAAGTTCATGCAACCAAGAGGCATCCCATTTTGTGAATTCAAACTATACTACAAGGCTGTAGTAACCAAAATAGCACGGTACTGGTGCAAAAATAGACACACAGATCGATGGAACAGAACAGAGAACTCAGAAATAAAGCCATATACTACAACCAACTGATCTCCAACAAAGCTGACAAAAAGAAACAATTGGGAAAGGACGTCCTACTCAAAAAAATGGTACTGGAAAAAGTGGCTAGCTATATTCAGAAGAATGAAACGGTACCCCTGGCTCTCACCACATATAAAAATTAACTCAAGAGGGATTAAAGACTTGAATGTAAGACCTCAAACTATATAAATCCTAAAAGAAAACTTTTAAACATTAGACTAGAAAAAGAATTTATGACTAAGACCTCAAAAGCAAATGCAACAACAACAAAAATTGACAAATGAAATTTAATTAAAGAGATTCAGCACAGCAAAGAAACAATCAATGGAGCAAACAGACAATCTACAGAATGGGAGAAAATATTTGCTAACTATCAGGCTGACAAAGGACAAATATCCAGAATCTATAAGGAACTTAAATCAACAAGCAAAAAACAAATAACCTCATTAAAAGGTGGGCAAAGGACATGAACAGACACTTCCCAAAAGAAGACATATGAGTAAACAATCATATGAAAAAATGCTTGTCATCATCAGATAAATGCAAATGAAAACCACAATGGGATACCATCTCACACCAATCAGAATGGCTATTATTAAAAAGTCAAAATATAATATGTTGGCAAGGATGTGGAAAAAAAGGAATCCTTATACGCTGCTGGTTGGAATGTAAATTAGTTCAGCCCCTGTGGAAAACAGCATGGAAATTTTTCAAAGAACTAAAAATAGAACCACCATTTGACCCAGCACTCCCACTGCTGGGATTCTCAAAGGAAAAGAAATCATTCTATCAAAAAGACACCTGCACTCTTATATTTATTGCAGCACTATTCACCATAGCAGTCATGGAATCAACCTAAGTGTCCATCCATTAGGATTAGATAAAGAAAATGTGATACATATACACCATGGAATACTATGCAGTCATAAAAAAGAATGAAATCATGTCCTTTGCAGCAACATGAATACAGCTGGAGGCCATTATCCTAGGTGAATGAATGCAGAAACAAAATCAAAGTATTCATTTTCTAACTTATAAGTGGGAGCTAAACAATAGGTACACATGGACATAAAGATGGAAACAATAGACACTGGGGACTTCAGAATGGGAGGGAGGGCAGTGAGGGTTTAAAAACTGCCTACTGGGTACTATATTCACTATTTATGTGATGGGTTCAAGAGAAAGCCAAACCCAACATTATGCAGTATACCTGTGTAGCAAACCTGTACATATAACCTCTGAATTTAAAATAATAATTAAAAAGAAATGATAAATGTTTGAAATGACAGCTATGCTAATTAACCCGATCTGATTACTATACATTATAAGTATCAAAACATCACTATGGGTAGAGCAAGGTGGCTCATGTCTGTAATCCCAGTATTTTGGGAGGCTGAGGTGGGAGAATTGATTGAAATCAGGAATTTAAGACCAGCCTGGGAAATGTGGTGAGACCTTGATTCTACTAAAAGTTAAAAAAAAATTAGTCAAGCATAGTGGTGCACACCTGTGGACTCAGCTACTCGGGAGGCTGAGGTGGGAGGATGCTTGAGCCCAGGAAGTCAAGGCTGCAGTGAGCTGTAATTGCGCCACTGCACTCCAGCCTGGGTGACCAAGTGAGATCTTGCCTCAAACCACCACCACCACCACACAAAAAGCCATCACTATGTAAACCATAAATATGTACATGTGACAATAAAAAATTTAATAAAAACTTGAACAACAACAAAAAACAAAGTTGATGGCACCACCTAGAAAGTAGCCTTGGCAAAAAAAAAAAAAAAAAAAATTAATGTGACCTGGATAAAACATTTATGCACTAAGGCTCTATGATTATAATGGAAATACAGGCTTACTATTAAGCAAAATCCAGATTATGGAAAAATTTATGGGACAAATGGCCCAGCTTCTTAAAAAAAATTTTCTATTACATTACCACATTACCTTACCTCTTGCCATGTAGGCTAGAATCTGCTAATGACACTTACAGGCTTAGCCAATAACCATGAATAATTTACTCTTTTCTTTTTTGTTTATTTATTTATTATTTGTTTATTTATTTGAGACATATCACTGTGAATGGGATTTTTTTCTTCAATTTTTTTTTTTTTTTTTTTTTGAGACGGAGTCTTGCTCTGTCACCCAGGCTGGAGTGCAGTGGCGTGATCTCGGCTCACTGCATGCTCCGCCTCCTGGGTTCATGCCATTCTCTTGCCTCAGCCTCTGAAGTAGCTGGGACTACAGGTGCACGCCACCACACTCGGCTGTTTTTTTGTATTTTTAGTAGAGACAGGGTTTCACCATGTTAGCCGGGATGGTCTCGATCTCCTGACCTCGTGATCCGCCCACCTCGGCCTCCTAAAGTGCTGGGATTACAGGCATGAGCCACCATGCCCAGCCTTCAATATGTTTTTGAACTTGTTATTCTTATTAAATAGGAAAGCTTATTCTTATTATAATAGGAAAGCTATATATTTTTCTTCAATATGTATTGAACTTATTATTAAATAGGAAACCTATGTATTTGTATATTTATTTTGAAAATAGTCACCTTACTGTACTATAATATTATTTTGTATTTTTTATGTAGGCATTTATGTCAGCTACAGATAATGGTCATTTGTTCTTTCCCATATGTATGCATCATTTTCTGTCTAAGTGCATTGCATATAATTCATTTTTTGAAAGTGAATTATATGCAATGATCATGCTCATATCAGGCACCCTTTCCTTATTTCTGATTTTAATGGGAACACTCCTGGAGTTTCACAATTAAGCATGACATTGGCTATTTGTTTGAAGTTAGTGTTTAAAAGAGTAAATAGGCTGGATGCGGCAGCTTACACCTGTAATCTCAGCACTTTGAGAGGCTGGGGTGGGCCGATCACTTGAGGTCAGGAGTTCAAGACCAGACTGGCCAACATGGTGAAACCCCATCTCTACTAAAGATAAAAAAATTAGCCAGGCATGGAAAAGCACGCCTGTAATCCCAGCTACTCAGGAGGCTGAGGCAGGAGAATCATTTGAATCCAGGAGGTGGAGGTTACAGTGAGCTGAGATCACGCCACTGCACTCCAGCCTGGGTGACAGAGTGAGACTCTGTCTCAAAATAAATAAATAAATAAATAAAAATAAAAAAAATAAAATAGAAGCAGCACAAACCCTGTAACAAAGCAATTCCATTTCTTGGTGAATAACCCTTCAAGGTGCATGTACAAGTATATGGAGAGACATGTACAAGAATGCTCAAGTAGCATTATATCTAATAGTTGAAAACTGGAAACAATCCTAATGTCAATTGGAAATACAACAGATAGAGGACTAAACATACAATAGAAAAATACATGCAATAATATCAATGGTTCTTACAAATATAACATTGAGTTAAATAATCCAGACACAAAAAATACATTTTGTATGATTCTATTTACATCAAGTTTAAAAAACAGGCACAGCAAAAGGAAGGTGTTTAGAGATTCATGCTTAGGTGGTAAAACTATGAAGAACCACAAGAAAAAAATGATAATAAAAGTTAGGATAGTCGCTATGTTAGAGGGGGTGAAGGGGGATAAGAGGAATTACTGAGAGCTAATGTTTTATTTTTTGACCTGGGTGGTGGTTACTTGGGTATTTGGTCTGAATTATACATTTATAGATACCCTAATGTATATCTAATATACTTCACAATTTTAAAAGATTAAAAACTATTACAAGATTGATATAGTTTGGCATTGTGTCCCTGACCAAATCTCATGCTGAATTGTAATCCCCACTGTTGGGAGAGGGACCTGGTGGGAGCTGGTTGCATTAGGGGTCAGATATCCCCCTTGCTGTTCTCATGATAGTGAGTTCTCATGAGATCTGGTTGTTTGGAAGTGTGTAGCACCTCCCCTTTCACACTCTCTCCCTCCTGCCCCAGCCATATAGGACATGCTGGCTTCCCCTTTGCCTTCTGTCATAATTGTAAGCTTCCTGAGGCCTCCCTACCCATGTTTCCTGTACAGCCTGTGGAACTATGAGCCAATTAAATCTCTTTTCTTTATAAATTACCCAGTCTCAGGTAGTTCTTCATAGCAATGTGAGAATGGACTAATACAGAAAATTGGTACCAGAGAAGTGGGGCATTTCTATAAAGTTAAGTAAAAATGTGGAAGCAGCTTTGGAACTGGGTAATGGGCAGAGGTTGGAACAGTTTGGAGGGTTTAGAAGAAGATAGGAAGATGAGGAAAAGTTTGGAACTTCCTATAGACTTGTTGAATGGTTGTGATCAAAATGCTGATAGTGATATGGACAGTGAAATCCAGGCTGCAGAGATCTCAGATAGAGATGAAGAACTTATTGGGAACTGAAATAAAGGTCACTCTTGCTATGGTTTAGCAAAGAGACTGGTGGCATTGTGCCCCTGCTCTAGGGATCTGTGGAATTTTGAACTTGAGAGAGATGATTTAGGGTATCTGGTGGAAGAAACTTCTAAGCAGCAAAACATGTAAGATGTTCCCTGGCTGCTTCTAACAGCATACACTCATATGTGTACACAAAGAGATTATCTGAAATTGGAACTTATATTTAAAAGGGAAGAAGAGCATAAAGGTTTAGAAAATTTGCAGGCTGACTATGTGGTAGAAAAGAAAAATCCAGTTTGTGGGGAGAAATTAAAGCCAGCTGTGAGAATTTGCATAAGAGGAGCTGAATGTTAACAGTCAGGACAATGAAGAAAATGTCTCCAAGGGCATTTTACAGATCTTCACGGCAGCCCCTCTCATCACAGGCCTGGAGGCCTAGGAGGGAAAAATGGTTTTGTGGGCCAGGCCTAGGGCCCCACTGCTCTGTGCAGCCTTGAGACATGGCACCCTGTGTCCCAGCTGCTCCAGCTCCAGCCATGGCTAAAAGGGGTCAAGGTACAGAATGGGCTGTTGTTTCAGAGGGTACAAGCCCCAAGCCTTGATGGCTTCCATGTGGTGTTGAGCCTGTGGGTGTGCAGAGGGCAAGAGTTGAGGTTTTGGAGCCTCTGCCTAGCTTTCAAGGGATGTACGGAAATGCCCGGATGTCCAGGCAGAAGTCTGATGCCAGGGTGGAGCCCTCATGGAGAACCTCTACTATGGCAGTTCAGGGCAAAAATGTAGGGTTGGAACCTCCACACAGAGTCCCCACTGGAGCACTGCCTAGTGGAGCTGTGAGAAGAGGGCCATCGTCCTCCAGGCCCCAGAATGATAGATCCACCAACAGCTTGCACCGTGCACCTGGAAACGCCACAGGCAATCAATGCCAGCCCATGAAAGCAGGTGCAGGGGCTGTACTCTGCAGAGCCACAGGGGTGGAGCTGCCCAAGGCCTTGAGAGCCCACCCCTGTGTCAGCGTAGCTTGGATGTGAGACATGAAGTCAAAGGAGATTCTTTTGGAGCTTTAAAATGTAATGACTGCCCTGCTGGGTTTTGGATTTGCATGGGGCCTGTACCTACTTTGTTTTGGCTGATTTCTGCTTCTTGGAATGGGTGTATTTACTCAACGCCTGTGCTCCCATGTATCTTGGAAGTAACTAGCTTGTTCTTTATTTCACAGGCTCATAGGTGGAAGGAACTTGCCTTGTCTCAGATGGGTCTTTGAATTTGGACTTTTGAGTTAATGTTGGAATGAGTTAAGGACTTTGGGGAACTGTTGGGATGGCAGAATTGTGTTTTGAAATGTGAGAAAGACATGAGATTTGGGAGGGGCCGGAGGTGAAATGATGTGGTTTGGCTTTGTGTCCCTGCCCAGATATCATGCCTGTAATCCCAGCACTTTGGGAGGTAAGGCAGGAGGATTCCTTCAGCCCAAGAGTTCTAGACTAGCCTGGGCAACATAATGAGACCCCATCTCTTAAAAAGATTAGCTGGGCATGGTAGCATATGCCTGCAGTGCCAGCTACTTGGGAAGCTGAGGTGGGAGGATTGTTGGAGCCCAGGAGGTTAAGGCAACAGGGAGCTGCTGTGATCATGCTACTGCATTCCAGCCTGGGTGACAGAGTGAGACCCTTCATTTTTCTGATTTGTATATGGGAGATTTTGGAGTGGCAGTAGTTAGGGAAGTAGGTTAAAAGACAAAGAGAAACAGAATGAAGGACAGAAACAGGAAGCTCTCTTCTCTGCCCAGGCAGCATATATCTAACATAGCAGTAGTTATAGTCATGTGCTGCAGAAAGATGTTTTGGTCAACAGTGAACCACATATAGGATGGTGGTGCCATAAGATTATAATATCATATTTTTACTGTGCCTTTTTTTAGATACACAAATACCATTGTGTTACAGTTGTATACAGTATTCAGTACAGTAACATGCTAGCACACTGTACAGATTTGTAGCCTAGGAGCAATAGGCTATACCACATAGCCTACATGTGTAGTAGGCTATACCATCTAGGTTTAAGTGTACTCTATGATATTAGCACAACAGAGAAATTGCCTAATATTGCATCTCTCAGAACGTATTCCTGTCATTAATAGACTCATGACTGTAGATACTGTGCCACCTTTGTGGTCTAATTTGGAATTAATGACTCTAAAAGTGTCCATTTTGGAGTTATCAAGAGGAGAACCTAATGATGTGGCAAAGTGAAAGGGAATTGAGGGGTTCAGAAAAGGTGTCCTTACTGAACCCTGCATAAGGCCAAACATGTTGCCTGTGCCCAAGGCTGGGTCTGGCTTGAAATGCATTCATCTACAACTTAAAGCACCACAAAGTCAAGGATGTGTCCGTTTTTCACCCTTGTTATTCCCAGGGCTAGTATACAGCCTAGTCCAATAAATGCAAAGTAAGTGTTTGTTGAATCAATGAATACCTAAAAAGAGGTAGATCTGTACATTTTCTAGTAGAATGATTTAAAGTACAGTCTGAATTTATGTTTATATCTTGATGATCTGCTTTGCTATTATATTGCTTCTAATTAATAACATTTAGAATCATAAAATGTTACACCTGAAAAGGACCTTACAGATCTCTAATCTGACCATCTCATATTAGAGATAAGAAACTTAAGGCCTAGCTTGTTAAGGCTTAGTTCAGTGGCAAGAAAGTTACTGGAAGGCTCTTCACTAAGAACATATATTCAATGACTACCACCCTAAGGCTCTTTTCATTCTATTATATCTTTCTATTTTTTGAGATGATCATAGTAATAAATGATTTATTTTAAATCTATATTTATATATGACTGACACAATTTGTGTCTATTTTGCTGTTTTCTTGTGCAATAGCAATTGTTGCAGCTGAAATTTGTATCAATTGTCAAAATACTGCCTACAAATAAACACTATCAAAATAATTTTGTGTTAAATACACAAGCAGAAAAAGCTGTGTCAAATAATGGTGGGTAGTTTAAAATAAACTAAGGGCCAAGCAATTTTACATCTGTTGATAATAATCATGAAGTCGTTTTTTCCACCCTGAAAAGTTTTCACTGCAAATAACAGAAAATGTCTTTAATCATACAAAATATCAAACTAGAAGTAGAACAAGAAAAAATAAATAAGATAATGCTATACCTCAGAATGCTATACTTTCAATCATGTTTTAAAAGACTTCCTTAGAAGAACTTAGATGAGGAGATACCCATGTATTTCAATGTTAACTGTTAAAACTACAACATTTACTCCATTTAATAAATTTTTAGTTACCAGCACAGTGGAAATGGCCTTTCAATTAACATTTATTGCGAGTTCACATGACGACATCTATATCTCATAAGATAAAGTTAAGAATCTTTAAAAAAAAGAATTTCAAAGAATGCAATGGCCAGCATTTAAAAGACATGCATTTGGCATGAAATTATTTAGTTAGTGGGGAATTAGTAGTTTAATATTTTCACTTTACCATAATAGTTTAATTGTTTAAGCAACACTATTATTATGAATAAATTGAAATATTAAAACAAATTTCTAAGCTATACATTATTATTAAATTTATATTTAATGGATTACATATTTCACAATGTTCTATATGGCATGACATATAACATACAATATATAAATATGTAATAGGTTATATATTATATAAATTCATGTGTGTATATGTATGTGTGTGTGTGTGTGTGTATATATATATATATATATATATATGTATGTTTCTTTTTTGGAGACAGAGTTTCGCTTTGTCACCCAAGCTGGAGTGCAGTGGTGCAATCTCAGCTCACTGCAACCCCCACCTCTTGGGTTCAAGCGATTTTCCTGCCTCAGCCTCCCATGTAGCTGAGGCACACACCATTATATGCATTACAGACACACACCACCACACCTGGCTAATTTTTGTATTTTTAGTAGAGATGGGATTTCACCACATTGGCCGGGCTGGTTGAACTCCTGACCTCAAGTGATCTGCCTGCCTTGGCCTCCCAAAGTGTTGGAATTACAGGTGTGAGCTACTGTGCCTGCCTATATATTATTTTAAAATGCCAAAGAAAGACAGATAAACAAAACCCCCCAAAAACACAAGTGATAAGCAGGTAAAATCAAATTATACATATTAGAATAAATACATAGGCAGTTTCAAGAATTTAAAGCCCTGGATTTTGTAACAATATATGGGCAATCCTCATTATTCATAGATCTTGTCTTTGTGATTTGCCTACTCTCTAAAATTTATTTGTAACCCCAAAATTAATACTTGTGGGACCTGTGGATCATCTATGGACATGCGTAGCGTGGTAAATATGTTGATTTGCCAAATACATATATACCCAGCTGAAGTCAAAGAAGGCAACTTTCTGCCTTCTTTTAGATCTCATACTGTAAACTGGTATCCACTTTGCAGTCTATTTAATTAGTGCCATGTTTTTCACATTCTTGTGCTTTTTCTTGGTGATTTCGCTGTTTAAAATGGCCTCTGACTCATCTGGAGAATGTGACTGAAAGAAAAGACATTTTAAGAAATAATAAAATAAAATGGCCCCTGAGCATAGTGTTGAAGTGCTACCTAGAGGGTTTTTGTTGTTGTTGTGTTTGTCTGTTTTTGGGACAGGGTCTGACTGTATTGCCCAGGCTGGAGTGCAGTGGCATGATCTTAGCTCACGCAACCTCTGCCTCCTGGGCTCAAGTGATCTTCCTGCTTCAGCCTGCCGAGTAGCTGGGACCACAGGTGTGCACCATCATGCTTGGCTAATTTTTTGTATTTTTGGTAGAGATGGGGTTTCACCATGTTGCTCAGACAGGTCTCAAACTCCTGAGCTCAAGTGATTCACCCACCTCAGCCTTCCAAAATGTTGGGATTACAGGCCTGAGCCAGCATGCCCAAGTTCTTAAGCTCCAGATGGCTGTGATGTGTCTTACGGAGAAAACACATATATTAGATAAACTTCTTTCAGGTTTGAATTATAGTTCTGCTGGCCATGAGTTCTGCATTAATGAATAAATAATATATATTAAATAGGGTGTCTTTAAACAGAAACACACTTAAAATAAGGTTATATATTGATTGGTTAACAAAAATGATGTGACCAGAGGCTCTTAGAAACCTAATCTTAGGAGCAATGGTTCAGTATTTGCTGATTCAGTATTCGCAATGACTTTATAGGAAACAACTACCATGAATATGAGAAATGAAGGCAAGATATAGAAAGCCACAATTTGATTCTCCTAATTTCTTTACTTTGATTTTATTATTTGTTTTGTTTTGGGATTATAAGAAGAAGCTTAAGATCAATCTCAAATACAAGAAGTAAAAATTCCTGGGCTCAAGCGATCTTTCTCCTTAGCCTCCTGAGCAGCTGGGACTGTAGGCGCATGCCAGCATGCCCATCTAATTTTTAAATTTTTTGTAGAGACAGGGTCTCACTATGTTGCCCAAGCTGGTCTTGAATTTCTGGCCTCAAGTGGTCCTCCCACTTCAGTTTCCCAAAGTGCTAGGATTACAGGTGTGAGCTACCGCACCTGGCTGGCTATATGAAACTTCCTAAGTCTCTGGAAATTTAGGGAAATGACAGTAAATTAGATGTCATATCCATTAACCTTTTGGATCCTTCATGATCCCTGGCTTGGTGTGGAGTACATAAGAATTGATTTTGTTGATAGGTATTGACTGATGAACTTTCCGAGACTCTTGTGGAATATTCCAGTTCCATAAAGTTTCAATCTGAGAAGCCCTGGATACTCCCACTTAAGACCTGTGCCATTAGCATATTGGATAACTATGTTCTGTAGTTTCATTAATAGTGAATATCTGTATATTTCTGCCCTATACTTCAGTTGATCCAGAAATCTTAAGGATTCCCATAATAGATCTTTCATTGTAGGTCCATATTGGAAGACTTCTAGTCTGAATCTCTCATCTATGCCAGAATGAAGTACCTGCAAGTCATACCACAGAACCTACCAACTATTATTCTAGCTTTAACCAAAAGTCAGGCAATTCTTGTTCTGTGGGTTGTGGAAATCATTTTTTTTAAGTTCTTTTCATGAAATTTATAATGAACAAGGACTAAGACCTCTAAGGAATATTAAAATAAATATTTACTGTCGATATTTCAAATTAAGTAGTTTAAAAAGTGAATGTTTTAATTTTCTTATCAGAAAAGCACATATTCTTTAAAGAACAATTAAAGGTTCCTGAGTTTAATAAATCAGAAACTACAAATGTTAATAAGCTTAATATCAGTGAAAGGCTCTCAATACTATAAATACGACTATCATTAAATTTACTTTCTTCTTTTAGTACAAATAGAAACACAAAGGGTTTCCTTGAAAAAAAAAACTGTATTAGGGGAAACAAAAATTTACTTTAGGAATCTGATCCAGTTATAGAAAATGCAGATCTTCTCTTAAATATACTTTGTGTAAGCAAAAAGGAAGTCTGAACATGTGAATATAGACTAATGAAAGTAAAATTTCATATGCGGCTTATAGAAATAAATTTTGCTACTTTAAAATCCCACCATGTATTGGTGTTAAATAATTTGCTTAAATCTAAAAACAAGTCTGTAAGTGAGTGTAATGTGTCAGTGCTGGGTCAAGGACAGATTCAGGGTAGTAAGGAAGATTCTGACACCGCCATGAGGAATAAGCAGCCGATACTAGGAGTCAGGGTAGACTCAGCATGAGAGAATCCAGAAGGGCTTTCAGCAAGAGAGAAGAGGCAGAAGGTCAAGTCATGAGGTGGGAACTCCTAGTAGTGAAGGACAAGTCAGCTCTTCAGGTTTCGATTTTCTGATGGCCTAGTCCTGCTTGAAACCCTCCCTTTTCCTGGTATTCATGACGCTCCTGTACTCTCCTGGTTCTCATCCTATTTCTTTGACCATCTTTTTGATTCCCGTGATTTCAAATTAACATCCACATCTATTCTGTGTCAATATTCATACCTAGATGTGCCACCACTCTTTGCTTGATATTTGCATTTGGTGGCTTGTCAATGCTTAAAACCCAGTGTACTGAAAACAGAAATACTACTACACTCTCCCCAACCTACTGCTACCTCTGTCATTAGCATGCTATCATTTAACTGCAATCAGAGGCAAATTTCAGAGTTGTCCCTCTCTTTCCAGTTCTCACCACTTATCAGATCCCATGGCTTCTATCATGCCTTGGTAATAATGCCTCCATCTCCTTTCCTACCCCTCCTGCCTCCACACTGGTTCACCTCTTATCTAGTGCCTGCTACCACACTACTAGCTCTCACCTAAAATGCCATTTCCCACTGATTTGCAGCAGAAGATTCATTCCTAAAATAGTCCTGGGGGGGGGGGGGGCAAGTATTTTATTTTCCTTGCTCAAAAACCTTTAGTGGCTCTCCATTGATCTAAGCATTGCTTTAAGCACAGGCTCTCCACATAGTTCTCACATACCCTCCCCATGTTATCTTTCCTCCTACGTGGCAATGTGGCAAAGAGAAAAGATATGAACTTTGAATCAGATACAGGTTCAAATTCCAGCTGTCTCTTAAAAACTCTAAAACAGAAACTGAAAACTGTAAAATGACCAGACAAGTCATTTATTGCTTTGAGCCCTTTCTTTGCTCATCTGCAAGTGCAGGGAGGAACCGTAGAGGCGGTACAACACTCTCTGCCCTCCATGAGTTATACACTCATTAGGGGAGTTGAGCCTCTTTTCATGCAGTAGTCACTTAGCATCTGCCTTCCAGTCAGTGGCCAAATGACTTTCTAAACCGAGAACCTAGCAGGTCACCTGTCAGTGTCAATGAAACTGGTCAACAGAGGAGTTCTCTACCCTTATGTCAGGGAATTTTTTATGCATTCTGAAGGGACAGAAGCCAGTTCTCAAAGCACATCCAAGCTTTTTAGGGGAAACTGTGCCATTGGCCCTTGGTTAACTGGGGTGTGACCAGCCAAAAATTAGCAGCAGTGCTTGACACGCACATTTCTGATTCAAACAGATGAACCAAAAGCCCACTGCAAGAGTCCAAAAGCTGTACTTCTGTTAGGTTTAGAAACTTTAAAAAGTACTTAAGATTTCATTTCAAAGTCCAACGTGAAGAAAATACCAGGTCTTTAATGCCCCTTTCTAAGAAGGAAAAAGGGATTTTTGTCTGATTTGTTCACCAGTGTGGCCCAAGTGCCTAGAATAGCGGTTTTGCATGCAGAGGGTGCAGAGTCAATTTATGATGAATAAATATATAGTATATCAATATATGTATGAGGAATAAATGAATGAAAGTGCCTGTGGCACGCATCTTATATATGCTCTAGCATAGTGCTGAGTATACAGAAGATCCTTAATAAATACTTTACTAACTAAATGCAGGGATTTATACTCTAGTCAGTCAAGGACATTTCACAATATCCTTAAGGACTAGGAACTAAATATCATTCCTATATATTTCTACTTTACAAAATGGTTTTTTTTTTTATCTATGTTGTCATCATGTCTCCTTTTTAAAATTATCTATTGTTTCATTTATTTCTTACCTCCCAACAGGGAAGTGTCACAGCTTGAAAATAGGTGAGAAGAAATGAGGTTAGGAGTTAGGGGATTAAATAGATATTTTTAGCTAAAAAGTTTTTGTCTAAAATTGGATATATTGAATGGAATGAAGAGAAAAACAATTTTTGAAAGAGCTATATGAAGATGGAAGAAAAAAAGTCATAAGGTGTGTAGAACATGTTTGACAAATTTATTTGGGAAGAATGTTACATTTATACACTGCATTTTTTTTTTTCTTAAGTGCTCTAAGTTTTTTTTTTCTTTTTTTGTGAGGGGTGGGGCTGGGGGATGGAGTTTCACTCTTATTGCCCAGGCTGGAGTGCAGTGGTACGATCTAGGCTCACTGCAACCTCCACCTCCTGGGTTCAAGTGATTCTCCTGCCTCAGCCTCCCGAGTAGCTGGGATTACAGGCACACGCCACCATACCTGGCTAATTTTTTTTTTTTTTTTTGTATTTTTAGTAGAGATGGGGTTTCACCATGTTGGCCAGGTTGGTCTCAAACTCCTGATCTCAGGTGATCCACATGCCTCGGCCTCCCAATGTGTTGGGATTACAGGCGTGAGCCACCACGCCCAGCCAAGTGCTCCAAGTTTGCATGACTATCATTCCTGTATGAGGGAAGAAATAGCTAAATTCCTCCGCTACAGCTACAGGAACAAAGGCTCATTAAAGCTGATGATCTGTTTACATGATCAGAGGTAGATCTAGGGTTGGAAGCCAGGTCTCCTGAGTATGCGAGAATAAATACAGTCATGGAAGAGTAAAGAGTCTGCCAACATTTTGAGAATGTGAATAGGATTTGGCTAAAATTAAGGGGATATACAGAAAAGTCATAGGAAATCAGGTTAAAGACATAAATATGAGATAGGCTACAGAGTGTTTTAAGTAATACAATAAAACATTTAGATTTTTGCCCATGTCAGTCATTTTGAAATTATTTTTAAAGCAAAAAAACCCTTTTTAAACAAGAAATCTTATGAGATGTCAATATGCAAAACAAATTAAAAGGAGGTGGTTTCTCTAACTGAAGCTGTTCCTCTTTCCTGCCTTCAGCCTCTGAAGAGAAAGTTAGAAAACTATTATCATTAATGCTACATGTTTTGAACAAGCTGATATACCAAGTGGCCCAGAGAGCAGGTAGAAGAACCAGCGTGGAGACAGAAAGCAAGAGGCCCGCCTGCCAGGGCTACCTGCAGAAAGAAAGGGCAAAGATGCTGTAGGCAAGAGAAGTTCAGGACAGACACTGGCATAGCTCAAAGATTCACATTTGAGCAGCTGTGGAAGATGACAGTACAATTACCAAAATGTCGAAGGGCAAAGGAGGCAGCTACTGGTTTTGATGAAAGACAATTATGTCCTTTTAAATGGGTCTTAGACATTTAGACATTAATATACACTATGCTACGGACAAAGGAATAGAAAGTAGCACTTTTTTCTCCACTAGTTTTCTTCTCTTTTTCAAGTAGATGAAGCAAAAGTCAACTGCAATAGTCAGAAAGCTGTACTTTGTTACACTTAGAAACTTCTAAAAGTGCTTAAGATTTCACCTGAAAGTCCAACATGAAGAAAATACAGGCTCCCCAATGCCCCATTCTAAGAAGGAAAAAGGACCATTTTCATTTTAGTAACGTTTCTGTTCTATAGACAGTTTGGATAACTAGCTCTTACTTTTTATCTTTAAAAACTGTTTTTCCAGTGAAGTTACGTATAATTATTTACTTCAAGCGTAAGTATACCAAATTACTTTAGAAATGCAAGACTTTTCTTATACTTCATAAAATACATTATGAAAGTGAATCTTGTTGGCTGTGTACATTTGACTATAATAATTTCAATGCATATTATTTCTATTGAGAGTAAGTTACAGTTTTTGGCAAACTGCGTTTGATGAGGGCTATCTCCTCTTCCTGTGCGTTTCTAAAACTTGTGATGCAAACGCTCCCACCCTTTCCTGGGAACACAGAAAGCCTGACTCAGGCAGCTGCCGCTATTAAAGCAGCTCCAGCCCTGCGCACTCCCTGCTGGGGTGAGCAGCACTGTAAAGATGAAGCTGGCTAACTGGTACTGGCTGAGCTCAGCTGTTCTTGCCACTTACGGTTTTTTGGTTGTGGCAAACAATGAAACAGAGGAAATTAAAGATGAAAGAGCAAAGGATGTCTGCCCAGTGAGACTAGAAAGCAGAGGGAAATGCGAAGAGGCAGGGGAGTGCCCCTACCAGGTAAGCCTGCCCCCCTTGACTATTCAGCTCCCGAAGCAATTCAGCAGGATCGAGGAGGTGTTCAAAGAAGTCCAAAACCTCAAGGAAATCGTAAATAGTCTAAAGAAATCTTGCCAAGACTGCAAGCTGCAGGCTGATGACAACGGAGACCCAGGCAGAAACGGACTGTTGTTACCCAGTACAGGAGCCCCGGGAGAGGTTGGTGATAACAGAGTTAGAGAATTAGAGAGTGAGGTTAACAAGCTGTCCTCTGAGCTAAAGAATGCCAAAGAGGAGATCAATGTACTTCATGGTCGCCTGGAGAAGCTGAATCTTGTAAATATGAACAACATAGAAAATTATGTTGACAGCAAAGTGGCAAATCTAACATTTGTTGTCAATAGTTTGGATGGCAAATGTTCAAAGTGTCCCAGCCAAGAACAAATACAGTCACGTCCAGGTATGTATAATAATGTTTTCTTATCATATGTTCATAAATGTTATACAGCTAGAGAGTATCTATAAACATTAACCTGAGTCAGTAAGTTAAATAGATGACAGATTAAGTCTTTTATTTATCAAGGTGCACAGGAAAAAATAAATATCTTCTCAAATATGACCACATAAATATGACCTAATTACAAAAATCATAGTTAGTTCTGTATCCACTGGAAGTCACTTTCAATTTTAAGATCTTATTTGTTAATGCCAGACCTACTTGCAAGCAGAAGTAGAGAGAATTTCTTGATGTTTTAGTGCATTTAACTTGTCTCTTCAATGAGGTGTTTGAAAACAATAAAGATAAGGCGATGTTCACAATTGTGCCTTGTTTGTTGGAAATCAGTTTTTCTTGTGATTGACTGACTGCCGCTTCTCATGGCTAAAGAGGTCTTTGAAAGATTTTAGCAAGTAATCTAGTTCTTAATCCCAAATATCTGGAGAAAATGGGAGAGTTTACAGATGGAATAAAAGCAGTTTCATATGTGTGCACAAATTTTTGCTTTGAGACCTAGTGGCACAAAAAATATTTTAAGGGGAGAGTTTTAGCATGCCACTAAGGGAAGGTATTCATATTTCTTTCTCTTTTACCTGAAGTTAGAATTCAAGCAGATAGAAGTAGAACCCATCCTCACCATCCAAATTACTTGAATTAACTTTAATAAATACATGTGAAATTCCACAGACTTAATCGCCTACTCCACCCACGAACTAACAGTGGTATTGACTCTCCAAACCTTGGCTTTTCACCTGAGTCACTGGGACCACTGTTGCTGACTGTCTCATACTTTGGAAAGCCATCTCCGCATTTGGACCTCTACTTACCATGAACGTGAGGTTGAAAGGACAGGGCGGAGATCACTTTCATTTAGAGACAGTATCTCAGGCATGCTCCATCCCCAGGGCATCTGCCAGTGAAGGAGGGAAGGGTCATATTTTCAAGGACCTCTATTGGTAATACTCCTGGCAGCCTGCATCTGAATGTACCTGGCACACTGCGAATCCAAGGTTCACCGCTTAGGTGACATCAGTGGGTATACATTAGATTAGATGCTGCATGGCAACTTGTCATGATATGAAGACTATTGTCTATTTTTCTCCTAAACATTTTGGGTGAAATAACTGAATATTCTGAGCTCTAAATATACAGGAATAGATTTTTATGCCTTAGGGTATCTCATATTAAACTTACCTTATTTGTCACACATTTTAATAAAAACTATCTGGGAGTAAATATCTGTCTGATTCATACAGAACTTTGTTAACTGATTATTATGCTTATCCTCAATATAGTCACCTGTTGTTTCTTTCTAGAAACCCAACATGTGAAATAGTGGCTAAATACTTTCCTAGATAATAAATACAGAATAAGAATATTGGTGTGTCATTGAAAAAGATACTTCTTTTTCACTTGAGCTTCTTTATATAGTTGTCAAGTGAAATGAATATGAATTTATGATCAATCCTATGCATTAGGATTTTAACACATCATTTGGAATATATGCTATAAAACCTTCTGACAGTAGAGGCTATCAGCCCCTTTAGGTGAAAGAAAATAGAAGCCTGTGCTTCCTCTGTATGCAAGGAATACAGTTCTAGGAGAGTTAGAATCATCTGATTTTTAGGACCAAGGGATGCAATGATTACGAGAACAAAGCTTTGCTGCCAGCCAGATCTGAGTTAGTGTCCTGGCTCTGCCACTTAAAGCTCAGGTGAAGGTGGGCAAGCCACTGATCTTTATGCCTAAATATCCTCACATGCAGACTGGCAGTAACGCCTACATCATAAGGTCAATGTTCAGATTCAGTGTGAAAATGTTACCCAGTCTGGCAGCATGCCTAGAACGTATAGGTAGGCCTCACTACATAATACTAAATTATTAAAACTGTACTTTTATTATTTTCTTATTGTCGTTTGCTGTTGATGCTGTCATTATTACTACCAACCAAGAGTATATTAGAGGTCCTTTCTGCTTTATAACATTAGGTTCTTCTTGTGAGGCCTTAAGCATTTGCTAAACAGGTTCAAGTAAGTTTAGTAAAGTTTCATTACTGCCATTGATTCAATTATCAAACTGCTTTTGTACATATAAAGAATTCTTCAGATGCATGGTTTCTATTAACAAGATCCAATGCCTTCCTTTTATTTCCCCTTCAGTTCAACATCTAATATATAAAGATTGCTCTGACTACTACGCAATAGGCAAAAGAAGCAGTGAGACCTACAGAGTTACACCTGATCCCAAAAATAGTAGCTTTGAAGTTTACTGTGACATGGAGACCATGGGGGGAGGCTGGACAGTGCTGCAGGCACGTCTCGATGGGAGCACCAACTTCACCAGAACATGGCAAGACTACAAAGCAGGCTTTGGAAACCTCAGAAGGGAATTTTGGCTGGGGAACGATAAAATTCATCTTCTGACCAAGAGTAAGGAAATGATTCTGAGAATAGATCTTGAAGACTTTAATGGTGTCGAACTATATGCCTTGTATGATCAGTTTTATGTGGCTAATGAGTTTCTCAAATATCGTTTACACGTTGGTAACTATAATGGCACAGCTGGAGATGCATTACGTTTCAACAAACATTACAACCACGATCTGAAGTTTTTCACCACTCCAGATAAAGACAATGATCGATATCCTTCTGGGAACTGTGGGCTGTACTACAGTTCAGGCTGGTGGTTTGATGCATGTCTTTCTGCAAACTTAAATGGCAAATATTATCACCAAAAATACAGAGGTGTCCGTAATGGGATTTTCTGGGGTACCTGGCCTGGTGTAAGTGAGGCACACCCTGGTGGCTACAAGTCCTCCTTCAAAGAGGCTAAGATGATGATCAGACCCAAGCACTTTAAGCCATAAATCACTCTGTTCATTCCTCCAGGTATTCGTTATCTAATAGGGCAATTAATTCCTTCAGCACTTTAGAATATGCCTTGTTTCATATTTTTCATAGCTAAAAAATGATGTCTGACGGCTAGGTTCTTATGCTACACAGCATTTGAAATAAAGCTGAAAAACAATGCATTTTAAAGGAGTCCTTTGTTGTTATGCTGTTATCCAATGAACACTTGCAAGCAATTAGCAATATTGAGAATTATACATTAGATTTACAATTCTTTTAATTTCTATTGAAACTTTTTCTATTGCTTGTATTACTTGCTGTATTTAAAAAATAATTGTTGGCTGGGTGTGGTAGCTCACGCCTGTAATCCCAGCACTTTGGAATGTCAAGGCAGGCAGATCACTTGAGGTCAGGAGTTTGAGACCAGCCTGGCCAAACATGTGAAACGCTGTCTCTATTAAAAATACAAAAATTAGCCGGGCATGGTGGTACATGCCTGTAATCCTAGCTACTTGGGAGGCTGAGGCAGGAGAATCGCTTGAACCTGAGAGGAAGAGGTTGCAGTGAGCCAAGACTGAGCCACTGCACTCCAGCATGGGTGACAGAGAAAACTCTGTCTCAAACAAAAAAATAATAAAATTTATTCAGTAGGCTGGATTCTACACAAAGTAATCTGTATTTGGGCCATGATTTAAGCACATCTGAAGGTATATCACTCTTTTCAGGCTATAATTATTTGGGTAATCTTCATTCTGAGACAAACTTAATCTATATCATTTACTTTGCAACAGAACAACCCTACAGCATTTTGGTTCCCAGACTAAGGGAACTAATATCTATATAATTAAACTTGTTCATTTATCATTCATGAAATATAAAATACTTGTCATTTAAACCGTTTAAAAATGTGGTAGCATAATGTCACCCCAAAAAGCATTCAGAAAGCAATGTAACTGTGAAGACCAGGGTTTAAAGGTAATTCATTTATAGTTTATAACTCCTTAGATGTTTGATGTTGAAAACTGCTTTAACATGAAAATTATCTTCCTCTGCTCTGTGTGAACAATAGCTTTTAATTTAAGATTGCTCACTACTGTACTAGACTACTGGTAGGTTTTTTTGGGGGGGGTGGGTAGGGATATGTGGGTAATGAAGCATTTACTTACAGGCTATCATACTCTGAGGCCAATTTTATCTCCAAAGCAATAATATCATTAAGTGATTCACTTCATAGAAGGCTAAGTTTCTCTAGGACAGATAGAAAACATGAATTTTGAAATATATAGAACAGTAGTTAAAATACTATATATTTCAACCCTGGCTGGTAGATTGCTTATTTTACTATCAGAAACTAAAAGATAGATTTTTACCCAAACAGAAGTATCTGTAATTTTTATAATTCATCAATTCTGGAATGCTATATATAATATTTAAAAGACTTTTTAAATGTGTTTAATTTCATCATCGTAAAAAGGGATCATCTCAGAGAGAACAGCAGTATTCTGCGTATTTTTAAAAATGCTCTAGAGTAACATTTGAAGTAATTCACTGTAGTGTATGCCAGTCCTAGAAATAATTTTTTTAATTTCTGGTGTCTGTTTCTAATACACTAACCAAGTTTTCAAAATATATTTACAAAGATGCATCTTTACCCATTATTTTAAAATGATTAAGGAGGATAGTTGCTTCAGGTAACAAGCTAATTTTTCAAATATTAGGCCCTTACAGAACTATTTAGTCAAAAAGTAAGATATTCCTTTAAAATATATAACCCAAAGCTTTCAGTTAAACATGATATATCACAAATACTATTAAAATGTTAAAGAGAAATGCAAATAGCATTAAATGATGACCAAAATGTAAAATATTGTAGATTTCAAAAGCTGTGTCTCTATTAGGTGGGATACCAAATGTAAATGATGTAACTGACGTTGTTTTTTACTTTTTACTTTTTAAAAAAGACTAAAAACGTTTTGATATTATACAATGTATTTGTTTCAGATAAGGTCATTGTCATTTAGTATATATAATTAATATATGTACAAGTTTAAGTAAATTCCTGTGAGTAAAAATGGACTTATCACAAAACATAGTTCTAAAGAAAGGTATATGCTCATATACACGGTGTCCATTAATTTAATGGGAACTAGGTATAACTTCAGGAGAATTTGGCAAATAATTCATTAATCCATGTAAATATTCAAAAGCTTGTTCTATCCACATTATTTCAAGGGATCACTTTATTTTTCATTATACTTTCACAGCACTTTTCTAGTAAATTCTGTAACACAGAAATTCCATTTTGGAATCATTTCATGTTACCAATAATTCTAGACTTTTATAACATTTAACATGTTGATGGAAATAGATTACATCTGCTAGAACCTTTTGCCTTAACTATTCACCAATATATGCTAATATTCATAAATATGGATTGACTGTTTACAAACATTAGAATCTTGTCTTGGTTCCATTTTGATGGCTAATATTTGTTATCTTAATTAAGACTATTTCTGAGGTCATGATTACTTGAAAATATTGACTAAAACTGGGTCCTTAGAAATTCCAGGTGGAGCTGATTTACCTATGACTGAGGGGAAAAAAAAATCAAATTTTACTGATAATAGTAATGCTCCAAATGAATTAATGACACATCTGTTCAATAAATAAAGAGCTTAAATATACAAAACATAAGAAATCTGGGCAACAAAACTTGTGGTCTTTACTTTTGAATAGCTACCCAAGAAAAGGTTTTAAAGGTAAAAGTTATGAGTAATGTCATCACAATAAGCTCTTGTTTAAAATTCTTTTCTTTTATGTATAATTAGGTTTATGTTTCATGTCTTTTTAAAACCTTATAAAAGATTTAATTATCACATCTATTCTTCAATGTGGAAATATTAAATATTGTTGGTTGTAAAATAATATTTATGTACTTACTTGTGTCTGAAAAGTTGTAAAATGCTTACCTCAGCTATACAATATCTGTGACTCTGAAGACTTTAATGAGTACTATTTCATTAACAAGAAGTCAGAGGCAAATAGAGGAACACCATTATCTTACTTCCCTCTAGAATACTGTTGAAACATTTGAAATACAAAAGTTTCAGTTTCATTTTGTGGCATTCAACTTCCTCTCCTCTTTTTCCGTTATTAGTGTTGCTGCTCTGGTTAGCCCTCTTCATCTCCTTAGGACAACACAAACGCATCTGAATAGTCTGTACCTCTGGTTTCAGTCTATTCCAGTCCAACTTTCATCCCTACCAGGGGGATTGTTCAAAAGTACAATTCTGATCATGTTATTGTCCTGCTTAAAAAACTTTCAACAACGCCTTCTTTTCTTTTTTTTTATTATTTTATTTTATTTTTTTTAGAGACGGAGTCTCACTCTGTCGCCCAGGCTGGAGTGCAATGGCGAGATCTCGGCTCACTGCAACCTCTGCCTCCTGGGTTCACGCCATTCTCCTCTCTCAGCCTCCTGAGTAGCTGGGACTACAGACGCCTGCCACCTCGCCCAGCTAATTTTTGTATTTTTAGTAGAGACGGGGTTTCACCATGTTAGCCAGGATGGTCTCGATCTCCTGACCTCGTGATCCACCCGCCTAGGCCTCGCAAAGTGCTGGGATTACAGGCATTAGCCACCGTGCCCGGCCAACAATGCCTTATTTTCTACAAGATAAAATCTGGCAAATAAGTCCCTTCATGAAATGATTTTTACCACTACTTATACTTCTGCCATACTAAACGCCTTGTTGTACACAAACAAACTACGCTTTCTAATGTTTTCATTGCCTTTAGTATACTGTTTCCTTGGTCTAGATAGAATGCCATCCTCTTTCCTCACTGGGTTTTGTCTTATCACCCATGATTAACAGCAGGAACTCAGGAGCTGGCCTTCCTGGTTTGAATTTCAGCTCCACTATTTGCAAGCTGTATGATCCTGGGCAAGTCACTTAATGTTCTTTGGTTCCTTCAATTATAAAATAGGAATAGTAATAGAATCTGCCTGATAGAGTTATTGAGAGGATTAAATCACATATATAAAGCACCTAGAACATATATATTTAAAAATCATCATTCCCAGCTGGGTGTTGGTGGCACATGCCTGTAATCCCAGCACTTTGGGAGGCCGAGGTGGGCGGATCACGTGAGACCAGCCTGGCCAACATGGTGAAACCCCATCTCTACTAAAAATACAAAAATTAGCCAGGTGTGGTGGCTCACACCTGTAGTCCCAGCTACTCAGGAAGCTGAGGCAGGAGAATTGCTTGAACCTGGCAGACAGAGGTTGCAGTGAGCAGAGATGGCGCCACTGCACTCCAGCCTGGGTGACAGAGAAAAAAAATCATCATCATCCTAAGTAGTTATTATTATTTTTTATTTTTTGAGATGGAGTCTTGCTCTGTCGCCCAGGCTGGAGTGCAGTAGCACCATCTCGGCTCACTGCACGCTCCGCCTCCTGGGTTCACACCATTCTCCTGCCTCAGCCTCCCAAGTAGCTAGGACTACAGGTGCCCGCCACCACACCCAGCTAATTTGTTTTGTATTTTTAGTAGAGACTGGGTTTCACCGTGTTAGCCAGGATGGTCTCGATCTCCTGACCTCGTGATCCGCCCACCTTGGCCTCCCAAAGTGCTGGGATTACAGGCGTGAGCCACTGCGCCAGGCCCTAAATAGTTATCTCTTATAGGCAGAGTTCTCTGATGACAGTAGGTGGGGTCCTGGCACCTCTCCTAGATCTTATGCCATCCTACATATTCCTTATTATATATTATTCAATATTGTCTAAGTTCTATCCTGAAATCAATCTGTGTGAATAGGAGTAAAGGAAATTTGAGACATGAGTATTGTTATTCAAAGTGATTAATAATATGTTGCCACAGAGAAAGAGTTGTACTCTAAAGAGGCCACAGTTATGATTGGGAAAGTAGTGGGTAGGGTCAAATCTGCGGATATGAGAGACTGTGAACATAGGTGAGAAGCAATTACAGCCAGGGAGAATATGGCAAGACAGGATCAAATACAGTAAGTCCTCACTTAACGCTGTTGATAGGTTCTCAGAAACAGCGACGTTAAAACAACATACCATGTAACAAAACCAATTTTACCATAAGCTAATTGACATAAACAAGAATGAAGTTCCTATGGCATACAATATGCTGTTTTTGCTTAAAGTTGCTGTTTCCAAGAACCTATCCATGATGTTAAGTGAGGACTTACTGTATACTATAGGACTGGGAATGTAACAGTGGCAAACTTTTAGAAGGGGTCCTAGGAACATGCCTGTGGGGACATGTCACACAGAGGCATATTGCTGTACCTGCCCAATAGTGATTGTTCCACCCTACTGAATTCCTGAAGAAAAAAGCAGGAATAATTTTGAAATTAATTTTAATATAAAATCCATGAATCCTTTAATTTTTTAAAAAGTTACAGATTAAAATAAAGACTCCTTCACAAATCACCTTCAATTTCAATCCTGTCCCTCTCCCCAGAGGTAACAAGCCGAGGTGGCCAATTCCCAACTTTAATTTCATTCTGTGCATTGCCAGATCACAATGTCTACTAAGTCATAAGCTTGCCAGGTCTCCTTTGTTGATTGACTGGAAAGAGGTGGAAATGAGAGGAAATGGGTATACTTTGAAAACATGGAGTGTCCCGAATTCCCAAACATGAGTGGGCCCCCCCTTGCTTTTTGAAGTAGTCCCTCCCCTGACATTGATGAGGATGTCCTCTTGCTGGAGGGCACTGTTGCTTTCTTTCCTGGGGGAACACTCCAAATTCTTCCTTAGGCTCCTTCATCCCACTCATCAGCATCTCCAGATTCATCATCAGGGCATGCCCCAGTATCAGTTCTAAAGTCTAATGGAAAGAGAAGGCTTTGCACAACTTTGCTAACTTATATCAGCAGAAGGCTGGAGAAGACATGTAGAGAGAGACTGAGGTTGCCTGATTAAGGAAGAAACAATTTTAGATGTGACTGAATTTACTGGTATAGGTATATTTACCAGAAATTATAGATTCAACAGGCTATCTTGAGAAGACATGTTTGAGTCTAATAGTTTGCTTGCTTAGTTAATACAAACTTACATTCAATAGCAGCTCATGGTAACTAAAGTTGAGAAGCCAGAAATGTCTTCGAACTCAGACTTATGGAGATAGAAATGCTGGGGTAAAGTTAGCCTTAATTCATTCATCGAGTATTCACTGAGTGCACACCATGTGTCAGTCTTCTAGGAGGCTGGAGATTTATCAGTGACCAACACGGATAAAAATCTTACACTCATGCAGCGGGTAGTAGAGACAAATATATGGTAAATATTTATCAGAGGAGACAAATACATGATAAATACCATTAAAAATTAAGGAGAGTAAGGGAGTAGTAGAAAAGGGGGTGCTGTTTCATATAGAGCAGTCAGAAGAGGCCTGTCTGTGGAGGTGAAATTTGAACAGAGACCTAAAGATATGAGAGCTCAAACCAGGCAGATGTCTGGGATAAGTGTGTTTCAAACAAAGGGAACATTAGGTGCAAAAGCCCCAAGCCTGGAAGAGTGGATAGCATGTTTGAAGGTCAGCAAAGATGTCTGTGTGAAACAGCAGAGGGTCTGGGGTGGTGAGAAGATGAGATCAGAGACAGCTTGGGTGGTTGGGGATGAACAAGGGATAGGAGTGGTATACCGGATTACCTAGGCCTTTAAGCCATGGTAAGGACTGTGCCTTTTACACTGAGTAGATAAGAGCCGTAAGGGTTTTGAGCAGAGGAAAGACATGATCTCAACCAGTTTTAAAGGGGTCGCTTTTGTAGCTAAGTGGAAAACAGACTGTAGGGAACCAAGGATTGAAGCAAGGACATCAGTTTGATGTTTGCAATATTCTTGCTAAGTGATGAGGAAAGCATGATGAAAAGTTGCAGTGAGATACATCTATTTTGAAGGTAGAGGTGACAAAATTTGCTGATCAAAGGTCAGCCAGTGGTAGATAATAACAATTAGAGGCATTATAGAAAACCGCAAGATTTTAGTCTGAGCAACTGTGAAGGATGGAGCTGCCAGGAACAGAAATGCGGAAGTCTGCAGGGGAAGCCTGTCTGCAAAGTGTGTGAGGAGTGGAATGGAGTGGGGTGGGAGGCTGGAATCAGAAGTTTTGAACATTATAAGTTCAAAGATATCCAAGTGGATATAGGCATTTGAATATTAGTCTGAAGTTCAGGAAAGACATCTAGGGCTCAGAAATACAGTTGAGAAATGTGGAATCCCATGGCAATGAATCCATGGGATTAGATAACCTGGTAAGTAAGTTTATGTGCAGCAGACTTTTACAGAAACAGCCCTGGCACAAGCTGGCCTTGCAGAAGTTGGAGATGAGGAGGAGCCAGCACAGTTGCATCCCACCCATCCACCCTGTAATGATGTCATTCAAGAGGTGCCAGTGACACTTTATGGTGAGGGCAGAGATTCATTCCCATTGCAATAGATACTTATTTTAGATTACGTTAGATATAGATTTGCTTTTCCTTGCTTCTGTCAACAACGGTATTTTTGTTGAGTTACTGGATATCTTAAAAAATCATCATGGTGTTACACAATGGTATTCTACAAAACTTTTAACTTAGGAAGACACCTGACAGCAAAATGAGGGGGTAATGACTGATTGAAGCCTCAAATACTGCATCTTCTTGGAGATACCACCTTAGGAGAGTGGGGTGTTGTGATGTAATTACAGTGCGTGTGTGTGTACCTGTGCATAAGTAGATACACATATGCATATAGCAAAATAAAATGAACTAGGGCACAGATCGAAAAACCTTTTCATTTGTTAGCAGTGTGCTGCTCAAGTTTGAGGAATCATTTGTGGTCATTTAAATTCATTAGAGTACTAGTTTGCTATGATTATAAACCTTTAGTTGGGCAGAGACTAGTTTTACTCCCCTTTTCCTTAGAGACACTAATGATCTTTTTAAAAAATTGTGGGTACATAGTAGGTATACATATTTATGCGCTACATGAGATATTTTGATAGAGGATACAATGCATAATAATCACACCAGGATAACTGGGGTGATAAAGGAAAAACTTCACCCGAATTAAATTTAAAGCAGTTTAAGTAAGCAACAAACAATTTGTGAATCAGGCAGCCCCCATAATCACAGCAGATTCACAGAGACTCCAGGGGTGCCTCGTGGTCAGAACAAATTTATAGACAAAAAAGGTAAAGTGACGTACAGGAATCGGAAGCGAGGTACAGAAACTAGTACTAAAAGACTGGTTACAGCTCGGCATTTGCCTTATTTTGAACGCAGTTTGAACACTCAGCATCTGTGAGTGGTTGAAGTACGGCCGCTGGGATTGGCCAACACTCAGCTATTGTTACGGGTCTATGCTATTAAGTTAGGTATACATCAAATGTAGATTATAAAAATTCAGTTGTAGAGGATTAATGAAAAAACCACTTAAGCAGTAGATTCTTCTTCTAGCTCATTTTTTAATCTATTTAATTTTAGGTGGTTTGGTTTATGGGGACCTTGGGTAAGGAGCATACTCTAAACTCTTGGTATTATCCTCCCAATAGTCATAGTGATAGTCTCCCTGGTGCACTGTATTCTCTCAAAGGTTTTAAATGCTTGCATGCAGCCATCTCTAGAATATCAAATGCTCTCTCTTCGACTGGAATGACAGAAGCTGAAAGAAATGTGTGACCATGAGGACACCATAACCTATGAATGACATGCTGAGACCAGAAACCCAAAATGATGGTAACTGAGAGTGGCGCTGAGGCCCTAAGTTTTGGTCACACTCTCACCTAAGTGAGAACCTGGCCAAAAAGGGGAAATTTTTTAAACAAAATTATGGAAGGCCATTATTTTGGACTGAGCTTATGTACTAGGCCCCAACAAACCAAACCAAACTAAAATGGAGTCACTTGTGCTAAATGTGACATAATCAAACTAAGGCTTTAAGAAAACACACAGCTCCTAGAACAGACCAGGTTTTGGTTTTTTTTCTCCTGTAAACAGGATGTTCCAGCATAAGGAAGTAACCTCTACTCAGTCCTTATTCCCTCCTTGCAAAACCCACTGTTCTACTGCTTCCCAGTGGGTTTCAAAACTATATAAGTTCATTTATATAGTGATGGTAACATCAATGAATAAGGTTTTAGTCAATCTCTCAAAATTGAGAAAATTACCAAAAGTGGAGAATTGTTAAAGCAAACTAAATATGGCCTGAGAAGGACTCCATACTTCTACATTTGAGTCCTTGTGGATGAACAGTAACCTAGCTTAATAGTCAGACAAATCTGAAAACCTAACTTAATTGTATGCACCTATAACAATGGCTGAGTGTTGGCCAATCCCAGCAGCATACTTCAACCACTCAGACTGCTGAGTGTTCAAATTGCATTCAAACAAGACAAACACCGAGCTATAACCAATCTCACTGTTTCTGTTACCTCACTTCCAATTCCTATACGTCACTTTATCTTTTTTGTCTATAAATTTGTTCTGACCACAAGGCACCCCTGGAGTCTCTGTGAGTCTGCTATGATTTTGGGGGCTGCCTGATTCGTGAATTGTTCATTGCTCAATTAAACTCCTTTAAATGTAATTCAGATGAAGTGTTTATAGGGGCATTCATCCCCTCAAGCATTTATCCTTTGTGTTACAAACAATCCAATTATACTTAGTTATTTTAAGGTGTACAATTAAATTATTTTTGACTGTAGTCCCCCATTGTAGGTCTCGTTCATTATTTTTATTTTGTACTCATTAACCATCCTCACTTACCCCCTGCCCTCCCCACTACCCTTTCCAGCCTCTTGTAACCATCCTTCTACTTGCTATTTCCATGATTTCAATTATTTTAATTTTTATCTCCCATAAATAAGTGAGAACATGCAGTTTGTCTTTCTGTGCCTGGCTTATTTCACTTAACATAATGACTTCCAGTTCCATCCATGTTGTTGCAAATGATGGGATCTCATTATTTTTTATGGCTGTATAGTACTCTATAGTGTGTATGTACTACATTTTCTTTATTCATTCATCTGTTGGACACTTAGATTGTATCCAAACCTGGGCTATTATGAATAGTGCTACAATAAACATGGGAGTGCAGATGTATCTTTGATACACTGATTTCCTTTCTTTCGGGTATATACCCAGCAGTGGGATTGCTTGGTCATATGGTAGCTCTATTTTTAGTTTCTTGAGGAACCTGGAAACTGTTCTCCATAGTGGTTGTGCTAATTTACATTCCCACCAACAGTGTATGAGGCTTCCCTTTTCTTCATATCCTCACAGCATTTGTTATTGCCTGCCCTTTGGATAAAAGCCATTTAAACTGGGGTGAGATGATATCTCGTTGGAGTTTTGATTTGCACTTCTCTCATGATCAATAGATTCTTAATTATTTCAATCTCTTTGTTAATCTGATAGAATTCCAAGTTCCATCTCTGTGTCATCTTGAATTTCCTTAAAACAACTATTTTGAATTGTCTGTCTGAAAGGTTACATATCTCTGTTTCTTTAGGATTGGTCCCTGGTACTTTATTTAGCTCATTTGGTGACGTCATGTTTTCCTGGATGGTCTTGACGCTTGTGCATGTTTGTCTGTAACTAGACATTGAAGAGTTAGGTATTTATTGTAGTCTTCGCAGTCTGGGCTTGTTTGTACCTATCCTTCTTGGGAAGGTTTTCCAGATATTTGAAAGAGAACTTGGGTATTGTCATCTAAGCCATATCTGCTTTAGGGGGCACCCCAACAACAGAAACACTGTGGTTCTTGCAGACTCACTGAGATACTACCTTGATAGTCTTGGATAAGATCTGGAAGTTCTTATCTACAGTTCAAGATGAGATTTGGGTGGGGTCACAGCCAAACCATATCACTTTCCCATTTTCTGCAAGAGGCAAGCAACTTGTGTTTATGTTTAAACGTTTATCAAACGGTCCACAAAATTATTTGCTTATATTTCTGTCCCATTCAGTAATGTAATATATTTTTTTCAGTGACTCTAACCTGTTTTAATTTTTGTTCAGAGATTCTTGTTTCTGCATACTGATAATGATAAACAGCTGTTACTTGCTGAGTGCCAACCATGGGCTGGACACTTCCCTAGGAGCATTTCCAATGTCATCTCTGTTTGCTATGATTAATGCTGGAATAAGGAGGCAATACTTTATACTCAGTAACAATCTTCCCTGGAAAAAAAAAAGCCTCTGTTATCTACAAACTGTTTTTCACTTGTAGATAATTATCCATTTTCAGCGGTCCTGACATTCTTGGTCAGGAAGTGGACTAATTTTCCATGGGTAACAGATACACATAGTAAACCTCAGTCTCATCCCCCCATGACTTTCTGTGTGAATCCAGGAAGTGGAAAATGATTCCAGTTGTATCTCAGCTTAAGGTAAAACATCTCTTTCTGTATTTTATCAAAACAATTATATGATATTTTGCTAACAGGAGATATTTCAAAAATTAATATATTTTCAAGTGTGTTAATGTCCCTATTTAACCTAGTGGTTAAAAATTATTTTCTTCCTGCAGCTAAGTCAAAATTTACAACAACCATGACAGAAAGGGCAAACAAGTTCCTATGCTCTCCAAACACTATTTTACTCCCATGGTTACATGGCAGAATTTGCTGATGAACAAATTCTGCTTAAGCACAAAGACTTTGTAAGTTCTCTGGAAGCCAAAGACTTTTTGTGTAAACAGCAAAGTCCTTATTTTCATTTGTTAGATAAAATAATTCTTTCAGAATGTGTCATTTACAAGTAAATTGTGTTGGTGATGGTGACTTTTAAATTTCTATCCTATATGGAATAAATTTATTCAACCTGATGAAGCCAACTATTAGAAACCTAGAAAGGCCGTGATATCATGGATAACTATGAAAGTTGGGTAGGAAAGACCAACACTTTCATGATGAAAGCAGGGTTGGTATTTAACATGCTGCGCTGCTAGAGTCGAGACCCTACTGTGTTTCCAGAGACCCTAAGCTCCTGCAGACATATTTTCAAAACACTGAAGGAAGCGGGGTTGGAAAAGAAGCCAGGAGAATATATAATGTGTGAAACACTATTTAGCTGGAATAGTTCTGCTTTTTTTTCTGTATCATGAGGTTTCATTTCTAATTTCACTTGAAGCAAAGGATTTTTTATCTTTCAAAAAATATTTGAAAATCATTGCCTGCCTATCACATATCCCTTTGGGGGCTCAGCTGGCAAAATAAAACTGGAAGAGATGCACGACAGGTCTAAACTTCAAATCACTGAGAACTTAGGTTGGCTTGATATAGGAAATACATTCAGTAATCCAGAAGAAATTTCTTAAGTTTCCTTTAAAATAGTGATGCAGTAATGTGATTATTTTAGCGAGAGACTTTACTAATTACTAGGTATATTTGCTCTTTTGAAAATCTTAGCATAACTATATGCAAAACAGTGAGCTAAGAGTTTACAAGGACCAAAAAGAATACTATGTGCTTCCTGTTCTCAACGTTCCCAAAGCTACTGTAAATTAGCTGGAAAAACAGGAAAGAAAATAAGTGACATGAGGTAAGTGCAAGCACTATGCGGAGAGCATGCAGAAGCAGAAGTGATCACATTTTATCAGGAAGGGAGATGCTTCAGGAGAAAAGACGAGATCTCAGCTATCCTTGAAAGATGGGTAGAATTCTGAAGCACAGAAACAGGGAAGAAAGCACTCCTGGCCTGGGTGCAGGATGGGCAAAGACATCAGCAGGGTGGAAAACCAGGCACTAGTTAGGAAAACAATAATATGTCTAATTTGGCTGGAGCATGGGAGAAAGAAATGATGGATCAGATTGTAGAGGGATTTGACTGTGAGGTCAAGATGGTGACACTTAATCCTTGTAATAAGGCAAAGAAAAAGTCAAAGTTAAGTATCTACAATCTCCCTCTGCCACCTATTAATTGCTCAGTTCTGTGTCTGCACCTATGAGGTGATGATGGGATACTGGGTGGGAAGGAAAAGTGGAAAAAACTCTGCAGACTGCTTTACAAAATAATGAAATGGCCAAAGAGATCAAGGAGAAGATGGAAAAAGATACAGAGAAGAAATATATAGCCTGAGGGTGGGAAGCCCTGTTTCTGAGGAGATTTTAAAAGAGGGAAGAAAGAGGTGTGGGAGAGGCGTCTGTTGTGATGAGGAATTTGGGGAAGTTTTGCCGCTTGATATGCTGTGAAAGTCATGCCTCCATTTCATGAAGGAGATTTCAGCACAGCCATATTGCTTTCCAAGGCTTTCTGTTTCCTTTAGGCTGTGTTGAGATGGGTTTTTAGGTTGGAGGGAGAAGGCTCGGTTTTATTCAGTTCACAAATTATCTGTACAGAGCAGGGGTTTCTCTGGTGGTTCCTTGAGGTGGGAGGCCTGGGAGTGGTGGGGTTGGTGGTGATGATAGGGTGAAGGGGAGAACAAGGAGCCTTCACTTTGCATCCCTCATCTCTATATCCACCACATCCAAATTTTTTCTTCTTTGAGACAGGGTCTGGCCTTTTCACCCAGGCTAGAGTACAGAGGTCTGATCTTGGCTCATGCAACCTCTGTCTCCCAGGCTCAAGTCATCCCACCTCAGCCTCCCTAGTATCTGGGACTACAGGCGTGCACCATCGTGCCACCTGTAGTCTTTTCTTTGTAGTTTTTTGTTTGTTTATTTGTTTTTTAGTAGAGATGGAGTCTCACTGTGCTGCCAGGCTGGTCTCAAACTCCTGAGCTCAAGCCATCTACCTGCCTGGGCCTTCCAAAGTGCTGGGATTACAAGCCTGAGCCACCACGCCTGGCCTCAAATCTATTTTATATACAGTAAGACTGCCACTGGGAAAAAGTGATAAAAGCAATTTTATAAGATGGTAAAACAATCATGGTAGGCAGTGAAGTATCCCTGAAGTATTATGAGCTGAAAAATGTTTTATTAGTATAAAGTGAGGTTCAGAGAACTTAAATGACTTGAAGTTTGCACAGCTAGAACATACAAAGCTAGACCTAAGACCCATTTTTACTCAATCACTCTCCCACCCAATGATCAGGGTTTTTTCTTTCCAAATCATTAAGATTTAAGATATTTTGAGCCTGTCCATTCTTAGTTGTAGCCTTTATAGACAGCAAAATTCCTATCTTCCTAATCTGAGGTTTAATGTCAGGTAATTCTTGTGCCTCTTTATTTTGTATTTTGCTACTCAGATGTATCTGTTTGCCTCCACCTGGATTGCATAGGCTGAAAAGGGGTAAAGAAATTTTGCCTCAGAAGGTAATAACTTGGCATTAGGTTCTAACCTTGTTGCTTATATCTCCTTTTTGTTTCCCCTACATCAACGTACATACCAGATGGAACAAAGGTTAAAATATGATTACGCAAACCATCAAAGTACTAGGAAAAAACACAGGAGACGTATTTATAACCTCAGAAAAACAAGTCTTTAAGGTATGACACAAAATCCTGAAGCTGCAAAGGAAAAGGTCAATACATTCAAGCATATAAAAAAATTAATTTCCACATGGGGAAAAAAACTATCATAAGCAAACTCAAACAAAATACAATAAACTCACAAGAAGATTTTTGCAGTGTATGTTGTACACAAAGGCCTACTTTCTAAATGTATCAAGAGTTCCTATGAATGTACAAGAAAAAACTAAACTTCCCAGTGGAAAAAATGGGAAAAAAATGTGAGCAGAATTCACACAAAAAGTAGTTACAAGTGGGTCTTTGTACTAAGACCGTACATGTACTAAGGCTCTACATTTCTAGCTTCTGCATAGTTACCGCTTTAACATTTGCCCTATATACGCGGCCTGCATACACCTTGTTTGGGAAAACCTGATAATATATTATGTCTGAGTCACCTGCCTTCTTCATCTCCTCCTCCCTCCTGAGGGCACACTTTTCAAATGCCAACTAACTATTCCAGAGTCTACACCCCCACTGACCTTTATCACCCCACTGCCAGGTTCCAGACAACTAGGGACAGACCTTATGAATGGGCCCAGAGCCCAGTGAAATTATTCAAACTAGCCAATCCTAAGCCTGCTTACCCCTACCTCATCTATTCCTTATCTTGAAAACCACAATAAAGGCTCTTGCCCACAGTTCAGCCCTCTCCCTCTGTCTTCTGATCAACCCCACTACTTTGCCATGTGACACCCTATTCACCACTATAACATGATGTGTCCCTTCCTTCAGGAACTGTGAGTAATAAACTATCATTTCAATGACAATTATCCCCTGATCTGTGTATCTTCCTATATCTCAAATTTCCTATTCATATAAACTTTAAATGGTAAACATATGAAAAAGTCCATTTCACTTATTTTAAGAAAAATATTTTAAAAGACTATCATGAAATAACATTCTTTTTCCTTATCAGAGTGACAATGGTCAAAAAGTTAGATGGCACACAGTGTTGGTATGAGTACAGAGACAGTCATTTATTACTGGTAGGAACACAAATTGCTACAACGTCTATAAAGAGTGCCTTGGCAATAAAAACAATTTTTAAATACACAAACCCATAACCCATCATTCAGCCATTCCACTTCCGGGTATATATCCAAAAATTTTTAAAGGAGGGATCTTTTTTTTGAGACGAGGTCTCACTCTCACCTAGACTGGAATGCAGTAGAGTGATCTCGGCTCACTGCAACCTCTGCCTCCTAGAATCAAGCCATCTTCTGACCTCAGCCTCCCAAGTAGCTGAGACCACAGGCACACGCCACTACATCCAGCTAATTTTTGTATTTTTGTAAAGGTGGGGTCTCACTTTGTTTCCCAGACTGGTCTTGAACTCCTGAGCTCAAGCAATCTGCCTGCCTTACCCTCCCAAAGTGTTGGATTACAGGTGTGAGCCACCATACCTGGTCTTAAAGCAAGATCTTGAAGACATATTTGCATGCCTATCATAATAGCAGATTATTCACAACAGCCAAGAGGTAGAAGCAACCCAAGTGTCCATCAGTGGATGAATGGATAAACAAAATATGGGGTGTGTGTGTGTGTGTGTGTCTGTGTATGGTGGTGCATATATATGGTACATACATATGGGTGCATATATATGGTACATACATATGGGTGCATATATATGGTACATACATATGGGTGCATATATATGGTACATACATATGGGTGCATATATATGGTACATACATATGGGTGCATATATATGGTACATACATATGGGTGCATATATATGGTATATTGTATCTATATGGTGTGTATATATATGTATACACACACAATGAATTATTATTCCATCTTAGGAGAGGAATTCTGACACATGCTACAACATGAACCAACCTTGATGACATTATGCTAAGTGAAATAAGCCATTCATAAAAAGAGAAATACTGTATGATTCTCCTTACAGGAGGTATATCTAAAGTAGACACATTCATGGAAACAAAGTAGGAGAAAAGGGGAATTGGGGAGTTGTTTAATGGGTGTAGAATTTCAGTTTTGTATATGAAAAAGTTCTAGAGATTAGTTGAACAATAATGTGAATATACTTAACACAAATGGTACACTTAAAAACAGTTAAAATAGTATAATTTTATCACAAAGGTTTTTTTTGAACGAGCAAATCCACTGACCCAGCAATCCCACTATTAGGAATTTGACCTTTTAAGATGACTACTCCAGTATTAAATGATGCATGTATAAAGTTAGTCACTCTATCATTATCTGCAAGAGCAGATGATTGGAAATGACCTAAATGTCTCATAATAAGGAACTAGTTTTAAAAAGCATGTTCCATTCATGCCTTGAAATACTATACAATGAAAAAATAAAAATTGTATAAATATGTGAAAAAAACAGTGTGTATATTATACTAAGACTTACTTCTTTGTGCATAGATGTTCTACAAGGCTATATAAAAGATTGTTAATTATGGTTGTCTCTTGGGAGGGGGAGTTTAGATTGTATAATGGGGTAGAAGGCTGACTTTTCATTGTTTACTATTCTGCACCTTCTGGATTTTGTACTATGTATATATTTTATATATTAAAATAGCTTTATATAAATAAAACTAGCCCCATGGCTGAATAAATTTTATTACAATTTTATTATGATTCCCTGATACTCTGTTCCTTAACTTCCCAGTCTGGCTTGCATCTCACTGCTTGACCATTGAGAACCTAATCTTGCTTGCCTAATGAAAACTTTAGTAATTGTCTTGTCTTAGCTAACTTTTCTGGGTTGACTCCTGCTAACTCATTTAACTGATTTACCTGTAAGTCTGGTTACTAGATGGACAAATTCCCAATCCTGCTCCCTTCTGTTTATTTGCCAAGGAATCTACCCAACAGACAACAGTACCCTCTCTCTACCTATATATTAATACATTTTTTGTTGAAAAAGGTATTTTATTTTAATCCTTAAGCTTCCATGTTTAGTCCCCAATGTATTAAAATAGTGATTGCATTACTAAAGACACTGTTTTACAAGATGCACATTCACCTAAGAGCCACGAGCTTTCCAAAGCCAACCTTCTCTCAAAGGAGAAAATACTATTCTTTCTCCTAGTACTTATTTTGAAGAGCAACATCCGTTCAGCGACTATTTAGAAAGCCAGTATCAAAGTTTAGATCATTATTTTTAATATTTAATCAAGTTGCTACAACAGTAGTAAACAATCAATGAAAAATAAAGAGGTGATTAAAACTGTATTAACTACGTAATTAAACACACATGCACATACACATACAAACTAGGATCTCATTATGTCAGTAAAGAACTAGAAAAGGATAAAGGAGAAGAGAGGCAAATAAACCACACAAACAGAGGGACAGATGGGCCACTGAGGGTAGGGCCACTGCTGCGTTTTCCTCCCATTCCTAGCCTTGGGTTTGGCATATTGTAGATGCTCAGGAAAGAGTTTTCAGAATGAACAAAGGAAGATAATCTCACAGATTGTATGTGAGGAGGTAAAGGACCAATTTTTCTTTATCTTTCTTCTTCTCTGTCCCCTTTTCAACATCCTTCTGACTCCCTCTTACCACTAAGCATAGCTTGTTCAAATAGAGTTGTTCTGACAATACCCCAGATTCCTGGCCAAAATCAATCTCCATGTTTGTCATTTTAAAGGTGCCAAGAGGAGGACATCCTAACACAGTGCCTTCTTTCCTCTTACCCTGACCTCTTCTGCAGTGTACAATTTAACTGAATTGAGGGGTATTAATCTACTTTGCAAAGTGGAATTTGGCCTGTATTCTTATAATCTTAGTGTCAATATTCAATCTTTGTAAATGGATTTAGGTATGTTGATATCTCAAATATTTAAGTGCATTACAAGGTCTTCTTCCATACTGGAAAAGTTTTTAAATTTCCACCCCACTGTCAGAGTAAAAACAATAATAACAAAAATATGGGAACAATAGAACCTATCTGTACTGTTCAATAAACTATCCGTCTCTTTAAAGATTCTTGACAGCCAAGGAAAATCTTGAAAAATTATTCTTGCAAGGGTGCCTGGATGTCTGAAGGAAAAGCGAAAACATGCCAATAATAGCAAGATTTGCAGGAAGGTTTATAAAAGAAACTTAGTCATTTTTTAAAGCACAGCCTATAAGTACAGCTGTTAGTGAGGGGTGATAACTAAGGAGAGGATGGGGAAACATACTAGAAATATTTAAACAGAGTGTACATATTTATCTTTGTTTTAATACACAGTCTACTTTAAAAGTCAAATTGTAAAACCTAAAATAGCAGTGTTTAAATGTGTGAATGTCAAGTGAACAATGTCAAGTGAAATGCGCGCTGAAGCAGGAAACGGAAGATTGGGTTCCAAATTCCACCCCGATGTGTAACCCAGGGCGAGTCTCAATCTTCCAGAATCTTTAAGATGGAAATAGCAATATCTCAAAACTCCTATTACAGAATCGTTCTGAAAAGTAAGTTTACATACTTGAAACTACTTCGTAAGCTCCTTGAGGGTGGGGTTCTTATCTTTTCCCCTTTATAACCAGTTACTTAAGGTATAAAAAAATAGAAAATATTTAATTCCTCGAAAAAAATTGAAATGTCATTAGGGATTATCTCAAGAAGCTCATTAGTAACTCTATAGAAGGTCCAACCTACAAAATAAATGAAGCTTTAGTAGCGTCAGCAAATCACCGATACTTTCAGTAATTAAAACTTTAATTTTAGGCCAGGTGCAGGGGTTTACACCTGTAATCCCAGCATTTTGAGAGGCCGAGGTGGGTAGATCACTTGAGCCCAGGAGTTTGAGACCAGCCTGGACAACATGGTGAAACTCTATCTCTACATAAAATACAAAAATCAGCCAGGCCTGGTGTTATGTGTCGGTGGTCCCAGCTACTCCAGGGGCTGAGGTGGGAGGATTGCTTGAGCCCAGAAGGTAGAAGTTGCAGTGAGCTGAGATTGTGTCACTGCACTTCAGTCTGGGCAACAGAGACAGACCTTATATCAAAAAAATTTATTTAAAAAACCAACATTTATTTATCTGGTACCAGCCTTAAGAGAACAAAATATATAGAAAATAAAGCATCTTTTGAATATGTGAATATCCTCATAAAAAAAGATAACTTTACAAGTATGAAATTAGGTAAATAATGGCAGCATCTTTCTTTAAATCCACAGTGGTAGACTGTGTTGTTAAATATACATAGGTATCAAGTTGCAATTCTTTCAGAAAGCATTCTGAATACTATATCAACAACCTACCGTGTCTACTACACCTCTAGCCAGAGACTTCCCCCATAGGCTCAGATCCACATACCGGACATTCCCTTCAGACCTGTTGCTTCTTCTGAACTCTCATGTATGGTGCCATAATTTGGCTGATTTCCTAAATCAGAATGCCAAGCATCAATTTAGAATCTTTTCCTCACCCACTCCATCCACTCAGACACTAAGTCTATAGAATTTTATACTTCCTTAACATCTCTCCTAAATGTATTCACTCCTTTTTTCCTCATTGCCAATGCCACTGTGCAGTCTCTCTTCACATCTTCATCACTGAAATGGCATTCTAACTGGTGAGATGGTAGGAATGGAAAACACAAATTCAAGAGATATTAACAAGAGAGAACCAACTGACAGAACCCAGGAGCAGAGTTGGGTTCCGGAGAAGGATAATGGATTTAGTTGTGAGTATGTTTAGTTTGAGGTACTTTGGGGTCATCTACATGAAGATATTCCAAGTATGTGCATACATGGGTATGGACGAAGAAACCAGATTCATAGTGGACCCTGTGTATATGGATGCAATATACCCTTTCATGTCTTACTGCCTTAAAAGCCTTTCTAGACCATCTCATCCCACAGCAGTCAAGCCTCCCTTTCCCTTCTGATAACACTGCTTGTATCCTCATATGCCTTTTGTTGACATTTAATATTTCAATCTTCTTGTTCACAAATAATGCTTCTAAAGAATAGGAACCTTTTTATGCTTTATGTCCATAAATTCTCATGGTATCTAGCATAATCCAGCACAGGAGGTGCTCAAAACCAAGGAGGAGTTGAAGGCATGAATTTCAGTAGCTTTAGCAATAATAATTATAAACATCTAGCACAGTGCCTGGCACATAGTAAATGCTGTATCTTTTATCTTTTAAATAGATTAAGACTTAATGTCCAAAATTATTGTTCACAAGGTTCTTGACATCTTAATACTCATCAAATCTGACATGCAACTGAAACTTGGACACAAATGCTGCTATTACATATTTTGTAAGAAGTACAACCACTCATAGTTTTATATATAACTTGTTTTCGTGAAAAGGTCATATATTAACAAACTTAATCCATCTTCATCATTGCCCATGATGATTGGTACACATCCACACTCTACTTTTAGTTTCATATTCTATTTTGATTCGTAGTTTTACTTCCTCGGTGTTTCCCTACAATGTTTGTTCTCCCTTTTATGCCTCCCAAATGCAATGCTCCTATGCCTCCTTTTTTCCACCCCTTGGCTAAGTCAGGTCAAAGACTTACTTAACAATGATTGGAACAATAATTATTTTCAGGAAATAAAGAGAAGGGAGGAGATGCCTGGCTCTTGGTAAAAAGCAAAGAGCCAATTATTTCGCTTAGGCGAAATAATTTAATGTTTTGATTTTGGCTCACAGCATTAAGACAAAAATGATTTTACAGCCTCCAAGTCTTGGAAAAGTTCAGCATCTGACACACTGGCCCTTGACAAGTGAGGCCACATTTATAAATCAGTGCTGCTTTACATAAGCACATACAGATAGAAGTAGAAATCCTAACTAGGGAATACCGTGAAAGCTATCACTTGTATTAACCCTGGACATGTGACAGCATCTAACATAATACCCATTGGAGTGTATGCTGGTTCAACGTCTTTGGAAAACTGATTGAAGGTCTTTACTAAAGCTGAATATAAACCTAGACTATGACAGATTAACCCCACTCCTGTGTATATACCCAAGATAAGTTCATTCTTAAGTACAAGGCATGCATAATGATCACAGAACTTTATTCATTATCTTCAAAACAGGAAATAATCCATTTTTATAAACAAAATAGAATGGATCAACAAATTATGGTATATTTACACAGTAGTGAGGTAGGAGGCAGAACTCGACTTCGGAGGTGGGGCTTGGACATCACACCAAATTGAGGACTAGCTAAAAGAGGTCTGAGGCAGAAGCACCTCCCCCATTAGACACCAGTGTGCCATGTTAGTTTACTGTTGCCATGGTAACATCAGGAAGTTACTGCCCCTTTCCATGGCATCAACCCGACAACCTGCAAGTTACCAACCTCATTCTAGAAATTTCTGCATAAACCAGTCCTTAATTTGCATCTAATTAAAAGTGGATATAAATTTGAGTGCAGAACTGCCTCTGAGCTCCTATTCCGTGTACACTGCCTATGGGGTAGCCCTGCTCCACAAGGATCAGAACCTCTGCTGCTGCAGTTCACTGCCACTTCAATAAAAGTTGCTGTTTAACATCACAACCCTCTCAAGGGCAAGCCTCAATTTGGGGGCTTGACTGTCCTGTATCATCAGGATACTAAGAAGCAACAAAAAAAGAAATCAAACTACCGCCATGCATAATGCTGTTAATGAACCTCACAACTATAAAAGTGAGCAAAAGCAGCCAGACACAAAGAAAAACATACTGTATGACTCCATTTAAATGATGTTCAGGAAGAGACAAACTAATATATGATAAGCCAGTAGAGTGTTTATCTTGGGTGGGAGCAATGACTGGGAAGGTCTCAAGGGAGACCTCAGGTTCCTGGAAGTAGATCCTGATCAGACTGAGAATATGGTGGGAGAAGAGATAAATCAATGAGATACATATTTAAAGGAGATATTTAACTCTCAAACTGACAAAGAGAATAAAGACGATTGGGAGAAGAATGACAAATTCAGTTATGGACATGTTGGTTATAGGCATACATAAAAAACCTGATCTGTACACTTAATATTTGTGAGGTTTACTCTATATGTTATACCTTAAATAAAAATTAACAATATAAAGAAAATGGGACAGGATTAAATATCCAATAGGACAAAAAAAAGTCTGGAGTACCAGGCCTCATAGTTACGCAGCAATGGCCAATTTGGGGAGCAGGTGTCCTACATTAACCCACACAGCCCATTGATGGGAGTTGTGTGGCTTGGTTTCCAAACATCACTTAATCACTTTTGTTTTTGAGACGCAGTTTCACTTGTTGCCCAGACTGGAGCACAATGGTGTGATCTGGGCTCACTGCAACCTCTGCCTCCCAGGTTCAAGCAATTCTCCTGCCTCAGCCTCCTGAGTAGCTGGGATTACAGGCATGCACCACCACACCTGGCTAATTTTTGTATTTTTAGTAGAGACGGGGTTTCGCCATGTTGGCCAGGCTGGTCTGGAACCCCTGACCTCAGGTGATCCGCTCACCTCAGTCTCCCAAAATGCTGCAATTACAGGCATGAGCCACTGCGCCCAGCCCCAAGCATCACTTTGAACATTCATTCCAAGGAGTGAATTAACAGTGTAGTTCCTGCCCTGTTAGGTCTTATTGCGATCATAGGTCTTAATGTGATCATAATGTCAGTGGGGAACTCTAAATTTTCTTTTTCTTCTTAAAAAAAATAAAGGGATAAGTGTGCAGAATGTGCAGGTTTGTTCCATAGGTCTACGTGTGCCATGGTGGTTTGCTGCACCTATTGACCTGTCCTCTAATTTCCCTCCCCTCGGCCCCCAACCCCCAAACAGGCCCTGGTGTGTGTTGTTCCCCTCTCTGTGTCCATGTGTTCTCAATGGAACTCTACATTTTCTATGCAAAATATTTTATGCTGATTAGTCAAGTGATGTGGGAAGAGTTGAGAGGTTGGAGAAACCCCTGTGAGCTGGCTACTCAGGCAGTTCCCTGAAGGACAAGAGATTTGAGCCAGGATCTCAAAGGTTAGGAACAGACCCAGGGGTTGCAAAGTGCAGTCTATGCAAGCATTTTGTTAGGTTTTTTAGTATGAATGGCATAGCTTAAAAGCAATGGAGGCAATACGACTAGGCAGATTGGTGGATAGCCATGATCTTACATCATGTATTTTGAATTTATGCCAGTTTCCTTAGACATCTGACGTTATTCCTTCTAAATATGGGAGAGTCCCTGCTGAGCGGAACAACATAAAGAGTAGCTCCTGAGAATCTAAGTGAATGACTAGATTGTAAAAGTAGTTTGGGTATAAATTGCAGAGGCCTGTGAATGTCATACTGAACACACTCTTCAGGCAATATGAGACGAGAGCATGACACCCATGCATTGCAACTTGGCAGTGCTGGGACAACTGTGCAACTAGCATTAATAACAATGAATGATATAAGCAGTTTCTGTGTTTTCCAATGCTATGCCAAGCAACTGGACCCTTGGAAGTGGATTTCTGACTGCTTTCCTTCAGTTGTCATCTGCACTTTTGCCATTTTTGCAGATACAGTTTCTGTTTAAACAACTGAAGGAAGACAAAGTAGGTTAAAAGACAAAGACAACTGAAGGAATATAAAGTAGGTTATACACAGTATGTTAAAAACTTGTGAGACCCATAAATTTTAGAGTAATCCTAAAAGAATTAGAAAATAAATTTACAGATGCCAATTAGGAACAATATCTTAGTGGTGTTGTTACGGAAATAAAGTTTTCTGAATCCAATAATTCTGAATATTCCGAAAGTTTGCAATTTATCACTGTTTTGAGGAGGAGTTCTCAGGCAGTAAAATTGCTGATATTGATACTACTCAAAAGTGTATGTAGCACAGTTCTTTGAAACGATTATTGAAAGCTCTTGGATATAATTATCAGAGGCCTGTTATACCCAGCAATTAATAACTATAAATTATGCATCCATGTATATTGAGAGATTCTTGAAATATTTATTAAATTGTTAGATTGAGGATCAACATGCATGAGAAGTTGTCCTAAGTTCTTTAATTTTGCAAAACAAACCTTAATCTTTGGCTTAGAAAACCTTGAAGATAATCTTTACTATTAGCATAACTTTTGCTACAAATAAACTCAAGTTGTTGTGATTTTTACTGTTTTGGCTTCTTTATAAACTGGTCTTAAGGTCACTCTGTGAAGAGTGGCTACAAGCCAAGATGGCTGCTTTTTAGAAGAGCCCTGATGGGCAGGCCGTCAGGTTCCTGTGTGTCAGTCAGGTGAGATACAATGACAAAAATGAGAAGGTGAAACCAAACGCATGAAACAGAAGAAATTTATTACTTACAGATCTGACAGCTTAGGGGTACTGATGGGGAGCGCAGATAAGTCTGGAGGTGGCAGGGAGCTCAGCAGTGGGTAGGGAGTGAGAGAGCAGCTATGGGAGCTCACCTTTATTAAGGTATATGGGTATTATCCCTCCGGTCTTCTCACAGGAGTTGTGGATTGGCTGGTTTAAGGAAAACATGCCAGAAGGGGGAAACTTATTTATATGACTCTGGTGTTGATCATTAAGTTTTATCACAGTTAGCAGCTGTCGGGTGTTTTGGGTTTGGGATTAGCAGGATGAGAAACAAGTGGGCTATATCTCAACCACATGGAGAGGAGTTATTTTAACTAGTACAAAGATCGGGTATGATTGGGTTTCAAACAACTTATGTCAGACCTAAAAATGCATGAGCTTACATCATAAGTGTGTGTTGAGTCAACGTCTTTGGTAGCTACTATATCAAACAAATGTATGACACAAGTTTAGCCTTATTTTTGATTTGATTATTAAGGGTAGTGGTGGAGAAGTAGAAATTTTATTGCAAAGTTCGACATATGATGGATTTTGACAGAAATGTGAACTCTTCACTTAAAATATTAAGATTAGAGGAAGGAAATCATGGTTTTAAAAATACAAAGATAAGCATTTCTTTTTCTCCACACCTTTGCCAGCATCCATTGTTTTTGACTTTTTAATAATAGTTATTCTGACTGGTGGGAGATAATATCTCATTGTGGTTTTGACTTGTATTTCTCTGATAATTAGTGATGCTGAGCACTTTTTCCTACTTTTGTTGGCCACATGTATGTCTTCTTTTGAGAAACGTCTGTTAGTGTCCTTTGCCTATTTTTAAAATGGGGTTATTTGTTTTTTGCTTGTTGATTTGTCTAAGTTCCTTATAGATTCCAGATATCAGACCTTTCTCAGATGCATAGTTTGCAATATTTTCTCCCATTCTGTAGATTGTCTTTTTACTCTGTTGATAGTTTCTTTTGCTGTGAAGAGGCTCTTTAGTTTAGTTCAGCCACTGTGGAAAGCAGTTTGGAGATTTCTCAAATAACTTAAAACAGAGCTACCATTCAGCCCAGCAATCCCATTACTGGGTATAAAACCAAAGGAAAATAGATCATTCTACCAAAAAGACACATGCACTCATACATTCATCACCACACTATTAATAACAAAGATGTGGAATCAATCTAGTGGCCCATCAGTGGGGGATTGGATAAAGAAAGTGTGTTATATATATACACCACAGAATACTATGCAACCATATAGGAGGATGAAATCATGTCCTTCACAGAGACATAGAAGAGCTGGAGACCACAATCCTGAGTGAATTAATGCAGGAAAAGAAAGCCAGACACTGCATATTCTCATTTATAAGTGGGAGCTATACACTGAGCACACATGGACAAAAACATGAGAATAACAGACACTGCAGACTACTAGAGAGTGGAGGGAGGAAGGGGAGTGTGGGTTGAAAAACTACCTACCGGGTACTAGGCTTACCACCTGGATGCAATATGCCCATGTACAAAACCTGTACATGTATGCCCTGTATCTAAAATAAAAGTTAGATTAAAAAATATATAAAGATAGATGTAGAAATAGATTTAAATTTGTGTGGATATAAATATTCATGAATCTGTTTCCCAGCTCTGTCCACTGAGAGGGGCTAGAAGCTATGACATTCTAGGATCAATGACCATGCTCAGCATTAATATCTTAGTTTCCAAATATCATTCTCCAGTAACAGGAACTAGGGATCCTCCAAGAAATGGCTGATTCTAGGGCTGGAGCAAAAAAAATACAAGATGAGCCCAGAACACTTTCTTGTGCCAGAAAGTAAGGAAGTGCAGAAGGAATCACAGGAGCATGTCAGAAGGACAAGTGAGCCTACCTGAAGGGTGTACACTGGCCAAATGTGGGACAATGATAGCATGAGAAGGAATGACAGTGAGAAACCTAAGTCCACACTGATAAAAAGATGAATAAATAAGGAAAGAAGAGAAAGTTCTTCCTTATAGTAGAAAGCCACCTAATAAATATAGAAGAAATGATGGAATTAGAAAATCACCATTTGACAACCATCATAACAAGAGTTGATCTGGGTAAGTATCACCAATAAATCCCAAACTTGTAGGTGAAAATTTTAAGAGGAGTAAGACAACCACATAGTCTCAGAGTATCTCTTCTTGAGGTGCTTATTAATTTCAAACAGAAAAATAAATAAAAGGTAAATCTGGAAGTCATCACCTTAACCAAGTGATCAAGATGAACAAGTCTAGCAAATGGGACAAGGCAACATCATGTGTTCCTAGTAGAAGACACTTGAGAAGGATACGAGATTGTGTCTTTATATCTTTACCAAAAATACATAGCATGAATCTAATAATAAGAAAATCGGAAAAATCCAAATTGAAAGAAAATCACAAAATAACCGGCCTCTTCTCTTCAAAGTGTCAATATCATGAAAACTAAAGAAATCCTGAATTTCCTTTAGATTAAAGGAGACTAAAGAGATGACTACTGAATGCAATACATAATCTAGAATTTTCTTTTGCTATAAAGAACATTATTGGGACAACTGGCAAGACCCGAATAAGGTATGCAGATTAGAAAATGGTATTATATCAATGTTAATTTCCTGATATAATTGTACTATGATTAAGAGAATGAATATATTTTTAGGAAATATAGTGATGCATTTAGGTATAAAGGGGCATCGTGTCTTCAGAGAGAGAGAAAGAGAGAGGTTGAGAGAACAAGAAGATAGAAAAAAAAGGATAAAGCAAATGTGGTAAGATGTTAGCGTCTGAGAAATCTGGGTTAAAGATACACGCAAATTCTTTGCACTAATCTTGCAACTGTCCTGAATATCTGAAATTATGTCAAAATAAAAGAAAAAGCCAAAACTGTAGAAAAAGTGAACAATTTAGCAATTTAGATCCTGTATACACATATATAGCACTATTATTTTTAAAATTACTTTTTTATTGCATTCTGTTCCAATTTGGTTTTGCTTCTTGGTTTTTAATAAACTGTTTTTGCCTTAAGACTTTTTAAACTTATTTTTTACTATGACTATCAAATTTCTTAGAATGTTTTATTCAGTTATATAAAGTTTATCATCTGAAATTCAAATGTCCTCTAAATCATTTTCTAAAGTATAGCTCTCAGGCATGACAAGGTAACAGCTGAATACATAGTCAGCCATTACTTAAAAAAAAAAAAACTCTCCTCATATATGGGTATTTCCTAAATGTTCATCTTGCTTTTTAAAGTTCACATAATGAGAATATATAATTCATCATATTCCCCTTTTTGCTTATTTGCTGATAGAAAACAGCAGATTTCAGTGCTCCACTGCAGTAACTATAGTTAGCTAGGTAAATATATATTCTTTCTATCATTATATGACAAGATATTTTAATTTTATGGAAGTAAATGTAGTATATGCAATAATAAAAGAAATCTTCTTTATTTCATGTACCAACCCACGAAATGTATGTAACTGACCGAATATATGTGCAAATACTTATGCTACGAAAGTATCAGAACCTACACTACTGCATTGGTTCAGAATTACATGATAAATTTTTGGAAGAAAAGGCAGGGACCATTTTGTTTTAGTGTATCAAGTTGTAAATATCACCTACAGGATATATGTAATAAAGAATTTTGATAATGATATTGGCTTCATTTGAATTTTTAAGTACATGTTGAGTTGGGTTTTACTGTAGTAACATATAAAGAAAAATATACCTCATGCAGAAAAATGAAAGCTGGAGTTTCAGATAAATCAACAAACCGCTCATCTTGAATGTTAATTGTGGGCACTATGGCATAAATGGGCTCTTGATCCTTTTCATCTTTCTCCTCTTCCTCTTCTTTTTCTGTGTCTGTGCTACTGTCTTCCATTTTTCACGATTCTAAAATAAAATTAATACATATGTGGCTATTTAGGAGTGTCTTCACTTATAAAGTAAAATTAATGGAAAATAATAAAAATAAACAAAAAACTGGAATAAGCTATTGTTCAATGAAACTACAAATCAGGAAAGTTAGCTACAATCTCATTATAAAAGACTGTTTTTTGCAAAGACACTCTCTATTGTTGCATTCAAATCAATCATTCTTATTTTTAAAAGTATGCTACTGTTGCATTAATTGGAAAATAAAAAATATATATGAATTATATATGTAAAATATACATGAATTATAATGAGAATGCAAGTCAGTATCAGCCTAGACATTTATGAAACAAGAAGCCAGAAACCTCTCCAGCTATCCTATTATAAGCAAAGTGTGCTTTCTGATACCTCTATAATCTATACATTGTACATATTTCTGTAGAAAAGTGCTTAAAACAGTGTATTGTAATTTACTATTTTTCATATTGTCTACCTTATTGGACTTCTTAGAACAGAAACTATATTCTTATTTACCCATATACCTTCAACACCTAGCAAATAACATACTTAGAATGTGTGCTAAAAATAATTGCCAACGGGACAAACAAGTTCTGCTGTTCTTTTAATGTCCAAAGAATATTACAATTGCAAATAGTTTACTTGAATTTTCAGAAACAAAATGCTTAACACTAAATCAATGCAGTAACAATAATTCATTCACTCCTTATTGGAAAGTTTGTTCAAAACCAAATTCCCACAGGAGCAAAACTGAGGTTCTTCTGTAATTGCTGTGGGCAACTGCTAACACCAGCTTCGAAAATTTTTTTCCTCAAATCATATTGGCAGGGTGACCCACATAATTTGCAGGACCCAGTACAAAAAAACAAATCTGGGATTCCTTGTCAAAATGTCAGAAAAATGTTCTCTGAAGGTTACCAATATATAAAAAGTTTTCCCTTTAAAAAAATTTATTACTTATAAAATATAATAGGGGTAATAGTAATACGTGAATAGCAACAAAAACTAAGTGAATAGTAATGAATCCTAAGAAAATATTTTTGATGTCACAATTTTATATAATAAAATAACAATAATGTAATATCTTGATTGATCATAAGATTTTTCTGGCTCACTTTTCTGCAAATTAATTTACTAGATCATCAAAATTTATACTCATTGTAATTTCATTTTTAATTGATCAAACTGAAAGTGATGTGAGCTGCTCTTGGGAAATGCAAGATCATAAATAATTTTTGGCAATTTTTAATTTGAGAAGAATCTTCCTGCTCATGCATCTTTCACTGAAGTTTATAAGAATATTTATAGGCTGTGATAACATTTAGATAAATTTCTGATAAATCATTTCAAAATAAAACCTTTTGAGCTAATGATTCTCATAGAACAATTTTCTAAAAAGATTTAACTCTTCATAAAAATCAGCTTCCTCTGTGAATTTAATTTTAAATGTACATTTATTCAATATTCATTTTAATGTTTCCTCTGACAATTCCTGTAACTTCTGGAGGTTGTGCAATAATCCAAAAGTGGCTTTATATTTTGTATATACACCAGAACACTTGCTTATATGCATTCTATTGTTGTATGTTCAATTACAAAAATAAAATAAAATTTAAAATGGTCTTTCTTGTTCATACTTCATTTATTCAAAGCTTCATAAGCTTTATTCAAGCTTGGAAAACTATTATTTTCTGTCACATGCAATCATCTTTAATTTCTATTCCTAAACTTATGGATATTTTATTTGCAATATTATAGCAATTTTCAAAACTGGAGATTTTAAACTCTTTGAAGAATTCTAATAACTCCTTGACATGTTTTATTGCAATGTCTGTGTGTTTGCTTTTATTTTGTAATATTTTACTAAAAAAGTTTTCTGCATTGAGTGCCAATAGTTTCTTTCCTTATTATATGTGCAGATACCACAGAGACAGATGCTGGGGACCAGCCTCCCATGGTAGGTTCCAGAACTGTCCCCATGCAGGCCTCTTCTTTCTCCTGAGGCCATCACTGATGTAGCTGTCCCTATTACTTTTGCTGTCATGTTGCCTCTGCTGCTATTGCTGCCATTGCTTTTGCCAATCTGCACTCAAGTGCTGGCCTGGCTGCCTTGGGACTCTGTGATACCCCAAACTGCCCTGATGCATGCATTTGAGCACCAGGCCACAGGCCTATTTGCTTGGCACCCACACCCTCTGCCACAGCCATCGATTCAGGCCTGTGCATGTGCACACTGCTGCCTGGCCTATCTGTGCTGCTCATGTGAATGTTCAATTGTTCCAACAGACTTTATTTACAAAACTCAAGCTCAAAAATAAAATTTTAAGTATTTAAAAATGGTGACAGCAGGGCATTAAACCAAGTGCAGGGCCCCTCTGAGAGCAGATCCTTGTGTGACTGCGTAGGTCATACATCTATGAGGCTGAAGCTGGCCTTGTATATTAGCCATCGATTTGGTCATGTATTCAAGCAGATCCACAACACTTTCTAAAAGGACTCTGTCTTAGTCAGCAAGGGCTCCATTGGTCCACTTTGGTGACATTGGGATGACTGCCCTTCTGGAGAGAGAGCAGGTAAAATGCCTCCACTGCATAAGAGAATGCCAATATCATCATCAGCTCTTTTTGATCTCTGAAATACATGAATCTTCACTGAATCAACAGAATATTATACTTACACTCTTCTCTTGCCAGAGAAGATAACTGCAATTGTCATGCTTTTAAGGTCTGATCTTCTGCTGAATATGTATCATTTCTCATGTCAATCTCATTGGATTGGCTGTTCCTTGATGACACTGAGCCTCACTCTATAACATGGAAAGCACGTTCCATCATAAGAAGCCAGAAGGCTTGGTAGGTCCTGGTTCTTGAATGTATTAGTCAGGTGGTCACAGACATATCATTTATTCATTAAATTTACTCCTCTCTAAAATGGGGTAAAATTAGTAAAACAAAACAACAACTAATTTTTATGTTTCAAAAAGATGTGCAGATTAAATGTGATAATGCCTCTGGGACTTGAGCTTCACTCTATCTCTAATTTTCTGCCAGCCGGAAATTATACATGTACTTGTTTTCCTCTTCCTGCTGCTACAACAATACTTCAGAGGCGGTAACATATACTTCCATCAGGAGGCTCCAAATATCTGATTGTCTGTTGTTATGTGATGTTAATAGCCAGTGGTATCATTTGACTTCCCTTTCTTTAACACATGTTTGCTTTTTTCAATGCCCTAAAGTGTTTTTTTTAAATAACCATTATTATTATGGCATTACAATACTTTATATTTGCTAGGTAATCACAGTTTATTGCTTAAATCTTCAAGCAGCTAAAAATGGTTTGGCTATATATTTAAATTTGTTTTGTGAATAAACTAAAATATGTACACTCAATCCTTTCATGGATATTAAATGTGAATGAATATCCCAGAAAAATATTTCCTTCAGAACATTAGGCTATATCTTATTTAACTTTTTTATTAAGAAGTTTTTCAAAGGCCAGGCATGGTGACTCACGCCTGTAATCTCAGCACTTTGGGAGACGGAGGCAGGTGGATTACCTGAGATCAGGAGTTCAAGACTAGCCTGGCAAACATGGTGAAACCCCATCTCTACTAAAAATACAAAAAAAATTAGCCAGGCATGGTGGCATGTGCCTGTAATTCCAGCTACTTGGGAGGCTGAGGCAGGAGAATCACTTGAACCCCGCAGGTGGAGGTTGCAGTGAGCCGAGATTGTGCCATTGTACTCCAGCCTGGGAGAAAGAGCGAGACTCTGTCTCAAAAAAAAAAAAAAAAAGAAAAAAAAGAAAGAAAGAAAGAAAAACTGTTTCAAATATAAACAATAGTAGCAGATTAGTACAATTATTCCTCAAGTACACATTAACGAGCTTCAACAAATATCAATTCATGAGCAATTTTATCTATAACCCTTCCACTTCCCCTCTGAACTCTCTAGGTTATTTTGAAGCAAAACCTAGACAATTAGACTTAATAATATATCCTAAAGAACTTTATAGGAATATACAGAGATAGATCTCATCCCTTTTCATACCTGCATAGCACTCCTTTGCATAGATGCACCATAGGTTACTCAATTTCCTATTTATAAACGTATTGAATATTTCCAGTTTTCTGCTATTACAAAAGGGTTGCAAAGTATAGTGCATCTATTTATTTTAAAAATACGTATATATGTGTATTTTTTTTTTTGAGACAGAGTCTTGCTCTGTCTCCCAGGCTGGAGTGCAGTGGTGCATTCTCTGCTCACTATAACCTCTGCCTCCCAGGTTCAAGTGATCCTCCTGCCTCAGCCTCCAGAGTAGCTGGGATTACAAGCGTGTGCCACCACACCCAGCTAATTTTTGTATTTTTAGTAGAGACAGGGTTTCACCATGTTGGCCATGCTGGTCTTGAACTCCTGACCTCAGGTGATCCACCTGTCTTGGCCTCCCAAAGTGCTGGGATTACAGGCATGAGCCACCACGCCTGGCCTTGAAATCTTTATAATCAAGATGGTATTAACTTTGAAAACTTAGGTTCAGACAATTTCTCAGAGCACTGCACCTTTAAATATGATGCAGCTTACCTAGGCAACAAATGATAAGTACCATGCTGAATCTGTACAAATTCTTCAGTTTGCTAAAGTTTTCAATCTCTATTATTCTGAAAACATTCTAAATATTTTAGAGCAAGTAAAGTATTTGCACAGGGAAGCAACTAAAAGACACTACAACAGAGTTCTGATAGAGATCATCAGAAAAACTTTAACCTTTAGAATAAAAATACTTAGGCATACATTTAACCAAGGACATGAAAGATCTGTACACTGGAAACTATAAAACTATGGTGAAAGAAATTAGACATAAATAAATGGAAAGGTATCCCATGTTATGGATTAGAAGAATTAATATTGTTAAAATGGTTTACTATACAAAGCAATCTACAGGTTCAATGCAATCCCTATAAAATTCCAATGGCACTTTTTTCACAGGAATAGAAAAAAAAATCCTAAAATTTATATGGAACAATAAAAGACCCCAAATAGCCAAACCCACCTTAGGCAGGAACAACAATGCTAGAAAAAATCACATGTTCTGATTTCAAATTGTAGCACAAAGTTATAGTAATCAAAACAGTATGGTGCTGGCATTAAATAAAAATAAAAGACCAATGGAACAAAATAGAGAGCCCAGAAATGAACCAATGCATATACAGTCAAGTAATTTTTGGCATGGATGTCAAGAATGCACAACATAGATTCTTCAATACAGGGTGTTAGGGAAATTGGATAGCCACATGCCAAAGAATGAAATCAGGCCCTTGTTTTACATCACACACAAAAGTTAACTCAAACTAGATTAAAGAATTAAACATGAGATCTGAAAGCATAAAACTCCTAGAAGAAAACATAGGAAAAAAGTCCTTGACATTGGTTTTAGTGATTATATTTTGGATATGACACCAAAAGCATGGGCAACAAAAGGAAAAATAAAGTGAGATGACATCCAACTAAAAAACTTCTGCACAGCAAAAGAAACAATCAACAAAATGAAAAGGCAACCTATGGAATAGGAGGAAATATTTGCAAACTATATATGTGACAAGGGGTTAACATCCAAAACATACAAGGAACTTATACAACTGAATAGCAACAACTCAAATAATCCCATTAAAAAATGGGTAATGGAGCTGAATAGACATTTTTCCGAAGAAAACATACAAATGGCCAACAAGTACATAAAAAGGTCATCAACATTACCAACCACTGGGGAAATGCAAATCAAAACCACAATAAGATGTCGCCTCACACCTGTTAGGATGGCTATGATTGAAAAAACAAAAGATAGTAATTTTTTTTTCTTTTATTATTATTATACTTTAAGTTTTAGGGTACATGTGCACAATGTGCAGGTTACTTACATGTGTATACATGTGCCATGCTGGTGTGCTGCACCCATTAACTCGTCATTTAGCATTAGGTATATCTCCTAAAGCTATCCCTCCCCCCTCCCCCCACCCCACAACAGTCCCCAGAGTGTGACGTTCCCCTTCCTGGGTCCATGTGTTCTCATTGTTCAATTCCAACCTATGAGTGAGAATATGCGGTGTTTGGTTTTTTGTTCTTGTGATAGTTTACTGAGAATGATGATTTCCAATTTCATCCATGTCCCCACAAAGGACATGAACTCACCATTTTTTATGGCTGCATAGTATTCCATGGTGTATATGTGCCACATTTTCTTAATCCAGTCTATCATTGTTGGACATTTGGGTTGGTTCCAAGTCTTTGTTATTGTGAATAATGCCACAATAAACATACGTGTGCGTGTGTCTTTATAGCAGCATGATTTATAGTCCTTTGGGTATATACCCAGTAATGGGATGGCTGGGTCAAATGGTATTTCTAGTTCTAGATCCTTGAGGAATCACCACACTGACTTCCACAATGGTTGAACTAGTTTACAGTCCCACCAACAGTGTAAAAGTGTTCCTATTTCTACACATCCTCTCCAGCACCTGTTGTTTCCTGACTTTTTAATGATTGCCATTCTAACTGGTGTGAGATGGTATCTCATTGTGGTTTTGATTTGCACTTCTCTGATAGCCAGTGATGGAGAGCATTTTTTCATGTGTTTTTTGGCTGCATAAATGTCTTCTTTTGTGAAGTGTCTGTTCATGTCCTTCGCCCACTTTTTGATGGGGTTGTTTGTTTTTTTCTTGTAAATTTGTTTGAGTTCATTGTAGATTCTGGATATTAGCCCTTTGTCAGATGAGTAGGTTGCAAAAATTTTCTCCCATTTTGTAGGTTTCCTGTTCACTCTGATGGTAGTTTCTTTTGCTGTGCAGAAGCTCTTTAGTTTAATTAGATCCCATTGGCAATTAGGCAGGAGAAGGAAATAAAGGGTATTCAATTAGGAAAAGAGGAAGTCAAATTGTCCCTGTTTGCAGATGACATGATTGTATATCTAGAAAACCCCATGGTCTCAGCCCAAAATCTCCTTAAACTGATAAGCAACTTCAGCAAAGTCTCAGGATACAAAATCAATGTGCAAAAATCACAAGCATTCCTATACACCAATAATAGACAAACAGAGAGCCAAATCATGAGTGAACTCCCATTCACAATTGCTTCAAAGAGAATAAAATACCTAGGAATCCAACTTACAAGGGACGTGAAGGACCTCTTCAAGGAGAACTACAAACCACTGCTCAAGGAAATAAAAGAGGATACAAACAAATGGAAGAACATTCCATGCTCATGGGTAGAAAGAATCAATATCATGAAAATGGCCATACTGCCCAAGGTAATTTATAGATTCAATGCCATCCCCATCAAGCTACCAATTACTTTCTTCACAGAATTGGAAAAAACTACTTTAAAGTTCATATGGAACCAAAAAAGAGCCCACATCGCCAAGTCAATCCTAAGCCCAAAGAACAAAGCTGGAGGCATCACGCTACCTGACTTCAAACTATACTACAAGGCTACAGTAACCAAAACAGCATGGTACTTGTACCAAAACAGAGATATAGATCAATGGAACAGAATAGAGCCCTCAGAAATAGCGTCGCATATCTACAACTATCTGATCTTTGACAAACCTGAGAAAAACAAGCAATGGGGAAAGGATTCCCTATTTAAAAAATGGTGCTGTGAAAACTGGCTAGCCATATGTAGAAAGCTGAAACTGGATCCCTTCCTTACACCTTATACAAAAATTAATTCAAGATGGATTAAAGACTTAAACGTTAGACCTAAGACCATAAAAACCCTAGAAGAAAACCTAGGCATTACCATTCAGGACATAGGCATGGGCAAGGACTTCATGTCTAAAACACCAAAAGCAATGGCAACAAAAGATAGTAATTGTTGATAAGAATGTGAAGAAAAAGGAACCCTTGTACACTGTTAGTGGGAAGGTAAGTTGGTAAACCATTATAGAAAACAGTATGAAGTTTCCTCAAAAAGTAAAAAATAAACCTTCCTTATTATCCAGCAATTCTTCTGGTTATATATCCAAATGAATCGAAATCAGGATCTCGAAGCGATATTGGCACTCCCACGTTCATTTCATCACTATTTACAAAAGCCAAGATATGGAAACAACATAAATTTCCATGGACATATGAATGGACAAAGAAATTGCGATATATGTATACAATGGAACATTTTACAGCCACAGGAAAGGAAATTCTGCCATTTGCAACATCATGGATAGAAAATGAAATATTTAGGCAGACAGAGAAATACAAATACTATATGATCTCACTTATATATGGAACTTAAAGCAGTCAAACTCATAGAAGCAGAGTGGGATGGTGGTTGCCAGGGACTTGGGGTAGGAGAAACTGGGGAGTAATAGTTAAAGAGTACAAAATTTCAGCTATGCAAGATAAATAAGTTTTGAAGATCTACTAGACAGCATAGTGCCTGTAGCTAACAATACCCTATTGTATACTTAAAATTACTAAGAGATTAGATCTTATGATAAAGCAGCAACAAAAATAATAATACAGGGGGTGGATAAAACTTTGGATGGTGATAGATATGTTTATGAGATTGATGATGGTTGGTGGTTTCATGGATGTATACTTATCCCCAAACTCATTGAGATGTATACATTAAATATGTACAGTATTTTATACATCAACCATACCTCAATAACGTGTTTTTTTAAAAAAGGAAAGACAGGGAGAATGAGTAGTGAAAGAAAACCCAACAGAGGCAAATATAAAAAAGTCTGTGTGAATTAAAACAAAAAAACACTAATTAATCTAATTAAATAGGCAGGAAAGGACTTAACCAGATAACAAAGTTTAATGGATAAAACAAATATCTGGCTGGGCGCAGTGGTTTACGCCTGTAATCCCAGTACTTTGTGGTGTGGAGGTGGGCGGATCACGAGGTCAGAAGTTAGAGACCAGCCTGGCCAACATGGTGAAACCCCGTCTCTACTAAAAATACAAAAATTAGCCGGGCATGGTGGTGGGCGCCTGTAATCCCAGCTACTCAGGAGGCTGAGGCAGGAGAATCGTTTGAACCTGGAAGGCAGAGGTTGCAGTGAGCCGAGATAGCGCCACTGCACTCCAGCCTGGGCAACAGAGTGAAACTCTGTCTCAAAACAAAAAACAAAAAAAAACAATAAATATCCAAAGACAGTTAATATATAGGATTGCAAAGCCCATTGTATTAATAGTTCCATATTGCAGGCAATATGATTGACAGCTGTAAATAAAATAATAGAATAAAGTATATTCTCAGGCTACGGTGATATGAACAGAGAATGTTTAATATAACACCTTAAATTCCTGGCATAGGAAGAACTACATAGCCATCAGGTATGGTAATTCTAGAGACTTATATCTCCAGAATGCCTAAATCAATTAAATAAATATTTATTGAGTTTTCCTATAAAGAATTTACAAATATGCAAACAATGTATAATCTGAAGAGAAAGTAAGGCAGGGAAAGAACTAGTTCTCTGTCACATAAGCTGAGGTAAAATAAGCCCAAATAAAAAGCAACGTTCTTAGGAGAGTAGATAGGGCTGAAAAAGTAACTGGTAGCCTGGAATTTGGGACTTGAACTCTAGGCATTGGGAGCCATGGCAGAGTTGTAAAGATATTGCTGACAATATTGCTGAGAAGAATGGCTTGGAAAATGTGTGAATTTAGAGGCAAGGAAACAATCTGGAGGCTGGGACCCAGCCACTGTGCTATGGGTAGGAGATAGGTACCATGGTGAGCAAGACCAGACAAGGTTCCTGACCTTAGGGGACGCAGAGACTGGCAGCAAGACAAGTTAATCAAAAAATCACAGACATAAAATTCTAAACGTTTTAACTGAAATTGGTGCTATGATAACTTGGACCACAGAAACAGGGTGGCCACACACTGCACACTTACAGGGAGCACCACTGGCATAGCAAGTTCTGCAGAGAAGCAGCCCCCACTGGAAGGAGGCAAGGCAGTACCATGAGATGCTGTAGGAGTCTGAAGAGAAGAGGATGTGGCCTTAAGGGGATTTTAAGAAAGCAGAAGACATGAATAAGCCAAAATAGGAAGCTTCACAAAGAATAATTAAGCAATAAACATTGCAGGGTACCCCTTGTTTTGTAATACACATCAGTAATTCCTCTTCTTCAAATGAAACATAGGTGATCATCATTTTGTTTTGATTTTGAATTATTAAGGAAACATTTCTAGATAGTTACAAGGAGCATGTGTAAAAACCAAATACTGCATGCTCCAGAGAATGGGGCAGGATACACAAACAATGTGACTTTTGGACAATAAAATGGCAATGCTTCAAGAAAGCTGTAGCAGAAAACCACACGGTCTTTCAATATTACTCATCATTGAACAAGCACAGGTTTTGCTCATTTTAGAAACAGCAGGGTGTAATGTAAAGTTGAACATGATTTATTTCTCTCCTAGTCCCACACAGAACCTGAGTGTTCTTTTTTGTGACTTGGCTCTTCTGACTGCCCTGAAGATAAGATTGGGTGCTCCTTCCCCCAGCAGCCCATTGCTCTACAAGGTTAATTACAACATGTTTCTACAGGAACTCAGAGCTGACCCCTTGGAGGAAGGGAGAACTCTGGGACACTTCCATTTTTTTGTTTTGTTTTGTTTTAGTTTCCTAACATGTTAAAAAACATAGAAACTTCAAAACAGGGTTACAAAAATTGTGGTATAAAGTTGTATGACAAGTGCCTTCAATTCTGTCAGTGTATCTCTGGTAATTATATGTATATTATCTTTTGGAGATAACATAAAAAGTCTATAAAATTTAAGGCTCATCCTATGGGGCCTCCGGTCCACTATATGACAGGCTCAGAATATTGGGCAGCCAATCTGACATGAGGCATACCTCAGATCCATTTAATGGACAACAACAACAACAAAATCAGATGGAACTAACTTAATAGTCCTAAAAGCCACAGATAAAATGATTGCAGTTATTCCTGCCTAGATTTTATATTCTAAGTACAATTATACAATGCTCATTTTTACCATACAAAGACAATGTTAGACTTGAAACATTTTTTAAGATATAGATACATATTTTATTTTATTTATTTTTATTTTTGTGGGTACATAGTAGGTATATATATTTATGGAGATGCTTTTTTTAAAAAAGAAAGTAAAAATGTTATTCAAAGACCCAACAAATCAAATCACAACATTTTTTTTTTTCCTAAAAGGAATGATAAAGAGGACTTTCGAAAAAAGAATCCTGAAAAGAAAAGAGTCCTACAGGAAAAACAAAAAGAATCTTAAAGGAAAAATGAAAACTCTTGCAGTAAATATGTACAGATAAAAATTGCCTCATAATTGAAGTGTTAAAGTAACAATGGGGTTTGAACTACCTTCAATTAAAACCACACAAACGCACAAATAGCAAAACTCTGAAAGAAAGCTTCAAGTGCATATCTGGCCTTTAAAGTTAATGTTCAGACATGTTAAACAGTTACCTCTTAGATTATACGCATGTGTAATCCATGAGGAATCTGTTAATTGCAACATGATGGTGGAGAACCCAAGTCTCTATTACAGAATCAGCACCCCTCCCGAGGATGGAAGGGTGCTGAGAGAGCTCTAGGCCTTCTCCTTCATTTCACCATCCCCTTGCTTTCCTTTGCCCATTCCTACCATACCCCAAGCACAGACCCAAGAAAAGATCCTCACTCTCTCTTTAAAGCATCTTATATATTTTTTCCCTTTTTTCTCGGAAACCTACATAATCAAAACAAGCTCTGTATTACTCATTTCTGAGTAGGTATAACATGTGGGCTCATGATGGGGCAGCACCTTACATGAGGCAGAACTGCCATAGAAACAGACATGATGTGTTTCCAACACACCCTCCAGGTTGCCCTTGTCAGCATGCAAGCACTCTTGTTCAGGGCGCCTAATAATAATATTTATATAACCCTTCACAATTTAAACAAAACTTTCCCTTGTATAACTTCACTTTGTCCTAACAACCACATACCATAAGAATTATCTCCATTTTGTACAGGAGGAAATTGACAATCAGAGAGTATAAATGATGTGCCCAAGATCACACAGCAAGGATTGGCAGTATTTATTTAAACCCATGTCACCTGGCTCCAAATCCCTCACTCTTTCCTATTATACCATACAAGACTCTCTGTGGTCTTAGCAAAGCCCTTTCCTCTTGGTCTTCAATAGCCAAAAGCAGGATCAACAATACAGGCAGGCTGACACAATTTGACTTCTGTCACTGCAACAGTGTTAAGGCTAGGACTCTTTTAGAAAAAGCAAGCCAACACAGTGTAAATCAGTTAGAGACAAATTATTGTTGAGCAGCAATTATTAGGCAGTCCATGAGGTGGCAAGGCTGAGCTGAGCAAAACAGCGGGCTATAGAACTTGTTGCTATAGTTACAAACAAAAGGACAACCTTCACATATACACAGTGTGGCGAGAAACACTGTTCTTATATCCACAATAATTTACAGTCATTCTGCAAGTTTAGGCAGGCTTCAGAAATTCAAAAGATGCCTGAAAGGCGCTATCAGTTCCCTTAATTAGTTTCCAAATAATTTAGCAGTCAGCAGAGCCTAAGAGTTCCAAATCCTGTAAGAGATTTGGAATGCCTGGGTAGGTCTAAAGCTGACAGTCTTCCAGAAGGTCTGTAAAGTAGAAATTCTGCCTGTTTGGGTGCAATCTAGAATCCTCACACTGGAGGCCACTCCTCTTGCTTGCTATGAAAATGTGCACGTTAGAAAAGTCCCACTGTGGAAGACAGTGTGGCGATTCCTCAAGGATCTAGAACTAGAAATACCATTTGACCCAGCCATCCCATTACTGGGTATATACTGAAAGGATTATAAATCATGCTGCTATAAAGACACATGCACGCACATGTTTATTGCGGCACTATTCACAATAGCAAAGACTTGCACCAACCCAAATGTCCATCAATGATAGACTGGATTAAGAAAATGTGGCACATATACACCATGGAATACTATGCAGCCATAAAAAGGATGAGTTCATGTCCTTTGTAGGGACATGGATGAAACTGGAAACCATCACTCTCAGCAAACTATCACAAGGACAAAAAGCCAAACACCGCATGTTCTCACTCATAGGTGGGAATTGAACAATGAGAACACATGGACACAGGAAGGGGAACATCACACACCGGGGCCTGTCATGGGGTGGGGGAGGGGGGAGGGATAACATTAGGAGATATACCTAATGTAAATGATGAGTTAATGGGTGCAGCACACCAACATGGAACATGTATACATATGAAACAAACCTGCACGTTGTGCACATGTACCCTAGAACTTAAAGTATAATTAAAAAAAAAAACTTGAATGCAATAAAATTCAGTTTTGTTAGTTTAAAATTCAGTTTTGTGAGTTTTGACAAATGTAAAAAGTCAGATATCCTCTTCCATAGTACCACATAGAACAATTCCATCACCCTAAAAATTATCTCGTACAGCACATTATAGTCAACCCCTCGGACCTCCCCCAACCCCTGGCAACTACTGACCTGTTCTCTGTTCCTATAATTTTGCCTTTTCCAGGATGTCATATAAATGGAATTATATCACATGTCACCTTTTGGATATGGCTTCTTTCTCTTAGCATAATGCATTTAAGATTCATCCTAGCTGTATGAATATCAACAGTTATCTTAATTGCCGAATGGTATTCTAGTTTATGATTGTACCACAATTTGTTTATCCATTCACCAACTGAAAAGCATCTTGGTTGTTTCCAGTTTTTAGTGATTTTTAGTAAGGCTCCATAAATATTCTCATACACATTTTTGTGTAAACTTGATTTTTCAATTCCCTTCCAAAGGTATCTATGAGTGAAAATGCTGGGTCATATGTCAAGTGTATGTTAAATTTTAAAAGTAACTGCCAAACTGTTTTCCAAAATGCCTGAACCATTTTGCATTTCCACTAGCAATGAGTGAGGGTTCCTTTTGTAATACATCCTTGCCAGCATTTCATATTGTCATGTAAATGTATATGTGTATTTAATTCTAGCCATTTCAATAGCTATATCTTGAAGTGTTTCTCATTACACATTTAATTTTCATTTTCTTAATGATTGATATTATCTTCTAATACACTTCTTTGCCATCTGTACATTTGGGTTGGTGAAATGTTTGTTCAGATGCTTTGCTAATTTTTAAAATTAAATGTTATCTTTTATTGTTAAAAAAAAAAAAAAAAAGAAAAGTCCCACTGTCCTCCTTGCTGGAATTTTTAAAGGCGATACCAAAAAGCATGTGTATAACATTACAATACTAGTGTATATATCTTACCTAATTAGGTAATTGCCTTGCAAACCTGCTTTTTCATTTAACCCCTTCCTCTTTCTCACACCCTGGATAGTAGGAACTGTGGACCTAGATGGATCTGTTTGCTTAGGAAAGAACTCCATGAAATATGGACTATCACTGCTTCCCACCACTGATTTCTGTTAGCCAGGTTCCTCCCTTCTTCCACCTCCTCCTCCTCCTTGCTCCTTCTTTTATCTAAGACTGAGACTAGTGGTTTTGACTTAGTCTACCAGGATGGCAGCATGGGGTAATGGAAAGAACTACTTTGAAGTTCATCAATTTAGGCTTGAATCTCATTCCTCTCCTTCCTGGGTGACGTTGGGCAAAGTATGCAACCTCTTAGTAGCTGTTTCCTAAACTGCAAGATGATTTCAGTGTTATTGTGAGGATTAAATTGGACAATGCATGTCTCCCCAGATCTCAGCATATTGGCCTCAATAAATGTCAGCTTCCTCCCACCAGTGCCTTGTTCTTTTTATTTCATACATAATGTACCTTACGTTATTTTCACAAGGAACAAATAAAGAGAGGTCATCCTGGAGCCGGACCAAATATTTCAGTTATCTATAGGCTGGAAAAGATGATCTGGGTCCTTTTAGGCATGAATTTGTCCCAGAGCACTCCTTTAGGCTTTGGTGTGAGAGCCTTAAAAGACCTTATCTTCAGTTCTCACCGTGAGACATTTAAATCTGGGATAAGAAATGCTGTATAGGACATTGGCTATTGGATCAGGGGAAAGGGAGGAACACCATTAAAGAAAAGACTTAAAAAGAATACAAGTCAACTCTAAGTCAGGGGAAGAACCACTTTAGATAATAAGTGAAGTAGGCAAAGTTCCCTCTCCCATGTCTACAAATTTCATAGCCTCCTTTTTTTGTTGCATAAGTATTTCCTGTTCTCAGGCTTTCACTGGCCCTTGGCAGATCTCCACTTTAGTCTTTCTCTCTCCTGGGGCAGCATCCCTTACTCAATTTATTTTCTTCCTTTGAAGGTAATGGCTCTGACATTAATTATAGAGTTAGAATAATACTTACCAAGCCAATTTTCCTACCTTTTCATTGGAAGAAGAAATTAAAAGTAAAAATAAATAAATAAATATCTCTGATTTGGAGAACAAAGAGAGTTGGTGAGAAAAACAAATCAGTGTAAGCCTCTGAGGTACCTCATCTACCTAGGACAAGTCTTAGGAGAGGAAATGGTGGAACCTGAACATTCAAGAATATCAAGGGGGTAATGTGCCTCCTTTCCCAGGTGGTACTTGGAAAAAGAGGCAAGGTTCCAGAACCATCACCACCTTCATTACTTTATGTGATGAAGCACAGATGACTAGGCAGAGAGGGCCCAAGAGAGGTCACAGAGAGGCACGGGAGAGGTGCAGAGGCTGGCTGGGAGCACTACACTACAAAAGTCCTTGAAACTGGGATGAAAGGACACTGCTCCAGAAAGCTTTGTGGACCAGACAACTGAGAGCCAGCGGGGAATGCAGAACTCTCAGAAGATGCCACCATTGAGACCTATGTCTAAGACCCAGGTGGATGCACATCTCAGGAGGAACCTGCATGGTCAGACACCAACCGTCGGCCAGACAACCAGCCTGAAACCACGGTGCTACCTAATGACCCTGAATGCAGGTCTTATGTCCAGGAGGAGGAGAGGAAAGGGAATCATGAATTAAGAGTTTTTTTTTAATTTAAATCAGCTTTATTGAGGTATAATTCATATGCAATAAAACTCACAAGTTTAAGTGTACAATTCAATGAGATTTTACAAACGTTGACAGTTGTGTGATCACTACCATAAACGTTTCCCTCACTCTTAAAAAGTTCTTTCTACCTGAGGCACTTTCTAAACACATAAATAAATAAATAAAGTTAAAAATTTCTTTGTGCCCCTTTACAATCAGTACCTCACCCTATCCCCTCCCATTCCCATCCCCTCGCTCACTGGCACATGATAACCACCAGTAGTTTTGCCTTTTCTAGAATTTCATGTAAAGAGAATCTGTTGTGAACAGAATTTTTATGTCCCCTGCCCCAATATTCATATGCTAAAATTTAATCCCAATGTGAAGGTAGTTGGAGATGAGACCTGTGGAAGGCCATGTGGGTGGGACCCTCTTGAATGGGGTTAATGCCTTTGTAACAAGAGGCCACAGAGCTAGCTTGCTTTCTGCCATGTGAGGCTACAATGAGAAGTTGGCAGTCTGCGACCTGGAAGAGGGCCTGCACCTGAAGGTGACTATGTTGGCACCCTGATCTCTGACTTCCAGTCTCCAGAACTGTGAGAAATAACATTTATGTTGTTTATAAGCCACAGAGTCTACAGTACTTTTTCATAGAAAATCAAACTAAAACAATTATAGATGTGTCTGGCTTGTATCACCTAGTGTAAGGTTTTTGAGATTCATCTACATTGTTGTGGGTATCAGTATTTCACTCCTTTTATTGCTGAGTTCAATTGCATTGCATAAATAAACCACATTTTATTTGCCATTCACCAATTGATAGACATTTCATTTGTTTCCAGTTTGTTAGCTACTATGAATCAAGTAGCTATGAACATTTGAGTACAAGTCTTCATGTGACTACAAGTTTTCATTTCTCTTGGGTAATACCAAGAGTGGAATTTCTGGGTCATAATCTAAACATATATTTAATTTTATAGGAAACAGCCAAATTGGTTCCCAAAGTGGCTGTACTTTTTATATTCCTACCAATAACGTACCAGGGTTCCCGCTGCTCCACATCCTTGTTAACACATGGCATTGTCAGTATCTCAAATTTTTGACATCCTAGTGAAATTGTACTAGTATCTCAAGGTTTTAATTTGCATTTCCAAAATGGCATTACTATGTTGAATATCTTTTCATACACTTCTTTTTGCCATTTATATATATTCTTAGGTAGAGTATCTGTTCAGATATTTTTCTCCATTAAACATAATTAGGTTGCCTTCCCATTATTAAGTTGTGAGAGTTCCTTGTATATGCTGGATATAAATCCTTTACCAGATATGTTTGGCAAATATTTTCTCTCAATGTCTCCTAGCCTTTTCATTTTCTTAGCAGTGTCTTTTGAATTTTGGTGAAATCCAATTTATTGTTTTTTTCTTTTGTGGTTCACACTTTTTATATTTTATAAAAGAATTCTTACAGATTATCCTGAATTAAAAAAAAATCTTTGTCAAACCCAAGGTCATAAGATTTTCTCCTATATTTCCTTTTAGAAATTTTATAGTTTTAACTCTTATAGTTAGATCTTTAATCTATTCCAAATTAATTTTTTGTGTATGGTAAGGGTTGATGTTCATTTTTTTGCATATATATACAATTATTCCCGCCATTTGTTGAAAAAAAAGATCTTCTTCCCATTGAATTCTCAAGACACCTTTAAAAATTACCAATTGACCAAATATATGTAGGTCTATTTTGGTACTCTATTCTGTTCCATATGTATCTATTCTTATACTAGTAAAATATAGTATTTATTATTGTAGCTTTATACTAAGTCTCTCTCTCTCTCTCTCTCTCTCGCTTTTTTTTTTCTTTTTCTTTGAGACAGAGTCTTGCTCTGTCACAGGCTGGAGTGCAGTGACACAATCTCGGGGCTCACTGCAACCTCTGCTTCCCAGGTGCAAGTGATCCTTGTCCTCAGTATCCAGAGTAGCTGGGATTACAGGTGCCCACCACCATGCCCAGCTAATTTTTGTATTTTTAGTAGAGATGGGGTTTCATGATGTTGAATAGGCTGATCTGGAACTTCTGACCTCAAGTTATCCACCCACCTCAGCTTCCCAAAGTGCTGGGATTACAGACATGAGCCACTGCACCCAGCCTATAATAAGTCTTAAAATTAGGTATTATAAGTCCTCAAACTTAATTCTTTTTCAAAATTGTTTTGTCTGTACTAGATACTTTGCATTTCCAAATTGAGAAGCTAGCAGCTTGTCAATTTCTATTTTTAAAAAGCTGACGGTCTTTAATCCATCTTAAGTTAATTTTTGTATAAGGTGTAAGGAAGGGATCCAGTTTCAGTTTTCTGCATATGGCTAGCCAGTTTTCCCAGCACCATTTATTAAATAGGGAATCCTTTCCCCATTGCTTATTTTTGTCAGGTTGCTCAAAGATCAGATGGTTGTAGATGTGTGGTGTTATTTCTGGGGCCTCTGTTCTCTTCCATTGGTCTATATATCTGTTTTGGTGCCAGTACCATGCTGTTTTGGTTCCTGTAGCTTTGTAGTATAGTTTGAAGTCAGGTAGCATGATGCCTCCAGCTTTGTTCTTTTTGTTTAGGGTTGTCTTGGCTATATGGGCTCTTTTTTGGTTCCATATAAATTAAAGTAGTTTTTTCTAATTCTGTGAAGAAAGTCAATGGTAGCTTGATGGGGATAGCATTGAATCTATAAATTACTTTGAGCAGTGTGGCCATTTTCACAGTATTGATTCTTCTTATCCATGAGCATGGAATGTTTTTCCATTTGTTTGTGTCCTTTCTTATTTACTTGAGCAGTGGTTTGTAGTTCTCTATGAAGAGGTTCTTCACATCCCTTGTAAGTTGGATTCCTAGGTATTTTATTCTCTTTGAAGCAATTGTGAATGGGAGTTTACTCATGATTTGGTGCTCTGTTTGTCTATTATTGGTGTACAGAAATGCTTGTGATTTTTGCACATTGATTTTGTATCCTGAGGCGTTGACAAAGTTGCTCATCAGCTTAAGGAGATTTGGGGCTGAGATGATGGGGTTTTCTAAATGTACAATCAGGGGACGGTTCCAAGATGGCTGAATAGGAACAGCTGCAGTCTACAGCTCCTAGCATGAGCGACGCAGAAGACGGGTGATTTCTGCATTTCCAACTGAGGTACTGGGTTCATCTCACTGGGGCTCGTTGAACAGTGGGGGCAGGAGAGTGGGTGAAGCCCACCAAGTGTGAGCTGAAGCAGGGTGAGGCATCGCCTCACCCAGGAAGCACAAGGGGTCAGGGTATTCCCTTTCCTAGCCAAGGGAAGGGGTGACAGACGGCACCTGGAAAATCAGGTCACTCCCACCCTAATACTGCGCTTTTCCAATGGTCTTAGCAAACGGCACACCAGGAGATTATATCCCACGCATGGCTCAGAGGGTCCCACACCCACGGAGCCTCGCTCATTGCTAGCACAGCAGTCTGAGATCAAACTGCAAGGTGGCAGTGAGGCTGGGTGAGGGGCGCCTGCCATTGCTGAGGCTTGAGTAGGTAATCAAAGTGGCCTGGAAGCTCGAACTGGGTACAGCCCACCACAGCTCAAGGAGGCCTGCCTGCCTCTGTAGGCTCCACCTCTAGGGGCAGGGCATAGCCGAACAAAAGGCAGCAGAAACCTCTGCAGACTTAAATGTCCCTGTCTGACAGCTTTGAAGAGAGTAGTGGTTCTCCCAGCATGGAGTTTGAGATCTGAGAACAGACAGACTGCCTCGTCAAGTGGGTCCCTGACCTCCGAGTAGCCTAATTGGGAGGCATCTCCCAGTAGAGGCAGACTGACACTTCACACGGCTGGGTACCCCTCTGAGACGAAGCTTCCAGAGGAACGATCAGGCAGAAACATTTGCTGTTCAGCAATATTCGCTGTTCTGCAGCCTCTGCTGGTGATACCCAGGCAAACAGTGTCTGGAGTGGACCTCCAGCAAACTCCAACAGACCTGCAGCTGAGGGTCCTGACTGTTAGAAGGAAAACTAACAAACAGAAAGGACATCCACACAAAAACCCCATCTGTACGTCACCATCATCAAAGACCAAAGGTAGATAAAACCACAAAGACAGGGAAAAAACAGAGCAGAAAAGCTGAAAATTCTAAAAATCAGAGCACCTCTCCCCCTCCAAAGGAACACAGCTCCTCGCCAGGAACGGAACAAAGCTGGAAGGAGAATGACTTTGACGAGTTGAGAGAAGAAGGCTTCAGATGATCAAACTTCTCCGAGCTAAAGGAGGAAGTTCGAACCCAGTGCAAAGAAGTTAAAAACCTTGAAAAAAGATTAGACGAATGGCTAAGTAGAATAACCAATGAAGAGAAGTCCTTAAAGGACCTGATGGAGCTGAAAACCATGGCATGAGAACTACATGATGAATGCACAAGCTTCAGTAGCTGATTTGATCAACTGGAAGAAAGGGTATCAGTGATTGAAGATCAAATGAATGAAATGAAGTAAGAACAGAAGTTTAGAGAAAAAAGAGTAAAAAGAAACGAACAAAGTACCCGAGAAATACGGGACTATGTGACAAGACCAAATCTACATCTGATTGGTGTAGCTTAAAGTGACGGGGAGAATGGAACCAAGTTGGAAAACACTCTGCAGGATATTTTCCAGGAGAACTTCCCCAACCTAGCAAGGCAGGCCAACATTCAAATTCAGGAAATACAGAGAATGCCACAAAGATACTCCTCGAGAGGAGCAACTCCAAGATACATAATTGTCAGATTCACCAAAGTTGAAATGAAGGAAAAAATGTTAAGGGCAGCCAGAGAGAAAGGTCGGGTTACCCACAAAGGGAAACCCATCAGACTAACAGTGGATCTCTTGGCAGAAACTCTACAAGCCAGAAGTTAGTGGGGGCCAATATTCAACATTCTTAAAGAAAATTATTTTCAACCCAGAATTTCATATCCAGCCAAACTAAGCTTCATAAGTGAAGGAGAAATAAAATACTTTACAGACAAGCAAATGCTGAGAGATTTTGTCACCACCAGGCTTTCCCTAAAAGAGCTCCTGAAGGAAGCACTAAACATGGAAAGGAACAACTGGTATGAGCCACTGCAAAAACATGCCAAATTGTAAAGACCATCAAGGCTAGGAAGAAACTGCATCAACTAACGAGCAAAGTAACCAGCCAACATCATAATGACAGGATCAAACTCACACATAACAATATTAAGCTTGTTATGGGCTAAGTGCTCCAATTAAAAGACATAGACTGGCAAATTGGATAAAGAGTCAAGACTCATCGGTGTGCTGTATTCAGGAGACCCATCTCATGTGCAGAGACACACATAGGCTCAAAATAAAGAGATGGAGGAAGATCTACCAAGCAATTGGAAAACAAAAAAAGGCAGGGGTTGCAATCCTAGTCTCTGATAAAACAGACTTTAAACCAACAAAGATCAAAAGAGACAAAGAAGGCCATTACATAATGGTAAAGGGATCAATTCAACAAGAAGAGCTAACTTAAATATGTATGCACCCAATACAAGAGCACCCAGATTCATAAAGCAAGTCCTGAGTGACCTACAAAGAGACCTAGACTCCCCCACAATGATAATGGGAGACTTTAACACCCCACTGTCAATATTAGACAGATCAATGAGACAGAAAGTTAACAAGGATATCCAGGAATTGAACTCAGCTCTGCACCAAGTGGACCTAATAGACATCTACAGAACTCTCCACCCAGAATCAACAGAATATACATTCTTCTCAGCACCACATCACACTTATTCCAAAATTGACCACTTAGTTGGAAGTAAAGCACTCCTCAGCAAATGTAAAAGAACAGAAATTATAACAAATTGTCTCTCAGACCACAGTGCAATCAAACTAGAACTCAGGATTAAGAAACTCACTCAAAACCGCTCAACTACATGGAAACTGAACAACCTGCTCCTGAATGACTACTGGGTACATAACGAAGTGAAGGCAGAAATAAAGATGTTCTTTGAAACCAATGAGAACAAAGACACAACATATCAGAATCTCTGGGACACATTTAAAGCAGTGTGTAGAGGGAAATTTATAGCACTAAATGCCCACAAGAGAAAGCAGGAAAGATCTAAAACTGACACCCTAACATCACAATTAAAAGAACTAGAGAAGCAAGAGCAAACACATTCAAAAGCTAGCAGAAGGCAAGAAATAACTAAGATCAGAGAAGAACTGAAGGAGATAGAGACACAAAAAACCCTTCAAAAAATCAATGAATCCAGGAGCTGGTTTTTTGAAAAGATCAACAAAATTGATAGACCACTAGCAAGACTAATAAAGAAGAAAAGAGAGAAGAATCAAATAGATGCAATAAAAAATGATAAAGGGGATATCACCACTGATCCCACAGAAATACAAACTATCATCAGAGAATACTATAAACACCCTATGCAAATAAACTAGAAAATCTAGAAGAAATGGATAAATTCCTGGACACATACACCCTCCCAAGACTAAACCAGGAAGAAGTTGAATCCCTGAATAGACCAATAATAGGCTCTGAAATTGAGGCAATAATTAATAGCCTACTAACCAAAAAAAGTCCAGGACCAGACGGATTCACAGCCGAATTCTACCAGAGGTACTAGGAGGAGCTGGTACCATTCCTTCTGAAACTATTCCAGTCAATAGAAAAAGAGGGAATCCTCCCTAATTCACTTTATGAGGCCAGCATCATCCTGATACCAAAGGCTGGCAGAGACACAGAAAAAAAAAGAGAATTTTAGACCAATATCCCTGATGAACATCGATGAAAAAATCCTCAATAAAATACGGGCAAACAGAATCCAGCAGCCCATCAAAAAGCTTATCCACCATGATCAAGTGGACTTCATCCCTGGAATGCAAGGCTGGTTCAACATATGCAAATCAATAAATGTAATCCAACATATAAACAGAACCAATGACAAAAACCACATGATTATCTCAATAGATGCAGAAAAAGCCTTTGACAAAATTCAACAGCTCTTCATGCTAAAAACTCTCAATAAATTAGGTATTGATGGGATGTATCTCAAAATAATAAGAGGTATTTATGACAAACCCACAACCAATATCATACTGAACAGGCAAAAACTGGAAGCATTTCCTTTGAAAACAGGTACAAGACAGGGATGCCCTCTCTCACCACTCCTCTTCAACATAGTATTGGAAGTTCTGGCCAGGGCAATCAGGCAGGAGAAAGAAATAAAGAGTATCCAATTAGGAAAAGAGGAAGTCAAATTGTCTCTGTTTGCAGATGACATGATTGTATATTTAGAAAACCCCATCATCTCAGCCCAAAATCTCCTTAAGCTGATAAGCAACTTCAGCAAAATCTCAGGATACAAAATCAATGTGCAAAAATCACAAGCATTCTTATACACCAATAACAGACAAACAGAGAGCCAAATCATGAGTGAACTCCCATTCACAATTGCTTCAAAGAGAATAAAATACCTAGGAATCCAACTTACAAGGGATGTGAAGGACCTCTTCAAGGAGAACTACAAACCACTGCTCAATGAAATAAAAGAAGATACAAACAAATGGAATAACATTCCATGCTCATGGATAGGAAGAATTAATATCGTGAAAATGGCCATACTGCCCAAAGTAATTTATAGATTCAATGCCATCCCCATCAAGCTACCAATTACTTTCTTCACGGAACTGGAAAAAACTACTTTAAAGTTCATGTGGAACCAAAAAAGAGCCCACATTGCCAAGTCAATCCTAAGCCAAAAGAACAAAGATGGAGGCATCACGCTACCTTACTTCAAACTATACTACAAGGCCACAGTAACCAAAACAGCATGGTACTGGTACCAAATCAGAGATATAGACCAATGGAACAGAACAGAGCCCTCAGAAATAATACCACACATCTACAACTATCCAGTCTTTGACAAAACTGACAAAACAAGCAATGGAGAAAGGATTCCCTATTTAAAAAATGGTGCTGTGAAAACTGGCTAGCCATATGTAGAAACCTGAAACTGGATCCCTTCCTTACACCTTATACCAAAATTAATTCAAGATTGATTAAAGTCTTAAATGTTAGACCTAAAACCATAAAAACCCTAGAAGAAAACCTAGGCAATACCATTCAGGACATAGGCATGGGCAAGGACTTCATGTCTAAAACACCAAAAGCAATGGCAACAAAAGCCAAAATTGATAAATGGGATCTAATTAAGCTAAGGAGCTTCTGCACAGCAAAAGAAACTACCATCAGAGTGAAGAGGCAACCTACAGAATGGGAGAAAATTTTTGTAATCTACTCATCTGACAAAGGGCTAATATCCAGAATCTACAAAGAACTCAAACAAATTTATAAGAAAAAAATCAAACAACCCCATCAACAAGTGGGCGAAGGATATGAACAGACACTTCTCAAAAGAAGACATTTATGCAGCCAACAGACACATGAAAAAATGCTCTTCATCACTGGCCATCAGAGAAATGCAAATTAAAACCACAGTGAGATACCATCTCACACCAGTTAGAATGGCAATCATTAAAAAGTCAGGAAACAACAGGTGCTGGAGAGGATGTGTAGAAATAGGAACACTTTTACACTGTTGGTGGGACTGTAAACTAGTTCAACCATTGTGGAAAACAGTGTGGTGATTCTTCAAGGATCTAGAACTAGAAATACCATTTGACCCAGCCATCCCATTACTGGGTATATACCCAAAGGATTATAAATCATGCTGCTATAAAGACACATGCACACATATGTTTATTGCAGCCCTATTCACAATAGCAAAGACTTGGAACCAACCCAAATGTCCAACAATGATAGACTGGATTGAGAAAATGTGGCACATATACACCATGGAATACTATGCAGCCATAAAAAAGGATGAGTTCATGTCCTTCATAGGGACATGGATGAAGCTGGAAACCATCATCCTCAGCAAACTATCGCAAGAACAAAAAACCAAACACTGCATGTTCTCACTCATAGGTGGGAACTGAACAATGAGAACACTTGGACACAGGAAGGGGAACATCACACACCGGGGCCTGTTGTAAGGTGGGGGAAGGGGGGAGGGAAAGCATTAGGAGATATACCTAATGTAAATGATGAGTTAATGGGTGCAGCACATGTATACATGGCACATGTATACAGATGTAACAAACCTGCACATTGTACACATGTATACATGTACACATGGCACATGTATACATGTACACATGGCACATGTATACATATGTAACAAACCTGCACGTTGTGCACATGTACCCTAGAACTTAAAGTATAATATAAATAAATAAATAAATAAATAAATAAATAAATAAATGTACAATCATGTCATCTGCAAACAGAGACAATTTGACTCCCTGTCTCCCTATTTGAATACCCTTTCTTTCTTTCTCTTGCCTGATTGCCCTGGCCAGAACTTCCAATACTATGCTGAATAAGAGTGGTGAGAGAGGGCATCCTTGTCTTGTGCCAGTTTTCAAAAGGAATCCTTCCAGCTTTTGCCCATTCAGTATGATATTGGCTGTGGGTTTGTCATAAATAGCTCTTATTATTTTGAGATACATTCCATCAATACCTAAAACCACAAAAACCCTAGAAGAAAACCCAGGCAATACCATTCAGGACATAGGCATGGGCAAAGACTTCATGACTAAGACACCAAAAGCAATGGCAACAAAAGCCAAAATTGACAAATGAGATCTAATTAAACTAAGGAGCTTCTGCACAGCAAAAGAAACTATCATCACAGTGAACAGGCAACCTACAGAATGGGAGAAAATTTCCGCAATCTATCTATCTGACAAAGGGCTAATATCCAGAATCTACAAGGAACTTAAACAAATTTACAAGAAAAAAACAACCCCATCAAAAAGAGGCAAAGGATACAAACATAGACTTCTCAAAAGAAGACATTTATGCAGCCAACAAACATATGAAAAAAAGCTCATCATCACTGGTCATTAGAGAAATGCAAATCAAAACCACAACGAGATGCCATCTCACGTCAGTTAGAATAGCAATCATTAAAAAGTCAGGAAACAACAGATGCTGGAGAGGATATGGAGAAATAGGAACGCTTTTACTGTGTTGGTGGGAGTGTAAATGAGTTCAACCATTGTGGAAGACAGTGTGGCGATTCCTCAAGGATCAAGAACCAGAAATACCATTTGACCCAGCAATCCCATTACTGGGTATATACCCAAAGGATTATAAGTCATTCTACTATGAAGACACAGGCACATGTATATTTATTGCAGCACTGTTAATAATAGCAAAGATTTGGAACCAACCCAAATGCCCATCAGTGATAGACTGGATCAAGAAAATGTGCACATACACAACATGGAATACTATGCAGCCATAAAAAAGGATGAGTTCTTGTCCTTTGCAGGGACATGGATGAAGCTGGAAACCATCATTCTCAGGAAACTAACACAGTAACAGAAAACTAAACATCACATGTCCTCACTCATAAGTGGGAGTTGAACAATGAGAACACAGGGACACAGGGAGGGGAACATCACACACCGAGGCCTGTCAGGGGGTGTGGGGCTAGGGGAGGGATAGCATTAGGAGAAATACCTAATGTAGATGACAGGTTGATGGGTTCAGCAAACCACCATGGCAAGTGTATAGTTATGTAACAAACCTGCACATTCTGCACATGTATCCCAGAACTGAAAGTATAAAAAAAAATAAAGGCTAATGGAATTTTGACTGGGATGGTGATGAATCAATATATCAATATATATCAATCAATATATCAATGTGATATCGATATATCAATATTGATATCAATATATCAACGTGTCTACTAAAAATAATGTGAGATTTGACATCTTGTATTGAATTAGATTTTCCTTAAATATGGTATTTTCCCCTACTTATTTAACTCTGCTTTAATTTCTCTCAGTAATGTTTTATACTTTTCAGAGGACGGGTGCTATTGACTGAATGCGTCCTTCAAAAGTTCATAATCCCCAATGTGATGATATTTCCAGATGGGGCCTGTGGGAGGTAATTAGGTCATGAGTATGGAGCCTCACGATGGGATTAGTGGCCTTAAAAGAAGTTACAGAAGACAGTTTCCTTCCTCTCTAACTCCACCATGTGAGGAACAACAAGGAGACTGTTGTCTGCAAACCAGCAAGAAAGCCTCATCAGAACTGACCATGCCAGCATGATCAGTATCACCAGCAATACTGTGATCTCAGAATGCCCAGCTTCCAGAACTGTAAGAAATAAATTTCTGTTACTTAAGTCACCTGGTCTATAGTACTTTCGTTATAGCTACTTGAACTAAGACAACAGAACCTGAATATATTTGTTGTTTATCTCTAATTATTACATATTCTGTACATTATTGTAAGTGACTTTAAGATTTCAGTTTCCAAATGCTATTATTAGTTCTTAGAAATACAACTGATTGGCCGGGAACGGTGGCTCATGCCTTTAATCCCAGCACTTTGGGAGGCCGAGGCAGGCGGATCATCTGAGGTCAGGAGTTCCAGACCAGCCTGGCCAACATGGTGAAACCTCGTCTCTGCTAAAAATACAAAAATTAGCTGGGTGTGATGGTGCACGCCTGTAATCCCAGCTACTGGGGAGGCTGAGGCAGGAGAATGGCTTGAACCCAGGAGGCGGAGGTTGCAGTGAGCTGAGATTGTGCCACTTGCAGCCTGGGTGACAAGCAAGACTCTGTCTCAAAAAAAAAAAAGAAAAAGAAATAAAGAAAGAAAGGAAGGAAGGAAGGAAGGAAGGGGAGAGAATTGATTTTTGTTTTTGACCTTGTATCCTATAACTTTGTAAAATTTCATTTTAGTTCTAGTAGCTTTTTAATAGATTTCTTACAATTTTCTACTTAATCATGTTGTCTGTGAATAAAGACAATTTTACTTCTTTTCTAAAGTGAATTTTTTAAGACTTATTTTTTGGGAGGTGGGGGTAGTTTTAGATTCATAGCAACATTGAGAGAAATGTACAGAGATTTCCAGCATACTCCTTGTTCCCATATGTGCATAACTTCCCCTATCATCAACATCCTCCACCAGAGTGGCACATTTGTTACAACTGATGAAACTACATTGACACATCATAATCACCTAGAGTCCATCGTTTACGTTAGAGTTCACTCTTAGCGTTGTACATTCTAGGTATCTGAACAAATGTATAATGACAGGTATCCATCGTTATAGTATCATACAGAACATTTTCACTGCCCTAAAAATCCTTTGTGCTCTGCCTATGCATCTCTCTCCACCCACTCCAAACTCCCTAGTGATCACTATCTTTTTTTAACTGTCTCCACAGTTTTGCCTTTTCCAGAATGTCATATAGCTGAAGTCATGCAGTATGTAGACTTTTCAGATGGGTTTCTTTCACTTAGTAATATGCACTTAAGTTTCCTCCATGTCTTTTTATGGCTTGACAGCTCATTTCTTTTTATTGCTGAATAATATTCCATCATCTGGATGTGTCAAAGTTTATTTATTCATTCATTTACTGAAGGACATCTGGGTTGCTTCCTAGTTTTGGCAATCATAAATAAAACTGCTTAAACATCTATGTGCAGATTTTTATATGGACATAAGTTTTCACCTCCTTTGGGTAAATATTAAGGAGCATGATTGCTGGATATATGTTAAGAGTATATTTAGTTTTGTAAGACGCTGCCTATCTTCCAAAGTGACTATAGCATTTTGCACTTTCACAGCAATACATGAGAGTTCCTGTTGCACCACATTCTTGTCAGCTTTTAGTGTTGTCAGTATTCTGGAGTTTGACCATTCTAATAGGTGTGTGATAGTATCTTACTATTGTTTTAACTTGCATTTGCCTGCAATGTGAAGCATGTATTCATGTGCTTATTTGCCATTTGTATATCTTCTTTGGTGAGATTTTTGTTAAGGTCTTTGGCCCGTTTTTAAATCTTTTTGTTGTTGTTTTTGAATTTTAAGAGTTCTTTGTATTTTTAGATAATAGTCCTTTATCGATGTGCCTTTTGCAAATATTTTCTCCCAGCCTGTGGGTTTTCTCATTTTTTTGACATTGTCTTTCGTAGTGCAGAACTTTTAAATTTCAGTGAAGTTCAGCTTATCAATGATTTCTTTAATGGATCATGCTTTTGGAGTTGTATCTAAAAAGTATTCACCAAACCCAAGGTCATCTAGGTTTTCTATGTTATCTTCTAGAAGTTTCATAGTTTTGCATTTTACATTTAGGTCAAAATCCATTTGAGTTCATTTTTGTTAAGAGTGGAAGAACTGTGTTTAGATTCATTTTTTTTTGCATGTACATGTCCAGTTCTTCCAATACCTCTTTTTTTTTTTTTTGCAACTGCCCCCTCCAGCACCATTTGTTGAAAATACTGTCTTTTACTCCATTGTATTGCCTTTATTCCTTTGTCAAAATTCAGCAGACTATATTTATGTGGGTCTATTTCTGGACCCTTTATTCTGTTCTATTAACCTATTTGTCCACTCTTTTGCCAGTACCATACTGTCTTGATTACTATAGCTTTATAGCTTCCTTCCTCTCTATCTCCACCATACGAGGAATAACAGGAAGACTGTTGTCTGCAAACCAGGAAGAAGGCCTCATCAGAACTGACCATGCCAGCATGGTCAGTATCACCAGCAATACTGTGATCTGAGAATGCCCAGCCTCAGAACTGTGAGAAATAAATTTCTGTTATTTAAGCCCCCTAGTCTATTGCACTTTTGTTACAGCTGCCTGAACTAAGACAACAGAACCTACATATATTTGAGTTATATGTAAGTATTGAAGTCGGGTAGTGTCAGTCCTCCAATTTCGTTCTTCTCCTTCAATATTGGGTTGGCTATCCTGGGTGTTTTGCCTCTTCAAATAAACTTTAGGATAAGTTTGTTGATATCCACAAATGAGTTGCTGAGATTTTGATTGGGATTGCATTGAATCTACAGATCAATTTGGGAAGAACTGCTAACATCTTGAAAATATTGTCTTTCTCTCCATGAACATGAAATATCTCTCCATTTCTTAGGTTCTTTGATTTCTTTCATCAGAATTTTGTAGTTTTCCTTATATATCTTTATTTTGTTAGATTTATACCTAAGTATTTCACTTTAAGGGGTTCTAATGGAAATGATGTTTTGTTTTTGATTTCACATTCCACTTGTCCATTGCTGCTGCGTAGGAAAGTGACTGACGTTTGCAAAATAAACTTACATCCTACAACTCTGCTATAAACACTTATTAGTCTCAGGAGTTTTTTGTTGTTGTTGATTCTTTTTCTACATGACAATCATGTTATATGAGAATAAAGCCAGTTTTATTTTTTTTCTTCCCAATCTATGTCTTTTACTTACTTTTCTTGTCTTACTGCATCAGCTATAACTTCCAGCACAGGGTTGAAAAGGAGTGGTGAGAGGGGACATCTTTGCCTTGTTCTTGATCTTAGTGGAAAAGCTTCTAGTTTCTCACCTTTAAGTATGATGTTAGCTACAGGTTTTATATAGATATTCTTTAGCAAGTTGAGGAAGCTCCTTTCTAGTCCTAGTTTACTCAGAGTTTTTGTTTTTTATCATGAATGGGCTTTGCATTTTGTCAAATAATTTTTCTGCATCTATTGATATGGTCACATGATTTTTCTTTTTTAGCCTGTTGATGTGATGGATTACATCTATTGATTTTTGAGTGTTGAACCAGCCTTGCATATTTGAAACAAATCCCATTTGGTAGTGGTATATAATTATTTTTATACATTGTTGATTCAATTTTGTTGAGGATTTTTGCACTTAGTGTTTATGGGAGACATTGGTCCATAATTTTGTTTTCTTTAAGGTCTTTGTCTAGATTTGGCATTAGAATAATGCTGGCCTCAGAGTGATTCAGAAGTATTCTTCTATCTACCAAAAGAAATTGTAGTGAATTAGTATAATTTTTTCCTTAAAGGCTTTGATAGAATTCACCAGTAAACCCATCTGAACTTTGTGCTTCCTATTTTGGAAGGTTATTATTTATTCAATTTATTTAATAGATATAGGCCTATTCAGAGAGTCTATTTCTTCTTATATGGATTTTGGCATGTTATATCTTTCAAATAATTGGTCCATTTTTTCTAAGTTATCAAATTTGTAGATACAGAGTTGTTCATAGTATTCCTTTTTAAAATATTTCTAATGTCCATGAGATCTGTAGTGATCAGTTTCATTCTGATGTCAGTAATTTGTGTCTTCTGTCTTTTTTCTTAATCAGCCTCACTAGAGGCTTATCAATTTTATTAATCTTTTCAAAGAACCAGCTTTTCATTTCATTTATTTTCTTTACTGATTCCCTGTTTTCAATTTCATTGATATCTGCTCTAATTCTTATTTATTTTCTTCAGCTTACTTTGGATTTAACTTGCTCTTCTTTTTCTAGTATTCTAAGGTGGAAACAATTCTAGATCTTTCTTCTTTTCTAAAATATGCATTCAATACTACATAATTTCTTTCTACACACTGCTTTCACTGCATTCCACAAACGTTGATACGTTGTTTTCACCTTCATTGAATTGAAAGGGTTTTAGTTGTTGTTGTTGTTTTTGAGACATGTTGTTTTAAATATGTCTTCTTGCAGCTCTATCAGTTTTGTCTCACCTAGTTTGATGCTCTTGTTAGGTGCACATGTGTTAAGGATTATTACACCTTCTTGGACAATTAACTCCTTTATCATTATGTAATGCCTTTATCACTGATAACTTTCCTTTTTGAAGTCAATTGTGTTTGAAATTAATATAGCTACTTCTGCTTTCTTTTGATTAGTGTTAACAGGGTATATTTTTCTCCACCCATTTACTTTTAATTTATATGTCTTATATTTAAAGTAGATTTCTTGTAGACATCCTATGGTTGGGTCTTGTTTTTTTCATCCACTCTGACAATCTCTGTCTTTTAATTGGTGCATTTATCGTTGCTGTTCAAAGCGATTACTGATATATAGTAAGTTCTTAATGTTGTTGACAGGCTCTTAGAAACTGAGACTTTAAGCAAGACAATGCATAACAAAACCAGTATTACTATAGGCTAACTGATATAAACAAGTTCCTATGGAAAAACACTACCAACTTTCTTTTTTCTCTTTTCTCTTCCTCTTCCTCTCTCTTTCTTTCGCTCTCTCTCTCGCTCTTTCTTTCTTTCTCTCTCTTTTTTTTTTCAGTGTCTCACTCTGTTGCTGCAGCCTGAATCTTCTGGCCTCAAACAGTCTTCCCATCTTAGCCTCCTGAATAGCTGGAACTACAGATGCACACCACCACATCTGGCTAATTTTTGTATTTTTTGTAGAGATGGGGTTTTGCCATGTTGCCCAGGCTGGTCTCAAACTCCTGGGCTTAAATGATCCACCCACGATGGCCTCCCAAAGTGCTGGGATTAAAGGTGTGAGCCACTGCACCTGGTCCAAACTTCTAAATAAAGACTCAAAACACTTCTAACATTACAAACTGAAATAAATGCGGGCTATACATATATTTAAGAAAGATTAAGAAAAACAAGATAATTATTTACTCAATTTTTGGTGAACCAGTGAGCAATGGTGGTTGTAGTTGTGATGAGTTAAATCAAGGAATAAATATTTGCAAAGGGAACATTGTAAGAAGCACCTTCTACCACTATGCAGTTCAAAAACAAACAATAACAAATATGGTGGGCTTGCTGAGTGCTTTCATACTGCATTTATTGTTGTACATTTGTATAATTATCACATACTTTATGAATTTTTATTTTGCAATAATTTGTATCTGTTTATGTCTTCATTTTCCAATCCACTTACTGTAGTTCAGGGTCTCAGCTAGCTGGAACCTATCCCAGCAGCTCAGGTACCAACCCTGGACAGGATGCCATTCCATTGCAGGACACACATACACACCCCCAACTCACACTCACTCAGACAGGGACAATTTGGACTCTCCAATTAACCTAACATGCACGTCTTTGGGATGTGGTAGGAAACCAGAGTACCCAGAGAAAACCCAGGCAGACATAGGGAGAACATGCATACCCCATAGACACACACACACACACACACACACACACACACACAGACACACACACACACACACACAGAGTGGCCTTAGCCAGAAATTTATTTTTTTCATCAATATTACTATAAAACAATGTTGAACAAAACAACATTATTTGAGGATCTGCTGTAGTTGGATTAATATCCATCATATTTGTTACTATTTTTTATTGATTGCCCTTGCTGTTCTTATTTTTATCTTCCACTCTTTTTCTGTTTTGTGGTTCTAACTGAGCATTTTATATGATTCAATTTTCTCTCCTTTTTAGCATTTGATTTATAATTATTTCTTTTAGTGGTAGCCCTAAATTTGCAGTGTTGATTTCCAACTAATCCTAGTCCACTTTCAAATGACACTACATTTGGCTCTAGCAATATATGTGTTTGAACAGCATGGGTCCACTTTTACAAGGATTTTTTTTTTCAATAAATCCAGTCAACCCTCCCTCTTGTAGAGTTCTGCATCCACAACCAAATGCAGATTGCAGGATGCAAAATCCCCCAGTAAAGAGCGCCAACTTTTCTCTTATGCAGGGTATGCAGAGGGACTTGAGTATGTGTGGATTTTGGTATCCACAGGGGTCTTAGAATGAATGCTCCACAGATACCAAGGGACGATTGTGTACTGCTTCACCTTATAATAACAAAATAATCATAATTACTCCTTCCTGCCAATTATATCATTGCTGTCATTAATTTTACTCATATAGAAGCATATATGTGTGTGTGAGTGTGTGTGTGTGTGTGTGTGTGTGTACCTAAGCATATGTAATTGATTTTTCAGTCTGTTCAGCTTTTTATTTGTTAGGATGGAGTAGCACCAAGTGCCTTACATGAAGAACCCCAAACCAGAAGCTATTTTATTGTCCAATTGCATTGTATGGGACCTCCAGTACGATGCTGAATAAAAGTGGTAAAAAAAAAAAAAAAAAGGTGTTCCAGGCTGGGCGTGGTGGCTCACACCTGTAATCCCAGAACTTTGGGAGGCCGAGGCAAGTGGATCACCTGAGTTCGAGACCAGCCTGGCCAACATGGTGAAACCACGTCTCTACTAAAAATACAAATATTAGCTAGGTGTGGTGGTGCTCACCTGTAGTCCCAGCTACTAAGTGGGGATGAGGCAGGAGAATTGCTTGAACCCAGGAGGCAGAGGTTGCAGTGAGCCAAGATCACACCACTGCACCCCAGCCTGGGCAACAAAGTGAGACTCCGTCTCAAAACAACAACAACAACAACAAAAGTTGTTCCAAATCTTAAAGGGAAAGCATTCAGTCTTTCATTATTAAAGTGTAGCACTAAGTGTAAATTTTTCACAGATGCCTGTTGTTGGAGGAGGTTCTCTTCTCTTTCAAGTTAGTGGAGAGTTTTTATCAGGAATCGCACTGAGTTTTGCCAAAAAAAATTTTTTTTTTTTGAGATGGAGTCTTGCTCTGTCACTCAGGCTGGAGTGCAGTGGCGTGATCTCGGTTCACCGCAACCTCTGCCTCCTGGGGTGAAGCAATTCTCCTGCCTCAGCCTCCCGAGTAGCAGGGATTGCAGGCGTGTACCACCATGCCCGGCTAATTTTATATTTTTAGTAGAGATGGGGTTTCACCATGTTAGCCAGACTGGTCTTGAACTCCTGACCTCAGGTGATCGACCCACCTTGGGCTCCCAAAGTGCTGGGATTACAGGCATAAGCCACCGTGCCCGGCCTACCAAACACTTTTTAAAAAAATCTATTGAGATAAGAAAAAAAATCTATAGAGACAATCACATTTTCCCTTTTTTTAGTTTGTGAGTGGTGAATTACACTGCTTAATTTTATTTGTTTATTTATTTATTTATTTGTTTATTTACTTATTTTTTAAGACAGAGACTCACTTTGTCACCCAGGTTGGAGTGTGATGGTACAATCATAGCTCACTGCAGCCTTGACATCCTGGACTCAACTGATTCTCCTGCCTCATTGTCCTGGGTAGTTGGGACTACAGGTGTGTGCCACCATGACTGGCTGATTTTTTTCTTTCTTTCTTTTTTTTTTTTTTTTTTGTAGAGATCGAGACTCACTATGTTGCCCAGGCTGATCTTGAACTCCTGGATTCAAGTGATCCTCCCATCTCGGCTTCCCAAATTGCTGGGATTATAGGCATAAGCCACCACACCTGGTCCACTGCTTGATTTTTAGTCATAAAATTAATCTTGCATTCGAGAGATAAACCCCACTTGGTCATGATGCATTATCCTTTTCCCATATTATTGATTTTGATTTGCTCATGTAATGTTAAGGATTTTGCTTTTGTGTTCATGAGGGATTGTTTTCTAGTTCTTTTTTGGCAATATTTTTGTCTAATTTTTTTATCAAGACAATACTGTCCTCATAAAGTGAGTTGGGAAGAGTTCTCTCCTTTCTAATTTTTGAGACAGTTTATGTAAAACTGCTATTATTATTTCTCTGAAAATGTCTGGTAGAATTCACCTGTAAGGTCATCTGCTTCACAGATGGTGTTTTCTTTTTATGCATGATTTTTTGAAATTCACTTTTAAATTTACATAGAGTAAAAATTACTCTTTTTGTTTACAGTTCTATGCATTCTATCAAATGCTTGTACGCAAGTTACCATGACTACAATCAAGATGCAGAACAGTTCTTTCCCTTCCCTTGGCCCAAAGTAAATTCTTTCATGCAGTACCCCTTTGTAGTCAAACTTTATCTCCACATGTAACTCCTGGCAACAAGTGATCTGCTCCCTATCGTTTTTATTTAGCCTTTTCCAGAATATCATATAAGTGGAATCACAGAGTATGTAATCTTTCGAGTATAGCTTCTTTCACTTTGTAAAATGTTCTTGAGTTTTTTGTTTTTTGTTTATGTTTTTGTTTTCTTTTAGACGGAGTCTCACTCTGTTGCCCAGGCTTAAGTGCAGTGGCACGATCTTGGTTCACTGCAACCTCTACCTCCCAGGTTCAAGGGATCCTCCTGCCTCAGCCATTCAAATAGCTGGGACTACAGGCACCCACCACCATGCCTGGGTAATCTTTGTATTTTTAGTAGAGACGTGGTTTCGCCACGTTGGCCAAGCTGGTCTCAAAATTCTGACCTCAAGTAATCAGCCCACCTCGGCCTCCCAAAGTGCTGAGATTACAGGTGTGAGCCACTGCACCCGGCCTGTTCTTGAGATTTTTATCTATTTTGTTGTGTGTACCAATTGTCACTTTTTATTACTGAGCAGCATTCCATTATGTGGATGTACTACAGTTTGCTTTTCCACTCACATTTGAGAGACCTTTGGGTTGTTTCAAGGTTTTTGGCGATTGTAAATAGTCTTTGATAATTTGGGGGTGGTAACTTTTCCTTTGAAAATTTTGGCCAGATTTTCCTGTTTCTGATATGTTGAGTAATTTGGGATTTTAAGATGGACAATTTGACTATTATGCTGTTCATGCCTGTAATCCCAGCCTTGGGAAGCCAAGGTGGGAGAATCACTTGAGGTCAGGAGTTTGAGACCAGCCTGGCCGACATGGTGAAACCCCGTCTTTATAAAAATTGGCCAGGTGTGGTGGCATGCGCCAGTATTCCCAGCTACTTGGGAACCTGAGGCGGGAGAATCGCTTGAACCTGGGAGGCAGAGGTTGCAGTGAGCCGAGATTGCGCCATTGCACTCCAGCCTGGATGACAGAGTGAGACTCCGTTTAAAAAAAAAAAAAGGGCCGGGCGCGGTGGCTCACGCCTGTAATCCCAGCACTTTGGGAGGCCCAGACGGGCGGATCACGAGGTCAGGAGATCGAGACCATCCTGGCTAACACGGTGAAACCCCGTCTCTACTAAAAATACAAAAATTAGCCGGGCATGGTGGCGCGCGCCTGTAGTCCCAGCTACACGGGAGGCTGAGGCAGGAGAATGGCGTGAACCTGGGAGGCGGAGCTTGCAGTGAGTCGAGATCGCGCCACTGCACTCCAGCCTGGGCGACAGAGCGAAACTCCGTCTCAAAAAAAAAAAAAAAAAAAGAAAGAAAGGATATTATGCTGGCTATGAAGCTCTGGGTCCTGTTAAAATCTTCTAAAGATACTGATTTTTGTTTGTTTTAGTAAGTAATCAATCTGGTTAGGCTCAGATCACAAGTTCTGTCATGCCTTCAGGGACAGTAATTCCAATATTTAGTTTTCAAAGCCTTTGCTATGCTCTTTGGGTCTGTACATTACATGCAACGCTTGCGAGTTGTTCTGAGACCTTTGTGGTATTTTTATCATAGTTCATTTCTCAAAGCCTTAACTATGCTTTCTTGAGTAGTCCTCCCCTTATCTGCATGGGATGCGTTTATAAGACCTCCAGTGGATGCCTCAAACTGTGGATAGTACCCTATATATCCTATACAGGCACTGTGGCTATAACTTTTGCAGTTTGAGATGTGACAGCAAAACTAGTACAAAATTGTCTTCTCCACAATTTCACAAATAGAAGATTTGTTCTTATCATAGATTTTAGCAACCTCAGCATATGATTTTTTTATTTCCTTATTAAGTCAAAAACTTTCACCTTTTCACTTAAAGGAAGCACTTTATGGCTCCTCTTTGGTATATCCAAGTAGTCAGCATCACTACTCTTGTACTTTGGGGCCCTTATGAAGTAAAATAGGGTTAGTTGAATGCAAGCACTGAGATACATCAACAGTTGATCTGATAACTGAGATGCCTATGAAATGACTAGTGGGCAGGTGTCTGATTTAACAGTGACTTCAAAGCAGATATTATAAATATGTTTGAAGAATGAAAGGAAACCATATTTAAAGAATTAAAGAAGAGTATGATGTAATTCATCAGAGAATATCAATAAGTAGAAATTTTTAGGAAACCAAATTGAAATTCCTAAGTAGAAAATTATAATAATTGAAAAATTCGCTGGGGGGGTTCAATGGTAGATTTGAACAAGGAGAAAATCAGTGAACTTGAAGACAGATCAGTAGAGATTACAGTAGTATCTCCTTATTCATGGGGGATATGTTCCAAGATCCCCAGTGGATGACTGAAACCAGGATTGGTACCAAACTCTATATACACTATGAATTAATTTATTTTTCATTCTTCACAATTTCACAGGCAGAAGATTCATTCTAACCTTAGATCTTAGCAATCTCAGCATATAGTTTTTTTCTTTCCTTATTAAATTGAGAATGTTTCACTTTTTCACTCACAGGAAATACTTTATGGCTTCTCTTTGGTATGTCCTAATTGCTGGCATTACTACTCTTGTGCTTTGGAGCCATTATTAAGTAAAATAAGGGTTACTTGAATACGAGCACTGAGATATCACAACAGCAAATCTGATAACCAAAACAGCTAAGCTACTGAGTGACAATTGGGTGGGTAGGGTAGACAGTGTGGATATGCTGCACAAAGGATGGAGTGAGACAGTGCAAGATTTCATCATGTTCTCAGAACTGTGTGCAATTTAAAATTTACAAGTTATTTCCAGAATTTTCCATTTAATATTTTCAGACTGCAGTTCATCATGGGAAACTGAAACCTCAGAAAGCAAAGCCAAAGATAAGAGGGGCCTACTGTACTCCATGTTTGTGCAGGAGTAGGGCTGACCCTGTTACTTACGTAGTTTCAAACATAGAATTAGGATCACCTTCTCTAGTTCTCTTCTACATGGGATTTCGGCTACACTTTACAGTTTTTGTGGGCCCCTTTTGTTATGGCCAAAAGGATCAGGCTGTCTTAAAGATTTTGCCTTATGCTGCCATTCACTTCTAAGTACTTGGGGCTGCCCTCGAGGTAAAATATCAAGAAAAAGAGAGAAAGAGTATCGGGATTCCCCCACACACTCTCTTTCCAGTTCCTCTATTCAGAGAGACAGTGTTCTCTTTTATTCTTAGGAAACCTCACAGCCTGGCAGTGGCAGTGCAAATCTATGTTTGGAGCTGGCTTTGTGGCAGGGCCAGCAGACCAAAACGGAAAGAAAAAAATCGGGATTTCCCTACAATTTCTGTGTGGCAGGAGCCCCTTTTCTTCTACACAGTTCTCAATTCAGCCTGCTTTTAAGTGAAAGCCAGAAGATAAAGGAGGAAAAAAGAAACAAGGAAACTGAAACTTATTGGTATGTCTTATTTCTTAAACTGGGTGTTAGGCATAAAGATGTTCTTTTTACTATTATTCTTTAGACTTTATTCATACTTTATTCTTTTGTATGAATGAATTACTTTGCACAGAAGGAAATGAAGCAAAAATAAAAGGAAATAAAAATCGAAAACCTGGCCCATGACCATGGAAATTGGTCGAGTTCTGACTGAAGCAAATCCAAAATTGTTCTACAGGGAACAAGAAAAATTTTATTGTAATCTAGAATGTAAAGGATTTTCAGAAAAGAGAACTCCCGCTGAAGATGAGCTATAAATAAAAATTTATAAGCCATGACAAGAAATAAACCACCATGAAACAGAGTTTGTTTATGTAGCAAAAGAGAAACAGCAACCTCATAACAGAACAGACTAGAATAATTTTGCATCAGTATGTTTAAAATAATTAAAAAGGCAAGAGAAGGTAAAGAAACCACAGTAAAATAAACGGAGCAGTTTAAAATAAGAGAAAATAGATTTTTTAAAGAACCAAATAAATATTCTAGAAATGATAATATAGTCATTGGGATGAAAAATTCAATGCAGATATTAAACAATGGATTAGCAAAGATTGGGAAGGAATTAATGAATTAGAACATAGATTTGAGGAAATCATCCAGAATGAAATACGAAAAGATGAAGAGGCATAAATCATATAAACACAGTTAAGGGATATGGATGACAGAATGAGAAATTAAAATACATGTCTAAATGAGAGCTCCAAAAGTAAAGAATAGAAAGAGCAAGGAAACGCTGAAGGTTTATAAATTGGAGACTTTAGACAAAGAAAGCGTATTGACTTCTGAGCAGGACAAATAAAACTAAACCATATTAACAATATTCTAACAATCTTCCATAAAATAAAAGAGGCAACATTTGCCCTTCTAATTTTACCCTAATATCAAAACCAGAAAAAGACATGAAAGAATACTTTGGACCAATATCCTTCATGAAAATAAAATGTAAAAATCCTCACAAATTTAGCAAGTTGAATCTAGCAATTTATAGAAAAGATAATGATGGCAGTGGCTGGTGCCATCACGCTGGCTGCAGTAGGGAGGAAAGGCTGAGACTGCAGACCCAGGCCTCCCACTCCATGGGGCAGTCAGGAGCCCCACCCTCCTGGACGGTGCTACAGCCGCCCAAACTGCAGCTGTAGATCTGAGCCTCCCTGCGCTCTTGAAGTGGGGCTGGGAACAGGCAGGATCTGCCCTCTTGGGTGCAGCTGCAGCCGCCTGACCAGCAGCTGCTGACCTGGGCCTCCCACAACATGGAGCAGGCAGGAGCTGGGGAATCCCGCCCCTGCTGAGTTGGCCTGCGGGAGCTCCCTGGGTGCAGCTGCCACTGCCCTCTCACCCACGGGACCCAGGCATCTCTGCAGCCTGTACCCTCTGGTGCCCCGGAAGGCCCCCCATCCCTGCAGGCTTGGGGTGTCTGCTCCCGCTGCCTGACCTCTCTCCTCTCCTGGAGCTGGCTCAGATCTTGGAGTGGGGTTGGGGTTGAGCCCTGGGGCCATGAATGGCAGCGGGAGGCAGACAGATTCTTGGGTGGAAGGGGGCAGGTCCCCAGTAAGGCTCTACCTTCAGTCCAGGGAGGGCCTGAAGGCTGGGGGCCAACTGCTGGTCCTGCATACCAGTTTGGGGACTCATGGGGCCTCTTCCAGCAGCCCATGGCTGCCCATGGACCAATCAGCATGCACTTCCTCCCCTCTGAGGTCCATAAAAGCCCTGGGCTCAGCCAGAGCAGGGCAGACGATGGCCAAAGGACGAAGAGGATAGACAGACTACACAAGGACCAGCTGCAGAAAGGAGCTACCGTCTCTGCCGAGAGCTTCAGAGACAACCTGCCAGCAGACAGGAGGCACCCTCTCCAGGGCCTCCTCTCCACTGAGAGCTGCAGACATTGGGACAACCAGTAGTAGAGAGGAGCTACCCTCTCCAGGGCCACCTCTCTAATGAGAACTGAATGCTGGACAGATGATCTTCCTACAGAGAGGAGCTACCCACTGTGGGTCTCCTCTGAGCTCTTGTAACACTTAATAAAGCTCATCTTCGTCTCGTTCACCCTTCACTTGTCTGCGTACCTCATTCTTCCTGGATGCAGGACAAGAATTCGGGCAAAGGTGCTGTGGCCACAGAGGTTTCTGGCCAGGAAATTGACAACCCAAAACTCCCTGACAATAACATGATGAAATGTAGCTTATTGAGGGAATGAAACACTTGAAAATCAATCACTGTAATACACATATCAATAAATCAGAAGAAAAACAATATGATCATCTTCATAGATACAGAAAAAGCATTTGACAAAATGCAACATTCACTTATGATAAAAAGTCTAAGCAAATTAGAAAGTAAACTTCCTTAACTTGCTAAAGGGCATCTTTAAAAATCTACTGCTAACTTCCTAATTGTTGTTGAAATTTCCCTCATAAATAGGAAATAAATCAAGGATTTTTGCTTTTGCCACTCCAACTCAATATTGTAGTGGCGGTCTTAGCCAGTGCAATAACACTAGGAAAGAAAAGCCATACAGATGAGAAAGGAAGAAATAAAACTGTCTATTTGCAGTTTCACATAGAGATTTCAAATAGAATTAGTACCTATATATATTCATTAAATACTTCTCAATGTTGATAGTTATTAGTTAAGATTGTTGAGTTTATTAATATTTCATAAGAATAATAGAAGTCATAAGATATATCTCTTTTTAAATAGTTTATAATTCAGAAAGTTAAATTCTTATGGCTTTTCTCTTAAGCTAAATTGCTGAATTCTTTGTTTTGGTTACCTTTTCTTCTGAAAACTCTCTTATGACCTCTGCTGTCCATTTATTGAACATAAATCATTAAATAAAATATTCGTTGACATTTATATCTAGATGGTAAGAAATCTTCTGCCCATCTGATTATTTGAGTCAGTTTTAGGAAACAATATATGCTAAGAAATGCTTTAAAATTGTTTTCTTATAAATGTAATATATTTTCACTATTGATAACACACAAAAAATTGCAGTAACCACTCATCATATCACTGCTTAAAGATAACAACTGTTATCAAGTGGTATATATCCCTCTGGAATTGTTTCTGTAAAGTATAATTTTATGTTAAATTTATTATTATTATTACACAATTGAGATCATACTATACGTGCAATTTTGTATATATTCTTTTCACTTTATATATGGACTATTTCCCATATCAAGATATGTTTAAATTGTTGCATAATATATCAGCTATATACTAATTTATGTAATACTGTCTTATTTGGGAGCATTTAACATTTTTTTATTGAGACAGAGTTTCACTCTTGCCGCCCAGGCTGGAGTGCAGTGGTGTGATCTCGGCTCACTGCAACCTCTACCTCCTGTGTTTAAGTGATTCTCCTGTCTCAGCCTCCTGAGTAGCTGGGATTACAGGTGTCCATCACTACGCCAAGCTAATTTTTTTAATTTTTAGTAGAGATGGAGTTTCACCATGTTGGCCAGGCTGGTCCTGAACTCCTGACCTCAGGTGATCCACCTGTCTCAGCCTCCCAAAGTGCTGAAATTACAGGCATGAGCCACTGCACCTGGCCAGGGAGCATTTAAATTGATGCAATTATTTTCTCTTACAAGTAACCCTATAAAACATAATTCCTTGAGCATCCCTAATTTTATGCTTACATCCCCAAAAGCACAATTTCTGAGTCATAGAAAAAGCTTTTCATTCTTATTGCTGAATTGAACTCTAAAAATTTTGTGCTAACTTAACACTCCTACCAGAAGTATATGTTCATGACCACAGAAATAGCTTTTTTAAACTAAGATGTGAAAATATCTTAGAAACAAACTCTAAATAAGGAGAAAAAAGTTGTATATAATTTTCTACTTATGAGGTGAATAATTTCATTTTTTCTTCAAAGGTGTCAGGAAAATGGACGTTTTGGTAGAGTGATAAAAGGGCCAGACCTTCTAATTGCTTAATCTTAATGTTTCTGAATCTGTTTCCCCATCTATAGTGTGAGGAGAATAATTTCCCTCCTAATTAGTGAGGATACAGTGAGATGACGCATGTGAACATGGTTTGACAATTATAATGTCATATGGATGGAAGATACAACTTTTATTAATCATTGTTGATATGTGGACAGATTTGATACTCATTATACTGTTTTTAAGTGTCTATAACTTTAACTATTTTATACCAATCTTAATATTAATAATTTTCTCCATTTTCAACCTTGTATGATCAGCAAAGTAAATTTTCAGTCAATTCTATTTGGTTTTTGTTTGAAAAAGTAAAATAATGATTATGCAACATAGAAAATTATAGTTCAGTTGCCAATTCCATTAACTTAGTTTGTCTCAGAAACGGAAAAATTACCATAGACACAGAATTAACTATTAAGAATTAATATTTAATCTAAAAATGTCTAGTGTTTCTACAGAAAATTTGAGTACATTCTCAACTTCCTTAAACCAGTGCCTTTTTCAAATTTCTTTTCAAAGTTACACCTGTCAATTTTCATAAAAAATAGTTTGAAGATTATTCTGAATAATTATAACCAATGAAACACAAAGACAAGAAAAGAACTATTGCAGTGGGCCCTTGCTGAACCTGAGCTAGCACCTATAATGAGTGAGTCTTCACCGAAAGAAGAATAAGGAGGGAGCAAGGACTAGAAGGACAGAAAAGAGGCAATGATAACTTAAGAGAACACTGAATTTTTAAAAATTTTAAAAAGGTAGTGGCTAGCAGAGAACCTGAGACTTGTACCCATGAGAACTTTAGCCCAGTCTATCTATCACGATAGCCCCAAGAATTCTGGTCATTGTACTTGGGTAAGGGCTTCAATTTTTTAAGGCACTTGCATTTTATGAAATGTTAGTGTTTGCAGGTGTCTTGGCTAAATAATTTAGGGAATACATTTTAGGAGGAAGTAGGGGCACAGAGGGGGAGAGAGAAACCAGGCAGGAAAGAAGAAAAAAAGAAGAAAATAAATCTTTCTGTTCCCATTATTTTACTGCCCATAGAATTATAAAAGGTAAACACACACACACACACACACACACACACACACACACACACACACACACACACACCTTATAGGGTCATTTAGAACCATCTTTCTTCATTTTAAAACTAAAGAAACAGGTCTAGGTGACACAGATGAAGCAGTGGCAGAGCCAGGAAAATAATCTGACCCTTGTCCCTGCTCTTTCCACCGCACCATGGTGACTCTCTTTTTTGTGTCTTTTTTTTTTTCACTCTAAAACTGATGATCATTTGTAGTCAAAGAGATCAATGCTATTCTCAAAACAAGTTCTGATCTCTCATAATTTTCTTGGTAACTCAGAATCAATGTTAAGTACGTTGAAATAAAAATACAGTACTTTACACGGTAATTTGGTAGACTGTGCACCACGGTCCCATCCATTTTCTTACTTGATCCTCACAAAAACCCTTTGAGGCAAGGCAAGGAAGGTATTATCATCTACATTTTTAAAGTGAGCAAATTAAAACCCAAAGTAAGGTCACTTAGGGTCAGGACGGAGCAAGTACTCTATTCCTATATTTGGAATATAGGAGGGAATACACTTCCAAAGAGGCAATTCCCTCAAAAAGCACCAATCTTGCTCTTTACTCTCTTACCAAGGCATTCTCCATGCCCTGGAGATGCCCGCACTAGGTTAGTGAAGCTTGGATCTTGACATCCACATAGGTTACTCCTAGTTTGCACCTAGTTGTCAACTTAAAAAGCGCAGTTTCTTACCCCTTCCCTTGGTCCTGATCCTTATTTAGGCTCCTATTTTTCTCTTTGGGATTTGGCCTCCTGGGTCTCACTCCAAAGCTCCACCCTCTCCAAACAAGAAGTCGCGTCCTTGGTATCCAAGGTGACCATGCAGCTTTACCCTCGTTGCCCCCTTCCGTGCTTCCCATTGGCCAGTGGCCTCCCATGTACCGCCCCTCCAATAGCCAATGGTCTTGAAACAAAGGGCGCCCGCCTTTCCAGCGATTCTAACACCTGCCCTCTTACCCGTGCTCCCCTGCGCATTGCCTCCTGGGATATGTGGTTTCTAAGAGGCGGAGCTCTGCGACTTTCCACCGCTTTAGAACTACGTATCCCGTCGGCCTTAGCGAAAGGGGGTGGACTTAGGCAAGGGGTCCAGGTCAGAGTTCAGAGCTTTCAAATCCCAACTTGCCCCTGGGGATTACGCAGCTGATGTTTACATCGCCTAGTCAAGCCAACCGGCTCGCTCTTGTTTCAGCAAACCCTGACTTACGTCTCCTATTTGACTTGAGGCGGCACAGTGGCCAAGTCGATTGGCCGTGGCAAGTGACCCTCCCTGTGGCTGAAGTGTTCTGAGGACTGGCGAGAGAGGCGCGCCATGCTTGCCCCCTGTTCAGGTTGGGAGCTTGGCTGCTTCCGTCTCTGTCTCCGTCAGGTCCGACTGTGGGCTGGCGCTGGGCGCTGGTCTTGCTGGGCTTGCCAAGCCAGGCCGTACAGCTCAGGTAGGGGCGAGCGCTGGCCCGGATCGGAGACTGAGGTCCCTCCGCCTGGCCCGGCGCGCCGAACTCTGAAGGAGTGGACACTGCAGGTGAGCCCGTTCGGTCGGCTGCGGGCGCGGCTCCCGTGCCACCTGGCCGTGAGGCCCCTGGACCCCCTCACCTACCCGGATGGCGACCGCGTGCTGGTCGCGGTGTGCGGCGTGGAGGGCGGCGTGCGGGGCCTGGACGGCCTGCAGGTGAAGTACGACGAGGATCTGGAGGAGATGGCCATTGTGTCTGATACTATCCACCCCCAGGCGTCCGTGGAGGTGAACGCGCCCCTGAAGTTTGGCAAGTGAAGTGAAGTGAAAACGGGTTTGGGTCCCAGGGAACGCACAGTGAACTTAATAAATTTGGTCGACGTGCACTTTTAATTGGTCCTGGCTTTCTAAACCTAATTTACAGTTGGCCCCTTCGGAAATGCAACTTTTCCTCTGTTCTATTCTTGAGTATCCGAGTAGTATTTAAAAAATTAGGTTCCCAATTATAGAAATTTTATACATCGAATGGAAACACGATTTGGTATAATCCAGGTCAAATTCTATTTCTGGAGCCGCTTGTGTTCTTCTTTATCCCGTTGTCATTAGCAAACTGGCTTATTTTTCAAGGTTGAAGTTTCTTGACAATTCATTCAATGGTATGGCAGTCCATCTACATTTCCCCTTGCTCACAGCCTGGGGGTGTGTCCCAAAACAGCCCTGTCAATAGGATGTTCCAGGTACCACCTGGTTTGAGTATTTGGTTTTAGACGGGCGCCCAGCTTCTTACTGTTATGTTTCCATTCTTTTTGGCCTAAGTTTTCCATGAGTAGCAAGCTTTGAAGAAAAACACATGGTAAGCCTGCCTAGGAAGCTTCAATAATAATGCCTGCAAGATACCTTTCTTAGGTTTTCCTAAATGGCAAGCCACTGTGTACACACACTTTTCTAGGAAGGGCTCCCCAGACTGTCATTCTTCCTGGGACTGAAGGAAGATATTGATGATGATGATGATGGTAATAATAATAGCATTTAGCATTTTTAAGATCATCTTTTATAATGCTTACAGTTGCCCAAATAGTAGATGCCGTAGTCCTCCCTTATCCACCGTTTGGCTGTCTGAGTTTGTTACCTGCCTCAACTGTTGTAGGAAAATATTAAGATATTTTGACAGATCACAGTAATATAACTTTTATTACAGTATATTGTTATAATTGCTGTATTTATTATTATTGTTGTTCATCTCTTACTATGCCTAGTTTATAAATTAAACTTGATCATTGATATGTATACAGGAAAAAACATAGAATATATAGGATTTGGTACTATTTGTGGTTTCAGGAATCAAGTCGGGGGGGCGGGTCTTGCCTACTTTAAGAGAAATCATCAATATTTATGTTAATTCCAAATTAAATATCAGCGTTTTTAATTTTTAAAATTTGTATACAGCGATGCCTGCAGTTACATCTTAAATAGACAGCCAAGGATGGCATTTGTAATTCCTTATTTTCCAAACTTGCTTCATGTACCACTGCCATTTGTCCACAATCTTGTGGGGTTTTTTGTTTGTTTGTTTTGGTTTTTTTTGAGACTGCATCTCACTCACTCTGCCATGCAGGCTGGAGTACAGGTGCACAATCATGGCCCACTGCAGTCTTGACTTCACGGTTTTAAGCAATCTTCTCGCCTCCGCCTCCTGAGTAGCTGGGACTACAGGTGCATGCTACCATGCCTGGCTAATGTTTTTGTTTTTTTGTAGAAAGGGAGTTTTGCCACATTGTCCAGGCTGGTCTTGAACTCCTGGGCTTCAAGCAATCCTCCTTCCTCGGCCTCCCAAAGTGCTGGTATTACAGGCATGAGCCACGGCTCATGGCCTAATCTTGTAGTTTTAATAGTATATATTAGGTTTTTCAAAGTTGTTCCCATTTTTAAAAAATTACTTCAAATACCTTGTGATATAGTTGCATGGTAATATTTTCATTTTTTAAGTATGAAAGGTTAGACATAGGATTTGAAAACCTAAGTCATGATCATATATACTGGGGAAGAGGCTTCTACAGTCTTTCACAGGAGTACTTAACAGAATCGTAGTCTCCTTTACTTCCCATCTATGTTAGTTCTCTTTAGGTGATTTAGGCCAGTAGAAATAACTGCTCTGTTTCTAAAAACGGGCAGAAAGGCTATTGTATTTGGTCCCGTTGCCGTGGTAGAAGACCCCTTACCTTTACAGTATGCACTTTCCAGGATTCAGCAATATTATGGACATAACTGAGGAGTTGGGTTTCTAGGTTAAAATGCTTTGGAGCTTATAAACTGCAGTACTAACTTGCTTTTTTCTTTTTTTACTTCTAGGTTTAGATATCAAGTCATCAGGGTCTGGCTGTGTAGAAGTTCAAAGTATTGAGGGTGATAATTGCAAAATTGAAACAGAGCATGGGACTAGCATCTTGCAGTCTGTTAAGGTATAGCATTTTTCTAATTTTATTTCACTATTATTTTTTTAAAAGCCTTAAGCTATGAATCGTACTATCAAACTCAAGAGATTCTTCTGTTTTTCAGAACATTGTCATTTATTCATCTCTCAGAAAGTCCTTGGCAAACATTTTGCCTTGAAATCAGTTCTAGTAAAGTACAGAGGTTATAGCAGTTTTGAGGTTTTGCCTCAAATTTCTTTTTGATTTAATTTCAAAGTGTACAGTGAAACTAATAGTATTTTCCTAGTATTCTGAAATCTTACTAAAGAAATTTTAGTTTCCACAAATGATTTTCTTCCATTTTATTAAAGAGTAAGGAAGAATCTTTGTGCACTATAAATGTGCTTAAATATTAGATGACTTTAATCACATTTTTAATGTACCAGGTAGCTAGCTCATTACTTAAGGATTAAGTAGTTATTTGTGCAAAGTAACATATGATTCATCTTGTTTTGTAATTAAATTTTTTTTTTTTTTTGAGACGGAGTCTTACTCTGTCACCAGGCTGGAGTGCAGTGGTGCAATCTCAGCTCACTGCAACCTCTGACTCCCTGGTACAAGCAATTCTCCTGCCTCAGCCTCCCAAGTAGCTGGGATTACAGGCATGCACCACCACACTCAGTTAATGTTTGTATATTTAGTAGAGACAGGGTTTCACCATGTTGGCCAGGCTGGTCTCGATCTCCTGACCTCGTGATCCGCCTGCCTTGGCCTCCCAAAGTGCTAGGATTACAGGCATGAGCCACTGCGCCCGGCTGTAATTAATTTTTTTTTTTTTTAGTGTTTTCTTTGTAGAGACAGGGTCTCACTGTATTGCGCCAGGCTGGTCTTGAACTCATGGGCTCAAGTGATCCTCCTGCCTTGGGCTCATGAAGTGCTGGGATTACAGGTGTGAGTCACCATGACTGACCTATATTTAATTTTTTAAAGATTAGACTGGTGTTAGCTGTAAATAGTTTGAAATACCTCTCTGATAGGTGCTAGCTTATCGTTACTCTTAGTGCTTCTTGCATTTGCATAGTCAAAACTTGATACTTTTGTGAACTTTGAAAGCATGCAATTTTGTTGAAGTCAGTCATCTTTGCTTCATAATTGCAAAATATTTTCATTTTTAGATTTCTAAACACTAGTTAGAATAATTTGATGCATTTTTAATTTTTACATATTTTTTCTTTCATCCACCTTTATTTGCGTATCTGCCATCAGCATGTGTCCACATATGAATCATTTCAAATAAATTTTTGGCACAAATATCATAAAAGATTAACATTACCATCACAAGTCCTTCTAGCAAAATAAGTTGGTTCAGATTCTTGTTGTAAAAGATTGTATAATAAGGTCTTCATGTTGAATGACTAGGTGAGGATATCATAATTCTTTTTTGTCCTTAGAAATATTTTGTTCAGTCATTGATACTTAAGTTTCAGAAAACTAATCTAGACTTGTCCTCTGAAGACTCAAGAGTTTGAGATTTCCAATTTCACAATCAAAATTAGAATCTAGTATACTGCTGTCTCTGCATTTATGTTTTGATTAATCTGATAGTTCTGAAAGATCTTTCTCTGTTGATTTTCTTCTTTTATGCCATTGTAGGCATAAAATTAAAAATGGTTTCTTAGCCTTGGCAATACAAACCTTTTCAGTCAGGTGATTTGTTGTGGGGGCCTGTCTTGTGCAGTATAGGATATTTAGCACCATCTTTGCCCTCTACCTTTTAGATGCCAGTAGCATGCTCCTCAGTTGTGACAAGGGAAAATGTCTCCAGACATTGCCAAATATCTTCTAGAGACAAAATCATCTCCAGTTGAGAATGATTGCTTTATGCAAGTCCATCATTCTTCTGTTTTCTTATTTAGTTTTTTTAAAAAACATAGTTGGGAATAATTTATGAATAATGATGAAATAACTCCTAGGATGATGAATTAGCAAAAAAAAATTAAAAATAAGAACACTATTATCCCATAATGTATTTCAGGTTTATAAAAGTCCAGTGGACCAATTAATGGTAATTACAGGATAGAATGAGTTTTGTTCTATTTTTTTAAAAGTAAGTACATTTTCTATTTATTCCTTGAAAGACCTCCCAAGAAATAACAGAAATCATGAAATATCAGTTCTTACAAATAAAATAGCTCAAAACAAGAAATTCATGAAAAATTATGCCTGTGGATACTAATGGTATACCAAGGGTTAAGAGAATTATCCTTGAGATCATAGGATTTAACTAACTTCAATTCACAAATGAGAACACTTTGGTAAAATATCTGGTTTAAGTTTTAAGTATCGTACAATAATATCATTACCTTGAATTAGTGGTCACCTGTTGATATGTTTCTCTTTCATTAACTTAAGGACTTGAAATATAGTTGACCTGCATATTAAAAAAAAAATTTTTTTTTTTGAGGCGGAGTCTCACTCTGTTGCCCAGGCTGGAGTGCAATGACACGATCTTGGCTCACTGCAACCTCCGCCTCCTGGGTTCAAGTGATTCTCCCACCTCAGCCTCCCGAGTAGCTGGGATTACAGGCACCCACCATCATGCTCGGCTAATTTTGGCCAAGCATGTTGGCCAGGCTTGTCTTGAACTCCTTTCCTCACATGATCCGCCCCACCTTGGCCTCCCAAAGTTCTGGGATTACAGGCATGAGCCACCATGCTCGGCCCTACATAGCAATAATAATAACTACTGTTAATAAGTCCTTATTGTGTACCAGGAATCTTAGCTAAACCTTCATTTAATCCTTGAATTTTCTCCATTTTATACAAGGAAGAAACTAGAAGGCACCAAGAGATTGAGGAACTCACTTGCGTTCACATAGCTAAAAAAAATTGAGCTGGGATTTGACCTTGGGTCTTTCTGATTTCCAAGCTCATGCTTTTTCCACCTTTATTTATTGTCCTGACAAAACATATGGTAAGACCACATTTGTACAGCATCCTTAGGGAATAAGATAAGTGAATTTTTCAGGCAACAGACCCTTAACTAATTGAATGTCACACATTTGCATTTTTTAAATGCAGTATAATTTATTTTCTAAATAATTTCTGATTTATTTAAACATTTAACTATTTGGTTTTATGTTTTTAAAAATTCTATAATCAACTTCACATTTTTTGGGGAATTAGATGAGCTTTAAATTATAACAGTAGCTCTTACTATTTTTGAACCTTAGACCTCTTAGAAAATCTAATTGTCTCCTTAAGAAAAAAATGCATGTCTATGAAATTTTACTTATAATTTTGTAAGTTCATGTGAGCTTGGTTAAGAGTTCTTGACTTAAAACAACAAGTGTGCGCCTCCCGTCGCCCAAGATGCCGAAAGGAAAGGAGGCCAAGGGGAAGAAGTTGGCTCTGGCCCCTGCTTTTGTGAAGAAGCAGGAGGCCAAGAAAGTGGTGAATCCCCTGTTTGAGAAAAGGCCTAAGAATTTTGGCATTGGACAGGACATCCAGCCCAAAAGAGACCTCACCTGCTTTGTGAAATGGCCCCGCTATATCAGGTTGCAATGGCAGAGATCCATACTCTATAAGCAGCTGAAAGTGCCTCCTGCGATTAACCAGTTCACCCAGGCCCTGGAAGGCCAAACAGCTACTCAGCTGCTTAAGCTGGCCCACAAATACAGACCAGAGACAAAGCAAGAGAAGAAGTGGAGGCTGTTGGCCCAGGCAGAGTTGTGGGCAAAGGGGACCTCCCCATGAAGAGACTACCTGTCTTTCGAGCAGGAGTTAACACCGTCACCACCTTTGTGGATAACAAGAAAGCTCCGCTGGTGGTGACTACACACGACATGGATCCCATTGAGCTGACTGTTTTCCTGCCTGTCCTGTGTCATAAAATGGGGGCCACTTGCTGCATTATCAAGGGGAAGGCAAGACTGGGATGTCTAGTTCACAGGAAGACCTACACCACTGTCGACTTCACACAGGTTAACTCAGAAGACAAAGGAGCTTTGGCTAAGCTGGTGGAAGCTATCGGGACCAATTACAATGCCAGATACGATGAGACCCACTGTCACTGGGACGGCAATGTCCTGGGTCCCAAGTCTGTGGCTCACATTGCCAAGCTCGAAAAGGCAAAGGCTAAAGAACTTGCCACTAAACTGGGTTAAATGTACACTGTTGTGTTTTCTGTACATAAAAATAATTAAAATAATTAAAAAATAAAAAAAACAAGTGCTTTGTGGATAGTCTTTTCAAAGGTTTATCACATATTTGATAAGGAGTATATTAAATATAATTTGACTTCAGACTCACGTCTCTGGGCATAACGTAGTTAACCATGCTATAGTACAGATTTTTTTTTCTTTAAGAGACAGGGTCTTGATGTGTTGCCCACGCCGGAGTGCAGTAGCACGATCCTAGCTCACTGAATCCTCAAACATCTGGGCTCAAGTGAACCATATCTCTTTATGTAACAAAACTAAAGACATATATAATGATTAAGGGAAAACATCTGGGCTCAAGTGATCCATATCTCTTTCTGTAATAAAACTAAAGACATATATAATGATTAAGGGAAAATAAATTACTCTAAAAAAAATCAGACTAGGCCGGGTGCAGTGGCTCATGCCTGTAATCCCAGCACTTTGGAAGGCTGAGGCGGGTGGATCACGAGGTCAAGAGATCGAGACTATCCTGGCCAACACGGTGAAACCCCATCTCTACTAAAAATACAAAAAATTAGCCTGGCGTGATGGCATACGCTTGTAGTCCCAGCTACGTGGGAGGCTGAGGCAGGAGAATCGTTTGAACCCAGGAGGCGGAGCTTGCAGTGAGCCGAGATCTCACCACTGCACTTCAGCCTGGGCGACAGAGCGAGACTCTGTCTAAAAACAAAAACAAAAAACAATAGACCAAACATCTAATGGCTCATATATAATATGAGTTTATTTCTTACTTGTGTCCAGGTGTATGGGTGGGTCTTTTTCATTCAGTGATTCTAGGTTCCTTCCGTCTTCCGGCTCTGCCATCTTTTAGAGCCTTGTTATATTCTGGACCCACTTGGTGGAATGAGAAGAGCACAGAGAAGGCACACTTGTTCTAAAAGCACCAACCTGGAAATGGCATATAGCATTTCCACTTACGTTATGTTGGTAACAACTTAACAACACCTAAGAGGTAAAGGAAGCTGGAAAATGTGGTCTTGCCATGGGTCAAGCTATACTGCTTTTACTTTGGAAAAAAATGGATTTTGATGAGCCAATAGTAGTGTTTGCCATAGTTCCCAAGTCCAAAATCAAGTCACTCACACACACACACATACACATACTTTTGTTTTCTGTCTTGCAGAATAGGCTAACTGGCTTGTGACTGCTGTTTTGTGCTCGGAGGCATTTTTACTTAGTTTCTGGGATGTGTTGTGCTAGAAGGTTTAAGTGGGCTGTTAACCTAATGTGTATTCTGTCCTTCAGACCGGTCCAGCGTTAAGAGTGTGGGCTTTGGAATCATACAGAACTTGATTCTAATTGTTACTTTAGATTTTGGGTTTTTTTCTGTCACCCTGATAAAGTGATTTACCTTTCTGAATCTTGGCAGTCTTCCTCTGTAAAATGGGAAAAATGTAATACTTACCTCTCTGGTTTGTTGTGAGGATTAAATGATAGTTCATGTGAAGTAGCTAACATGGTATCTGGTGCAGAGAAAATGCCAAATAAGTGATAACTATTATTGTTATTAATGATGAATAGTAACTGATTATTATTGTCATCTTCATCACTGTGGATATTTAGTTAGCTGATCACAGTGATTTTTGATTCCCAAGTCCTTCATCAGTGAAGCTACCAGAATACCCAAGTATCTCTTGTTTTTCCCTTTGAGTCCAAGTGGCTTATTTAATCCCTTTAACAGCAGTTGACATTTTTTTCCAGTTGATGTCATTATTCGAAGCAGTGAGTTTCTGTTTCATTCCTTATTGTTCTTTTGTTGCTTTGTCAGTATTAATACAGAAATATTGAAAATGTTTCACTAGTATAAGTCACACTTACTCTCTTTTTCACTATATGTATTTTTAAATTTGTCTTTCAGGGTCAAAAATTGCATGTTCAAACAAAAGGAGGCAAAGTGATCTGTCTGGGAACAGTTTATGGAAATATAGATATTCATGCATCAGATAAAAGTGTAAGATTGAAACTTTCTTTTTTTTTAGTAATTGCAACTTTGCTTCCATTTGGCTCACTAAGTTGGTAGGTTCTACAAAGTTCGTAGCATAACATTCCCTTTTTAATGCATTTTAGTTCATAAGTAAATTCAAATTTGAAATTGAAGTGATGAAATAATATACAACTTAAGTTTTAGTTTGTGGTTTAATACTTTTGACAGTTACTTAGTTCCTAGTCTGGAATCAATAAAAACTTAAATGCTTACTATTTAACTCAAGTTCTGAAAAGATTTTTATTTTTATGATCATAGATTAAAATAGATGATTAAGTAATATCACCAGTAACTGGATTGGATTTTTCTTGTGTTAGGTTTATTTGAGTATTTTCTAAGACCTTTTTACTTCGCCCTTAGGCAAATTGAAGGATGTTTCAAAACTCAGCTTTCTTCAGTATTTTCCACAAGGTGGCACCATTAGATAGCTTTACTGCTCTCTCACAGCTTTTTTTTTTTTTTTTTTTTTAGTAGCTATTGAGATTTTCGTTGTTATAGGAAGATAGTTTGTATTTTTTAATCAACTCCTTTTGTAGCTTTTGGTTATTTAGCATAGTATTAAGAGTAAAGGTATAATTTTGGAATTATAAATTGTCATTTAAAAAATGTGATTGATAATGTATCTTTGAGAAAAAGTTTCCTTTTATTTTACACTGATACAATTTGCAAGAGCTTTTTTGTTTCTTATAAATTTGCTAAATTCCATAGTCAGCTTTATTTTCAGATAATTGGTGGGGAGGAGTTGCAAGCATATTTTGTATGTAGATTATTGTTGGCATAATTAAACAAGATAGACTATAACAGTCATTGTTTCTGTTGTTTTATCTTCCATCACCTTCCTACAAATTTGCTATACTCCATGGTCAGCTTTATTTTCAGAGAGTTGGTGGGGAGGAGTTGTGAGCATATTTTATATGTAGATTATTGTTGGCATAATTAAACAAGGTAGGTTATAACAGTAATTGTTTCTGTTGTTTTATCTTCCATCACCTTTCTCTTAGACCCCGTGGGAGGTTGTTTAAACCTAAACATTTAAAAATACTCTGTAAATTAAACTAGGAAAGTGTTGAAAGACACTGTGTGGCCTTATGCTGCAGCTTTTTTGAGATGGCATTTAGTTTTACTTTTTAGATTGCTGTGGTCTTGGAGGTGCAAGAGGGAAATTAGACAAATTTACAGCCCCTTCAAACTCAGTAAATGATGGCTAATGTTATTGAAATAAGTTACTAGAATATTGTAACATTTGCAATCAAATATAAGTATCAAAGAATTTAATATCTTAATCATTTGCTACCTTGAATATCTTGGCCACTGTTTCCTCTCAGTTATTTATTTGTTCCAATGTTTATGGTTTACTGAATATTCATGTGTTTTACTTGCTATTATACAATTTTATTTCTTGATTGAGTTTTGTTATGTACTCAAGAATCAGTCTAGGTTTTTTTTCCTATTTTTATTACATATAGTATTGATTTTTAATGTATATTTCTAAGTTTGTAGTTTTTATAAAACATAAAATAAATACTTGTGAAATCTATTAACTTTTAATACACAACTTTCATAGAAATGTGATTTGGATATTTGAGAGACAAATATAGTGAATTAGTTAAGAGCACTATATTGAGAGCCAAACTACCTGTGTTTGAATTCTGGCTCCACCATTCACTAAGCTCTATAACTGGACAAATTACTTAACCTCTGTGTGTCTCAGTTTTTTGGAAAATTGGGTAATAGTAATAGAACAAACTCAAAAAATCCTCTATTAAGAGGATTAAATGAGTTAATACAGGTAAAATACTTAAAACAACGTCTGGCACATAGCTAAGTCTAATGTAATGCTTACCACGATGATGATGATAAAGGTAAAGGAATCACAGGAAAGATAACTGGACGGGTTCTAGACCTACCAGTTAGCTTCCCAGAGACTCAGTTTCATTATTCAGCAAACAGGATGGTGATATTTGCTTTGTCCACTTAACAAGATTGTGAGAATCAAATGAGCATTATAAATAATAGCATCATTATTCTACATGACTGTTTTTAAATTGTGTTAATTTCAGTATCTAAGTTTAGTTTTATAACTTAACAGAGAACACAGAAACCCATTTCGTCTATTTGGTGAATTGATGACATAGTTGTCAGTTTTCCTCTCAGTCTGGGCTACAAAGCCACAGTACTTCCTTAAAACTTGGCTTTCATTATTTGTAAGAACTATATATATATGTATTTATATATATATTCATAATAACTAAGTGAAAAATTTTTCTTTTCATCTAGAAAAGAAAATTTATAGCAATACCTCTGTCAGGAAGATACTGATTTTTAAATCTACTTTTTGTTCTGTCATTAAATAGGTAAATTTAAATTCCTTCCATTTAGTTTGGTGGAAAGCTACTGCCTTATTAGATGTCAAGTGGAAAAGTTCTAGAAATAATAGTATATTCACTACATTAATGTACTAACAGAGAAAAATCATGATAAATCAATAGAATCAGATAAAGTATGTGCTAAAATTCAAAACCTATTCATGATTTAAATAGCAAAAGCAATAAAACAAAGTTGAAATAGAAGGGAATGTCCTTAATCTGATAAAAATTATTTTAAAAATATCTATAGCAAACATCATGCTTAATGGTGAAATGTTGTAAACTTTTCTTTTGAGAACAGGAATAAGACAAGGATGCCTGCTGTCCCATTGCTTCTGCTAGCTGCTATTCACTGTGGAATTGGGGGCCTGAGACAGATGTTAAGGCAAGAAAAAGAAAGAAAAAGCAGGAAAAAAAGTATTAATATAAGGATTGGAAGGGAGGAAATGAAGCCATCACTTGTAGACAGTATAATAACACATACATAATTTTTAAAAGTACAGATAAATTATTAGGATTAGTGAGTTTAGTGAAGTTGCTGGATTAAGATTAAATACAAAGTCAATTAGGATAAAATGAAATTTCAAAAGATACCTTGTACAATAGCACTTAAAAATATCTAAAAGGAATAAATCTAATAAAAGATTAAGAATTTTATATAGGGCATATAAAACATTAAGAGAAATTAAAGGAGACCTAAGTCAATGGGGGAATGTATTGGATCTGTTCCATATTCTGCAGAGAATGCACTATTGCTCAGAATCTCGTAATTAGAGGTAGGGAATCAGAGTCAATAAAGTGATTGTGTACTAGGTAGTAACATTTTATGTAGTTATCCACTGATTCCACAGGTAGCATTTTGGCTTTTTACCAGTCTTTGTTTTATAATGAACTGATTAGTCTTTCTCTTACTAGGCTGTGACCATAGATAAACTGCAGGGAAGTTCTGTTACTGTATCTACCGAAGATGGGTTGCTGAAAGCCAAGTATCTTTATACAGAATCATCATTTCTGTCTTCTGCTGCTGGGGATATTACATTAGGAAGTGTTCATGGTAAGCTGACAAAGGCGTAATACATCTGAGACTTTCCACGTAGCATAAATTTTAAGAGATGACTCTGTAGTTGAAAAAAGGATCAGGAAACTGGCCTTTTAAATAATGAAATGCAGACTAACCATCTTTTTAAAAAAAAAACCATAAAAATAAAATGACTCATAAAGCTAATTTTATTTTATTTGTGCAAGAGATTAAAGATTATGCTGTTATATATGGAACTAATAGTAAGTCTAATTTTTAATGCATTTCTTTTTTCTTTTTTTTTGAGACAGAGTCTTGCTCTGCTGCCTAGGCTGGAGTGCAGTGGCGTGATACTGGCTCACTGCACCCTCCACCTTTCACGTTCAGGTGATTCTCCCACCCCAACCTCCCGAGAAGCTGGGACTACAGGTGTGCGCTACCACGCTAGGCTAATTTTTGTATTTTTAGTGGAGATGGGGTTTCACCATGTTGCCCAGGCTGATCTCAAACTCCTGGGCCCAAGCGACCCACCCCCTTGGCCTCCCAAAGTGCTGGGATTACAGGTGTGAGCCACACTGCATCCAGCCTGTGTTTTCTTATAATAGGAAACAAATAGCAAGGAAATACATGCAGGAGATGAAGTAAAAGCAGTGTTAGGTAAAGATGGGTACTGAGTGATTGCTTTTATGTTAACATAAGGAAGCTGAGGGTTAAATTAATGAAACATTTGGTGGAAGGTAATTATAGCAACTCTGATACTAATTTTATTTTAAATGTTTTGTGTGCATTTGTACTAGCACCAGGTTTTCTCAGCACCCTGTTGTTTCCATTTTCTTTGATAAATATCCTCTTGTGGTTTCTAAATCCTGTCTCTGCAAGAAATATTACATAGTTAATGTTTGCATTATTGAAAGAAAATAAGAGTATAATGATGAGGTAATATGGCAAAGGGCATGCTGGTGTTCAGTGTCACTCAGCCTGCTTCTTGAATTTCCACAGAGCAGATGATTCAAATCCAGGTGTGTTTTCTGAAATATATACAGATAGAATTAATAATCACTAATCCAGTATAAAACATCTGCTAAATGCCTTTTGAGCCATATTCCAGGAAGTACAGATTCGGACTTTTTCCATATATAGTCCACTCATTTCACCTCTATAGTAAAGCTGGATATTGGTATCTGTACACTCTGGCAAAACCCTCAGATTTTAGTTGTGAGCAAGAGTTATAGAGTGGCATTAGAAAGCATGGTTAGTGCTAATCATGCTATGTAGCAATTTGGCAAGTAGTCTTCTAAAAAAAAAATTTTTAAAAAGCATACTTATATGCTTGAAATAGTTCTGGAGCCTCAATTTAATGGTTAAACCTCAAGCATTCTTGCAAGGTTAAAGTATTATTTGAGCCCAAAATAGCGTAAGTACATATGGAGCTGTATCCAGATGAAGCAAATGGTTTTGTTACTTATTCATTTATTTATTTTTTATTCAGTTGTACCTTAAGTAGATCTGGTAGTTTGTAACTCTTCATAATTTAAAAGTGACTTTTATATAAGCATTGCATTTCTAACTATCTTAATCATAATGAAAAATACTGTGCTTAATGTATTTAGTAGCTTTTAGTGGAGAAACAATTCCTTATCAAGTCAGATGTGGATTAACATCCACAGGAAAAGCAGTCTGTTCTCTGCAATGCTTTATACCATGTTTACACTAAATTCATAATGTTTCTTTTTTGCATTCTTTTAAGTTAGATAAATTGAATTTGGTACAGTTTATCATTAATTGCCTAGATGGTAGTAAAACAGGTGGTCTTTTTTGAAGCAGTCCTCAAAGTACTCTAGGTCTGTTGATTACTTAAAGTAGCTAAAATGGAAATACATTGCTGGAAAAGAAAGTTAATTCCTTAGCCTTAATAAAACCTTTTTATATTTACTGACCTTTAATATGAAATCAGATACCTTTCCTTAGCTGGTTTAAATCTAGGTCCTCTTTTGGACTATTGTTTCAGGTTGAATTTCCCTGAAAGCAGACACTCTGAAATGGAAATCTGAGCACAGCAAATTTACTAGGGAGGCCTCTTGGGACCAATGCCATGTAAAGGAAGAAAGCCAGATTTCCATGGGAGAAGTTGGACTGTGATACAGTTTCAGTAACCCACACGGAGAGCTCTGAAGCTGGGATGGTCCCTCAGAGTTGTCTCAAGTTGGGGTGAGAGGAGCTGGACGTTTATATCCCCAATCATTAGATGCAAGCTGCCCCAGGAAGGAGTATGATCTTGGGCCGAAGTGACTCCTTTTTGCTAGGTAATTCCCAAAGAGGGCTGACAGCTGAGGGCTGTCTGCCAGCAGTACTCCAATAGCTAGGAAAATAAGCCCTTCAGTTATGATGTGGGATCTGGATAAGGAATATAGCATCTACTACAGTTATATTTATTCATTCATTTGACATATTTATTGACCACCTACTGTGTGCCAGATTTCCAGGCACCAAAGGTGCAAAGTTGGGCAGGAGGTGAAACCTGTCGTTAAAGAACTCAGAGTAGAGTAGAAGGATTAAATATACTTTCTTATTTTCTCAGTTATTACCATCCCCTTTGGGATGTTACTTCCCACCTCATTTCCAGTGGTCCATTATCACCCTGCCTCAATGCAAAGAACTCTTTTAGATGTTTCTCACAGCTTCTTTTTGTAATACTAGTACAGCAATGAGAAGGAGAAGGGGAAGGGAAAATTTAATCCAGTTTCAAATTATAGTTACTTTCACAGAAGTAACTGTAGAAAAGCTTCCATGTTCAGCCTTGCTTTCTCCACCTAGTCCTTGTTCCTCACTCTGCTTTGGTTTTTCAGCATATACAAGAGAGAACTAAGACAGGAAACCCCTCTTAATTCCATGGACACACCCCAGTGCCTCGACTTTTAAAAAATCACCCTTCAGACACTTCTAAGTTTCTTGCCTTCCTCTCCCCTGTCACCTCTATTTCCATCCTTGTCCTAAGGGATTGTATGAACATGCTTTTGGAGTTTGTAGTCTGGGGTTTGGGATGGGAGGGGTACAGGAGAGCGGGCAGTGTTTAGTCTCACATCCTGGTGGGTGAGAAGATTAGAGTCATGGCTGGTGAAAGTAAGTCCCAGTTTTCTAGTTCCTGGAATTTTGGTGGGAATTATTTCTCCCAAGATCTTCCCAACCTAGAACTCTGGATATATATTTCAATGAATTCTTTGTGCTAAATGCTGATGGTTATATAACACAAATTAGGTATATATTTTGGCTATATTTAAATAAACTGGCTTGAGAATCTTAAAACTTGTTTTTATGGGAAAATACATTGCTATTTCTAAACATTTGACTTACAGAAAACAAACTGAGAATATATGCGTTCTTGGTCAGGATTTATTTACTTTAGCTTCTTTTTTCTTAAGCAAGGCTTAAACTAATTTTTTTCCAGAGAGAGCAGAAAAAAAAAAATCCAACATATAGATGTTGTAAAAACCATTTATACACAAATATAATGCAGTAACTTTCTTTTTGGTAGATTTTACAAGTAGAGTTTGGAGCCTTTGTGCCAGTAGGTGGGTGGGTGGGTGGTTGAAAGCAAACATGTATTGAATACCTAAATTGGCCAGCCCCTTTTACTTAATGAACAATTGGCTGTTCACAGATGAGGAAAACTAGACTTAGAAATGTCTAATTGTTTACTCTCAACTCCACAAGTTAATTAGTGGAATAGCAAGGATTTGATCCTAGTTTCTTGGCTTTCTAGGAGAGGTTTTTAAACAGTGAACTTGATTGCAACCGCAAATTCCATCATCACTTTGAGGGCTTCCTGACTCACTCTAAAGATGTTTCCTCCAAGAAGACAGTACTATAACACAGATGCACTGCTTCAGCTATGTTCTACATTATAAGTTCCTTGAGTTTCAGGACATTTATCGTGCTTTATGACCGAAAATGTAGATGTTCCATACAGTGTTTGGGCTTAGCTCCATGGTAGCATTCAGGAACTGGACTCCTTCCATAAAAGTGATGGTGCTGTCTTAAGTGTGTGGCTTCTAAGTCTTCCATGAAAGGAAACAAGAGCATGAAATTTATTTTTTGTCTGCATTTTCAATTTTTTTATATACCCTGATGGCAAAGCAACATCTAACATACTAGTGCCGAGTACTTAGAGCATGCCCATTAATGAGGAAAAGAGTAATGAAAGGAGCAATATATCTTTCCTGGCCTTGCAAGTTGATTCCTATGTATAGAGAAGAAAATAATTTATCCTAAGTGTTTTTTCAAGTGAACATTTTAAGTATAGCTAACTATATCTTATATGTAAGAAACTGAGTAAGCTAATTGACTAGTCATATTTCCTATTTGTATAGTTGGTTGAATCACATCTGTTAAGTGTGTATGCCTTCTACTACAAAAGAAACCAGTTTATTCATTGACTTATTAAATATTCACTTTCTGACGATGGGAATCTAGTGGGAGAATAGGTACTTGAATAGGTTGTGTTTAGATGTAAAATTTTATGAGTTTACTATCTTGATTTCCTTCTAAATAATCAAAAATTAAATTTGGTTTTATATGAATAATATTTTATTAAATTCTGATATTTGAATATTGATACTTTTTAAAGAATGCTGTGCATGTATAATACATGCATATATTTATATGTATTCTACAAAATACAGTTTTAAATATAAATATGGTTTTTCTGACTCTATTGGAGACAATGAAAAACTTCCTTGAAATGGTTTGCTAGGATTGGTTTTATTTGTAACCCATGATTTAAACAAACTGATTCGATTAAGATGTAAGAGTGTTCATGTTGTTTTTGTGTATTTTAAAAATTTATGTTATGATCCAGAACAGTGACTAATGAATAAAACTCTATTTTAAATATTTAGATTTCCTATGTAAATTAGGCTCTATTTTAAGTTCTTTGGAAACATATCTTGATAGATAAATTGCTGAGTATTAGTTCTCTCATTTTCTCTGCACTTCAAAAGTCCTTTGTTCTTCAAATATTTGGCATACATGCATAAACTTTTCCTTTAGTAACTACTTTTTTATTTTTGAAATTTTCAAGAAGTACAATTTACATGAACTGTACAAAACACAGGTGATAACTTTGATAGCACTCAAAATTTCAGAAGAAATGTCCCAATCTGCTTTAAGAAGGACTTGTAGTCACCGATAAATTTATAAATCTGGTTTGTAAACTTAGAAAGTCACAAATAATATACAATTTTAAAACACAGAATCTTTTATTGGATTAAATAGATCTTTTCATGACATTCATGAAAATGTTTTATTGAAATTCTAGTATTTATTCCTAGCCTAGGTCATTATGAAGTTTTAATTTGATTATCATTTTGATGCTTAATTTCGAATCTGGACACATATAACTTTGTTTTGTTTGTTTTGTTTTGTTTTGTTTTTGAGAGAAGTCTCACTCTTGTCCCCCAGGCTTGAGTGCGATGGCTTGATCTCGGCTCACTACAACCTCCACCACCCAGGTTCAAACAATTCTCCTGCCTCTGCCTCCCAAGTAGCTGGGATTAAGGCGCCTGCTACCACGCCCGGCTAATTTTTATATTTTTTAGTACAGACAGGGTTTCACCATGTTGGCCAGGTTGGTCTCAAACTCCTGACCTCAGGTGATCCGCACGGCTCAGCCTCCCAAAGTGCTGGAATTACAGGCATAAGCCACCGCACCTGGCCACAACTTTTTTATATGAAATACTAGAAAGGAATTACAGCTTTTTTTTTTTTTGTGGTGCAAACCATGTAGGTTTTTCAGGGTTTAGACCTCTGACACAAAATATTGATATTTACTACAGTGTCTGTCCTAAGTGCAGCTCCTTAGAGACATTCAGAGACTTGGCTTCCTCAGTTTGTGGCTTCCAAGTCTTCCATGAAAAATGAGACAGCACAGAGGATCATGGAAGAAGTTTCAGAAACCAGGCCTAGAAGTGCATATATTACTTCTGCCCATAGATCTTTGGACAAAATATTTTCAAATGGCTTTACCTAACTGCAAAGGCTGAGATATGTAGTTTAGCAGTACTTTTATGGAAGAAGAGAGGCACACCAATATTAATGGACACTGGCAGTCTCTATCATATATTTATAATTGCTCTTTCACAAATGTCTCTATATTCCTTCTCTTTCCACCTCTGTGATAATTGGTATTCTCCAGGATTTCATCCTTGTCCTATTGTTCTTTCTCTACATATTTTCCTAGGGCATCTTATATACTTTTGAGTCTGAACTACCCTTACAAGGGTGTTTCAAATCTGATTATTCAAATCTATGTCTCTAGCCCTGACTAATTTATACATCCCATCTGGCAGGTAGACATAGCCATTTGGATCTTCACAGACATCTTGAACTCAACATTTCTTGCTTTTTTCCCTTCTTCCCCAGTCCCTGAACGTCATCTGTAATGTGTCCTCTTTCCTTGTTTTTATTTGCTGTTTCTGATATTGCCATGTTCCCAATTCCCATGCTATAAATCTGGCAGTGGTCTTAACTTCCTGTTTCTCTCTCATCTCCTGCATCTAATCAACTACCAAGTTTAGGCAGGTTTTATCTCCTAAATATTTTTTCAATCTATCTCACCTTTTTCCTGCTAATTTCTACACCTCTGTTTTAGACCCTCTTGACCTCTTGCCTTGATACTAGCAATAACTTTGCCTCCAGCCTTGCCTTCTTCAGATCCATTTCTCCTCACTGCAGCTAAAGCAGTTTATTAGTAATGCACATTGAACATGTCATTCTCTTATTCGGACCGTTTTCTACTGCCTTAGTGACGTGCCCAACTTCCCTCTTCCCTCTTCTGACTGTATGCTTTGTCTTCCAGAATTAGTCTTTTTTCCTATATACATTTTTACCTGTTTTATACCTCTGAGTTCTTGATCAGAGCCTTTGATCATACTGATCATACTGTTTATATTCTGCCTGAAATGCTTTTCCTAGCTTTTTAAAAATCTTGGTGACTTTTTTAATCTTTCAGTACTCAGCTAAAGCATCTTGCCTCATCTCTGGTTTTCTATAAATCCTTGCCTAATTATAAACTCCTCAAGAACAAAGATTATGTTTTATTCATCTCTATATTCTTAGCATTTAGCACTGTGGCTTGCAAATACAAGTGTCTCCCTTTCCACCTCCCCACCCCTACCCACCAAAAACCACAAAATGACTTAATCTTTAAGGATACTTGATTACTCTGTTTGGATTTTAAGAGTTCTATGTGCTTGAACCATAATCACATTTCTTTTGGTGAAGAAAAATAAACCAATGTTTATCTTTAAATTGATTACATTTTTTTTTCCTCTGACCATGCTAGAATGAAAGGTTATAAGCTAAGAAAAACTATTTTCTCAAATACTGGGATTTGTGGAAAACTTATATAACTTGAGAGTAGGGTAAGCACACATAGTTATTACAGACCATCTGGTGTCTGCTTTATTGGAAAGAAGCTTTTACTAAGATTTACTCCTCTCAAATAATTAATTTATTATTTTCAGTGATTGGAGATCAAGTAGGTGAAATCAAAATATAGAAAATTTTGCTAATAATGCCCATTTTGTTGCTTGGTATACTTTTAAATATACTACTTTATTCCAGTATGCATTTGAAGCAAGAAATCCATTTTGTGTTTTCTAATGACTTTAGAATATTTCTGTTTAAGGTAGAGATTTTCTAAATATTTTGATATGAGTTGAAAATAAGTTTTTGTTTACTGTTTTATTTAGAGTTGACAAAAATATTTTGAAGTGTTACTTACAACTAGACAGTATTTGAAACGATTCCTTAATTCCATGGGTTTTTGTTGTTGTTGCTCCATTATGCTTTTAGTATACAGTAGAACTCAAACATTCAAGAAGAATGTTATCTGAGACTCTATAGGTCCCACTATAATTAACTAATCCTCATTTTGTATAGATCTAAAACTTCTATTTTTCTGGTTCAAAGAATCATTGTTTTCTCAAGACCTCCTCACTTTCATGACAAGCACTAATGATTGGCTTTTTGAGAAAGACCATATTTTTATTTTAAAAAAATTGTAAATTTTTACTGCATTATTAAAGACTAGTGTAAAACTATAAAGCTCCATTGCCTTGATGAGTGGGTGACTGGATTCACTAGCTAAATGACTGTAAAACTTTATCATAGTTCTTTATTAATAAAGTTACGAATATCAGGGACCTGTCTATCTTTTATTGTTCAGGAGGTAGAGCAGTGTCTTAGTCTGTTTTCTGTTGCTACAACAGAATACCTGAGATTGAGTGATTTATAAAGCTTATATATTACAGTTCTGGAGGCTGAGAAGTCTGAGGTCTAGGAGCCGCATCTGGTGAGAGCCTTCTTGCGGATAGGGGCTCTGCAGAGTCATGAAGTGGCACAGGCCTCACATGGAGAGAGGCTGCATGAGAGACACCCACACTGGCTCTTATAACAGACTCACTCTTGTAATAGCTAACCCACTCCCTCTATGACCCATTAATCCATTGATTCATGAATGGGTTAATCCATTCATGAGGGTAGAGCCCTCATGACCCAATTACCTCCCAAAGGTCCCACCTCACAGTATTGCTGCACTGGGGACTAAGTTTCCAACACATGAACTTTTGTGGGAACGTTCAAACCACAACAAGCAGTAAAGAGAATGCTGAGAATGGAAACACCCACTGTCTCACACTAGGTGAATCTCCTTAAAGCATGGTTTTCTTGTATTTTTATCCATCTTGAAATTCTTCACTAACTTTTTTGGTGTAGGATAGTCAGTAGACTTAGCACTCTGTGGTTCTACCACAGGTTGCTCTTTACCTACTTTTCCAAACTTTTTATTTGTTCACAAAATAATTGTGTTTACTATGTACTATGCACTGTGCAAAGTTCCCAGGTATGAAGCTAAATAAGAAAGATGTGATTCCTGTCCTCCTAGACTTGCCTCATTGGGATCTAATTAAATGAAAGAGCTTCTGCACTGCAAAAGAAATTATGAACAGAGTAAATAGACAACCTACAGAATGGGAGAAAATATTTGCAAACTCTGTATCTGACAAAGGTTTAATATCCTTTGTTCCTTTGAATCTTCAAGGAAGTTAAACAAATCAATAAGCAAAAAACTAATAACCCTATTAAAAATGAGCAAAAGACAGGACATTTTGCTCATTTCTCAAGAGAAGACGTACAAGAAACCAACAAACATGAAAAACTGCTCCAAATCACTAGTCATCAGAGAAATGCAAATCAAAACCACAATGAGATATCATCTCACACCAGTCAGAATGGCTATTATTAAAAATAAGTAAAAAAACAGCAGACGCTGGCGAGGCTGTGGAGAAAGGGGAACACTCATACACTGTTGGTGGGAATGTAAATTAGTTCAGCCACTGTGGAAAGCAGTTTGAAGATTTCTCAAAGAACTTAAAACAGAACCACCATTCAACCCAGCAATTCCATTACTGGATATATACACAAAAGAAAATAAATCATTCTTCCAAAAAGACACATGCACTCAACATATTCACTGAAGCTCTATTCACAATAGCAAAGACATGGAATCAACCTATGTGCCCATCAGTGGTGGACTGGATAAAGAGAATGTGGTACATATACACCATGGAATACTATGCGGCCATAAAGAAGAATGAAATTATATCCTTTGCAGCAGCATGGATGCGGTTGGAAGCCATTATCCTAAGCGAATTAACACAGGAATAGAAAATCAAATACCACATGTTCTTACCTATAAGTGGGGGGTAAACATTGGATAATTATGGACATAAAGATGGCAACAATAGAAACTGGAGTCTACTAGATGGGGGATGGAGGGACGGGGCAAGGGTTGAAAAACTATTGGGTACTATGCTTAGTACCTGGGTGATGGGATCATTTGTACCCCAGACTTCAACATCACACAATATACCCAGGTAACAAACCTGCACATGTATCCCCTGAATCTAAAATATGAAAAAAAAAATTAGTAATCTTATAAGCTTCAGTACACAAACCAAGTTTTTATTCATACACAAATATACTCCTTGTTCATATACTCACAGGAAATATGATGGTATATTAGACCTTCAGATGGATTTTTGCAATTAGGCGCATCTGGCTATTGAGTAAATGAATCCAGTGCCTTTTTTTGGTTTTTCCCAGATACTGATACAAGTCAGTATTCATAAGGTATATGAAATGAGATAAAATGAGTTTACTGAAGATTAATTCTGAGGCCAAAGTTATTCCTTTACTTTTTAGTGTAGTTTTGGAATTATTTTAGAAGAGATAACATTATTGCTTATATTTTCAGTAGAATAAATATGAGTTCCTGATTCTAGGAATACTTACACGTACAAACACACATATGAAGAATAATCCTACTACTTTTGGTATTAGGGGAAAGGGGCTGGGAAGAATGGTTGCAATATTCCATACTTATCATGGAAAACATATTTTCACTAAGACGGAAATCTTTGAAGCTTCTTTGTTCTGTTTTGCTAGTCATACCTCCATGTATTCATTATTCCTATCTCAAACCACTTTAATTCTTGGCCCAGAAACTACTTTTAATTTAATAGACATGGCAAGTGGCCTGAAAAATAAAAGTAATTCTTTTTTTCCATACCATATTTTAGTGTTACTTGGTTGAAAACTTCGCTTTGTGTGGTCTGATAAATACATTGATATTTAGGTTGAAAATGTACAGTGACTACATTTCAGTAATTTTTTTCACTTACAGGTTTTAGAAGTATTGTTTTTCCTCTGTGCCAGCAGTTATGGTGATTTGTAGTTATGCTATAAAAGCTTAAGGTTTGGTAGTAGAGAAAGAAGGTTTGCAGAGATACCTAAGCCAGTTATTTCAGAACTACAGCTCAATCTTTGACTGGACTTGTGATATTGGGAAAAATTGCCAACAAAAATAACATTGTAGATATTCATCCATGTTTTAGCATTGCTATGTATCACAGTTCCTTTCTAGATTGTCTCTAGTACATAAAAGTATCTTTTTCTTTTTGGCAGGTAATATAACATTACAAAGCGAGATGGGTAACATCACAGTAGGTACGTACTAAGCTACTAGTTCGTGTATTTTGTCCACTTTTAAAAATGGGTATATTTGTGATGACTTTATTAGAATAAATGAATTCTACAGTTTAACTGATGAACTTGACAGGATCACAAGTCAAATATAGGCAGAACCAATGTACTAATTATGTCCACTCGAAGAAAATTGCCTGAGCTGGTATTAAGAAATGTCTTATATTTCTTGCTAAACTTCTCTGAAGAAAAAAAAAAGAAAGAAAAAAAGATCTTACAAATTTCTTGAATTCTTCAAATATCTAAATTAAGTCCTTGAAAGAAAGATATAAATAATGTCACTGTTTATTGGGCTCCAAATGTGTTAACATTTGAAGACAACCTTGTGAATACCAATAACTAGTTAGTCAACATGTATTTATTGAGTACCTGCCATGTATTAAGAATTCTTTTAGGTACTAGGGAACATATTGGTCAACAGGACATAGTTTCTGTGCTCAGAGACTTCACCTTCTCTGAGCCCTGGGAAGAAAGACAACAAGCATATAAATAACAAAAGGTAATTTTAGTTTGTGGTAAGTACAATGAAGAAATAAGAAAGGGTAACTGAATAGAGATTGGGGAAAAAGAAAGCTACTTCAGTTAGGCAATTGGGGGTGGTCTGGAGAGGGTACATTTAAACCAAAGCCAGAAAAATGAGAAAGAGTTATATAAAATTCTGGATACAGGCTCCCTAGATAGAGGAACAGCAAGTGCAGGCCTTGAAAATGGAAGTTTACTATTTTCAAGGGAAAGAAGGCTGGCTTATGAGGAAAGTGGTAGGATATGAGGTAAGTAAGGCTAGATCTTAGGACCTTGTAGACAGGGTAAGAGTTCAGACTTTATTCCAACTACAACAGGATGTTAGGGAAGTGATATATAATTTATATTTTAAAAGAACAATCTAGCTGTTATTTCATAATGTACCAGAAGGGTTCAGAAGTGAAAGCAGGCTATTAGAAGGCTTAATTTGTTCATTCTACTGTTGATGGACACCTGGGCTATTTCTAATTTTTTGGCAACTGTAAATAAAGCTGCTATGAATATATTAATGTAAGTCATTTTATGGATGTATATATATTTTTCCTCTTGGGTAAATACTTAGGTATGGCATTGCTGAGTTGACTAGGTAGGTTCTATGTTTAACTTTATGATAAACTACCAGACCTTTTCCCAGAGTTCCACTTTATACTCTCATCAACAATGTATGAGAATTTCAGTTGCTCCACATCCTCATCAACATTTATTATTGTCAGTTTTAAAATTTTTTTATATCATCATTTGTTGAAAAAACTTCCTTTCTCTGATGGATTACTTTAGCATCCTTGTCTAAAATCAAATGACTATATAAGTGTGGCTCAATGTCTGATCTCTTGTTCCTAATTCATTGATTTATTTGGTGAGCCTTATGCCAGTGCCACAATATCATGATTACTGTAACTTTGGTAAGTCTGTAAATCAGGTAGTTGAAGTCTTCCAAATTTGTTCCTTTTAAGGATTACTTTGGATATAATAGGTCCTTTGATTTTCCAGTCAGTTTCTACCAAAAAATACAGTTTTGATTATGTTTGGGATTGCACTGAATCACATTGTATCTTCCAATTAATGAACATGGTAGGTAGCTCTCTCCATTTATTTAGGTCTTCTTTAATTTTTCTCAGCATTGCTTTGTAAGTTTCAATGTAGAGGTCTGGCACATTTTTTTGTTAAATTCATTTGTGTTTTTAACACTGTTATAAATGAGACAGTTTTTAAGACTTTGCTTCTAATTGTCTACTGCTGATATATGTAAATACAAATGATTTTTATAAATGGACCTTGTATCTTGTGACCTTGCTAAATTTATTCTAATAGCGGTTTTCTCAAATCTAGAATCCTTTTCTAGCTGAGCAGACATTTTCAACTGCAAATAGAGTTTTACCTCTTTCCCTCCTATCTTTATTACTTTTCTTTTTCTTGCCTTATCAGACTAGCTATGAACTTCAGTATAATGTTGAATGTAGTGATGAGAGTGTGATTCCTTGCACTTGATCCCTATCCTTGTCCCCAATATTAGGGGGAATGCATTAAGTGTGATGTTAGCTATAGATTTTTAACAGATGCCTTTTATCAGATTGGGAGAGTAATCTTTTATTCCTTGTTTGCTTAAAAGTTTCTCCTTTTTTACTTTCTTTGATCGTGAATGAGTGTTGAATTTTGTCAAACACATTTCCTGAATTTATTGAAATGATCATTTTTCTTTTATTAATATGACCAACTATACTGACTGATTTTTCTTTTAACATTATTTACTTGTTTATTATTTTAAAAAATAGAGACAAGGTCTCACTTTGTTACCCATACTGGTCTCAAATGCCTGGCTTCAAGCAGTTCTCCTACCTCAGCCTCCTAAAGTGCTGGAATTACAGGCATAAGCCACCACACCTGGCCCTTTCTTTAAAATATCTATCATTTACTCAGTGCCCATGTGCCAAGCACTGAGCTAATCACGTTACAATGTAGATTTATTTTGGTTTCTTTTGTGGTGTGGTTTTTTTTTTGGCTTTTGCTGACTTTATTGAGACATAATTGACAAAACCGTATATATTTAAGGCATACATGCAATATAATGATTTGATATACATATATACTGTGGAATGATTTCCACAGTCCGTTTAGTTAACATATCTGTCACTTCACCTCATTACCATTTTATGTGTATGATGAAAATGTTTAAGATTTACTCTCTTAGCAAATATCAAGTTTACAATACAGTATTGTTAATTACAGTCACTGTGCTATATATTAGATCTACAGGACTTTCTCCCAGATCCATAGAATTTCTCCATTATGTAAACTCCAAAAGAATGAAATTCTGTGGATGAAGCCTTAATTTTACTCTTGATAATTAATTTTAGTTCTGATAATTTGTGTTAAACAAAAAAAATAGGAGGGCTTGTTTTGCTGCATAGTTTTAAAATATCACCTTTGCCTTCTTTCTTGAAAACATCTTGCGTTTTCATTTTTTTATTTTTTAACAGCCTCCAAGGGATGAGCCATCATTAGAGATCAATACAGATAACACGAGGATATAATTACTTTGTGGCCTAGGATATAATTATTTAGCTGTCATTTATTTCTCATTTGGAGGGAAAAATAAATGAAAGTATTATTTATGAGCCACATAAAAATTCTGTGTTTTTTTTCCCTCCTTGAGAAAGCGAGAAATCACACTAATGTTTCAGCTATTTTACTTTGTTCAAACTGGAATAATACACACCTTGTGTATTACGCTTTTCTTTTTTTTAGCATAATGTAATTTTTACTTGGCTTCTTTTAGGATGCGGTAAGAGGTTTAAAAAGGAGTTTCTGTTGGTACGTAAGCAGTGAAATGTTCATTTTGTCCAGTTATTCTGTGTCATTTATCTCTAGTGTTTTCATTTCCCAATGTCAGTGTTAACTTTTGACACTTGAAAACTAAATAAATTGAGTCTGATAAAGGGCATTTTCCAGTATAGATTGGAAATAAATTATTATAAATGATCTTGGAGCCAGATTTTAAAGTTTATTCCAAATTTACTGTCTTTGTTTGAAGTCAGTTAACATTTTTTTAAAAGAAAAATGTTGGCTCCTATATACACACACACACACACACACACACACACACACACACACACACAAATGTTTTCTCTCTCTGTTTTGTAAACAGTATAATTTTTGGCATAGTTTTCACCACACTCCCTACTTTGTTTCCACTTTGAAGTAATAAAACCTCCTGATAAAATATGCTTTTTAAGAGGCCTCTCTAAAAAGAATATGCTTTGGCTTTCTCCAGGCAGTCAGATAGAATATTAAATTAAAGATTCAATTGCCATGGGAGAAAGAGAAGAAGGAAAAACCACTTAGCACTAACTCTTCAAGTTCATTTCCTTACTTCCTTATTTTGACTGTTTTCCCTTGAACTTGAGATACTGGTTGATTCAAAAGTGGGGTCATCGACCACATAGGGAAATTTGAATGACAAATCAGGGTTATCTTAATTATTATTTTCTTATCCTCACTTAAAGATACCTGTTCAATTCCAGAAACTTGAAAAGAACTATTAGATATAAACAAGCTATTCTTCAAATTATTCCACCCTGCCCTTCTGCCCCTTAAAGAAATGCAGCAAGCCAGGAACAGTGGGTTTGTGCCTGTAATCCCAGGAGTATCGCTTGATCCCAGGAGTCAGAGACCAGCCTGGACAACATAGCAAGACCCTGTCTCTAAAAAAAAAAAAAAAAAAAAAAAAAGAAATGCGACAACTTTATGTAGAGTAATCTTTTACTATTAGGAGCACTTCTTAGTATCAGCAAATTTGCTACAAGGAGAAATTATGAGAGGTTTTGATTTTTGTCAGCCTTGCTACTGCTTGTATGTGACTATACATGAGGTAGAATTCTTTGGTAATTATTGAAAGTTTACTAAATGTATCAACATGATAAAAAACTAAATATATCAATGATGCTTAGTGGTCAAAGGAACCATTACTTGCAGACTCTCCTTCCTACTCATAAAGTTTTAGAGTAAATGTTTAGAGATAAGTTATTCAGGTTAATATAGATAAAGATTTTTAAATTAGTTGTTTAATAGATTTCTAGGTTTCTGATAACTGTTTACGTTTAAGTGCAAACAATGGCATTGTTATGAGGAAAATACTAAACCTTGCAAGATTCTTAGCCCCTTATCCTAATGCTAAAGCAGAGCCTTTTATTTCAAGTTTGTAATTCCATTTATCAAGTAAGAGTTATTTTACTTATGGTTTTTTCTTCTTCCTAGATTCGTCTTCTGGATGTCTAAAAGCCTCAACTAATCAGGGTGCCATAGATGTTTATGTCAGCCAACTGGGGAAAGTGGAATTGAAATCCCATAAAGGTTAGTGAACTGGAATGTTTTATTTTGACATATGATGTAAGGAAGGTTTATGTAACACTCAGGAAACAGATGGTCAAATTATCTATACTGACATAGTGATTTCAAGAAAATATCTTCTGATAGAACCTAATTTAAAGGCACTGGTCTGCTAGCTTTCTAGACCAGTGATCTTTACAACTTTTGGGATAGATGGCCATGCAGACTATCTTTCCCTTTGTAGTACAAACAAAAATGTAATATTTTGACTGTTATTATGGAATTTTTAAATGTTACTCTGTGGATTTTTCAGTTTATTCTATTCTGAAATAGAATAATCTTTGAAGGAAAAACACTGCCATACACTCTTTTGGAAGCTTCTCTGCCAGCCTGTAAAAGGAACTTCTCAGGCAATCAGTGTAGAGTAACAGTTTTCAAAGTGTGATCCTTAAATAAAGGTATCACACAGAAAGGTCCTCTAAAGTGATTACTTAGTCTCTTGAAGTATCAAGACTTATGATATGTCTCTATCATTTAACTTCTGACACAACTTATTCTGAGTCCAACTCTTTCATTTAAAATGGTATACTTTTCATCTGAAAGATAAATATGAATTTGTCTGTTCTTCTGCACACATGGATGTACACATATGTGTTGACAAGTGGCTTGGGTGAAGTAGGTTGGCCATAGGGGCTGAAGTGGCTTGGCTGCAGAAAGTTAAGAACTGTAGCTCTGTATAAAAAAATTTTTTAAATAGTCTAGCAGCTCTTGCATGTTGGCCAGATGTTTAACAAGGAAAATATTTCCTCACAGAGACTGATTGTTCCTGCTATTAGTAGTTGCTTTACCATATTGATGTAATAGTTTTTTTTAATCCATCTCTAGAATTTGTCAGTGTCAAAACTGCAAAACACAGAGGTCTGAAACCTCAGTTATTGCTGATGCACCGGTGTGACTTCTCAATATCATATTTTCTCCCTTTAAAATAGGATAAACTTATGTCCTCACTAAATCTAAGAGCTTCAGGTAATACGCTTCAGGGAAAATTATAAATGGCATGTAAGTCATATAACTGTACTCCATTATCACAAAGATCCAAAGAGAAGAAGGATATATTGTTAATATAACTAGTAACAGAGTAAGAACAAAGTTTTGAATAAGCAGCTGTTACATACAAATAATTTAATGTTTTGCACAGTAGGCAAAATAAAACAAACAGAAAACTGTAAAACTTTTGAAGATTGTTAGTCTTTATTCATTTAAAATATTTCTTAGTATTATTTGGAATATTGCTGGAACAATATTGGAATAGTATTTGAAACTATTGAAATAGTATTTGATGTTGCAAAATTTGATTAGGATTACAGTTTTATGTTTTCTTCTACTGGGACCATGTTACTGGCAAAAGCTTAAAGACAACTGAAAACAAAGATTTCTGTCTTACTTCAGATCTCCGAATTCTCAATACACTTGGGAACAGTAACTTTTTAAGAGTAATGGAAAGTTATTCAGTAACTCTTTCTTAATGGTTAGCAAAGACATCCAGAATCCATTCCAACTCTGCCACTGTCTTGCTGTAGGGTTCAGAGCCAGCCACTGGAGTCTCTTAGGTCTTCAACATTTTCTGATGTGGAAAAATATATAATGCTTGTTTTCTTTCACCTTATGAAAATTAATATGGTGACCTTCTTAATTCGTTCCAGGCTATGCTTGGGCCTGGGAGTCACACCTGAATCTGAGTACTGACTTTTCCACTTAACATTTTGTCCTTGGGAAAATCACTAATTTTAACATAATATGCCTTCAATAAATGATGCTGTTAGTTCACATTTGAATTTTTAAGAGGATAGTACTGATGTCAACCATGAAGAAGTTAATGATGTGAAAAGAGGTTAAAGAACACAACAAGAGCCCTCCTTTCTAAAAAAGTGTTAAAGATGGGACATTAGGAAGGTTTTCAAGTCATGAAAATTCTTCATTCACAAACAGTAATGGAGTTTTGGTAGGTGGTTTTTGGCTTTTAAAGATGTGGAGGGAGATGGGGTAGAAATCTTTGCATTGCTTAACATTTCTAAAGATCTGAAAAATTTAAGATCATGTTATGCATTTAAGAACAGAGACAAGTGTTCATAAAGTTAGCACACTTGAAACTTGATACATTTAGACATATCAAGCCCTACAAAAAAGTTTTTTAAATCCATGATTTTCTACTTTTGAAAGTATGTTTGGTAGAAAAACGTGTCCTCTATTTATCCTGAAATCTTCCAGGGTTGTTTTTGTTTTGTTTTTTCCTAAAGCCCTCATATGTTGTTATGGGAATCTCCTGTCTGTAGTTTACATTTGAACCCTGGAAAGAAATTTGGTTTTTTGTTTTTGTTTTTGAGACAGGGTATCACTCTGTCACCCAGGCTGGAGTGCAGCAGCAAGGTCATGGCTCAGTGCAGCCTCATCAGGATCGCCTAAGCTTGGGAGGTCAGCCTTCCAGGTAGATGAGACTACAGTTGTGCACCACCACACCCAGCTTTTTTTTTTTTTTTTTTTTTTTGAGCTGGGGGAGGTAGAAACAGGGTTTCACCATGTTGTCCAGGCTGGTCTCGAACCCTTGAGCTCAAGCAATCCACCTACCTTGGCCTCCCAAAGTGCTGGGATTACAGCCACAAGCCACTGTGCCTGGCTGCAATTTATTTCTTAATAAAATAAACTAGTTCTAGTAATATGCATTGTTCCCTAATTTTTTTTAGAATAGAACAGTTCATCATGTTTATCTCAAACTTCTAGCTCCAGTTAGGAAGACCAAGAAATTACTTAAGGAAGCTTAAGCTGATGTTAGCCAGATTGGAAGGAAAACCACGACCCATAAGTAAATGCATTCTAAACCCCATCCTAACTATCTTTGTCCACAGAGGTGGGGTTAATGCTTTATGGCAGGGGCCTTTTACCTACTTTATTTAATGAAAAACAGGAAGAAAAACTTCTGAAATAGGAGTGTGTTGGTGAATTTACGCTGCAACCCACATAATTCGAAAAATGATTCCATACCTAACAGAGTACTTTTCCTGATTTACTCCTTTAGAAGCTTGAATTACAGCCAGGTTGTATGGAAATACAGGTTGAGTGTCTTACCTTAGGTATCCAAAAGCCTGTAATCTACTCAAAAGAAACATTAGTGAGTTGGAATTCAAATAATCCTTTTCTATTGTTATTTTTTGTTACACACAAGGCACATCTGAAAGCACAAGAGCTCAGTGTTCTAGTTGTGTTATAATAATGAGGTCACAAGTCCTGTACTACGATGAGGTAGGAGTGTGTGAAATACCATGGTGGTTAAAAGCATGGGCTTTGGGGTGGAGCCAAGATGGCCGAATACGAACAGCTCCAGTCTACAGCTGCCAGTGTGAGCGACGCAGAAGACGGGTGATTTCTGCATTTCCCACTGAGGTACCGGGTTCATCTCACTGGGGAGTGTCAGAAAGTGGGTGCAGGACAGTGGGCGCAGCACACCGAGCGTGAGCCGAAGAAGGGCGAGGCATCGCCTCACCCGGGAAGCGCAAGGGGTCAGGGAGTACCCTTTCCTAGTCAAAGAAAGGGGGTGACAGACAGCACTTGGAAAATCGGGTCACTCCCACCCTAATACTGCTCATTTCCAATGGTCTTAGCAAACGGCACACCAGGAGATTATATCCCACGCCTGGCTCTGAGGGTCCTATGCCCACGGAGCCTCGCTCATTGCTAGCACAGCAGTCTGAGATCAAACTGCAAGGCAGCAGCGAGGCTAGGGGAGGGGCGCCAACCATTGCCGAGGCTTGAGTAGGTAAACAAAGTGGCCATGAAGCTCGAACTGGGTGGAGCCCACCGCAGCTCAAGGAGGCCTGCTTGCCTCTGTAGACTCCACATCTGGGGGCAGGGCACAGCCAAACAAAAGGCAGCAGAAAGCTCTGCAAACTTAAATGTCCCTGTCTGACAGGCTTGAAGAGAGTAATGGTTCTCCCAGCACACAGCTGGACATCTGAGAATGGACAGACTGCCTCAAGTGGGTCCCTGACCCCCGAGTAGCCTAACTGGGAGGTATCCCCCAGTACAGGCAGATGGACACCTCACACAGCCAGGTACTCCTCTGAGACAAAACTTCCAGACTAATGATCAGGCAGCAACATCTGCTGTTCACCAATATCCGCTGTTCTGCAGCCTCCGCTGCTGATACCCAGGCAAACGGTCTGGAGTAGACCTCCAGCAAACTCCAACAGACCTGCAGCTGAGGGTCCTGACTGTTAGAAGGAAGACTAACAAACAGAAAGGACATCCACACAAAAACCCCATCTGTACGTCACCATCATCAAAGACCAAAGGTAGATAAAACCACAAAGATGGGGAAAAAAACAGAGCAGAAAAACTGGAAACTCTCAAAATCAGAGCGCCTCTCCTCCTCTAGAGGAACGCGGCTCCTCACCAGTAACGGAACAAAGCTGGATGGAGAATGACTTTGACGAGTTGAGAGAAGAAGGCTTCAGACAATCAAACTACTCTGAGCTAAAGGAGGAAGTTTGAACCCATGGCAAAGAAGTTAAAAACCTTGAAAAAAAATTAGATGAATGGCTAACTAGAATAATCAATGCAGAGAAGTCCTTAAAGGACCTGATGGAGCTGAAAACCAAGGCATGAGAACTATGTGACGAATGCACAAGCCTCAGTAGCTGATTCGATCAACTGGAAGAAAGGGTATCAGTGATGGAAGATGAAATGAATGAAATGAAGCAAGAAGTTTAGAGAAAAAAGAATAAAAAGAAATGAACAAAACCTCTAAGAAATATGGGACTATGTGAAAAGACCAAATCTACATCTGATTGGTGTACCCGAAAGTGATGGGGAGAATGGAACCAAGTTGGAAAACACTCTGCAGGATATTATCCAGGAGAACTTCCCCAGTCTAGCAAGGCAGGCCAACATTCAGATTCAGGAAATACAGAGAATGCCACAAAGATACTCCTCGAGAAGAGCAACTCCAAGACACATAATTGTCAGATTCACCGAAGTTGAAATGAAGGAAAAAATGTTAAGGGCAGCCAGAGAGAAAGGTCGGGTTACCCACAAAGGGAAGCCCATCAGACTAACAGCTGATCTATTGGCAGAAACTCTACAAGCCAGAAGTGAGTGGGGGCCAATATTCAACATTCTTAAAGAAAAGAATTTTCAACCCAGAATTTCATATCCAGCCAAACTAAGCTTCATAAGAGAAGGAGAAATAAAATACTTTACAGACAAGCAAATGCTGAGAGATTTTGTCACCAACAGGCCGCCCCTAAAACAGCTCCTGAAGGAAGCACTAAACATGGAAAGGAACAACCGGTACCAGCCACTGCAAAAACATGCCAAATTGTGAAGACCATCGAGGCTAGGAAGAAACTGCATCAACTAATGAGCAAAATAACCAGCTAACATCATAATGACAGGATCAAATTCACACATAACAATATTAACCTTAAATGTAAATGGGCTAAATGCTCCAATTAAAAGAGACAGACTGGCAAATTGGATAAAGACTCAAGACCCATCAGTGTGCTGTATTCAGGAAACCCATCTCATGTGCAGAGACACACATAGGCTCAAAATAAAGGATGGAGGAAGATCTACCAAGCAAATAGAAAACAAAAAAAGGCAGGGGTTGCAATCCTAGTCTCTGATAAAACAGACTTTAAACCAGCAAAGATCAAAAGAGACAAAGAAGGCCATTACATAATATGGTAAAGGGATCAATTCAACAAGAAGAGATAACTATCGTAAATATATATGCACCCAATACAGGAGCACCCAGATTCATAAAGCAAGTCCTTAGAGACCTACAAAGAGACTTAGACTCCCACACAATAATAATGGGAGACTTTAACACCCTACTGTCAGCATTAGACAGATCAACGAGACAGAAAGTTAACAAGGATATCCAGGAATTGAACTCAGCTCTGCACCAAGCAGACCTAAGAGACATCTACAGAACTCTCCACCCCAAATCAACAGAATATACATTCTTCTCAGCACCACACCGCACTTATTCCAAAATTGACCACTTAGTTGGAAGTAAAGCACTCCTCAGGAAATGTAAAAGAACAGAAATTATAACAAACTGTCTCTCAGACCACAGTGCAATCAAACTAGAACTCAGGATTAAGAAACTCACTCAAAACCACTCAACTACATGGAAACTGAACAACCTGCTCCTGAATGACTACTGGGTACATAACGAAATGAAGGCAGAAATAAAGATGTTCTTTGAAACCAATGAAAACAAAGACACAATATACCAGAATCTCTGGTATGTCAAAGATACCAGAATCTCTGGTATGCTCTGGTATGTCAAAGCAGTGTGTAGAGGGAAATTTATAGCACTAAATGCCCACAAGAGGAAGCAGGAAAGATCTAAAATTGACACCCTAACATCACAATTAAAAGAACTAGAGAAGCAAGAGCAAACACATTCAAAAGCTAGCAGAAGGCAAGAAATAACTAAGATCAGAGCAGAACTGAAGGAAATAGAGACACAAAAAAACCTTCAAAAAATCAATGAATGCAGGAGCTGGTTTTTTGAAAAGATCAACAAAATTGATAGACCACTAGCAAGATTAATTAAGAAGAAAAGAGAGAAGAATCAAATAGACGCAATAAAAAATGACAAAGGGGATATCATCACCGATCCCACAGAAATACAAACTACCATCAGAGAATACTATAAACACCTCTACGGAAATAAACTCGAAAATCTAGAAGAAATGGATAAATTTCTGGACACATACACCCTCCCAAGACTAAACCAGGAAGAAGTTGAATCTCTGAATAGACCAATAACAGGCTCTGAAATTGAGGCAATAATTAATAGCTTACCAACCAAAAAAAGTCCAGGACCAGATGGATTCACAGCCGAATTCTACCAGAGGTACAAGGAGGAGCTGGTACCATTCCTTCTGAAACTATTCCAATCAATAGAAAAAGAGGGAATCCTTCCTAACTCATTTTATGAGGCCAGCATCATCCTGATACCAAAGCCTGGCAGAGACACACAAAAAAAGAGAATTTTAGACCAATATTCCTGATGAACATCGATGCAAAAATCCTCAATAAAATACTGGCAAACCAAATCCAGCAGCACATCAAGAAGCTTATCCACCATGATCAAGTGGGCTTCATCCCTGGGATGCAAGGCTGGTTCAACATATGCAAATCAATAAACATAATCCAGCATATAAACAGAACCAACGACAAAAACCATATGATTATCTCAATAGATGCAGAAAAGGCCTTGACAAAATTCAACAACGCTTCATGCTAAAAACTCTCAATAAATTAGGTATTGATGGGACGTATCTCAAAATAATAAGAGCTATCTACGACAAACCCACAGCCAATATCATACTGAACAGGCAAAAACTGGAAGCATTCCCCTTGAAAACTGGCACAAGACAGGGATGCCCTCTCTCACCACACCTCTTCAACATAGTATTGAAAGTTCTGGCCAGGGCAATCAGGCAGCAGAAGGAAATAAAGGGTATTCAATTAGGAATAGAGGAAGTCAAATTGTCCCTGTTTGCAGATGACATGATTGTATATCTAGAAAACCCCATTGTCTCAGCCCAAAATCTCCTTAAGCTGATAGGCAACTTCAGCAAAGTCTCAGGATACAAAATCAATGTGCAAAAATCACAAGCATTCTTATACACCAATAACAGACAGAGAGCTAAATCATGAGTGAACTCCCATTTACAATTGCTTCAAAGAGAATAAAATACCTAGGAATTCAACTTACAAGGGACGTGAAGGACCTTTTCAAGGAGAACTACAAACCACTGCTCAATGAAATAAAAGAGGATACAAACAAATGGAAGAACATTCCATGCTCATGGGTAGGAAGAATCAATATCGTGAAAATGGCCATACTGCCCAAGGTAATTTATAGATTCAATGCCATCCCCATCAAGCTACCAATTACTTTCTTCACAGAATTGGAAAAAACTACTTTAAAGTTCATATGGAACCAAAAAAGAGCCCGCATCGCCAAGTCAATCCTAAGCCAAAAGAACAAAGCTGGAGGCATCACGCTACCTGACTTCAAACTGTACTACAAGGCTACAGTAACCAAAACAGCATGGTACTGGTACCAAAACAGAGATATAGACCAATGGAACAGAACAGAGCCCTCAGAAATAACGCCGCATATCTACAACCATCTGATCTTTGACAAACCTGACAAAAACAAGCAATGGGGAAAGGATTCCCTATTTAATAAATGGTGCTGGGAAAACTGGCTAGCCATATGTAGAAACCTGAAACTGGATCCCTTCCTTACACCTTATACAAAAATTAATTCAAGATGGATTAAAGACTTAAATGTTAGACCTAAAACCATAAAATCCCTAGAAGAAGACCTAGGCAATACCATTCAGGACATAGGCATGGGCAAGGACTTCATGTCTAAAACACCAAAAGCAATGGCAACAAAAGCCAAAATTGACAAATGGGATCTAATTAAACTAAAGAGCTTCTGCACAGCAAAAGAAACTACCATCAGAGTGAACAGGCAACCTACTGAATGGGAGAAATTTTTTGCAATCTACTCATCTGACAAAGGGCTCATATCCAGAATCTACAATGAACTCAAACAAATTTACAAGAAAAAAACAAACAGCCCCATCAAAAAGTGGACAAAGGATATGAACAGACACTTCTCAAAAGAAGACATTTATGCAGCCAAAAAACACATGAAAAAATGCTCATGATCACTGGCCATCAGAGAAATGCAAATCAAAACCACAATGAGATACCATCTCACACCAGTTAGAATGGCAATCATTAAAAAGTCAGGAAACAACAGGTGCTGGAGAGGATGTGGAGAAATAGGAACACTTTTACACTGTTGGGTGGACTGTAAGCTAATTCAAACATTGTGGAAGTCAGTGTAGCGATTCCTCAGGGATCTTGAACTAGAAATACCATTTGACCCAGCCATCCCATTACTGGGTATATACCCAAAGGATTATAAATCATGCTGCTATAAAGACATGCACACGTATGTTTATCGTGGCACTATTCACAATAGCAAAGACTTGGAACCAACCCAAATGTCCAACAATGATAGACTGGATTAAGAAAATGTGGCACATATACACCATGGAATACTATGCAGCCATAAAAAATGATGAGTTCATGTCCTTCGTAGGGACATGGATGAAGCTGGAAACCATCATTCTCAGCAAACTACTGCAAGGACAAAAAACCAAACACCGCATGTTCTCACTCATAGGTGGGAATTGAACAATGAGAACACATGGACACAGGAAGGGGAACATCACACACCGGGGCCTGTTGTGGGGTCAGGGCAGTGGGGAGTGATAGCATTAGGAGATATACCTAATGTTAAATGACAAGTTAATGGGTGCAGCACACCAACATGGCACATGTATACATATGTAACTAACCTGCACGTTGTGCACATGTACCCTAAAACTTAAAGTATAATAATAAAAAAAAAAGCATGGGCTTTGTAATTATTGAGCTGAGTCTAGGTTCCAGCACGAGCACTAGTGGGAACTTGAGCAAGTTCTTATCTATAAAATCGGGGCGATAATAATACCTCATAAAGTTAATATGGGGATTAAAACATAATGTAATTAGGGGTCTGGCTCATATTAAATGCTCAATGGCAAATCCTATCTATAAGCTACATGTGTAGTAAATTACTCACTTTCTGGTGTTGGATGAGCTGTGTAGGACTATTGGCAAAAGCAGATCTAGTAGTTAATAATGTGCTAATAACCCATATTCTTGACAGAAGTTACTGTGAATGCCGAGAGTAAGGAAACTTTGGGCACCTGGGAATAAGGAAAAGGTTTAAATAAATACTGTATGCTGAGGAGTAAAAACAGTGTCTCAGGAGCAATGCTACCCTGTCAGTCAAATTTATAATAGACTCTGGTACTTTTGATTTCTTTATATTACTAAGCTCTCCATTATATTTATTACAGGTTCTATTATTGTCAAGGTCCCATCTTCACTTCAAGCTCATTTACAGTTATCAGGGAAAGAGGTTGATGTGAACTCAGAAGTCCATGTTCAGGAAATGGCTGAAGCTCGTAAAGATGATGTTGTAACAGTGACTGGTAAGGAGGCTGCATTTTGCTCTGTCAGATGAATAGCCATTCTCCATACATAAGTAGAAATGTGGTACACTTAACGGAAATTTTAGCTTTTTTATATTTTTCCATTATTATGTCCTCATGTTTGACATCTTTTTTTCTTCTAGTTGCTTATCATTAATATGATGCAGACATTTTGTTTAAAAAGACCTCATTAAATCATTTAGGAAGACTCATTAGTCCTGTCATTGGGTAAAATTGATTTTTAAATTTTCTAGAAGAGCTGTTTTCTAATTCTCGAACTTAAACTGAATACATATATTATAGTGCAAAATTTAAAACTAACTTCGTGTGACTGGAGTAAATCGGAATTTTGTTTGGTATGTACATTTTAAACTTGCTCTTTCAGAACAACAAATTCTCAGTAGCACAAATGTGAATCGTTTTTGTACATTTTTCATTATATCTGGCTACAGTGGTGGCTGATACTATTTTTTTAAGGTTTGTCATTGGTTGGTTTTTTTGTTGTTTGAGACAGAGTCTTACTCTATTGCCCATACTGGAGTGCAGTGGCGTGACCTTGGCTCACTGCAACCTCCGCCTCCCGGGTTCAAACGATTCTGTTGCCTCACCCTCCTGAGTAGCTGGGACTACAGGCATGCACCACCATGCCTGGCTAATTTTTTTTGTATTTTTAATAGAGACAGGGTTTTACCATGTTGGCCAGGCTACTCTCAAATTCCTGACCTCAGGTGATCAGCCCACCTCAGCCTCCCAAAGTGCTGGGATTATAGGCATGAGCCACTGCACCTGGCCAAGGTTTGTTGTTTTAATGAATAAAAAAATTAATGCTGGTGAAGTTTTCCTTTAAATTTTACCAGAATGGCATCAAGGAGGACATTGCAATTAGACCGTGTATAGGGATGAATGCTACAAGCTAAATCCATGAGATGCCAACTAGAAAAAGGAAGAATTGGGGAGTAGGGGAGGGTGGTCTTCATAAGATCAAATTTCAGTTTTAGGTATTCATTTTATATGTCGTGAAAATTAAGAAAGTTGTCTGTTAAAATTCATAGAATATTAACAAAAAACATAACAGGAATAAAAATAATACCTATACACTCCCAGATATAACTGCATGCCACTTAATGGGCAAACCCATAGTTAAGTGGCAAAAATTTGATGAAAATCTAAGTACAGTCATGCATCACTTAATGACAGAGATACATTCTGAGAAATGTGTTATTAGGCAATTTTGTTGTCATGTGAACATTATAGAGTGAACTTATACAAACCTAGATGGTACAGCCTACTATACACTGAGGCTGTGTAGTAGCCTATTATTCCTAGGCTACACCCTGTACAGCAGGCTACTGTACTGAAAACTGTAGGGAATTGTAACACAATGGTATTTGTATATCTATATATAGAAAAGGTACAGTAAAAATCTGGTATAAAAGATAAAACATGGTACGCCTGTATAGGGCACTTACCATAAGTGGAGCTTGTAGGACTGGAAGTTGCTCTGAGTGAGTCAGTATGATGAGTGGTGAGTGCATGTGAAGGCCTAGGACATTACTACTATAGACTTTATAAACACTGTACAGTTAGGCTACACTAAATTTATTTTTAAGTTTCTTCAATAATAAATTAGCCTTAGTTTACTGTAACTTTTTTACTTTATTTATTCTAGAGATAGCTGCTTTCTCTGTTGCATAGACTGGAGTGCAATTATAGCTCACTATAAACTCAAACTCTGGGCTCAAGTGATCCTTCTGCCTCAGCCTCCCTAGTAGCTAGGTTGCAGGTGTGCACTACCATGCCCAGCTAATTTTTAAAAAGTTTTTAGCAGAGACAAGGCCTTGCTATGTTTCCCAGGCTTGTCTTCAGCTCCTGGCCTTAAGTGATCCTCCCACCTCAACTTCCCAAAGAACATTTTTACTTTATAAACTTACATTTTAAAAAATTTTTTGAGGCTGGGCACGGTGGCTTACGCCTGTAATCCCAGCACTTTGGGAGGCCGAGGTGGGCAGATCGTTTGAGGTCAGGAGTTCCAGACCAGCGTGACCAACATGGTGAAACCCCCATTTCTACTAAAATACAAAAATTAGCCGGGCGTGGTGGCGGGCGCCTGTAATCTCAGCTACTCAGGAGGCTGAGGAAAAAGAATCCCTTGAAACCAGGAGGCAGAGGGTGCAATGAGCCAATATCGCGCCACTGCCCTCCAGTCTGAGCAAGAGCGAGACTCCCTCTCAGAAAAAAATAAAATAAAATAAAAAACTTTTTGACTCTTTTGTAATAATACTTAGCTTGAAACACAAACACACTTTACAGCTGTAGAGATATACTTGTCTATCTTTATTCTGTAAGCTTTTTTCTGTTTTTAAAATTGTTAATTTTTTTAAATTTTACTTTTTAAACTTTGTTAAAAACGAAGACACAAACACACACATTAGTCTAGGCTTTTACTGGGTAAAGAATGTCAGTATCACTTTCACCTCCACATCTTGTCCCACTGAAAGGCCTTCAGGGGCAATAACACACGTGGAGCTGTCATCTCCTGTGATGATAATGCCTTCTTCTGGAATACTTCCTGAAGGACTTGCCTGAGGCTGTTGTATCGTAACTTTTTTTTTTTTTTTTAATAAGCAGAAGATATACACTCTAACGATAAAAAGTATAGTAAATACATAAATCAGTAACACGGTCATTTATTCTCATTATCAAGTATTATGAACTACACATAACATATGTGCTATACTTTTTTATGACAGTGGAGTGGGTTTGTTTACACCAGCATCACCACAAATGCAGGTAGTGCATTGCATTTAAACAACCATTAGGATGGCTACGAAGTCACTAGGTGATAGGAGTTTTTTACCTCTATTATAATCTTATGGGACAACCATCATTTCTGTAGTTCATCGTTGACTGAAACATAATTATGCAGTGTGTGACTGGGTATCAAATATAGTGAGAATCAACTTGTGATCTAATGCTTGAATTTGATAAGGAGCCAAGAGAGTTACCTATTTTTGGTCCCAATAATCTAAAACAATAATACAAGTTTGTTTAACTGTGCTCTGAATCATAGCATAACCAAAATTATTGGCATATGTAAGCATGTTTGAATTATAAGCTAAAGCTATTTTGTCATATTTTTATTCATTTATTCATGGAATCATATGCCTTTCTAAAATTTAGATTGTTTTAAAACTATTCTCACAACTTCAGTCATTATTTCTATGTACATAACTTCCAAGTCAATACATGCAGACCTGATCTCTATTGTTCTTGTGCATTTCTATTCCACTAAACCAGTGCCACCTAAAACTTAATGTTTAAAAACAAAATTATCTTCCCCTAGCCTACCTCTTCCTTCTCCTGTCTTTTCTATTTTTCTTTATTTGCTCAGTTACTCAACAAATGTTTGAGTCAACACTGCCGGAAACTAGGAGTGCAAGGGTAATATAAAGCATGGTCTCACTGCCTTCTGAGGAGCTTACATTCTAGTGAGGAAAGGCAAACCAGAGAATACAGTACAGTGGGATCAATGTTATAAACGTATGTACATTGTACTGTGAGAACACAGGGGTGAGGAAGTGAGAGGAGTCAAATATGGCCAAACTATAGAGAGTAAAGGGGAAAGTGGCATAAAAGTAGGCTGGAGAGTTTGGGAGAGGTCAGATCATATGGGACAGTTTGGATTTTATATTAAGAGCATTGGGAAGCCCTTGGAAGGTTTTAACTTGGGGTTCACATAATCAGATTTTTGTGTTAGAAAGATCACTCTGAATGTTGAGTGGGGATAGATGAGAAAGAACAATGGTGGATGAAGGAGAAAAAAACAACTTTTGCTTTTTAGGAGGTTACTGCAGTAATTCAGCAGAAGGAGTACAGGGGCCTGGACTCCATAGTGAGCTATCTTAAACTCAGCAAATAAATAGGCCTTCAGTAACTTTTGCTTGAATATAAAGATGAATGAATGCTATGAGGAAGATGCATGCTTACCTCATTGGTTATTATGAAGCGCCTTAGCCTACTGAGTTCTTTTTGTGTGTTACTTGTTATTATGGCTTATACTCCGGCCCCACCTCCTGAAGCAGGAAGGGCCAAATCGCAGAATGATGAGTTTATTTCCTGTTCACGGTGGAAGAATCTAGGTACTGATCAAGCATCGTTTTGCAGAGTAGCACAGACTACCCTATGAGGTTGGTCCCCAGATGGATCTGTATGTTGTCTCTGATAGCAAATTAAATCCATTAAAGTAATAATGGACCTCAGGTGAAGAGAGCAGCAGTCTCTGGAGGGAGCTGTGAGTATGAACAGGTGATTGGGTTTAAGAGAAACTTCCATATTTCATTTTGGTTTTAAAACTGTTTGGTACCCAGTCAGCCACAGGCCTTATGTATCAACTGGATGAAATAATTTAAGAGGCCTAGAAAATCAGGGCAGATTGCTTTTTTCTATGGAGATTTCCAATCTGAAACCAAATTTTGGAAATAATAAGCAGCTTTATATGTGAGCTATTATTATAGGCAGCTGAGCTCAGCTCATCTTGGCCTTCCTCATAGAGCCCATGAGGGATAAAAATAGAAATACTCTTATTGCTAAGAGCCTGGATTTTATCTGCAGCATGACTTCTGGATAATCTCTGCAAGAAGCCATGCCAGTAAAATTATTCCCTTAGGTTCCAGCTTCCCACAGGGTTTTGATGTGTCAGCTCTATAATTTTATTTGATTTCCTGCTCCATGGTTTCCTTTGCTATTGCTGTCACTGATAAATAAACTCAGGTGTATAATTCCTACCATGATTTACACGTATTATGTGCTATTCTGAGGTCAAAAGGAAACCTGAGACTCTCAGGCTGAAACATTTACCTACTAAAAAGCTATGCACAAGTGTGTATTGGGGCTGCATTCTATAATCTTCATGAGAGTCTTGATTCTAAGTTTTGTCCTCTACCCATGTGTGGCAAATTTAACATGTTGTGAGTGGCTTAGGTAAGATGCTTCTAATAAGTTGGCTTCTCTATTAGGTTTTAGACTTGGTTCATCAACTTAGATATGAAACTTGACTGTGGTAAACATCAAGTCTCCAAGCCCAGGTATGCATGTTGTACAAAGTCCTTTGGTCTTTACAACTCCACAATTTAGATGTTTAAATGTTCAAAGAATATTAGAGGTAAAGTGCGTTGCCAGTGAACGGATTGGTGTTTGTCATTGTCTGGATAGTAGGGAAGCTAGCACTACTGGGTTTACCTCATTTTAGTAAAACTGGAAATATAAAGCATATACAACATAAATTCATTTGGGATAAAAATAAACCACCAAGTCAGAAAAGAGTTCTTAGCTTGTCTAAAGGACAGAGGGTAATAACATACAATGGAATTGTTATTTATAGTGGAATACTCGTTCATGGGTTGGAAAAGAGGTTGAAATGGGACTAAGCTCATAAGATGCCACTTTAAAAATCTAGAGACACTGTTTTCTCTCCAAATTGGGAAAAATCCAGTCTTTTGATGTGACTGACTCTTGGAAATAGCTCTGATTTTAGAACCCACTAAAGTTTTTGGTTTTTCAAAGCTTATAGCACATGAATTTGTCAGCAATGTATATATATTTCAGGACCAGATGGAAGAAATTCAATAACAGAATGAAGAATGCTCTAAGGCTTATAGCTATCTGCTTAAAAGTACTTTGACAGGGAGTTAATGTAGGAACTGTTTTCACGTCATAGTGCTTTTATGGTTTTTTTTTTTTTTTTTGAGACGGAGTCTCTCTCTATCACCCAGGCTGGAGTGCAGTGGCGCCATCTCGGCTCACTGCAACCTCTGCCTCCCGGGTTCCAGGGGTTCTTCTGCCTCAGCCTCCTGAGTAGCTGGGACTACAGGCGCCCGCCACCACGCCCGGCTAATTTTTGTATTTTTAGTAGAGACAGGGTTTCACCATATTGGCCAGGCTGGTCTCACCTCCTGACCTCATGATCCGCCCACCTCGGCCTCCCAAAGTGCTGGGATTACAGGCGTGAGCCACTGCACCCGGCCGCTTTTATGGTGTTTTTATTTCCCCACCTTTTTGTTAAAGAATAAGATCTTGAGAGTATCATGGGTAATCAGATGTCAATGTTGTTAATGTTTGCCCCAAAAAAGAAGATCAGGTTTTCTTTCCATTCATCTGCAAACTTTATCTGTAAACACCATATAGTAAATATGTTAGACTTAGCAGATTACATATGGACTCTGTTGCATATATTTTTTTGTTTTTAAATAACCCTTTAAAAATGTAAAAGCCCGGCCGGGCACGGTCGCTCACGCCTGTAATCCCAGCACTTTGGGAGGCCGAGGTGCATGGATCACCTAAGGTCAGGAGTTAGAGACCAGCCTGGCCAACATGGCGAAACCCTGTCTCTACTAAACATACAAAAATTAGCTGGGTGTGGTGGCGGGTGCCTGAAATCCCAGCTACTCGGGAGGCTAAGGCAGGGAGAATTGCTTGAACCCAGGAGGCAGAGATTGCAGTGAGCCGAGATCATGCCACTGGACTCCAGCCTGGGTGACAGAGACTCCGTCTCAAAAAAAAAAAAAGTAAAAGCCCTTCTTAGCTTTCAGGGCATACAAAAACAGGCCCCTGGCCAGATTTGGCCCGTGAGCTATAGTTTGCTGATCCCTAGACTAGAGTTCAAAGTGCAGGCCCCAATCTCAGAGCATTATGAGTTCTGTTTGTGATGCCTGTGGGGTTTTGTTTTATTATTGTCTTTGTATTTATTTTGGTCATTCAAGAAATATTAAACCATAGCCAAATCCTTATCCTAAGTGAACTATCCCCAGTAGTGAAGAAAACATGATTCGTGCACACAGAAGTTTAATCTTGTAACTTTTAAGAAACAGTGCAACCATAGAAGATATATGATGGCAAATAAATACACAAAAAGATATTAACATCACTAGCCATTAGGGAAATGCACATTAAAACCAGAATAAAATACTACATACTTACTAGAATGGCAAAAATTAAAAATACTGATTATTCAAATGCTGGCAAGTGTGCAGAGAAACTGGATCTCTTCTACATTACTGGTGGGAATGTAAAATGATACAGCTACTCTATAACTCAGTCTGGCAGTTTCTTAAAAAAATAGAAAAAAAAAGAAACTACCATTAATCACCTAGCATTTATATTCCTGGGCATTTATCCTGGGGAAATGTAACTTATGTTCACACAAAAACCTGTACACAAATGTTCACAGCTTTATTTGTAATAGCCAAAAAACTGGAAATGACTTAAATATCCTTCCATTACTGAATGTTCATATGACTCATGGTATGTCCACATAAGGTAATTCACCGACAAAGGGAACAATCTGTTGATGTAAACAACTTGAAGGGAATTTAAGGGCATTATTCTGAGTGAAAAAAGCCAATCTCAAAATGGTCCATACTCTATGATTCCATTTATATAACATTGTTGAAACGACAAAATTAAAGATGTAGAGAATAGACAAGTGGTTGCCATAGGTTAGGGAAGGAGAAGGAGAGTATGACTTTAAAGGGACATGACAAGGGACTTCCTTTGTAGTGACAGAACAGTTCCATATCTTGATTAAAATGATGGTTATATATGAAGCTATATATGTGATAGATAAAATGTCATGAGTATATACAAAGACATACCCGAAAAATGAATGCATGTAAAAACTGGTGAAATCTGAGTAAGGTCTATAGTCCAGTTAATTTGCCAGCTAATTTCCTGGTTTTGATAGTGCAGTATACTTATAGAAGCTGTCACCATTAGGGGAACTGAGTGATGGGTATACAGAACCTCTCTCTACTGTTTTTGTAACTTGTCAGTATGAAATTATTTCAAAATAAGTTAAAAAAGAGGGTGAAAAGAAGGCAGGGAGAGGGAGAAAGAAAAATAATGAAGTCTTCTGGGCAGGATGGAGTTAAAGGGTCTGACTTACCTTCCCACCTGAAACAATGACAAAAAAATTTAAAAATTAAGCAGATACAGGAAACAAACAAGATGAGTCTTGCTTACTGCCTTGAGAGAGTCTCCAGGCTCCAGTACGGGAAAAGGGAACTGCTCTGGAGTCTAGAACACTCCCTGAGTTAGGGAGATCAAGATGGAGTCGATAAAGATCAAGACAGGGTTCACAGGACAAAGTACCAGAGGGAATAGAACCTGGTGCTCACACAGGTCCAGGAATAATGCCTGTTCTTCCCACCAGACTGGAAAGAAAATCATAACTCATGGGGCATTGGGTAGAGCATTTAGTAGTGGGAAACAATCAGTCTTAGGCTGAGCACCACTCTATAATTGCCTAACAAATTATAAAAGCAAGAGATGAAAGGCTTAAACTATTTCCAAGTAACTTAACTGCATCCTTGAGCAAAGCTCAAGATTTACAGGAATACAAAAATATCCAGCACCCAACAAAGTAAAATTCACAATGTTGTAACCCATCCAACAGGTTCACCTTGCCCACTGCCTAGAAAGAGCCAACTTATCAAGACGGGAATTGCAGTAGAGAAAGAGAAATTCACGCAGAGCTGGCTATGCAGGAGACCAGTTTTATTATTACTTAAATCAGTCTCCCTGAGAATCTGACGATCTGAGTTTTTAAGGATAATTTGATAGGGGGCCAGTGAGTTAGGAGTTTTGATTAGTCAGTCTGAGATGAAATCATAGGGAGTCAGAGCTGTCCTTTTGTGTTGAGTCAGTTCCTGACTGGGGGCCACAAGACCAGATGAGCCAGCTTATCAATCTGGGTTATGCCAGCCGATCGACTGAGTTTAGGGTCTGCAAAATATTTCAAGCACTGATCTTAGGTTTTACAATAGTGATGTTATCCGCAGGAGCAATTTGGGGAGGTTTAGCAATTTGGGCAGCTTCCAGCTACATGACTCCTAAACCACAATTTCTAATCTTTTGGCTAATTTGTTGTCCTGAAAAGGGAGTCTAGTCCCCAGGCAGGAATGGAGTTTGTTTGGGAAATGGCTGTTATTGTCTTGGTTTCAAAGCTAAACTATAAACTAAATTCCTCCCAAAAGTTAGTTCAGCCTGTACCTAGAAATGAACAAGGACAGCTTGGTGATTAGAAGCAAGATGGAGCTGGTTATGTCAGATCTCTTTCACTGTAATAATTTTCTCAGTTATGATTTTTGCAGAGGTGGTTTCACTGTCTAGCATTGAATCAAAGATTATCAGACATGCAAAGGGCAAAAAAACCCATGAGTTATAATGAAGAGAATAATTGAAACTAACCCAAAACTGATATAGATGACCGAATTAGCAGAGAAGGAAAATAAAAGTTATTATAACTGTATTGCACTTGTTCAAACACTTAAGACATGGAAGATATAAAAAGAAGACCAAAATTGAATTTCTATAAATGAAAACTACAGTGTCTGAGATGAAAAATACAATGGATGAGATTAGACATTGCAGAAGAAAAGATTTGAGGAAGAAACTATTACGATTATTTTTTGGGAAGAACTGATTAATTGTGTACTTCCTCAGTATACTCTTGCCTAGAGTACTGTTGACTTTATTATTATTGCAAGTATTTGAGAGAAAATTTAGTGGATAGGCATCATTGAAACTAGCTCAAAAATATTTATCTGGAAGATTTCTTGTCAAGGTATCTTGGGTTACACTTTTGTTGAGAGAAGATTGTAAAAAGTTAAAGAACGTTGAGGCTGGGCACGGTGGCTCACGCCTGTAATCCCAGCACTTTGGGAGGCTGAGGCGGGCAGATCATGAGGTCAGGAGATAGAGACCATACTGGCTAACATGGTGAAACCCCATTTCTACTAAAAATACAAAAAAATTAGCTGGGTGTGGTGGCACGCGGCTGTAGTCCCAGCTACTCGGGAGGCTGAGGCAGGAGGCTGAGGGAGGAGAATCATTTGAACTTGGGAGGCGGAGGTTGCAGTAAGCCGAGATCGCACCACTGCACTCCAGCCTGAGTGACACAGCGAGACTCCATCTCAAAAAACAAACAAAAAAGAACGTTGACAAAATTAAAATATTTTGTTATGGAATTGTATGTGGTGTTAAAGGTATTGTTTGTGAAATGTATGTGTTAAAAATAATAAAATTTCAGAGTAATTACTTTCATGTTGTTTCATAGTGTATGATTTATTTTCCTAGTGAGTTGGTAAGCTTTGTGAGAGCACTGGTGTGTCTTTTCACATCTTTTGAACCTCCCTAATATACTTAGCATGGCACTTCCTATAGTGGGCGGCCCAAAGTGTTTGTAGTATAAAAGAGAATCCTCCAACCCTGAGGCACTGAAGTTTAATCTGCTATTATTAATAATAAGGCAGCAGCAGAAGTATCCCTCTGAACCAAATGTACATAAACAAAGAATGTTACAGGGTTAGAAGTGGGAGTGGGGAGGGAGGCAGGAAAAAGCTCACCTTACCAAGAAGCTTGTTAATCCTATTTTTAAACAAGACAATTCTGCAAGTTACTTCCTGGAGCCCTGTCTTTGTTGTTGATATTTAGTGCAGAATAGATCAGGTATATTTTGGGTTAAATAAAAAGAACATAGAGATTCATATATTTGGGTACATTGGGGCAGCAGTTTCGAGAGCAAATTACAGAGTTAAACACATGTCCTAGGAAGCCTTTCCTCCCACTTAGTGGAAGCCACAGTGTATAGGGATAGAGTAGTCATTTTCCCATTTCTTGGTCAAAGAAACAGTGTGTGATTTTAATTGGCAAAGAGAAGTAAATAAGGAGGAAGGCTTTTGAAACCCCAGATTCCAATATATGTTGAAAAACTTTTGTAGGAAGGAATTTATAAACTTTACAAATTATTAATAGAATAGAGTCTCCACAGATTCAGGTCAAAGTACAAAGAAGTTTCAGTAAATTACTTATTGGCAAGATAGAGAAAGCTATTTTCAAGCAACCTAGATGGAATTTTATAAACTGTCCTCCCTTTTAAGTATTGTTTCTAAGCTGAAATTGCTTGTGTGTTCTTTTTCTTGAGAGCAGTAACACTGTGCTTGGCCTCTATTGCTGCAAAAGGAAATAGGTTGAAGGCTTTTCACTCCATAAGTAACAAATATATTATTGGGGAGGTGATAAATAATATATTAAGGAAGAGATCTCAGATATGTAGAAAAGCCTTACTATTATTGATGCTTTATTATTGGTGCTAAATTGTATTAAAAAAGAAGAAAAAGTTGAAAAAACAAAAATTTCAGGATTTCCAGTTCTTTCCTCCACATTTATTTTATTTTATTTTTAAATTTTATTTATTTATTTTATTTTGAGACAGAGTTTCACTATTGTTGCCCAGGCTGGAGTGCAATGGCACAATCTCGGCTCACTGCAACCTCTGCCTCCCAGGTTCAAGCAATTCTCCTGCCTCAGCCTCCCAAGTAGCTGGGATTACAGGCACCTGCCACCACGCCCAGCTAATTTTTGTATTTTTGGCAGAGATGGGGTTTCACCATGTTGGCCAGGCTGGTCTCAAACTCCTGACATCAGGTGATCTGCCCACCCTGACCTCCCAAAGTGCTGGGATTACAGACGTGAGCCACCGCATCTGGCCCAACATTTATTTTAATTACTAGAAAAAGAAACTCTGTATTACAGAAAAGCAACTGGGTACAAGGTACCTCAAAATCACGACCTACCAAATGCAGCATAGGCACAGAAAAAGAACAGTTTAAATAAGCTGAACCCCTTATTGATGAAGAGATAGAGTTAACACAGGGATTTACCAATTGAACTCAGAGATTTTAACCAGCTTATCAAAGCTAATTAAAATGGGGTTGTGATATTGAAAATATAGCAAGAGAAGAAGAGGGAAAAAGCTTACGGGAGGTCCTTGAATACTCAACTGTGTTCTGGGAAAAACGCAATGAGCTCCAGGACATAGACAAGATTATGGCTCAGAGTGAAAGGGAGAGATAAGAATTCAGAGAATAATTTGCATCAGAAAAGCACCTGACAAAAAGATCAGATGGTACAGAGCATCTAGCACCTTTTCTTCAGCTGAGGATATCATGGTACTAGTATAACAGAGGGAAAAACTGTACTGAGGAAGAGGATCATTCTGTACTTTGTGTGCTTGGATTCAACAAGGAAAATATTTATGATGAAATGCAATAGTGTAATCACAACTCTCCTCAGTTCAGATTTTGTTATTGAACCAAACGGAGGTCCACTCGCCCAGCGTAATAAGACTATGTATCTATACCATATCTAAACCAAGGCTTGTAGCAAGAGAAGGGAAAGCCTTTGTTTGTAGGGACCAAGCAAGGAGAATCAGGCAGATTATACTTAACACTTGAACTCTCAGATGGCTTATAGGTAAGGGTTTTTAAAGGTGGAGAGAGCCCTTTAAAAGACTAGATTGCGGCTCTGACTCGGACGGACAGAGCAGCGTGTAGAGGCTCGTGTCATGCATTTTAGCTCCAGAACAACCATAGGAATAAATCAGGAAACCTAAGAGGACCCACAGACCCTCTGAAGGAAGCAGATTGCTCCTGCAGGACCCAAGAGACACCCGAAATACTATGCTGGTATCCATGGCTGAGAGACCCATAGACGGTTCACATCACAGGAATCTGTGCAGCCAACCCCCGTACCAGCCCAGAGCCTGGTAGACTTGCTGGGTGGCTAGATCAGAAGAGAGATAACAATCACCACAGCTCGGCTCTCAGGAAGCCACATCCATAGAAAAAGGGGGATGGTATTACATCAAGAGAACACCCCATGGGACAAAATCTCAACAGCCTTCAGCCCTAGCCCTTCCCTCTGACAGAGCCTACCCAAATGAGAAGGAACCAGAAAATTGTGTTGGTTTTCTGACAAAACAAGGCTCTTTAACAACCCCGCAAAAATCACACTAACTCACCAGCAATGGATCCAAACCAAGAAGAAACCCCTGATTTACCTGAAAAAGAATTCAGGAGGTTAGTTATTAAGCTAACCAGGGAGGGACCAGAGAAAGATGAAGCCCAATACAACGAAATCCAAAAAATGGTACAAGAAGTGAAGGGAGAAATATTCAATGAAATAGATAGCATAAATAAAAACAATAAAAACTTCAGGAAACAGACACACTTATAGAAATGCAAAATGCTCTGGAAAGTCTCAGCAATAGAATTGAATAAGTAGAAGAGAGAAATTAAGAGCTTGAAGACAAGGTCTTTGAATTAACCCAATCCAACAAAGAAAAAAGAAGAAAATATGAACAAAGCCTCCAAGACATCTGGGATTATGTTAAATGACCAAATCTAAGAATAATTGGTGTTCCTGAGGAAGAAGAGAAATCTAAAAGCTTGGAAAACATATTTGGGAGAATAACTGAGGAAAACTTCCCTGGCCTTGCTAGAGACCTAGACATCCAAATACAAGAAGCACAAAGAACACCTGGGAAATTCATCGGAAAAAGATCTTCTCGTAGGCACATTGACATCAGGTTATCCAAAGTTGAGACAAAAGAAAGAATCTAAACTGCGAGACAAAAGCACCAGGTAACTGATAAAGGAAAACCTATCAGATTAACAGCAGATTTTCAGCAGAAACCCTAGAAGCTAGAAGGGATTGGGGCCCATCTTCAGCCTTCTCAAACAAAACAATTATCAGCCGAGAATTTTGTATCCAGCGAAACTAGGCATTGTGTATGAAAGATACAGTCTTTTTCAGACAAAAAATTGCTGAGAGAATTCACCACTACCAAGCCACCACTACAAGAACTGCTAAAAGGAGCTCTAAATCTTAAATCCTGGAAACACATCAAAACAGAACCTCTTTAAGACATAAATCTCACAGGACCTATAAAACAAAAATACAATTTAAAAAACAAAAACAAAAAACCAAAGTACACAGGCAACAAATAAAATGACAAATGGAATGCTACCTCATATCTCAATACTAACATCGAATGTAAATGGCCTAAATGCTCCACTTAAAAGATAAGAACTGCAGAATGGATAAGAATTCACCAACCAACTATCTGCTGCTTGAAGAGACTCACCTAACACATAAGGACTCACATAAACTTAAGGTAAAGGGGTGTAAAAAGGCATTTCATGCAAGTGGACACCAAAGGCGAGCAGGAGTAGCTATTATATCAGAAAAACTAACTTGAAAGCAACAGCAGTTAAAAAAGACTAGAAGGGCCAGGTGCAGTGGCTCATGCCTGTAATCCCAGCACTTTGGGAGGCCGATGCGGGTAGATTGCCTGAGGTCAAGAGTTCAAGACCACCCTGGCCAATATGGTGAAACCCTGTCTCTACTAAAAATATAAAAATTAGCCAGGCGTGGTGGTGGGCACCTGTAATCCCAGCTACTCGGGAGGCTGAGGCAGAATTGCTTGAACCCGGGAAGCAGAGGTTGCAGTGAGCTGAGATCACGCCACTGCACTCCAGCCTGGGCCACAGAGGGAGACTACGTCTCAAAAAAAAAAAAAAAAAAGAAGAAGAAGAAAAAGACAAAGAAGGACATTATATAATGCTAAAAGACCTTGTCCAACAGGAAAATATCACAATCCCAAACATTTATGCACCTACCACTGGAGCTCCCAAATTTATAAAACAGTTACTAATAGACCTAAGAAATGAGACAGACAGCAACACAATAATAGTGAAGGACTTCATTACTCCACTGACAGCACTGGACAGGTCATCAAGACTGAAAGTCAATGAAGAAAAAATGGATTTAAACTATATCTTGGAACAAATGGACTTAACAGATATATACAGAACATTCCATCCAACAACTGCAGGATACATTCTATTCAACAGCACATGGAACTTTCTCCAAGATAGACCATACGATAGGCCACAAAATGAGCCTCAATAAATTTAAGAAAGTTGAAATTATATCAAGCACTCTCTCAGACCACAGTGGAATAAAACTGGAAATCAACTCCAAAAGGAACCTTCAAAACCATGCAAATACATGGAAATTAAATAATGTGCACCTGAATGATCACTGGGTCAAAAACAAAATCCAGATGGAAATTTGAAAATTCTTTGAACTGAAGGACAATAGTGACACAGCCTATCAAAACTTCTGGGATACAGCAAAGGCCACCTTTCCTCCTAAGAGGAAAGTTCACAGCCCTAAATGCATACATCAAAAAGACTGAAAGAGCACAAACTGACATTCTAAGGTCACACGTCAAGGAACTAGAGAAACAAGAACAAACCAAACCCAAACCCAGTAGAAGAAAGGAAATAACCAAGATCAGAGAAGAACTAAATGAAATTGAAACAAACAAAAAAATTCAGAAGATAAAAACAAAACGCTGGTTCCTTGAAAAGATAAATAAAATTGATAGACCATTAGTAAGATTAACCAAGAAAAAAAGAGAGAAAATTCAAATAACCTCAATAAGAAACAAAATGGGGGCAGAAATACAAAAGATCATTCAAGGCTACTATGAACACCTTTACGCATATAAACTAGAAAACCTAGAAGAGATGGATAAATTCCTGGAAAGATACAAACTTCCTAGCTTAAATCAGGAAGAATTAGATACCCTGAACAGATCAATAACAAGCAGGAGATTGAAGTGGTAATTAAAAATTACCAACCAAAAAAGTCCAGGACCAGACTGATTCATAGCAGAATTCTACCAGACATTCAAAGAAGAATTGGTACCAATCCTATTGACACTATTCCACAAGACAGAGAAAGAAGGAACCCTCCCTAATTCATTCTATGAAGCCAGCATCACCCTAATACCAAAACCAGGAAAGGATACAACTAAAAAAGAAAACTACAGGCTGATATCCCTGATGAACACAGATGCTAAAATTCTTAACAAAATACTAGCTAACCGAATCCAACAACATATCAAAAAGACAATCCACCATGATCAAGTGGGTTTCATACCAGGGATGGAGGGATGGTTTAACATATGCAAGTCAATAAATGTGATACACCACATAAACAGAATTAAAAACAAAAATCACATGATCATCTCAATAGATGCAGAAAAAGCATTAGACAAAATCCAGCATCTCTTTATGGTTAAAACTCTCAGCAAAATCGGCATACAAGGGACATACCTCAATGTAATAAAAGCCATCTATGACAAACCCACAGCTAACATAATACTGAATGGGGAAAAGTTGAAAGCATTCCCTCTGAGAAATGAAACAAGACAAGGATGCCCTCTCTCACCACTCCTCTTCAACACAGTACTGAAAGTCCTAGCCAGAGCAGTCAGACAAGAGAAGGAAATAAAGGGTATCCAAATTGGTAAAGAGGAAGTCATACTGTCACTGTTTGCTGATGATGTGATTGTTTACCTCAAAAACCCTAAAGACTCCTATAGAAAGCTCCTAGAACTGATAAAAGGATTAGCAAAGTTTCCAGATACAAAATTAATGTACACAAATCAGTAGCTCTTCTAAACACCAACAGCAACCAAGCAGAGAATCAAATCAAGAACTCAACCCCTTTTACAATAGCTGCAAAAAAAAATGAAGTACTTAGGAATATACCTAGCCAAGGAGGTGAAAGACCTCTATGAGGAAAACTACAAAACACTGCTGAAACAAATCATAGATGACACAAACAAATGGAAACACATCCCATGCTCATGGATGGGTAGAATCAATATTGTGAAAATGACCATACTGCCAAAAGCAATCTACAAATTCAACACAATCCCCATCAAAAAACCACCATCATTCTTCACAGAGTTAGAGAAAACAATTCTAAAATTCATATGGAACCAAAAAAGAGTCCCATAGCCAAAGCAAGACTAAGCAAAAAGAACAAATGTGGAGGCATCATATTACCTGACTTCAAACTATACTTTAAGGCCATCATCACCAAAACAGCATGGTACTGGTATAATAATAGGCGCATAGACCAATGGAACAGAATAGAGAACCCAGAAATAAACCCAAACACAGCCAACTGATCTTCGAGAAAGCAAACAAAAACATAAAGTGGGGAAAGGACACCCTTTTCAACAAATAGTGCTGGGATAACTGGCTAGCCACATGTAAGAGAATGAAACTGGATCCTCATCTCTCACCTTATACAAAAATCAACTCAAGATGGATTAAAGACTTAAATCTAAGACCTGAAACTGTACAAATTCTAGAAGATAACATTAGAAAAACCCTTCTAGACATTGGCTTAGGCAAGGATTTCATGACCAGTGTGTGTCTGTAGTTTGAGCTACTCAGAAAGCCGAGGCAGGAAGATTGCTTGAGCCTAGGAGGGGAGGCTGCAGTGAGGTATGATCGGACCACTGCACTCCAGCGTGGGCGACAGAGCAAAACTCTGTCTCCAAAAACAAAAACAAAAACAAGGCCAGGCGTGGTGGCTCACACCTGTAATCCCAGCACTTTGGGAGGCCGAGGTGGGTGGATCACCTGCGGTCAGGAGTTCGAGACCAGCCTGGCCAACATGGTGAAACCCCATATCTACTAAAAATACAAAAATTAGCCGGGCATGGTGGCAGGCGCCTGTAATCCCAGCTACTCTGGAGGCTGAGGCAAGAGAACCCGGGAGGCAGAGGTTGCAGTGAGCCAAGTTCGCACCATTGCACTCTAAGCCTGGGTGACAAGAGTGAAACTCAGTCTCAACAAACAAACAAACAAACAAACAAAGCAAGGAAGGAAATTCTTACACATGCTAAAAGATGGATGAAACCTGAAGACATAATGCTAAGTGAAATGAGCCAGTTACAAAGAAAGACAAATAGTGGTTGCTTCAACCTATGGGAGGTATCTGGAATAGTACAATTCACAGAAGCAGAAAGGAGAGTAGAAGTTTTCAGGGGCTGGAGCGGGGCAGGGAAAGCGAGTTGTTTGTTGAGTGTAGGGTTTCAGTATTGCAAGGTGAAAAAGTTCCAGAGATCTATTGCACAACGATGTGCATATAGTTAATACTACTGTGCTGTCCACTTAAAAATAGTGAAGATGGGCCAGGGGCGGTGGCTCAAGCCTGGAATCCCAGCACTTTGGGAGGCCGAGGTGCATGGATCGCCTGAGGTCAGGAGTTTGAGACCAGCCTGGCCAACGTGGTAAAACTCTGTCTCTACTAAAAATATAAAAATTAGCTGGGCGTGGTGGTGCACGCCTGTAGTCCTAGCTATTCAGGAGGCTGAGGCGGGGAGAATCGCTTGAACCTGGGAGGTGGAGGTTGCAGTGAGCTGAGATGGCACCACTGTACTCCAGCCTGAATGACAGAGAGAGACCTCGTCAAAAAAAAAAAAAAAAAAAAAGCTTAAGATGGGCTGCGTGCGCTGACTCATGCCTGTAATCCCAGCACTTTGGGAGGCTGAGGCGGGCGGATCACCTGAGGTCGGGAGTTCGAGACCAGCCTGGCCAACATGGTGAAACCCCGTCTCTACCAAAATACAAAAATCAGCCGGGCATGGTGGCGGGTGCCTGTAATCCCAGCTATTCAGGAGGGTGAGGCACGAGAATCGCTTGAACCCAGGAGGTGGAGGTTGCAATGAGTCAAGATCGCGCCACTGCACTCCAGCCTGGGTGACAGAGCCAGACTCTGTCTCAAAAGCAAAAAAAAAGAAAAAAGAGAGGCAGCTGAGGGGAGGGACAAGGGTCATTAGTCGACATGGGAGCTGGCTGAGGCTGGTGCCCAGGGATAGGGGAGCTGAGTGGGTGCAGGCCCAGGAAGTGAGCAATTGCCAGTGACACCGGGTGGAGGGACAGGTGGAGGAGGAGTTGTGAGCTCAGCTGCACAGGACATTACTCCAAATGGGGCTGAGGAGCAAGGGGGACCCCCACACTCCCCACCTCCCAATGCTGAGGCATGTGGGTAGGGGGCTATCCAGGAGGGCTTCAGGGAAAAAGTGTTCTGAAGGAAGAGGCAGGAGGGTGGTGAAGGGGACATTTGGGGGCCACCCCTTCTCCAGCTGGCAAAATTGTCCTGTCCCCGCTGGGTGCGGTGGCTCATGCCTGTAATCCCAGCACCTGGGGAGGCTGAAGCGGGAGGATCACTTGAGGTCAGGAGTTTGAGACCAGCTTGGGCCACACGGTGAAACCCGCACCCCACCCCCCACCCCGCCCAATCTCTACTAAAAATACAAAAATTAGCTGGGCATGGTGGTGCACGCCTGTAGTCCCAGTTACTCATGAGGCTGAGGGTTGAGGCATGAGAATTGCTTGAGCTGAGGGTGGTTGGGGGAGGTTGGGGGGATGGAGGGTAGAGCTGAGCTGGGATAGTGCACCACCGCATCCAGTCTGGGTGACAGAGTGAGACCCTGTCTCAAAAAAAAAAAAAAAATGCATCTTATACCTTGAGGGTCATGGAGTCTTTCACGCCTTCCTGTGTGTGTGTGTGTGTGTGTGTGTGTGTGTGTATGTGTGTATTCAGGTCAACTTCTGGAATTTCTGTTTCATTTCTTGGATCAATCTGTCTGTTCAGGTGTCAGTACTAGACTATTTTAATCCCTGTATGTATGTATGCATGTATGTATGTATGTATTTTGAGACGGAGTTTTGCTCTTGTTGCCCAGGCTAGAGTGCAATGGTGCGGTCTCAGCTCACTGCAACCTCCACCTCCTGGGTTCAAGCGATTCATTCTCCTGCCTCAGCCTCCCAACTAGCTAGGATTACAGGTGCCCACCACCACGCCTGGCTAATTTTTGTGTTTTTAGTAGAGATGGGGTTTCACCATTTTGGCCAGGCTGGTTGAGAACTCCTGACCTCAAGTCATCCGCCCGCCTCTGCCTCCCAAAGTGCTGGGATTACAGGCGTGAGCCACTGCGCCCAGCCAATCGCTGTATTTTTATAGTCTGCTTTGTTCTGTAAATGATCCCTCTCGAGTGTAACTCACTAGTGGGCTGTGTCCTTCTTTGGTGAATGTCTCTTTTTCCCATTAAACTGTAACTCTCTGAGGGCGGGGACTGGATCTGTTTATCTGTTTAGTTCTCCCACTGAATCCTCACTGTTAACCTAGGGGTCTGGCACAATAATTGTGTCCAGTAATTTTTTTTTTTTTTTTTTTTGAAGCAGGGTCTTGCTGTGTCACTCAGGCTGGAGTGCAGTGGTGCGATCAGAGCTCACTGCAGCCTCGAACTCCCAGGCTCAAGTCATCCTCCTACCTCAGCTTCCTTAGTACCTGGGATTACAGGCACATGTCACCATGCCCATCTAATTTTTAAATTTTTTACTTTTTCTTTTTTTTTTTTGAGATGGAGTCTAGGTTTGCTGTCCAGGCTGGAGTGCAATGGCATGATCCTAGCTCACTACAACCTCCGCCTCCTGGGTTCAAGCGATTCTCCTGCCTCAGCCTCCCACGTAGCTAGGATTACAGGTGCCCACCACCATGCCCAGCTAATTTTTGTATTTTTAGTAGAGACGGGGTTTCACCATGTTGGCCAGGCTGGTCTCAAACTCCTGACCTCAAATGATCCATCCCCCTCGGCCTCCCAAAGTGCTGGGATCACAGGCATGAGCCACTGCGCCCAGCCAATTTTTAAATTTTTTCTGGAGATGGGGTGCTCGCTATGTTGCCCAGGCTGATCTCAAACTCTAGGCCTCAAGTCCTCCTGCCCCGACCTCCCAAAGTGCTGAGATTACAGGCATGAGCCACTGTGCTCAGCCCCAACAATTATTTTTGACAGATAATAGGGATGTCTCCTTGCTCTCTGTGTCTGGCCAAGTAGCCCCAGGTGACACTCGTTTTTTTTGTTTGTTTGTTTTTGAGACGGAGTCATGCTCTGTTGCCCAGCCTGGAGTCCAATGCCGTCGTCTCGGCTCACTGCAATCTCTGCCTCCTGGGTTTAAGTGATTCTCCTGCCTCAGCCTCCAGAGGAGCTGGGACTACAGGTATGTGCCACCACACCTGGCTAATGTTCTTATTTTTAGTAGAGACGGGATTTCACTATGTTGGCCCGGCTGGTCTCGAACTCCAGACCTCATGATCCACCCGCCTTGGCCTCCTAAAGTGCTGGGATTACAGGTGTGAGCCACCATGCCCGGCCATGACACTCGTTTTATAACATCAGGCTGGTGACCAGAATGTCATGGCTTCTGGGCAGAGGCCAGCTTCCATGCCGTGTCCTGTCTTCCTAGTGCAGATGTCCCCAGCTGCAGTGAGTACCAGTGTGAGGGAATGGGCTCCAGACTCCCAGAGGGGCCAGAGGGATGGCCACGCCAAGCTCTGGGGAGTAGCCGATTCCCCAGCACCTGCCTGCCCATGCACCTTTGGGGTGACTCATGAGACAGGGTGGGGCTCCCACCTGCCCTCTCCCAAAAGGCAATCAGCTATAAAGGCTCTCAGAGGCCCACCCAGCCCCAGGTCACCAAACAAGCCCCAGTTCCATGGCAACCATTATACCCATTCATCAAGGAGATGTAGAGGGAGGTGCTTCCTGGTTCACCCCACCCTCAGCAGAGACAGACCCCAGATCTGGGCCCAGGACTTTGTGCAGGGAGGGGAAATGCAGGTGACCAGCCCCTATTCCTCCATCAAACCAGGCTTGAAGATGGGTTAAATCAGAGCTTTTCATTCCACAAAAGAGAAATTTTAATGGGGTCAGAACATTGATCTTCTAATATTTGAAAGCCTGTTAACTAGGAGAGAGAGAGCAAACGATTTTGTTGTAGGAGGACCCACCCAGCTCTGACGGTTTAAAGCGTCATGAATGCGAATTTGAACTCCAGAAAAGCAGAGCTTCCTAACAATGGGACTTCCACAGCAATGGGATCTGCTTCCTCTTTCAGTGTGTGCCTTTTCTATGAGCGAGAGACTCCTAGGAAAGCAGCAGCCCATTAGGAAAACGTGTGGGAACTCACTCGCAGGTTATTTTTTTTGAGATGGAGTTTTGCTCTTGTTGCCCAGGCTGGAGCACAATGGTGCGATCTTGGCTCCCTGCAACCTGCGCACCATGAGTTCAAGTGATTCTCCAGCGCCCTCTCCTGAGTAGCTGCGATTACAGGCATCCACCACCATGCCTGGCTAATTTTTTGTATTTTTAGTAGAGATGGGGTTTCACCATGTTGTCCAGGCTGGTCTCAAACTCCTGACCTCAAGTGATCCACCCACTGTGGCCTCCCAAAGTGCTGGGATTACAGGCATGAGCCACTGAGCCCAGCCGGGAACCCACAGGTTTTTTGGATGGTCTCTGAATGTCATGTAACTCTTTTATTTTTTATCAAAAAAAAATTTTTTGACACAATATCTTGCTGTGTTGCCCAGACTGGAGTGCAGTGGCAAGATCATGGCTCACTGCAGCTTCTAACTCCTGGGCTCAAGTGATCTTCCTGTCACATGAGTCTCCCAAGTAGTTGGAACACAGGTGCCAGCCACCACACCTGGCTAATTTGGTTTGGTTTGGTTTTTTTAGAGATGGGCTCTTGCTATGTTGCCTATACTGGTCTTGAACTGCTGGCCTCAGGCAATCTTCCTCCCTTGGCCACCCAAAGTGCTGGGATTACAAGCAGGAGCCACTGTGCACAGCTGAAATTTTTCGACTTAGTCTTTTTGTACATGTGATATTTTATTCATAGAATCCATAAATGGAAGGGAAATTTCTGAGTTCAGAGCAATACATATGATACAAAACTTGATATATAGACTAGAGTTTCTTAGCCAAACTGGAGGGGCTGGCTTAGGTAATCCATGGATTCCCTGAAATTGGGGACACCATTGGAAATATGTGTGAGCTCAGGGGCAGTTTCCTATGATCTTTAGGCCTCAAAATGTCTCTTGGACTCAAAATTGCCTTAGGGCAGAGGACGTGTGTACCCCCAGTATAGAATCTCGGACAGTGAATGTGAGTAAACATTCGGCAGAAAAGCTCTGCCAAACTGAGTGCTCTGATGTGACTTTTTCATCAAGTCAGTATTCCTGGGATCTCTTGTACATGATAATCTCACTCTTGTACGTGATAATCTCACTCTTGTACGTGATAATCTCACTCTTGTACATGATAATCTCACTCTTATAAGGTTTCATCATTTCTGCTTACCCTAGTTTTCTTTCCCACTCTGTTCCCTCTCCCACCAGACTGGACTCTGAAATGGGCATGTACAGAGATGAAGAGACCCCAACATGCTTCAGGCTTTGAGTGGAGAGGACACAGCCTCTGCTGGGACAGGGAACACAGGGATGTGGAGTCCCTGAAGATGCTTTTGGACAATGGTCTGAGGTTGGGACAGTGGCAGGAGATACCATTCACCCAGGATCTCCAGGACAAGAGATCAGCCTGGCAGTTACATGTGTTTTTTTTCAAACTGGTTGCCAGGTTGGCATGAACGATGACATCAGAGATTCCGACCTTCCTGATTGGAGGGACCGGACTCCGTGGTGCCTGGAGATCAGTTGGACAACAGTATCTTCTCAGAGCTGTTCTCCACTCCTGACTTCTCCTAGGCTTGAGAATTGATAACATACTCTTCTGGATCCTAGCAGTGTCCAGAAGAAGGCCATGGACAGAACGAAGACTAGGTTCCGTAAGAGGGGACAGATTACGGGAAAGATCACGACCAGCCGTCAACCGCACCCCCAGAATGAGCAGAGTCTCCAGCGGAGCACCTCGGGGTACCCCCTCCAGGAGGTGGTGGATGATGAAGTGTTGGGACCATCAGGTGAGGGGACTGGTGGAAGAAGAGGTGGGATAGGGTTGACTAAGACGAAGGAAGGGGGCCGGGTGCGGTGGCTCACGCCTGTAACCCCAGCACTTTGGGAGGCCGAGGCGGGCGAATCACCTGAGGTCAGGAGTTCAAGGCCAGCCTGGCCAATATGGTGAAACCCCATCTCTACTAAAAGTATAAAAAGTAGTCAAGTGGTAGTGGTGCACACCTGTAATCCCAGCTACTCAGGAGGCTGAGACAGGAGAATCACTTGAGACTGGGAGGAAGAGGTTGCAGTGAGCTGAGATCACGCTACTGCACTCCAAAAAAAAAAAAAAAGAAAAGAAAAAAGAAAAGAAGGGTCAGCGGTCAGGAAGGAGAACCTGAGGAGGGTGTGTGGGAAGAATGGAGAAATTCAGGCTGGGTGCAGTGGCTCACACCTGTAATCCCAGAACTTTGGGAGGCCAAGACAGGCAGATCACTTGAGGCCAGGAGTTTGAGACCAGCCTGGCCAACATGGTGAAACCCTGTCTCTACTAAAAGTACAAAATTGAGCTGGGCATTATGGCAGGCACCTGTAATCCCAGCTACCTGAGAGGCTGAGGCAGAAGAATAAATGGAATCCAGGAGATGGATGTGGCAGTGAGCTGAGATTGCACCACTACACTCCAGCCTGGGTGACAAACCAAGATTCTGTGTCAAAACAAAACAAAACAAAAAAGGAGGGACTCAGAGAGCCAGAGACCAGGGAAGGACATGAAGCAGTGTTCGGAGGACAGAGAGAGAGAAGAATGGGGAGGGGAAGGAGCGGCACATGGGGTTGAGCAGAGGAGAAAATCAGAAAGATGGCTTAGAGAAGCCAGCAGTCTGCGAGTCTGGGGAGGATGGAGAGTGGTTTGGGGTTTTGGGTCGGGGTCTAAGGTGATCAGATGCAGAAGCATTACACAGTGGCCTGGTTTCTTTACTCAGCCCCTGGGGTAGATCCCAGCCCCCCATGTAGGTCCCTTGGCTGGAAAAGGAAGAAGGAGTGGTCAGATGAATCTGAGGAGGAGCCGGAGAAGGAGCTCGCCCCTGAGCCTGAGGAGACCTGGGTAGTGGAGATGCTGTGTGGGCTCAAGATGAAGCTGAAGCAACAGCGAGTGTCACCCATCCTCCCTGAGCACCACAAGGACTTCAACAGTCAGCTTGGTAGGAGGACACCCCAGAGAGCACCTCCAATCCTGTTCTTTCTAAAAAGAGGAAACTTCCAATAACCACACTTTTACAATGGGAAAGATACGCCCCCAGTGGGTGAGCTCTCCACGCAGGAGGACTCAGAAGTGATCACTCATGAGGGACACTTAGGAGATGATAGAGGACTAGGCTAGACTTGATAAAGGTTGGCGCTTGGGATGAGAAAGCTTGGTTTCGGGCTAGGTGCAGTGGCTCACGCCTGAGATCCTAGCACGCTGGGAGGCTGAGGCAAGAGGATTGCTTGAACTCAGGACTTTGAGGCTGCAGTGAGCTATGACTGCACCACTGCACTCCAGCCTGGGTGACAGAGCAAAACCCTGTGTCAAAAGAAAAACGAAGGCCGGGTGTGGTAGCTCATGCCTGTAATCCCATTACTTTGGGAGGCTGAGATGGGTGGATCACTTGAGGTCAGTTGTTCGAGACCAACCAGACCAATATAGCGAAACCTCATTTATACTAACAATACAAAAATTAGCCAGGCATGCCTGTTATCCCAGCTACTCGGGAGGCTGAGACAGGATAATCGCTTGAACCCAGGTGGAAGAGGTTGCTTTGAGCCAAGATAGCGCCACTGCATTCCATTCTGGGTGAGAGAGTGAGACGCTGTCTCAAAAAAAAAAAAAAAAAAAAAAAGAAGGAAGGAAGGGCCCAGAAGTCAGGAAGGAGCACGTGAGGAGGGTGTGTGGGAAGAATGGAGGTACTGAGGCAGGGTGCAGTGGCTCACACCTGTAATCCCAGCACTTTGGGAGGCCAGGCAGGCAGATCACTTGAGGCCAGGAGTTGGAGACCAGCCTGGCCAACATGGTGAAACCCTGTCTCTTCTAGAAGCACAAAAATGAGCTGGGTGTTCTGGTGGGCACCTGTAATCCCAGCTACTTGGGAGGCTTAGGCAGGAGAATCACTGGAACCCAGGAGGCGGAGGTTCCAGTGAGCCAAGATCGCACCACTACACTCCAGCCTAGGCCACAAAGCAAGACTGTTTCTCAACAACAACAACAAAAAAAAAAAAAAAAAAAAAGAGACTCAGAGAGCCAGGGACCAGGGAAGGATATGAGGAAGTGTTCTGAGGACAGAGAAACGGGAGAATGGGGAGGAGAAGGAGCGGCACATGGAGCTCAGCAGAGGAGACAGACAGAAGGAAAGATGGCTTGGAGAAGCCAGCAGTCTGCGAGGCTGAGGAGGATGGAGAGTGGTTTGGGGTTTTGGGTCGGGCTCTAGTGTGATCAACTGCAGAAGCATTACACCGTGGCCTGGTTTCTTTACTCAGCCCCTGGGGTAGATCCCAGCCCCCCGCATAGGTCCTTTTGCTGGAAAAGGAAGAGGGAGTGGTGGGACGAATCTGAGGAGTCGTTGGAGGAGGAGCCACGGAAGGTGCTCGCCCCTGAGCCTGAGGAGATCTGGGTGGCGGAGATGCTGTGTGGCCTCAAGATGAAGCTGAAGCGACGGCGAGTGTCGCTCGTGCTCCCTGAGCACCACGAGGCCTTCAACAGGCTGCTTGGTAGGAGGACACCCCAGAGAGCACCTCCAATCCTGTTCTTTCCAAAAACAGGAAACTTCCAATAACCACACTTTTCCAATGGGAAAAATATGCCCCAGTGGGTGAGCTCTCCATGTGGGAGGAATGTGAAGTGATCACTCATGAGGGACACTTAGGAGATGATAAAGGATTAGGTCAACTTGATAAAGGTCAGCGCTTGGGATAAGAAAGCTTGGTTTTGGGCCAGATGCAGTGGCTCCCGCCTGAGATCCCAGCACGTTGGGAGGCTGAGGCAAGAGGATTGCTTGAACTCAGGACTTTGAGGCTGCAGTGAGCTATGACTACACCACTGCACTCCAGCCTGGGTGACAGAGCAAAACCCTGTCTCAAAAGAAAAACCAAGGCTGGGCACAGTAGCTCATGCATGTAATCCCAGCTACTCGGGAGGCTGAGACAGGAGAATCGCTTAAACCCAGGAGGCAGAGGTTGCAGCGAGCCAAGATCAGGCCACTGCATTCCAGCCTGGCCCACAGAGCAAGACTCTGTCTCAAAATAAATTAATAAATAAATAAAAATAAAAATCAAGAAAAACAAAATCAATAAACAAAGAAAGTGGTTTCAGCTGTGCCCTCTGAAACTTAAAGTCTCTTACTGACTTTTCTAAACCTAAGTGTCTCCATCCATAGTGGGGGATCCCAAGGCCATGGTCACACCCTGATGTGACTGTCTCATGAGGAAATGATGGGAATTCCTTTATGACTCTGCAGTGGTCCCTCCGTGTCTGCTGGAGGGGGTCCTGGCTGATTCCCAGCTCTACATCCTGTAGATTCTCACACCCAGGGCCTCCTTCGGCCTCTTCTCAGGGGAGTCTCAGAGCAGGAGCCTCTCTCCCTTGCCCAGTGAAAGTCATTCTCCCCTCTCCCATCCACCTCACCCGCAGCCACAATCCTGAGACTTCCCCCCGGGAGGCACACTTCTCCTCGCTGCCCTGCTGCTCCCACGGAAACCCTGTCCTGCTTCTCACACTGACATCTGCTCTCTAATCACAGAGGATCCTGTCATTAAAAGATTCCTGGCCTGGGACAAAGATCTGAGGGTGTCGGACAAGGTAAGGTTGTTCTCCATGTAACTGTTCCTGTTCCAACGCATGGCTGGGGGGAGGGCGCAGCTTCCAAACCCACAGTTCTCCCTCCACCACCTCCCACCAGATGCTCCTACAGTCTTTTTTTTTTTTTTTTTTTTTTTTGTGAGACAGAGTCTTGCTCTGTTGCCCAGGCTGGAGGGCAGTGTCTCGATCTTGACTCACTGCAGCCGATGCCTCCCGGGTTCAAGCGATTCTCCTGCCTCAGCCTCCAAGCAGCTGGGATTACAGACATGAACCACCACGCCTGGCTAATTTTTGTGTTTTTAGTAGAAACGGGGTTTTGCCATGTTGGCCAGGTTGGTCCTGAACACCTGACCTCAGGCGATCCACCCGCCTTGGCCTCCCAAAGTGCTGAGATTATAGACGTCAGCCACTGTGCCCGACCAGCTCCCACGGTCTTGAGTCTTGGCACCCACACATTTTTTTTTTGTGAGACAGAGTCTAGCTCTGCTCCCCAGGATGGAGTGCAGTGGCATGATCATAGCTCATTGCAGCCTCTAATTCCTGGGCTCAAGCAATCTTCTTTCCTCAGCCTCCTGAGGAGCTGGGACTAGGCACATGCCACCATGCTCAACTAATTTTTGAAATGTTTGTAGAAACAGGGTCTCACTATGTTGCCCAGGTTGTTCTTGAACTGTTGGGCTCACATGATCCTCCTGTCTCCACCTCTCAAAAAGTACTGGGATCACAGGCTTGAGCCACCACTCCCGGCTATTCTTGGTCTTTTTATGATTTGTCAGCATCTCCCTCAGGATTCTGCTGGTCTCTTGCAGAGTGAATGAGTGGCCCCTGCCTCTCCTATGGGTCCTTTGGGATCTGAGCCCTGGGCCACAGTCTGGCTGCAGCCCTGAAGCTCCTGGCCCCTCTACTCTCAGCTCCTTGGGACAGTTCTCTGCCTGGCACACAAAAGACCCTCCTGACACCAGCCGACCTAGACACACCCCCTCCAAAGATCCCATCGGAGCCCACCATCCTGGGAGCATCACCCAAAACCCTTCCTCTGGCTTCTCAGATTTGCATCCGACCTTCGAATACCCCTCCATCCCGCAATTTCCAAATGAGTACAGTCACCCCAACACTGAGGTCCCTTCTCTGATGGGCAGCCCCTCCCCAGACCCTCATTCCCCCTCTCCACAATCTTCCTCTTCCAAGATGTGACCTCTCCCTCTCTGTGTTCCTTTCTCTCCATCAGTATCTCCTGGCTATGGTCATAGCGTATTTCAGCCGGGCCGGCCTCCCCTCCTGGCAATACCAACGCATTCATTTCTTCCTGGCTCTGTGAGTGGTTTGCTTCCTCCTATCCGTCAATATCCAATGCCCTGGGACAGCGGGGGAAGTGGGATTCCAGCCTTTCATTTATTCTTTCACCTATTTGTCCTCTTTACTCTGTGTACAAAAAAGAGAGGATTATACTATCATAGACTGTTGTTTCTAAACAGAAACTCAGGCTGGGCACAGTGGCATACGCCTGTAATCCCAGCACTTTGGGAGGCCGAGGCAGGCAGATCACCTGAGGTCAGCAGTTCGAGACCAGCCTGGCCAACATGGCCAAACCCCGTCTCTACTAAAAATAGAAAAATTAGCTGGGCGTGGTGGTGTGCATCTGTAATCCCAGCTACTTGGGAGGCTGAGGCAAGAGAACCCTTTGAACCCAGGAGGTGGAGGTTGCAGTAAGTTAAGGTCGAGCCACTGCACTCCAGCCTGGGTGACAGAGTGAGACTTTTTCTCAAAAAAAAAAAAAAAAGCCAAAAAAACAAACTCCAATGCCAGTGTACAAATAAAAGAATAAAACAAAAGGAACCATAAACCGCTCCTAAGGGGAAAAGAAAAGGAGTGGAGGAGCGGACATGCCGCTTCCTCCAGCAAGCAGACGTTTCTGGTTCTTCTCTCTCTCTCTCCTTCCCACATCAACCACAAACGCCATCGACCTCCTCTGGGTTCCCATGACAGAGGCCACAGTTCAGGTCCCCCTCGCATCACTCGAATCCACTGTCAAATGCTCCCTGCTGGGGTCTCCTGGAGTCTCTCCCCAAGCCAGGGGGCTTCCTAGTGCAGCCTGAACATCTTTCCAAAGCACGACAACCTCACTGCCCACCTGAACAACTTCCTTAGCTGATGCCTTTCTCTATCGAGGCCAGGGTCCACAGTGTCAATTCTACAATCTCTACAAGCACACTGGCTCGCCATCTTGGTATTTCCTGGCTCGGCTTCACTGCTTCTTCCAAATGCCCTCCACTCGACTTTGTGTTTGTGTTTTCTGTCTGGGTGTCCCGCACACATGTGGCTCTGAAGGGAAGGACCCATTCCTTGAAGTCAGTTCACCCCACAGCCTCTGTGATGCCTTCCCTCATCTTCCAACTTCTGCATGCCCGTAGCTCTCTAGTTACATCCTGGACACTGGGATTAGCTCATCTGCCTTGGTTACTGCCAGTCCCATTAGACTAGATGCCTGTAGAAGGCAGGGTCCTGGCAAAATATCAATGTATTCAATTTCTTTTATTTTTTTGAGACAGACTTGCCCTGTCCCCCAAGCTGGAGTGCAGTGGTGAGATCATAGCTCACTGCAGCCTCCATATCCTGGGCTCAAGCGATCCTCCCACCTCAGCTTCTTTATTAGCTCCGACTACAGGGCTGTGCCACCACACCTGGACAGTTTGTTTGTTTGTTTGATTATTGAGATAGAGTCTTGCTCTGCCTCTCAGGCTGGAATGGAGTGGCCCAATCTCGACTCACTGCAACCTCCGCCTCCTGGGTTCACACAATTCTTATGCTTCAGCCTCCTGAGTAGCTAGGCCTAACGGGTGTGCCACCGCACCAGGCTGATTTTTGTATTTTTAGTAGAGATGGGGTTTCTCCGTGTTGACCAGGCTGGTCTCCAACTCCTGGTCTCAAGCGATCCACCTGCTTCAGCATTCTAAAGTGCTGGGATTACAGGCATGAGCCACCGCGTCTGGCATATTTCTTATATTTTTAATAGAGACGAGGGTCTTGCTATGTTGCCCAGGCCCGTCTCAAACTCCTGGCCTCAAGTGATCCTCCTGCTTTGGCCTCCCAGTGTGCTGGGATTCCAGGCATAAGCCACCACTCTCGGCCACCAGTTGGGCTTTTGTCTCCATCCTGAAGGAGTGGGAGACGCCCTTGATCAGGTCTCTGTCCAGCAGAGCCCTCCTGAGGAAGGCGTGGCTCTCTGCAGGGTGGGTGCCAGTCCTGAGCTAGGGACAGTCCCTTACCTTCCTCTCTGGGAAGCTGACCTCAGCCGGAGGCCTCTCCTGGTGGTGCCCCTGAGCACCAACCTGATTTCTGTCCTCAGCTACCTGGCCAATGACATGGAGGAGGACGACGAGGACCCCAAACAAAACATCTTCTACTTCCTGTATGGGAAGACCCGCTCTCGCATACCCTTGGTCCGTAACCGTCGGTTCCAGTTATGCCGTTGCTTGAACCCGAGGGCCAGGAAGAACCGCTCTCAGATAGCCCTGTTCCAGAAACTTCGGTTCCAGTTCTTCTGTTCCATGAGCGGCAGGGCTTGGGTTTCCCGGGAGGAGTTGGAGGAGGTGAGTGGGGCCTGGGGAGGTGGAGGAGGTGGGGAGGAATCGGGTGGGCTGGAGGCTGGATGAGGGGAGAGAGGGGTATCCTGGCGAGTCCCCGTCTTCTCAAAGGGCGTTTGTTTTTCCAGATCCAGGCTTATGACCCAGAGCACTGGGTGTGGGCGCGAGATCGCGCTCGCCTTTCCTAGAGCTCCAGGGACCGTGGAGGCCTGAGGTCATCGGCCTGAGAGAAGGTACATCTGCATCCTCCGGGGTAAAGGCAGAATATTGGGGTCTATTTTGGAAATCCGAGGAACCCAATTGCTTGATCCGGCTTCAAGCCTGGGCAACGTGGCGAGATCCCCTCTCCACAAAAATACAAAAATTAGCCAGGCGATGTGGGACGCATCTCTACTCCCAACTACTCAGGAGGCTGAGGCGGGAGGATCGCTGGAGCCTGGAAGGTCAGGGCTGCACGGAGCCCTGATCCTGCCACTGCACTCCAGTCTGGGCGACAGAGTGAGACCCTGCCTCAAAAATAATCATAAATACTGAGTTTGGGGAGGTTCATTATGATTGACGCACTTGAGTTACCGATTTGGGTCGAGGGTTCAGTGAAGCTTTGGTTTACATCTTGTGCAGCTAACCACGGTGAGCACAGAGCATGAGACTTCATCATGAGGAGGTAGGATTAAGGATTAGGCTTCTGGACTCGTGGTTCGTGATGTTGTCACATTAGAAACACATCTAGCATGGTTACAAGTTTAGATCTTAAGTGACACAAAAGGCCCCAGCTATGATGAAGTCCAAAGCCACATTCTCTGAGGGTGCCCTACTCCCTGGGCAGACCCACCCAAAGTCCTTGCTATGAAGCAGATCACTGGGGCTGACCTTGGGTGTATTAAGTGAGTTTTGGAGTTGTGGTCACCAAAGTGTGAGTTTCACAGTTGAACACGATGGTTCAGAAGCAGGGTATAGAATGAAAGGCAGCAGATAAAATTGCATTTCTCAATTGCTCTGAACTCTAGACTTGACATGGGACGTGAATAACCTTCCTGTCTAGAGAGCTGCCTCCTTCAAGTGTGACATTGTCTCTCTCACTTCCAGAACACCGGACCCAGGGGAGATGTGGATTTTCAGCAGGAACTTTATTCCAATGCTAATGGCAGACAACAGGAAAGAGGAGAGGAACCATTTGTGCAGATCATCTAGAAGAACCTGGACCATTCTTGATGGAGCTGAATACAGTGATCACGTTGTCCTCCTGGGAGCAGGGGTGGGGGGAGGGGGGTGGGGTCCTTCTAGGAGTCCTTGGAGAAAAGTAAGAAAACAGGAGTGTTTCCAGTTCCACCCTTTCCTGCGGCACCACCACCCTTTCTATATTGCTGAATTCCAACCTCCCTGGGCCGGAACCTGGAGGTCCTGTTTCTTACAGACTTGGTTGCCACAGTCCAGGAGCATTTGAAGGCACAATGCAGGGGCTCAGATTGGCACAGAATTCTTTTGTGAAATATCAGTGCCACAGATTGTAACAGATAGCTTCATGCACACTCTGCATTTTATTGGTTTGTTTGGAAATGTTGGCCATTGAATTATTCATAGATTTATTTCAAATAGTTTGGAAATTGTTGTACTTTTGAAAACATGCTGTTCCTGTAGTTTTTTGATGAGAGTTATAGTTGTTATATATACATAAAGATAATTTTCTTTTCATTTTTAAGAGACAATTCTTTTTATCCTAAATATTTTATTATCTTTAAATTTGTTTCTGTATTATTATATGTGCTCCTGAAGCGAGCACTCTTTTTATCTATGATACTTCCATAAAAATCTCTTCTATTTATAGCTATTGGTAGTTCCCCACCAGAAAAAAACATAATTCTGGTGATAGAAATTTTTATTTGCTGTTTAGGTTTGTGACTGAATTGTGAGAATTCAGTTGTGATTTTTAACATGTCTCAGATATATATACTAACACGTCTAATACATACTATCTAATTTATTGGTTTATTTTGAAAAACATGGGTATAGAATTATTTAAGTATTATTTTATTTATTGAAATATTTATTAAATATATTTATTTATTTAAATATTATTATTACTTTAAATATTATTTTAAATATTTTGGAAATACTGGTATTTTTGAATAGATGCTGTTTCTATAAAGCTGTGTGATGGGTGTTATAACTATTATATACACATACATATAATTTTGTTTTCCTTTTTAAGAGAGGATTCTTTTCATCCTAAATCTTTTACCTTTCAATCTTTGTATCTATTATTACACGTGCTGCTGAAGGGAGCATGGTTTTTATCTGTGATACTTAGTTAACATATATATTACATTTATAGCTATGTAGTAGTTCCCCTAAATTCTTGTAAAAATAAATTTTTATTTGATATTTCATATATGTTTGAAATGTGAGAATTCAGATGTAATTTTTTACCTTGTTTTGGCATCTTTGTATGTTACTTTAAAGAGGATGTGTGTTCTAAAGGAGGACATGAGCTGTGTGTTTTCAAGAGAACAATAGAGTGCGTCTCTTGTGGAAACATAATAAAAATGAACTTTTCTCACCTTCACAGCAACTGTGATCATATTGGTCTGGATTGATTATTTGCTGCCCAGTGATATTTTTCCTTAATGGGGTTGTGGTTATTTGAACATATTTATTAGCTCTGGAAGATAATCCTGTGCTGTTTTTTATGTAGAAAAAAAACATACGGCTGGGTGCAGTGCTCACACCTACAATCCCTGCAGTTTTGGAGGTCTTGGCAGGAGGATCACCTGAGGCCAGGAGTTTGAGGCCGGCCTCAGCAACATAGCATCTACATCTATTTTTAATTTTTATTTTTTAAAGAAAAACAATAGAAGAGAAGGCTCAAGCTACAGGGTTTTTTTGTTTGTTTGTTTTGGAGACAGTCTTGCTCTGTCTCCCAGGCTGGAGTGCAGTGGCACAACCTCGGCTCCCTGCAACTTTCACCTCTGGGTTCAAACAAATTCTCCTGCCTCAGTCTCCCAAGCAGCTGGGACTACAGGCACCCGTCTGTACGTCCGACCAACTTTTGTAAAAATAGTAGAGACAAGGTTTCACCATGTTGGCCAGGCTGGTCTCGAACTCCTGACTTCAAGTGATCCACCCACCTCGGCCTCCCAAAGTGCTGGGATTAACAGGCATGAGCTACTGCGCCCAGATGCCAAGCTAGAGTTTTAAGGCAGGAAATGAGAGAAAGATATTGAGAGAGGAAAACCAGGTGGTAAGAAAACTCTAAAGGTGGCCGGGCGTGGTGGCTCACGCCCATGATCCCAGCAGGAGTTTGAGACCAGCCTGGCCAACATGGTGAAACCCTGTCTCTACTAAAAATACAAAAATTAGGCAGACGTGGTGGTGCATGCCTATAATCCCAGCTATTTGGGAGGCTGAGGCAGGAGAATCACTAGCAGAGATTGTGTCTCCTCACGCCCTCTCAAAAAAAAAAAAAAAAAAAAAAAGAAAGTTCCTGCAGCAGTTAAAGCTGTGAAAGACAGGCACTCTGCCATGAAATTCTTTGTGATTTTTCTTTTTTCTTTTTGGAATTGGGGTCTTGCGCTGTCACCCAGACTGGGGTGCAGTGGTGTGGTCATAGCTCACTGCGGCCTCAGGCTCAAGCTCAAGCTCAAGCGATCCTCTTACCTTGCCTTTCAAATTGCTGGGATTATAAGCATGAGCCACTGCATCTGGCCTGTGTGACACAATTCTGTTTTTTGTCTTTTTTTTTTTTGGGGGGGGGATGGAGTCTCGCTCTGTCACCCAGGCTGGAGTGCGGTGGCGTGATCTTGGCTCAATGCAAGCTCCGCCTCCTGGGTTCACGCCATTCTCCTGCCTCAGCCTCCCGAGTAGCTGGGACTACAGGCGCCCGCCACCATGCCTGGCTAATTTTTTGTATTTTTAGTAGAGACGGGGTTTCACTGTGTTAGCCAGGATGGTCTCGATCTCCTGACCTCGTGATCTCTCCGCCTTGGCCTCCCAAAGTGCTAGGATTACAGGCGTGAGCCACTGCGCCCAGCCTATGTGATGCAATTCTGATGTCAACTCCCTGATGTTACCTCAAATGCCACAGGTTAAGGCCACCAGCCCCCACTAGGCTGCCCTCGCTTTAGACACACCTGCAGGCTTGGGTGTCCTCAGACCACATGTACTTCTCACCAACTGGCTGCAAATTTGGAGGTTCCCACCATGCCCTGAAGTTCGATAACTCACTAAAACAATTCACAGAATGCAGAAAAGCATGATACTTTCTTTCTCTTTTTTTTTTTTTTTTTTTTTTTTTTTGAGACGGAGTCTTGCTCTGTCGCCCAGGCTGGAGTACAGTGGCCACCATGCTTGGCTAATTTTTGTATTTGTATTAGAGACGGGATTTCGCCATGTTGGCCAGGCTGGTCTTGAACTCCTGACCTCAGGTGATCCACCCGCTTTGGCATCCCAAAATGCTGGGATTATAGGCATAGCCACCATGCCCGGTCGACTTCTAGAGTTTCAATAACAGAGATGTGATTCAAGAAGGGAGACATGTTTTGTAGATGGCAGGAGCTTCATGAAAAGAAGCCAATGAAGGGCAGGACGTGTAGCTGTCTACCTACAGGAAACCAGCCAGGAGCCTCCCCACAGGGACTTCAGCACAGACAGCTGGGAAAATCTGTATTCACCTGAGCTCTGGACCTAAGAGAGGACAAGGCCTTGACTGTTTCTACAGACTCACAAGATGCAATCTCTGCGGTCCATGCCCGTGGTGTGATCTGGGAAACAGGGGGCCTTCTAAATGCCAACAACAAGGAAATCAAATGTGCAACAGACAGAAATATCGGCATTGACACGGGCCATGGAGAGGCCTAAACAGATGACTGCAGTCCACTGCCAAGGTCATCAAAGGGGTGACTCTGAAATAAGAAATTTCAGACGCCACGGCCCAAATAGCTGCACGAGGTGGGGAAGTCCTCCACATGCCTCTGCTTCCTTCAGTACCTCTTCATGAAATAAGCCGAGGTACTTCCCTGGGGAATTTCCTTTCTCTTTCTTTCTTTCGAGACGGAGTCTTGCTCTGTCGCCCAGGCTAGAGTGCAGTGGCGCGATCTCGGCTCACTGCAACCTCTCCCTCCCGGGTTTTGGCAATTCTTCTGTCTCAGACTTCTGAGTAGCTGAGATTACAGGTGTGTGCCACCATGCCCAGCTAATATTTGTATTTTTACTCGAGACAGGGTTTCACCATCTAGGCCAGGCTGGTCTTGAACTCCTGACCTCGTGATCCACCCATCTTGGCCTCCCAAAGTCCTGGGATTACAGGCACGAGCCACCACACCCAGACTTCTTTTTTTATTTTTTGAGATGAAGTTTCGCTCTTGTTGCCCAGGCTGGAGTGCAATGGCGAGATCTCAGCTCACTGCCACCTCCTCCTCCCAGGTTCAAGTGATTATCCTGCCTCAGCCTCCCGAGTAGCTGGGATTACAGGCACCCAACACCAAACCCCGCTGACTTTTTGTATTTTTAGTAGAGATGGAATGTCACCATGTTGGCCAGGATGGTCTTGAACCCCTGACCTCTAATGATCTACCCGAATTGGTCTCCCAAAATGCTGGGATTACAGGCGTGAGCCACTGTGCCCAGCCCCTCCCATACCTCTTTTGGCCAAGGCAGTACAATTCAGAGAATCTTGCCAGGGAAGACTGGTAAATGGACATCAACATGATGCCTATGGCTCCTGGTGGATTTAGATACCTCCTGGTGCTTACTGATACCTTTACCAGTTACATGGGGGCTTTTCCATGCCAGACTGAAAATGCTGGAGATCACTGATCAACCTTCAACTATTTACTAGCAGAACACTGAGGGGACTCTGCAGTCACCAATATCTCCTATTGCACTTGGATAAACACCTCCCGGGAAATAGAGATGAATAGAAAGGAAATACTTAAACAAGCAGAATGGCTACATTCCTTCAACCAGAAGGGTCCATTAGTCTGTTTTCACACTGCTATAAAGAACTACTGGAAACTGGGGAATTTATGAAGAAAAGAGGTTTAATTGACTCACAGTTTTGCAGGCTGTACAGGAAGCATGGCTGGGGAGCCCTCAAGAAGCTGACAATCACGGCAGAAGGCGAAGGGGAAGCAGGCACGTTTCTGGCCATGGTGGAGCAGGAGAGACAGAGAGAGTGAAGCAGGAGGTGCTGCATGCTTCTAAACAACCAGATCCCATGAGCGCTCACTCACTATCACGAGACCAGCAAGGGGGACGTCAGCCGCCATGAGCCAATCATCTCCCACCAGGTCCCTCCCTCAACACTGGGAATTGCAATTTGACATGAGATTTGGTTGGGGATACAGAGCTGAACCATATCAAGGGTAGTTCAACCACTGAGATTGATTGATTGACTGAGATGGGGTCCTGCTCTGTTACCTAGGCTGGAGTGCAGTGGCACAATCTCGGCTCACTGCAACCTCCGCCTCCCAGGTTCAAGCAATTCTCCTGCCTCAGCCTCCCTAGTAGCTGGGACTACAGCACACGCCACCACACCTGGCTAATTTTTGTATTTTCAGTAGAGACGGGGTTTCACCATGTTTGCCCGGCTGGTCTTGAACTCCTGACCTCGTGATCACCCTGCCTCGGCTCTTCTTTTGCTGGAATTACAGGTGTGAGCCACCGCACCCGGACAACCACTGAGATTTAGAAGGCAGTCGAGTCCACTATACCACACCTCACCTGGTTTCTTCCTCTGTTGGGGCCCCTCGTGGCCACTGTTCCGTTACTTTTTGGTCCTATTTATTTAAATGGATGGTGAGCTGTTTGTCCTCCAGGATCCAACACTTCCACCTTCAGCTTGTATTACAACAATACCAGCCTTTCAAGCTACTCCGGGTGACCCCAGAACTCATCTGAACTCAGAAGCCCAAGAGTTTCATTCCTCTCACTTTAGGGGACTAAGTGCCCCTGGTCAGCATGAAGTCGATACAGAAGCATGACCTCCATCCCTAATCCCTCAAGAATGAGGAGTGGAAGGTGTTGGCAGGAGGGTGGGACGCGGTTTGTAAATCTGTAACTGCATCAGACCAAATCTAGTTCAACTTTTTTTTTTTTTGATGGAGTTTCACTCTTGTCACCCAGGCTGGAGTGCAATGGCACGATCTCAGCTCACTGCAACCTCCACGTCCTAGGTTCAAGCATTCTGCTGCCTCAGCCTCTGGGGTAGCTGGGATTACAAGGGTGCGCCACCACGCCTGGCTAATATTTATATTTTTAGTAGAGACGGGGTTTCACCATTTTGGCCAGGCTGGTCTTGAACTCCTCGACCTCAGGTGATCCACCTGCCTTGGCCTCCCAAAGTGCTGGGATTACAGGCGTGAGTCACCGCACCCGAATCAGTTCAACTTTTATGTAATGAAGTTGTCAGTTGTTTTCCAATTGCCATCGACCTGCAGGTTGAAGGTCATGTACCCTGTGCATGCCCAGGTTAACCACGCGTGCCACCGTGGAGTGGAACCTAAGAGCTCAGCCTGAAGAGCTCGGACCGATTTAAGAACCAGACACCCCCAGGCAGGAGCCAGGATCCAATCAGATTGAGTTTTGGTGTCACCCCATGGCAGGATCCAGTCAGATCACACCTCCCAGCATTACTTTATTGCAAGATCCAATCAAATCACACCTCATTACCCTATGCTTATAAAACCTGACATAGCCCCCAGCTGTGTAAGGGAGATTTGAGTACTTCCTCCTGTGTTCTTGCTGGCTGACTTACAAAAAAGCTTTAAAAAAAAAAGCCAGGCGTGGTGGCTCACGCCTGTAACCCCAGCACTTTGGGAGGCTGAGGTGGGCAGATCACTTGAGGTCAGGGGTGCAAGACCAGCCTGGCCAACATGGTGAAACCCCATCTCTACTAAAAATACAAAAATTAGCTGGGTGTGGTGACACACACCTATAATCCCAGCTACTTGGGAGGCTGAGGTAGGAGAATCACTTGAACCCAGGAGGCGGAGGTTGCAGTGAGCCAAGATCACACCACTGCACTCCAGCCTGGGCGACAGAGTGAGAAGACTCCGTCTAAAAAAAAAAGTTAAAATTAGCACCAAACGCTTTACAAGTAAAAAAAGTTTTTAGCTGCATATGTTTAAGTAACTTTTTAGATTATAAGAAATACGCATGCAAAATGGAAAGGCACAAAGAAGAGAGCAAAAAGTGCATGAGATCTCACATCCAAGGATAACCGCTGAGAACATGGAAGTGCTGACTCTTCAGTCTTTATACTATACACATTTAGGCCTGTTTTGTTTTTATAAAACTGTAATCATATAATACAGACAGTTTTATAATCTGCTTTTTAAACACGACAATTATATAACATTTAGCTGTTTCATTTGCATTCAAATTCATAAGGGTGCCAGTAACTCATTTATCAGAAAACCAAGAGAAATATTCTCATAAAAATATAAGTACATAAGGTCAGGCATGGTGGCTCACGCCTGTAATCCCAGCACTTTGAGAGGCCGAGGTGGGCGGATCACCTGAGGGCAGGAATTCGAGACCAGCCTGGCCAGCCTGGACAACATGGTGGAACCCCGTCTCCACTGAAAATACAAAAATTAGCCGGGCGTGGTGGCGCGCGCCTGTAATGGTAGCTACTCAGAAGGCTGAAGCAGGAGAATCGCTTGAACTTGGCAGGTGGAGGTTGCAGTGAACTGAGATCGCGCCACTGCACTGCAGCCAGGGCGCCAAAGTGAGACTCCATCTCAAAAAAAGATAAAAATAAAAAATAAAAAAAATGTATATATATGTATATATATTTTTCCAGACAGGGTCTTACTCTGTCTCACAGTCTGAAGTGTGGTGACGCAATCATAGCTCACTGCAGTCTCAAGTTCCTGGGCTCAGGTGATCCTCCCACTTCAGCCTCCCAAGTAGCTGGAACTACAGGTGCATGCCACCATGCCCAGTCAATTTTTTTTTTAATTTTTCATAGAGACAGAGTCTCACTATGTTTCCCAGTCCTAATAAACATTATGTGATAAAAAGAAAAAAGTAAATCATCCTGAAGTTAAGTCTTTAATGAGAAATGCAAATAAAGCATTTCTCAATAAATTATGGGAAGAGAATCAACTGAAGAATAAACATCTTTAGTAAATCTTTTGCTCGTGTGCATTAACCAATACTCTTGAAAACCAGGATTAATTTACTGTACCTTCTTAATATTCCTTTGAAATTCCTTATGGCGCACAGGTAGCGTAGAAAATAACTGCTTCACGCTGACTGTGGTCCCTCTGGGGTGGGGGTAGGGGGTTTTCTGGATGATTTTCCCATCGTGATCAAACACCAGTCGAGTCCCAACCTTCGCCGATACGTGGCAGGTAGAAATGGTGACATCACTGTGAGAGAATACCAGGCATGGTGTGTTCAGTGAGAGATCCGTGATGTTGGGCACTGACTACTCTTTTCTTCACTTGCTTTTCTCTCAAAATTTTCTTAAAAAGCTGATGATCCCTCTGAGATAACCGAGATCTAAACGGTTGAGGAGTCATCACAAAATCTAAGGTCTGGCATCTAAAAGACAGTGAGACAGAGAGCACTAAACATGCTTTGTTTTGATAAAAGCTCTGACTTCATTTTTCAGGTTGAATTGCAAAACCATAAATGATCTCAAGATTTATTGATTCTCAAATAGAGATTTGTTTTGTTATTACTCTTCAAACAAAATTTTTTAAAAGAATTTTTTTAAAGAATTTTTTAAAATTTTTAAAAATTTTTTTAAAGAATCCAAAAGATATTATAATTAAAATGTATATGTAGGGCAGGGTGCGGTGGCTCGTGCCTGTAATTCCAGCACTTTGGGAGGCCAAGGAGGGCAGATCACTTGAGGCCTGGAGTTCCAGACCAGCCTGGGCAACATGGCAAAACCCCATCTCTACTAAAAATACAAAAATTAGCCAGGAGTGGTGGTGCACGCTATAGTCCCAGCTCTTCAGGAGGCTGAGTCACGAAAGTCACTTGAACCTGGGAGGCAGAGACTGCAGTGAGCTGAGACTGTGCCACTGCACTCCAGCCTGGGTGACAGAGTGCGACTCTGTCTAAAAAAAAAAAAATATATATATATATATATATATGTGTGTGTGTATATATATATGTATATATGTATATATATGTATATATGTATATATGTATATATATGTATACATATATGTATATATATGTATACATATATGTATATATATGTATATATATGTATATATATGTATATATGTGTGTGTGCATGTAATTATTTATAAAAATTTAGTATCTGTGCTATAATTAAATAGTGCTTTGGTGAAATGTTTCCCTAAAAATTGATAATGAAAACCAATGGTAACTATCATTTATTATCTATATGTTATGTTCAAATTGAGAAGTTACTGTTTTAATAAGGGTAACCAATTTTTTAAACAATACTATTTGCTTCATTTCATTCATTTATTGCTCACATTTCAGAAGTACTAGGACTTAGATTGGCTGTGAGACAAAACAGAATTCAGAAGCTAGAAGCTGAGATATTGAGATAGAAAATTGTAAATAATAATGATTCCAATTAATTTTCAGAGAGGTTTTTCTAAGGGGTCAAGTGAATGGATAAAAATATTTTATCACCTCAGTGCACAAAGTGAGCTCAGAGCTTTCCCCCGAAAGCCAAAAGTTTCAACCCGAGTTAGGTCGGCAAACTCTTGAATCTTAGATGTGTGATGTTTCAGAGCTGAAAGAGACTGTAAAGTAAGGACTAAGATATCTCAAGTGCTATAACAACAAATATACATGATATCTAGTAACTGGCTTTAAAAAACTGTTTTTGTGTTTCCCAAGACAGTGTTACTCAAAATTCTAAGACATGTGGCCCAATTATTTTATAATAGGATTAGAAAGTTAACTTACTTAAGCCTTCGAAGTTTTCTTCTTCTACCCCACATCCATTGCCTGAAACTTCAATGAGATCCATTCCATAGTCCTTAAGCTTTAGATCTAGAAAGTTTAAAATATTTATATATTTATTAAAAATGGACCCACGCTATCAGTTTTTATATTGATATTATTTATAACGTGCAAATTTAAGTGTCGTAACTATACCTTTAGTTAAACATACTAGTGTCATTTTGTATATTTCATTTTTATAAAGTTCTTTCTGGCCATTTACTAGCCCAGATTAAATAGTTTAGCATTTTCTTTCTTTCCTCTTTTTTTTTTTTTTTCCTTACACTAGTCAAGTGAAGCAGTTGGAGTGGAGAAGGAACAAAAAAATCTGTAACTGGTTGTGATCAATTAGTTGTAAAGACCGTTGCACTTTGACCAGCCTTTTCCTTTGAAAGAAATAATTTTAACATACCCAGTAAGGAGAACGGGGGCCGGGCGCAGTGGTTCATGCCTGTAATCCCAGCACTTTGGGAGACCAAAGCGAGCGGATCACCTGAGGTCAGTAGTTCGAGACCAGCCTGACCAACGTAGAGAAACTCTATCTCTACTAAAAATACAAAATTAGCCAGGCGTGGTGGTGCATGCCTGTAATCCCAGCTACTTGTGAGGCTGAGGCAGGAGAATCGCTTGAACCTGGGAGGTGGAGGTTGCAGTGAGTTGAGATCGTGCCATTGCACCGCAGCCTCGGCAACAAGAGCAAAACTCTATCTCAAAAAAAAAAAAAAAAGAAAAAAAAACAGAACTGGTTCTGGAATCAGACTTCCTAGATTCTATTTTATTAGCTTTATAATCTCAAAAAAAGGAAATTTACTGTCCCTTAATTTCCTCAACTGTAAAATGGAGGTAATAAGTTCTATCTCATAAAGTTATTTGGCAGATTAATAATTTTTTTTTAATTTTGTCATTTTCTTTTTTTTCTTTCCTTTTTTTTTTTTTTTTTTTAATTTTTTGAGATGGACTTTTGCTCTTGTCACCCAGGCTGGAATGCAGTGGCACAATCGATCTTGGCTCACTGCAACCTCCACCTCCCAGGTTTAAGCAATTCTCCTCCCTCAGCCTTCTGAGGAGCTGAGATTACAACCATGCACCATCACATCTGGCTAATTTTTGTATTTTTAGTAGAGACAGGGTTTTACCACATTGGTTAGGCTGGTCTTGAACTCCTGACCTCAAAGCATCAGCCCCCCTCAGCCTCCCAAAGTGCTGGGATTACAGATGTGAGCCACTACTCCAGGATTTATTTTATTTTATTTTATTTTATTTTTTTGAGACAGAGTCTTGCTCTGTCCCCAGGCTGGCGTGCAGTGGCACAATCTCGGTTCACTGCAACCTCCACCTCCCAAATTTAAACAATTCTCATTCCTGAGCCTCCCCAGTAGCTGGGATTACAGGCTTCTGCCACCAGGTCTGGCTAATTTTTGTATTTTTAGTAGAGACAGAGTTTCACCATTTTGGACAGGCTGGTCTCGAATTCCTGACCTCAGGTATCCACCCGCCTTGGCCTCCCAAAGTGCTGGGATTACAGGCGTGAGCCACCACACCCGGCCTGCTTTATTTTTTAATAGAGACGAGGTCTCCCCATGTTGGCCAGGTTGGTCTTGAACTCTTGGCTTCAAGCAATCCCCCCACCTCAGCCTCTCAAAGGGCTAGGATTACAGGCGTCAGACACCACGCCCAGCTATTCTGCAAATTAAATATTTCTGTGCAATTCTTAGCATAACACCTGCCTGGCACACCATAAGAACACAAGAAAAGCTGTCGTTATTATTATTACTACCTAGCTAAGTACTAGGCACATAATAGGTGCTAACTTTAACTTAAAAATAATAACTTATTACTACATCAACACTTGATAGTCTTATTTCAATAACAAATGTTTCTTGACTACAACAACATTCACTGATCATTTCTTGTGGCTTAAAACTCTCCCAAACTTACCAACATTAGTGGCACCAGCATCCAGACTGTTTTCTACTATCTTCTTCATCCAGTGCTTAGACTCAGTACCACCTGCCCAGAGCAAATCTGATGGACTGACTTCCGATCAATAGGTTTGATGGCCTTAGCAGGTTCTGTACTAAAGAAATCAGTTACAAGAAACAAAGCAAGTATTCAGCTATATATTTTCATCCTGATTTTAACTGTGGGAAATGACTCAACACTGCAAATAGTTTATGGGTCTAATCTATTCATTTATTATATTAACAAATACATTTATTATATCCAGAAATGGAAACATTGTTTTACAATCCTTAAACAAGTACCCAAAATACTTCTGGATAGACACTTCAAATTCAACACATCCTTACTATCTAGTATCCACATGGAGAAAACATACATTGTATCTCTCAAATTACCAAAATCTTTGGCAATAATGGTGTCTTCTTTCTTGAAAACTGAAAGCATGGCCGGTGCGGTGGCTCATGCCTGTAATCCCAGCAATTTGGGACACAGAGGCAGGCGGATCACTTGAGATCAGGAGTTTGAGACCAGCCTGGCCAACGTCGTGAAACCCTGTCTCTACCAAAAATACAAAAAATTAGCCAGGCATGGTGGTGGGCGCCTGTAATCCCAGCTACTTGGGAGGCTGAGGCAGAAGAATCACTTAAACCTGGGAGGCGGAGGTTGCAGTGAGCTGAGATTGCAGCATTGCACCCTAGGCTGGGCAATGAGCAAAAAAAAAAGTAAAAGCAACATAATTTCCCACATAATTAGAAAAACCAACAGTATGCTGGGAAATACACAATGTTTAAGTCAAAATCATCTCAGAAATTGGATACCAGTTATATAACTATTCCTTATACACAGTTGCCTTTGATACCCTACTCCAAATTGAAGCTGCCAGCTGCTGTCTTAGCAAAGACCCTCAAAGTTCTTGCTGTACTTGTTTTAAGAGGTTTTTTTTTTTTTTTTTTTTTTTTTTTTTTTTTTTTGAGACGGATTCTTGCTCTGTCGCCCTGTCGCCCAGGCTGGAGTGCAGTGGCACAATCTTAGCTCACTGCAAGCTCTGCCTCCCGGGTTCACACCATTCTCCTGCCTCAGCCTCCTGAGTGGCTGGGACTACAGGCGCCCACCACCATGCCCAGCTAATTTTTTGTATTTTTAGTAGAGACAGGGTTTCACCGTTTTAGCCAGGATGGTCTCGATCTCCTGACTTCGTGATCCGCCCGCCTCAGCCTCCCAAAGTGCTGGGATTACAGGCGTGAGCCACCATGCCCAGCCCACTTTAAGAGTTTTATAACGGTTTCATTTCCCCTTATTCCCTGCTCCAACCCATCCTCCACTCTATCACCAGAGCTATTTTTGAAATCACGAATCTGGTCAAATAATTTTTCTGCTTGAAAAATTACTAGTGCCCCACTTCCTACTATATGAAACTTAAAATCTAGTCATCACTGGGCCCCAAACTACCTTCTTTTCAGAATCTCTCTAATCCTTTCCCTTCATCAAGTCCCCTACATTATTATTATTATTATTATTATTATTATTATTATTATTATTATTATTTGAGACAGAGTCTCACCCTGTCACCTGGGCTAGAGTGCAATGGCATGATCTCGGCTCACTGCAACCTCCACCTCCCAAGTTCAAGTGATTCTCCTGTCTCAGCCTCCCAAGTTGCTGGGATTATAGGCATCCACCATTACACTCAGCTAATTTTTGTGTTTTTAGTAGAGATGGGGTTTCACCATGTTGGCCAGGCTGGTTTCTAACTCCTGACCTCAGGTGATCTGCCCGCCTTGGCCTTCCAAAGCACTAGGATTACAGGTGTGAGCCACCGCAACTGGCCGTCCCCTATATTGCAGCACAGTGAACAACTGTTTCCTGAACATCACAAGCTCTTTTAGACACTACAGTGTATAAGCAGGTCTCTGTCTAAACTGCTCTCCTCTTGCCCCTCTGCCCAACCAATGTCTGCTCATCCAAAGAATGTATCCCGTGTGTTCATTAACTTAGCAAGTTCCCAGTAAACAGTTTAATTGATCACTCGTTAAGAGAAGGCGGGAAACCTCCATGAAAAGAGAAATCAGTGGGTATTTCCTACAGCATTTAACACATCGTAGGCCTTCAATAAACCCTTGTGAAATAAACAAACCTCTTTACTCTTCATTCTATGTTGCTAAGAATCTCACCTAAGTCTGTCTACCATGTGAAACTGCAGATGACCTCACAGAAAATGGAAAGAAGTATCTCTAAAAATAAGTTTATTTGGCAACACACTACAGGCTACAGGTTCACTTCTGATTCTTTTTCTTTTTTTTTTTGAGATGGAGTCTTGCTGTGTTTACCCAAGACATGTTTTAGACTGTAAATTGGAGGCTGAAAAACATCATAACATCACTTTTGCCCTACTCAATGACTATCCTGTTACTAAGGTTGGGCCAAAATTAAAGGGGGGGTCATAGGCCCCCACCTCTTTTTTTATTTTCAGACAGGGTCTCCCTCCGCTGCCCAGGCTGGAGTGCAGGGGCGCAATCATAGCTCACTGCAGCCTTGACCTCCCAGGCTCAAGCAATCCTCCTGCTTCAGCCTCCCAAGTAGCTGGGACATGGGCATGCATCATCACAGCTGGCTAATTAAAAACATTTTTTTTTTGAGACGGAGTCTCGCTCTGTTGTCCAGGCTGGAGTGGAGTGGCGCGCTCTCGGCTCACTGCAACCTCTGCCTCCTGGGTTCAAGCAATTCTCCTGCCTCAGCCTCCTGAGTACCTGGGATTATAGGTGCCCAACACCACACCTGGCTAATTTTTTGTATTTTAGTAGAGACAGGATTTCACCATGTTGCCCAGGCTGGTCTCAAACTCCTCAGCTCAGGCAACCCGCCTGCCTTGGCCTCCCAAAGTGCTAGGATTACAGGCATGAGTGACCATGCCCAGCCTAAAAACTTTTTTTTAAGGGATGGGATCTTGCTAGGCTGCCCAGGCTGGTCTTGAAGTCCTGGCCTCAAGCAATCCTCCCACCTTGGCCTCCCAAAGTTCTAGGATTACAGGCGTGAGCCACCATGCCTGGCTGATCCTCACCTATTTTTTTGTTGTTGTTTGAGACAGGGTCTATCTCCATCTCCTCGGCTGGAGTGCAGTGGCTTGATCATGGCTCACTCCAGCCTCAACCTCCTGGGCTCAAGCAATGCTACCACTTCAGCCTCCCGAGTGGCTGCGACTACAGGTGTGCACCACCACACCCTGCTAATTTGTGTATTTTTTGTAGAGATGAGGTCTTGCTATGTTGCCCAGGCTAGTTTCAAACTCCTGGCCTCAGTCAATCCTCCCACCTTGGCCTCCCAAAGTGCTGGGATTATAGGTGTGAGCCACCACCTCTGGCCAGCTCCCACCTGTTGATCAAAGGAGCATCAAAGAATTTGCAGCCTCCAGAAGGAGGTCATTTCCTGCCTCTGAGTCTCAGTTTCCACATCTATGAAATAAAGTTAATGATCCTTCACTCCAGGGTTGTCGTGAAGGCTAAATTAAGTTGTATTTGGAAAAATATGTGGGGCACAGTAGGTGTGTTTCTCACACCCAGAGTCAGAGTGTTTAGCAGAGGGTTAGTAGTTGCCTCCAGGGCATGAAGGGCTCTTCCTGACCCTAAGTGTGAGGAACGCTTTGGGTTAAAAGATTGTACTTTTCTGCGTTCAGCTGAAAGGTGGAGGGCTCAGTGAGGTGGCTCACACCTGTAATTCCAATGCTTTGGGAGGCCGAGGTGGGAGGATCACTTGAGCCCAGGAGTTTGAGAGCAGCTTAAACAACACAGTAAGACCTTGTTTCTACACACACACACACACACACACACACACACACACACACACACACACACATATTAGCCAGGCGTGGTGGCATGCGCCTGTAGTTCCAGCTACTTGGGAGGCTGAGGTGGGTGGATTGCTTGAGGCAAGGAGTTTGAGACAAGCCTGGTCAACATAGTGACACCCCATCATCCCCCAAAATCATTTTTCTTTGTTTTAAGGCAGAGCCTCACTCTATTGCCCAGGCTGGAGTGCAGTGGTGTGATCTCACCTCCTTGCAACCTCTGCCTCCCGGGTTCAAGCGATTCTTGTGTCTCAGCCTCCTGAGTAGCTAGGATTACAGGTGTGCACCACCATGCCTGGCTAATTTTTGTATTTTTAGCGGAGATGGGGTTTTGCCGTGTTGGTCAGGCTGGTCTTCAACTCCTGGCCTCAAGTGATCCGTCTGCCTTGGCCTCCCAAAGTGCTGGGATTACAGGTGTGAGCCACTGTGCCCAGCCACAATAAATCATTTTTAAAAGGTTAAATTTAACCTCATTTAAGTAATACATGTAAGTCTCATCGAATAATTGAAGCCAGTTTGTGAGGTAAAGTCTATTATTATGTGCATTTTAATTCTTAGCGTTTAATTAAAGCCTCATAAGTACAAATAAAAACAGGACTTGCTATAACAGGTTGCCACCTATTTTCTTTAAAGATGACGAGCAGCATCTTATTTGCGTTAACACAAGTCATCCACATAACAAATATAGATAAGAAAAGTGGCCAGGTGTGGTGGCTCATGCCTCTAATCCTAGTACTTTGGGAGGCCGAGGCAGACAGATCACTTGAGGTCAGGAGTTCGAGACCAGCCTGGGCAATATGGTGAAACCCCATCTCTATCAAAAATACAAATATTAGCCCGGCATGGTGGTGGGCGCCTGTAATCCCAGCTACTTGGGAGGCTGAGGCAGGAGAATTGCTTGAACCTGGAAGGCGAAGTTTGCAGTGAGCCAAGATCATGCCACTGCACTCCAGCCTGGGTGACAGAGCGAGACTCTGTCTCGAAAAAAGAAAAAAGAAAAGAAAAGAAAAGTAAGGCACTTAGAGGGTAAGTGGCTTCACTCGGTACTAAGTAGGGGAGTGTGGATTTGAGCCAAGCTGTGGGTTCAAACCACATCAACACCTGCTATGCCTGACTGCGTCTCCACGCTGCTGGGAAGGTTGACTGAATCTGCCACTACCTCCCTGGGGTGCATGTGCTTACCAAACCATTGCATTATGTAAAAGGCGGTACTGTAGGTTTTTAGTTTTTTAATTTTTATTTTTTTGAGATAGAGTCTCACTCTGTCACCCAGGCTGGAGTGTAGTGGCATGATCTTGGCTGACTGCAATCTCTGCCTTCCGGGTTCAAGCGATTCTCTTGCCTCAGCCTCCTGAGTAGCTGGGACTACAGGCCCACACCACCACGCCTGGCTAATTTTTGTATTTTTAGTAGAGACAGGGTTTCACCATGTTGGACATCATGGTCTCGGTCTCTTGGGCTCATTATCTGCCTGCCTCGGCCTCCCGAAGTGCTGGGATTACAGGTGTGAGCCACCGTGCCTGGCCTCTAGTGACCTCATTTTAACTTGATCACCTCTGTAAAGACTCTGGTTCCAATAAGGTCACCTCTAAGGTCTGGAGGGTCATGGCTTCAATACATGAATTAGGGGTGGGGGGCACACCATGCAGCCCATAATACTAGCGTATCTGGTTATGTTAAACTTGCTATAGCCACAGTCTCGCTGACTTGGATTATGGTACCATGGGAAGGGCCCTTAAAGATCATCTTATCTGGTTGGGCTCAATGGCTCACGCGTGTAATTCCAGCACTTTGAGAGGCCAAGGCAAGAGGATCGCTTGTGACCAAGAGTTCAAGACCAGTCTGGGCAACAGAGCAAGATGCTATATCTACTACAGGCATGCACCTGTAGTCTCAGCTACTTGGGAGGCTGAGAGAAGAGGATTGCTTGAGCCCAGGAGGCAACAGAGAGCTGATTGTACCACTGCACCCCAGCCAAGGCAACAGAGACCTTGTCTCTAAAAAACAAAAACAGGCCGGGTGCAGTGTCTTATGCCTGTATTCCCAGCACTTTGAGAGGCAGAGGCGGGTGGATCATTTGAAGTCAGGTGTTCAAGACCAGCCTGGCAAACATGACGAAACCCTAAAATACAAAAATTAGCCGGGAGTGGTGGTGGGTGCCTGTAATCTCAGCTACTCGGGAGGCTGAGGCAGGAGAATCGCTTGAACCTGGGAGGCAGAGGTTGCAGTGAGCCGAGATGGAGCCACTGCACTGCAGCCTGGGTGACAAGAGCGAAACTCTGTCTCAAAATATTAGGAAAAAAAGAGAGAGAGAGCCTCTTTTCCATCTCCCCGCCACAGAGTTGTCTTCAGTAATTTCATTCCCTTTTTTCCTGAGGATTCACTGGGTTTCTGGGTCCCAGAGGGGAAGTTCTCTTCAAGGTACAGAAACCACGACTCCGCAGAGAACCGCAGAGATGGCAGCATGACCAGACCACGGACAGGTGTGTAGAAGCTGCTGGGCTGAAACTTGGGCTGAACTTCCGCTGCAGGTTGACTTATTCCCATCAGCACCAAAGCCGCTGGAGGGGGTCATCCACTAGCAAATGAAGTGGGGGCACGGATTGGAGGCTGTTTCAGAAGGTCCCACTGAGCCACGGACTCAAGGCCTGGCCACAGCCCTCCCAAGCGAGGCCCAGATCATATTTCACCACGCTCAGAAAACCTTGCCAGCTCATTTCAGTCCACAGTGACTTTGCTTTCTTTAGGATCTCTCTTGCACTGTCCAACTCAGAGAATTTCAAATCTGAATGGATTCCAATGATGGAGCTAAATCAGGCCTCACCTCAGTTTTTTAATTACAATCAATAGGGCTGGGTCCCAGCATCTGTGTCTTAATGTTCCTCCATGTGATCCTCATGCTGAAAGGCTGGTATTTGAAAATCCCTTTTTTTGGGGAGTGAAGGGTTTTTTTAGAGACAGGCCTCACTCTGATGCCCAGCCTGGAATGCAGTGGTGGATCACAGCTCACTGCAGCCTCGAACTCCTGGCCGCAAGAAATCCTCCCACCTTAGCCAACCAAAGTGTTGGGATTGCAGGAGTGACCACTGTGTCCAGCCAGGAAAGCCCTTCTGTTTCACTTGAATGATATTTCTGCCGCAGACCTACAGCCATTGTTGTATTAAACGGCATCATTGCAGGAAAAGAAAAGGTGAGAGGTGACTGTTTTGCTTTTTTCTGAACATATCAGACCAAACCTGGGCTGTCTGGCACTTTTTTTTTTTTTTTTTTTGAGTCGGAGACTCACTCTGTCGCCCAGGCTGGAGTGTAGTGTCGTGATCTCGGCTCACTGGAACCTCCACCTTCCCGGTTCAAGTGATTCTCCTGCCTCAGCCCCACAAGTAGCTGGGATTACAGAAGTGCACTCCCACGCCCAGCTCATTGTTTCTGTATTTTTACAGAAAAACAGACAGGTTTCACCATGTTGGCCAGGCTGATCTCAACCTCCTCACCTCTGGTTATCTGTCGGCATCAGCTTCCAAAAGTGCTGGGATTACAAGTGTGAGCCGCCGCACCTGGTTTGCCCATTTTTTGACAATGTATCAACATCATCTAAGATGGGCACTGCCTCAGTGTAGTGTGTCTAGACAAGGTGGCCGGAACAGAGAGGAATATGCATACCAGGCTTAAAGACGGGTTAAATCAGAGCTTTTCATTCCACAAAAGAGCAATTTTAATGAAGTCAGAACATGGATGTTCTAATATTTGAAAGCCTGTTAACTAGGAGAGAGAGTAAAGTGATTTGTTGTAGGAGGACACACCCAGCTCTGACGGTTTAAAGCGTCATGAATGCAAATTTGAACTCCAGAAAAGCAGAGCTTCCTAACAATGGGACTTCCATAGCAATGGGATTTCCTTCCGCATTCAGTTTGTGCCTTTCCCATGAGCGAGAGACTCCTAGGAGAGCCGCAGCCCGTTAGGAAGCCATGTGGGAACTCATCCACAGGTTCTTTTTGTTTGTTTTTTTTTTTTTTTGAGATGTAGTTTTGCTCTTGTTGCCCAGGCTGGAGTGCAATGGTGTGACCTTGGCTCACTGCAACCTCCGCCTCCCAAGTTTAAGCCATTCTGCTGTCCCCGCCTCCTGAGTGGCTGGGATTACAGGCACCCACCACCATGCCTGACTAATTTTTTGTATTTTTAGAAGAGATGGGGTTTCACCATGTTGGCCAGGCTGCTCTTAAACTCCTGACCTCAAGCGATCCACCTGCTATGGCCTCCCAAAGCGCTGGGATTACAGGCGTGAGCCACTGTGCCTGGCCGGAACCCACAGGTTCTTTGGATGGTCTCTGAATGTCATGAAACTCTTTTATATTTAATTTAAAAAAATTTTTTGACACAAGGTCTTGCTGTGTTGCCCAGACTGGAGTGCGGTGTCACGATCACAGCTCACTGCAGCCCCTAACTCCTAGGCTCAAGCAATCCTCCTGCCACCTCAGTCTCTCAAGTTGTTGGAACACAGGTGCCAGCCACGACACCTGGCTAATTTTTTGTTTTGTTTTGTTTTGTTTTAGAGATGGGCTCTTGCTATGTTGCCTATACTGGTCTTGAACTGCTGGCCTCAGGCAGTCTTCCTCCCTTGGCCACCCAAAGAGATGGGATTACAAGCATGAGCCACTGTGCACAGCTGAGATTTTTCGACTTAGTCTTTTTGTACACCCAGTATCTTATAGAATATCCATAATATAGATTCATAAATAAACCATTTCCTTCAATGGTATAAATAAATAAACCACTGCTATAAATGGTGGAATTTTCTGAGTTAAGAGCAATACATATGATACAAAACTTGATATATAGAGTTTCTTAGCCAAACTGGAGGGGCTGGCTTTAGGTGATCCGTGGACTCCCTGAAATTGGGGACACCATTGGAAATATGTGTGAACTCATGGGCAGTTTCCTATGATTTCCAGTCCTCAAAATATCTCTTGGACTCAAAGATGCCTTAGGGCAGAGGACGCGTGTACCCCCAGTACAGAATCTCGGACAGTGAATGTCAGTAGACACTCGGCAGAAAACCTCTGCCAAATTGAGTGCTCTGATGTGACTTTTTCATCAAGTCAATGTTCCTGGGATCTCTTGTACATGATAATCTCACTCTTGTAAGGTTTCATCGTTTCTGCTTACCCTACTTTTCTTTCCCATCCTGATCCCTCTCCCACCAGACTGGACTCTGAAACGGGCATGTACAGAGAAGAGGAGACCCCAACACGCTTCAAGCTTTGAGTGGAGAGGACACAGCCTCTGCTGGGACAGGGAACAGAGGGATGCGGAGACCCTGAAGATGCTTTTGGACAGTGGTCTGAGGTTGGGACAGTGGCAGGAGATACCATTCACCCAGGATCTCCAGGACAAGAGATCAGCCTGGCAGTTACATGTGTTTTTTTTCAAACTGGTTGCCAGGTTGGCATGAGCGATGACATCAGAGATTCCGACCTTCCTGATTGGAGGGACCGGACTCTGTCGGCACCTGGGAGTTCAGTTGGACAACAGTAACTTCTCAGAGCTGTTCTCCACTCCTGACTTCTCCCAGCCTCGAGAATTGATAACACACTCTTCTGGATCCCAGCAGTGTCCAGAAGAAGACCAAGGACAGAACAGAGACTAGGTTTGGTGAGATGGGACAGATTTTGGGAAAGATCATGATGAGCCATCAACCGCAGCCCCAGGAAGAGCGGAGCCCCCAGCGGAGCACCTCAGGGTACCCCCTCCAGGAGGTGGTGGATGATGAAGTGTCGGGACCATCAGGTGAGGGGACTGGAGGAAGAAGAGGTGGCATAGGATTGACTAAGATGAAGGAAGGGGGCCAGGCGTGGTGGCTCACCCCTGTAACCCCAACACTTTGGGAGGCTGAGGCGGGCAGATCACCTGAGGTCAGGAGTTCAAGACCAGCCTGGCCAACATGGTGAAACCCCATCTCTACTAAAAGTACAAAAATTAGCCAGGCGGTAGTGGTGTGTGCCTATAATCCCAGCTACTTGGGAGGCTAAGACAGGAGAATCACTTGAGCCTGGGAGGAAGAGGTTGCAGTGAGCCGAGATCGTGCTACTGCACTCCAGTCTGGGTGACAGAGTGACATGCTATCTCAAAAAAAAAAAAAAAAAAAAAGAAGAAACAAAAGAAGGGTCAGAGGTCAGGAAGGAGAACCTGGGGAGGGTGTGTGGGAAGAATGGAGAAATTCAGGCTGGGTGCAGTGGCTCACACTTGTAATCCCAGCACTTTGGGAAGCCAAGGCAGGCAGATCACTTGAGGCCAGGAGTTTGAGACCAGCCTGGCCAACATGGTGAAACCCTGTCTCTATTAAAAGTACAAAATTGAGCTGGGCATTATGGCAGGCACCTGTAATCCCAGCTACCTGAGAGGCTGAGGCAGGAGAATAAATGGAATCCGGGAGATGGATGTTGCAGTGAGCTGAGATTGCACCACTACACTCCAGCCTGGGTGACAAAGCAAGATTCTGTCTCGAAACAAAAAAAAAAAAAAAAAAAAAGAGGGACTCAGAGAGCCAGGGACCAGGGAAGGATATGAGGCAGTGTTCTGAGGACAGAGAGAGGGAAGAATGGGGAGGGGAAGGAGTGGCACATGGGGTTGAGCAGAGGAGAAAGTCAGAAAGGTGGCTTGGAGAAGCCAGCAGTCTGCGAGGCTGGGGAGGATGGAGAGTGGTTTGGGGTTTGGGGTCGGGGTCTAACGTGATCAGTTGCAGAAGCATTACACGGTGGCCTGGTTTCTTTACTCAGCCCCTGGGGTAGATCCCAGCCCCCCACGTAGGTCCCTTGGCTGGAAAAGGAAGAGGGAATGTTTGGATGAATCTGATGATGAGCCAGAGAAGGAGCTCGCCCCTGAGCCTGAGGAGACCTGGGTGGCGGAGACGCTGTGTGGCCTCAAGATGAAGGCGAAGCGACGGCGAGTGTCGCTCGTGCTCCCTGAGTACTACGAGGCCTTCAACAGGCTGCTTGGTAGGAGGACACCCCAGAGAGCACCTCCAATCCTGTTCTTTCTAAAGAGGAAACTTCCAATAACCACACTTTTCCAATGGGAAAAATATGCCCCAGTGGGTGAGCTCTCCATGCGGGAGGACTCTGAAGTGATCACTCATGAGGGACACTTAGGAGACAACAGAGGATTAGGTAGACTTGATAAAGGTCGGTGCTTGGGATAAGAAAGCTTGGTTTTGGGCCAGGCGCTGTGGCTCCCGCCTGAGATCCCAGCACGTTGGGAGGCTGAGGCAAGAGGATTGCTTGAACTCAGGACTTTGAGGCTGCAGTGAGCTATGACTGCACCACTGCACTCCAGCCTGGGTGACAGAGCAAAACTCTGCGTCAAAAGAAAAACCAAGGCTGGGCACAGTAGCTCATCCCTGTAGTTCCAGCTACTCGGGAGGCTGAGACAGGAGAACTGCTTAAACCCAGGAGGCAGAGGTTGCAGTGAGCCAAGATCAGGCCAATGCATTCCAGCCTGGCCCACAGAGCAAGACTCTGTCTCAAAATAAATTAATAAATAAATAAAAATAAAAATCAAATAAAGAAAAACAAAATCAAAAATCAAAAAAGTGGTTTCAGCTGTGCCCTCTGAAACTTAATGTTTCTTACTGACTTTTCTAAACCTAAGTGTTTCCATCCATAGTGAGGGATACCAAGGCCATGGTCACACCCTGATGTGTGACTGTCTCATGAGGAAATGATGGGAATTCCTTTATGACTCTGCAGTGGTCCCTCCGTGTCTGCTGGAGGGGGTCCTGGCTGATTCCCAGCTCTACATCCTGTAGATTCTCACACCCAGGGCCTCCTTCGGCCTCTTCTCAGGGGAGTCTCAGAGCAGGAGCCTCTCTCCCTTGCCCAGTGAAAGTCATTCTCCCCTCTCCCATCCACCTCACCCGCAGCCACAATCCTGAGACTTTCCCCCGGGAGGCACACTTCTCCTCGCTGCCCTGCTGCTCTCAGGGAAACCCTGTCCTGCTTCTCACACTGACATCTGCTCTCTAATCACAGAGGATCCTGTCATTAAAAGACTCCTGGCCTGGGACAAAGATCTGAGGGTGTCGGACAAGGTAAGGTTGTTCTCTATGTAACTGTGTTCCTGTTCTAACGCACGGCCAGGGAGAGGGCGCAGCTTCCAAACCCACAGTTCTCCGTCCACCACCTCCCACCAGATGCTCCTACAGTTTTTTTTTGTTTTTGTTTTTGTTTTTTTTTGTGAGACACAGTCTTGCTCTGTTGCCCAGGCTGGAGGGCAGTGTCTCGATCTTGACTCACTGCAGCTGATGCCTCCTGGGTTCAAGCGATTCTCCCACCTCAGCCTCCAAGCAGCTGGGATTACAAACATGAACCACCATGCCTGGCTAATTTTTGTGTTTTTAGTAGAGACGGGGTTTTGCCATGTTGGCCAGATTGGTCCCGAACACCTGACCTCAGGTGATCCACCCGCCTTGGCCTCCCAAAGTGCTCAGATTACAGACGTCAGCACTGTGTCTGACCAGCTCCCATGGTCTTGAGTCTTGGCACCCACACATTTTTTTTTCTGAGACAGAGTCCAGCTCTGCTCCCCAGGATGGAGTACAGTGGCATGATCATAGCTCACTCTAATTCCTGGGCTCAAGCAATCTTCTTTCCTTAGCCTCCTGAGGAGCTGGGACTAGGCACATGCTACCATGCTCAACTCATTTTTGAAATCTTCTTAGAAACAGGGTCTCGCTGTGTTGCCCAGGTTGTTCTCCAACTGTTGGGCTCACATGATCCTCCTGTCTCCACCTCTCAAAAAGTACTGGGATCACAGGCTTGAGCTGCCACTCCCGGCTATTCTTTGTCTTTTTATGATTTGTCAGCATCTCCGTCAGGATTCTGCTGGTCTCTTGCAGAGTGAATGAGTGGCCCCTGCCTCTCCTATGGGTCCTTTGGGATCTGAGCCCTGGGCCACAGTCTGGCTGCAGCCCTGAAGCTCCTGGGCCCTCTACTCTCAGCTCCTTGGGACAGTTCTCTGCCTGGCACACAAAAGACCCTCCTGACACCAGCCGACCTAGACACACCCCCTCCAAAGATCCCATCGGAGCCCACCATCCTGGGAGCATCACCGAAAACCCTTCCTCCGGCTTCTCGGATTTGCATCCGACCTTCGAATACCCCTCCACCCCGCAATTTCCACATGAGCACAGTCACCCCAACACTGAGGTCCCTTCTCTGATGGGCAACCCCTCCCCAGACCCCCATTCCACTATATCCACAATCTTCCTCTCCCAAGATGTGACCTCTCCCTCTCTGTGTTCCTTTCTCTCCATCAGTATCTCCTGGCTATGGTCATAGCGTATTTCAGCCGGGCCGGCCTCCCCTCCTGGCAATACCAACGCATTCATTTCTTCCTGGCTCTGTGAGTGGTTTGCTGCCTCCTATCCGTCAATATCCAATGCCCTGGGACAGCGGGGGAAGTGGGATTCCAGCCTTTCATTTATTCTTTCACCTATTTGTCCTCTTTACTCTGTGTACAAAAAAGACAGGATTATAGTCTCAAAAAAAAAAAAAAAAAAAAGAACAAAAAACAAAAGGAACCATGAACCGCTCCTAAGGGGAGAAGAAAAGGAGCGGAGGAGCGGACATGACACTTCCCCCAGCAAGCAGACGTTTCCGGTTGTTCTCTCTCTCTCCTTCCCACATCAACCGCAAAAGCCATCAGCCTCCTCCGGGTTCCCGTGACAGAGGTCACAGTCCAGGTCCCCCTTGCATCACTCGAATCCACTGTCAAATGCTCCCTGCTGGGGTTTCCTGGAGTCTCTCCCCAAGCCAAGGGGCTTCCTAGTGCAGCCTGAACATCTTTCCAAAGCACGACAACCTCACTGCCCACCTGAACAACTTCCTTAGCTGATGTCTTTCTCTATCGAGGCCAGGGTCCACAGTGCCAATTCCACCCTCTCTACAATCTCTACAACCACACTGGCTCGCCATCTTGGTGTTTCCTGGCTTGGCTTCACTGCTCCTTCCAAATGCCCTCCACTTGACTTTGCATTTGTGTTTTCTGTCTGGGTGTCCCGCACACATGTGGCTCTGAAGGGAAGGACCCATTCCTTGAAGTCGGTTCACCTCACAGCCTCTGTGATGCCTTCCCTCGTCTTCCAACTTCTGCATGCCCGTAGCTCTCCAGTTACATCCTATTATAATGTGACATTGGGATTAGGTCATCTCCCCTGATTACTCCCAGTCCCATTAGACTAGATGCCTGTAGAAGGCAGGGTCCTGGCAAAATATCAGTGTATTCAATTGCTTTTTTTTTTTTGAGACAGACTTGCCCTGTCCCCTAAGCTGGAGTGCAGTGGTGAGATCATAGCTCACTGCAGCCTCCATATCCTGGGCTCAAGCGATCCTCCCACCTCAGCCTCTTGATTAGCTCCGACTACAGGGCTGTACCACCACACCTGGACAGTTATTTATTTATTTATTTATTTATTTATTTATTTATCAAGACAAGAGTGTTGCTGTGTCTCTCAGGCTGGAATGGAGGGGCCCAATCTTGGCTCACTGCAACCTCCGCCTCCTGGGTTCACACAATTCTTATGCTTCAGCCTCCTGAGTAGCTAGGACTAATGGGTGTGCCACCGCACCAGGCTGATTTTTGTATTTTTAGTATAGATGGGGTTTCTCTGTGTTGACCAGGCTGGTCTCAAACTCCTGGTCTCAAGCAATCCACCTGCTTCAGCCTTCCAAAGCGCTGGGATTACAGGCATGAGCCACGTCTGGCGTATTTTTTATATTTTTAATAGAGACGAGGGTCTTGCTATGTTGCCCAGGCCTGTCTCAAACTCCTGGCCTCAAGTGATCCTCCTGCTTCGGCCTCCCAGTGTGCTGGGATTCCAGGCATAAGCCACCACTCTTGGTCACCAGTTGGGTTTTTGTCTCCATCCTGAAGGAGTGGGAGACGCCCTTGATCAGGTCTCTGTCCAGCAGAGCCCTCCTGAGGAAGGCGTGGCTCTCTGCAGGGTGGGTGCCAGTCCTGAGCTAGGGACGGTCCCTTACCTTCCTCTCTGAGAAGCTGACCTCAGCCGGAGGTCTCTCCTGGTGGTGCCCCTGAGCAGCAACCTGATTTCTGTCCTCAGCTATCTGGCCAATGACATGGAGGAGGACGACGAGGCCCCCAAACAAAACATCTTCTACTTCCTGTACGAGGAGACCCGCTCTCATATACCCTTGCTCAGTGAGCTTTGGTTCCAGTTATGCCGTTACATGAACCCGAGGGCCAGGAAGAACTGCTCTCAGATAGCCTTGTTCCGGAAGTATCGGTTCCACTTCTTTTGTTCCATGCGCTGCAGGGCTTGGGTTTCCCTGGAGGAGTTGGAAGAGGTGGGTGGGGCCTGGGGACGTGGAGGATGTGGGGAGGAATCGGGTGGGCTGGAGGCTGGACGAGGGGAGAGAGGGGTATCCTGGGGAGTCCCCGTCTTCTCAAAGCGCGTTTGTTTTTCCAGATCCAGGCTTATGACCCAGAGCACTGGGTGTGGGCGCGAGATCGCGCCCACCTTTCCTAGAGCTCCAGGGACCGTGGAGGCCTGAGGTCATCGGCCTGAGAGAAGGTACATCTGCATCCTCCGGGGTAAAGGCAGAATATTGGGGTCTATTTCGGAAATCCAAGGAACCCAATTGCTTGATCTGGCTTCAAGCCTGGGCAACGTGGCGAGATCCCCTCTCCACAAAAATACAAAAATTAGCCAGGCGATGTGGGAGGCATCTCTACTCCCAACTACTCAGGAGGCTGAGGCGGGAGGATCGCTGGAGCCTGGGAGGTCGGGGCTGCAGGGAGCCCTGATCCTGCCACTGCACTCCAGCCCGGGCGACAGAGTGAGACCCTGCCTCAAAAATAATCATAAATACTGAGTTCGGGGAGGTTCATTATGATTGATGCACTTGAGTTACCGATTTGGGTCGAGGGTTCAGTGAAGCTTTGGTTTACATCTTGTGCAGCTAACCATGTTGAGCACAGAGCATGAGACTTCGTCATGAGGAGGGAGGATTATGGATTAGGCTTCTGGACTCGTGGTTCGTGATGTTGTCACGTTAGAAGCAGATCTAGCACGGTTACAAGTTTAGATCTGAAGTGACACAAAAGGCCCCAGCTGTGATGAAGTCCAAAGCCACATTCTCTGAGGGTGCCCTACTCCCTGGGAAGACCCACCCAAAGTCCTGGCTATGAAGCAGATCACTGGGGCTGACCTTGGGTGTATTAAGTTTTGGAGTCAGGGTCACCAAAGTGTGAGTTTCACAGTTGAACACGATGGTTCAGAAGCAGGGTATAGAATGAAAGGCAGGAGATAAAATTGCACTTCTCAATTGCTCTGAACTCTAGCTAGACTTGACATGGGACGTGAATAACCTTCCTGTCTAGAGAGCTGCCTCCTTGAAGTGTGACATTGTCTCTCTCACTTCCAGAACACCGGACCCAGGGGAGATGTGGATTTTCAGCAGGAACTTTATTCCAATGCTAATGGCAGACATCAGGAAGGAGGAGAGGAACCATTTGTGCAGATCATCTAGAAGAACCTGGACCATTCTTGATGGAGCTGAATACAGTGATCACGTTGTCCTCCAAGGAGCAGGGGTGGGGTGGGGTACTTCTAGGAGTCCTTGGAGAAAAGTAAGAAACCAGGAGTGTTTCCAGTTCCACCCTTTCCTGCGGCACCACCTCCCTTTTTATATTGCTGAATGCCAACCTCCCTGGGGCGGAACCTGGAGGTCCTGTTTCTTATGGACTTGGTTGCCACAGTCCAGGAGCATTTGAAGGCACAGTGCAAGGGCTCAGATTGGCACAGAATTCTTTGTGAAATATGAGTGCCACAGACTGTAACAGATAGCTTCATGCACACTATGCATTTTATTGGTTTGTTTGGAAAATGTTGGCCATTGAATTATTAATAGGTTTATTTCAAATAGTTTGGAAATTGTTGTACTTTTGAAAACATGCTGTTCCTGTAGAGTTTTTTGATGAGAGTTATAGTTGTTATATATACATAAAGATAATTTTCTTTTCATTTTTAAGTGAGAATTCTTTTTATCCTAAATCTTTTATTATCTTTAAATTTTTTTCTGTATTATTATATGTGCTCCTGAAGCGAGCACTCTTTTTATCTATGATACTTCCATAATAATCTCTTCTATTTATAGCTATTGGTAGTTCCCCACCAGAAAAAAACATAATTCTGGTGATAGAAATTTTTATTTGCTGTTTAGGTTTGTGACTGAATTGTGAGAATTCAGTTGTGATTTTTAACATGTCTCAGATATATATACTAACACGTCTAATGTATACTATCTATTTTATTGGTTTATTTTGAAAAACATGGGTACAGAATTATTTAAATATTATTTTATTTATTGAAATATTTATTAAATATATTTATTTATTTAAATATTATTATTACTTTAAATATTATTTTAAATATTTTGGAAATACTGGTATTTTTGAATAGATGCTGTTTCTATAAAGCTGTGTGATGGGTGTTATAACTGTTGTATACACATACATATAATTTTGTTTTCCTTTTTAAGAGAGGATTCTTTTCATCCTAAATCTTTTACCTTTCAATCTTTGTATCTATTATTACACGTGCTGCTGAAGGGAGCATGGTTTTTATCTATGATACTTAGTTAACATATATATTACATTTATAGCTATGTGGTAGTTCCCCTAAATTCTTGTAAAAATAAATTTTTATTTGATATTTAGTGTATGTTTGAAATGTGAGAATTCAGATGGAATTTTTTATCTTGTTTTGGCATGTTTGTATGTTACTTTAAAGAGGATGTGTGTTCTAAAGGAGGACATGAGCTGTGTGTTTTCAAGAGAACAGTGCAGTGCATCTCTTGGGGAAACATAATAAAGATGAACTTTTCTCACCTTCACAGTGAGTGTGATCATATTGTGGTCTGGATTGATTATTTGCTGTCAAGTGACATTTTTCCTTAATGGGGTTGTGGTTATTTGAACATATTTATTAGCTTTGGAAGATAATCCTGTGCTGTTTTTTATGTAGAAAAAAACATACGGCTGGGTGCAGTGCTCACACCTACAATCCCAGCAGTTTTGGAGGTCATGGCGGGAGGATCACTTGAAGCCTATTTTTAATTTTTATTTTTTAAAGAAAAACAATAGAAGAGAAGGCTGATCCCAAGCTACAGGGTTTTTTTGTTTGTTTGTTTGTTTTGGAGACAGTCTCGCTCTGTCTCCCAGGCTGGAGTGCAGTGGCACAACCTCGGCTCCCTGCAACTTTCACCTCCGCGTTCAAGCAAATTCTCCTGCCTCAGCCTCCCAAGTAGCTGGGACTACAGGCATCCGCCTGTACGTCTGACTAACTTTTGTAAAAATAGTAGAGACAAGGTTTCACCATGTTGGCCAGGCTGGTCTCAAACTCCTGACCTCAAGTGATCCACCCGCCTCAGTCTCCCAAAGTGCTGGGATTATAGGCATGAGCTACTGTGCCCAGACCCCAAGCTAGAGTTTTAAAGCAGGAAATGAGAGAAAGATATTGAGAGAGGAAAACCAGGTGGTAAGAAAACTCTAAAGGTGGCTGGGCGTGGTGGCTCACGCCTGTGATCCCAGCAGGAGTTCGAGACCAGGCAGGAGAATCACTAGCAGAGAATATGTCTCCCCAACCCCTCTCAAAAAAAAAAAAAAAAAAAAAAAGTCCAGGTGCGGTGGCTCAGGACTGTAATCCCAGCACTTTGGGAGGCTGAGGTGGGCGGATCATGAGGTCAGGAGATCAAGACCATCCTGGCTAATACGGTGAAACCCCATCTCTGCTAAAAATACAAAAAATTAGCTGGGCGCGGTGGCAGGCGCCTGTAGTCCCAGCTACTCCGGAGGCTGAGGCAGGAGAATGGTGTGAACCCAGGAGGCGGAGCCTGCAGTGAGCAGAGATCGCGCCACTGCACTCCAGCCTGGGTGAAAGCGCGAGACTCCATCACAAAAGAAAAAAAAAAAAAAAGAAAAAAAGAAAGTTCCTGCAACAGTTCAAGCTGTGAAAGACAGGCACTCTGCCATGCAATTCTTTGTGATTTTTCTTTTTTATTTTTGGAGTCGGGGTCTTGTGCTGTCACCCAGACTGGGGTGCAGTGGTGCGGTCATAGCTCACTGTGGGCTCAGACTCAAGCTCAAGCAATCTTCTTATCTTGCCTTTCTAATTCCTGGGATTATAAGCATGAGCCACTGCACCTGGCCTGTGTGACGTAATTCTGATGTCAACTCCCTGATGTTACATCAAATGCCACAGGTTAAGGCCACCAGCCCCCGCTAGGCTGCCCTCGCTTCAGATGCAGCTGCAAGCTTGGGTGTCCACAGACCGCATGTACTTCTCACCAACTGGCTGCAAATTTGGAGGTTCCCACCACGTCCTCAGGTTTGATAATACACCATAACAACCCACAGAACTCTGAAAAGCATGATACTTTCTCTTTCTTTATTTGAGACAGAGTCTTGCTCTGTCACCCAGGCTGGAGTGCAGTGGCCACCATGCTTGGCTAATTTTAGTATTTGTATTAGAGACAGGGTTTCGCCATGTTGGCCAGGCTGGTCTTGAACTCCTGACCTCAGGTGATCCGCCCACCTTGGCCTCCCAAAGTGCTGGGATTACAGGCATAGCCACTGTGCCTGGCTGACTTCTAGAGTTTCAATAACAGAGATGTGGTTCAAGAAGAAAAGGGAGACATGTTTTGTAGACAGCAGGAGCTTCATGAAAAGAAGCCAATGAAGGGCAGGACGTGTAGCTGTCTACCTACAGGAAACCAGCCAGGAGCCTCCCCACAGGGACTTCAGCACAGATGGCCGGGAAAATCTGCATTCACCTGAGCTCTGGACCTAAGAGAGGACAAGGCCTTGACTGTTTCTACAGACTCACAAGATGCAATCTCTGCGGTCCATGCCCGTGGTGTGATCTGGGAAACAGGGGGCCTTCTAAATGCCAACAACAAGGAAATCAAATGTGCAACAGACAGAAATACCGGCATTGACACGGGCCATGGAAAGGCCTAAACAGATGACTGCAGTCCACTGCCAAGGTCATCAAAGGGGTGACTCTGAAATAAGAAATTTCAGACGCCACGGCCCAAATAGCTGCACGAGGTGGGGAAGTCCTCCACATGCCTCTGCTTCCTTCAGTACCTCTTCATGAAATAAGCCGAGGTACTTCCCTGGGGGAATTTCCTTTCTCTTTCTTTCTTTCGAGACGGAGTCTTGCTCTGTCGCCCAGGCTAGAGTGCAGTGGCGCGATCTCGGCTCACTGCAACCTCTCCCTCCCGGGTTTTGGCAATTCTTCTGTCTCAGACTTCTGAGTAGCTGAGATTACAGGTGTGTGCCACCATGCCCAGCTAATATTTGTATTTTTACTCGAGACAGGGTTTCACCATCTAGGCCAGGCTGGTCTTGAACTCCTGACCTCGTGATCCACCCATCTTGGCCTCCCAAAGTCCTGGGATTACAGGCACGAGCCACCACACCCAGACTTCTTTTTTTATTTTTTGAGATGAAGTTTCGCTCTTGTTGCCCAGGCTGGAGTGCAATGGCGAGATCTCAGCTCACTGCCACCTCCTCCTCCCAGGTTCAAGTGATTATCCTGCCTCAGCCTCCCGAGTAGCTGGGATTACAGGCACCCAACACCAAACCCCGCTGACTTTTTGTATTTTTAGTAGAGATGGAATGTCACCATGTTGGCCAGGATGGTCTTGAACCCCTGACCTCTAATGATCTACCCGAATTGGTCTCCCAAAATGCTGGGATTACAGGCGTGAGCCACTGTGCCCAGCCCCTCCCATACCTCTTTTGGCCAAGGCAGTACAATTCAGAGAATCTTGCCAGGGAAGACTGGTAAATGGACATCAACATGATGCCTATGGCTCCTGGTGGATTTAGATACCTCCTGGTGCTTACTGATACCTTTACCAGTTACATGGGGGCTTTTCCATGCCAGACTGAAAATGCTGGAGATCACTGATCAACCTTCAACTATTTACTAGCAGAACACTGAGGGGACTCTGCAGTCACCAATATCTCCTATTGCACTTGGATAAACACCTCCCGGGAAATAGAGATGAATAGAAAGGAAATACTTAAACAAGCAGAATGGCTACATTCCTTCAACCAGAAGGGTCCATTAGTCTGTTTTCACACTGCTATGAAGAACTACTGGAAACTGGGGAATTTATGAAGAAAAGAGGTTTAATTGACTCACAGTTTTGCAGGCTGTACAGGAAGCATGGCTGGGGAGCCCTCAAGAAGCTGACAATCACGGCAGAAGGCGAAGGGGAAGCAGGCACGTTTCTGGCCATGGTGGAGCAGGAGAGACAGAGAGAGTGAAGCAGGAGGTGCTGCATGCTTCTAAACAACCAGATCCCATGAGCGCTCACTCACTATCACGAGACCAGCAAGGGGGACGTCAGCCGCCATGAGCCAATCATCTCCCACCAGGTCCCTCCCTCAACACTGGGAATTGCAATTTGACATGAGATTTGGTTGGGGATACAGAGCTGAACCATATCAAGGGTAGTTCAACCACTGAGATTGATTGATTGACTGAGATGGGGTCCTGCTCTGTTACCTAGGCTGGAGTGCAGTGGCACAATCTCGGCTCACTGCAACCTCCGCCTCCCAGGTTCAAGCAATTCTCCTGCCTCAGCCTCCCTAGTAGCTGGGACTACAGCACACGCCACCACACCTGGCTAATTTTTGTATTTTCAGTAGAGACGGGGTTTCACCATGTTTGCCCGGCTGGTCTTGAACTCCTGACCTCGTGATCACCCTGCCTCGGCTCTTCTTTTGCTGGAATTACAGGCGTGAGCCACCGCACCCGGACAACCACTGAGATTTAGAAGGCAGTCGAGTCCACTATACCACACCTCACCTGGTTTCTTCCTCTGTTGGGGCCCCTCGTGGCCACTGTTCCGTTACTTTTTGGTCCTATTTATTTAAATGGATGGTGAGCTGTTTGTCCTCCAGGATCCAACACTTCCACCTTCAGCTTGTATTACAACAATACCAGCCTTTCAAGCTACTCCGGGTGACCCCAGAACTCATCTGAACTCAGAAGCCCAAGAGTTTCATTCCTCTCACTTTAGGGGACTAAGTGCCCCTGGTCAGCATGAAGTCGATACAGAAGCATGACCTCCATCCCTAATCCCTCAAGAATGAGGAGTGGAAGGTGTTGGCAGGAGGGTGGGACGCGGTTTGTAAATCTGTAACTGCCATCAGACCAAATCTAGTTCAACTTTTTTTTTTTTTGATGGAGTTTCACTCTTGTCACCCAGGCTGGAGTGCAATGGCACGATCTCAGCTCACTGCAACCTCCACGTCCTAGGTTCAAGCATTCTGCTGCCTCAGCCTCTGGGGTAGCTGGGATTACAAGGGTGCGCCACCACGCCTGGCTAATATTTATATTTTTAGTAGAGACGGGGTTTCACCATTTTGGCCAGGCTGGTCTTGAACTCCTCGACCTCAGGTGATCCACCTGCCTTGGCCTCCCAAAGTGCTGGGATTACAGGCGTGAGTCACCGCACCCGAATCAGTTCAACTTTTATGTAATGAAGTTGTCAGTTGTTTTCCAATTGCCATCGACCTGCAGGTTGAAGGTCATGTACCCTGTGCATGCCCAGGTTAACCACGCGTGCCACCGTGGAGTGGAACCTAAGAGCTCAGCCTGAAGAGCTCGGACCGATTTAAGAACCAGACACCCCCAGGCAGGAGCCAGGATCCAATCAGATTGAGTTTTGGTGTCACCCCATGGCAGGATCCAGTCAGATCACACCTCCCAGCATTACTTTATTGCAAGATCCAATCAAATCACACCTCATTACCCTATGCTTATAAAACCTGACATAGCCCCCAGCTGTGTAAGGGAGATTTGAGTACTTCCTCCTGTGTTCTTGCTGGCTGACTTACAAAAAAGCTTTAAAAAAAAAAAAGCCAGGCGTGGTGGCTCACGCCTGTAACCCCAGCACTTTGGGAGGCTGAGGTGGGCAGATCACTTGAGGTCAGGGGTGCAAGACCAGCCTGGCCAACATGGTGAAACCCCATCTCTACTAAAAATACAAAAATTAGCTGGGTGTGGTGACACACACCTATAATCCCAGCTACTTGGGAGGCTGAGGTAGGAGAATCACTTGAACCCAGGAGGCGGAGGTTGCAGTGAGCCAAGATCACACCACTGCACTCCAGCCTGGGCGACAGAGTGAGAAGACTCCGTCTAAAAAAAAAAGTTAAAATTAGCACCAAACGCTTTACAAGTAAAAAAAGTTTTTAGCTGCATATGTTTAAGTAACTTTTTAGATTATAAGAAATACGCATGCAAAATGGAAAGGCACAAAGAAGAGAGCAAAAAGTGCATGAGATCTCACATCCAAGGATAACCGCTGAGAACATGGAAGTGCTGACTCTTCAGTCTTTATACTATACACATTTAGGCCTGTTTTGTTTTTATAAAACTGTAATCATATAATACAGACAGTTTTATAATCTGCTTTTTAAACACAACAATTATATAACATTTAGCTGTTTCATTTGCATTCAAATTCATAAGGGTTCCAGTAACTCATTTATCAGAAAACCAAGAGAAATATTCTCATAAAAATATAAGTACATAAGGTCAGGCATGGTGGCTCACGCCTGTAATCCCAGCACTTTGAGAGGCCGAGGTGGGCGGATCACCTGAGGGCAGGAATTCGAGACCAGCCTGGCCAGCCTGGACAACATGGTGGAACCCCGTCTCCACTGAAAATACAAAAATTAGCCGGGCGTGGTGGTGCGCGCCTGTAATGGTAGCTACTCAGAAGGCTGAAGCAGGAGAATCGCTTGAACTTGGCAGGTGGAGGTTGCAGTGAACTGAGATCGCGCCACTGCACTGCAGCCAGGGCGCCAAAGTGAGACTCCATCTCAAAAAAAGATAAAAATAAAAAATAAAAAAAATGTATATATATGTATATATATTTTTCCAGACAGGGTCTTACTCTGTCTCACAGTCTGAAGTGTAGTGACGCAATCATAGCTCACTGCAGTCTCAAGTTCCTGGGCTCAGGTGATCCTCCCACTTCAGCCTCCCAAGTAGCTGGAACTACAGGTGCATGCCACCATGCCCAGTCAGTTTTTTTTTTAATTTTTCATAGAGACAGAGTCTCACTATGTTTCCCAGTCCTAATAAACATTATGTGATAAAAAGAAAAAAGTAAATCATCCTGAAGTTAAGTCTTTAATGAGAAATGCAAATAAAGCATTTCTCAATAAATTATGGGAAGAGAATCAACTGAAGAATAAACATCTTTAGTAAATCTTTTGCTCGTGTGCATTAACCAATACTCTTGAAAACCAGGATTAATTTACTGTACCTTCTTAATATTCCTTTGAAATTCCTTATGGCGCACAGGTAGCGTAGAAAATAACTGCTTCACGCTGACTGTGGTCCCTCTGGGGTGGGGGTAGGGGGTTTTCTGGATGATTTTCCCATCGTGATCAAACACCAGTCGAGTCCCAACCTTCGCCGATACGTGGCAGGTAGAAATGGTGACATCACTGTGAGAGAATACCAGGCATGGTGTGTTCAGTGAGAGATCCGTGATGTTGGGCACTGACTACTCTTTTCTTCACTTGCTTTTCTCTCAAAATTTTCTTAAAAAGCTGATGATCCCTCTGAGATAACCGAGATCTAAACGGTTGAGGAGTCATCACAAAATCTAAGGTCTGGCATCTAAAAGACAGTGAGACAGAGAGCACTAAACATGCTTTGTTTTGATAAAAGCTCTGACTTCATTTTTCAGGTTGAATTGCAAAACCATAAATGATCTCAAGATTTATTGATTCTCAAATAGAGATTTGTTTTGTTATTACTCTTCAAACAAAATTTTTTAAAAGAATTTTTTTAAAGAATTTTTTAAAATTTTTAAAAATTTTTTTAAAGAATCCAAAAGATATAATAATTAAAATGTATATGTAGGGCAGGGTGCGGTGGCTCGTGCCTGTAATTCCAGCACTTTGGGAGGCCAAGGAGGGCAGATCACTTGAGGCCTGGAGTTCCAGACCAGCCTGGGCAACATGGCAAAACCCCATCTCTACTAAAAATACAAAAATTAGCCAGGAGTGGTGGTGCACGCTATAGTCCCAGCTCTTCAGGAGGCTGAGTCACGAAAGTCACTTGAACCTGGGAGGCAGAGACTGCAGTGAGCTGAGACTGTGCCACTGCACTCCAGCCTGGGTGACAGAGTGCGACTCTGTCTAAAAAAATATATATATATATGTATATATATATGTATATATATGTATATATGTATATATATGTATATATGTATATATATGTATATATGTATATATGTACATATATGTATACATATATGTATATATATGTATATATGTATATATGTATACACATATGTATATATGTATATATATGTATATATGTATATATATGTATACACATATGTATATATGTATATATATGTATACATATATGTATATATGTATATATATGTCTATATGTATATATATATATGTATATATGTATACATATATGTATATATATGTATATATATGTGTGTGTGCATGTAATTATTTATAAAAATTTAGTATCTGTGCTATAATTAAATAGTGCTTTGGTGAAATGTTTCCCTAAAAATTGATAATGAAAACCAATGGTAACTATCATTTATTATCTATATGTTATGTTCAAATTGAGAAGTTACTGTTTTAATAAGGGTAACCAATTTTTTAAACAATACTATTTGCTTCATTTCATTCATTTATTGCTCACATTTCAGAAGTACTAGGACTTAGATTGGCAGTGAGACAAAACAGAATTCAGAAGCTAGAAGCTGAGATATTGAGATAGAAAATTGTAAATAATAATGATTCCAATTAATTTTCAGAGAGGTTTTTCTAAGGGGTCAAGTGAATGGATAAAAATATTTTATCACCTCAGTGCACAAAGTGAGCTCAGAGCTTTCCCCCGAAAGCCAAAAGTTTCAACCCGAGTTAGGTCGGCAAACTCTTGAATCTTAGATGTGTGATGTTTCAGAGCTGAAAGAGACTGTAAAGTAAGGACTAAGATATCTCAAGTGCTATAACAACAAATATACATGATATCTAGTAACTGGCTTTAAAAAACTGTTTTTGTGTTTCCCAAGACAGTGTTACTCAAAATTCTAAGACATGTGGCCCAATTATTTTATAATAGGATTAGAAAGTTAACTTACTTAAGCCTTCGAAGTTTTCTTCTTCTACCCCACATCCATTGCCTGAAACTTCAATGAGATCCATTCCATAGTCCTTAAGCTTTAGATCTAGAAAGTTTAAAATATTTATATATTTATTAAAAATGGACCCACGCTATCAGTTTTTATATTGATATTATTTATAACGTGCAAATTTAAGTGTCGTAACTATACCTTTAGTTAAACATACTAGTGTCATTTTGTATATTTCATTTTTATAAAGTTCTTTCTGGCCATTTACTAGCCCAGATTAAATAGTTTAGCATTTTCTTTCTTTCCTCTTTTTTTTTTTTTTCCTTACACTAGTCAAGTGAAGCAGTTGGAGTGGAGAAGGAACAAAAAAATCTGTAACTGGTTGTGATCAATTAGTTGTAAAGACCGTTGCACTTTGACCAGCCTTTTCCTTTGAAAGAAATAATTTTAACATACCCAGTAAGGAGAACGGGGGCCGGGCGCAGTGGTTCATGCCTGTAATCCCAGCACTTTGGGAGACCAAAGCGAGCGGATCACCTGAGGTCAGTAGTTCGAGACCAGCCTGACCAACGTAGAGAAACTCTATCTCTACTAAAAATACAAAATTAGCCAGGCGTGGTGGTGCATGCCTGTAATCCCAGCTACTTGTGAGGCTGAGGCAGGAGAATCGCTTGAACCTGGGAGGTGGAGGTTGCAGTGAGTTGAGATCGTGCCATTGCACCGCAGCCTCAGCAACAAGAGCAAAACTCTATCTCAAAAAAAAAAAAAAAGAAAAAAAAAACAGAACTGGTTCTGGAATCAGACTTCCTAGATTCTATTTTATTAGCTTTATAATCTCAAAAAAAGGAAATTTACTGTCCCTTAATTTCCTCAACTGTAAAATGGAGGTAATAAGTTCTATCTCATAAAGTTATTTGGCAGATTAATAATTTTTTTTTAATTTTGTCATTTTCTTTTTTTTCTTTCCTTTTTTTTTTTTTTTTTTTTAATTTTTTGAGATGGACTTTTGCTCTTGTCACCCAGGCTGGAATGCAGTGGCACAATCGATCTTGGCTCACTGCAACCTCCACCTCCCAGGTTTAAGCAATTCTCCTCCCTCAGCCTTCTGAGGAGCTGAGATTACAGCCATGCACCATCACATCTGGCTAATTTTTGTATTTTTAGTAGAGACAGGGTTTTACCACGTTGGTTAGGCTGGTCTTGAACTCCTGACCTCAAAGCATCAGCCCCCCTCAGCCTCCCAAAGTGCTGGGATTACAGATGTGAGCCACTACTCCAGGATTTATTTTATTTTATTTTATTTTATTTTTTTGAGACAGAGTCTTGCTCTGTCCCCAGGCTGGCGTGCAGTGGCACAATCTCGGTTCACTGCAACCTCCACCTCCCAAATTTAAACAATTCTCATTCCTGAGCCTCCCCAGTAGCTGGGATTACAGGCTTCTGCCACCAGGTCTGGCTAATTTTTGTATTTTTAGTAGAGACAGAGTTTCACCATTTTGGACAGGCTGGTCTCGAATTCCTGACCTCAGGTATCCACCCGCCTTGGCCTCCCAAAGTGCTGGGATTACAGGCGTGAGCCACCACACCCGGCCTGCTTTATTTTTTTAATAGAGATGAGGTCTCACCATGTTGGCCAGGTTGGTCTTGAACTCTGGCCTCAAGCAATCCCCCCACCTCAGCCTCTCAAAGGGCTAGGATTACAGGCGTCAGACACCACGCCCAGCTATTCTGCAAATTAAATGAGATATTTCTGTGCAATTCTTAGCATAACACCTGCCTGGCACACCATAAGAACACAAGAAAAGCTGTCGTTATTATTATTACTACCTAGCTAAGTACTAGGCACATAATAGGTGCTAACTTTAACTTAAAAATAATAGTTTATTACTACATCAACACTTGATAGTCTTATTTCAATAACAAATGTTTCTTGACTACAACAACACACACTAATCATTTCTTGTGGCTTAAAACTCTCCCAAACTTACCAATATTAGTGGCACCAGCATCCAGACTGTTTTCTACTAACTCCTTCACTGCAGTGCTTAGACTCAGTACCACTGGCCCAGAGCAAATCTGATGGACTGACTTCCGATCAATAGGTTTGATGGCCTTAGCAGGTTCTGTACTAAAGAAATCAGTTACAAGAAACAAAGCAAGTATTCAGCTATATATTTTCATCCTGATTTTAACTGTGGGAAATGACTCAACACTGTAAATAGTTTATGGGTCTAATCTGTTCAGTTATTATATTAACAAATACATTTATTATATCCAGAAATAGAAACACTGTTTTACAATCCTTAAACATGTACCCAAAATACTTCTGGATAGATACTTCAAATTCAACAGATCCTTACTATCTAGGATCCACATGGAGAAAACATACATTGTATCTCTCAAATTACCAAAACCTTTGGCAACAATGGTGTCTTCTTTCTTGAAAACTGAAAGCATGGCCTGGTGGGGTGGCTCATGCCTGTAATCGGCTAATTTTTGTATTTTTTTTTTAGTAGAGATGGGGTTTCACCACGTCGGCCAGGCTGGTCTTGAACTCCTGACCTCAAGTGATCCACCCGCCTCGGCCTCCCAAAGTGCTGGGATTACAGGCATGAGCCACTGCACCCGGCCCACCTGGATAACTTCTAAAAATATTTTATAGAGATTAGATGTTGGTATGTTTTATTTTGTTTTGCTTTTTTTGAGACAGAGCCTCGCTCTGTCGTCCAGGCTGGAGTGCAGTGGTGTGATCTCAGCTCACTGCAACCTCCGCCTCCCAGGTTCAAGCAATTCTCCTGCCTCAGCCTCCCAAGTAGCTGAAATTACAGGCGCCCATCACCATGCCTGGCTAATTTTTGTATTTTTAGTAGAGATGGCATTTCACCATGCTGGCCAGGCTGGTCTCGAACTCCTGGCCTCAAGTGATCCGCCTGCCTTGGCCTCCCAAAGTGCTGGGATTGCAGATGTGAGCCGCCACACCTGTCTGAACCTAGATTCTGTTCTTGCAGTGTGAAGTTCCTGAATGTTGGGAGCAGAGGTGTGATGTGATCAGGTTTAGAACCTGGTCCTGGCTGGGTGCAGTGGCTCACACCTGTAATCCCAGCACTTTGGGAGGCCGAGGTGGGTGGATCACCTGAGGTCAGGAGTTTGAGACCAGCCTGGTCAACATGGTGAAACCCCGTCTACTAAAAATACAAAAAAATTAGCCAGGCACGGTGGCGCACGTTTATAGTCTCAGCTACCTGGGAGGCTGAGGCAGGAGAATCGTTTGAACCTGAAGCTGCAGGTTGCAGTGAGCCGAGATCACACCACTGCACTCCAGCCTAGGCAACAGAGTGAGACTCTATCTTAAAAAAAAAAAAAAAAAAAGAACAAAGAACCTGGTCCCTCTGGATACTGAGAGGGGAATGGGCGACGGGCAGGAGTGGACATGGAGAGTTCAGCTAGAGAGGAACCACGGACATCCCAGCGGGAGACCAAGGTGGTTCTTGCTTGGGGATTGCAGGGATGATGGAGAGAAATGGGTGGCTTAGACACTCCAGGGAGGTAAAGCGATCGCTGGAAGTGAGAGCGAGGGAGGGGTGCTTCCTGGCTGCCTGTGCCCACCTGCTGCCATCCGAATTCCTTTGATGTTTGGCCTGCTGAGTCATCTGCAAGTCATTACCCCGCAACAGTTGCTGTTTTTCCTTTTTAACAATGCATTTGTTTCGTACCATTGAGCCATTATGTTCCGGGCCAATGGATTTTGTGGTGTTTCCCCAGCTACACAGTCCTGGGGAATATTTTAAATGCCATTTAATAAAAAGTTCTACACAATGCCGTTCCCGTGACATGTTCTGCTCAAAGCCGTCATGAGCTGGTATTCAAGGGGATGGGGTTCGGCTGAGGACCCTTTTAGGTGTGACTGTGCTGGGCAGAACGCCCTGGCATGGCTCCCCAGGGCCTGATGGGACTGTGCCTGTGCTGGGCAGTGCCCCCTCCCTTGGGTTCTTCTTTTTTTTTTTTTTTTATCTTCAGATGGAGTCTCGCTGTGTTGCCCAGGCTGGAGTGCAGTGGTGTGATCTCGGCTCACTACAACTTCTGCCTCCCAGATTCAAGCGATTCTCCTGCCTCAGCCTCCCGAGTAGCTGGGACTACAGGCACGAGCCACCGCATCTGGCTATTTTTTGTATTTTTAGTAGACACGGGGTTTTGCCATGGTGCCCAGGCTGGTCTCAAACTCCTGAGCTCAAGTGATCCACTTGCCTCAGCCACCCAAAGGGCTGGGATTACAGGTGTGAGCCACCATGCCCAGTCTTGTCTTTCAAAAATATTAACGATGTATTAATGTTCTTGTGGAACACACCTGCCGTTGAGATGACATCCCCAGAACCCCTTTTCCTGGGGCCTTGCCGTAAAGCAAACTGTGGTGGTGCACTCACTTGCAAAGCACAGAAGACCCCAATTTTTGCATTCACGCCCAGGCCACATCAGAAACTGGGCATGGCCTCTTCCCTCTGCCTTATCTCCCAATTCCTGCGGCCACCTCCTGCATATTTCTGGAATCCAACTCTTCCTCTCCAATCCTCTGTGTCTGCCCTGGTTCAGATCTGGTTCTTCCCAGCCCACAATCCCTGCTACCACCCCTTGGCCACCATGGGTGCCACTGCAGAACAGGACCGTATACACCCCTGGTCTCTCTGAGTAGCTCTCTCTCCTCCTCTCTCCTTCTTCCCTCTTTTTAAAAAAACTTTTTAGAGATGGGGTCTTGCTGTGTTGCCCAGGCTGGTCTTGAACTCTTAGGCTCAAGAGATCCTCCTGCCTCGGCCTCCTTCTTCCATTTGCCCTTCAAAATTCAGCTCAAGGCTGGGCATGGTGGCTGTCACCTGTAATCCCAGCACTTTGGGAGGCTGAGGTGGGAGGATCTGTTGAACTCAGGAATTTAAGACCAGCCTGGCCAGCATGGTGAAATCCTGTCTCTACTAAAAATACAGAAAAATTAGCCAGGCATGATGGCAGGCGCCTGTAATCCCAGCTACTTGGGAGGCTCAGGCAGGAGAATCACTTGAACCCGGGAGGTGGAGGTTGCAGTGAGCCAAGATCATGCCACTGCACTCCAGCCTGGGCAACAGAGCAAGATTCCATCAGAAAAGAAAAGAAAAGAAAAAGAAAAAGAAAAAGAAAAAGAAAAAGAAAGAAAAAGAAAAAGAAAAAGAAAAAAAAAGAAAAAGAAAAAGAGAAAGAAAAAGAAAAGAAAAGAAAAAAAAAGAGTCAGCTCAGAAATAACCCCAGGGACCAGGCGTGGTGGCTCATACCTGTAACCCCAGCACTTTGGGAGGCCAAGGCAGATGGATCACCTGAGGTCAGGAGTTCAAGACCAGCCTGGCTAACATGGTGAAATTTCATCTCTACTAAAAATACAAAAATTAGCTGGGTGTAGTGGCAGGCGCCTGTAATCCCAGCTACTCCAGAGGCTGAGGCAGTAGAATTGCTTGAACCCAGGAGGCAGAGGTTGCAGTGACCTGAGATCGCACTGTTGCACTCCAGCCTGGGCAACAAGAACAAAACTCGGTCTCAAAAAAAAAAAAAAAAAAAAAAAAAAAAGAAAGAAAAAGAAAAGAAAGAAAGAACCCCTAGGAAGCCCCCCTGGCTCTCAGTGGGGGCCAGTAGCCTCCCCTGGGCTCCTGGACTATGATTCAGTCTTTACACCCTAGGTTCCAAGATCTGTTTAGAGGGTGTTTCCAAAGTCAAGTTCCAGGCGGCTCCTGAGGGTGACGGCAGCTCCTCAGTGGGCTCAGAGAGGCTGTGCAGAAGGGAGGGGCAGCTGCAGGCTCGCATGGGAAGTCCCTGGCGCTGCGCCTGGCATCAGCACGGATTGTGACATTAAGAACAAACACAGAAGGGCCGCAGGACATGCAAAAGCCTGTGGCCAACATGGCGAAACCCCATCTCTACTGAAAGTACAAAAATTAGCTGGGTGTGGTGGCAGGCACCTGTGATCCCAGCGACTCAGGAGACCAAGGCTCGAGAATCACTTTAACCTGGGAAGTGGAGGTTGCGGTGAGCAGAGATCGCGCCACAGCACTCCAGCCTGGGCAACAGAGTGAGACTCCACGTTAAAAAAAAAACAAAAAAGCCATGGCAATCCTGCTCCTAGCTGGTCCTTGAACCCTGGGAGGATTAATTCATCTTTTCACACAGCAAACACCAACGGCCCCCTCCTTCTCCCTGTCATACCCCTCTGGGGCCGGGCCCCTAGCCAACTGTCTTGGGTCCGGATAGGACAGCGTGAGACAGTCTCTGCTGAAGAGTCACTGACAGGGAGGTGGTCTTTTAACTCTGTCTTTTTTTTTTTTTTTTTTTTTGAGTTGGAGTCTCGCTCTGTCGTCCAAGCTGGAGTGCAGTGGCACGATCTCGGCTCACTGCAACCTCCGTTTCCCAGGTTCAAGTGATTCTCCTGCCTCAGCCTGCCAAGTAGCTGGGATTACAGGCACCCACCACCACACCAGGCTAATTTTTGTATTTTTAGCAGAGACAGGGTTTCACCATGTTGGCCAGGCTGCTCTCAAACCCCTGACCTCAAGTGATCCGCCTGCCCTGGCCTCCCAAAGTTGGGATTACAGGCATGAGACACCAAGCCCGTCTGTTAACTCTCTCTCAGTTCCAGGCAGAGGGACCTGGGCTCCACCGTGGTGGGGTTTTTTTGTTTGTTTGTGTGTTTTGTTTTGTTTTGTTTTGAAGACGGAGTCTTGCTCTGTCACCCAAACTGGAGGGCAGTGGCAAGATCTCGGCTCACTGCAACCTCCACCTTCTGGGTTCAAGTGATTCTCCTGCTTCAGCCTCCCGAGTAGCTGGGATTACAGGCCCCCACCACCATGCCCTGCTAATTTTTCTATTTTTGGTAGAGACAGGGTTTTGCCACATTGGCCAGGCTGGTCTCTAACTCCTGACCTTAAGTGATCTGCCCACCTCAGCCTCCCAAAGTCCTGGGATTACAGGTGTGAGTCACTGCGCCTGGCCTGTTCGTTCAAGACAGGGTATCACTTCACCCTGGGGATGGGAGGTGGTGGGGGAGGAGGGGAGAGCTTCAGAGGCCGGGACCACCCTGGGCAGGGCCAAGCTCCAGGCAGCTCCTCTGGGGCCCTCCCATGGATGTGGAGTGGGGGTGCCGTCAAGAGCAGCAGCCCATGGCCTGGCCCTGCTCTGAGAATCCCCCTCAGATGTCTCCAGCCACTTGGCCTGTGCCACCACCCCTCATCCCCCCGAGCAATTGCTCTCCAGACACCAGACCTGGGCCGGGGATGCTGGTTTAGGGGCCCTGGTTCCTAAATGTCACAAGCCAAAAGAGCAGGTGAAGGTGGCTTAGCAGGGCACATGGGGCAGGGGTCACAGGCCTCCCGGAGGGGCAGCAGTAGCCGGGGGGCAGGGGGCTCAATCACCAGCAGCCTGAGGACCCAGGGCACCAGGAGCCCCGCAGAGGGGCTCGGTTTGTCTCTTTGCAGGGCTGGGAGCTCTGCAAGGCCTGGGAAGCGGGGAAGGACCTGGCAGGTTGGCATTGAAAAGAGTGGCTGCGGGGGATGGGGCGGGGCATGGAGCTGGAAGGCTGAGCCAGGGTGAGGCAGCGGGGAGGGCAGAGGGTGGACCTGGAGAGTGGGTGAGAGGGCAGAAGGGGGCTGGGCGGAGCGGGGTGCTGTTCCAGCCTCACCACGCCCTGCCTTCCCGGCTTCCCCTGGGCCTGGTCTTCCTGAGGTCACCCCGCCTCCTCCTGTGTCCAGACAGTCCTGACCTGGACACACTGCCTGCTTCCCCATCCCGGCTCCACCCCGATGTTGGCAGGCCACTTGACCTCCTGTGCCTCAGTTTCCTCATCTGTAAGAGCGGGTAGGAGCCACCTCTCCTGCTCCCTGCCTAATACCGACGAGACTGGGTCTGAACTCGGCCCCCGAGTTTCCTGCCAGATCTGCCCGTGGTGGGGGACAGGGGCCTAGACTTTGGGGAAGCTGCCCCCTCCCACCTTGACTAAGATCCCGCCTCCCCAAGGTGCCCACCCGCTCCTCCTGGGCCTTGCCCGGCCCCAGCGGGGGTGAGCACTGTTGCTGACTCTACAGTGGAAGGAGCCCGGGCTTGCCAAGGGGAGGACCGGGGTCGGGGGACCCCTCCCTGGAAAGATGCTAGAGAGAGCATCCCTGGTCCCAGCAATGCGTCCGCCCCAAGCACAGCCCCAGTCCCAGGGCTCCGGTGGGGACCACCCACCGATAGGGTCCAGGGCCAGGGAGGGGCGCGTTGCAGAAGGGCTGCTGGTGGCAGCCGTGGTCATGGCCCACCCGCAGCACGGGGGCGCCTCCGCTGCCCGCCATGGGGTCGTCACAGGGCAGCTGGTCCGGAGACACGGGCAGCGTCATGTAGTGGCCATCGGTCAGCAGCTGTGGGGAGGCCGGAATGTCAGCCAGTGTCTCCGGGTTCTGGAAGCCCCTGGAGGCTGCAGGAGGAGAGAACAGATGGAGGTGGGAGGGGAGAAAGCAGCTTTGTCCTTATGAGGGGGTTCTGTGTTCGCCCAGTCTCCAGCCCTGACCCCCCATGCCACCTCCTCCCTCAGGGCCCCCAGAGATAGTCCAGACCCAGTCGACTTTGTTACCCCTGAAGGGGAGCTTCCCTCTGGCCTTTTGTCCCCACCCAGAGCCAGGAGTGGGGAGCAGCGGGCAGTCCCAACCTGCCCAGCGCCAGCCCCAGCCCCATCGCAGTGCACCGGCCCTGCCCCACAGGAGGCCACATCCTCCCAGGTCGCAGCCTCGGTTCCCTGTCCAAAGGAAGAACTACTTGGATTCAGAGAAAGGGTTGCAGAGCCCTTGACAGCTGACAAACCCACCACTTGCACTACTCCCAGGATTTGGTGTTCACTACGTGTGTATTTTTCAATACACATATTACCCCTTTAGATAAAGCCCAATTCATCCACACCTACTCTCCCAAAGGCCCCCACAGGGGCTCAATCATTGAAGGCGCTTGCTGGTGAGGGGCTCCTAGGGCCCACCACTCTCCTCAGCCGTCACCCTCACCCAGGCCCCACAGCAGTCCCCGCACCATTGCTGAAGGCCACCACGAGCCAGACGGTATCGCTGGCGCTGGCAAGCCCATCGAAGACACAGCGCGGCTGCTCCAGGGAGAAGGTGGTGGCTGTGACCTTCCCTTCCAGGTCCCAAGCTGTTATCTGTGGTGTGTAGGGCACCAGCTCTGTGGCCACGGGGGACAAAAGGTGAGCCACGGAGACAGGCGTGGGGGTCCCTGGGGCTGCCTCTCCCAATCGGAGGGGGGTGGGCGCCCAGGGTCCAATCACTCCAGCAGGGCCCCCAGCCCCTTGGGTCTGGCTGCAGCCACAAAGTCCCTATTCATGTCACAGTGCAGACACCACTGCTCCAGCCTTCCGTGGTCACCTGGTCTAACACAGCCCCCGGTCCCTGCCTGTCACACTCTAACTCTCAGGAGCTCCTGACCCCACCCGGCAGGGTGCTGGAAGGTGATGGCCTCTCCTCCTCCCTCGAGGCTATGTGAGGTCCAGGCTGCCCTCCCTGTACCTACAGCAGGTCCCCAGAAAAGAGCAGCAGACACTCGGCCCGGCCTCAGCCTCTGTCCTCCGCTGCAGAAACAGAGTCCAGTGTGGCGCCTGGCCTCCTGCCGCCTGGTCAGGGCCCCGTCCACCCCCGGGGCGCATGGTGGCACTCACCTTGCGGCCCTGGGCGTTGTCTGGAAGGTAGCACTGGCGGGGAAACCCTCTGGCAGTGAACGGCTTTCCGGGATTGGGGTGCTCAGGGCCCTGCGGGAGGAACAGACACCAGGATAGGGTGCTCCGAGAGCCCGCACAGGGACAGGCCCCTGCACAGCTCCAGCTCCTCCCCCGCTCCGAGATGCCAACCCCGAATGTTCCTGAATTTCCCTCTGAGCTGTGGAGAAGTGGAGGGAAACCAGGGGAAAGGCTCATGGTTCAACAAGACAAAAAGATGCCTCCATCCACCACAGGTGGACCTTGGCTGGCAGCCAGTGCCCGCTGCCTGCTGCCCCGTTATCTTCCCACCCTGCCCCAGGCCCTACGATCCACCTTGGCTCAAGACAGGAGACCGAAAGGGCTAGGGCCCATCTGAGTCTCCTCTGGGACTCTGGGGCCTTGTGCCTGGGCTCCTGACACCCACACGCCTGGCCCTGCCACTCCCAACCCAAGGTTCCTCGACGCACACCCTGCTGTGGCCCCGCTTCTCCAGCCCCTCCGCAGGGTTCCTCCCACTGAACTGCCTGCCCTTCTGCCCAGAACAAGTCCAGCTAAGATGGCTCCTCCTCTAGGAAGGCTTCCTTGGTTCAGGAAAGAGTGGAGGGCCAGCCTTTTGCTGCCACAGCCCTAAGAGCTTACCCTAAGCCCCGGCACTGCCTCCCCATTCCCAGCCCTCCATGGCCCTGGCCTTAGGGGACCTGGGGGCCTGAGCTTGGCCACATGGGCATCCTCAGCCTTGATCCAGGGGCAGACTGCTGGGACGTGGGCGGGGTGGGAAGAGGAATGGCCAGGAGTGGGGGACTCAAGAAGGCCCCTCATCTGGATGCCATGGGGAATGCTGTAAACTATGAGGATGGTCCCGCAGTCCTCGTGGCCGGGGAGCGACATCTGGAACCGTAATACCTCCATCTTTCCCTGGGGCTGGGTCCCCGTCTTCTCTCATAGATGGTTTTGCAGGAGGGACACTGCAGACTTCCATCCTGAGAGAGGCAGACGCAACCCACTGAGCTGGCAGTCTGAGAACACCCAAGACCGTCACCTCCACCATCAGATGGTAAAGGGCCCCGGGAATGGGCTGGCCACCATCCCAGGGAGTTGCTGGCAGCCTCCTGCCCGGAAACTGGCTTCCAACAGCTTCCCTGGAAAGCTTTGTTTTGCACCAGCAACTTATGCCATTTTCGTTAAGGGACATGCTATCAGGAGACAGGTGGCGAGTGGGAAAACTTGGATCCTGAGCAGAAATCTCCACGGGTGAATCGCATTTGCAGTCGGATAGACAGCCTTGCAGCGTCTGATCTGCGGAGCTGGGCCTTGGCTGCCCAGGACGGCAGATACTAGGGAAGGCCGAGCCAGGCTCCGATGCGCCACGACTCGGTTCTCTAAGCCTCTAAACTCTGCCCATCCCGCCTGAAGGCCGATGCAGGGAGAGCAGCTGGGGGTCGGTCTGGGCGTGGCTCTTCATGTGTAGGCTACCGTGGGGCCCAGGACCAGCCCTGCCTCAAGGCCTGGCTCCCACCTCCCAGTGGGGTGACCGTGGGTACAGCCCCTGCTCTGAGCCTCTCCCTCATGAGCACTGTGCTGACTGCACAGGGATGCTGTAAGGAAGAAGGGAGACAGTGTCTGCGGTGTTTACAAGTGGCCGAGGGGGAGGCGGTGCCCTGAGGCTCAGAGAAGCCCAGAATCTTCTCAGGCCTGGCTGGAGGGGTGGAGGGAACCAGCCGCACTGGTCCTCCTTTCTAAAGTGTGCGGCAGACCTAGAAGAGTAGGGCAGGCCTAGGAGAGCCGGCCAGGCCTTTAGAAAGGTCTTCAAGCTGGCCCCACGCCCAGCACCATCTTTTGCAGAGGCCCATTCCTACAGCCACCCCCGGAACCCTCCCACCCCTGCAGGGGACAGCTCAGGACTTCCGGGGCAGGCCACCCGCCTCCGCCCCGGGCCAGTGGGGGCACCTTATTGCCGTTGCAGTACATGGCCAGGAGGCACAGCAGGTGGAAGGCGTGGCTGCACTTGGTGAGGCAGCCCACAGCCAGGGGCCCGATTGCCTTGCTGTCAGTCACATCGCTGTATCCAGACGCTGCGGACAGCTTCTCCATGCAGATGATGCAGTCCTGGAGGAGACCAAACATGGGTCATGCTCGCCAACAGTGGGCTGGGCTGACGTGGGCCAGTCTTGGAAAAAAGAGGCTTTCATGTGCTGAAATGCTGGAAGTGCAGTCAAAGTCAATTCCGAGGCCAGGCGCAGTGGCTCAGGCCTGTAATCCCAGCACTCTGGGAGGCCGATCACTTGAGGTCAGGAATTTGAGGCCAGCCTGGCCAACACGGGAAAACCCCATCTCTACTAAGAATACAAAAATTAGCTGGGCGTGTTGGCAGGCGCCTATAATCCCAGCTACTCGGGAGGCTGAGGCAAGAGAATCACTTGAACTCAGGGGGCAGAGGTTGCAGAGCTGAGATTATGCCACTGCACTCCAGCCTGGGCGACAGAGCGAGACTCCGTCTCAGAAAAAAAAAAAAAAAGTCCATTCCACAGGCTGGAGACACAGGTGAGTCACCGGGACCTGTGCCCTTGAAGGGCTTACCAGCAGCACAGGCCCGACATGACAGCAGAAGCCACCAAATGGGAAGGACGGACAGGGCAGGATCCTGGGGGAGGCCCTCGGAGTGGGGTCTTACAAGGGAGACAGGAATTGCCAGATGGACAAGCACAGAGTGGGCACCCGGAAGAGGGAGGAGGACGTTCTGAACGAGGAGCCAGCGCATGGGCACTAAAGCTGGCAGGGGGTGGGCTGGGAGCAGGAGATGAGACAGGATCAGGGAGAGGCGCGCCCTCGGGGGTCTGGCTGCCACACTCAGGGGCTTGGGGTTGTGTGTGAGTTGGGGGTCCTGCTGGGGGTTCCAGGCAGGGAGTGCTCCCATGATCCAAGCTGCGTGCTGGCTGTGCAGACGGCAGCTTGGAGAGGAGGAGCCTGGGGTGAAACGGCCCAGTCACACCAGATGGACACCAGGGCCGAGACAGAGCTGAGCGCTGGGCAGGCGGGAATGTGGCAAGGGCTTGTGGAAGGGGTGGGACACATGAGGACGACGTTCAGGCTCCTTTCCAAACCTTTACTTACCAAATTTTTCTCATGGACTCAGACTGGAGAAAGAGACAAGTGAAGAGTCCCTGGGTACTGGGGCTCCTGGCCTTCCACCCGCCCCCAAGTATCTGAAGATCTCTGGGTACTGGTACTCCCGGCCGTTCGCCCACCCCCTCCCCCAACAGTATCTCCCGGGCTCCCAGCTAAAATCAGGGGAAAGTGGTGCTGCAGCCCCCAAAACGTGGCTCAGCAGAGGTTCAGGTTCTATGGAAGCGCAATAGGAGTCTGATTGGTCCTGTTCATTACAGGAGGTCAGGAGGACAGGGCTGCAGTGAGCTGTGATCACGCCACTGCACTGAGCCTGGGTGACAGTGTGCACCCGTCTTTAAGAATAAAAAAATTATAAGAACCTTGACCAGCTCTCCCAATAGCCGGGGGACAGGACAGCCACCTGGACGAGGCCACCTCACTTCTACACCAGCATCCGCAAGGTGGAGAGTGGGGCAGGCTGGCCCATCCCTTGTCTCTGGAATTCCTGCTCCCAGGATGGCCATCAGGCTATGGAGAGGCCAGGGCCGGGAGAGGAGGGGCTTTGCTCAGGACCACAGCTCCTTAAGTGCAAAGCTCAGATCATAACGATGTGGGTCTCGGGAGGCTGGGAGATGAAACCAAAGGGGCTGGAGCAAGGCCCTGGCACCCAGAGGCACCTGGGAAGCACCCTTCAAGCAAGATGGGGCGGATGTCCTTTCCATGTGGAGTTGTTTCCAAACAGAAACAAAGGCAGCCAAGGTCCCAAGACACAAACCTCATCTGGGGGCACTTTCAGCTCTTCCGTGTAGTTTTTTATGACCTGCTCTGGCTCTGGCTCTGGCTTCGGGGTCGCTCCTAGAAGAGAGAAGTACATAAGCAGCGTCCTGAGGAGCACAGGCTGGAGAGGAGGCCAGAGGGCGAGGAAGGCAAGGAAGAGGTCTAAGCTGCCAGGAGGAAATGCGAGAGGGGCCCAGACAGGGAGGCCAGTGTGCGGGACGGGAGAGCTCAGCGCCAGGCACAGAGCCCCGAGCTCCGTCGGGCAAAGCCTTCCCCAGTCCCACCGTCCGGGGACCCGGCTCAGCCCCAGGAGCCATGGAGGATGCAGAAGAGCAGAAACAGCAGCACAGTCTCCTGGGAGCCGCATCCCCGCGCACATTGAGTGAGGAACCGACCCCGGCGCTTCTGAGGCTGCGCGGAAGAGTCAGACAGCCGCTTCGGGCACAAACTACTCCAGGGGGCGTTGTGGCACCACGATTTGATTCAACTTGCATTACCCTGGCATGAACATCGCAAGGACAAGGGAGTCTGGGGTCCAGCATGTACAGGCAGCTGCACACACGCCGACCGCCACACAGACACTGTCCCGGGAAACGCCTGCCACTGACTGGGAAGGTCTGTCACATGCAGACTAGCTCCTAAGTCCAGCGACTCTGGGGAGGGGCCAAGACGTGGCAGGAGCCCACCCTGACGGCCTCACTCGCTGTCTGTGCACACACGCACGAAGCTGGAGGGAGAAGGGCTGCATCTCCATAAACACCGAACCCCACATCCAGTAAAGCCTCTCCTACGGACAAGAAGCTCCTGAGCTGGTGAGGATCGGCGCGGCCCGGGGCGTTCTCTAGGTAGTGGGAGTAGCAGAACCACAGAAGCCAGCAGCCAAGCCCGTGCGGGGGTGAAAGAGGGACGGGGAGCCCAGTGCCACCCGTGGAGGCGCTCCTGACAGGGGCTCCACCCCAAGGTCATGGTGGGGCTGCGGTCGTCCCAGACTCCAGGACCAGAAGGGGCTCTGGTTTGAATCCAAGCTCACGGCCTTTAGGTGCTGCAGAGAATTCTAAGCCTCTAAGCCTGAGGGCGCACAGCTGCACCTGCTGAACTCCCTTTACACCAAAAAGGGCCAGGGAGGGGACAGTTTGGCAGGGAGGTGGCGTGGTGGGGCGGAGGCTGGAGTCGGCACAGTTTGTTTAATTCTAGTTCTCTTGCTGTGAACGAATCATGCCACCTCTGAGCCTCGGTTCCCTGATCTCAAACGGGAAAGACGAATATGTAACCAAGCTGGAATTGCTGTGATGGCATGGCTGCTGTGACCTGGAGGGAAACTGCTGGCAAGACCACACCCCCCAACCCCCATCCACACACCCCACACCTCCACCCACACCCCCCACACCTACAGACACACCTACACACACACACCCCAATCCACACCCACAGCCCCCACACCTAGACACCACACCTACACACACACCACACACCCCAATCCACACCCACACCCCCCCACACACACCCAACTCCACCTACACCCCCACATACCCCACACCTCCACACACCCCACACAACTCCACCCACACCCCCACACCTCCACACACCCCCATACCCACCTCCACACACCCCACACACACCCCACACAACACCCACACCCTCACCTCCACACACCCCCACATACCCACCTCCACACACACACCAACACCCACACCCCCACCTACAGACACACCTACACACACACCACACCCCAATCCACACCCCCCACACCTAAAGACACCACACCTATACACACACCACACACTCCATTCCACACCCACACACCCAACTCCACCCACAACCCCACACCTCCACACATCCCCGCATACCCCACACCTCCACACACCCCACACACACCCCACACAACACCCACACCCCCACCTCCACACACCCCCACATACCCCACACCTCCACACACACACCAACACCCACACCCCCACCTACAGACACACCTACACACACCACACCCCAATCCACACCCCCCGCACCTAAAGACACCACACCTATACACACACCACACACCCCAATCCACACCCACACCCCCCCACGCACAGCCAACTCCACCCACACCTCCCACACATCCCCGCATATCCCACACCTCCACACACCCCACACCTCATCCCACACACCTCCAAACACCCCACACCTCCACATCCCACACACCTCCACACACCCACCTCCACACATCCCACACCACACACCAACTCCACCCACACCTCACAACTCCACACACCCCACACTCCACACCTCCACACACCCCACACCTCCACACCCCCACACCTGCACACACCACACACTTCCACACACCATCTCCACATACCCCACACCTCCACACCCCACTCCTCATATCACACACCTCCACACACCCCACACCTCCACATACCCACACCTGCACACACCACATACCACACACCCCACACCTGCACATACCCACACACCTGCACACCTCCACACCTGCACACTTCCACACACCTGCACACCCCATCTCCACATACCCCACACCTGTACACACCCCACACCTCCACACACCACACATCTCCACACACACACCACACGTCCACACACACCACACACACCCCACACCTCCACACACCACACACCCCACACACCTCCAGACACCCCACACACCACCACCCACCTCCACACACCGCATACCTCCACACCCCCCACACACCCCACGCACCTCCACACACCCCACACACCCTCACCTCTACACACCCCACATCCCCACCTCCACATACCACACACCTCCACACACCAACCTCCACACACACACCCCACACACATCGCCACACAACTCCCACACCTCCACACACCCCTCACACCTTCACAGACCCCACACTCCACACCTCCACACACCACACACCTCCACACCTCACACATCTCCACACCCCACACACCCACCTCCACACACCCCACACATCCCACACCTCCACACACCCCACACCTCCACACACCCCACACCTTCACACACCCCACACCTCCTCACAGCCTACACCTCCATACACCCCACACAGCTCCACACACCCCACACCTCCACACACCCCACACCTCCACACACCACACACCTCCACACCTCCTCACACCCTACACCTCCATACACCCCACACAGCTCCACACACCCCACACCTCCACACACCTCACACCTCCACACACCACACACAGCTCCACACACCCACCTCCACACACCTCACACCCCACCTCACACCCCACACACTTCTACACACCCTACACACCTCACCCCTCCACACACCTCACACCTCCATACACCCCACACACCCACCTCCATACACCCCACACCTCCACACACCTCCACACACACTCCACACCTCCATACACCCCACACCTCCACACACCCCACACACCCTCACCTCCACACACCCCACACACCCTCACCTCTACACACCCCACACACCCACCTCCACACACCTCACACACCCCCACACCTCCACACACCCATACAGACTGCCCGAACCCAAATCCTGTCACGGTGGCGAGAACGCCAGACCAGAACGATGGCCCCCAGCTCAGGGTCACCCTCCGTGTGGCTGGAATGCCCTACTCAGGCTGAGGGGGGCCTTTTCCTTTGGAAAAGCCTGCCAACTCCAGAGCCATCTCCGGGTGAGCCTGGGCCTCGCCTCTGCCCAGCCCTGGTGAGGCCGGGCACAGCATCCCACCCCCGCCCACCCACCCCAGCCCTTGCAGCTTTTCAGAACAGAAGGGAGCTTTCCATTAGCCACGTGTCTCAGAAGGGGCCAGCCAGGCGACCCACCAAGAGCGTGTCCTTCCCAGGTAAACCCGAGTGCCACAGAAGGTTGCCAGCCGGGCTGCCAACGAGTCTGGCTCCTCCCCCAGGGCAGGGGAAGGGCAGGGCGTGCAGAGCCCTGGGCTGGGGGCAGGAGCTCGAGGCCCACCCCTCCCTGAGCCCACCTCCTCGCCTGTGGGCTGGAGGTCGGACACGATCGGAAGCCACCCTTGCCGCATGCCAGGCGCTTCGAGTATTTCCTAGACCTCGCCAAGCCCCTCTGCTAAGCGGAGGCTCCGAGAGGACCTGCTGAGATGACACAGACACTGAGGGCCAGCAGGGCCACGGCCACCCTCCCTGCCCGCCACCACGCCCACTCAAGAGCATCTGGACTGGCCACAGTCCACACTTCCACAGCCCAGGGGTGGAAGCAGGGCCAGCACCCGCTTGGGAAAGGTTCAGAACTTGACCATCACAGGCTGCTCCGAGCAGGTCTTGCTGTAACTCCCTGGACCTGCTGTGGTCCTAAAGCCCCTTCTTCTGTGGCCATGCAACGAGCAGGGCAGGGGTCACCGAGGGACCCCTCTCAAGCAGCCCACGTGGCGGCCACACAGGGCTGGGGGTCAGGGCAGCAGACCTGGGCAGCAGACCTGGGCCGCTGTCTGGGGGCCTTTCCCGAGACACGTGCTGGCCCTGGCGGAAGGGACGGTTGTCCCCGCATCCTGAGCCGGGCGCCGCCTCTCACCCACAACTTGCTGCTTACAAAAATCACAAAGTCCTCAAGAACAAGCCCCCTCATGCCAGCTGTGACTGGAGGAGAGGAGCTGAACTCTGGGGCTGCGGTGGAAAGTCAGCTTCCAGGGGCCGCCTCTGCTGCCGAGCGGGGGCAGGGAGAAGGGCCACTGAGCCCCTTCCCCCAGGAGTCAGGGAGCAGAGAGAAGGAAGAGGGTCTGTGCAGAAGAGTCGGAGGCAGCGAGGCCGGAAGGAGGCTTAGCAAAGGCCAGAGAGCTTTTGGGAACAAGAACTACCTTTCACGGACATTTTCCTCAATCTCTTAACTGAGCCGTGACTTTTGGAAGCCAGACGGGAGGCGGGAGGGCTGGTGGGCTGGGGTGCGCGGCTAAGACACACAGGGAGTCCAATGGCTGACATCAGAACACTCGTCATGCCTGCACGGGCGTGAGAGCAGACACGCAGAGAGGGAGAGACATTAGAAGACTCCTTCGGCATGTGACGCCAACAAACCCTGCTCAGGCCAAGGATGTGACACCATCAATGGCCACGGGGACGCACAGGTCTCCCTGGGGACTACCCAGGCCAGGAATCAGAGGGTGGGGCAGCCTGGCTCATGGTAGCCCTGGCCCCAGAGCCCACAGGTTTCTATAGGAGCAACAGACAAGCCCGTGCCCTCAGTGTGCAGGTGGGCACCGGGGCAGGACCCGTGACTTCAGGAGAGCAGAGGGCGGAGGACGCCACTCCAGGAAGCCGCCCGGGGCACGGGGTCTCCTGGGTGGGGCTGGCTCCAAGGGCTCAGCTTCCCCAGGAGGCCCTGGGCCCTCCTGGCTTGGAGTTACTAGGCCTCCAGCCTCCACTGGGCGCTGTGTGTGCTCCATGCCCCTCCTGGCTGATCTGGGTGCCAGGGCCTTCAGCGACAGCGCTGGGGTAGGCGGGCAGGAACGTGGCCCCTGGGCCTGCTCCCACACTGCAGCATCCCCATACTGTGAGGGCTGGGCTGCAGCAAGGCCCCAGGCTGTGGCTCTGGCGCCCTCGGGCAAGGGTGGGCCTGTGGCCAGCAGCTATGCTGGGACAGACCGGCCACTCTTTCCAGAGCTCACCACTGCCGGATGCCTGCAGGGAACCCCACACTTGCCCTGGGGGACTCTCCTCTGACACTGCTTCCTTCGTGCTCCCTGATGACCCAGCGCTTCCTGGGACACAGCGTGTCCTGCTGGACGAACCCGTTCCTGCCACACCCTCGGCCTACCCCACTTTCCATAGTGCCAGCTCCCCGGTCCTCCCTGTCATCGGTCAGTTAGGTCAAAAGCACCTCCTCTCCAGAGAAAGGGGAAGCCCAGAGCTTCTTAGCCATCCCTTAAGGTGGCTTCCAGGGTCTGCAGAACCTGGCTCAGGAGCTGGGCACAGCCGGCTGCCGGGGGAGTTGGTAGAGATCCCAGTCCTCCTGGACCCCACTCCCCATCCAGGAACAGATGGCGTGACTCAGGGGTGAAGGGCGGCCAGGCCAGCCACTGCGCCCCCACTAGAAGAACAAAGCTTCTCAACCCGGCACATGTGCCTGGCTGTGGGGACAGAAGCGGAGACCAGCCACCAGCCTGGGCAGCAGAGCCGAGGTGGGCAGGGTGAGTTGCAGTGGCCGCTCAGCAGGAGACACCAAAGCGTGCATCAGAGGACAGAGGTTTGAGCCCGGGAGCTCAATGCCCCCAACATCCCAAGCTTGTTCCTGGGCTCAAATGCGGTTCCTGTGGGAACTGAATGTCGGGTGGAGAGAAGGACAAGCGGGCGCGGGTGGCAGACAGATGGGAGAGGACAGGGACAGGTGCAATTTTCCTCAAGAGAACCTGGTGCCTCTGCGCTGCCCACGTCGTCTGGGAGGACCAAAGGCCAGGACACGTCTCCCTACCCAGGGTTCTCCGGCAACACTGCCTCGGCGGGCAGGCCTTCCCTGAACACTGCCTGACGGGGCCTGTCCCTCCAAGCCTCCCGCCCCGCCGTACTGGACTCCTGCTTTGCACTCCCCTCTGTTTCTATGGACTGTCTTCCCTCAGCACGAGTTCCACGAGGTCCCACCCGTAGCTGCATCTCCAGCACCCCGCTGGGGCAGTGCCTGATCCCTGGGAAGCCTGCAGCCCTCTGTGTTTGCTGAGGAATGAAGACATCCTTGGGCCACCACCAGCCCCCAGGAGGCCGCATGAGTGACACACGTGTCCTTTTCAATGCAGGACCCACTCCCCTGAATTCAAGTCACAAACACACAAGTTTCAACCCAGAAGCCTGGAGAGGAGGAGGGCTAGGGACAACCCCCCAAACTCCTGACAGCCCCCAAATCACCTGAATAACTCGGAGGGCCACAGCCTTTTTCTCCACCCATCTGGGAGGATTCCCGCTGTCAGAGCCCTGAAGAGTGAAGCCCCCACTCACTGATTCTCACTTCCAATTTGCAGACACCCCTCCTTCTGACACCCAGGGCCAGGGCTGAGATCCAAGCCTCTCCTCTGTGCGCTCTGACCTCCCCAGCCTGGGTTCGAGCCCAGTGCCAGCCCTCACCAGCTGAGCAGTCCTGGGCAGGCTGCTGACACCCATCCCTGCCCCAGGCAGCAGTGTGAGCTGTGGATGGACCGCTGCTGTGACCAGGTGAGGGGTGGAGACCCTGGCTCCAGCCTCACAGTCCCTGCCCCCACCCGATAGAGGGACTGGGCTATGCCACAGCCAGGGGAGCTGTCACCTGGAGGCACTGTCACTTGGAAGCAGTGCCTCCAGCACTCAGTCCTTCCAAAGCATGACCTCCTGGTTATAAACCTCCCTGCAAAAACCCTGTGCGCAAACGCTCATCTCCGCAGCCGGGCATGGTATAATTCCTCAACCCACAAGCACACCAGGGTGACAGGACACTGCTCTCCAGCTCTGGCTCCGGGGTGCTGGCCAGGCTCCTCTCATTCCCTGCTCCCCTAGACAATGCTCCCCCAGTAGGTACCAACACTGGGCCTTGAATTGGGGGAGGCAGGAGTCCACACAGCCTCCAGGCTCTCCTATTTCCTTAGGCCTGAACCAGCTTCCCGAATCTATTTCCCCACAAGTAAAATGGATGTTAAAATACCTGCTTTAGCTCCAGGATTGCTCTGAGAGCAACGGGGACAGACAACAGGATGGACAATTTGGGACACAGCCTGGACAGGACCTTCAGCCTCAAGAGCAGAGGAAGGGGGCAGGTGCTAACTCCACACCCAGGGCACTCAGATCTGTGTCATGGCCTCAGAGGTCGCTCACTGTCAGGCCTGGCCACGAAGGCTTGCGAGAGCCCCAGAACTGGAAGGAGCTGGGCCATGAGGAACCGTGTGGGGGCCCCGTCTGTTTACCCACAACCTGTCTCCAATGCCACCACGGCCGCACATGCACACACGGTACACTGTGATTTCCCTACGGCGCCGCACGGTGACTTCAGTGAGCAGGGACTTTCTGGCCAGTGTGTCTTGCTCATTCTGTCTCCCCTGCCCCGCTCCAGCTCCTCTCCCTCCTGCCCCCACCTCTCTGGCCGCTCCTTCATTTTCTCTTCAGTCCCGCCCACGGTCTCTGTGGCACACACGCTCCCACGAGGGGTCAGGGGCACCCCATTCCACCCAAGACTGCTCTTCTGAGGCCCACAGCCAAATCCCACTGCCCCGGAACAGCTCCAACGGCCACTCCACAGCCATCACCCCCTCCCAACCTCCCCCTAGACTCAGCAGCACTGAACCGTCATAGGCAAGAAGGCCCGGGGCTGTGTCTCAGCTCTGCCAAGGGCTGGCAGAGAATTTTTAAATTCTCCGAGCCTCAGTTTCCTCTAATGAAAATGGGAACAAAAGCCTCCACCTCAGTGATTTAAGGACGAAATGAATTCACACACGCCAAGCCCCAGGCTGCTCCTCAGTTGTCACTGGCTGCACTCCAGCAGGCCTCAGTCTACCCCCAATCCCCCCTCACAACCCCCCGCCTGACGGCTCATGCCTCTGAATGTTTCAAGCCAAACCTCCCCCTCAACTCCACTGCCTCGAAGCTGGTCAGGCCTTGGCTGGTGCCCCCAGGTCTGAGGTCAGGCTCTGCACCAGCCGCCCTACCTCCAGGCCTGTCCCCTCTCAGCCACTACGACAGCAACTCCCCTAAAACACCAACTCATTATTGAATTCCGCCACATCACCCTGTGAACAACGATGGCGCCATCCACCTCCTTACATACCTCGAACTTTCCAGAAGTTAGAAAATAACCTCAGCTGGGCGTGGCAGCTCATGACTGGAATCCCAGCACTTTGGGAGGCCAAGGCATGAAGACGGCTTGAGCCTGGGAGTTCAAGACCAGCCTGGGCAACATAGTGAGACCCTGTCTCTACAAAAAATAAAAAACTTCCCTGGCATGGTGGCATGTGTCTGTAATCCCAGCTACTCAGGAGGCTGAGGCAGAAGGATCGCTTCAGCCCAGGGGTTGGAGGCTGCAGTGAGCTATGACTACACCACTGCACACCAGCCTGGGGAACAGAGCAAGATCCTGTCACTTATAACAAGAAAAAAAAAATGGCCAGGCACGGTGGCTCATGCCTGTAATCCCAGCACTTTGGGAGGCCGAGGCGGATGGATCACTTGAGGTCAGGAGTTCAAGACCAGACTGGTCAACATGGCGAAACCCCATCTCTACTAAAAATACAAAAATTGCCCGGGCGTGGTGGCATGCACCTGTAATCCCAGCTACTCGGGAGGCTGAGGCAGGAGAATTGCTTGAACCTGGGAGGCAGAGGTTGCAGTGAGCCGAGATCCCACCACTGCACTCCAGCCTGGGCGAGAGAGACTCCATCTCAAAAAAAGAAAAAAGAAAAAAAATCCTGCCACCTGTGGAGCTTCTGAAAACCCTGCTAGCCAGGCTGCTAAAACAGAATGGGTGTGGGGGCCAGCAGTAGGTATTTTTAAGGATCCTTAAGGTGAAAGGATTGCTTGAGCCCAGGAGTTCAAGACTTCAGTGAGCTGGGTTAGCGCCACTGCACTCCAGCCTGGGTGACAGAGCGAGACTCTTGTCTCACAAAAAACCAAACCAAACCCAAAACAGTTCCAAGATGTAAGATGTATGGTTAGTACAGCAAAAGATCTGGTTGGACCCAAAAGGTGCCTCTTATTCAAGATGTAAGAGTAACTACAGCCGAAATAGATCTATTAATTCCCCAGAGGGCCCCTTTAAGGAAATGTTTAAAGTATTTCAGGACAGGAAAGTGACTATTTAAATATAATGCAATTCAATGCAAAAATGTTAAAGGATGTGAAAAGGTCTGCACCCGAGCGCCCACCGTCATCAGGCCCACGTACCCAGAGAGCAAAAGGAGGGGCACCTGGGCTCACTCTGGGGTGACACCATCACCAGAAAGAGGCACTGCTCCCCCAGGGAGCCCCTCTGGCTCTCCCTGAGGATCCAGAGGGTGACAAGGCCCCACATCACAATTTCCTCCCCACCAAGTCCCGCAGGGCACAGACTGCTCTGCAGCCCGAGGGCAGGCACCTACCTGCGAGCGCCTGCTGGACTCTGCTGGGCTTTGGCATCTGCATGGGCACAGTGGCAGGGACGCTCCCTGGGCTGCTTGAGGGACCGCTGGGGAGGGAGGCACTGGGGGAGAAAAGAGCAGAGCTTACTGCACACCGCTGACTTATTGGAAACGAGAGCTGGAGAAACACTGCGTCATGGCCAAGTGGGAGTCACTGAGGTGCCTTCGCGCTTTTACGCTCCTTGGGTGCCTGTGTGGAGGCCTTTGGTTTTGTTTTCCTGGGCAATTCAGAGAGACTCAGGAGGGGTGTGGTGGCTCACACCAGTAATCCCAGCACTTTGGGAGGATGAGGTGGGAGGATCACTTGAGGCCAGGAGTTTGAGACCAGCCTGGGCAACATAGTGAGACTCCATCTCCAAAAAAATTTTTAAAAGTCTGCCAAGTGTGGTGGTGCGCACCTGTACTTGGGAGGCTGAAGCAGGAGGATGGCTTGAACCCAGGAGGTTGAGGCTGCAGTGAGCCATGACCACATCACTGCAGTCCAGCCTGGGCGACAGAGTGAGACCCTGTCTCAAAAAAAAAAAAAAGACTCTGAAAACAATCATTTCATACCTGTTGTGAATAAAGAAAATAAAAAGAAAAAAAAAGATATTTTACACTCACTAGTGTCATCAAAATGCAGGCTCTCAGGCCAGGCGTGGTGGCTCACGCCTGAAATCCCAGCACTTTGGGAGGCTGAGGCAGGTGGATCACAAGGTCAGGAGATTGATACCATCCTAACACGGTGAAACCCCATCTCTACTAAAAATATAAAAAATTAGCTGGGCATGCTGGCACACAGCTGTAGTCCCAGCTATTCAGTAGGCTGAGGCAGGAGAATCACTTGAACCCAGGAGGTGGAGGTTGCTGAGACCGTGCCACTGCACTCCAGCCTGGACAACAGAGCAAGACTCCATCTCAAAAAAAAAAAAAAAAAATGGCTGGGTGCAGTGGCTCACGCCTATAATCTCAGCACTTTGGGAGGCCAAGGTGGGTGGATCGCGAGGTCAGGAGTTCAACACGAGCCTGGCCAAGATGGCAAAATCCTGTCTCTACTAAAACTACAAAAATTAGCCAGGCATGGTGGCAGGCGCCTGTAATCCCAGCTACTTGGGAGGCTGAGGCAGGAGAATCACTTGAACCTCGGGCAGCAGAGGTTGCAGTGAGCCGAGATCGCACCACTGCACTCCAGCCTGGGCAACAGAGAGAAACTCAGTCTCAAAAAAAAAAAAAAAAAAAAAAAAAAAAAAAAAGCAGGTTCTCATAGCACCTGTTTAGAGGAGAAAAATCCTGGCAGACACCACTTTAGCAAATGATCATGACCGTCATCACCAGTAAAAGACAGGTCAGTATCATAAACCCCACGATAGGATGCTCTGGGAGGGATGCAACACCATTTTGGGGGGATTTAATGTCAAAAATGCATTATCTAGCCTGGGCAACAATCAAGACCCCATCTCTAAAAAGTAAAAAACTAGCCAGGTGTGGTGGCATGCACCTGTGGTCCCAGCTACTTGAGAGGCTGAGGCAGGAGGATCACTTGAGCCTGGGAGTTCAAGGCTGCAGTGAGCTATGATCTCACCACTGTACTCCAGCCCAGGCTGGAGACTCTGTCAAAAAAGAAATAACAAAGGGCATTATCTTTGTCCAAACATGGGAAAACAAGACAAACTCAAATTAAGGGACATTCAACAAAGCACCTCTTTGAAAGTAACAAGGTTATGAAAGATAAAGACTGACAAACTGTTCCAGCCCAGAGGAGGACGGGGAGAATAAGAACTGGAAGCAAAGTGGGACCCTGGATTGGATCCTGGGACAGAAAGAGGACAGTAGTGGGAAATTGGTGAAAAATCAAGAAAGAAAAAAAAAACCTTTAGTTAAGAGTATTATACCAGTGGTAATTTTCTTTTTTTGCGGGGGTGAGGGGACGGAGTCTCGCTCTATTACCAGGCTGGAGTGCAGTGGTGTGATCTTGGCTCACTGAAACCTCTGCCTCCCAGGTTCAAGCGATTCTCCTGCCTCAGCCTCCTGAGTAGCTGGGACTACAGGTGCGTGCCACCACACCCGGCTAATTTATGTATTTTTAGTAGAGACGGGGTTTCGCTACGTTGCCCAGGATGGTCTTGATCTCTCGACTTCGTAATCCGCCTGCCTTGGCCTCCCAAAGTGCTGGGATTGCAGGAGTGAGCCACCGTGCCCAGCCAACCAGTGGTAATTTTCTGGATCTGACAACTGAACCATGGTTATGAAAGCTGTTAATGTCAGAAGCCAGATGAGGGAGATATGGAAACCCAACTACTTTTGTTAACTTTTCCGGAACTTAATTACCATAAAATAAAGGTTGTTGTTGTTTTTTTTTTTAATATGAGGGTTGTGTTCCCTACAATGATTATGTTCAAGTCACTCATTTGGTCTTTGGATTTTTTGAGACAGAGTCTCGTTCTGTGGCCCAGGCTGGAGTGCAGTGGCATGATCTTGGCTCGCTGCAACATCTGCCTCCTGGGTTCAAGCAATTCTCGTGCCTCAGCCTCTCAAGTAGCTGGGATTACAGGCATGAGCCACCACACCCTGCTAATTTTTGTATTTTTAGTAGAGACAGGGGTTTCACCGTGTTGGCCAGGCTGATTTCAAACTCCTGACCTCAGGTGATCTGCCCACCTCAGCCTCCCAAAGTGCTGGGATTACAGGCATGAGACACCATACCTGGCCACTCATTTGGTCTTAAGTCATCATATTTCTTTTTTTTAAGAGGTAGGGTCATGCCGGTAGAGTGACACACTGGAAGCATGCTGGGCCCAGAGTTGGGGTCTTGCTCTGTTACCCAGGCTGGAGGGCAATGGTGCGATCATAGCTCACTGCAGCCTCCACCTCCCAGGTTCAAGTGATCCTCCTGCCTCACCCTCCTGAGTAGCTGGGACTACAAGTGAGCACCACCACACCTGGCTAATTTTATATATATAGAGAGAGAGACAGAATCTTGCTATGTTGTCCAGGCTGGTCTGAAACTCCTGGCCTCAAGAGATCCTCCCACCTTGGCCTCTGAAAGCACTGGGATTATGGGCATGAGCCACTGTGCATGGCCTGTTTGAGTTTGTTTGTTGACTGTTCTCAAACAGGATTGCCTCTGTGGCCGTGCTAAGCAAAGAGCAGCTTCTTGCTCTCCTTGCCTACTCCCGATCCAAAGGCAAGGCTGGTAGTGGATCTGGGGGCCCTGATAATGCTAAGAAGGGCAGGGAGTCTGGACACCTGGGTCAAGGTCCTGACTCTACTGAACACTCAGTTTCATTCATTTGGAGCAAGCTCCTCCCCTTCCTCAGCTGGTTTCAACTCTTCCCCCCACTTTTTTTTTTTTTCTCGGAGTCTCACTCTGTCATCCAGGCTGGAGCGCAGTGGCGTGATCTCGGCTCGCTGCAACCTCTCTGCCTCCCAGGCTCAAGCAATTCTCCTGCCTCAGCCTCCCGAGTAGCTGGGATTACAGGTGCCCGCCACCACGCCTGGCTAATTTTTGTATTTTTAGTAGAGACGGGGTTTCACCATATTGGCCAGGCTGGTCTTGAACTCCTGAACTCAAGTGATCCACCCACCTCGGCCTCCCAAAGTGCTGGGATTACAGGTGTGAGCCACCCTACCCAGCCCTCTTTTCTTTTTTTTAAAGGAAAGTGGATCATCTCTGATGGTCTCTGCAACTCTAAGGTTCCATAAGTGAAGGCATTCAGGACCCTCTAGGGCAGCACTGAGCTCAAGCCCATAGTTGGAGCCCAGAAAGCTGAAATTTGGCACTGCAAGTCTACAAAACAAATGGGCTATGCAGCAGGCTAGGCAGCACTGGCCCAGAGGGGCTCTAAGCCCATGGTGCACCCCCCTCCGCCCCGCCCCCACCAGAGATGGGGTCCCTGGCTGCTCCATCCCACAGAAAAATCCCAGGAAGTGAGGTCTTCCTTCACCAGGGAGAGGCACATATCTGAACGAGAACGTTTGCTTCCGTTCCTAAAGAACGAACAAGAAGTCCTTGCTTCCAAGGACTACAGGAGAAAGCAGAAGCACAGCGAGGCTTCCAGTGGGCGCTCACCCTGTGAATGGAGAGCAGGAACCAGGAGAATGTTCTGTAGAAAGCTCTAAAAATGTCACCACTTCCCCCATATAATCGCAGTTCCTCCCCGGTGTGTGTCCCTGCTGTGACCTCTAGGAACTGAACCGTACAAGGATCCAGAGGTTCCCAAGATAGGGGCCCCTAGGGGTGGACGGAACCTCAGAGGTTATCAATCGCCCTCACCGTCCTCAGAGGGCTCGGACCTGCAGAACGTTCCCAGATGGGGGCACCAACTGCCTCCTGAAGTGTCCTTCTCTGAGAAGTCCCTATAGTCATGGCCTCAGGCACCCTCCTCCTCTCCCCAACTCCTGGTCCACCTATTAGGCCCTCCCTGGCTTTCCTGTCTGTGACCATCTCCAGGAGATCCCAGACAGAGTGGGAAACGTGAGACATGAGGACTCCGAGTTTTCTATGCAGGGCGAGGGGCAAAGCCAGGAGGCCGGAGAGGAAGGAGATCCAAAGCCCCTCTCCAAGTCCACACCCTCTGGGATTGGGGCTGGCAGCCAGTCCCATGAGCTGCAGAGGCTGGAGACGATGCTAGAGGCGTATGCTCCCGCTCAAAGCCGTGTGTGCTGAGCATGGCAAGTCCCCTTCCCGAGCCTCAATTCCTCTACCTGTGAGGATGATTCCCAAAGGCCGCCAGGGCAGTGGTGAGACCCAGGACAAATATCCATGGGGCCAAGGTCTTGGAGGAGCAGAGGGAGGTGAAGCCAGGCCCTAAGGGCCACCAGGCACTTTCCTGTAGGGCCCTAACTACATCCTGAAAACCACAGCAACAATAGAGCAGAAGGCAACCTCAGAAACCGACTAGCTCAAAAGAAGAAGAGGCAGGGCACGGTGGCTCACACTTGTAATCCCAGTGCTTTGGGAGGCCAAGAGTTTGGGACCAGCCTGGGCAATATAGTGAGACCCGTCTCTACAAAAAATTTAAAAAATTAGCTGGGCACAATGGCACAAGCCTGTAGTCCTGGCCACTCAGGAGGCTGAGGCAGGAGGATCCCTTGAGCCCAGGAGTTTGAGGCTGCAGTGAGCCACGATCACACCACTTCACTCTAGCCTGGGTGACAGAGTGAGACCCTGTCTCTTAAAACAAAACAAAACAAAAAACAAAGAAAAAGAAAAGAAAGAAGAAAAAAATAGAGAAGAAAAGAGACCGAGGGCCTATCATAAGTCAGGAGCAAGGCTCCATCTGGGCCCCATGACTCCAATCCCACAAGCCAAAAGACAGGTGGCAGCAGGAGGAAGAGGAAGTGAGTTCTTTTAGAGGCAAGGGCAGCAGCAGCAGCAGCAGCAGCAGCAGCCCACCACAACAGAAAGCCACCAAGAGCTGAGCGCCGTTTTGCAGGGCCACTGAGCCATTCAGCACAGAGCAAAACGCCCACAGGCTTCACCTCGCTGAGCTGTGACAGACTGCTGGTCATAACCACCACCCCAAGCCATCCAAGTGCTAAGCAGTGTCACACTCTCTCCATTAAGGGAGACAAGAGCATGCATGACACATTTAGGAAAGATTTCCATCCAACATCATTAAAACACAAGTTTTGGTGCTTAAAGGGATCAACTTCAGCTACCAGGAAATCTACTGCCACCCAGCAGCTCAGCCCCAGATGACACGCTTTCTTGTATCACGGCCTGTTCCCAGGGGGCACGTGGAAGCTGTGCACGTGAGTTCCAGGAAATTTTTCAATTTCACGCGCTCACATGGTATTTCCAGTGGCTGCCAGTAAAAAGTCGGTTCTCGGGCTTCCCCAGCCCATGGCGCTGGCTCTAGACGGGCCCTGCCTGCCCTGCCTGCCTCCTCACATCCAAGGTAACTTTCACCTGATGCTGTTGACATGCACTTGGCTGTGAGAACCTTGCCGCCTGCTAGGTTAAGAGGTCAGGTATTTACTAAGCCCCATCTGGCTCTACATCCGTCAGAGGAGGGTTAACTGCAGGGGGCCTCACTACAAATCAGGCAGGGGAAAAGCCTGTTTTTCAGCGCGTAGATAGGCTCGTGCAGGTGAATTACACCTCTCCCAGCTCCAAGAAAACCAAAGGAATCAGGATGCACCTACACCTACCCCAGGAGGCAGGCCCCTTTGAGGCTGTTTCCACTAACAGAGCCTGCTGGCCTGGTTCCCTCCTGACTTACAACGTGGGGCAAGCCACAGCATGCCCACCCCAGCACCAAGGGAAGACAGACTGGCCCATCCACCTTCTTTTCTGTAACTTGCCTGGCCCACACCGGTAGGACCCACATCAGCACTTCTGGGGGCCCTCAGGCCAGGGACGGGGACCCCAGAGAAATACTGGGAGAAACGGAAATGGTTTAGGAAAGACCAACGAGGCCCAATACCAGGAGAAAGGAACAAATCCACATTAAATGACTTAACTCCAGAATCCCAGCTCTAGCACTATCTAGAAATTTGCCTCAAAATAATTCCTAAGAACTTAAGAAGCTCCAGGAAGCTGAGTGGAACAGGGCTGACAGAAGTCCCAGCACCTCTAAGAACCCTCCTGGGCCAGCAGATAGAGCACACTGTTCTCTGAAACAGGCTGACCCAGATACTCAGGGAGGGAAGTTGGGGGAGCATCTCCCTGAGCCTGGCTTGCCTATGTCTATGTCCTCAGAGAGCCCCGATGACACCTTCCTATACTCCCAACTCCCAGAAAGATCTCAGATGCACGTGCCCCAACTCCTGGCAGAAGATGCCCCGGAAAACTCTGACTCACCCAAGGCCCATCACCCTCCTGTCTACTGGCCTCCTCCTAGCTCATCCCTCAAGAGGCCTTTTGGGCCAGGTGTGGTGGCTCATGCCTATAATCTCAGCACTTTGGAAGGCTGGGGCAAGAGGATTGCTTGAGGCCAAGAATTCAAGACCAGCCTGGACAACATGGCAAGACCTTGCCTCTACGTAAAACTGAAAAATTAGCCGGGTGTGGTGGTGTATACCTGTGGTCCCAGCTACTCAGGAGGCTGAGGCAGGAGGATCACTTGAGCACAGGAGTTCAAGCCTGCAGTGAACCATGATTGCACCACTGTACGCTAGCCTGGGTGACAGAGCAAAACCTTGTCTTTAAAAATAGTAATAAAATAAAATTAAAATGTATTAAAAGAGCCCCCTGCCTTCCCGGGAATGTCAATAACTCCCCATGTGCCCCAGATAGCCCACTCTTGGGGTCTGGGCTGAATCCCAGCTCCGCTACTTGCTGGCTGTGTCGCCAACCTCATGGGCCTGAATGTGCTCTCCTGTAAGCGAAGAACACTGCTCAGCCTGAGAGCATCGTGGGATGAGTGAAGTCACTCAAGCAGCCTGCTCAGGAGGGCCTGGCACATGACACGAACCAATGAGCGGGAGGCGCTGTCACTGTGTCTTACACAAGCTGGCAGGGTCCTCGGAAACCCAGTCTGAACAAATACTAGAGGTCCAAGAAGCTGCCAAGGCGGTCTCAACCACCCTGTGAAGTTTCAGCCCTTGATGTGGCTGCGGTGGGCAGGGGTGGGCCGGTGAGCAGGGAGGCAGCAGGATGCCGACCAGGGCCAGTGCGGAGAAAGGAGATGATTTCCTCCCTGGGACCAGGGCGGCCCCAGGCCCACCCACTCCCTCACCACCCGCACCAGGGCACTCTCAGAAAGCCCTGTCCCAGCTACCACTCTGAATTCTCAAAATGTGCTCCAAGCCCAACATTCTCAATAATGAATGACGAAGCCCCAAGTCACCCAGACAGTCAGAGGGCTACGGCCAGCCCATTCACCTTGGCCAAATCCAGGGAAATCCTGGGGGGGTTCCTCATTTTATCTTTTTTATTTTTTTCCCCCGAGATGGAGTTTCGCTCTTTGTTGCCCAGGCTGGAACGCAGTGGCACGATCTTGGCTCACTGCAACCTCCACCTCCTGGGTTCAAGGGATTCTTTTGCCTCAGCCTTCCAAGTAGCTGGGATTACAGGCGCTGGCCACCATGCCTGGCTAATTTTTGTATTTTTAGTAGAGATGGGGTTTCACCATGTTGGCCAGGCTGGTCTTGAACTCCTGACCTCAGGTGATCCGCCCACCTCGGCCTCCCAAAGTGCTGGAACTACAGGCGTGAGCCACTGGGCCCAGCTTTAAGACAGGGTCTCGCTCTGTCACCTAGGGGGCTGAAGCGCAGTGGCGCGATCACAGCTCACTGCTGCCTTGACCTCCTGGTCTCCAGCAATCCTCCTGCCTCAGTCTCCCAAGTAGCTGGGATTACAGGTGTGTACCACTATGCCTGGCTAATTAAAAAAATTTTTTTTTGTGGAGATGGGGTCTCGCTATGTTGCTCAGGCTGGTCTCTGACTGCTGGGTTCAAATGATCTTCCTGCCTTGGCCTCCCAAAGTGCTGGGATTAAAGGTGTCAGCCTCTGTGCCTGACCAATCTCCTCATTTTAAATGCCACCCGCTCTGGTCTGCACTGGGCCCGTGGTATCATTCTCTCTCTCTCTCAAGGAGCTGAGCGCTCTACCAGGCACTCTGGGCTGGGCTGCATCATCACGGGGGCCAGGTCACCCGTGCCACCTGCAGCCACTGCCACGTGCTCCACATTCTGCCCTCCCTCACACCGCGCTGACAGCCCCTTGCACTAGACTAGGGCTCAGGGGTAAGGGCTGATACTCTGGTCTCTGGGTCCTTAGGGCCTGGCACAAGGCGGGAGTCAGTGTACAGGCAGTGACCCAGTGTTCTCGGGCACAATGCTCGCCATGCAGCCCGCAAGCAGAGGCCACAGGCCTTTAACTGCTCCATGTGGAGGCCCTTAATCATCGTGAGTGAAAGGACTGTAGATTCTAACCCGTGTGGTGACTGCCAGGACTCAGGTACAAGGGGTCAGGTAGGCTCTGGACGGCCACGGCACCTCGGCACCCACATGCCACATGCAAATGAGATGCCACGGCAGGACCACCTAGGGGGCAGGAGCCGCATCTGCAGGAATTGGGGTGAGTCTTCCCAGCTAAGAGCAGAAACACAGGGCAGACAAAACGAGCGGCCGTTGCCCACGATACCTGACTGCACCGGAGGTGGAGGATCCTGGGGGCAGGTGCTGCGGTCCCAGGTGGGAGAGGCTGGAGCGGTAGAGGGGCTGGCTCCCCAGGGAAGGAGGAGCTGCGTCCCAGGCGTTCGTGGTGTTCAGCCTGGGCGCAGACCGGGCCCCGGAGAGTGAGGGTTTGTTGTATGGTGCAAAGGCCTGGTGGGTCCCAAACACAGAAGCGGTCCTGTGGGGGGGGTGCTGGGGGGCGGGGTATGCAGGGAGGTTGGTCATGGAGTGGCGGTAGCGGCCTGATACAGGGCCAGTTCTGCTGCCACTGAGGCACTGGTGGCAAGAGCAGGCGACGCCTGTGTGGCCCGGCGGAGCGATGATGGTGGTCACTGGGTAAGGCGGCCCTGCTTGGCGCCGCACGCTGCAGCAGAAGCTGGAAGTCTTGTTGGTCTGCGTGTGGGTGGTGTAGTTGACAGTGTAGTTGTACCCCAGGGGGGCCAAGTCCACGAGCTGGTTGCCCCTGGCCACCTGCTGCTCCAGATCGTCACAGACGCCGGCTTCATAGGCGGTCCAGGAGCCATCGTCGCTCAGCCACTCCCAGACGACACCTCGGCCAGGGGCTGAGTGCTGGGGGAACAGGTGTCTCCGCACAGTCCGCATGGTGCCTGTTTTCAAAGGAAAACCAAAGGTTAGTCTGCTAGCATCCCCAAGATACAGGGAACGTTCAAATTCTTTTTTCAACCGCCAAAATAAACAAATAGGAACACAGTAGGTACACAGTCATGCTGCTATTTGTTTATTTATTTATTGTTAGAGGCAGGGTACCCCTTTGTCACCCAGGCTGCAGTGCAGTGATGTGATCATAGTTCACTGCCACCCTGACCTCCTGGGCTCAAGCGATCCTCCTGCCTTAGCCTCCTAAATAACTGGGACTACAGGCACATGACACCACACCCACCTAACTTCAAATCGACCTCTACAACACCTGCCACTTTCATTCCCCGATTAACACTTCCTGCTCTCTGCCACGATATGCAATTTCCATGTTATTATTTATCCTGTCTGCTATCTTTGTCAGTTGACTTCACACACTGTGAAGGCAATGACTTGGGAGCTGACTGACAGCCACAGTTTTCACAGACTCTACGACACTCCTGGAAACACAGTTTCCAGGGCTGGGCATGACGGCTCAAGCCTGTAATCCCAACACTTTCGGAGGCCAAGGCAGGAGGATCACTTGAGCTCAGGAGTTGAAGACCAGCCTGGGCAACACAGGGCGATGGAGACCCAGTCTTTACAAAAAACAAACAAACAAACAAACAAACACGATAAAAAAAACCCATACTTTTTAAAATAAAACTAAAATTAAAATTGAAAAAAAAAAGGAAAAACCAGTTTCTCAAGTTTCCTCACTGGTGACACTGTGGGCCAATAATTCCTTACTGCAGGGCCAGCCCAGTGCACTGCCGGATGGCGAGCAGCATCCCTGGCCTCCACCCACCAGATGCCAGGAGCACCCCCACCTCCCACCCACTCAGCTGTAACAACCAACAGTGTCTCCAAACATTGTCAGATGGCCCCGGGGACAAAATCACCCCCAGTGACAACCACCAGATTAGAGTAAGGGATGGCTCCGAGAGGAAACTGGTGCCTCATTCTCAATAATACTGATCAAAACACACTGCAGGTCCAGGTGCGGTGGCTCATGCTTGTAATCCCAGCACTTTGGGAGGCCGAGGCAGGCAGATCACCTGAGGTCAGGAGCTCGACACCAGCCTGGCCAACGTGGCAAAACCCCGTCTCTACTAAAAATACAAAAATTAGCCAGGTGTGGTGGCGGATGTCTATAATCCCAGCTACTCGGGAGGCTGAGGCAGGAGAATCACTTGAACCCAGGAGGCAGGGGTTGCAGTGAGCCGAGATTGCACCACTGCACTCCAGCCTGGGCAACAGAGCCAGACTCCGTCTCAAAAAAAAAAAAAAAAAAAAAAAAAAAAGATCAAAACACATCGCAGACCAAAAAGCAGAAACGCACACACGCAGAGGGGCGCAGTTGCCTGCCCAGGGCACACAGCCACTGAGTGGTGGGACAGGGCCCTCTGAACTCCTATGACGCACCACCTCCATGCTGGCCTGCCGGCCAAAGGAACCCTTCAACCTCTGTGGTCGGAACAGGCATTTCTGCTTTGCAAGACAAGGGGAAGGGCCTCCCACAGTGCCTCTCCCACTGTGAGCTGCACTCAACCTATGTGGATGTTCCCACTCACTGCACCCACCCACCACCACGTGTGCTGCAGGGAGAGAGCAGAAGCTCTGTAAGTCACGTCCATCACCCCAACACCTGGCGCAGAGCCTGTGGGAAAGCAGGTGCGGCGCCCAGATATGTGCGAGAGGCAGACAGCGTCTTACCGGTGTCCTGGCGGAACTGGGTCCAGCTGGGGAGGTCAATAATGTAACGGGCCAGCGAGGGGTCTGCCTGGCCCAAGGGGATGCTGTGGGCCAGGCTCCCAAGCCCAAAACGTTGGCCCTTCTGCTGGACAAACTGCTGCTCGATGAAGCTGCAGATGGTGGCACTGTAGGGGTGCCAGGTGCCCAGCCCATCCTGCCATAGCCACAGCTGCGGGGCTGGTGTACACCTGCACCAGGGAAGGGCTTGGGGCCATGGCCATCTTCCCAAGGAGTCCCGCTGCTTTCCCAAACAGCTTCAGACCCCTCTGGCCTGGAGTCCCGGGGTCATTGCCCAGCGCCTCCGGCAGATCTGTGAACAGGACAGACATGAGCAGTTACCAATGCACATCAGTAGCCCTGCAGAGTCAGCCTCAGCGCAGGGGAAACACGTGATGCTTTTCCACAGCTGATTTTTTTTTTTTTTTTTGGTTACAGGGTCTCACTCTCTCACCCAGGCTAGAGTGCAGCAGTGTGATCTTGGCTCACAGCAGCCTCAAACTCCTGGTCTCAAGCAATCCTCACAACTCAGCCTCCAGAGCAGCTGGAACAATAGGCATTCACCACCACACCCAGCTCATTTTTTTACTTTTTGTAGAGATGATGTCTGTGTTGCCCAGGCTGGTCTCAAACTCCTAGCCTCAAGGGATAGACTCGCCTCAGCCTTCCCAAGTGCTGGGATCACAGGTGTGAGCCACCGCGCCTGGTCTCACGCTTGCTTTTCTTCCCCTAACACCTTAAGGGCATCATGAATCAAGAACCTGATCCTGTCTCTTTGCTGTGGCAGCCAGGAAGAATTCAAAGTCAATCCCGCAGCCTACGTACCACCGCACAGGCCCATGAAGAAAGAGAGCATAAATTCCGGGTGCTAGTCACCAGCCCAGCTTCTTTCTTGCTACTGATAATTCCCCTCTGACCCAACTGCTTAGTGTGTTTCATCATGCATGTATTTTTTTTTCTTTGAGATGGAGTTTCACTCTTGTCACCCAGGCGTGTGATCTCGGCTCACTGCAACCTCCACCTCCCGCGTAGGTTCAAGTGATTCTCCTGCCTCAGCCTCCCGAGTAGCTAGGACTACAGGCATGCACCACTGCGCCCAGCTAATTTTTTGTATTTTTAGTAGAGTCGGGGTTTCACCATGTTGGCCAGGCTGGTCTCAAACTCCTGACCTCAGGTGATCCACCCACCTCAGCCTCCCTATTAGCACCCACCATCCTGAAGATGAGAACCCAACATTTCTTGGAAAGGAGCAGGGTTTGGGACACCCAGGGAGCAGGGGCAGAGCTGGGAACTGCAACACAGGTTCTAGCTCCTCATGTCTCCCAGGTGCCCTGAAGCATCGCTAACCAAAAAGGAAGCCCTAGATGGGCACCGAATCACCCCTCTCTGGCCTCTCCAAGGCTCTCTGCACCCACTCCCCGACCTGGCCCCTGCTGACCGGCCACCAGGCCCAGGGAGCTCTTCCCCACATCCCGAGCTCCACCTCCCGAGACCTTCTCCTTGCAGTCACTCCAGCCCACCCTCTTCCCTTGCGAACACTCCACGTCCTCCAGGCCCAGCTTGCATCGCTCAGGATGACCCATCACACGCCCTCTGCACCCTCCACAGCACCCACCAGAACCCTAGTAACCGCGTCCACGTGTGGCTGTGACCACAGTCCTTCTGCTCCTCCCCAGGTGGCAGCAACCCCAAGCCTGCTTCATTCACAGCTGCATCACCGGGACCCAGCAGGGGCATGCCACGTGGTGAGTGTTCTAGAATGTTCTACACACCGCTTCAGAATGACAGAGTGAATGTGGACAATGATTCCGCTCAGCACCTGGAGCTGTCTGAATAAGAAGAGGCCTGCAAATGCCCCACCTGATGGCTGCCCCCCAGGGCACCGGCTGTTGGAGTGCCGGTCCAGGGTCCAACATTTAGTAACCAACATCAAATGTACTTGTCTCTCCTAAGCTGCACAGACTGCCAAGGTGACATTTCTCCCACTTACGGACAGGAAACCAAGGCTGAAAGAGGTCAAGGGGACTGGGTGTGGTGGCTCACACCTGTAATGCCAGTGTTTAGGGAGGCTGCGACAGGAGGGTGGTTTGAGCACAGGAGTTTGAGGCCAGCCTGGGCAACACAGTGAGATCCCATCTCTGCAGAAAATTTAAAAGTTAGCCAGGTGCGGAGGTGCATGCCAATAGTCCCAGCTACTCAAGAGGCTGAGGCAGGAGGATGGCTTGAGCCCAGGAGTTAGAGGCTGCAGTGAGCTATAATCCCAAGGCACTCCAGCCTCAGTGACAAGAGGTCCCACCTCTACAAAAAAAAAAAAAAAAAAAAAAATCAGAGCTGATGCAGTGTGTGTGCACACTGATGCCAGAGCCCAGGCCTGCTTCTTTCCAGGTGCTGCTCCACATCTGTCTCCCTTCCAGGGAAGGTGGTCTTACCCTTCTCACTGAAACCTTGCTGGGGTAGTACAGTCTGGGACCACACCAGAAGCCAGGGTCCCCATCTTATCACAAGCCACGCGACTATGAGGACGTCACTGTAACTACCTGGGTCTCAGTTTCCTCATTGGCAAAATGGGGATAAAATATGATGTGTATGCTCGGGAATCACCAGATTGTATCAGTGGGGGCCCTACTGGCCAGGGTCCTTCATGGGCGTGTTGTCACAATGAGGGTGTATAGTGCTTGAGAGACGAGGGTCGTTCTCTCCTTTTCCTTTCCCCCTCTTTAAGCAGGGCCTGTAAGTGAAGCCCAAGGTGAAGCTCAGACTGAGCCCTCCTAGCTAAGAAAATGGGCCTTAGAGCCAGACCCGACCTGGGTTTGTTCTCTGTGCTGCCTCTTAGTCATGTATGTGTGACCTTGGTTGAATAACTCAAGGTCACACATACACTACTTAATAAAAGGTGACATTTATTTATTTATTCATTTATTTATTTATTTAGAGTCCGAGTCTCACTCTGTCACCCAGGCTAGAGTGCAGTGGCCGCAATCACCACTCACTGCAGCCCCATGGCCTCCTGGGCTAAAGCCATCCTCCTGCCTCCACCTCCCGAGCAGCTGGGACTACAGGCATGTGCCACCATACTCAACTGATCTCTTAATTTTTTGTAGAGACAGGGGTCTCCCTCTGTCACCCAGCTGAGACTACAGGCACGCGCCACCATGCCTGGCTATTGTATCATCTTGATGGAAGTATCTAAGCTCGCCAAGCTTGCTTTCTTTGGGAAAATGCAGTTATCAACATGTATCCTAAGTGTTTTTCATGAGGATAACACAGACGGGTGTGTATAAGGTGCCCACACAGCACTAGGCATACAGCAGAGAGTCAACCCATCTTGGCCTCCCTGCCTCTCCTGGCCCCTCACCCCTAGCACTTGCCCACCCTTTCAGTCTCAAGGAGGAACGGCCACAAGGGCAGCCCTGAGTACACAGCATGAGAACACAGGTGAGTCAGGCCTGCAACAACTCCGAACACAGGAATTGGCAGCTCTGTGGGTGCCAGGCCCGCCACGGAGCTGCCAATTCCTCCGACAAAAGCCCACAACCCGCCCCAAAGATCAGACCTGGAGTGCCCTCGGGCGGGCGGGCAGGCGGGCGGGCGGGCGGAATGGTTCAGCTCAGTGTCTTCAATTGGAAGTTTCTGTAACCACAATGAGGTACAAATCAGAGGACTGCCTTCCAAGCCAATTACTCCTGGGTGTCACGCATCTCTCGGGCAGCCACGGCCGCCTCCATCATCGGCACACGGGGTATGTCCCAACATGTCCTCATGGCCCGATGAACCAACTCTCACAACTCTGCAAAACAGCCTGGGAAATATAGGCGAGGACTTCAGCTAAAACTTTCCACGAAGGCACGCAGCCTCCCCAATGGAGGGCGCGCCATGGCCCAGGCCCTAGGAGGGTACTGGAGACTCCAGAGGATGACAAGGCACACAAGCCCCTCCATGACCAGCCACTGTTCCTACTCACACCAAGCCCGCCACCTTTGATACCCACATCTAATTCTAGAAAGTTCCAGAACATTCCAAGCCACTTACCACCTTCTAGCAATTGATCCTCCCTCTATACCAGCCCCCAAGCAAACACGCCCATCCTTCCAGACCCAACCATGGTATCCCCTTCTCCTGGGCCCCCTGACCCACAGCTTGCCAGAGACGGCTGGCTCCACCTACCCTTGTGTGCACGGCGCAGGGCACTTACGCAAACACAACCGCACTCCCTGGTTTCAGTGGCCTTCTCCCCACCAAAACAGAAACTCCCTGAGGGCAGAGCTGCGGCTGCAGTTCTTCAGGTGCCCAATATCCCAGAGGCTCTGAAACACCAAAGGAGGGGTGAGCCTTCTGCTCCGGGGGCACAGGCACCTTTGAGTCACTGCCCAGAAACGCCCACTGCGTTCCCCTTGAACCCAGCAATTATGCACAATACAGTGGCGTGTCGGTGCACCAGTCTCTGCAGCAGCCTCGGCTTAACCATCACTTAGCTGCAGCTTAAAAACCTAATTTGTTCCAGCTCCTAATGATGCCGGTTCTTCATTATGAAAATTATTAGTATTATAATTGGCCATGGGAAAAAGCCTCAATTTGGAGGCAGCCTAAACACTTTACAATAAAGGAATTCTTGCACCAATTATGGAACATTCTAATGATGGAATACAAATCAGTCTTAAAAAATGAAAGAAAGGGCCAGGCGCGGTGGCTCATGCTTGTAATCCCAGCACTTTGGGAGGCCGAGGCGGGCGGATCGCTTGAGTCCAGAAATACAAGACCAGCGTGGGCAACACAGCAAAAGCCTGTCTTTACAAAAACTAGAAAAATTAGCCATTTGTGGTGGTGCGTGCCTGTAGTATCAGCTACTCAGGAGGCTGAGGTGGGAGGATTGCTTGAGCCCTGGAGGTTGAGGCAGCAGTGAACCATGATTGCACCACTGCACTCCAGCCTGGGTGACAGACAGAGACCCTGTCTCATAAAAATAAATTAATTAAAAATTAAAAGTCTGGAAAGAACAACACTAAAATGTCACTGGAATCAAAGAATTATGGGATTTTTTTTCTTTTTTTTATTTTTGAGAAGGAGTCTTGCTCTGTCGCCAGGCAGGAGTGCAGCAGTGCAATTTTGGCTCACTGCAACCTCCGCCTCCCGGGTTCAAGCAGTTCTCCTGCTGCAGCCTCCCAAGTAGTTGGGATTACAGGCACGCACCACTACGCCTGGCTAATTTTTGTATTTTCAGTAGAGATGTGGTTTTGCCACATTGGCCAGGTTGGTCTCAAACTCCTGACCTCAAGTGATCCACCCGCCTCAGCCTCCCAAAGTGCTGGGATTACAGGTGTGAGCCACTGCACCTGGGCTATTCTTTCTTTACCTCTTTCTGTACTTGCAAATGTTCTAAAATAGTCATATAACTTTTTAATGATCAAAGGGTTTTTTTTGTTTTTGTTTTTGTTTTTGAGACAGAGTTTCATTCTTGTTGCCCAGGCTGGAGTGCAATGGCGTGATCTCGGCTCACTGCAACCTCCGCCTCCTGGGTTCAAGCGATTCTTCTGCCTCAGCCTTCCAAGTAGCTGGGATTACAGGCACCCACCACCAAGCCCGGCTAATTTTTTTTTTTTGTATTTAGTAGAGACGGGGCTTCACCATGTTGGCCAGGCTGGTCTCGAACTCCTGACCTCAGGTGATCCACCTGCCTTGGCCTTCCAAAGTGCTGGGATTACAGGCGTGAGCCACTGCACCTGGCCAAAGTTTTTTTTTCTTCTTTTTTTTTTAGTATTAACAACTTTGACCAGGAAAAACAAACCCTGCTTTTCCTTTACAGTCTCTCGTCAGGTCTTCGCCGCAAATCTCTCTCCAGAGGATCGTGGCTGAGGCACCATGGAATGCTGCTGTTCTACTGGAGATGAAATTTCATCCAAAAGAAAAAGGGAAAAGTATCCAAAAGTCTTTCTAGTCTCCAGGCATTTAGAAAAGCTTTAGAACAAGATCTGCACTGGCACAAGAATTTGAGTGGAAATCACCCTGCCCAGCTGTGAGCCCCGGGGCGGGTGAGCCACACACTTGGATCTCACTGCAGTTGTGGCCTCTGGGAAGAAGGCTTTGAATGCAGATTTTAAACAGGTACTCAACTCATACTGAGCCACGGCTACTTTCAACTTAACAATATGTGAGAAACCCATCTGATCACTGCAGACCTGCTGAAATCTCTTACAACTAATCCTTCAATCCTCACCAGAATGCTGGCTGTCCTGCCTCTGCCGTCGCGAGAGAAGATAAAAGCTACTGGGTGGCCACAGGGCAGTTATGTCCCCTTCTCTAGGTTTTGTGATTCTGGCAGTTAGAATGGGTTTCCAGACTTTTACAAGCAGAAACCCTTATACATGTGATTATATGCTGTCCGTCAACATGTAAAACACGCCAAGCGTGGTGACTCACACCTGTAATCTCAACGTTTTGGGAGGCCAAGGTGGGAGGACCACTTGAGGCCAGGCGTTTGAGACCAGTCTGGGCAACATAGCAAGACCCTATCTCTTAAAAAAAAAAAAAAAAAGAAAGAAAGAAAAGAAAAAGAAAAAGAAAAAAAAAAGTAAGCCAGGCACGGATCACCTGAGGTCGGCAGTTCGAGACCAGCCTGACCAACATGGAGAAACCCCATCTCTACTAAAAATACAAAATTTGCCGGGCGTGGTGGCACATGCCTGTAATCTCACCTACTAGGGAGGCTGAGGCAGGAGAATCGCTTGAACCCGGGAGGTGGAGGTTGCAGTGAGCCGAGATCGCGCCATTGCACTCCAGCCTGGGCAATAAGAGTGAAACTCAGTCTCAAAAAAAAAAAAAAAAAAAAAGTGAAACACAGAAATGTGGGATGTTGTTTTTGACACAGAGGTGGCCTCCATTCCTATTTTTCTTCAAGAGAACCATGAAGCTCCTTTGCAAAATAGGTGAGTTCTTTTCTTTGAGACAGAGTCTCCTTCCATCACACAGGCTGGAGTGCAGTGGTGCGATCTTGGCTTACTGCAACCTCTGCCTCCCAGGCTCAAGTGATTCTCATGCCTCAGCCTCCTGAGTAGCTGGAACTACAGGTGTGCACCACACCACACCTGGCTAATTTTTGTATTTTTAGTAGAAACGGGGTTTCGCTATGTTGGCCAGGGCTGGTCTCAAACTCCTGGCCTCAAGTGATCTGCCCACCTCGGTCTCCTCAAGTGCTAGGATTACAGATGTGAGCCACTGCACCTGACTGCAAAATGGGAGAGTTCTGAGAAGTGTGGACTGGAAACCAGTGAGAGGAGGTAACTTCTAGAACCTCTTCCCAGCTCTGATTCCACTAACATGGTCTAAACTTTCCAAACTCAACCCACACCACCGTTAAAGTCCTTATTTTCTAAGCCGTTTCTCTTTCGGGCACTTTCCAGGAGGCCTGGGCCTGAAACTCCACACCCCACCAGCTGACACACTGTGCGTGACCTGGAACTAGAAATGACCTTCTCACAGGGCAGATGGCCACCCACGGGGGATGCCTTGTTAGAAAGCCTCTCCAAAGACCTGGGAGAGTCAAATCCTGACACAAACATATCAAAGAAATGTTCTACTTTACTAGAAATTTTGTTTAAAACATACAAGTTAAAATCAGCGGCTGAGCATGGTGGCTCACACCTATAATCTTAGCTACTCGGGAGGTGGAGGGAAGAGGATCGCTTGAGGCCAGGAGGTCAAGACCAGCCTGGGCAACACAGAGAGACCCCCATCTCTATTTATTAAAAAAAACGGAAAAGCAAACAATTTGGTAATATATGTATCAAGAGGTTTAAAAATGTTCACTTCCTTTGATCCAATAATTAAGACTCTAACTTCAGAAAATTATAGAAAAATGTTGACGTGAAGCTATTCACTACAGCACTGTCTCTATTACATAAAACAGAAGCATAGGGCAAACTCCATAGAAGTCAATAAAATGTTAACAGCTGTCTTTGAGTGGAGAAACGATAGAAGACCTTTTTTTTTCTTTTTTTTTTTAAACTTGCTTCTTTTCTTCTTCATATATAGGAGACGTTTTGTTTGACTTCCTTATATATCTGAACTTTTCACATTTTCTAAAGTGAGAAAGTATTACTTCTATTATCAGAAAAAAACTCTCCTGGCCAGGTGCAGTGGCTCATGCCTGTAATCCCCAGCACTTTGGAAGGCTGAGGGGGGCGGATCATCTGAGGTCAGGAGTATGAGACCAGCCTGGCCAACATGGTGAAATCCCGTCTCTACTAAAAATACAAAAATTAGCTGGGCATGGTGGCATGCACCTGTAATCCCAGCTACCTGGGAGGCTGAGGCAGGAGAATCCCCTGAACCCAGGAGGCGGAGGTTGCAGTGAGCCGAGAACTGCACCATTGCACTCCAGCCTGGGCAACATGAGCCTCAAAAAACAAAACAAAAAACAAACCTCCCTGAAAATGCCAAACACTTTTAAAAGGTCATAAATATAAACCAAACCACCACCACCGCTGTGTCTTACCATTATTACTTTAAATGGCTGCTGCTATCCCAGTGTAGTTTCACTAACATCAGGCCCTGTCAACTTACCATGGCACCTCCCTGACAACAGACACATCCCCCCATCCCCGAGCTCCACAAAAATGGAAGAACAAACCATCCATGTTCCTATGACAGTAGTCCTGTGAGCACGGCGAGATGCGGCTTTGCTTGAAAAGGGATCACTCAGGCCAGTGCCTCCCACATCTTACTGGAAGATGGCACGAAACTAGCATGTGATTTGTCTCTTGCACAGTGGGTGGCCGGAAGGGAAGTGACAACTCTTCTGGCTGGGGCCTCCAGGGATAGGTCAGAGCAGAACCTTCCAAAGGGCACCCATGGTGCCGGCCCCAGTAACCTACAATTCCCTTGTGGTCAACCAGCTTCTCCAGAACCAAGAACCCACTGGCTCCTGGGTAGCCAAGAGCAATCTGACCACCTGCAGCCAGTCAGAAGGTGGAGCCCTGGTTTACGGGCCTACCCAGAGGGCAAAGTAGGGGAGTAATAGGGGCAGCAGTGGATGTGTAATGGTAACAGTAATAGCAGGCCTGGTGCAGTGGCTCACACCTTGTGATCCCAGCACTTTGACTGGCTGAGGCAGAAGGACTGCTTTGAGCCTAGGGGTTCAAAGTTGCAGTGAGCTATGATCGTGCCACTACACTCCAACCTGGGCAACAGAGCGAGACCCTGTCTCTTTAAACAAAAATAAATAACAGCCAAGCAGGAACCCGCATCCAGGAACACAGCCCTTTGCTCCTCCCTCAGAATGAATGGAAACCAGGCTGGGCGCGGTGGCTCACACCTGTAATCCCAGCACTTTGGGAGGCCAAGGCGGGCGGATCACGAGGTCAGGAGATCGAGACCATCGTGGCTAACATGGTGAAACCCTGTCTCTACTAAAAATACAAAAAATTAGCCGGGCGCGGTGGCGGGTGCCTGTAGTCCCGGCTACTTGGGAGGCTGAGGCAGGAGAATGGCGTGAACCCAGGAAGTGGAGTTTGCAGTGAGCCAAGATCGCGCCACTGCACTCCAGCCTGGGCGACAGAGCAAGACTCCGTCTCAAAAAAAAAAAAAAAAAAAGACCGAATGGAAACCAGAAATCAGATATTTATGCCCAAGAAAAGCAGGATTTCGTTCAGCACTACTCCCAGATCGTTAGGGTGCTGACTGAGGATGAGATGGGGCACCCAGAGACAGGAGATGCTACTGCCCGGCTCAAGGAGGTCCTGGAGTACAATGCCATTGGAGGCAAGTATCACCGAGGTTTGATGGTGCTAGTAGCGTTCCGGGAGCTGGTGGAGCCGAGGAAACTGGATGCTGATAGTCTCCAGTGGGCACCGACTGTGGGCTGGTATGCGCAACTGCTGCAAGCTTTCTTCCTGGTGGCAGATGACATTATGGATTCATCCCTTACCTGCCAGGGACAGATCTCCTGGTATCAGAAGCTGGGCATGGGTTTGGATGCCATCAATGATGCTATCCTTCTGGAAGCATGTATCTACTGCCTGCTGAAGCTGTATTGCCGGGAGCAGCCCTATTACCTGAACCTGATGGAGCTCTTCCAGCAGAATTCTTATCAGACTGAGATTGGGCAGACCCTCGACCTCATCACAACCCCCCAGGGCAATGTGGATCTTCGCAGATGCACCGAAAAAAGGCACAAATCTGTTGTCAAGTACAAGACAGCTTTCTACTCCTTCTACCTTCCTGTAGCTGCAGCCATGTACATGTCAAGAATGGATGACAAGAAGGAGCACACCAGTGCCAAGAAGATCCTGCTGGAGATTCAAGAGTTCTTTCAGATTCAGGATGATTACCTTGACTTCTTTGGGGACCCCAGTGTGACTGGCAGAGTTGGCAATGACTTCCAGGACAACAAATGCAGCTGGCTGGTGGTTCAGTGTCTGCTACAGGCCACTCCAGAACAGTACCAGATCCTGAAGGAAAATTACAGGCAGAAGGAGGCCGAGAAGGTGGCCCGGGTGAAGGCACTATACGAGGAGCTGGATCTGCCAGCCGTGTTCTTGCAGTATGAGAAAGACAGTTACAGCCACGTTATGGGTCTCATCGAATAGTACGCAGAGCCCCTGCCCCCAGCCATCTTTCTGGGGCTTGGGCACAAAATCTACAAGTGGAAAAAGTGACCTAGAGACTGCAAGGGCGGGGAGAGAAGGCTCTCAATAAGTAAATTATTGTGTAAAATAAATAAATAAATGAATAACAGCAATGGCTACCAGGTAAAGGTTTACCAGGCACCAGGCACCGTGCTAAGCCCCTCCACCTGACTAGTAATTCTCGTTGGTCCTCACAACTGGGGAAGCGGGATATTTCCATACCACAACTGAGAAAAGTGAGTCACCAGAAGACATGCAGCTTGCCCAAGGATATCCAGGGGCTGAGAAAACCCAAATCTGTTTCCAGAGTTCCTGTCTTTCCCACCAAGACAGACTGACGACGGACAAACTGGCCTGTAGATGTGTTTTGCTTGGGTTACTAAGGTTTGGCTTTTAAAAACTGAGCTGATGTTTAAAAATTGGAATATTTGGCCGGGCTCAGTGGCTCACACCTGTAATCCCAGCACTTTGGGAGGCCGAGGCAGGCAGATCATGAGGTCAGGAGAGCGAGACCATCCTGGCTAATGCAGTGAAACCCTGTCTCTACTAAAAAATACAAAAAATTAGCCAAGTGTGGTGGCGAGCGCCTGTAGTCCCAGTTACTCGGGAGGCTGAAGCAGGAGAATTGCTTGAACCTAAGACGTGGAGGTTGCAGTGAGCCAAGATTATGCCACTGCACTCCAGCTTGGGCGACAGAGTGAGAATCTGTCTCAAAAAAAAGGAATATTCACAGTAAAAAAAAAAAAAAAAATCTAGATTTCAAGCTTCCCTTGAAAATCAGAAAAGATGGCAATATTTGCAGGCTGGACCTAGATCCATGATCTACCTAGCAACACCAGCTAAACTGCAATGGTGGCTGGAACGTCCTCTCTGGGTGGCCACAGCTACCACGACTCCCTATGGCTAGGGCCAGCATGCTTTTCCTGTAAAGGACAGAAAAAGTCTTTCCAGTGACTCTGCCACTAGACCACAAGAACAGCCATAAACAATGTGTAAACAGGAGGGGTTGCATACCAATATAACTTTATGAACAAAATCAGGCAGTGGGGCTGAATGCGGTAGCTCACGCCTGTAATCCCAGCACTTCGGGAGGCCGAGGTGGGTGGATCATTTGAGGCCAGGAGTTTGAGACCAGCCTGGCCAATACAGTGAAACCCCGTATCTACCAAAAAAATACAAAGATGAGCCAGGCGTAGTGGCGTGCACCTGTAGTCCCAGCTACTTGGGAGGCTGGGGCAGGAGAATCACTTGAACCCAGGAGGCGGAGGCTGCAGTGAGCCGAGACTGTGCCACTGTACTCCAGCCTGGGCAGGAGTTAGACCCTGCCTCAAAAAAAAAAAAAAAAAAAAAATGCTGGGCGTGGTGGCTCACGCCTATAATCCCAGCACTTTGGGAGGCCAAGCGGGGGTGGATCACCTGAGGTCAGGAGTTCGAGACCAGCCTGGCCAACATGGTGAAACCTTGTCTCTACTAAAAATACAAAAATTAGCCAGGCATGGTGGCTGGTGCCTGTAATCCCAGCTACTCAGGAGGCTGAGGCAGGAGAATTTCTTGAACCTGGGAGGCGGAGGCTGCAGTGAGCTGAGATCGTGCCATTGCACTCCAGCCTGGCAACAGAGTGAGACTCCATCTCAAAAAAAAAAAAAAAAAAAAAAAAAAAAAAATGGCAGTGGGCCAGATTTGGCTGAGGGTCCATCGTTTGCAGACCTCTGCCCTGTGGCCTCCCTCACATCTATTACTGTACTTTCACACTCCTACAGTTGAGCAATACTTCTCTGAACTCATGTCTCTATCAAAAAGTGAGAGAGTGCTCTGCCTCTGGCTAGCTTTGCCAACAACACGCCCTGCCCTCTGCAGACATGTCAGCCTTTGCCCAACACCTAAGGGTGAAATACAGCATCCAACAGCACAGCAGGCAGCATGCCAACAGCACCCGCCCCTGGGAAGTCCCAGGTGCTCCCCAGAGCCACACCAGGCGTTGATAACATTCTCTGCATCCGGGAATCAGGCCCTGGCCTCCCTCTCCCCTCCTCCCCTCCTCTCTCCATTCCGCCCGGATCCTCAGGATCTGTTCCCATGGCTTCAATATTCCCTTGCATACAGATCACCCAAAGCTGTCCTCGGGATGCCCTGCCCGAGCCCCTCAAACCATCAGCTCCTGCCATCTGGACCTCCTGGCAGCGCCCAGGGCAGGTCAGGATGTTTCATGCCCTTCGTCCCCCACTGAGAATGCCCATCGCACTTGTCCACTTACTCATCTCTTAATTCCTAGCTCAAGACTCTGCCCTGTGAGATCTTTCCTAAGTTCGCTCCCGCTCCACAGGCAGAAGTGGCCACTTCTAACAATCAATGCCCACATGACGTCTCAGTGCCATTATCTGTCTCCTCCACTGGAGAATGCATACGCTCCTTAAAGGCAAGGGTTATGTTCAGGAAAAGACTTCAAACCAGACCCAGAAAACTGAGTACTAGGGAAAAAATACATTTCGCTATGTTAAAATGAAGAATGGCTGATCAACAGAAGACACCTTAAAGAAAGAGGAATAATAGGTTAAAAGCTGGGAGAAGATATTTGCAATAGACACGAAGGATTAAAATCAGCAATATATAAAGAGCCCTATAGATCAACAAAAAATAAAGCACCAAGAACCCTAATGAAAAACTGGCAAAAGACATGAATATTTCACAGGAAACACATATGCCAATAAACATAAGAGGAGATATTCAGCAGCAGGGCTCAGGGACCTAGAAACCAAGTTCCCAAAGATTCCATTTTCTACCCATTCACTTGGCCAACAGCAAATGTTGGTAAGACTGTGGAGCTGCAAGACACAGGACACTGCTGGTAAAGTGGATACTGGTATAAGCACTTCATTCAGGAAATGGTCTAGCAATAGCTACGAAAGATGAACACTGCCGAGCATGGTGGCTCATGTCTATCATCCCAGCACTTTGGGAGGCCAAGGCGGGTGAATTGCTTGAGCCCAGGAGTTCAACACCAGCCTGGGCAACACAGTGAAGCTGCCTCTGCACAAACTTTAAAAATTAGCTAAGCATGGTAGCCTGTGCCTGTAGTCCCAGCTATTCAGGAGGCTGAAGGGGATGGATCCATTGAACCCAGGAATTTGGGGCGGCAGTGATCCGTGATCATGCCACTGCACTCCAGCTGCCTGGGTTACAAGGCGAGACACTGTCTCTAAAAAAAGAAAGAAATAGGCCAGGCGTGGTGCCTCACGCCTGTAATCCCAGCACTTTGGGAGGCCGAGGCGGGTGGATCACCTGAGGTCAGGAGTTTGAGACCAGTCTGACTAACATGGAGAAACTCTGTCTCTACTAAAAATACAAAATTAGCCGGGCATGGTGGCGCATGCCTGTAATCCTAGCTACTCCAGAGTCTGAGGCAGGAGAATCGGGAGTAGCTTGAACCCGGGAGGCGGAGGTTGCAGTGAGCCGAGATCGTGCCATTGCACTCCAGCCTAGGTAATAAGAGTGAAACTCTGCCTCAAAGAAAAAAAAAAAAGAGACAGAGAAACAAAGAAATACACATGTAAGATAAAACTAAGAAAAAAAATGAAAGAAAGGAGATAATGATTACCTCAGGGTAAGAACAGAAAACAAGTTCAAATGAAATGATTAGATGTTCTAAGGGGACCTGATAAAGTAGAAAACTTTTTAAAGTTTTTTAAAATTAAAAAAAAAAGATTAGATATATACTTTTGTTTCATGATCCCAGCTTTTGTTTTGGGTGCCTAGATTGCCAGAACTTACTACATTTATTAAAAATAACTTACTAAATAAGGAAAAGTAGGTCAGGCATGAACACTGAGGAGTGTGTACTAATCAATCTTGTTCTCAGCTTAGCTGATAAGGCAAACACCAAAGAGACTGCTGAATTCATCTTTGTACTCCAAGTGCCAAACACAAGCCTCGGCGCACAGAATTTCGGGAGGCATTTGGGGAATGAATCAGGGCTCTTCTCTCTAGCCCATGGCCTCATTTCCTGTTGGCCTCTTAATACCTTCAACACGTCTGAGGCCAAACGCATCTTCCTTCCTCATTCTCCTTTTCCCCCTGGATTTCCCCCAGGCGGCCAAGAGAAAAACCTCAGATTCTCAGTCCTCCGCAGCCCGCTCCCCCAGGCCTAGCAGCTGCCTGCCCTGCTCTCTCCTCACCTCTGAAGCCCCCTGCTAACACCTGGCCGGGACCCTTATGCCTCTCACTTTACCCCCTCCCTGCCGGGCGCAGTGGCTCACGCCTGTAATCCCAGCACTTTGGGAGGCCTCGGTGGGTGCATCACCTGAGGTCAGGAGTTCGACACCAGCCTGGCCAACAGAGGGAAACCCCGTCTCTACTAAAAATACAAAAATTAGCCAGGCATGGTGGCAGGTGCTTGTAGTCCTACCTACTTGGGAAGCTGAGGCAGGAGAATCACTTGAACCCGGGAGGTGGAGGTTGCAGTGAGCCAGGATGGCGCCACTGCACTCCAGCCTGGGTAACAGAGCGAGACTCCATCTCAAAAAAACAAAACAAAACAAAAAAACAAATAAGTGCTCCCTCCCAAACAGCTTCTCCAACTCTGCTTTCTAACCCTCTTGTACATCTCAGATGGGGGGGCAGAAAAGATTAAGCTTCCTGAACTAACGTTCTGATCCTGTCTTTTACACACCTCCCCTGGATCTCTAGAATGAAATTCAAATTCCTTAGGCTGACAGTCAAAGCCGATCACAATACCGCCCTTCCCTCGCTATCAACAATATTTGCCGGTGCCCTTCCCTTCCATCCCCTCATCTATACCTCCCTCTCCACAATTCCCTTCCAGAGTGTAAATGAGGATCCACTACTCCCATGTGCATCAGCGTGTCTGTCCCGACCCCCATGACTCTGCTCCACCCTGAATCCCACCCACTTGGTCCCCTGTCCTCACCTTACCCACCCTTTTATGGCCCAATTTAAACAGCACTTCCCACGATGCCTGGACGTGCCCAGCAGAAAGCAAACACCCTCTAAATCAGCCAGGCATGATGGTGTGCACCTGTAAGTCCAGCTACTCGGGAAGCTGAGGCACAAGACCCTCTTGAGCCTGGGAGGTGAAGTTGAGCAGTGAGCTGAGATTGCACCACCGCTCTCCAGCCTGGGTGACAGAGTAAGACCCTGTCTCAAAAAGTAAACAAACAAAACAAAACAACAACAACAAAAAGAATGAAAGAAAACACCCTCTTAGCAAGTTCCTTTTCAGTTCTCTATGTCCACTTTATCTCTTCAACTAGACTATAAGCAACTGAGGGCAAAACCACTCACCTGCCTCTCCCCACGAAGAAGCTGGCATGATGTAAGAAGACCGCCACAAAGCGAATAATCCAGTCTAAACCCATTCCACATGTTCCAGTGTGCTCCTTTAAAATGTCCCTCACGAGGCCAGGCACGGTGGCTCAGGCCTGTAATCCTAGCACTTTGGGAGGCTGGGATGGGAGGATCCCTTGAGGCCAGGAGTTAGAGACCAGCCTGGACAACGTAGAGCGGCACTGTCTCTAGATAAAATTATTAGTCGGGTATGGTGGTAGGCACCTCAGCTACCCCAGAGCCCAGGAATTTGAGGCTGTGGTGAACTATGATCACTCCACTGCACTCCAGCCTGGGCAGCAGAAGCAGACCCCAACTCAAAAAAATAATTAATAAAATGACCCTCATGGAAATCTCCTAAAATCCTTCCACTCCCGAGTCTTGGCATGGCCCACATAACCCTCCTCGCTCAGAGCCCTCTGCCTGCTTTTCCAGCCTCCTCTATTACATACTCAGCTACTTACAGTAGCCCAGCTGTGTCCCGGTAGCTTCATGACTTTGCAAACGCTGACTCCTCTCCCAGGCGACTGTGCCCCACTTTCTAAGTCCTACTCCTCCTTCACAACCCCCCTCAACTACCACCTTCCAGAAGCCTTCCTGACCTTCCCTCTAACCGTCCCCTTTCTGGATGTGGGTAGGAGAGCCTTGTGATTTCTCCCAGCTCAGTATATATCACACTGACAACACCTTGTCACTGACTCTGCTTTGTCTTTTCCACCAAACAATGCACTCCCAAAAGACAGAGATCTTATCTGGCACCCAGTAAGGGTTTATGCAACAAAAGAAATGAAAACTGCCACTTCAAATGCAGAAATCGTGACTTGTGTCTTCTATCCCATAAAGCATGTCTTAAAGTGGAAAGCATCTTCTAAGACTAGTTAGTTAAACAGGAGAAGCAGTGGCAAGACGCCACTGCAATTTATTTGAGACAGGTGGCAATCAACAGTCAACTCCCAGGGCACACGTTTATCCTGCAGACCTCAAATTCCACCCTCCCCAATCCCCACCTTCTCTGCACCAGACAGAGAAGGCAGCAAGGTCAAGTCCCCATGGCTCTCACCTTTTCTCTCTGGAGAGCTGGCACAAACTGTCCCTTCTGGATGAAGACACCAGCTCCTTAGGAGGAATGACTTGTTTGAGTTCCCATCTTGATACAAACCACAAACAACAAAAACCGGGCAAATCTGAAAGGCTTGCTGACTCAGCGACACAAATTCCAAGGCACCTTTGCCAACGAGGAAGAAGATGATCAGGTTTTAAATTAAGAAACAGCAGTTAGTAAAAACAAAGGTACAGATGTTGGATCCGTGTGCTGTGCCTGGGGACTGAAAATCACCAGATTTATTTTCCAATAGCCTGGGTGGAGCACGAGGTACAACAGTCTTCCTCCACCCACTTAACAATCAAGGAGATGGTTGAAGAAACAACAAAAAGCAAACAAACAAAAAAACCCTGAGCTCTTTTTAAAATTTTTTATTATTATTAGTTTTTGGAGACGGAGTCTTGCTCTGTCACCCAAGCTGGAGTGCAGTGGCGTGATCTCGGCTCACTGCAGCCTCCGCCTCCCAGGTTCAAGCTACTCTCCTGCCTCAGCTTCCCGAGTAGCTGGGATTATAGGCTCGAGTCACCACGCCTGGCTCTGAGCCCTTTTCTTAAAAAAAAAAAAAGTTCGTTTTTTTAGTTTGTTTGTTTTTTGTTTTTTGAGACGGGGTCTCCCTCTGTCGCCCATGCTGCAGTGCAGTGGTGTGATCACAGCTCACTGCAGCCTCCAACTCCTGGGCTCAAGCGATCCTCCTGCCTCAGCCTCCCAAGTAGCTGGGACTACAGGCACCCACCAACACGCCCATCTGATTTTTTATAGAGACAGTGATCTCAGGAATCCTCTTCGTTTCCCAGGCTTGTCTCAAATTCCTGGACTCAAATGATCCTTCCACCTCGGCCTCCCAAAGGGCTGGGATTACAGGCATGAGCCACCGTGCCTGGCCTGAGCCCTTTTACAGAAAACTCTAAAAGGACTTCATAAGCCAGTCTGGCAGCTAAGCATCCAGGAAATCAACACACCAGAGAGGGTAAATATTTAAGGTCACAGAGCAACCGAATCAGAGGGCTTGCTATCCGGATGGCTTAAGCCCGGATGGTGGCTACCAGAAAGTCTACCTTCTAGAGCGCTAGAGGAGCTAGGAAGGCATGCAGAAATATTCTGAGTTTCTCAAGGGTCCAGGCGTCTGTACACATGCTATTTATTTCCATCGCTGTTGGCGCTTAGAGAAGTGGAGCCAGCTTGGAGGAGGAGGGCAGCTGGCTGAGACAGTCGCGATGAAAGCGCAGCTCCAGAAAAGGGAACCGAGTTCTAAATCTTTTTCGGCACCCCTTACGCACCCCAAAAAGTGACCCAGGGCCCCAGGAACTCCTGGGAAGACCCCCCACAGGAAAGCAGGGAAGCAGAGTTAGGAAGCAAACTCCTCCAAAGTACAACCCCCGGCCCAGTGAGTCCCTTCACCTGGGGGTAGACCCCAGCAGGACCAACCCCTCGTCAGGGAGCCGGTGGCAATCTCGTCACCCCCTCCTCTGGGTACTTTGGGAAGGGGTGCGCGCCTTCCGAGCGACCCGGAACCGCGCCCCTCCGCCTGCGAGCCCCTCAGCCTTCATCCGAACGTCCCCTTTCGCACCCGGCACCCTGTCCCGTCCAAAGCTGCCGGCGCCTCCCAAGTCCCCCAACTCTCGCCCTCAGGACCTTGATCCCGGAGACCGATCCCCCCGACACCCCCGATCTCCCGGGACCCCCGGGTGTCCCCGCCGCCCCGGCCGTCGGTCCCCCTCACACCCACGCCCGCCCCCTTCCGGTCCCAGCTAGGCTCCGGCTCCCCGCGCCCCCCCGCGCCCCTGGGACCGCAGCCCTAGCGACGCGCAGGTGGCCTTCCCGCCCTCTCACCGAGGCTGAGGAGGACAAGAGGACGGGGCTGAGGGCACCACCGCGCTCGGGCTGCAGCTCCGGCTCGGCCTGGGCAGGGCTCTGGCTGTGGCTCCGACTCTCAGGAGAAGGCAGCCAGAGTGAAACTCGGCGTCGCAGCTTCCGAGCGAGCCGCTGCGCATGCCCGGGGCGTGCGGCCTTCTGGGAAATGTAGTCCCGGTAGGGCCCAGGGGCGGGCAGAAGGCGGGGCTCAGCGGGGAAGGGCTCAACCCAAGGCGCACCTGCTCCGGTCTATGTTTTCTTCCTTCGCCTGCTCACTCATTGACTTATTCCTTCATTAATTACTGACTTAATTTTAACTAGTTTTTACTAGTACATACATGGTGCCAGTACATACATGTGCTACTGTTTCTCTTTTTTTGTTTTTAAAATTAATTTTATTTTTCTTTTTTGTACAGATGGGGGTTTTGCAATGCTGCAACGTTGCTCAGGCCGATCTCAAACTCCTGGCCTCAAGCGATCCTCTTGCTTCATTCAGCCTCCCAAAGCACTGGGGTTGCAAGTGTGAGCCATCGAGCACAACCTTTTTAAATTTAAATTTTTGTCTTTTTCTTTTCTTTTTTTCTCTCTTTCTTTCCTATTTATTTTTAATATTTATTTATTTATTTAGCTACTGTGTAGTGGGAGTGCGGGAGTGAATAGGTGAATCAGAAATGGTTTCTTGGCTGGGCGCAGTGGCTCATGCCTGTAATCCCTGCACTTTGAGAGGCAGAGGTGGGCGGATCACCTGAGGTCGGGAGTTCCAGACCAGCCTGGCCATCATGGCGAAACCCCGTCTCTACTAAAAATACCAAAAAAAAACTAGCCGGGCGTGGTGGCTCGTGCCTGTAATCCCAGCTACTCGGGAGGCTGAGGCAAGAGAATCGCTTAAACCCGGGAGGCAGAGGCTGTAGTGAGCCAAGATCGCGCCATTGCACTCCAGCCTGGGCGACGGAACAGGAATCCCTCTCAAAAGAAAAAAAAAAAAAGACGAAGAAGAAGAAAAAAGAAAAAGAAAAGGTTTCTCGCCGGGAGCGGTGGCTCACGCCTGTAATCCCAGCACTTTGGGAGGCCGAGGCAGCCAGATCACAAGGTCAAGAGATTGAGACCATCCTGGCCAACATGGTGAAACCCCGTCTCTACTAAAAATACAAAAATTAACTGGGTGTGGAGGCCGGGCGCAGTGGCTCACGCCTGTAATCCCAGCACTCTGGGAGGCCGAGGCGGGCGGATCACGAGGGCAGGAGATCGAGACCACTGTGAAACCCCGTCTCTACTAAAATTACAAAAAAAAAAAAAAAAAAAATTAGCCGGGCGTAGTGGTGGGCTCCTGTAGTCCCAGCTACTCGGGAGGCTGAGGCAGGAGAATGGCGTGAACCCGGGAGGCGGAGCTTGCAGTGAGCCGGGATTGTGCCACTGCACTCCAGCCTGGGTGACAGAGCGAGACTCCGTCTCAAAAACAAAAAAAAAAAATAATAATAATAATAATTAACTGGGTGTGGTGGCGCGTGCCTGTAATCCCAGCTACTTGGAAGACTGAGGCAAGAGAATCACTTGAACCCTGGAGGTGGAGGTTGCACTGAGCCAAGATTGTGCCACTGCACTCCAGCCTGGACGACACAGTGGGAATCTGTCTCAAAAAAAAAAAAAAAAAAAGAAAGAAAAGAAAAGAAAAGAAAGAAAGAAGAAAAGAAAAGGATTTCTTTCCTGGGAAAGCTTTGTATCTAGTTGGAAAGTCCGGCACTTAAACACACAATTACGATATAGTGGGGAAAATGTTTGGATAAAGGAGGGCATAGAAGGGTATGCCTAACTTGAGGGTGGGGAGAAGACATCACAAGACAGATAAAGGCTATGTGGGTTTTTCAGTCCATAGAGAAATTTGCCAGTTGGAGCATAGGGAAGCTCTTGTAAAGCAAGAGAGATGTGAAAGTGCCTCATGCACTCCGGAGGCAGCACAAAGTTCCTGGTGGCCAGGGCAGAGGACACATGGAGGGAAGGGAGTGAGGAAGGAGAAAATGCACTAGGCTATAGCAGGATCTGAGGAGTATGGGGAGAAGCCGGGGTAAGATTATGATGAATTTTAGATAATGTGAGTGTTTGCACATGTGTGCACATACTATGTATGTTGAATATTATGTATACAGTTTCAGGGGGATCAAGGTCCTCTGAATCTTGGAGGACCAAGTACCCAGTTAAAGATACTTACCTGGAATGACATTATCCTAAGGTCATTGATCCTTTATCAGGGATTTTTATTTTCCTTTTTTTTTTTTTTTTTTGAGACGAGTTTTGCTCTTGTTGTCCAGGCTGGAGTGAAATGGCACAATCTCGGCTCACTGCAACCTCCGCCTCCCAGGTTCAAGTGATTCTCCTGCCTCACCTCCCGAGTAGCTGGGATTACAGGCATGCACCACCACACTCAGCTAATTTTTGTATATATATATATTTTTGAGATGGAGTCTTGCTCTGTCGCCCAGGCTGGAGTGCAATGGCACAATCTCAGCTCACTGCAAACTCCGCCTCCCAGGTTCAAGCAATTCTTCCTCAGCCTGCCGAGTAACTGTGATTACAGGCGGATGCCACCATGCCCAGCTAATTTTTGTATTTTAGTAGAGACAGGGTTTCACCATGTTGGCCAGGCTGGTCTTGAACTCCTGACCTCGTGATCTGCCCACCTCGGTCTCCCAAAGTACTGGGATTACAGATGTGAGCCACCGCATCCGGGCTAATTTTTGTATTTTTAGTAGAGACAGAGTTTCACCATGTCAGCCAGGCTGATCTCAAACTCCTGACCTCAGGTAATCTGCCCACTGCAGCCTTCCAAAGTGCTGGGATTACAGGTGAGGGCCACCGCATCCGGCCAGAGTTCCATTTTTAAAATCTGAAAAGACGGACTATTTTTATTTGGGAAAAATAAAGAGTTCTGGTTGTGAAAAGAAGTAAAATAGGACAGTATCAAGAGGGAGAGTGGGGGGCATGGACTTTTGTATTTTAGACAGGAGAGAGAAGAGTGTGCTGACTTCTGAAATTGCAGCAGGATGTCTGCCCCCTGGGAACCTGGAAATGAGGGAAACAGCCTTGGCCACTTGCAAAGTGAACTTTAAACTAATATACGTAGCAAAGGGCCAGAGACAAAAGAACTGCCTGGTAGGAGGGGGCTGGTTAAATAACCCCGGAACACTAGGTAGCCCTAGAAGGAATGAGGAAGACTCACAGTGGCCTAGATCTATTGTTAAACCAAAAAGGAACTTTGAGCCAGGCAAGGCGGCTCATGCCTATAATCCCAGCACTTTGGGAGGCGGAGGCAGGTGGATCACCTGAGATCAGGAGTTCAAGACCAGTCTGGCCAACATGGTGAAACCTCGTCTCTACTAAAAATACAAAAATTAGCTGGGTGCAGCGGTGCACACCTGTAATCCACCTACTCGGGAGGCTGAGGCAGGAGAATCGCTTGAATCTGGGAGGCAGAGGGTGTAGTGAGCCAAAATTGCACCATTGCACTAGCCTGGGTGACAGACTGAGACTCGGTCTGAAAAAAAGAAAAAAAAGGAACGTTCAAAATAGAGGGTAGAGAATATGAGAATATGCACCCATTTGTGTTTTTTAAACAATTGCATACAATAAACGGGCTTACAGACGAAGAAAGTTTCTGGGAAGAGACCCAAGAAGCCCCAGAAGGTAGGGGGATAAGCTGAAGAATTGTTAAAGATTTTATTTATTTATTTTTTGAGACAGTGTCTCCCAGGCTGGAGTACAGTGGCGTGATCATAGCTCACTGCAGCCTCGACCTCCTGGGTTCAAGTGATCTTCCTGCCTCAGCCTCCTGAGTAGCTGGGACTACAAGCGTGCACCACCATGCCAGGCTGATTTTTGTATTTTCTGTCAAGATAGGGTCTCACCATATTGCCCAAGTTGGTCTCAAACTCCTGGGCTCACACATTCCTCTTGCCTCAGCCTCCTAAAGTGCTGAGATTACAGGCATGAGCCACCACGCCTGACTGAATTTTTAAAGATTTAGAGAGGGCTGTCAGCTGGGCGCAGTGGCTCATGCCTCTAATCCCAGCACTTTGGGAGGCCAAGGTGGGAGGATCACATAAGGTCAGGAGTTTGGCCAACATGGGGAAACCCCGTCTCCACTAAAAATACAAAAATTAGCCAGGCGTGGTGGCATGCGCCTGTAATCCCAGCTACTGGGGAGGCTGAGGGAGGAGAATCTCTTGAACCCAGGGGGCAGAGGTTGCAGTGAGCCGAGATCGTGCCATTGCACTCCAGCCTGGGCAACAGAGTGAGACTCTGTCTTTAAAATAAAATAAAATAAAATAAAATAGGGCTCTCTCCTCTCTGGCAGTACCCCCACTCCCCACAACATACACAGTAGGGCAGTTTGCCACTTGCGTTCTTGCATAAAGGTCCACAGCCTAAGGGGCAGTGGCAGGAGCAGCGGCAGGAAATATTCCTGGCAGGGGTTCTTTGTCTGAAATTTTCCGCCTAGAGATGGTGTCTTTTTTTTTTTTTTTTTGAACTCCTCAAAGGCTGGGGTTTGTTCAACACACCCAAGGGGCCACCAGTGCTCTGAAGCAACTGAAAATGAATGACGTGGCCCAAGAAAGAATGTGACTGTTGGCCACAAAATGGGGAGTGGTGTTGAGCAAAGAAATTTAAACTCTAATACCCATAATCCCAGCACCTGGCTAGGTCCAAGTGGGAGGATCGCTTGAGCTCAGAAGTTTAAGACCAGCCTGGGTGACAAGACAAGACCCCATCTCTACAAAAAATAAAAAAATTAGCTGGGTGTGGTGGGACACCCCTGTGGTCCCAGCTACTTGGGAGACTGAGGCAGGAGGATCACTTGAGCCCAGGGGGTCCAGGCTGCAGTGAGCTATGACGACACCACTGCATTCCAGCCTGGGTGACAGGGTGACATCTTGTCTCTTAAAAAAAAAAGGGCCGGGTGCGGTGTCTCATGCCTGTAATCCTAGCACTTTGGGAGGCCGAGGCGGGCGGATCACAAGGTCAGGAGATCAAGACCATCCTGGCTAACATGGAGAAACCCCGTCTCTACTAAAAATACAAAAATAAAATAAAATAAAATTAGCCGGGCATGGTGGCGGGCGCCTGTAGTCCCAGCTACTTGGGAGGCTGAGGCAGGAGAATGGCGTGAACCCGGGAGGCAGAGCTTGCAGTGAGCCGAGATTGCGCCACTGCACTCCAGCCTGGGCAACAGAGTGAGACTCTGTCTCAAATAAAAAAAAAAAAAAAAAAGGACAACACGTGGGGGTGGGGTATGGGTAGAGGGTATTTGCAAACTGTTAGAACTTTTCAGATGAATGAACGGCGAGCACACGTACCTTATTTTAGATTTGCCACAAGGGAACCAGTGAAAAGGGTGAGCCTTTTCTTTTGTTTTTGAGATGGGGTTTCACTCTTCTTGCCCAAGCTAGAGTGCAATGGTATGATCCCGGCTCACTGCAACTTCCACCTCCCATATTCAAGTGATTCTCCTGCCTCAGCCTCCCAAGTAGCTGAGACTACAGGCGTGTCCCACCATGCCTGGCTAATTTTTGTATTTTTAGTAGAGATGGGTTTCGCCATGTTGGCCAGGCTGGTCTTGAACTTCTGACCTCAGGTGATCCGCCTGCCTCAGCCTCCCAAAGTGCAGGGATTACAGGCGTGAGTCACCTGCCCAGATGGGTGAGCCCTTTCAAAACATGTTCCAAGGGGCTGGGACTTACATAAGATAATTATTTGGGGAAGACTGGTTTACTCCTCAGGGCTGTAAAGCCATCTTTTTTTTTTTTTTTTTTTTTTTGAGACAGAGTCTCTCTGTGTCGCCAAGGCTGGAGTGCAGTGGCATGATCTTGGCTCACTGCAACCTCTGCCTCCTAGATTTAAGCGATTCTCCTGCCTCAGCCTACTGAGTAGCTGGGATTACAGGCGCCCGCCACCACGTCCGGCTAATTTTTTTTTTTTTGTATTTTTAATAGAGATGGGGTTTCACCATGTTGGCTGCAAAGCTATCTTGCTTTTCTTTGTTGTGCAGGTCACACCTGGGTCCTGAGCTGGCGCCATCACCGGAGACGCCAGGTGATGTCCATTCATCAGAAATAATGAGCAAAGCAGCTGTGGCTTCTAATCAGCCCATCCCTCCAGGGTGTCAGATGGAGGCCAATTAGTGGACGCACTAGACAACCAAATTCTGCCTTTCCAAGCAAAACATCAGAAAATGTTCTAGCCCTTAGCATTGATGCTGGAACCCAGTGTCTTGCTTCTGCTTGGGTTTTCATGATCTTTCCTTGCTCTGGGTGAGCTGGGGGCTGGTTCTAGATCAGAACCTTCAGAGGCACTAAGAAATGCCACCTGGAGTGGAGTTAAAGAAGTTATTTTTTTTTTTTAACTTCTACTATTGTCAGAGGCGGGTGAACCAGAGCAACTCCATTTTGAATAGGGGCTGGATAAAATGAGGCTGAGACCTATTGGGCTGCATTCCCAGATGGTAAAGGCATTCTAAGTCACAGGATGAGATGGGAGGTTGGCACAAGATACAGGTCATAAAGACCTTGCTGATAAAACAGGTTGCAGTGATGGCCGGGCACGGTGGCTCACGCCTGTAATCCCAGCACTTTGGGAGGCTGAGGCGAGCGGATCACAAGGTCAGGAGATCGAGACCATCCTGGCTAACACGGTGAAATCCCGTCTCTACTAAAAATACAAAAAATTAGTTGGATATGGTGGCGGGCACCTGCAGTCCCAGCTACTCGGGAGGCTGAGGCAGGACAATGGCGTGAACCCGGGAGGCGGAGCTTGCAGTGAGCCGAGATCGCGGTACTGCACTCCAGCCTGCGTGACAGAGCGAGACTCCGTTTCAAAAAATATATAAATAAATAAATAAATAAATAAATAAATAAATAAATAAAACAGGTTGCAGTGAAGAAGCCGGTTAAAACCCACCAAGACCAAGATGGCGACGAGAGTGACCTCTGGTCGTCCTCACTGCTACACTCCCACCAGCTTCATGACAGTTTACAAATGCCATGGCAACGTCAGGAAGTTACCCTATGTGGTCTAAAAAGGGGAGGCATGAATAATCCACCCCTTGTTTAGCATATCATCAAGAAATAATCATAAAAATGGGTAACCAGCCACCCTCGGGGCTGCTCTGTCTATGGAATGGTCATTCTTTCATTCCTCTACTGTCTTAATAAACTTGCGTTCACTTTATGCACTCGCCCTGAATTCTTTCTTGCGTGAGATCCAAGAACCCTCACTTGGGGTCTGGGTAGGGACCCCTTTCCTGTAACACTATCATTCTCAAGTTTTTGTTTTTTTTTTTTTGAGATGGAGTCTCGCTCTGTCACCCAGGCTGGAGTGCAGTGGCACGATCTCGGCTCACTGCAACCTCCGCCCCCCAGGTTCAAGCGATTCTCCTGCCTCAGCCTCCCGAGTAGCTGGGATTACAGGTACGCTGTAATTTTTGTATTTTTAGTAGAGACGAGGTTTCACCATCTTGGCCAGGCTGGTCTTGAACTCCTGACCTCATGATCCACCCGCCTTGGCCTCCCAAAGTGCTGGGATTACAGGCGTGAGCCACCGCGTCTGGCCCATTCTCAAGTTTTGTTTTGTTTTGTTTTGTTTTGTTTTAGAGACAAGGTCTCACTCTGTTGTCCAGGCTAGAGTGCAGTGATATGATCACGGCTCACTGCAGCCTGGCACTCCTGAGCTCAAGCGATCTTCCTACCTCAGCCTCTTAGAGTGCTGGGATTATAGGCTTGAGCCACTGCATTCAAACTCGAGCCCTTTTTCTTTTTTAATCTAAATTCCTTTTTTTTTTCTTTTTGAGTTGGGGTCTTGCTCTGTTGCCCTGGCTAGAGTGCAGTAGCTGGATCATATCTCACTGCAGCCTCCAACTCCTGGGCTCAAGTGATCCTCCCACCTCAGCCTCTGGAGCTGGGAATACAGGCACTCACCACCATGCCTGGCTAATTTTTATATTTTGTTTGGTAGAGATGGAGTTGCACTATGTTGGCCAGGCTGGTCTCTAACTCTTGGGCTCAAGAGATCCCTCCACCTCAGCCTCCCAAAGTGCTGGAATTACAGGTGTGAGCCACCGCGCCCAGCCCAAATTGATTGTGTTTTTTTTTTTTTTAATTTCACTTTTCCCCCTGTGATACAGCCCCAGAAGATCCCCAAATAAATTCTTAAAACAGTCTTCTGACTCTAATGTCAGAAATCCTATCTACAGGAACAATGGTATGCAATGGTCAGGAACTAGTGCCACCTGACTTTTAGCAACAAGGAAGTGGGCCAAAATGCAGCCTGATGAATGCTTAATTATAACTCTATTTCTGTCCAGAACCCAGCATGCAGTTCTTGTTGCTCCTGTGGGGATAGTTTCATTCTCATTGTAAATGAATATTCTGGTGTGTTGCTTTGGGATATATAAGTTGTTCAAGAAAAGGGATCAAGCCTGGTGCGGTGGCTTATGCCTGTAATCCCAACACTTTGGGAGGCTGAGGTGGGTGGATCACCTGAGGTCAGGAGTTTCAGACCAGCCTGGCCAACAGGGCAAAACCCCCATCTCTACTAAAAATACAAAAATTAGCTGGCTGTGATGGTACGCAACTGTAATCCCAGCTACTCAGCAGGCTGAGGCAGGAGAATCTCTCAAAACCTGGGAGGCGGAGGTTGCAGTGAGCCAAGATCGCGCCATTTACACTCCGGCATGGCTGACAGAGCGAGAATCCGCCTCCAAAAAAAAAAAAAAGAGAGAGAAAGAAAAGCAAAGCACGCTTGGTGACCGTGCTAGGTTTTTTGAGATAAGTTTTTTGTTAAATAAGAGCAATTTTGTTTAAGTTGGGGGTTATTTAAAGATTGTTTCAAAATATGGATTTAGGAAGGAAATAGAAACAAGGTGGGAAGAAGGCCAGTAAGTAGGAGAGATGTGAAAAAAAGTTATAAATATGAGGATGTATTTTTGGTAAAGAAAGTTGAAAAAAGAGTAATTTTTCATTTTGCATAAGAGAGGACTTTGGTCAAAATCAAGAGGAAAGGAAAGTAAATTTCTGTCCTAAAGTAGATTGCTAATATAAAAAAAGAAGTATAGGACAAAATCAAAGATTTAAGGAAGTGTAGAAGTTGTGGAAGATTAATCTCATGAAAGGAATTTGGTGTGTGATTAAGCTGGCCGAAATTAGAAGGGGATTATTTATAAGATTTTTGGCCAGGCGTGGTGGCTCATGCCTGTAATCCCAGCACTTTGGGAGGCTGAGGCGAGCTGATCACCTGAGGTCAGGAGTTCGAGACCAGCCTGCTCAACATGGCGAAACCACATCTCTACTAAAAATACAAAAAGTTAGCTGGGCATGGTGATAGGCGCCTGTAATCCCAGCTACTCACAAGGCTGAGGCAGGAGAATCGCTTGAATCCAGGAGGTGGAGGTTGCAGTGAGCCGAGATCATGCCACTGCACACCAGCCTGGGTGACAAGAGGGAAACTCTATCTCAAAAAAAAAAAGCCATAAATATTTATAAGATTTTCTAAAAATTGAACTTTCTTTTCCTTTATTTATTTTATTTATTTACTTTTTCTGAGATAGTTTCACTCTGTCACCCAGGCTGGAGTGAAGTGGCTCTATCTCGACTCACTGCAACTTCCACCTCCCTGGTTCAAGCAATTCTCCTGCCTCGGCCTCCTGAGTAGCTGGGATCACGGGTGTGTGCCACCACACCCGGCTAATTTTTGTATTTTTAGTAGAGACGGGGGTCTCACCATGTTGGTCAGGCTGGTCTCGAACTCCTGACCTCGTGATCTGCCCGCCTCAGCCTCCCAAAGTGCTGGGATTACAGGCCTGAGCCACTGCGCCTGGCCTAAAATTGAAGCTTTTTTTGAGGCAGGGTCTCACTCTGTCACCCAGGCTGGAGTGCAGTGGCATGATCATAACTCACTGTAGCTTTAATCTCCTGGGCTCAAGTGATTCTCCCACTTCAGCCTCCCAAGTAGACAGGACTACAGGTGTGCACCACCACACCTGGCTAATTTTTACTTTTAGTAGCGGTGAGGTCTTCCCATGTTGCCTAGGCTAAAAACTGAGCGTTAATATCAAAAGCACACTGATGGATACAAGGCCGCAATTTGGGCCCCTGTGTTGCAACAACAGAGTTTTTGTGGACCATTGATCTACCCTTTACAAGAAAATTGTAAAAGATTTTTCTTTACCTTTTAGGTAACTGGCCTAGGAAACAGAGAATCTGTTTCATCAAGAACATTGGCCAGGGCTGGGCGCGGTGGCTCACGCCTGTAATCCCAGCACTTTGGGAGGCTGAGGCAGGCGGATCATGAGGTCAGGAGATCGAGACCATCCTGGCAAACACGGTGAAACCCTGTCTCTATTAAAAATACAAAAAAATTAGCTGGGCGTGGTGGCAGGCGCCTGTAGTCCCAGCTACTCGGGAGGCTGAGGCAGGAGAATGGCGTGAACCCGGGGGGTGGAGCTTGCAGTGAGCCGAGATCACACCACTGCACTCCAGCCTGGGTGACAGAGCGAGACTCCGTCTCAAAAAAAAAAAAAAAAAAAAATTGACCAGGCACGGTGGCTCACGCCTGTAATCCCAGCACTTTGGGAGGGCAAGACAGTGAGATCACCTGACGTCAAGAGTTCAAGACCAGCCTGGCCAACATGGTGAAACTCTGTCTCTCCTTAAAATACAAAAATTAGCCGGTATGGTGGCGAGCACCTGTAATCCCAGCTACTTGGGAGGCTGAGGCAGGAGAATTGCTTAAACCCAGGAGGCAGAGGTTGCAGTGAGCTGAGATCACACCACTGCACTCCAGCATGGGCAGCAGAGCAAGACTCCCTCTCAAAAAAAAAAAGAGTATTTATTGTGTTTTGTGTCTTTCAAATATTTTCTCACTTTGGTTTTATTTCACAGTGACTTGTGATCCTACTTTGATCAAGCGTTTTAAAACTTTGATATTTGACAAACTTTTCAAAAATCAAAATTAAGGCAGACACAGTGGCGCACACCTGAATTCCCAACACTTTGGGAGGCTGAGGCAGGAGGATTGCTTGAGCCCAGGAGTTTGAGACCCACTTGGGCAACATAACAAGATCCCATCTCTACAAAAAATAAACAAAATTAGCTGGACGTGGTGGCACATGCCTGTAGACCCAGCTACTCTGGAGGCTAAGGTGGGACAATCACTTGCTTCAAGAGTTTGAGAGTGCAGTGAGATATGATTGTGTCCATGCACTCCAGCCAGGGTGACAGAGTAAGACCCTATCTCAAAAAAAAAAAAAAATCAAAATTAAGTATTTTTGACCTCAAACTAACTTTAGGATGTTCCAGAGGACCCCTGAACCTCTCAAAGGATCTACAAAAAAAGAAATATTAAATCAACTGGGCTTATCTGATATATTAAATTATATGAGGCTGGGCACAGTGGCTAATGCCTGTAATCCCAAGGGACGCCAAGGCAGGAGGATTGCTTGAGCCCAGGAGTTTGAGACCAGTCTGGGCAAAATATCGAGACTCCTGTATCTACAAAAAAAATTTTATTTTATTTTTATTTTTATTTTTTTTGAGACGGAGTCTGGCTCTTGTGGGCCAGGCTGGAGTGCAGTGGCGCCATCTCGGCTCACTGCAAGCTCCGCCTCCCAGGTTCAAGTGATTCTCCCGCTTCAGCCTCCTGAGTAGATGGGATTACAGGCGCCGGCCATCCTGCCTGGCTAATTTTTGTACTTTTAGTAGAGACCGGGTTTCACCATGTTGGCCAGGCTGGTCTTGAAGTCCTGACCTCAGGTGATCCACCCACCTCGGCCTCCCAAAGTGCTGGGATTACAGGAATGAGCCACTGCACCCGGCCAAAAAATTTAAAAATTTTAAATATAAAATAAAAAATAAGGCCAGGCACAGTGTCTCATGCCTGTAATCCCAGCTCTTTGGGAGGCCGAGGCAGGCGGATCACGAGGTCAGGAGTTTGAGACCATCCTGGCTAACACGGTGAAACCCCATCTCTACTAAAAATACAAAAAATTAGCTGGGCGTGGTGGCAGGCGCCTGTAGTCCCAGCTACTCTGGAGGCTGAGGCAGGAGAATGGCATGAACCTGGGAGGCGGAGCTTGCAGTGAGCCGAGATTGCGCCACTGTACTCCAGCCTGGGTGACAGAGCGAGACTCCATCTCAAAAAAAAAAAAAAAAGAAATACATAAAATAAATTATAAGAGAAGGATTGGCAAAATAAGAAATATTTCACCTTGAGGTATATTTATATGGATATGTTATTAATATACTGAAAAATTGTATAACATATTTAAAAATCTGATGTGTCTTGGTATAAATGGTATCAGTCAATTTTGGTTCAGAAATAACATTCTTGTCAATTATGTCGTCATTACCATGGACTCAGACCAGGTTTTGGCCATGGTCACTTGAAGTCTTCATGTCCACACTTAATTGCTTTAGTCTAATGTCTTTCTGAAAGCTTCTTGCAGGCAATTATAATCCCAGAGAGTTATGTCTTCAAGGAGCTTCATGGAAAGAATGAAGTCTGACAAGTACGGGTTTCTAATAACTTTGAGTTCACACTATTGAACTAAATTTCCAAAACTCGGCCAGGCACAGTGGCTCAAGCCTGTAATCCCAGCACTCTGGGAGGCCGAGGTGGGCGGATCACCTGAGGTCGGGAGTTCGAGACCAGCCTGATCAACATGGAGAAAACCCGTCTCTACTAAAAAAAAAAAAAAAAACACAAAAAAATTAGCTGGGCGTGGTAGCATATGCCTGTAATCCCAGCTACTCAGGAGTCTGAGGCAGGAGAATCGCTTAAACCCGGGAGGCGGAGGTTGCAGTGAGCTGAGATTCTGTCGTTGCACTCCAGCCTGGGCAACAAGAGTGAAACTCTGTCAAAAAAAAAAAAAAAATTCCAAAACTCGAATGAAGAAACTGATGGGTTTGTGAAATTGCTAATACAGATCACAGCAAGAATTAATTACAAGACTGAATGAACTGATGAAAAATAATTATTAATCTTTTTTTTTTTTTTTTTTTGAGATAGAACCTCACTCTGTCGCCCAGGCTGGGGTGCAATGGCGAGATCTTGGCTCACTGCAACCTCTGCCTCCCAGGTTCAAGCAATTCTCCTGCCTCAGCCTCCCTAGTAGCTGGGATTACAGGCATGTGCCACCACGCATGGCTAATTTTATATTTTCAGTAGAGACAGGGTTTCTACATGTTGGTCAGGCTGGTCTCGAACTCCCAACCTCAGGTGATCTGCCTGCCTCGGCCTCCCAAAGTGCTGGGATGCTGGGATTACAGGTGTGAGCCACTGCGCCCGGCCTCATTTTTGTATTTTTAGTAGAGATGGGGGTTTCACCATGTTGGCCAGGCTGGTCTCGAACTCTGACCTCAGGTGATCCGCCTGCCTAGGCCTCCCAAAGTGCTGGGATTACAGGTGTGAGCCACCAAACCGGGCCTGAATCTTTTTTTTTTTTTTTATGGCAGGGTCTTGGCTCTGTCACCCAGGCTGAAGTGCAGTGGTGTGATCATGGCTCACAGCAGCCTTGAATTCCTGAGCTCAATCGATCCTCCCACCTCAGCCTCCCAAAATGCTGTGATTACAGGTGCAAGCCACTAGACCCAGCTGAATTATGGATTTTTAAGGCTGCTTTATGTCACATTACTAACAAGGATATTTTCTTAACAGCATGGATTGAGTAGGAAGGGTAGAGGGAGATGGCAGTGAAAAAAGGAACTTGATTGCTTCTGTTTGAAATAACTATCTGATTAAAACAACAGCAACAATAACAACACCAACAAAGAGGAAAATATACTCTACCACCAAAAAAAAAAATAAAACACAACAATTTTCACTTTGGATGGACCATTTCCTTTGAAATGAAAAGAAAAAATGAAGCAGTTACACCATGGGTGTCCCTAGCACAAGATGTATCCAACCTATAACTTCTGATTACTCAGAAATTCACAGAAAGTAAATTCAGATAGGATTAAGAAAGCCCCTAGGGACTAACAAGTGGAAGAATATTTATTTGTTTGCACCAAATAGTTGACTGAATACTGAATAACTATTAGCTTAAATTGCAATAAACTCAGTTATTTAACTGAGATCTAACAGTTTGCATTTTTCTTTTTTTTCTCCTAAGCAGCCTCTGAATAACATCTCTAGAGTATCTCACGAACAGAATGACTATGATCTTCATAACTGAATAGCAGCTAGCAGGATTGTTCAGCAATTTTCTAATTTTTTTTTGTTTGTTTTCTAAGATGACACTTGTTAGAATTTAGGAATAGACACTCACAGAGATATTTTTCCCCTTTTGGAAAAGAGTAAAGGGTTGCGTTATCTAGAAACATGCATGTATTTTATGATGAAGGGATAAAGTTTGAAACAGAAGACCAGGTTCTGACTCAGAATTTTGTTTCCTAATCACTGGTTAATCTCCACCTGCTCCTTTTTCCACATCCTTTGGTAGCAAATATGTTGATATTAAGGTTTATCAAGTTACATCAATTGACACATTTAATTTTGTTTTCTGTTGTTTCATGTAGACTATCCCATTAGAGAATACATTTGTAGCCAGAAAACCACCTTGGACTTTTAGGGAGCAATTCCTCCCTAAAAGGGGAGCGATGGTCAGGGCCTTCTGGAATTACTCCTACAAGAACAGGAGCAGGGAAAGAGGATATATTTTGGAGAGGAAGTGGGATATAAAGAGGATATTAGTGCACAAGGATTTAGGATATTAGCTTAAGTAGAGTAAGGACAGAGTTAACAACCCCAATGGGATGAAATGGCTATAATTATTTCTTTGTGTTTCTAGGTATATCTGGAGAAATCATTTGTAATATTAATCTAGAATTGTTTTCTCCCTGAATCTCTGATTCTCTTCCTCTCATTCAACTCAGGGATCTCTTCCTCTCATTCAACTCAGGGAAGGGGTGTTAAAAAGCAGAAAGAACAAATGGCACTCCAATATTTCTGGCTTTTTATTAGTTAGTTTATCTGTCCTTTAAAAGCCCCACAGAAAAGAGAGAATTGGCAGGCTGGACAGAGTATCTTGGCCAGAAGCAGTAGGGAGAGCTGGACTAAAGCCTGTAAGACTAGAGAGATGTGTCTCCACTTGCAAGGAGAAAGCAAGATAGTTTGTAAAAGTCCCTGTGTGGTAGAGACCAAGGCCTCAGTCAACAGAAGTAAGGTTGAGTGTTGGAAAACCCCTGAGAGGAAATGACTGTATGGGGTATTTGAGAAGATGGTTTCCATGGACAAACTCAGAGAAAGGTTTTATGTCCCAAGTGTGCCTGGCAGGAGTGAGCCAGCATGCCAGAGGGGCCGTGTGGAGAAAGACAGAGGGTGTCTCAGTAGCTGTCTGTGTGTGGACAGATGCTTAAGGATAAGAGAGATCCCACTCCTTAATCCCAAGGCACTCTCTGAGAACCCACTAAGGGACAGAAAATCATGAATGGGACTGAGTTTAAGTTTCCCACTAGTCATGCGAGAAAGGCGGCTCTTACAACAAAAAATAAAGTTTTATAATGTAAAGACTGTAGATTTCTTGCTCACCTGAATTTGTGGGCTGAGATTCATACCTGTAAATAGAGTTAAAAAGAACAACCAGTGTGATATTGACATGATGGCTCAAGAGATGGGGATAAGAAGCAAAGGAAGGGAAGGAAAAAGAGCACTACTCATACGAAGTGACAGGTGCTTGAACCATTCTGTCCTGCTGCCTGGAACTAAGAACACCCTGAGTTGACTGTGTAGGAGACTGAAAGGACTGAGCACTTACTGCTTCAGTGTGCTTCCTTGAAGAACAGCTGGAAAGCATCTAGAGCAGTGAGATGACCATAGCAGGAGACCAATATTGACTAATAGACTGTGGGGCCACATTCCATTGTCCACCATGCTGCAACAAGACCCAATGGAAGTGCTTACTTGAGATACTGGGTCTTTGCAGGCTTGAGTGTGGAAGTTTGTAAGGTTCTTGTTTTGGTTTGTGAAACCCTCATGATTATGAACAGTCCAGAGGAGTGAAGAGCCTGAAGAAGGAGAAACTGGACTTCTTGCTTATAAGGCAGGTAGATCTGTTCCACATTGCAGTGCTGGTTCTCTGAATAGCAGGGCATTTATTTAGGCCAGTTGGTCTTTAATTATTTAATATAGCAGATACATAGTCAGTTCAGGTTGAGGATATCTGATTTATTGGGCAAAGTAGATTTTTAAGAGGGCTAGGTTGGAGTTCCACACTCCAACTTTTAGGAATCATGTAATTTCTGGCATGATCTTTCTGACTGTTTCCTGATTTGTCAAATGGAGATTACTGCATTGCATAGTGATACAAAGGTGGAACCATGAGTACAAGTTGAAATCTTAATCTCCAAGGAAGTATTATGGAAGTACAGGAGGAATCATTAATTCTTCCTCAGAAATGGAATCAGAGTGACTTTTGACATTGGGCTTAAAGATTGAGTAGAATTTCACTGGAACAACAACAATGAGAGTTCCTACACAAGTAACAGTTTATGTACAACAATAGTGTATACGTGAGGCTGTGTGGTATGTGCATAAAATCAGTCCTGCATCAATGCCTACCCATGTCATTCTGGCATTCTGCTAGAATCACCTGTAACTCTCTACCTGAGACTTTCTTTTTATTGGGCAGGCTGGAAATGGTAAGTGATGAATGTATGCAGTAGCAGTTCTTGGCCAGTGACAAATGGATTGGAGAATACACACTCTACCTTCCTTGCCCTTGGAGGCAGGAGGGGTTGGGGTTGGATAATAAGGAAGAGTGTTCCTCATTATCTTTTAGGACTCCCCAATGAGATTGAACTCAGTTGCCCTACCTCTAACACCTGCTTGACAAGGCACAAATTATTGGTTCTCTTTCCTTCTCTTTATCTCTCTCCAGACATTTGTTGTTTCCCGGGATCATTTCCCAAATAATATAGCACCGGTACTCAAATCTTTGTCTCAGAATCTGCTTCTGGGGAAACCAACTTAAGACAGAGACATTTGTTGTTCATATAAGGCACAAGGAGAGTCTAGGCAAGAGCTGGTCGGGGAGCTGTTATTTAAAGGTAGTAGTGAAGTCCAGTAGGACATGCTGAGCATTTAGATAATACAGAAAATCGGGAGCCATTAAAAATCTAAACAGAGGGGAAACTGGGAGGAAAGCAAAAGCATATCCACTTTTTAGAAAGCAAGCACAACTAGCTTTATAATGAAATAGGTTGGAGAAGGTAGAGAAGGCATTCTATTGGTGACAATGAAAGAGACAAAAGTAATATTTTGATGAGTAATAATGAAAGCTAAATTTGTGTAGTAATAGAGAATTCGCAGAGAATCTGTAGGACTAGGCAAATAATAGGGTAAGAATTTCAAAGGGAGGAGAGTGTACAGCCATTGATGAAGCCAACATTTTTGACCTTAACAAATGGGTAGGTGGTGAAGCAATCAACACAGATAAGTAAGAATGGGAGAATGAAATGCTGAATTTGCAGTGCTTATGGAGGATTCAGATGGCACCATCTAAACTTGTCATTTAACAGTTGTTAAACTTATTTTGAACAGGGCAATGACTATCTGGCTAGGTCCTAGTGCTGAGAAGTCACAGTTTCTGCTCTTATGCACCTTAACTGAGTAGCGGAAATGTTGTAAATGTGATATAAATAAGAAGACTATTTACACATAGGTGTTGGTTAAAACTGCAGGAGTTGATTTTTTTATTAGTAGAGAAATATTCTACTGTATTGCTAAGGTAATGTCTGAACTTGGTGGAATTTCTTTTAATAGGCAAATAGTGCTTTGAAAGAATAGATTGCAATATTGTAGCTCTGAAAGTTTTAACATTAATTAAAAAAAAAAGAAAATGGAAAAAGAGGAAGTGCATAGTCAAAAGAATTAGAATTCCCCTGTTTAAGTTGATGTAGAATAATAAAAATCATGGGGCATTGAATGTGGCCTTATTATGTATTAATGGTCTTCTCTGCTAGTGTTAGTAGATCTTCAGTGGCAGAAAAAGTAAAAAGAAATATATTTTCTTCTCTTGATGCTATTTGCCTAGTTTGTAAATAACAATATTTGTTTGACTTCTTGGAAAGGAAACAACTGAATTGTGTTTTGAAACTCAGGGAAAAAGACTCAAAAGTATGTTCCATGCATTGCCTAATTCTTTTAAAAACAATGTTTCAATACAATTTAGTATTTCAATAATATTTTTTTCCTAAAGGAAGGTAGTACAGAATCCTGATGTGATAAGCACCTAACTTTTTCAGCTTGTTGTGTAGGTCTTGTGGGCATTTATTTGTTTAATTGAAATAATGCTATTTTTGAATCATTTAATATCATCTTGACTGCCTGGGCTTTTTGTGTCCCAGTCTAAAATAATTCAAGAGATATAGGACATCTGCCTTGTAAATTACATAATCTTTTATATCTTTTACCATTGGGCAGTAGTTTTTAAAATTATTGAAACTATCTTCAATTATTCATTTCTAATATTGCGTATACTTTAAAACCTAACTCACAACCAAATGATCTCTTTTGGGATATTTTCATCCATTGTGACAATAATACATATTTTACATTTCCTCGATTTATAATTATTGTTATTTTTTTCATTTATTTCTTTAGTCAATCAATTAATTACTTAGTAAGTATTTATAGAGCTTCTAAAGCTCAAGCCTGCCGGGGGAATCATTCACATGGGAACAAAAACTCTGATTTACCCACATTTTCAATAAATCCTTCATCAGATTGCTGGTTCCTTGCCTGTGGTGAGCAGGCGTTGCTATAATGAAGTCCCAGAACAGTTTAGACTGGCAAAGGAACACTTTTCAAAGAACCTCGTGGGGCTTCACACTCAGCAGCTGGGGGAACTTGTAGGAATTGAGACCTTGGTAGATTTGTCTATTCTCTGCGTTGCTGTTTCTTCTACGAGGATAAAAATCTAAACCTTACTCACGTTAAAGAGATTCGTGTCTTTCTTTTTTTTTTGAGTTGGAGTCTCACTCTGTCACCCAGTCTGGAGTGCAGTGGCATGATCTTGGCTCACTGCAACCTCTGCCTCCTGGGTTCAAGCAATTCTCCTGCCTCAGCCTCCCCAGTAGCTGGGAGTACAGGTGCCTGTCACCATGCCCAGCTATTTTTTTTTTTGTATTTTTAGTAGAGACGGGGTTTCACTGTGTTAGCCAGGATGGTCTCGATCTCCTGACCTCATGATCTGCCCGCCTCAGCCTCCTGAAGTGTTGGGATTATAGGTGTGGGCCACCGCGCCCAGCTGAGATTCATATCTTTTATCTCGTGGTGCCTTTCTCAGAATCACATCCTCATCAGCCACTTGACAACACATGCTCAGGTTTTGCCAAAACACCATGTAAGTACTGGAAATACAATAGTATGGCAGACTGCAATAACCTCTCAGGAGCCAGGAGCATGCAAGATTGCGGTGCTTCTCCCTCTTTTGGTGTCAGGACCTCTTTATAGTCTTAAGATATCATTGAAGACCCCAAACAACTTTTACTGATATGGGTTATATTCATATTTACTGTGTTGAAAAATAAAGCTAAGTACTTTTTGAAACTGTATTCGTTGCTTAATTTATTAAAACAACAATAGTAATCCCATTACAAGTTAGGCCTTTGTAGGTGAGGCATGTAGGTGATGCTGTGTCCATTTAATTCATTTATGTCATTCAACAAAAATTGAGCATTCTACTCTGTGGTTTGCATTGAACATATAACAACAATTTTATGTTGTTCTATGCACTGGGTGTACAACAACATTAACATTTAACCTATGTTTTGGTTATGTTGCAATAAAACTGTCCTGTCCTATGTGCTGATACAACAATAATGCTACTCTCTGCAAAGCATATACAACACTACTATACTATTGTATGCACTGAGTACACATCAACAATACCACCCTGTTTGCTGTACTGGGTATACAGAAATTATTGGGCAGATGCCCTCTTGAAGTCCTTACATTTGATCCTTATAGATGGATCACAGGTGAAAGTTCAAGATGCTATTTTAAGAGTGAAAATACAAGAGAATCAAATTTGACCCACCTAGACTTGAAATGAAGATACTGATTTCCACAATGTCTATGTAGTTTGAGACAAAGAAACATCCAGAAGAGATTGGAAAAAAGAGAAAGAACTGTAGAGAAATCCTTCTAACCTACGAATTAGGGAAGGTGGGTAGTTGGTGAATAAAAAAAAAAGGAAGAAGAAAAATAAAGGGAAGGAAAAGAAAGGGAAAGAAAAGAAAAGAAAGAGAAAACCACAAAACTGTGAGTGAAAAATGATAGGAAATTATAAATATACATCATAAAAAGTTTATTTTATCTTAAATACATAAATGCACATTGAAGCACATGGAGGCACTGCTTTCTATTTTATTTTTTTAAAAGATAGGGTCTCGCTCTGTTGCCTGGATTGAAGCGTACTGGCACAATCATAGCTCACAACAACCTCAAACTCCTGCGGTCAAGGGATCCTCCTGCCTCAGCCTCCCTAGTAGCTAGGATTACAGGCAAGTGACACCATGCCCAGCTCTTTCTTTTTCTGTTTTTTTCTTTTCTTTTCTATTTTTTTTCTTTTCTTTCTTATTGTAGAGAAGGGTCTTGCTATGTTGCCTGGGCCGGTCTTGAGTTCCTAAGCAATCCTCCTGCCTCAGCCTCCCAAAGTGCTGGGATAACAGGCATGAACCATCACACTCAGCCTGCTTTCTTGATATGTAGTCTGGGTATTTTGATCTGATTGTTCAGATACTTGGAGTTCCACATTGTCTGCTTTATATGAACCATGTACATCATCACTCTGATAATTTGCAGATTTGATTCTATTAAAGTAGAACAAGAATTTAGACACTTGCGAAAGCAAAAACAGTCTTGGCACAGAATTCTTCCAGATTTTTATCATTTTTTCAATTATCTTACAATTTCCTTATCTGCAACAATTCAGTAGCACCTTCTGGGGGAGTAAGAAAGGGGAAAGTCTTTCTGCTTTTATTTCTACTCCTTACAAGTGTTTCCAAAGCATTCATTTAAGTATCTGTAGAAAATACAACCTCATTTTCATTTTTTTTTTTTAACTAGCTAAAATTTAACATTTCCTTCATTTATGAATATAGGCAAGAAACCATGGTGCTATTGGCAGTACCAGTGACTTTATTCACAGTGGAAATTACAGATACATTCGTATCACGTTAGAGTTATTACAGACATCTTGAAATATCAGTCTAGACATCAGTACTTCAAAATTATGGTCGTTATTAGAACCACTACCAGATGTTGTCAATTAATGGATAACGAAGTATGTGTATTACTATTAGCTACAAATTTGTTTTATAATTTTAAAAATGTTCTGATAAAATAATTTACTACATTTGTAGTTTATTGATTTTATTTTGTACATTTAAAAATACTAATCTGTGAAGGGGTTCATAGGCTTCTACAGACTGCCAAAGAAGTCCATGGCACAAAAAGTTATGAACCCTTTATCAATGACTATTCCAAAGAATGTTGATTTTGTTCCTGGGGATGTCAGAGACTGATTTCTCCAGTGACTATAAAGTATCATTTTACAGTCACATTCATTTATCATCACATTCATTTATCAAATAATTTGATAAATACTTGGTGAGTTTCCACTGCAAGTTAGATACTGAACTGTGTCCTTGGGATACATCAGTGAACCAAACAAAAATCTCAACCTTTGTGGAGTTTACATACTGGCGGGGAAGGCAGATGATAACACAAAAGATACATAGATTATGTAATAGGTCCAAAGCTAGAAAGGAAAGGTGCCAGGAAGGCTTTTGTTGCCATTTTAAAGGTGGGGTGCCAGGAAGGATTTTGCTGCCATTTTAAATTGAGTGGTCAGAGCAGGTCTCATGTACAGACTTGCCTATATAGGTGAGCAAGCCCGGAAGTCTCCAGATGGAATTTCCCAGGCAAAGGAAACAACTCAAAGCTCAGAGGAGGGATCATGTTTACTATGTTCAAGAAATAGCCAGAAAGACTGCGTGGCTGGAGCAGAGTAGGATGAGGAAGAAAAGAAGAAGGGAAGATCAGAGAACTAATGGAGGGAGGAGGAGAGTACACAGAGGTCTTTAAAGGCCATATAAGAACTTGGACTTTTACCCTGAGGTAGGCGAAGAATTTAGACACTTGCATTTCTTTTTGGGAAAGAAATGCCGTGATCTGACTTATGTTTCAAAAGGATCACTTATGTTTCTTTGTGGGCAATAGAATGGAAGGAGGCAAGGGTGGGAATAGGAAAACAGTTATAAGACGATTGCTAAAATGTAGCAAGTCTGACGAAAGTGATAGCCATGGAGGCGGTGAGGAGTAATTGGTCTCTGAATTATGTTTAGGGTAAACACAGGAAGACTTCCTGGTGAATCGGATGTGCAGTGGGGGGAGTAATAAAGAGAGGAAACAAGGGTGACTCAAAGATTTTTGACCTAAGCACTAGAGGGGTGAATTTTTCATCTACTGAGATGGAAAGCTTTGAGCAGCTCAGATATTTGGGAGAAGATCAGGAGTCACTCTTGAAAAGTTTGAATGATCTAAATGAGAGACTTTGAATATAGTTTTGGAGTCTGAGGCAAAGGAGCATCCAGGGCTGGAGATGTAAATTTGGCAACAAAGGGCATACAGAGGGAGACTGGATGAGATCCCCAAAGGAAGGAGAGTGGATAAAAAAAGAAACTACAATCTGGGGCAAGTCAGTCCAGGACTAAGAGGTATAAGCAAAGATAAATCATTCACAAAGTTCTGAGACTAGCAACCAGTGAATTAGAAAGCCTTACAAGCCAAAAAAAAAAAAAAAAAAAAAAAGTATCAAGGAGTGGTGTCATCTCTGTCAAGGGGCGTAAAATGTGAGAGGACCAAATGTGAGCCATGAGATTTAGCAACCTGAAGTTTATCTGAGACCTCAGTAAGAGCAATTTTGTTGAGAGTTAAGACCTGATTTCAGTGGGTCTGTGAGAGAATGAGAGGAGAGGAACTGGATAGAATTAATACAGACCCCCTTTCTAAATGTTTTTCTGCAAAGGCAAAGAGAAATGGAGTCATACCTGGTAGGGAGAGAGGGTCCAGTAAAAGGTTTTATTTCTGTTTTTTCTTGTTTTTGTTGGCTTAGTTTTTTTGCTTTTTAAGATAAATGAGTAACAATCTTTTGTGCTGAGGAGGATGACTCAAAAAGTGGAAAGAGTTGACAAGGTAAGAGATGGGAGAAGACATGCAGGGATGCCCTTGAGTGGGCCGCAGGGCTTGGAATCTGGTGCACATGTGAAGAGATTGGCTCTAGAAAGACCACAGACAATTCACCTTTCAAAACAGCAAGAAAAGCACAGTGAGTACACGTGCTTGTGGGAGGGTGAGCAGGTGCAGTAGTGAGAGACTGGGGAAATTCTCTTTTAATTGTTTCACCTCTGTCAGTGAAGGAGAAAAAAAGATTGTGCATTGAGAATGAACATGAGGGAGCAGGTGCTGGAGATTTAAAAGGGAGGTGAGAAAGGACAGTTGATTGGGAAAGAGATAGAATAGTGGCTCTCAAAGGCAGTCTCCAGATCAGCAGCATTGGTATCACCTGAAGACTTGTTAGTAATGCAAAAATCTCAGGCCTTACTTCCAGCTTGATGAATCAGGAACTCTGAGGTAGGCGCAGCAGTCTGTGTCTTAGCAAGCCTTGCAGGGATTCTGATGCACGCTGAAGTTTGAGTGTCACTGGAATGGATGGTGTCTATATGATTGCTGGGTCACTCCGCCTATCCTGAATGTCAAGAACATGCCAAGTGAGACCAGCCAGTATATTGTAGCTCTTTCTCCAGCCACAACCAGGTATTTCTTATGGGATGGGCAGAGAGTTGGATGTACAGGTTTTGATCATTGGTTTATAAGAGATAAATGGATCTGAACAATTACAATAATAGAGAATGTGATGGACTGAGTTGTGCTCCCCCCAACTCATATGTTAAAGTGATAACCCTCAATACTATAGAACGTGACTGCATTTGGATGTAGGACCTTTATGGAAGCAATTAAGGTTAAATGAGGTCATTAAAGTGGGCCCTAATCCAATAGGACTGGTGTCCTTGTAAGAAGAGATTAGGAAGCAGACAGGTACAGAGGGAAGATCATATGAAGACAAAGGAAAAAAACAAGCCAGATAGAGAAGTCTCAGAAGACGCCACCTTGATCTTGGACTTCTAGCCTCTAAAAATGTGAGAAAATAAATTTCTGTTGAATAAGCCACCCAATCGGTGGTACTTTGTTAAGGCAGCCCCAGTGAATGAATACAAACATACCAGAAAAAGGTTAAAAGGTCTGACTTCACTGGGTAGATTAGTACCTTGGCCAGCCACATGCTCTAAGTCCCTCTGTGCCCTTCTGTGAAGGGGGATGATGATAATGATAGCATCTACTCAAGAGCTGATATGGTTAGGGTTTGTGTCAACACCCACATCTCCTCTTGAATTGTAATCCCCAGATGTTTAGAGAGAGACCTGGTGGGAAGTGATTGGGTTATAGATATGGTTTCCCCATGTGTTCTTGTGATAGTGAGCAAATTCTCATGAGATCTGATAGTTTTATAAATGGTAGTTTTTCCTGCACTGACATACACGCTGTCTCTTTTCTTCCACCATGGGAAGAAAGTCTTTGCTTCCTCTTCGCCTTCCGCCATGATTGTAAGTTTCCTGAAGCCTCTCCAGCTGTGCAAAACTGTGAGTCAATTAAACCTCTTTCCTTTATAAATTACCCGGTTTTGGGCAGTTCTTTACAGCAGTGCGAAAACGGACTCATACAGGAGTTATTGTGGAGATTCAGTGAGGCAATGCATGGAAAGCCTCAGCTCAGTCCTGACCCATGATAGGGCCTCAAAAATGTCGGCATGAAAATGGCCACTACCTCAAAAGAGCATATGTGCTTGGTCAGGATGGCTCTCCCTTGTGAATCCACATTTAGAGCCGAAATTGCCAAGTCCCTGGGGGAATTGAGCTCTGCAGCTGGCAATTTGAGGCATGTGTTCCTGAGCCCCATGGCAGTGACCTTTTATCCTTCTTGGGAATTGATTTCTGAAGCAGCCCTAAAGGCCACAAAGCAGGGTTGGGACTCCTGGATTGATTTTCTATGTTGACATAGCAGGCCAAGCCCTGTCTGGTTTATAAACTGATGTTGTATTATTTCTAAGTCTCTTATAAAACTGAGCCAGGAAAATCATTCTTACAGAATTATTGAGTTTTCTCTTGTGTAGTTTGGGGAGCTGTGGAGGCAGGGGATGAGGGGTAGGGAGGAGACTAAGCAATTTCTTTTCTCCTCCCAATTTTGTATTTAGCCATTTCAAAGTGTCATCACACTGAGAAAATACTTGTTAATTGGCAATATGATAGTTTCTTATATAAGACCCAATCTAGGCTAGGGATGCTATTTACTGTGATTATCACTTCCAAGTGTGGTGCTTTGTTGTATATTTCCTCCACAAGCAGTTATTTGTTGGTAATGGATTTCTGTAAGCCAAATTATATCCTCCCTTTAAGGATCATTTTGACTGTGTATCTACAACACCCTTTTCAGAAAGGGCTAATTATTATTGACAGGGATGATAGAGAGACAAATTCTTCCTGTTCTGGGCAATTGAATAACCTCTTGTCCCAGTTTACTTCGTGCAGATTTGTCATTGAACTAGCATCCTTGAATTGTGTTTAAACTACAATAAAAATAAATGTGGGAAGTCTCAGTTTATGTAAAGGGCAGTACTCCCACAATCTCAAAGCTTTTTCAAAATTCTGCAAGTGTGCTGTTTGTGGATTCCACAGACTTTGTTCATAGAGTCACTCTGTATAAAGTAACCATCTGCAAGTGCCTTTTGTCCCATTAAATCAGAGAAACAAACTGGTGGTTTATAGTTGAATCAGTTCTACATACTTAAGAGCTTGGTCTATTTACTAGAGTTTTAGTGTTTTTCATTAGTGACCTTGATTTAATAAGGATCTCAACCTAATGTCTTTATGTTTGTTCAAAATTTTTTCTAAGACAATATTGGACTTTAAATTTTATTTATGATGTTTTCTGTGCTGAGTGCTATGTTTCATGTTCACAAATCTACTCATATTTTTATATATAAAGTGAAAATTTACATTGTTTTACCCTGTCTTTCCAAAAGCTAATAGTTATTCCTATATCCTTCTATTTGTCACTGATTTGAAAGGTCTCTTTTGTTATGTGGTACTTTCTTACATATGCTAAGTAATCTATATCAGATATCTGTTTAGTTCCATGATTTGTAGGTCTGTTCTCTTATCAATACCATTCTAATTGAATGATTGGAATCTTATAGTGTATTTTCATGTATGTCAAGGATAGTCCTCATCTATTACTCTTTGTTATCAAAATATTTAATTGTTTTCTGAATGGTTTATTATTCCAAATAAAAATTTTAACATTGCAATGACAAAGACAATACTCTTTAAGTATGAAATTTAGCAGGTAATGGAAAGATATCTGATAAAAGGTAATAGCTGTCTTGATTTTTCAGTCACACCTTCAAATCAAACACTGTTAATAATTTGGTGAGTGTACTGCCAGATCTTTTTCTATACATTTGCATATACTTGTTTCCAAAGTAGCTTGTGGTTTTGTTTTTACATGAATTACCGTAATGCACGTACTAATATTTTCAACCTGTAACTACTGAGCACCCACATGTACAGGCACCAAGACACATTGGTCACCAAAGGAAGCAAAAACTACTGGGCTTGTGAAGTTTCCATTCCAGTGGAGAAAAGCAGATGATGAGCAATAAGCATCACATATCAAATCATGTAACATCTTAGAAGATGGCAATGCGGTGAAATTGCACAGCAGAGGAAGAGGGGTGAGAAGTTTGTGTGTGTGGTGAGGAGTGCCGCAATTTTAAATAAGATGGCCAGGCAAGCTTCACTGAGAGTATTTGGGCAAAGACTTGTAGATGTTCCAAACTTAGTTTAACACTAAACATATGGAAGACTTTTCTTACCAGCATATGAAGAGATCTTCATTCTTTTAATTGCTCTTTAATATTCTATGGCACTTTAATGCTTTTTTCTTGGAAACTAAGAATACAGGAAATTTTTAAAACATGATGAACAACATATATTTACTAAACATAGAAATATGTTACTTAAGCTAAGAATATACATTATTTTTAACATTAATGAAATATCTGAAATAATTTACTAGACATTAGTCATTAATCATCATCTCAAGAAATTAAAAACAAAATACCAAATGGATATAATTCAGACTATATCATTAAACTACATGCGTAAATTTAGAAAAGAACAATGAATTAATAGCCAATTAAATCCATTTACCATAGAAATTAAAAAATGCATAACAGTGACAATAAACAGAGAATCAAAATTGGTGTTAGAAACTTTTTAAAAACAAACAGTGAGAATATTAACCATCAATCCCTCCGAGATACAATAAAAGCAATATTCAGAGTTAATTTCACAATCCCCAAAATGCTTAATTGAAAACAACATAGTTTAATATAAAGTATTGTACTCTAAATCAAGGAAAATAATAAGTAAAATGCAAGTAAATCAGAATTTGCAAAGAAAAAATTATGAATTAAACAACATTGAAAAGTATCTGGTAATCTGTACCAATCTACTTTGTAAGTTAGTTGAAGAAAGAAGATAAGGGGATATAATTACAAATAAAGAGAACTTTTTAAAAATAAAAAGAATAACATATATCATTTTTATCATATATGTAATCATTATACATGTAACGAAATATATGTAAAATAGCATATACATTTTAAAAAAATCTAGAATCCAGATGAAATGCATAGTTTCTAGAAAACTGTAAATTACTAACATTGACTCAAGAAAAGTAGATAACCTAAATAGACCAATTACAATACAAGAAACAAAATATAGTTAAAATATTCCCTTAAAGAAACATTAAAAAATTTAGTTTTATGGTGGCTGATTAAAATGACCATTTCTTATTTTTTTCTTTCAATTATTATTAAAAACTAACCAGAAAAATAAAAAGCAAAAAAGTTAAATTTTTGGTTGAAACCAGCAGACTACTTAAATCTCTGAATTGCAAAATAAGAAGCGAGCACCCCAAATCAGTCAAGGTGAAACAGGTGTGAGTGGAGAGAGACACTGGAAAAAAATGGTCATAACTTCAGAGCTCAGAAAATGTTGGCAAAGCATTCCTTTCTAACTTAAGTGGCACAACCTATTGCAAAACGGCACGTTTTTCTTTACAACAGGACCAAGGTCTAGGGACTCTTAGTGGGAAATTCCCTGAGTCTGATTCTGAGGAGAAATAGAGAGGGAAATCTTTATGGGCCATGTTCACAGATGAGCTGCATTTGCAGGTAGAGTATCAGTGAGGTAGAGGACATAAGGAAATTTCACATTGTGAGCAGCTCTGCAGAATTGATTTTGGTAGACTGGGGCGAAGTAAAATTGAAATAACATATATAATTCTGTCTTTTTAGACTTGAACATGTCTCTGTTCCCCTGCCACATTTTCTGGAAAGAGCTGGTCAAGGATTTTTAGTCAAATGAAAAAGGTATATTCTTAAAAACAACAAAAACTAGCATAGTATGTATTGTCATTTTTAAAGAGAACATAAAAACCAAATGGCAGTTACAGAATAATCTCTGGAAAACAAACCCGTTTTTCACAGAACAATAAAAGTTGTTCCTAAATGTATCAATGAAATTAAAATAAGACTTAAAGCAACTGCTTTCATAAAATAAAAGCACAAAAAATTCATGTAAGAGTTCAGGAAAGATATGAGAAGACTACGGAAAGAAATATGAGCTTGTAGAGTTTAGAAAAGTGGTGGATGATTCAAATGTATTTGAAAATATAATTCAAGAGGACTTATTTATAAAAGGAGATCTAAGTCTATATATTTAAAGGACATATTCTGTTAACACTACTGGACTTGAAATATAATAAAGGACTCCTCAAGCAGGCAAAAGGTTAAAGACCCTTCTAGGGGAAGAAAAATCAGGTCATCCTTATTAGCTCTACATTAATATAAAATGCTAGAGTCTTTTGAAGCAATAACCACAACCTGTAAAGAATGTGATCCCTAAATTTTCTACCCAGATAAACTGTAAGTCAAGTAAAAAGCAGTTGAAACTGTAAGGGAATACTACTTTTGCTTTTCAGATTGGCAAAGATCAACAAGTTTGATAATACACTATGTTGGCAAGAATATGGGGACACAGGTCAGGTGCAGTGGCTCATGCCTGAAATCCCAGCACTTTTGGAGCTGAGGCAGGCGGATCACCTGAGGTCAGGAGTTTGAGACCAGCCTGACCAACATGGTGAAACCCCGTGTCTACTAAAAATACGAAAATTGGCCGGGCGTGGTGGCAGGTGCCTGTAATCCAGCTACTGGGGAGGCTGAGGCAGGACAATCACTTGATTCTCTTGATTCTCTGCCTGGGAGGTGGAGGTTGTAGTGAGCCAAGATCGTGCCACTGCACTCTAGCCTGGGTGACAAGAACAAGACTTCGTCTCAAAAAAAAAAAGAAAAAAGAATATGGGGACACAGGTGTTCTATACATTGCAGGTGGGAAGATGCATTGGTGTATCTTCTATGGAGAGCAATATGACAAGACCTTTCAAAATTATATATACAAGTGCCTTTTGACTTGGGATTTTTCTAGGATTTCTAAGATTTTTTCTTTTAGAAATTCTTGCACAAAATTACAAAGATATAAATACAAGTATTTTCATGTAACATTTTGCTTATAGAAAATGATTGGAAGCAAATCCAGGTGAGGTGGCTTGTGCCTATAATCCTAGCTACTCAGGATGGTGAAGTGGAGTGGGAGGATAGCTTGAGCCCAGAAGTTCGAGACCAGCCTGGGCAATATAGTGAGACCCTATCTCAAAAAAAAAAAAAAAAAAAAAAAAGATTAGAAGCAAAGCGATACTTGTCAATATGGGAATATTTAAATACCTTATTGGTATTTACATGCATGACATAAAGAATACTTTAAAACAAGATAAACAAATTTCTATTGTAAAAGACTAGATGAAAACATTTTTGATCAGGAAGGGGCTGTTTGGCTCCTAGCTATACAACCAGATTCCTATAAAGGTCTTCCTTTTAATCTATGAATTAAGCTACTATAACTTGTCTCTTCACTTCATCCTAAATGTCACCCCTAACCCATGCCATCTTCCCCTAAGTACTCTCATTCTTTCTCTGTCTTCCAAACCCAAAAATCTCTGTCTTAAGAAAGACTTAAAAATTCATTTCTTTAATGTGTAAATGCCTCATGTGGCTTAATTTGTAAATCTTGGGATTATTTGCTGTTCAAGAGAAGGCCACATTTAAGTCAAAAGTATAAATATGTAGTTGTAGAGTCTCAGTATCAGCTTGCCTGTGGATGAACTGGTTTGTGGGTGGTAGGTGGTGGGGAGATGTAACCTTTCCTTTTGCTTTTCAAATCTTATATTCTGCCTACTTGTAATCCTGTCTTTGCTCAGAAAATAAATGTTTGCATACATTGGAAAATGAGATTTTTTTTCTTTGTTTTCTCTTTTTGAAGTTCTGTGAGGCTGTTCTTCCTTTCCCATGGGTATTTGTGCAGGGAGTTTGTTTGTTTGTTTTATGTCCCTTCTACCACATTAGTGTGCCACATTGCATTCTACAAGTGGCTTGGGAATTCAATATAAGATTTTTTCAAATTCAATATTTTGTGTGCAAATCATGTATAAGCATTCTCCTGAGAATTGTGAAGATCACTGGAGGTTTCGCCTGAGCTCTTCCCTCAGTTTAAGATTTACTGGTACCCTTCCCACCACATTTCCTGCAAATTCCTCTTTCACTGTCTACATACTTCTGTCTTTTAAAACACCAACTAATTTGTTCCCTTCTCCACGAAGCCTTTTTTTGTGGTTGTTGTTAAGTCTCCCCACACACAGAAATCTTTATCTGGAAACAAATGAACTCATACAGACCTTATTGAATGGGTCTATAATGTGATACTCTATTGAAAAAGAGCATACGTGTTCTCTCCCTCTGGGCTTGCTGGCATGAAGTTGGCAAAAAGTTTTAACGTTTTGTGAATATGCTTCTTTGATTACAATGTGTTGTGTTAAGGGATGTTTATTTCCTGAAACTCAGCAGTGTGTCTCCCACACACGTTTTGTAAGCACTATTGGGACAGTATTATATTAATATGTTTAATTCTTTTAAAACATAGATGCTTAACCCAATGCTTGCAAATAGGAAGCTACCCTGCTCCATCACAACCACATTGGGAAATTACTGATTTTGTGAAAATTTATCAAGTGGTTGAAGATGGATCAAAAAGGGGGAAATCTCACTTACACTTTTTTTCATGGAGGCAGGCATTCCCAAGTTCCAGATGAAGTCTGCTCCACTTCCTGTCCTGGGTTGGGTGGTCTCTTCCCTCCTTTCTGACTGTGGCCATCAGCAGCAGGTTGGCCTTATTCATTTAATCTCAAAATTTGGAATGCACATTCAGAAGCATTCAATTATTTGGAGTGGAAGGAATAGACTGTATGTTTTGCTCTTAAGATACCACTTCCCTACTTTTATTTCCCTCATACAATAAATGCCTTTCCTCTGTCATTTCACTGCCAGGCACAATGCCTCTTCTAGTCATGTGTGTGTGCATGCACACACACACACATTATTAGCTGGCTATACATGTAGAGGGCCAGTAGCTGGCTATGCATTCAGATGTTTCTGTTTCCTGTGCTGGCTCCCCGACTGGATTCTAAGCATTTCCAAGTGTCCAACATAGCTTTGTATCCCCTTCCCCTAGAACCTACATAACCTACCGCAGGCTTGCTCAGTGGTTGGTAGTTGTTATCAAGGAGGATGGTGCACAGTCAGGCTTTCAGAGAGGGGGAGTCAGGATGGCACAAGCATTCTGCTACAAGTGGCATGTGAGTTTCTGTTCCCTTCTGCTTTTCTGCCTTCCCACATGGGTTTCTAAAGTGACGCTGATAAATGTCAGAACTGATGGCTGGTCAGCTCATGGTGAATGTCATATTTTCTACTATAAACAGAAGCATTTATGAATAGAAAATGTGTCAGCAGCCCAGTATCTTCTCCTTTCTGTGCCTGAATCTCTTACAGAATGGAGTAGAGTTGTTTTATTTGACCCATCCTGGAAAGGAAAGGAAAGTGGCACTTTGAAGCTGCTTTTGCAATGTCAGAAAATACCCACTGGTCCACCTTGGCTAATGAAACCTGCTAGTAAAACGTTCTCTCCTGACATATCAAAATAGGACAATTTCCAAAATTCATGTTAGTCATAATTCAGTGGGTGAGATCTGTGTCTTAAAAGAGCTAGGTAAATTTATATTTGATAAAAACAAATATACAGAAGTAGCATTTTTGGGGGAAATATATTTTAAAATAATGGTTTCAACAGGTAGATCAACAGGTCATGCATAGTAAACCAATAACTATTATGAAATACCACCCACCCATTTTATAAACAATTTAAATAAATGTTTTGGCTATCAGCTGGTTTCCAGAAGACATAATGATTTCAATGTGATTCTGAAGTAAGATTTTTTAAAAAAACTGTTGGATGATCTCACACAAAACACAGTTCAGCTCTCTAATTTCCAGAGAAAACAGAAATCTCACTGGACTTAAAATTTATGGGTTTTTTTTTTTTTAGTTCATGGGAAGTTTGGTAATATCAGATTAAAATAAGATATAATAGGAGTGAGTTCTGTGCACAGTCCTGAAGCTTGTTTAATACTCCACATAAACAGCCCTTGTTGCCAGGGGATAACTTGGAAATAAAAGAAAGTGAGACCTACAAACCTGTCTTTAAAAGGACACTGCACACACCTTAAAATTATATCCTCCTGGAGGAAGATTATTTATTGAAATAATTATAGAAGTTGACACTTTTCTGAGAAAGTTAGAAAAGTTCCTTTGTGTTTTATTCATAGTAAAGGCAGTCTGAGAAAAAGGTCTCTGTTGACCTAGATTTGCTATTTTCCTGTATGCCAGTAATTCAAAGAACCCAAATTTATGCATCTGACACTATCTCATCACAAATAGCAGTATTCCTGAGTATGTATTCTTCAAGAAGTTCAAATCATTCCACACACATTTTCTCATGAATCCTCCCATACTATCATGTCCAAATTTCAGGGCTGTGGAAATTAAGATTGAGAGAGGTGGAGTTATTTACCCCCAAACATGTACTATGCTAATTAAGGAGCTTAGGCATGGAGTCCCAGAGTACTCTTTGTACTGGGTGGAAGCTCCATTCTTCCACACAGGACACTGGAAGGTGATCTGCATCAAGTGCCACATGTTTTAAATAACTGAGGTTATATTCTTAGGCCAACTACACATCTATTGAATTTATTTACAGTGGCCACAGTGTCTCATTTGGAAGATCAATACCTCACCAACACTGAGCCATAAAACATAAATTCTTTTGGATAAAAGAAAGCTGCTTCCCTATCACTTTATGGAACTTGGCTCTTAGCATCATGGACCTGCCATCTCTCCCATTGGCATGAGCTTTGATAATTTATTTTGCCAAGGGCAAGATTTATACACATGAACCACTTTTATTCCAATAATGAATGCATTACTTTCCCTCAAAGGTACAGGGAAAAATTACTATGAAGTCATTATTCTGGCTCAGCTGATGGGACTGGGGATGAGAAAATAGTCCTTTAAAGCTTGTTCAAAATTTTTTAGCTGTCTTGAAGCCCTCATTCTTTGTCAGGTATGGGAGATACACATGCCAGACATTCTAGGGAGAAGCCTTAGTCAATCTTCTGAAGAGAAGTCTTACCAATCTCCATTTGATCCTCCTATTGGAGAGGTTAAAAAGTATACTTCCCAAACTCCTTTGCAGCTAGAGTCATTTACATGCACTTGTAAGAGATTTGGAAATCAGAAGTGAGGCAGAGGCCATTTTTATGCAGCTGTAGCTACGGGTAAAATTTGACAGTTATGAAGTTTATAGTGGTTCAACATGACATTCTGGGGAGCCATTGGTGTGAGGAGGCTATGGTGGCTACAGTGGTAGGAACTGATAGCAGTAGCCACTGCCTGACTTTTGGATTTCACATATAATGGTATGACCTAGAAACTAAAAATTCAGGGGCAGTCCACTGACATCCATTCCTCCAGCCCTTCAAAAGACTTTCTAAGTGCACACTTCCCTGCATGAAATCATTTTCTGTTTGATAAGCTGGTGGTGGGTTTGGAACTTTACTGAAGCAGCTACTGTTCTTCCACTTTTAAGTGCTGAGGAATAGATAGTTGGGAGTTGGGTCATCATAGAGTAGAAGATTAGACATATAGGTTCAAATGCCGGTTTTTGAACCAGTATTTTCAAAGACTCTGAAACTTTGGTTCTATTTTCTTATCTTAAGAATGAGTCTACTAATATCAGCTTTATGGGAGTTTTGTGAATATTATGAGTAATAATGTATATAAATGCTGAATTAATTATATTGATTTGGTTTTAGTAATAACATTTAAAAATTATCTTACTAAAGCCAGTTTAAATCATAAGGAAATTGATCATCTCAAATATTGGGAGTTAATGTGCAGGATAAGCTCAAGGAATGATGAAATATGTGGCTCAATGATGTCAAAAAGGTTCAATGATTTAAACAGCCCGATGACTTTTTTTTTTGAAAACAAGATATTACTGAACCATAGCCATGTCATTCTGGTGACTTTTGCACTATAATGTCTGAGTCGAATAGTTGCTGCAGGAACCAAGGACCATCAGATTGGCAATGCTAAAATATTTACTATATGATTCTTTGCAGAGTTTACTGACCCTTAATATAAATATAGACATTACTATCTTCAGCAGTGATTTCATCCTAAAGATGAATCTCTTTATGGCCACAAGATGGCTACAGGCAGCCATTGGGCTGTAGATCGCCCTGTTTATAACTAGCAGAGGAAAGGGGAAGGTGGGAAGAGAATCATGTCCTCCAGGCATGGCTCATTTCTTTTCCTTCAATTCGATTGAACCAAATTAAATTACGTGGCCACCCCTGGACCAGTGGCTGTTGTAATGGGACCTGCTAAGCATGAAATGACTTAGACTAGACAGAATCTGACTCTAGAGCTACTGATGGGATGCTTACTTTAAAAATTTGGGATTCTGTAAGGAAGAAAGGAAGAAGAAATGGTGCTTGGGTCAGCAACACACATTGTCTACCACAACCAGTTAACAAAGTGCCTAGAAACGTGTTAGGTACTCAATCATTGTTCATTCCTTTGCCCAGCAATGAAGGTATCTTCTTGGCTCCAGTAAAATGAGCACCAGGCTAGGAGTTCAGAGACGTGGCATTTCATACTGGCTCAAGCTAAGACTAGCTTGTGACCTTGGAAAAAAAAGCCATTTAATTTTAATTTCTCCATTGCTATATAAAGGGCTGTGAATTAGACAATACCTAAGGGCTATTCTGGTTATTAAATAAAAGTATTCATTAAAAGATCTATATTTGTCTAATGCGTTAGAGTTTCAGAGTTTTCAGTTGCTCTCTGTATACATTACAAGGAAATTTTTTGCAACAGTCCGAAGAAGAATGCCCCAAAGATGTAAGATTGGAGTGTGTGCTTACTTCTTGATAGCTGCACATCCTTGCTGGGACTGAATATCAACCAGAGGTGGGAGATGAACTCTGCCATGGAACATCTCATTCATTCATTCATTCACCACATGTTATTCAATGTGTAGTATGTGCTAGACACTAAGCTAAATGGAGAAGAGGCTCTGATTTCAGTGTCTACATTGAAATGGGGGATGAGGAATTGTCAGTAACGGTGCAAGCAGAACAACTATTTCAGATAGTGACAGAGTGCTATGAAGACAATAAAGCAGGAGAATATAAGAAATGATTGTGAAAAAAATGACTGTGGAGGTTATGTCATGTCAGGGGGTCAGGGCAGACTTCTATCAGAGAAGCTTTCATCAGTTAAGATGTGAATGTATAAATCTGGAGGAATAACATCTCTTTCCCTTTTATGTATTTTGCCTGATTTTTAGGTTTCATTGATATGGCTATAATTTTCCATTTCTTTCCTAAGAGTTTTCTCTGTTGAGAAGCTTTTACAAGCCTTCCCTTGGGAAAATGTTATGTGTTGGAAGAAGGAAGACTGGAGAAGAAGAAATTTTAAAATAGTTTTTGAGTTATTTCAGAATTACAGAGCTATGTCTTCTAAGGTTGTAAGCTCTTCTTCAGCTGTTACGAGAGTTAAGCTCATATTTTCTAATTTTGGAAGCATATTTTAGGCAATAGAAACTGAAGTACCCAGAGACCTATAGCAATATCTTTATATGCCAATCAAGTTGCGTGAAGAGGTACAGAAACAGCACCCCAGATTCACCACTCCTGGGTAAAGTGACTTTTCAAGCTTCAGAGAAAAAGAACGAAGTACTTCAAGAGGCAGCAGCAGTATCTTCCTGCTTGGAGTCTAAACTGAAAATAGATTCCTTATTTGTGCAGGGATATAGCACTTCTGGTATCTCCACTCCTCTGTCCAACCATAGCTGATGATGTTACTGCTCAATTAATCCTTTTGCCTCGATAACAAGTGTCTTATGCTATGTTTACTAAACCCTCATTCATGTTTCCTATCTTTGCTTCCCTAAAACCTTGTTTCTACTTTTGAATGTGTTTTTCAAAGCAGCTTATAAGCATTTAGACTTTTGAATATGTTGCTAATGCCACACTTCTTAAAAAAAACAAAACAAAACAAAAAACGGGTTAATCTGGGAAATCCAAAATTGGTATAGGAAAGAGTAATCCTGCCTTCAGGTGAAATTGACCCAGTTAATGTTTGTAATGATGGGTTTGCAGGGATTTTATAAAAGTCAGTTTGTCTTATCTGTGTCTGGTATATATGGTGGTGAGGTAAATGATTAATTCAATTGACTTGGTGACTCTCTCCTCTGCCCCAGAAAAAAAGTCAACCAGTTTTGTATCACTGCTTCAATAACAAAACTCTGAAAAAAGTCACTTTTTAAATATGTGAATGATGAAAATGTGTTTTGAGATTGTAAAGCCCAAAACTTTTGAAGAGAAAAATACAAAAGATGAAATTGATTGGGAAATAATATAACTATATAAGTAACATAAACAAGCAGTAATAATACAAAGATATTTTGCATAGTTACTTCAGGCTCCACCAGACAAAACATCAGTCATATAAATAAATTCTTTTAAAATTATAAATCCAGTTGATCCTAAATCACACCTTCCTGTCTTGGTGCCTACCACAATCTCCATATTGACTGGGGGATCTGATAGAGAGATTTTGAATAGATATGCCCATAGAAAATGATCGTGATTATGAAATGATGATGTGAAATGATCAAGAAAACTGAGGTTTAAGGAGAGTCCAAGTAACTCCTTCAAAGCCACTTAATCCATTCAAGTTGGGTTTCAAGCCCAGGTCTGCATAGTCCTGAGCTCTCTCCACTATAGCAGGATACCTGCTTTACTAAACTTTTGCATCTCCCATGTTTCCTTGCACATGTTATCACAGTTATTTGCTGATTGAATGAAATAATGACAATACACATCACAAATGAATGGAATTATTGAGTTATCCTTCCAACTCCTAATCCTTAATTATTTTCACTGTAAGTGTAACAGTCTAGATTGATTCAGTTAACTTTCTTCAAAGGGCCAGAACATTGAATATTTTAGGCTTTTCCAGCCACACAATCTCTATCACAACTTCTGAGCCCTGTCCTGGTAGTGTGGAAGCAGCAACTGGACAATAGCAAATGAGGAGACATGGCCGTGTTCCAGTAAAACTCTACTTGCGGCCGGGTGTGGTGGCTCACACCTGTAATCCCAGCACTTTGGGTGGCTGAGGTGGGTGGATCGCCTGAGGTTGGGTGTTTGAGACCAGCCTGACCAACAGGGAGAATCCCCGTCTCTACTAAAAATACAAAATTAGCCTGGCAGGGTGGTGCACACCTGTAATCCCAGCTACTCAGGTGGCTGAGGCAGGAGAATCGCTTGAACCTGGGAAGCAGAGGTTGTGGTGAGCCAAGATCGGGCCATTACACTCCAGCCTGGACAACAGGGCAACAAAAGCCAAAGCCAAACTCCATCTCAACAACAACAACAACAAAAAGCTGTGTTTGCAAATCCAGGACCACCCTGTGGGCCTATTTGATGACCCCTGGTGTAGATATTGAAACTAATCCACTGTCTGTTAATAACGAGCACTTTCTCCTGAGTGTAGTTTTGGTGACTTGCGGTACTTACATCCTGTTTATGTGTAGGCTGTGCTCACCTTGGTTGGAATTATCTCCGTATGTACCTTTCTTGGTATTTGTGACTGTTCCTCTTATGGCCTGTTAACTGAAATTATGTGCAGCAATTACAAATTACAGACTACAAAGGATTGCAATTGTTCTTAGGACTATTTACTCTGTGTTATTCTTTTTAACAAGGCATCAGTTAGGATAAATCCCTCCCCTCACTTTAAAGTAATGCCTCCTTATTAAAATTTTAATTCTCCAAGTGGTTCTAATCTCAGTTGATCCTCAACAGTTTCTTCATCAAAACCCCCTTCACTACATCCAGCATTCAAACTAGGATGGCATTTTTTACTGGTCTTTTCTATTTTTCTGTATGACTCCCTAAAAGCAATACCCAGTTAATTGTCACCCAGGCAACCAGTACACTTAAATCACCTTCTTTCTTGCCCCAATCCTACCCTCAGAGAAAAAGATGCACATCCAAAAGCCTCATTTGAAACTTCCAGACAGAGAGCCCAGCATTTGGAGAGTCTCTTTGGACAGCTTTAAACACAATTACAGAAAAGAAAGCAATGTGAGTAGGGGACAGAAATGGAAGGTAACAAGTAAGTTGAGACACCTGTATCTGCTAGCATTTTTACTCTCCAGAACGCGTTTTTAATGTCTTATTTGATTTGTCCCATACAGCTCTCTGAAGTTTGAAACCTTTGATATTCAGAAAACGTGAAGACTCAGAGAAGAAAAGTGATATGTTAGCATGCTTTGTAAATAGTATAGCCAGGACTCCTTTTATATAAAAATCCATGGTACTTTCTATTTTTCCCATGGGTGAATTTTAGCCAAAGTTTCAATATTAAACCTGAAATCATCAAAAAGACTATGGTAAAATTAGACGTACAGGTGACCCTTTAACAACAAGGGCTTGGACAAAGGGGGTCCGCTTCTATGCAGATTTTTTTCTGCCTCTGCCATCCCTGAGACAGCAAGACCAATTCCTCCTCTTCCTCCCACCTCCTCAGCCTACTCGGTGTGAGGGTGATAAGAATAAAGACCTTTATGATGCTCTACTTCCACTTTATAAATAGTGAGTATATATTGTCTTGTGATTTTAATATTTTTTCCTCTAGCTTACTTTAATGTAATAGTGTAGTATATAATACATATAACATGCAAAATATGTGTTAATTGACTGTTTATGTTATTAGCAAGGCTTCCAAGGAACAGTAGGCTATTAGCAGTTAAGTTTTGGGGGAGTCAAAAATTATACACAGATTTTGACTGTACTGTAGGTCAGCCTCCCTAACCTTCGCATTGTTCAAGGGTCAACTTTGTATACATATCTAATTTTGAGATAATACACTGTGGTTAGTATATACATCAGTACTAACCATAGTGTATTATCTCAATATTTGTTGAACAAATAAAACTACATATACTTGTCATGCCTAGTCTTGTTTCTATAGAAAAAAAAAAGATTTTCCTTGTAACTCTAGGCACAAAATATGTCTTGCTATATCACAGGGGGTAGCATCTTACCTAGTGACATTGGAACAGTCTCCAAAAAACAGTGCACAGAGGGGTGCAGACAGCCTAAACTTGGTAACACATAAGGAAAGACACTGTATACCTCTGAGTAAATGAATGGCACATGTGTTACATTGTCTCCTCCCATGTTCTGGCAGGGATTACACTACTTGCCATGAGCAAAAAAGGAGATGGTATAACGTGAATGCCATTTATTTGCTATTATGATTTTTTTTTTTTTTTTTTTGAGACAGAGTCTCGCTCTGTCACCCAGGCTGGAGTGCAGTGGGGCGATCTCGGCTCACTGCAAGCTCTGCCTCCCAGGTTCATGCCATTCTTCTGCCTCAGCCTCCTGAGTAACTGGGATTACAGGCGTCCGCCACCACGCCTGGCTAATTTTTTGTATTTTTAGTAGAGACTAGTAGAGACAGGGTTTTACCATGTTAGTCAGGATGGTCTCGATCTCCTGACCTCATGATCTGCCCACCTTGGCCTCCCAAAGTGCTGGGATTACAGGTGTGAGCCACTGCGCCTGGCCACTATTATGAATTTTAATACTAGAGAAGTCCTGTGTTAACTATTTACTAAGTGTGTTGACAGCATTCTTTGTGATTTACCACTTCAGAATCCTTAACACAGCACTCAGCTATCAATGCCCAACGAATAAGATTTTGCATCAGAGTGGAAATCTGCTCACCACTCCTTTTGTAGATGTTCTAAATTGGGTACCAGAAGTCAATTGTCTCATTATTAAGATGGTTTCTAAAGTGATTCATTTTTTTGACACTTGACTGTTAGTTGAGGTCTAGCTGTATGGTGAAAAATGTTGATGAAAAGTGTTGTCTACAGAGAGGATAGTCAACTTATATTAACTGTGAGTTATACTAGGAGCAATACTTAATTCATTTGGACTTTATTTGGTCATCTGCTTTTTATATTTAATTTCATTTCTTTTGCCGGGATGAAGTAAAAACAACAACCATGAAGTTCAGTCTCATTTATTTGGCTGGACATGGCATCTAGAGATAAAATGAGAATAAATTATTTTCCATTAATCTTATTAATGGCTTATTCAAATGATTCCCTTATGTTTTACAATTTAATTTCTTAAGCAGTATTCTGCAAAAATCTAGTTCCAAATTTATTTTAGAATTATAAGGCATTTCTCAGAGACATTTTCTGTTTGTTACCTGTTTCATGTTTGTGGTTCAATTTCTATTTTTGCTTTCATCTGTGTTTCTATTTTTGCTTTCATCTGTGTTCTATTTCGATATAGTCATTAGAGATAACTTGAACATGGAGAGTAAGTAGCCTAGCAAAATGTGAAGAATCTTGACACTGAAGTCAAATAGAAAAACTGAATTTGAGCTTTGTGACTTAATACAGTTACATAGTATGTCTCCAACTTAGAAATCAGTTATTTTCTAAAAGTTTCCTAGTGAATTCGTTGTTTGAACATTGTAGTTAGATTTTTAAAACTAATTTCTAAAGTCTAATTACCATATAATATAGTTTGAGAGTTTATATGTTATGAGAAAAAGGCAATTGCTATGGTCTGAATGTTTGTGTCCTCACCAAATTCATATGTTAAAATCCTAACCCTCAAGGGGATGGTATTAAAAGGTGGTTACTTTGGGAGATAATTAGGTCATGGGGTCAGAGCCCTCAGGAATGAGATTAGTGCTCTTATAAAACCTGCTCAAGAGAGACCCCTCACCCCTTTGACCATGTGAGGACACAAGGAGAAGGCACTATATATGATCCAGAAAGTGGACCCTCACCAGACACCAAATCTGCCAGTGCCTTGACCTTGACCTTCCCAGCCTCCAGAACTGTGTAAAACAAATTTCTGTTCTTTATAAGCCACCCAGTCTGTCATATTTTGTTATAGCTGAATGAACTAAAACAGCAGTAGTATGGTAACATAATAATTGAATAACATAGTATTTTATTTATTTTGAATATGTATGATGATAAAATATTCACTTCAAGAGGAAAAGAAATAGCTGAGATAGTTTATAAAACTTCTGAAATGTAATTTAGGATATTTCTAGAAATGTTTGAGCATAAAACTTTTTTAAAATTTAATTACATTTGAAAACATGAATGTGTTTTTATTAGCATTATTCTTAATATTTTCTGCTCAAATCAGGGCCATTTCTGAAATATGTAGGAAAAAAACAGGAAAAGGAATAGAAATTTCAGTCAGGCAATTGGAGAAGAGTTGGAAGTGAGAAAGAAAGGTGAAAGATGATTAAAAATATTTGTCAATTTGCCTCAGGTGAAATCAACAAAGTTTTAAGTGATGAAAGTCAGAGGGAAAAGCAGAGCATCTTCAATATACAACACCCTTAGCTGAGAAGAGAGGAGGTGTTGAGAGAAAGATACTGGATTACAGTTCACAGTACAGCCATGGTTGATATCATTGGCCTAGGATGAGCTGCTATGTCTCAAAAGAGTGATGAGGATATTTTAGAAGCCAACAGAAATGACTACATATTAACTGTTCACATCTAATGAATGTGTCTAGCAGTTAAGCTTCGTAACCCATTAAATGTCTGCATTTCTAAAGACACACAATGAATAGATCAGTTAGTATTTTTGTGCATCTATGGAAGAATTGGGGAGTAGATCACTTAAGGCCCCTAGTGGGGCCTTAAAAGAGTTAGTTTGCCGACACCTAGGAAAATTCAGTTTGTCACCAAACACATTTCCAGGTTAGGTTGATTTACTGCAATGTTGATATCTTCTTAAAATTTTTTTACTCCACCACAGTTTCCTTGGTGATGACTAGTACTGTTCAAAAGCTTTCATCTTTTTCTCCAGAACAAAAATCTGGTGTTTGTTGATGAGTTTATTATCTATGGTCCAGTATAAACTTACTGAGGTGCCCTTTGGTTGTCCCTATGTTTCTTGGGAACACCAGGCAGTTGTCCAGCATGAGTGGCTGCATCTTTCATGTGTGATTTACAGGAAAATTTCTTCTAAAATATCACAGACTTACATCACATCTGCCTATTGCAATCATTCTCTGTCGACTTTTACTGCCTCTAATAAGCTATTTATGAATAATCTAATAATTCAGGTAAATATATGATTAAATTTCTATTCATTGCATTCATTTTATTTCATATACTCTATGTTTCATGCAAAAATACGTAGAGAGATATGATTTATGTGCATAAGTATCTTAAGATAGTGAATATAATCTAAATTAATTTTGTTAAAAAGAATCTATACCTGCTATCTTGGTAGTCATGGTTCATCTTCTAATAATCACCTCCTTATTAAAGCAAAAAGTAAATAATGTGATTTTGTTCAAGTCTAATTATTTTGAGCCTGTTTTCTGGCTGTGAAGGCTCAACAGTGAAATGGTCTCGACATGCAGAGCACAGCTTCCATATTATATTTTATTTAAAGAATTTTTGAACAGTCAAGAACAGCAAGGTCTTGAGATAGATTATTTCTTTCACATTTTCTGAGCAGAAGCTTCCTTTAAAAAAAAAAAAGAACAGCTCTAACAAAATAAACTCAGAGAAGCAATGCCTTCTTATCTCAGTTACAAGTTGTTAACTTAAAGATATAATTGTATTTCCGTATGTTGTAAATAAATGTTCTAAAATGGTGTGATGAAGAAATTTTCCTTGGTATAGTTGGAAGACAGGAATTATTTTTATTAATTAAATATAACTGGATAAAAGTAGAGGCTGTATACGCAAAGTAAAATATGGATTGACCAAGCAGGAAATGATTTACTAGTGCTAAACAGATACTGGAGCTTTCAAAATTTCTAGGGATAGGCAGGAGTGTCTGTGGGTTGACTTTGTGTGCCTGATGCTTATATCAGGGCAAATGATGGAATTCTCTTTGAATAACATTAGGATAAGAGTTATAGGGGAAGGGTGAAGCCAGTTGGGAGTAAAAGCCAGTCCCAGATGCTGCAGCTTCTGCAGCAGCTAGATAGGGCCACCAACTTAGCAAGGATTAGCCTACTTTCCCCAGATTTTTCCAGCTGGTGTTAATCCATTCTGTGAGCTGCAGAACAGAGCTTCTGCTTAAAGACTCTTGAGCTTTTCTTCTTTCTTATTTAGCAAGTGAGTAGAAAGAATGAACACATCTTTAAAAAAATACCTGATAGAATTTGGTTTAATAGCTCTTTAATGATAGTGATCATTTATTTAGTGAACGAGATAGTGTTCTTCCTGTTCTTATTATTCCATGATTTACTTAATAACACAAAGAACCATATTGTTGTCACTAGGAATAATTTTAAAGTCCCTTAATGGTGATGGAATGTCTTAGACATTAGCATGATGCCCTGAGCTTGCAAACCTTTTCTGTGGAAATATGGATGCCAATGAGCAAAGAATGAAAGCCTTTGGAATATGTAGGCAACTACATCATGTGATTTGGAGTATGCTAGAACATTTCCTTAATTTTCCTAAATCGTTTTGCCAGCTGATGCTGAGTCAAAAATTCTACTAGTGAAGAAAAATATCCTTAGTTTAAAACTTTATTTTATATTAAAATTCTATCTTCTTGATTTTGGGGAAGCGAATTATTTCTATTAATTGTATATAATTATTATTGGTAGAACTAATAATGATAAAAATAGAATCATGTTTCAAGTGCTTTGTCATATGTCAGTCACTGGGCCCAATTTTCCATACACCTAAGTCTTTATGAAGACAACAATAAAGAATGCCCAGGTGGAGGAGAGGTTCTTCTTATCCCCATTGCATAGTTAGGGGTATTACAGAGCATTGTTAATCCCCACAGTTTAGGCCACACCATTAGTGATTAAAGGCAGAATGTTCATCCCCAGAGCCCCTTTCTTTTGATCATTGTGTGCCTTGTTTATTACCTAGTTTAATCATTTAACATTGGTAAAGATAATGTCCTGTGAGAATATGAGAATATAAGAATATAATTAGAATGTAAGAATGTTCCTGCACTGGCTCATGCAGTCTCTTCCACCATTGTTTTTGTCAATTAAAATCCTTTATAATCATCCTTCCAGATCAGTTCAAATGTTACAGGCATCAGGAAGTTTGCCTCAGTCCCTCCCATCCATTCTCCTCTCATTGTTGGAGTTCTTTCTTTCTTTGTGCATTAAGAGGATGTGATCTGTGCCCAAATTATAGCACAGCACATTCAGTCTTACTTGATCCTGTCTATCCCATTGCTGAGCTTGTGTATTTGCTTAGGAGCATAAATTGTGTTTGCCATCTTTGAATCCCCAGCCCCTAGCTCTCCTACCTATTGTAGGTACACAACTATTGAACATGTTTTAATTTGTTCCACAATATTGAGTAGAGGGAGTGCAATATTTCTTGATCTTCTCTGAGCTACACCCACCTACAAGTGGAAAGTTAAATCAGTTGGAAGTGCAGGGGAGAGAGGGACACACACACACACACACACACACACACACACACGAAGCTGGCAACAAACACACTAATGTCTGATGACTCTACATTTTTGCTAAAGAGCACACCAGAAGAAAAACTTGTTAGTTTGGTTCCCTGGGGACAAGTGGCATACCAAAGAGATTAAATGACCAGATCTGGAGTGCTTTTAGGCAGAGGAGGGGGCCACTCTAAATCTCAGTTCTCTAATTTGTTCTAAGAATTAGAATAGAAAATACCTGGCATTTAAAAAGATATTTTAGCTGTAATAGTCATAGTGTATTCTTACTGCACAGATGACTATAGGCAAGATTCTTAGCTTTACTGAGCTTGTTTCCTCATGTCTAATCTCCTCCTGGAGTTTCTCATACTTAATTTTGAAATATACTGTTTATAACTGACACAAAGTATCTGCCTGATGAATGATTCTGGCTTCCCCTTTCTCTGGTCCCAATTGAATATCCCTCAATGACTATTTTAAGCAGAGAAAAAAAAAAACAGTTATCTTAGGAAGAAGTTGCCCTTTTTAAAATAGCCACATTTTACCTTGTGCTGGATTTACAGCCAACCTTTGACAGCTTGCTTTGCTCTGATTTTTTTTTCTGATTATCAATTTGTTTATTTTTTAATGACAGCTTAACTAACTGTATCTTAGACAAAAGAAAAATATTGTTTAACATTGTTTCAATGGCCAAGGAATATATATACCAATGTAACTTGGCTATATTACAGCATGAAATATGGGCTCTTTAGCCATAACATACTTCCACTCATGAAGTCACACTCTGTAACCTTCTTTCAGAAGAAAATCCAATTTGATTTTTAGTAATATGCCTCCAAGGACTAAACAGTAAATTTCGCAGAAAATTTATTACGTGAAAACACGATCCAATAGGGTCACTTTCTTTAACAAGTAATGGCAAAAATTTTAAAAAAAGACAGAAAGATTGTAAGAGTTCATTAGTTTCAAGCAAGATTGTTTATACATTGTTAAAATCTTTGTAAACCGCTTTTTGGTGGGTGATAATGACCCCTTCATTTGTGGAATTTGGAGATAAAATGGTTGGTGTTTGGTATGTCATAAAGGTTATGAACAGAATGAACATAGATTTGCTCATCAAATATCAAAGTATTTGAAAGTTTATATAACTTTATGGATTCCTAAGATGTTTGTAATAGAAACAAATGAGGATTGAGGCACATACCTGACCTTTTGAAGTTAACAAAAGGATAAACTCAGTTCTCCCACAAAACATTGCAGAATGTACTTGTCAAAGTAAAAAATGTACAGGGTAGCCCATCTGTCTGAAAACAATCTCTTTTTAAAAATAGAAATGAAATAATTTTTAAAAAGTGAAAACAATATTTTCTCTTGCATGTATAATTTGCAATTCTTAAGGGAGGGGGACCCCTATGTGAATTATAGCAGACCTTCAATGGAGGCTTGTTGAGTAAATGAATGAATGGAAGGAAGAATTGAGGCAAACTTCAGCAATAGGAAAGCAAGGTGATCCTGTGGATTATCATGTAATATTCCAATTCATAAATCTCAAGCAGTGGCAGCAGTTCCAATTAAACCACTTACAGGTATTATTTTATTGCAAACCAGAATGATTGCTGATAAATCAAGAAGGTAAATCTTACAAAATGTTTACAAAAATTACATGAGGTATGTAATTTGGATGGGGAATTGATGCATGTTGACATTTGCTTTTGCTCTTTATTTTTATTCATTTATCTAATTCGTTAATTTTATTTACTTTATTTACCATTGTTTTTACACATATTTTCTTTGTCTGCCTCTTGGCTGTTATCTATTGTCTTCAGGCAAAGCCCACGTGGCATGGCTGAGGATGTTGCCCCCACTAAGTTGCTGGTTGCAGCAGCTACTAGAAGAGCTAGTAGACTCGTCATCTGGTCAGACTATTTGCTAGTTCAAATGGACACTGCCTGTCTCTCACTGTCTTTTTCTCTAAAGAAAACATTAAATTTACTGAAAACTTGAGATTTAGAAAGGTTGGAAAGGCTACATAACACAGGACCTTAGATTTGGTGGTTGCATATGGTACATGCAAAAGGCTGCTTAATTATGAAATAATGCCAGAGTGCTACTTGAACCATTTTTTCCTGGAAGGAAACTTCAAATAAATGTCAAAAAGTTATCAATTATTTAATGCAAATTCCATGAGTTCACCTGGGTGTGTGTGGTGTCCTTTAAGGAATAATATTCAAAAAAGAAGCTCATCTTACAAGCAGTGGGCTTTGAAGGTCTCCTTTTACTTTCGTTTTAGTTTACTAAGACACTGTGTCTTTTAGGTTCATTCCTAAGTTTCCTTTGCTGCATTTTTCTTTGTAGCATTATCATCAATCCACCCAGACTGCGGCATGAGGTCTATGTTTACAAAGTACTAATGCCTTCATTTGGGCTCCCAATCTTTCTTTCTGATCTTCATACCTGCTGTTACAGACAAAGTCCAGCTCTTTAAACAATAGAGTTTCAGACAAACATCTGTCTCCCCTCAGAAGCATTTCTTCACAGTCCAGATAGCCAGGAAGCCATTAAATTCCAAATCCAAGGTTGCTTCCCAGGACAAAGCGTGAAGCCAGAATCTCAAATCTATAGTCTGTTCACATTTTCAAGTGAACATGGTTGCCTTTTAAGGAGAGGCTAGTGTCTCTGAAAAACTTCACTTAAGAATTAATTGCATATATGAATCAAAAACAGACTAATCAACAAGTAAATGTTGAATTTTTCATAGGCTTTTGGCAATTGTTATTATAATAGACATTAAAAGACAAATGCATCTATCAGTCCATTTAAATCAGTGTTATTATCCATATTGACTTACAAATATTAAACACATCTTCCTGTAAAACATAATAACATACCCTGTTTTAGAACTTTTTGAAGGTCCGTGTGCAGCTGAAGAAATGTTCGTTAATGCTTCTGGTACTTATCCAGATCTGAGCCAATAAAAGTTAGCTTATTTATAAACAATGGTCCCCAAAACTTGCCTTTCCAGAATTACAAATTCTACAATGAATCATCTGTATTGTCTGATATATTTTCTAAATTTAGGATGCAATTCATTATCTAAATCCTTGCATATTTCAAGACTTCTGCCCTTCGTTCTTTAGTGTGTAAATGTAAAATAAAAAGTCCCTAAATGCAAAGCACAATGTAACATGATAGAAACCTCTTTGTGTTAGAAAATTACATGTCAGAACTGGGTAATCTATAATACCAATTAACCAGCAATGATAATTATAAGTTCTTAAGAGCTAGCAGATTTGTTGCTCTTTCTTAGAGATGATTTTTTTCATGTACTTTTGACATTTTTCCCCTTACCTTATTTTGTAAAGTCCGCTTTGTGAAAGACACAAGACTATTGATAACAATAGATGTTTTAGGAATTGGCAAACTTTTAAATCCTAGATGGAATGGCAGAATAGCCCCTCAAGGAGGGAATGGACTTTATTTATTCTTGGTGAGTTCCGAATGCACAAAAATAAAGGGCTTGCCAGTTGCCAGTGGGAAGTGAACATAATTATGACTTCACAGCTGCTTTTCCTAAAGTAAAGGGAGAGAAAAAAGGAAGAGTCATACTTTTTTTTGTACTGTATCTAAAAAGAATATGCACAAAGGGAATATTTTTATGCCAGATATAAGAAGCCATAATCAAAGTAATACTGTACTACCAAACTTATGCCAAGAAATTCAGAAATCTTGACTTGGCGGACTGTAAATCAGAGATATGCATCTATAGCACTCTAGTAATTAGAGCAATGTGTGGAAAATTGAGGTCCTAAAATATATTCCCAATAGCTTGTTTCCCCTGATGAAAGTGGAGTGATCTTTCAGCAAAATCGTCATCATCTACTATACTGGTTTGACATTTGCAAAGCTCTGTTCAGATAATTCAAAACTTGGTGGATCTGACTCTACAGTGTGTGGTCTTAAGAAATGGCTTTTGGAAAGTTTTGTTTGGGAACTTGAAAATTACACTGCATACATGCTATGAGATACTCAAGGTAACCAGTTACATCTGCCAGGGCTGATATATTGTTTAATGTAGAACAGTTGTTGACAAATTTTTATGTAAATAGTGAAGTTGTAAATATTTTAGACTTTGCGGGCCATATAGTCTCTATCCCAGCTATTCCACTGTGCCATTGTAGCATGAAAGCAGCCTAGACAATATTTAAATGAGCAAGCAAGACTGTATTCGAATAAAACCTTACTTACAAAAACAGACAGCAGTTGTATTTGGTTCTAGACCATCGTTTGCAGACTCTTGATCTAGAAATTTCTAGTCATAAAGCTGGACTTGCAAAAGCCAAATAGTTATTGGAATCTTTATCAAAACGGAGGTCTTTTTTTAATGCCAATAGAGCTTTTAAGGATAATTTAAACATATGGATGTTTTCCTCAAGATGTTTTGTCAATTAGTAGTGGAGAGGAGGACACCAGCAAAGAGCAGTCCTTTATCAAAAACACTGCAAAAATACTTTGGTTACTTGCTTCCTTACAAAATCATTCTATCAAGCAACTGCATGCAGGAACTTAGATTGAACACAAAGCTCCAAATATTTTTATCTCTATTGATCCCTAGCAGACGTAACAGAAAGAAAAGATGAACAGTCAACCTGATTTCAATATAGATATTTTGTGGCAGCAAGAAAGGAGATGCCAGTTGAATCACAATTAAATGTGAATCTGCTTGAGGCAGCCTCATGAAAAAAAATAATCTTTTAGTCTGCCTCCTACATTCAGAGGCTACCTCAGTCTTCTGAAGAAATGTTAAATTATCTGAGGGATAACTCTAGGTGAGTCAAGGGTGATACCTTTCCCTGGGTCTTCCAGTAATCTGCCATTGACCTCTATATGCCACTTAACTTCTATTTGATCTATTTCCCAATTTATAAAATAAAGGAGAATAAAGAGATGTCTGTAAAGTGGTTTAAAAGCCCAAGTGAAAGGCCATCTGAAACATAGGATGGCTGAATTTCAAAGAGTCAGGAGGACACTTTGGCTATTGAGAATACATTTTAAATCACTTAAGTGGACACAGTAATATTCTTGTGAATGCCACATTACTCAGCAGTATTCCAGAGGGTCAAATAGATAAGGAGGACATGAAAGATTAATATTCAAGTTAAGCCTTTTGATTAAAATCGATATGAGAAAAACATATAGAAGGAATGAGTTTTGAATTGATAGTTGTTATTTTGTGATGTCAACATAGGTACATAGACAAAAATTCACCTAGACATTTTTCAAAGGCTCTTTTGTATATAATCGAGGTACTCCAGTTTTTTATTTTTGTAATATGTTTTAGCTACTTTTAGTCTTACTGTAGTTTTATATAGTCCTCTTTCTATTGTTATAAGGCCCAAACTTGAACATTTTTAGCAATCCAGATCATGCTATAAAGTTAACGTCATAGAAACAGCATAAGGTGGTAGACTTGTGCTGGGCTCAGTGTTAGAATCTTTGCTTTCTCTGGCTTTATTTTTTCCACTAGTAGGGGCAATAATAAGAAGCTTGCCGTTCTTTTAGGAGATTAAACGAGTATTGAATGACAAAGTAAGTGCTTAACGCTTATAGATGTTGAGTAGTCAGGACTCAAATTTGAGTCTGAAGGATGCTGATTCTGAGATACTCAGGCTTGGCTTGGTTGATTTCTCTAATAGGAGAGAGAAAAGGTATAACTAATTGCAGCTTTCCCAACGAAGGGAGCATTGACATGACAATTTTCACTGTGTGTTAATGTTCTTATTGCAAAGTATTTAACATTTTTGTCCCCATCCCCAAATGCCAGTAGCCCCCTGCTGTGGTCAAAGAATATTCTTTCATTTTTTAAAATATAGTCAGCCCTCTGTATCCCTTGGTTCCACATGACAGGTTCAAACAACCATGGCTTGAAAATATTCAAAAATTTTGCATCTATATGAACATGTATAGACTTCTTGTTTCTTATCATTATTCCATAAACAATACAGTGTAACAGATATTTACATGGAAATTACATTGTATTAGGATTAAAAGTAATCTAGAGATGATTTAAAGGAAAGGGGAGAACCTACACACAGGTTATATGCAAATATACACACAGGTGTGTAGGTTATATGCAAATACTACACCTTTTTTATGTTGGGGACTTGAGCAACCATGGATTTTGGTATCCAAGGGAGGTCCTGGAACCATGCCTTGATTGATACCAAGGGATAACTGTTACCTCTTTAGGAGGGGTCAATACAAAAACTGGATGACCATCTAAAACACTTGTGAATTCAGTGGGCAAAATATTATTTTGGCATTGGAAAAACACCAAAACATGCTGGCATACCTGAACTCTCCTCAATGCCCTGGGATCTGCTTAGAGACTAGGGCAGAGATTAAGATGGGAAATTTTACAAATTAAAGTCAATACTCAAAAATAACTAATGATCAAAAGGATCCACTTGCCCCACTGCCACTCACACCCCCACCTGGTTCAGCAACATAGAGCCATGGCAAAATGGTCACACGTCCCTATATCTCACCAATGACAGACACTCAAAGGAAGCCTGGCAGCTTAGGGCTGGTGACAGGCTATCAGAGTTGGAGGGCCCATCGTTTGCTGGTTGACTTTAGATGAGCTTCTTTACAAACGAGGTGTACATAGGAAGTTGTGGGCCAGAATCAAAAGGAAGTTCTGTTGCTCTATGCAGAGAGGTGTGTTGTTTATCAAAGGAGAAGAAGAGAAGGAGGGACAATCGGATTTAGAAGATTATTTAATTGTATACAACAACTGTAGAAGTATTGAAGTTTTTGTCCCATTTAATAGATGGTAAAAATAAGCTGGTTTTACCATCATTCTCAGCAAACTATCGCAGGGACAAAAAACCAAACACCGCATGTTCTCACTTATAGGTGAGAATTAAACAACGAGAACACTTGGACACAGGAAAGGGAACATCACACATCGGGGCCTGTCATGAGGAGGGGGGAAGGGGGAGGGATAGCATTAGGAGATATACCTAATGTAAATGACGAGTTAATGGGTGCAGCACACCAACATGGCACATGTATACATATGTAACAAACCTGCATGTTGTGCACATGTACCCTAGAAATTAAAGTATAATAAAAAGAAATAGGATGGTTTTAGTGCTCATACTGCTTCAGGGTGGGTACAGCGGAAGCTTTGATTAAGAATTTATGAATAAATTTTTCTTTCACCTGATTATTTTGATTCTACTATGAATAAGCTGAGAATTGCTTTGGAGAATCTGTGCAGGCTGCCTTGAAACAGAAATACAAGACTGATTGGTCTAGGGAAAAATATGCCAGCTGCCTATACTAACAGCACCCATTCATTGGGATTTTAGTGTGCACAACGTTATTGTGTAACTGAGTCTTTATTATAAGAATCATAAGATGTTTGTTTTACTTAGTTTTCTCTTTTCCTTGCCTTTTTCTGCCTCCATGCATGCTTGCTTGCACATAGTCATTTTGGTAGAAGGTAGTCACTAGTAACTTCATATCCTTACACCCCTGGCCTGCAAGATTGATAAACTGTATTTTTTTTGGAGAAGAAAAATGAACCTTAGGTCACACAAACCTTGATGGCATCCAGAAGTCTGATCAGGCCAAGAGACATAAACAGCTTTGGTCTTTGGGGTATCCCATTTCCTGTATACCTACCTGACTCATAGAAGCCCCCAGTTATGTGTAAAGGAAGGTTGGACTTTAGAGACTGTCTTTCCTGCCCTCTCACTTTGGCCAAATTGAATAAACATTTATGCTGATGTGTCAGTGTTTGGCTTACTGTGCATCAGGTATGTGAACCTAAATTTTGATGTTAGATAACAATTATCCAAAGCATTTTGTATACTTTGTCCTTCTACTCTGCACAATAAATCCATAAGGTTTGTATTTTCATTATAGTCTCCGTCTTCAGATGAAGACGCAGAACTTGTAAAGTCAAATATCTTATTGAAATCACAGAGTCAATAAGAGAAAGAAGCTGGAATCAGACCAGGGCTCCTTACTCGGGGCTCATACCTAGCCTGGTGGGAGTGCTAAGGAAGGAGGGCAGAAAGGCAAGTCCCATGCAAGCAGAGGAGAGTGATTCCAGGATGGATCAATTGGTACCCATAGGACTTCTTGAGATGCTGAATGCAGAGGCCTTGAGAAGCCCACAGTTTCTAGATTATGTACATACCCAGACCCAGTGGATATCTATTTAGTTTTAATTAAAACCCTCCCTTCTCCAGAAAGGGAATGTGAGTCTGTATCACCCACAATAGGACAAATCAACAGATGAGATTATCTGCATGGCCCTTTAAGGAACCTTCCCTACCTTCCTACTCTGTTACACTCTACCTACAAGATGAGACTTTCAAAGGAACATCATTTCCCCTTGACTCAGACAGATAAAAGAAATTTGACTCCTAGTCACCAGGAAACAAGAAGTCTCCTCCACAGTCTTTTGACCTTTTGTTGCTCCAAGAAGGACCACATGTCACTGCTTTGCCACTTGAGGCCATTAAACCCATTTCGCTCCTTTATATAACTGCTAAACATAGACGCTGAAATGAAGAAATACAGCCTAAATAAAGACACCAATAACAGCTTGCATGAAGTAGTAAAAACAGTTTTGCAGAAGGTTAGGAGCCAAGGCTTTTTCCACTGTCAGCTTTAAAGGTGTTCTCTTTGACCAGCCGCAAGGCTACTTCACCACAGGTATGAAATTAGAAATTTTGAAGACTATTGCACACAATTTTCACAGTGGATCAGCCAGAGGTTGTTAAGCAAAGAGAATGCTGAAGCCATAATATACTGAGATGACAGAGGGGGCTCATGAGTATTCCTGCTTCCATGCTCTGTGGGCCAGCCACAGCAGCAGCCACTGTTTATGGCATCCCTGACTTGGATATGTGGTTTGTGCCTGTTGAGGGAGTGCTAAGAGGAGAAATCTACAGAAAAGCCGTGAACTAGGTGGTTGAGCCAAGTGGGCCAAATAGACAAGAACTTCAGATGCAGGAAATTCCCTTCCAAAGGCAGGTGATAATGGGCTCTGACTTCTTGTCAAATTACCCATCAATCAGGGCTTTAACACCAAGCTAGTACAGCATGGTGATCAAGCCCAGGACTTCTGTAGATAAGTAGAGCTCAATCTAATCTGACTCTGTATGGACTAATGGTGTGGCCACTGGAAAATCACTTTAGCTCACTAAGGCATAGTTTCCTATTCTGTAAATTGGAATTAACATTAGTACTTACTATCTAGGGTCGCTATGAAGACTAAATACTTAACACAATGTCTAGGCCATAGTAAATGCTTCATTCATGGGAGTCATCGTTATTGAGAAGCTTTCTATGTGCACATCACTGTTCAGAGAACTGGGTACATATTAAAGTAAAAAGCATGTGGTTTAGTCCTAGGGTGCATATAATCTAGCTGGATTGACAAGAAAAGTACATGCACAGAAAAGTTAAATAATATAAAGTAGCATACAACAAAATGTTAATTGTGCAGCATGGATGATAAGTGCTTTATTCATTTATTCATTCATTAGTAAAACACACACCGAAGACTTCCTGTTTTGAAGCAATGTAATAAGCACAGAGAAGGGTAGGAGAGCTTAATCTCATAGGAATTATTGCATGAAAAGTACTATTGTTATCTTATCTTGAAATTTGCTTATGGGAAAACTGAGACTTAGACACAAAAAAGGAGCATACCGAAGTTCTCACTAGTAGTAAGTTAACAAGGTTGGGATTGCAACCCAGACCTGCCTGACCCCAAAGCTCATGATTTTGTAGAGCAGTTGTTAAGAGAATAGAATCTACAGCCAGAGAATCTGGGCTCAATCCTGACACTGCCAATCATTAGTTTTGTGATCTTGGTTAAGTTACTTAAATTCTCTGGACCAGAGTGTCCTCATCTGTAAAGTGAAGGTAGAATATTAGTATCTACTTCATGTGGGTTTTGTGATGATTAAATGAGTTAATCTATTTAAAAACATATCAGTGCCTGGAACACTATCAGCACTGTAAATATAAACTCTTATTATTGTAATAGTGAACACTATAATTATTACTATCTTAACTGAGCTATGGCATGTGAAATGTTTAGAACATTGGTACATAATAAGCATGCAGTAATTAGCTGTAATAATAATTATAATTATAAAAAGAAGGGTAGTCAAGGCAGGCTACTTTATATCAGGGACTTGAGCAGCCACTGATTTTGGTATCTGCAGGACATCTTGATTCATAGTCGAATCAAAATAAATAATAATAACAATAGTTATTATTATGACGACCTAATGAGTTACACTGCCCCTGATTGGTTTACTTGCCTTCAGTCAAAATTGTCCTTTTCTGCTCCTAAACTTCCAAACTATTTCACTCCTGTCAATGGTATCATAATACCCCCATAACACAACATTATTTAAAGAATTACTGTTTTCATTGTCTTCAATAGATAACGAAAGAAATCCTAGGATTAGAACGGGCCTTCCTTTAATTCTAAATCGTGGTGCTATTATGAGAATTAATCTATGATTACATGTAAACCACTATAGGACACAGTATATGCTCAATAAAGTTAGTTATTGTTGGTATAATCAGTTCATATACTTTATTTCAATATGTCACAGAGAACAAGTCCTATCACTTTTGCTTTAGAACACATCTCATATAATTCTATCTTTCTACAAACCCTAGCTGAAATCCTTGGGTGCCAGGCTTTCTATTAGTGTAATTCATCCTGTGTACCACTGCTGTTACCTTCAACACTGCTTAGACTAAGAAAACCACCAAGATTTTCTATTTTCCAACACCAACATGTCAGACACTTCTCTCCAATGGCTAACTCAATCTTCTCGGACTTATTTTACTGCTCATAGGGTCACCATTCTGGTCGAAATTGTCCCCTCATTATCTACAATGCCTTTTGTCTTATGTTGACTTTGGACTACACTCACGTGCTTTCCCATTCCTTACCTGGGAGCCTTTGATTTCACGCTCTGCTGACTCAAATCTGCCTCTTCTTCAAAGCTAACATCATGTATCACCTTTTGCCTAAAGCCTGTCCTAATTAACTCCCTTCAGCCCTTCCCTTCTCTGAAACCCTATAACCCTTGAGTCTTCTATGCCTAATGCAGATATGATACAGGGATATGTTATAAAGAGGTTTAATACATGGCCTCCTGAGTAATATTACCTGAATTCTAACATAGCTCTGCCTCATCTTAGGACTGGGACTTGGGCCTCAGTTTCTTCATCTGTCAAGTGGACATAACAAGAGCACCTATCTCATAGTATTATTTGTGATACTTAAATGACATAAACCATGAAAAGCACTTCGCATAGTAGTTGATGTGTGATAATCATTCAACATGTTAGCTATTAGATGTGGTTGTTATGATGAGCACTCACCACCTGTTTGTTGAATGAATGAATTAAACTATTGATTTCCACACAGCTTTATAGTCTCCATGTTTAGAGGAATAAAATAGATTGTACAAGATATCTGAAAATCCCAAAGGGATGCATAGTTACATTTACCTTTAGAATGTTGCCAGTCTTTGATGTCACAGAACACACAGTCTGAGGGTTTAAATGCTCTCCTCCTCAAATTCTGTTTTTTTTTCTCTCCCACCCATCCTTATTGCCAACCACCCCTTAGTTGATAAGTGGAGAAAGGAAGAGGGTTATGAAGATTTCAGGTCACTGCAGATGAAACATACAAAGACAAACCCAGGGCTTCCCATATTATATTGAATATAGAGAATGCCTTAGGGGAACTCTAAGAAGCTTGAAGTCATTTTCCCTTTAGAAATCATAAAGAGGTCAGTGATTTATAATTCAGAAGAACAATGGACAGGAAAAGTTCTCTACCTGCCCGTGCAAGCAACGACTGTCTTGCGAGGCTTTCTAATGTAGTCAGAGCTTCAAGGTAATTAACAGCCCTTTTTCCCTAACTGCCTGCTACGCTTTATCCTAGAGGCACTTCTGCTCTTCTCTGATTCCTTTTGGCTTAAAAAATTATTTTTTCTGCCATTCTCATTTCTCCTCTGCAATCCTGTCTTTCTCTCTTTTTCTCTTTAGTGGTCTGGCTTTGGTGCTGACCCCACCGTGCCCTCTCAAGGGCACTTAGCAGAGCTGTTGTCTCAGGCTTGGGTGTGCTCCCCATTCTCTGACCGGTAATAGAACAAAGGACAAAAGGCCATCTCTCCAAGTCACAATATCTCTTTATTGAAGCTTTGTTCTGCTGCTTTGAGCCTTTTCTCTCTGATTCACTGGACTTGCATTTGAGCAACTTTCCCATTTCTCTCTTTTCTATTACCTCCCAATTCTAGAATGACTAGGTTAGACTCACTGTTTTCTTGTTTCTCACTTCCAATAAATTCTTCGACACACTATTAACATTTGAAGGTTATATCAGAAGATGGAAAAATCAAGTGAATGCCAATATTCTTTCCTGGGTCCCCTGCTCTCCGGCTTGGCAACTGAAATCCTGGGTCCTACATTTTCCCTCCTAAACCACTTCCAAGGTTGGCCTTCAGAGCTCTTAGGACTAGACTGGCTGGTGGAGGGACTGGTGCTCTCAAAAGGCCTTTCTTCTTAACAAATCCTCCCTTGCTCGAATGGGATCTAGAAGCAGATTTGGAGGCTTGTGGAAATGGGGCCCATCAACATTCAAGCATGTATCCTATTACCATTTCAGGCATTCTTTGTGGCTCCATCATTCTGTTTCTAAGTCTCATTACTTCGTTTGTCCTTTAGCAAATATATCCCTGGTCTACCACATACCTCCTCCTCTCCATTTTTAGTGCCGCTGCCTTAATTCAAGTGCTATTTGTTGAAGAAGTGTTCCACCAATACTTGTGTTAGTTTCCTTGGGCTGTCATATAAAAAGTACCATAAGCTGAAATTTATTCTCTCACAGTTCTGAAGGCTAGAACTCAGAAAAGCTGTTGACAGGGTCTTGCTTCCTCTAAAGGCTCTGCGGGAGAATCTGTTCTGTGCCCTTCTCTTAGCAGTGGTGTTGGTGACAGTCCTTCATGTTCTCTGGTCTGTAGCTGTGTAACCCCATTCTCTACCTTCATTGTTATGTGGCATTCTTCTCCCTGTTTCTCCGTCTTTTCCTTTTTTTATAAGGAAAACAGTCATATTGAATTAGGGCCCACCTTAATGAACCCATCTTAACTAGATTTCATCTGCAAAGATCCTATTTCCAAATGAAGTCATATTCACAGGTACCAAAAATAGGGCTTCAACATATCTCCTGGGAGGACACCATTCAACCCATCACAAAACCCTCATAGATCTCCCTGCCACCCATATTTTCCTTCTCTAATCCACCCTCTTTATACCATCCAGTCAGCTTTCTAAAATACTTATCAGATTATTTACACTTGAATTTAAAAATTATCTGCCAACTTGCCATTTCTTTTAGACGAAATCTTTAGAATTACATTTCAGGTCCTTTTCATTTTAGGTACTTCCCATGTTCCTTTCCAGCACATCCTGTCATCCACTCTCATGGATCTGGCAGGGTATGACTTGCTCATTATGTTAGAATGTTCAAGGCCTTGTGTATATTTTTGCTTTTTTTTACCTAAGCTCCATTCTCTTTTAAAATGAATAACCCATCCTAGATTTTTTTATAACCCTTTGTTTATTCCATTTTCTTATTCATTCTGAATTTCTCAATGCCTGGTACCTATTATCTGCAAATAAATGATATTGAATAAATGATTTCAGAAAGGAATAAACAATTTGATAATTAATGTTACAAATAGTTTTTTCTTCACCATGATCTTCATAAGTTCTAAAAACTTCATAGTTATTTGTCAATGTAAATACTTTTCTCAAATATTTATAGCATAATAGCTAAGAGGCAGGTTTTGGAAACTGCCTGGTTCACTTAGAAGTTACGAGATTTTTTTCAGCCCTTTATTTGACCTTCTTGTCCTTCAATGTCTTAATCTGTTAGATGGGAACATGAATTCCTAATTAACAGAGTTATTAGAATAAAATGTATTAGATAAAAGAACAATCCTTAGGGTAGTGACTGATATAAATTAAATGGTTAATATTTATTTGTCATATTGTCTTTATAACTATTATATTTATAATATAGTTATTATATTTATATTTATATATTATTATGTAATATAATATATAATATAAATATAACTATTATATAACATATTTATAAATATAAATATAATAGTATATACTATTGTAAATATAGTATAATAGTAATATTTATTATATTTAATAAATATAATTATTAAGACATATAATACTATTATATATCTTTTTAAAAACATTTATTTTAAGTTCTTAAATTAATTGTTATTTTAAACCACATGATCACCTGTTTTTCTAGTTAATTATCTACAGGCTACAAATACATTTTATATCACCATTCTCAATTATAATTGAGAATATAATATATCATTGTCTCTCTCCAACCACCCCCCGATTAAAGTATTGAATTTATTTTATAACCCAGGTGAGTCCTATGAGACAGAGGTAGATAAAGTTGGCCTTGATATGTGGCATTGGATTTAAGAATAATAGCTGTGCTGGGCGCGGTGGCTCACTCCTGTAATCCCAGCACTTTGGAAGGCTGAGGTGGGTGGATCATAAGGTCAGGAGATTGAGAGCATCCTGACTAATTCTGTGAAACCCCATTTCTACTAAAAATACAAAACATTAGCCAGGCGTGGTGGCACGTGACTGTAGTCCCAGCTACTCAGGAGGCTGAGGCAGGAGAATCGCTTGAACCCGGGAGGCGGAGCTTGCAGTGAGCCGAGGTGGCACCACTGCACTGTAGCCTGGGCGACAGAGCAAGACTCTGTCTCAAAAAAAAGAAAAAAAGAATAATAGCTGTAACATGCTCTTTTTAACAATACTGTTTGGTAACTGTTCTTTTTGGATGGGAAGCTAATGACAGCTACTCATGTTACACTGTCTGGCATATGACTATGAAAGACACTACACCAACAGAGGACAATCTAGGAATGTGTTCTTACGTGACTATAAACTTTCATTCACGAACCACTTTCACTCATGGTTGCCATAGAGTGGATTCTCAACAAGTTGTAAATCTGTGTAATAATAATAATTCTGAAAGCAACTTGAAAACAAAGTAATAATGGATGATGTTGACTCTCCTCCTAAATAAGCACATGTGCCTTCTGAGGCTGTAAATACAACTTATAAATTATATGGATGGACTCTATGGAAAAATTGTGCATGACCATATAGGTAGTACTCCTTCTTAGGAGGAAAAAAACAAAAAGCTGCATTCACATAGAAGATAAGATTCAGTATCTAATTTCAACAGCATTTAACATGGGGCTCATTTTGGTTTTCCCAGAAAAAGAGGAGGCAGGAACTAAAAATTTGATCTTACAGTCTCTCTTTCTCTCTCTTTCTTCTTTGATGTACATTAGTTCCCATGGAAACTACATTGGGATGGCTTGAGAGTGACATCTACAAATGCAGTGTAAGGTCATTTTTATCTAATGCTTTGAAATTTAAACCATGATTTGTGATATATAGTGAAACCTCCTTAACATATTCTGAAAGACTATGAAAAGACAATATTCTGAATGCAAAAACAAGACATGTGACTGCATTATGCCAGGTCTCAGAAAGTTCAGCATTGCGATTTGCATAGAAAAACAGAAAGAGCTTCATTTTTCAGTTTGCCTCCGGGAGAGTCCTGGCAATGCAGTTGGCCTCCTTAATATGGAAGGAAGAAAACCCTTCCTTCTACCTCCTTCCTTGGCGTGATCTCGGCTCACTGCAACCTCTGCCTCCTGGGTTCAAGCGATTCTCCTACCTCAGCCTCCCAACCCAGTAGCTGGGATGACGGGCACGTGCCACCACCATGCTCGGCTGATTTTTGTATCATTAGTAGAGACAGGGTTTCGCCATGTTGGCCAGGCTGGTCTCGAACTGCTGACCTCAGGTGATCCGCCTGCCTAGGCCTCCCAAAGTGCTGGGATTACAGGCGTACCATGCTGGCTTTTTTTTGTTGCTGTTTTTTTGAGATGGAATCTCATTTTATTGCCCAGTCTGGAGTGCCATGGTGTGATCGCAGCTCACTGCAACCTGTGCCACCCGGGTTCAAGTGATTCTCCTGCCTCAGCCTCCCAAGTAGCTGGAATTACAGCCATGTGCCACCATGCCCAGCTAATTTTTGTATTTTTAGTAGAGATGGAGTTTCACCATGTTGGCCAGGCTGGTCTTGAACTCCTGACCTCAGATGATCCGCCTACCTCGGCCTCCCAAAGTGCTGGGATTGTAGGCGTGAGCCACCATGCCCAGCCTCCTTCCTTGTTGCTGGATCCAGTGAGGCCACCAGGTAAGGGACAAGGGTTTAAGGCTTTAAATGCTGCAATAAGTAACTGCATGTGGACTCTGATAAAGCTGCAGGGGTTTTCTTGCTTCTATGGTTCCTACCAGCACTCTTGGCCTGCCTTTCTTAGGGCACTGATGTAATTTCCTTTATTAATTTGCCAGTGTTTCACCTGTAAATTCCAGGTATATTTGAAGGGAGATATATTTCTAAAGGAAGAAACTGAAGCCTTGGGCTCAAAATGACTTGAGGTTTAATGGAATGTGATCAGCTTAGGCTTCCAATGTACTCTCCAGCGAAGAAAAGTGTAGATGCTGAGCAGGGAGATATGGATTCAAATCTTGACTCATTTGATTTCTAACTATGTGTCTTTAGCAAGTCAAAACTTTTCTAAGCCTTAATATACTGATCTGAAGAATGCTGTGAAATTTTAAATGGGTGAGCATGTGAAAAGGGAATAATGTATAAGAAGTGTTTAGTACTAGTTACATACTGGGATCTCAATACAATTGTGTTGCGTAAATGAACTTTGTTTGTATATAACTTTGTTCTCATCAAAATCCTTTATATGGAAAGCTGTGAAAATAACTATCGCTTATCTTGTATCATAGTTAAATGTGGGTCAAATGGCTATCTCTCCAGTTTACAGTCACCATCTGTAACATGTGGGCTGTAAGATCAGTTTTGGCAGCAAAAGTGAGGGCCGGAGGAGGCACCTGGGTTGCTGCATCACCTCCATTCTGGCTACATTGGCCTAACTGCAAGTTTAGGCTTCGAGATGCCAGCTAATATGTCAATGATTGGTACACACTAACTCTCTCTTCCCCACTTAAAAAAATGTTTAATAAATCTCATTGTTTAAAACTGATGATTGTAATAACAAAGAGAATCATCAAGCAAGCACATTTGAAAAAATGGCTGATGTTTCTGATGACATTCTTGTGTGATCTGCTGTTCCAACACTGTTAATTTTATCTACCCGAAGAAAAAGAACAATACATTCTTCATTGATATAGTAAGTCACATTGCTTCATGTCTCTTGCCCACAGACTTAAACTTTAAGAGGCGTGTAAATAAGCAACTTAGCATATGTGACCTCCTGACCATGAAGTGTTAAATTCCAGGAACTATATTACTCCACCACTTTTATTTGTCTGTGGGAAATCAGTTGATTTATGCCTGTTCCCAGGATACAATAAAAATGTGCAGGTATGCCAAACTAGAACTATTAGAACCTGTCAAATAAAAATTTTTGTTGCCTTTAAAATCTGCAAATAAAAGTAACCTTTGATTAAGGATAATACGCTTTATATCATAGTTTTATCAGTATTCAGCAAAACATATCCAAACAATTTAATTTCAATATAGTATAATACATCACAGCCTTTGAAGAGAAAGATCCCCTGCCTGATGAGAAGAAAAGTTTCTTATTTACAAAGGAGTTATAGCAAAATGGCAGTTCTACCAGCACAGACAAGGTAGATTAACAGAAACATTCAGCCAAGCAGGGTCTGAAGTTTCTCAAATTTGGCTTATTTACATTGTCCATTCATTCTTATTTTATGGGCTTTAGAACTTCAGATGGGGTCCAGCTAGGATTATAAACCAAAGTGCCAAAATAACCCACAAAACTGTTACAAAGGAATTCCCAGCTCGGTTTTCAGACTCAAGAGTTTGGAATCATTTCAAAAGGATTCTCAGCTCTTACATATTTTAGGCAGGTCTACACTGATATAGAGTGAGACTCAAAAGCAACTTGGAGAATTTCCATCTCATTAACACTTCATTTACAGTACACCTATGTCAAGCCTCAGCCTTGGAGTTCTGGTCTTGGCTTAAATGAGGGAAAGAGAACTTCTCTAGCCAATACTGAGCTGAGTACAGATTCTGTTGTGTATAGTCATGATTGAAGCATGCTCACATCACCTTTGAACTCAGATTTCTCAGTATTCTTCAAAGGATGAAATATTTCTTTAAAAAACTGTATGCCTTTATTTTTTCTCTGTCATTAAATGTTGTATATTTGTATTCTGGTTCATTTTTCAAACTGGATTTTTGATGGTCAAAATTATTAAACAAAATCACTTGGGTTTGGAACATGTACAATCCCACTCTGAAAACACCCTGTATAAGTTGGGGTTTAAGAAAATGTCACTGTGGAAACCTCAGCAGCAGTTAGACAGGGACTGTGCCTCATTCACTTTTGTGACCCGAGTGTTTAATGCAGTATCTGTAACATTGCAGATGCTCAATGTTTGAGAATGAGGAAATAAATGAATGAACGAGAAGGAAATTTTCCTGAATGCATTCAGTTTATTCCAGACAGACTTTGTTCAACACTCCGCTGTGAATCAGAACAAGACCTCAGTCAAGCTGTGGACTACATAACATGACATAGGTAAATCATCACTGGGGCCCTGTCAGGTTCCAGGGAAGCAGGAAAGCAGGAAAGAGCTGACAGCCACCAGGGTCATTGTGCAGAGTATATCAGAAAGTGGTTTTAGCTGACTAGTGGGTTGGAGGTCTTGTGGTGTCGGGAGTGCACAGCTTTATGCTTAGTTTCTAATAACTTTCAATTACCTGTAATTGTGATCAGGTAATGAAAAGTATCGGGGACCTCCAAAATAATTTATATTATATAAACATATGTATATTTGACATGCTATGCTTCAGACTTACATTTTTAATTGAGATTCTCATTAGTCAAGACTAAAATCAGTTATTCTCATTGTTATAACTCACTTTCACTAAAGCTTATTTGAGATTAAAATATAATGTGAAAAATTCAAAGATAAAATGACTATATACATATATGTATACATATACACACAAGTGCATGAAACATACTTTTATATGAGTATACACATACTCACATAGCAACAACACCTACATGATTCTGTATTATTTATAATGATATATAGCCCATTATATAGATGAAAATATGTGTGCATATACATACATATGGATTAGGTATATATAAAAGTGTATACATTTATGGAATGGTATGGGTGCTACTATTATGTGAGTATATGTACTTGTGTGTATATGTGTGTTTTGTGATGGCACCATTTTTTATCCACCAAATATTAGTGAACATTTACTGCATTTAGGAACTCTGCTGGGCACTTAGGATATAAAAAGTGAATCCGTCCAGACCCTGCCTGTAAGAATGTCCTGCTATAGTGAGGGAGCCAGATTCATGAACCCATCTGTGCAGTTTAAAGATGATGTAGGAAAACAGTTTATAGAGGGGCTTAAGAAAAGAATGTTCCAAATATTCATCAATGCCTTCCACTTACCACATGCAGGCCTTTCCTCTTTCTTTCTAGTCCTATTTATCATCCAAGTAATGAATTTTCAGATAATTTTTTTCTTTAATAAAACCTCAAAATGGTTGTAAGTGTTAGTGGGAAGGTTTTGATTTACGCCTCTAAAAGCTGTAAAACATTTTGCTTTTCCCAACATCACATGAAAATTTGTTGCTTGAACTTTGGAGAGAATTCTTCCTTTTAAATTTCTTCCCTTTTATCATGTTGTAATTTGTTAAATGGAATGAATCATTAATGGATTTCTTGTGATTTTTAAAAGTAACCACATTTATATATCTTAGCAACATTCAGAGAGTGTGTGCAACTCTGTAGACACCTTGGAAGTAAATATACACACATAAATATGCATGATCAGACTGATGAAAAAATAGCATTGTTGTTTATGTCATGATCTATGAGTGCAGGTATGGTTGGAAAATCTGATGAATTATGAACATTCTGTTTCAGGGTTTTCATCTGGTAAATGGAACTAACAATATCTTCTGTCCCTGCTACATAGGATTGCCATGAATTTCAAATAAGATAACATGAGAAAGTGGTTTATGAGATAGAATTTACTGTATAAACACATGTCTGGCCAAGGTGTGAGGGCCATCTGGCTGCATATCAGACTCTCACAGGTTCCTAACTACCAGGATGGCTTCTGCAGGTGACTAGAAGGATATATTTTACATTTGTAGATCTCTTCCAAACCACTTTTCCACCTCTTTCAAAAGCCTAATTCTGTCCTCCTTTCTTGACCATTCTCTGTGCTCTAGCTTCTATCTTTGCCTCTGCCTTTGATTTTGATACTTTCTCTGGTAACAATATCAGTTCCTACTAAGCTACTTTCTGTTGTGCCATCTGTTCCGAGTTGCCTCTCCATTGCCTTCCCCAATTTGATGCAGAATTCTTCTTCCCTGAAGCTGTCCTCTCTTTTTAAGCTCAAGCTCCTGTGATCACATGATGTCCTCATTGGGCTTGCCTGTGCATTTTTACAAGGCAGCGCTAGTAGAAATTTTTAGAGTTACCCAAGCCTATTTAATAATGGCAAAAGTGCTGAGCATTTACTTTCCAAAATGGCTGAGGTATCAGAGAAGGGCTTAGATTTTCTAGGCATACTCACCTGAAGAAGAAAAAAAATCTTGTACTCTAGATGCACTTAGGATAGAAAATGTATTGACTCGTTGAATAGTTTTAACATTGCTTCCAGTGCTCATTTGGAATAAAAAGGAAAACAGTTGGGTCTGACTAGAATTAATTAGACACCTCAAATACGTACTTTTGATGAGAAGATTACACAAGATATATTGCAGTGTGATGTTTAAGACAATAGGCTTTTATTTCAGAAAAATCTGAGCTTAAATGTTGGCCTTAACATTTAATAGATTACGATACACGGCAAGTTACTTGGCCTCTCCAAGTCTCATATTTCTCATATAAAATGATACTGGTTGTCTCCCTTTTCGCTAAAAATGTAGAAAGCTGCAAGAGAATGTCATTTTACTCTACCAACAAAAATAACAACAAAATCTGTGAAAACATTACTCTTTTAAAGAGACGGCTGGGCGCAGTGGCTCACGCCTGTATTCCCAGCGCTTTGAGAGGCCAAGGCAGGCAGATCACGAGGTCAGGAGATCGGGACCATCCTGGCTAACACGGTGAAACCCTGCCTCTACTAAAAATACAAAAAAGTAGCTGGGCGTGGTGGCGGGCACCTGTAGTCCCAGCTACTTGGGAGGCTGAGGCAGGAGAATGGCATGAACCTGGAAGGCGGAGCTTGCAGTGAGCCGAGATCGTGCCACTGCATTCCAGACTGGGTGACAGAGTGAGACTCCGTCTCAAAAAAAAATAAAAATAAAAAATAAAGAGACAAGGCTTCTAATCACAGAATCTTATTTTCAAAGGCTGAGAAACTCCCTCCAAAAAGAGATTAGTCAAATAAACCATTTCACCTTTGGAAGATTATGAAAGAAAGAGGTGACTGTCAATTACAGCCAGTAAGGAGAAAATAGCCAAAATTTTTAACACGTTTTAAAAGGCCAAGTGTAAAGTTAATATGATAGAGTAGAATCCCCAGGACTTCAGATATGTGTGAAGTCTGTACTTTCTAAGTATTTTTTAAATTTACAGGCCCTACTTGTGCCCACAGAAAGTATTCAGGGAAGGGGAGGAAAACTAAGTGAACACCCTCAATGGTGCATCTTCATATTTCTCTCAAATGAATACTGGTTGTCTCCCTTTTTCTGATCCCAGAAAAGGGGTGGGTAACTCCTTCTTCTCCTAGCACCCTGGCAAAGAACTACTGCCTGTGGGAGAAGGTAAAAGCAAAGTAGTTTGCTTCTGGAGGAGGAGTTAAAAACTCAACTACTTCCAGTCCCAGGAAAAGGAAAGGAGGAAGGAATAGAAGCAAAAGCTGCCTGTTCCAACCAGAAGGTTTGTACTGAGTAATAAGCAATAGCAGTGTACTACTGCAGAAGTGCTAAGAAAACCCCTGCCAATAGAAATAGGCAGGGGTAAATTGGAACCAAAAGAGGAATGAAAACAAAATCTATATTCCTTGAGAGAGAGGAAAAAACACTGCTAGGACCCAGGATTTTGAGATGATACAATGCACAGGGGGAAATAACAGTATTCTCTCCCACCCAGCTCCCCCACCTTCCTACAGAAATAAGGGAAACATTTGGCTACCATGAGGATGGGCAGGAACACTGAGAGAGCTCCATTCTCAAGGTCTAGACACCCAGGACTTACGTAAGTGTGAGGCTGGGTCAAGATAATAGAAAACTACCCACTTTACCCATCACACCTTGAACAATGTGCAAAATAATAATTAAGACAGAACAATAGTATAAAGAGATACTCCTAAATGGCATAAGCATACAAGGACTGTTAAAAATTGAGAATAGAGCAAGAACACAGGGGAAAATCCTCCTATGACAAAATCCAATTAAGCACAAGGTATCGACAGTGAAATGCTAGTGGAATGTGAAGTTATTGCTGGAATGAAGGTTACCATGGCAATAACAAAACACAAACCAAGCTCAAAAACTGATTAGACTGACTAAACCTTCCCAACATGACATGCATATGAATGGCATGAGAAAATAAAAGGCATGCCTGTTTTCCAGGATAAAGACTGTTTACCTCAGTCTATATTATTTTAAACACAATGTTCAGCAATAAACCAAAAATTACAAGATACACACATACTCATTGGTCAGGGGTGGGGAGAGAGAGAGAGAGAGAGAAAGAGATATTGAGGGAGAAGCAACCTACTGTCAAGGTATAAAGTAGCCAGCAAAACCAGATTTATAGATGATCCAGACATCATTATCAGATAGAAACGTTAAATAAACTATGTTTAATATTTTAAAGGATTTCGTGGATAGATGTTATACATATGTAAGCAAATGAGTAATTTCAGCAGAGATGAAAACTATATGAAATATGTGTCATGTGCAAAGGGTCAAAATAAAAAAATAAAATGTCACAAATAAAAAATTCCTTCAGTGGGTGTATGAGCAAACTGGACAGAGCAGAGAATAGACTCAGTTGACTAGAAGATATATCAATGGAAACATAAAGAGAAGAAAACATAATGGTGCATCCAGCTGCTATGAAGCAATGTCAAATAGTCTAATATGTGTGTAATTGGAGTCCTAGACAAGAAGAGAGAGAAACTTGGCAGAATAAATTTTGAAGAGACTAGGTAAGAATTTTCTAAAATAATGAAAGTCAACAAATTTTCAATTCCAGAAGCCCAGGTGATCCCAAGCAGTATAAGTATAGATCAATCAATTGATCAGTTGATGATAGATAGATAGATAGATAGATAGATAGATAGATAAAATAGAATATACCTAGTCACATTACACTTACACTACTGCAAACCAAAACAAAGAGAAAATGTTATGGCAGTCAAAAGGAAAAACAACAAAACACATTATACATAAGGTAACAAAACTAAGAACAATAGCAAATATTTTTGCAGAAATCATGCAAATTAAAATACAATGGAGTTACAACTTTAAAGTACTTGGAGGGGAAAAACCTGCCAATTCAGAATTTGCTATCCAGTAAAAATATCTTTATAAAAATAAAGACAAAAAATAAACAAAACAAATCTGAGAGGACTCATTGCCTGTAGACCTGTACTATAAGCATTGTCAAAGTAAGTTCTTCAAGCAAGAGTATAATACTAGGTGAAACTTTTGATCTGCATAAGACATACAGAGTTCTAAAAGTGGTAAAAATGAAGATAAATACAAAAGAATTTGATTTAATTTTGAACTGTTTTAATAAAAAAATGAAAAACTTAAGAAAAAATATCAACATTCAATATGGGGTTTATCACTTATATAGATATGAAATGCATTACAGCAACTTCATAAAGAATGGACTGGATGAAATAAAAGTATACTGTTTCAGGGTTTCTAATGGTATCTAAAGTGGAGAAATATCATTTGAAGATAGACTGGATAAATTTTAAAAATATAATTTAGACGGTACAGTAATCATTAAAAAAATTGAAAAAATAAAGATGTTTACCTAATAAACCAAAGTGGGAATAAGATGGAGTCATAAAATAAAATACAGCAGAAGAAAACAGAGAAAAACTAAAAAGAACAGATTAGACAAAGGAAAAATAAAACAAATAGCAATATAATAAAGGGTTAAAAACCATAGATATTAAGATAGAATCAAAAAGCAGAAATACATCATATGCTGTCTATAAAACAAAACCTTAAAATATAACAACATAGATGGGTTGAAAGAAAAAGAGTGAAAAATATATTGTAATAGCTAATCAATAATTTCAGAAGTAAAGAGACATATAACATAAAGAAGCGAATTCACCAAGAAAAAATAATAATTTGTAAATTTGTATGCACTTCATAACAGTGCTTCAAAATATGGAAAGCAAAAATCTGATAAAACATAAAAGAGAAATAGATATATCCCAATTATGGTTGGATATTTTAACTTTGCTATCTAATTGACTGATGGAATCAGTAGACAAAATTTTAGTAAGAATATAGAGGACCTGGATAACAGATTCTAATAACACTAACCTACTTGATAATATGAATCTACTTAACATTTAGAAAGCACTCCACCTAACAGTTGCAGGAAACACATAATTCTTATGTACACATGAAACACTCACCAACATAGACCATATTCTAGTTAACAATGAATTATGCAACTATTGAAAATAGTTTTCAACTATAAAACTCTCAGCAAACTAGGAATAGTAGGAAACTCCCTCAATCTGATGTAGGATATCTACAAAAAGTCCACAGCTAATATTAGATTTAATAGTAAAAGACAGAATGAATACCTTCCTCCCAAGGTCAGGCATAAGGTAAGGGTGTTTACTCTCACTACTTCTTTCCAACATTGCACTGGAGGTTATACCAAGTAAATTATAACAAGAGAAATAAATAAATGACATACAGATCAAAAATAAATAAATGAATGTGTCTCTATTCACAAACAGGATAATTCTTTCTATAGAAAATCTCAAGGAATTTACAAAAATATCTACTAGGACTAATAAAATGAGGTTAGCAAGGTCACAGTAAACAAATCAATATAAAAATCAATTGTTAGCAGTAAACAATTGAAAATTGGAGATATCATTTAAATATTATCAAAGTCATGAGAGGTTTAGATATACATCTAACAATGTATCTGTAAGATTTGTTTGATAAAAATGTCAAAATGTTGCTGAGACAAATTAAAGACCCAAATAAATGGAGACATATACTATATTCATGGTTAAGAAGATTCAATATTTTTAGGATATCACTTATTCCCAAATTCATCAAAGATTCAATGCGACAATAGTCAAAATTTCAGAAGGCTTTTTAGTAAAACTCATAAGATGATATAACATTTTATATGGAAAAGCTAAAGGCCAAGACTGACCAATAATTTTGAGAAAGAATTACAAACCTAGCAAAATTACACTACCTGATTTCGAGGCTTGCAGTAAAAAGGATAAATAAATTATACCTTAATAAGTCTGACTTTTAAACATGGACATAATAAAGTACTTGCCTCAAAGAATTGTTTTATGACTTAAATGAATTGACAGTACTAGCACAGAACAAATGTTCAACACATAGCTGCTGTTGTCATTGGCAGTTGCTGTTGCTAGAGAGTCGTAGAGGAAAATTTCTGCTTTCCACCTGGGCCCTCCCACACTCCCCTTCCCTCACCCCTGCCACTAAATGTTCAATAATTAAAACGTCTTTTTATGTGAGACATCAAGAGCTCTTTCTTTTTCTGGGTGCTCTCTACAGACTCAAGTCATTAATAGGTCTTGTACCCATTAATAATTTGTATTCTGGGGCATCAGCCTCAAGTGTGGGTATCTTTCATTTTACCTGTTCAGGGCAATTGTGAAGACTTGGCTGGAAGCATTTTTGTGCCTGGTGAGATAAGCATGGCAGCTTCTCCAGTTAACAAGAGAGATCCTGTTAACATATAGGCAATTTGAAAGTTGAAGCAGGTTTATTCTAAAGAGCCCTATGCTCCAGGTCCCATGCTTCCTCTGACCTCTTTCAAGATTCCTAAAAGAGGCCCTAGCCATGTATTCATCTGAGCACAGACTGCTACATAATTTATAAGTGTAAAATATTTTAACCATAATTGTGTGAGACCACTGTCTCTTTCCACGCTGTATTCCCCTCTGCCATACTTCCCTTCATATCAGGCAGGATTGGAGTGGCAACATAATTTTTTCTTTTTCTTTTCTTTCTTTTAAAAATTAGTTAACTTTTGCATTTTACTAAGAGAAAGTTGAGTTGGAGATGAAGTTTGGAATGTTTAAAAACTTCCAAATATAATTCGGGCATTGCTAAACTGAATTTGAATACCTGTAAGGAACATTCCTTTTGCCCACTAAGTTGACTTACTTGGCATCATGTCATGAAGGTGCTGGGGTGGAGGTCATGTTGTGATATGAATGTGAACTACAGAGTTTGGCAATAAAAATAGTTGGGCGGTATTTTCATACCATGGAATACTACTCAGTAATAAAAAGGAACAAATTATTCATATACACAGCAGCCTGGATGAAGCTCCAGAAAATTCAGGTGACTGAAAATAGGCAGTCACCAAAAGTTGCACATTGTATGATTTCATTTATATAAAATCTTTGAAAAAATAAAAACATAGAAATAGAGAACATGTTGGTGGTTGCCAGGGTTAAGGAGGAGGTGGGGGCAGGAGGGAAGTGGGTCTGGCAGGAGGGAAGAAGGACACCATAAGGGGTCTTTGTGGTGATGGTGGTACTTTGAATCTTGACTGTATCAACATCAATATCCTGGTTGCGATGTTATAGAATAGTTTTGCCAGACGTTGCCATATGGAAGAAATGGGTCTCTCTATATTATTTCTTACAATTGCATGTGGATCTATGATTTACTTAAAAAAAGTTTAATTTAAAAAATTAAAGAAATAGAAAAATACTTGGGTAGTGGCAGAGAAAAGGTGAAATATCTGGAGCTAGAAGATGGTCTGTTGAAAACTCTTCTAAACATTAAACATGAAAAATTGTAAGGGACAGGGGTAGAGTTAAGTTTTTGTAGATGCCTAGTCAAAATGATGGGTCTCTCCTATTAGGAATATACCTGAAAAGTATAAGTGTAACCATAATCCCACAACATATATTTTTATGGGAATTGTGTAAGATAGAATTTATCAGAATTCCCATGTTTGTAGGCACAAATCCTGAGCAGCATTACAAACAGCAGGTACACCTCTGGGTGAAATGTACCCCAATGTGTCTGATCACACTGAATGCATCTGATATATCTTATCCTGAGAAAGCCTGGCGGTTCCTGGAAGAACTCTGCAAAATTCTGCAGACATGGATAAGCAGCAAGACATAAGTGACCCAGTGACAAAGTATCTACACACATTCATCAATAAGTCAACGTAGGTAATAGATGACAGCATTTTGACCACATAGTTATCTAGCTTATTTTAATAAAGAAATTTTAGAATGCATTTGAATTTTTCCTATGTATGCTAATTCAATTAATTTTACATATTTTGGGGATTATTAATCATATTATTAAGTAATATGAAGATTAAGGACAATGTATACTGTATTGTATGGTGCTAGGCTCATAGGTACTTAATGGATAGCAACTACTAATTACAATTTTAATACTATAAGTTTGGTGAAATAATAGGTCATTAATAAATAACAACTGCTTATTGTGGATAGTGCTGTTTAGTTGTTTACTAAAGATTCCTGTGGGAAGTTTCTTATGGGAGATGGTGTACACTGACTAGGCCTTTGAGCAGCAGACATTTGTTTGTGTAGAAGACTTCTATCTCATTGACAGTGGTAACGTTGATCTCAGAATTGTCCTGGTACAAGTTTAGGCCACAAGGAGCCCCTAAGTTCGTATCATTGCAGGCCAGGTCAACCTCCTTGCTCTTGCCAGATTGCTAGGATAATTTCCAAACGCTCATATGGCTGCAAAGGTATTTTCTATTATTTATTTGGAATATAGGAGAAATGCCTGGTGCCACCATCAGTGGTAGAAAGAAAAACAATAGCAGAATATGTCTTCATGTTCTTTGCTGGCAATATACTAGGTCAGTAAATGAATGATATTTAATTGTGCATTCTTACAATGCCAGATATTTTGGCACGGCAAGAAAATACAATAGTTATGGAAGTAAATAGCTACTAGGTGTGTTACTTTTTAAAAAGATTTTTTTTTAATTTATTTTATTTTTATTTATTTGTTTTTTAAATTTTACTTTAAGTTCTGGGATACATATGCAGAACGTGCAGGTTTGTTACATAGGTATACTTGTGCCATAGTGGTTTGCTTCACCTATGAACATGTCATCTAGGTTTTAAGCCCCACATGCATTAGATATTTGTCCTAATGCTTTCCCTCCCCTTGCCCCCACACCCTGCAACAGTCCCCACTGTGTGATGTTCCCTTCCCTGTGTCCATGTGTTCTCATTGTTCAACTCCCACTTATGAGTGAGAACATGCAGTGTTTGGTTTTCTGGTCCTGTGTGAGTTTGCTGAGATTGATGGCTGGTGGAAAAGCAGATATTATATTAAATATCCCTTCAAATTCTTATATAGCTTGACTTTAAAATATCTCAGCTTAGCATCCTTTTCTGTAAATAAATTCAATGCTTCATTAAAACACACCAGTAATATAAATGATAATGAAGGCCTTACACTACTATTTACCTTACATTTGTTTTGTGGCACTTTACATATAATTCTGCATTTGGCTACATACAACTATGTATCTATGTAGAACACAGCTCCTGTAAGCTGTCCATTCAACTATTCCAAATATGCAACTTCTCATAGCTACCTCAGGGTCACAGAAGGCTGCCTTTCTTTTAGCATCACATTCATTTTCCAGACAGGGAACAGTAAAGGGAAATACAATGCGTGAGTTTAAGATCTATCTTCTATTCACATCTCATTAGTATCTCTGTGCTATGTGTGCCATACTTGCCAACTCACTAGCTGCAAGCAGTGGTGAGGTTGTGGGTATATGTGTAGGAATGCATGCATGCATGTAGTTTTAAGGAGAACACATTATGGTCACGAACAAAGTCTGTGTTCTTTTAAAAGGAAAGGGAGACAGGATTTTGAGCAGGAAAAAAGTGAGGACTGCCGTACATAGTAGTCTTCATGAAAGTCCTGTAAGATGGATGTTACTATTTCTGTGAAGCATGCTATAGGCAAAGTTAAATAGGCTTTTAAATAAGTTGTGAAAATTATGTTTGCACCCAAGAAGTCACATTTGGATGGGAATTATTACAAAGAATTTTTCATCAATATGATTCAAAGAAATATAGAATAATCACAAGGAACTTTCACAAGCTTAGAATTGTTTGCGCTTAGCAATATTCTCCAGTGTATGAGTATCATTATACTTCCATCCTACTAGGCTTCTTCAGTTCCTCTCACCCACTGGGGGCTTTGTTCTTGTTTTCTATGTTTCAAAAACTGTTTGATCTGGTGTTGAGGCTGTCCAGATTCTTTTTTCCTTCAGGTTTCAGTTCAAATGCCATCTGCCCTGGACGGTGTTCCAGCTCCCCATCTGGGTATTACCAATCCCCAAGTCATTCTCTATCACATTATCCTGAGGTTTATTGCCTACAGAGCCTATTACTATCTACAGTTATCTTGTTTATTTACTTATCTTCTGTATTTGTCCCTACCAGGACTTAAAGTCACTGGGAGGCATGGATTTTTATCTTTCTTCCCATTCACTGAACTATGACTGCTAACACCACCAATGCCTGATACATTGTAGCCTCTGAATACATGCTTGTTTAGATTCTGAATAAGAATACTCTGAGGGCATGGTAGCATTAAGTATTAAGAGACAGGATGCCATGCAGGTTTCTACTAGGCTTTGGTCAGTATCTATTCTGCTGTAGGAAGTATATGCAGTGGTAAGTGGCTGGATTTTGGCTGCAGAAAGGTGGTCCTACCAAGCACAATACAGGCAAGGAGTGATTGTGAACAATTAACGGACCAAAAAGTCAAGCCATCAGGGCCTTTTGGCATAAGAATGGTCTGGTTATTCATGGTGTTTACATGGAATGGTGGGAAGAGAAAGCACAGAATGCTCTGTGTCTCTTTGAAGTTTCAGAGCACTTACTGCGTAGATATCCGGCATGTCTGCAAAAAAATGCACAGCTGAGCAGAAGGCACCAGTTCTTAAGACATGTGGGTGACATGAAGTATAGTTCTGAGAAAGCCTAATTCAACCCAGAAGAAAGCTCAGGAATGAACCCTTCAGAAATATTTAATTCCATGGTTATGAGCATTTACTTGAGTTGAATAATAACTAAAATGTTTTCCTCTGCATAAAAAGAAAAGGACCTTTATGTTTTTAAGCAACATTTTCTTGCCAAGCTATGAATTATGACCCAGCATGTTGTATTTTGCCTACAGATGTTACAAGGAACAGTAGAAATTAGCGGAGCTTCTGAAATCGTTTAAAAGGTTAAATTTTTGACTTAAAAATCAAGCTGGTAAATTGTATTTTTGTCACTGATAAACATTTTATTTTCCTCAAATTTTGTACCAAAGTACTATTGAAAACTGTCTCTTTGCTCTCAATAGGGGAGATTATTTCGGTGATATTATATGATATTATATTGTCTGTAGCAGGATGTTTTAGGAGAAAAAATATTACCCCTATATTCTGTATGGAGATGTCTCTCTGGCTTGCGTTGACAGTAATCTCAAGGTAATCCTTTGAAATAAAAACCTATAAAAAATGTTGTGACAGCACAAAGAGATAACATGTGTGGCAGAGGAAATGAAACTAAAGTGTTTATTTTTCTGATAAAATAGGAATGCCTCTTCTTTCCCAGTTGTAGCATAGTGACTCAGTTCAGTGAACTATATCATCCTCTCTGGAGCTTAATTAGAAACCTTGTAAACTGAGTGCAAGAGGCCAGAATATATGTTGGATGAACACAGAAAAGGCTTTTGCTGGAAACAGGAACTCCTATGAACCACCTTATAACGGGATTTAATGACTTTGTAATTGGATTGCTCCATTTGGGTTCAGAAAAGGGGAGCTTCTGCTTGTTCAGAAGGATGATGAGAACTATGGACATTGCATGTTTATAACTGAAGCACTCTTTCTTTGCTGCCCAAATTTCAGAGGCATAAAACACATTGATCCAGATTCTCCCAGTAGCTGCCTTGTGGACTGTAAACTAAGCATCACAGTGATTCCCTAAATGGTATCCTGATGAATTGCCAGCTTCTGCCAGGGTGCAGAGAGACCCTGGTTCAATAAAACAAGAGAGATAATAGGCGATCAGGAAGGAATCAAAACTGTTTCCCTGAGTAATGGCATCCAGCAACCCCTCTGCTGAGGGAGGCAATGAAAGGTGGGGGAACCCCTTGAAAGGGGTCAGTAGATTTCATATTCTTGAAAAGATAGAGTCCATTTTAAATGTCTGCTGCATTCAGATGACAAACTATGGGTCCTTTCTAAATATCTTTTTCTTTTTCCTTTTCTTTTGATTCATTAAAAAAAAACTTATGTTTTTAGGGAGTTTACTTTCTTCAGTCATTAAGCTTGGACGTTAAATATACATTGTTGATCAAAAAAGCTGTGTTCTTTGCCCTGGAGTTTATAGTTCATTGAACTTAATGGTATTGAGAGTCTGGAACGATTGTTCCATAATTTTAGAGGTTCTCAGGACCAGTGATAGAAAATTATTCCCTAAAACCAAGGTGCATTTTGATATTTTTGTGATTAAAAAAACATAAAAAAGATTTTATAACTCTGGCATTTTCATCAGATACATATACTTAGATGCTAACATTCATGTTCAGTTATATGATATGCATAAGAGTATATAAATGTTTTAAAAGTGGCAACTTGTGACCATAAAGCATATGTAGAGCTGAACTCATCTTTTCAATTCACCACATCTTCCATCGCTAAAATATGTTGGAAGATACTTATGTTATGTCCAAATAAATGTACTTAGAAAATATTTTTCCATCTTTTGAGCTTTTTCACATGATGATGCAAGTAACATTTTACATTTTCCAGGACTGGTTTCGTGGTAATTTCCTTTCTTTTGTTTTCTTTTCTTTTCCTTTCTTTTCTCTTCTCTTCTCTTCTCTTCTCTTCTCTTCTCTTGTCTTCTCTTTTCTTCTCTCGTCTCCTCTCTTCTTTCTTTTTTTATGTAACTGATTAGGCCTTGGGAAGAAGAAAGAAGAGTGAGGCCCTGTTACAATTGCAACACACTATATGACATGTTGTACTTCAGCCCCCTTTTGCTAACAAAGTATAAATCTGATGATGATTTATGATGGATAAAAGAGGGCCTTTCTACCCCAAATAAGCTGCCATGGTTTTCCAAGTTGCTTCAAATGCCCCTCAACTCCTCATTCTGGCTAGTGCTTTTATTGATAATAATTTAAGGTGTTCAGTTTGCATTTTCCCCCTAAGTCCTTCTACTTGTAAATATTCTATGCTAGAGATTAAGACATTATTTCTGCCCTTAATGGACAGCTTTAATGGACAACAACAAACATGTCTTTTGTTATAACAAAAGATAACATGTCATAAGAGAAGCACTAATGAAATAACAAATTTAAAGTGCCCAGCACAGAAGAAAGAACTCTGCACAGAAAATATATTCAGTAGGTGCTTTTTCCTTTCTCTTCCCCACTTCTGTGGGAAATGTTGCATCTGGTTGGAAGAATAAATAAAGCGCTTATAGGGGAGATGGAATTTTGGTTTTAGAAATTTGGAGAATTGTCTGTGGAATGTAAACCAATTTAGCTAGACATGAAAATAGTGTAATTACAGAAAAACAGTTAAAATGATTTTTGGAAAGGTGGGCTGCAGCCTGATACGCAGGGCTTTGCAATTTAGGGTGAGAAATTTTAAGATAATTTCATTGATGATAGGAAGCCATTGAGAATATTTAAAGTAAAGAGAATCATACTAAGACCTGTGCTATAGATAGTTAATCCATAAGCTGTGTGAAGAATGAATCAGGGAGAAAAGGGCAGAAAGATAATTTTAGGAGGTTAGTTACATAAAAAGATCAACAATTATAATCTTTACCATCATTTAATGCGTGTTGGGGCCAGAATTTTTATATACATATTTTTTCATCTTCTCAGCTATCTTAGAATATAGATAAGTTAAGAATATGCTAGTTAAGAATATGAAGCTCAGTGGGTTATTCATGGCATCACTAAGTAGACTATGCCATGACTTATATAAGGCATATTACTAGTTGACCCAGTGTTTAAAACCACATTTTTCTGATGCCACACCCCATAATAGAAAGAGAACCCACACTAACCTTAATGAAATGTGTGATCTAGGAAATGTCTCTAAATTTTCCTAGGATTCAGTTTCTCCATATGAGGAGACAAATCAAACTTTAAAATTTTACAGTCTACCTATAGACATACATCCAATTCTTATTACAGTCAATGGCATGCATTTGCATCCCAAGCGGCTGGGGAATCAAATACAGACCAACATGGAATTTCCTGGGGAGCTATTTTCTAACTGAAAGGAACCTTACTCTTCAGGCTGAAGTGTAATGCATTTTGGCAATTTCTAATGATATGATTTTTATAACTAAGATGACATAGAGATTTATACTTAAAAGTCATATAAATTCTGCAGGAATAAGATAATATTTAACCATAATTTTATAAAAGACAGATTTAGAAAGATCCAATCAATTATATTTCACTTGCAGATATTCTAAGTTAAGAAGAGAAAGTTCGAGGAAAAATATAAAGGCCTTAAACCCCTTATTACTTCAGTTCAACAAGGAATCAAGAGTAAAGTTCTTCAAAGAATTAATTGAAGACACCCTGGGAAGAGGGGACTGAGGTTCTGAAGTTTATCATAAATCATTCAATGCCTTTGGCAAAGCCTTGGTGGAACTTATGAGGCTGAGTATTATAATGTAATTTAAGTTTTCACTTAGGACTTAATTCTGATTCTGATGGGAATTTGATCCATGAAAGGATTGCAGAACTGAATCCCAACAGACAGATTCTGTTGATCATGATAATGTTTTGCTTCCAGCAGAAAGGTGAGCTGCTGTTTTTGAACCCAAATGAGAAGTGTTTTTGAAGCACCGTATCTATTCCTTTTATACTGATCGGGGTAAACCAAGGAGAGGATATGAAATCTCTGCCTCTTCTGGAAAAAGGATAAATGATAGTACATTTATTTGTATAGAACTGAACTTAGAAATCTCTTCTGAAATCTATATCAAGTGTTTCTAAATGGTATAGGCGTGTGCATCAGTGATGGCTCAGTAGATCTAAACCTGTCTGAAAATCAGAGCAATTGGAAAATGTTTGTGCTCACTCACCTTCTGACAAAGGAAACAATAACGCAGTAGGAAGCTGCAGCTATCTTCTGACACATTATGTTTCCAGCCCCAAAATGTCACATGAAACCCACTGAATGAAGATGAATGAAAACCAGCAGTGGTCCTGAAACACGAAAAGGAGAAAAAGCTCCAGCCGCAAAAACGGCTGAGGTTCTTCAAAGCCCAACAAGCTGTTGACTCAGACCTTTGCAAAGTTGAGAGCGTGTATTCATTCTCTGGTAAGGCCAAGGGTCTTATAATTGACCAGGCAGGGAAACTCAAATCTCTAATTTGAGGTATAATTGCAACATGCAAATTCTTTGCAAGAAGCCCTTAGAGGGAAAAGCTACGGTAAACGTTAGAATGATTTTCTGTTTCTCTGTCAATTGAAAATGTAAGGACTCTGAAGCGTATAATGTTTAAAGGCAAGGGGACCTAGAAGCTTCCAGAATTCAAACTTATTCTGCTAGGGCTGATTCTCTAAATTTAAATTGTGTACCCTGTGGTGCTAACAAAATAATCCTTTATAACTTGTGCGGGTTGAAGATAGTTGATGAGTGAAGATGATTTATTAACTTTATAGCAATATCCTCAGAGCTTTCTTCTATCACCATTTTTGCAGTCAACATGAACTTTTAAACCACAAACATTTCTTAATGGATGAAGTGAGAAATGTATGCTCATTAAAAACTGAGGAGGAAAATGAGAAAATGGGAGTCATCTTTTATAACTTTAATTTTGAAAGTTATCTTTGAAAACTTTAAAATAATTTATAACAATAACATACTTTGAGACTCCACTGAGCAAATTTACTTTATCATGAAAAATATAATTAAGTTTAATATATGTGCTGGACATCAGAATTTCTCCTTTTTTTCCTAGTTTCTTAATTGCATTGATTGTTTGCTTTCAATTGGCCTGGATTAAAAACTTGGCTATCTTTTTGATTGGTGCACTAAATAATGAAACCATCTTGCAAAATCCAAGAAAGAGCCATTTTATGAGATTACTGTGGTCCTGAGTTAATACAAATCACCAAGTTTTGTTAGTTTTCCTGTCCCACAAAGAAGGTGCTAGTGCCTTCAATTTTTGCTTTTTGCTATTGTTTCACATTATATTGTCTTTCCAGTAATATTAACAACAAACTCATAGACATGGAGTCACATTTTGAAAATTGTGTAGATAACTTCATTAATTGGGAAGGCAACACTTGAAGTTAGACAACTGATTTCAAAGGTGAGAGGTTAGCAGAAGATAAGAAAAGGGGCTTCGTATTAGTTAACTAGTTGAATTGTTCATTTGAATAGAAACATTGCATTCTGACCTTTGAGAAAGCCATAGAAGAAAACCCCAAATTTTAGGAATTTCTTATATTTGTGATAAGTATATTTTAAGATAGGCCATTTTTACATTGATATATAAATCCTTGGCTCTTTTTCTACCAAGGGTCTAAGATTTCATTTAAAAAATTTGAACCCCATGGTGGAATTTAGATGCTGGTGAAATACGTGCAGAGACCACTATGTGTTGACATTTTAGTTAAAATGAAGCATTACCATTAGGTTAGGTAAATAGATTCTATTGCTTCTCTCACCAAGTTACAGTTCATAATTGGGCAAAAACAAAAAAATGGACCTTCTCTAATGTTTTCAGCACTTAGAGCTGTCAGAGCTCAACAACTGTCCTGTGATCAGTAATAAAGTGATTCTCTCAAAAATGAAACTACACATACACTGACTTTATTTTCCCAAGCCCTTGAAATCCCTCTCGCAACCAACCCGACATGATCTATCAAGCGCTAAACTGAAATGTGTCTAAAACATTACAAATTTACAACTTTCTCCTTAATTCTGAAACACTTCATTTTGGTCTTTTAGGCATTATTTTCTGGTACTTTGGTAGCAGTAGGCAAAATACATTATCGGAGAAATATGCTACAAAGGGAAAGAGAAGAAGGTTTTGGGCTATGAAGTTATGTTCACAGCTTTCTCAAGCATTATTTAAAAAATTGATGCAATAAATGTCATCTTAAATGTTTTAACATACATTTAATCTGGTAGAGTCGGGTTTTGACAATTTGTTTTTAAACAATGTTTCTTAATGAAGTTTTTCATACACGAAATTCATTAGTGTTCAGGACAAAGAAAAATAAGTGAATTTGTACCCCTATGTTGCCAAGTGTATGATTTGTTGGTATGCCAAATAAGTATGGTTTTTATATTAATAGATTAATTCCACATACATTACGAAAGTGTGAATTTTTCAATTTTCCTAATTTTATTTTTCAACATCATAGAAGCTAATTACGTTTGTATCTAAGAGATCATTCCTCAAGCTTTAATAATGTGAGGTACGAGTTTATAATGAATTTCAACCTCTTTGTTTTTTGATTTTGAATGTCTCAGTTAATCTAAAGAGAATAATTGGTTGATTAATTCATTCATATATTCAGAGTGATGAACGTGCCAGGTACTAATCTACATGTTGGAATACAATGGTGAAAAGTACTGGGTCTTACCTACAGTGGTGTGGCTTCCTCAAAGAATGATGGGAAGATATATTGGGGGCTTGGCCGAGGTGCCAGTTTAGGGACTACACTATGTAGGCTTGGAATGCTTTCCTCAGGAAGTGTGTATGCCCCAAATTAATGGCCAACATATGGTGCTGTGACCTCCCCAAAGCTAGAATACATGGGTTAGAAACCATGAAGTAAAAGATTGGCCCCATGGTTATCACTCATACTTACTAGTGATGTCTGTGCTTCTCCTTCCTACAATCTAGGCTCTGATGGATTAGGAGTTCTGATTTCTACCATGGCAGGAGGATACTTCACTAGAGGACAGAATAAGTCATAGTCTTGGAACTATGACCATTGTTGGCCATTTTGGGCTTCTCATGCAAGTGGCCCCAAAAGCAGAAGGAAGTCATCACGTTGGTGGGGATAACTGAGCCTGATTTGAATGAGGAGCTATGGTTGCTCCTCGTGGTGGTGCTGCTTGGTGGTACCATGGAAGAGCAGGTGTAGAAACCAGGAGCTTCCTTGGGGCTGTCCAGATGATAACAGAAAACGGACTATTGTAAAGACAATGACCTGACTGTGGTGTAGTAATAAAGGTTTCTAACCCCATGTAGATGATGGTTTGAGCCATCTCTCCAGACAAAGCAGTTTAGACCAACTGGAGTGGTGACTAAGAATAGGGAAAACTTAGAATGACATTGGAGGAGGAAAAAAGATGGTTAATATCAGTGACGGCCTGGTGGTAGCAGGGACTCCCTTTCCCAAATAGCTTTTCTTTATCGAGTCTATTGTAGAAATCAGTACTGGCCACACTGCCTTGAAGGCTCTGGGAGAAGTCTCAGTGTTGCAAAAGCTGGACTCTTTCATGAACCTCTTATATCCTACCTCACAACCTCTTGGTTGACCATTTTATTCCAGACATTGGTACCACAACTAGCTGATTGCAGGTGTGACCAGCTAACACCTCACTCCAACTTTTGCCCTAGCGTTCCTCTGTGTGGAACACTTATGGGAACCCGCTCAGCCATTCTGAATCTTTCCTAACACAGCCATGGGATTACCCTTAAAGAATAGGAGATAGAAGCCTGTAACTCTGGTAGACAATTCTGACATGTGTTATGCAGGACTTTCAGAGGACCCCTAATCATATTGAGCCCTAGTTACCCACATTTGTCACCAACTTGATAATGCACTGCTAGATTAGCTTTGCTTTTGTTCTCTTTTCACTCTTCCCATTTTCCCATTTTTGTTCCTTGGCATTACTTGCAAAATACACTGCCTACATGCAAGCTCTTACATCAGGTTATTTTGTTGTTGGGGGCAGGATTGGAATAGATGGGTGATGTAGAATATGATGGTGAGAAATGTTTTAAAGAGAAGTAAAGCAGGGAATGGAGTAGAGGAATATCAAGAGGGAGAGAGGAACTGGTGACATTTGAAGACACCTAAAGAAAAACAATGAACCCTGTAGATCTTCAGGGAAGAGCACCACAGGCAGATGAAGCTGTTAGTGTAAAGGCCCCATGGAAATGTGCCTGGTACATTTGAGGAGCAGCAGGGTGGCCAGTGTGGCTGGAGCTGAATGAATGAGAAAGAGAGTGATACAAAGTAAGCCTATAGAGGCAACTGGGCCAGATGGAATAGGTAGGGGCTTTGCTGCCTACATCAGGATATTTAGCATTCTTTGTCTCTCATTTGTTAATGGGGCTAGTAATGCTGACCTCACATGGTCTTGAAAAAGGTCCCAGAGAATGTAGTGCCTAAGAGGAAAGGGCCTGTTTTCCATTTTTATATCTATCTATCTATCGATTGATCTATCATCTATGTCAACATCATCTTCCTAGCTAAGCTGTCTACATTGTACTTTGTAATTTTCTCATCCTCTTCCATCTCCTCCTGTGGCACAGCACTCACTTATACTAAGTCTATTTTAAACTTTGGCCACACAGGCAGTCATCAAAAGGAACTGGAGAGCTGTGAGCCTTCATGGGGTGAGACTGTCACACATTTGTGTATAGCACATCATAACAGTTGCCTCCCTTTCTCATCCTGTGTCTCCCTCCGGTCTCTGGAGTCTGTTACCTCTCCGCCTAAAAGCATTATACTGCAAGGAAAACTTACATCTTGATCACTTAGAAGGACATGTACTTAATAATGTGCTTTCTCTAAAGGAGCCTGTTAATCTCATAGGGAACTTGAACTTCTAATTTATTATTAGTATCAAGAAGACCCTTAGTTTGTTGAGTCTTGCTTTATGTTATTCTTTTTCATTTAGGCTATGAAGAAAAGTGTGAGTTATCATTACTGGAAAGAACAAGGTAATGGTGAGTAAGTTGACCATCATCAGATCATGGGCAAATTATTTGACATCTCCTGGAGCATCTGACTTTATATTAATTATGAAGCAACTTTGATATGTTCTCTCCTTCTTTTTTGATATCTTCTTTTCTTCTTACATGCTAATAGAATTTTAACCTGGGCCAGCTAAAAGTTTTCCAGCTTCTTCCCATTTGTGACAACCAAAAATGTTTCCAAACATTGCCGAATATCTCCTGGGGACATTCCTAGTAAGAAACATTTCTCAGGTAGACGTCCTTGGGCAAGTCAGCTAAATCTTTGAAATCTTAGTTTCCTCAAAGGTGAAAATAACAGATATTTGTCTCTCAAGATTACTGAGGTAGGTAGAATTCTAAGATGTCTTAAATGGTTAGGCTTTGTGTCCCCACCCAAATCTCATCTTGAATTGTAATCCCTCATTGTTGTAGGGAGAGCCCTGGTGGGAAGTGGTTGGATTAAGAGGGAGAGTTTCCCCCGTGCTGTTCTCGTGATAGTGAGTAAGTTCCCACAAGATCTGATGGTTTTATAAGGCAGTTTTCCCTGCTCTTGCTAGCACTCTCTCCTGCTGCCATGTGAAAAGTTCAAGTTTGCTTCCCCCTCACCTTCCATCATGATTGTAAGTTAACTGAGGCCTTCCCAGCCATGTGGAACTGCGAGTCAATTAAACCTTTTTCCTTTATAAGTTACCCAGTATCGGGTAGTATCTTTATAGCAGTGTGAGAATGGACTAACGTATACTTCCTACTCCACACTTTGGGCTACTAAAACATCTGTTAATTTTGTATCTGGTGATTTTACTTCTCCTCAGTACTATGAATTCTACTTAAAATAAACTATATGAGATCCATTCATTAATTTATTTGCCAGATTATATTTAATCTAATATAAATAGATTATATATAATCTATATATCAATAACAATTTATAAAAATTTTTATGATTGTGACTTGAAAAATATTCACGCCTTGTCATCCTTCTTTACAATTTTTTTCTGCCTTTTTAAACAAGGTAGTTTGGGCCTCTCATGCTTTATTTTAAAAGTATCTTAGTATGCCTGATATGGTGTCAGATACCAGGAATATAACAATGTATAAGACATGGGTCCCCATGGAACTCAGAGCCTTGTGGCAAGGGCATTGAAAAGCAGTTGTGGGTGTGATGTCTCTAGCAAAGGAAAAGTACAGAGATTGGAGGAGCTGATAACATAGGCACTAGTTGGGCCTGAGCAGTTTTGTGAGTCTCTGTGATATATTCCTCATTTATCCACTTATCCTGCCACTTAAAGTCTGCTACAAATATTTAGAAGCTAGAAACTCAAGCTGGAAGAAGACATACTCTGACTTCTGACACAAGGCAACGTGCCCATGGGAGCAACTGGGGAGGAAGTTCAGTGGAGGGCTTCTGTGATGGGACAGCCCCAGAGCCCCTAAGGGAGCTGCTAGGAGACTCAACTTGGGTTCTGAATTATGCAGTTAGGTCTAATTATGATTTAAACTAATAGGATAGTTGCCAAATCACTTCTTTCTACTTTATCCTCCTATCCCCTCTATGTCTTCACCAAAATCAAAAACAAAGGAAGTAGAAACACTTTTCTTAGATAAAATTAGCCTCCTACTTGGTGGTACTTCAAGTGGTAAGGCTACTGATATGACTTCAAAATTGATGCCTAAAATTAAAGGCAGTAGATAAAGCCCAAATCACAAAATGATTCTTGTGGACTATTTTAAAGCTCAGACTCCCACAATCCATGCCTAGAATAGGCATGCAAATATGAGACCTTTGACATCAGAAAATATAAACCAAGAACAAACAAAAAGCAGATACTTAGGAATTCTAAAATTTGAGAATTTTTACAGTGCCCAGCATTAAAAACAATACTGTACCCCAGAGCAAACATGATATTTCATACATATTACACTATAAAAAGACCAAAAGAATTTGAAAATAATTTTTGGAATCTCAAGAGAATTGGGTCAAACTTTTGAATGTTCATGGCACTGTAAAATAAATAAAGTAGGGATTTGAATATAATCTCTTGAGTGTTTTAATCAACAATTATACTACTCAATTTAGATTTCAAAGTAGAATTTGTTTGTTTAAATTTAAATATATTTATCGACACATTAAATGTCGTGCTATTTTGATGAATAGATTATTTTTATTTAGAAATAAATGTATAAGTTTTACTGTCATGCTTCATTTCTTTAATTCTTCACTTGGCTTCTGAGACATAGCACTCTCCTGAATCCAGTCCTTCCTCACGGATCATTTCTTCTTAGTCTTGCTTGCTGGGTTCTCCTTATCTCCCTGAACTCTAAACAATGAGTGTCTAAGAACTCAGCCTTTGGACTTCTTCTCTTCTTCTCATGGCCTCAAAATCTTGAAGCAAAAGCTGTCTCCCTGACATAGAGACTTCTAGATGCAATTGCTTACTCAACCCCATCCTTAAATGTTCAAACCTTTATCCACTTGCCTCCACCAAATCTGCTTCTCCCAAACTTTTCTCCATTTAATAAATGGCAATTCTGACCTTCCATTTGCTCAGATTAAAAACTTGGAATTATCCTTGACTTTCATTCTTTCACATTTTTAATCCAATTTGTTGGCAAATCCTATCTACCCCAGCTTCTAAATATATCCAGAATGTAACTTCTCCATCCCATCTCTACTGATAATACAAACCTTCCTCATCTCTCATCTGCATTATTTCAACAGCTTCTTAACTCGTCTATTTCCTTCCCTTTTTCTCTCGAGGGTCTATTCTCAGGGTAGCTCAGGTTTTCTTTTCTAAGTCATAAGGCAGATCACATCACTTATCTGCTAAGGATCCTTTGAAAGCTGTTCATCTGACTCAGAGTAGAAGCCACTCAATGGATGCCCCCCCAACACACACACATTCTCTACCATCACCATTTCTCTGATCTCATCCACTGCAGTTCTCTTTTTCTTACTCCCACTGCCTCTGCCACATTGGCTTCCCTGATACTCTTCACATGTTCCAGGGAGGCCCCTGTCTCAATGCTTTGACAATTGCTTTTCCCTCTGCCTAGAACATGGCTAGCTGCATGGCATCCCTAGCTGCATGGCTTGCTTCCTTACTTCCTTTGGGGCCTTTTGTGCAAATGTCATCTTTTCAGAGAGGCTCTCCCTAAACATTATCTTTTCTGCCTGATTTTTCTCCATGACACTTATCACCAACCAATATACTATATATATACGTATCTCCCTACGATAGTGTACATTCCACTGAGACAGACATTTTTGGAAGTTTTATTCATTTCTTCATGGTAAAATTATAATTTAAAAATAGCTAATATGCACACATTAAGAAGCACGCGTATCACACATTTAATAACTAGATGAGGCACATGGCATAGTGAAGTCTCCGTGTGGACTTAGTTTTGAAACAAATCATGGATAGTTAAGGTTCATCAAATGATTTAAAGATCAAGGCTTTTGCTTAGATGAAATTATTACAGAGTTTAAAGATATAATATTTAAACAATCATGAAAAAGTGACAAAAACTGTTCCTAGGAAAACATTAAGTTTAAAATGTTTGCTAATTACGTTAACCTATAATTACCAACAGATTTTTATGTATTCATAAACCATCAAACAACTCCAAGAAAGCAGCAAAAGAAACTTCTGTCTTAAATAGAGTGGATAGCTGACTATAATAGAAGACAATTCTACAATCCACAGTACAAGACAAGTTCTCATGACTATTAAAAATCTGTATAGATCCCAAGAGACTCCAAATAGAAGCAGGCCAGACATCATGGCATCCATGCAAAATTAGGTATGCCAATTTATTAAAAGTACCTTTTAGAGAGGATTGATGGTTCTTTTAAATTCTCTTGCTGCAAAACAAAACAAAAAAATAAGATGAAATCCTAATATCATGTTTAACTGGCTGACATTCTTTCTGTTTTTTAATAAAAAAAGGATTTCAAGTGCCACAATACCATATTCATTGTCAAACATAAGAATGATGTGTATGAATAAGAAATAAGTGGAGATGAGCGCAACATGCATCGGTGTCCATATCAATCTTGTAAAGTTGTACATATTTACAAATTCTCTTGGCTCTGTACTTTGCCTTTCTGGGAATAATAATCTCTGGAATTTAGGACTGTTTGTTTACAATTTAGGAATATAATGTTTAATTTTTTCTGATATGAATGGGACTTATTGGTAATGGCATAGTCTTATTGTAAACACACCCATTTCTCAATAAATTCACAGCTTGGTGCTTTGGCAAAAAGGAAATGCCATTTAAAGGACAGACTGCAAACTGAAATAGGATGCAGAGAAACAGGAGTGAGGAAATTATTCAAAATAAAACTCATTCCACTACTAGTTGAACATTATTGAATCAATCAAGATTATAATTTGGGGGCTAATTTCACCTGCTAATGGAGAAGTCTGTCACAACCTCTAAGATTTTGAACTCAGATTTTATATGTTTTACAAACTTAAAAGATAAAGCAAAGGTTTAACTACTGTTTCCCACCCCTTTCTGAGTCTTTAACTTATGCAAAAGCTTTGTTAGGCAGGCTGGCAGCAGCCTTAAGTATTTTATTTCTCCACTGCTACATGAAGTCAAATTGCCATGGAGTGATAATTGCTCAGAAACTGAACTGTAGGAGGCTCTGTCCATACGGTGTATCATCAGACAAATATTTCAAAGGGAATATTGAAACTCAGAGAGGCACAAATGATCTCGGCTGTGGAAGTCTTAGGATTTCAACTTCAATCAAAGGGAATAGGACCTGCTTCAAAATAGTCGTCTCCACGCACACTGCAGCCTGAAGTTAGCCCTGCATAATTACAGACAGTCCGTGTCAAGTGAATGGAAGGCTCCCCTTAAAGCAGGAATGCATGCGTGGCTCTCAAGGCAGCCCATTTGGATGATTTGTGGCATAGGATCAGAAATCACTTCAACTTGTTTGAAAAAAAGAGCAACATACTTTAGAAAAAGAACACAAAATCCCACGTGATCTTGATTCTCGGAAACACCTATTTTCTTAGTAAATGTAAAGCACAGAGGAGTGCATCTTGTATTATTTATTCCTGGCCGGGAGTGTATATCAGAGTGGAAGGGCTTTGTGTGTGTGTGTGTGTGTGTGTGTGTGTGTGTGTGTGTGTGTGTGTGCTGGCATACAGGATTGGAATGAGACAAACAGAGCAACACAGATATTCCATTGTTTGCCTCTGTAGACTGAGGGATTGAAGACAAAGGCGCTAGAATGCTGGAGAGGCACTTTTGCAGAAATGCTGGTGAGAAGCACCAAATGCTACCCTCCCATCTCCCCAGCTGCTTTCATTTCTCTGGAGCTGAAACAAAGGTAACTCTAAAAGCACACACACACCCCCACAAGTAATAGAAAGGTGATGTGCTGAGTCACAGTTACAAATGAGAAGAATATTCTCATAACATTTACAAAAATGAGAACCTACTCGGAGCCCCCCTCATCACCATGCATTCACCCTCAATTAAAACAATGCCCCTGATAGCAGGCAGTATAATCTGCATTTTATTTCACTCATGAGCAAAATAACAAGTTACTCAGGCCTGAGGCACTCATGAGTGATATGGGGCGTGTAATATCCTTTCCATTGAGTTTCCTATTATTAAGCTTGAAATAAGGAGTTCAGAATTAACTGTGACAATGATTTTATCTAGTGTTGGCATCACCATTAGCTTTTGCAGTTTACTGCTAATAAAACTTTAAATTTGCTATTACTTCTAATAACCTTCTTGCCACCTTAGCTGTAGAAATTAGACAAAGAACCCTGCTGACATGTGGCTAGTGACATTTTCTGGAAGTGTAGAGAACTCTGATGACAACAGTGACTATTATTTACCAAAGTATAATAAAGCCAGGCCCCACTGGCCTTCGGCAGCCTAATTTAAAGCACCTGTTCCTGGGGTTTGAAGGGGCCTGTAAAAGAACAAAGCATAAAATTTTGGTTTCTGTTATTGTTGTTCCAAGCATTAGAGTTTTATTTTATAGCAGTCCAGTAGATTCTAAAGTAGGAAAAATAATTTGTGACAAGGGCTACATGAGTGAGATGAAATATTCAAGTCATTGCTCAACACAGAAACTCAAATTCATTCACCTAAAACATTAAAAAATGAGGCAATGATAGATACGTTTGTGAGCTTGATCACTTTCTGTCAAATCTCTAGTTTCTTTCAACCCTCCCTCTGTGATATTGGACATTGCCCTTCCCCAGTTCACAACCCTAATTATAGGGTAATTGTTGCTCCCATTTTCTCATATTGTCCACAGAATTAATGTGTGTCTGAACATTATGACTTCTGGCTGTAGCTGAGATCTATCTTGTTACCTTGTCCCAACAAAATTTTCCCAAACTACGAATAAACAAACAATAATGAGACAATAGACTTAAGCACTCAGAAAAATATAATAATGAATCATTAAATATTTTTTAAAGTATTTGCTTTTAATCACAGTGAAAAGCATTAGCCAGTCACCAGACTTTATCTGGGAACCAGTGTGTATTTGGGAACCATCAGGATTATGTCTGGCATATGAAGTCTTTCCCTCACACGTGTTCATCTCAGGGTATATTGTGATATTGGCAGGTTTGCTGTTTACTCTCAGTGGGCAGTGCAATTGTTTGCTGAGAAAGTCTGAGTTCCAGAAGATTGGGGAATCAAAATAAAGCCTGTTGGTCAAATAAAAACATATCTTTGTGCAATGGTTCCTTTTCATTCTATCTTCTTTAGTCAACTCTCTCCTCATTTTACATAATTGAATTTTATTAAGAAATGTGCAGCAAAGAAATTTTTCTCCCAAGACACTCCAGTGAAGATGTTCTCTTTGCCAGCACTTCTAGCATCACTTTGAGCAAGATGGTCTGTAAGTGGCAATAGAGAAGGGAGGAACCTCTTGAGAGTTCCTGAGTTGTGAATGGGTTTTTGATAATTGGAGGAACATGCTCAGACCCTTTGCAGCCTTTACAGACTTGATTACGGCCACAGCAAATGGTGGTACTTCCTTTCTCAAGTAACTTCAGCATCATTCTGTTTTCCCAGACCACTATAATCGCTTTCCTAGTGAAGGATAGGCATGCACCCATTTCACCTTCCTCCTTTTTTATCTTTTTATTATTTATTTATTTATTTTTGAGATGGAGTCTTGCTCTGTCACCCAGGCTGGAGTGCAGTGGCACGATCTCGGCTCACTGCAACCTCCGCCTCCCAGGTTCAAGCGATTCTCCTGCCTCAGCCTCCTGAGTAGCTGGGACTACAGGCACCTGCCACCACGCAGAGCTAGAGCTTTGCTACTGCTTTTCGGGGCCAGCCTTTCTGAACCAGAAAAAAAGGTATATGGGTACCAACACGAGGTCTAACTAGGAGTCAGGAAAGGTGAGTATGTGTGAAATGGCTAGGAGGCTAAGTGCCAAGGGAAGCCCTTGGAACTGGGTGGCATATCAATGGTATTCTCTTGTTATGACTTTCTTGGTGACCCAGGAAGTATTTCTATGGCTTTTGTTAAATTTTCCAATTCGCTGTCAACTCTGGGAAATGCTATCTTGGTATTCTAAGCCAGGACGGAATGTTGTCTTCCCTTTAATGAGCCAGGACTTTATTCTCTGTGAATGTGAACTATTTTTTGCACATCTGGGATGCATCTGTTCAACCACAAAGCGTCAGTTAAGAAAGAAAGAATTCAGTAAAGACAGGGATATTCAAGGCCAGCCCATTCTGAGCTGGCTGGGAATTTGGTTATAATAGATAGAAAATGACTGAGCACCAGGTGAAAATTACTGATGGATAGACAGTGTGAAAGGAAGCACACAGCTCCTGGCCCTCATTGATGACCCCTCCAGTTGCATGTGATTCCTGCTCCTGTCAGGGCCCCATCCCACGTTCCTGTCTTCAGTCCAAGCATCCTGTTTCTAAAAACTCCATTTTGATTTTGTAAGTTATAGACACGACAGTTGGGGAAGAAGGAGAGAGAAGGATCTCCTGCTTTAGCATCCAGGGGGGCTTGCTCCTGATCTGCACCAACTTAGGGGTATGAAAAGGTGATTGCAAGTTCCCATGGGACTCTTGTGGAAAACGTGTGTTTGGACTCGAGTTAGAGCCACTGAAAGTTACATTGTCAGTAGGAATGGCATTGCTAATATGAAGTAATGCATTTTGCGTTTCTGAGATACCTCCTCTCAACAGAGCATTGGAAAATACAATTGATTCACACGTTTGTCTTGCAAAAATGGGGGACTAATTTCCATAGATTGCCTTGGATTTTATTGCCTTTGGATAGCTACAAATAATCCATGTTTGTTAAAATTCTTTTTTCTTATTAAAATAGTGAAAACATTTCTAAACTCATTATTTACCCCATAAAACAGTACTAAAATTGCATGTACTTGTCCCCAAATTGCCTTCTTCTCTGGTAGTTACTAATCACTTGGACTACTCATCTCAATTGCTGAACCACAACAACAAAACAAAAGGTATCTTTGGTTATATACAAACAGCTTTCAATTCGTTAATTAGGGCTAATTGGAGAGCAATTGAACTTTGCTCTACTTATGTTGTTCTCTCTTTAAACTGCAAACTGATGGCATTTTGCAGACAAATAGAATGAGCAGCCTTCCTGAGCCTCATACTCTTCATTCTGGTTCTATACTTTCCTTGTCAGTGCTGGTTTATATAAACTCTAGGAGTGCATCTGTGCTTAGCACACATGCTAGGGGGAAACTAAGGTGGCCAGATAGAGCTTGGTAAAGAGAACCTTTGGTGTAAGTTGGGGTAAGGAAACGTGTCCAGGAAATCTCTTCGGATTCACTTATTCTCTGTGCTATTTACAGATATTTCCTCTGTAAAAGTAAAATAAAAAAGTTAGACTTTTCTGTAACTCTGTTCCAAATTATTAACTAACATGATTTCTCTGGTTCTTTTTATCAGCCTTGTAGGGTGGGCAGTTTTCTTAGCCCCATTTCTCTGATAAACAGAGGTTTGGAGAACTACCTGGAAAGGGAACATGACACAGTACAGTCTTTGAAGTAAGACAGCCTTGGGTTTAACTTCTGCTCCACTCTTTCTGTTGTTTACTTTAGCATGTTTCTGAAACACTTGGAATTTTATGTTCCCTCATTTCTTTATGAAAGGATAGTACCTAAAGATTTGGTGAGGCTGGGAGTCAAAAGTTAAATTCAGTGAGTTCAAGATTCATTTATTCATAAAACTCTCATTGAAATTCTAACTATGTGCCATATAAGGTACTGAAAATATGAAAGTAGACAAAAAAGGTGCTGTCCTCCAAAGAATTTTGATCCAGTGGAGAAGACATGCAAGGTAACAGAAATTCAAAAGACAATGGGATAGCACTGTGATATAGGAGATATGTACAGTGGCCACAGGAGAGTAAGAGTGAGGCAGTCATCTGACTCAGTTTGGAGAAATTCAAGAGGGGAACCTAGAGAAGGTGACAAGTTAGCTGAGACTTGAAACAAGAGACAAGTTAACAAAATCAAGTGATGAGCGAACTTAAGGCAATGGTACTTAGGAAGCAAATGAGTGATGGCAGATGCCTATACAGAGAGTTCAGGGAATTACAAATATATAAGTTATGGATGAGAGCACAGGGTTCAGGGGAGTTGCTAGAGAAGTAATTGATAGGGTAAAAGGTAGTGTAGGTTTAAGATTATAATTAAGAAGAGGTGGAATCAGGTTTGAATGCCAACTTTCTGATTTCAAATCCTATCTTTTTTCTTCACAGTCCTATCCCAGGTCAGCATGAGTATGGATGTGGATGTGTGTGTGTATATGTATGTGTATGTGTATATGTGTGTATGTCCGTATGTATATGTGTTCATTTGTATGTGTTTGTGTATGTGTGCATGTGTTTATCTGTATGCATGTGATATGTGTGTATGTATGTGTGTATATATGTGTGTATGCCTATGTGTATGTGTGTATATGTGTGTTTGTGTACTTGTATTATGTATGTGTTTATGGCTGGCTATGTATGAGTATGTATATAGGTGTATGTGTATATATCTATGTATATGTATGTGTATGTATGTATGTATATGTGCATTTATGTGTGTAAGTGTATGTTTATATGTGTGCATATGTGTGTCTGTGTTTATGTCTATGCATGTGTATGTGGGTGTATGTATAGTCATATGCTGAAATGAGTCCTTCACATATATACTTACCACTGTAAAGCTGGTATTTTCTTTACACACAACATGTAAATATACATTTTAATCCTGTTCTAATGAAATTGGAGTGTCAACATACTTCGAGAGACATCTTTAGCTATATATTTTTCCTACAGTTATCTGCACTTTAAAAATACAGAACAATTGAAGCCATTCAAAACTGTTCATGAAATATTCAAGCTTTAAAAAGTTGTTTTTGTTGAGAGTGCAAGCAAAGAATGAAAGCAAAGCAAATTTGGGCAGAACATAGTTATCATTTTATCTGAAGTGAGAACCAACCATCCTAATGGACTTAAAGGATTGTGAATATTTTTCCAGTGACTGGCAATTGTAGAGAGAACTCTGTAAGTAGGCTAGGCTATTTTTGGCACTTGATTCATTGTAAATTTAGATTCATAGATAGGTGGATAATGGATAGATATTTTATCTATGTAGGGAAGTAGTTGTTACTTTTTTTAAAAAAATACAACCAATATGTGTTACATAATACCTGGATTCAGTATGGAATGTAAATTTTCTGGATAAGAATGTCAGGTTCCTAATGAAAATAGATAAATTTGTATTTTTAAAGTAAGATCCAATGGCATTCTAATCCTCTAATTCTAACCCAGATCATTTGATTGCAGAAAGCATAATAAAAACATCTGTGAATAAAAAAATACACAAAACAAAAATAACTGAGCTCATATCTAATACCTAACAGATTTAAATGTTTACAATAAAATGGGCTCCTTACAAGGGTGTGATTTGGACAGGGAAAAGTCAAAAGTTCATATACATTTTAACCTTGTTTTGACAAACATATGATACTGATATCACTCTTTTTGTGGATATAATGCACATTTTAAAATATAGTCTATGATTAAATGTCTTTAAAGCAAATCCCAGTTTCCTGTTGTTTTTCTTACTAACTAGGGGGCATATTCCAATAGTCTGATTAGGAGAGTTTTTTGAGCAGAGAGTGAGGAAGAGGTTAGTTATTCCCATGGCTCCTGGGAGTATTTTCACAGTATTTATGCTTGCTGTAATGTTTTATTTGCTAAGAAGTGGAAGGCAAAGGTTAACAGATATCCATTGCTTTTGTTCTGCTTTGTTTAATTTCGTTTAACTTCTATTTCGGAAGATCTTAACAGTTTCTCCCACTTATAGATACTCTTACTTCATCCTTGTTCTTCCCAAAGCCGAATCTCTCTCTTAACTTGGTCAGGGTATGTCATATGTGCAGCAAAAAGCTGCATTTTTGTTTTTCTGCTGAAGTTGAAGAATTGCAATTATATTGCCAGTTCTATGAGTATAGAGCACATATCTAGAATAAAATACTCTTATGATACAATGTTTTGTTTTGTTTCGTTTTTGTTTGTTTTTTTTAATGTGCCCTTCTGGATCACTCTGGGGCTTTCTCCCTTGGCTGTATGTTTCAGCAGGCTGATATGAATAGACTGTGAAACTAAGCTTTTTTTATCTGGTTTTCAGTGGGGTTCACCCAATAGGAGCCCCTGGTAGGAAGCTAGAAGACATGAAGAAAGAAAAGTCGGGGTGTTTGTTCCCTCGGTTCATGGATTGGCAGTGTCTGAGCTCCTCTTCCATCGGCCCCAGCTCCTGTTGGGTGGCCTTCCCTTCAGACTCAGGCTGCATGGACTCTTTAAACATTCCCTTCTCTCTTCACTTCAGACGTGGTGGTGGTTGGGAGCCTCAGGAATGCTTGTTTCACCCTCCTTGGTTGAATTCCCTTAACCCTGCCCATGCTTTGTGCCTCTGTTGAAACTCTTTAATTGCTTCTTTTGAGTTCTGTTTCTTGCCAGAACTCTGCTTAATGCAACTTCTTAAAGCCCCAAATGAAGAAAACAATGGAAACAAATAAATTTCAAGTTTGGGCATTGAATAAGCTGAAACTTGTTTCCTTGCATCATCATATACTGTATAAACCAAATTTATTTGAATATAAAGTGAATAATCTCTTTAAAAAAAGAGGTCTAGTCAAGACTCACAAATTATTAGTATTGCCCCATGCTTAGTACTTATTGTAGACCAAACATGTGCAAATGGTACCAACTTGTACTGGAAAGTAAACTGTGTTTTCTTCTGTCCTGGAAGGCCAATTTTATTTGAATATGACACTTTATTTTTCATGCAAAGGGATGTACAAAAGATGGAATTACAGAAGCTAAATATAGATGACTTCAAAGCCACAGTTTTGGGCATTTTATAGGCTCCTCATTCTGATAATGGTAAAATCCTGCCTGCCAATCAGTGGGCCTGTGCTTAAAAGACAAACTTCATTGTGTAATGACTTACCACTAACTCCATTGATGCAATTTGGGGGGTTTTGCTTTGTTTCATTTCATGGCTCATTTCTTGCTCCACACTTCCTTGGTCTCTGGTGCTGCTTTCCACCATAAGTTAGAAATGAATTTTTTAAAATAAGCACTTGTACTTTGCACCATAAAACAAAATCTGAAGCTGAAATCAAAGGCAGAAGGTAAATTACTTTTAGTGCTCTGCAAAGAAACTTTCATTTGGCTATTTCCTGTTGTTCTGAAACTCTGAAAATCAATACAGAAACATATCATATTCTGAAGGCAGGTCATCTGTGCACTAGGTGTTTTTAACAGTTGGCTTTGAAGGGGATACTTGTGCCCCCTTGACATGAATCTACAGTTCTTTGCACTAAGTGTCCCCATGAAACTACATTTCTGCTCAGGCTATCCATCTCAATGGTTATTACTTTTTACTTTTCCAAGCTCCCATCTTCTATTATAGATTCACTGATAGATCAATATGACAGAGGCAAAATAAAAGTCGGTTAGCTGTACATGTCTATTATGAGCCTGAAAATTCAGACACACATTTCTCCTGACAGAAGCCAGGCACGTAACCGAGCTGTTACATGTCTGGGTGGTTTTCTAGTCCTTTCTGTACAAACTCACATTTCTGGACATCTTTCTTAATTTTGAGGTCCTCATGGCCTGTCAGGGAGTTAGGAGTGAGTGGCTCCCTAGGGGCAAGAGTGATTTTAAAATACAATCTTCACTTTTGAAAGGAGAGAACAGAACACATTTGCTGCTGCACTGAGGCAGTAAAAAGGAGTGCTGACATGCTCGGTTCCTAAACCACAGGCAAGCAGACTGTAAAACCAAGTGTTATTTCAAAGTCAAGGGAAAAATCTTTGCAGTCCTCTGGTGGGAAATGGGAATGTGAAAGCTGGCTTTGGGCAGGTAGGAAACCTCAGGTTCCCTCTGGGGTTGATCCTTTCAGCTATTAATCAGCAACCATTTTGAGAAAGAAGTAGAAATCTGTCAAACATTTAAGCTACTGTCCACTAGATGGTCTAAAATATCTACTAGTATCAGTTGGGACAGAGTGCTTCAGGGACATGCCAGAGAAGGAAGACATGGGCAGCAAAAGAGGCTGAGATTCAAATGGTCTCATATTTTAAGATTTTTAGCGCTTATTGCAAGTTCTCATGGTTAGATTTGTAGCAAGAGAGATAAAACTTGTAAAGCCCACCAAGATTATTAGAAATTAAACTAAAATGTAGGGCTTTTAATTCATTAATGTATCATGTCATGCATGGATTTGACACTCATTTATTGAGCTCTTACTGGGAATCAGACACTGTGCAAGGTGTTCAGGTTGGGAAAAGGCTGGTTTCCCTTCCTCAAGTAGCTTCCAATTCAGCAGCAGAGAGACAGGTGAATAGCAATTATGTGTAAAATACGCAGACATTTTCACAGTCTTATCCACAATCAAGAATCCATACATGTTTATGAATCCAAAGAATGCTATACAGCAGGTGGCTATAGGGAGAGAGTAATGGCAGGAAAAAATGAGGATGCAGGAATTAACTAATTAAAATGAATTACAGTAATAAAAGAAAGACATTATATGGACTGGCAACAATTGGCTATGCAAAAAGTTTACAGAAAAATAAAACCCAGGAATGATAATGCTGTGTGATGTGTACATGTGTACATAGAGCACTGCTGGCAACATGGACGAGGGTGCTTTGCTCAGGTGGGTTTAGGACAGGTAGTTTCTGATCCAGTAGCTTAAAATACGAGAGGACACAAATCTCAGATTTAGAAAGGCCTCCTGGCAGAGTTGGTGCTAAAAGGACTGCAAGAGGATGAGGGGGCTTATCAAGTGAAGAGAGGTCAGTAAAGCTATATCCAAATCTATATAAATATTTATAAATTCATCTATTCTATTGTAACAAATATATAACATGAGATACACCCTCTTAAATTTTTTAAGTGTGCAGTACAGTATTGTTAACGCTAAGTTCAATGTTGTACAGATTTCTAGAACATTTTCATCTTGAATGAATGAAACTTTATACCTGTTGAGCAGCAACTCCCCATTTCTGTCTCTCCCAATATATTTAATTTATTTGTAATTTTAATTTCTTCTCCTCTACCACACATAAAGACAAGGGAGCACTTATTTGAAGGCACGAGAGAGAACAGCAAATGTTTATTAGCTCCAAGGGGAGGGAGTGGCAAGATTTCCCGCGGCTGTCGGATTATGAAAGGCCTTCCAAGTTATACTATGAAATTTTTTCTTTTATCTGTATGGATTGGAAGCCACTAGAATTGTTTTTTGTAAGGGTATGAAATGGCCAGGATACCCACTTCACAACCATCACTCTGGGGGCAATTAGGAGAGTGGACTCGAGGGGAGTGAAACCAGAAGCAAGTGAGCTAGTCCAGAAAATGTGGTAATTTAGGCAAAAATCATGAAGAGCTGAAGAAAAGCTGTGGCGGGAGCAGTGAGTGGGGGTTCCAGAAGAGGTAACTTAGATGACAGCACTGCGGGCTGTCTATTTACTCAGTTCTCACAACTGGGCAAGTTAAACCTCAAACCTGCTGCTGGAGGAGAGGCTGTGAACACGAAATTGGGAACAGCTCCAAGCATGCCTGGTGCAAGTGTCGTTTACACACTGAAGTTGGCCTTGATATGCAAACCTAAGATGTGGCAAGTAGTGCCCTTTCTTTTTCACAGGTGAGTTTTAAGAGCAAGCCGAGCATGAGTATCACAGAAAACATGAAAATGAAAGACAGAGCTGGAGTTCTGTGAAAAATCAGTGTCTATTATAGAACATCAAAAATTCTTCATTATTTCACTTTTCAAATGTGTCAAATACAGCAAATACGTGTGTGATTCTAAAGAAGCAATACTAAGACTTTTGATTTGTTCTGTTTTCACTTTAAAGCTTCCAATCAAGAAGGTAGATATAAGAGAGCCTAAAACAAGAAACAAGCCATGTTTTGGTCAGAAGATGAGGCTGAAGTGTTTATGTAATTTTTACCAGCTTCACTGAGATATAATTCCCATAGTATAAAAATCACCTATTGACAATTAAATGAGTTTTAGCATAACACAGAGCTGTGTAACCATCACCGTGATCACTGTGATCTACGTTTACATTTTTATTACCTGAAAAGAAACCCCTTGTACTCTTTGGCAGTTAATTCCCATGCCCTCCACATCTGCAATGATCAATCTGTCTTCTTTATGTATAGAATTGCCTGTTTGGGGCATTTTGTATAAATAGAGTCAGGCAATACATGGGCTTTGGTGACTGGCTACTTTTATTCAGCATAATGTTTTCAAGACTCATATATCATCACATATATCAGTACTTCATTCCTTTTTCTTGCTGAGTAATATTTTATTGTATGGATATACCAAATTTTGTTTATTCATTCATCTGTGGATCCGTATTTGAATTGTTTCCTTTTTGGCCATTTGTGTAATGCTCTCATGAACATTTGTGCAAGTTTTTGCATGGACCTAGGTTTTCCTTTCTCTTGGGTAAATACCAAGGAGGAGTATTGCTATGTTTAACATTTTGAGGAACTGTTTGACAGTTTTCCAAAGTGGCTGCACCATTTTATATTCCCAACAGCAACATACAAAGGCTCCAATTTCTTCATATCCTTGCAAACATTTGTTATTGTCTATCTTTGATTATAGTTCTCCCTGGCAGGTGTGAAGTGGTGTCTCATTGTGATTTAATTTCCATTTTTCCCGTGTTTGTATTTTAAATCTGGTGACTAAATAATCTTTTCTTGCATTATTTATAGGGTATATTTTTCTTGTATTTTTTTGATATTGTAAAACTTTGTGAAAACTCTCCAGTTGTCTGTTAACACAATAATGCTGCTTAACAAACAGTATACAACTCAAGGGCTTAAAGCATTCAGCATTTATTAGTTCCTGAATCTGTGGATGATGTAGGCTGGACTCATTTAGTTGGTTCTGACTTGAGCTCACTCAGCTGTCCAGGGGCTGGCTCATTGTTGGCTGGCCTAGGCCGGCCTTAGTAGGACAACTTAGCTCTCTTCCATGTGTCTCCTGCCCTCCAGCAAGCAAGGCCAAGCATGTTCTTCCTAGACAGTGTCCTTATAGCATAAGCTGACTTGGCAGTGTGCAGATGCTTTTCTATGCGTTTGCTTCTGGCAAAATTGCTTCCATCCCATTGGCCAAGACAAGTCACATGACTAGACTCAAAGCCAAGGGGCAAGGAAAGATACTTCTTGATGAGAAGAGCAGCAAAATCTTGTGGCAAAGGGCATGAATATCATGAAGGGTGAAGCATCAGGGCCATTTATAACATCAATCCACCACATGTTACCCTGTCATTCAGAAGAGAAATGGATTAAATTGGTGGGTCAGCACCTGTTGCTTCACTAACCTACAATAGGGCCAAATTTTTTTTCAAGGTTCTGTGAAATATTCAGGGTTAAATATTCTCCTGGTGACAGCTCTTCTATTTTTTTTTAAAGATAGGAAAGATGTTTATGTGGCAAATGAGCATTCTATTGTTTGAAAACATCTTCAGTGCCATAATGAGAACTCAGGACAAACCTAGATCAAACAGCAGCAGGTACTTTGAAATATTCTGGGAAGTGTTTTAGCCTGGGATATGTGACATTATTTAAGTATTTACAAATGTCATATCATCTGTTTTAGGAAAAGCTAATAGAATATCTTGCAGACATTTCAGGTCTTAAAAAAATTTGCTTCTGTAATCTATTTCTACATAATCGGCAAATGTGGAAGCAGACGTATTATGGGTCAATACCAGTGAAAGGGTGCTCTGCACAGACATAGGATTCACAGTCCATTAAGCTTCAGGTCTACCCTGATGTGGGTTCCCCTGATGTATTACTATTATATCCTATTTTTGTTGACTCAGTTACTGTGTCAGCAAAACCAAACATTTTGGCTTGTGGCCCCGTCTCGAGCTGTCTATGGAGGATATGTTTTTGCCTTTACCACCATGACAGTAATGAGCAACTGGCATTAGTTTGATTTGCATAATTGTGTGCTTCCAACTTAGACTCTGTGTCAGTGGGAGACAACTTATTGTGATGATACCCACAGCATATTATCTGTTTTGTGCTATCAGCATTTATTTATGTAAATTCCATCATTATAAGGGGTCATTTTCCAACCGTCTACCAGTCTACCACGAAATCACATTCTCTGCCAGTAAGCCGGAAGAAAATGCCATAGGAGGAACTGGGTGTATTCGGTCATTCACAGTGGTTGGTCAAGGAGTTGGAAAGGATATTTTTGGTGGTGGCTTGCTTGTTTGCATTCTAGGGTAGTTTGCTTTAAGGACTGACAGGTAAGATGACAATCGGGTAGTCTGTCTATGATCATTTAGAATGAATGCCATCAAGCAGACATTCTTTCTCTCTCACAAACACATATACATACACAACAAGGAGTACCCAACTCATCTAAGATTTTCTTTAGGAATAATTTATGGTCTAAAAAGTGTTTTGTGTTTCCCAGATGATGAGTGAATGCTTTCTTTGATAAGAAGCAGAACTCTGTAATTTATTCATGCAAGAGATAAAAAGATAGAATAACTAACTAGGATATCCTACTTGTAAGAGTATCTAAAAATACAGTCAGGAACCATGTGAAATGTGAGATTTCATTAACCAAACTTCACAACTCTGTTCACAAAACTATAGCCCAGGTTGATTGGATATCTTGTCATTAGAGGTGGATGAGCCTCCTAAGCATCAGTGTAACTGGAGCTGTAATTTATACATTGCTTTGATAGTTATCTCTGGTTAAGCACAAAGGGATGTCAGCATTTAACCCTACCTCAAGGAATGACAGTGTAGAAAAAAAGGGAAAGTAAAGGAACCCAACAGCACAGCCAACCATTTAAATCTAATTGACACCTGTCAAAAGCAGCCCTTACTAAGAGGATGATAATTAGGGTATTACTCTGTTGCAAGCATGTAGTTCCCAGCCTGGTTTGTATCACTTTTCAGGCTGGTCAGAGAAGAGTAAGGAGGAGGAAAAAAATGAAAAAGGAAAAACAACTATCAGAAATCACATTTCATACTTTGGCAAGCTCACATTTAAGAATTCTCTTTGCCAAGGCTCTTAATGGGAACCCAGCTGATCATTCAGCTCAAAAGGAACTTGGAAATAATCTTATAAGGGACTCAACATAAAACTCACATTTGGGAAAGTTTGTAAGGAAGAGGTGGGCTTTCCCTAGACCCCTTCCCAAGCCCCAGTGCTAAGTTGAGATACAACAGAAAGGTGTTTCTCCAACCCCAAACCTAATAGGATAATCCTTTGAAAGAACATCTTGTTAGGTGTATGATTTTTTCCCACTTAATTTTTGACACTTTGGTGTGCAGGGTGACAGTGGTTCACAGGTATATGATACATAAAATGACATGGGACATTCTTTCCTCTTGTATAAGCATTTAGAGCTTCAACTCACAACTAAATATGTTTCACATGACTTTTTCTCTTTATTTCAATTTCCCTTCTTGATAATATTGTCATTCATTTTGTATTTTATGAATGAAATCTCTCTATATAAAACATGTCGAATCTGCTGCCACTTTAACTTCTGTTTAGAACACATAGTGACAAGTGAAACTGGATCAGGAATACAGTGATCAAATGAGACACCATGAGGTACCGTACAAAACATGTGATTAGGAGTTATAGACAAGATTTAATTCCCAGTCACTTTCTATTAATTATGTAACATTTGCTAGCCTTTTAACATGTTGGGCCCTCGGTTTCCTCATTGGTGAAATGCAGTCGAGAGCTCTAAGTGTCCTGTGAATGCAACCTTTGAAACAGCACTATGATTTGTTATCATTTGCTCGACTGCTTGCATTTGCAATACAACTAGGAATGGAAAAGTTAGGTCTACTGATGTTATTTCTCACGTGGTACAAGTTCTCAAAGGGAGAGGAGAAAGCTCTCAAAGAAACACAAAGCCAGACCATCAGTGCACACCTTCCCATAGGAATACCTACCAGCAAAGAGTTCAAATGAGTGAGAAAGGAAAAGCTGGCTATAGAAGAAAAGCTGGGAGAAGGAAAGGTCTGGCCACTGCTTCGTCTACAGTGGGAAAGTTACACCACACACACATGTCAAAGGGAAAAGGCAGCATTTCTGAAGAGCCCACTGTGTATCTGGCGACGTGTAAGGTTGAAAGCCAATGTGAAATGTTACCTAAAAGCCAGAGGGGCAGAACAGTAGCACTGGGAAAAATAATACCCACCCCAAACGGGGGCAAGACAACTCAAGGTTGTAGTTTAAGGAACTGATTGAGACCCATGTGAGGCAGCTGAGCAAGAAAGACAGAAGGAAATGACAGGAGCAGTCAGGAAAAAGTGAATATGCTGGACCACAGCAACTGACAGAGGCATCTGGAAACAACGAGAGGCAGAATTTATTTTTCTTGAAAGTTTTATTTGAAAATAAAACTCTGGTAAAATAAAACCATATAACAATACACTCACATTTCACTTTCTTATGTTTTAAAAAATGATCTAAGAAACAGACATGAAATTCCAGCTCTGTTAATTAAGTGGAAATAAGATTTACAAAACAATTGCTTGTAGCCTTTTCTGATGTCACGAGGTCTAACTCTACTTAGCAGAAGACTGGGGCATAAGAAGATGGCTTAATGAATACTTATTCTCTATTCCCTATAACCACTCTTTACTCTGTGTACCCTCTTTTGGACACATGGAAACATAATGCAAGGAATGAACAAAAGACTCAGTGATGTCTTTTCTTGGCTAATGACAAAGAAAAAAAAACCATGCTGATCATTTATAACATGTAATGTACTCATATCAAAGATTACATAATCAGAGAAGAGTGGGTTACAAACTACCCAATTGACTCAGCAGGTATCACCAAAATATTTGCAGGTTGCTTGGTAACCCAATTAAAAGTCTCTATCTAAATTCCAGATCATTAGTGACTGAAAGTCACTATCATTTGATGGCTCATCTCAGTCCAGTTCTTAGGGGAGATTTTCCTACATCAGAAAACCACCAACATATTTGGCACTAATTGGCTCCCCAGGTGGCAATCTCAGCCTATAGGCCAAGAATTGAGTGGACCTGGGAGGATAAACTATTCCCCCAACCTGAGAGTTGGTGCTTCTCAACACAGGCTGAAGGACATTGGTGGGTTAATATGAGAATTTTTACATGGATATTACCTGTCTTTGGACAGATTGAGATGTTCTATTTTTAAGAATATTTTATTTGTGTCAAGTTCTTTTTTAAAAAATCAAGTTCCATTTAGGAATTTCTTATTAAAACATGTCTTCCCCATCTCACGTTTTTTCAGATCCTCCCCCATGCTTACAATGATTAACAGGAAGAATATCAAATTTTATTAACTTAAAATTAGAAATGTGAATTACAGACATTGATGTAACCCAAAAGACAGGCCTAGAGTAAAATGGAAATTGTTTCTTTACCGAAAGTAACTGATAGCTTTGCTATTTTGCAGGATATGATAAGAACTTCTGCAGGGATGGACACATTTATACAGTATTCATGTAAGAACATTAGAGCCTATTATTTGAGTACTTTTCTGTTGAAAATTGGTCTGAAATTGCTCTTTTGAAATAATGGATTTTCCATATATTTTGATGTTGACGGTAGTAAAAAAAAAATCAGTCATCAGTGAAGAGAAATAGATATGGAGAACATATGATTAGAGATTTCAAGGTTTGCTACTAGAAATGATATTATAACTAAATATGTCTACCTTGGACATTTGACTATTTGACATTTGATTATATAATGACAGATAATTACAAAATAAATTTATCATATTTATGGTACAATATTTCTCACACGCACATACATAAAAGATAATGAGGAGTATAGATAATAGAACAAAGTTACAAAAACTAAAACCTAATGTAAGAGACCTGGACTGAGTTAGATGGCCTGGGCTCCAGTCACACCTTGCTATCTCTTTAGTACTAGATTTTTTTACCTGCTTAGCTGGAATTAAGAATATAGAAGACTTTTTTTCAGCTCAGGAATTGTGAGATTCTTTCGGAAGGTATTCCCTTATATTTTTTTTTTCCTACTAATATCTGCTTTTTGGTATACTGAGGCTAAGAAGAGTTAGTTATATTTTATCTTAAAGATTTTTTAATAAAAATTTTAAAATGACAAAACCTGCTGAATTTATTGGACTGCAACATTCTCTATAATGAAGCTCAGAGAATCTACTATGAGAAATATTTCACCATATCAGGATAGTCCTAGCTTCGTTTCGTCAAAGTGTTATATAAAAGGAAGGTGGAATGATTAGTATTCAAAGAAGCAATAGGGAAAACCTCTAACATTTTTATAGCAATGAACTTCCTCAACAAGAGATTTATGAGAACAGCCAAGATGCAGCTCCCAAGCTGATTAAGTGCACTAGCTTTCAACTATTTACAAATCATGAAGATTGAGATTTTTTCTGAATTATTTACTGAGAATAGCAGATCACAATAATTTCTTAATTTCCATCATTATTTGATATGGTTTTGCTGTGTCCCCACCCAAATCTCATCTTGCATTGTAGCTCCCATAATTCCCTTGTGTTGTGGGAGGGACCCCGGTGGGAGATGATTGAATCATGGGGGTGGTTTGTCCCATACTGTTCTCGTGGTAGTGAATAAGTCCCACGACATGTGAGGATTTTATAAGGGGTTTCCCCTTTTGCTTGGCTCTCATTCTCTCACTTCCCTGAGGCCATGTGAGATGTGCCTCTTGCCTTCTGCCCTGAGTGTGAGGCCTCCCCAGCCAAGTGGAAATGTGAGTCCGCTAAACCTCTTTTTCTTTATAAATTACCCAGTCTCATGTATGTCATTATCAGCAGTGTGAGAATGAACTAATATACTATTGTTAATAATTTTTGTTGAATCTGGAACAAGTTTTTCACAATTGATTTTGCTCAGGTGATCTTTCATCCAGTTACTTATACTTTGAGGAGGCAAAGTTTTGAGCACCGTTTTCTAACTAATTTCTGTGAGAATATATATAATCCAGTTAAGTCCCATAGGCATTCAAATAGGTACCACTCATTTTCTGTGGCTGCTGTGTAGATATTCAGCTCACATTAATAAAGATGACTCAGCTCTAGCTAAGTACCCAAATGTGTCCTGAAATAGAAAAAGAGATTGCAGTGGTTATGTTGAACCACTCTCTGATACACAAATTCCCCATAACACACAGCAGTTTACCAAGCAAAGTTTGTAAAATACCAGTCCTAAAGGTGTCTAAATAAAAAATATGTTTGATGTTCTATTAACCTGAAACATTTTGCATGCCATATCTTTCCTTCTGAGAATTACGGACCATAATAAAGTCTTTGAGAAATCCTGCAGTGGGAGGAAAAGGCTGCTTACTTGCTTAACCTAGAGTTTCTTTTACCAATTTGATCATAAATTCATTTTATTCTTTAATTTCTAGTTACCTATATTCTAAAGAATAAAGTATCTGATAAAGTAGCTAGGTATATCCAGGGATTTTCCATAATTTTTTTCCTAGTAATTCCTTCTATGTCTCTCACTAGAATTCTTTCTTGTTGCCTTCACCTATTCATTGTTACTGTACACCTTAAAGACCCACAGTGAATATTTACTTTGTGGCAACACTGCAAATATTTTAAATCAATAAAATAATTAATTTTGTCTCTATGACCCCTATCCTACACACTAAACACCCTCAGACCCTTCAGGCTTTCCTTCTATACACAGTTGCAAGAACATTTTTTATCTCTAAACATGTTCCAATTTGGTACTGCTTCTCTTAAGGGCAGCACGAGAGAGTGATATAGTATCCCAAGGGACTACAGCAGAGCAGAGCAGAGGGAGGCTCACATGCCTTATGGAGAAGTCAGTAGTTTATCACGTCACCAGTGATCATTTGTTCTGCTTTTGCTGAGGAAGACCCACGACAGATGTCCACTGTGGTAGGCAGAACTCTAAGATGGCCCTCGAGATTTCCCACCCCCTCGTGTTCATTCCCTGCCTAGTTCCTGGGACTCTGAATATGATGGATTTTACTCCCATTATTAAGTTTTGGCACAGTTGACCTTAAGATAGGGTGGGCCTAATGTAATTACACAAGCTCTTTAAAACTAAATTTTTCTCTGTCTGCTCACAGACTAGTAAGTCAGAGATTCAAAGCAGGAGATGGATGCAAAACACAGTTGCTAGTTTGAAGATGAAGGCAACCAGGTGGCAGGTGGCATGGGATGTAGATGGCTTCTAAGAGCTGAGAGCAGCCACTGGCTGATAGTCAACAAGGAAAACAGAGACCCTAGTCCTAAGACCACAAGGAGCTAAATTTGGCCAAAAACCTGAATGATCTTGGAAGTGGATTCTATCCCAGGGTCCAAATGGCAATTGAGTTTAACACCTTGATTTTGGCATTGTGACATCCTGACCAGAGAACATGCCAACACTGTGCCAGATTTCTGACCTACAGAATCCTGAGCAAATAAATGGGTGTTTTTTTAAAGCCACTAAGTTTGTGGTAACTCATTACAGAGCAATAAAAAACTAATAAATCTGGATAACCAAAGCTCACCATCTTTACCATATTTTGCTTTTATATGTGCTTTGTGATATATGACAGTAATGCATTTTCCATTTTCTCTGGCTGAAAAGCTTTAAGTGTCCCACATAAATAAATATTACTTGTATGCCTTCTTTTCTTTGCTTCCAATAAGACTCTGCCAGCTTGCAGCCATTTTCTGATTCATGGATTTCCTCACAAATTTATATTTCATGGACATATAGATCTATCTAGCTTTGTATACTTTCTGTGGACTTTTTCCATTAAGTTATGCACTTCCAATTCTGGATTCTAAGCTTGAGGCACATGGCATAAGTGCTTTATTATTCATAGTATGTAGTTCCCTTTATCTAATAAGACTGTAAGTTTACTCTGTTGATTACCCATACCCTAAAATTATTATGCTGATTGACCTCAAGTTCTGATTATGTCCTCTTTTCTCATTTGCTTCTTTCTTTTTCTGAATTACAAGGAGCTATCTTTCTCACTCACATTCTTTGTTCTTTATAATAACTGGTATTAAAGATGGCTTCCTTTTCTTCTCCTACATTTTATTTTATGTTTATTCAGCTCTTGTATTGTTCATTCTTTGACCAACTATCTTATGCCATCATTGCAATATCTTGAGCCATGGTCTAGGACACCTCAATCTGTTCTATGATATCTGGATATAGATAGCTCTTCACTGCACATTACCTGACTTATCTACCAGAATTCCAGCCTTAAAATGAACAAAATGGTGGAGTTTTTATTTACCTAGGGCCAAAGTCCTTCAGTATTACATCCCTGAGGGTACTTATTAACCTTCTTCTCTTGTCCTGCATGAATAAGCAGTTATAGACAACAGAGGGTAAGCCTCAGAAACCTGTAACATCCCATAAATCCTCTTCAAGAAGTAGCAGATCCCTGAAGAGACAAGTGATTACCTCAGCCTCCTAATTTTGTTTCTGAAAATCCTAGCCATTTCTTCTCAGTCTCCTTTGTTGCCTCCCTTTCGTCTGTTGGGTGTATGTAAACACATTTCACTATGGGCTCAGTATGTGCTGGATTTTAGATTTGAATATGAAGCAAAGAACACTATACTTTGGATCCCATGTGTGTGGGTGGCTGGCTAACAATAATCTCAATAAAATGTCCTCCTCCACCTTTTGTAGCTATTACGGAAATTAAGGGCTTGTACTTTGAAAATATGATTCTAGCTACCTGATTTGAAAAAGGCTTATGATCTATGCTACTAAATATCAAAGATTAATATCTAATGTCATTTGCCATAAATTGTCACATGGTCCCTAGAACCAGGGAAGAGTAAGAAGTCTGTCTGATTCTCCAGATAACAAACTTCAAAGGAAGCTTTTATTTTTGGTCTTGATATCCCAAAGAGTTCAAGGACCTCCATTAACCTTGATCTACTCCAGCAGCACCTATCTTTTGTCACCAATATTTATTTTAATCTTTTGGTGGCTTCACTTCTGAAAACTTGAGTAACAGGTGGGTGTGTATGGTGCATGTAAGTGTGTGTATGGGGCTGGTACTCTTTGCTTATCAGGTGTTCCCAAGTATTTTTCTATGCTTTCCACCTTGATCATTCATTCTGAAACCCATGAAAATTATTTGGCTTCCCCATTACCCTACAAATGTAGTAAATACACTTAGTTTTTTTGTTTGTTTTAGAAATATCTCAGTTGGCTTCCCTCTAATTAGTTCAATATTTCACTAATATTTACTTTTACTGTCTATGTTCTTTTGAAATTTCAATTCTAAATCGCAAAATCTGAAAATATTTCTTCAACTACAAAAATTTGATGACCTATTGTTAAAAATTCTTTTTAATAACCAAAAGTACAAATTATCTGAACATATGTATTGCTTATATAGTATATTTTATAGAATATTTTAACTTTCTAATATGCTCCTTAATGATAATACAATGTTAAATTCTGTTGTGTACTTAAATATTAGTACAGTAGAGTGACAAATGTGAATTTAAGCTCTAAAGTTATGAAGTGTGAAGAAAATCATATATATGTATATTTAAAAGGTCCATTGAAAATCTCTCTGAAAGGTCATGTTGAAGACTAGAAAACCAGTATTTTCCTTCAGCATTAGAACAGATTGCCATTTTCTTGGTTGAGTTTCAGATGAAATAGTTGGCATGAATTTAGGTGTCATATTGTAATGAAAATAAGCATCTTTCAATGATGGGTGATGATTGAATGGAAAGCCAAATCATGTCTGCCATCTCTTGCTTGCTAGGTGATTCATACTCCATTCATTATTAGAATGGTGGGAAGAATCCTCTGTAATTATTAAATTGTTCTTTCTCTCTTTCTTTTGCTTGCTTACTCTTTCCTTTTATTCAAAGACAGCTGAATTGACTTAATATTACTGTGTGGGTCAACTGACTACCCTATACTAAACGATGTATTGGTATGATAGCTGCTCATTTTTTAGTTGACTTTCTAATGTTGAGAAAAAAATAAAATATATTTTATTCTAAATTTTCCCGTGATATACTTTATACTTTTTCAGTTTTATTTTGATTTGTTTGAAAATGAGGAAAGAAAGACAGGAAGGGGAAATCAAGAAGAATTGAGAAATATCAAGTATATGTTCTATGCTAATGATTCTGCATGCATTGTGCCATCAAATCCTTAAATTAATCTCATAAAAATATAATATTTTACCCATATTACAGACAATAAAACAGACTCAGGGCAAGATCATTTGTTGAAGCTTACACATCTAGTATGCACAGATGCTACTCTACTAGGAAATACAGTTAATAAGAGTTAAAGCCCAAGTTCTCTCCAGGAAGCCACCCACTCTCCTGTCATCTGTTCTTATCCACGTAGTCAGACAAAAGGTTTGGGGTAGCAGGTTGAGGTTTCCTAGACCTTGTTAACTGCCCCCACAGTCTAAATACAACAGTTTTTGTCTCATTTGCAACAAAGAGGAAATTTATTTTTAGTGGCCCCGATTTGCTACTCACTAAGAGATTTTGTGTTTTACCAAGAACTATTTAGACTACAAATAAGATGACTTTTAAAAAAATTGTTGGAAGTAAAATGTTGATATAAACAAAATGCAAGCACCTCAGACTATTGAAAACAAAGCTTAAATCCCTATGCTTATAACCACAATGGTGTACTGTAAACTTGGCAAAACATATGTTATTGCTTATACTTTTGATTGCTTAAAATTAACATCATAAACACAAAAGTGTGTTTTTTTTCCCTTAGTGCTTATGAGATATGTGATGCAGATGGATGTGTGTGTGTGTGTGTGTGTGTGTGTTTGTGTGTGTGTGTGCATGTAGCTCTTATTTCATCTTGAACTTGCATTGGTAGAGTATTTATCTTCTTTTCAAAAATACCTATTTTTCTAGATATTTGTCCTACACAAATCAGCATTGTATATTGGCCCAGAATTGAAGCTATACTTGAGTATATAATGCCAAAGATTTCATGCAAATTTACAGTTGTTATTTTTTAAATCATAGGAAGTCTGGTAGTTCAGAAACATTAAAAGTGAACTTCGCAATTTCCTTAAAAAATAGTTGAGACTGTGGAGAAACAAAAATTAGTTGGAACTTAGTGAACTGAAGAACTGAACTTCAGTGAACTGAAGAAACAAATTCCACTCTGGGTAGATCGACTTCCTAATGTCACAAGTCAATTTAGAAATTATGTACAAGATAAATCTCTTTTCTCTCATTGCACCAATGTATTTATCTTAATCACAAGCATCAGTGGAGACAGAGACTGAAAAATAAATTGTTCACTGTCTCCAAGACAAACCCCAAATAGGAAACTTGATATTCTGCCGAAAGTCTATCTCTGGAATATGCTTTGGAAAAGCCATGGTATAATTATATGTAGTATTATAGAGATTCTTGTGTGTATAAATATTTTCAGGCCGGGCGCGGTGGCTCACGCCTGTAATCCCAGCACTTTGGGAGGCCGAGGCGGGCGGATCACGAGGTCAGGAGATCGAGACCATCCCGGCTAAAAAAACGGTGAAACCCCGTCTCTACTAAAAATACAAAAAATTAGCCAGGCGTAGTGGCGGGCGCCTGTAGTCCCAGCTACTTGGGAGGCTGAGGCAGGAGAATGGCGTGAACCCGGGAGGCGGAGCTTGCAGTGAGCCGAGATCCCACCACTGCACTCCAGCCTGGGCGACAGAGCGAGACTCCGTCTCAAAAAAAAAAAAAAAAAAAAAAAAAAAAAAAAAAAAATATTTTCAAAAGCCTTTGAAATTGTTTGTAAATCCAAAGTTTATAAATGACTTATGAAATCCACAAATTTGCTAAATATGTTTCTGCATTTTTGTATTATGCTCTCTGATTTTTCTTTCTATGTGGTGTAAGTCAAAGAAAATGATATACAATATGGCTAGATGGGACTAAAATCTCCAAACAAAAGAAGCATCTGTTTTTCTAATTTAGTTTTTGAATTTATGTTGGTTTCACAATTGGTTACACTGCAAACAATGTGGTTCAAATGACAATGACACTGATTACAATTCTACTTTGCACTAAGAGTGCTTTTTATTCAAGATTGTCAACTCCCATAACTAACAATAACTAAGCCTTTCAGCACCTCTGTACCTTGGGTATTGTTTTACCCAATGTGAAGCAGATTGAACTGTAACTTTGCAGGAGGCTAGCAAGTTTTTCATGAAGCCAGAGAAGGCTAGAATTTTAAAGTCAGCAAGTTGCAACAGTTTCTCTTGATGTACATTTGGAAATATTAGAGCAAGGTACTTATGAATATGATTTCTTCCCTATGCTCATTTTTTCTAGTACTTTGAAATGACTCCAACCTCAGAGACCATGGGCCCTTAATTCTTAATTAACTATTAATGGTTTTCTTTAAAAAACATTAATTATTGCTTTCTTCCTGTTTCTATGCAGTGTGTCCCTACTGTCTCCCTTAGCCAGTGGAAGAGGTTATAAGTGGATAGCAAGCCTTCGGAGTTACATCCTGCCCCACAGATCTCTGAGATAGTTTCTATCAATTGTTGTAGTCCTTAGAAAGTTCTTTAAATATTCATGTCTGCACCTTGTTTTCTTAAAAATCTATTTACATCTATGCTCTGTCCACATAGACTATCAATCCTTTCAAGACTGGAAGAAATTTGAATTCCCTATTTCCTCATTCATTCATTCATTCATTCTTCATTTGCTTATTCAGGAAACATTTATTGGATACCTATGATGTGGAAGACAGGTATGCTAGGTGCTGGTTCATGGGAACAAATGAACACATTTTTCTTCTTAAGATAGTGATTGTTTCAATACGGCGAGGGCCCCAAGGGAAATCCGTTGGAAACTGAGTTTACTAATGTGCTCTAGTGAAATGGTTTCATGATGTAATTTGTGCCTATAATATCAGAAGCTTTACATTGTGTAACTTCTACAGTTGTAATGTTTTAGTCCTGATGACTGCCATTTTGTACTTTCTCTGTTGAGTGGAAACCTTGCCTTCCATGAACTGAAAATGGAAAACTCTAAATCATCTCTTGAGGGTTTTATATTCCTATGATATCTTCAGTGATTTCATTAGTGTTTAGTTTTCTATTAAAATACACTCAGAAAAAATAACTAATGAATACAAGTCTTAATACCTGGGTGATGAAATAATCTGTACAACAAATACCCATGACACAAGTTTACCTATGTAACAAACCTGCACATCCTGCACATATACCCCTAAATTTAAAATAAAAGTTAAAAAATAAATAAAGTACACTTTGTATTATAAGTAAGATAAACCTAATGGCCATTTTTAAAATGAAAAGAATAATATGTTATAATAAGGTAGTAAATGTAGATAATTTCTCAACAGCAAAACCAGACTAGAATTAATGTATGCTTTATCAAGTGGTATGTTATAGTAAAGAGAAATTTCAGCTAAAATGTTTAATTACTATCTCACTAAGAGAGCCAAAAATGGCCTATTACCTAATTCCTGTTTATACCATTATTGACATTAACTAGACATGTAAACTTTGCCTGAGTGTTGTTATAATATGGTGGATAACTAACCTGACTCTGGAATCAGGCAAACTTGGGTATACAACTTGCTTTTGCTTCTCACAAACTGTATAAACACAGGAAAATAATTTTGTCTTACGTAAAATGCAGTTTTAGCAACTGCAAAATGTAATAATAAAAGTGTTTCCATGAATGAATGCATGGAATACTTAGAAAAGAACCTAGTACAAAGTAGCCATACTAGAAATGTTAGATAGTAGTAGTAGTAGTGGGTTTTGAACAAATTGAATTTATGCTAAATTTATTGGAACAGACGAAGCAAGTCACATGAGATCCCAGATAAATTAGTAAGCTATTATTGACTGGTCGGAAAGCAACCAATACTTTTGGGGATTCTCAGGCTATCATTACATAGAAACTTGGCACATAGTTTTATTGAAGTGATCATAGAGCCACTTAGTAACTGTAAGAAATGTTTAGTCATCACAACATCACAACAGCGTTATGAGGTAGGTAATGTGCTCGTTTTATAAGTGAGGAAACTGAGAGTCAGCAAGAGAAAGCTATTTATTAGGGTTGAATAACTGTGAGAAGGGCAGGCCTTGACTCTAGGTTTATTAACTTCCATATGTTTCTTCTGCATGCTTTCCAATAGCCTGTCATTCTAATTAGCATTATTTAAATGTAAGTAGCAATTAGTTCTGTCAAGAGTCAAATCATCAGCTATGATCTAATAATTATTAAATGTCTATTACCTGCCAAATATTATAGAACAGGCTTTAATAAATATTTTATAACATGCTCCTTCAGTCATTAGCTATACTTAAAAGCCATCAATTCTGCCACTGTACTAGCTACCGGGGACACAATGAAGAAGATACATTCCTCAACTTAAAGAGTTTTTTTTTAGAAAGAGGTTTTTTTTTGTATTTTTTAGAGTAGTTTAGGTTCACAGCAAAATTGAGAGGTAAGTACAGAGATTTCCTGTATTTCCCCTGCCCCTGTGTATGTATAGCCTCCCATATTATCAATAACCCTCACCAGAGTATCAAATTTGTGACAATTGATAAACGTACATTGACACATCATTATCACCCAAAGTCCATAGTTTAATTTAGGGTTCACTCCTTGTGTATAGGTTTGGACAAATGTATAATGACATGTATCCACCACTATAGAATTATAGGGAGTAGTTTAACTATCTTCTATGCTCCATTCCTGCCCCCCTCCCCAGGCAACCACTGATTTTATTTTTTATTGTCTCCATAGGTTTGCCTTTTTCAGAATGTCATATCATTGGATATGCAGCCTTTTCAGTTTGGCTTCTCTCATTTAGTAATATGCATTTAAGCTTTCTTCATGTCTTTCCATGATTTGGCAGCTCATTTCTTTTTAGCACTGAATATTCCATTGGCTGAATTATTAATCCATCCATCTACTGAAAAGCATCTTGGTTACTTCCAAGTTTTGGCAATTACAAGTAAAGCTGCTACAAACACTTGTGTGCAGGTTTTTGTGTGGACATAAGTTTTCAACTCCTTTAGATAAATACCACAGAAAGTGATTGTTGGATTGCATGGTAAGAGTATGTATAGTTTTATAAGAAACTGCTGAAATGTCTTCCAAAGTGGCTGTGCCATTTTACATTCCTTTCATCAATGGATAAAAGTTCCTGTTGTTCCATATCCTTCCCAGCGTTTTGTGGTGTCAGTGTTCTGGATTTTGGCTATTTTAATAGGTATACAGTAATATCTAATTATTGTTTTATTTGCATTTTCCTTGTGACATATGATGTGAAACCTGTTTTGGTAGGCTTACTTACCATCTGTATATTTTCTTTGGTGAGGCACCTGTTAAGGTCTTTTGCCAATTTTTAAATCAGGCTGTTTCCTTATTGTGATTTAAGAATTCTTTGAATAATTTGAATAAAATCCTTTGTCAGATGTTTGTTCTACAAACACTTTCTCTTCCTCTGTGGCTTGTCTTCAAATTCTCCTGACACTTTCTGTTTAGAGAGCAGAGGCTTTTAATTTTAATGAAGTCCAGCTTATCAATTATTTCTTTTATGGACCATAGCTTTGGTGTTGTATCTAAAAGATCATAGCCAAACCCACAGCCATCTATTTTTTACCCTATGTTATCTTCAAGGAGTTTTGTAGTTTTGAATTTTACATTCAGTTCTGTCATTCATTTTGAGCTAGTTTTTATGAAGAATGCAAAATCTCTATCTAGATTCATGGTTTTGCATGTGGATGTCCAGTTTTTTCAGCACTCTTTGTTGAAAAGACTCTTTCTGTATTGTATTGCCTTTTTCTCCTTTCTCAGGATCAGCTGACAATATTTTTGTGGGCTTATTCCTGAGCTTTCTATTTTGTTTCATTTATCTATTTGTCTATTCTTTTACCAGTATCACACTGTTTTGATTACTGTAGCTTTAAAGTAAATGTTGAAGTCAAGTAGTGTTAGTCCTCCAACTTTGTTCTTCTCCTTCAATACTATATTGGCTATCTGGATCTTTTGCCTCTTCATATAAACTTTAGAATTCATTTCTTGATATCCCCAACATAACTTGCTAGGATTTTTAATGGAATTGCATTGAATCTATGGATCAAGCTGGGGATAACTGACATCTTGACAACATTGTGTTGTACAACCCATGAACATGGAATTCTCTCCATTTATTTAGTTCTTTGATTTATTTTCTCTACATTTGGATAGATCTTGTACATATTTTGTTACCTTTATACCTGCAAGCTTTATTTTGGGGGTGCTAGTGTAGATGTATTGTGTTTTACATTTCAAATTCCACTTGTTCACTGCTGGCATACAGGAAGACAAGTGACTTTTGTCTATTAACCATGTATCCTGCAAACTTGCTTTAATCCCTTATTAGTTACAGGAGTTTTTTTAATTGATTCTTTTGGATACCCTACATAGATGTTCCTGTCATCTGCAAAGAAAGATAGTTTTATTTATTTCTTCCCAATCTGTACACATTTTATATTTATTTTTCTTGTCTTATTACATTAGATAGGACTTCTAATATAATGCTGAAAAGGAGTGCTGAAAGGAGACATCTTTGTGTTTTTTTGATCTTTTTGGAAATGTTGCTGACCATTATGTATGATATTAGTTGTAAATTTTTTGTAGCTATTCTTTATCAAGTTGAGAACATTTCCTTCTTAGTTTACTGAGTTTTTTTTTATTACAAATGTATGTTGAATTTTGTCAAATGACTTTTCTGCATCTATTAATATGATCTTTTTTTTTATATCCTGTTGATGTGTTGGATTATATTAATTGATTTTCAAGTGTTGAACCAACCTTGTACACTTGGAATAAATTCCATTTGGTAATGGTGTATAATTCTTCTCATACATTGTTGGATTAAATTTGCTAATATATTGTTGAGGATTTTTACATCTATGTCCATGAGAGATCTTTATTTGTGGTTTTCTTTTCTTATAATGTTTTTGTTTGATTTTAGTCTTAGGGTAATAGTGGCTTAATAGAATGGGTTAGGAAGCATTTACTCTGCTATCCTCTGAAAGAGATTATAGAGAATTAATACAATTTGTTCCTTAAATGTTTGGTAGAATTTGCCAGTGAATAAATTTGGGCCTGATGCCTTCTGTTTTGACTGGTTATGTGTTATTGATTCAATTTATTGAAAAAGTATAGCCCTATCCAGATTATTTACTTCTTCTTGCATGAGTTTTCACAGATTGTGTCTTTCAAGGAATTAGTTTAGTTCCTCTAGGTTATCAAATTGGTGGACATAGAGCTGTTCATAGTATTATTTTATTCTCTCCCTTTTTTTTTAATTTTTGAGTTGGAGTCTCACTCTGTCACCAGGCTGGAGTGCAGTGGTGTGATCTCAGCTCACTGCAACCTCCACCTCCTGGGTTCAAGCGATTCTCCTGCCTCAGCCTCCCAAGTAGCTGGGACTACAGGCACATGCCACCACGCCCAGCTAATTTTTGTATTTTTAGTAGAGATGGGGTTTCACCTCGTTGGCCAGGATGGTCTTGATCTTTTGACCTCATGATCCCCCCACTTCAGGCTCCTAAAGTGCTGGGATTACAGGTGTGAGCTGCCACGCCCGCCCTTTCGTTCTCTTCTTAATGTCCATGGGATCTATAGTGATATATCCTTTTTTATTTCTTTTACTTAGTAACTTGTGTCCTCTCTCTTTTTTTCTTAGCCTGGTTAGAGGCTTATCAATTTTACTGATCTTTTCAAGGAACTAGCTTTTTGTAAATAAGTATTTATAATGTGGTGGTAAGGTGTGGGAGGAGAAATGTTCATAGTCTCATGATTAGTTCCAAGTCTTTCAGGGATCCTATGCCTCTAGACTGTACTTCATAAGTATATCTCAGCTTTTTCTTTGCTTTTAGGTGGGACAAGATGGCTACAGTGGGCTGGACATTGGTATTTTCCTTCTGCCTTGTGGAATAATAGACCTGGCTGAAGTCGGGTATCTCCTTTCCTCCAGGTTAGTTAGACTATGATAATACTCCTATGAAATTAGGGTCTAGTTAATTAGTTTTTCTTCAGGGAGGCCTTTTTAAGAAGAGAGTATTCTAGCATGCTTCAAAATGATTCATTTTCCCCTCACTTTGCTGAAAGCACAAAGAAATTTTTATCCAATATTTACTGGGTCAAGTTCTTAGAGATAAAAGACACAAAAGTATGGAGTCTCCCTTATGCTTAGGTCCTTCTGGAGCTGTAAACTCTGACTTGTCCACGCTGATTCTCCAGCAATTCATCAATTACAGTTTAGGTTTTTCTACCCTGGCACTAGTTCCTGCAGTGGTTTCCACTTGTAAGTCTCTGTTTAGATAAGCCATGACTCCCCTTTCTGTATTTGTCTGTGTGTCTCTCTAATCTTGGAGCCACTAGTTTGCCTGGATCTTCACCTCTTTTATGGATCTAAAAAGAATTGTTGACTTTTCAGTTTGTTCAGCTTTTTACCTATTGTTACGATGGAGTGGTGGCTTCTAAGCTCCTTATATGTGGGACTGGGAGTTGGAAGTCTATTAAGTTTATAGTGTCATAAGGTAAAGGCACAAACAGTCAGACTACTACAGAATCATATAAGTGTTACCACAGAGAACTTTCCTCTCATTATTTTTCTATTTTTATCCGACTATTGATTAAGAAACTGAGGTTTAGTGAGGAGCATAAGAAGGAATAGAACAACTAATATGAAGAGCGGCTTAGATTCAACTCAAATCAGTCTATCACTTAACCTTTTAAAATTTTTTTCATATCATGTATATAGTCATTGTCAAAGATGGATTTCAGATGCTTAGACACACAGCTCTTTGATTTGCTGCATCTTGATCGTGTATGGTTCTACACCTGTCTAGCTCTGTCGTGAGGAACTGTTTTATAACCTAGAATGAATGTAGAATGTAGCAGATACTGCTGTTTTCCTGTAAACCACTATTTTCCACCTTCTTTATTAATAGAAGCTCAGGTTTGTTCAGGTATCTCGTGTCCCTGCACTCTGGATTATTTTTAGCTCCAAGAAGTAAATAAAGATGGGTTAAAAGAATCAGATCAAGAACATTCTCCTTGATAGTGTTGGCTTGGTCTTGTCACACAGTTCTGGTAAATAGGCTGAAAAGAGACATCTGCTGGGAACCATCTGGATAAAGTCCATTAAGGAGACCCATAGAAGGAAAGACTGCATTTATGCCTCTCTACATTTTACAGTCATCTTGGGTCCATAAAAGGCAAAGCAATTCACTGAGGATGACAGGTCATAAAGATAGAAAACACTTAGGTCACTGATGATGTCAATATGCCACTGAATTATCTAACTGTCAAACCTTTCAAACTTTAGACTTCCTAATATGTGAAATAATACATTTTGCTTATTGCTTAAGCAATTTTGCGTTGGATTTTCTTATTCTTGCAGGAAAAAAATATAAAAGGTGTTTTTGTGGAATTCCTTACATAGAACTTTAAAAATGTTTTCAAGTTCCTTCTTTGAATTTTTCTCTTGTCCTTCTTCCTTCCTAACACCACAATATTTTAGTGACATGCAAATATTATAGTCATATTGGAGGGCCTAAGATGAAGTTTAAAGTCTCTTACTGGACCCAGCATTAGATATGAGACCCTGATTTGTGAAAAAGGCTATAGTTACTGGGCACCTAAAAGTCACTCAGAGATACTTATGGATTATTTGGGAGTCCTGAGAGTGGGTTTCCTGAGAAAGGAACTCAGATAAGGCAAATTTAAGTTTTACATTTTAAGATTGGTTGAGTCAATTTTTATGTTTATCTAAAAACTATAAACATCAGTTCTGTGAGGAAGTTGGGCTGGTTTCAGTACCAAGAGAAACATTCAGGAACCATTAAAATAAGATTGAAATTGACACTGTAGGGAGGGTTATGTTTGCCTTCATATCTCTCTACATACAGTTAGAGAAAAGAAAATAAGCAAAGAAAAAAATTCGTATTAAAAAAGAGAACCCCATGGAGGAAATTGAAAAAAGTAATCAAAGACACAAGAAGAAAACAAAGAAAAAGGAGTTTCAGGGGAGGAAAGATAGTTCAGGAAGAATGCTGAATAAGCATTTGTGGTTTGGCTTATCTTTGTATCTATCTCCTTTATCTGGTACCAGAACCCCCTTGCCTGTGAGATTCTCCTCTCCCTGTGCTCCCTGCTCCCTTATGCAACACATACATGTACCCAAGGTAAAGGTAAAATGATGCCAATGGGCACTGTAGCTCATGCCTGTAACACCACCACTTTGGGAGGCTGAGACAGGAGGATCACTTGAGCACAGGGGTTCAAGAACAACCTGTGCAATATGGTGAGTCCCCATATCTACAAAAAATTAAATGCATATCTAGGTGTCGCAGCATGTGCCTGTAGTCCCAGCTACTTGCAAGGCTGAGGTGGGAGAATTGCTTGAGTCCAGAAGGTCAAGGTTGCAGTCAGCTGTGATCTTACCACTGCACTCCAGCCTCGGCAACAGAGTAAGATTCTGTCTCAAAAAAAGAAAAAAAAAAAGATGGAGAGAACATAGATGCATAGATGAAAGTAATCATGGCCTAGAAGTACTATACATTCCAAGTCACTATGGAGATTTTTGTTTTATGCTTGTGTTCTGGGTAAAATAATTAGTATTCTCCCCCTCACTTGCAAAGATAGTTTGGTACAACAATAAATTATACGTTTACTCTACTTGAAGGCTCTTCATAATCTGACCTCTCCTTAGTTATACAGCCACAATTTTCACAATTCTCTTTCCCACCTGTATCCTGAACTTAGCCAAATCAGTTTTCTTCCATTTCCTCAAATGCATCACAATCTCTTTTGCATCTGTGCCTGTGTGGATTATTTTTCCCCCGTATATCTATTTCACTTTATTTTTCAAGACAATTCAATGCATTGTTTGAACCCCAGAGCATGAATGATTTTCCCAGAGACTAGCCCTTCCTAATCCCAACCCCCTGCCTAGATTCTATGTCTTGCCTGCTCCTCTGCAGCCAGTACATTTCTGTACTTCCAAAACTTTTTTGGTTTGTTTGTTTTTTTTTATAGGATCCTTCTCTCTATCATGAAGCCATGCATTATTTGAGGTCAGAATAGGTTACATTTGTCTTTTTTCCCCACCAGGGCTTATCCAACATTTGCCTTCAAAATTACAAATATTGTTAGGTACTCAACAAATGCTTCTGAAATGAATGAAAAAAAGTAAATACTATTCACTCAAGATTTGCTGTGAAAAGTATGAGTGTAGACTGAGGGCACAATAATTAAGGTTAGTATTGATTAAGCTCTTACTGTGTCCTGGGTACTCTTTTATGTGCTTTACATTTTATTAGCTCTTTGTATCTTTAAAATAATCCCTTAATGTAGATACAATTATTATTCCCAGTTTGGTGATGAGGATACTGAAGAACAGAGAAGTTAAATAACTTGCCCTAAATAATACAATTTATAAGTGCCAGAGCAGAACTTAGTTCCAGGTAATCTGCTTCTTATCCAGCTTTATTAACTACTACTTTGTACTGACTTTCTTAAACATGAGAAAACTGGGTGTGAAGTTTATTTTAAAGTTTTTTATTTAAATGTTTATATACTGTGAAGAAAAAAACTCAAACCAACAGTTTGTTTGAAATTTTTTTCTAACTAGTTTTTATACTATCTAGATAGCTTATTTGTACTTCAGTGAGCTTAAAATTTAATCTACCGATTATATTTTATAAGGACAAAGCGACTTTTGTATTCTCTTTGACATATAAAAAAGTACCAACATAATTCCGATTGTAAATTGGGCAAATATTGCCATAAACACTGGTATAAATTCAGTGATTTTTGCAATATAACATAAAAATATTTTCAACAGTGGTTTCATAGATTATTTTTTGTGATTGTAGCACTGGTGGTTCTTCATACTTGTAAACAAACTTGGCTGTATTCCCTAGCTATTGGTTCCTTTAATTAAACTTGTAATTAAGAAATAATAATAATACTAATAACAAATAGTCCATGCTATGATCTGAATGTTTGTGTTCCTCCAAGTTCATGTGTTGAAATCTTAACCATGAAGATAATCGAATCAGGAGGTGGTATCTTTGGGAGCGAATTAGGTCATGATGATAGAGCCCTCATAAATGGGATTAGGTCATGAGAGTAGTGTCCTTATAAATGCGGCCTAAGAGAGCACCTTCATCCCTTTCACCATGTGAAGACACAGTGAGAAGGCTCCATCTATGAATGAGAAAGTGGGCCCTTATCAGACACAGAATCTTCCAGAGCCTTGTTTTTGGATTTTTCAGCCTCCAGACCTGTGAGAAATAAATTTCTGTTGTGTATAAACTACCCAGTTTATGGTATATTATTATAGTAGCCTGAAGAGTCTAAGGCACTCCATATACTTTTAAACTAAAGCAAACCCATTAGCAGCAAATTAATTCAAATTTACTGGTTAGATTAAAATGACCAGTTAATTGCTATCTTATGAAAAACCTTAATTTACTTTCTTACTTTAAAGTCCTACAAAACTTATGCTGCTCTTAACATTTTAAACAAAATTTGGACTAATTTTTTTGTAAAATGTCTCTCAAATTGTAAAGGAAATATACATTTTCATTGTCAAAACAGTGATGCAAATAAGAAATGACATTTTGAGATATAGTCTTCTAAGTTTTAATTTTGTAAACATAAAGGGTTACAGATACATTGATAGATGAACATATTTAGATAGACACAGACATAGATACATTGGAGGTATATATTTTTGCCATCATTTTTCACTTAAAAATAAAGAAGTTTCATATCATTGAATACTTTTTACATTCTATGAATACATCTTAATTAAACTATTACTCTATTGCTGTACATTTAGGTCATACTCAGGATTTATTTTTATAACTAAAAAGCGGTAAAATCACTATGCATAAATCTTTGTTCACATTTCTGATAATTAGGGATGGATTTTTAAAATAAATAGACATATGGTCAAAGACATACAAAGATACTGTATAATATCTTTATTAATATGTATTTTAAAATTACTTTTCTTTCTTTTTTTTTTTTTTTTTTGAGATGGAGGGTTGCACTGTCACCCAGGCTGGGGTGCAGTAGTGCGATCTCGGCTCACTGCAAGCTCCGCCTCCCAGGTTCATGCCATTCTCCTGCCTCAGCCTCCCAAGTAGCTGGGACTACAGGCACCTGCCACCACGCACGGCTCATTTTTTTTTTAATTTTTAGTAAAGACGGGGTTTCACCATGTTAGCCAGGATGGTCTCGATCTCCTGACCTCATGATCCACCCACCTCGGCCTCCCAAAGTGCTGGGATTACAGGCATGAGCCACTGCGCCTGGCCTTAAATTACTTTTCAAAAAATTATACTAAATTGCTGCCTCACCAGGAGGTTATCAGAATATCTTTTTCATATTCTTGTCCACAGAGAGAAATGAGATAATAAATTATTTGTTAATTTGGAGAGCAAAAATTTCATTATGCTTATACTTTAATTTGCATTTATTTATTTGTGAGTTTAATTTTTCGCATATTTATTGACTGTTTGCCTCTTTAACTTGTATCTTTTGTTCACATCATTTATAGTATGTTTTCATATTGATTGATGTGTGCCTTAATTTATTGCTATTAACACTTTTTTCATTATTTCGGCAACTACTATTTTTATGATGTTATTTTAATTCTGTTTATATTTTGAGTTTCCTTTAATCTTCATGCCAAATGTTTTGACTATCTTGAAATTAATGAAATTAAGCACCTGAGTTATGTCAGCTAAATTGTGCCAATAATATGCCAAATAGCTTTTAAACATTGGCAAATAACTGGATAGCCTACTCAATTTTTCATTTTTTATTATTAGTATTATCAGTTTCTAAGCCTCTACTTAACATTTACAATATAAGTGTTCAGAGAGTAAACATTGATTTAAAGTTAAAGAAATTGAGCAAGCATGCTCCTTACTAATTTTTGTCTTGAAAACATTCTATTGAGTACAGAGATAAAAATAACACCTTCTCTTCAGTTTTCTGCTCTAATTATTCATTTTATTTAAATAACAGTCTGAGCAGCTAAGAGGCTATCAGTTGCAAAATGCAATATACGCAATTTTGTGGCTGTGATTTATTTGCTATTCATTTAAGGATATGATCTACTTTCAAAGAGGCTCACACTTGCCAGAACATTTGCAAATCTGTAATCTTCAACATGCAGAAACAATTTTCAAGTATAAAAATATAGCTGTTTTTGAATTATTAAGGATATTAAGTTTGGTTGTATAAGCTATAGAAATTACATTCTAAACTGGGCAATAATTTAATTAGCCTGTTACGAAGACAATTTAATGAAATAAATGGCAACATTTGATTGAGAGCCTTAACATCCAGTATTGTATAATATCTTTAATTGAATTTCCTGTAGGATGAGCATAAAGAGACACTTGGAAAGAGGAATTTTTATTTCTATCATGATGAAGAAAAGAGGCTTTTATTATTTTAGGATCTAGTTGCACAAAAGTGTCCACCAATAGTTACTTGATCAAAACTGGGATGATCATATCATTTATTCTCAAGCTGAAGCATTTTTGATAGTAAATGCAGATAGTTGAATAATTAGAATAATAGAATTTTTGAAATAGTTATAATTAGATTGATTATGCTGGTGGGCCTATACCTCAGTTCTTATAAAATTATTTATTATTTTAGTATTAGTCATATTATATGCAGCTCTTTACCATCAAATCATTGACTTCATTTTCATTCTATAATGGTACATAATATAAATTAGTTCAACCATTGTGGAAAACAGTGTGGTGATTCCTCAAGGATCTAGAACTGGAAATACCATTTGACCCAGCAATCCCATTACTGGGTATTTACCCAAAGGATTATAAATCATGCTGCTATAAAGACACATGCACATGTATGTTTATTGCAGCACTGTTCACAATAGCAAAGACTTGGAGGTAACCCAAATGCCCATCAATGATAGACTGGATAAAGAAAATGTGGCAATATACACCATGGAATACTATGCAGCCATAGAAAAGGATGAGTTCATGTATTTTGCAGGAACATGGATGACGCTGGACACTGTCATTCTCAGCAAATTATCACAAGAACAGAAAACCAAACACCGCATGTTCTCACTCATAAGTGGGAGTTGAGCAATGAGAACACATGGACACAGGGAGGGAAATATCACACACCTGGGCCTGTTGGTGGGTGGGAGGCTAGGGGAGGGATAGCATTAGGAGAAATACCTAATGTAAATGATGGGTTGATGGGTGCAGCAAACCACTATGGCACATGTATACCTATGTAACAAACCTGAACATTCTGCACATGTACCCCAGAACTTTAAAGTATAATAATAATAACAAAAAATAGAGACAAAATAAAATGTAATACAAGTTTAAAAAGAAATTTACTGAAAAATAGGGGCTCATCAAAATTCTTCCTAAAAGTTAATACATTTCAATATGCTCTTAGAGAATTTTAAAATTACATCCTCCATACCATTTGCCCACTTATCATCTAATCAATTCAATGTATCCCTTGCTTTTTAAGAGCTATCAATATCTTCCTGTATGAAAGCTTTATTTTCAATAAATGCAATTTGCCAAAAGCTTTCATATTTGAAATATGGGTGCTCAAAAAATTATAATCTTTAGTAGTTGAAATTTGGATGCTCCAGGATTTTGTTTAAAGATTTCCAACAATTTTGAAAAACATACAATCAGAAATGTCAGGACTCATTTACAAAATATTTAATACTTTGCTAGGATAACTAAGTAAATTTGCAAAGAGGTTATTCAAAGGTTAATTATTTCTCAAATCTAATTGATTATGGGCAACAAAAAGACCAAGTATGTATTGCCATACTAAAGTATTTCCTAAAATTATTTCAAATCAGCTTAATCATTAAAGTTTATAATTCAGTTGCAAATACGTATACACACAAATACACAAGTATATATATACAAGTGTAAAAATATTCATAAATTGTGACTACTACGGTTTTATTTCTCTTGGTGTAAAACGTGAATTTTTGGGACCCTCTTTTCTTCAAGCTCACTTCCTTGTACACCACCACATTTCAAATATTTCTGTTCCACATATTTCTTAAGTTAGGAAAATTGTTTTACACATGATGCTATATTATATCAAAATTTGTATTTATAACAACAAAAATAAATAATTTTATCTTCAATTCACCTACCCCAATCTGTAATTTCCCACATTTTCCACTAAGGCAGCTGCCATCACTGAAGAGTACAAAGAATTGACTATGTCAAATCTTTTTTTGCAAACTCGCTTTGTTTCGTCAGTGAGCCCCATATGAGTTTTCCTTGAAAGGCAGGTATTGGTTACGTTGAGTCTGAAATGGGAAGAGATAGGTTATTACTGCTGGTCTTCTTTAAGATTAACTCCCATTTAAGGTGAGAACTGCATTCCCTGAATTTGTCTCGTGCTACTTAGACATGATTATAACAAAGATTGGGAGTATGAAGTAGAGGTTGTAAAAGTCCATCTGGCTTATTTTCATTAATGATAACAATAATCATAACATTGATAATAATACTTTGTTGAAAGGTAAAGCAATCAAGGACAAAATGCTAAACTGGATTGGCCATCAGGACAATAGTTATAAAAGTGTTTCATTCCAGGAAACTGTAATGTATGGTCATTCTATTTAATAAGTAAATTGGTCTCTTTTGACAAACCCTCTGTTCTTTTATTTTTGGTTAAATATTTGTAGTCATTTTATTTCTCTTATTCACATGGAACTTAATCATCATGAATAAAATTATATTTTACAACTTTTAAGACATTCAAGGCTATTCAAAATTGTTGTTATTACTAGTAGTAGCAGCAGTAGTAGCAGTATTTTGAAATATTAATCATTTACAAGGTTGTTAGAAATACATATTTTAAAAGATCAGAGAACTCATTTATATGTTATAATACAGAGCTTAGTTTCATAGTGTAGATAATTTTACAGGTTTATTATTCCTAGACCAAATATAGTATAATCTAATTAAATATTACTCAACTTCCTTCAATATTTATATTTGTTGTCCTTAGATATTGTTCTTAGTTACATGCTATACATTGCACAATGGCAGAATTAAGACTTTTTCCTGATCTTTTTAAAGTGACAGATTTTTTTTGGCTAGCTGCTCATTTTCAGTTTCAAAAGATATTTTAACTCAAACATCATATTGTCCTTATCATTCATTTAGACTCATTTACACAAATTCCACGTGGCTGTTTGAAGGGAAACATTGGGATGAGCTGTTGATAAGGCTTATGGGTACTTCCAAATACTTTCTCACTGAAATATTAATTTACTGTATCCTAATAAAACCATAATATGCTATGAAATATGAGATTTGGGCCACATGACTTAATACTGTGTGTGCTAACAATAGAAATAGTATAATTTTAACACATAATTTATAAATACATAGCATTTATTTACTTATAGCACAACAATATTCTTGCAATTATCCTTAGAACCAAATGAACATAATCTCTAAAGTAGGAAAAATACCCAATAGCATGTGCAGCACTGTGTCCAGTATGCAGTTGGTGAACCAGGAAAAAATGACACAGTGATAGTATAAGTGTTGGAAAGTTTGAGGGTGTATATGTTAGTACAGGACATTTCAGATGTGAAGGCATAAGCTTACATACCTGAAGTGTATTTTCCTCAGCTAATCTGGCTGGCGGGCAGGTACCTGCTTTGTCCTCACACCACGGTAAGTCACGTTCCCAAGGCTGAGCAACTGATGGAAGCAAATCACCTGTTCTTATTCAGCAGCATTGTTCTTCTTCTGAGATAATCTTCTCCTCCAATGGTCTAGTTGGGAATCGTAGTAGAGATCTCACCTAGATTATTGTAACATCTTCCTAAACAGGCTCATTATTTTCAGTCTCATTTTTAGTAGCTATCAGATTGATTTACCTAAAGCACAAATCTAGCCATATTATCCGTCTCGTTAAAACTCCTTAGGAGAAACTAGAACCCTAGACATTGTTGATGGGATTGTAAAATCATGCAGCTGCTTTTCACAATAGCTTGACAATTTCTTAAGCAGATAAGCATAAATTTACCATATGACCCAAGAATTCTATCCCTAAATATCTACCCAAGAGAAATGAAAACATGTCTGTGTAAAGACTTGCATGTGAATGCTTGTGGCAGCATTAGTCATATTAACCAAAAAATAGAAACAATCTGAACGCCCATCAATTGGTGAAAAGATAAGCCAATGATGTTATATCCATACCATGGAATACTATTTTACAATACAAACAAATATGCTATGGATACATACTGCAGCGTGGGTAAATCTAAAAAAACCTGATGCCTGATGAAACAAACCAGATGCAAATGACTACATATTCTATGATTCCATTTATGTGAAATGTCCAGAAATGACAAATCTATAGACATAGAAAGCAGATGAGCATTTGCCTGGTTCTTGGAGGTAGGAGTCAGTAGTGACTATAAATGGCTATGAGGGATATTCTGGAATGATGGAAATATTCTAAAACCTGTATTGTGTTAAGGATTGTACAACTCTGTCAATTTAATAGTAATCATTGAATTGTTCACCTAAGTGAATCTTAAGATGTAAATTAAACCTCAATAAAGCTTATATAATTTGTCTGTGTCCCCACCCAAATATCATCTTGAATTTTAGCTCCCATAATTCCCATGTATTGTGGGAGGGACCTGGTGGGAGATAATTGAATCATGGGGGCGGTGTCCCCCATACTGTTCATATGGTAGTGAAAAAGTCTCATGAAATCTGATGGTTTTATAGGGGGTTTCTCCTTTTGCTTGGCGCTCATCCTCTCTTGCCTGCCACCATGTAAGACATGGCTTTCACCTTCCACCATGATTGTGAGGCCCCCCACAGCCATGTGGACCTGTGAGTCCATTCAACCTCTTTTTCTTTATAAATTACCCAGTGTTGGGTGTGTCTTTATCAGTAGTGTGAAAACAGACTAATACAAAAGTTATTTAAGTGCAAGCAAATATCCACAACAGCAAGCTCTTCAGAAGCTCCTGACCACAGGATCCAGCCTGGCTTCCTACGTACTGTTCCTGGAGTGCTCCTCAACCTTGCCTTTTGCTTACTGCTCCACATATCTCACTGGCCCCAGCATCACTAAGTAAACTCCTGTAGTATTGCTCGTAGTTCCTTGCGTGTTCTAACCTCCTTCTCAACTCTATACCTTTGCTCCTTCCCCTATACAATAAATGCCACTCCCCAATGTGTTCCTGCCTGAACTCCTTTACCAAGAAATGCCACTCCCCAATGCCTTCCTGCCTGAACTCTTTTACCAAGCATACTTCTTATTCATCCTATAAGCCTCAGCTCATGCCATATCTCCAAAGGAACTTATCTTGGTGTTTGTGTTGTCCCTACCACCTGACCCCAGAATGAAGCTGATAGGGTTTGGCTGTGTTCTCACACAAATCTCATCTTGAATTCCCAGATGTTGTGGGAGTGACCTGGTGGTAGGTAACTGAATCATGGGGGCAGGGCTTTCTCATGCTGTTTTTAGGATAGTGAATAAGTCTCACAAGATCTGATGGCTTTATAAGGTGGAGTTTCCCTGCACAAGCTTTTTTTGCCTGACCCCCTCCATGTAAGATTGTGACTTGCTCCTTCTTGCCTTTCACCTTCTGCCATGATTATGAGGCCTCCCCAGCCATGTTCAACTGTAAGTCCAATACCTCTTTCTTTTGCAAATTGCTGAGTCTCAGGTGTGTCTTTATCAGCAGTGTGAAAATGGGCTAATACAGTGAATTGGTATGGGAAGTGTGGCACTGCTGAAAAGATACCCAAAAATGTGGAAGTGACTTTGGAACTGGGTAACAGGAAGAGATTGGATGGAACCGTTTGGAGGACTCAGAAGACAGGAAAATGTGGGAAAGTTTGAAACTTCCTAGAGACTTCTTGAATGGCTTTGACCAAAATGCTGATAATGATATGGACAATAAAGTCCAGGCTGAGTTGGTCTCAGATGGAAATGAACTTGTTGGGAACTGGAGCAAAGGTGATTCTTGTTATGTTTTAGCAAAGAGACTGGCAGCATTTTGTTGCTGCCCTAGAGATTTGTGGAACTTTGAACTTGCTAGAGATGATTTAGGATATCTGGTAGAAAAAATTTTTAAGCAGCAAAGCATTCAAGAGGTGACTTGGGTGTTGTTAAAGGCATTCAGTTTTATAAGGGAAGTAGAGAATAAAAGTTTGGAAAATTTGCAGCCTGACAATGTGATAGAAAAGAAAATCCCATTTTCTGAGGAGAAATCCAAGCCAGCTGCAGAAATTTGTGTAACAAGTAGCCAAATGTTAATCTCTAAGACAATGGGGAAACTGTCTCCAGGGCATGTCAGAGGTCTTCACAGCAGCCCCTCCCATCACAGGCCAGGAGGTCTAGAAGGAAAAATGGTTTAGTGGGTCGAATCTGGGGTCTCCATGCTGTGTGCAGCCTAGGGACTTGGTGTCTTGCATCCCAGCTGCTCCAGCCATGGCTGAAAGGTGTCAATGTAGAGCTCAGGCCATGGCTGCAGAGGGTGCAAGCCTCAAGCCTTGGCAGCTTTTACCTGATGTTGAGCCTGGTGGTGCACAGACGTTAAGAATTGGGGTTTGGGAACCTCTGCCTAGATTTCAGAGGCTATATGGAAATGCCTGGATGTCCAGGCAAAAGTTTGCTGCAGGGGCAGGCCTCTCATGGAAAACCTCTACTAGGGCAATGCAGAAAGTAAATGTGGGGTTGGAGCCCCCACACAGAGTCCCTACTGGGGCACCACCTCGTGGAGCTATGAGAAGAGGGCCACCATCCTCCAGACCCCAGAGTGGGAGATCCACTGACAGCTTGCACTGTGGACCAGGAAAAGCCACAAACACTCAATGGCAGCCCATGAAAGCAGCCAGCAGGGAGGGGAGGCTGCATCCTGCACAGCCTCAGGGGCAGAGCTGCCCAAGACCATGGGAACCCACATCTTGCATCAGCCTGACCTGGATGCAAGACATGGGATCAAAGGAGATCATTTTGGAGCTTTAAGATTTGACTGTCCTGCTGGGTTTCAGATTTGCATGGGGTCCGTAGCCCTTTTGTTTTGGCCAATTTCTCCCTATTGGAATGGCTGTATTTACCCAATGCTTGTACCACTGCTGTATCTAGGAAGTAACTAACCTGCTTTTGATTTCACAGGCTCATAGGTGGAAGGAACTTGCCTTGTCTCGAACGAGACTTTGGACTGTGGACTTTTGAGTTAATGCTGAAATGAGTTAAGACTTAGGGGGACCATTGGGAAGGCATGACTGGTTTTTAAATGTGAGGACATAAGATTTGGGAGGGGCTGGGGCAGAATGATGTGGTTTGGCTGTGTCCCCACCCAAATCTTATCTTGAATTCCCACAAGTTGTGGGAGGGACCTGGTGGTAGGTAATTGAATCATGGGGGCAGGACTTTCCTGTGCTATTATCGTGATAGTGAATAAGTCTCCCAAGATCTGATGGCTTTATAAGGTGGAGGTTCCCCGCACAAGCTCTTTTGCCTGCCGCTATTCATGTTAAGATGTGACTTGCTTCTCCTTGCCTTTTACCTTCTGCCATGATGGTGAGGCCTCCTCAGCCACGTGGCACTGTGAGTCCAATAAACCTCTTTCTTTTGTAAATTGCCCAGTCTCGGATATGTCTTTATCAGCAGTGTGAAAATGGACTAATACAGATGCTCTCTCCCTAATGTCTACGTAATACCTCCAAATAGAGCAACACACATTTTTACAGCTGTTTATTTGTGAGTCTGCCTTTTTCTTTGGACTCTGAGTTTGTAATGATTAATTTTGGTATTCTTCGGACCTAGCACAGTGTTTGGCACAGAATATGTGCACAAAATATTTGTGGAATAATGAATTAACATATGTATGGCTGCTAGAGGTTCAGAATCAGTATTTATGGGGCATTCTCATCTTACCTGACATGAACTACTTCTTTAATGTTATTTTTGGCAGCTGAATTCTGGGAAATATGACATAATGACATATACATGAGATTATAGATTAAAATATTTTATGTATAAGCTCACATAAGTTCATGTTTTCCAGAACATGAAATGGCAATCTTTTGACCAAATTTATTATTTGCGCATAGGATGGATAAAGTGTGTGCATGTTGTGACGGGTGGCTCCTCGCAGTGATGGTAGATCATGTCATCTAATGGGTTGTCGTTTCTTGACATGATTTACAGTTCACAGCAGAGAACACAAGGGAAGATGGACAGCCACTTGGGGACCACCTGTTACAGGTGAGGAATGCAATGTTATTTTCAGCTGTTATGAAATCAACTCATCAAGAGGATTTGGAAGCTAGTCAACAGGCAGTAGGTAAACAAACATTCCAGGCAAACTAAACACCAACAAATGACAGATTTCAGACATGGGAGTTCAGATAAAGCTAGGAGCTTCACACTGTTTCATTTAGTTTTACTAGAACTGTGTAGGGGATTGTGATATCACTAAATTCTGCTGTACATTAAAATGAAGCCTCAAAAATGAACATTATTTCCTAAGGCAGAAATACCAAGCAGATATCATTCTATACAGTATATGTGATTTGTTTGTTTCAAGGCTCTAAGGATTATGATTGAAAACAAAATGCCTAGCAAATGTTCTAAATACAAACTGTGAACAGGAACATGTTATTTATAACCATACAAGAAAATATGAGAAGAAAATCCTTTTAGAAAATGATAGAAGGAACAATGTGTAGCCTTATGAATCTTTGGTGTGAACTCACAGAATGTTGAGTGGAATTTCATGTACCCTTGTAGGGGTACGTGTCTCAGGTTGGTGGAGAAGACAGTAAGTCTTCCTAAAAGTGTATGGAACTTCTTAAAAATGCAGAGAGAGAGAGTCTGTATACACAAGAAATTGGAACTTCTATGGGTTGCAGCATGGAAGTTTAATTATTCTTTCTCTGGCTTTAATTTTAAAATGTATTAAAGAGTACAGGAACCAATTAAAGATGGCAGAGTAAAGACATTTCTGCCCCGTTCTTTGAAACCAACTTAAAACCAAAACAGAGAACAAAGAAGCAGAAATGAAAACCTGGAGGGCTGTAAAAGTGTTATGAAATTTAAATCTAGTTAAAATGAGGAAAGCAGCAGGAGGTGTGTGCCTCCATGTTCACAGAAAGCACGCAGAATTATCCAAAGGTAAGTTACACTTTCTGAAATGTCATCAGGGCCACTTTGGAACAGCAAGCGCTTAGCTGCTGTGTCAGAGTCTGGGGCATCACTAACCTTGCTGGGCAGAAAAGAATGTCAGAGAAGGTGGAGCTAGTAAAGTGCCTACACACCTCTCTTTGCAAAACAAACAAACAAACAAACAAACAGAAAAAGCAGAAAACAAAACAAAACAATACATCAATCCTTCTAGCTGAGTGGGAGGGAAAATGTTAGCAAGCAATCTTTCAGTTGATTATTTGATATACAAAAGTAAAATAAACTCCAAGTTACTGCATAAAATCTGGTGGCAAACATGATTGCATAATATGGAAAGTTTATCCCAGAGAAAAATCAAATTCTAGGACAGTCTTTTGTTGGGAAACATTTCAAGACACAAATTTGAATGCAAGCTACCTGAATATCTAACTCACTCCACTGATGTGCTTTCTAACATTATCCTCTAATGCATAGTTGGCCTGGGGAAAAACAACAAAAATAACAAAGACAAACAGAAAGAAAGCACATGAGAAATGCAGATACAATTCTGCAAAAGAACAAATAGAAAAAAGGTAAGAACGCATCAAAAATATTTAGTCATAAAAGACATGAAAATAAGAAAACCCTTCTCTGAGAATTCAAAGAAAATTTTTTAAAGTCTTCTGATACATATATATGTGTATATATATGTACATATATACATGCATATACATATACATATATACATAGATATGTGTATATATACACATACATATATATGCATGTATATATACTACATACATGTATATATACTCACACATGTATATACACATACATATATGCATGTATGTATACACATATATACACATATGTGTACATATATACACATACATATATACATATATATGTATCAGAAGACTTTTTAAAAAATTTCTTTGAATTCTCAGAGAAGGGTTTTCTTATAATTTTCATGTCTTTTACGACTAAATATTTTGATGTGTTCTTACCTTTTTTCTATTTGTTCTTTTGCAGAATTGTATGTGCATTTCTCATGTCCTTTCTTTAAATGTATACATATATATTTATATGTGTATATTATGTGTATATTATGTTACTACCAGAAAATCTGAAGAAGAGAATATGCTTTCCAAATTATAAAAGTAAAACATGCAAATACAAGAAATATAGACAATATAGCAAAAATAAATGGCATTAAATACAGAAAGTAGAACTTGAAATAAAATGCCACAGCTAATTGCCATATCAGTAAATATCAATGAGATAAAATTGCTCATTAAAAGACCACCAATTTGGACCACAAAATGACACAGGTGCTATTATGATATTCATCTAAAATCAATAAAGGCAGGAAGCAAAATATAGGTAAACAAATTAAAACTAAAAGCAAGCAAGAGTAATTTTATTAAAATTATACAAGGTCCACTTTAGGGAAAACTGCATGAAACTACCAAACGAAAGACAATGAAAAAGTTTAAATCTACAATTAAAGTTTGGTATGAACCTTAAGCTAAATAGCATAGTACCAAAATTCGAAATGCCAATTTTTTTACAAATGCAGGACAATTACACTGAGTGGAAAAAGCCAATCTCAGAATATTGCATACTCCATGATTCCATTCAGACTCCATGATTCCATTCATTTTTGAAGTGACCAAGTTATAGAGATGGAGAACAGATGTGTGCTTGTCAGGGCTTAAGGAGGGACTGTGAATAGAAAAGGGTAGCAAGGGAATCCTTGCGATGAAACACAAGTCTGTATCTCGACCACAGTAGTGCACACAGGAAATTGCACTGTGACAACATTGTGTAGAACTAACACACACACACAAGTGAATGTAAATCTGACATCTGAATAAGGTAGATGCATTGTGTCAGTGTCAACTTCCTACTTGTGACATTGTCCTGTAGTTATGCAAAACGTTACCAGTGAGGGAAAATGGTGAAAGGTATATGGAATTCTCTCTGTATTATTTCTTAAAACTGCAAATAAATCTACAATAATCTCAAAATTAAAAAAAGATCAAAATGTCAAAATGGTTTAAAACAACCATAAATAAATTTGAATGGAAAATAAGAAACTGGAAAAACCTGCCAAGATATATGAAAATTGGCTCATTTCTTCTAACTTATTAATTTTTAAAAATAGGCCAAGATTATAGACAGATAATTCACAGTAAGAGAAACTCAAAAGAGTTTTAAATATGTAAAAACCTACTCATATTTGCTCATAATAAGACCATTATGGTTTGTATTTTAAACTACAATGAGATTTGTAGTTTGTAATTCAAACAGCAATGAGATAGCTTCTTAGTTACTGTACTTGCAAGGATCAAATGGTTTGATAATAAATGGCATTGGCAGGAAGTTTGAGGACAAAAGCAATTTTGTGCACTGTTGGTGGGAATATAAGTGAATGTTTCACTTTGAAGGCTATTTGGCACTATGTATCAAAATTAAAAATTCACTTGCCGGGTGACAGAAATTTCACTTCTCAAGATTTGTGTTAACAGGTATATTAGCCCATATGTAAAGCACAGTATGAATAAGCATTACATGAATAAGAAAGGACTGGAAATGGCATAATTGTTCATTAAAGGCCAGTAATTCAATAAATTATGGCACAACCATGCAATAAAATATGCTATTGGGAGAAATGAAGTAGCTCTCTCTATGTTCTGAAAGGGGGTAATCTCCAAATTGCTGTGTTAAGAGAAAATCACAAAGTCATGAATAGTGTAATAAGGTATCTTCAAATGTGTAGCATTAAAATATACACATATATATATATGCACAAACAGACACATGCTTGCACATACACGTTTCTGGAGAGTTTACAAGATATTCAATAGTGACAGCAGAGATCTCTGTTTGGAGAACTGCATTCATTCTCTTTAGAGCCCTTTGTCCTGCTTGATATAGTTAATGCATATGTTTGTCTTCATTACTGATGTGTCTTACCAGAGCCTAAAATTTGCTCAGTACATTGCAGTCGTTAAATAAACATTTGTTGAGTTGCACTGAACAATATTTCTATGTTGTTCACCTTCAAGGAGTAGCGCTCAGTATTGCACCCACTAATTTGTCTGTAGAAAACTTCATGCTTTTTATAAATATTTTCGAATACATTATTTTATTTGATCCTCAAATGTTTTTCAAGTTATACAAAGTATGTGTACTTTTTATATATGTGCATATTTCAATTATTCCTTGCAACTGAGTTATTGGTACCTGTATGATTGCATTCCTCGTATAAACTGTATGTTCACATTTTGTTGATTGTCCCCCTTTGCTTTTCAGTTCTCTTCTTTTACTCTTCTGATGAGTTCTTCCCTTGACTCTTAACACGTTAATCACCTACCACACTTTTTTATTACTATATGCATGATTCATTATTTTTCTTCCTGCTTTCTGTTTTATCAACAAAATGCTAATATTAAAAAAAACAATGCAAGCTAGTTCTCTTTGTGTTCTCCCGCATTCCTTTGAAATCTATTTAGAAAGTAAGCATTACAATTTTCCCTCCCCACCCTCACCCCCACCCACCTATCTATAGAGAAACAGTTTTTTTCCCCAGCCCAAGAATTATTGGCTCAGGTCAGCAGTTTATCATAAAATATTCTACATGACATCCATGCTTTGTCCTAGCTCTTCTATTTCCTGTAGACTCTTAAAGATCTTTTTTAATACCCTTATTCTCAAATACATCAATTTCCGTGTTATAAGGAGAGAAGGCCTTTGCAGTTACTCTATGTAATACTTTCCTGACTTCTTTTTTTAAGGATCTCATTCTGTATTCTTCATTTAATGTATTCTTTTGAAAAGTGAGCTGTTTCAGCTAGGCCCATTTCATAGTATTATTTACACTTCTGTTTCTATTTTCTGAACCTTTTACCTTCCTCCTAATTTTTTAAAAAACTCAAGTAGTCCACTAAAAATAGGATCACACTGTGTCCATTTCCACAGCAGTTCATTTTTTTTTCTGCTTTTGATCACTTGTTTATGGTGCATTAACAACTTTGTCCCTTTACTAATTTCTTACTTTTGAAATAGTTCCACTTTAAAAAAAACTTCTCAATCATTTGCAGTTTCTTTTTAAGCATGATATGAATCTGCCTGTCCATTTTTATCTCCTAGGCTTAATATCTCAGTCTTCCCGACCACTGTAGGATGTTTCTAGAAATTTCTTAATCTTTCTTCTTTCTTCTATTTTGTTCGTTGGATTTCCAAGAGTTTGCTTATAGTTTTCTCATTGTATCTTTTCTCTGTCTTTTTAGTGATCATGTCTGCTGATGAGATGCCCACATTCTTTACTCTGAGCTACAATTGTTAGAATAGACCTGGCTGGTTTATTAGCCAGGATGCTGCATCACAAACAGCCTTGAAATGCAATGGTTTACAACAACATGCATTGATTTTTCTTGGCCATGTGTCTGCAGGTCAGAGGGGACACTTCTCTAGGATGAGTGTTGGCTACCCTTGAACCCAGCTCTTGGGATTGGCTAAGAGTCTGCACCACATCTCCTCATTCTCCCTGCATTAACAATTATGGGGCATGTTCTCATGGTAGGCACAGAAGTCCCATATGGGCATGTTTAAAGCCTGTGCTCTTGTCCCCTCTAACTTTCCACTGGTCAAAGCAAGTCACAGGTATACTCGATTTTCTCTGCTCTACTGCATAGGGAGGAGTGAAGAATTGAGAATAAGTATGCAATCTGTCCCAGCTTCTATAGTGGGCTTCTTTGGATACCTTATGTCTATGTACCCTCTGCTTCTTCCTCCAGCAGAAAAACCCTGATTTCTCCCCTGCAGTCTTTGCATCCTGCTCCAAGTTCATTCTCTCTGGATGATGTACAGTCTCCTTCATCAGGCCTCAATTTGGCTCCTCAAGGTTCAGTTACCTATAGATACTTTTATTAACCATAAGGCATGAATAATCTCTCTGATTTTACAGCAGCCAACTCTTGCTGAGAAGAAATGGTGAGGACTCACTGCCCTAGTTGTGAAGTGAGTTCTTTAGTTGGTCCATCTGGCAGTCCCAGGTTCTGCTCTTCAATAAAAATTCTCTTGTTCATTTTCTTTCGTGGCCCCTGGATTTGCTCTTCAGGAGGGTCTTCCTTTTCTGTTGTCCTCTGTGGCCACATCTGAAATGGACATTCAGGAGAATATCTTCACTAAGGACTGCACATATGTAGCAAGCCACTTCCTTTTAGTACGGGTTCATGACCCACTGGATTAGTTTTGGACAATAAGATACCCTAAAAAGTATGACAGACTTTCAGCGTAGTTGTTTTTTGGTCATCTCCAAGTGTGAATAAACAGTCAATGACCTTGGGTAAATGGAATTATTAAGCTTGAAGACCCTGGTCTTTTATTTACAGACCTCTGTGCTCTGTGCATCTAAATAATTTTCAGCTTGCTGTCTGCTGCATTGAGAACATATGAAGTAATGCATTATCTTTGCCAGCAGGCTCACAACTTTTGTATGGTGTGGCAAAAGTCATATTTATCGCTAAGCCTAGAATTTTCAGACGCTTCTTTTAACTGTTTCAATTTGGGGTATAGGCAGTTGGCTTTTTCAACCATGAAAGTTTTCAAATTACCAGACTCTCAGTCAACTGAGATTGTGGGTTACAGGCAAAGAGTACCTTCCTTAGCAAAGGTGCATGTCTTTCCGTTTCAACTCTGAGACTGGCCAGGTAGTTAGTTCCACCTCGAATTTGTCATGCTAGGATTTTTCTGACAACCCATACCAATATTTTACCATTTCTCCTAATACTATATGTAGCCTTTGGCAGCATGTGGTTGGCTTCCAATGTGTAGCAGGTGATGACTTGACTAAATATTTTGTAGATTTATTATAAAGATCATGAGATTTTTGGCTTTCATTATCTGAGTCATTGCTATGCACCTATGCAGCTCTGCTTCCATTACACATTTAGTGCCACATTTTAGTTTCTGATACTTGAAGAAACTTACTTCCAAGTACTAAATCAGTTGGAATAAGCTTTAAATGTGTATAACCAGGGAAGGAAATAATAATGAAAATGAGAGTGGCTTAATCAAAACAGAAGTTTACTTTTTTTTTCAGTTAAAAGAGAAGTTTGAAGATAAATCATTCTGGTGGCACGAGGACGTTATCGGTGATACAGTCTATTTCTTCCTATATTCCATTTTTAGCATGGAGCTTCCTTCTTTGAGTTTATCTATAGTCTAAATTGGCTGCTATAGCTCCAGCCATCCCTTCTGTTGTAGCAGGAAGAGGTGGGGAAGGATAAACGATTATCCTTTCTCCTTGACTTATTGGCTCCCTTTAAGCAGCCTTCCCAGAAAGACTGTCACAAAATAGTAAGCTTACATCTCACTGGGCAGGACTTAGACTTATAAGCTCATTTCGCTACAAGGGATGACGGGGAGTGTAGTATTTTATTTGTTAACCAAATGTGATTGAGACTTGGTTAACAAAGAAGAAGGAGATCATATGTATTGCGATTCTGCAATTAATAGTCTACTAGAGAAGTAAATGTATTCTTTGCACTGAGATTTTTATTTTCATTTTTAAAAACATGTTCAATTAAGCTTTGACATCTTGAAAGGACAGAAAACATTCCCTCTTCTTTACCATCCTCATAATTTAAGTCATCTCTATTATAACAGGAATTTTCTCATTCTCCATACACATCTGCCACATTTTCAACCTGCATGAAAATTAATTTGTCATTACTCGTCTTATTTAAAAAGGCAGAATCTTTTTTTATATAGCACAACAATAATTCTTTCACATAGATCTTGCCAACTTGACTAGTCCATTTCCTTTTAAATACATTGCAGACTGCTACTCTGTTTATCTACATAGATTGTTTTAAAACAATTTTAAATGAACTTAGAGATAACCTAATTTAATCCTCTCATTTTGCAGATAAAGATGCTTTGGTCTGGAAAGAGTATATTAAGCCACTTCTGTCATGCAGCGAGGAATTAATAAACAGTTTTCATGCCTATATTTTGGATTTGTTTGTGACTAAATGTGTCCACATATTACTTTTTGTGCCCCCCACCTTCTGCCCAGCACACATCAAATTCCTTTATACTTTTTTTAGTTATGTAGTTAAAGTCTTCAAACTATTTTTATTATATGCAGAAGACAAGTCATGACCCAAAATAATATTTCCTTTTCAAATTCCTCTTACAGATGAAAATGGAGCATAGTATATTCATAAATCTGATATTTCCTGTCACTGAGGAAATCACACATACGATCATACATCTTCCACCTCAAATCTCATATATCTTTGAACATTTACATTTGTGTGATTGGCAACCCTTCTCTCTTTATTATTTTTCTTCCTTTTTAGCCAGTGTAAAGAGCCCTGAACTATGTTCCCACCTATGCAAAAGTAAATTGCCTTCTTATTTCTTCTTCTAAATGAATCTCATCTTCCCTCTCCCCTTTCATTCTGTTTGATTCACTTAGTGCTTACAGAGTACCTTTGACATGCAAGTACCTATGACTTAAAGTGGAAGCATGCAACACAAATAACATGAAAACATATACTTGGCTTGATTCTGGGAAGCTGCCTTTCAACTCTCAGATCTCTTTTCCTAGTGTGATTTTCTTTCTACTGCTTCTCTTTATCACCAGGATACAGCAAGTAGTAAGCAGTCATAAAATGTTTTGTGCATTATGTTTTGAACTTTAGACTTTTCTTTGCTTTTTTCTCTATCCTTCAGCATCTAATTGGAGGCAGATAAAGAACTTGTGATTATTTAGTTGGGAGAAGGGAAGTTTGGGTTTGGTGTGCATCTCAGGGTGAATGCAGGTACACTCACACTTATGGGTTATTCTTGTGATACTATTGCTACTGCAATTTTGCTTTCTTTCTTCATTAAATTTCACACAACCTTACTCATTCTGTATTTTCATCTTTTCTCTGATCTGTTGGAGGGTATACTTGACCTTGGACCTTTGGGTTCACTTTCTCTTTTCCCTTTCAAAGTCCATCTCACTTGCCTTTCCCTCAGGTAGCAGCATTGATTTTTTTTTTCAAACTGCACTATTGCTTTCCACAACAGAGGATATTCATGAATGTCGAGCATAATATGATGGTCAGCATTCGGTAAATGGAAATTGTTCTGATTTTTGGTATGTAATCTTTACCATAGTTCTGCATGGATATGGTTGACCAAGGTGGGGAAAGAATGTCAGAGCTTGAAGACCAGTTTTCCAAAATAACGTAGCTGGACAAAAATAAAGTAAGAAGATTAAAGAATAAGCAATATTTCTAAGCAATACGGGATTATGTAAAGTGGCCAAATCTATGACTTATTGGCACTTATGAAAGAGAAGGAGAGAAAGCAAGTAACTTGGAAGCATATTTCAGGATATGGTCCATGAGAATTTCCCCAACCTCACTAGAGAGGGCAACATTCAAATTCAGGAAATGCAAAGAACCCCTTCAAGGTACTACAGAAGATGACCATCTCCAAGACACATAGTAAACAGATTCCCAAAGTCAGCTAGGGAGAAGGGGAAGGACACCTTCCAAGGGAACCCCATCAGTCTAACCACGGACCTTTCAGCAAAAGCCCTACAAACCAGAAGACACTGAGGGCCTTGATTCAGCATTCCTAAAGAAGAGAAACTCCTACCCAGAATTTCATATCCAGCTAAACTAAGCTTCATAAACAAAGGAGAAATAAGGTCCTTTTCAGACAAGCAAATGCTAAGGGAATTCATTACCACCAGAACTGCCTTATGAGAGGTCCTGAACAGAGTGCTAAATATGGAAAGGAAAGACCATTACCAGCCACTTTGAAAACACACTTAAGTACATAGACTATTAACACTGTAAAGCAACCATGCAATTAAGTCTGCATAGTAACCAACTAACAACATGATGAAGGAATGAAATTTACACATATCAATATTAACCTTGAATATAAATGGGCTAAATGCTCCAATCAAAAGGCAGAGTGGTGAGTTAGATAAAGAAGCAAGACCCAATGGTATGCTACCTTCAAGAGACCCCATCTCACATGCAATGACACCCATAGGCTCAAAGTAAAGGGATGAAGAAAAATCTACCAGGCAAATGGAAAACAGAAGAAAGCAAGGATTAGTATACTAATTTCAGACAAAATAGATTTTAAGCCAAACAGACTTTAAGCCAACAAAGATATTTTAAAAATTAAAGGGTATTACATAATGGTAAAGGGTTCGATTTGCAAGAAGACCTAACTATCCTAAATATATATGCATCCAGTATAGGAGCACCCAGATTCCTAAAGAAAGTTCTTAGAGACCTACAAAGAGACTTAGATAACCATATAATATAGTAGAAGACTTAAACACTCTACTTACAGTATTAGACATATTATCAAGACAGAAAACTTACAAGGATATTTATGACCTGAACACAACACTTGACCAAATGGACTTAAAAACATCTACAAAACTCTCCACCTAAAACCACAGAATATACATTCTTTTCATCTGCACAGGCCACATACTCTAAAATTGACCCCACAATTGGCCATAAAACAATCCTTAGCAAATTCAAAAAAAATTATACTCACCACACTCTCAGATCACAACACAATAAAAATAGAAATCAACAGTAAGAAAATTGCTCAAAACTATGAAATCACATGCGAATTAAACAACTTGCTCTTGAATGACTTTTGGGTTAGCAATGAAATTAAGGCAGAAATGAAGAAATTCTTTGAAACTAACGAGAACAAAGATACAACATAACAAAATCTCTAGGACACAGTTAAGAAAGTGTTAAGACAGAAGTTTATAGTGCTAACTGCCCACATTAAAAGTTAGAAAAATCTCAAATCTACAACCTAACATCATACCTAGTGGAACTAGAGAAAGAAGAGCAAACCAACCCCAAAGCGAGTAGAAGATAAGATATAACCAAAATCAAAGGACAACTAAAAACAAAACAAAACAAAACAAAAAGCTCAAAAAACAAGATGTGAAAAAACATACAAAAGATCAATGAATTCAGGAGTTGGTTGTTGCATGGAATAAATAAGACTGATAGATCATTAGTTAAACTGATATGAAAAAAATAAGAAAAGATCCAAATAAACACAATCAAAAATGATAAAAGAGATATTGTAACCAACCCCACAGAGTTACAAAAAAAAGTCAGAGGCTACTATGGACACCTCTATGCACACAAGCTAGAAAATCTAGAACAAATGATTAAATTCTTGGAAATATATGACCTCCATTGAACCAGGAAGAAATTGAATCCCTAAAGAGATCAATAATCAGTTCTGAAATTGAATCAGTAATAAAAAGCATACCAACTAGAAAAAGTCCAGAACCAGACAAATTCACAGCTGAATTCTCCCAATGTATAAAGAAGAGGTGGTATCATTCTTACTGAAACTATTCCAAAAATTCAGGAGGAGGCACTCCTTCCTAACTCATTCTATGAGGCCAGCATCATCCTGTTTCCAAAACCTGGCACAGACACAATAAAAAAAGAAAGCTTCAGGCCAGTATCTTTGATGAACATAGACGCAAAAATCCTCAACAAAAACTAGCAAACCAAATCCAGCAACACATCAAAAAGCTAATCCATCACAATAAAGTAGGCTTTATACTGGGATGCAAGGTTGGTTCATCATACACAAAACAATAGATGTGATTCATCACATAAAGAGAACAAAAAGCAAAAACCACATGATCATCTCCATAGATGCAGAAAAGGCTTTCAATAAAATCCAACATCCCTTTACGTAAAAAACCCTCAACAAACTAGGCATTGAAGGAATATACCTCAAAACAGTAAGTGTCATCTATGATAAACCAGTGGCCAACATCATACTGAATGGAAAAGGCTGGAAGCTTTCCCCTTGAAAACTAGCACAAGACAAAACTCACACCACTCCTATCCAACATAGAATTGGAAGTCCTAGGCAGAGAAACCAGGTAAGAGGAAGAGATAAAAGTCATTTAAATAGGAAGAGAGGAAGTCAAACTATCTCTGTTTGCAGGTTATATGATTCTATACCTAGAAAACCCCATAGTCTCTGCCCAAAAGTTCCGTGATCTGATAAACAACTTCAGCAAAGTTTCAGGATACAAATCAATGTACAACAATTGCCAGCATTCCTATACACCAACAACATCCAAGCTGACAACCAAATCAAGAATGCAATCTTATTCACAATAGCCACCAAAAGAATAAAATATCTAAAAATACAGCTAACCAGGAAGGTGAAAGAGTTCTACAATGAGAATTACAAAACACTGCTCAAAGAAATCAGAGATGCCACAACAAATGGAAAAACTTTCCATGCTCGTGGCTAGGAAGAATTAATATGGTTAAAATGGCCATACTGCCCAAAGCAAATTACAGATTCAATGCTATTCTTTATCAAAATACCAATGACATTCTTCACAGAATTAGAAAAGAACTATTTTAAAATTCACTTGGAAGCAAAAAAGAGCCCAAGTAGCCAAGGTAATCCTAAGCAAAAAGAACAAAGCTGGAGGCATCAAGTTACCCATCTTCAAATCATACTACACAGCTACAGTAACCAAAACCACATGGTACTGGTACAACGACAGGCATATAGACTAATAGAACAGAATAGAGTACCCAGAAATAATGCCACACACCTACAACCATCTGATTTTCCTCAAAGGTGACAAAAGCAAGCAATGGGCAAAGGACTTTCTCGTTAATAAATGGCGCTGTCATAACTGGCTAGCAATATGCAGGAGATTAAAACGGAATCCCTTCCTTATACCATATACAAAAGTCAACTCATCATAGATTAAAGACTTAAATGTAAAACTTAAAACTATAAAAACTCTGGAAGATAACCTAGGAAGTGCCATTCTGGACATAGGCCCTGACAAAGACTTCATGATGAAGACACCAAAAGCAATGGTAACAAAAACAAAAGTTGACACATAGGACCTAATTTAACTAACCAGTTTCTGCACAGCAAAAGAAACTATCAAGAGAGTAAACAGATAACCTACAGAACAGAAGAAGATATTTTGCAAACTGTGCATCTGACAAAGATCTAATATCCAGAATCTATAAGGAACTTAAACAAATTAACAAGCAATAAATAACCCCATGAAAAAGTTGGCTAAGGACACGAACAGCCTCTTTTTAAAAGACGTATCTGCAGCCAACAAGCATATGAAAAAATGTTCAGCATCAATAATCATTAGAGAAATGCAAATCAAAGCCACAATGAGATACCATCTCACACCAGTCAGAATGGCTATTATTAAAAAGTTAACAAATAACAGATGCTGGTGAGGTAGTGAAGAAAAGGGAATGTTTATGCACTACTGATGAGAATGTAAATTAGTTCAGCCATTGTGGAAAACAGTTGGTGATTTCTTAAGGAATTCAAAACAGAATTACCATTTGACCCAGCATGCCATTATTGGATATATACACAAAAGAATATAAATCTTTCTACCCTAAAGACACATGCATGCATATGTTCATTGCAGCACTATTCAAATAGCAATGACATAAAATCTACCTAATTGACCATCGGTGGTAGACTTGATAAAGAAAATGTGGTACATATCCACTATAGAATGCTATGTAGCCATAAAAAATGAGATCATGTCATTTGCAGCAACATGCATGGAGCTGGAGGTCATTATCCTAAGCAAAGTAACACAGGAGCAGAAAACCAAATACTACATGTTTTCACTTATAAGTGGGAGCTAAACACGAGTACATGTGAACCCAAAGGAGGGAACAACAGCTACTGGGGCCTACTGAGGGTGGAAGGTGGGAGAAAATTAAAGATAAAAAAAACTACGTATCATCTGGGCGCGGTGGCTCACGCCTGTAATCCCAGCACTTTGGGAGGCCAAGGCAGGCAGATCACGAGGTCAAGAGATCGAGATCATCCTTGCCAACATGGTGAAACCCCATCTCTACTAAAAATACAAAAATTAGCTGGTCATGGTAGCACACACCTGTACTACCAGCTGCTCGGGAGGCTGAGGCAGGAGAATCGCTTGAACCCGGGAGGCGGAGGTTGCAGTGAGCCGAGATCGCACCACTACATTCCAGCCTGGCAACAAAGTGAGATTCCATCTCAATAACAAAATAAAACAAAACAAAACAACAACAACAACAAAAACTACCTATCAGACACTATGCTTATTACCTGGGTGACAAAATAATCTGTACACCAAACTCCCATGACATGCAATTTACCTATGTAACAAACCTGCACGTGTAGCCCTGAACTTAAAACAAAAGTTAAAGACATGATTTAAACAAATCATATTATAGATACTGATAAAGCTAGTTAAGCACTATGCATCCAATAATTATTACACTAAGGCAAAAATACATTGATTTAAAGTCTTTCTTATTGACTAAATAAATAACATGACTTTCTTATTGCAAATTATACTTCAATCACAGAATTCTACTCCAGTTTAGTTTTCAATGTTTTAACATGAGACAGAAGAGACAAGGAATTTACGATAAGATACACTTGAATTTAAGGCTTGGCTCTATCAGTAAATCTCATGTGAGATGGGGCAAGTTTATTGAACCCTTTCTGTCTCATTTTCTTTTGGGTAACATTGGGATGCTGTGAATATTAAGTTGGAATAATCATATCTAACTTGTCTGGTGCATGTTAAAAGTGCCACAAAAGTTAGTTCTCTTTTCTAATTTTTTGTGGCATTTATTGGATACCAGACTAGTGGCATTTATTGGAAACTACTTTTGAAGTATATACATACATACATATATATATATATATATATATATATATATATATATATATATATATATATATATATCTTTTCTCTTTCCTGCATTCATTTGTAAAAGCCTTGCTAATTATTTTTCAATTATACTCTTACAAGTCAATAATAGAAATAGATTCTTTTCCATTAAAAAGTATATCAAGGATAGAGAAGATGAACTAGCAATTTGGATGAAGAAAACAATTCTAAGCCTAAATTAAACCAATTGCTGGGCATACCTGTTTCCTTGAAAGTCTGAGGTAATTATGCCGCTTCCTGGTGGTAAAGAACTGATGATGTGATTTTATTTTGAATAATCTTTGAGGGAAAAACCATACTTTTTCAGCATTTTCTCATCTTATCTATAGAAAATGGCAACAGATTTAGGTAAAAAGCTCTTTAGGAACTGGTCTTATAAAGTTAGCTCTAATAAACTAAATGTCAATGTGATAAAAACAATCCTTACTAAGGAAAAAAATCGACTTTATGTCAGTTCTGAAAAATATGCTTTGTTGCAACTTGGAGACATTTTTTTGGTACACTCTTGAGGTCCATTCACTTAGCTTTTGCATAACACAATCTCCCAGGGAGAGTTTGGGTGAAATAACTACAGTATTTCTCTCAGTAGAGGCTGGCGATGAAGCACAAGATAAACTTGTGATTGTTTGATTTCATGATGAGCACTTTTCTTCAAAATATGCAGCTTGCAGAAATCTGAGGAAAAAGGGCACTTTTCATCACATTCATAGGTGACAAGGATCCAGGATCTAAGTTCGACAATGGGAGGATGATGGGCTCATTCCAGCCACATGACATATTACAGAAAATACTGTAACAACCATTATTTAAATGTCAAAAATGGACTCTACAGGCACAGGGTAGGTAAGATGGATCCTAAACACAGCAAACACTGGGAGACAACACTCTTTAATTTTGCTACTCCTCCAGCTATCTTCCCAAGCCCTTTTGTTGTATGGCAGAGCTGCTGACCTCCGCTCTAACCGTGACTTGCCATTTGCCTCCATGTTGCTCACCATTTCCATTCCCATCACACTCAACTTCTCTTAGTTCCTGGAACACTTTCTGGGCTCCGATTCAACCCTGGGCCTTCATATGTTATTTCTTTCTGGAACTTTCTTCATCCTCCTTTCTGCCTGGATAACTCTTACCAGTTCTTAGATATAGTCTCAGATTAAATGTCTGGGGAAACTATGAGGCCTCCACACTCCCTACCGGGTTAGGTACTTATAGACTGTCCCTAACTTCAGCTGTTTTATAATCAGGGCCTGCTATATTGTCTGCAGATCCTTGTGCAAAACAAGAATTCAAGCCCTGACTGTCACAGGGGAAATCAATCTTCCCTTCCATGGGCCACCGTCTCCATACACAGTGGATAAGAAACCCCCAGGAAATTACAATCCCCCTTCTGGGACATGCTTGCTAGAGGGTAGATGTGAGGCACCCACCAAGTCACCTACCGAATTTGCCAGGGCACTGCCCTCTGAGGCACGGATTCCCGCTGCTCCCACCAGCACCCCCATGCCTTCAAGATGCCATTAGGTGTGCATCCACTCAACTGTCCTTGTGCTCATGCCCAGGCACCCTCTGGAGGCAATGGCAGAGGACAGGACTCCTTCTGCTACTGAGACCTATTGCCACTTACTTGGAGGGTGGCAGTGGTTGGGGCAGGAAGGGGAAGGCCAGACAGGGCCTGGGACACCAGGATGCAGAGAGCAGGCAGCTAAGAACCTTCCTGGAGAGGTGGGAGAGGAAGGGAAAGCCAGAACTGCATGAAAGCTGAAGCTTCAAACCTCCAACACAAGCTCCATTGTCTCATTGGATGGTAATTATAAAACACAGATTTAAAGATAAAAGTATTAAACATTTCAAGACAATGACTGCAGAACATTAAACTCCAAGAGCTTGGCTCTTCTGAGCATACGGCCTTGTGTGACTGTACTGGCCGAGTGCCTGTGAAGCTGGCCCAATTTACAACTGATCCCACCTTACTTTTATTCCTTTTAAATCGTGCCCTTTCCTGCACTACACTGTAAGCTGCATAAGAACAGGAACCATATCTGTAGTAAAGATTTAATAAATATTTGTTAAATGAATAAATTAACGGAGTAAAGTCCTTCCATTATTTGGTGCATGTCCTTAACCTTCATGTAGCACCCCAAAAGCACCACTTCCCCTCCCTCTTTGTCATGTCCATGACTTTCACCTCTGCTCCCCTTTCAGAGTGTCAATAATCTTATTCAGGTGCTCGTCATCTCGATTTGGGAAAGCTGAAAAACATTTAGAATGGGTTTGTCAGCTTCAGGGACATATTTGAAATCATTAATATCACATAACTTGTCTGCTTAGCAATTTTTGCTTGTCACTATTGTCTAGCAGGTAAAGTCCTAGCCATTTTTTTCCAATTTCCAAAACTTTACATAATATAGTCCCAATGTATTTTGTAGAATTAAACTCTTACTGCTTTTGCTTTACATAAAAGCATAATTTTTCTTCCAATTCCAGATAAAATGGCCTGTCACTTCTCTTGTGAAGTCTTTTTAGATTCTACCATTAGCTTTGGAGGACAGTGTCTACCTCCTTTCTGCAAATTAAGAGCCCGTTATTACATCATAGCCTTGACTAAAGAAATGATCAAGTTGAACTGTGGCCTGTTTCACTCTATAAATTGAATTTCTATAATTAAGTATCAATTTTGGGGATGCTGCTTAGGGTTAAATTCAATTAATATTTTAGTGTACTAATTTAACATGCAATATTAAAGGTTTTTTATGTTCCAAGGTTTATATTAGGTCTCAGGGAAACAAATAAAAAATAAATATTATGATCCCCTCTCCACCTTGAAGAAGCACATAATTTAATAGGAGAGATAGATAAATTAACATAAAATCAAACACAATATTATAAGCGCTATATTGGACACAACAAAAAGATGCCTTTGACAACTAATATATTTCCAGAGTTAAAAAAAAAATCATTGTGATGAGGAGACTAGCAAGTGTATCCTCTAAGTATTTTAGAAAGGATTAGTTTCCAGAAGAGAGATAAAAGTTTGGAGTAACTCAAAAGTCATTCAGTTGAAAAGGAATTTCATTTATTTTGTACATTCTTAGAAGACAGAAATAGAAAAATATAAGCAGAAGTTACAAAGAGTTGGATTTTGGATCAAGAGAAAGGAGAACTTTTAAAAAATGAGAATAGTGACATACAGATGGGTTTCCTCAGGAGGAAAGGGTACCCCAATTGCTGGAATTATTCAGGTAGATGTGGAATGCCTAACATCCCTTGTTGACTCTGTAAGGTAGTATGAAACTAGAATATTTATAATGAAATGATTTGGGGTAGTGGGTCATGATGTAGGGCATCTGAAAATCAGAATTTTAGTCCTGGCACTTTATTTTCCTGATCATATCACACAGGTGCTGACCTCTTTGACTCCATTTCCTCATCTGAAAAATGGAGACCATAAAACCTGTTTCAGAGAGTTGCTGTGAGAATTAAATAGAATAAAGCAATTGAAAGTAACTTGTAGACTACAAAGTGCTATGAGTTTTATTTATGCTGATAATAACAAAAATAATAATAGTCATATGCCTTATTTCACTCATTATTCTCTTTAGTCCCAGCATATAGAATAATTCTCTTCTCTTTTTTTACAGATAAGAAAAGTATCAGATTATAAGTGATTTTCCCATTGCGACATAGTTGGTCAATGAGTGGCTGGGTCGGGAGTCATGTCTTCTCCCATACAGCTAAGAATGATTTCCCCCATAACACACTGCCTTTATGATGAAATAGCGTCTGTAACATTTTACAGTTCCCAGTGTGCTTTGGATTGGAGTGAAGTCATTCAAATAATAATAGACTCTGTTTAAAAATCATCCTCTAAGTGATATGCTTATGTGATTTTTCACTCAGGCTAGGATGAAAATAACAATGTTGGCTGGATGTATTTTTCTTTAATAAACATAATGTTTCATAGAATACTTTTTTCTTTAACAAATCTTGACAAAAACATTTTCAATTAGGAGCTTTAAAAAAGACACAAAAAGAGATTAACCAAGATAAGCTGAATATTGGCTGGGGAATACCACACATATATATGAAATTATAAGTGACATGCAAAACATTCGTTATGACTTTTGGTGGCAATCACCATCCTCTATCATCGTGGTAACTGACTGGATGTCTGCTCTTGTCCTCTTCATTCACTAACCTTGTTCTGCATGTGCCTTTATTTAAATGTCCTAGTCCTGGAACCCATGATGGCACATGATGAACCAATCTCTCCTTTGTGACAAAAGGGATATACTCTCTACAGGATCTTCTCAGTAATACAAAATGCAGATACTCTCTGCCTTAACTATTCACAACAAAACCATTTTGATTCCTATTCCTAATTCCTGTTACATAAATGTTTCAAGGAAGGAAATTTTGATGTGACTCTTTTTGTTGTTTATAAAAACCCAATGTTCTCTGTGAAAATTTTCTGAATCTTCAACTGCAGATGTTTTTATGGTTTTCCTTACATTAAGGACAGAAAATGAATACCTTCTAGGCTGAGTGCTGTTTTGTTTACCCTCCACCATCCCTCAAATGTTCTTTCTTCTGTCTTTTCCATTTCTTACCATCAAAAGCTCCCCTCCCTCCATTTATTAAATTTGGAATTAAAAGCTCTTTTGTTGCTACAAGATGTTTTCTCAACAGGAGCTTGTTATTTAACTGCTTGAAGACACCACATTCTTTTATACATTTAATCTCATAAATACATACCAGAAAACTTGAGAAAGTGGTTGTATACAACCACTTCTTTGAAAAAATAAAAAGCCTTCTTTTATTTTCTTTTTCTGTTAAAAGCTCCTAATTCACTAGCTAAGTAGCTTGTGAATATTTTTGCATTCTTTTCATGTCAAAATGTACAGTTTTAAAAGACTTATGAATTGTTTAATCACATGAGTTTAAATGTCAACTCCCTCAGCTTTTGTGCAGTAGCATAAGAAGTGAGTCAGTCATGAAGATTTAATCCCACTTGCAATTCAAAAATCTCAATAAACTGGGAAAATGCTATTGCCCAGGATGTCACAGAATGGTCCCCCATCCCTTTAATATCTATTACATATATATTATATATTACATATATTTATAAGGAAATGTACAATTCTATTGAAAAAGAACACACACATCTATAGCCCAGCAGTGAACCTAGTCAGTGCCTTTGACTTTAGAGTGGAAAAGGGGAAAAAACAAAGCCCTTCTATTTCAATTAACTTATAAGAAAAGGAATAAAAGTGGCACCAGTCAGTCGCAGGCCATATCTCTTTTCTAAAAGGATCCGGATACGAAGGAAAAGGCTGCCTCTCCCCTCTGGGCGGCAGCGCTGCACATGGGCCATGGTTTCACTTTCATGCTTAGGAGCCATTACCAGCCCTCTCCACTTACATTCCATTACAATTGATTGAATATTATACATCAAAAAATAGAGGGAAAATGTTTAAGATTTTATGAATGCAAGCAAAATGATTAGAGCTCACAAAAGCTTTGAATTCTGAAGCTTGGCTTCTATCTTGTCGTTACATAAGCATCTTTGATCTTCTCTTCACCAGGCTTTTTAGATGACTTTTATGTGGTCTTATTATTGTTTTATTATTTTAAGAGAATTAGTCATGTAGACTTCTTTTTAAATAGAGGTTATTTTTAAAAGAAAGTTTCCATTCCACTGCAAGTCAGGGGATTTCTCAAACCAGATGGAATTCATGTTCACTCTTCTGTGTGTTACGATGAATAGAGAAGTTGGAAGACCTTGGTTCTAATCTTGGGTCTTCTGTAAAATAATTCTGGGACCTTGGGAAAATCATTCACATGATTTGCTTTTTTTCCCTCTTTATGCAATGGGCTATTTTGTCATTTTATTCATGACTGATAGAGCTAATCAATTTGGAAGAGAACTGAAAACTATTTTATAAATGTGAGGCAATATCAATATAAAAATCCAAGCTTTAGGGTTAAGCTTAAAATTAACATTATTTAATGAGCAAAAATATACTGTGCAAAGGACAGTCAAACTCTCTTCAAATCTTATTGTTTTCTCACAAATAACCACTCTTGACTGTGCCTTCACGTGCAGTGGCAGGTTGCCAAGGCTGTGCAAACTTTTCCTGTGGAAAACCCCTTAGGTATAATCCCTCAGGATAGAGACAGGATTAGGAAACACCTGGAAGTCTTCATTTGTACAAGTGGGCCATCCATTGAAGTCTCCAAATTATATAATTTTAGTTATTATGCTTTAACTGTCATTTATTTATTATTCACTCTATTTGATAAATAATGTTTTAGCATTTTCTCTGTGACAGACACTGTTCTAGGCACTGGAGATGCAGTGGCAGGAAAGAGACTAGGTCCCTCTACTTAGAGGGGGAAGTGGACTCCAAGAGACATTTGATAAAGCCAACAGCAATTTCCCTGAAAGTCAGACATAGGCTTTATTTGTAATGCAGTGAAATTGACCTTCACCTTCTGTCTCTCTAGCTACACACCCAGGCTAAGGTTGTCATTTCATTTCTGCTTTTCATTTTATCTGACTGCATCACTCAAGTTGGTTTCTGCCATGTTTTTTTTTCTTTTATCTTCTATGGTCTTTTGATCAGTACTTTTAAGCCAGTTTTTTTCTAAAGAATTTGACATGAACACAAGCCCATTAAAGGCTCTGAGAAGCCTACAGTACTCTTTTTAACTTAAGGCTATTCCAAACCTATTTTTACCATGAACTATGCTTTCTCCCACCCCATAATACTACCCCTGGGTACTTACTATCTCAGCATAAGACCCTGGGAACTGCTGCATTAAGCAATCTTCAAAACACCTAATGGCCTATTTCCTATAATTCTCTCTTGAAGGCTAGGTCTTAGTAAAAAGGTTGAAGCAAGAATATTTTTCCCCCTTAGGGGTAAGTTTTCAAATTAAAAAAAAAAAAACAAATTATGTAGCAAAAATGTAACGATTAGATTATTTGTTTTAATTACTGAAAGATAAGAAATACAAAGTATCATTTTTTTCTTTTAAGATTAGCACATTTACTCAAAACAGATTGAGAATAGAATTCAACCAATCACTGTAGTATTTTAATATGCTGATGATTTGAAAGAAAAAAAGGTTAATTGTATGAGTTAGGTGCTAAAATGATAACAGTTACAGCTATACAGCTAATAATATTTATAAAGCTTTTGAAGATCCCACCTTGAAATTAAAATATCACTATTTGACTCATAAACTAAAGCATTTATGGAGCACTAAGATATGAGTTGAGGTCTTGAATTCATAGTTTTTCATTCATCTGTTTCTCTTTCTCATTGGCTTTAATAAAAACTATAAAAATTTTCAATTCAGTGAATTTTCTTAACAGTATTATGAATAGACTTCATTCAACCCTTTTCTGGTATGTGGTTTTGTTACAAAACTGGGGGCTGTGGACGAGCTTCTGATTGTGGTTGAGGGTGTCCCCCACAAAGGCTGGTTCTCTGTCATTGCTCATCTTTGTCCTGTTCTTCCTCAACTTTTCTGGGCAATCCACCTTTTCATATCTTTAAGTGACACCTATAAATATTCTAAAAAGTATATCTCTAAGCAAGATGTTTCCCCTGAGTTCAAGGTCTAAATATCCACCTGAACAGGACCCTGGCATGTACCACAATCAACTCAATCACAACATATTACAACAAAACCCTTCATCTTTTTCCTTAACCCACTGTAACACAAAGCAGAGAATACAGATTAGCTTTTTTATTTGTCTGTTTGACTTCATCTCTTACATACCTCTATTTCAGTATCTATGATATTTTCCTCTTCTTATCTGTTCAATGACAGTCTTCCCTTTTAATATTCTAAACTTGTCAAGCACAGCAATTAAAAAATTATTCTCATGTATATATTTTATCTTTAGAGCATCGCATAAAGCCTGATACATAGGAAGTTTTAGATGCATATTTACATTGGGTAGATGAATCCAGGGGAAAAGATGAAACCAGGTGATGTGTTGTAGCGAAGGTAAAGGTGTGGCATTGTGCTCTGGGAAGATATACTACCCTAAAAAGAGATATGCCTCTGAAGAGGGGGTGAGTCCCAGGGGAAAAAGCAAGATCCCACTTACACTATGAATAGCTAAGAGTTAGATCGATAGAATATTATTGAACACAAGAGTCAGGCTGGTGTAGTAAAATGAGTCAGAGGGCTTTGCCTCTTCTGGCCTTGGCCTCTATTACAGTGTATTAATACTGTCTGTTCCCCCGTCCTTTACCACAGTGAGATCTTGTAGAGGACAGAAACCTTAGTAAAGTCATCTTTGTGTCTATGGCCCCTGCTTAATGATTAGAACATGGCAAACACTCAGCAAATATTTTTAGATAAATAAATGGTCTAGGACAAGTTAGTAGAACGTTTTGAACCTCACTTTCTGGTATGTAACATAGGGATACCAATAACTACATTACTGGCTATTTTAGTGATTGTATTAGTCCATTTTCATACTGCTATAAAGAAATACTCAAGATTGGATAATTTATAAAGAAAAAGAAGTTTACTAGACTCATAGTTCACTTGGCTGGGGAGGCCTCACAATCATGGTGGAAAGCAAAGGAGGAGCAAAGGCAGCAGGCAAGAGAGCATGTGCAGGGGAACTGCCCTTTATAAAAGCATCAGATCTTGTGAGACTTCTTCACTGTCACAAGAGCAGCACAGGATAAACCCGCCCCTATGATTCAATTACCTCCCACCAGGTCCCTCCCATGACACATAGGCATTATGGGAGCCACAATGATGAGATTTGGGTGGGGACACAGCGAGACCACATCAGTGATTAAATGAGAGTACATATAAAGTAATAATTGCAATGCTTGAATGGAAAATACTATAAAATATGTCATTTTCTTCATCTGTTTGCCACTCTAAAACATGAAATCCAGGATTGTTTCCAGAATTTGGGGAAAAAAAGAAAAAGAGGGAAGGAAGAAATGATAACAATGTGTTTTGAGGGCCTACCAAATGTCCATGTGCTCTCACCTATTTATTTCAGGGACTCTGGAACACTCTGAAAATAAAGAGGTAGGCATTTTTTAAGTAATAAAACTGATGCTTCTTGAAATTAAACCTATGCACTATCACATAGTTAACAGTGATAGGATAAAAAATGATAGCTTCTGTGTCTGACACACAAGCTCTTACTGCAACAAATAGGAATTAAATATTCCCAGTGGGCTGGGCATGGTGGCTCACGCCTGTAATCCCAGCATTTTGGGAGGCCAAGGCAGGTGGATTGTCTGAGGTCAGGAGTTTGAGACCAGTCTGGCCAACATAGTGAAACCCTGTCTCTACTAAAAATACAACAAAATTAGCCGGGTGTGGTGGCACGTGCCTGTAATCCCAGCTAATCGGGAAGCTGAGGCAGGGGAATTGATTGAACCAGGGAGGTGGAGGTTGCAGTGAGCTGAGATCATGTCACTGAAGCCTGGGTGACAGAGCAAGACTCTGTCTCAAAAAAAAAAAAAAAAAAAAAAGTTTCCAGTGATGGTGAGTATAGGGGTCAGACAAGGGGAATCAGATAAGATTCCAAAGTTTGTTCCCTTATAAGAGAAACTGGATATCCTAATTGTGCAGAGAGGCTGTTAAGCCAAACCAAGACTTTTCAAATAAATAAATATCAATTAATATTTTTCAAATGTACTCGCCACAAATCACAACTTAACGTTAAATGTTCCTATACTTCCAAGAACTTCTTTGAGCTTTCAAGATATGCACTTCTGTTATATTAACCACTGGAAGGAAGCATGGTATTGTAAAGAAGCAGTATCAATATGTAAAATCCCTTCTCCTAGGACCTATGCAAAATGACTTGTATATTTTTCCTCATTTAAGGAGGATTTTGTTTCTAAGTCCTTGTATGTGAACAATTCCATTTCTATGTATGACGATCAATTGATCTTTAATCATTTTCATTCTTACTCCTGTCTTCTCTGCTTCATTTTTGATTTGCACTCAGTTCCTTGCAGTCTTTCTTCTTGGCTTGATTATTCTACATTAACAGATTTGACAGAGCAGCTTGGGAAGCCTCTGGGAGCAGAAGACCAACATATATAAATGTTTACTGCAGCTGGGGAAGTTACCTAGTTACATCTACTCTCCAAGATGATAGGGATGGTATGCTCAAAGTGTCTGCAGGGAAGCTTGAGGGGAGTTTTAATGCAATACCCTTCTTCACTTAGGCTTAAAAGACTTAAAGCTATCTAATGTCCCAGGTTAAACTGCATGATGGACTATTCCTGTTAGCATATGAAATAGAGTCATTTTTGATATTTTACAGTCTACATGCTCATACTGCCACACATGAAGTTTTCTCGAATGATTTTATGGATAATAATGTAGCCATCGGTTATGTAGACCTAGGAAACAATCTCTTTTTTGCTGATTCTTAGAGGATACTTAAGGCTCATGTGATAAAACTGCTTCATATGTCTCTGGAATAATAAAACATAAAATTTTGTTGGTAATTAAAACTTTAAATGAAGCATGTATCATGCTCTTATAGGGTAAAATTAGTGATGAAAATATTTAATCCCCTAGAAATGCTTATTGCAGTTTATGTCCTTTATTATTTTAATGTAGCTTGAAAATGAGAAGTGGTTTTGGGTGGCATAAATATAAAATTATATTGACAAAGCAATCAATAAGAAATCGCCAACAGTCACAAAAATATTGTGGAATGTATGACATAACATAATATAGACATTGTCTCTACTGTATTTAAAACTGGAAGCAAGTATTCTTATTACTGGCTGAGCTTACAGAGAGCACAACAAACTGTGAGCTCCCTGAACACAAAAGCAATTTTTCATCATCTCTTTCAATTTATATACCCACAATAACTGACAATCTTGGTTAGTGCTTAAAAGCCCTAGCTTCTAGAATACAATGGTCATTTTGAAAACAGGGTCTTCCATTTAATGGAGGTATGACCGTGGACAAGTCATTTAACTTCCTCTGTCTTGGTTTCCTTATCAGTAATTTTAACAAACTGGTAATACCTACTTCATATGCAGACTGAAGGAGTTAATTACATTGAGAGTGTTTAGAATGGTGTCCAGCACATAGTAAGGCCTATCTAAATGTTTGCTATTATTGTTGATATTTCTATTGTTGTTGTTATTATAAGTGCCATTAGAATTATTTTTACAATGTCTTACAATTATCTGATGACAAGTGCTATGCTTATTGAATGTGGTTAAACTTACATGTGTGTTTTCTTTTTTTGCATTTTTTTCTTCATTTAGGAAAATTAAAAATGTCCACTGAAAGTTAGGGTAATAAAGTGTCCTTGTTCAGCAAACATGAGAGAAATATAGTCACTACCTGGCCCATTCTAGTTCTGCTACAGCTTGAACCATTGAGGTCAGGAAACTATCAGCAGCTTTCTCCCCACTGTAACCCAAAGGCTGGAGTGTGGGGAGATAACAGATCATCCTGCCACCTTCCAAAATTTGCCTTTATAAACAGCCTACCTGGTGTTTTTTTTTCCCTCCTCATACATGTATTTCTTGGACATTTTATTAGTTAAGATGCTTTCTATAGCAAATAAGAGAATGTCAAATTTAAATTGGCTAAACCTACAAAAATATTCATTGCCCTCCTAACTGGGAGTCTAAAGAAGGCCTGATTTAGGGTTGCTCTTTCTGGTGATGAGTCTCTTTCCCCTGAAATTCCCTTGGCTCTCCCTTCCTCTGGGCACTGGTTTTATCCTAAAGTGGTAACCAGTCTCTGACCTCACATCTGCATGCAACAAAGTCTGAGGGAAGAATATTATACCTTCCTGTGTTTCTCAACTACTAATAAGGAAACATTTCCCAGAATCCCTCCAAATTTTTTACTTTCATTTGATTGGCCCAAATAAGGTCACATGCTTACTCCTTTAGCCAATTTCCATGGCTTAAATGTGAAATCTTGAGGGATGACCATTACAGGTTTAGGCTAAGTAGGGTCCACCACCTGAGCTGGGCTCAATCTTCAAACTGCTTGGCTATATGAACTGGGTATTACCTAGCCCACCAAAACATTTACCACAGACATTGAGGATTCCTCCAGGGCCCTGGCACCTTCAGTAGCTTAAGGCAGATCCCTATCAGGAGAGAGGAGATTTTTTTCAACTCATGGTATTTCCTCCAGAGCATTCCCTAATTTAGATCTACCATGATCTAAACTGAATATCGTGAATTTAACAAGCTAATTAAACAGACTGAACAGAATTGTCGGCATTATTTCAGAAGTGATGTTTTACATCCATCCTGAAACACTGGGCTAGATGTTCCAGTATATTAAAACATGCCTGAATCTAGTTTTTTATTCCTTGGGTTTGATTTTCTGTGAATTACTGCATCTTCTTTATTTTCACTTTGATCCCCAGGGTTGCCCACATACCATAGTCCTCCCTTTTCTTCTATACTTTCCCTCTCTGCTTTGCTTTCACTATATTCTCAAATTACCCTATGATTGATACCAGTTATCCAAACTTCTACTGTGACCTTATGCATGCTTATTGTCCATACTGTATACAGATCATCCGTGTTAATACAACACTAGTCTATCTTTAATGATTATGATGGTGGGGACTGCAGCATTTTCACTGCCAGGTAAATTGTTAGGCACTAGTTGTATGATTGTTTAAACTAGACATGTGTGGTTGTTAAAACACACACACACACAACACAAGCTGTGATAGGCTCTATGAAGAAAAATAGTATGATAGAGACTACAAAAAGGTGAGTGACAAACTAATTTAGATTGGATTGTCAGGAAGGTTCTTCTGGGAAACTGACATGTAAGATGACACTTGGAGGATGAGAAGAAGCCTGGATATGAAGAGTAGAGGGCACAGCTTTCTAGATGGAGGAAACAGCATATGGGGAGAATAGCCAGGGGAGTCTGCTGGGGCTGAGTGAGTGTGGGCCACAAGATAAAAACAAAGAAATCAGCAGGTCTGGATCACTGAGGAACATGGAGGCAAGTTTAGGAGAGTGAAGTTTATTACAAGTTCAGTAGGAAGGCTCTGAAGAATTATAAGCCAGACAGTGACATCCTCAGGGTTTAACATTTTACTGCTCATTATAGATGCTTTCTAGATTAAAAAAAAAATAATTGGGAGGGCATGAATGGAAAAGACGACTTAGGAAACTGCTGAAATATTCCATGCTGGAGAAGACAGTATTTAGACTATAGCGGTGACAGGGAAAAATGTTAAAAAACAAAAAAAGTGAATTAGTGATGTAGTTGGAAGGTAAAAGCAATTTTCTACAGAAGCATTTCATTTAGAAATTGATGGAAGGAAAATAAATCAAGAGTGACTCCTATATTTCCGATGTGAACAACTGTGAGGAGATGGGTTCCCAAGATGAGCAGGGTGAGTGAGGAAAAGGTTGTTGGGGTTCTTTGAGAGTTTAGTTTCATTCAGATTAAATCCAAGTAGAGCAGTCAAGAAGGCAGTCAGATATAAAGTCTGGTGCTCAAAAAGAGAAATCTTAGTTAGAGATAGAACTTTGGGAACTGTAAGCAAATAGATTGTATTTAATGCCACAAAGTTGGATGAGGTCAATTACAGATAGTAGTAAGTAGAGAAGAGATGATAAGATGAGTGAGGGAAAAGTTCTGGACAATCCCAATGTTTACAGCTTAAATGAAACAATGGAGCTGTTGAAAGAGCTTGAGATGTGGTTGCAGAGAGAGGGGGAAATCTAGGAGAGTATGAAGTCATAAGAGCCACGTGATATTTCAAGAAAGAGGCATGATTAAGAGTCTGGAATGCTGCTGAGGAGTGTAGTAAGATGAGAATTGAAAAATGCTCTTTAGATTTATGTGGAAGTCATTTGTGACTTGGAAAAAATGGTTTTATTGGAGTAGGAAGGCAAGAAGTCAGATTGAATTGTCTAATGTTGACAGGTAAGAGTTAGAAACATTGGCTGTAGACAACATTTGTTTTTATGAATATTAGTCTTTTTTTTTGAAAAGAAGTTTAGTAGTCATCTGATTAAAATCATGCTGAAGAAAGCAGTATTTATTAAACCATCCACTCTTATGATAAGTATTCTAAATCTTGTGTCATTAGGGACTCTTTCTCCTCTCCTTCTGTCTCACATTCCCCCCAACAAAAAATACATATCAGAATTGCCATATGGTGAGAAGAAGCAGGCAGATAGAAAGATGTTTATAAAAACGAAATAAAACCCTGGAGAGACAATGTAAGTCAAAAGAAAAGGGGCAGATGGATAAGCATGCACAGAAGAATAAGCCCTTAGCCTCTGCACAATCAATACATGTTGACTGGCTATTGACAAGAAAGGGGACAGGAGAGCCAGGGAAGCACATTGGGGGAAAGGCATTTCTTCATGACAGCTGCTGTTGCCACCACCAACCAGCTGTTCAGGCCCACAGCTCAGAACTTTCTGATCCCTTTACAACTCTACTAGAGGACCCCAACTCACACCTGATACTGCTGTCTCAGAAGAGGTGTCATGTGTGATTTATACTGTATTGAGCCAGAACTTGTTAAGTCACTGAAGAGGCCAGAAGAAAACTTTGCCTATGCAATGAATGAGTGAGTTTACACTGCAGTCTTTCCATGCCCTGAGCTCTGATGATCCTCGAAGCCATTGGAATATGCAAACATAGTTATAGTCTTTCCAGCTGTAAAGAGGAAGCCATATTTCAGTGACTTAAAGGAAAAACATTCTCTCATCTCTTTGGTGGGATTAGGTTGAGGATGGTTAAGATTAGGTTAGGTTTAGGTTGTTCGTTGAACTCACCTATTCATGTCTATTGAAAAGATTGTTCTTGATTTTCTTGTCTATGAGCAGTCTGAGAATATCTTACTAGTGCTTTTCCATGCCACATATAACAGAGCTCCTTTACTGCTCATTTACGTATTTCGTTTGATAACAAATTTTCCACTTACCCACAAGGAACTGATGTATCAAACAAATTCCTTTTATTTTAAATATATTAATTTATTGATTACTTAGGGATGCCCTGGATAGAGGCAAGAATACTTCCATCACTATAGAGGTGTATATCTTAAATCACCCCATTTTTTAATGCATTACTAAAATACCACCGGTAATACTGATATTTTATAACAAATATGTTCACAATATATGATTTTAAAAAAACAATCAGTGGAAATAAAAATGTAATACATTTGGTAACACAAACATTTCACCACATGAATCTGGCATTATTTGGTGGAGTGGGGCAAGGTAAGACAGGAGGAGGTAAAGGACTTGGAGGAGGAGAATGGTAGAGGGAGACTGTGAGAGCTTGGGCTGAGGATATCAGGGTCGTGAGGGGGAGGGTTTGGGAGGCAGAGAAAGATAAGGATGGGAAGTTGAAGAGAGAACCAAAAAAAGTGAACAAAACTGAAAATGAATGCCTGAAACAATGGCATTACACATACAAAAATACTACCAGTTTGATTCTTAAAATTAGCACAGAATATCAGAATGCCAGTATCATATTTACTAAGGAAGTCTGGAGAAATACTGGTGTTTGCCTTTTGCTTTCCTTTGTTCAAGACTTATGATAGACCACCCAGATAACTCCTTTGTATTCACAGTCTATAATTACTAGGTTTCATCTTTACTTATTGCTTCTAATGAATAAAAACATATGTTAACATGGTCCAGTCTCAATACCACTGTTCAGCACTAATGATTTAATTACCACGGCATACAATCTATGTACGCATTTATTCTATTCATTTCCTGCATTAGGGAAATCTTCCATGACCCAGGCTTACTTGGAAAGTGGCAGTGAAATGCGTGAAATGAATCCAAAATATTGAAAATTTCATCTGGGAGAACCGGACCATATAGAGAACAAAAGCTGATAGCGATGGGATTAATTGGCTCCGTGTCTATTTATTGAGCACTGTACTAAACACAAGGGAAGCAAACATAAATAAGACAGTTTTTGCAATGATGAAAGTTACCCTTTAGTAGAGAATGAGGTGACGTGACTGTCATAAACAATTAAATCACAATGTGACAGGTGTTAGGATAAGGGTGAGAACAGGGTACCATGAAAGCATTTAGAAAAGAGTTTTATTCCAGACTGGAGAGTGAGAAGGGAGCAGCCATGGAAAGGGCATATGGCAGGAGTCCTGAGCAGTGACTTCGAGAGAGGCGGACACATTTAATATTCCAAGCAGAAAGCCATGAGCAATGGCCTGAAGTTGAAGAGAACAAGACAGGTTCAGGAAAGCAAGATTAGTTGTTCTTGTAGCAAGGTCAGGCATAGAATCTGTATCAGGGAAAAGCAGCGAGGGATAGATGGAAGGAAAGCACAAGCAAGACCATTATAGGCCTCTGTTCTATGCTATTTGAACTTTCTGAAAAGCCATGCAGAATTTCTGGAAAAAAATTAAGAAGAAAGGGGCATAAACATATTTGCACTCTAGAAAGATTACTCTAGCAATATTGAAAACACATGGAATAGAGGATGTAAGGACAGAGGGAGTGAGGAGGCCATTATAGCACTACAGAAAAAAAAAAGTGAAATTAAGAAGCTAGAGACAAAATGACTCAGGCTTGTGGGGAAGGAAGCAGACTCAGGTTTATAGTTTGTCAAGTGCTTAAATAATAGAGCCATCTATTGAGCTAAAACACATTGATTCCTCCATTCAGCCAAAATTTATTGGGTGCCTATCATGTGCCAGGCACTCCTCTGGGTTTAGAAGTAAAGCCATAAAAGATAGAGAAGATCTTTTGGCTTATGGAGTTTTTGCTCCAGTGGTAAGGGTGGAATCAAGTTTACAGGAAGGAAGCTGGTGGGTTTCATTTTGGACAGAACGAGGACGAGCTATGTGGGAGAACATTCAAATAGAGCTAGGTAGGAAGGTGGCAGTCATGGCTGGAGACAGTGATAGTGAATAAATAGCATATGAGTGGTTCCTGAAAACATGACAGGGAATGTGAACATGTGAGAGAATGCATGAAGTGGGATCCATGGAAGACTTTTAGAAAGTTGATAAAAACTCTGACATTTTATAAACAAATCATCGCATATGTTTGTTTTCCTGACATATTCTTGGCTTTTAACGGATTCCTGAAATGGTTAGAAACCAACAGTTCAGAGTTAGAAGAGAAAAAAATAAAGACAGGAACATGGGCTACAAAATCAGAGGTATAACTATTGAAGGAGAGATGTCTTTATAAAAATCTGAGCAATAGATGCAAGAGAATTATTAGAAAATGTGAAATTATGGTATCAAGTGGCATGAGGAGCAGAGTCTCAAGAAGGAGGAAATAATTTATCATTTCAAATGCTGCAGAAGTCAAGAAAGAAAAAAAAATAAATAACTGGATTTAACAGCAGAGACCACTGATGACCCTGGTGAGAACAGTTTTGGTGAAAGGATAGATCAGTGAGTTAAAGATACCTGGAGAATAAGAAGGTGGCAACAGTGAGTGCAGGCATCACTTCAAAGAAATTAGTGTATCAGTGGAAGGAGAGAAAAGACAGTAGAGGGATAAGCACACAGGGTCAGGAGAAGTTTGTTTATTTGTTCTAATATAGGTGAGCCTTGAATATGTTTAGACAATCACAAGAAAGACCAGGATATAAGGAGATATTGGAAATACTAGAGGGGATAATAAGTGATAGATTCAAATCTTCAAGGATTCAGGAAGAAGCAGGACCCAGGATGCCACCTTACGTGGAAATGTGGATACTACTTCTGTGATGGACGAAGAGGAGGAAGTTGTTTGCAGATGCAACTGACTCCGTAGGGTCAAGGGCAGAGAATAAGTCTAGTTCCTATACTGCAGCCTTCATTTTCTCCTAAAGGAGATGGAGGAGTCATGGGATTCAAGACTTGAATTATTATGATGTGATATACACACTGGGAGGAAGGGGATAGATTCATTGGAAAGGATTCAAACTTATTTGCAGTTTGAAACCTTAAAGATTTAATGGCATGAATTTATGCAGATATAATTTCCTTCTTTAGTTTTTAGCATAGGCAGATATTAGTAGAGTTTTTGAAAGATGATGTGTTCCAGGTAAGTTCTATGAAACAAAGGAGTGCCTGCATTGAAAATATCAGTTTCAATTGCATATCTATTAGAGTTATGGACCTTGAGTGTTAAGATGGAAGGACAAAGAATAGTCCTAATAGAGGGACTGGGTGGGTAGGAGAGAATCAGGGAGCCAATCATGTATCCATGAGCTCAAAGAACAAACTTGGAATGAGGGAGAAGATGCGCACGTGTGCGGGGAGGTGGCATTGTTATGGGAGGGGTGGAGGAGGGCTGAAGGAAGAAGGTGAAGAGAGAGGCTTGTGGAAACTGAGCATGTAGGAGAATTTATTTTCTTTAGATCAGAGATCTCATAGGAAAAAGTTAAAGTGGAAGAGAGAGCTAAGATTGGAGGTTTGAAGAAAAGAAACTCAGAGGAATATGGAGGTTTGCACACGGATAGGGATAGATGACTGGGACAGCTTGATTCTTACCATGACAAAAAGGGACGTGGCTGTGAAACATCTCAAGTCCACCAATAACTCTTTCATGGTCACATAGTGGTGAGCAAGATAGCTGGGTGTCAATTCCTGCTTTCTTAATTGCTAGTCGCAGTCTATTTTCAGGTTTGTCTTCATAAGGTGTTTCTTATTTAATGGACATTTTAAATTTCAGGATTTATCATAATACAAGAAACACATTTCTTTAAAAAAGATAAATCCAAATGCTAGAGAGGAGTTTTCATTTTGGTTGTCTGAATAGGGATATTGGTTTTAAAAAAATTACTTGTAGTTTCCTTTTCCAAAAATCCAGGCATTTTCTAGAGAAACTAATTATACTCTAAAGAAACTAAAAAGGGAAGAAGTTCCTTTAAATATTATATATATCAAGTAGCTGACAAGCCTTCTAAAGGCTTTTATTTTAAACAGTATAATTGGTTTTAATAATTGAATTGTGTTACAAAAGTTTATGAGAAAATGTTTTATAGACTTCCAGGTAAGGGTGAGGGTAGGGGCTAAAATTCAATTTATAATGACAAACAGTATTAAAATAGGTGAAAGCCAACATATGCACTAAAAACTAGAGAAGGATGGTTTCCTTAAGGCAGACACATCAAGGACTATCTACTAAGTGCATGTAGATGGGGTCAAAAAAATGCTGGCGGTGAGGACTAACACACAATACCTCCTACTGTAAGGTAACTGCTTCAACAAAAGTTCATCCAGGAATCCTCCGTTTGTGACCTTATCTGTATATATTGCATCCTCATCTTTTGCATTTACTTGGCCAGTAATAATGCCCCAAACATTTGGAGTAAATTTAGAACTTCTGATTATTACTATTTTTTTTTTTCCTGAGCTACTTATGTCAGTTGTCAATGTCCGTGTGGTTGGGATGGAACTGACAGTATCTCTACTTGAAAAAAAAGTTAGCTGACCAGGAGCGGTGGCTCACGCCTATAATCCCAGCACTTTGGGAGGATGAGGTGGGCGGATCACGAGTTCAGGAGATTGAGAACATCCTGGCTAACAAGGTGAAACCCCATCTCTACTAAAAATAGAAAAAATTAGTCAGGCGTGGTGGCACATGCCTGTAGTCCCAGCTACTCAGGAGGCTGAGGCAGGAGAATCACTTGAACCCAGGAGGTGGAGGTTGCAGTGAGCCAAGAAGGTACCACTGCACTCCAGCCTGGGTGACAGAGCGAGACACCATCTTAAAAAAAAAAAAGAAAGAAAGAAAAAGAAAAAAGAAAAAAATAATTAGCTGTGAATTACAGAAAACCCAAGACAGCTGAAACAGATTGAAATTTATTTTTCATGTAAATTAAGATAGATGAGTGACCAGGACTGGCAATAAGCCCTTTGGTATTCCAGATCTAAATTCCATCACTTTTGTTGCACTGCCATCCTCCCTGAAATGGCATATACACTTCTTACATGCTATGGATCAAAATACACCCATGAGCATACATCTAGCTCTAAGGAAGGATGGGAAATGAAGCCATGAAGCCAACTAAAATCCAAGAGTTATATTTATAAGGGAAGAAAGGGAAAATGAATTTTCAATGAAACTAGCAATGTCAGCAACACCACCCCTGGTATTAGAGTGGGCACTCAGAGCATTGAATCCCTTTGGCTGATAGAAATGGTTTAGAGATGCAGTTCCTTTATACTGCAGAGAACATTATAATCCTCTCACCACAGAGACTGTAACAGGAATGCAAATAAACTAAGAATGGCAAATTTGCTTGTATTCTGGGGAACTCTTCTTCTAGACTTAATCCTGCATTGATGTAAGCCTGGAGCTGCTAGTGGCATCATGAGAGTAAAGGCAAAAAAGAATACTGATTCAAGAGATGGGGAGACAGACAGACTGACAACATTAAACCCTGGGGTAGAGGCATGCCGAAAACTTTGTCTAACTCTGAATATTTTAATGAAGTAAATCAATAACTATTTGTTGAGTCTGTGTCACATAGAATGAAAGCTTATTGACCAAAAGAGAGGGCTGGAGATACAGAAAGAACTCAGGGAACATACCACTTGGATTCTGTTTTACTGGCATGAATCAGCTCCTTTGAATATAGAATCTAGGGCAACATGATGTACTTCTGTTCACAAAAATAAAAGAATGAAAAACAAAAGGATTAAATATATAATAGAGAAGAAAAGAAGAAAACTGATTGGGTAGTAAATTTTGATGGATGAGATTTTTCAATACATTTTTGAAAGACAGGAAAGGAATGGTCAATTGTACAAAGATGGCTGCAGAGAAGAGGGAAACCAACTGATGCAGTGAATCCCAGAGAGACTCTGCCCCATAGTTAGTGAGTATGATAGAAGAGAGCAACAAAATAACTACTCCTATTGGCACCCTTTTCTCCCTCCCATATCCGTGTTGTGGAGTGAAGACAGTCTGGTATTTACCACGAGTCAAATCTCTTCCATACCAAAATTAAAGTAGCCATCCAGAAAAGTCAAGTCTTTTAAGTGTGGTGTTGGTGACCCTCCTCATTCTGTAATTTGGGGACCCAATGTCTGCGTGCACTATACCATTCTCACACTTCCCACCCTCCTGGCTGGACCTTCTGCTCAGGGAGAAACAAGGTGAGACATAGTGAGAAAATTAGCTCCTTACAGATGCAGAAAATACCCACGTGGTTACCTAGTCCTATTCGTGTAAAAATCATCAAAGATTATAAGACACATATAAAAATTTAAGAACAAAGATTTTTAAAAGTTTTCCCAGAGTAAACAAGGAGTAGAAAATATTTTAATGTCAATAAACACCAAAATATAATACCTTTAATTAATATTCACACAGATATTTGAGAAGATATTGTGTTCCATAAAATTATGATAGGATGCTATGAAAAGTAACTACTATAATGTAAGAATGGGATGTTAGACATTAAAAATAGAATTACTAACATTTAATGGGATGTTAGACATTAAAAATAGAATTGCTAAAATTTTAAAAAGTCAAGAAAGCTGCTTCAAATATACAGGAAATCTTCCAGAATGTAAAGAAATAAAAGTAGAACCAAAAACATAAAGGAAAGGATGGAACCTAATAAACAAATGCAGAGGTCCAGTAACTGACAAGTAGACATACAGAACAAAGAAAATGGAAGGGCGAACATTATCCAAGAAATAATAGGAGACACTTTCTTTGAGTTACAGAACATAAATCTTTAGGTCATATATTACTGAGTGCCTTGTACAAAGAATGGAAATGAAAACGAAACCCACATCTGGATACATTCTTGTAAAGTTTTAAAACATCAAGAAAATCGTAAAGATTCCAAACTTTTTAAAGAGGAGAAAACAATTTCCCACAAAGAAATGAAAATCAAACTTGCATCAGATTCTCGACAGCAACAATTAATGCTAGAAGAGAACAGAGAAATGGCTACAGCATAGAGGGAAAGTAATTTTCAACCTTGAAATCTGTAATCACAAAAATAGTTAGCATGAGGGCAGAATTGAGGTATTTTTAGATGTTTAAGAGCCCAGAAATTTTATCACCATTTTCAATATGTAATTGCATTCAGTAGCTAGCAACTGAGATCAGAAATAAGTTACTTAAATTGCATATAAATTTTTCTCTTTCCCTTGTAAAATATATTTTTAAGTAAGTGGCAGCTATGTTTTAAGTACAATATAGTGTAACAGGGCTAGTATAGCAGTTTTATGATGTCATCAGCTTCCCAGACTTCTTAGTGCCTGGCTCCTCTCTTTGTTATCCTTAGTGCATGGCTTCTGTTCACAAGATTACCTCATGTTTCAAATGGCTGTTGGAGTTCCTCTTATCACATCTGCGTTCCAGTTAGAAGTAGGTGCATGCTTGTCTATGGAGCGCTTACCAGGTATTTTAACCCATCAAAGAAGTGTTCCCTGAAATTGCACCCAACAATGCCTCCTTAAATTATTGAACATACCTAGCTGCAAGGTTGCATCTTTATTTGGGCACTTTGCAGCCCAAGAAAAAAAAAATCAAATTCTGTTCCTTAGTAAGAAAAGGAGAAAGGATGTTGAGGAGAAGATAACTAGGTCCCACGTCATGAAACAAGCAGCCACACCTCCCGAATCTCTTTACATTTTGGTAAATGTAAAAATCTGAGGGTGTACTCTAGCAAAATGAAGGAGAAGACCAAGAAATACAAAAACACAAGGACAAAGAAGCAGAGCAATACAGGGGAATCTCAGGATGACAGTGGTCCATCCGGCTTTAAGGTGGTCGTTTTAGAGTGCCATAGGAGAATGCTGGGCTCTGGGAGGGAGACCAATGAAGAGAAAAGAAGATGTCATGCAGGGGACTCTGTGATTGAGGGGATGGCACAAAGTGGAGGTATGATAAAGCATGTGATTCAAAAGAAAATGAATGGCAATATGAAATTTGAGGAAAAAAATAAGTTACATATAAACAATTGATTTGAAGCAATTGTTGGAATATAAGAGAATTTGTCTTTGCCTTGGTGCTCCTAACATTCTCTTCTAGGTGGCTTAGGAGTTTTTGTATTATTCATATACGAAAGGAAATATAACAAGCACACATTCATAATAACATAATAATGTAATAATGTTGTAATGGTTTTCAACTTTGCTTAACTCATGGAAAAATTGTGTAAGAACTTAGATGGTGATGCAGAACTAAATGAATATATTAACCAAAAAAAATCTGGTATAAATGTAAAAGAATAGCACACAGACAGTGGGAAGTGAAATGGTAGAGGGAATGTGGAAGCAAATGTAAGCACACTAATATTTGAAATATTAAATATAATCTAACGACAAATTGAAGAATTGCAAGAAATGGTTCTATTAAGCATGGAGAAGAGAAGTGGAGTGGGTTAAAGGTTTACTTAGCAAAACTTTTTAAAAAAATTGTAGGCAATCAATCAATACCTGTCCGGAGTGTTTAAATAAAGTTACAGAGATGTAAGTTTATTATTTAGTATGTTGGAGGTAACAGGGACATGTTAAAGAGGTTTTTCCACAGTGCCTAGAGCATAATCATTCAATACATGTTAGCTGTTTTAACCATTATAGTGAATTTTAATTTGAACTGATTTTTAACAAGTAATTTTACTTTATTTCTTTCTTTTTCTTTATTTGAGATATTTAAAATATCAAAAATTAACACCTATATTACCAATTAAAAAAAAAGAGGTTTCTCCTGGAGAGTGGGACTACAGGTTTAAACACGTATGGGGGTAGGAGGTATAGAAATTAGGATAGGCTAATCTTAGTATTTGATTTATTCACATGTGAGAGTATTATTTTAATGATAAACATTACAAAAATTGAAACAGGAAGATTTCGAATTTTGCTTGGGAACGTCACAAAACACAAAACTCAGCAGGGAAGCAGGGCCTTGTTTCCAGTGTAATATGGGCTTCCCTTTGATGTGGTGGCATCAGGTGGGAGACCAAGCACAGACACAGCTGGAATCTGCTCCAGCCAAACAGAAATTGGTACAGAAAATTGACCTCTGGTGAAGTACCTTTACTAAACACAAAAGAAAGAGAACACAGAAAACATCTCTCTACTGGGACTACACTCAACCTGGCTTCACTTCTCTCAGGTCGTTGAATAATGTAATTGTTGATGTGAACTTAGACTTATCAGCTTCTTTAGCATGTTTGAAAGTTCTAACAATAACACAATATACAGTGAAGACAAGGGCACTCTTCATTTAGGAATGTATGCATTTTAGATAAACATCCCATTGAGACTATGAAAAAGTCCACACTGTAAGAAAAGAGATGATGGCAATTAATATGAAGAAACTGGTCACAATTTTTGGAATAATTATGACAGTAAACAGATAAAATTGTATAAGTAACTATTGTATAATTATATAATTATGATAGTAAGCAAACAAATGAAATTGTATAAATTACAAATATTAGGAAAATATTAGGAATGATTATATACCATGTATCAGTCAGGCTAGGCATGATGTTGCTGCAGTAACAAAAAGTCCAAAATATCAGTGGCTTCAAGCAGGAAGATCTTATTTCTTGCTTATCCTACATATTTAGCATGAGTTGATAATGGGCTCTAGGACTTCACTCTAGGACCCAGGATGATGAAGAAGTCATGACAGTGAGTGTTGCTAATCACTGAGGTACAAAGATTATGAACGAGAGTATGACAATTATCTCATAACTCTTAAAGCCTCTGCACATAAAGTCTACATTCATCTTCCACTTACATTTCATGAGTCAAATCAGGTCACATGGCCGTTACTGATTTCAATGGGAACAGTACCTTCTCTACAACCTAAAAAACAAAACAAAACAAAGCTAAAAACATGTGAACAGCCTCAATGACTACCATATTAGGAAACTAAAAAGCAATTTCAGAAAGAAAATTACTAGCAGTAAAAAGTTCAGAAGTGAATTGATAATTCTGAAAATCAAATAAATAATTTGAAAGACAAATGGTAATTACTCTTAAAGTGCAGCAGAAATATTCAGACACAAAGACAATAGGAACGAATATGGTAGAAATTGAAGACCAGAGACAAGAGAGCCAATGAAGTGTAATATTTCTTATTAAAGAAAAGAGGGAAAACATGAAGAAGCTTCTCTGACCTGTGAAAGGCCCAAGTATACAGATCAAAGTGTTCACTGAGTAGCAGGAAAAGTTAATGAAAAGATAAAAATGGCTGGTTCAGTTTTTAAACGTCAAGAATAATGAAAGAATCTTAGGCATCCAGAAAAAGAAAATTAAATCACTCTTTTTATTTTTTTTTCAAACTGACATGTAACAGACATAAAGAAAAGTGCATAAATTGCAATTGCAATTGCACAGCTCAATGAATTGTCCCATGAGAAAACAATTGTGTGACCATTACTCAGGCCAAGAAATAGAACACTCTTAGTAAACTAAAGACATCCTCATGCACAGTGTAATTATTACGATCTCTCTCCTACTCAAAGGTAACTGCTATCCTAACTTCTAAACTTATTTTTAGTTTTGCCTAGTTTTAACCTTGATCTAAATGGAGCCACACAGTGAAGGCTCTGAAATATGAATTCCTCACTTTCAAATATGTTCTTGAGATTCCAACGTATTGTTCTCTTGTAATTGTAGCACATTCAGATTTATTGTTGCATGCGATTTCATTGTGTGAATATACCAAAATATTTATTTATTCTAGTATTGATAGACTTGATAGATATGGTTGTTTCCAGTTGTTGCTGTTACAAATAATGATACTATAAACATTCTTGAACATATATTTTGCAGCACACACACACATTTCCATTAGGTGTGAAATTGTGAAATGTACCCCATTGTTACCTTTATTGGAGGTCGTGCCTGGGTATCATATAGAAAATTGCAGCACTCCTCCCTCCCCTTAGAACTTCCTTTCTCCTTTCTCTGCTTTATTTTCTCCACAGCACTCAGTCCTCATCTAATAAATTATATTGTATTCATTTATCTTGTTTATTGTCTATTATTTGCTTACTAGAATGTAAGCAGCATTAGAGCTGAGATTTGGGTTTATTTTGTTAATGGCTGTTTTCCCAACATGGAAGAAATACTCAATAAATTTGTTGAATGAGTTAATTATTTTATATAATTGTGAGTGGGGTTCCATATCTCATCAGACATTTATTGCACATTTCATTATATTTTTCTCTATACTGCCTGTTTATAGCTCTTGCAGATTTTTCTTCAAGATTTTATATATGCATTTTGAAAATTTTGAAAATTTGTTTTGTGTCTGTTGCATATATTGCAAAATTCTTTTCCAGTTTCTTGTGGGCCTTTTGACTTTGTTTATGGTAAGTTTTTGTCCGTTTGTTTTAATGTAGTCAATGTTATCAAATCTTTGTAAAGGTGTTTAGTTTTCATGTCTAATTTAGAAAGATCTTTCTCATTTCAGTATTATAAATCAATGCACAGTGCTTTCTTTCTAGAAATTTTATGCTTGCTTTAAATCTTTGTTCCATCAAAAATTTATCTTGTTTTAAAGAATGATGACTTATCTTTACATTTATTTAATATGATTTATAGAATTATCCCTATCTTCCCTACTAATTTACAGTGCCATCATTACCATAAACTAAAGCCAATCGTGTGTGTCTCTTTCTTTATCCTTTACTCTGTTTTATTGTTTGGTCTAACTCATTTCTGGTGCCATTATAAATATATTCATTTCTAGTGCTAAGGTTTTAAAAATTATTTTATTTAATAATATATTTTTAAATTCTATGACTGTCTGCCCCCATTATTAGATTTTTCTAATTTTCTCCATTATTAGAAAACGTCCTAGCCTCTACATATTTATTTTCAAGGTGAATTTAATATAAATTGTTTAGTTTCCTACAGGTACAAAAATCAAATATAAATCTAAAAACTACAAGGTGAAAAGCATGTAAATGACAACAAAATCCTCTTGGTTTGTTAATTAGGATTGCATTGAATATATATATGAGTTTAGTGAACAGTGACATAATGATGCAATTATATCTTCCTATTCAAAGGCATAGGATAGATTTTCAGTTATTTGAATCCTCATTTATACTTCTTTATAGCTTTTTAAATTATGTCTGATGCAATACTTGTAAAATTTATATCTATTTTACCACTTTCCGTTGTTTTTTAAACAACATACATTTTTTAATATTCTGTATTCTGATGGTGATTATTTGAACATAGGCAATTACAGACTTTTATATATTATCTTTCAATTTCTCTCTTATTAAATTCTAATATTTTTCATAACAGGTTTATAATCAATTCCCATAATCCCTTGCATAATTGCAAGAGAGAAAAATTATAGAATTGACTTATAAATCCAAGATTTAAAAATAGTGAAAAATCCAGCTGATTTTGACATGTTTATTAAATAGTTATGTATTAGAAAGACAGTCAAAAGAAACATATAAAGAGAAAATATAAGCAATACATACTTAACAAAAGGATTTAAAATATTATTAAAATGCTAAGTACAATACTATAATTAATTTTCTACAGAGTTGCCAATGCATATCAATAACAGAAATATAGTAATTTCAATAAATAGTGCTGAAACAACTGGGTATTACTATGGAAAAGAAATGGGCCTTCACCCTTACCTCAGGCCGTACACAAAAACTGACTCAGAATGGATCACAGGACTAAATGTAAAAGCTAAAATACAAAACAGATTGTGGGAGGGTAGGAAAAAATCATCATCATGATGGTATCCTACGCAATATACTCACTAACAATAATAGAAAAAAATGAAAAATTAAATTACACCAAATGTTTAAAGTTTTGCTCATAGAAAGATATTTAGTTAAGAAAAAGAGAAACCCAAGACTTTGAGGCAATATTCAAAATATATATATCTCAAAAAACACTTGTTACACACACACACACACACACACACATTTCTTACAATTTAACAAGACAACAAAAAACAATGAAAATGGGCATAAATGTTGAACACATACTTCACACAAAAATATATATGTGTAATCAGTTATCATGGGAAAAGATGCTCAACATATTAGTCATCAAGAAAATACAAATTAAAACCACAGTTGAGACACTACTCCTTACCCACTAAATGGCTAAAATTTGAAAGTTTGACAATATTGAGTATTGAAAAAGATAAGGAGTCAATGAAATCTCAAATAGTGTTAGTGAGCATGTAACATGGAGCAACCATTTTGGAAAACTATTTGGCAGTTTATCATAAAGCTAAACATATATTTGCCATCCAGCTCAGCACTTCCACCACTAAATGAAATAAAAACCTATGTTCACAAGAGACTTGTTCATGCGTGTTCACCATAGCTTCACTCATAATATCCTTTACCTTGTGTAGGAGGCAGAAAAATGGCCCCACAAAGATTTCCACCTCTTTGCCTGGAAAGGCCTAATCTCCAGAAACTATGAATATATTACCTTTCTTCGCAAAAGGGACTTTGCAGGTGTGATTACGTTAAAGATCTTGGGTAGAGAGATTATCCTAGATGACCTGGATCTGGGTAAGCCCAATGTAATCACAAGGCTACCTATGAGCAAAAAAGAGACATTGTCAAGTCAGAGATAAGAAGCTATGAGAAAGATGTGTTGGCTTTGAAGATGAAAGGAGCCTAGGAGCCAAGGAATGTGGGAACCTCTAGAAGCTGGAAAAAGAAAGAAAACACTGCCTCTAAACATCCAGAAGAAACGGAGTCCTGCCACATCTTGATTTTAGTACCATGAAACTTATTTTGGACTTTTTATCTCCAGAGCTATAAGATGATAAATTTGTATCGTTGTATCCCATCAAGTTTGTGTTTATTTGTTACAATAGCAATAGAAAACTCAAGCACCTGATGATAACCTAAATATTTATCATCTTGTGAATGGATAAGCAATTGTTTGTAAAGAATTTTTTTATTCTTTGAAAAGAATAAAATGTTTTATTGGAAAGATACTATGCAGCAATAAAAAGGCATCAACTACTGATACATACAACTACATGGATGAATTCCTGTGACACCATGTTCTGCTGAATATGTGCCATATGATTCAATTTATATGAGATCTTCATCTAAATTGACAAAGTATATCAGTGGTTGCCTTGGGCAGAGGTAGAAGTGATTGTCTGCAAAGGGGCATGAGTGTACTTCTCTGAGTGATGGAAGTGTTCTATATCTTGTTTATGGTGGTGGCATTTGTGAAAGCTCATCAAACTGTACAAATTAATAGGTGCATTTTATTATATGTAAATTATACTTCAATAAAGTTTTTTTAAAGGAAAAAAGCCATCAAAGTTAGAATTAAGAATATGAAATAATTACTTAACACAGATTAAAAATGAGAATGCTATGTACAACTAGAGCTGGAAACTTGAATAAGGCAATTACCATGAAAATTTTTTTTCTTTTTCTTTCGAGACAGAGTTTCACTCTGTTGCACAGGCTGGAGTGCAGTGGCGCAATCACTGCTCACTGCAGCCTCGACGTCTCATGCTCACGTGCACCACCATGCCCTGCTAATGTTTTTATTTGTATTTTTAATATATAGAGTTAGGTCTCACTATGTTGTCCAGGCTGGTCTCAAACTCCTGGCCTCAAGCCATCCTCTCACCTCTGCCTTACAAAGTGCTGGGATTGTAGGCATGAGCTACCATGACAGGCCAAAAAATTATTTAGAAAATTAGAAAACTACTTGCAAAAAAAGCCCAGGGTCAAAACAGTTTTTCTGGAGAAAAAAGAAAAAAGTTAAATTTTATGCAGAATTTAATCCTTAACTGGCTAAACAATTCCAGATAGTATAATTTATAGTAGGAAAGGCTGGTGTAAATTACATGTATACATAAAATCCAGTCAGTAAAATGATATATTTGACATGTAAAGATTTTAATGACATATTGTTGAATGAATTTTAGTTTTATTTAATGCATATTAAATGTCCACTATGTTCTAACCATAGATAATGGAATAAACCAAATATGATCCTTGTTCTCACATTGCTTACTGCCTCGTGAGAGAGAAAATTAAGTAACTGCAGAAGTATAAGTAACTATGATACAGACTACAATTTAAAAATGATAAGGTAACATATATGTAATAGCAGTGACTAATTTAGATTTGGACTGGGAAGTACGAAGGGAATCAATTTGGCAAGATCTCCTACAGCAAAAGATGTTCAGACTAAAAGTTGCGAATAAGCATTTAATTATGAAGTTCTTTATTCATTATACAACGCCTACTCAGCCATATTGTCATTTTGATGATTTGAAATATTGCCATATTTTCTATGTGAATCCTGCTCTTTAGTCTTCAATCCGCTGCAATCTGCCTCTATCAGTCCATTAAAATGTTCTTGTCAAAATTAACAATGACTTCTTATTTCCTGATCCAACAGACACTTAAGTTCTCAGCTTACTTTATTGTTATGTTTTCAGCAGCACTTCTCACAATCAATCACTCCCTCCTTTTTCAAACTCTCTCTTCTCTTGGATCCTATATTAGTCTGCCAGGGCTGCCATAACAAAATCCCACAGACTGGGTGGCTAGAACAACAGAAATTTATTTCTTACAATTCTGGAGGTTGGAGAGCAAAGATCCAGGTGTCAGCAAGTGTGGTTTCTCCTGAGGGCTCTCTTCTTGGCTTGCAGATGGCCCCTGCCCAGCTGTGTCCTCACATGGCCTTTCCAGGCATCCTTGAAGTCTCTTCCTCTTCTTATAAGAACACAGGCTTTATTGGATTAGGGCCCTACTCTTATGACCTCATTTAACTTTAATTACATCTTTAAAGGTCTTATCTCCAAATACAGTCCCATTGAGGGCTAGAGCTTCAACACATGAATTTAAAGGGGTGGGAGACACAGTCCAGTCTAGAACTGTTTTTGATCCAGGAAACAATTTCTTTCTATCTTCTCTAACAGTTCTCCTGTTCTTTCTTCTATCCCTTAAATATATTAACAATTTAAGGCATAGTCTCAGGCCCTCTTTTTACCTCTTTCTGACTCCAGCTCTTCTCTCACATTCGAATGATTTCAAGTCTACTGCATTAGATTAAAAGTCTACTTTCTCCATAGCAGGGATTGACATGTAGCAAGTTCTCTAAGTGGTAATATCTCATCAAAGTGGAGGATCGTATCTCATTGAGGCAGAGGGTAGATGTGGGACTCTACAAGATTCTCTCCAAGGTGACCCTCTAAGCCCGGTCCTCAAAACCCAAAATCTGAAATTGTACCAGTGTTTCATTGTACATCTTGCTACACAACAACCAGTAATATTTCCTGAGTATTCACTATGTGCCCGGCAGTCGTCTATGAGCTTTACACGTGTTAATTCAGCTTGCTAATCCTTATGATAATTTTATCCTCACATTATTCCAATTTTACAGATTAGAAAACTTAGTCACAGGATGATTAAATTAAATCACTTAAGGTCACACAGCTTGTAAGTGACAGTAATTACCTTGTAGTCTGACTCTAGGACTCACACTATGTGCTAAGGCTATGATTAAGTAGAGCACTTATGATAAAAGTCTTTTTAAGTCAGAATAGGAAGTTTAAGTCACAAAGGATATTAGGATAATTGGAATATTATTTGAGAAAACTTAAGGTATTGTTAGATATTTTTCTTCATTGCACATATCAAACAAACCAAAGACTTTGGTAGAAAATGCACATACTTCAAAAGTAGAAAATGCACATTCTTCAAAAGTAGAAAACCTACACATTGCTTTTTAAAATACTTTTGGTGGTAGATAGCCATGTCTATACATGACATTGCAAACTGAAAACAAAGATAAAAACTAGCAGATTTGACTACAACCACTTAATTAAGAAAATCCTTTGCCATAAAATACTATAAACAAATGAAAAGACTGACATAAAACTTCGGGAGCATTATTAACAAGAAAAAGAAATTAATGCCACAACAGAGAAATGGGAAATAACCTAACAAGTATCTCATAGAAGGATACATATACATATCTAGTAAACATATGAATCCACCCCTGAAAAAATTAAAATAAGACCATTTCCCTCTCAAGTTGGTAAAAATTAATTTTTAATAATAATTTTCCACGTGGGTGTGGATGGGGGTGTGGGAGATGTGATATTTTCACACTGCTGGGCTGGTGGGTGTGTAATTGGTAATACCTATCTGGAGAACAATTTGATAATAGATATTTTGCTTTAAAAATTGTTACCTTGTTTTGTAAATATTTTGCTTTTACTCCAGGATATCTACACTAAGAAAGATACTATAATGGAATATTTACAAGTGTACATATTTATTTTGTAAGGAAATTTATTCAAGTTAATTATAAGAGTTAAATATTGGTAACAATCTGCATCTCCCATACAAGAGGATGGCCATAATGGGTTGAATATGTAATTTTGTTACTTTATCCACGACACATAGTCCTGCACTGAAGCATTTGGGGTTTTTTTCAGAGTAGTCTGTCGTCCACACAGCAAATTAAGGTTTAAATTAAGAGCATAGATGGTAGCACATTCAGAAGCCTATGATAGCTCTCAAAATGAATTCCTGGGCTGTGTCTGGGAGGCTTATAGTTTTTGGCATAATGTGAATCTACTATATCATATAACTTGAACTCTGTCATGTCACACAGTAATTTATTTACCAACCATTTGGGTAAAAATAAAACTTCTCTTATGTCTCCCAGAACTGCCATCAAGAAGTAGCCTTCCTTGAGAAAACACTCATATTATTTTCTTCATTATTACCAACCATCATCATCATCGGGATGGTTTGTATTGTCTTCGTATGGTTAAGCTGTGACACAGAGTTCTCAGAAACCTCTTCCCTATAGAGTTATAGGTTACAGTTGGCCCAAAGATATACTTGCTTGAGATTTGGAGGGTTGGAAATGAAGCAACAGCCATTATCTTTTGAAGGTCGTTATAGTCAGATGTTGCTATAGACAGATGCAGAAGTGGGTTCCTGTTTCTTCTCATTCTCTTCTGCTTGATATGCAGCTCTTCTTCCCAACTTCTGACACTGTTGACCAAGAGCAGCTCCAGGCCTACCACTAAATGCCAGGTTGTGGACCTACAGTGGTGAGACAAGGACAGAGAAGATAAACTTCCCATGAGTCTCCCTAAGAACTTTCCTTTCATAGTCTAAGGTTAACAGGTAAAATATAAAACATTTATTTAAATTGTAATTTCAGATAAACAATAAATATTTTTGTATAAGTATGTCCCAAATAATGCAAGAGTTAATTATAGCAGTGAAATATTGGTAATAATCTATTATCTCCTAGTAAAGACAATCCTGAATGTGTTAGAGAATTAATCGTGGCATTTTATCTTCAAAGACATAGTCCTCCACTGCAGGGACATAGTCATCCAAAAAAAAAAAAAAAGAATTTATTTAAAATTCTAATTGAACTGAGCATCCTGTACTTTTTAATTTGTTGGGTCTGGCAATATTAGTTTTGATGAATTGATGGCCTTGGTTCATAGATTGACTGATTGACAACCCTTTCTCCAATCCTCCAATTCCCTTTCCAAACTTGAACTCCTCTAGCTCCTCCTTCAGTTCTACGAGGTCTACTTCCTAGAGTAAATCCTCTTCCCCACTACACTCACACTCTGCTACCCTGACTCTTGATTTTTATCATAATAGGAATGATAATGAAAACAAGAGTAAAATCTAAAGTTTACTGAGGCTTACTATGTGCCAGAGCCCCCTGTTAAGTACTTTACAATAATCTATAATAGTTACCATTACTTACTCCCATTTAAGTTACTGTTATTTACTCCCATTGAAGTTTAATACATATTAAAATTCAACTCATTTTTGTTACTGTTATTTACTCCCATTTAAGTTTCATACATGTTACAATTCAATTGATATGTGGCATTTAGATGCCAACTTTCTTTGATCTCAGATATTTTATTCTCTTCTCTTTTCCTGTTTTATTTTTTCCTTAAAGGCAGTGTGAAGTGATTTAGTTATTTCAGACATATGTATTTGATAGAAAAGGAAACTGAGGCACCAAGGGACTTAGAGAAACTTCCAAGGTCATATATTGAGTTAATGGAGCAACTGAGAGTAGAATTTACCATCTCTGAGAGCCCAAGGTGCTGTCTTGACTGTTGTGCTAAAAAGAAACTATATATCTTTAGAAGAGAAAGATAAATAAATCCCAATGTTTCAAAAAAAAAAATCAACCTCCTTTCTATATCTTTCATGGAGACATTTATTCTTGGACCAAAATTTCCAAATGTAACTTACGTTTTAAATTTTATATTTATTTTTAATTCAAGCTTATATGTTCATTTGTTCTTCTCACCAAATTGGATATTATATTCTTTGCACAACGATGCTTATGATCAATTTCTGACTGAAACTGGTTTTTATGTAAGTGCTCCACAAGCCTTGAACAATGGGTTTCATATGTAACCCAGAATAGATATTAAAATAATCTCTAGGAATTTCTTATTTTATCAGAATTTCTTCCTTTGAGGTGGGATTTGAATGAAAAAAAATGCAGAAGAGAAAATGGCAATTCTTTGAGCAAATGAAATAAGTTTGATATATAAGAAGATTTCAGTGAAAGTAAAAGAATCAAACATTTATTCTAAACAAGTCAGACCTAGAAACTGTCTCATGGAGAAAAATGGAATTTCAATATATTTCTAAGCATTGCTATAAAATCTCAGGTGTAATAAAGATGTTTTTCATTTATTCCATGATTGATTAGATACAAACTTTCTAATAACAGTTGTTCATTTCCCCCCTTTTTTATTTGGGGGATATTTGCGATTGTGGCCAGTGCAAGTCTCTTTCTCCTAGAGATCAAACTCCCCTGTGCTCCCCCAATACTATTTATATATTATAGAATATTTGTTTTGTAAAAAAACTACTATTCTGGTAGTACTGTGTCTAAAGTACAGAGCAGGAAAAAGAGGGAAAGAAAGTGGAGAAATTTGGCCAGACCCGGAGTACTGATCTCAAAAACCTGATTTTAGTTTAATAAATTATTGTTTATCTTTATAATATTCATAAGAATATTCAATTAGATATAGTTATTTATAAAGCTTCTAATTCTCTTAGCAAGTCTGTCTTACAAGTTGCCCATGATATTCCAATAACAAAATCAATTACAACCTTATAGTGTAGTGTTTCAGAACAATGCTTTTAGAACCATCTGTGATGAAATATGAGTTCTTATTCTTTTCAATCCATTGTGGACCAATATTTCATAAATGACAATTAACACAGATTACTATAAAAATGATCACATATTGACATTGAGACAATATCAAAAAGCTACATAAGTTTTCAAACACTTGTGCTCAATTTCTGCACTTACCTTGTTGTGCACAGGCACTGATGGATCACTCCCTGAGTGCCATTGCTTTAGAGTATAGTCTTTTGAATTTGATTGCTTGAGTTCAAATTCCATCTCTGCCATATTCTACTTGTCCTGTAACCTTGTTCAAGTTACTGAAATGTACAATGAAAATAATAATAGTACCTTTTTCAAAGTTCGCCATGAGGATTTAATGAGGTACTATATGAAACCCTGAGAAGAATATCTAGCATGCACTACAGGGTCAATAAAAGTAAATCGTTATAATTACTGCATGCTTACAGTTTTACAATACACAATGTGCTTTCCCATACATCATGCCATCTATTCCCTACAAAATCTCTGTAGGGGTAGGTTAAAGAAGTAATGATTATCCTCTACAGCACAGTTGAGAAAACCAAGGGTCAAGTGTTTAAATTGTTGCTCAAGTGTTTAAATGGTTGCACAGCTGGTAAATGGTAAAGCCAGGCATTAAATGTGATGCTGTTTCTCCCTTATTCCATCCTCCCTTTCAAAGTATGTCAAAGACTACATGAAGTAGTCCTTTTCATCCAGAACAAAATCTTCCTGCTCATTTCCTGAGCCTCTTGGTCCCATGACATAGCTTGACAAAAAACAGGACCATCCCAGCAATAGCAGGATCTCCCATTCCCCTCTCAATTTGCAGACTTCTTCTATAGGAGGGGTTCTTGTTGACCTTGCACCTACGTTTCCTTTTCACAGCTACTGGGAGCAAGATGTGTACAATTTATGCTTTCAGCTCAGAGTGCTGTATATCTGGTTAATGTGATGGCAGCTATATTTCACATGTTGGAAACGTCAGTTGGAAAAGAAATTTCCAGCCCCAAGATGAGAGAAATGACTATCTCTTTTAATGTGTTGTTGGATGGTCTGGCTTACATTTTTTTTTCTTGAACATACCCAGATGATATGAATGTTTCTTCAGTTGAGGTTTGAATATTTTACTTCTCATAAATCCAAAGAAATGTTTATTTCTTCCTGTGGTTAAATTGTGCAGATGAATTCTCAGAGAGTAAGGAGCCTGAGAAATTCATATGGGACATTAAATAGTCTAGTAATTGTGATCTCTATTTGATCCAGAGACAAAGAACCAAACCCAAGATGTGTTAAAAAGAATAAAATTTCCCTGTGCTAGTAAATTTAAAAAGGAGTTACAAATGTAAATACTGTAGATGCATTTTCTCCAATAATGCCTTCAGGGTAAGTTAAATTCAGAAAAAAAATGTTTAATTATACAGCAGCAAAAAATGAGCTTACTATAAACAAACCATTGTCCACTACTGTAAATAAGTTAATGAATATCCTATTAGCTATCTTATAAAACAAATGATAAAATGAGTTAAAAATTTTATGGAATAAAGAAATGTGAGTGAAGGTAAGCCAGAATCATTCAGAATTACATCTAAGTGCTACACTGTGTACAGGCATACCTCACCTTATTGCACTTCACTTTATTACACTTCATAGATACTGCAATTTTTGCAAATTGAAGGTGTGCAGAAACTGTATCCAGCAAGTCTATCAGTATCACTTTGCCAAAAGCAAGTGCTTACTTCCTGCCCCTTTGTCACATTTTGGTAACTCTCACAATATTTCACTTTTTCATTATTATTATATCCATTATGGTAATCTGTTTTCACTGATTTTTGATGTTCCTATTGTGATTGTTTTGGGGTGCCACAAACCATGCTCACATAAGACAGTGAACTAAAATGATAAATGTTGTATGTGTTCTGACAGCTCCACCCACTGGCTGTTTCCCTATCTCTCTTCTCCTTCTTAGGCTTCCTTATTTCCTGAGGTGCAACAATATTGAAATTAGGACAATTAATAACCGTACAATGGTCTCTAAGTGTTCAAATGAAAGGAGTAGTTACACGTCTTTCACTTTTAATCAAAAGATATAAATGATTAAGCTTAGTGAGAGAGGTATGTCAAAAGCCCAGAAAGGCTGAAAGATAGGCCTCTTGAGCCAAACTGTTAGCCCAGTTATGAATGCAGAGGAAAAGAAAATTAAAAGTGCTACTCCAGGGTATTCACAAATTGTAAGAAAATAACCTTACTGCCGATATGGAAAAAAGCTTTAGTGGTCTAGAAAGATCAAACCATCCATAACATTTCCTCAAGCCAAAGTCTAATTTAGAGAAAGCCTTTAATCTTCAATGAAGGCTGATAGAAGTGAGGAAGCTATAGAAGAAAAAGTTTGAAACAAGCAGAGGTTGGTTGATGATTAGAGAAAGCCTTTAATCTTCAATGAAGGCTGAGAGAAGTGAGGAAGCTATAGAAGAAAAAGTTTGAAACAAGCAGAGGTTGGTTGATGAGTTTTCAGGAAAAAAAAGTCATCTTCATTACTTAAAAATACAAGGTAAAGCTGCAAGTGCAGATTATAGAAGCTGCAAGTTATCCAGAAGATCTAGCTGAGATATTGATGGAGGTGGCTACACTAAACAACTGATTTTCAATATAGACGAAGTAGCCTTCTATTGGAAGATGATGCCATCTGGCACTTTCATTGTTAGAGAGGAGTCAATGCCTGGTTTCAAATCCTTCAAAGGACAGGCTGATTCTCTTGTTAGGAGCTAATGCAGCTGGTGACTTAAAGTTGAAGCCAATGCTTATTTACCATCCCAAAAATATTAGGGTCCTTATTATTATGCCAAATCTACCTTCCTGTGCTCTATAGATGGAACAGCAAAGCCTGGATCTGTTTACATGATGGTTTACTGAATATTTTAAGCCCACTGTTGAGACCTACTACTCAGAAAAAAGAATTCCTTTAAAAATATTATTTCTTAAAGGTAAGGCACCTCATCATCCACAAGCTCTGATGGAGATGTACAATAAAATGAATGTTGTTTTCATGCTTGCTGACACAACATGTATTCTGTAGCCCATGGATCAAGGAGTAATTTTGAATTTCAAGTCTTATTCTTTAAGAAATACACTTTGCAATGGTACAGCTGTCATAGTTAGTGATTCCTCTAATGTACCTGGGCAAAGCCAATTGAAAATATTCTGGAAAAAAATTTATGATTCTTGATGCCATTAAGAACATTTAAGACTCATGGGCAGAGGTCAAAATATCAACATTAACCAGAATTTGGAAGAAGTTAATTTCAATCTCTATGAATGACTTAGTGGAGGACGTCACTGTAGTTGTGGTGGAAACAGCAAGAGAACTAGAATTAGAAGTGGAGCTGGAAGAAATGACTGAATTGCTGCAATCTCATGATAAAACTTGACTGGATGACAAGTTGCTTCTTATGGATGAGCAATGAAAGTGTTTCTTGAGATGGAATCTGCTCCTGGTGAAAATGCTGTGTATGTTGTTGAAGTGACAACAAAGAATTTAGACTATTACATAAACTCAGTTGGTAAAGCAGTGGCAGGTTTTGAGAAAATTGCCTCCAATTTTGAAAGAAGTTTTAGTGCTGATAAAATGCTATTGAACAGTATCACATGCACAGAGAATCTTCATGAAAGGAAGGGTCAATTAATGTGACAAGCTTCACTGTTGCCTTATTTTCAGAAATTGCCACAACCACCCAACCTTGAGTATCTATCACCCAGATTACCCAGGAGCCATCAACATTGAAGAAAGACCCTCCACCAGCAAAAAGATTATAATTAGCTGAAGGCTCAGATGATTGTTAGCATTTCTTAGTAATAAAGGATTTTTAAATTAAGATATGTATTTTTTATATGTAATGTCATTGTATACCTAGTAGACTACAGCGTGGTGTAAAAATAACTTTTATATGCATTGGGAAACCAAAAATTTTGTGTCAGTCACTTTATTGTGATATTCACTTTATTGTGGTGGTCTGGACCTGAACTTACAATATATCTGGGGTATGTCTGTAAATCAAATTTCTACAGGAATGAGTCCTTTAGAATGAAACCTCTCTCTTCTATCAAAAGTGTCAAGTAAACAAAATAACTCAGCCTCACTTGTTTGGGAGCAGCCCTGTATTCTCACAATTCTAGGCTGAGGTCAGGAGTGCTATAACAACTATGATGAAAAGTGAGAGTCCATAGAGCCCTAGACTCTTGTTTACCACACATAAAGGACTTTGCACCAGATAAATATAGGAAGTTCCAAGCATTGCACTGTTCGTGGCCCAAAAATCCAAATAACCTTTAGTTTAAAGGCAAAGCTGTCTCAGCTCTAGTAACTAGGGATTGAGAATGCAGTGAACATAGTTGAAACTCTATTTCATTAAAAATGAAGGGAGAGTACCATGGTGGATATAATACTGCCTGCAATCTGCTCAAATATTTTCTTTGCTGTACAATCTCAATAGGTAACCCAAAATTTTCAAGCCAGAATAAAAACATGGACATACATGAGAAAGATTAATTTGAGTTCTTTTAGAAGTAGACCCTGAGGCTAGGGTTTGAAAAGTACTGGTTTACTTGGCCGGAGATCCCAGGAAGCATTGTTAGGAGAGTGGAGAACTGAGGCAGAAAAGAAAAGGCACAAAATAAAGAGTATATTTTCAAGCCAGTTACCAGTACGGCAAGGTAAATGGCAATTTCAAGTGGGAACTCTGGGGTCATATATGACAAGTGCCTAAGAGTTAGCTCAGACCAGGGGCAAAGGAGCTAAGGATTTGCATACTAAATCTAACATTGGTTGAGAGATACTGGGCATGGGGTGGGGGGTAGAATATATTTTAACACTTTCTGATCTGATGTTGTGGTACCTTCAGGCAGTTGGAAGCCCAGTAGTTCCTTACAATGGTGAGATCTCAGGGAATACAGTTGGGACATCTACTACAATTTGTGAAGCCATATTTCCTTTGGATTTTGTATAGCAATTGTCTCAGTATCCTTAGAAATGTAAACACACGTACACACACATTTGACTTAGAAATTATCTTCATTTGCTTTTAAACATAAGAGTATGACTAACATAAAGACAAGAACTCTAATAGATTGATGCACAGGATGAAAAAGTGTAAGGGAATAAATGCTTTGGCGTTAAATAGACCAAGATGTGGATCCTAGCCTTACCAGTCAAGTAATTTGAAAAAGTAATTTACTGTGTTTCATCTTCATTTTGTTAATCTGCAAAAAAAGTAAATAATTTGCATTTTGTTGTGTTGTGAGAACACAGTTTAAGCTCCTATCTCAGCACTTGAAATACAGTAGTATCTCAGTGATGATTAGCTATGATCACCAACACTCACCAGGACTACTACCATCAGCACTCTAATCAGTACCACCATCACCATCACCATCATCATCAGTATCATCAACTTTTCCTTGCAAAAAATACTTGGAGTTTTCTCTGCAAAAAAAAAAAAAAAAAAAAAAGGAAAGAAAGAAAAAAGAAAGGAAATATACCTCTTTTGATATAATAAGAAGAAAACAGAATAATCTTCAATCTTCAAAAGTAGGTGAGAAGAACACAAGACTTCTCTGAAATGTGTCAGTTTTTATTTCATTTAGCATTGGTTGTACAGCTGCTTGTGTTAGAACATTTATACAGGTACTAATGAACAGGTACTAACAGCTTCAATGGAAAAGAGTCGTGTGAATACTTATTTAGAAAATATTTAAAGTAGTCGTTATTGAGAATCTCCAATTTACCACATATTTTATGGTAATCTCTTTTCTAAAATGAATCAACAAGACTAAGCCATTATGTTAAAAAGCCATGCCTCCATACCACCATCTTTAGATACAGATTTAACAGAGCAATTCCTTTTGTCTCTTCTGATAATTACAATATTAAAGAAAATACTAGTCACCTACATAAAGGAAACTACACTGACTTGGTGTCACTCAGTAAGTTTACATAAATGAAGAGTTTGGAAACTTTAGGTTCTCAAAGACAGAGTTACCTAAATATTAATACATTGTTTACTGAGGAGGCCTCTTTTTGCTTTGACGACTCAATGACTCAGATGTGAAAACCCCAGGAATTGTTTTACCTTAACTGAAATGTCCAAGGATTCTTTAAAAAAAGAAATCATCTCATTTTTTTATCTTTAATTTTTTAGAAATTTTTATTGTTTTATTTTTCCATAATTTATTGGGGTACAGGTGGTATTTGGTTACATGAGTAAATTCTTTAGTGGTGCTTTGTGAGATTTTGATGCATCCATCACCTGAGCTGTATACACTGCACCATATTTGTTGTCTTTTATCACTTTCCCCCCTCCCACTCTTCCCCCCAAGTCCCCAAAGTCCATTATATCATTCTTATGCCTTTGCTTCCTCATAGCTTATCTTCCACATATCAGTGAGAATATACAATGTTTGGTTTTCCATTCCTGAGTTACTTCACTTAAAATAATAGTCTCCTGTCTCATCCAGGTCACTGTAAATGCTGTTAATTCATTCCTTTTTATAGCTGAGTAGTATTCCATCATGTATATATATACCACAGTTTCATCATCCATTCATTGATTCATGGGCATTTGGGTTGGTTCTACAATTTTGCAATTATAAATTGTGCTGCTATAAACATGCATGTGCAAGTATCTTTTTCAAATAATGACTTCTTTTCCTCTGGGTAGATATGCAGTAGTGGAATTGCTGGATCAAATGGTAGTTCTACTTTTAGTTCTTTAAGGAATCTCCACACTGTTTTCCATAGTGGCTGTTCTAGTTTGCATTCCCACCAGCAGTGTAGAAGTGTTCCCTGATCACCTCATCCACACCAACATATACTGTTTTTTGATTTTTTGATTATGGCCATTCTTGCAGGAGTAAGGTGGTATCACACTGTGGTTTTGATTTGCATTTCCCTGATCATTAGTGATGTTGAGCATTTTTTCATATGTTTGTTGGCCATTTGCATGTCTTTTTTTGAGAATTTTCTATTCATGTTCTTAGCCCACTTTTTGATGGGATTGTTTGTTTTTTGAGTTTGTTGTAGATTCTGGATATTAGTCCTTTGTCAGATGTATAGATTGTGAAGATTTTCTCCCACTTTGTGGGTTGTCTGTTTACTCTGCTGACTGTTCCTTTTTGCCATGCAAAAACTCTTTTAGTTTTGTCCCAGCTATTTATCTTTGTTTTTATTGCATTTGCTTTTGGGTTCTTGGGCACGAAATCCTTGCCTAAAACAATGTCTAGAAGGGTTTTTCTAATGTTATCTTCTAGAATTTTTATAGTTTCAGGTCTTAGGTTTAAGTCTTCAATCCATCTTGAGTTGATATTTGTATAAGGTGAGAGATGAGGATCCAGTTTCGTTCTCCCACACGCGGCTAGCCAACTATCCCAGCACCATTTATTGAAAAGGATGTCCTTTCCCCACTTTATTTTTTGTTTGCTTTGTTGAAGATCAGTTGGCTCTAAGTATTTGGGTTTATTTCTGGGTTCTCTATTCTGTTACATTGGTCTATGTGCCCATTTTTATATCAGTACCACACTGTTTTGGTGACTATGGCTTTATAGTATAGTTTGAAATCAGGCAGTGTGATGCCTCTAGATTTGTTCTTTTTGCTTAGTCTTGCTTTGGCTATGCAGGCTCTTTTTTTTTTTTTGGTTCCATATGAATTTTTGAATTGATTTTTCTAACTCTGTGAAGAATGATGGTGGTATCTTGATGGGGATTGCATTGAATTTGTAGATTGCTTTTGGCAGTATGGTCATTTTCACAATATTGATTCTACCCATTCATGGGCATGGCATGCGTTTCCATTTGTTTGTGTCATCTATGATTTCTTTCAGCAGTGTTTTGTAGTTTCCCTTGCAGCAGTCTTTCAACTCCTTTGTTTGGTATATTCTTAAGTTTTTTTTGTTTGTTTGTTTGTTTGTTTGTTTTTGCAGCTATTGTAAAAGGAGTTGAGTTCTTGATTTTATTCTATGCTTGGTCACTGTTGGGGTATAGAAGAGCTACTGATTTGTGTACATTAATCTTATATCCAGAAACATTGCTGAATTCTTTTATCAGTTCTAGGAGCTTTTTGGAGGAGTTCTTAGGGTTTTCAAGGTAAACGATCATATCGTCACCAATAGTGACAGTTTGACTTCCTCTTTACCGATTTGGATGTCCTTTATTTCTTTCTCTTGTGTAATTGCTCTGGCTAGGACTTCCAGTACTATTTTGAAGAGGAGTGGTGAGAGTGAGCATCCTTGTCTTGTTCCCATTCTTAGAGGGAATGCTTTCAGGTTTCCCCCATTCAGTATTATGTTGGCTGTGGATTTGTAATAGATGGCCTTTATTACATTAAGGTATGTCCCTTGTATGTCGATTTTGCTGAGGGTTTTAATCATAAAGGATGCTGGATTTTGTTGAATGTTTTTTCTGCATCTATTGAGATGATCATGTGATTTTTTTTAAAAATTATGTTTATGTGGTGTATCACATGTATTGACTTGTGTATGTTAAACCATCTCTGCACCCCTTGTATGAAACCCACTTGATCATGGTGAATTATCTTCTTGATATGTTGTTGGATTTGGTTGGCTAGTATTTTGTTAAGGATTTTAGCATCTATGTTCATCAACGATATCTGTCTGTAGTTTTCTTTTTTGATTGTGTCCTTTCCTGGTTTTAGTATTAGGGTGATGCTGGCTTCATAGAATGAATTAGGGAGGGTTCCTTCTTTCTCTCTCTTGTGGCATAGTGTCAAAACGATTGGTACCAATTCTTCTTTGAATGTCTGGTAGAATTCTGCTGTGAATCCATCTGGTCCTGGACTTTTTTTTGTTGGTAATTTTTAAATTACAATTTCAATCTCACTGCTTTTTGTTGGTCTGTTCAGGGTATCTAATTCTTCCTGATTTAAGCAAGGAGCATTGTATTTTTCCAGGAATTTATCCATCTCTTTTAGACTTTCTAGTTTATGGGCCTAAAGGTGTTCATAGTAGCCTTGAATGATCTTTTGTATTTCAGTGGTGTCAGATGTAATGTCTTCTGTTTTGTTTCTTAGTGCGGTTATTTGGATTTTCTTTCTTCTTTTCTTGGTTAATCTTGCTAATGGTCTATCAATTTTATTTATCTTTTCAAATAACCAGCTTTTTTTCCATTTATCTTTTGTATTTTTTTATTTTAATTTCATTTAGCTCTGCTCTGATCTTGGTTATTTCCTTTTTTCTGCTGGGTTTGAGTTTGTTTTGTTCTTGTTTCTCGAGTTATTTGAGGTGTGGCCTTAGGTTGTCTGTTTGTTTGTATTCTTTCAGACTTCTGGATATAGGCATTTAGCGCTATGAATTTTCCTCTTAGCACCACCTTAGCTGTATCCCAGAGGTTTTCATAGGTTGTGTCATTATTGTCATTCAGTTCAAATAATTTTTAATTTCCATGTTGATTTTGTTTTTGGCCCAATACTCATTCAAGAGCAGGTTATTTAATTTCCATGTATTTACATGGTTGTGAAGGTTCCTTTTGGAGTTGATTTCCAGTTTTGTTCAACTGTGGTCTGAGAGAGTGCTTGATATAATTTCAATTTTCTTAAATATATTGAGGCTTGTTTTATGGCTTATCATATGGTCTATCTTGGAGAAAGTTCCATGTGCTGTTGAACAGAATGTGTATTCTGCGGTTGTTGGATGAAATGTTCTGTATATATTTGTTAAGCCCATTTGTTTCAAGGTATAATTTAAATCCATTGTTTCTTTGTTGACTTTCTGTCTTGATGACCTGTCTAGTGCTCTCAGTGGAATACCGAAGTCCCCCACAATTATTGTGTTGCTGTCTATCTCATTTCTTAGGTCTATTAGTAACTGTTTTACAAATTTGGGAACTCCAGTGTTAGGTCCATATATGCTTAGGATTGTGATATTTTCCTGTTGGATAAGGACTTTTAGCATTATATAATGTCCTCCTTTGTCACTTTTAACTGCTGTTGCTTTTTTTTTTTTTTGACGGAGTCTCTCTCTGTTGCCCAGGCTGGAGTGCAGTGGCGTGATCTCGGCTCACTGCAAGCTCCGCCTCCCGGGTTCACGCCATTCTCCTGCCTCAGCCTCCTGAGCAGCTGGGACTACAGGCTCCCGTCACCATGCCCGGCTAATTTTTTTTTTTTTTGTATTTTTAGTAGAGACGGGGTTTCACCGTGTTAGCCAGGATGGTCTCAATCTCCTGACCTCATGGTCCACCCGCCTCGGCCTCCCAAAGTGCTGGGATTTTTTGCTTTAAAGTTTGTTTTGTCTGATACAAGAATAGCCACCCCAGTCACTTTTGGTGTCCATTTGCATGAAATGCCTTTTTCCCACCCCTTTACTTGAAGTTTATGTGAGTCCTTATGTGTTAGGTGAGTCTCCTGAAGGTACCAGATAGTTGGTTGGTGAGTTCTTATCCATTATGCGGTTCTGAATCTTTCAAGTGGATCATTTAGGCCATTTACATTCAATGATAGTATTGAAATGTGAGGTACCATTGCATTCATCATGCTCTTTGTTGCCTGTGTACTTTTTTTTTAATTTTTTTTTTGGTTTTGGTTTTGCTTTTTAACTTGTATTTTGGCTTTATAGGTCCTGTGTGATTTATGCTTTAAAGAGGTTCTGATTTGATGTGTTTCCAGGATTTGTTTCAAGATTTAGAGTTCCTTTTAAAGTTCTTGTAGTGGTGGCTTGGCAGTGGCAAATTCTCTCAGCATTTGTTTGTCTTAAAATGACTATCTTTCCTTCATATATGATGCTTAGTTTCACTGGATACAAAATTCTTGGCTGTAAATTGTTTTGTTTGAGAAGGTTGAAGATAAGGCCCCAATCCTTTCTAGCTTGTAGAGTTTCTGCTGAGAAATCTGTGTTAATCTGATAGGTTTTCCTTTATAGGTTACCTGGTGCTTCTGTCTCACAGCTCTTAAGATTCTTTCCTTTGTCTTAACTTTAGATAACCTGATGACAATATACCTAGGTGAAGATCTTTTTGTGATGAATTTCCCAGGTGTTCTTTGTGCTTCTCATATTTGCATGTCTAGTTCTCTAGCAAGACTGGGGAAGTTTTTGTTGATTATTCCCCCAAATATGTTTTCCAAGGTTTTAGAATTGTCTTCTTTCTCAGGGACAACGATTATTTTCAGGTTTAGTCATTTAACATAATCACAGACTTCTTGGAGGCTTTGTTCATATTTTCTTATTCTTTTCTCTTTGTCTTTGTTGGGTTGGGTTAATTCAAAGACCTTGTCTTCGAGCTCTGAATTTCTTTCTTCTACTTGTTCAATTATATTGCTGAGACTTACCAGAGCATTTCACATTTCTAAAAGTGTGTCCAAAGTTTCCTGAATTTTTTTATTGTTTTTTTCTTTAAGCTATCTGTTTCCTTGAATATTTCTCTCTTCACTTCTTGTATCATTTTTTGGGTTTCCTTGCTTCGGGCTTTGCCTTTCTCTGGTCCCTCCCTGATTGCTTAATAACTAACCTCCTGAATTCTTTTTCAGGTAAATCAGGGATTTCTTCTTGATTTGGATCCATTGCTGGTGAATTAGTGTGATTTTGGGGGTGGGGGGTGTTGACCAGCCTTGTTTTATCATATTACCAGGGTTGGTTTTCCAGTTCCTTCTCATTTGGGTAGGTTCTGTGAGAGGGAAACTCTAAGGCTCAAGGCTGTTGTTCAGATATTTTTTGTCTCACGGGGTGTTCCCTTGATGCAGTACTCTCCCCCTTTTCCTATGGATGTGGCTTCCTGTGAGCCGAACTGCAGTGATTGTTGTCTCTCTTTTGGGTCTCGCCACCCAGCAAGTCTACCTGGCTCCAGGCAGAGTCCTGTGATGTTAACTGTCTATGAGTCTCTCAGCCGTGAATACCAGCACCTATTCCAGTGGAGATGGTGTAGGGTGCAATGGACTTCATGAGGGTCCTTAGCTTTGGTGGTATAATGCTCTATATTTGTGCTGCTTGGCCTCCTGCCAGGAGGTGGTGCTTTCCAGAAAGCATCAGCTGTAGTAGTGTGGGGAAGGACCAGTGGTGGGCAGGGCCCTAGAACTCCCAAGATTATATGCCCTTTGTCTTCTGCTACCAGGGTGGGGAGGGGAGGACCATCAGGTGGGGATGGGGCTAGGTGTTTCTGAGCTCAGACTCTTCTTGCGCGGGTCTTGCTTTGGCTGCTGGGGATGAGATTCCCAGGTCATTGGACTTGTGTACCTAGTAAGATTATGGATGCCTCTGCTGAGTCATGCAGGTTGTCAGGGAAGTGGGGGAAAGCTGGCAGTCACAGGCCTCACCCAGCTCCCATGCAAATCGAGGGGCTTGTCTCACTCCCACCATGCCCCCTGCAACAGCCCCAAGTCTGTTTCCAGGTGGAGGGTGAGACAGGCTTGAAAACTTGCCTGAGGCTTTCCACCTCCCAGTTGTGAAAGAAAAGGGCTTTAGTTCTTCCTCCACCTGTGAAGTCTGTAAGCCGGATTCACACCCTCTCCCAAGTTCTGGCCAGGAGGCTTCTCACTCTGTTCAAATTGTTACAAAGGTCAGCTAGAGAATTCCTTCTGCCTGTGGAGTTTTACCCTCGGCTTCTCTGGCCACCCTCCTGATGGATCCCTATGGTGCCAGGCAGCAATAGGCTGCGTGGGGACCCAGCAAGCTCCCAGAGCTTTTCTGCTGCTTCCTCTACCCCTGTATTTTGTTCAGCTTGGCTCTCTAACCTGACTCAGCTCCAAGTAAAGTCGGAAACTTCTCCCGCAAACAGACCTTCAGCTTCTCCAGTGGGGGTGTGTGTTTGGGAGAGGAGGCTCTCCCTTTCCCACTTCTGCAGTTGGGGCACTCACAGTATTTAGGGTGTCTCCTGGGTCCTGCAGGAGTAGTCCGCTTCCTTCAGAGGGTCTGTGGGTCCTCTTGGGATTTCTGGTTTTTTCTTGCAGTCGATCTGAAGCTAAAATTCACAATGCGAGCCTCCGCATACTGCTGTGTCTGGAGCAATCTAGTCCTGCCTCCCATCTGCCATGATCCCTAAATCTATCCAATGATTCTTGTAACGAATTTTTTTCTTTATTAATCTCATCTACTTCTACAATTTTACACACCACTGATACACTGGTAAGTCTCTAATTTTTATCACAAGCCCTGAATTTTTATTCGGTTTCTCACCTCAACTGACCCCTCATCTTGACATCTTCATTTAGATGACTAATAGCATCTCAGTATTGCATAGATGAAAAACAGTAAGCTTTATTTCACCTTCTCTACTACCAGCTCCCTCCTTCTCAAAGTAAATCTTTGAGAATCATTTTTCGATTTTTCGCTTTCTCTCTCTCCTCATTTCCAGTCTATCAGCAGGTTATTAAAGTTTTTCCCCCAAAATATTTGGGAACCCAGTCTACAGATTGTCATGCCACTGTTCTTATTTATTCCAAGCCACCATCGTCTCTGGTTTGAACTACCACAATGGTCTACTCATTGGACTTTTTTTTTTTTGAGACGGAGTCTTGCTCTGTTGCCCAGGCTGGAGTGCAGTGGTGCAATCTCGGCTCACTGCAAGCTCCACCTCCCGGGTTCACGCCATTCTCCTGCCTCAGCCTCCCCAGTAGCTGGGATTACAGGTGCCCGCTGCCACGCCCAGCTAATATTTTTTTTATTTTTAGTAGAGACGGGGTTTCACTGTGTTAGCCAGGATGGTCTCTATCTCCTGACCTTGTGATCTGCCCACCTCAGCCTGGACTTTTTTGCTTCATGCTCTGGAATCAATTATCAACCAAGACAGAAAGACATCTTTTTAAAAACTTGAATGAGATCCTATTCCTTTTCTGCTAAAAATTTCCCAGTGGTTTCAGCTCATACGCAAAATTAAAATTAAAAATTTTACCCAAACATTCGAGGCTCTACATGGCCCTTTGCCCTTGGAACTCTTTCACACACTCTCCCACTTACTTTCAAGTCATAGTAGCTTCCTGTTTCAGGGACATACCAAACTTCTTCCTGACTGTGAACTTGCTTGCTTGCCATCTGGAATATTTTCTCCAAGATTTTGTATGACTAGCTCTGAGCTCAAATATCATTCCTTTAGAGGGACCTGTCTTGGCAACCCTATTAATATCTCCCACATACCCTCTTCAGTTGCTCTCTACCCATAACCCGTTTTTTTCTTCATAGCACTCACAGCTCTTTGAAATGGTTCTTTGCTTTATTGTCTGTCTTACCCACTAAAATGTAACATCTATGAGAGCAGCCAGTGACTGGACCCTAGGACTATAAATGGCACTCTCTGGATGGGACAATGTGCCCCTTCCATGTGGTTCTTTCTATGTAGATACATGATGCTCCCCTGTCTGCCAAAGGAGACTCTAATATGCTGCCTTAAATTGATTATCTGGCCACTGCGAGTTTTCCAGGGCTTGTTTTCTGGCCCCTGTGGTTCAGACAAGTTATCTTACTGAAGGAAAGGGCACTGATAGTGAAAGTCAAAATAATCCACAACCTCAGTTATATTTTATCCCCATGTAGGGGTGATTAATCTGACTATAATATAGATTTTTTTTACATCAAGCTAAGTCAAATGGCCATTTAGATAGTCTGGGACTTGGAGTCACCGTGGGCTAGCTAAGATTCTTTTGCAAGGGTAGTTTTATACAATGGAATGGCTTTTCAATATTGGCCAATGAAGAAGTGTTACATCCTTACCAGCATTATGTTTTATAGAGGCTATCAACAAGTGGAAAAGTGGGAGAATCATTGTCCCAAATAGAGTAACAGGAAGGATGTTTGTATAAGGCACCCAAGTAAGAACGTTGGGACCTTTTCTCTAGTCAGGTCAGAGCTCCCACAGTCTGACATAGAGGAGAGCTTCAAGTGTATTTTTTGAAATGTTTCTTCTCCTATGTATTCTGTTATCCATCCTCCAGAGTTTATCATAATCATATTTGTGACTAGCATTGCAACTACAAGTTGCTGACATGTTAGTGTATTCTAATCTGATCTATACGTCTGATGTCTATAGATCTTTCTGATCTATGAAGTCCCCTTTTGTGATCACAGAGAAGGTTTAAACTGAGAATCAAAGATTAGTTTGTCTAAGACTTCTTTGCAAGGTGGCCTTCTATAAAATTCTATGAAAACTGGTCATAACTGAGTGCTTAAGGCAATCAATTTTGGTAGAAAGCTGAGGGGGTAAATTGGGTCAGCCATTCACCTTACCATATAAGCTGTAACTACAAGGCCTGAAGCCCAGCTTTCTGATCCCACTAGGTGTATTAGCTGTCTATTGCTGCATAACAAATTTCCCCAGGACATAGCAACTGAAAGCAAAAAGATTTATTACTTCACAGTTACAGTGAGTCATAAGGAGGAGTAGTTGAGCTGGAGGGTGATGATTTACTCCCTTATCAGGATGTGATCAAGGAGTCCAGTAATTTCAAAACTTGACTTGGGGGAGAGTCACTTACAAGTTCACACATGTGACTCTTGGTAAGATTTAGAAAATCTGTTTCCAAGTTCAACTATGTGGGCTGATCTACAGGGCTGCCCCATGACATGGAACCTGGTTTCCCCTGGAGTGAACAAGACAGAGGGAGAGGGAGAACCAAAGATGGAAGCCACAGTCTTTTTATAACCTAGTTTAGAAAGTGATATTCCACAGCATTCCATTCCTTAGAAGTGAGTCAATAAGTCCAGCCTATACTCAAAGAATGGGAGATTAAACAAAAAATATGAACATCAGGAAGTGCCTATCATTAGTGGGCCACCTCAGAGGATGCCTATAACATTTTAGAAAGGTAGGTGATTTCCATACATAAATAGGTTGCTTATAAAATAGGGTTGGTTTCCATATTGTGTTGCTGTTGGATGCTAGTCTCTTATACCAGTAAGAGTCAGTATCCTTTAAATTGCATGATTTTTCCCTAATTATGTAATTTTAAAGTCTCTCACACAGAATCTGACTTCCAGCTCCATTAGATTTCTGTGTGTTCTCCAAGAATGTGATGAACAATAAGTAAACTAAACCCGACTACCACTCCTGTCTCCATAATTTTCATGATTTTCCCTCACGAACTAGCTTCATTGTTAAGACTGGCTTGTTGCCGTTTTAGCAGACATGGCATATGCTTGGTCTGGTCATTTGCCCTTGCTGATGGATTACTTTTTTTGTCTTAGTATTTTATGTTCTCTTGGTATTTCAAACCCAAACCTTCCTTAACTGGTGTACACAATTTTATTCTTACTAGATTAAATCCTATTAAATATTCTACCCATTATTTTCTTGAAAAAAAGAAAAATCTCTTTGGGAGATTTCTGACCTGCTACGTAGCAAATGAATATGAGTTGGCTTTTCCTCTACCGTCATCCTGTGGATTCCTTTAACTTCCATCCTGTAATGGATTCCCTATTTCTTAGATTTCTTGTATTTCTCCTTCTTGGTTACTTTTTGTTGTTGTTTAAATTATTGGATTCTGTTTTCAGTAGCTTATTAAAAATGTTACATTAGAAGTAAAATTATTAGGCATTAGTATGGAACTCTAGATTAGAAATCATTTTTGCTTAGAATTTTGAAGACTTGCTCCACTGTCTTCTAGCTTAAAAAAACTTCCATCAACTAGCCTCCATACCTTTGTATAAAAAATGTTTTTTGTTTTTGTTTTGCCTCTCTGCAAGCCAGTAGCACCTTCTATTTGCCTTCAGCACTCTGAAATTTCACAATGATGTGGGTTAATTCACAACCATTGTACTAGTTGCTTGGTGAGCTGTTTACATCTGGGAGCTCATGTCTATGTCCTTCAGTTCTATGACATCTTCTTGACTTATGCCATTGATAATTTATTCTTCTTTCTTTTTTCTCACTTTCCAAAATATATATATCTTTAATGCCATTGTGTCCTTTCATATTCTCTTTGATTTAGGGATTAACACCCAAAAAACCATTTGGGGCAAAAAGAAAAATAAAACACTTTTACTCTAATTTTAGTAGGCTTATATAAGGCAGGAAATGAGCAGAAATTAAATGTCTGTATTTAATCTATTATCTTGATCTGGGCAAACTAAATTATTTTTACATTGATTTATTGACAAATATAATTAGAGTGTTTTATTCATTACATTTAATACACTTATTGATGTGATTGAGCTTATCACTCACTATCTTGCTAAGTTTTATGTATGTGCACCCTCTGATCTTTGTTCTTCCTTTTACTGACTTATTTTGAGCAGAGTATTGTTTAGGATTCATTTTATTGTCCTATTTGATTTTTAGAGTCCCTTCATTACATTATTTTGTCGACAGATTACTCTAGATATTACAATGCACACACACAACAGACTCCTATGGATTAATATTTTACTACCTTGTGGAAAAAGTAAGAATCTTGCAATATGTGGAAAGAGTAAGAACCTTGCAACATTGTAATTTATTATATTTACACACTTCCTGTCTATTATGCTATAGTTATAATGAATTTTACTTTGGATCTATTATAAGCCTCACCAAAAAAAAATTACTGTTTTTATTTAAACTGTGAGTTAACTTCCAAAGAATTTAAGAAAAAAATATTTATTACTACCCACATATTCGTTATTAAATTTCTTCTCAGAGATCTGTACAGTTGGCCCTTCTCATCTGTGAATTCTGCATCTGTGGATTCATATACATGCAGATGGAAAATATTTGAAAAAAATTGTTGGGTCTGTTCTGAACTGTATAGACTTTTTTTCTTGTCATTATCCCTTAATCAATACAGTGTAACAACTATTTAGACAGCATTTACATTGTATTAGGTATTATTAGTAATTTAGAGATGATTTGAGGTATACAAGAGAAAATGTGTAGGTTATATGCAATAATACACTTGTTATATAAAGGAATTAAGCATCTGTGAATTGTGGTATCCCAGGGGGTCCTGGAGACAATTTCCCATGGATATTGAGGGACAACTGTAGTTTTATCTGGTATCATTTCCATTCAACTTGAGGAACCTGTAGCATTTCTTGGAGCGCAAATCCATATGCAACACATTCTCAAGATTTTGATTTTTCTGCAAATGTATTTATTTGGCTTTCATCTCTTAAGGACAATTTCCCAGTTTATATCATCTTAGGCTAACATTTTTTTTTCTTATAACACTTTAAAAATTGTTTTCTTATCTTCGATCTCCTAATGCTGTCATTCTTACTGTTGTTCCCCAGTAAGCAATAGTTCCCCCTCCCTCAACCAATTTTAAGATATTCTTTTCTTTTCTTTGGTTTATGTAAGATTGGTTCCAAATTGCCTATTTTTATTCTTTTGTTTTCTTTTGTATTTTTAAATATTTTTCTTGCTTGGGGTGCTCTGATCTTCCTGTATCTATGTATTGAAAAAGTGACTTTTTACCCTTTTTCTTTATCTTCTATTTCTGGGACTCTGATTACATGTATTTTAGATTTTATACCACAAGTCATTGAGGGTTTGCTCATTTGTCTTAATTCTTTTTATCTTTCTGTGATTCAGCCTCATATATCCTTTCTTTTGTTGTGCTAAATATGTTGGTAAACTTATCCAATAAATTTCTTATTTCACATGCTTCTTTTTCAAGTCTAGGATTTCCATGTAGTTCATTTACAGTTTGTACCTTTTCCAAAAATGTACCCATCTCTTTGCCCATTTTTTATCTTTTCATTTTAAAAAGTCTTTTATGAAGGATGATTTGTTTTATTCTAGTGAGCAGTTTAATTATGGGTGGAAACTTGGTTTGGGCCTTTGTTGGGATAAGTCTACTTCTGTTTTGCTTTTGCCACTGGATATAGAGTTTGGTGTCAAGTGAAAATGCAAGGTATTTACTAAGCCTTTCTAACTTGACAAGACTCCAACTCCAATCTCTGTCTGTCCAGTAATGGGCAGCTACTGAAATCTCGGAAAGTTCTTTAAACCTTCCACCTGTATCCTTCTGCTAGTGTCCCTGAAACCTTGCCTTATCTATGTGCAATTCAGGGTCAATTCAGGATTTGAGGGGAATTTGTGTGCATATTTGCAGTTGCTGCTTCTGTAGCTGCATCTTTCTGAGGTGTTCCCTTACTAGTTTCCCACTGTTCTAGTGGCGCTGAACTAAAAAAAAAAAAAGAAAGAAAGAAAGAAAGAAAGAAAGAAAGAAAAAGGAAAAGAAAAAAGAAAAATACTTCCCAGATCAATAGAGTTTCTTCTTTTTGTTTGAGCTCTATCCCTTCGTGAGCCACAAGACTAGTAGCAACCTGAGGGAAAATATAAGTATTGCTTGTGGATCTCCTCCTAGTGTGTTTCCTTCTTGATAAGGGTGATACCCTCTCTAGGTTCTGCTTTTGGTCATTCTCCAATGACTTCCATGATTGTTTTCTTTATTATTTCCTTAGTTTATAGTTGTTATCAGTAGGGGGGTTAGTCTAATCAAGCTGCTTCACCTAACTAAAAACCAAGATTCTCTCCTTGTGTTAGAGTTCTCCAGAGAAACAGAACTAACAGGATATGTATAAATAAATAAATAAATAAATATCTCATTATACACATAATTTAAAATATGTAGCTAATATATACTTACATATAAAATTATATATAGTAATAGATATATAATATAATATACATATCATTTATATATATAATTTATTATAGAGAATTGGCTCACATGATTATGGAGTCTGAGAGGTTCTATGGTCACATGGAAAGCTGGAGACACAGGAGAGATGATGGTATAGTTCCACTCTAAATCTGAAGGCCTAAGAAACAGGAGACCCGATGGTGTAAGTTCTAGTCAAAAAGCCAACAGGCTCAAGCCATAAAGAGCAGATGTTTCATTTTGAGTCTGAAGGCAAGAAAAGACCAATGTCCCAGCTTAAACCACTCAGGCAAGAAAGTTCCCTCTTACTCAGCCTTATTGTTTGATTATGGTCTTCAATTGATTGGATGAGGTTCACCCACACTGGAGAGGGCAATCTTCTTTACTCATCTATTGATTTAAATTTAATCTAATCGGAAACATCCACGCAGACACGATCAGAATAATGTTTGACTAAATGTCTGTGCACCTGTAGCCCAGTCAAGTTGACACACATCCCACACTCTTTAAATAGATTATAATTTAAGGAAGACAATTTTCTTAAGTACTTATTTCTTATGTTAATTTTTTTCTAGATATAAATTGTGCCACTCTTTGAAGGACATACTTTGGAATGGGTGGATTTCAACAATGTGGGTATACACAAGGAATAGGTGATATTCTCATAATAAGGTTATACATAGGCAAAACCTTACAGGCATTAGGCCAGTGTCTCAGTCCATTTAGTGTTGCTATAAAGGACTACCTGAAGCTGGGTAATTTATAAAGTAGAAAGGTTTATTTAGCTCACAGTTCTGTAGACTGTACAAGAAGCATGATGCCAGCATCTGCTTTGGGTGAGGGCTTCAGACTGCTTATACTCACAGCAAAAGGCTAAGAGGAACTGGTGTGTACTGAGATCACATGGCAAGGGAGAGAGGACGCAAGAGAGAGGGGAAAAGGGTGGGGGAGGTGCTGGGCTCTTTTTAACAACCAGCTTTCTTGGTAACTAATAAAGTAAGATGAAGACATTCATGAGGGATTTGCCTCCATAACTCAAACAATTCTAGTTAGGCCCACCTCCAATACTGGGGATAAAATTTCCATATGACATTTGGAGGGGTCGAGCAAGCCAAATATAGCATCCAGGCAGGCCCTATGCTATTTATTTACATTTTATAGTTTACTTTTCACGAAGTGCACATTAATGGGGAATAAGAGAATATGGTGAGCTTCACATGTCCCTTAATCATGGCAGTGACACTATGTATCTGTGATTCTCTTGACTCTGCCCTGCTTGGGGTGCCAGCATTGTTCTCAGGGTAGCTTACTTTATAAGCTTATGATGGCTAATGAAATTCCAAGCTTTATATCCGGAGAGCATTAGTATCTCCAAATTCTCTTATAAAGTATTTGTAAATGTGCTAAATCATCCCTTAACTAATTCCTTAAATAAGATAATTCATGTAATGAGCTTAGCCCATTATTTGGTAGATTATTAACAAATGTTACAATTGGTACCAATTTTTTTTTTCTTCTGACTCCTTCCATATTTTAGGTCACCCTTTTTACCCAGTATTTTACCAAAGCAAGGCAAATAGTGATCTTGATCTCTCCTGTCCTTTACCTAACATTTTTGTGTGAATGAATTTTACCTATTTTCTCAACCAGACGTAATTTGTTGGGAATAGAACCAATTGATGGCAATGGTGACAGTGATGAAGGTGATAATCAGTCTAGTTTGTTAAGTGAATAATGGCTTACAAAGTGCTTTTAATTTCTGTAATTTTCCGTAACCCCTATACCAATGATGGTAAAATGAATCTCCCTTGATGGAATATAAGGCACTTTGGAACCTGGCTATTTATGGAAATATAGGGATTGCATAGTACCTGCTTCAAATCTTATGTAGGCAATTGTTTATTCTGCATATGTAAGGAACAGCATGCTCGGGACTCATATGCATATTATAGTCCCAAAAGCTGTCCCAATTGCCTGTGATTGTCTCAGAGTTAGTTCACTCTCTGAATGGATGCTCAGGGTAAATTTTATCCAAAAACATTGTGAGCTTTGCTGCTCTCTATCTAAAATCCAGCCCTGCGACAGAGCGAGACTCCGTCTCAAAAAAAAAAAAAAAAAAAAAAAAAATCCAGCCCTGAACTATCTTGTAAACTTAAAATGAATCACAGTTCAATTGTTTGTTCCTAGGTAGAAACTTAGTGTGCTCATATTCTTTGCAACAACAAGGAAAATAGCTATATTTTATCTCTTTCATATAAAGTTCATTCATATATACTACCTCACTTGATCTTCACAATTCTGTCAGACAAGAGGAGGAAGTGGAATAAATATTTGTTACCTGCATAATATGTGTCAGACACTAGATATTAAAAATTATTAACATAAATATAAATCACTATGTAACTTTTGTATAGTCCTCATACCAAGTGCGTGACTTATAAATTATTGATTTAACCTTCAAAAATTAAAAATTTGGGGCTCAGAGAAGTTAAGTGTCTTGCCCAATGGCATGAAGTGAGGAACGGGAGAAGCTAGAACTCAGTCTGGGTTTTCTGACTTAAAGCAACTGTGGATTTTGCATTATCACAATTGCTGCATCTGACACTAATGATGCACGTGAGAAATGAATCTCCTCAGCTTTTTCTGTTGGTTGGCACTTTAACATAGACACAGAGAATAACATATTATCTTCTTTTGCGTGTGTGTGGAAAGTCTTTGTTCATTTACATATGCTTCTATTTGCAGATTCATAGTCTACACAGCCATGGCTGCAAGTATTCACTGGTGGGCCATTATGATGATGTTTGCTCTTTTTCACTAATATCATAAATGGGTATAAGGCTTGATAGCTCTAAGTGACAAAAAATATTTTTATAGGTGTAGCAGACACCCATGTCTTTGTAATTAAGCTTGCCTGAAATAAGACCAAATGTGTGAACATATTAATGCTTTGTTTTGTACTGCCTCTTTTCATGTAATTTTATTAACATAAGGGGTGCCTTTAATTATGCAAAGCTACAAACTACATTATTGATATTCTATAAACATTCACTACACCCGCCTTTAATGAAACAAAAACAAAATGCAGTCTCTTATTTTTCAAGATTCTTAGAAAGGCAGAAAGTCTGGAGTATAAAATAAAAGGAGTTAGGGACTTGATCCTTGAGACATTGCTATGTGTAGCCAGGGCTATGTGTGCCAGGATATACATGGGATAGTTACCCCCACCCACTATTTTACTTTCTGTACCTTCAGTTACCTGTGGTTCAGCACAATAGGATATCTTCTGAGAGAGACAGACCACATTCACATAACTTTTATTACAATATATTGTTAAAATTGTTTCATTTAACTATTAGTTACTTTTTCTAATATTTACTGTGCCTAATTTATAAACTAAATTTTATCATAGGTATGTATATATAGGAAAAAATACATAGCATCAGTAGAGTTCACTGTTATCTGTGGTTTTGGGCATCCACTGGGGCTCTGGGAACGTATCCCCTTCAGATCAGAGGAACTGCCATAGTCATTTTATTGTTGGAATTTCCCAGCTCCATACCTTTGGTTCAAATAGAGTAACATATTTTTAAAAATATACTGGATACTGGAGATTTGTCATCTGACTCTACTTGGCACACTTTTGTTTTTTAACTACGTTATTCTTGTCCACTGGTAAACTTATGAGAATTTTTCAAAGGGGCTGACTTCCACATGGGATTTGATATGGACTCTGAAACCTACAGTCAGGTTAAATTCTAAATGTATTTAAAGAAAGTAGCTTCCAAGATCAGGTATACTTAATGGCGTCTCACTGAGATTTGTGTTGCTTTATGCTGCTTTACCAGTTAAATTTTGAGAGAGAGAGAGAGAGAATAGCCAATTGCAGTTATGTGGTCTTTACATGAACAACCTACTATAGATGAATCACACAGGAACCACAGAAAATATTGTGGATGGTTTTGAAAAAGAGAATCATAAAAATGATGACTACTCACCTGCAAGCTTAGGAAAACTACAAGAATTGAAAAATCAACAGGCTTTATCTTGCTTCACTCTGCTCCATCTATGGCACTACCAGACAAAAAAATCCTTATGTTAGTATCAACTATGAAAAATTAAAAAGCATTTGAGTAAAATGACTTCCATTACTATAACTTTAATATTGAAAAATATATATGCCACTGGAACCATTTTTATATTTGGGGCTTGGTTCAAAAATTTGTTACAAGTGTCTTTATGAGCATTTTTTATGGCATTGCACTTGTAAAGCTTGTGGTGCTTAGAGGACTGTTCTTTGATTCATTCCTTCACTCAACAAATACATATTAGGTATTTACTCTTGGATAAAGAAGAGAAACAGCCAATCATAATCTCTGTGTTGTAAAGTTTTTGGTCTATTTGGATAGGAAGACATTATAGAGAAAGTCACAGAAACAATTATAGATGGTGTGATTAGCAAACAATGACTTTTAAATATTAAAATGTATTAAATAAAAGAAAAGATATATATAATGAGTGAAAAAATGAAGAATTCTGTGGAGATATAAAGACTCAAAAGAAGAACTAAATGGAAATTCCAGAACTGAAAAAGGCAAACAATTCATTCAAGAGGATTAAAAGCAGATTGAATATTTAAGAGAAAAGGATTAAGGAACTTGAAGACGCACCAAGAGATATTCAACTAAAGCACAGACAGCAGAAGTTAAAAAAAAAATTGAGCCAGAATGACCTGTGAAGCTAAATCAAGCCATTCTGCATATCTGCAATTAGAGTCCTAGAAAAAGGGCGAGATAATGGTTCAGAAAAATATATCCAGATAAACAATGGCTGAAAAATTTCTAAATTTAATTAAAAATTTCAAACTCAAGATATAAGAGATCCAACACTCTTCAGGTAGGATAGATGCAAAGAAAACCACACCTACACACATTATAGTCAAAGTGCTGAAAACCAATACAGGCACACCTTGGAGATACTGAGTTTGGTTCCAGGCCACCACAGTAAAGCAAGTCACACGAAATTCTGGTTTTTCAGTGCATATAAAAGTTATGTTTACACTACCTATAGTCTATTAAGTGTGCAAACACATGTTTGCAAAACAATGTGCATATCATAATTAAAAATACTTTATTGCTAAAAAATGCTAACAAACATCTGAGCCTTCAGCAAATTGTAATCTTTCTGCTGGTGGAGGGTCTTGCCTAGAGGTTGATGGCTGCTGACTGATCAGGGTAGTGGTAGCTCAGGGTTGAGTGGCTGTAGCAATTTCTGAAAATAAGGCAACAATGAAGTTTTCAAAGATGTCTCTGTAACATGTGAAGCTGTGTGCTTGCATTTTATCCATAGAACTTCTTTCAAAATTGGAATCAATCCCCTCAAACTATGCTGCTTCTTTATCAAATAAGGTTTATGTAATATTCTAAATCCTTGGTTGTCATTTAAACAATATACACAGCATCTTCACCAGGAATAGATTCCATCTCAAGAAACACTTTTATTGTTCATCCGTAAGAAGCAACTTCTCATCTGGTCAAATTTTATCATAAGATTGCAGCAATTCAGTCACTTCTTTAGGCTCCACTTCTAATTCTAGTTCTCTTGAGGTTTCCACCACAAATACAATGACTTTCTCCACTGAGGTCTTGTACCCCTCAGAGTCATCCATGAGGGTTGGAATTAACTTCTTGCAAACTGCAGTTAATATTAATATTTTGACCTCTGCCCATAAGTCACAAATGTTCTTAAAGGTATCTAGAATGGTGAATTCTTTCCAGGAGGTTTTCAATTGGCTTCGCCCTGATCTATTAGAGGAATTACTATCTACAACAACTGTAGCCTTACAAAATGTGTTTCTTAAAGAGTGACTTGTAAGTGAAAATTAATCCTTGATCCATGGGCTGCAGAATAAATATGTTAGCAGGCATGTTAACAACAATCATCTCCTTGTACATCTTCATCAGAGCTCTTGGGTGACTAAGTGCCTTTTCAATGAGTAGTAATATTTTGAAAAGGATATTTTTTCTAAGCAGTAGAACTCAACAGTGGGCTTAAAGTCTTTGATAAACCACGTCGTCATTGCAGCTTTCTTGTTTCATTTATAGAGCACAGGTAGAGTAGGTTTAGCATAATTCTTAAGGGCCCTAGGATTTTCTGAATGGTAAGTGAACATTGGCTTCAACTTTATTACCAGCTGCGTTAGTCCCTAATGCAGTCATCATCCCCTTTGAAGCTTTGAAGCCAGGTATTGACTTCTCCCCTCTAGCTATGAAGGTCCCAGATAGCATCTTCTTTCAATAGAAGGCTATTTTGTCTACATTGAAAATTGGTTATTTAGTGTAGCCACCTTCAACAATTATCTAAGCTAGATCTTCTGAATAACTTGCAGCTTCCACATTAGCCCTTGCTGCTTCACCTTGTACTCTTATGTGATGAAGGTGGCTTTTTTCTTTGAACCTCATGAGCCAACCTCCTCTAGCTTCCAACTTTTTTTCTGCAGCTTCCTCACCTCTCTCAGACTACATAGAATTGAACAGTTAGGGCCTTGTTTTGATTAGGCTTTGGCTTAAGGGAGTGCCTGGTTTGATCTTCTATCCAGATCACTAAAACCTTTTCCATATCAGCAGTAAGGCTGTTTCACATTCTTTTCATTCATGTTGTTCACTAGGGTAACACTTTCAATTTCCTTCAGGAACTTTTCCTCTTTATTATAACTTGACTAATTGTTTAGTGCAAGAGCTCTAGCTTTTGGCCTGTCTGGGTTTTTGACATGCCTTCCTCACTAAGCTTAATCATGCTAGCCTTTGATTGAAAGTGAGAGATTTGTGACTCTTCCTTTAACTTGAACACTTTGAGGCCATTGTAAAGTTATTAACTGGTCTAATTTAAATGTTGTGTCTCAGGAGATAGAGATGCCAGAGGAGAGGGAGGGAGATGGGAGATTGCATTGGCTAGTTGGTAGAGCAGTCAGAACACACATTTATTAAGTTCACTGTCTTACATGAGCATGCTTCTTGATACCCCAAAATAATTACAATAGTAGCATCAAAGATCACTGATCACAGGTCACCACAAGATAACCACAACATAACATACTTATACCATAATAGTAAATATAATATATATTTACTATTGAAGCCTAACATATTTTTCCTAAATATGAAATGAAAAAGCTTAAAATATTGTAAGAATGACCAAAACGTGACACAGAGACACAAAGTGAGCACGTGCTATTGGGAAAATGGTGCCAATAGACTTGCTGGACTCAGGGTTGCCACAAACCTTTGATTTGTAAAAAGCACAGTATTTGTGAAGTGCAATAAAATGAAGCACAATAAAAAAGAGATATGTCTGTAATTAGGAAAGGAAGAGGAGAAGGATGAGGGAGAAAAATGTTGGTGGGAATACTCTTTGTCTAACTCAGATATAATTTTAACAATTCTCTCCCATCACTTGAAAAAAATTACAGTTGAAATAAGAACAAAAGTATAAACTGATACATATATAATTCAATCTTTGTATTGTATGTATGTATCATTACATACATATATATATATATATATAATGTACATATGTATCATACATGGTTTGAGTCAGATAACCCAAAGTCTCAATTTCACAACTTTTAGTTTAGTTATAAAGCAAGCAGAATTTTTATTCTTTGCTGGATTTGAACCTAGAATAATGTTCCTTTTGGAATTCATACCAATCAGTATTGAAACACAAGATCTATTGCCCAATGCAAAACTGCATGCAGATGAAGCAGATATAATCAGAGGAAGAAATGTTGTTGCCATTTTATCTCTTGAGCTGTTAATTCACACCTAACTTGAAGCAAGATACTGTTGTCTAAGATAGACCTATTAAACTCACTTTATAGTTTAAGCTAATATGAGGTTAAGTATGCTGTTATTTGCCTTCAAAAGCATCCTAACGGATAGACTTCCCTAGTATAATATCTATTCGTAGAATTTTTAAAGTTAAGAGTGATGTAAATTTAAATTTTTGATAAATAATTACATAAACAGCCCATAGAACTGTTGGTAAGTTATTTAGTCTCAGCAAAGTGTATTGGGCAACTAGTTTTCCCACTTCATATAATATGGTGATTGTTATTCTTTTTCATTACTGAAACCCCGAAATTTATATTTTATTACTGATTTGATTAAAATATATGGTTACAGAATGGGAGAAAATTTTTGCAATCTACCCATCTAACAAGTGTCTAATATTCAGAATTTACAAGGAACGTAAACAAATTTACAAGAAGAAAACAACCTCATCAAAAAGTGGCCAAAGGATATGAACAGACACTTCTCAAAAGAAGACGTTTACATGGCCAACAAACATGAAAAAAAGCTCAACATCATTGATCATAGAAAAATCCAAATCAAAACCACAATGGGATACCGTCTCATGCCAGTCAGAATGGTGATTATTAAAAGGTCAAGAAACAATAGATGCTGGCAAGGCTGTGGAGAAATAGGAAGGCTTTTACACTGTTGGGGGAAATGTAAATTAGTTCAACCATTGTGGAAGAGAGTGTGGTGATTCCTCAAGGATCTAGAACCAGAAATACCATTTGACCCAGCAATCCCATTACTGAGCATATACCCAGAGGAATATAAATCATTCTACTATAAAGGCACATTCACATATATGTTTATTGCAGCACTCTATACAATAGCAAAGTCATGGAACCAACCCAAATGCCCATCAATGATAGATTGGATAAAGAAAATGTGGTACATATACATCATGGGATACTATGCAGCCATAAAAAGGAATGAGATCATGTCCTTTGCAGGGACATGGATGAAGCTGGAAGCCATCATCCTCAGCAAACTAACAGAGGAACAGAAAACCAGACACCGCATGTTCTTGCTCATAAGTGGGAGTTGAACAATGAGAACACATGGACACAAGGAGGGGAACAACACACACCAGGGCTTGTTGGGCGGTGGGGGGTGAGGGGAGGGAACTTAGAGGACGGCTCAATAGGTGCAGGAAACCACCATGGCACACGTATACCTATGTAACAAACCTGCATGTTCTGCACATGTATCCTGGAACTTAAAAGTAAAATTTATATATATATATATAATATAATATATATATACTATATATATAATATATACTATATATAATATATATAGTATATATATTATATATATATACTATATATAATATATATATAATATATATATTATATATATATATAATATATATAGTTACTATTGAAGCCAAACATATTTTTTCTAAATTTATTGGACATTTAAGTGTTTTCTTTTAATAATATTCTCTATAAGCCATTTGTCTACTGCTGAAATTGAGCCAGGAAAAAGGCATTTAGCTTTTTGATGCCCTAGGAGATCTTTAAATATTAAGGATTTTAACCTATTTTGTCACATACATGGTTACTATAATTTACCAGTTTGCTGTCTATATTTTGATAGTTTATAGCATGAGATTTGTATTGTTATAATTGTTTATTTTGTTTTGGTGAAGTAGAAGTTTGTTTTGAGGTAGAATGGTTCCTGTCAATTTGGTACTTATAGGATATATTTCACTATCTACTACCCTAGAGCTTTCATTATTTCGTCAGTATTTAAATTTTAATAAAATTTTACCTTGAAATATGGTATGAGGTAAGAATTTAACAAGTTTCCAATAACACTCATTGGTCTTTCCTCACTGATTTAGAATAAAACTCTTAAAATATGATACATTTCCATTTATACTGAGGTCTGCTTCTATAATTTTATTTTCTCATTTGCCTGAGTGCCTATTTCTGCAAACTCACATTGCTATAATTACTGTTTCCTTAAAAGAGGAGTCTCTCTCTCCCTCCATTTATATTTACAAATTTATTCTTTCTTTCTTTATTTTTTTTTTTGAGACAGTTTCACTCTGCTGCCTAGGCTGGAGTATAGTGGTCTTGGCTCACTGCAGCCTCCGCCTCCTGGGTTCAAGCGATTCTCCTGCCTCAGCCTCTCAAGTAGCTGGGATTACAGGCACGTGCCACCACACCTGGCTAATTTGTGTATTTTTTAGTAGAGATGGGGTTTTACCATGTTGGTCAGGATGGTCTCGATCCCCTGACCTCGTGATCCACCCACCTCGGCCTCCCAAAGTGCTGGGATTACAGGCGTGAGCTACCGCACCCGGCCACAGATTTATTTTTTATGAAAAACTGCTAAATATTAAGTCCCTTTCCTCCTCAAAGTACTGAGATTTTGATTGGGAAGGTGTTAAATTTATAGATTAATTTGGGGAGAATCAAAATCTATACTTTTTATCCAGTAACATGGCCTTGCTCTTGATTTAACATAGTTTTATAGTAGTGATTCATAAACTTCTTTGCCAATATATTTATGGTATGTCAAAAGAATAGTGTAATGATTAATAGGAGTTCAAGTGCAAGTTTGTCTGCCTACTGTATTTTGAGATTGTAAATTGTGCTTTACCTCGTAAATAGAATTTTTTTAGGGCTTCCCATATGAGAGGCTCAGTTCTAAGAAGTTTGCACAGATAATATTGTTTAATCACAACAAAATTCTCTACTTTTCTGAACAAAGTGAGATTCATGTAGGATAAGCAATTTTCTCAGGTTCACCTAGGTAGTAAGCGGTGCAATCAGGACTCCATTTAAAATCTAACTCCAGGCCGGGCGCGGTGGCTCACGCCTGTAATCCCAGCACTTTGGGAGGCAGAGGCGGGTGGATCATGAGGTCAGGAGATCGAGACCATCCTGGCTAACACGGTGAAACCCCGCCTCTACTAAAAATACAAAAAATTAGCCGGGCGTGGTGGCGGGCGCCTGTAGTCCCAGCTACTCGGGAGGCTGAGGCAGGAGAATGGCATGAACCCGGGAAGCGGAGCTTGCAGTGAGCCGAGATTGCGCCACTGCACTCCAGCCTGGGCGACAGAGCGAGACTCCGTCTCAAAAAAAGAAAAAAGAAAAAAAAAAAATCTAACTCCAAAGTCTTTGGTCATTTTCTATTGGTTTTATAGGTTCTGAGCCACAATTAATTCATTTATAAGATGAAGGTAACATTAGCATCAAATTCATATGGTTTTGAGAAACTTATTTTCTTCTGCAGTTTACTGATTATTGCCAACCTTATTTGAAACAAATACATTTTATCAATTTTCCTTTGAATGTTGCTTTAGCTGCATTGTGAAGTTTTTGAGACATAGATTTAATACAGTGCCTAATTTAACTAGTCTGCATTTTCAGTGTCTATGTCTAAGTCAGGAGTAAATTAAAGTGCTAATTTAGATCTTAACTTACTAGATTTTTTATTATTAAGTGGTTAGCATTTTTGTGACTCATAGTTTTAATTCCTTATGGTCAAACGACCACATTCCAAAATGAATTTTTACATAATGTGAATTTCTGTTTGTTAAATTTTACACATAAAAACACTCATCAAATGTATTAATTATATTATTTAATTATCTATTATTAGTATCATATATTTCTTGCCATCTTGGTCTAGAAAATTCAGAGAGAAAATTTTAAAGTCTTTCAGTATGATTACGGTTCTGTCAGATTCTCCTTACTTCTCCTTCCATCTGCGGTGTTATGATACAGATTGGTTTTCATCCATGGCTCCCGGCTCATAACTCCTATAGCCCTTATTATAGCCTTTTGTTATAATGTTGGGTGTGTGGGGCTTCAGGGGCAGGCCTCTGACCTTCTCTTGCTCTCCTTTCGCCTGCCCCCAGGCAGAACTCTAATATTTCCCTGCCTTTCTGAATTTGGGCCTTAAGCCTCTCCCATGAGAGGGTCTCATCCTATACCTGGAGGAAGAAATGCTGACATCATGAAGCTTCCATAAAAACCCAGGAGGACAGGGTTCATTGAACTTCAGGATAGCTGAACACGTTCCTGTTGGGTGGTGAGCCCAGGGAGGGCGGGGAAACTCCATAGCCCTTTTATAATACCTCACTTTACACTTCTCTTCAACTGTTTCCATTGCAATATCCTTTATAATAAACTTATAAATATAAGTAGGTGTTTCCCTGAGTTCTGTGAGCCGCTCCAGCAAATTAATCGAACCGAAAGAGGGGGTCATGGGAACCCCAACCTGAAGCCGGTCTGTCAGAAGTTCCAGAGGCCCAACTTGCGTGACTGGTGTCAGTGGTGTGGGGGGAGGGGAGTCCTAGGGAAGTGAGCCTTCAACTTGTCAACCTGTCACATCTGACACTGTCTCTGGTTAGATAGTATCGAGACTGAATTAGAGGACACCCAACTGGTGACCGCTGCTTGGTGTGTTGGGAAAAAAACCTCCACTCATGTGGACGCAGAAGTCTTCTGTGTTAATAATTGTTGTGGTGTGAGAGTACAGGGAAAACATGGTTAGGGATAGTTTTCTCACAATATCTAACATATTTAACTTGATTTATGCTTAATAGTATATTTTCTACACACTAATATTTTATTGGTCATGTAAGTTTTGTGAATTGTACTTTTATTTAAAATGATAAATTCTTATTTCTCCCACTCAGCAGTTTTTGCCCTAAATTCTGCTTTGACTGATATTGAATCTGCTAGTTCTGCTTTCCTTCATTTACAATGGCCTATTCCATATCTGTTTCTTTCTTTATTTTAACATTTTTGTTTCTTTATTTTTTCAGCTGCACCTCTGTGTAAATAGCATACAGCTCACATATTCCTTTTGGTCTTTATGACAATCTTGTTTTTTTTTTTAATGAACAAATAAAATGTTTTTACATTTTCTTATAATTATTGATATTTGTGATCTTATTCCTGACATGTTATTTAGTGTCCATTCTAGCAATATGTTTTATATTTTTTCCTTTCTTTTTAAAATATTGATCAAGATTTCTTCTATAAAAATCTACCATGATTTAAAATATACAAATCTTATGTTACATCTTAAAATCAGGTTTTCCCCCAATTCTAGATCTTTTGTCTTTCCTTCTCGTGTTCTCCTTAAAGGAGCTCACTCATGCCTATCACTTCAATGATTATCTCCACATTAATGCCTATTACTGACCCTGGCATCTGTCCTCACTTCTGTTTCTAGTAATCGGTAACAAATGTCACTCATGGAGTACATCCTTGATATATTAAAAACTAATAACATCTTTTTTGGTCCAAATCTCTTTTTTTCCCCATGAATGTCCTCTAGTAATAATTGAATCTTCTCCAGTAAATAAGTGACAACACATTATAACAGCCATTCAAGCTAAAAAAAAAAGTCATTTATTCTCAGTTGTTATCCTACATAGCTCTTTATGATCATTCCCCAAACCCTTCTTTGTATTTCTCAAATCCACCTACTATCTCTATTTTCAGGCATCTATCCCTTCTCACTTGGACAATCATCTTTACACATTTCTCTTAAAATGTTGCAAATTATCTTTATATAACATATGTCTAATTATATTGGTCTTCTACTTTAAAAAAAAATCTTTAGTAGTGCAGTACAAAGAGCATGGGCAACGGGTTCAGATATACCTTGGGTTTAACACCAGTTCTGTAATTTGTAAGCAGGGTAACCATGGACTTTTTTTTTTTTTTTACTCTCTAAGCTTCAATTCTCCCAACTGCAACTGGGAATAATAATGCCATCTGAAAAGGCTTGGCATGAAGAGTAAATGAGGTTCTTTATTTAAAGATAATGGATAGGAGTGTTCAAAAACTGTTACACCCTTCCCTCCCTCCAACACACACAGAAACACACACACACACACACACACACACTTATCCATGTGAGCACATCCACACTACATGATATAGAACTCATGTACTTATGCTAGGATTTCAAGCCCCCATAATCTGGTTTGACTATATCTACAAACTCATGTCATATTGTTCATCTCAGTCCCTTTTATTTAGCCAACTTTCTAGCCCATCCTGCTACAGATACCCCATCAGACATTTTCGTCATGACTTTTCATGTGCTATTAGGTCTGCTAGGAATAGCTTCCTTATCCTTAATACCTGACAAACCACAAATCCTTTAAAATCTGACTCAGTCCTAAAGATGTCTTTCTTTCTACACAGACGCATGGATCCTCTTTCCTCCACTCTTCCAAATCTGGGACACTTCTGGAACATATATTGTGATATAATCTAGTTGGGTTTAAATGTAGAAACCATGAACTAGACTGCAAGTTCCAAGAGAGTAAAGGCTAGGTTTTTCATGCCCCTAACTCTCAAGTCTTACTATGACCTTAATACATACTATGTGCCCAACAATTATTCTCTGAAAGCATGAATAAATGGATGAATGAGTACTACTGCTGAGGCATAGAAAAAGGTAAGGGATTAACTATGATTTAAGTTCAGAGGACCCCATTGCAAGTCTGGAATTGCACATTTCTAGCTGGATAAGGCCTTTGCCAAGTCACTTTATCTCTGTGCTATAGTTTCGTCAACTCAAGAAAGAAAATAACGCCTTCTTGTCTAAGTCATTAGAGTCAAGTAGATACATAGAAGTGGTTTGTAAACTTTAAAATACTGTGTGCATTTACATTACATTACTTCCCTTACTAAGAATTAGTAAAATAAAGTTTTTAAACTATTTTTAAAAAATTATTTTCTGGCCGGGCACAGTGGCTCACGCCTATAATTCCAGCACTTTGAAAGGCCGAGGAGGGTGGATCACCTGAGCTCAAGAGTTCGAGACCAGCCTGGCCAACATGGCGAAACCCTGTCTCTACCAAAAATACAAAAATTAGCCGGGCGTGGTGGCACATGCCTGTAATCCCAGCTACTTAGGAAGCTGAGGCAGAATTGCTTGAACCCAGGAGGCGGAGGTTGCGGTGAGCTGAGATCTTGCCACTGTGCTCCAGCCTAGGCAACAGGGAGAACCTCCATCTCAAAAAAAAAAAAATTATTTTCCAAGGCTACATTTGGAAGCAGCGTATGTTATACAACCCAACATCCTGTTTGTCATGGTTCTTGGGATATATATCTTAAGTGTATAACATTTCACCCAAGGACTCTGCTCTTGGGTGAATGGGTAAGTGGGTTAGGAGCAGCCTTGAAAGGCAGATAAATATTGATACTTCTATGAAACATCTTTAACAAAGTGAATAAAGATTTGAGACAAATAAAGACAAAACAGACGAACATCTGAAGAGATGAGGAAACTTCTGTTTTGCTTTCCTGGCAGAGAATTTAAGTGAGCACTTACTTAACAATATATTTCAGTTTTAATTATGTGCTACACTCACATACACATACACACACACACAGAAACACACACACACTTTCACTTACATTGTTTTGATTCCTATGTAAAAAACACCCTTGGGTTAGATATTCTTAATTCCATTTACCTAAGTCCTCAGGCCTCAGTTCTCTCATCTCTTAAATGGGAGCTATAGCTTCAATCTCATATCACTTCTGTGTGTATTAAATGAAATACTGCATAAAAGTTCCTAGCATATGATAAAGTCTACAGCAGTTATCTTCTGTTTTATTACTTCAAAAAGATAAATCTTTAAAAATCTTCAATGTGCATATGAGATAGGTATTTTTCTGCAATAATTGAAGAAATGCAATCTCATTTTTTAGTCATCTGTGTTGTTCTCACTGGGAGCAAGAAATAAAACTTAAGGAAAAACAATTCCAAAGTATCCCATATGTAAGAAAGCAAGACTTTGAACTTACTTCATGGGACTGCAGAGATATGAAATAAAAGTTGAAATGAAAAAGGAAGCTAGAAATAGGGAGATACAGAAAGCTGTAGAGAAAGAACCATAATGATATACCACAGAAACTGGTGGGGCTGGGGAGAAGAGACAGATTTTATGATCCAAACACTGAATATTTCTGGTTTTGTTTTTATCCCGAGGCTACTGATCATGTGTCCTAAAGGAATAATGCATGTTTCATTGTTCAAATAGGAACCATTTAGGTTACAGAAGAATGGATTATTAGTTGAAGTAAAAACTTCATACCTTCCCAAGAGGGCTCTAGGTGTGAAATGCTTTAATTAAAAGTAATCTGATTATGGCAATGATTCAATTTTACTTTTTTGCTTTAAAATGGACCTTTAAAATAAAATGTCATGGGCTTTTAAAAAATTGCTTAAGGTTTTTTGTTTGTTTGTTGCCAGAAGCAATTACAAATGACCAGAAACATGTAATAAAAGACTTTGCTCTACTAGCTGTTGAAGAAATACAAATTAAAGTGATATGTAACTGTTTTTCTATATATCAGAATGGCAAAGATTATACTCTTTATGCTAACAAATGGCAATACCTAGTGTTGATGAAGAAAAGGGAAAACCAACACTTTTAAACACTGTCATTGAGAATGTTCATAAGGACCTGGGAAAGAGGCATCAAATTCTGAGGGAGTGAGGTGGAATTTGGTAAATATCCATCTAGATAAATGTTATTCTTCTTTGAGAAATTTATCTTAAGGAAATATAGCATAACCACACAAACAATAAGAATACATGGACATAATGTTTTACACAAATGTTAATGACCGGGGACATGTTTATAATATAATTTCTTGTTAAAATTTTTTTGCATGTGATATCATTTATGTGTGTGCATTACATGTCAGTATCGCTCTAGATATAAATAGAAATAGACAAAATGATGGGCAGCTATTTTTAAATGTGGGAATTACACGATTTTTAATTTTTTCATTTTGCTTACTTTCCTCTCCTGCCAAAGCTCCCTACTATAAAAATGAGTAACTTCTGTAATCATAAAATACTGTATTTTTCATAAGGAGATTACCTATATTTGCGCTTTAAACCTAATTTTTATATCCTACTTAAATCAACTTATTTTTATTTTAATATGTTTCATGCAGTTTATTTCTGCAGATTTGGAATCCCCGCTTTACATCTGGATACAGAGAGCTGCTGGTGATTTGAATAGGCTGAAAGCACCCTAAGTAAACTTTTTTTCCATACACTAAGAACCAAAGGCTCATTTTTTTAAAGTCATTCAAATAAGGAAGTGATTGTTCACAGGCAAAAAAAATGCTATCAATTTTTGCAGGAGTTGTTGGGTCTTGGAGCCTGTAATGGGGACCGTGGAAAGCAGCACAAAAAAGTAGAACAAGAGCCTGCAGTATGTCAGTGAAATGCCAAGGGATGCAAAGCGACAGCATAATGCAGTGTGACGTGTCTCTGCAATGACATGTCAAGCCTGTACAATTCAAAGGCCGAGGTTTGCCTAAAACCTTGGCTAAAGCATGGTTCCAGTTAGTTACATGTAAGGGACCTCAACATAAAAAAAAAAGTTTATTAACAAAACACTTTTACTATGGGAAAATCTTCCTGTGACAAATATTTCCAGTGGAAAAGAATGGTTTGAATTGCTATTCTCTAAATAAAGCAGATTCTCCCACCCTAAAGGACTGCATTCCAATCAGGAAGCTTCAAAGCAAAAGAAGACACCATTATTTCTGTCTTTTCAGTGCCTTCATTCAAGTGTTCTTCCAAACTGATAACCGTATATGTGTACTGTCCTATCTGTATTACTTTGAGGGCAAGAAATCCTGGAAACGTGCTCTTCTGATTATTTACCTTACATCACATTATTTTTCAATTAAACACTATTATGCCAATTTTAGCAGCAGCTCTTCAAGTTTTGTCAGTTTGATTTTGCTTTAGCATTTTCAAAACTATAAGAGAGACTGATGTCATGCTTTCCTTTTTCACTTGCAGATTTATATTAGGACTTCTTTTACAGCTACTTTACAAGAAAATATCAGGACTCCATCAAATAATGAATAGATACACACTTTCTCCATTCTTTCTACTATCTATATTCATAGGAGTTCCATTTCATTGTTTCCTAAAATATAACACTTTGTTGAAACCATTAAAGTTAGAGACTTTTTCATTCACTGTGTTTCTACAGGCATTTTATAATATGGTCTCTGGTTATTAAAGCAAATATTGCACATTTTCAAAACTCCATATGAGAAATGTCCATGTTTAAGTTTTTGAAAATATCTCTTCCACTTCTGATTCTTTTAATGTGGTCTTAAAAATATATATAACAGACCACAAGGAACATGTTTATTAAGAGTATGTACATTAAATACTCAGAAGTGAGTAGGTAATGCTATGCAGATGTTGTCATGGTAAATATTCACGATAACATACATGAAAATGGCCAGAACTCAAGTTTAGATCTAGCCCAGCCAGACATAAATTACTGGCTGTTATTTTTCAAAATGTTTTCCTTTATTTTAGCCTTAATGAATAAATGTTTTCAGATCCGATACAATAATGTTTGAATTCTGTTGAAACCACAATTTTCTTCTACTCCATATTCACCACGAGCTGTATAAAGACAGAACTAAGAGGTTGTGCTTCCCTGGAGATCTCTCTTTAGTACATTTACATGGTTTGGGTTATTTTTCTAGAAGTTGCAAGTTGGTCTGCTAGAGAAATCTCATAAAAATGGTCTAAAGATGTTTCCTTAAAGAGAAGGGCTTTTCTTTAAATGATTTTCATCCAGTTATTTATTGGAAGAATAGAATTGAATACTAACTAAATGCAGAGTTGCATTTAATTCATGACAGCCCTCTCGTTCAGCAAAACATATTTTTAAAAAATCACTATACAAGAAAGTCACTGAGGTTCTAATCTTCCTGAATCTTTTATAGCTGAAATGGAATCATTGAACTTCCATTTGGGCTTCACTTATGCCATCATGTGAAAGGCGATGAAAAATATCATGATGTCTATTGCTTAAAAATTGATACTTTATGCTAGCTTAAAACTCATATTTGGAGTTATCAGTCAAAGTTTCCTTGAAGCTCTTAAATGCAAATAATACTAGTCCCAGAAGAAAAAAACTGGAAAGCTAGTTTGTGCCCAAACTACAAGGTATCTCTTGGATTAAAGATCTCAAAACTCCTGGTTTATTTTCCTAGTTTCTCACTACATAGATGATAGAATAACAGATTTATTCAAAACTTCATACAGACTATGTATGCTTGATCAAGTCTCATAAATGGCAAGGACTTTAGTTGCTTTAACTCTCAAATGTTAGAGCAACTTCTGTCTTAATACATTTCTAAAATATATGGCAGATTATCTATTTACTACTTTGAATTGCTTGCTATTTTATATCCCTTATGAATTATAATATAACTCTTCTCAGCATCTGATATATTGCCCAGCACATAGTAGGCACTCAGCATATGTTTGCTATTGCTGATGGCATTCTGTAGCTTACTCTTACCTTGATATCAGAGAGCAGTGTTATAGTTGACAGACGTTAGCCTGCTTTATCTAAAATAAATGCTTTCTCTTGCCTTTACTGATAACATGCTGTTAACAGCATGCTGTGTTACCTAATATAATATGTGAAGTTTAATCACCAAAAGTAGCTACTTCAGAATACACCTAAAGGAATGACCTGATTAATGTGGCTTATTCCCAAAGCAGAAGCTATGGCTTCAACAAATTCTAAAATGCAGAACATGAGTTTACATGAGCAACAAGCATTAGAATACAAGTCTCCATTCTGTTATTCATTTTGTTCAATCACCTGTGAAGAGGGCCTTAATCTGTGATTGTTTATGACAAAACATATTATAGTATGTTTATGTCCTTCAGCTTCAATGTTGTAGCAGTCAGTTACTTTGTCCTGGGCAATCAGTGCTTGTAAAAAGCAGCTGAAATGTTTCCCTTCACAAAAGTCCTTCCAAATAATCCTCCCTGGGAATGTGCACCATAATATCAGAACATGGGCTAGCTTGAGGTCACCAATGCTGACAGTTCCTGCCTTTGGGGAGAAAAGAGACAGTGGAGACTTCCCAACAAATGTGTATTTGACTTACTTCTCCTTTATCTGTTCACAGAACAAGTGTCACACAAGGGATTACAAAGTCAATGGCGATTTCCCTATTTAAATACTGTATGTATTAGGCTGAGTTCCAAGACGGGAAGAACCAATCATCTACTAATGCTTCATGACTTGTCAGGTCCTGAGCAACTCAGCCTTGTAGTTAAACATAGTACTTATCATGAGGGCTTTGATGTTCAACACAAAATGAAACTGATGTATTTAGAAAACAATAAGCAGGACAAAATTGCTGAATTGACCCAGGAAAAGGACATTTCTACAGAGGTCAGTTAATTCATGACAATTTTAGAATGCATTACTGAGAGCTGCTTTGTTTGCTTTGATTTTCTATAGAAAAACAAAACCAGACAAATGTGACAAGGTAGAATGCATGACTCAACAGTCTCCTTTAATTGACCAACCCAGTGGCCCAGACACCCAGGATAGCCTATTGCTTTCTCATGGACCATTGCTACTAAAAATGTGCACTTGACTTCAGGATATACATGAGGATGGAAAAGTTTCTTGTTGACAGAAAGCCAGCAAATAATACCATGGTTTCTCTCTATGACCTGCACTTTCACAGGTTTTTTAGGCATTGCACGGACAAATGCTCTTTCTTTTAATAAAACTCATCCATTCTGTAAAACTTATGTTGTACAAATTTCTCTGAGAAAAATCAGATGGAAGTATAGTAACTTACACTTCTTCCCCAAGTGTATTTGGAAATGCATCAGATTTAGAAACCAAGGAAATACTTACCATATGTTGGGGAGGGGAGGATGAAATGAAATTGGATGTTTTTCATATGTGAATATAGCTTTGCTTTAGTTCATGTAAAAAAATCATGAAGGAGCCAGTACATTTGTATATTTCATTTAAAATATCTCTGTGTTTTACAGAAACCTGCCCTTAAACTTGTACTGAGCAGTTTTATAAATTTTCATATTTTATGCTATAAAACCAACATGTATAAAAACTCCTCTGTCAGAATAACACCTGAAAAGGCATGCAGATAGACTTGGCCTTCCAATACATGTTACTCAGAATCAAACAAATAGTGGTTAAAGAAATATTTTTTGAAAAGTCAGGTGCAAAGCAAAACCAAAAGTGCTCTAGGCAGAAGCAAAAGTACTATAGCAGAGTAATCTGCTATAGTCAGAAGATTACTACATTTCTTTGATTTTTGCCCATGTGGGGCCTCCTGCTGCGGTGAAGGTGTTGATAATATGAATACCCACATAGCTAATTTACAGAACCTTGGTGTGGAACTCCCTAATTCAAGAACCCCAAGGAAATGCTGGCCTCCCTGGTGAAAAAGCCATAAAATGACTGTTTATTTAAATGAGTTAATCTCCAGCTCTTTAAAAGTATCTATGGGATTCTCATTGTGAAGCCTACCCCTTCTTCAAGATATTGGCTCTTTCACAAAACAAAAATCCACGCGTTTTTGAGTAGGTGCGTAATAGTTCCACGGCATTACACTTTTAATTACCTTTACTTAAATAGCAAGCAATTTTATTAAACAGTTAAAGCCACAGTTTCTTATATGCTTTCCCATTTTGAAACCTTTACTTATTTCAATGAACTGGCTTCATATAAAAAACCTAGATGAAAGTATTCCAGTCTGCAAACTCCATACTAATAGTTAAATACATTGCCCATTTGATGCCTACCCTGACACGAATATAAGACATTATCTGACTTCATTACCACAAAGCTCACCTATTTTATCAGATAAGTTGACCTTCAGTAATTCAGACAATGATTAGATGAAGAGCAAAATAGCCCCCAGCAATTAAGAAGCATATTTAAAAGCACTTTAGACCAAATGCACCTCTTGCAGGATTTATTTTTTCCTTCATTCTCTGTAGAGTATTTTCCAGATTCAGTCTTATAATTGAAAGAAAATTTAATCCTGCATTAACCATGTAATCATTTTGCAAACTAGGTTTTGAAACTACTCTTTGTTGAAGTGGGTTAGTCCAGAATTTGTGGGTTAAAGCTGTGAGACCCTATTTAAAATCTTGTAGATTTAGCATACCTTACAAACTCTCTACTTTCATTCTTATTGAAGTCACTTGAATACTAATTCTTAGCATTTAGCACCTTTCTTCTAAAAGCATGAAGTGTTATAAGCATGCTAGAAAAGACAGTGAAAACTATATTACGAGGTAAGGAAAATGTATTCCTACTTCCTACTTAGCGACTGGATAATATAGAAACAAATCCATAGCTATTAACTGGGCTTCTTGACAATGAAATAAATAAAACAAATTTCCCTAAAGCCTCGAGGATAACAGTGAACAGAATTAGGTGTTTTGTAACTGCTTTTGATTAAGATAGCATTTTATTCTTATGTAAAAGTATTTTTCTAAATTTTATTGTAGAAAAATAAAAATATTAGTAGCTGTCATATATTTGCATAGTTACTTGCATTTTAAACAACCCTTTTGCACAGTGTATCTAACTAAACGTTTCATAAATTTCTTTTTTTTTAATTTTATTTTATTATTATTTTTTCTTTTATTATTATACTTTAAGTTTTAGGGTACATGTGCACATTGTGCAGGTTAGTTACATATGTATACATGTGCCATGCTGGTGCGCTGCACCCACTAACTCGTCATCTAGCATTAGGTATATCTCCCAGTGCTATCCCTCCCCCCTCCCCCCACCCCACAACAGTCCCCAGAGTGTGATGTTCCCCTTCCTGTGTCCATGTGATCTCATTGTTCAATTCCCACCTATGAGTGAGAATATGCATTGTTTGGTTTTTTGTTCTTGCGATAGTTTACTGAGAATGATGATTTCCAATTTAATCCATGTCCCTACAAAGGACATGAACTCATCATTTTTTAGGGCTGCATAGTATTCCATGGTGTATATGTGCCACATTTTCTGAATCCAGTCTATCATTGTTGGACATTTGGGTTGGTTCCAAGTCTTTGCTATTGTGAATAGTGCCGCAATAAACATACGTGTGCATGTGTCTTTATAGCAGCATGATTTATAGTCCTTTGGGTATATACCCAGTAATGGGATGGCTGGGTCAAATGGTAATTCTAGTTCTAGATCCCTGAGGAATCGCCACACTGACTTCCACAATGGTTGAACTAGTTTACAGTCCCACCAACAGTGTAAAAGTGTTCCTATTTCTCCACATCCTCTCCAGCACCTGTTGTTTCCTGACTTTTTAATGATTGCCATTCTAACTGGTGTGAGATGGTATCTCATTGTGGTTTTGATTTGCATTTCTCTGATGGCCAGTGATGATGAGCATTTTTTCATGTGTTTTTTGGCTGCATAAATGTCTTCTTTTGAGAAGTGTCTGTTCATGTCCTTTGCCCACTTTTTGATGGGGTTGTTTGTTTTTTTCTTGTAAATTTGTTTGAGTTCATTGTAGATTCTTAATATTAGCCCTTTGTCAGATGAGTAGGTTGCGAAAATTTTCTCCCATTTTGTAGGTTGCCTGTTCACTCTGATGGTAGTTTCTTTTGCTGTACAGAAGCTCTTTAGTTTAATTAGATCCCATTTGTCAATTTTGGCTTTTGTTGCCATTGCTTTTGGTGTTTTAGACATGAAGTCCTTGCCCATGCCTATGTCCTGAATGGTAAAGCCTAGGTTTTCTTCTAGGGTTTTTATGGTTTTAGGTCTAACGTTTAAGTCTTTAATCCATCTTGAATTGATTTTTGTATAAGGTGTAAGGAAGGGATCCAGTTTCAGCTTTCTACATATGGCTAGCCAGTTTTCCCAGCACCATTTATTAAATAGGGAATCCTTTCCCCATTGCTTGTTTTTCTCAGGTTTGTCAAAGATCAGATAGTTGTAGATATGCGGCGTTATTTCTGAGGGCTCTGTTCTGTTCCATTGATCTATATCTCTGTTTTGGTACCAGTACCATGCTGTTTTGGTTACTGTAGCCGTGTAGTATAGTTTGAAGTCAGGTAGTGTGATGCCTCCAGCTTTGTTCTTTTGGCTCAGGATTGACTTGGCGATGCGGGCTCTTTTTTGGTTCCATATGAACTTTAAAGTAGTTTTTTCCAATTCTGTGAAGAAAGGCATTGGTAGCTTGATGGGGATGGCATTGAATCTGTAAATTACCTTGGGCAGTATGGCCATTTTCACGATATTGATTCTTCCTACCCATGAGCATGGAATGTTCTTACATTTGTTTGTATCCTCTTTTATTTCCTTGAGCAGTGGTTTGTAGTTCTCCTTGAAGAGGTCCTTCACATCCCTTGTAAGTTGGATTCCTAGGTATTTTATTCTCTTTGAAGCAATTGTGAATGGGAGTTCACTCATGATTTGGCTCTCTGTTTGTCTGTTGTTGGTGTATAAGAATGCTTGGATTTTTGTACATTGATTTTGTATCCTGAGACTTTGCTGAAGTTGCTTATCAGCTTAAGGAGATTTTGTGCTGAGACAATGGGGTTTTCTAGATATACAATCATGTCGTCTGCAAAGAGGGACAATTTGACTTCCTCTTTTCCTAACTGAATACCCTTTATTTCCTTCTCCTGCCTAATTGCCCTGGCCAGAACTTCCAACACTATGTTGAATAGGAGTGGTGAGAGAGGGCATCCCTGTCTTGTGCCAGTTTTCAAAGGGAATGCTTCCAGTTTTTGCCCATTCAGTATGATATTGGCTGTGGGTTTGTCATAGATAGCTCTTATTATTTTGAAATATGTCCCATCAATACCTAATTTATTGAGAGTTTTTAGCATGAAGGGTTGTTGAATTTTGTCAAAGGCCTTTTCTGCATCTATTGAGAAAATCATGTGGTTTTTGTCTTTGGCTCTGTCTATATGCTGGATTACATTTATTGATTTGCATATATTGAACCAGCCTTGCATCCCAGGGATGAAGCCCACTTGATCATGGTGGATAAGCTTTTTGATGTGCTGCTGGATTCGTTTGGCCAGTATTTTATTGAGGATTTTTGCATCAATGTTCATCAAGGATGTTGGTCTAAAATTCTCTTTTTTGGTTGTGTCCCTGCCAGGCTTTGGTATCAGAATGATGCTGGCCTCATAAAATGAGTTAGGGAGGATTCCCTCTTTTTCTATTGATTGGAATAGTTTCAGAAGGAATGGTACCAGTTCCTCCTTGTACCTCTGATAGAATTCAGCTGTGAATCCATCTGGTCCTGGACTCTTTTTGGTTGGTAAGCTATTGATTATTGCCACAATTTCAGATCCTGTTATTGGTCTATTCAGAGATTCAACTTCTTCCTGGTTTAGTCTTGGGAGAGTGTATGTGTCGATGAATTTATCCATTTCTTCTAGATTTTCTAGTTTATTTGGGTAGAGGTGTTTGTAGTATTCTCTGATTGTAGTTTGTATTTCTGTGGGATCGGTGGTGATATCCCCTTTATCATTTTTTATTGCATCTATTTGATTCTTCTCCCTTTTTTTCTTTATTAGTCTTGCTAGCAGTCTATCAATTTTGTTGATCCTTTCAAAAAACCAGCTCCTGGATTCATTAATTTTTTGAAGGGTTTTTTGTGTCTCTATTTCCTTCAGTTCTGCTCTGATTTTAGTTATTTCTTGCCTTCTGCTAGCTTTTGAATGTGTTTGCTCTTGCTTCTCTAGTTCTTTTAATTGTGATGTTAGGGTGTCAATTTTGGATCTTTCCTGCTTTCTCTGGTGGGCATTTAGTGCTATAAATTTCCCTCTACACACTGCTTTGAATGCGTCCCAGAGATTCTGGTATGTTGTGTCTTTGTTCTTGTTGGTTTCAAAGAACATCTTTATTTCTGCCTTCATTTCGTTATGTACCCAGTAGTCATTCAGGAGCAGGTTGTTCAGTTTCCATGTAGTTGAGCGGTTTTGAGTGAGATTCTTAATCCTGAGTTCTAGTTTGATTGCACTGTGGTCTGAGAGATAGTTTGTTATAATTTGTGTTCTTTTACATTTGCTGAGGAGAGCTTTACTTCCAAGTATGTGGTCAATTTTGGAATAGGTGTGGTGTGGTGCAGAAAAAAATGTATATTCTGTGGATTTGGGGTGGAGAGTTCTGTAGATGTCTATTAGGTCCGCTTGGTGCAGAGGTGAGTTCAATTCCTGGGTATCCTTGTTGACTTTCTGTCTCGTTGATCTGTCTAATGTTGACAGTGGGGTGTTAAAGTCTCCCATTATTAATGTGTGGGAGTCTAAGTCTCTTTGTAGGTCACTAAGGACTTGCTTTATGAATCTGGGTGCTCCTGTATTGGGTGCATATATATTTAGGACAGTTAGCTCTTCTTGTTGAATTGATCCCTTTACCATTATGTAATGGCCTTCTTTGTCTCTTTTGATCTTTGTTGGTTTAAAGTCTGTTTTATCAGAAACTAGGATTGCAACCCCTGCCTTTTTTTGTTTTCCATTTGCTTGGTAGATCTTCCTCCATCCTTTTATTTTGAGCCTATGTGTATCTCTGCACATGAGATGGGTTTCCTGAATACAGCACACTGATGGGTCTTGACTCTTTATCCAATTTGCCAGTCTGTGTCTTTTAATTGGAGCATTTAGTCCATTTACATTTAAAGTTAATATTGTTATGTGTGAATTTGATCCTGTCATTATGATGTTAGCTGGTGATTTTGCTTGTTAGTTGATGCAGTTTCTTCCTAGTCTCGATGGTCTTTACATTTTGGCATGATTTTGCAGCAGCTGACACCGGTTGTCCCTTTCCATGTTTAGCGCTTCCTTCAGGAGCTCTTTTAGGGCAGGCCTGGTGGTGACAAAATCTCTCAGCATTTGCTTGTCTGTAAAGTATTTTATTTCTCCTTCACTTATGAAGCTTAGTTTGGCTGGATGTGAAATTCTGGGTTGAAAATTCTTTCCTTTAAGAATGTTGAATATTGGCCCCCACTCTCTTCTGGCTTGTAGGGTTTCTGCTGAGAGATCCGCTGTTAGTCTGATGGGTTTCCCTTTGAGGGTAACCCGACCTTTCTCTCTGGCTGCCCTTAACATTTTTTCCTTCATTTCAACTTTGGTGAATCTGATAATTATGTGTCTTGGAGTTGCTCTTCTCGAGGAGTATCTTTGTGGTGTTCTCTGTATTTCCTGAATCTGAACGTTGGCCTGCCTTGTTAGATTGGGGAAGTTCTCCTGGATAATATCCTGCAGAGTGTTTTCCAACTTGGTTCCATTCTCCCCGTCACTTTCAGGTACACCAATCAGACGTAGATTTGGTCTTTTCACATAGTCCCATATTTCTTGGAGGCTTTGCTCATTTCTTTTTATTCTTTTTTCTCTAAACTTCCCTTCTCACTTCATTTCATTCATTTCATCTTCCATTGCTGATACCCTTTCTTCCAGTTGATCGCATCGGCTCCTGAGGCTTCTGCATTCTTCACGTAGTTCTCGAGCCTTGGTTTTCAGCTCCATCAGCTCCTTTAAGCACTTCTCTGTATTGGTTATTCTAGTTATACATTCTTCTCAATTTTTTTCAAAGTTTTCAACTTCTTTGCCTTTGGTTTGAATGTCCTCCCATAGCTCAGAGTAATTTGATCGTCTGAAGCCTTCTTCTCTCAGCTTGTCAAAGTCGTTCTCCGTCCAGCTTTGTTCTGTTGCTGGTGAGGAACTGTGTTCCTTTGGAGGAGGAGAGGCGCTCTGCTTTTTAGAGTTTCCAGTTTTTCTGTTCTGTTTTTTCCCCATCTTTGTGGTTTTATCTACTTTTGGTCTTTGATGATGGTGATGTACAGATGGGTTTTTGGTGTGGATGTCCTTTCTGTTTGTTAGTTTTCCTTCTAACAGACAGGACCCTCAGGTGCAGGTCTGTTGGAGTACCCTGCCGTGCGAGGTGTCAGTGTGCCCCTGCTGGGGGTGCCTCCCAGTTAGGCTGCTCGGGGGTCAGGGGTCAGGTACCCACTTGAGGAGGCAGTCTGCCCGTTCTCAGATCTCCAGCTGCGTACTGGGACAACCACTGCTCTCTTCAAAGCTGTCAGACAGGGACATTTAAGTCTGCAGAGGTTACTGCTGTCTTTTTGTTTGTCTGTGCCCTGCCCCCAGAGGTGGAGCCTACAGAGGCAGGCAGGCCTCCTTGAGCTGTGGTGGGCTCCACCCAGTTCGAGCTTCCCGGCTGCTTTGTTTACCTAAGCAAGCCTGGGCAATGGCGGGCGCCCCTCCCCCAGCCTGGCTGCTGCCTTGCAGTCTGATCTCAGACTGCTGTGCTAGCAATCAGTGAGACTCTGTGGGCGTAGGACCCTCCCTGCCAGGTGTGGGATATAAACTCGCGCTGCGCCGTTTTTTAAGCCCGTCGGAAAAGCGCAGTATTCGGGTGGGAGTGACCCGATTTTCCAGGTGAGTCCGTCACCCCTTTCTTTGACTCGGAAAGGGAACTCCCTGACCCCTTGCGCTTCCGGAGTGAGGCAATGCCTCGCCCTGCTTCGGCTCGCGCACGGTGGGCGCACCCACTGACCTGTGCCCACTGTCTGGCACTCCCTACTGAGATGAACCTGGTACCTCAGATGGAAATGCAGAAATCACCCGTCTTCTGCGTCGCTCACGCTGGGAGCTGTAGACTGGAGCTGTTCCTATTCGGCCATCTTGGCTCCTCCCACGTTTCATAAATTTCTAAGGTAATATGTCTGTCAATATTTTCAGTGTTTAGTGACAGAAATCCAAGGAAAATTAGTACCTTAAGGAAAAGGAAAATTTATTGGCTCATGAAACAAACAAGCAAAAAATAGGCTTTAGGCATTTGAATTCTGGGATTCGAAATGAAATGTTCTCTCTCTCTCAGCTCCCACCTTACCTTCATTCTCACTACAAGTAGTGGCAACGTGGCCAATGGCAAATTGAAGTCAAATTTCTCTCATTGCTTACACCTCAGAAAAAGGGAGTTTTGTTTCTGGTTAGGTCCAGCAAAAGTCTTAAGAGAATATTAATTGGTATAGCCTGGGTCAAATATCTATTTCTGTAACAATGGCCATGGCTAATCACTGGTCAGATTGTTCAGGACAGGTCATGTGTTTCCCTTGACAGAACCTGATCAACTTCTCTCAAACCACCTGAACTAATAATGAGTTTACGGTGGAACCGAGATGCCAGGGGTGGGGCAGGAGTTGGGGAGAGCGTAAGCATTGTTCTCCAAAAAGGGCTCCAGATGTTATATGCATACACTCACTACTGGTATCTTACAATTCTCTTTTATAGTTGAAAAACCTGAGAGCAAAAGAGATTAGATACCTTGATTTGTATTTTCAAGCTCATTAAAATCAGATCTAATAATTTAAAACTGTGAGTTACATAACGAACAGAACACCCAGTTACCTCATTTACCAATGAGAAAACTAAGGCATCCTGGGAAAGGTAAAGTTTGAAACTTTTAGAACCAAAACAAGATCATAGGTGTTTTTGTTTGTTTGTTTTGTCATTTTGTTTTGTTTTGAGACACAGTCTTGCTTCGTCGCCTAGGCTGGAGTGCAGTGACTCACTGCAACCTCTGCTTCCCAGGTTCAAGCGATTATCCTGCCTCAGCTTCCTGTGTAGCTGGGACCACAGTTGTGTGCCACCACGCCCGACTAATTTTTATATTTTTTGTAGAGATGCGGTTTTGCCACTTTCGCCAGTCTGAAGACCATAGCTTTCTTAGCACTCAACAATACTGTCATTCCAGGCTATTAATTACATTCTTCATTCTGTGATTCCAAGCTATTAATTATATTCTTTTTGAAAATTAATAATCAACAACTGTGTGTGTGCTGCCTCTATATCTGCAAAAATATGTGATTGTATAGAAACACTCTATACTATTGCAATAAGCAAATACTTCAGTGCTATCTAAAGGATAACAAAACTGGCCCAAATTGTGAGATTTTTTTTTCTGAGTTGATATTTTGAGTGTGAATAATTTTTATAACCTTTAATTAAAAGGTAAGATCTTTTAAGTGCTGACTTATACATCATAGTCTTAACTGCTTTTCTGAGATCTTTGATATCTAGAACAAAGGTGAATTATATTGGAAGAGACATTTGAAGCATTTTTTGCAGCTGAAATTATCTAATGACAAGTATTTATTAATATTGTGAGGTTTTTCCAGAGGTCTTTCTTCTCAAAGCATCAGCTTGGAATCCTGCCATCTAGCAGGACTCTATTTATTCAAAGAGGGTGCTTACTGTCAGGACTGAGTGCTCTACATACTCTCCTGGGAATTCAGAGCCTTACAGTTCTTGTATGAATCCTTTTCTCTATTTCTTACCTAAGATGTATCTACTCCTAAAACCATTCATTTGTACCTCTCTTTAATCCCAAAACTGACCTTTTTTGTGGGAAAAGCCCCTGTTGCCTGAGAAACATTTTCTACTTGGGAAGGGGTCAGGCAAAACCTAAACTTCATTTGGAGTTGAGAGTCACACTGATTCAGAAGGATGCTCCTGGTCATATTTGGGAATTTTATTTTGTAGGTGCAGTATCCTAAGAACATCTTCCTCCTAATTAAGCCAATTTTCACATAAATTTGAAAAAGAAGTGCACTTTTCAATGGGAATATATATATACATACATATATGTATATATACATATATGAATATATACACATATATATGTGTGTGTATATATATATTTTGCAGTTGGAAAAGGAGTCCTTGTAGAAGAAGATCAACATTTATTGGGAAAATTCTTTGGCGTATTGCTTAGAGTAGAAATAAAGAAGTTTTATGTCCTAGGAGTGGATAAAATTCATGTGCATAAAACATAAAAAGAATTTGGTAGGTGGCTCTGAATAGGTAAGAAGAGACAAGAGAAAAAACAGAAAGTATGTATGCAGTTATTTATACAGGAAGGACTCACTTTCCCTTCCTGTGATTCCCCAAATCATCTGGGACACCACCATCACAGAATACTCTGTGATGTGGTGTGTGTGTGTGTGTGTGTGTGTGTGTGTGTGTGTGCGCTCACACAACAAGTGAGGTGGATGGGCTGTAATTGAAAATAGCAGGTGCAGAGTCAAGAAGGAGGATATAGAGAAAAAAATATTAGAAATTAAACCCTAGAGAGTTGCAGAAAAATTTGGTGAGGGCCTACACATGGGTGGTAGAACTGGGATTCTTATCAGGTGTAGCCACTTCTCTGAGACAAAGAGCCTGCCATTCTTACATCATTATTCTTTCATTGTCTAATGGGCCTGCTTCTTTGCCATATGTCATTTTGGTCCATACACTTAACAACTGAGCATCTGCAACCCTCCACCCCATAAGTCACTGTGTAATAAGAAAGGACATTTTGTAAAGTTCTTAAGTCTTTTGAACTGCCTCTTACTGTAAGTGACAAAACCTGAAACAATGACTTAAAAGAACAGATTACTTACTAGCTAATACAAAAGGAAATCAGAAATAGGTAGGGTTTAGTGTTGGCTAATCCACCACTGATATGGTTAGGCTTTGTGTCTCCACCCAAATTTCATCTTGAATTGTAATCCCCATAATCCCCATATATCTAGGGAGAGACCAGGTGGACGTAATTGGATCATGGGGGTGGTTCTCCCATGCTGTTCTCTTGATAGTGAGTGAGTTCTCATGAGATCTGATGGTTTTATAAGGAGCTCTTCCCCCTTTGCTCTTCACTATTCTCCTTCCTGCTGCCTTGTGAAGAAGGTACCTGTTTGCTCTTTGCCTTCTGCTGTGATTGTAAGTTTCCTGAGGCCTCCCCAGCCATGCTGAACTGTGAGTCAATTAAACTTCTTTCCTTTATAAATTACCCAGTCTTGGGCAGTTCTTTATGGCAGTATGAAAACGGACTAATACTAGCACCTCAAAAATCTTCCCATTGGACTCTCTCTCAATTGGCTTTATCTCATTTCTTCATAGATTTGAGACAAATGCCCAAAGTAATAGGGGCTACATGTTTTCTCATTCACAACCATTGGGGAGAAATATAAAGCTTTCCTATTCTCTCTTAAAAGCAAGGAAGAACTTTCCCAAGGGCCTGTCATAAACCTCAAGGCATGGCTTGTTGTCCAGAATTGGTCACATGACCATGACTAAAGCAATCTCTGGCAAGTTGGTTGGGACTATCCCAGGACCAACTAAACCTGCTTCCAGATCTGGGGAAAAATTCCCAAATTATCATCTTGCTATTTGAGGGGAGTATTAATACACCACATTGTATCAACTGCCAAATATTATGTTAGATGACAGATAAAACTGGTACCCATTACTTTCCACCTGAGAACGTTCCAAATAACTGTAGAATAAGATTTCAATTGCTAAGACAAGTATGGAAACTTGACCATAAAACCGATTTTTTTTTTTCAGTTCTGAAAACTGTAAAGAGTCCTACTCATAGTGAGCAGGGCTGAGAAAATGATTCTAAAGTATTGCTAGAAATGCTCTATGAACTAATGATTTTTTGAGTTCTATGAGAATATTTTTTAGGTATTTCTGATTATTTTCTTTCTTTAAAACTTGACAAAATAAAGAGCATTTCTGAATTGTTCACCCATGAAAATGACAGAGCTCAAACTTGAAACTTTTATGTAAAGAAGGGAATCAGGAATGTTTATGCTTATATTACATTTTGTGCAGAAAATGATCCTTAAATGTAAAGGGAAATCAAGATGAGCATTTTTCTTCTCATCCATTCACATTGACATTGCCTTTGTAAGAGAACTCATCAGGAAGGATTATGTAAAGTATCCTGAATATTTTCACAGACCAAAGAGGGAATCAGCTCAAGGAAGGCACTGGTTAATGGTTTGATCTCAAACAGAGAGCACTTTCTCTGATGACCGTTGGCTGTACCTACATCTGATGGGTTTGTTTATTTTTAATTGCTCCACAGTTGTCCCAGAGTGTGAGAAGTCGAGTTCCATTGAGCTGGCACTTCTAGTTTTAATTTATGCATGAGTATGTACATTGTTTTTCTCCTGCAGTTCTCAAAGAATTTTATGAGCCATTACTGAGTGACTAAAATGGGTGCAGGTTTTGCAAGCCTCTGCCAGAAGATGTTTATTACTGTCATCATTCTTAGGAAAATCATGTTCCAGCAGGTTCAGGCAGTGTGCAAAACGTGGCACATGTGTGAATTGGCCATTTCACACTGCTCTTACAATATTGTCAGTAATAATAAAACCAAGGGAAAGACCTTGGGGAGGGGGATAAGCTACACATTAATTTGGTCATGAAGCTTTGATATGTGATCTTTGTTAGACCCAGAGATGCAAAGTGCAGCTGGTTTTGTAAACTTCCCACCATGGGCTGAGGCAATAGCTTTATTTTAAAAGTTCCCACTTCTGAGGGTGGTTCCTATCTCATGAATTCATGTCCAGAATGTAATATCCTTGAAAGCTTCTGGATGATTCTGTCTCTGTACTTGTTTTGTTAATTTTGAAAAACCACGTCACAGGTCATCTAAACTTCAGTGGTAAGAAAAGCAAAACCCACTCAAGGTGGCAATTCAAATTACAGCACATCACTAGCATTGTAAAGCCTGCTGCAAACACTTCCATATTCATCTTTCCACCTGGCATCCCTATATTTCTAGAACAATGTTTTGTCTTCCTTTGGGATGGTTGTTTTTTGGTGGTTGTGAACAGAGTCCAGACATGTGAATTTGTACACATATTCAGCTAAATATCTCAGGTCCATACCTCTTGTCTATTACATTATATTGTCCCTACTTCCTCTTTCACCTGTTTCAGTGCCACTTCTCTTTTGATTCCTGAGAGTAATTGTCATGATGCAGCCATTTTTATATATCCTCAGAAACACTCTCAATATTTATATCCACTAATTGTATATAATTTATTTATTGTAATAAATTAAAAATGGGGAACTTATGTTTAATATTATCCCATAAAGGTTAAACTTTATTTCAAAAAGTCTAAATCAGTAAACACTCCAAAATTTATGCCATTTATATAAATAGGTAGCATATATTGATAACCTCTTAGTTCCAGTACATATAAATTAGCGAGAATAATTTGGGTTGAATTTTCTAAGGAGGGCATATAAACTTCCCTATAAAGTTCTGCAATCAAGGGTGAAAATATAAACAGCACAACGGAGTAAAAGATGGGGCCTGGACTATCACCCTTATTATTATTATTATTTATTTGTTCATTTATTTTTTGAAACTGAGTCTCACTCTATAGCCCAGCCTGGAATGCAATGGCACAATCTCAGCTCACTGCAACATCCGCCTCCCAGGTTCAAGTGATTCTCCTTTCTCAGCCTCCCGAGTAGCTGGAATTATATGTGCGTGCCACCACGCCTAGCTAATTTTTGTATTTTTAGTAGAGATGGGCTTTCACCATGTTGGTCAGGCTGGTCTCAAACTCCTGACCTTGTGATCCACTCGCCTCAGCCTCCAAAAGTGCTGAGATTACAGGCATGAGCCACCGCACCCGGCCCACACCTATTATTAATTAAATCTAAGTTTAAAGCAATTTTTTTAGAGTTAGAGTGAAATGGGCTTCCTAAGTCTGAAGCTCAGAGTTAGAGAGCCTATCCATCCAGTCAAACAGACTGGGTCAAGATACCTCTTGCCTGCAACGGCAGAGACTGCCCTTTATACATGAGAGGCAACTTCCTCCCAGAGCTGAGCAAACTGTTCCCAATTTTAGTAATCAGTAAGAAGGCAGAGTGAGCCTTCTGTAGTACTTAGGGATGAGTCCTCTTCATTAAGACCAGGAGCATTGAACTGACTTTCCTACCTAACATTCCCATAATTACTGGATGTATGTGTGGTCACTGACTGAAATAATCAAATGAAAACTACAGCCAGTCTTTGTCTTATCTTTATTTATTTTGTTTCCCATAAAAAGTTGTCTTTTTTTTGTACTTTTACAAAAACAATGTATTTTAAATAACTCATATATTGCAGTCTAAATGAGATTTCAAGTACAATTTCATGGGACATACTTATGCTAAAATTTAATTGTTGTTTATCTGAAAATCAAATTTAAATGGGTGCCAAGTATTTTTATTCAATAAATTTGTCAACCCTAATTTTAAGGAATTTTATTTTTGTTTAAAAATGTTTGAATTCATCACTTCCAGCTCTGGTTCTAAATTTCCATGTTTTATCCCCAAGACTCACTTTTCTTCCTAGCTATTTAAAAACGGCCTGGTTTTGGGTTAGGGGTAATTGCCTCATTCCATGATCCAGAGATGATTTTTGATAGGTCTAACCCTGTTGAGGTAACCCTATGCCACAATAGTAATTGATTCAGGGACCTAAAATCTATACCGTTAGCATATGATACTTCTTTGTTGACAGATAATTTTTCTGGAATGGGCATATGATCAAATAAAAGGGCCAAGTTGAGTCAAGCTTCAAAAATAATTATGCTTCTAGGAAAGATGATTTTCAGATTTCTCAAAGACCTACTTGTAGCCAACTTTTGTTTCATTCTGAAAGATGTGGCATAAAGATATGAAGTCTGGAACTATAAGTCATTTTGACACCATGAAGAAAGTCAGTGCTGGGATAATGCTAGTACTATGGAATACAGGGAAATAAAATTAAACTGGATCTTTAATGGTAATACTGAGCTGCTAAACTGAGCCAAATATAATCCATTCATCCTCTGGAACTTCTGGTTATATTAGCCAACAAATCACTCATATCATTAAACATTCATTGTTAGGTGAGGTTGGGTTTTCTAATTATTACTATTATTATTATTTGAACTGTGAAGAGTCCTAATTTATACCAAACATTTTTATCCAATACAAATTGTTTTTGTTAAGGGATACTAATATTCTGGAGTTTGAAGGTGAAACGAATCACAAAAGTTCCTCTGTTATCAATATGAAATATTTTTGGACTCAGACCACAGTACGTGCTTAAATCACTGAGTGGATTGTAGTCAAAACTTAAAGTTGATTTTTATGTCCAAATGCTATGTTGTGCTCACTCTGTGATCAATTGCTAAATTGAGAATGCAAGGCAGTGAGATGATCACTGAGATAATTAAGACTTAATTCTCGAAGACTAAATTGAATACCTGGAGCTGAATTCAAAAACAAGAACGGTCCTAATTTGGAAGTGGCAAAAGAAAAAAGAGCTTTTATGAGATGTTTGAAACATGTCTGTAGACATCAATTTCCTAATATTTATTATTGAATATACACTTTTATATTTCTGGTTTTGGGTAAAAGTATTTTAATAGATGTCACAGTTTTCAGTGTGAAAAGTAGAAAAAAAGTTACAATTTTTCTTATGTTCCTTTTAGCTAGAATCACATAATATTATTGGAGGATGTGTCTTACCATTGATGTTGTCTTGTAGATACAGATAAAGAATATAGAGGTCTAACATAAAGTGCCAGTGAAATCAAGAGTGCCAATTTGATTATCACATGAGTAATGGTTTTAATTATTTCATTCAACAAATACATATTGAGTAGTTAATATGTGCCAGATGGTCTACTGCACCCTAGTGATTAAAAAATGGAAAACATAATATCTGCTCTCAAGTAACTCACAACCTAGTGAGAGAGACAAAGAAGTAAGGAAAATATTAGACCACAGCACAATATTTTATCATAGAACCATGAGTGTACTGGCAACTGTGGGAGCAAAAAATAAATAAATAAATAAATAAATAAATACAACTAACCCAGCCTAAAGCAAACAGATGCCTGAACTTCATCTTAACCCATTTATGCCTGAGGTTGCAATTTTTGAATATTTGCAATCAGACCTTGGTGATGACCTTGAGCAATAGGATATAAATAACTCCCACATACTTAGTGTTCCAACAATGGAACCCTAGGCATCAGTTGTAAAGCAGGAAGAAGAAACAGTAAGACAAGTAAGTGTGTGAGAAAGAGAGTTAGTGGTGGGGTTGTACGGAGGGTATTCAGAGAACAAACAGCAGATGGGTGCTGCATTTACCACATATGTGTGCTCAAAATGGCTAGAGTTTGTAATGCTTTGTAATAAATAAGAAGAGATGAAATTAGAGCCAAAAAATGTTGTGTGTTATATTGAGAAGTTGAGAATTTATTTAATCTTGGTGAGAATTCGTTGAGGAAATTTAAGTGATGGAATGATAAAGTATGATTGAAATCCTTCTGATCAAAATGAGAATAGGTACGAAAAAACAAAACTGATGACAAAAACTAGGTAGGAGGCTAAGTGTATCTATAATTTAGGTGGAAGTAATGACCATCTAAATTAAGGAGTCAGAGGTGGAGGTGGGAATATGAGAAGGTGTTTTTGGTTTTTGGTTTTTATTTGGTCATAGTCTGTGCCTATGGTTCTCAAAATTTCTAATATGAATTCTTTAGAATATATGAACTATACCTATTCAAATTCTACAGCAAAATATTAATCTGCATGTCTAGGTATGATATAAGAGGAAAGTTTCATTTTTTCTTCATCTATATATTCTAATTTTTCCCCTATGACCATATGTTTCTAACATAAATATGAGTTATAAAATATTTATAATGATTTGTTGATCATAGTTGGAGTAAAGTTAGCAAATCTTAATGTAAACCTTTTAATACAGCTGAAATATTATCTCAGAGCTAGCATTATTGACAGGTCAATTTATTTTTTGTTTATGAAGATATTATTTCTAAAGAATATATCATGTTAAAGTTAATTTTGCTTTTGATCATGTAAAGCTAACTGACAAGACTGACTTGCACTCCCACTTCAGATAACTAAGACACAGAAAAAGCATTATAAAAAAAAAAACTCCAGACATTTGAAAGCAAGCTGAACTGGAATTTTTTATATTAATAGGAGGCAAAAGAATCATAGCATGAACTTTATGATTACCATAGCTTCCTAACTGGAGGCACTAGACCATTGTGATAACAATAGCACAAGGAAGAGTAGGGAAAAATAAGTAAACTATTATAAGTTTGATTAATGTGAAGTGATATAACAGTGCTTGGTGGTAGAATTGATAAATTAAAGATGAGTGCTTTAAACCTTAGAGCAAATACACACATATACACACACAGCTAACATATAAATCACTAGGGGAGACAAAATATAATTATAAAAAATATCGAATTAAAAGAAGGCAAAGGAGCAAAACAAAAACAAGAAAAAGACATAGAAAACTTACTTATCTAACTATCTAATTATTATTCATTACATTAAGTGTAAATGGATCAAACACTCCAAATAAAAGGCAGAGTTTATTCAGACCAGGTAAAACAGCAAGACCCAAATGTATGCTCATACAAGAAATTTACTTTAGGTAAAAAGAAACAGATAATTTACAATAACAGATGGAAAAATATATATTATACAGACACTAAGCATAAAACTTTTGGAATGATTGTATTGACATCAAAGTACACTACATTCCAAGGAAAATTGCCAAGGATAAAGAGGTAAATTTCATGATAACAAAGGTTTAAATAATCAAGGAAGAATAAAAATCTTTATTAACTTATCTAAATGTGTATGCATCTAATAAAAGAAACTCAAAGTACATGAAACAAATATTGATAGACCTGAATGAAGAAATAGACATATCCACATTGATAGTTGCAGATTTCAACATTCTTTTTCAATAAGTGATAGCATAAGTAGACAAAAATCAGTAAAGATACAGATAACTCAAAAATACTTGAGATAGTATTGAAAAATACTTCTAAATTGTATTTTTTAACAAGAAAGTTGAAAATACTATCAACCAACTTTACCTATTGCAACTGATAGGTCTATATAAAGCACTACTTAAGAGCAGGAAAAGATATATTATTTTTAGTGTACATAATACATCCTCTAAGTTATATCATAAACTTTTCAAGTGTGTTAAGAAATTAAAAATATTGATATATTATAAAACATGGTCTCTGAACACAAAATAATTATGTTAGGAATCAGTAGAAATATGTAGAAAATCAACAAATATTTGGAAATTAAACAATATCCCTGTAAAACATAATTTCTCATAAATAATTTGAACTAAATAAAAATAAGAACACAACTTTAAAATGTGTAGGATACAGGTAAGGCTGTTTCCTTAGAGGAAAATGTGTTGCTTAAAATGCTTTATAACCTGGAAAAATGAGAGCAAATTAAACTCAAAATGAGTTTAAAGAAAGGAAATATTGACTATAAGGGCAGAAAAATGATCAAATGGAAAGCAGGTAATAGAAAAATAAGTGAAAGCAAAATCTGGTTTTAAGAGAGATCTGGTCAAGAATAGGAGACAATGAAATAACCAGTATCAGGAACAAAGCAGTAGCTCTCACTACAGATCCTACAAACACTGAAAAGATAATAAGGGGCTATGATGAACAAATATATCCTACTAAAATTTCCAACTTTGATGAGATGTACAAATTCATTCAAAGGTACAAAATTTAAAAATTTGAGATAAAGGAAAAAAAAGAACAACCAAAGCCCTGTCCTAATATATAGATACATTGAATCCATAGTTAAGTTTTTCCTATAAACAGTAGTCTAAGCTCATATGGCTTAAGAGATTTCAGTCAATATCAATTATATACAAAGTCTTCTAGAAAATAGAAGAGGGGAAGAATCCCTGCTTATTTCACAAGATAAGCATGTGCTTGTATGAAAACCAGACCAATACCCCTCAAAAACACAGAATTAAAAATCCTTAACAAAATATCAAATATATACCAATTGAGGTATATCTCAGGAATAAACAGCTGACTTAATATTTGAAAAATAATCAGTGTAATCTAATATATTAACAGAATAAAAGAGAAAAACCACTTTATCATGTTAATATATGGAGAAACAAATTTTGAAAAAAGTGCAGCACTGTTACGGGAAGTCAGGGACCCTGAACGGAGGGACCTGTTGGAGCTGCGGCTGAGGAACATAAATTGTGAAGATTTCATGGACATTTATCAGTTCCCAAAATTAATACTTTTATAGTTTCTTAACGCCTGTTTTTACTGCAATCTCTGAATATAAATTGTGAAGATTTGATGGACATTTGTCACTTCCCTAATAATACTCTTATAATTTCTTATGCCTGTCTTTACTTTAATCTCTTAATCCTGTTATCTTCGTAAGCTGAGAATGTATGTCACCTCGGGACCACTATTGTAGAAATCTGATTGTAAAACATGTGTGTTTGAACAATATGAAATCAGTGCACCCTGAAAACGAACAGAATAACAGCGATTTTAGGGAACAAGGGAAGACAACCATAAGGTCTGACTGCCTGCGGAGTCGGGCAAAAAGAGCCATATTTTTCTTCTTGCAGAGAGCCTATAAATGGACATGCAAGTAGGAGAGATATTGCTAAATTGTTTTCCTAGCAAGGAATATAATACTAACACCCTAGGAAAAGAATGGAATCCCTGGGGGGTGGTCTATAAATGGCTGCTCTGGGAGTGTCTGTCTTATGCAGTTGAGATAAGGACTGAAATATGCCCTGGTCTCCTGCAGTACCCTCAGGCTTATTAGGGTGGGGAAGAAACCTCACCCTGGTAAATTTGAGGTCAGACTGGTTCTCTGCTCTCGAACTCTGTTTTCTGTTGTTTAAGATGTTTATCAAGACAATATGCGCACAGCTGAACATAGACCCTCATCAGTAATTCTGATTTTGCCCTTTGCCTTGTGATCTTTGCTTTACCCTTTGCATTGTGATCTTTATTGCCCTTTAAAGCATGTGATCTTTGTGACCTACTCCCTGTTTGTACACCCCCTCCCCTTTTCAAGTCCTTAATAAAAACCTGCTGGTTTTGTGGCTCGGGTGGACATCACGGACCTACCAATATGTGATGTCATCCCTGGAGGCCTAGCTGTAAAATTCCTCTCTTTGTACTGTTTCTCTTTATTTCTCAGGCTGACCTACACTTAGGGAAAATAGAAAGAACCTAGGTTGAAATACTGGGGGCAGGTTCCCCTGATACAGCACTCATTTAAGTTTAAAAATATCAGCATACTAGGCTTAGAGAAAAAATTTCTCAACCTAATGAAAGGTATGTATGTAAAACTTACAGTGACCATTATACTTAGTAGTGGAATTCTGAATGCTTCCTTCTATGATAGAGAACACGGCAAGATAGCTGTTTTCTCTAATTCTATTCAGTGTTATAGTGGAGGGTCTAGCCTGTGCAAGAAGAAAAGAAAAATGAAATAAAAGATACATATATTAGAAGGCATTAATAAAACTGTCCTTGTGAAGAGATGACATGATTGTGTATATAGGACATTATAAAGAATCATCATCAACAATAACCAAAATGTTTAAAATAAATGAGTTTAACAAGATCTTAGGATAAAAGAGCAATATATAAAAAGCAAGTGTATTTCTAAACTAGCAAGACATAATTAGAAAATACAATTTCAAGTAAAATATACCATTTATAATGGCATACAAAAACATGGAATATTTAGGAATACATTTAACAGAATATATTCAAGATGTACACAGTGAATAACTGAAAACACTGTTGGAACAATTAAAAGATACTTTAAATATAAGTGAAATGTAAATTAGTATATAGATGCTATACAATCCCAGTAAAAATTCAGTCATGCTTTTTAAAACAATTGACAAGCTGTTGAGTGCAGTGGTTCATGCCTGCAATCCCAACGTTTTGGGAAGCAGAGGCAGGTGACTTGCTTGACCCCAGGAATTTGACCAGCCTGGGGCAACATAGGGAGACCCCTTCTCTATGAAAAAAAAAAATTAGTTGGGAATGGTGTCATGGGCCTGTGATCCCAGCTGCTCAGGAGGCTGGGGTCAAAGGATTGCTTGAGCCTGGGAGGTTGAGGCTGAAGTGAGCTGCTATTGCACCACAGCACTCCAGCCTGGGTGACAGAGCAAGATGCTGTCTCAAAAAAAAAAAAAAAAAAAAGGGAAAAAAAGAAAAGAAAAGCAGTGACAAACTGTTTCTAAAATTTTTATGAAAATGCAAACACCTAAAATAGCTGAAGCCATTTTCAGAAGGAAGTTGTATTGCCTTATTTTAATACTTATTTAAAAAGCTACAGTAATCAAAACAGTGTAGCATTGTTGTAAGGATTCAGGTAGATCAATGCAACAGAATTAAGAGTTTAGAAATAGACACTTTCATAGTAAATAGATTTTTTAAAAAAGATATTGCATTTATTCAATGGGGAAAAATAATCTTTTTAAAAAATTCCTATCCCTGTGGAAAAAATGAACCATAACCCATACCTCATGCCATACACAGAAATAAACTCAAAAACTTTAGAAAGCTTAAAATTTCCAGAAGAAAACATAGGACAAAATTATTGCGATCTTTTATTAGGTAAATGTTACTTAGATGAGATGCAAAAAACTGTAAATAAAAAGAACTGATAAGCTTGATTTCATCAAAATTAATACAGCACTTCTCTTCTTTGAAGACTACCATCAAGAAGATAAAAAGGCAACCTAAAGATGAGGTGGACATATTTGCATTGCATATATCTGACAAAGGACTTATATTCAAAATATAAAAATCATTCTTACAATTCAGTAAGAAAACTAGCAACCAGATTTTTTTTTAATGGGCAAAATAGTTGACTAAATATTTTACCGAAAAAGATACATTCATGACTAACAAACACAAAACAAGAGGTTCACTCTTTCTAGGCCTTACAGAAATAAAAGTAAAACCACAATGAGATATTGCTCTATACCTACTAGAATGGCTAAAATTAAAACTATTGAAAATAGCAAGTGTTTTCAAGGTTGTGGAGCAACTGTAAGTCTCATATGTTGCTGGTAGGAATATAAAATTGAATAGCCACTGGGGAGATCAGTTTGTCCATTTTTTGACAATACACCAAATCAACTCTACTACTAATTATTTACCTAAGAGACATGAAATTCCTTGCACTGAAATGTTTACAGAAGCTTTGTTTTCAATAGGCAAAAAAACCCTGTAGACCATACTAATGTCCATCAACGAGCGAGCAAGTGGGTGGAGAAACAAGATGTAGTATATGCGTATGATGAAATATTACTAACAGTTAAAAAAAAAAGACCACTAAGTTACCCCAACCACATGAACAAATATAAGAAGCATTATGGCAAGCTAAGGAAGCTGTGCACTACATGATTTTATTTACATGACATTCTAGATCAAGAAAAATTAATCTATAGTGACATAAAGCTTATCGTGATGTCTAAAGTAAAAGGTTGGAGAATGACAGCAAATAAATACAAGGGAAGTTTCTGGGTGATGGAAATGTTCTATGAACTTGATTGTGATGCTGATTACACTAGTGTTGTCAAAGCTCATCTAACTGTTATTCTAAGTAAATTTTATAAAAATTATACAAAAAACTTGATTAGAGAAGAGTATATTATTTAAACTCATAAAAGAGACAAAAAGAACTGTGTGATTTGGTGCTAGTCCCTTTTTCTCTATAGGTCATTTCCTTCTATGTTCCAAGAAGAAAAGTTCAATTAGAAAATATTCAAGACTCATCATATGACATGTTGCTTAAAAAATTATTACATTTTTCCTATTTTTATCTCCAGAGGAGAAAGCTTGATACAGAAAACAGAGATGGTCTTGGATCAGAATAAACATTTGGGTTCTCACACATTTGCCTGGTGAGAGAAAATTTAACCTTTTATGGTTGGAATTTCCTTATCTACAAAATTAGATGCAGATAAACACCTATACTTTATGAATTTGTTGTGAAAAACCAAGTGATCAAAAAAATTAATGTAAGTCCTTGGCCCTCAGAGGCTACTGAATAGATAAAAGTTCCCCTCCCCTTTCACTGCAGAAAATTTCAAGATTCAAAACCAAAGTAAAGTTAAATAGAATACCAACTATGTACCCTTATCAACTGAATCCTCCAGAGAGGACATTTGAGTTTCTATAAAAGATCTCATCTTCTACTAACTGTCTTTGCAGATGCTCTGAGTGTAGCACCTGTCATACTGCTGAGGGTGAGAAGACAAGCATTGTGGAATGGCACAGCAGTGGGAATAAGAGAGGCCATCCTAAGGGAGCCTTCACTTTGTGCTGGTTTCTCACGCTCAGTACCCTTGGACAGCTGAACCACATGAATCTTTTCTTACTCTCTGACTCAACGGAAGGACTCCCAAATGAGCTATAAAAGTTATTTAGTGCACTTTCTTGGGTATCTCATATGTGTAGTTGAATATAGGGCAGCGTAGGAAATTCACATTAAAAACAAAAAAACCTACTTTGATTTTGCTTTGGTTACCTTTCTTGTAAATTAAAAAATAAAATAAAATCCCTAGCCAGTTGCATCTATTGAAGCCCTGATGCCACAGGTAGAATGATTTAGTATCTTAAGACCCTTGTGGGACACAAAATGTGACATTTTCTTAGACACACAACAATATTTTCTTTATGAGCAAAGACTTAAGGCCTTTACCATATCACAAGAGGACAAAAGAGTTTAAATGAAACTTCAATGATAAACCAAACGAGGTCAGAAAAAGGTAGATATTTCCAAACTCAACTACCACCTATGGACAGAGAACATTTCACACCTAAGGTATCAGCCAACCACTGCCAATGGGGTACTTTAAATAACTCCTCTAGGGCCAATTTAAAAGGGTAAACATGAGAGAAGCTTTTATTAATGTTTCCCTTCATCACAAAAGCAATTTCCCACTGTCATCTGAGCTTTTTACGATGGCCCACTACCAGCACAAGCCATTTTAGTTTACCTCTGACTGTGCACAAGGCAGAAACGAAAACAAATCAAATAATTAAAATGGTCAAAAATATACCATTTCAAAATGGCTCAATTATTTTAAAAAATTTATAAGAGCCTGCTTTTCTGAAGAGGGAAAAATGCAAAGGAGGAACAGAGCAGTGGCTTTCTCTTCTTCTCCAAATAAGCCAAACAACCTAAAATCTTCTCTTCTAGGGATATTTCAAGGTCTTCTGCTGTGACTACTAAACCAGCTGTTCATATCTTCATCTTTCCACCTCTAAGTAATATCCTTAGTGATAATCATGGGTCCCAGTGCTTTTAGGACTAGAAAGCTTTCTGACTGATTAAAAAATTTATACTGGTTGATCATGGTGAGAAATGAAGATTCTCCTTATTCGAGTGTAAGAATAATGAATCAGCCTCTTGTTTCTCTGTTGAGGGCGGTATTGTTAGAAATTTGATTATAAAAGAAACTATGTGTTAACTATTGTAGGGTGGGTTCTGGCAGAAATAGGGTTAATTTTCTTTCCCCTGAGCCAGTAGCTCCCACACCTGTCAACCATCAAGGCTGGGCTTGCCAAGAACCTAGGAGTGAATGGGCATGGGCACAGCTGTAGCAAATTAGAGTATCCTGAGGAGGTCCAGCATAAAAGATGTGAACTTTTGCATGTCTCTGTGGGGTTTTGACTGATCCAACAACTATGTTGCTATGGGAATCAAGAGTGGTAGGAGCCTCAGAGGCTTAGCAATATATAATATGTATTCCCGTCCCTTAGCAATATATAATATATATTCCCTTCCCTTAGTAATAATATATAATATGTAAAATTGGATATGTGCTTATATTTGTGTGTGTATCTATTTTTCATAATGCCCTTTGGGATCACAGCACAGCAGCAATGTTTATTTATAATTTTTTAAATTATAAAAAATAATTTGAAAAGAAGTATAATGATGAAAATGATCTTCCAGCTGTGTCCATCATCAGGTATGGAAGCCACATAATTATTGATGAAATAATATTTAATAAGTCTCATCAATGCCTATTCCCAAGAGGACATAGGTACCATAATACAACAATCATATGAGTAAATGTTTTAAAGAAAATGACTAAAAATAAATAATTTGGAGAAAAGATACTTGGCCCTGTTGTGACAGTAGCTTATATCTGTCAATGCAAATTTCCTTGTTATTTTGAATCCTGAATTCTGATTTGGGTTTGTTTTCTAATTTTAAAAAATATTGAATGTATCTAAAGAGTTATGTCATAATAGGCCGGGTGCGGTGGCTCACGCCTGTAATCCCAGCACTTTGGGAGGCCGAGGCGGGCGGATCACGAGTTCAGGAGATCGAGACCAGCCTGGCTAACACGGTGAAACCCCGTGTCTACTAAAAAATACAAAACATAAGCTGGGCGTGGTGGCGGGCGCCTGTAGTCCCAGCTACTCGGGAGGCTGAGGCAGGAGAATGGCGTGAACCCGGGAGGCGGAGCTTGCAGTGAGCAGAGGTCGCGCCACTGCACTCCAGCCTGGGCGACAGAGACTCCTTCTCAAAAAAAAAAAGTTATGTCACAATAAGTCTCTTATATTCTTGCATGAGTATAAGATGTTCTAGGCTTTTGAAACCTGCCCATTTTCAGCTTTGTGTGTCAGTTAAAAGGAGTGGAATTTCAGGAAGAGGACGGAGTTTATACAGTGAAAGAAACATAAAAGGTGAAGAGAACATAGAAAAAATGCTTAAATGGTACTTTACATTCCTGTATTCATTAAATTTCTCCAGTGGAATGTGAAGTAGATATTTCAAGCAATAATAGAACAAAATCATTGCAGAATTCTGTGTGTTCTTTGCACTGAGCAGGAACTAAAAAGCAAGTGGGGGCAGAGGGATACATCTTAGTGATTCCACAAAGCCAGCATATATTCTCAGTAGAGGGGTAAAAAAAGCAAATACAGTATATCTAATTGCTCATAAAATTTAGGTCCATCGACCATCGTTTAATTACAGTCCACCAAATCCTACATTAGGATAAAAAAATGTGCAACCTTAAAGAATTAAAATAAAATGACATTCTGGCTGAGGAAAAGTTCCAGAATCTTACAGGGTCATGATTTAATATCTCACACACTGTAACCATCATTAATAGCCAAGATATAATGAAATCACTTTCGAAAGAGACTGTTCCAGCGCTTTCTTTTTAGGTGTGATTTTTTTGAAGGGGAAGAAGGCAATTTATGGGATCAACATCAGATTTGGCCCAGCACAGACACTCAAAGCAGATTTTTAAAACAATCTAAATTGCTATTTGAACATTCAGAGATCTTGCACAGATAATTGATTTAGAGACTTCTCAATTTATCAAAATACCCCAAGCATCTTAAGAGTAGGAGTTGCTTTAATTACAGTGGCTATTATTGGACATTTCAGAACCCATTTCTTAAGGACTTGCAGAGTCTGCAAAGTCCTGCTGAGCAGACCTTGCTCTGAGATGTTGATGACTAGCCGGGTCTTAACTGACTCAGCAAGACCTAACTGACCTGCAGAATAGAAAGTTCAGGTCCTCACTTTCTTCACTTTTCATTGACACTGACCCATGACTGCCCCCTAGCTCTGCACTCATCTTTTCTTGAATGGTGGAGGAGTGCTTAAGAATACTGTGTTACCTTGCTTATTCACCAAGACTACCTAACACATGTCCTAGAACATGCACACTGGAGTATATTGTGATGTGCATGTTTTCAGTCACCTTGAGATTTTCACTAGGCAAGCAACTTATTTCACATGTGCTCATAGGAAGGCCATGAGTTGGAAGGATATTTTTTTTCATTACTACCAGTTGAGTTCAATATAAACCATTGACCTGAATTTACTGAACTTATGTTATTTCTTTCCCTTGAAGACACTCCCCACAACTACACTATAAAATCATAACTGAAGGTAGAAAACAAATGTCCAAATTGGAATTCTGATCTTCATAATGATTTAATTCAACAAATTGCTTAAAAGTAAGAATTATCTACACTAAACTTATTTGATTAAATACTAATGGTCTTTAACCAAGGATAACCAAAGAGTATTTGTGATAATCTGTCATAGAACAAAACAGATGTGTAAAACATAAACAATTTAATTATGTAATAATGATCATGCTGCCACATAACAGAAGTGTAGGGATGGCCGCTGTCTTGCTACTAGTTATCATAGCCACGACAATATCCCTTCTGATATAGGGTTGGGATCAACAGAAACAGCCTCCTCTTTCTCTGCTCAGTGCTGGCATTTCTTAGAACTTTGGCCTTAAGAGAAATCATGTGTTACTACTGTAGGGTAAGTGGTTAAATTTCACATATGCTGAACTTATACCTGAAAAAAGTCATATTCTTTTTATCTAATTTTCTGAAACTTGGATTCTCTTTAATGGTGGTGGGAGGAGCCAGGATAGATGGTATTTTAAATTTGTCATTTAAAGGTAACTCATCTCTTTCATTTTAAAATGGTTTGTTTTTCCCTTTCTCCTAGCCAAGATGGTACCTGGACATAGCATGAGGCATCAGAAAATCTCAAATTTGAGTAGTGGTGTCCCCTAGGATGTCCTTTGTCCCACTTGGTTGTTGCTCATCTACTTCTGACATCTATGACAGATGAAAGTCATGTTTATGTTTTATTTTGTTTTTTTTTTCTGCACAGTGAGTGCCTGCAGGTCCTTTTCCTTGTACAAACAGGTTACACTGTTCTGACATGGCTCCACTTCAGCTTCCCCTGCCACTGCTGTTCTGCTGAAGCTCCATCATGATATTCATCTGACCCCTTCCTAATTACCCAGTGGTTTCTCTCTTCCCCATTGTGGGCACACAGTGACTTTTGAGACAGTTCCCTCATTAGGTTTAGAATGTGTGGAATCAAAGGTGAGAGTAGGGTGGAGGACTATCTACGAACATTTAGCCATCATTACTCAGCTGCGGTTGCTTACTATTGTTGTGGGATATTCAGCCAAGTGGCCTCCTCAAGTCCCAATAGGTTGTAGGGCCCCAGCCTCCTTTTCTTTTAGCCACCCCCACCTCCATCCCTCTCTTGGGGCTTTCCATCACTGCTCAATCTTCATCTTGAGGCTTATCCTATAGTGAACCAGATTGAGATGAAATGGAGAACTAAAGACACTGGTATCTTGCCTCCTACTTTTTTATTTTCCCCTGTCTCTCTCTCTCTCCTACCCTGTTCAGTCTACAGACTCACATATGTGTTTTCTCTGGAATAGCCTGTAGTTGCTTTCTTTCCACCTATATTCTACATAATAAAACATAAAATTCAGATCTCCAAAATGTTTTAACTTGTAAGAAAATTTGGAATTTGTAAATTCTTTTGTCTTTTATTTAAGTCTGGATTTCAAATCTATTGTTTTATTGGGACACCAAACCCTGATTTACCACAAACACTTGGCAACTTTGTTCAGATTATTTCAGAATTTCTCCAGAATCACGGAAACCCTAGGATTGAATGAATGAAAGTCAAAAATATTATAATTTAAAGTGATGATAAAATATATAATTTAAACTTTGAAAAATATTACACCCATTTCTGAGACCACAATGTAATATTAAATATAAGGATTCTGGGATATTTCACAAACCAAGTGAGAAATTGCATTTTAGCTCACAATTGTCTGGAGCCAGGGCTCACCCTACTGTGGAAAACCTCATTTTCGTTTCCTATCTTACTCTCCATGTCATTATATGGCTGTTTTCTTTTCATCTCTATCAGTGTTTCTCTTCACAGACCAGCTTTCTCTACATTCTAGTGTACAAAATGAAAAATATGAAAGGTGTGTTGAGGCTCTCCAGTTTTTACACTTCCATTTCCTCTTCAAGAATCCAGCTTTAACTGGGACTGGAATACCACTGTACTCTGTCAATTTACTAAAGAGGAAACATTAATAGTCATAACTTGGATCTTGAGCCCATCTTTCATTTAACCTTTGGCCAAGGGGAAAAATGGGGTAGTATAAATATGGAGTCATGCTTCATATGAATCAGGGTTGGAAGGGGAAGAAATGGGATACTATAAGTATGGAGTCATTTTTCATATGAATCAGGGTTGGAAGTGAGATTTTCTTTCCTTCTTCCTTTCTCTCTCTGTCTCTCTTTTTAAGAGAAAGAGTGTCAGGTAAAAATATATAAATGTTGGCCGGGCACAGTGGTACATGCCTGTAATCCTAGCACTTTGGGAGGCTAAGGCTGGTGGATCATGAGGTCAGGAGTTCAAGACCAGCCTGGCCAAGATGGTGAAACTCTGTCCCTACTAAAAATACAAAAATTAGCCAGGCGTGGTGCAGGCACCTGTAATCCCAGCTACTCGGGAGGCTGAGGCCAGAGAATCGGTTGAACCCAAGGGGTGGAGGTTGCAGTGAGCAGAGATCATGCCACCACACTCTAGCCTGGGTGACAGAGTGAGAGTCTGTCTCAAAAAAAAAAAAAAAAAAAAAAAAAAAAAAAAAAATATATATATATATATATATATATATATATATATATATATATATATATGTCAGCTATAATATTCTTTCTAGAATTTATATTGGCTTATTTCTATTTACTTATTAAATAAATCTGGTACTCCTTTGTGCAGTTCTTCTAAGACATACATGGAAAATAACTTGTAGAATTTAATTTTTTAATTTGTAGACTTAAACTCTTTTATGCTAATGTTTCTGTAATTCCTCAAGATAATGTGTCATAACAAATTATTTATGGATAAAACAAAACAAAAACAAAAGCCTCTTATGTTATCAATCTTTTCTAGACGAAAGGTCATAGTTATTCAAGATGTATTTTTATTTCTGTTCTCTAGTACTTTGAAATTTTTCAAAATCAGTAACACATGGAATATTTTTGTTTTCAGTGCACACTATTTTAACTAATTTGTTCATCTTGCATCCTAGTCTGGTGTTACTTTAAAGTCTTGCAGTTTAACTTTTATCTTAACTAATACCGTATTATGAAAAATACATATTTTTCACTTTAACTTATTGACATAACTAATTACATTAAATTTCTAATATTGAACCATCTTTGCATTCCACTTATAAACTGTTTATAGGGTATATTATTTTCAAATATTTGTAGATTATTCTAATAGTTCATTAAAATATAATTTTATTTTGGATTGTGTATTAACATACAAAAATTAGCTTGAAAGATTTTTTTGTCAACCTGCCTTTGGCAGGTATTGGTATCAATGTTCTACTGCTTTTATAAAAGATGTTGGCAAGCATTGAATTTCTTAGTTCTCTTTAATAATGTAAATAGAATTAGCACAACTGGTTGGTTTAAGTTCTGAAGGTTTAAACATTTAACTTAAAACCTTCATTACCTCACTATCCGAGTGTTACTCTGCCATGTTTATTAATTTTATATATGATTTTTTTGTTTAGTTTTCAATGTTTTCTTCATTTTTGTAATTAATTTACTCTAAAAAGTTGCATATTTTCTTTAGGTTGTCATATTTATTTACATAGAATCAAACAAAGTATTCTCATTTTTAAAATTTTACTTTTTGATTTTGTTTGACAAAAATATAATAAAGAAAACTAGAATATTACTTATTGTAAAGGCAAAAATATAAAAGGCATTATAATTTAAAAATTGATTAATGTATAACTTCAAACAGAATGAACAATTTTGTTCAATGGAGTCATATGAACTTATTGCCAACATTCAGTTTTTTTGACTTATTAGTTGTCATTTCTTTCTAAATTCCACCTTAAAATAATACTGAGGAAAAAAATGCCTGACTTGTAATATTTTTCAGGTATAGTGAAATAATCAACAATGCCGAGGATAATGCCTAACACAGAGGTAATTCTCAGTTAATTTTATTTTCATTCCAGATAAGTTTTTCCACCTGGTAAGAGTCTAGGTTAGAATTCAAAGATTATTCCATTTTATTTATTTTATTTTATTTTATTTTTGACAGAGTCTTACTCTGTCACCCGGGCTGGAGTGCAGTGGCACAATCTTGGCTCACTGCAACCTCTGCTTCCCAGGTTCAAGGGATCCTCTGACCTCAGACTCCTGAGTAGCTGGGACCACAGGCATGAGCCACCATGTCTGACTAATATTTGTGTTTTTTTTAGAGACAGGGTTTCACCATGTTGCCCAGGCTGGTCTTGAACTCCTGAGCTCAAAGCCATCTGCCCCCTTTGGCATCTCAAAGTGTTGGGATCACAGGTGTGAGCCACTGCATCCAACCAATATTTTTAATTTAAATAAAATTAAATAAGGAAAGTCAAGTGACCACCGCAATGGATAATGATGTCAACCCTAGTGCCTTGTCCTGACCCTTCCCAAAACACATAAATAATATGGATAATGATATTGAATTTCTCCTTCAAAGAACTTTTCACATATGTGTAAAATATGGCCTTCTCTAAGAGGCTAGTGATACAGAAATATGTTACATATTTTAAAATAATTACATTTTAATTAAGTAAAAATATTAATTAAATTATATATTAATTGAATGTATCAATTAAATGAAATTATCTAACTAAATTAAAATTAATTAAAATAAAATTTTAATTGATTAAATACATCATTTTTATTTCAGTTCTCTCAAAATAATCAGTGTAATGCAAATGCAGTCCAGTGTCATGTGAAGCATCCTTTTCTCTGAGGTTCTATCTGCTGTAAATCAGAAACTTGATGTCTTATCTTAATCTAAGAAAACTTTTTATTTAGTTGTATTTCATAAGAGGAAAAACCAAAATCTGGTCAGAACTTAGAGTCCTATTACTCTTAAAGAGTCTGACCGGACTTTTGGTTTTTCCTCTGACCAGACTTTTGCTTCTTTCACCGTTGCATGTTATGGCTGCAAAAAAACAGGAAATCTAGATTGCCAATGCAAGCTCCAGTTTAAGAAAAAGGCCCAAGTTAACTAACCATGGTTTGACAAAAATTACCCAGTTCAAGTTGTGGAATTGCCTGATGCAAGATCCAGGCTGCAGCAGGACATGTGGTTATATCCAAGGACCAACATCACTGCTTATAAAACAGCATTTCATGAGATTTCAAGTTAAGGGGGTTTAGCATTATGCCAACTGCAAAGCTCAACATCAGAGAAAATTGAATGAAATGTCTTTCAGTTTTGCCATTACTTGCGTCTTAAAATTTTTACAAACATACTTGTGCACATATGCTTACACATTTGTATACATTTTACCAAATGCACACTCATATTATTAGAATTAGAGGTTTTAAGATGGTGACCAGATTAATTTATTGATTTGAAATGTATCAGCTGAGTACATATTGCTACTATACATTGTTCTTGGTGCTACAGATTTAAAAAAAAAAAAAAAAAGCTTATAAAAGGGATCCCAAATTGTCTTTTTAACTTCTTGTGATCATTGTCTGTAACCTAGACTACTGCAGCAGCTTCTACACTGCCTCTGATATTTGTCCTTTTCCAGAGTACAAAGTTTACCACTGTCAGGTCATTTCCCTGCCTCTTGGTGGTTACCTATTGTCTTTGTACATTTGTGTTGCTATAAAGGAAGACCTGAGGCTGGGTAATACATAAAGAAAGGAGATTTATTTGGCTCATTGTTTTGCAGGCTGAACAAGAAGCATGGCACCAGCATCTGCTTCTAGTGAAGGCTTCAGGCTGCTTCCACTGATTGTGGAAGGCAAAGGGAAGCAGACCTGTGCAGAAATCATATGGAGAGAGAGGAAGCAAGAGAGAGACAGTGGGGATGTGCCAGGCTCTTTTTCATAATCAGCTCTTGTCGGAACTAATAGAGCAAGAACTCACCAAGCCATTCATGAGGGATCCACCCCCATGATCCAAACACTCCCCTTTACGTCTCCACCTCCAACGCTGGGGATCAAATTGCAACATGAGATTTGGAGGGGCAAACATCCAAATTATAGCACACATTTTCCTAGCATGAAGTCTATCGTCCTAAGTGTGCTTTACAAGACTTTTATGATATGGCCTCGATTCAAGTCCATCTTGAGATATAAAGTCTAAGGTCAAGAGCCAGGGACTCTAGAGTCATGCATCTTGAGTTTGAATTCTGATTCTACTTCTAACTAAATATGTGACTGTGGACAAGTAACTTATCTTTTCTTTGCCTTTGTTTCTTCGGGTATAAAATGAGAATCACAAATATATCCTATGTGAAAGTTTGTAGAAAATTAAATAAGTTAATTAATGTGAAATGTGAATAGTGCCTAGAACATAGTGAGCACTCAACAAATTAGGCTAGGATTACCTGTTAAATTTTGGTCTTTCCAGTTCATATCCTCAACTGCAGTTCCATTTCTGTGATGCTGAACAAACCAGGCCAATAAATGTGATGGCCTTTTTTTACAATGCTCTTTATGAAGTCCTTACCCCTGGCCTGCTTTGGCTTGGTTATGTCCTACTTTGACTTTAGATCCATGTCAAAAACTTTAAAAAGTTTGATAGTTTACTCTACTTGCAAGCTAACAAGTTAGGCTTCAATAGTTTTATAGATGCTGGCAGAAGATGGGACATTCCTGGGTCAGGGAAAAAAATTTATTAATCATGGCAATAGCAGTAGCAGAGTTTTAGTATTTTCTCTGATTCTCTGACCCTCTGTTCCCATAGGGTGATGCCAAGAGGGTTAAAGTGACACCTGCATACCTGTTGCATTTCAGGAGAGAAACCTTGAGCTTAGGGAGCCCAACTTTTATAATGAATAATAAGCATGTCTACCTTTTGCTGCCAAGAGAGAGGTTATACTTCTAAGACTATAAGCAAGCCTGTCTTCGCTCTGGACTGAGATACTATATCTTCCAAGTCTATTCACTGTACAAATATCATTGAAAAGATAGTTGGGACAAAGGCAGTCAGTACCTCTGCTATCGAGATATAGAGAGGTGCAAGAATGCCACAGGATAATTGTCTCAACAGTCTCAATTACAATTCTTCCATTCTGCCCTCACTCAAGACAGGGTTATTGGCCCATGTAGGCCAAAAGCTCCTTGAAGACAGATTCTTTGTATTTTTCCCACTTATCCCAATTCCTAGCATAGTTCCTTGCACATAGTAGGTACTCAAAACACTTTAGAATAAATAAGAGAATTTAATATAAATGATATTATTTTCATTCCTACCATAACCAGTTGGAGAATAAAATTGAAAAATAAGTCTCATTCATATCAGCAACAACTTTATAAATACTTTAGTAATGTGCATACTTTATGAAAAGTGTGCACAAACTTTACATAGAAATCTACAAAATGATATTAGTAACATAAAAAAAGATTTAGGTATATAAAGCTACATGCATAAAAATGGGAGCAGCACAGGTCTTGAATTGCAATGAGAAACACAGCTTTCATTTGCATCTTTGCAACTTAACAAGCTACATGCTCTTAGAAAAAAAGTGGAAGCTTTCATAACTTTTTATACATTTATTCAACAACTATTTACTGATCTCTCATTAGAAGCCATGCCCTTTTTCAATTGTAATTGTCTTCGTTATTCAACCCTAATTAGTAAGAGTGACTTCTTAGAGCTAGCTTGTAATTTGATATAATAAAAGCAATTGTTATTTCTAAGCTTATGGACCATATAGGAAAAATATTTGGGTCTTTAGAAAAATGTATTATTATGTATAATATACATTAATACTGTATGACATAAAACATATGAATAGTATGTCATTTATATAATTAAATATCATATTACTCTTGTAAAGGTTATTAACTCTATTTTTCTTTGGTTTTATTTTTTATTTTTTCCTAGAAAACCTACTTTCTACTTCAAATAATCTCATATGTATATATATATGCATATATATGAGTAGTTTTATATATATATAAATATATATATATAACTACTAGTTAGTAATCACGTCATGCCAACAACTCGATAAAAAGACTTTTTTTTTAGTAAAAGAAGGAGTAATTCACAATATAAATTCTGTATTTGTTCTGAAAGCTAACCAAGGCAGATAATTAGAAAACTCAGTAATGGTGTAAATTTGAATTATATCAATAAAACTCATAGCTGTATATACCATTTTTTTCTGTTATGAAAAAAATGTGGATATAGCCTCATAAAATATATGGGACTAATTCATTATTTTACACCAGACAACTAAATGATAATGTTTAGTATTGGTGTAATAACCAGACCTCTGGACAAGACAGTCTCATTATCACTCCCAGTAAAATAGCACTTCAGTATTCTGCAAGACTGCCATCACTGTCAAGCATCATTGGGTGGTGTTTACAAATAGTTAACCAGCCTTCCTCACAGCTGTTCAAAATTGAGGGCTCATGAACACTTATGCAAGCAGGGTAAAATCTTATAAGCACAGATGAGCAGGAAGAGTGGTGGTATGCCAAATGCATAACAAATAAGAATTTTAATTCATCTCATCTTGAAAACAATAAGAGATGAAGAAAGAGAGGACAGAGGCCTTGGATGCCCAGAATTAGAGACTTAACTCAGATCAACAGTGCCTGTCAGACTTAATGAGAATCACAAATATACCCTATGTGAAAGTTTGTAGAAAATTAAATAAGTTAATTAATGTGAAATGTGAATAGTGCCTAGAACATAGTGAGCACTCAACAAATTAGGCTAGGATTACCTGTTAAATTTTGGTCTTTCCAGTTCATATCCTCAACTGCAGGTCCATTTCTGTGATGCTGTGTTTATAAACACAGATTTGGCATATTTCAGAGCTGAATGTAGGAAACAACTACTCAAGTGCTCTTTTTGTTGTGTGGCTAATATTTGAGGGTATTTAAAATTTAATCATTAAATTTAATCAATTTAATAGAGACTCTAGACCATCAAGTATTTAGATAATCATATAATTAAAGTTTCTCTGGGATATTTCACAGTGTCATGTTTTAGAAGATGTTTAATACTCTTTTAAGATTTTGCTACTCAATATATATTTCTGTGTGAAATATGAAGACCCCAAATCTTTAGATAATAGTTTATTTAATCCAATGTAAAAAGAAGAAAGTGGTGAAATCTCCATCGTTGTTTTGTGATTTTTGAACTAAGTCGAACTCCCTCCTGTCAGAGAACACTGAGACAGAGGTAAATTAAGTCTTACCAGAAGACCTAGACATGATAAGTGGCAGAGCAGGAATTATAGCTCAGGTCTCCTGCACCTTAATCTGAAGTTATTTCCCCTCACCTTTCTTTCAGGGCAAGGTCCTTCTATAAGTGAGACTCCAAAATGTAAGATTCTAGTAACTTGAGTATCTTGATGGACATAGCACAAGTAAACCCAGTCTGTACATGCTGTTTCTGAAAAGCAATGGACATTGATATTTGAAAACTCCTAGTTCCTTTTCCTGCTCTCATTTAACAACAGTGGCACATTCATGTTAAGACATCTTCAGCTAATGTGACAGACCCTAAAATTTCATGCCTCTCTTTGTTTTCACACATGCGATTTAGAATTGAGTTTAGTTCTCTTACTGACAAGTCGATTTGGATTTTTTTCAATGCACAAAATTAATTTTTAGTTTATTTTCTTGGTTAAGTGTGCATTGATTAATGACTCGCAATGAGGTGGCACAAAGTCGTAATTTGAGGAGGTTTCAAGGAATCAAAATTTTTTTAAATATTAGCTTTATTTTGCAAGATTTTTTTCAGTCACTGTACTTTTTTTTTCTAATTCCATTGATGCTAAAATGACAAGTGTAAGTAGAATACTTTTATAATTGATTTAATTTAATTTTTTTAGCCAGAAAAATTCAATGAAACTTTCTAATCTCAGGTAGGACTTAAGACACGTGCCAACTATATAATAATCTTCTAGTTGTCTTCTTTCTTTCTTTCTTTCTTTTTTTACAGTATATAGCAATTGCAAAGTTAACATTTACTTCCTCAGTACACTGAAGTGGCATAGTACCACTCAATTGTGTCACTTTTTAATACTCAACACGTTGATACTATTTCAGTATCTTAAGAGCCTGGTTTCATGAAGACACTACTTGCCTCCACGTATTCTGCAGAAAAAAGTCTAAATTTACAAGAAATCTTTAAATAATTTTTATTATTTACCTTCACATATAATAGCTCTTGTTATTCTCCGACATAAAATTTCTCCATACAAGTAAGTTGCTTTACTAACACCTAATAATTGTTTTTTGTGAAAAGACAAACAAAATCAACGAATCTCTAGCTAGACTAAGAAAAAAAGTGAAAAGACCCAATAAAATCAGAAATGAAAAAGGAGACATAACAGCTGAAAGCACAAAGAATCGCTAGAGACTATTATGAACAACTATAAGTCAACAAATTGGAAAGCCTAGAAGAAATGGTTAATTTCCTGGATACATGCAACTACCAAGATTGAACCATGAAGAACTAGAAAACCTAAATAAACCAATAGCAAGTAAAGGACTGAAGCCATAAAACAAGTCTCCCACCAAAGAAAAGCTCAAGACCCGATGGTTTCATGGCTGAATTCTACCAAGCATTTAAAGAAAAGCTAATAATAATTTATTCAAATTCTTCAAAATCAAAATCGAACAGCAGGAAATACTTTCAAACTTGTTATATGAAGCCAACATTACTCACTTATCAAAACTAGACAAGGACACAACAAGGACAAAAACTATAAGCCAATATCACTGAAAAATATAAATGCAAAAATCTTCCACAAAATACTAGCAAACTGAATGCAACAACAGATTTTCACCATGATCAAATGGGCTTTATCACAAGGGTGCAATGAGTCCAACATACACAAATCAATGAAGATGATACATCACGTTAACAGAACCAAGAACAAAATCCATATGATCATTTCAATACATGCTGAAAAAGCATTCAAGAAAATTCAACCTCCCTTTATATTAAAACCCTTCAATAAACTGGGTATAGAAGGGGCATACCTTAAAATAACAACGGCCATAGATGACAAACACACAGTTAGCATCATACTGAACAGGGAAAAATTGAAAGCCTTTCTGCTGAGATCTGGAGTAAGACAACCCTTAGTTGTAGTAAGCCACTAAGATTTTGTCAGAGTACAGTGTAACCTAGCAAAATTAACTAATTAATAAAATGGAACATGTAAGCTGTGTTCTGCTGAAACAGAACACCAGTATATGTGCCATTGGCTTTTGAACGGGGTAGTTGTCTAAGAGGGTATTTATTGTTGATGGGATGCAAGACAACTCATTATGCATATGTATAAGCGGAACATTTAATATCATTGTTGCTTGTAATTACTTAGAAGACAGGCAATGTATTGTATGAGCTTGAGCTGTACGTGGAGACGTTGGAAAACAGAAAGCTACTCATGTAATGTTGGCAGCATTTGATAAGGTACTTGAAGAACAAGATGAGAAAAGAAAGAATTGGCCAGTTTACTAACAGAGACAAGAGGTGTAATTCCTTTACATTTCTGTCAGTAAAACGTAACATTGTGAAATTTTAGTGACAAAGGCTCGTTAACACTCAGCCTCAAGACAAAGACCAAATTGGGTGTTAAGGAAGCTAAAGCCTATTATTAAAACTCAGAAATAACTAATGTGGCACCCATTCAATCTTTCCAATTGGTCAAAATTACTCAAAAGGAGACTCAGAGTAAGACCTTCCCATAGAATCTTGCTAAGTTTAAATGACTGGCAGCTAAAACTAGAGAGAAAGGCCTATTTTAGGGGGAAAAAGTGTGTACATTGGCACTGGAAACTGGTATCAAATAAATAAAAATCTTACTATGCTTTTGAGAGAGTTGTGCCAGCACTCTAAATTAAACAGACTATAATTATTTGAGACTTGAAATTCCCTTTGAGTACTAAGGTGTCCAGAGTAATAAATAAAAATACAGAATGCCTAATTAACTTTGAATTTCAAATAAATAACAAATAATATTTTTAGTATAATTATATCTCATGCAATATTTAGGACATACTTATGCTAAAATATTATTTGTAGTTTATCAAAATTCAAATTTAACAGTGAACACTATATTTTATCTTATAACCCCATATGGAGATCCAAACTTTTACAGGCAGAAAATAGGCTGCAAAGCCATCTGAGCCACCAAGAAGGGCATATCCTTTAATAACCTCTTCAGATATGGCCGAGGAAGAGAATGGAAAAAGAAGGTCTTTGTAGACGTCAGTTCCAAGATCCATGACAAATAAAGAACTGAAGATGTTTTGCTTTCAGGGAACAATACCTAATCCAGAAATGTCTTGGGTCTTTCCATATCCTACTTCTCATTGCCATGTTATTTGCAGTATTAGTTTCTGTGAGTGGTTTGTAAGTTCATCCCATTGAGTCAGGTGACTGACTTTGGTCAATGTACGTGTTAGTAGAAATAACTTATGACATTGCTGAGCAGCAACTTAAAGCATAATCACGTTGTTATTCAATTGCTCCTTTCCCTCTGCCACCAGATCAGCAATGTGGGAGACAGGAGCTTCACCTTCAGGCTGGATTCCATGATGGAGAAAATACATGGAGCAGACCAGCAGTTATTTGCAGCTATCATGTGAGGTGAGTAAGAAATCCATCTTTTTGCGGGGATAGGGGAGTGAGAAAGCCCTAGATTTGGAGGGCTTAGGATTGTTTGCTAACCTTGCTAATATGCTGGTACTAACAGGTTCTGAAAAAACATTCATTCATTCATTCATCTATTCCAATCACAACACAGCTATAGTTTATTATAGCTATAAAAAATATTTGTGTTGTAATCAAGATTAAACAGTTTGCCCAAGGTCATTGAGGAAGGCAAAACTCAGATTCACTTATTTATTTGGCTCCTTCTATGGACTTATTGCTATTCAAGACATTGAGAAGTACAAGAGAATAAAACAGTCCCTGACTTCAGAAAATGAATCACTTTGTTAGAAACATAAGTTCTATCCATGTTTACACACATGTGCACATACTCCATGTGGTTTGAGTCACCTCCCTTATAATATTTTACATTGTTTCTTACCCTCACCTCTGCCTCCTCCAGCAGCTGTGTCATGCCGTAGGACACATTGGCATGCCTTGGAGCCTCTCCATCCACATTTAAAGACCATCATTGTATTGCCTTTCTTTTCCAAGATAAACTCTGCTACCTGCTTTATAGTAACATATGTTTTTAGTGAAAAATAATGAAATATAATTGTATAAATGTAACTTTGTCCTGATATGCTAATTTTTTTCCAAGATGTATACACTTATCTAATGAAAGAAAAGCCAAAAAAGAAAATCATTTTAGTTGTAAAGAATAAATGCCCACTCAAAATATTCCAAGAAAAACAGGCTGGGTGAATTTTTATTTTATTTTATTTTATTTATTATTATTATACTTTAAGTTTTAGGGTACATGTGCACAATGTGCATGTTAGTTACATATGTATACATGTGCCATGCTGGTGCACTGCACCCACTAACTCGTCATCTAGCATTAGGTATATCTCCCAATGCTATCCCTCCCCCCTCCCCCCACCCCACAACAGTCCCCAGAGTGTGATGTTCCCCTTCCTGTGTCCATGTGTTCTCATTGTTCAATTCCCACCTATGAGTGAGAATAAGCGGTGTTTGGTTTTTTGTTCTTGTGATAGTTTACTGAGAATGATGGTTTCCAATTTCATCCATGTCCCTACAAAGGACATGAACTCATCATTTTTTATGGCTGCATAGTATTCCATGGTGTATATGTGCCACATTTTCTTAATCCAGTCTATCATTGTTGGACATTTGGGTTGGTTCCAAGTCTTTGCTATTGTGAATAATGCCGCAATAAACATACGTGTGCATGTGTCTTTATAGCAGCATGATTTATAGTCCTTTGGGTACATACCCAGTAATGGGATGGCTGGGTCAAATGGTAATTCTAGTTCTAGATCCCTGAGGAATCGCCACACTGACTTCCACAATGGTTGAACTAGTTTACAGTCCCACCAACAGTGTAAAAGTGTTCCTGTTTCTCCACATCCTCTCCAGCACCTGTTGTTTCCTGACTTTTTAATGATTGCCATTCTAACTGGTGTGAGATGGTATCTCATTGTGGTTTTGATTTGCATTTCTCTGATGGCCAGTGATGGTGGGCATTTTTTCATGTGTTTTTTGGCTGCATAAATGTCTTCTTTTGAAAATTTTAAAAGATTTGAAAAGGAAATGTGGACTCATAGGATCCAAGGCATCTTAAAACAAGTACTTTAGCTTCACATCTTTCTGATCCTGCAGGTTTCTTGCTTCTTAGAGTCTGTTCCACTCTTTTAGTCTACAACTGAATTTTCCCTGCCCACCCTTTCTGTTTATTCATCATTTAGGAGGTTGTAATAATTTGCAATGTTGTCAGCTCAGGCCAAAACTTTTACATAACTTGTCCAACGCAGAACCTGTTGCCTTCAGAATACAGTTTCTCTGCCTCTTATTTCTGATAAAGAAAAAACTGATTGACTATTGATTGGATCTCCTAGAATCAAATATACACTCCAGTCTAATTATAGGCATTCATCTGAAATACTGCAGGCTTAATTCCGGACCCCCAAATAATGCAAATATTGCAGAAAGGTAAGTCAGATGATTTTTTGGTTTCCCAGTTGATAAAAAATTTATGTTTACACTTACTGTAATCCATTAAGTGTGCACTAGCATTATGTCTAAAAGACAATGTACAAACCTTAATTAAAAATACTTTATTGTTAAAAAGTGCTAACAATCATTTAAGCCTTCAATTAGATGTAATTTTTTTGCTTGTGGAGGGTCTTGCCTCCATGTTGATGGCCGTTGACTAATCAGAATGGTGGTTGCTGAAGATTGGGATGGCTATGCCAAGTTCTTGAAATAAGACAACAAATGAAGTTTGTCACATCTATTGACTCTTTCTTTCATGAAAGATTTCTCTGTAGCATGCTATTTCCTTTTATAGCATCTTACCCATGGTAGATCTTCTTTCAAAACTGGAGTAAATCCTCTCAAACTCTGCCACTGCTTTATCTACTAAGTTTTTGAAATATTTTAAATAATTTGTTTTTATTTCAAAACATGTTCACAGTATCTTCACTAGGAGTAGAATCCATCTCAAGAAATCAATCACTTTCTTTGTTCAGCCATAAGAAGGAATTCCTCATCTGTTCGTTTTATCAGAAGACTGCAGTGATTCAGTCACATCTTCAGGCATGATATCTAATTCTAATTTTAATTCTAATTCTTTACATCTGATTCTAATTCATCTTGCTATTTCCACCACATCTTCAGGGACTTCCACTGAAGTCTTGAATCCCTCAAAATTATCCATGAGGGCTGGAATCGACTTCTTCCAAACTTCTACAAATGTTGATATTTTGACTTCTTCCCAGAAATCACTAATGGCATCTAGAATGGTGAATTATTTCCAGAAGATTTTCAATTTACTTTGCCCAGATCCATCAAAGTAATCACTATCTATAGCAGCTATAGCCCTATAGCCTTAAAATATTTCTTAAATAATAAGACTACAAAGCAAACATTACTCCTTGATCTATGTGCTGTAGAATGGATGTTTTGTTAGCAGGCATGAATGCAACATTGATTTCCTTGTATGTGTCCATCAGAGCTCTTGGGTGATTAGGTTCATTGTTAAAGAGCAGTAATATTTTTTAAGAGAATATTTTTGTCTGAAGGGTAGGTCTCAATATAGGGCATAAAATATTCAGCATACCATGCTGTAAATAGAAGTGTTGCCATCAAGGCTTTGTTATTCCATTTTATACAGCACAAGCAGAGTAGATTTAGCATAACTCTTAAGGGTCCTAGAAGTTTTGGAATGATAAATGACCATTGGCTTCAACATCAAGTTGCCAGCTGCATTAGCCCCTAACAAGGGACTCAGATTGTCCTTTGAGGCTTTAAAAGCCAGACATTGACTTCTGCTTTCTAGCTATGAAAGTGTTAGATGCTATCTTCTTCCAACAGAAGGCTGTTTTTCTGCACTGAAAATCTGTTCTTCACTGTAGGCACTTTCTTCGATGATCTTAGCTAGATCTTCTGGATCATTTGCTGCAGCTTTTGCATCAGCACTTGCTGCTTCATCTTAGACTTTTATGTTATAGAGATAGCTTCTTAAACCTCATGAGCCAACCTCCTCTAGCTTCCAACTTTTCTTCTGCAGCTTCCTCACCTCTGTCAGCCTTCACAGAATTGAAGACAGTTAGGGTCTTGCTCTGGATTTGAGTTTGGCTTAAGAGACTATTGTGGCTGTTTCGATCTTTTATCCAGACCACTAAAATGTTTTCTATATCAGTAATACAGTTGTTTCATTTTATTATCATTGGTGTGTTCACTGGGGTAGCACTTTTAATTTACTTCAAGAACTTTTCCTTTGCATTCACAACTTGGTTAACTGCTTGATGCAAAAGGACTAGCATTCTGCCTTTCTCAGCTTTCAATATCCCTTCCTCACTAAGCTTAATCATTTTGAGATTTCAATTTAAAGTGAGAGGGAGATATGCAACTCTTCCTTTCACTTGGACACTTGCAACAAGCTTGTTCAACGCTCAGCCTGCAGCCCAGGATATGCGTTGACCAACACAAATTTCGTAAACTTTCTTAAAACATTATGAGTTTTTTTCTGATTTTGTTTTTTAGCTTAACAGCTATCATTAGTGATAGTATATTTTATGTGTGGCCCAAGACAATTCTTCTTCCAATGTGACCTAAGGAAGCCAAAAGATTGAACACCCATGACTTAGAGGCTATTATAGGGTTATTAATTGGCCTAATTTCAATTTTTCTCAGGAAATAGAGAAGCCCAAGGAGAGTGAGAGAGATGAGAGAGCAGTTGGCAAAGTAGTTGGAATGCACACAACATTTATTAAATCCACATGGGTGTGGCTCATGGCAGGCACTCCAAAACAATTACAATAGTAATATCAAAGATCAATGATCACAGACCACCATCAAAGACTACCATAACGTAATAATTTAAAAGTTTGAAATATTGTGATAATTACCAAAATGAGACACAAACACAAGAAGTGAGCACATGCTGTTGGAAAACAATGCCAATAACTTGCTGGATGCAGGATTGCCACAGACCTTCAATTTGTTAAAAAAAAAAAAGTGATATCTGCAAAGTGCAATAAATAAAATAATAATAAAATGAGGCATGCCTGTATCTATAACCATTCATGTGAGGTCAGCTGGTATGTTGCATATCTCTTTTAAGAGTTCGAAGAAGACAAATTATGTTAAATGGAATTGGGATATGGCAGGCATATTAAACTGACATGTCCAACACAAAGACATGGTCTGTAAAAGCAACACACACATATACAGGCACACATGTCAGGAAACTAAATATATATATGTGTGTGTATTGTGTATTGGTGTGTATAGTTTCAAATTTTGTAGCACTTTGGATTTCAGATTTTTGGATTAGGAATGCCCCCAATCCAGAATACTCTAAAATCTAAAATTGAGCACCTACATGCCATCGGAAAATTTCTTACTTGATCTTCGGTGACAGGTCATAATAAAATGCCATCAAAACTTTGTTTCATGAACAAATTTATTTAAAATATTGTATAAAATTACCTTCAGGTGATGTACATAAGACATACATGAAACATAAATAAATTTTATGTTTAGACTTAGGTCTCGTCGCCAAGATAGCTCATTAGATATTTGTAAGTATTCCATAATATAAAAACAATTTATATATTAGGACTTCATAAAGTTTAAAACTTTCTCCAAAACCAGATCGGCACAAATATATTTAAGGATTATTCTGCTTCGTGTATATTCAATAATGCCGTATTAATTTAAATTTCATAAAAGATTCTGTTATTGAAATTTAGGAGGTAGTTGATACCGTTAGAGGCCTTTTATTTATACCTTTTGTTTTGATCTAAACTGTTGGTGATTTGAAAATCTTAATTTCTGAGTGAATTATACAGATAGTCATATTGCTTAAGTTTATCATCTTTTTTGTATAATTAGGATGAATAATTTAGTTTATATCTTTTGTATTTAATGCAATTAAAAATATCCACTGAAAATACAATTCTATTAGCTGATTTGAGAGAATGTCTATGGTTAACTCGCTTAATAGCATTGACTGGACAAAAGCGACTTTTATCATAATTCTCTCGTCTTCTCAATTTCAATATGAAATATTACCAGTGAATAAACAAATGAATTGAGAAAAGTTCACGTTCTTTGCTGAAACCCTAAGGGTCTGGTGAATACATTTACCTTAATGGTGGATTTAAAAAGATAAAATATAAATCCATAACATTTTAAGAAATATTGTGTGGGCTGGGCGTGGTGGCTCACGCCTGTAATCCCAGCACTTTGGGAGGCCAAGGCGGGCGGATCAGAAGGTCAGGAGTTCGAGACCAGCCTGGCCAATATGGTGAAACCCCGTCTCTACTAAAAATACAAAAATTAGCCAGGCATGGTGGCAGACGCCTGTAGTCCCAGCTACTCGGGAGGCTGAGGCAGGAGAATTGCTTGAACCCGGGAGGCAGAGGTTGTTGTGAGCTGAGATCAGGCCACTGCACTCCAGCCTGGGAGACAGAGCAAGACTCTGTCGCAAAACAAAAACAAAAACAAAAACAAACAAACAAACAAAAGAAATATTGTGTGTGTGAATAATGTGCATTTGAGAACAGAATTTTATAATTACTTTAGTCATCATACTTAATTTTAACAGTAAGAAATTGTATGAGATATGTGATGTAATGTTTTCTTATCTAGTAAAATCATTGAGCATACTATCTCCACAAAACTCAATGAGAAACGGTAGGTAATATGTTAAAGAGTAAGAACCCAACAAATGTTATTTTCTGTTAGCATGATTGTGATCATTATTATGATTTTCATCATTAGTTTACACTCTGGATATGCAGCAACATAACAAGGTAATGTATGTTTTGTATTAAGTGTCAATGTTAATTTTACAAATATTAATATTTTTAAAATCCTGATTTCTAAAAGATTCTACTAATGATATCACAGACAAGTACAGTTTTGAATTTATAGTTATATTATACATTATATCCACCAAATTCTAAAATTTCTCACTGGCTAAAATAAATTCTCCTATATTCTCTTTTCTCATTTCTTCCTGTGTATCAACAATTTTGTAAAACTTTAAGGTTGAAGAAATTTGGTAGCAAATACAAAGAAGAAAACTGCCAATTTCTTTCCAGCTAAACATTTATTTCTACAGAACCATATATTTTTATCACTTTCTGGTCCTGCATGATCACAAAAGATTTTCTCGTTTCTCTTTGTGACAATTTTGTATAAACAAATATGCCTTTCCTGTGGATAGTGTGATGGCATTCAAATTATTCTGATTTTCCCCAATAATCTAGCATTGTTCATAACACACACACACACACACACACACACACACACACACACACACACACTCATCTAGTAACCATCAAAACCCGGAAGAATAACCAATGTTTCAGGACACAGATGTAATTGCAATGCAATGAAATATAGATAAAATTTCTAAATCTCCTAAGAGAAAAACATTTAGAAAATCCTTTTTAAAAAGCTTTAAAGAACTCAGAACTTGCACACACCTGGAATCCCAGCTACTCAGGAGGCTGAGGCAGGAGAATTGCTTGAGCCCGGGAGGTGGAGGTTACAGTGAGCCGAGATCGTGCCACTGCACTCCAGCCTGGTCGACAGAACGAGACTGTCTCAAAAACAAACAAACAAACAAAAACAAAAACAACAACAACAACAAAAGAAACTCAGAACTTTTGACGATCACAAGTGAAACAACCTCCCCAAATTTCTTAAAAAAAAAAATTGATAAGCTCTAACCTCTAAAGACAAACTGGGGAAGAATATCCTTCTATAGCCAACTTTAAACAAACAATAACAAGCTTATAATACCAACTTCCAGGGAGAGAATATCATGGGATATCTATAACTAAATTTCAATAAAAGAATTAAGCTTCAAGAAGACTGGAATGCCAGATTCTGAAGTGAAAAGTAAATGTAATGAAAGCTATCTCAGAGAAAGAAATGAAATTGCATATTGGTTATCAGCACTAATTATATAAATGTTCATATAATGATAGGGGCATAAAAATCATGTATAAATCAATAATTTAAAAATTGAAATAAATGCAAGAATCTTAGGGATACCATATTTAATTTTAATTTCCACAGAAATTGATTTAAATCGATTCTGACAAAGTACCTTTTAGAGGTGAGTGAGCCTTGAGCCACAAAAAAGATTGAATTGCAGTCAAGCAAATCCATTCAGGAACCAGCATTCAAAGCCACTGTAAATTCTGTCGCTTCTTCATTTAGGTCCCAGCTCCTTCATTATGTTGACACGTATGTTAGAAAATATTCTCAATTACTCTAAAATTACCAGGAGATCAAAGTACTGGAGACAGAACAAACAAGTTTGTGAGAAACTTAAAAATAATGATGCTCTTCTGACAAAAAAAAAAGTATTTTTGAGGACTTTGTTTTTCATTTTCTTTCTTATGAATCTCTAAGGTCTCCACTGAAATTTATATCATATCAAAAGTGAAAAACAAAATGGAATAGCTATTTTTCTACCTCATAACTTTCATGAGTAAAACATTCATCTTTCCTGCTGAAGGGAAGAAGACACTTCCTTCATAATAATTCTTAACTTTTTCTTCATGATACTGTGCATCAGAGAAGACAATAGATGGACTATAATAGGACAGATGAAAATCAAGGCTTCGAACATTTTGATAGGTGATGGAAATAATCATTTATTTAAGTATCATCACACAGTTCTTGGTAAACAAGAAAGTATATTCAGCGCAGCTCTGATAAATTTTAGTTGAAAAGAATCTCCCTTTGCTAAGTTTTCAATTTTGTTCCAGATAGATGAAAACCATAGAAAGCACTTATAATCTCTTTCTTAATCATAGATCTGGAGACAAGGTATACTAGAATATATTTGGAGCTAGATATTGATATGTAGTAGACTACATTGAATAAGTTAATAACTCTCTTTAAATGAAAAAGATATTCCATGAACCTATTGATTTGAGTCATTTAAATACATTACACTGTACCTGCCTTTTGGTAATTATACCAATTAGATTGGAGAACCATTTATCAGGGTGCCAATTAAGTAAATTCTATACTTTCTGGAACTTAACAAAACGGTCTAGATCGGACTGACTAAATAACTCCTATGTTCCTAGGCACTTTAGTTGACTTGATCATGTAGCATGACAATAATTTCCTACTATATGAACTAGGGTTATAGCTACTGAAAGACATAGTTTATTCATTTAGTTTGCTTTATCATCTGAATTTGAAAGCTAAAAACTTTAACCAAAAAATATTGGCTTGGAATCTTACTTTTAATTTTGTTTAAAAACTGATTTCAATGAACATTTCCTTTTAGTTGATTCTTGAATTTAAAGGTTAATTAACTTAATGATTATTGGGTTGGTAGACATGTAATTGTGGTTGATTGAAATTTTTTTCACTGCCACATTTTTCAGAAGATACAGAAGAATGAATTAAGAATTAACTGACATTCAATAATAGTGGAAACTTAAAAAACCCTTATAATCAAATTTTTGCTAAAAAGGAGTTCCCGTTTTTTAAATTATTAAATCTAAAGGACTTTTTAAAGTGATTTTTTCTAACATCTATTAAAGAATGGAGATGTTCTCCAAGTATTTTAACCACTCTTTGAGGAGAAGGGTATGAAATTCTGTATAGTCACTCATAGAGTTACTATACTTAGTCACACTGTACATTATTGAGCAGAACACCAAGAGGTGGTAAATATTCAAAAACACAACTATTCATTTAATTTTTGTAACTGACATTTAGAGTATTATAATTATATACTAATAAAATATGAAACAAAACATTTCTGAAACAGAATAGTTTTGCTGAGAAATCTCCAAGCCATTTTTCTGTTGCCAGTATCTAAATATACAAATGTTTTTACTAAGTCACATGAGATGCTGGTGTTGGTCAAAGAAATTCTATCAGTTGTTTTAAGTGAAAGATATACTTAGATATTAAGTAGTCAGTTAAATAATTATTTTGTACTCAAATCAGCTCTTTTTAAAATTATGTAGTTCAACACTATGGGTGTCAATGTAGTGCTTTTTCTGAGAATACATAATATATTGCAAAATTCAAATAATGTGAAGGAGTTCTTATGCATTTTTACAGTGCAACAAAGTGGTACTCACAGGTTGGGGAGAAGTGAGAAGAATTGAAATCTCGATTGAATTTGAAGAGGTATATATGATGAGGAGATATGAGAGGCAACCTTTGAGGAAGTGAGTGGTACAGCAATTGAAAACAAGTTTTGTAAATCAAGTTGGAAGAGATTATCCTACATCATCATAGCAGATCAGATATCAGAAGAAATAACTATAACACAAGAACCAAAATAATCAAATAATTTCAGATATTAAATTTAAAATTTTAATCAATTCTAAATGATATACACACAAATTAGTTTGCTTGCAAAAGTCAGAGAAAGCCTATTTTGCTTAATTATAGTCCTTGTAAACATTTCTCTCTACATCTATTTACTGTTATGACTTGTAGCAGCAAGAAAACCCTTTAAAGTCAATATACTTAATATCCATAAGGGGAGATGACTTAAGTTAGTTTTTAATCAATTTAAGGCAGTTTAACATATACTTGAGGATCTACTAAGCTACAGATGTTCTTCTGAGGACTTCAGGGAGTGTAAATATGAACATGAAGCACTCCTTACAGCAGCTTACAATCTGAGAACTAAGGTAGAAGGAGTTTACATATGAATGAATTACATGATAGAATAAGGTGAGTGCCAAAGTACAAAATGGTGTAAAAGCGTTTACCAGAAACAACAATTATCTTAGATGGTTAGGAGGAATCAAGAAAAATATCCAAAAGGAAGTAGACCTCTGCACATTTGCCCACTTATTCATAGCCAACAATGGAAAAAATGTGGAACATGATGAAGAAAGAGCTTATGGCCAAGACGGGTTGAAGTGTAGTGCAAGTGGTAAGGGGAAGTGGAAAATGAGGCAAGAAAGATAGACTGGAGTCAAATTGCAGGGCTTTGAATGCTGAGTTGACAATTATTAGCCAAAAAAAGTGACACTGCCTCTTCCATCACAGAATAGATGACAGTAGACCATTCTAAGAGATGCACATTGAAAAAACATTTAGAGAGCATGATGCGGCCTTTGAGGAATTTAATCATGAAACATTTATTGAAGACCTATTATGTGCCAGGGCTGCTTTGATTGTGAAATTTGTGCTATGCATGAAGACTACAGAAACACAAAGTAAAGTCCTAGTCCTTAAATGGTTCAAAAGTGAATGAGAAAGGACACTTCCAGAAGTGCTGTGTAAACAATTTAGGATATTATCAGGAAACAGGGGATGTTTGGATTATCTATTACCATGTAAGAAGAAATCCCAAAGCAGTGGTGTTATGGGTTGGATTGTGTCCCCACAAATTTATATGCTGAAATCCCAATCCCAAGTACCTTAGAATATGACTGTATTTGGAGTGTTAAAATACCTTAAAATGGAGACAAGGCCTAAAAAATCTCTGAGAAGATGAAACCAGTGAGGCCTCATAAATGACTTAAACCTTGCTTGATTTGCAAACATCAGTGAAACTTAACTTGAGCTACTTCTTGTAAATGCCTGTATTAAAGAAAAGCAGAGCTTAAGCTCAACCAATCAGAAGTAGCCGATAAACTTATAATTGTAAAACTAGAGACTTTCCAATGGGATAGGCCAAAGAAGGCAATTGTATAATTGTACTCAATCAAATATTTTCTTTGCTTTCCCTCTGTATTCATCCTATAAAAGCCTCCTCCTTGCATTTCCTCATTGGAGCTCTTGAACCACTTCTGGTTTGGAGCTACCGAACTCATGAATTGTTGCTTGCTCAAATAAACTCTTTAAGGTTTTATTGAGCCTCAGTTTACTCTTCATCAGGAGTAGGATGTTTAAAGAGTTAATTAAAATGAGGTTGTATGGGTAGCTCTTGTCCAATATGACTGGCATTCTTTTAAGAAGAAGAAATTAAGCACAGACACACACACAGGAAAGACCACTGGGAAGATGTAAGGAGAAGACAGCAATCTATAAGCCAAGAAGTCAAGCCATAGGAAAAACGAACCCTTCTGACACTTCGACTTCAGACTTCTAGCCTCCAAAACTGTGAGAAAATCAAGTTCTGTTGTTTAAGTCACCCAGTCTGTGGCACTTTGTCATGTCAGCTCCATGGCTCTTGGGTCTGGTCTTTAAATTCTTGGTTCTGCTTCTGAATTATCCTTCCTCTTCCATAATATGTAACATGTGTTTGATGAAGTAGTTTTCTCAGTCTGCTTCCTGCTTGTATAAATTTGGAGTCTAAAGACCCCTTTTCATTTTTTAGTGTCTCTGCTCTCACAGTCCAAGTTGGCAGTGTTACTCCATGAATAAATGTTTTAAAAATATTGAGTTTGTGTCATTATGTAAAAGCCATATCTATACAACACCAGATGATGTGAGTCATCTGAACACTGGAGGATCTGCTTCTAAGATGGTTCACTCACACAGCAGGCAAGGTGGTGCTCTGTCAGCTGTAAAGCATAGCCATGACTACAGAGTGGGAACTTCTGTTCTTTCAACATGGGCTGGTCCAAGTAGCCTGGGTTACTTGGCTCATTTCCAGGGGTGATCATTTTAAGAGAAGGAGAGAAAGAGACAGAGAGAGGGAGAAAAGAGAGAGAGCGAGAGAGCACTAGCACCAGGTGGATGCACTATCCCCTTTTAATGCCTAGCCTTAGATGTACACAGCTTTGCTTCTGCCATACCATATCAGTTGAAAAAGTCAAAAAGTCATAAGGACCTACCCAGGTTCAGAGAGAAGTACATACACTCAACTTCTTGATGGAGTAGGGGCAATGTTCTAGAAGAGAATATGGGTCCAGACATATGATGGCCATTTTTGGAATACTCATTCTGCTCTCCAGTGAGCTTTGAGTCTGAGTATCTGTTCCAGAATGAATGTACAAATCAAGATATGCTTGAGAGAAGACAATATTTTAGCTTTGTTATATTTAGCTATGTAATAGAATATTAATAATAAAGTATTAACCAATGTCATATATTTTGGGAGCTTTTTATGCTTCATTTTATTTAATGCTAACAATAATCCAAAAAGGTAGATTTTATTATTCTTTATGATAGATGAAGTAACTGAGGCTTAGAAATGCTATTTAGTTTGGTATTTAATTACTAAAGCTCACATTACTGTGGTACTTCCTAGAGTATGTTCAAATGCTGATGAAACTAATCCTACAAATATAGAGATATATGTTTTAGGAAAGATGGATAACTGTAGGAATAAAGTTCTTGAGTTGACAAAAAAAGGGATGAGATCCAGTGTATCATTGGAAGTTTTGGCCGTAGCAATAAAGTTCATCAGTTGTAACAGGTGGAAAATGGAGTTCATGGGCATAGATAATGATAATTAGGTAGAATTGTTAGTGATAAAATGAAGTATTTTGTTTTATGACAGCATCCATTTCCTCAGTGAAATAGGAGGCAAGACTATCAGCTGAGGCATGGTTATCAAACTTTGACCATGGAGCCATTATGAAATAGTCAAGTTTGGGAGTGGAGGATGGGGGTAGCAAGAGGATGGCGGGGCTGTGCTCAGCACCTACTTGAGGTCTGTGGTCATGAATTTATCTGAGACCAGGTGTTCACTGAAGTCAGGTGTTTTTCTCTAGTGATAGTTCACTGCTGGGTTTAGATGCAAAACAGGAAGAACATTTAAATGTATCCAGTGGTGTAATTTTTGAAATAGCATGAAGAAGGGTAGGAGAGGAAAAGACATTTTGAAAATGTATAAATAAATAATTTCTGTGATTGGTCTCACGATCTAACTAAGGAAAAGTAGAAAGTCAAACGTGACAAATGACAAAACAGAAAAAAAAAATGCAGGTCCCAGTGCAGTGAAAAAATGTGGGAATAAAGTAAAGAAAACTCCATAGTCATAACAAAGAGATCAGTGAGTACCTGTAGAGTCAGTGCCTGACCCTTATTCCTTCCTTCTGGTCCTCCTTCCAAACGAAAACAGTTTTTGGTTGTTGCTGTTATTGTTTTGGTCTGAGGACTTTCTTTTCCTTTGCAAATCATAAGCGTAAGAGAATTAATACCTTTCTGAATAGACTGCAACCAAGGACTGCTGGCAGTTATAAATACTCCAAATCCCTCTCCCTTAGGTGTGATAAATTTGAGACTGTGTCTTACACCATTTCCCAAACTTCCCCAGTTGGATTAGGCTTCAGCCAGCCAGGTGGGAACTTGCTGGACAACGCACCTTTAATTGACTCTATCTCTTTCCTGTCTTGCTTCCTCGCTCCCTACTACTGTTCCCTGTAATCATTTCCCAAATAAACTAATTCTATTCAAGTCCTTATTTCAAGGCCTGCTTTCTCAGGGGACCCAACCAACAACTCCTCCTTTGAGCCTCAAGAGCTCCTCTCAAAACACTTACCAAAATACACTTTGTGGTTTCTTACTTGTCCTTCTCTCCATTAGACTGTTTCCCCATGAAAGGAAAAGTATGTCACCACCTTTCTGTCTCCTTCTCCTAGTACAGTTCCTGCTATGTAATAACAACAACTTAAATATACAGTAAATGGAACAGAATGCTCAATTAAAATGGATGCTTTTGCTGACAAAGGATTGGAAGTATCTTCTGAACTTGTGGAGGCAAAACTAGATTAGGTTCAGTATAACATGAACATTATTTGTAGCATATTCTTGGCAATGTAATTCTTTGAAATTGATAATCCACAGTAGAATGTCAAGTCTAAAATTTTCACCAGCCAAAATATATCACTATTTTAGATTGTTAAATTTGAGGGAGTTGAATAATATAATATGGTCTCTTCAGATACATATTTAACGATGCTAAGGAGTTGTGTGATTACACATTTATCATTTTTCCCTAAGCTGTTTATTCTATGAATTCTTTTAACGTCAGCAACACAGAAATAACTGTAGGAAAATTTTTGTTTTTTGCATCATAAACACTTAACATGGAAGATGCTGAGTAAATATTCATAGAATAAACATTCTTGTGACAAAGATTATCATTTTAAAGTAAATTATTGTTGGAATAGATTAAAATGTTTTTAAAATTAGGAAATAAAAGCACAGTAATAAAGTTCTTTATATATTTTTTAATTGTGATTTGACTATCATCTAAGTAACTGCTATTTATATACCTGTTTGCTACTGCTGATTACTTTATAAAGTTCAATTACTCTGATGGCTAAATATCACAGTCATTGTGTAACTAACTAAACCAAAAGCCATACTCGCTGTGATACAGATATATTTGTGACAATGCTTATTTGCATTTGCATATCTCAACAACTGCTCAAGTATCTGCTTTCTAGCAATTAGGCAGCTGCTACTTAAAATCAATAGTGGTAAACTCTGGTTGTGTTTGGTTTGGAAACGAAGTGTTGTCTTGTGCAGCATTCTGGTACTTTGCAGAGTATTAATGAAGTCACTTTGCTTCATGCTGTTGTGTCACAGCTACTTGGCATCCTTTCCTCCTCAGCTGGCTATTGCATTACTTCATCTATTTTCCTTTCATCCTTTGTCTCATTCACAGGCTTTGCCTTTGAATGGTTTTGAATTTCCCTTGTCAAGAGTTAATTTACACTTTTTAAAAAATGTATAGCTGTGAAGCCTGACCTGGTTGAAATATGTTGGGTAATTTATTAACAAAAGCTGTGTGTGAACTATTTAGGAGTTCCATTTGAATTTCCTAAACAGTTGGGGAATTAGCTTCATGGAGGGCACAGGTATGTATGGTAAAAACTGGCAGGCAAGTGGACATTAATTGACTGAAAAGAGAGCTTCAGTCATACTGGCTTCTGTACAAGTAAAACAATCAGTTTTGAGTGATGAATTATATCTAACCCTGTGCTAATAATTGAAATATGTACAAAACACTCATATCAAATCTCCTGTATGCGTTGCCTTTGTAGTGTTATGGCTTATACTTTAGCACCAAATTTTGCCTTGTTATGGTGTTTGTGTAAGTTCGCTTAGGATAGAAACATGTTTTAGAAGTATAGTACAAAAAATAGCTTAAAAATATAATGATGGAGTTAAACTAAATGCTATCGGAATACTGCTCTACAGTTTTTAAAGACACCATGCTGTCTCATACCAGTGTACCTTTTTTGCACATGATATTTTTTCTGAAATTTACTTCCCTCACCGCAAGCCCCATCTCCTGCCTACCCTAGGAAATTCTGCATTTCTTTCAAGTCTGTGCACAAACTTCACCTGAATCTCCCAGGCTAAGTGAGACAGTCCATTCATCCTCCTTAATCCCATTGTACTTGTCTCTGGAAGACAGGATAATACATGCCATGGAATTAACTATGTGCTAAAGGCTTTAGTAGGATGATAAATGCTCGAACTCAAAACTCCCTAATTTTGTTAAATATATATCTGAAGAGACAATATTGTACTTTGTCACCAATTCTCAGTATTTTACATAATTAGGCTCACTAAATAAATATTTCTAAAGGCATTGCTTTGCAGATATGTCTTATAAAGTCTCCTAAATCATTTCACTTTAATCCAGGATTTAATATTACTGTGTTGCTCTACAGCCTTTGGGCTTTATCCTTTTAGAACATTTTGTAACTCTTTTTCTCTATCACCTGAAGTCTCACTATTTTTCTTCTGGATCTTCATCCTTTTCCCTAAGTCAACCATATAAGCTACCTTAAAAATAGTTAAGAGTTGTAATGAGAGGTACACAACAATTTCTTTTCTGCTATAAACCCTGGAATTAGTTGCATGAAGTTTTGGTTGACCATATCTCAAAATCACAGTCTTAATGCCCGTCACAGCAAAATGAGGTGCTATCTGCATGGAATTAGTTGCATGAAGTTTTGGTTGACCATATCTCAAAATCACAGTCTTAATGCCCGTCACAGCAAAATGAGATGCTATCTGCCAGTAGAAAAAACTTCAAAAAATACAGAATATACAGATCCCTCCTATATATTTGATTATGTGAATGTTTAGTTTCCCTTCCTAATTTAGGGATACTAAATAAAACATTTAAGAACTTAAAGAAGATAATATTTGCTTGCTTCTCACTGTGCAAGAAATCCCATTATAGTGCCATCGAATAAATGAATTATACTGAGTCTTAGAGTCGCTTTGGGTTTGGAGATTTTAATACTTTACAGAGGTAGTCTACTCAAAGTATGCCAATTTTTCATGTTTTGTTTTTAGGGTGGGGATTCATGCCTATCTTGGAGCCATGAATACAGTAATTGGAAAACAAGTGGCTCTTTAAACATTCTTCTACTATTGCTCAAACTATAGACCTATAAAATGTATAGACTTGAATCATTTAAAAATATTGTATGTTAAGCTTTAGAAGTCAATAAGCTTGAGTTGTACTAAGGGCTTCTTAAATGTAAAGGTTAAAAGCCTTCCACTAACTATATCATGATGATTAAAAACCATACATTTAAATTTGGAATTGAGCATATAAATCATTCAATCAACTAGAAAATCATGGGAACAAGAAGGTAACTTTTAGGCATTTCTTAACCAAATCATCTCTATTCTCTACATGCATCAATAATAACTCGAGTATTTGATTTAGAAATGTGTCTATTTTGTAATGAGCTGCTTCACAGTGGAAAAAAAAAAAGGTGGGGAAAGCTGAAACCAATTTTCTAACACCTTAGACTGTAGTCCATCAGAAATGCAAATGTGAAATTCCCTGAAGTTATGATAAGCTTCATAGACAAAACAATGACTTTCATAGAAGATAATTTGTAGCATTCAGGAACTGAAAAGTTGGCTTTGGATGATTAGAGACTCAAAGAAGAAAGGCAGAAGTATCAGTCTGAATGAAGATATGTTTATTCAGCTTACATAAAGTCATAGCCAGCCATCTTACAGGTTTTATTAAATTTGAGTTTCCTCAAGTCTAAAATATTCTCATTCTCATAGCATAAATCGCTAACTTTAAGAGTGTGTGTGTGTGTGTGTGTGTGTGTGTAAATCTGATCATATTGAAATGCAGGTGAATGTTTGGCTCCACTATGTCTATTTACTTAACCTTGGCACTCACCACACAAACCAGCTTGCCCCCTATTTCCATCCATAGCAGCATCAGGTTTCTTTGAAGTCTGTAAACCTAGCTGCCAAGGTAATTCTAGTTTTGGAAAGCATCACGTAGTTGAGACACAAAGTTAGAAATCAGTTAAATATTGAGTTAGGGGTAGGTTGACAGAAATAGGGAATTGTCTGAAGAGTAGTACAGATTGCAGTGATTATTTCAGGGGCAATTTAAGTTCTCTGATTTAAGCCTTCAGCTGGCTGTTAAGGATTGACAGAACAGATTTATTTGTTTGTCCTTTCATTCATTTATTCAACATTTGCTTGAAGGAGTACTTGTTGTAATAGAGAGATGGATAAGCTCCGGAGGCTGGAGCCACAGGTGAGTGGAGGTGGGTGGGTGGAATGGTGGGGAGGGTCAATACCCAAAAACTTTGTTGCACCTTTTTATTTACATGTGTATGACAAGGTAAGAGACAGACACTTTTTAAAAAGATATGATCTTGCAAGATTAACGTGTGCACTGGAAAATTATGTGGGATAGGGAAGGGAGTTTCTCAGTAGAAGGAAGAGTGCTGGTGAAGTTGTCAAAGTTTCCCACCACCTGGTGTATCTACGGGTAACTAGAACAGGTGACTAGGTTGAAGCAAGGGAGGTCACAGGAACAGGTCACATTGGAGAGCTAAGTGTATGCACATGTCACTGAAGTGCTTTAATCGCAGTGCCGTCCCTCCAAGTAGGAGTGCTGAGGATTTCCCTGATACACAAGGCTCTTTCAGGACTTAATTTCACTTCACTCTCTGTTTCTTAGTCTTCTAAATGTTTTGGACCATTAAAAGGGACTGGAGAATGGCCATGCCAAGTGGCCTGTATAAAAAGTAAGCAAAGTCATGGGGCCAGAATGCCATTTTTCTGAATGAACCACAAATGGCATGCTGTTGATGGAAAACCACTGAAGACAGGAAGAAGAGGAACAGGCAGTTTGAAGGTAAGCACAAAAATCAGGCATTGGCTTGGCTTCTGCCATTGGTGAGACTCCCATTCAATGATTTCACACAGCCCCTGAGCTGGCCACCAAAACTGTCTCCTTATTTCTCTCCATGCTGACCTCCTGCTCCCCTCAGCCACTGCTCATTCCCTCTTCTCCCAGACACGAAAATTTTAGGTCGCTTTTCCTCATTCCTCTACACTGTCCTAAGCCTCAGTAGTAGTCTTCTTCTTATCTCTCCCGGAGTGGGAGCTGGATTCTGGTATAAACTGTGCTGATTCCCTCAGGTTTCCTAGCTGAATGTTCAATGCCTGATTATTGACTATTTTATTTGTTTGTTTTGTTTTGTTTTGTTTGAGATGGAATCTCGTTCTGTTGCCAGGCTGGAGTGCAGTGGCGCCATCTTGGCTCACTGCAGTCTCTGCCTCCTGGATTCAAACTATTCTCCTGCCTCAGCTTCCCAAGTAGTGCCCGCACCACTTGCAGCTAATTTTTGTATTTTCAGTAGAGATGGGGTTTCACCATGTTGGCCAGGATGGTCTCGATCTCTTGACCTTGTGATCCACCTGCCTCAGCCTCCCAAAGTGCTGGGATTACAGGCATGAGCCACCAGGCTCGGCAGACTATTTTCTTTCACTCTGTTTCCTGTTACTACCTTAGCAATGCAAATGCTTTCACTTAACTAAGGGTTACTTAGCAGGATGAGTAATACGCAAGATATTATATAGTTGTCCAGGTAAATAGAATACTTTTTCTCCTTAAGTTAATAATGAGCCATTGAAGTATTTTGGAAGGGAGAAAAAGTCAACAACAATGATTTGCTTCTTAGAAAGTTCCCTTTGTCTAAAGTGGGAAGGATAGATGGTGGGAGTAGCTGACTATAGAGGAGGAAGTGTGGGGAAACTATTGCTCAGGCCTGGGAGAGGGAAAACGGGGCCCTAAACCAAGGCAGTAGCAGATAGGATGCAGAGGAGGTTCTGCACTAAGGAGATGTTAAGGAGACGTGGAGACTACACTCTTGGGGAAATAAAAAGGAACAAAAAACTAAGATAGTCTCTTTTAGGCATAACCAGCTGGGGGGATAGTAGTGCCATTGCCCATATAGAATGCAGAAGTAACCTACTTGAGCAAAATTATTTTGAGTTCAGTTTTGGACAAATTGAGCTTGTCTGAGTGAAGATATATTTATGCTATGGTTCATCAGAGGACCTGGACTAGAAATTTATATTTGGACAGCAGCTACATCATATGGTGGTTGGTGCTCAGGGTGAGAATGAGATGAGGAAGGGAAAGTATAGATGGAACAGTGAGCCTGTGACAGAGCTTTTAGTTCCTCCATTCTTACTTCCTCTACAGAACTGTCGGAATCTTTAAGTAAATCAGCTTCCCCACAGTCCTCAGTGTATTCCACTGGGATTTAGGAAGGAAGACATTTTATTGATCCAGTTTGAGAAATTCTTGCCATCAATAATTGTGAATACTTGCCAGATGGCTCAAAACAAGAAATGAGATCAAATAAAATCTGGAGTATTGCCTGAATGCAAACTTTTATAGGTCTAATGATGTGGTCAAATATATATGGACAGTGTTGAGATTAGAGCTTTCATCAAAGCCGTATGTTTCTGCTTGCTTTGCCTATAATTGCATTCCCATTTGTGGTAACAAAATACCTAAAAGTAACCTCAATGAAACACGTCTAGTGTATATTTAATGAAAACTACCAAATATAGAGAGAATTAAAGCAGACTTAAGAAGTTGGATAGATACACCATGCTTCAAGCAAGAGGGATGTATATTTAAATATATCTTCATGCTAAATTATTTTATTTATTTAATGTAATTTCATTATAAATAAAAGAAATAATTTTTGAAAAACTGGAAATTAAAATTTCAAATTCCATATGTTAAATCATATGAGGAGAGCTAGTTTTCAAAAAATTAAAATGAGGAGCAAGACATAATAGACATCAAATGTTATAAAACTATAATACTTAAGTGAACATGGTACTAACAAAATTAGATAGACCTCGATGAACACTACAAAACATATTTATAAGAATTAGACCTTATCTTCCATGAGAACTACTACAGTCATAGAGGTATCACAAACCAGTGAGAAGGAGACAGATTATTTAATAAAACTGTTTTGGTAATCAGTTTGCTATTTAGAAAATAATGAATTTATATACTCAACTCATATATTATTCCAAAATAAGATATGAGATGCAAACATTCAAACATGAATTCAGGGAGAAATAAAAATAATAATTCATTAAATCACAAGATAATGAGATGGTTATCATTTTAAGTATATTACAGTAAAAATGGATTTTTGGTACATCAAGTTAGAACCTTGTTCAAAAAGAATACAAAGTTAATACAATTAAGTAGGTCACATTAGATGAAATATCAATATTATTAATAGTAACAATATTAATAAATGAAGACTTCAGAAATCAATCAAAAAATCCTATAATTCCAATAGATAAGTGGCCAAGGAATATGATCTGATGTTTAAAGAAAGAGAACATATAAATCGTTAATAAGCACATGGGGAAAATGAAATATAAATTTTTATTCTATTAAAATTAAGCATATGAAATCGTACATAATAATAAATGTGTGGTCAAATATAGTATGATAAAATTATTCCAGAAATAATTTGAGACAATTATGATTTTTCTTTTGACACAGGGTCTGACTCTGTTGCCCAGGCTAGAGTGCAATGGCACAATCACAACTCACTGCATCCTCAACCTCCCAGGCTCATGAGTTCACCCATCTCAGCCTCCTAAGTAGTTGAGACCACAAGTGTGTGCCACTACGCCCAGCTAATTTCTAGAAAGTTTTCTGTAGCAACAGAGAATCCCTATGTTGCCCAGGCTGGTCTTCCGACTTCTGGGCTTAAGTGATCCTCCTGCCTCAGCCTTCCAAAGTGCTGGGATTACAGGCAAGAGCAACTGTGCCCAGCTGAAAATTTAAAGTTAATTATGCAATTTGATCTGGTAATTCCATATCTGGAAATCTATTATAAGAAATTAATTATAAACTCTGAAACATGAACAAAAAGATAAAATAAGCACAAATACTGATGACAGAATAATTCTGAACAATCAGTAGGATTGTGTCCTGTGATATTAATGTTATGTGTCAACTTGATTGGGTCAAGGGGTGCACAGATGTTTGGTTAAACAAATACCTGTTTTTGGATGAGGTGAGCATTTGAATCAATAGACTGGGGAAAGAAGATCTCCCTTCCCAACGTGGGTGGGAAGCATTCAATCTGTTGAAGGCTTGAATAGAAGAAAAAAGGCAGAGAAATGGAGAATTCACTCTCTCTCCCTGACTGGATGGGCTAGAACATCCATATTCTCCTGCCTTTGAGCTGAAACTTATACCATCTTCTCCCCAGTTCTCAGACATTGGACTTGGATTAGAACTTATACCATCAGCCTCCTGGTTCTCAGGCCTTTGGACTCAGATTAGAACTAACTCACTGGCTTTCCTCAGTCACCAGCTTGCAGAGGGCAGATCATGGGACTTCTCAGTCTCCAAAATCAAGTAAGCAAATTCCTCATGATTAATCTCTTTATAAATCTGTTTCTATATCTGTATCTCTCTATATATCTATATTGGTTCTCTTTCTCTGGAGAACCCTGACTGATACAGAATCTCTGTTTATGATAGAATCATGGCTAAGTAATTATAGTATATACATTCGGTGAGCTTTTATAATGCCATTAAATATTATATAAGAGACGCTAGCTCTTGGAAAAATATATATATATATATCATTTTCATAAATGAAAAGGAAGGGTTTGGAGTTGCATAATCACTATAAAAAGCAAATATATAAATACAACAAATAAACAAAGAAGTGAGTTAAAACACACTTGGATTACTATAAAGAGGCAAAGATGTTCGTGATATTTTTAAACAAGATATATTTTTGGATTTCCCAAAATAAATTTATATTAATTTTAAAATGAAAATAATCACCTTAATAGGGGGTCTACCAGCCAAAAATATTAAGTAAACCTGATAAAATGTGTACCTTGTTATGCCTTGAGAACACTAGAATACACAGGAAGACTCACACATAAGTACAAATGCATGCCATCTACTACCCAAATACACACACTGAAAAATAGAAAGCACTGGCCCACTTGACTGCTAATGCTTCCACAGGTTCTGGAGTACTTAAACTTCATTTAAATACGGCCACTTAAGCAGAATGGGGGAATATTTAACACTATAATGCCAATAAATCACTTCTCTTGGCATAAAGTGGCTCCTAGGCAAGAAATACCCAAAAAGGGACTGGGATGGTTTGTTATATGCGTTTCTTACTAGAATATAAATCAATTTACTCCTGTTAGTGAACAGTGGTAATATCTTCAGTCCTGTTAGTGAACAGTGGTAACATCTCATACTCACATGCATACATACTTTTTTCTATCAGAGAAGCATGGAATATTGATACAGGAGATAGAAATAAACTGTTTAGGCAGATAGTAAGGGCAAGAGTCCTTGGTGCAGTTTCCCTTTTTAACAAAAAGCAGCCCCCAAATCATTTCTTTTCTAACAAAGAGCAGCCTGAAAAATTGAGCTGCAGACATAGATAAGCAAGCTGGAAGCTTGCATGGGTGAATGCCAGCAGCTGTGCCAATAGAAAAGAGCTACCTGGGGGCCAGGTAGGTTCAACATGGAGGCTCTATCTTCCCTTTTCTTTGTCACCAGGTGTACAGTAAACAAACAGGCAACATGGCGCTGGCAAGGTAGAAAATCCGTCTGCATAATAAAAGATCAGGGTGGGGGTGGCCAGCTTTTTGCGCCATATGCAAATGGCACACCTAGTCCTAATTAGTTTTTTGTGCCCTATGCAAATGACATACCTGGTCCAACCAATCTTTTGTGCCCTATGTAAATCAGACACTGTCTCCTCAGGATCATCTATAAAACCTGCTGCATTTAACCCAGAAGAGAGCTCTTCTCTTTCTTTTGCCTATTAAACTTCTGCTCTGAACCTCACTCTTCGCGTGTCCATGTCCTAGTTTTCTGTGGCCATGAGACAACGAACCTCTGTATCACCCCAGACAAATGACGCTGCTTCAATATCATGAAGACACATGTTAAAGAAAGTAAAAATTTGAAGATAAAAATAAAGTTGAAAAAAACTCTGGCCTGGAAAGATCAATACTAAATATTCAGTCATGAAATTTGTATAACAAAATTAATGTTCACCTTTCCAGGAAATGTCAATAATTTGTTTTTCTTGCATATTTATTACAAGGGCTCTCTGATGACTAGAATTGATTTCTTTTTCACAAACATTTAATATGGGAAGATTATTTTAAGATACTGATATGCAGTTAAGTTTATGATAATGAATGTAGGTAGGTTTGTATTAAGTTTTACGTAAAAATCATAATTAGATGCTGCAAAATACAAATGTGTTTGCCATTGCAGCTTTGCTACACTTTGGTAGCTACTTACAATTTTTCTTTAATGTTTAATGCCAGCCTCAGGGTTCTGCTGTGCCTGAATCCTATTGTCCTCATTGACTCTGGGGAGTCCAGTTCCAAAGCAGTGTCCCCTCCATCGACCCTGGCTTAGAAAGGACACAGTGTTGGTGCCATCCTTACTAGCTCATCCCATATTGATTTACTAAGTGGAGAGTCCTCTGGGCTCTCATTGAGAAATAGGTCAGATAGTGAATAAATTCATTCTAGCACGCCTACCTCTCTAAGGATTTTTAATTCTTCCACACTATTCTGCCAAGGCATTTCAGCATCTCCATCCATTTATTAGAGGCCAGCATTTTTTTCCCCAAGCTTCAGGGAGCCATTTTAGTAGCAAATTAGAACAAGCTCCAGGTGTCCTTGTCAGTATGTTGCATACTGTACCATTAGATTGTTTCTTATATTTACAAACTCTCCCCTGTATAGCTTTATATTCTGCATGCCACTCAACACCTTCCCTCCATTCATCTAGTGCCCTCAAAACTCATTCCTGGGGCCCTGTCAGTACATATTTGCAAGAACTATAGTTTTTTTTTTGAGGGGGTGAGGGATGGAAGAATCCCTTTCTTCCCAGAGGAGGTAATTTACTAAACTTTATACCAGCTATTAGTCTAGAAATGATGAGGGGAAGTGGAGGGAAATCTTGGAAAATTCCATTATCAACTTGGGGGAAGCATCCATCTCAGCAGAGGCCTCTGCAAGGTCTCCAGGCAAGAGAAGCAGACCTCTTCTGCAGCCTTGGAGGATTCAAGGGAATGGGGGATTAAGTATTCTCAAGTGTGTCTGCTCAGATATTCCCCTCCCAGGTAGCCAGGGCACATTCTTTTTGCACCTAGGCCCTTTATTCAGCAGAGGAGACATAAGTACTAGGAATCATGCCTTCTCTGTAACTCACCTACTCTCACAATTAGGTGCTGGGTCTAGTTTTTGTCCTGATCTGCCCTCTAGTTGCAGGAGATGAAGGAATCTTTAAATACTGTCAAAGATCCCCTTTGGCCCCTCCCACCCCACCGGGAAAAGGTATCTGTTTTCGGATTTGAGCCTGTCAGCATTTTAATTTCGCTTATTAATAGAATTTTAAAACAACGAAAGAATTCCACAGTCTGTAATGACCGTTGCCACCATACCTCTTAAATATCAGTGATATTGCATCCTCTTCCACAGATATTCCATTTCATTTCACCACTGGTGAAAAGGGCATTAATGGTTATGCTATAGAATGTCAAAGATTATCATTATCCCGACTACCACCAGCAATGCAGTCTTTTGCTATCTGGCCAGCCCCAAGACCCAACCCCAAAGTTCTCTCTGAGGATCTGTTTCCTAGAACAATTTCTAACTCCTTTAATTAGGTGACCCTAAGAGAATCAGACCCTGAGAAAAGGATGATACACCCTTTGTTTATTTGGGAGCTGCAGGAAAAACAAGCAGAGGACTGTGGAGATGATACAGGAAGGGAAAAGCAGGCCGTCAAGTTGTTCTGGAGCACAATCCCCAGGTCAGCTCTGAGAAAAGGTGAAAAGACATGCCTCAGGATTATTCTTGCCAAGATGAGCAACCTAGGGTATTAAACCCACTGGCAAAGGCTCTCAGAGACATGCTAGCCCCCAGACATTTCTGGTCAGCTGTGCATTGGCAAAGAAGGTTCTGGAAACAGAGGACAGCCTTCCAGTACAGATGGCAGTATGGGTGGGGAGTCAGACTGCCACTCATAGAAGAGATAAAGGACCCAAAGGGAAATGGGCAGGGAACTGACTATGATAAATATAAGTTTAATGTATTTTTCATTTCTTATTGAAATAATGATGAGTTAAACATAGTCTTAAATTGCTGGGTAAAATATATATTTTTGTAGATAAATAAACCAGATAGTTCTGTTAAGTTACTTCAAATATCAGTAATAGAACATAGTAATCAAATCTTAAACATAGCAATCAGAAAGACAATTTTTTAAAAGTGGCAAAACACTCACAAAGCAGAATTGTTGCAAGAAATCATTTACTCAAAAATTATGTAGTAAATGCCTCTCCAAGGGTAAAGATATACAGGTGTGAGAGCACAATCTCTACTATCAGGTACATAATAGGTGACCAATTAGTGCAAATTCATTATTGCTGATTTAAGTAAAGTACTTAATAGTAAGCTATTTTAAAGAAATTTGTTCAGATTAGTGATTATTCTCATGGATTAGTACTTAACAATTTACAATTAAACCAGTAATAATACTTAAATGCAACAACTGGGCAAACTATTGCTTGGAAATTCACTGAGAATTGATCCACATTTTGAAACATCACATCACTGACAGCAGTGCTGCTAGTGGTATTTAAAATCATAAGGAACACTTGAATTTATTATTTCAATTATTTAATAAAGTTTTTACTGAGCACATACCATGTTTCAGGCATAGCTCCAGGTACAAAGGAAATAGCAGTGAACTAAGTAGAATAAACACATGGCTTTCTGAAGTTTACATAACCTTCACTTATAGCTACAACTTCATTGTAATTACACCTAGGGGTTTAAGTATCTGATTATTTCATTATGTCTTCTAGTGCTGTTACGTTGAGCAGTTTTTTAGAGAAATATTAACTTTATTAGTTGTCTTTACTCCTCCTTTATACTACATTTAGGGCACTGTATTTTTTAATTATCTGTGTAGGTATTATGTGTATATTTAATTTCAGGATAGTAGAGGGAGCATTCCACATTATTTATTATCAAAGTAAGTATTACATCTGATGGAATTGATAACAACTTCATTAAAGTACACACATTCTTACTGTCAAGAAAGTGATAAGGTCCTTGGGATCCATTATATGGATGGCAGCCTGGAGATTCTACAGTAAATATCCTGGTATCTTCAAAAAGATGTAATGCCAACTTAAAAATAAATATAAATTACTTCTAAAATCACTTTATCACCAAAGAGAAAAATATGGTATAAACATCTATGAAGTTTCTCAACTAGAAAATATTTGTTGTTGTTGTATTTCCGAAGTAATAATTCTCTATATCTCTATAGTGGGGAAAATATCCAATGCTTCAGTTGCTAATTTGCCCACACCCCTTTCTTCAGTTATTGAGATAGTCTGACAATTCTTACTGTCTTTTAATGACCCAATTCCCTTACATAGGCCAGGATCTCCACATTCATTTCTCAGTTGGAGGTCTTCATTTGCATATTCTGCAGATATTTCAAATCCCAAATGTAACTCATTTTCAATTCCTTTACCCAAATTTACTCTCTATCTTTTCTCTCTCTGAAAATGGCATGAGGACATCCACCCAGTTGAATAGTTAAAGACTGAAGAATCACCCTGAATGCCTCCTTCTCACTTGTATCCAATCCATCTATCTCCTGATCTGCTGTGAAATTCTCATCACCCTATTCCTATTGATACTACTCCATTTTAGAGAATCATCATTCCTAGCCTAGATGGCCAAAAAAGCTTCATAAGTTGTCTCCTTGCTTTGATACCATCTGATCTTGCCTATTTCTCATCCACTTTCCTCTTTGTAGCATCCAAAGTAATCCTTCTAGAAAGGAAATCTGATTATGTCATGTACATGTTAACAATCTTTTCAGTGGCATCACATTACCTCTGGATTAAAGTTCAAACTCTGAAACAGGATCAGATTTAATTCTCCAGGTTCTATTTTCCTTATTTTTAGTTCTTTACTCATAAACTCCTTCTCATCATTCAGGCTTCCTTGGAGGTGTCACTTCCATCATGGAATCTTGGATCACCTACCCAGGTCTAGGATTGATAGGTTTCCTACGTGCTCTCAAAAAATACTGTCTTGACAGGGCTTATCACAATATGTAGCAAGCAACACTTGGTCTCTCACTTGTCTTATGGGCATAGAGGTGTTCAATATGTTAGTTAAATTAATATGTAAAAGAGCTATTATTAAATAGTAAGGTAAGGTATATTCAGTTATAATATTGAATATATTTTGAAATATATAAACAGGTGTTTTTAGTTATAAGACTACTTTTAGAGCAGTTTTGTCCTATAGAAAAATTGAGCAGAAAGTACAGAAAGTTCTCATATGTACTTGCCTACCCCAGTTTCCTCTATTATTAATATCTTGCATTTGTATAATACATTTATTACAATTGATGAACCAATACTGATACATTGTTAGCTAAAGTTCATTGGTTACATTATAATATATTCGGTTTTCTATTTTTTCTTTGTTTCTGGTACTTCAGAATAAATCAGAAAATTACATTGTGTATTTTATAAACATAAATGAAATTTCTGAATATTTGAGCCAAAAATGGGCAAACACTGGTGATATTTGTCTAATATACTTAATTCAGTAAACAAATATTTGTAAGTACCACAAATATGTGAAGGACAGCACTAGATTCTGAGGGCTCAAAGCTGAATAAGACAAAGCCCCTGCCCTTACTGAGCTCCAAGAAGAAGAGAAGATGAATGAGTAACCTAATAATGTAGGGCAAGATGATAGGTCCTGTGATGGGGTATCTACAGAGTGCCACATCAGTGAAGGAGAGGGTTTTTAAAATCAGATTGCATGGAGAATGTGACTAGGAAAAGTTTTCCAGGGGACATAATTATTTGAACTGAATGTTGAAGTTTGAATAGAATTTAGCAGGTAAAAGAGAAGCACAAGCATTTCAGTTTGAAAAACAGCATTTTGCATAACAGCAGTGTGAATGTCGGAATCCTGAAACAACAGAACATAGCTAAAGAGAAGGAGAACAGAAGTTACAACGCAAGAGAAAGAGACATCACTCAGTTAATGAAGGGCCTTCATGTCTAAGCTAAAATTTTGACTTTTATCTTCAAAAATAGAAAGAACATTAAGTGGGAAAATGAGATTATTGGTTTTATTTTATTAAAAAGATCATTCTCTATTGCTAGAGGAAAATAAATTTAAAAATGAGTTCATGTATGTTCATACATTTATGCTCAAAATTTTAAGATAAATCACTGGTAGAATAAACATAGGTATATTATTCTCAAATCACTAGAAAACAAAAACGAAAGAAACTTTGAATAGTATAGCAAAATCAGTGAACTGACTGGGGAATAGCATGAAAACTTAAGAGCATAAAATATATAGTAGATAACAGAAGCAAGCCCAACTGAAAAAAAAAAAAAGTGTTAAACCCTACTACTTGAAAACTCGGGAATTAGATTGCAAAACAAAAAACAACGAAAATACATGAAGACTGATAGCTAAATAATATACAAAATGAAAAATAATGTGACATAAAGAAAATTACAAATAAAAGCATTAGTGGCAATATCATATTGTACAAATATCATCATTTATAATCATCATAGCAATTCTTTGTTTAGCATGTTGTCAGGTATTATATGAGGATAAAAGGTGTACTGTAACATGAAGATTTAGCTATCAAAAGTCATCTATGAGACAAATAATATATCTCTGAACTATATTAAATGTTCAAAATAAAAAATAAATGGGAAAATAATTATTTTTCAAACTTTCTGAAGATAAAATAATCAGAAATCAAATGAAGAAATTAAGAAATTGAATAATATAATTAATGTTTTAGTTCCTAGGCAGAAAATATATATTTTTAAAAAATATTTTCAAATACTCATGAGGTATTTTTAAATATTGATTATATCCTGGGTCTTAAAAAAACTCAAAAGGAAAAGAATAAATCATAACAATTCTACTTATCTTATTTCAGTGAAATAAAAACATTAATAACAAAAGCATTACTTAAGGAACATATTAAATCACATAGGAACCAAAAATAATAACCTAAAGAACTCTTGAGTCAAAGAGGATATCAACTTCTCAAGACAGAATATATCAAAAAGTAGGAAACACAGACAAATATGATATGCACTCTGAAAATTTATGCCTGCAAAATAGGGAAAATAAAAATAAATGAGCTAAATATGCCACTCATAGAAATGTGGTAGGCAGAATTCTATGAGACTCCCAAGATTTCTGTCTGTTGATAAACACACACCTTTTCCCATTATTCAATCAAATACCAATTTAGATGCTGTTGTGAAGGATTTTGCTAGTGTAAATTAGGGTCTAAAACCAGCTGACCTTAAGATAGGAAAATTGTGCCTGGCTCAACCATGTCATCTCTTTAAATCTGGGTCCAGAGGTAAGAGACAAGAAGTCAGAGATTCAAAGCATAGGAAGGATTGAACATATTGTTATAGGCTTGAAGATTGAATACAGTGTTGCAGGCTTGAAGACGGAGAGGTCACATAGCAAGGAATGTGGGGGGACTCTAGAAGCTGAGAGAAGCTACTGGGTTGACAGTCAAAAAGAACACCAGGACCTCATTCCTACAAGAGGAAGGAAATGAATTTTGCAAACAAGAATGATCCTGGAGGCTGATTTTTCCTCAGAACTTCCAAAGAAGACTCAGCATAACCAACACCTTGAGTTTAGCCCTATGATACACTGAGAGGAGAAACCAGTGATGTCACGCAAACTTCTGACTTGCAGTGAGCTAATAAATGGGTGTTGTTTTAAGCTGCAAAATCTCCTATAGTTTGTTCGCAGCAATAAATATTAACAGGGAGATAAGAAAGTACACTGAATTAACTCCTATTGATTTAGGATGTTTGCTCTTTTAGCTCAGCTCGGTTTGGGTTATTGTCTCATGACCAGGAAAAATTAGGCACGCAAACCTCAAAGAGTGAGTGGAGTAAAATTTAAGGGAAAGAAAAGCTCTCAGCAAAAACAGGTGACACGGGAGGGGTGGGGTGGTTCTCCTACCTGAAGACAGGAAGGTTTTCTAATGTGGTGGAGCCTGGGGCTTTTTATGAGCTCAGAATAGGGAGTGTGTGCTGATTTGTTTGTGAGTATGCAAAAAAGGTCAAAGTGAAGAACACCATTCAAAGATGGGCACTACAGTGTAGAAAAACAATTAAGAAAGGGTAGGGATATGTAAAATACGTGAAGGATGGGGATCAAGGTCAGAGGATAGTGCATGAAACAGGAAGGCAGGTTCTTAATGGGGTCCAAGGATTTACCAGGAACAGTTTCCAACTTGAAGATTGGGTTTCATTGGGACCTGCCCCTATCTGCCTGGGCATCTGTCTGCCTCCTGCCTCGATCACTATGAAATCAGTAGAAAGGAAGTTGTAAAGATAATAACATAAGTAAGGGAAGTTAGAAATGAAAATACATCTAATGCTAGTTATTTAAGAACTATAATGAAATAGATAAATCTCTAAAAGATACTCATGGGAAAATGCGTGAGAATAGTAATTCACAATATTAGTGTATGAAAGGTGATACAATCACTGTCATAGAAATGTTTTTTCAGATTAATTACATACATGAAATTGTGCTTAAGACATTTAAACACTAAGTGAAATAGTAAACTTTTTGTCATAAAGTTAGGTTATTATACAGAATAAAGAAATTGTTCAAATAGTTTCATGACCCAGATGGTTTCATAGTTGAGTTTCTACAAACTTAAAAAAATTATTTTATGATATATTGATGAACTATAGTTGTATATATTTATGAAGTAAAAAGTGGCATTATAATTTTTGAATGTAATATGAAAAGTTTAAATTAAGCTAATAAACATATCCATCACCTCAAATACTTAATATTCTTTTGTGATGAGAACATTAGAAATTTACTTGTTATGATATCGTAATATATAAATTAATTATTAGCTATATTCATCATGTTGGCAATTAGTCAAAAAAAAATCAAAGTTATTCTTCCTTACTGAGGCTTCACTATCATTTCCCCACTACCCCACCCCCAGCCTCTGGTTACTATCATTCTACTCGCTGCTTCCATGAGTTCAGTTGTTTTAGATTCCACATATAAGTAAGAACATATGGTATTTGTCTTTTTATGTTTGGGTTATTGTACTTAGCATAATGTTCTTCAATTCCATTCATGTTGTCACAAATGATTGACTTTCTCCCTTTTTAAGGGTTGAATTGTATTCCATTGTGAATATATTATCACGTTTTCTTTATTTATTCATCCTTTGATGGACACATTAATGGTTGATTTCATAATTTGACTATTGTGAACAGTGCTGCAAACTTTTAAGAAGACACAATTTCTTTGCTTTTCAATCCCTTCCAAGACACGGAGAAAAGAACAGAAACTTTCTAATTAATTTTTTAAGCTAGGATGATGCTGTTAGCAAGCTTGTAATAAATATTAAATAAACAGAACAAAAAAAGATACAGCAATCTACAGACAAATTTAGGTTATAGATAGAGAGATACAAAGTGAAAGATATTAGTAAGTCAAATTCATCAGAGCTTTAAATTCAGAAAGTACCATTATTAAGTGATAGTCTCTGAGAAGATTCAAATATTTTTCATTATTCAAAAATAGATTTCCATAATCAATCATATTACACGGGCAAAGCGGAAAATTTTGATGAACTTTTTGACAGATGCCAAGAAATCTTTAATAAATTGAATTCAATTTCTGGTATCAGACACATTTCCTCACTAAATACTATCATGATATGTTTAGTTCAACTAGGCAACAGGAAATATTTAAGCCAACATTATGCATCAGCAAAATCTTAAAAGATGTGTCCACTGTAAAAGTAATAAGAATGCAAAATGAAGTTGGGGAGTAATGGAGTTAAAAGGTCTATGGTTCAAGTAGTATAATGAAAGTGATAAATAATAGCTTGTTTTAAATTGTAATAAGTATAGAATGAGTTATATACTCTCTAGGGTAATCACTACAAAGTAGTTGTAGTTAATGAGTTAATATAAGAAAAACGTTCTCACAATATTTGACAAAATCAAAAGTCATCAAGAAAGCAGTTAAAAAGGGACTTTGCAGGATAGCAGACATAATCACAGCTCTATCCATTATTATTTTAAATGAAAATAGATCAAATTTATTAAGGAAAAAACAATTATGTTTAAGATATAAAACAACAACTATATATTGTTTATAAGAATACACTTTAAATATAAGAATGCAGAATGGTTGAAAGTGAAATAATGGAAGAAAGCATGATAATCACTAACCAACAGAGAGCTAGTTCTGCTGTGCTAATTAATGTAAGTCAAAGTAAGACAATGACTAGAGATAAGAGGGACATTTTAAAATATAGAGTCTATCCAATAGGAAGATAGCACAATACCAAATGGGTATTCATCCACTACCATAGCTACATACTACAGAACCTAAAAAAGAAAAGAATAAATCTGCAATTTTTTTTTTTTGAGACGGAGTCTCACTTTGTCGCCCAGGCTGGAGTGCAGCAGTGTGATCTCAGCTCACTGCAAGCTCCGCCTCCCGGGTTCACGCCATTCTCCTGCCTCAGCCTCCCAAGTAGCTGGGACTACAGGCGCCTGCCACCACGCCCGGCTAATTTTTTGTATTTTTAGTAGAGACGGGGTTTCACCGTGTTAGCCAGGATGGTCTCAATCTCCCGACCTCGTGATCCACCCGCCTCGGCCTCCCAAAGTGCTGGGATTACAGGCGTGAGCCACCGTGCCTGGTCTAAATCTGCAATTATTTAACACTCTTCTCTCTATAACTGATAGAACTGGCAAAACAAAAAATGAGATGGTACGAATAATTAAATTTTTAAACATGAACTAATCGATATATAGAAAACACAACACCTGCGGAAAGCAAGGTATATATTAAGTATACATGTATGAAATTTAACCATATGCTAGGCCAAAAAGGTAGCTTCAACAATATCTAAGGATTGAAGTTACTCAGTTATGCTATGAGAAGAAATTAATCTAGAAGTCAATAATAAAAATAAAATTAGAAACTTCCCAACTGCATAATATTAAATAATACATTTCTTAGTATTTCAAGGTTTAAGTAAAAAAAATCAAGCAAAGTAGAAAATATTTTGGTGTGATTTATAATGAAAATATAACAGTGTAGAATGTATGCAAGATATGGAACTTCTGCTCCTAGTCAAGCTGAATTTACCTTTCCTTCTTAAACAACTAGGGAATAGGGGGAAAAATATGAAACAAATGTTTTCAGACATTTATTGCAGGAATTCAACAGATAGTGCAGGAATATGATCCATGCGAGAAGGCTATTAAACAAAGTGAGGCCTACAATTACAGGCACTAACTCTGTGGAAGCATTTTCCAACTGGCAGCACCAGATTTAAGGTCTTGCTGAATTGAGGAGACAGAGAAGAGAGTTCAAGAGGCCACAGCAGCAAGAATTTGTGGGGAAGGTCTAATTCTCTTATTACATTCTTGCTGTTTGTTATGGTTTGTGATAAAATAAGTACAGAAGTGAAGATCAAAATTTAGAAATTCATTAATCCAATTTAAATTAGATAAATGAGGAAGTAAGAAATATGTTCATTTGCCACCTTTGAAAACTTTAAATATTGATGTCCATGGTATTCATTCAAGATGTGCAAAAATGTATTTGGCACGGGAATTGTTTTACATATAACTGTTTGTTCAGTTACAATTGAGAAAAGAAAAAAAATATGGGCATAATAGTGATTCTCTACCTACATACACATTTTAAATGAACAATTTGAAGAGTTTCCATAGTTCCCTTTTTCCTATGAAATGTTGTTTTGGTTATATTTATTGAAATGTAATTTTATCCCTGATAAATCAAAAACTAAATAATTTAGACTTGTATTTTGGATGTCTTTTTTATTTTATTTTTGTAGTAATTCACTTTTTTTTTCTCTTTACAAAAATATTGGTCTCTGATGGACTGGGGAAACAAACAAACTAAACTCTGATTCTTCACCTGTTTGAAATGCCCTGTCCTGAAGAGGGAACATGTTTCTCTTGTCCAAACTTCTTTAGTATTATTTATATCAGAAAGTTAGTTCAATACTGTACATATACTATGCTTAATACATATTTTTGGTTAAGGCATTAGGGAGAACTCAAGTTAATTAGATTAAATAATTGCAGAAACCAACGATGGTATCAATACAGCATCATTGAAACCAAAATAGTTTATGAAAATTTTACCTAAAGTACCTTTAAAAAAATTGTCTTTTGCTAGACTGATGAAAATAATTGTTGCTGTTGAATTGTGGACAGAATACTATTATTTTAAAAATCATTTTTAGATTTAATTTTACAGATTTTTAAGCCCAGTTATTCCCCATTTGTCAGTGGACATAAATGATTTGGACTGAGAAAAATTAACACATACATCCCTATAAGAATCCTGATAGCATGTTAAGTACCTGGCTCAGATGCCTTATATTGGAGGGCTATGCTACACTTCAGTTTGCCTTGCCCTTAGCTGTTTTAGTTTGGCCAGTAATTCTTTTTGTCCTATCTAGTCCTAGAGATGTCTCTGAAAATTAAAGTCCTGAGAAATACAGCAGACATATTTTCCCTGTAGTTCCTCAGGTGCATAGGGCATATTTTTGCCTGTTTGCATATTCATGTATTCAGATGAAGTCCTTGGTGCTTTTATCTCCACTGTATAACCTTGGCACATTAGGGTCAAAGGGCGCAAGTGTAGAAAGGAAATTTATGACACAGGTCTGGAGTTATTTAATAAATCAAGTTGTATTTCATCTGCATGTCCACAAACAATTACACACACACACACACACACACACTCACACAACCAGTATGGAATTGGGTGTTACCTGACTTTAGCTGTTCCAAAAGGCATTATAATGTTTTATGTCTAAATTCCAAAAGGGTACTCTTGGAATTCTTCTACTTGTAAGGCTGTTTATAAATGCTTACATGAATGCATGGTTAATATATGTTCTAAAGACCCTCGTGAGACTAAAATTTACCTGTTTTTCTGTTCTCCTTGGTCAGAATCAGGCAGTCTGACAGCCTGACAAATAATATCAGACAACATATATAAAGGTCTTAGACACTGCCTGCCCAAGAAATGTAAACTGTTAATGGGATAGGAGAGGAATGATCAATCTGCTTAAGTGATGTATGTCATGGGTGGTGGGCAGTTGGGGAGGGCTTCATGGAATCAGAGGCCCTTGATTCATTTCTCTTTTTCATTCAAGAATTATATACTGAGTGTGGAATCTGGGCCATATGTTCTTCTAAGCACTGGGGATAAAACAGAGAATAGAGTAAATATTGTTACTCTTTGAGCATATATTTTAGTCCAGGAGATGAACAATAAAAATTAAAACACACACACACACACACACACACACACACACACACCCTAAATAATATAATTTCAATAAGTAGTAAGGGTTATAAAGAAAATAAAGTAGGCTCATGTGATAGACAGTGACCAGGTTGTCTACTATGGTATTTTCCACAGGATCTCAAGGAAAGCCTCTCTGAGGAGAAGCTATCAAGCAGAAATCTAAATGATGTGACTGAAGCTTCTCAAGTTCTAGTGGGAGATTTTTCCAGAAAGAGGGATGGAATTTGGCAGGTGTGGGAACAGCAGGAAGGTAGTTTGGATGGACAGGGAGGAACCAGATTCCAGGGTACTGGGCACTGGTAAAGGCTGGGATATCATTCTAAGTGTTGGAAGCTCCTGGAAGGTTTTAAACAGAACTTTTTTCAAGTTATATCCAAGGGTCATTTGGTTCAATCTGCTCTATCTTCTAAATTTATATTTCTATTTCCCATAATAACTGATTTACAAGATGACAACCATGAGGCATCACAGTGTTCTGAATCATTGGAAAAGGTTCCGTGATGTCCACTACCATGGTGCTTTCTAAGGCAAGAAAAAGTACTAAGACTTCTCCAAAATATAATCTGCAATACTGACTGAAATATACAGAGGACCTAGTTAACCACTGTATTTAGTTTTTTAGACTAAGATATTACCTAAGGATCCTAATTAAGCCAGAATGTATAAAATCCTTTTTGCAGAGTATCTGAGAGGTTGAATGCACTATCAACATGGTGACTCATTCCTTACCTTTCATTTATGAACCGTGGCAAAGAAAAAATTCCCATGACAAGCACTGCTTTGACAGTTTACTCTCCTTCCCTCAACTTAAAAGACTAACATCAGATTCCACATTTTTCTCTGAATAGTGAACTGCAACATTTTGAAGGATGTCTGTGTCATCTACACCCTCCAAAATACCTTGACTTTTATTTTAAGCATTTAAGTGAGTCAGAAGGCACATCTGTTCATTAGGGTATCATCGTAGTGTTCAACAATATTAATTTATTCAACCAATATGTATTCAAAATCTGCCACTTGTTTGACCCTTCAGCAAACACTGGCAAAAGAAGCTAAATGGAAACCTATATATCCTCTTGTTTTTGTAGTGTTTACCTTCTAGCAAAATAAAAAAATATGTATAACAACAAATATCCATCAATGAATTATGCCTACACAATTATTAAATTTCAATTCTGACAATGACCACAAAGGGGAGGTCCTCAGTGGTACAAAACCCTGTTGCAGGAGGATGTGACTTAGCCAAGGAGTAATATAAGACTCCATAAGAAATGATAGCTGACATGTGGCTGAGAGATAAGCAGTGTGAACTACTAAGAAGGGAAGGGAAGGAAAAACATCTTGGTAGAGATAATTGCATGTGTAAGATCTTCATGGTGGGAGGAAGCATGGCTGATCTAGAGTGATGGCTCCAGGGAAGGAAATGATAAGGAAATAATAAGAGAAGAGCTGGAAAGGTAGACAGTGTTCACATCATTTATTGTCTTTTGGGTCATTTTATCTTTTTATCTTGAAGTTCTTCATGGCCATCAATTTAAGAGGAATGGAAAGCCATTGAAGGGTTTTAAGTAACAGTGGAAATAATATGAGCAGACCAACATTTCAAAGATCACTTCTGCTATAGGGTGGAGAATGAACCGTCATCCTCCTGCCATTTTCTGCATAGCCTTCCTAAATTTACACTTCTTTGGAGGCCTTACAGTTCTGAGAAGCACTGAGAATTTTCATTGACATCTCTTGTTCACTTTCAATTCACAGAGATATTTCGTGATTAGGGTTGACTTCAGAGTCAGAACTATTGCCACAAAGCAAAATGGAACTATTCATGCCAATTCTTCAGGATTGAAGGGATCAGAAATCTGTGCCAAGGACTCTTAGCATAGATCCACTTGACATGGAGATCCACTCTACTGAAATGGCAGTGGTATCATCAGAGGCACAGTAACATCCAGACGCAATCCTTACTGCCTGTGGTTCCTAGATACCTAGATGACAGTTTGAAGACTTCACTACGGTAACCTTCTCCACATTTTGAGTTGAGACATTACCTATGATTGCCATAAACACCCTTTTGTGTCTTAGCCCTTTCCCGTTATGTATTCAAATGTCAATAATGTTTTACTTTCTCAACAAATACTTTTCATTCTATCAGGGAAGGGGAACCCATCAAGCTACCCACCAAGTAGAAAGAGCATTTAGGTTTATTTCATCATGTGTTTCTCACTCCTAATTGTGCCTTTTATCATGCGTTTCATCATACCTAGAACCCTGATATATTTAACAGGTTGTTTGCTTCATACTTAACCTATGCTATATTATTGGTCTCAGACTATAGCTCTTAGAAGGGAGGCAACATGGAAAGAGGAAATGCTATCTGTGTCACATGAAATTAAAAACTTAGAAAATGATTTTTAAGATGATAAACTATTTAATATGGATAATGTTAACTACATCATTGTCTATGTATTTGTTAGGAGGATAAAATTATGTTACCATTTATTATATATCTTAACTTTACTATTTTCTTCTTGATTTATCAATATGTGTCTGACACATATTTATTTATCAACGCAGTTAATATATGTCTGCCCAGGCCTAGATAAAAGATAACATGGCTTTCTCTCAATCTATTCTCTCATTTGAGATAGAGAACCTTATAACTGGTATCAGTTAGTACAGTTTAAATTATGTGGCATAACAAACAATGCCCATTTGGCTCTTGCTCATGGTCAGCACATGTGAATTAGAAATCTGGAGCTCAAACAACCAGGTTATTGAATGTTCTACATTTTTTGATAATTCCATTTTAACACCAGGCTTAGAGGTTTGCATGGCAGAAGAGAATTGGAGAATTAAGGTCAAGTAATTAAGTGCTTTATTGAAGGAGATATTTCTACTTACATTTCACTGGCCAGAACCAATCACTGGCCACACCTAACTTCAAGTAGAAAGGAAAGCATAATTATCTGTGTACTGATAAATGAAAATAAACAATTATTGGGCAACACTAATGGTATCAACCATCTGGTATATTCTGATGATATCATTTGCCAATATTTGGGATACAATAAATGCATTTTTAATTCTGTTTAAATTTTTTATAATTTTTTTCACAACAAAAATGTTCAGTTTTAAAATATATTAATTTCTTCTCTATATATAACCTCTATATTATATAATCTTTATGCTTTTGATGATTAACATTTTTAGTGCTTGTACTTCAGTCAATTACTACAGGACAAAAGCTTTTAAATGTACTTATATTTTATAAGTAAGACTATTAATATTTTTATATTACAGATGAGAACATTTATTTTTAGAAAGATTAATTAATTTGAAGAAGGGCTTACAGCCAGAAAGAGGCAGAGTCAGGATTCGAACCCAAGCCTATTAAATGTATAATTAGTATATAGTATAGGTTCCCTAGTTTAGATTTTAACCCATCTTCTAAGGTTCAGATCAATTGTTCCATCTTCTATAAGGCTCTTAAACCTTTAGCCCTCAACGATCAATCTTTTCCCTCAGCTGTTCAAATGCTTGTTTATATAAACATTTAGTTTTATCTATGCCAGCACTTTTAAACCAAATTTTATTAAATTAAACTGAATCCAATAGTGGTGAATATGTTAATTAAATTAATTATAAAGCAGGTTCTTTTCTCTGGTTTTAACAGTAATGTATTACAAGCTTATGTGTATCTGCTTATTTATTTGCAGAAGAGCTGCCATTCTTTTCTTCAGTAAGTTCCATTTTCTCCATGAGATAATTAGATACAGCAGAATCACCCACCAAAGAATTTTATACATGACCCCCTGTGTGTATGGGCACAAATATTAAGGTACAGATATTAGTGAAAACATACTCAGTACCCTAAAAGCATCTGAGTTCCAAATGAAATAGCAGCATGAACTCCAGGAAAGTGAAACCCCAGCACTGAGTTGAGCTGCTAGTGCCTCATTTCCAAGGACCCTTACCTTAACTCCACTTCAGCCAACCACTCCCACAGCCACCTGTGCACTTGTCTTCACCAGGACATGTCTACTTCTGAATTCATGAATGCAGACATCCCACTTTCTGAGCATAATCTCTTACCAACTCGGACCTCTAGTGGTTACTCCTCCACACTTGTCCATGTAATTTATGGATACTTCCAAATCTTGACCCCTCTCCTTTCCTCCTATCATCAACTTTCTCTTTTTACTTCCTTTCCATCTGGCTTATATTTCGTGATCCACTATTCAACTTACATTAATTTCATGTAAATCTCATAGGAAATCTTAACAGGTCCATGGCTGAAATCACCTTTATTACCCAAACCCACTCTCTTTCCTGTGTTCTAGCAAATTACATTACCGTCCATTCTGTTGTCCTGACCGGAAACCCAAGTGCCATTTCTGAATCTCCCGTCTCTCTTGCCTCACACACCTAGTCATTTACCTGTTGATTTTATCTCCTAAGTATCTTTCAAATTCATCTGTTCCTTCTGCTACCACCCCAGCTGTGCCTTAGATCATAGCCTATGTGGATTGCTGTAATAGCTTTTTTAATGGTTTCCCTATTTTCAGCCTTGTCTCTCTCCAGGCAACTCTCCAGATGTCAATAAGACTGACCCCTAAAAAATACAAATCTGCTCATGTTAAATTCCTATGCAAAACCCTATATGATTTCCTATTGCCCTTCTGATCAATTTGAAATTCTCTAGCGTGGCTCGCAAGCCCTTTCAAGATTTTGCACAGTTAACTTTATAGGCCAGTGTCCTTCTAATCCACACCACCCACTTAATCAGTAGAATTTACTCCTATTGACTTTCAGTCTTTCTACATTACAACCATAAAAAGGAGAAATAATCCCAAGGATGTTGTACATTGTTTCCTACACTGAGAAAACTATTTTTCCTTTCTTTGCCTTTTCTACCATCTTGTCCCTAATTATTTCTCCTCCTTAAGAGGCTATCATAGGTTTGTTTTCTTTTTAGACCCTTAGGTCTGATTTAGATATCCCACTCATGTGTTTTATTGTATACTGAATTTCCCCAAGGATTTCACATGGAATTATATTTGCTGATTTTTCTAATCACTCCCCATGGAATTTGCCCTAAAAATGGTCCCAACATTCCATGCGTCTATTCCAATAAATTTTCCATTAAACCATCCTCATCTATTTTTATATTTCTAGAGGAAATTCCTTGTGCTACCTGCAAACCCATTTTCTGAAATAGTGTTTAAAGGTGCTTTAAATATTTCAGATCCCACAGGAAATATATAAATTTAGAGAGTATATATAAAGCATATCTTTGAAGTATATTTCCTCTACAAAAAATACAAAAATGACAGAAGCAGAAAATAAAGTTCTGTCTTTCACCAATTACAGGTAGCCAAATGTGTCATAGAATTGCAAGTGCTGTTAAGCTTCAAATTATGCATTTTTATAAAAAGGGGTTAATGGGATTTTATACTAAGTTATAAAGTCACCTAGAAGGACAACATTTTTAAGCTTCTATTTTACTGTCAATGACATCCATTTTAATTTTGCTTAGCTTAGAAATTGAAACAAAAAGGAAAGTTTTTTTTTTTCTAATTGCTCACATTGCAAAGTTTAGATTATGAAAAATCAAGCTGTGTTCTCTCTGGTTCAGTATCACCTCAAGTAATAAAGTTTCTGCAATTAGCACTTTACTGACAGTTCGGCTGATGATGCATGAGGCAGGGTGAAGCCAGCTCACTCTTCCATAGCTGTAATATCACAGCGTAGCTAAGGGAAGTGTAATTTTAAAAGAAAAGCCAGCAGATATGTCTTGAAAACACCCAGGGAGCTAATATGCTGAATAAGAAGGTGACATTTTTTACGTAGTTAACTTTTCTGAGTACATCCAAACCATGGCTGCGACTCATGGTTATCAGCATTTTATTCTTAGCTAATGGAGCTTAAATCTTTTGGGTTCTTACAACTGCAAATACAATTACCATTTTATGATTTGTAATTTGTATGTGCTTCATAACTGTCTCCAAATTAACCTGGATCAATTTAACTAAAATTAAAATACTTCCTAAAGTTTGTACCACCTCTATTAAACTGGGCTATTGCAAAACAAATTTGTTTTCTTTCCTACCCCTACGTGGAGACAAAATAATCCTGTGCATATCAATCCAATGCAACAGAATATATTATTAAATGTAAACTAGAGAGCTCTGTGATAAATATTTGAAAATTAACTATTTTTACTTATGCTTTACTAACCTAATTTTTATCTACAAATGTTACCATAAAGACTCTGTAAAATTCATTCCACGTTAAGACAGTCTCTTAATAGTCCCCCAATTTATTTTTACTCTAAATTAGTTGTCTTTTATGTATCTACCCATAACACTTTATTATAACACTTACCTCACTGAAATACAGGTGGTCCTGGAATTTCATTTGACTTTCAGACTGTCTTCTTTTCCTTTATTTTACACCTGTAAAATTGACTTTCATACTCCAGAGAGTACCTTTATGTGAAGTCACAATGAATTTGAAACATCCTAAGGCTCTGCCTCCCAGCCAACAGTTCATCTGGCTCTTTTTGGGATTCATTTATGTTGAAGTGCAAAGCTTCATGGTTGCATAATATTCTCAGAAGCATATATAACATTAATCCACCTTTTTAAAACTTCCTCCAAAATTAAGGACAATACACCTACCAGAAAAAAATCTTCAAATTTAAGCAGACTCCATGGGAAAGGGTGGAAATATTATGCTCAGGAACTCAGTGCAGTGTGTATTGCACTAACAAGAAAGCCACTTGAAGTTGGTTTGGCAAGTTTTAGTACTTTGCTGTTCTAAGGTCTTCCCAACATGAGTGCCGATATGTTTCTTCCCTTTTAGCCAGAGAAATATGTCAGACTCGGAGAGCTGTGAAAAGTATTTGAAAATTGACTATTTTTACTCATGCTTTGCTAACCTATTTTTAATTTACATGCATTATTGCAAGAACTCTGTTTTATAATTCACTCCAAAATATTCACTCCAAGAATTCAGCTCACTTCTCTTTTTTTGTTTAGCTATTTTCAATGCCTATTCAAGAAAGGCTGCTGAAAATCACTAATCATTGCTATGCCCTACACTGTCCAACACACATGTCATAGTAGGAAATTGCTTAGCTTTGCAGCTTCAATTTCTAAAAATAAATGTGTGTACTGCTTTATCAATTTTTGAAAGTTCAATTTGCAAATATACTCTTTTAACTTAGAAAGAGCTTATCTTTTCTGCTTCCTGTAAACGTTTCTTATAGATAGCTAAGAATAAACTTTAAATAGAAGTTTAATGTTGATAAAATGTTCTAGGCATTAGGTTTGAAGATTCTTTTTTTTTTATTATTATACTTTAAGTTTTAGGGTACATGTGCACATTGTGCAGGTTAGTTACATATGTATACATGTGCCATGCTGGTGCACTGCACCCACTAACTCGTCATCTAGCATTAGGTATATCTCCCAATGCTATCCCTCCCCCCTCCCCCCACCCCACAACAGTCCCCAGAGTGTGATATTCCCCTTCTTGTGTCCATGTGATCTCACTGTTCAATTCCCACCTATGAGTGAGAATATGCATTGTTTGGTTTTTTGTTCTTGCGATAGTTTACTGAGAATGATGTTTTCCAATTTCATCCATGTCCCTACAAAGGACATGAACTCATCCTTTTTTATTGCTGCATAGTATTCCATGGTGTATATGTGCCACATTTTCTTAATCCAGTCTATCATTGTTGGACATTTGGGTTGGTTCCAAGTCCTTGCTATTGTGAATAATGCCGCAATAAACATACGTGTGCATGTGTCTTTATAGCAGCATGATTTCTAGTCCTTTGGGTATATACCCAGTAATGGGATGGCTGGGTCAAATGGTATTTCCAGTTCTAGATCCCTGAGGAATCGCCGCACTGACTTCCACAATGGTTGAACTAGTTTACAGTCCCACCAACAATGTAAAAGTGTTCCTATTTCTCCACATCCTCTCCAGCACCTGTTGTTTCCTGACTTTTTAATGATTGCCATTCTAACTGGTGTGAGATGGTATCTCATTGTGGTTTTGATTTGCATTTCTCTGATGGCCAGTGATGACGAGCATTTTTTCATGTGTTTTTTGGCTGCATAAATGTCTTCTTTTGAGAAGTGTCTGTTCATGTCCTTCGCCCGCTTTTTGATGGGGTTGTTTGTTTTTCTCTTGTAAATTTGTTTGAGTTCATTGTAGATTCTGGATATTAGCCCTTTGTCAGATGAGTAGGTTGCAAAAATTTTCTCCCATTTTGTAGGTTGCCTGTTCACTCTGATGGTAGTTTCTTTTGCTGTGCAGAAGCTCTTTAGTTTAATTAGATCCCATTTGTCAATTTTGGCTTTTGTTGCCATTGCTTTTGGTGTTTTAGACATGAAGTCCTTGCCCATGCCTATGTCCTGAATGGTAAAGCCTAGGTTTTCTTCTAGGGTTTTTATGGTTTTAGGTCTAACGTTTAAGTCTTTAATCCATCTTGAATTGATTTTTGTATAAGGTGTAAGGAAGGGATCCAGTTTCAGCTTTCTACATATGGCTAGCCAGTTTTCCCAGCACCATTTATTAAATAGGGAATCCTTTCCCCATTGCTTGTTTTTCTCAGGTTTGTCAAAGATCAGATAGTTGTAGATATGCGGCGTTATTTCTGAGGGCTCTGTTCTGTTCCATTGATCTATATCTCTGTTTTGGTACCAGTACCACGCTGTTTTGGTTACTGTAGCATTGTAGTATAGTTTGAAGTCAGGTAGTGTGATGCCTCCAGCTTTGTTCTTTTGGCTCAGGATTGACTTGGCGATGCGGGCTCTTTTTTGGTTCCATATGAACTTTAAAGTAGTTTTTTCCAATTCTGTGAAGAAAGGCATCGGTAGCTTGATGGGGATGGCATTGAATCTGTAAATTACCTTGGGCAGTATGGCCATTTTCACCATATTGATTCTTCCTACCCATGAGCATGGAATGTTCTTCCATTTTGTTTGTATCCTCTTTTATTTCCTTGAGCAGTGGTTTGTAGTTCTCCTTGAAGAGGTCCTTCACATCCCTTGTAAGTTGGATTCCTAGGTATTTTATTCTCTTTGAAGCAATTGTGAATGGGAATTCACTCATGATTTGGCTCTCTGTTTGTCTGTTGTTGGTGTATAAGAATGCTTGTGATTTTTGTACGTTGATTTTGTATCCTGAGACTTTGCTGAAGTTGCTTATCAGCTTAAGGAGATTTTGTGCTGAGACAATGGGGTTTTCTAGATATACAATCATGTCGTCTGCAAAGAGGGACAATTTGACCCCATCTCTTTTGAGTTAAATTCATTATTTATCTAGGTATTGCCTATTATAAAATAATAGAGACTTCAAGTGCTTTATATATAACCATTAGAAAGATTTGTGCATAAGCCAGTCTCCATAACATAACTGAGATGGGGTTTCACCGTGTTAGCCAGGATGGTCTCAAACTCCTGACCTCGTGATCCGCCTGCCTCAGCCTCCCAAAGAGCTGGGATTACAGGCATGAGCCACCGTGCCTGGCCTTATTTTTTATTTTATTTTTAAAATTTTTAAATTTTTTGGCCAGGTGCAGTGGTTCATTGCTGTAATCCCAGCACTTTGGGAGGCCGAGGTGGGTGTTTTGGGTTTTTATTTTTGTATATATATAAAGGACCCCAAAGGATATGTGTTTCCAATATGATTTCCCTTCCATAATCTGTAACATAAAATAAGGTATACGATGTTCATGGTTAACTTCACCAGTGAGCTTTGTAAAATGTTATCCCCCTATCCCTTTTCCATATCTCCCAATTCTGATCATGTTGCCATTACAGGGGCCAGTGTCATTCAAAGATGTGGCTGTGGATTTCACCCAGGAGGAGTGGCGGCAACTGGACCCTGATGAGAAGATAACATACGGGGATGTGATGTTGGAGAACTACAGCCATCTAGTTTCCTTGGGTGAGGATAGCTTGCTTTCTGAATGCTCTCAGTTGAATGGGGTTTTATGCTTGAGTTTGAAGAAATAAGTGACAACACCACTTAATTCCTTGTGGGCACTAGCTGCAGTGTTTATATTATTCTTCATTGAAAGGTTCTATCTTTGATAAGGTAAAAAATGGAGCATTTCTGTTATGCAGCTTATGAGGTGGCAACATCTTGTACTTCAGAGATTCTGAAGCCGAGCAACTTGCCCAAGTCCTTCTTCTTTTCCCATTAACAAGATATGATATCACCAAGCCAAACGTCATCATTAAGTTGGAGCAGGGAGAGGAGCTGTGGATAACGGGAGGTGAATTTCCATGTCAACATAGTCCAGGTAAGTTAGTAGAGTATCAAATGTTAAAAAATGCTCATCCCAGACCTTTGGGAGTGACTAAAGAGTTGTTTATATGTACTCGGTACCCTCAGTGACACCTCCCAACCCCCAAATATCACTTTCCTTCCCGCACACATACATGAACTCTTTTGTTTATTTTATATTTGATTTACATTGGTAGGGATTTTTTCATTCTAACCTATACTGGGGACCCATTCACTTCCTCTTCCTCCAGCATTATCGGTCACTTATTTACTCCCTCACCATTAGAGAATTGTTGTGGGCTGTTTGTTTGTACAATTATCCTGCCTCAGCCTCCCAAGTAGCTGGGATTACAGGCATGCACCACCATGCCCGGCTACTTTTGTATTTTTAGTAGAGATTGGGGTTTCACCATGTTGGCCAGACTGGTCTTGAACTCCTGACCTCAGGTGATCTGCTCGCCTTGGCCTCCCAAAGTGCTGGGATTATAAGCGTGAGCCACCGTGCCCAGCCTGAATTGTAACACTTTAAAATGGTATGTGGACTGGGTGTGGTGGCTCATGCCTGTAATCCCAGCACCTTGGGAGGCTGAGGTAGGAGGATCGCTTGAGACCAGGAGTTCAAGACCAGTCTGGCAACACAGTGAGATCCCATCTCTACAAAAAAAAAATAAAAAAGTAGCCTGAGTCGGGCCTGGCACAGTGCAGGAGAATTGCTTGAACCCGGTAGGCAGAGGTTTCAATGAGCCGAGATCACGCCATTGCACCCCAGCTTGCCAGCTTAGGCAACAAGAGTGAAACTCCATCCAAAAAAAAAAAAGAACTGTAGGCAGGATAGTTTCATCTACCTGTCTTCATGTGTTCAGTGACTCTCTCTTCCATCTGCTCTAATGAATTCGAAATAGTCTGGTGAATTTTTCATTTCCATTTCTATACTTTTCTTTTTTTTTTTTTTTGAGATGGAGTTTCGTTCTTGTCACCCAGGCTGGAGTGCAATGGTGCGATCTTGGCTCACTGCAACCTCTGTCTCCTGGGTTCAAGCAATTCTCCTGTCTCAGCCTCTCGAGTAGCTGGGATTACAGGTGCCCGCCACCATGCCTGGCTAATTTTTGTATACTTTTCAGCTTCAGACTTTGATTCCTTTCAATAATTTCTATTTTTTTCCTTTCTTTTTTTCTCTAAGCTTTAGTTTGTCTATAATAAATTCTTTTTTTGAGACAGGGTCTCACTCTGTCACCCAGGCTGGAGTGCAGTGGTGCAATCTTGGCTCACTGCAGCCTTGACTTCTCATGCTCAGGCAATTCTCCCACCTCAGCCTCCCAAGTGGCTGGGACTACAGGCGCATGCCACCACACTTGGCTGATTGTTTGCATTTTTTGTAGAGAGGGGGTTTCGCCATGTTGCTGAGGCTGGTCTTCAAATCCTGGCCCCAGGTGATCTGCCCACCTCAGCCTCCCAAAGTGCTGGAATTACAGGCATGAGCCACTGCCCCTCACCTGTCTATAATATTTTCTATTTCTTTATTGATGTTCTGCATTTGTTGAGACATTGTTCTCCTTGTATCCTTTAACTCTTTATTCATCGTTTCTTTTAGCTTTTTGAGCAGATTTCAGACAGCTGATTTAAAGTCTTTGTCTAGTACTTTCAATGTCTGTGCTTCCTTAAAGACAATTTGTTTCTTTTGTGAATGGGCTGTACTCTCTTAATGTCACTGCATGGTTTGTAATTTTTTTTTGAAAATTGGAGTCAGGCACAGTGACTCACACCTCTAATCCCTTTTCCCCAAAAAAAGAAAAAGTAAAATTAAAAAGAAAAAAAGAGTCCAGGCGTGGTGCCTCACGCCTGTAATCCCAGCACTTTTGGGAGGCCGAGGTGGGCAGATTGCCTGAGGTCAGAAGTTCAGGACCAGTCTGGCCAACATGGTGAAATCCCATCTCTACTAAAAATCCAAAAACAGTCAGACACGGTAGCATGCGCCTATAATCCCAGCTACTCAGGAGGTTGAGGCAGGGGAATTGCTTGAACCAGGGAGGTGGAGGTTGCAGTGAGCCGAGATCGCACCACTGCCCTCCAGTCTGGATGACAGAGCGAAGACTCCGTCTCAAAAAAGGAAATCAGACATTTTGAGTATTATAATGGGGTAACTGGAAATTATTTTATCCTCCCCACCACCCCTGGGTTTGCTTTTGCTGTGGGCTGTAGCTGTTTGTTCAGTGACTTTCTAAACATTTTTGCAAAGTGTGTCTTCTTTTACATGTGCGGTCTCTGAAAGTCTCTCTGCCGTTAGCTTGTGTTCAACTAGTGTTTTAACAGAGATTTTCTTGAATGCCAGAAGCCAAAGGTAAAAAAAAAAAAAAAAAAAGAAAAACCCAGCTCTTTCCGTCTTTGTGGATTGCCACTGTGCTGGGGCACTGGAGCAGTCCTTCAGGGCTTAGCCAGTCTGTGTACAACTTTTTATTTATTTTTTTGAGGTGGAGTCTTGCCCTGTCGCCTAGGCTGAAGTACAATGGCACGATCTCGGCTCACTGCAGCCTCTGCCTCCCAGGTTCAAGTGATTCTCTGCCTGAGCATCCTGAGTAGCAGGGATTACAGGCTTGTGCCGCCACGCCTGGCTAATTTTCCACCACACCCGGCTTACTTTTGTATTTTTTAGTAGAGACGGGGTTTCACTATGTTGGCCAGGCTGGTCTCGAACTCCTGGCCTCAAGTGATCTACCCGCCTCAGCCTCCCAAAGTGCTGGGATTACAGGCGTGAGGCACCGCACCCGGCCCAGTCTGTGTACAGCTTTGCCCTAGGCTTTACTCCCTGCCTGCAGGGAGGATGGAGAGGAGCCACAGATGAAAGCTCAGCATCCTTTCTCAGGTCTATTCTGAGAATGTGCTCTGCACTCAGCATGTGCATGGCTACTGAAATTCCATAGTACACATGGGCAGGTCCGAATTTCAGTGCCCAAATTTCCCATAGAAACTCTCCACAGCTTCTTCTCCCATGCTGTCAGCACACCTATAGTTTGCCTCAACTGTAATCTTTTGCCTAGGCATCAGCAGGGTATGCATTTGATTTACAGTGTTTTCAAGGAATACCCTCTGTGTAGCCACTTTTCTGCCCTGTGTGAGTTCTGGGTTAGGTGAAACAAAGGCAGCTGCCCTGTATCAGTTCTTTTGGCAGCCCTCAGGCAGCTGAGAACAGGAAAACACAATGCTTTGAGAATAAGGTCTGCTCTGCTGCCTTCAATACCAGAAACCACGCTGGGAATGTGGGCTGCCATCTTCAAGGTTCCCACTGAACCATGGAAGGTTGTGGGGCAAGGGCAAGTAAAATAACCCAGTTTTCCTACCATTTTGAAGTTGCTTTTTTCTTGATTCAGTGTTCATTTGGAGTATTAGTCAGTTTTCACACTGCTGGAAAGAACTGCCTGAGCCTGGGTAATTTATAAAGAAAGGAGGTTTAATTGACTCACAGTTCCACTTGGCTGGGGAGGCCTCAGGAGACTTACAATCATGGTGGAAAGCTAACAAGAAAGCAAGTACCCTCTTCACTGGCTGGCAGGAGAGAGGGGAGAGTGCAGGGGAAACTGCCACTTAAAAACCATCAGATCTCGTGAGAACTCCCTCACTATCACGAGAACAGCATAGGGCAAACCGCGCCCGTGATCCAGTCACCTTCCACCAGGTCCCTCCTTGACCCCTGGGGATTACAATTCAGGATGAGATGTGCTTGGGGACAAAGAGCCACATCAGATGATCTGGTTATTGTAAACCTTTGATTATTTTGATTATTTTTCTACAGTTCTCATGAAGTTGATTCAGACAGTTTTGCTTGGTTTATCAATGTTTCTGTGGGGGGATGGGGACTTGGAGATACCTACTCTGCCATTTTTGCTGATACCAGTCAACATGTTATATTTTCACTTTTACATAATTCAATATGTTTTCCAGTTTCCCTTGCGACTCACTCTTTGACCCATGAATTATTTAGAAGTGTATTTAATTTCCATGTGTTTAGAGATTTTCTGGTTTCTTTTTTAAATTGATTTAGTTTAATTATTTTACAGTCACAGAACATATTTTGTATGATTTCAGTTATTTTACATTTCTTAAGATTTGTTTTGGCCGGGCATGGTGGCTCACACCTGTAATCCCATCACTTTGGGAGGCCGAGGCAGGTAGATCACCTGAGGTCAGGAGTTTGAGACCAGCCTGGCCAACATGGCAAAACCCCGTCTGAAAAACACAAAAATTAGCCAGGCGTGGTGGTGCATGCCTGTAATCCCAGCTACTTGGAAGCTGAGGCAGGAAAATTGCTTGAACCCAGGAGGCGGAGGTTGCAGTAAGCCGATTGCACCTCTGCACTCCAGCCTGGGTGACAGAAAGAGACTCCATCTCAGAAAAACATTTGTTTTATGACCCAGGTTCTGGTAAATCTTGCTGAATCTTCCATGGGCAAAGAATGTGTACCCTGCTGTTGGTGTGTGAAGTCTCCTGTAAATGTCAGTTAGGTTCCATTGGTCGATGATGGTGTTCAGTTATTGTATTGTTTGCTGATTTTCTTTGCTGTTTTTTTCCTGTGAATGGTCTAAGCTTCCTATTTCCTGTTTCTTTGTATATTTTGTAGTTTTTTGTTGAGAACGTTGCATTTTAAGTGTTACAATGTAATGACCCTCAAAATGTGATTCTCTCAGACACCTGGGATTGCTGGGTTTTGCTTGTTGAGGTCTGGAGCTCCCCTTTTGTTACTTTTCCAAACTATTTTTGCAAAGTGTTTCTTCCTTGTGCTTGTGTGGTCACTGAAATTTGTTTCATTATCTCTGCAGTCAGCCAGCCACCTAACATGGATTTCCTTAAATAGGTGGCTTTAAATGGGGTGGGGCAGAGGAGGATTTTGTCTCTTTAATAAAATCTTCTGAAGGATGTCCCTGGGGAAGCCACTGTTGCTGAGAGGGCCAAATAAACCAAGGCAAGCATCCGGGCTGGTCCTCAGAGACCCATTGGACCCACCAAGGTGCAGAACCCACGGTTTTGGAGGACAGAGTTCTGCTGCTCGCCCTGGCATCAGCCAGCTGCTTCGGGAACTCAGGCTCAGGAATGGGGGAGTGTTGGCTGGTTGGCACATGCCACTCACTCGTGAAGATCAGCAGCCTCTCTCTTCATTGTTTAAGTATGTCTCTGGTTGTTAGGAGTTCCTGGTCATGTTTCAGAATTCCAAAAGAGCTGATTCCAATCACTCTTTCTAGCTCAGTGGTTGCTTCAGTGAAGGGACTGATCTCTACACTACAGCTTCCTACTCTGCCATCTTATGTGACTATTGATATTTATTTATTTATTGAGACAGAGTCTTACTCTGTTGGCTGGAGTGCAGTGGTGCAGTCACGGCCCACTGCAGCCTTGACCTCCTGGGCTTGAGTGATTCTCTCACCTCAGCCTCCCGAGTAGCTGGGACTATAGGTGTGTGCCACCATGCCTGGCTAATCTTTTTTTTTTCTTATTCTTTTTGTGGAGATGGGGTCTCGCTATCATGCCCAGGCTGGTCTCAAACTCCTGAGCTCAAGTGATTCCCTCCGCCTCGGCCCCCTAACGTGCTGGGATTATAGGCATAAGCTACCACACTTGGCCATGAGTCATTTTTAAAAAAACAGATTCCAACAACCTTTTTGATTGCTGTGTTTAGAAGATTTATATTTAATTTTGGACGGGTTTTTATTATCTATTTTCTACTTGTTCCCTCTGGGTTTTTTTATACCTGTTTCCCTTTTCTTGCCTTTTTATGGGGTACTTAGACATTTCTTAGTATGCCATTTAACTTCATATGCCGTGCTAAATCAATTCAGTATGCCATTTAGTATATATTTTTGTATAGGATTTTATAGGTGGCTGTAGAGATTATATTATACATACTTATGATCATTGGCTAGTATCAACCTTTTACCAATTCAAGTGGAATGTAGAAACTCTACTGCTTTCTAGGCCCCTCTGCCCTTCTTTATGGTATTGTTGTCTTGAATATCACCTCTACATTCATTGAGAACCACTGAGATAATGTTATGGTTTTGCTTTTGCCCATCAAATATAATTTTTAAACTCGAGATTATATTCACCCAGATATTTACCCTCTTACTGCTTTTTTAAATTTCTCTTTTTTAATTTAATTTTTATACTTTTTCTTCTGAAAAAAAATCTCTCTGGATTTTTCTTCATTTCCTTTTTTTTTTTTTTTTTTTTTTTGAGACAGAGTCTCACTCCATCGCCCAGGCTGGAGTGCACTGGTGTGATCTCAGCTCACTGCAACCTCCACCTCCCTGGTTCAAGTGATTCTCCTGCCTCAGCCTCCCGAGTAGCTGGGATTGCAGGCATGCACCACCATGCCTGGCTAATTTTTATATTTTTAGTAGAGATGGGGTTTCACCATGTTGACCAGGCTGGTCTTGAGCTCCTGACCTCAAGTGATCCTCCTGCCTCAGCTTCCCAAAGTGCTGGGATTACAGGCATGAGCCACCGCGCCCGGCCTCTTCAGATGTTTTTTGGGCACTGCACTCTTTTTCCTCTCCTTCTGGGAATTCAGTGACATGAATGTTAGAGCTTTTGCTGCTGTCTCATTGTTCAGTTTTTTTTTCTATTTGTTTTCTCTCTGTTGGTCAAATGGGATTATTTCTACGTAATTTTTTTTCTTATGGCAAGATTGTCACGATACAGATTGAATCATTTCTGCTGCTCTATCATCAAGGTCACTAATTTTTTTCTCTGTTGTATCTCCATTCTGCTATTGAGTTCACCCATTGAGTTTTTTACTTAGTTATTGTAATTTCTAGTTCTAAAATTACAATGTAGTTCTTCCGTATATCTTCAATGAGACGTTATATTTTTCAGTGTGTTTCGAGAGTGTTCATAATTACTTCTTGGGCCATTTATAAGATAGCTCATCTAAAATCCCTATGCAATAATTCCAACATCTTTGTCATCTTAGTGTTAATTGTCTTTCCTCATTCAGATTTTTTCTGGTTTTTAGTATGAGGAGTAATTTTTCTGGGTTCGAATTTTTCTGGTTCTTAGTATGAGGAGTAAGTTTTAATTTTATCCTGGACACTTTGAGTGTTATGTTATGAGACTGTAGTTCCTGTTTAAATATTCTGTATTAGCAGGCACTCAACCTGTTTAGATTCAGGATGCACTTTCTGTGGCCAGCAGGGCTCTGGTTCTAAGATCAATTTAGTTTTCAAAGTTTTTGCAGAGCTCCTCTGGCCTCCCCCACCTTTGTGCAACCCAGAGGCCAATTTGTTTTTGTTTTTGTTGTTGTTTGGAGACAGGGTCTTGCTCTGTTGCCCTGGCTGGAGTGCAATGGCCCAGTCATAGCTCACTGCAGCTGTAATCTCCCAGACTCAATCACTCCTCCTCCTCAGCCTCTTGAGTAGCTGGGACCAGAGGTACACACTACCACGCCCAGCTAATTTTTTATATTTAGTAGAGACAAGGTCTCACTCTGTTGCCCAGGCTGATCTTGAACTCCTGGGCTCAAGTGTTCCTCCCATCTCGGCCTCCCACAGTGTTGGGATTACAGGCATGAGCCACCGCACCCAGCCCTGGAGGCCAGTTTGAAACCTCAGAGTATTCCACATTGCCGTTGAGCTCTCAGAGCTTTTGCTGTGTTGATCCTGGTTGTTTTCACACATGGGCACTTGGAGGGCATGGCCCAGGACTTCCTACACATATTTAACCCGTTTCCCATTTGGGAAAAAAAAAGTGCAGCTTGCTGCTAGTGCTCATTTAATTTTACATAAACACACTTTTGAGGCTGAAGTAAATCTGACTGATTCTCAATGCGAAAATAAAATATGAAAACTGGGTTTGGCCTTCTTCCAAGTGTACTTTCCTTCCCTTCCTTCCTTTCTTTACTGCTTTAAAGCTTTTTAATAAACTTTCACTCCTGTTCTAAAAGAAAAAAAATATATATCAACTGTTCTTGGAGTTATTATTAAACAGAACTTGTCTTTAATCCGAATGTAACAGAAATGTACATGACGTTATATTAGGATTAGAGAGGAGTATTCTGCGGTGGGTGGGACGGGGAACGGGAAATGGGTTGGAGAATCCTTGCTTCTAGCTCCTCACTGTCTTTGAGAGAGGATGGGGTGCCACCTTGTTACTGTGGTTCAGTCTTGTGCAGGTTGTGGATGGTCAGCAGGGCCCTTCCACACAGTCTTGCCAGTGCTTGGTGGAGAGGGGAGAGATGCCACCTCTGCTTGTGTTGGCCCAAGGTGGGGAGGGTCAACAGGTCTTTGTTCCACAGTGTCTACAGTATCTGGGGCAGGGGAAGGTGCAGCTTTTTTCAGGCTGTTTTCCTAGAGTAGGGTGTGTGTAGTCAAAAGGGCACTGTCCCGCAGGGCCGCCCTCTTCGCTGTCATTTGGCTCGAAAGATGAGGCTCCTTTTGTGGGGGTTGGGGGATGAAGGGGGCACTGGGATTTCCTGGTTGTAGACTCCGCTCTAACAGATAAGACAGGGTATATAGGAGGCCAAAGAACAAACCATCAAACCACCCTGGGAACTCACCACTGGGTCAGCCCTTCTCTTCTCTACCTTTCCAGAATTTGTTGGTTTGATTGATTGGATTGTTGCTTCATGTATTTATTTATTTATTTATTTATTTATTTATTTATTTATTTTTAATTGAGATAGTCTGGCTCTGTTGCCCAGGCTGGAGTGCAGTGGTGCAATCTTAGCTCAATACAGTCTCCACCTCCTGGGTTCAAGCAGTTCTCCTGCCTCAGCCTCCTGAGTAGCTGGGATTACAGGCGCCTGCCACCATGCCCAGCTCATGTTTGTATTAGCAGTAGAGGTCGGGTTTCACCATGTTGGCCAGGCTGGTCTCAAACTCCTGACCTCAGGTGATTCACCTGCCTCGGCCTCCCAGAGTGCTGGGATTACAGGCATGAGCCACTGTGCCCAGCTGCTTCATGTATTTTGAACAGGGGTTTTAGTTGTAATTAGAAGAGAAATGTAATGGGTGTGCTTATTCCATCTCCTATGGAACTGGAAACAACATTTGGCATTGAAAATTGTTGTCTTGATAACCTTCAGGGTGTTACTTCTCATTTTAGCGGCAATACATTTTGCTTCCGTGTGATGAAACATCCTACCCGTTTGCATGTTGATTGTGTCTCATGTCCCATCTCGCAACAGGCAGTAAAACCCCATCTCCAGCCCAAAGCACCTTGCTAAAGAGCCTGCACCGCAGCCACTGTGCCTTTGCGCTCTGGCTCGTGCGACCTCTCCAGATCTTCTTCCTCATTTCGTCTGTTCACTGGGGCCCTCTTCTCCCTGTGACTCGCCTCAGCCTTTTCACTCCTTGCTGGACATGGAGTAGGACTATTGGGAGGATGAAATAGACGAATGTGTGGCAAGCATGTAGGAGAGCCTGTGGCACAGAAGCAGCACTCGGTACATGGTGCTTGTTATTACATCCCTAGTTTTGGCATAGCCTCAGCCTCAAGTAAAAGATAACCCAAACTCCCACCAAAGTACAAGAGTCAGATTCCTGTTCACTTCTGTTTATAAATGAACTTCCTATTTTTTTAAGAGCAGGGTTGCACTCTGTCACCCAGGCTGGAGTGCAGTGGAGCGATCATACCTCACTGCAGCGTTGACTTCCTGGGTTCAAGGGATCCTCCTGCCTCAGCCTCCTGAGTAGCTGGGACTACAGGTTCACGCCACCATGCCCAGCTAGTTGTTGTTGTTGTTTTGGTACAGACGAGATCTCTGCTATGTTGCCCAGGCTAATCTTGAACTCTTGGGCTCAAGCAGTCCTCCCTCTTTGGCCTCCCAAAGTGCTGGGAGTACAGGCATGAGCCACTGCGCCTGGCCTGGATGAAGTTTTTCCTCATGCAGTACTCTGCACACCTTTAGTGAGTGCTCGCCACGCACCATATCCTATGTGAGGGATCAAAAGATAGGCGAGATACAGCCCATGTCTTCAAAGAGCCCACAGGCCAGAGTGGGAGAAATAGACACACAGCACAGTGCAGTAAACTGATAGGAATGCAATGAAAATAGACACGGTAGATATGCAGCACAGTGCAGTAAACTGATAGGAATGTAATGAAAATAGACACGGGCGAGCGGGGACCCCAAAGGGAGGGTGGCCATATGTTTGGGGCTGAGGACAGGTTCCCAGAGGTGGTGACAGTTGGGCTGAATCTTAAAAGATAAGTGGGTTTTCTGGCCCGGTGCGGTGGCTCGCACCTGTAATCCCAGCACTTTGGGAGGCCAAAGCGGGCGGATCATGAAGTCAGGAGATCGAGACCATCCTGGCCAACATGGTGAAACCCCATCTCCACTAAAATACACACACAAAATTAGCCGGGCATGGTGGTGCATGCCTGTAGTCCCAGCTACTTGGGAGACTGAGGCAGGGGAATCGCTTGAACCTGGGAGGCAGAAGTTGCAGTGAGCCGAGATCGCGCCACTGTACTCCAGCCTGGCGACAGAGCGAGACTCCATCTCAAAAAAAGGTCTAAGTGAGTTTTCCCAAGGTGCGTCAAGGCATTTCCCGCAGAAGCAGAATGAGCAAAACTTGAGAGCCACAGACCAGCACGGCGGGTAATTCAGTGTCCGTGTCATCAGTGGTACATGCTTACAGCCGTGTTGAAATTGTGTCTGGAGAAGCACATGAACCAGACTCTCCCTGATTTACAAGGCTCTTCGTCATCGGGTCCCTACTTAACTCTAATTTCATCTCTTGTCTTATCTATAATTTAGTCTGATATCATACATTAATTATATACACTGTACATTGATACACAGCATTTATTTGAAAGACAAACCTCTTGGATGTGACTCTGGAGACAAGACCAGCAGCTCGAGACCATTCAATCCAAGGTATAAAATGGAGGAAAATCAGCTCCATCATGGTCTGAATTGAGGATGAGGCAGAAGAGCAGAGAATAGCTGATGCCCAGGTGGCAGCAACTTCACTCCTTCCCTGTGGAGTTGCAGGGTCTCCCCACCTCCACTGCGTCGGGACATGCCGTGTGCCATCTCTTTATCCATAGCTGCCTCCGGCATCAGCAGAGAAAATCATGGGCAGATGGAGCTTTGGATTAGTTCTTTTTTCCAGTCTTCCTTTACTTTATCTGGATAAGATTGGGCAGATTGAATTTGATCTTCTATACTGGGGCCAGGGAGCAGGGTGGATCTAGACCATGCAGCTTTTCCCTACTGTCACCAGATTGGGAGCAGGGATTGGCTGCCATTGTCCTCTCCAGCCTCTGTGTTCCTGGGACACCGCTGACTGGAGGCTGCTCCTCTTCTAAGGGGGTCCGGCACAGAGCGCCACCCAGAGCACATGGCACCTTCTCTCTCCTCCTGCACCAGTCTCCTTGCCCTCTGTATTGCCATCATATTGAAGCAAACCATCCAACTCACCAGCCTCTCTCTGGAATCCAGTCTCATTGATTCCTCTCCCTGAAACTCTTCCTCAGTCTCCTTTTAGCCCCTCACATCCTCAGCCGAAGATCTCACTTCGTCCCAGAGGCCTTTGCTGACTGACCCCTCAGGTAGGCTAAATCCCCATCCTGCGCTTCCATGACAGCCTGTGGCAGATGCTATTTTCTGCAGGTGGCCACAGCCCTATCTCCCATCCCACACACTCCTCTCATAACATGACCTTGTCACTTCTTCCATCGCGTGGTCGGGGGTATGTCTCTTTTCCTTGAGCCTATGCACATCTTTGTGATTGCCCTGACCAATAAATAAAGTAGGACAGAAGCGACGCTATGAGATAGCCAGGCTGCACTGTAAAAATGTCATGCCTTTCTGCTGTGTTGTCATGGAATGCTTGCACTTAGAAGTAAGCTGCTGGACTGTGATGAAGCCCAAACCAGCCCAAATGGGGAGATTGCGAGGGGCCACATGGACAGGTTCCAGCCCACAGGTCAGTTGAAGTCCTGGCTGACAGCCAGTATCAGCTCCTGGTTTTGTGAATGAAGATGCCTCTAAATGATTCCAGCCCCCTCCCATTGATCACACTTAAGACTCCATGTCTTCCCAGCTGAGGCCCCACATGTCGTGTGGACCAGAGACAAGCCAGGCCTGTTGGAATCACAGAATCCCTGATGATAATGATTGTTTTTTGCCACTATGTTTTAGATTGGTTTCTTATGCAATTAGTAACTGAAACACTTTACTTCTTTATACTCATTAAGGAATGAGACTGTGTCTTTTTTTTTTTTTTTTTTTTTTTGAGTCCGAGTTTTGCTCTTGTTGCCCAGGCTGGAGTGCGATGGCATGATCTCGGCTCACCACAACCTCTGCCTCCCGGGTTCAAGCGATTCTCCTGCCTCAGCCTCCCAAGCAGCTGAGATTACAGGCATGCGCCACTATGCCCAGCTAATTTTGTATTTTTAGCAGAGTTGGGGTTTCTCCATGTTGGTTAGGCTGGTCTCAAACTCCGGACCTCAGGTGATCCGCCTGCCTCAGCCTCCCAAAGTGCTGAGATTATAGGCGTGAGCCACCACGCCTGGCCTGTATCTTTTTTTTTTTTTTTTTAAACTTTTTGTAGAGATAGGGTCTCTCTGTATTGCTGAGGATGGTCTTGAACTTCTGGCCTCAAGCGATCCTCCTACCTCAGCCTCCCAAAGTGCTGGGAGCACAGGTGTGAGCCACCATGCCTGGCCTGACACTGTCTCCAGTGTTTATTGGTGTTTCCTGTGTTGCACAAAGCAGGTGGTGGTGCACTGTCAATAGTGAGTTTGTGAGTAGAAGGTGTGGGTGTCACACAGTTGGTGTCTGTGCGCCTGGAAGCACACACCTGTTTCTGCTTCCAGAGTTGTCTCTGGCCTGCAGTTCTGTGCTTCCTAGCTTGATCCGTTCCTCTCCAGGAATCTCCTCTCCCTCCCCCCCCGACCCACCTGTTGGTGAGAGATGCAACTGACTGTTTCTGCCACACTTTTTACTTACAGGTGGTACCTGTATTATTCTCTCCACCTCTTCAGGGAAGAGGGTGAAGAGATGAGAGGCTAGGGGTTCCAAACACAAACTTGACCCATTTTACCATTTTGTTAGCAATAGTCTTGAGAGAATCAATACAAACTTTAGGTAGCTTGGTACTTTGCCCTTCAGGACAGTTCTTCCCTGGTAATGTTAGATTGTTGGGGTTAACCATTACTGTGCCATTACAGATGAGCTTCGGCTGCCCTCTAGTGGCAGCAGCAACCTGGATCTCGAACAAAGATCATTCTAGCATTGGGACCAGCTTTGTGTCATGAATACGTCATCAGTGCCTACCATATTACCTGACATCTATTCGGAGCTAATAACTAACTAATATTGATTAACAAACTAGCCAACATGCACTGTTTTTTTGTTTGTTTTTGAGATGAGTCTCACTCGCCTAGGCAAGTGGCACGATCTCGGCTCCTCCTCCGCCTCCCACCTCCCAGGTTCAAGTGATTCTTCTGCCTCATCCTCCCTAGTAGCTGGGATTACAGGTGTGCACCACTACACCCAGCTAAATTTTTTGTATTTTTAGTAGAGATGGGATTTCCCCATGTTGGCCAGGCTGGTCTTGAACTCCTGACCTCAGGTGATCCGCCTGCCTTGGCCTCCCAAAGCACTGGGATTACAGGTGTGAGCCACTGCACCCAGCCTTTTTGTTTTTTGAGGCGGACTCTCACTCTGTCACCCAGGCTGGAGTGCAGCAGCGCGATCTCAGCCTACTACAACCTCCGCCTCCTGGGTTCAAGAGATTCTCCTGCCTCAGCCTCCCAAGTAGCTGAGATTATAGGTGCCCACCACCATGCCAGGCTAATTTTTATATTTTTAGTAGAGTAATTCAGTAATTTTTGTATTTTTAGTCTTGAACTCCTGAGCTCAGGTGATCCACCTGCCTTGGCCTCCCAAAGTGCTGTGATTACAGACGTGAGCCATCGTGCCTGGCGCTTTGCCCACTTTTTGATGGGGTTAATTGGTTTTTTCTGGTAAATTTGTTTAAGTTCCTTGTAGTTTCTGGATCTACAAGAATATACAAGATTCTGGATCTGACCTTTGTCAGATGGGTAGATTGCAAAAATTTTCTCTCGTTCTGTAGGCTGCCTGTTCACTTGGATGCTAGTTTCTTTTGCTATGCAGAAGCTCTTTAGTTTAATTAGATCCCATTTGTCAATTTTGGCTTTTGTTGCAATTGCTTTTGGTGTTCTAGTCATGAAGACTTTGCCCATGCCTATGTCCTGAATGGTATTGCGTAGGTTTTCTTCTAGGATTTTTATGGTTTTGGATTTTACATTTAAGTCTTTAATCCATCTTGAGTTAATTTTTTATAAGGTGTTAAGGAAGGGGTCCAGTTTCAGTTTTCTGTATATGGCTAGCCAGTCTTCCCAGCACCATTAAATAGAGAATCCTTTCCCCATTGCTTGTTTTTGTCAGGTTTGTCGAAGATCAGATGGTTGTAGATGTGTGGTGTTATTTCTGAGGTCTCTGTTCTGTTCCATTGCTATATATCTGTTTTGGTACCAGTACCATGCTGTTTTGGTTACAGTAGCCTTGTAGTGTAGTTTGAAGTCAGGTAGCGTTATGCCTCCACCTTTGTTCTTTTTGCTTAGTATCGTCTTGGCTATATGGGCTCATTTTTGGTTTCATATGAAATTTAAAGTAGTTTTTTCTAATTCTGTGAAGACAGTCAGTAGCTTGTTGGGAATAGCATTGAATCTGTAAATTACTTTGGGTAGTATAGCCATTTTCACAATATTGATTCTTCCTATCCATGAGCATGGAATGTGTTTCCATTTGTTTGTGTACTCTCTTATTTCCTTGAGCAGTGGTTTGTAGTTCTCCTTGAAGAGGTCCTTCACGATTTATAGAGTTTTTAAAAAGTCTTTGTCTGCTAAGTCCAATATCTGGGCTTCCTAAGGGCTGATTTCCATCAATTTATTTTGTTACTTTGAATACGTTCCCTTGTCTTTGCATGATTTGCGATTGTCATTGAAACACGGACATTTGAATATTGCAAGGTAGTAACTCTGGCATTTAGATGATTCTTCTAATTTTATTTGCTATGTATTTGTGAGTGTGTCTGTTTTTAATCATTGAAGGCTGTAGTAGTACATACGTTTAGTGACTTCCAAACTATTTTTGCAAAGATTTATCATTTTCATGTGTGGTCACTGAAGTCTCTGATTCTTTTAGCATGTGTTCAGCTCACATTTTGGTAAGAGATTTCCTTGAATACTAGGAGCTAAAAATGGAAGAAAGTACCTCTCCCAGTCTTTGAAGTTTGCCTTTGCACCACAGCTTTCCTTCAGCACTTAGCTAGGCCTGCACTGACCCTCGTGATCAGGCCAAGGTGAAAACTTAGGTCTTTGTCAGGTGTTTCTGAGCAAGCATCCTGCCCTGGGCAAAGCCCGTGTAACAACTGAGTGCTTGTGACTGCCCTGCTTTCCCAGAGGAATTCTCCCCAGCTTTCCTGCTTTCTCAGAGGAATTCTCCCCAGCTTTCCTGCTTTCTCAGAGGAATTCTCCCCAGCTTTCCTGCTTTCTCAGAGGAATTCTCCCCAGCTTTCCTGCTTTCTCAGAGGAATTCTCCCCAGCTTTCCTGCTTTCTCAGAGGAATTCTCCCCAGCTTTCCTTCTCGGATTTAGGAAGTCTCTATTAGTTTGCTCGGGCTACCATAGCAAAATGCCACAGACCATGGCTTCAACAGCTGGAAGTTATTTTCTCACAATTCTAGAGGCCAGAAGTCAAAGATCAAGGTGCCAGCAGGGCTGACTTCTTCAGAGTGTTCTCTCATTGGCTTGCAGATAGCTGCCTTCTTGCTGTGTCTTCATGTGACCTTTTCTCTGCACGTCTCTGGCATTTCTGCTTGTTTCTTTTGTGTTTTTTTGAGATGGAGTCATGCTCTGTCTCCAGGCTAGAGTGCAGTGGCACGATCTCGGCTCACTCAACCTCCACCTCCCGGGTTCAAGCGATTCTCCTGCCTCAGCCTCCCTAATAGCTGGGATTACAGGCACCTGCCACCACGCCTGGCTAATTTTTGTATTTTTAGTAGAGACGGGCCTGGCCATGTTGGCCAGGCTGGTCTCGAACTCCTAACTTCAGGCGATCTGCCTGCCTCAGCCTCCCAAAGTGCTGGGATTATAGGCATAAGCCACCGTGCCTGGCCATCTCTGGCATTTCTTCCTGTTCTTTAAGGACACCAGAGAATGGAACTCAGCTCTTTCCCCTACTGTTGCCGGGCATGGTAGCTCACACCTGTAATCCCAGAACTTTGGGAGTCTGCGGGTGGGTGGATCACGAGGTCAGGAGATCGAGACCATCCTGGCTAACACGGTGAAACCCTGTCTCTATTAAAAAATACAAAAAAATTAGCCGGGCGTGGCAGCGGGCGCCTATAGTCTCAGCTACTCGGGAGGCTGAGGCAGGAGAATGGCATGAACCTGGGAGGTGGAGCTTGCAGTGAGCTGAGATTGTGCCACTGCACTCCAGCCTGGGTGACAGAGTGAGACTCAGTCTCAAAAAAAAAAAAAAAAAGAGAGAGAACAGTGGAGTGTTGTGAGTCTCAACTGTCAGGTTTTGCCCCAGTCCTGTGTAGATTGTTTGCCTTGCAATGTTTTTGAGCAATGCTCACCACTTTTCCAGCCTCAGTGAGTTTCCAGCAAATAGACAGGCGTCTACATCATTCCCTCAGTAGCCCTCAGACGTGCGATAGCAGATTTACCAGTAATTTGAAGGTAAGGTCCGCCCCGTCCCTGTGGAATGCCAAGAGGCCCCACACTGCGAATGCAGCCTTCTGTCTTCAAGACTCCCGTAGAAGCCAGGTGCGGTGGCTCACGCCTGCAGTCCCAGCTGCTTGGAAGGCTGAGGTGAGAGAATCACTTGAGCCCAGGAGTTCAAGGGTAGAGTGAGCCACAATCACGCCACTGCATTCCAGCCTGGGCAACAGAGCAAGATCCTGTCTCTTAAAAAACATTGCCACAAAGGTTTTCTACCTTTCCTTTTTAAGTTGCCTTTTTCTTGATTCAGCATTCATTTGGTTGTTGTAAGGCTTTGGCTGTTTTTCAGAGTTGTTTCTAATAATTATTTGGTTTTTTTTTTTTTGAGACAGAGTTTCACTCTTGTTGCCCAGGCTGGAGTGCAGTGGCGCCATCTCGGCTCACTGCAACCTCCGCCTCCCCGTTCAAGCGATTCTCCTGCCTCACCCTCCCGAGTAGCTGGGATTACAGGCATGTGCCACCACACTTGGCTAATTTTGTATTTTTAGTAGAGATGGGGTTTCACCATGTTGGTCAGTCTGGTCTCAAACTCCTGACCTCAGGTGATCCACCTGCCTCGGCCTCCCAAAGTGCTGGGATTATAGGTGTGAACCACTGCGCCTGGCCTTTTTTTTTTTTTTTTTTTTTCTGTTTCTGTTGGGTGATGGGAGCTTGGAGCTGTCTACTCTGCCCTTTTGCTGATATCAGTCCTCAATTATATTTTAAAGAGATTTAAATAATAAGGAAAAACAGGCACATATAAATATATGTAGTTACCATTTTCAATGCCTTTCATTCCTTTGTATAGATCCCGATTTCCATTTGGTATTTTTCTTCTGCCTGAAGGACATCCGCTAACATTTCTTACTGTGTTTGTTGGTGATGAATTCTTTCAGCTTTTTATTTATTTGTTTGAGACAGAGTCTCGCTCTGTTACCCAGGCTGGAATGCAGTGGCACAATTATGGCTCACTGGAGCCTCGACCTCCCAGGCTCAAGGAAACCCCCCAGGCTCAAGTGAACCTCCCAGCTCAGCCTCCCGAGTAACTGAGACTCCAGGCATGTGCCACTACGCTTAGCTAATTTTTGTGTTCTTTTTGTTTGTTTGGTTGGTTTTTTTTTTTTTTTTTTTTTGAGACGGAGTCTAGCTCTGTCGCCCAGGCTGGAGTGCAGTGGCGCGATCTCGGCTCCCTGCAAGCTCCACCTCCTGGGTTCACACCATTCTCCTGCCTCAGCCTCCCGAGCAGCTGGGACTACAGGCGCCTGCCACCACGCCTGGCTATTTTTTTTGTATTTTTAGTAGAGACGGGGTTTCACCGTGTTAGCCAGGATGGTCTCGATCTCCTGACCTCGTGATCTGCCTGCCTCGGCCTCCCAAAGTGCTGGGATTACAGGCGTGAGCCACCGCTCCCGGCCTAATTTTTGTTTTTTTTTTAGAGACAGGGTCTCACTATGTTGCCCAGGCTGGTCTCGAACTCTGGGGCTCGAGCGATCTGCCCAGCTCAGCCTCTCAAAGTGTCTGCCAGCTTTTATGTGTCTGAAAATATGTTTATTTAACTTTCTTAAAATATATTTTCATTGGGCATAAAATTCTAGGTTTGCAGTTTTTGCCTTCAGCACTTTAAAGATCAAGTTGCACTGCTGTTGTCTCTCACTTGCACTATTTCTGGCAAGAAATTTGGTATCATTCTTATCTTTGTTCCTGTGTAAAATAACATGTACTATTTTCCCAGCTGCCTTCAGGATTTGATCTATATCATTGGTTTTGAGCAATTTGATTATGTGATTTGTTACAGTTTTCTTTGTATTTCTTGTACTTGACATTGAGCTTCAGGTCTGTGGGTTTATATTTTTCATTACATTTGGAAAATTTTTGGCCATTATTTCTTCTAATATTTTTCCATGTCTCAACTTTGTAAACATATGGGATATAGTTAAAATTAATGTTAATGTCTTTCTCTGTTCATTTTAATATGTGTCAGTTTGGGGTTGGTTTGGATCAAAATAAGGATTGATTGGTTGTTATTATGGGCTGTGTTTTCTTGCTTATTTATATGCCTAGTAATAGGATGCCAGGATGCCAGACATTGGAGATTTTACCTTGTTGAGTAATGGTCATTTTTTTTTGTTTTTTTTTGTTTTTTTTTTGAGACGGAGTCTCGCTCTGTTGCCCAGGCTGGAGTGCAGTGGCGCCATATCGGCTAACTGCAAGCTCCGCCTCCCGGGTTCACGCCATTCTCTTGCCTCAGCCTCCCGAGTAGCTGGGACTACAGGCGCCCGCCACCATGCCTGGCTAATTTTTTGTATTTTAATAGAGATGGCGTTTCACCGTGGTAGCCAGGATGGTCTCGATCTCCTGACCTCATGATCCACCCACCTCGGCCCCCCCAAAGTGCTGGGATTACAGGCGTGAGCCACCGCGCCCAGCCAATTTTTTATTCCTATATACATTTTCTTGAGCTTTGTTTTGGGATGTATTTAAGATCATTGAAAAGTTGGATCCTTTCAGGTCTTGTTTTGATGATTCATTAGGTGGGTCCAAAGCAATGCTCAATCTAAGACTGATTCTTTCCCATTCCTGGGGTGCTTGAGTACTCCACACAGAGCCCTATAAATTGTGAGTTTTTCCAGTCTGATTTGTGGCGACCCCCATCTCTACAAAAAAATAAAGAGGCTGGGCACAGTGGCTCATGCCTATAATCCCAGTACTTTGAGAGGCTGAGGCAGGCAGATCACCTGAGGTCAGCAGTTTGAGACCAGCCTGTCCAACATGGTGAAACCCAGTCTCTACTAAAAATACAAAAATGTAGCCAGGTGTGGTGGCGGGTGCCTATAATCCCAGCTACTCCACTGAGGCTGAGGCAGGAGAATCGCTTGAACCTGGGAGGCAGAGGTTGCAGTGAGCTGAGATCGCACCACTACACTCCAACCTGGGCGACAAGAGCAACACGCCATCTCAAAAAATAAAAATAAGTAAATAAATAAAAGACCATCTCATCCAGAAATGCCTTTATAGATACACCCATAAATAAATGTTTAACCAAGTATCTGTGCACCCCATGGTCCCTTCAAGTTGACACATGAAATTACCCATCACTCCAGCCTTCAGCCGTGGGTTTGCGTCATGCATAGATTTCTAGAACTCCCTCTTTGCATAGTGCCCTCCTTTCTTTTTTCTGCCCCATTTCTCTGCCATTTCAGCTGTCTCAGCCTGATCTCTGCCTCCTCATCTCTGCCTCTTCAGCCCAGCGGGATCTCCCTACTGTGCTCAGACTCCAGCTCTCTGCACTGCAGTTGGGAAACGATCCCCAGGTAGAGGAACTAGGTGACTTTGGGGCTCATCTCACAAGTTTCCTTACACTTAGGGATCAGTCTTTTGCTTCCTGTTGTCCTCTGCCTGAAAGTAGTTGCCAAGTTGTACTGTTTTATATATCCACCACAGCATGAGTTAAACCAAAGTCTGGATCAGCAGACTGCCAGATTTTTTTTTAACAAATTTATTAATCAATACATTTTGTCCATGTCTACAGTTGTTTATGGTGGGAGGACTAACCTGCAGCTGGAAGGATTAATTTTCAGCTGCTTTATAGTATTTTATTATATGAATTATACCAGTTTGCCCATCCTTGTGTTGATAGACATTACCCATGAAGTGTGTTCACATTGTCTGTGATACAAATAATGCTTCAGTGACTATCTACCCAGAATGGGATTGCGGGTTTATAGGATACATACTTCTTCACCCTTATTTTTTACTAGTTATTGCCAAATTGCTTTCCAAATTGTACTGTTTCATATATCCACAACGGCATGAGTTCTGTTTGTTTCACATCCATGCTAAGACTTGATCTTGTTAAATTAATTTTTCTAGTGTATAAATGAGTGCAAAATATTGTTAGTCTTTCCTAGATTACTAGTGAGGTTAAATGTATATGTGTATGTACGTATATGCACATATGTATATATTATTAGGTATTTGTGTTTCCCATTCGATAGCTTTTTTATATCAATTGTCCTTTTTAAAAGTTGGGTCATCTTTTTGTTATTGATTCTTTGGAGTTCTTTATAAATTCTACTTATGAATCCTCTTTTGGTTATATGTGTTACGTTGTTTTTCCCAGTCTTGGCTTGTCTTTTAGATGTGTATCTTGTCTTTTCCCATACAGAAGTGTTAACTTTTTGTGTGTGTGTGATCTCACTCTGTTGCCCAGGCTGGAGTGCAGTGGTGCGATCTCAGCTCAGTGCAACCTCTGCCTTCTGGGTTCAAGCGATTCTCCAGCCTCAGCCTCCTGAGTAGTACTACAGGCACATGCCACCACACCAGGCAAATTTTTGTGTTTTTTTTTAGTAGAGACTGGGTTTTACCATGTTGCCTAGGCTGGTCTCGAACTCCTGAGCTCAAAGCAATCCACCAGCCTCGCCTCCAAATGTGCTAGATTATGTGTAAGCCATCACTCCCGGCCCAGAAGTACTAACTTTTAATGTAGTCATATTTATCTATATTTCCTACATGACTTGTGCCCTTTGTGTATTCATCTCTTTACCTCTAAACACAGGAGTGCCCCGAGGGCTCAGGCTATGGACCTCTCTATTTACATTAATTCTCAGTCATCTTGCTTGGTTTCAGGACATCTGTACCCTGACGGCTTTTATGTGTAGCTCCTCCACTTAACTCCAGCCACACACAATAGTTCAAAGAGCCCCTACTGACCTAGACACTATGTTTCTTCTTCCCCTATTACCCAGGTTTCTTGAGTAGGGAGTCTGCAGTCACTGCCTCCATTTCTTCACCTTCCAGTCACTGTTCAACCCAGGGCAGCCTGGCTTTTGTCCCACTAGTCTACTGATACTGAGATTTTTTTCTTAAGCAACACAGTCCCCCCTCCGCCCCCCCCCCTTTTTTTTCAAATTAAGTCTTATGTGAAATCACAGTATATTAAATAGAAGAATTACTTTGGCACTGGGTTGGGGAGGATCTGGAACCCAAACTGCACCTTCTTCTCATCTCTCTGAGTTGCCCCAGAGGCATCTATACCTTTCCAACTTTTCTATCCCCAAAACACCCTAATCTCCAGCGATACTGAACAATTCCATCTCTGGACTTCTGCACAGTGCTCCTTCATCTTCCTTGAACCTGCCAGACCTCTCAGCTCCAGGAGCACTTCCCTGCCTTCCTTCCCCTTTATCACAACTTTTTTTTTTTTTTTTTTTTTTTTGAGATGGACTCGCTCTGTCGTCCAGGCTGGAGTGTGCAGTGGCATGATCTCGGCTCACTGCAACCTCCACCTCCCGGACTCAAGCAATTCTCCTGTCTCAGCCTCCCGAGTAGCTGGGACTACAGGCACGCGCCACCATGCCCAGCTAATTTTTGTATTTTTAGTAGAGACGGGGTTTCACCATATTGGTCAGGCCGGTCTTGAACTCCTGACCTCAGGTGATCCGCCCGCCTCCGCCTTCGAAGTGCTGGGAATACAGGCATGAGCCACTGCGTCTGGCCTCTTTTTTTGTTCCCGTTATCACACTGATAACATTGAATTGCAATCTTTTACTTACACATCTTCCTTACTAAACAGAGCTTATAAAGATCAGAGATCCTCTATTTTCCCCCTTAATCTCTTTAATGTATATAAACAATGGAATGAATAAATCAATGAATGAATGTCTGAGGAAACTTAACTACACCAAAGTGTATTGGCAGACTACCAGACTTTTTAAACAGCTTTATGAAGATATAATTCACAAACCATACAGTTCATAGGGTGGTGCAACCGCCAACACGATCTAATTTTAAACTATGTTTATGCTGCTACGAGAAAGCCTATACCCATAAGCAGTCATTTTCTATTCCCCACCCCCAAACCCACTCCTTAGCCCTAGGCAACCACTAATCTACTTTCTCAGACCGATAACTTTAGCATAGGTATAAATCGATCACAGAGCCTCAAAATCCACCCGATGTCTGGGCCATGATGTGAAATTTGGTAGGTAATCGTCCCACGTTATCAACTTGTAAAGTAGAAATGGAAGTGGGGGGGAAAACTCAGCCGCCAGTGGCGTTTGTGAAAAGCACCTGGTAACAGGCTGTGCTGGAGGGGAGTTCAGCCCCTAGAAAAGATCACGGATTAGGAATTACATAAGCATAGGTCTCGGGCCCTTTTATTTTGGACGCGATCCTTTCACGGGATCGCCTCCGGATGGGAGCCGGATGGGATCCCGGACGGGATCGTCTCGCTGGGAGCCATGCGGGAAACCGCAAGAGTCAGAAACAGGCGTTGAAGGCAGGCAGCATTTTCCAAAACAGCTGTGTCTCGGGAGCTGCCGGGCTGTAGCGTCTCCCCGAGTCGCGCGCGCATGACGTGGCGGGCGCGCGATGACGCGACGCGTGGCGCGGTGCACGCTGGGATATTTAAGTCTCCTCCGCGGCGCGGAGCCGCGATGTCTCCGGCGGCTGCGGCGGCTGGAGCAGGCGAGCGGCGGCGGCCGATAGCGAGTGTCAGGGCCGGCCGGGGCGGCGCTTCTCGGCCTGTCGCTGGTCGGCCTCCTACTGTACCTCGTGCCTGCTGCGGCTGCGCTGGCCTGGCTGGCCGTGGGGACTACCGCGGCCTGGTGGGGACTGAGCCGCGAGCCCCGAGGTTCGCGCCCCTTGTCCTCCTTCGTTCAGAAGGCGCGACATCGGCGAACACTGTTCGCTTCGCCTCCGGCCAAGTCGACAGCCAACGGAAACCTCCTAGAGCCGCGGACCCTGCTCGAAGGACCTGACCCTGCCGAACTGCTCCTCATGGGCAGTTACCTGGGCAAGCCCGGGCCGCCGCAGCCCGCCCCCGCTCCGGAGGGCCAGGACCTGCGGAATAGGCCTGGCCGCCGCCCGCCCGCCCGGCGCCGCGCTCCACACCGCCCTCCCCGCCGACCCATCGCGTTCACCACTTTTACCCCTCTCTCCCCACTCCTCTTCTCCGACCCTCCGGGAGGCCTTCCCCACGGTGAGATGCGCTGATTTTCCCAGATCATCCTTTGGCTCGGCTGGCTTGAAATCGAGGACTTTTAAATCCGATTTGCTTTTTCATCAAATCCGAAGGGAATTGTGTGTGGTTTTGCCCTCCTTAACACCTTGGTGTGTGCCAGCCGTCTCCTGGCCTCTGACTCTTGCTTGGTGTGAGATGTGTTGCCAAAACGATTCCCTTCTTTCCAGTTCTAAAAACTCCCCGAATTTTAGTGCAGTCTAGATTTAGTCTAGATTTAGATTTTCCCTCTCAAATTGTTGCAATCCATTGTTGAGACAGCTGTTAAGCAGCTGTCACTCTCTGCTCTTAGATGGAATAGGGGAAAGTTGCCATAAAAACAACGTGTTCTGTGTTGCGTAGAAAGAGACTTAAGTTCTTTGGAAAATGTCTTAACTGGTGGGTTTTTAACCGTCTAAAATTTTGACATTCTTTTATACTTTGTTTCCATGATTTGTCTCGCATTCTCTGCAGGGATCGTGGGACTTTACCAGATCGGTTTGTAATAACACCTCGAAGACGCTATCCGATCCATCAGGCCCAGTATTCCTGTCCGGGGGTACTTCCCACAGTGTGCTGGAATGGTTATCACAAGAAGGCTGTGCTGTCCCCTCGCAACTCCAGGATGGTGTGTAGCCCAGTGACTCTGAGGATCGCCCCTCCTGACAGAAGATTTTCGCGTTCTGCGATGTGAGTATTATCGTTGGAAGAATACTCTCCCTTTTCGTGTCCACTTTATTCTTCTCCAGTTGTTCCTATGACAACATGACTACAACGCAAAAAAGAAAGGACGAATCTGCTTGTTTGAATGAGAAATACCAAATTCTAGTAAAACCGTTTGTTTTTCACTTTTTGCCGTTAACGAAAAAGTAGCTTTACTTGCTAAGGGGAACTGTTGTGAGTGTATAAATTATACTTTGGCTTGTTGGTTAGCTTCTGATTTCCATTTCTGATATGGCATGGGAATTAAAATATCTTACTGCTAGAATCCTGTCTTTCATTATAGACCAGAGCAGATAATCAGCTCAACACTGTCCTCACCATCAAGTAATGCCCCAGACCCATGTGCAAAGGAGACTGTACTGAGTGCCCTCAAAGAGAAGAAGAAGAAAAGGACAGTGGAGGAAGAAGACCAAATATTCCTTGATGGCCAGGAAAATAAAAGAAGGTAACAGGCTCAGGAGAGTACTAAGCCAGTTTCCCGCTTGGACTCCTATGGGATGAGATGTAGACATTCCCGTAAAGATACAGAGGCCACCTCCAGTTTGTGAGCCTTCATAGGCCTCCTTCTTTGGCTTTCATGAAAGAACCTAATAACAGGGGTTTTAATGCTGATCATTTCAAGGCACAGGTTAGATCGATGTCATAATTTACCTTTTCTGTGAGTAGCAGAGATAAGCTGACAGCTATTAGCCATGTTAGCCTCATGCTTCTGTAGAAACGTGTTAAAAGTTTATTTTCAAGAAAGAAGGCTCTAAGTCTTCTGGTCGGAATTTTGTGGTGTTCAGTTATTTGGGTAACCACCAGTTCTAGTGTCTTTTTTTTTTTTTTTTTTTTGAGTTGGAGTCTGTCTCTGTCCCCCAGGCTGGAGTGCAGTGGCCCGATCTCAGCTCACTGCAAGCTCAGCCTCCCAGGTTCATGCCATTCTCCTGCCTCAGCCTCCCGAGTAGCTGGGACTACAGGCGCCCGCCACCATGCCCGGCTAATTTTTTTGTATTTTTAGTAGAGACAGGGTTTCACCATGTTGGCCAGGATGGTCTCGAACTCCTGACCTCGTGATCTGCCCGCCTTGGCCTCCCAAAGTGCTGGGATTACAGGCTTGAGCCACGGCGCCCGGCCCACCAGTTCTAGTGTCTTAATTGTGCTGAAGGAAATGCTTGGGAAAGAAAAATGAAAACTAGAGTTTGGTAGTTTTATCAGTAATGAGATTAAAACCAATTTCCTGGAAGGGCAAGGTGGCTCACGCCTATAATCCCAGCACCTTGAGAGGCCCAGGCAGGTGGATCACCTGAGGTCAGGAGTTCGAGACCAGCCTGGCCAACATGGTGAAACCCCGTCTCTACTAAAAATACAAAAATTAGCTGGATGTGGTGGTAGGTGCCTGTAGTCCCAGCTACTCCAGAGGCTGAGACAGGAGAATTGCTTGAACCCAGGAGGCGGAGGTTGCAGCGAGCCGAGACCATGCCAGTGCATGCTAGCCTGGGTGACAGAGCGAGACTGTCTGAAAAAAAAAAAAATTCCTTATGTGGTTTGTAAAATAACCTAATGAAAATGGAATAGTTTTCTAATTACAGAAAGAAAAGAAGTTGAAGTGGGTTTCGCCATGTTGAGCAGGCTGGTCTCGAACTCCTGACCTCAGGTGATCAGCTCGCCTCAGCCTCCCAAAGTGCTGGGATTACAGGCATGAGCCACCACGCCTGGCCGAAAATCTTATAAATAATCCCCTTCTAATTTCGGCCAGCTTAATCACACACCAAATTCCTTTCATGAGATTAATCTTCCACAACTTCTACACTTCCTTAAATCTTTGATTTTGTCCTATACTTTTTTTATATTAGCAATCTACTTTAGGACAGAAATTTACTTTCCTTTCCTCTTGATTTTGACCAAAGTCCTCTCTCATGCAAAATAAAAAATTACTCTTTTTTCAACTTTCTTTACCAAAAATACATCCTCATAACTTTTTTTCACGTCTCTCCTACTTACTGGCCTTCTTCCCACCTTGTTTCTATTTCCTTCCTAAATCCATATTTTGAAACAATCTTTAAATAACCCCCAACTTAAACAAAATTGCTCTTATTTAACAAAAAACTTATCTCAAAAAACCTAGCACGGTCACCAAGCGTGCTTTGCTTTTCTTTCTCTCTCTCTCTCTTTCTTTTTTTTTGGAGGCGGATTCTCGCTCTGTCAGCCATGCCGGAGTGTAAATGGCACGATCTTGGCTCACTGCAACCTCCGCCTCCCAGGTTTTGAGAGATTCTCCTGCCTCAGCCTGCTGAGTAGCTGGGATTACAGTTGCGTACCATCACAGCCAGCTAATTTTTGTATTTTTAGTAGAGATGGGGGTTTTGCCCTGTTGGCCAGGCTGGTCTGAAACTCCTGACCTCAGGTGATCCACCCACCTCAGCCTCCCAAAGTGTTGGGATTACAGGCATAAGCCACCGCACCAGGCTTGATCCCTTTTCTTGAACAACTTATATATCCCAAAGCAACACACCAGAATATTCATTTACAATGAGAATGAAACTATCCCCACAGGAGCAACAAGAACTGCATGCTGGGTTCTGGACAGAAATAGAGTTATAATTAAGCATTCATCAGGCTGCATTTTGGCCTACTTCCTTGTTGCTAAAAGTCAGGTGGCACTAGTTCCTGACCATTGCATACCATTGTTCCTATAGATAGGATTTCTGACATTAAAGAGTCATAAGACTGTTTTAAGAATTTATTTGGGGATCTCCTGGGGCTGTATCACAGGGGGAAAAGTGAAATAAAAAAAAAAAACCACAATCAATTTGGGCTGGGTGCGGTGGCTCACACCTGTAATTTCAGCACTTTGGGAGGCTGAGGTGGAGGGATCTCTTGAGCCCAAGAGTTAGAGACCAGCCTGGCCAACATAGTGCAACTCCATCTCTACCAAACAAAATATGAAAATTAGCCAGGCATGGTGGTGAGTGCCTGTATTCCCAGCTCCAGAGGCTGAGGTGGGAGGATCACTTGAGCCCAGGAGTTGGAGGCTGCAGTGAGATATGATCCAGCTACTGCACTCTCGCCAGGGCAACAGAGCAAGACCCCAACTCAAAAAGAAAAAAAAAAAGGAATTTAGATTAAAAAAGAAAAAGGGCTCGAGTTTGAATGCAGTGGCTCAAGCCTATAATCCCAGCACTCTAAGAGGCTGAGGTAGGAAGATCGCTTGAGCTCAGGAGTTCCAGGCTGCAGTGAGCCGTGATCATATCACTGCACTCTAGCCTGGACAACAGAGTGAGACCTTGTCTCTAAAACAAAACAAAACAAAACTTGAGAATGGGCCAGACGCAGTGGCTCACGCCTGTAATCCCAGCACTTTGGGAGGCCAAGGCGGGTGGATCATGAGGTCAGGAGTTCAAGACCAGCCTGGCCAAGATGGTGAAACCCTGTCTCTACTAAAAATACAAAAATTACAGCATACCTGTAATCCCAGCTACTCGGGAGGCTGAGGCAGGAGAATCGCTTGAACCTGTGGGGCGGAGGTTGCAGTGAGCTGAGATCGTGCCACTGCACTCCAGCCTGGGTGACAGAGCGAGACTCCATCTCAAAAAAAAAAAAAAAAAAAAAACTTGAGAATGATAGTGTTACAGGAAAGGGGTCCCTACCCAGACCCCAAGTGAGGGTTCTTGGATCTCACGCAAGAAAGAATTCAGGGCGAGTCCATAAAGTGAACGCAAGTTTATTAAGACAGTAGAGGAATGAAAGAATGACCATTCCATAGACAGAGCAGCCCCGAGGGTGGCTGGTTACCCATTTTTATGATTATTTCTTGATGATATGCTAAACAAGGGGTGGATTATTCATGCCTCCCCTTTTTAGACCACATAGGGTAACTTCCTGACGTTGCCATGGCATTTGTAAACTGTCATGAAGCTGGTGGGAGTGTAGCAGTGAGGACGACCAGAGGTCACTCTCGTCGCCATCTTGGTCTTGGTGGGTTTTAACCGGCTTCTTCACTGCAACCTGTTTTATTTATTTATTTATTTATTTATTTATTTATTTTTTGAAACGGAGTCTTGCTGTCACCCAGGCTGGAGTGCAGTAGCGCTATCTCGGCTCACTGCAAGCTCCGCCTCCCGGGTTCACGCCATTCTCCTGCCTCAGCCTCCCGAGTAGCTGGGACTGCAGGTGCCCGCCACCATATCCGGCTACTTTTTTGTATTTTTAGTAGAGATGGGATTTCACCGTGTTAGCCAGGATGGTCTCGATCTCCTGACCTCGTGATCCGCCCGCCTCAGCCTCCCAAAGTGCTGGGATTACAGGCGTGAGCCACCGCGCCCGGCCATCACTGCAACCTGTTTTATCAGCAAGGTCTTTATGACCTGCATCTTGTGCCAACCTCCCATCTCATCCTGTGACTTAGAATGCCTTAACCATCTGGGAATGCAGCCCAATAGGTCTCAGCCTCATTTTATCCAGCCCCTATTCAAAATGGAGTTGCTCTGGTTCACCCGCCTCTGACAATAGTAGAAGTTAAAAAAAAATAATAACTTCTTTAACTCCACTCCAGGTGGCATTTCTTAGTGCCTCTGAAGGTTCTGATGTAGAACCAGCCCCCAGCTCACCCAGAGCAAGGAAAGATCATGAAAACCCAAGCAGAAGCAAGACACTGGGTTCCAGCATCAATGCTAAGGGCTAGAACATTTTCTGATGTTTTGCTTGGAAAGGCAGAATTTGGTTGTCTAGTGCGTCCGCTAATTGGCCTCCATCTGACACCCTGGAGGGATGGGCTGATTAGAAGCCACAGCTGCTTTGCTCATTATTTCTGATGAATGGACATCACCTGGCGTCTCCGGTGATGGCGCCAGCTCAGGACCCAGGTGTGACCTGCACAACAAAGAAAAGCAAGATAGCTTTGCAGCCAACATGGTGAAACCCCATCTCTATTAAAAATACAAAAAAAAAAATTAGCCGGACGTGGTGGCGGGCGCCTGTAATCCCAGCTACTCAGGAGGCTGAGGCAGGAGAATCACTTAAATCTAGGAGGCAGAGGTTGCAGTGAGCCAAGATCATGCCACTGCACTCCAGCCTTGGCGACACAGAGAGACTCTGTCTCAAAAAAAAAAAAAAAAAAAAAAAAATGGCTTTACAGCCCTGAGGAGTAAACCAGTCTTCCCCAAATAATTATCTTATGTAAGTCCCAGCCCCTTGGAACATGTTTTGAAAGGGCTCACCCATCTGGGCAGGTGACTCACGCCTGTAATCCCTGCACTTTGGGAGGCTGAGGCAGGCAGATCACCTGAGGTCAGAAGTTCAAGACCAGCCTGGCCAACATGGCGTAACCCCATCTCTACTAAAAATACAAAAATTAGCCAGGCATGGTGGGACACGCCTGTAGTCTCAGCTACTTGGGAGGCTGAGGCAGGAGAATCACTTGAATATGGGAGGTGGAAGTTGCATGAGCCGGGATCATACCATTGCACTCTAGCTTGGGCAAGAAGAGTGAAACTCCATCTCAAAAACAAAAGAAAAGGCTCACCCTTTTCACTGGTTCCCTTGTGGCAAATCTAAAATAAGGTACGTGTGCTCACCGTTCATTCATCTGAAAAGTTTGCAAATACCCTCTACCCCATACCCCACCCCCACGTGTTGTCCTTTTTTTTTTTTTTTTTTATTTGAGACAGTCTCACTCTGTTGCCCAGGCTGGAGTGCAGTGGTGCAATCTCGGCTCACTACAAGCTCTGCCTCCCGGGTTCGCGCCATTCTCCTGCCTCAGCCTCCCAAGTAGCTGGGACTACAGGCGCCCGCCACCATGCCCGGCTAATTTTATTTTATTTTATTTTTGTATTTTTAGTAGAGACGGGGTTTCTCCATGTTAGCCAGGATGGTCTTGATCTCCTGACCTTGTGATCCGCCCGCCTCGGCCTCCCAAAGTGCTAGGATTACAGGCATGAGACACCGCACCCGGCCCTTTTTTTTTTTAAGAGACAAGATATCACCCTGTCACCCAGGCTGGAATGCAGTGGTGTCGTCATAGCTCACTGCAGCCTGGACCCCCTGGGCTCAAGTGATCCTCCTGCCTCAGTCTCCCAAGTAGCTGGGACCACAGGGGTGTCCCACCACACCCAGCTAATTTTTTTATTTTTTGTAGAGATGGGGTCTTGTCTTGTCACCCAAGCTGGTCTTAAACTTCTGAGCTCAAGCGATCCTCCCACTTGGACCTAGCCAGGTGCTGGGATTATGGGTATTAGAGTTTAAATTTCTTTGCTCAACACCACTCCCCATTTTGTGGCCAACAGTCACATTCTTTCTTGGGCCACGTCATTCATTTTCAGTTGCTTCAGAGCACTGGTGGCCCCTTGGGTGTGTTGAACAAACCCCAGCCTTTGAGGAGTTCCAAAAAAAAAAAAAAAGACACCATCTCTAGGCGGAAAATTTCAGACAAAGAACCCCTGCCAGGAATATTTCCTGCCGCTGCTCCTGCCACTGCCCCTTAGGCTGTGGACCTTTATGCAAGAACGCAAGTGGCAAACTGCCCTACTGTGTATGTTGTGGGGAGTGGGGATACTGCCAGAGAGGAGAGAGCCCTATTTTATTTTATTTTATTTTATTTTAAAGACAGAGTCTCACTCTGTTGCCCAGGCTGGAGTGCAATGGCACGATCTCGGCTCACTGCAACCTCTGCCCCCTGGATTGAGGAGATTCTCCTCTCTCAGCCTCCCCAGTAGCTGGGATTACAGGCGCATGCCACCACGCCTGGCTAATTTTTGTATTTTTAGTGGAGACGGGGTTTCCCCATGTTGGCCAAACTCCCGACCTTATGTGATCCTCCCACCTTGGCCTCCCAAAGTGCTGGGATTAGAGGCATGAGCCACTGCGCCCAGCTGACAGCCCTCTCTAAATCTTTAAAAATTCAGTCAGGCGTGGTGGCTCATGCCTGTAATCTCAGCACTTTAGGAGGCTGAGACAAGAGGAATGCGTGAGCCCAGGAGTTTGAGACCAACTTGGGCAATATGGTGAGACCCTATCTTGACAAAAAATACAAAAATCGGCCTGACATGGTGGTGCACGCTTGTAGTCCCAGCTACTCAGGAGGCTGAGGCAGGAAGATCACTTGAACCCAGGAGGTCGAGGCTGCAGTGAGCTATGATCACGCCACTGTACTCCAGCCTGGGAGACACTGTCTCAAAAAATAAATAAATAAAATCTTTAACAATTCTTCAGCTTATCCCCCTACCTTCTGGGGGCTTCTTGGGTCTCTTCCCAGAAACTTTCTTCGTCTGTAAGCCCGTTTATTGTATGCAATTGTTTAAAAAACACAAATGGGTGCATATTCTCATATTCTCTACCCTCTATTTTGAACGTTCCTTTTTTTTCTTTTTTTCAGACCGAGTCTCAGTCTGTCACCCAGGCTAGTGCAATGGTGCAATTTTGGCTCACTACACCCTCTGCCTCCCAGATTCAAGCGATTCTCCTGCCTCAGCCTCCCGAGTAGGTGGATTACAGGTGTGCACTGCTGCACCCAGCTAATTTTTGTATTTTTAGTAGAGACAAGGTTTCACCATGTTTGCCAGGCTAGTCTCGAACTCCTGACCTCAAGTGATCCACCCACCTTGGCCTCCCAAAGTGCTGGGATTATGGGCGTGAGCCACGGTGCCCGGCCCACCTGTCTGGCTTTAACACCGTTCTGTTTTCTTCCAAGCTGTCTTGTCGACGGTCTCACTGATGCCTCTTCTGCATTCAAAGTTCCTCGACCCGGGCCAGATACACTCCAGTTCACAGTGGATGTCTTCCACTTTGCTAATGACTCCAGAAACATGGTAAGAGCTTTAACAGCCTGAAAGAAGGCTGAACTTGCAACCTTCATATCCTACTGAATGGGGTCACTCACTAGCTCCACCCCTAAGCAAATGACTTAGAGCTGTGTCCCAGTAACTCAAACTTACAAGTAAAGCCATGAGCTTTAGCGAGGCCTTCAAGCAGAAGGATGAACAATATGAAGCCTTAAGAGGTAGAGGCCGGGCACGGTGGCTCATGCTTGTAATCCCAATACTTTGGGAGGCCGAGGTGGGTGGATCACTTGAGGTCAGGAGTTCAAGACCAGCCTGGCCAACATAGTAAAACCCCGACTCTACTAAATATACAAAAAAAATTAGCTGAGTGTGGTGGTTGGGTACCTGTAATCCCAGCTACCTGGGAGGCTGAAGCAGGAGAATAGCTTGAACCTGGGAGGCAGAGGTTGCAGTGAGCAGAGATTGTGCCACTGCACCTCCAGCCTGAGTGACAGTGAGACTCCATCTCCAAAAAAAAAAAAAGGCAGGTGTTAGCCTTCCTGGAGGCTTTCTGCAGGGGCAAAGAAAACCAGTGTGAACTTCGTAGCCAGGGTGGCTTCTTGAACTTGGTCATAGGTTAGGCTAGTGATTCTGAAGGCATCATCCTCAGCTGGAGGGCTTGTTGAAATTGATGACTGGGCCCCAACCCAGGGTTTGATTCAGGTGGTCTAGTGAAGCCTAGAATCTGCATTCTTAAGTGTTGGTTCTGCCAGTCTGGGTCCTCCCCTTGAGAACCTAAACTAGAAAACTCAAATTGACACTAAGAGGGAAGGAGAAGGAAGGAATGAAGATGGGAACTGCCTAATGGCTGAGGTGGGGGAGGGATGCAGTAGGAAGTGCAGGTGCCAGGACCAACATCTAGCCAGGAAGTACTGGTAAGTGGTTAGAAGTGGTTAGAAGTAAATTGCCTGGTGCGGTGGCTCGTGCCCATAATCCCAGCACTTTGGGAGGCTGAGGCGGGCAGATCACGAGGTCAGGAGATTGAGACCATCCTGGTTAACACGGTGAAACCCCCTCTACTAAAAATACAAAAAATTAGCTGGGCATGATGGTGGGCACCTGTAGTCCCAGCTACTCCAGGTTCCCAGGTTCAAGTGATTCTCCTGCCTCAGTCTCCCAAGTAGCTGGGAGTACAGGTACCCGCCACCATGCCTGGCTAATTTTTTTGTATTTCTAGTAGAGACAAGGTTTTACCATGTTGTCCAGGCTGGTCCCAAACTCCTGACCTCAGGTGATCCGCCTGCCTCGGTCTCCCAAAGTGCTGGAATTACAGGCGTGAGCCACCATGCCCAGCCTCAAGTAGCTTTTATTTTTTGAGTTGGAGTCTCGCTCTGCAGTCCAGGCTGGAATGCAATGGCACAGTCTCGGCTCACTGCAACCTCTACCTCCTGGGTTCAAGCATTTCTCCTGCCTCAGCCTCCTGAGTAGCTGGGAATTACAGGTGCCTGCCACCACACCCGGCTAACTTTTGTATTCTTACTAGAGATTGGGTTTCACCATGTTGGCCAGGCTGGTCTGGAACTCCTGACCTTGTGATCCACCTGCATCGGCCTCCAAAAGTGCTGAGATTACAGGCGTGAGCCACCATGCCCAGCCTCAAGTAGCTTTTAAACAAGCTCACTGAGATGAGAGGTGAGGCCGTGAGCTTAGAATAGGTGGTTAGGAAGTGATTAAAGTAGGGGTTTCCAGTGCTGGCTCTATACTAATCATCTGGAGAGGTTGTAAAAATACTGATTGTAGAGTCTCATACCTTCACTCTATTGGGGTAGGGCCTGGTGTCACATTTTGTAACATTAACTAAATCTTCATAGGTGTTTGCTGTAAAACTCTATGAACTTCAGTGTGCACACCATCTAGGTTCTACCACCAGCATTTTTTTTTTTTTTTTTTGAGACAGTCTCACTCTGTCACCCAAGCTGGAATGCAATGGTGCGGTCTTGGCTCACTGCAACCTCTGCCTCCGGGTGCAAGCAATTCTCCTGCCTCAGCCTCCTGAGTAGCTGGGATTGCAGGCGCCTGCCACCATGCCCGGCTAATCCTTGTATTTCTTAGTAGAGACAGGGTTTCATCATTTTGGCCAGGCTGGTCTTGAACTCTTGACCTCATTATCCAACCGCCTCAGCTTCCCAAAGTGCTGGGATTATAGGCATGAACCACCACGTGCCACCTGCCCCCCCCCCCTTTTTTTTTTTTTTTTGAGAGGGTCTCTGTCACCCAGGCTGGAGTACAGTGGCCCAATCTTAGGTCACTGCAACTTCCACCTCCCAGGCTCAAGCGATTCTCCTGCCTTAGCCTCCCAAGTAGCTGAGATTGTAGGCATACGCCACTACTGAGTGCCTGTTATATTTTTAGTAGAGATGGTTTCACCGTATTGGCCAGGCTGGTCTTGAATACCCGACCTCAAACGATCCACCTGCCTTGGCCTCCCAAAGTGCTGGGATTACAGGCGTGAGCCACTGTACCCGGCCTGCTAGCATTTTACTGTTATCCTCCATCTACTGACCTACCTTATTCTACTTGGAAATGCATCAAAAGCCACTTAAGCTCCTAGGTGACTCTAATACGCAGCCAGGCTTGCAAACCTCTGAAGCAGAGGCTCATACGTTAGGGTGGCATTAAGGGACAAAGTAGAAACTTTTCAAAGATGACATCGATGCCACTTCACCTCCTCCAGCAGCTGCCTTGTGGGAAGAGAAAGATCAACACACAGATCAGTAGGGTAGCAAAAGGGAAAAGCATCTAATATTGATGAGATGGCCTGAAGCTCTCAGTGGTGGGCCCTGCTTCAATGGGGCTGGGGATAAAGGAGGGCAGATTTGGGAAAAGAGTCCTGGCCCTCGGATCAGTGACCGATAGCTCCTTAGGGGAGAGGATCCTGGTTGTGGGAGGAAGTCAAGATTGACCTCAGGTGTGGCCATTTGGGAAGAAGATGGGGAGAAGTTTTCACAGAGGTGGTAGCAGTCAGCATGGGTATGGACTGAGGTGGTTTCTCAATCTCTGGGTGTGGAGGGGTAACTAAGACCAGAGAACAGTGCTGTTTAATGGAAGATAGTCTGAGCCCTTGGAGGGCTCCCCTTCAAAGGTAGGATTGATGATGCCTCAGTAGACTATGTCCCATGGCACAAAGAAGGAACAACCCTATTTCAGAGCAATAGGGTGGCTGGGCACGGTGGTTCACATCTGTAATCCCAGCACCTTGGGAGGCCGAGGTGGGAGGATCAGAGTTCAGGTGTTTAAGGCTGCAGTGAGCTATGATGGTGCTATTGCCCTCAACAGAGCAAGACCCTGTGTACTTTTTTTTTTTTTTTTTTTGGACAGAGTCTCGCTCTGTCACCCAGGCTGGAATGCAATGGCATGATCTCGGTTCACTGCAACCTCCACCTCCTTATTCAAGCCATTCTCCTGCCTCAGCCTCCCTAATAGTTGGAATTATAGGCACTCAATCACCATGCCTGGCTAATTTTTGAATATTTAGTAGAGATGGGGTTTCACTATGTTGGTCAGGCTGGTCTTAAACTCCTGACCTCAGGTGATCCACCTGCCTCAGCAAGTGCTGGGATTACAGGCGTGAGCTATCACACTCCCCTCTTTTTTTTTTTTTTTTTTGGGGGAAATGGAGTGTCACTCTTGTTGCCCAGGCTAGAGTGCAATGGCGTAATCTCAGCTCACTGCAACTTCCCATCTCCCAGGTTCAAGCAATTCTTCCATTCCAGCCTCCCAAGTAGCTGGGATTATAGGCACCTGCCACCATGCCCAGCTAATTTCTGTATTTTTTTTTTTTTTTTAGTAGAGATGGGGTTTCACCATGTTGGCCAGGCTGGTCTCAAACTCCTGACCTCAGGTGATCCACTGACCTCAGCCTCCCAAAGTGCTGGGATTACAGGCATGAGCCACCACGCCCAGCCTAGACCCTGCTTCTAAAAGGCCGCTATAGGGGAACTGCCCTGGGATCTTAGACTCCAGTTAGCACCAGAAAAACATACTAGGAAGAAGCTAAGGATGAAAGTACATTTCCTTTGTGGAATAGACAACAGGGCCTTGGAAGCTTCTTACTTGCAGGGCAGGTGGCTAAGATGGGCAGCTGGACAACTGCTAAACTGGCTTGTTTCTAAAAGTCTGAATTTACATGGTTTCAAGTTTCTCTGCTGGTGTACTCGGCCACTAGGTGGTGACTGAGGCTTGTGGCTCTGAGGCTTCTGCTGCAAGGTGGCAGAATTGCCATGCTCTGCCCGAGGTTGAGCAGGGAGGAATTTTAGCCCTGCCTGAAATATGAAGGGAAACTGACCTGGGGACGGGCCAAGGCTAGACTGAGCCCTGGCTCTGTCAGAATGGCCCCTAGCCCCAGCAGCAGGATGGAATGTCAGTCTAAAATGAGAAGGCTTGGCCAGGTACGGTGGCTCATGCCAATAATCCCAGCACTTTGTGAGGCCAAGGCAGGTGGATCACTTGAGGCCAGGAGTTCAAGACAAGCCTGGCCAACATGGGGAAACCCCATCTCTACTACAAATACAAAAACTAGCCTGGTGTGGTGGTGGGTACCCATAATCCCATCTACTTGGGAGGCTGAGGCAAGAGAATCGCTTAAACCTCGGAGGTAGTGGCTACAGTGTACTCCAGCCTGGACTAGAGACAGACTCCGTCTCAGAAAAAAAAAAAAAAAAAAGGGTAGGGGGGCAGTGCTTACAGGGTAGTTGACTATTCCCTGGGTGGGGGGGGTCCTTCAGCTCCCAGCAGGAGCTCATATTGGGTTCATTCCCTCGTACTTGTCTAACGAGGGTGGGTAAACGTTTCCCAGAGGCCAGGACTGTCAGGGTATCAGCCTGGTGAGTCTTCTGGTCGTCATATCCCTTACAGGTGAAGGGAGACTGACGTAGGCTTGACTAATAGCAGAGGTATGTGCAAGGAAGAAAAGCCCAGGGAAGCTTGCCCAAAGAGTGAGCCATCAAACTCAAGTCTGGCCGGGCGCAGTGGCTCACGCCTGTAATCCCAGCACTTTGGGAGGCCAAGGCAGGTGGATCACAAGGTCAGGAGTTCAAGACCAGCCTGGCCAAGATGGTGAAACCCTGTCTCTACTAAAAATACAAAAAAATTAGCGAGGCATTATGGCAAGTGCCTGTAATCCCAGCTACTTGGGAGGCTGAGGCAGGAGAATTGCTTGAACCTAGGAGGCAGAGGTTGCAGTGAGCTGAGATCGTGCCATTGCACTCCAGCCTAGGCAACAGCAAGACTCCACCTCAAAAAAAAAAAACAAAAAAAAAACCTCTTAAGTCTGAAATGGAAACTCCACAGAAGCAAGTCCAAAAGGCTTCTTTATGTGCCCAAGGACCTCAGGTCCCAGAAACAACTTGGTCTTGCCTTAGCTGGCAATACAGTGACTACATCCCTGAAGAAAAGTAGCTTGTCAACTAGTCAAGTGGCAGGTGGCAGCGTCAGAAACCCAGCTAAGCTGCTAGCTATTAAGGTGTCTACCACTCACCTCGGTCACCTGGGGATGGGCGCGGGTTTAGCAATGCTGAGTTAAGCCCAGGACTGGCCAGGCACGGATAGCTGGCACCTGTAATCCCAGTACTTTGGGAGGCTGAGGCGGACAGATCACTTGAGCCCAGGAGTTTGAGGCCAGCTTGGGCAACATGGCAAAACCTCATCTCTGCAAAAAATCCAAAATTAGCCAGGTGTAGTGGCTTGTACCCGTAATTCCAGCTGCTCATGAGGCTGAGGTGGGAGGATCCCTTGAGCCCAGGAGGTCAAGGCTATAGTGAGGCATCATCATACCACTGTACTCCAGCCTGGGTGACAGGCCCTGTCTCAGAAGCCCAGGGTCAAGCATGTTCAATGATTGGGTAAGTTTGGAAAAGATCAGGGGAATAAGTGGTGGATTCCAGTCTAAAACTAGTTGCTACTTGCTCTAACATTGGGTAAGTGAACCTTTACACCATCTTAGAGATGAGGCTCTTCCTTCCCCCTGTTTATTTTATGAGACAGTCTCACTCTGTCAGCCAGGCTGGGGTGCAGTGGCATGATCTCGGCTCACTGCAACTTCTGCCTCCCAGGTTCCAGTGATTCTCCTGCCTCAGCCTTCCAGGTAGCTGGGACTACAGGTACCCACCACCACGCCCAGCTAACTTTGTATTTTTAGTAGCGATGGGGTTTCACCATGTTGGCCAGGTTGGTCTCGAACTCCTGACCTCAGGTGATATACCCGCCTTGGCCTCCCAAAGTGCTGGGATTATAGGTGTGTGCCATCGCACCCGGCCCCTTCTCACTCTTTAAAGGGTTGAGGGTTATAAGAGAACTGGTGTGTTAAACTCCCAGGCACAGCCTGGAACTCGGCCTGGAAATAGCTGTTATTCCTTGCAGATATACATCACCTGCCACCTGAAGGTCACCCTAGCTGAGCAGGACCCAGATGAACTCAACAAGGCCTGTTCCTTCAGCAAGCCTTCCAACAGGTGAGGACAGGTGCTCCGTGACTGGAGTAGAAACTGAATCGGCGACCCCTTGTCTATTTCCCCCAATATATTATCAGCAAACTGCTTCCTGCAGGCAACAAAAATCTAAGCTGCTTCTCTTTCATCTCAGCTGGTTCCCAGTGGAAGGCCTGGCTGACATCTGTCAATGCTGTAACAAAGGTGACTGTGGCACTCCAAGCCATTCCAGGAGGCAGCCTCGTGTCGTGAGCCAGTGGTCCACGTCTGCTTCCCTGTAACCGCAGGCATGGTATGTCATAGAATGGCCAAGAGGCTGTTCATTGTCCCTTACTCAGTTGAGGGTACCTGCTGTCATTTCAGGGTGATGGTATTTTCCCTTGTCATCCATTAAAACTGTTTGTACCTAGGCCTGCAGCTACCTTTCCCTAACACAAATCTTGGGGTTAAGCAGGAGGGGGCTCTCAGCCTTCCACCTCGGTGGCAGCCAGGGTAGATCTGCTGTCATCCTAGGCTTCTACTGAGACATAATTAGGCATGTAGGGGAAATATAGCAGTTGTTAAGATAATCTGGCTTGGCATAGTGGCTCAGGCCTGTAATCCCAACACTTTGGGAGGCCAAGGCGGGCAGGTCACCTGAGGTCAGGAGTTCGAGACCAGCCTGACCAACATGGAGAAACCCCATCTCTACTAAAAATAAAAAATTAGCTGGGCGTGGTGGTACATGCCTGTAATCCCAGCTACTTGGGAGGCTGAGGCAGGAGAATCACTTGAATCTGGGAGGCAGAGGTTGCAGTGAGCCGAGATTGCACCATTGTACTCCAGCCTGGGCAACAAGAGTAAAACTGTCTCTCAAAAAAAAAAAATAATAATAATCTGGCCAGAACAGTGGGTTGTGCCTATAATCCTAGCACTTGGGGAGGCTGAGGCCAGGGAAATCGCTTGAGCCCCATGAGTTCTCGACCAGCCTGGGCAACATAGCAAGACCCTGTCTCTACAAAAAAGATGATGTACTAGGGAATCCCTCTTGGGTGACCTGCTTTCTCCGTATGAGAAAGCTGTCTTTTTCTTTTTTCTTCCCCCTCCCCTGCACCAAGATGGTGTCTAGCTCTGTCCTCCAGGCTGGAGAGCAATGGCACGATCTCTGCTCACTGAAACCTCTGCCTCCCAGGTTCAAGCTATTCTCCTGCCTCAGCCTCCCAAGTAGCTGAGACTACAGGCATGTGCCACCATGCCCAGTTAACTTTTTTATTTTCAGTAGAGACGGGTCTTGCCGTGTTGGCCAGGCTGGTCTCAAACACCTGACCTCAGGTGATCTGCCTGCCTCAGCCTCCCAAAAAGTGCTGGGATTACAGGCATAAGCCATCACACCTGGCCGAGAAAGCTGTGTTTTTTTGTCTAGAAACTGTTTATTAGCCCACACAAAAAAGACAACATATTAGTTTAGCCCACTGAGGCAGAATAAAACCTCCAACCCAGTTCCCGGTTAGGGACTAAGATGACCCTTGGTTGTGTGTTCTCCTTTCACAGTGACAGAAGAAGCAGATGTCACCGTGGGGCCACTGATCTTCCTGGACAGGAGGGGTGACCATGAAGTAGAGCAGTGGGCTTTGCCTTCTGACACCTCAGTGGTGCTGCTGGGCGTAGGCCTGGCTGTGGTGGTGTCCCTGACTCTGACTGCTGTTATCCTGGTTCTCACCAGGAGGTGTCGCACTGCCTCCCACCCTGTGTCTGCTTCCGAATAAAAGAAGAAAGCAATATCTGGTCGTGGTGTGGTGGTCAGATGGAAGGTCAGAATTAGTACTGACTGTGTCGGGTGGGGACGACTGTATACCACCCGCCCCGTGCACTCACATAGCATAGTCCAGCAAGCACTACTGTGTCTCTACTGTAAACAGGGCAGGGTTCATGTCCTTAGACAACTATAATCTATCACCTCCATGGGAACCAACATGGAAACTCTTAGATGAAGGTCAGTCTGGCTGGACCCACCTTACTTCTAGGCTAGCAAAGAATCTTATATCTCTGGCCCCCATGGATTTGACTCTAGACATGGGAGTGGGGAGGAGAGAGCTTCCAGGCCCACTTCTCCAAGGCAAGCAGGCAGGCAGCTCTGTCCAGATGCTAGAGGCCAGAAGGCCAGTCATGACTGGGCCCTCCCAGTAGGGCAGTGATCAGAGCACTGCTTCTGCCTGGTCTTAGCTGTCACCTTGGGCTTGAAGCTATTCTTGGGACATGTTGGTATGAACTTGTCAAAGCTGCAGCAAGGGGTGACTGGCACTCCAAGCCATTCCAGGAGGCAGCCTAATGTCATAAGCCGGTGGTCCTGAGGTGGCTCTGAGGTGGGTACTTTTGCTTTGGGGGTAGGAAGCCTCAGGAGAGCTGAGAACCTGCTTTGGTTTTGGTTTTGTTTTGATTTGTCCCTTTTGAGAGAAAGGTCTGGCTGTGTTGCCCAGGCTGGAGTGCAGTAGTATAGTCACAGCTCACTGCAACCTGGAACTCCTGGTCTCCAGCCATCCTCCTGCCTGAGCTTCCTGAGTGAGTTGCTGGGACTACAGGCATGAGCCCCACTGTGCCCAACTTATTCTATTTTTGGTAGGAACTGGGTCTTGCTATGTTCCCCAAGCTGGCCTCGAACCCCTGGCCTCACGTGATCTCTCTCCTTGGCCTCCAAAAGCACTGGGATTATAGACATGAGGCCTCACTGTCACTGGGGGGAGCTGCTTCTCAACCTCCCCCTACCTTTATCGCGCTCCCTAAATAGGCTGCTTCCCTCCCCCAGGTTTCAGCCATAGTTCCTAGGAGTGAGTAAGGGAATGGTGCCCCAAGGAGGGTACCCAGGGAACTTGTGCCCCCTTTGCTGGGGAAGGTGTTCATGGTACCTCTGTGGGAGGCTTCACATCCCTCAGTAGCTGGCTCCAGCCTTGCCCCAAACTCAAGCCATTCTCACTCGGGAAAGTTCACTTTCGCTGCAGCATCCCAGCCTGGCTGGCTACTTGCTGTGAGCCTGCCAGTCCTCGTGGGCAACATGGGGGTGGCACCTACTGAGCAGGATTAGGCATAAACTGATGAAAGCTGAAAGATGCTCAGGTGCAACTGGCATGGTGCTTATCTCTGGCCCGTCTGGCTGAGGGCAGGGCCTCCAGCGTGTTGACTCGGGTACAGACATGTCTATAGTGCATTCAGAGCAAGGTTTGGGTAGCTTTGGACCTACTGAGAGCAGGAAGGCCTTTGATACTCTAAGTGTGGTCTGTGAACGTTGGCATCACCTGAGAATTTGTTAGAAATGTATCATTTAAAGCCCCATCCCAGACCTAGAAATTTGCATCTTAAATCCCAGGGTGGGGTGGGCATGGTGGCTCACGCCTGTAATCCCAGCACTTTGGGAGGCCAAGGCAGGTGGATCACCTGAGGTCAGGAGTTCAAGACCAGCTTGGCTAATATGGTGAAACCCCGTCTCTACTAAAAATACAAAAAATTAGCTGGGCATCGTGGTGGGTGCCTGTAATCCCAGCTAGCTGGGAGGCTGAAGCAGGAGAATTGCCTGAACCCGGGAGAGGCAGAGGTTTCAGGGGGCTGAGATCACGCCACTGTACTCCAGCCTGGGCAACAGCAAGACTCCATCTCAAAAAAAAAAAAAAAAAAAAAAAAAAAAAACCTAGGTGATTTGAGTGGTTAAGGGCACTGAGCCAGGGACTTGTGGCACGAAGGGATTGTTCCGGGTGAGCCGCTTGCGGCCTAAGCAGGTTGTGGTGTGATCTGTAGGGGAGTAACAGGCTGGGGTTCAAAAAACGCCAGATACAGTGGTTCAGGCCTGTAATGCCAGCACTTTGGGAGACCGAAGTGGGAAGATGGCTTGAGCCTAGGAGCTCAAGACCAGCCTGAGCAACGTGGTGAGACCCCATCTCTACAAAATATAAAAATTAGCCGAGCACAGTGGTACGTGCCTGTAGTCCCAACTGCTTGGGAAGCTGAGGCTGGAGGATCACTTGAGCCCAGGAATTCAAGGCTGCAGTGAGCTGTACTCACTGCTCAGGTCCCAGCCTTGCTGCCTCCTGCTGCGCTCTAGCCAGAGTGACAGAGCAAGACCCTCTCAAAAAACAAAATTGCCTAGGGGTTGCAGAGGTAGGCTTCCTGGAGGCGGTGATCCAGAAGCAAATCCTCAACCATGGGGAGGTGGATGTGGTGGCTCACACCTGTAATCTTAGCATTTTGGGAGGCCAAGGCGAGTGGATCACTTGAGACCAGGAGTTCAAGACCAGCCTGGCCAACATAGCAAAACCCCATCTCTACTAAAAATATAAAAATTAGTCAGGTGTGTGGTGGGTGCCTGTAGTCCCAGCCACTGGGGAAGCTGAGGCAGGAGAATCACTTGAACCCAGGAGATGGAGGTTGCAGTGAGCCAAGAGCGTGCCACTGCATTCCAGCCTGGGTGTTGGAGTGAGAATATCTCAAAAAAAAAGAGGGGAGAGAAATGGGAGAATCTGTGCCCTGGGGGCATGGAAGGCCTTAGTGCCTAGTAAAGAGTGGGGCTTGGCCTGGAGAGGGAGGCCTCATGGGCCAGATAAGGGAGATACTGGCCCATCTAAGCATGCGTGTGCCGGTAGACTTTCCCTGTCAAGATGATCAACTGGAATGGCAAGAGAATGCGGCCTGCAGGCTGGGAGACATCCTTGAAGCCATATCCCCAGGCCCTAGTCCCATCTGCCACTCTTTTTTTTTTTTGAAACGAGGTCTTGCTATGTTGCCCAGGCTGGACTCCAACTCCTGGGCTCAAGCATTCCTCCTGCCTCAGCCTCCCAAGCAGCCACAAACCACACCTGGCTTCTTCCTGCCACTTCTAGCTTAGCAGGTAACTTCATCTGTAAAAAGTGGATGACGTGATTTCTTGGGGGAATGAGTAGAGCGCTTGGTAGAATCATGGCTCATGCAAGAGGTCTCTGAGCCGGGCATGGTGGCTCATGTCTGTAATCCCAGCACTTTGGGAGGCTGAGGTGGGCAGATCACGAGGTCAGGAGTTCGAGACCAGCCTGGCCAACATAGTGAAACCCCATCTGTACTAAAAATACAAAAATTAGCCAGGCGTGGTGGCACGTGCCTGTAGTCCCAGCTACTTGGGAGGCTGAGGCAGGAGAATCGCTTGAACCCGGGAGGCGGAGGTTGCAGCGAACCAAGATTGCACCACCCCGGGCAACAGTGCGAGACTCCGTTTCAAAAAAAAAAAAAAAAAAAGGTCTCTGGCAAAATGCTCCAGGCTTGGGGTCCGACGGGTACTTCTACCCCTGACAATCTGTTTACTTATCACCATCCTCTTTTCAGATGGGGAAGTTCTTTCCATCAGGATTATAGCAAGGATTGGTCTCCATGGCACACTTGGCATCCAAGCACGTGTTGTTGGAGCTGCTCTATGAGCCAGGAGACACCGGGGAACGGTTCTTGCAATAAACATCCGTCTCTTCCTTGTACTCAAGTTCTTAGGGGTTGCAACTTTCTGAGAGCTTGTCCTTCATTCAACTTCTTTTCTCAGCAGAAAGAGGAAGTGGCTGTGTCAGGGGAGGGGAGGAGTTATGACTAAGATGTGGCCGTGAATGTCAGCTCCCTGCCAGCTCCAGATGGGCCTCAGCAGGATAGTTTCCCTGGGCCTTTGCCAGGAGAGACAGCCTCCAGCAGCAATGTCAGAGGGCTCGGCCTGTCTGCCTCCCAGGGGAACTAGACTGGAAATGAAAGGCAGTGGCAAGCCACTGAGGGTTCTCTAGACTCCATTGCTTAATCCTCCTCTTTCCCTAAAGTTTCCAGAAGCTTCCTATTGCATTGGAAAGCCTCTGTAAACCAACACTTTGGGTGTGGGTTTATTTTTTGAGATGGGGTCTCACTCTGTTGCCCAGGCTGGATTGCAGTGGCACCACCATAACTCACTGCAACCTCGACTTCTCTGGTTCAAACCATCCTCCCACCTCAGCCTCCCAAGTAGCTGGGATTACAGGGGCATGCCACCATGCCCAGCTAATTTTATTTTATTTTTTTAGTACAGACGGGGTTTCACCATGTTGGCCAGGCTGGTCTTGAACTCCTGACCTCAAGTGCTCCTCCTGCCTCGGCCTACCAAAATGTTGGGATTACAGGCATGAGCCACCGCGCCCAGCCAGTTCTCATTCTTCACTGGAGATTGTAGCCAGACATTAGAGAAAACTGGAAGAATCTAGAATCTAATCCAGTCTACAGGTAGATAAATAACTCAAACAATGAACATTACTATAATAACAGGTAAACTATCGTTTTTCTATTGAAATATAATTTTTCTCCCTATAGTCACCTTGAACTCTTGACCTCGTGATTCGCCCCCCTCGGCCTCCCAAAGTGCTGGGATTACAGGCATGAGCCACCGTGCCTGGCCCTCCTTTATTTTATTTATTTATTTTTTTTGGAGACAGAATCTCACTGTCACCCAGGCTGGAATGCAGTGGTGCAATCTCGGCTCACAGCAACTTCCACCTCCCGGGTTCAAGCGATTCTCCTGCCTCAGCCTCCCAAGTAGCTGGGATTCCAGGCACATGCCACCACGCCTGGCTAATTTTTGTATTTTTAGTAGAGACGGCGTTTTGCCATGTTGGCCAGGCTGGTCTCAAACTCCTGATCTCAAGTGATCCGCCTGCCTCGGCCTCCCGGAGTTCTGGGATTACAGGTGTGAGCCACTGTGCCTGGCCAGAGAACAGATTCTTTTTGAATCTATGCAAATAACCATGTTGCTGTAAACATAAGAATAATCGTTATGCAGCCAACAGACACATGAAAAAATGCTCACATCATCACTGGCCATCAGAGAAATGCAAATCAAAACCACAATGAGATACCATCTCACACCAGTTAGAATGGCGATCATTAAAAAGTCAGGAAACAACAGGTGCTGGAGAGGATGTGGAGAACGAGGAACACTTTTACACTGTTGGTGGGACTGTAAACTAGTTCAACCATTGTGGAAGTCAGTGTGGCAATTCCTCAGGGATCTAGAACTAGAATTACCATTTGACCCAGCCATCCCATTACTGGGTATATACCCAAAGGATTATAAATCATGCTGCTGTAAAGACACATGCACACGTATGTTTATTGCGGCACTATTCACAATAGCAAAGACTTGGAACCAACCCACATGTCCAACAATGATAGACTGGATTAAGAAAATGTGGCACATATACATCATGGAATACTATGCAGCCATAAAAAAGGATGAGTTCATGTCCTTTGTAGGGACATGGATGAAACTGGAAACCATCGTTCTCGGCAAACTATCGCAAGGACAAAAAACCAAACACCACATGTTCTCACTTACAGGTGGGAATTGAACAATGAGAACACTTGGACACAGGAAGGGGAACATCACACACCAGGGCCTGTTGTGGGGTGGGGGGAGGGGGGAGGGAAAGCATTAGGAGATATACCTAATGTAAATGATGAGTTAATGGGTGCAGCACACCAACATGGCACATGTATACATATGTAACAAACCTGCACGTTGTGCACATGTACCCTAGAACTTAAAGTATAATAATAAAAAAAAAATCATAAATTGCTTCTAAATTCTGGAGGGTTCAGGTAGAGAGGAAAAGCAAATGTTTTCATTTTTGTTTTCAAAAGTACCAAATTACTATAAATTATACAAAGCTTAAAAGAAAAAAGTTTCCTTAAATCTGGAAAACAATATTAAAAGAACCCACAATGTTTGACATAAAGCAGCCTTAAAAATCCATAATTCAGCTGGGTCTAGTGGCTTGCACCTGTAATCACAGCATTTTGGGAGGCTGAGGTGGGAGGATCGATTGAGCTAAGGAATTCAAGGCTGCTGTGAGCCATGATCACACCACTGCACTTCAGCCTGGGTGACGGAGCCAAGACCCTGCCATAAAAAAAAAAAAAAAAAGATTCAGGCCTGGTTTGGTGGCTCACACCTGTAATCCCAGCACTTTGGGAGGCCGAGGCAGGCAGATCACCTGAGGTCGGGAGTTCGAGACCAGCCTGACCAACATGTAGAAACCCTGTCTCTACTGAAAATATAAAATTAGCCATGCGTGGTGGCACATGTCTGTAATCCCAGCTACTAGGGAGGCTGAGGCAGGAGAATTGCTTGAACCTGGGAGGCAGAGGTTGCAGTGAGCCAAGATCTCGCCATTGCACTCCAACCTGGGCAACAAGAATGAAACTCTGTCTCAAAAAAAAAAAAAAAAAAAAAAAAAAAAAAAAAGAACCGGGCATGGTGGCAGGCACCTGTAATCCCAGCTACTTGGGAGGCTGAGGCAAAGGAATCTCTTGAACCTGGCAGGCAGAGGTTGTAGTGAGCCGAGATCACGCCATTGCACTCCAGCCTGGGCGACAGAGTGAGGTTCTATCTCAAAAAAAAAAAAAAAAAAAGATTAATAATTATTTTTCATCAGTTCATTCAGTCTTGTCATTAATTCTTGCTGTGATCTGTATTAGCAATTTCACAAACCCATCAGTTTCTTCATTCGAGTTTTGGAATTTTTTTTTTTTTTTTTTTTTTTGACAGAGTTTCACTCTTGTTGCCCAGGCTGGAGTGCAACGACAGAATCTCAGCTCACTGCAACCTCCGCCTCCCGGGTTTAAGCGATTCTCCTGCCTCAGACTCCTGAGTAGCTGGGATTACAGGCATATGCTACCACGCCCAGCTAATTTTTTTGTGTGTGTGTGTTTTTTTTTAGTAGAGACGGGTTTTCTCCATGTTGGTCAGGCTGGTCTCGAACTCCCGACCTCAGGTGATCCGCCCACCTCGGCCTCCCAGAGTGCTGGAATTACAGGCTTGAGCCACTGTGCCTGGCCGAGTTTTGGAAATTTAGTTCAATAGTGTGAACTCAAAGTTATTAGAAACCCGTACTTGTCAGACTTCATTCTTTCCATGAAGCTCCTTGAAGACATAATTCTCTGGGATTATAATTGCCTGCAAGAAGCTTTCAGAAAGACATTAGACTAAAGCAATTAAGTGTGGACATGAAGACTTCAAGTGACCATGGCCAAAACCTGGTCTGAGTCCATGGTAATGACGACATAATTGACAAGAATGTTATTTCTGAACCAAAATTGACTGATACCATTTATACCAAGACACATCAGATTTTTAAATATGTTATACGATTTTTCAGTATATTAATAACATATCCATATAAATATACCTCAAGGTGAAATATTTCTTATTTTGCCAATCCTTCTAATTTATTTTATGTATTTCTTTTTTTTTTTTTTTTTGAGACAGAGTCTCGCTCTGTCACCCAGGCTGGAGTACAGTGGCGCAATCTCGGCTCACTGCAAGCTCCGCCTCCCAGGTTCATGCCATTCTCCTGCCTCAGCCTCCAGAGTAGCTGGGACTACAGGCGCCTGCCACCACGCCCAGCTAATTTTTTGTATTTTTAGTAGAGATGGGGTTTTAATTTGAGTTAAATTAATAGAGCCAATGAAGATAAATTACAGAAACAACCAAATGTCATTCAAAGTAGAAGTCATGTTTTCAAGAAACAAAGAAGAAAGGATGCTTTATTTTGCTCAATGGGTATAACAGAATGTTTCTAAAGGTAAGGTTGAACCAGAGCATTTAAAAGATCTGGCCCCTGCACACCTTTTAATTCCCACTTTTATCCATTTCCACCAAGACACTTCTTACTCCAGCTTTTTTGGACTTGTTTCCATGTTTATTCATACTAACTCTCTCTTTACCACAGGGCTTCCTTTGCATAAAGTATTTAATCTGTCTAGGAGATTATTGCTCTTCTACCATTTACCTTAACCCATAGTCTTTGTGAAGACAAATGAGATTATACACCTAATGGACTTAGAACAGTGTTTGGCAAATAGGAAGAGCTCAGTAAATGTTCAATACTACTAAGTAATAATAATAAAATTGTAATAAATTTATTTTAATGTCAGGATCATATATACCCTCAATGGTTATATGTTTCGAAATGCCTAAGAAGAGTTGGTGGAGGAGGCAGCACTGGAAGCAGGCACATTGATAGAAAGAAACTACATTTTTAAAAGTAAGTTAAAAAGCAGTTATAAATAAGAAAAGCATAGCTGTTACAATCTGTAGCATAGATTCCCTGTAACAGGCTTTAAAGGCATGGTTATATCACACCACAGTGTTATGACTGATAATTATTTCAGAAATTCAAATTATCTGAACTTCTAGTTCAGGAGGCCAGAATATGAATAACCCAATTAAGAAATGCTTTCCTCCCAATCATGAAAATAAAAACAAAAACTTTTTAGCAATAATGAATATTAATTTCAGTTACCTGGGAAATTGTCTTTATGTGACTTTCATCATTACTCTAAAATGGAAAAATATACTCCATTTTTTATTATCTAGCTTATTGACTAATATACAGCCTAAAGCAATATCTACTCCAAGCCCATAAAGACCTCAGTTGAACAGACTGAATTAAAAAGAATTTGACCTGCTATCTAAAGTTTTCCAAACCTTGAAATTACATATATGTCATTAAAATAAATTAATATGGGAAAACTAATAACACTGATTTAAAATATAAAAAATAATAAAGAATATTAAAATTACTATTCATAATTTTTAGAGCATAGGAATGAAAACAGATTGTCACATAATGTCTTTAAGCAGCAACATTTTGCACTGCTTCAGCAAATACAAAATGTGGAAAACATCTCAGATAGGAAAATAAGTTATGCTTGATTAGAGTACTTCTCTAGCTTTGATTTATCAGTTGCGTAATTGATTGATTAATTGGATGTTTTACTTTAGTTTTGGAACTCTGGGAAGCAGGCAAGGTTGTGTTTGGAATGCAAAGGTACAACTTTTCAAGAATGAAACACATTGCCCTGCTAGTAGTTTGGTCAACACAGCATTCAAAAATTCAGTTCAGCAAACATTTGAAATTAATGCAATATTTGTTCACTTCATTAGCAAATGTACAAGTCCTTGCGAGTACAAGATCTTGTGCTAGGTGTTGAGGGTTCAGTATTGATAAAACACTGTCTACTCTTACTGGAATTACAATTTTAGGCAAGCACCCCAAATTATGCCATAATGAAATCAATGGATAGGAAGGCGGTGGGAGGGCTTTAGGAACACAGTTCGGAAGGAGCTATTAATTTTTCCGGGTAGAACCAGGAGTGTTTTAAGAAGAGCTGAAATTTGCACAAGGTCTTTGGTAAAATTTTGCCAGGTAAGGTGCAGAAGTGTAATTCAGGCACAGAAGATAACAAGAGAAAAACTTGGAAGCAAAAAAAACCCAACAAAAATCCCCCCAACAAAATACAGTTGTTCGTGTGATTCAATATAATTTCTTAAAAATAGTTTAGTGTGACAAAATATACAGTGCTGGAGTAGAAAAAAGAAGGATAGTTGAGACCAGATTTTAAGGGCATTGTATGACTTGATGAATGTGGCAGACAGACTCTAAGATGACCTTGTGATATTCATGGCTGATGCAATCCCCTACCATTGAGTGTGGGCAGAGTCTGGGGCTTGTTCTAACCCACAGAATGTGGCAAAGGTGATGTGATTGCATTGCCTAAGATTGTAAACTCCATCTTATAAGGAGACTCTTTCCCTTGCTGGCTTTGACAAAGTAAGCGTCCACATTGGGAAGATTCATGGAACAAGGAATTGAGGCAGTCTTAGGTCAACAGCCAGCCAGGAACTCAGAACAGCTTCTGGCCAACAGCTCACAGGAGCTGAAAGATACTAACAGCCACATGAGCTTGGAAATGGATTTTTCCCCGGTTAAACTTCAGAGCTTGAAACAGCAGCACCAGCCTATACCTTGACTGTAAACCTTGTGAAACTCTGAATCAGAGTAGACAGCCAAACCATCCCTGGACTCCTGAGCCACAGAAACTGACATCATAAATACTGACATCATAAAAAATAAGACAATAAATTTGTTACAATATTGTTATATAACCATAGCTAGCTAATACAATGGAGAATTTGGAGCTTATCTTAAAATCAATGGCAAGCCAGCTGCTAAATATTGTCAAGCAAGAAAGTGGCTTGACATCTTTCCTTTAGGAAAGAAAATCTAGGGCTGGGCGCGGTGGCTCACGCCTGTAATCCCAGCACTTTAGGAGGCCAAGGCGGGTGGATCACGAGGTCAGGAGATCGAGACAATCTTGGTTAACACGGTGAAACCCCGTCTCTACTAAAAATACAAAAAAATTAGCCAGGCTTGGCGGCAGGCGCCTGTAGTCCTGGGAGAGGCTGAGGCAGGAGAATGGCATGAACCCAAGAGGCGGAGCTTGCAGTGAGCCAAGATCGCGCCACTGCACTCCAGCCTGGGTGACAGCAAGACTCCATCTCAAAAAAAAAAAAGAAAAAAAAAAAAAAAAGATCTAGGAAGCAATGTGGAGAATAAATAGGATGGGGGAAAATGAAATGCACAAAATACAGCTTGGAGATTATTGCAACAGTCTGAGTGAGAGGTAAAAAAGAAAACTAAACTGGTAATACAAAAAATGAAAAGAAAATATTTATTTTTAAGTTATATTTTAGGTTCAGGGATACATGTGTAGGTTTGCTATATAGGTAAATTGCATGTCACAGGGTTTTGTTGTACAGATTATTTCATCACTCAGGAAATAAGCACAGGCCCTATTAGGTAGCTTTTCAATCCTCTCCCTCCCCTATCCTTCAGCCTAGTAGTCCCTGGTATCTGTTGTTCCCCTCTTTGTACCCATGTAGTGTCATTGTTTAGCTTTCATTTGTGAGTGAGAACATGCAATATTTGCTATTATGAAAATAGTGTGTGATGAACATTTGCATTCATGTGTCTTTATGACAGAATGATTTATATTCCTTTGGGTATATACACAATAATGGGATTGCTGGGTCAAATGGTAATTCTGTTTTAAGTTATTTGAGAAGTCATCACACTGTGTTCCTCAGTGGCTGAACTAATTTACATTCCCACCAGCAGTGTATAAGCATTCCCCATTCTCTGCAACTCCACTAGCATCTGCTGTTTTTTGCCTTTTTAATAATAGCTATTCTGACTGGCATGAGATGGTATCTCATTGTGGTTTTGATTTCTCTAATTATTAGTGATGTTGAGCTTGTTTCCATATGCTTATTGGCCACATGTATGTCTTCTTTTGAAAAGTGTCTGTTCAGGTTTTTAGCCCACTTTTCAATGGGGTTGTTTTTTGCTTGTTAATTTAAGTTCCTTATAGATTCTGGATATTAGAATCTATGAAGAACCTATCTTCATCAAATCATAATTTGCAAATATTTTCTCCCCTTGTGGAAGTTGTCTGTTTACTCTGTTGATAGTTTCTTTTGCTGTGCGGAAGCTCTTTACTTTAATTGGGTCCCGTTTGTCAATTTTTGTTTTTGTTGCCATTGCTGTTGGCATCTTTGGGAAGAAAATTTTCCCAGGACCTATGTCCAGAATGGTAATTTGTAGGTTACCTTCTAAGGTCTTTAGTTTTAGGTTTTACATTTAGGTCTTTAATCCATCTTGAATTGATTTTTGTATATGGTGTCAGGGAGGGGTTTAGTTTCAGTCTTCTGCATATATCTAGCAGGTTATCCCAGCACCATTTATGGAATAGGGAGTCCTGCTCCCATCGCTTGTTTTTTGTTAACTTTGTCAAAAATTGGGTGGTTGTAGCTGTCTGGCATTATTTCTGGGCTCTCTATTCTGTTCAGTTGGTGTATGTGTCTGTTTTTGTACCAGTACCATGCTGTTTTGATTACTGTGGCCTTGTGGTATGGTTTGAAGTCAGGTAATGTGATGCCTCCAGCTTTTCTATTTTTGCTTAGGATCACCTTGGATATTTGAGCTCTTTTATGTTTCCATATGAATTTTGAAACAGTTTTTTATAATTCTGTGAAGAATGTAATTGGTGTTTTAAGAGGAATAGCATTCAATCTAAATTGCTGTGGGTACTATGGCCATTTTAACAATTTTGATTCTTCCTATTCATGAGCATGGAATGTTTTTACATTTGTTTGTGTCATCTCTGATTTCTTTTGAGCAACGTTTTGTAGTTCTTGTAGAGATGTTTATGTTTCACCTCTGTCATTAACTGTATTCCTAGGTATTTTATTCCTTTTTTGGCTATTGTGAATAGGATTGTGTTCTTGATTTGGATCTTAGCTTGAACGTTATTGGTGTATAGAAATGCTACTAATTTTTGTACACTGATTTTGTATCTTCAAACTTTGATGAAGTTTTTTATTGGATCTAGGAGCTGCTAGGCAGAAACTATGGGGTTTTCTAGGTATAGAAACAGATTGCAGATAGAGATAGTGTGACTTCCTCTTTTCCTGTTTGGGTACCTTTTATTTCTTTCTCTTGCCTGACTGTTCTGGCTAGGATGTCCAGTACTATGTTGAATAGGAGTGCTGAGAGTGGTCACCCTTGTCTTGTTCTGTTTCTCAAGGGCAATGCTTCCAGCATTTGCCCATTCAGTATGATGTTGGCTGTGGGTTTGTCATAGATGGCTCTTGTTATTTTGATGTATGTTTCTTCAATGCCTTGCTTGTTGAGGATTTTTAACATGAAAGGATGCTGAATTTTATTGAAAGCCATTTCTGCATCTGTTGAGATGTTCATGTGGTTTATTTTAGTTCTGTTTAGGAGATGAATCATATTTATTGGTTTTGTATACGTTGAACTAATCTTGCATCCCAGGAATAAAGCCTACCTGATTGCTGTGGATTAGCTTTTTGATGTTCTGCTGGATTTGATTTGCTAGTATTTTTGTTGAGGATTTTAGCATCTATGTTCATCAGGGATATTGGCCCAACATTTTCTTTTTTTGTTGCATCTCAGCCAGATTTTAGTATTAGGATGATGCTGGCCTCATACAATGCGTTAGGGAGAGTCCCTCCTCCTCAACTTTTTGGAGTAGTTTTAGTAGAAGTGGTACTAGCTCTACTTTATACATTTGGTAGAATTAGGCTGTGGATCCATCTGGTCCTTGTATTTTTCTAATTGATAGGCTTTTCATAACTGATTCAATTTTGGAACTCATTATTGATCTGTTTAGGGATTCAGTTTCTTCCTTGTTCAACCTTGGGAGCTTATGTTTCTAGGAATTTATCCATTTCTTCTAAGTTTTCTACTTTGTGTGCATAGGTATTTGTAGTTGTCTCTGAGGGTATTTTGTATTTTTGTGGGGTCAGTGGTAATGTCTTCGTTGTCTTTTCTAATTGCGTCTATTTGGGTCCTCCCTATTTTTTTCTTTATTAGTCTAGCTAAGAGTTTATCAATCTTTTTATTCTTTAAAAAAATTAAAATTTGGATTTATCTTTTTTGCTCTTCATCTCTCAATTTCCTTCAGTTCAGCTCTGATTTTGGTTATTTCTTGTCTTCTGCTAGCTTTGGCGTTGGTTTGCTCTTGTTTTTCTAATTTTTCCAGGTGTGACCTTAGGTTATGAATTAGAGATCCTTTTAACTTTTTGATGTGGGCATCACTATAAAATTCCCTCTTACCACTGCTTTAGCTGTGTCCCAGAGATTCTGGTATCTCTGGGATACTAGAGTTTAGTTTCAAAGAATTACTTGATGTTTGCCTTAATTTCATGGTTCACCCAAAAGTCATTCAGGAGCAGGTTGTTTAATTCCAAGTAATTGCATAGTTGTAAGCAATTTTCTTAGTGTTGATTGTTTATTGCACTGTAGTCTAAGAGTATGTTTGGTATGATTTCAGTTTTTTTTGATTTGCTGAGGGTTGTTTTGTGGCCAATCATGTGGTTGACTTTAGAGTATGTGCTATGTGCAGATGAGAATAATTTATATTCTGTTATTTTTGGATGCAGAGTTCTGTAGATATCTATTAGGCCCATTTAGTCAAGTGTTGAGTTCAAGTCCTGAATGTTTTTGTTAGTTGTATGTCTCAATGATCTGCCTAATACTGTCAGTGTCATGTTGTAGTATCCCACTATTATTGTGTGGTTATCTACATCTTTTTGTAGGTGTTTCAGAACTTGCTTTATGCATCTGGGTACTCCTACATTGGGTGGGTATATATTTACAATAGTTAGGTCTTCTCATTGAATTGAACTCTTTATTATTATGCAATGCCCTTCTGTGTCTGTTTTGATGATCACTGGTTTAAAGTCTGTTTTGTTGGAAATAAGAATAGGAGTCCCTGCTTTTTTCTGTTTTGTGTTTGCTTGGTAGATTTTTCTTCATCCCTTTACTTTGAGTCTATGGGTGTCACTATTTGTGGGATGGGTTTCTTGAAGACAGCATACATTTGAGTCTTGCAGTCTAGCTTCTTTATCTAACTTGCCAATCTGTGCCTTTTGACTGGGGCACATAGCCCATTACTTTCAAGGTTAATATTCACGGGGGGGTGGGGGAAGGGAATTGGATCCTATCTTTGTGTTGTTAGCTGGTTATTATGCAGACTTTATTATGTGGTTGTTTTATAGTGTCCATAACCTATGTACTTAAGTTTGTTTTTGTGGTGGCTGGTAATGGTCTTTGCTTTCCATGTTTAGAACTCCCTCAAGTACGTTTTGTAAGGCAGGTCTGGTTGTAACAGGTTCCCTTAATATTTCCTTGTCTGAAAAGGGTCTTATTTCTCCTTTGCTTATAAAGCTTAGTTTGGCTGGGTAGGAAATTATTGGTTGGAGTTTCTTTTCTTTAAAAATGCAGAATATAGGCCCCCAATCTATTTCAGATTGGAGTGTTTCTGCTGAAACAGTCACTGTTAATCTGATGAGTTTCCCTTTGTAGGTGACCTGTCCTTTCTTTCTAGCTGCCTTTAATATATTTTCTTTCATGTCAACCTTGAAGAATCTGAAAATTATGAGTCTTTGGGATGGTCATCTGATATAGTATCTTGCAGGGGTTATTTGCATCTCTTGAATTTGAATGTCGGCTTCTCTTGTGAAGCTGAAAAAGTTTTGGTGAATGATATTCTGAAATATGATTTCCAAGTTGCCTGCTTTCTCCCCTCTCTTTCAGGGATGCCAATGAGTTGAAAATGTGTTCTCTTTATATAACCTCATATCTCTTGAATGTTTTGTTCATTTTTTAATTTTTTCTTTATTTTTGTCTAACTGTATTTTGGAGAACCAGTCTTTGAGCTCTGAGAGTCTTTCCTCAGCTTGGTTAATTCTGCTGTTAATACTTGATATGGTTTGGCTGTGTTCCCACCCAAATCTCATCCTAAATTGTAGTTCCTATAATCTCCATGTATGGTGGGAGTGACCTAGTGGGAAGTAATTGAATCACAGGGCAGTTTCCCCCATGCTATTCTCATGATAGTAAGTTCTCACAAGATCTGATGGTTTTATAAGGGGCTTCTCCCTCATTTGGTTCTCATTCTTCTCCTTCCTGCCACCATGTGAAGTAGGGCATTTGCTTCCCCTTCCACCATAATTGTAGGTTTCCTGAGGCCTTGCGAACCCTGAGGAACTGTGGTCAATTAAACCTCCTTCCTTTATAATTTACCCAGTCTTGAGCAGTTCTTTATAGCAGCATGAGAATGGACTAATACAGTAAATTGGTACTGGTAGAGTGGGGTGCTGCTATAAGGATACCCGAAAATGTGGAAGTGACTTTGGAAATGGGTAACCGGCAGAGGTTGGAACACTGTGGAGGGCTTGGAAGAAAACAGGAAAATGTGGGAAAGTGTGGAGTTTCCTAGAGACTTGCTGAATGGCTTTGACCAAAATGCTGATAGTGATAGGGACAATAAAGTTCAGGCTGAGGTGGTCTCAGATAGAGATGAGGAACTTGTTGGGAACTGGAGCAAAGGTGACTCTTGTCATGATTTAATAAAGAGACTGGTGGCATTTTGCCCCTTCCCCAGAGATCTTTGGAACTTTGAACTTGAGAGAGATGACTTAAGGTATCTAGCAGAAGAAATTTCTAAGTGGCAAAATGTTCAAGAGGGAGCAGGGCATAAAAGTTTGGAAAATTTGCAGCCCAATAACTAAATAGGAAAGAAAAACCATTTTCTGGGGAGAAATTCAAGCTGGTTGCAGAAATTTACACAAGTAATGAGGAGAGAAATATTAATCACCAAGATAATGTGGAAAATATCTCCAGGGCATGTCAGAGACCTTTGTGGCAGCCCCTCCCATGACAGATCCAGAAGTCTAGGAGGAAAAAAATGGCTTTACGGGCCCAGGGTCCCCCCGCTGTGTGCAGCCTAGCAACTTGGTGCCCTGCATTCCAGCTGCTGCAGCCATGGCTAAAAGGGGCCAAGGTATAGCTTGGGCCATGGCTTTAGAGGGTGCAAGCCCCAAGCTTTGGCAGCTTCTACTTGTTGTTGAGCCTTCTGGTACACAGAAGTCAAGAATTGAGATTTGGACCCCAAGACTATGGGAGCCCACCTCTTGCATCAGCATGACCTGAATGTGAGGCATGAAATCAAAGGAGATTATTTTGGGTCTTTAAGATTTAATAACTGCCTTGTTGGATTTCAGACTTGCATGAGACCTGTAGCCCCTTTGTTTTGGCCACTTTTTCCCATTTGGAACAGGTGTATTTACCCAATGGCTGAACCTCCACTGTATCTAGGAAGTAACTAACTTGCTTTTGATTTTGCAGGCTTTTAGGTGGAAAAGACTTGCCCTTGTCTCAGATGAGACTTTGGACTTCAACTTTCAGGTTAATGCTGGAATGAGCTAAGACTTTTGGAGACTGTTGGAAAGGCATGAAATGTGAGGACATGAGATTTGGGTGTGGTGGAATGATATGGATTGGCTGGGTTCCCACCCAAACCTCATCTTGAATTATAGTTCCCATAATCCCATGTCTGGTGGGAGGGACCTGGTGGGAGGCAACTGAATCATGGGGGAAGTTTTCCCCATGCTGTTCCCGTGACAGTGGTAAGTTCTCATAACATCTGATGGTTTTATAAGGAGCTTCCCCCTTCACTCAGTTCTCATTCTACTTCCTGCTACCGTGTGAAGAAGGACATGTTTACTTCTCCTTCAACCATAATTATAACTTTCCTGAGACCTTGCCAGCCCTGTGGAACTCTGAGGCAATTAAACCTCTTTGCATTATAATATACCCAGTCATAGGCAGTTCTCTGTAGCAGTGTAAGAACAAACTAATACAATAATTGTGATTTTATTATGAAGTTTTTGTAGTGTGTTTTTTCAGTTCTATCAGATCCATTTGGTTCTTCCTTATAATGGCCATTTCATCTTTCAGCTCCTGTATTGTTTTGCTGCAATCCTTAGATTCCTTGGATTAGAATAAAATTTTGACTTTCTCCTGAATCTTGATGCTTTTCATTTCTATCCATATCTGAATTCTATGTCTGTCATTTCAGTACTTTCAGTCTGGTTAAGAACCTTTGCTATGGAACCAGCACAATCAATTGGAGGAAAGGAGAAACTCTGGCTTTTTGAATTGCCAGAGTTCTTCTACGGGTCAGGTCCTTTCTCATTTGTGTAGGCTGATATTCCTTTAACTGTGGTATAATTTGAATATCGTCAGTTGACTTCTTTTCTGGATGTTTTCAGAAGGCCAAGACCTTTGTGCAGGGTCTTTATTTGTAGCTGAATTCTAATTTTTGTCCTTGGTTTCACAGGTGGGTATATTAGCAAAATGTTTTTGGTGATGAAGTTTGGGCTATGACTCAGTAGATGGTGCTGAAGCATAATGGCCAGTAGGTAGGCTCTTGCTCAGCCATGTGGAACCTCTGTACTTCCTCCCAATTGTATCTGTGCTCCCTCTTAGTGATCTGAAAGTGTCAGCTCCTCCAGAATGCTGGCTGTAGATCTTAGCTTGGCATGCCCAGGATCCACACTGCAGCCCTGGGGTAAGCTCAGGCTTTATGTTCCCTCCCCAGCTTGGAGGAAGCAAGAGATGGGACCTTGGCAATGGTTGTGGCAGCAGGACTTTCACTTGTTTCTTGGGGCTCCACTGCAGAGATATGCAGAGCCACTACCAGTTGGTACAATCAGCCCTGGGTGGGGCAGCTGTGTTGTGGATTCAAGCCAGGAGTCCCTGCCCAATGACAAGCAGCGGGGACCAGGGGACCTGGGGAGACAGACTGGCCTCTTCTCTTTAGGGCAGCCATGGTTTATTGGAGGTGTGGTTAAAGCACTCATGGTCTTTGTTCCTTTCCCAGTCTGAAGGCAGCAAAGGAAGTACCACTGCAGTTACAGTGGCAGAGGAGTTTTCAGTTGCCTCTTGGAGCTTCACCTCAAAGAAATACAAGGATCCTGCTAACGGGAATGTTCAGCTGGGTGTGGCTGAATATTCATCCAGGGACCCTGCTTGGTGAAAAGCTGGGGGTCAAGGCTCACAGGAAGGGGTGACTATACTCCTATCTGTATGGTGACTGTGGCATGCTGGAAATGTGAGTAAAGCCCTCAAACTCTTTGCTCCTTTCCCAGTCCTGGGGCAGCAAGGGCAGAACCACTGCAGGAGCCATAGCGGAGAAGCTGTTGGTTTCTTCTGAGAGCTCCATCCCTGGGAAACCCAGAGCAACTACCAGTAAGAATGCTTAGCCTGGGGTGGGGCAGCTGTTCTGTGGTCCCGAGCCAGGGGCCCTGCCTGGTGAAGAGTTGGGGGTGAGGACTCACAGGGAAGAAAGACTGAGCTCCTTTTCATAGGGTGGCTGTGGCATGCTGGAGGTGCCGGCATATCAACCAGGCCCTTTGTTCCTTCCCCAGCCTGAAGGCAGTAAGGGCAGTACTACTGCAGCTGCAATGACAGAGGGGCTGTGGATGTCTCTGTGATTTTTTTCTTCAGAGAAACGCAGAGCTGCCACTGACTGAAGTATTCAGGTGCGGGCAGTGTAGTTATGCTGCAGGCACACCTCAAAAAGCCCCCTGCCCAGTGAGGAGTAGCAGGGCCAGGGACCCATGCAGAAAACCATCTGACTGTTTGTTGGTAAGGCAGCTGTGCTGTGCTGGGGGCCCATGATAGTCCCTAATCCCTGCACTACCCTCCCAATCCTGAGAGCAGCAGGAATGAGGACTGTGGAGCTGCAAAATTTGCAGGCCTGCCTGTTACCCCTGGGAGCTCTGTTCCAAGAAAACGCAGAGCTGCAACAGGCCGAAAGCCCAGGTTGGGTGTTTCTGAGATCCTAGGTCAGGAGGCCTTGCCCTGTGAGGAGTAGCAGGGGTGGGGACCCTCATGGAAAACAGTGTGGCCACTTTTCTGTAAGGCAGCTCTGCTATGCTGGGGGTCTTCATTAGTCCACAGTCAAGGTGGTCTCTCCCATGGGTGGAGGGGTCCTAGGGTATTTCCTGTGCCCAGGATTGCAAAGGGGTCCATGGCAGAAGTGTGGTCCCCAGGGACCCTCACTCACTGACCATTTTCCCGAAGTGGGGGCCTCCCCTGGCTCTGTACCACTCCGGGTGGGCAATTGTCATATCTCACGCTTCTCCATTCTCTGTGGGTTGTGTTGTTTTCTTCATGAATTCCGAAGTTTACTCTTGGATGATCTAGTTGAAGAGCTAGTGTTTACTGATCACACTGTCTTCTCTCCTTGAAATTGGTGCATATTAGCTGCTTCTAGTCAGCCCTCTTGCCCAGAATCCCCAAAAAGAAAATTGTTAGTTCAGGGATTGTAGCTTTTTTTTTGTTTTAACATGAGATATGTGATTATAATAAACTTCAAGTATTCAGGACCATTTTATGGATAAAAGGAGAATCTAACTTTTAAAAGTTGGGAAAATGATTTAATATTGGAAACTCAAGAGTTACAAATTCTTACAGTTATTTCAAAACTAAAGGTTTCTTTAGAGCTCCAAATTTAGAGCTATAAATCCTATATCCGTAATCAAATCCAGTACTGATAACAATGAACAATTGCTGAAGAGTAATATTCTCTCTCTCTTTACCAATGTAAGCCTTAGCATTGGTACTTTCTTGTATTATCTTTTTGCATGCCATTATGATCAGAAAAAACAAAAAGCTACCCAGAAAGGGCAGCCACATTCTAAATGATAGCTTTTACCTCCCTGAGGAGCTGCTAGTACCTACCTGATTAGAATTCATTTGTAAACAACAGAGGCCTTTTAAATCTAAATTACATTTCCTAATAATTTGTTTCTGTTTATTCAGTTTACATTAAGAAACTCTTCATTCATTGAGCAAATACCTACTGAAACCTATATTATGCCAGGCATTCTGATAAATACTAGGTATGTATCAATAAATAAAAATTACTCCATTTTCAGAAATATTTTGAATAACTCCTATGTATTAAGCAGGAATTTTTTAAATATACTAAAAACAGACAAAAATCCTGATCCTCATAGGGCTGCAGTCTGATGGAGGAAAGGGGAAATCATGCAAACAAATACATATATCTCTAAAATCTCTAAAATAATGTCAATAAAGGATTAGAATTATAAGGAGAAATAAAGCAGAGAGAACTGGAGAAATCCTGGGTGTGATGTTTAAGTCACAGTGGTCAGGACACACAGTGGTTTAAGTCATCTCTGGAAGTGATTTTGGGGACACAGATTTGAATAAAAGAGAGATTGAACTATAGAATATTTATGGGAAGAGAGCCAGGCGCAGTGGTTCACCCCTGTAATCCCAGCACTTTGGGAGGCCTAGACGGGCAGATCACAGGGTCAAGAGATCAAGACCATCCTGGCCAACATGGTAAAACCCTGTCTTTACTAAAGTTACAAAAATTAGCTTGGTTTGGTGGCACATGCCTGTAGTCTCAGCTACTTGGGAGGCTGAGGCAGGAGAATCGCTTGAATCCAGGAGGTGGAGGTTGCAGTGAGCTGAGATCACACCACTACACTCCAGCCTGGGTGGTGACAGAGCAAGACTCCATCAAAAAAAAAAAAAAAAAAAGAATATTTGTGGAAAGAAATTCATGAGAAGGTTGAGAAAACTGTGCCCGGCAGAAAGGAACTATTGCAAAGCCCTTGAGGTAGGAAAGTGCTTGACTTATTCAAACAGAAGCTAGAAAGCTAGTGGAGTGAGCAACAGGAAGAAGGGAAGGAAGTGAGATTGAGGAGGAGGATGCAATGCTAGATTACATAGAACAATATTGTTTAGAGTTTAAAAATATGAACTTTGTTCTATGTGTAATGAGAAGCCAATAAAAGTTTTGAACATGAAAATGACTACTGTGGTTAGTTTGCAGATGATGGAATACAATGTGTAATAATGTAAACAGGAAGACCAATTAGAGAACTATTGCAAGGGCTAAAGTTAAATTAGAAACAAAAAACAATGATGACTGGGCAAGGATATCAGACGATGCTAGATGGTAAATTTAGGATGCTAAATTTCAGATTTACTGGGTTTTAACAAAGTTTAAAGTTATTCAAATTTTTAATGTGAGCAACAGTGAGAAATAGTATTTTCATTTCCTAAGATGAGAAAGAATAGAAGGACATGTTTGATGGGAGGGTCGGCAGGAATCAGAAAAAAGGCTTTGTTTTGGATTTCTTTAGTTAGAAATATAGATTTTGCAGTTGAACATATGAATTTGGAATTCAGGAAACAAATTGGCATCAATAATATAATGTTTGGAAACTTTAATGTTGAGGTGATGTTTAAAGACTTAGGACCCGATAAGATTATTACTGAGGGAGTATGCAAAAGAAGAAGTCTGAAGACTCAGCTAGGATGCTTCAACTTTCAGAAGTTCAGAAGAAGGTATAATAGAATAATCAGTGTTACAGGCTGAATGTTGTCCTCCCAAAATATATGTTGAAATCTGAAGCTTCAGTACCTGTGCATGTGATCTTCTTTAGAAATAAGATCTTTTAAATGTAATCAAATTCAAAGGAGATCATTAGAATAGGGATCCAATATGACTGGTGACCTTATAAGAAGAAGGGATAGAAACACACAGAAGAGAATGTCATGTGAAGACATGGATGCATGAGGTGAGAATGACATGATATTGGAGGCAGAGATTGAAGTGCTGCTGCTACAAGTAGAGGAATGACAAAGATTGCTGGCAAACCACCAGAAGCCAGGAAGAGACAAGAAAGAATTCTTCCTTTATGAGTTTCAGAGGGGAGCATAGTCCTGTCAACATGTTGATTTTGGACTTCAATTCTCCAGAACAGGGAGAAAATAAATTTCTGTTTATTGTAAACTCCCCATTTGTGGCACTTTAAGAAGGCCACCCTAGAAAACCTAAGTCAGCAAGGGAGGAGAGAAATAAGTAACTATGTGGGAATTGACAGTAGTAGATAAAATAAGACGAGGATTGAGAATTGACCTTTGAAGATCACACGTGAACAAAACAGTAGGAGCATCTATGATGACTGCGGATGGAAAGTTGTGGGGTTGCAGATTCGAGAGATAAAGGGATTTTCACTTCCTGCCAAGAGGGAGTAACAGAGACTGGACTTACTCTCCCACATGAAGCAACTAAAAAAGTGGACAAAATATTTAAAATAAAAGTTCTCAATACATTGACCATTAAAAAATGAAAGACAATGATCCATTGACAAAAAGCATGAGCCTTTTGATTGCTCTATTTACTGCCTGGAGAAAGCTTCCAGGTCATAGCACAAGGAAGACCTGGGTGTTTTCTAACACCAACAACCAATTTTCCAATTCTCTGATTTTTTACACCAACCAGAGGTCCTACAATTAAATTCCATTATGACACTAACTACCGAGAGTTTGCATGAGACTCTATAGGTTTGAAAGCTTCAGTCCCACAAGACTGACCACACTTCAGACTCCAGTTGCTAATGGGGTGCCTAGACTACCTACCTTTATGCTTGGCCAACTACAAAGTAAGGGGTTCCCAGGACATCCCCCCATGGTTAAGAATTTGCTGTAGCAATTTACAGACACTGGAAACAGCTTTACAGACTATTAAAAGATAAAATTAGGCAAATTAAAATCTTAATGAATTTATTTGAGCATGCAGCAATATATGGATTGGCCAGCACCAGAAAACAAGCAGTTAGTGCTCCATTAAGGGGGCATGAGGCAAACACTTTTATAGGGGATGCATGGAAACATGACAAAGAAAATATTTGACTAGTTAAAGTGGAAGTCCTTAGAGGTTGACTGGCAGTAGCTGATTAGCTAAGCTTAAGTTTCATGTTACTGTTGACACTGAGTTGGGTTTTTGTTTGCTTCTGTAAGAACCCAAGGTGCTAGTTGTCTCAGCCTATTGGTCTCCCGATTAATTATTTTAATGTTACTATTGCCAGTTTATTATAAAGCTCAGGAACAGCCAAATGGAAGAGACGCAAAGGTCAAAGTATGGATGAAAGGGTGCAGAGCTTCCGTGACCTCTCCAGTTGCACCACCCTTCCAGCATTTCAATGTGTTCACCAACCTGGAAGCTCTCAAACCCCATGGGTTAGGGTTTTTTATGGAGACTCCATCACATAGGCATGATTTGTTAAATCAGTGGTCACTTGTGAGTGAAATCAATCTCCAACCCCTCTTCTCTCCCTGGAGGTTAAGGGACTGAAAGTTCCAACCTTCTAATGAGAAGGCTGGTTCTTCTGACAACCAACCCCCACCCTGAAGCTATCTCACGGCCATAAGAGGGTCACCTCATTAGCATAAATTCAAATGTGGTTGAAAGAAGTTTGTTATTATTAACAAAAGACACTCCTATCACTCAGGAAATTACAAGGCTTTTAGGCTCTGCTTTGTACCAGAAATGGAACAAACAGTAAATATGCATTTATTCTTATACCACAGAATGGGAACACAAGTGGAACACAGAACTTTGAGTTGAGGAGCTGGAATTGCAGGGAGATCAAGGTGGCTGGCATGTATACAGCACAGTACTGAAGTAGAGAGAGCTATACAAAGAAATAACCCCAGAAATCTCCAGAGTCCCCCTTGTACATACAGCTGAGTACTGCTCAGTGCATGTGAGAAAACTACTTGAGTTTGGGAAAAGAACCACCTGAAAGGGTATGAGGGAAAAGTCTTCAGTGCTCACAAAGGGATAGGAATAGTGTTGTTCTCAACAGCCAGAATGGAAAACATCATGATTCACAGGACATCAGGTAGATTGCTCAGAAGGTTTATGTTTAAACAGAGGGGTGAACTTAGTCCTAAATGAAATGCTACTATCTTCTCATGCAACAAAGTTTATAATAAGACTCATATAACTTAACTATATCTCAAGAGGAAGCTCAAGAATATTTATAGAAATAAAAAAAAAACCAGCACCAACAAAGTAATATTCACACAAATTTTGCATTCTCCACAAAATTACCATAAATGCCAAAATACAGAAAACTACAATCCATAATAATGAAAGGAAGTAGGAATAACAAGGAACCATGAGGAAATTTTCATGGGTGAGTTTGGTTCATAACTGTAGTAACGGTTAAGTGGGTGCATGCACAGATCAAAACTTAACAATGATGTGTATATATTATATGTCAATTATGCTGCAATAAAGCTGATTGAAAAAAAAAAACGAGACTGGAAGGTGAAGAAGTGGAAAGAGCAACTCTTTGGAGACTTTTCTTTAAAAGAAAAGTTAATAGAAGAATGACGTAGTGGTTGGAAGAAGAGATAGGATAAACAAATTTTCATGTTTTTTTCTGTTTTGAGGAAATAAATAGTATTTAAAAGTAGAATTTGTAGTAGATAGTAACTAAGTGGACACAAAAGATAGGATGAAATGGATTACTGGAACACATATAGTATAGCATCAGAAATAGAGAAACCTGGGTTGCAATCACTGCCGTGGCACTTCATTGTTGTGATCCCATGCAAACCACTTATACCAAATGGCCCTCAATTTCTTCATTTGTAAACTGAAGATAATAGCAATATGTACTTGCATTGTATTTACAATTTTAAAAATCATAAATACGTAATAGAATCCAGCAGCAAGCATAAAACATAATTAACATTTTGCCTTTGCTTTCTCTGCTCTGTGTAGATAATAAAATGATACACTTTGCAGTGTTTTAGGAAGCTTGTCTTATGTAAACACAGAATAACAGTTTACCAATTTTGTAATATTTTTATTTCTTCCAGTCTGTTTTACTTTGCTAATTGCATACGGATCAACTGTCTTAGAAAAGTACTTTTATGATGCTTACTATTTTGGGGAAAGTTAGAGAATAATATTTTTTGATCCTTCAGAAGAACATATAGAATAATGTATTAACTCCATTTAAGATTCTGTCTCCAGCCTCACCCAAGCCGCTTTTTACCTTCGACCATATATTTTATTCCTCTGTGTAACTCAGTGTCTCCTAAACCCAAACATACTCAGGTCTCTGTACATTGAAATATTGCAGCCCTTTATTTCTCCTGGGACACATTCTTTTCTCTCCACTCCCTCCACTCCTTCCATGCTGTTCTCACCTATGGCCAACACTCAACTCACTTTTATGGAGTTTATCAAACTACCAATTCTTCCAAGTGTTTCCCATTTTATGAAATATTTCCCAAAAGACAGCCTCTCCTAGCACCATTGCCTGACATACCAAGCTCTCCACTACAACTTTTTTCACACTAGTGACACACACACACAAAATCTGTATTTTATTGGCCTCACCAGCCAAACTCATGTGCCATATTTATAAAATAAACAAAATATCAAAATTCTGATGCCTGCTGCTCCTTTTCTCCTTGGAGTTTTGTCCTAAGGATCTCCTACTTGAGACCACGGAAAGCAGCACTGTTAGTAATAGAATTCTGATGTTGATGCCAAGACATTAACCATGTTTCCAACAGGACACTGACAAGGCCAACAGAAACAAAGTGTATTTCTAACAGGATGTGGCCAAGATCACACTGAAGCTACTTCTGAGTTACTGCTGCTTTCTTGCCTAGCTGATCTGGCCTCCTGAACAAAGATTACTGAAATGTCCGGTAACTAAACTGCCCCCTCTTCTTGACAGTGTATCCAGATCGGCTTCCACATCCCTAAGCCCTTCTTCAATAATTCAGCACAAGCAGAAACTCTGTTAAAACCTGCCACTCCTCTCACCGAGAGGCTCTACGCTTATCTTCCATTGTGTTTCCTTTACTGCAACAAGATTAAAGACCCTATCTTTTTTTTTTTCTTTCCTGTATATAAGTGGTTGGTGGATTTTAACACACCAGTTATTCCTCCTGTGAATGCCTCAGAGATGGTGGAAACTGAGGCTGATGGGGGAACAACTTTAGCTAGGGAAGGAGGGTATTGGTTCTCACATTTGACCCACACTCCTCCTGCCCGGGGTTGTTCCTCTCTGCCTCCCTTCCCTACACTGCTGCTGTCCTCTTTTTGACATTTCTATTTATTTATTTTTCTGCCCTCTCAGATCAGCAGGAGAGCACCTAGGTCTCAGCCAGCTCTCTATGGCAGGCCTCTGCAGCAGCACTTGTGAAGTGCTAGTGATTCACTTCCTTCTCTATTGCTCACCCTTCTCTTTCTTGGCAGGCAGTCCAGGGAGTGGAGGAGGGTGGAGTATAGCAGGGAAAGCCAGGCACTGCCTCACATTTTCACTGGAAGCACTGCTCCCTCTTATTGGCAGGCCAAGTTTTTTAGTCTGAGCCATCAGACTAGATTTTGCCTTCACTTGCAGTGATCTCCCTCAGCAGCCCTCTTGCCCTTCCATCCAATCTGGCCCCTGTGTGGAATACCAAAACAGCAGTTAAATTTGTGCATGTGGGAAAGTTAACTTACCAAATTCTTTTTCTGCCCTTTGGCAAATTAAAGGATGTAACTGGGAATATCTTACAAGGCACAAACATGCTAGGATGGCTAGGAAAGTTCTGGCTTATTCTGTTAGGATGCTTGTCTGCTCAGCACACACAGAAAACCTTTGGAGTTTACAGGACTAAACCTCTTGCTAAAGCCAACGGGAGTTTTATGATTGCTTATGTAATCCAAACACTACTCTTTAAAAATATAGCAGTTGATTTTATATTAATATTGATTTTGTGTTTAGCTGCCTCCTGCTGTGAGATTGTGAGTGGCCTGCCAGGAGGAATTGGTCTTAGGGGAGTAGCCCCTATCACGTCTCTGGGTGAGTAGCCCTAGCACAGCAGTCAGCATGGAATGGATTCTTATTGGAACTATCCATGAAGTGTTTATAAAGATGCACAAATGCTAGGACATTCAGCAAATCTCCTAATTGGTGTATTGCTTATACCAGGCAATTAAAATATTATTTCATATTGCATGTTTAAAGAAGCTAATACTGGTTAAATTCTTAGTAATCAAATTGGACAAATTAATAAAGTGGGTCTCTTGCTATGATTTGATTTTGGTTGTACAGTGTCTTCAAAGATGAGCCCATTTCCCTACAAAAGATAGTTCCCCACAAAAGAAGTCGAATTCTGTCCAGCAGACATTCACATATCCTAAGTGATTTGTGTGGAACATTGACAACAGTAACAATTTATACCTCTGGCCTCCTAAGTAGCACCAATAATTTTAGGGAGTTGATCTTAACTATTTCAGAGCTCAAATATGCTTGTTCAATAAATTAAAAACTACATTTGGTGGACCTCAAAGCACTAAATTATAAAACTGATACAGTATTTTGCCAACACAACATTATGCTTGTTATAATGCCATGTCACAATCCATGTGATATTTTGTGGACAGACACCGTAGTTCTTTATGTATATTAATACTCACTGCAATCTTTGCAATGGGTATTATTATCTGCATTGAAAGATGAGGAAACTAAGGCACACAAAAATCAAATGATTTTTCTCATGTCAGATGGCTGGTAAATTTAGCAGTTTGGCTCCAGTAAGCACATATTTCAAAACAACCCTGTCACAACTCTTTCTATGCTCTACACAAGATTTCTATGAAATAATGTGAAGAAGTTCCTAGCAGTGAGACCATAACAGAGGATCTACCCTAAAATAAAAAAAAGGGGAAAGAAGGTTGTCCTAGATATTCTCAATGATTGTTGCATTTTTAGAGTACAACTTGTATCAGTTTAGCAACATTGAACCTATTTTAGCTTCCTTGCAAGCTACTGATTTTTTTCCTCATTATAAAACCTTCAACTATGTAAAGATTTTTCTCAATTCTTGCAGAAAACTAGGATGAATAAAGCAATGAATATGGTACCCTTTTAAATAACACACCACGTTAGGTAGGAATTTTAACTTTTTTCTTGCTGTTGTTGTTTTTGGAAGATTTATAGCAATTAAATAACATGGTCTCTGGTAGTTCTGGGACTGTATTAACCATGGAATCATTTTATTTGTACATTAATGAAATTTAGGACTATCATGAAATTTATAAAAAATAACATCTAACATATTCTTAGTTGTAAAACCTACATTCACAAGAATCCAAAGTCCTTGTAAAAAATAACCATCTTCCACTAAACATATAAATCACCCCTTCAAAGAGTATCTGTATCCTTGATCTTTCATGAAATTGTGAGTTTCACAACTTTGGGGAAGATTGAAGTAGTCTGTATAGCATTAGTATGCTAGGTCATCAAAGGAAAAATGGATAAATATCAGAATTTCCAACAAGAAAATTGTTGTGCAGAACTATTCATAGTTCAGTTTTGAAAATAATATTTAATATGCTTTTAAAATGCTAGTCAAGATATTCCAAGTTTTCTCATGCATCATTTACCTTCAGGAAACATGAAGAACTCAAATGTAAAAAAATATTAAAAGAGAAAAAGCCACCCTACCTCAAAAAAGAATGGAATTTTGGGGGGTTTTGTTCTTATAATGTCTTAGTAGATAATATGCTGAAATACATAGAATGATATGTCAACATAAGTCTTCATTAGATTCTAAACTAATGGAGTTTCATGTATGCCTATGACTCTGCATAGTTAAAATATCATCCTGGCATTTAAACTCATCATTGAGATCAGAGCTAACTTGGGAAATCCAGGCTTGCATTGTGAAGTTGCAAATTATGGCAATTTCTCAGGTAATTTGAAGCAATTTCAATGACTTTCTCCTGTCTGCTTCAGGAAAGTACTAAACAAAAAGTAAATGTTATGTTTCATGTTGGGTCACTGATAAAATGTAAATGAACCCAGGACTCACAATAAATTCCAGAGAGAACAGTATTTCTGTATTCAACGTGATGGTAAAGGCCAATGTATGAGGTTGAAACATCTTTATAATGTAGGTTTGCAAAACTATGTTTACTAAACCCTATTAGCAATATAGTCTTAGAATGGAGTCAAAAGCTACAAAAATAATTGCATAAATAGGTAATGTATGTTAATAAACATCTTATTTATGTAACTTATCGGTGATACTCCAGACCTACCACCTCTTTTGTTTTGCTTGAGATTCTCACCTTTTAAACTAATCATTTTTGCTTCCTACATCTTCATTAACACATCATTAACTCTGGAATTTAACCTGAGATCCGTTCTTAATTCTTCTCTCTCAAACTCATAAGGGCTTTATGATAGCTATGTAGTAAAAACGAAGTCTCCCTCTCTCTCTCTCTCTCTCTCTCTCTCTCTCTCTCTCTCTCTCTCTCTCTCTCTCTCTCTCTCTCTCTAAGGAAACACTCAAAACCCTCTACATAGCTTACTGTTGCTTGAATCACCACCAAACACTTTCTCTCCCCTCTCCTGGTAGAACATGCTAGGACATCCTATGAATATGTGCTGGGAGTGTTTTATGAGTGTGATTTTACCTAACCAGGAAGTCAGGAAGGAGGAGAATGACCTAATCTGCCATGTTTTCTTTATGAGAACATCTTCTTAGCAATGTATGGTTTCATGAAGTAGCTATAGAGTTTTAAAGTTGCCCTTACATCCTGAATCAAGAAATGCTACCTTTCCTGCCATTCATTTCAATGAACCTGTAGTTTATTAAGCCAGTATCATTACTTTGAATTTGATTTGTGAGCATTACACAAAAAGCTGTATATGCCTGTATTTGATAAACAGAAGCATCTGACTTTGATTTGCATTATTATATTTGGATTCTTCAGTGATTGCTTGAGATGACTCATGTTGATCCTTATATATCTTTCTTTTCTTCCTTCCTTCCTTCATTCCCTTCCTCCTTCCTTCCTTCCTTCTTTCTTTTCTTTACTATTTTTAAAAATTATTACTTTCAGATGATGAAAAGAAGAAAAACAATGAGAGTGACTAGTTAGGAATCATCTAGAAGCTTTAATATAGAAACAAAAATAAATACTCCCATCCATACACCCATTTTTTGCTTGAGAATCTCAGGGGAACTAGTTAAAACAGTTGCTAGGCAGCCTATTCCTCATCTCACAATGGGTTAGAACTTTAATCATGTTTACAGAGATACCATGTAAAACTCTCAATGAATAGTCTTATTTTATAGCTCCAATTTAATTAATAGCTAATATTTTTGGCATGTTTATACTAATTGATTACATAGAAATATACTCTATGATATATACATATTTCAGAAATTCTATGATATTTTTGGAAACTTGGTTTTTTTAAACTTTCGTATTTCACTGCCTTGGAGTTTACTTGGAAATTGCATACACCAATCTGCTCACACATATCTAGTCTATTTTTTTCATTCTACAGAGAAAGCTATGTTTTATACTACATCCCTTGAGAGATAGTACCTGAATCTACTAGTAATGATATTGTCAAAGGAATTATATAGAGAGCTAGGAAGATAGATAAATGGTATATCTCTTACATACACACATATGCACACACACGTGTTTGTTTGTGAGAGAGTACATATGTTCATTCCTATAAAAATAAATACACATATATAGCTTTCTCTGTTTCTAGTTATAACTCCATTAACCATGATAAAAAAATATGTCTTTCTTCTCTTTATAATTTAGATATCTCTACAGACAGTTTTCTTTATTCATGTTGGGAAAATCTAAAGTACTTTTAATTTTTCTTCATTTATTTCTCTATTGTGTTATGTACTTTTACTGCTTTTCCCTTGAATTTTTATTTAAGATGTTCAGGCAAATAAAATAGTCCAGGTATAGTCTCCCCAAAAATTGGGGAGTCCAGGGATACAGATCCTTATCTAAGTCATGCTACTGAAGGACTAGCATATTTCAGGCCCAGGTTCTTCTATATCCTTGCCATTGGTCTCCTATTCCTTCATGGCTCATTGTGAATTCGTCTGTAACATTCTGTCATCTATTAGTCTTTCAGTTCTTACTATGTTCCAAAGCTGGTACACTGATTCAATCTCATATTCCCAGACCAGGGTTTCTTAACCTACAGGTAATGAACAATCCCATGTGTATCTGTTTTACCTTTTTGTTTCTTGGTCTTTTCAGTTTTGCTTTGTTTTTGTTTTATTTTATGAGAACGAGGACCATATATTTCGTTTGATTTTTAAAGAGACCGCTCAAATGCTAAAAAGGGTCATCCTAGATAACAGTCAAGATCTTTGTGACAACCCAGAGTAATTGTGGACACACTTCCATGCTGTCCTGATGTCTTCTTCACCTATTAGGATTGAAGAGGAGTCATGGTCTGCCTAATGTTATAAGGGGCAAGTCTGACAAGGATAAACTCAGATGAAGGTGCTCTTATTTAGAAAAGGTTAATATGATCTATAACATTAAAATTTCGATTAACCCTCTAATGACAATACAGCTGATTTTTTTGGTAATTTTTAATTGAGCTTAATCTCTCCTTTAATAATAGCAAAGAAGATCTTGAACATTCAGAATCCCTAGACAGTAAAATCCTTAACACAGAGAGTGTGCAGGGGACATGGCTACCTATAATTCAGCAGTGCTGACAAACTGAATGACACTGGATAAATCATTTAATTTTGATGTCCCTTAGTTACCTTGCCTTGAAATGGGAATGCTAAAAGTTTCACTACTTCCTTTGCAAGGTTACTGTGAATGTAAAATAGAATAACTAGAAAGCTAAAATATATATGTAATTTATTTATCTGTAAGTAATGTGTGGAACTTTTAAGCCTCGTATGGGAATAAAACAAATATACACTGTACTATTCTATGAACAAATCTGTTGGCCAACATTCTGATATTGAATATTTATACACGATATAATGTCTCCATTTATTTTCTGGACAGAATATATGAGATTTCTCAACAGAGGATTTCCCGTTCTCTTATTTAAGTATTCTCCTCGGTGTTTGGGAGGCTGTATATTAAACTAGAGAAAAGGTATTTGTTTGTAGTCAAACATAAGCTTTTATATCTACTCTGCCCTTTTACTAGATCTGGGTCTCTGGGAAGTTAGTAGGTCCTTTATGAATGACAGTGTTCTTGTGTTTTGGCAATACCAACTATAGGTTTTCCTAACATCAGTTTTGTGCTTTGTCAAGTCTCTTGTTTGCTTGGTTTAAATCCCGCTTCCAACTTCTTAAAGTCTAATTATAGAATTGTCTTGAGTTTATTGATGTTTAACTTCTAGGGCGGTCTATGAATGTCATCGAAATGTCGATAACTTATCCCTAGAAGAAAGAAATCCTCTAGGATATGCTGAACCTTCTGAAAATGATTTTCTTACCTCTATTTACAAGTATCTCAATTTTAAAATCACACTTCTCAAAGTAAAACAAAAATAGCCAATGAAGAATATTTCTAAAACTCAAGTGAATAAAAGCTGCTTTATTACAATTTTACTCTATTCACGTTTTGGCATGCACTTTCTCTTTTTATTTAGCTAATAATTACTCTTTGGGAAAAATGCATCATTTAAACATTTATAAAATTTAATTTTAAGACTTTTGATTTATGATAGCTTCTTAAGTGATTATGAAATGAAATCTATTTTCGTAGAATATTCAGAAATAACATTCATGTAAATGACTTCAGTTTATCTTGTTAGAAGTATCTATGAAACAAAACTTTCCCAAGTAATTTTACTTAAGTTATCCTTGGAATGATAATTAAACACAAAGACATGGTAAATTGAAAAGTAAAGAAATTAAAAGGATAACAGACAGGTGTGTCTTTGTTTGTTTCTTCCTTCCTTCTTTTCTGAATTATTTAGGAAGTGTCATAACATTTGCAACTTACTCTCAGTAGATTCAGGATGAAAAGAGAAAAAGAAAAATATGCAAATACAAATATAGCAAAAGTTTTAGCAAACATGTATAATTATTGTACTACTGTTTCAGATTTTCCCTAGGTTTGAAAGTTTTTAAAACATAAATTTAAAATACCTGTGTTTATCTAGCTCCTAATATATATCAGGCACTTTGATATATGAAGTGAATTCAATGTTGAACAAAAAAGACCAAGTCCCTGGCCTCATAGAGCTTAAGATATTTAGGTAACAGGCATTAAACTAATACTTACATAATTTTAAAAACCAGGGTCGATAAGTGTAATAAATGAGTCTGGTGCTTGTGTAGGATTCATGTGGACTCCTGCTTCTGCTGGTACAGTCCATCACTGGCAAATCTGTGGCAAGACGTTCAGTTCCAGAGCCTCCATGTCAAGGCCAGTCTACTGGCTTCAAGCCAAGGTAAAGAAACAGCCTCACTTGGGTCTTCTCTCCTCCTCCCATTCATTTGGCTCCTACTTATCCTCGCATTCATGGGATCTATAACCCACTTTCTATAACCTACTTCTCTATATTACCCAAATTAATTTCAAATACCACTCACAGTGTAAGTACAAAATGTTGAGAAAAAACCTCTGGGCTCTGAACAAGCAAGTTTTAGACTCTGAATCAAAAATTCTCTTGGAGTCTTACAATGAATGGAATGTGAATGCATGCAGTGCATACAATTCTAGGGTCACTTTTCTAAAAGGAAGTTTCTTGCTTTTGACTTCCTCATTCCCCTTTCTAAAGACCAGAATGAGAGTGGTTGAGAGACAATTTTCCTCTTTCAACAGCACCATGCATGATCTTATGAGGCAGAGTAATTTCTCCACCCTGGCCATGCCCCTACCTCTGGTCTATTATATAAGAAAAAAATAAAATTATCTCTTGTTTGACTTGCTCTAGTTTTAGGTCTCCTTGTTATAGCCAGCTCAGTCTATATTCTAACTAACATTCATCTTAAGTAAAAATCCAGAAATCATAATTGGCTACCTTTCTTTGTTTTGTAACTTTTCTCCTACCATAGTTTATTTCTTCATTAACCCTTGACTGAACTGAAGTAGTCACAGCCTTGGTTTCCAAACCTTTTGATTTCCTCCTCTCTTATTCATCCTTCACAGTTCCATCAGCATAATCTTTCTAAAGCCCAAATTGCATTTGCATTACGTGTTCTCCTCAAGGACATTCAAATGGCTCCTCTATTACTTAGAAAATAAAACATGAACTCTTAGCTTGGCATTCAAAGTACTGTAACTTGTGGCTTCACAAGCAATAGAGTTATGAAGTTACTATGTTATGCCCAAGTGGTTTTGTTGAGAGAGCGACACCCTCCTCCAACTACTTCACTCACTGAAATTCTAATAATCCTTGAAATTCTAATAAGGCTGTCTTGAATTCCATATATTTTATGAAAATCCTTCCTTAGTTCCTCAAATTGAATTCATAATTCTTCTTGCACTATTCAGATAAAATTTTGCTTTTACCTCTTTTGGATATTTTATTCAGTCAAATATTATAATTTCTTTAATATGTATCTATCTCTACCTCTAGAATATAAACTCCTTGAGGATATGCACTGTATATTATTTTTCTGTATCGTTTTTATTGCTATCACCCATGGAAACGTGCATATTTCTCCATACATCAGAGGTAACAAAAAATGTTTACTGAATTGAACTAACTTGAAAAAGGCTAAACTATCCAATTCTTTCCTGAACAAGAATGGTCATTTCTGTAAGCCAAGATACTACCAGAAATTGAGAGAGAGAGAATATGATTTGATACAGTCCTCCAAAATTGGGTGTTTGAGTTTATTTACTTTAAGCAAGACATGATTTCCATTTTCCAAAGGAAAAAAACCTTGAATATATTATAAGAAAATGATAAGGCTTTCTGGACATCAAAGAATTCTTACAAAATAACTTTTGAATTAGTTAACTATAAAAGAATCAGAAACATACAAATTAAGTTCTCCTTGAGATACACTGGGCTTAAAAATAAAGAAGAAACATGTTTAAGATTATATAAAGCCTACAACTTTGAGGAAAGATTTCAGAAAACAAAACACTGAAGTCTAATAATATGGTAAAAATGTAACTATAATGGCAAATTATTCAAACATTTTAACTCCCTACTAACCTTCTCCAAATGTGAACCATTTACTAAATGACAGATTTTTTTTTAGGATTATGGCTTAACTTACTGGTCTCAGTTATATATCTTCTCATTTTGCCACAAAATGCTAGTAAAAACTTTCATTTAGCAAGTGCTTACAATATGATAGGTATATTTCCAAATATTATCTTTACTCTAAACAACAGCTCATGTTTCCAAAATGGCAGTTCCAGATGTCATAGATTTTTTTGACTAGTCCATGCTGTCTCAGCATGTTTTCGCATATCTTGAAACTCCTTCTAACTTCATATATTATGAGAAATCATGAAAGGAACCTCTTATCTGCCCAGAAAATCTCACCATATCTTTGGGAAAAAGAAATAATATCTACCTCATTCGTAAATGTTGTGATTAATTGGCCAATGTGTAATATTAATAATAGCAAACATCTATGGAACATGCTTTATTATGTCAGATGTTGTATTAAGTGTTTTAAACATCTAATTTCAGTTTTCACAACTACATGAAGTATTTTGTTATCCTCACTTTACAGATGGAGAAATGGAAACTCCAAAAGATTAAGCAAGAAGCCCATAGGAACACAATTAGTAGAGGTAGGATTTGAATTTATATCTGTCTAGTTCCAAATCTTATACTATTTACTATGATTTCACATTGTTTTTGCTTCAAAAATTATAAACGATTCATAATAAAGTATACTACCATAAAAATTGTTTCATGCATTTCAAGTTTGAATAGCATATAAATTTACATTATCAAGATAATTTTTTTACTTTGGAAAACTTTTTGTTCATTTAGGTGAATAATTTTCTAACATTAATGTCATATTGAATTACGGCCAAAAAATCCCCTTTAAGTTCTTATATTAGCACTGAGAGTGGATGAAGAGAAAATCTACCAATTCCTTACTTAGTTTTATATCTCCTTTTGACAAATGGAAACCTCATCTGTAGACAGGCAATATTTAGCTACTTTATCTTGATTAATCCGTGGGATAGAGTGAGGTTTGTTAAGTAAGCAATAACACATGACATGATGCATGTTACACTGCAATGAAGCCATGCTTGAGCTGTTTGGTGATACATGAACATCCTCCTCCATCGGATGCTGTCATTCTGTAATAGCAGGAGCTTTGGAATTAGCCACTGATATTTTGATGCCCTCCATTACTGAGAATGTTCATATAAAAATCAAAATAATATGAGACCATATACTATGAAAAGTTTTGCTCTCACTCTCTCATCTTTCCCATCCAAGAGGCCCATCACCATCACTACTCACTTTTAAGCTTATCCTCTGGAGATTTTCTATCCAAATGCAAACAAATACAAACATAAATTCTCATTTTCCTTCTTTCTTACATGAGTGGCAGCAGACTATCCACACTACTTTGTACTTTTTTTAAATAGACTTTTATGCCTTAGCAATCTTTACAAACCTATGACAGCTTCATAGTATTCCATTATTTAGACAAGTCTATGCTTATTTAACCAAAAGTTTCTGGTTGAGCTATGAAAATATCTGTGTAAGGAGAAAGCTTATGTGAAAGAGAATATATAATGTTTACCAAATATACTCTTTTCTATTTTCTATCCCATTTGCAGTTAGGGGCCAAGTGCCAGGTGATAAGATCTGGCCAATAATATAAAATTCAAAGGAATGCATGCCACTTCCAGTCAGAGGCAGTGAAAACTCCCTATGTGGTTTTTGGTTCTCTCTCTCACTATGCAATGAAGAAAGAGGCTGAATATTCCTGATGTTGCAGCTACAAGATGAAGGTCTTCATCAGTTCACATACGTGGGCAAACTTGCAGCAAAACTCTCTGCCACACTGCAATGGTCACATATGGTTTTGTTAGATCACTATAATTTGGGACTTATTTTGGTATTGTATAGAATCAAACACTTCGAACTGGAGTAATCCTTGATAATATTCAAGCCAAGAAGTTCTTAAGTCTCTGTGTTGCCTGGGAATTTTAAACATATGTTCAATTTCGTTTTCTGGAGAATCGTTAGTAATGATTAGATTCTTAAAAGGAGTTCAGAGCCTAAAATTAGCTAAATTTTGTCAACGTGACCTAACCCCTCATTTTACAGACAATGAAAATGAGATTGGGGTGTTGGTTTAGAAGGTGTGGCTGAGTTGCAGATCCCCTTCTTCTCAGTTCTATACCGTGCCTCATCACGGCCCAGTCTGAGGAGTCCAACTGCATTAAACTCACAGCCCTGATGGAGCCAGCTGTTGTTTTCTACTTCATAAACATACACACCCTTTTAGTAACTAGGGCCAGCATCACAACCTACTTATGTTCATACCCTTCTTTATCTCATCTGTTCAAGTACTCAAGCCAAAAATTTAGGATTTTGCTTTGATCTCTCACTTCACCCTTTCTCCCTCTGAGTAAACCTCTCCTACATATCATGAACTACCAAAAAATCCTGCTCTTCCTGTTTCCATTCATGACCTCTTTTGGACTTATGAAAGAAAGCAGGAATAATGATCTTTTCAAAAAGTACATAGAACCTCTTAAAGTCTTCTTATCACACTTAGAAAGAAATTTGTTCCCAGGTTGCATCACTGGTCTCATCCACCAGAAAATGCTTCCGTGGACATTTGCATGATAACATTCCTTATCATTCAGGTGTCTCCTCCAAGGTCATCTTTAAGAGCGGCCTTCTCTGACGACTTGGCCTGAAATACTCCTTCCCTCTACCACTTTCAACCCATTTACTCTATTTTCTTAACAGAAGGTAAAATAATTTTTAAATTTTGTTATTCATTTCTAAGGGTCCATATTCCACTTATAGCATAGATTCTGTAAGACTAAGATGGTGTCTCTTGCTCAATGCCAAATCGCAGTACCTAGAACACTAGCTGGTGCTTATGAGTGCTTAATACTTATTAAATCAGTCAACAAATGTTAATTTTCTAATCGTTATCCAAGGTGTTGCCTTGCTCAGAATTTCTTTCATTTTTTTCTTGTATTAGTTAAGCATTACCCATCTTTCAAGGTTTAGGACCATCATGATGGAGCTCCTCCGCCTGCCCTCCTGATATAGTCCCTCTTCTGATACCTACGATAGTTTCAGTTATAAGGTAGAACTGTACTCTTGACAGTTGAGACAGTATTACTTGAGAAAACACTTTGCCCTAGAATTCAGAAGACTCAGCCACATCTACTTTTGATTCCAATAGTATTGAGATATAGCCTTGGATAAGTCATATAACTTCGCTAAATCTCAGTTTTCTAACCTTGGAAATGAGAAAGACAAAAATGATAAATAATGATGATACTTCCTTTGAAGCTGCCCACTCCATCTGTGTTTTATGTAATATACTCAAGTTCAAGGGCATACTTCATGTTTATGTACACTGTAAAACATAATGCCAATGCAAAGTACTATGATTATTACTGTTGTTATGTATTGTGTGAAGGTATAGTTTATCTCCCTGATTCAGTTTTCTGGGTGCTTTCTATTAGCACTAGTAATAGTGCCAATAGGAACACCTAGGAATGAACCCTTTCAGCTTTTACAGCATTTGTTCCAAGAACATTATAAGGGTGTTTTGAGGGCTGTTGTTAAGTTAAAATACCATTGCTTTTGCTATACCCGCATTTTATGTAAATCAGAGAACTTTTTTCCTACCATGAGAATATTATATCATTTAGCAAAAATGGAATCCCATAGAGCCAAAAATTTAAAACCTTTCATCAATTTTCTGCTAATATCCATTGGTATCAACTAATAACTTTACTCCACTAGTTGTAGAAACTGTGCTTTTCTCCCTTTAATTGGCCAATGTCTACAAAGAAATTAGCCGATTTTATTATACATTTTTTTCACTTGACATAATTCTGTAACAACCCTTAATTTAATCCTATCTATGTATGCTATATAAGTGTGTGTATCATGGTTACACAACAGGCTGCAAAAGAACTGCTTCAGAAACATATTGAACAAACTAAGCAATGAAAACTTGCTAATGCACTGTGAGTCACATACTGTGCAAGAGCAGTAAATTGCTTCCTTGGTGGTTTTGACAACATTGCCTCTGAACATAATTGAATGTCATTCGTTTATATGTTTGCAAATAAGGTCCCAGTGACATTACACTTGGGAGTGTGCACACTTGGTCGTCTGTTTATGACGGAGGAGGCAGACATATGGCCTGTGGACTCGGTTTGGCCCAGAGCTGTTGCAAAGTCCTCCTACCAGTTTTCAGCCAGTCAGCCCCATCACTGTGAATCAGCTCTGTCAAAGGCAGTGCTTCCCATCAATTAAGGAGGGGAAATGCAGCTTACCCAACTGCCAGTTTGCCAGGGCCTCTCAGTCCTGAGATGGCAAAAATACCTGAAACATGCAAGAGAATGTCACATGCTATGTAAATAAAAGAAAGGAGATAAGACAAGGAGAAAGAGAAATGTTACCATTAAACTTGCAAAAGGGAGAGTCTAGAAAAGAGAAAACCTACTGCATGGAAGTGATTAAGTATGAGTTTTAATACTTACTGTGCTCTAAAGGGTTTGTGTGATATTAGGCAAGTCTCTTTTACCACATTAGCCTTAGTTTTCCTCTCTGTAAAGGAGCTGAATACATTTTTCAACATTTTTTTCACAATCAGAAGTATTTTCATTTTTTCTAACTACAAATTTGAAAAAAATTATTAAACAAACTATGTCTATTAATTTGTTTTCCAACTACTATAAAGACATCTACAACTACCAAACCACAGTTACTGATCAGCATGATTATTAACATGTTGGGATGGTATAATTTCAGCAACAAAGATGTCATTTAACTTTCCGCATAGCCTTGGAATATTTAAAATACCTTAGAACTATCTGTAATGCTCCATGGATTTATAATCTTCCTGTGAAAATGCTATGTTTAGTTTTTCTTTCAAAAATAGTTAATAAATACTGAGCTAGGCACTGGCATTATTAGGTACTGAGGTAACAAAAACTGTTCTTGATGCATTTCCAAAGTGGTAGAGAAATTGGTAAAGAAAAATCAAATTCAGCAAAAATAGGAAATACAATAATAGACCTACAAATAAAATCTGGGATCACGAGAAGGCCTATCAATTCCTCACTGAAAGAAAAGAGCCACAATAACAAAACCCTATTTGTAGAGACTCACCTAAAAGGAGGAGCCATCTGGCCATACTGCTTACCAGACGTGTGCTCTATGGAATCAAAGCCCTGGAGACACTCATTCAAAAATAGGCTCCCAGACTTAATTTTGCTTGACAAACACAATATTTTCTGTCTCACTCTTAAAGATTTACAATGCATATTTGCATATTAAAGGCTCTAAGAAGTCCCAAAGGCAAAGAAACACATCTAACTTGGCTTGATATAAATTTTCTGAAATATTTGACGAAAGAATCTACTTTTGCAGAATAAAAAATAGTAGCTTAGTTTAGGACACTCTAAATATGGCTTTTGGAATAAACAAGACCATAGCAGAGCCATGTTTTATGATCACATTGTTTTGTGGCCCATTGCCAGTTCCTACCTAGAAAACTTCAAGACCTACAAGACAGGTATTATCAAGCTGCACTTTGGCAGTCTACATGAACATTTACAAAGAAAAACCTCAATGAAATGCATTGAGTTGCTATAAAGATAGCATTAAAGTTGCTGCTCAAACATCACTCAATAGAGACACAGAATAGATTTTTTTATTTAGGTACTCATGCCAGGAATAATGTGTACCTCCTGAATAATTTGTTTGTTTTCTATCATGTTAACACCATGATTTAACTGGTCATTGTTGGCAGAAAAGATCAGAGTCCATTTTATGACTCACAGTTAGAAAATGTAGAGAATTCTATATGCATGTCTTGTGTATTAATGTTACTCTTGATTTCATTGTACTTTTTCTATTTTATTTTTCCTTTGCCCTAATTTTCTTATTTTTGAAATGTATCAACACTATAAATGAATATCATTTTAAGAATTCAAACAATTTAAAATCAATTAAAAATTCCACTTTTACCCTTCTCTACTTTGTCAAACCTCTCCTGCCTAACCGTATGCGCTATTACAAATAGTTTTGATGTTTCTTACAGTGTCTGTTTATAAAGAGAAAAATATATTATATATATAATTTTGAATAGACTTTATTTTTTAGAGAAGTTTTAGTTTTATAGGAAAATTGAACAGAAAATACCAAGAGTTCCCTTGTAGCCCCTGCTGCCCCACATGCTCAGCCTCCCCCATTATCAACAGTCCTCACCAGAGTGATACTTTTGTTACAGTTGATAAACCTATATTGAGACATCATCATTACCCACATTTCCTACTTTACGCTGGGGTTCACTCTTGGTGATGTACATTCTGTAGGTTTGGACACATGTATAATGACATGTACCACCACTGTAATATCACAGAGTAGTTTCACCTCCACAAATATCCTTTGTGCTCTGCCTATTGATCCCTCTCTCCCCCTAACCCTGGCAACTACCAATCAATTATTTTACTGTCTCCATCTTTTGTCTTTTCCAGCATGTCTAATAGTTGTAGTCACATAGTATATATCCTTTCAGATTGGCTTCTTTTACTTAGTAATGTGCATTTAAGTTTCCTCTAGATGTTTCCATGGCTTGATGGCTTCTTTCTTTCTTTTTTAAGCACTGAATAATATTTCACTGTCCTGATGTACCAAGTTTATCCATTCACCTACTGAAGGACATCTTGGTTGTTCTATGTTTTGGCAAGTATGAATAAACCTGCTATAAATGTTTATGTGCCAGTTTTTATGTGGACATAAATTTTCAGTTTATTAGGGTAAACACCAAAGAGTGTGATTGCTGGAGAGTATGGTCAAAGTATGCTTAGTTTGGTAAGTGGCTGTACCATTTTGCATCCCCATGAGCAATGGATAAAATTTCTTGGTGCTCCACATTTTCCACAGCATGTTCTGGATTTTGACCACTCTAATTGGTAGGTAGTGGTATCTCATTGTTTTAACTCACATTTCCCTGGTGACATATGATGTAGAAGAGAATCTTTCTGGTAGTTTATTTCACATCTGTTATATATATATAATGTTAATTTGTTAATGAGATCCTAGTCTATGTTTTATTTTTTAAGTTTCTTTGTCAGTCTGGGAATTTTTTTTATGGATGGGGTCTTGCTATGTTGTCCAGGCTGGTCTTGAACTCCTTGCCTCAAGCCATCTTCCCACCTCAGCCACCCGAGTAGCTGAGACTACAGTCATGCACCACCACACCTGGCTAATTAAGTCATCTTCTAATGAATGTATAATATCAATATAATGAGTAAAACAGTATTTAACCATTCCAATATTGATATTATACAGTTTTCTTCTATTAAAACAAGGATACGGTGGAGCCAAGATGGCCGAATAGGAGCAGCTCCGGTCTACAGCTCCCAGCATGAGCGACACAGAAGATGGGTGATTTCTGCATTTCCATCTGAGGTACCGGGTTCATCTCACTAGGGAATGCCAGACAGTGGGTGCAGGACAGTGGGTGCAGTGCACCGTGCGTGAGCTGAAGCAGGGCAAGGCATTGCCTCATTCGGGAAGCACAAGGGGTCAGGGAGTTCCCTTTCCTAGTCAAAGAAAGGGGTGACAGACGGCAACTGGAAAATCGGGTCACTCCCACCCTAATACTGCCCTTTTCCAATGGGCTTAAAAAACAGCACACCAGGAGATTATATCCCACATCTGGCTCAGAGGGTCCTACACCCACGGAGTCTCGCTGATTGCTAGCACAGCAGTCTGAGATCAAACTGCAAGGGGGCAGCAAGGCTGGGGGAGGGGCGCCCGCCATTGCCCAGGCTTGATTAGGTAAACAAAGCAGCTGGGAAGCTCAAACTGGGTGGAGCCCACCACAGCTCAAGGAGGCCTGCCTGCCTTTGTAGGCTCCACCTCTGGGGGCAGGGCACAGACGAACAAAAAGACAGCAGTAACCTCTGCAGACTTAAATGTCCCTGTCTGACAGCTTTGAAGAGAGTAGTGTTTCTCCCAGCACGCAGCTGGAGATCTGAGAACGGGCAGACTGCCTCCTCAAGTGGGTCCCTGACCCCCGAGCAGCCTAAATGGGAAGCACCCCCCAGTAGGGGCAGACTGACACCTCACATGGCCGGGTACTCCTCTGAGACAAAACCTCCAGAGGAACGATCAGGCAGCAGCATTTGCGGATCACCAATGTCCGCTGTTCTACAGCCACTGCTGTTCTGCAGTCACCACTGCTGATACCCAGGCAAACAGGGTCTGGAGTGACCTCTAGCAAACTCCAACAGACCTGCAGCTGAGGGTCCTGTCTGTTAGAAGGAAAACTAACAAACAGAAAGGACATCCACACCAAAAACCCATCTGTACGTCACCATCATCAAAGAACAAAAGTAGATAAAACCACAAAGATGGGGAAAAAACAGAGCAGAAAAACTGGAAACTCTAAAAAGCAGAGCACCTCTCCTCCTCCCAAGGAAGGCAGCTCCTCACCAGCAACGGAACAAAGCTGGACGGAGAATGACTTTGACGAGTTGAGAGAAGAAGGCTTCAGATGATCAAACTACTCCAAGCTACAGGAGGAAATTCAAACCAATGGCAAAGAAGTTAAAAACTTTGAAAAAAAATTAGATGAATGGATAACTAGAATAACCAATGCAGAGAAGTCCTTAAAGGACTTGATGGAGCTAAAAGCCAAGGCTCGAGAACTACGTGAATAATGCAGAAGCCTCAAGAGCCAATGCGATCAACTGGAAGAATGGGTATCAGCGATGGAAGACGAAATGAATGAAATGAAGCGAGAAGGGAAGTTTAGAGAAATAAGAATAAAAAGAAACGGACAAAGCCTCCAAGAAATATGGGACTATGTGAAAAGACCAAATCTACATCTGATTGGTGTACCTGAAAGTGACGGGGAGAATGGAACCAAGTTGGAAAACACTCTGCAGGATATTATCCAGGAGAACTTTCCCAATCTGGCAAGGCAGGCCAACACTCAGATTCAGGAAATACAGAGAACACCACAAAGATACTCCTCGAGAAGAGCAACTCCAAGACACGTAATTATCAGATTCACCAAAGTTGAAATGAAGGAAAAAATGTTAAGGGCAGCCAGAGAGAAAGGTCGGGTTACCCACAAAGGGAAGCCCATCAGACTAACAGCGGATCTCTCGGCAGAAACTCTACAAGCCAGAAGAGAGTGGGGATCAATATTCAACATCCTTAAAGAAAAGAATTTTCAACCCAGAATCTCATATCCAGCCAAACTAAGCTTCATAAGTGAAGGAGAAATAAAATACTTTACAGACAAGCAAATGCTGAGAGATTTTGTCACCACCAGGCCTGCCCTAAAAGAGCTCCTGAAGGAAGCACTAAACATGGAAAGGAACAAACGATACCAGCCACTGCAAAAACATGCCAAAATGTAAAGACCATCAAGGCTAGGAAGAAACTGCATCAACTAACGAGCAAAATAACCAGCTAACATCATAATGACAGGATCAGATTCACATATAACAATATTAACTTTAAATGTAAATGGGCTAAATGCTCCAATTAAAAGATACAGACTGGCAAATTGGATAAAGAGTCAAGACCCATCAGTGTGCTGTATTCAGGAAACCCATCTCACGTGCAGAGACACACATAGGCTCAAAATAAAAGGATGGAGGAAGATCTACCAAGCAAATGGACAACAAAAAAAGGCAGGGGTTGCAATCCTAGTCTCTGATAAAACAGACTTTAAACCAACAAAGATCAAAAGAGACAAAGAAGGCCATTACATAATGGTAAAGGGATCAATTCAACAAGAAGAGCTAAGTATCCTAAATATATATGCACCCAATACAGGAGCACCCAGATTCATAAAGCAAGTCCTTAGTGACCTACAAAGAGACTTAGACTCCCACAAAATAATAATGGGAGACTTTAACACCCCACTGTCAACATTAGACAGATCAACGAGACTGAAAGTCAACAAGGATACCCAGGAATTGAACTCAGCTCTGCACCAAGTGGACCTAATAAACATCTACAGAACTCTCCACCCCAAATAAAGAGGATATACATTTTTTTCAGCACACCACACCTATTCCAAAATTGACCACATATTTGGAAATAAAGCACTCCTCAGCAAATGTAAAAGAACAGAAATTATAACAAACTGTCTCTCAGACCACAGTGCAATCAAACTAGAACTCAGGATTAAGAAACTCACTCAAAACTGCTCAACTACATGGAAACTGAACAACCTGCTCCTAAGTGACTACTGGGTACATAACAAAATGAAGGCAGAAATAAAGATGTTCTTTGAAACCAACGAGAACAAAGACAAAACATACCAGAATCTCTGGGACACATTCAAAGCAGTGTGTAGAGGGAAATTTATAGCACTAAATGCCCACAAGAGAAAGCAGGAAAGATCCAAAATTGACACCCTAACATCACAATTAAAAGAACTAGAAAAGCAAGAGCAAACACATTCGAAAGCTAGCAGAAGGCAAGAAATAACTAAAATCAGAGCAGAACTGAAGGAAATAGAGACACAAAAAACCCTTCAAAAATTAATGAATCTAGGAGCTGGTTTTTTTAAAAGATCAACAAAACTGATAGACCGCTAGCAAGAGTAATGAAGAAAAGAGAGAAGAATCAAATAGACGCAATAAAAAATGATAAAGAGGATATCACCACCAATCCCACAGAAATACAAACAATCATCAGAGAATACTACAAACACCTCTACGCAAATAAACTAGAAAATCTAGAAGAAATGGATAAACTCCTCAACACAAACACCTTCCCAAGACTAAACCAGGAAGAAGTTGAATCTCTGAATAGACCAATAACAGGCTCTGAAATTGTGGCAATAATCAATGGCTTACCAACCAAAAAAAGGTCCAGGACCAGATGGATTCACAGCTGAATTCTACCAGAGGTACAAGGAGGAGATGGTACCATTCCTTCTGAAACTATTCCAATCAATAGAAAAAGAGGGAATCCTCCCTAACTCATTTTATGAGGCCAGCATCATCCTGATACCAAAGCCTGGCAGGGACACAACCAAAAAAGAGAATTTTAGACCAATATCCTTGATGAACATTGATGCAAAAATCCTCAATAAAATACTGGCAAACCAAATCCAGCAGCACATCAAAAAGCTTATCCACCATGAACAAGTGGGCTTCATCCCTGGGATGAAAGGCTGATTCAACATATGCAAATCAATAAATGTAATCTAACATATAAACAGAACCAAAGACAAAAACCACATGATTTTCTCAATAGATGCAGAAAAGGCCTTTGACAAAATTCAACAACCCTTCATGCTAAAAACTCTCAATAAATTAGGTATTGATGGGACGTGTCTCAAAATAATAAGAGCTATCTATGACAAACCCACAGCCAATATCATACTGAATGGGCAAAAACTGGAAGCATTCCCTTTGAAAACTGGCACAAGACAGGGATGCCCTCTCTCACCACTCCTATTCAACATAGTGTTGGAAGTTCTGGCCAGGGCAATTAGGCAGGAGAAGGAAATAAAGGGTATTCAGTTAGGAAAAGAGGAAGTCAAATTGTCCCTGTTTGCAGATGACATGATTGTATATCTAGCAGACCCCATCGTCTCAGCCCAAAATCTCCTTAAGCTGATAAGCAACTTCAGCAAAGTCTCAGGATACAAAATCAATGTGCAAAAATCACAAGCATTCTTATACACCAATAACAGACAAACAGAGAGTCAAATCATGAGTGAACTCCCATTCACAATTGCTTCAAAAAGAATAAAATACCTAGGAATCCAGCTTACAAGGGATGTGAAGGACCTCTTCAAGGAGAACTACAAACCACTGCTCAAGGAAATAAAAGAGGATACAAACAAATGGAAGAAAATTCCATGCTCATGGGTAGGAAGAATTAATATCGTGAAAATGGCCATACTGCCCAAGGTAATTTATAGATTCAATGCCATCCCCATCAAGCTACCTATGACTTTCTTCACAGAATTGGAAAAAACTACTTTAAAGTTCATATGGAGCCAAAAGAGCCCGCATCACCAAGTCAATCCTAAGCCAAAAGAACAAAGCCGGAGGCATCACGCTACCTGACTTCAAACTATACTACAAGGCTACAGTAACCAAAACAGCATGGTACTGGTACCAAAACAGAGATATTGATCAATGGAACAGAACAGAGCCCTCAGAAATAATGCCGCATATCTACAACCATCTGATCTTTGAAAAACCTGACAAAAACAAGCAATGGGAAAGGATTCCCTATTTAATAAATGGTGCTGGGAAAACTGGCTAGCCATATGTAGAAAGCTGAAACTGGATCCTTTCCTAACACCTTATACGAAAATCAATTGAAGACGGATTAAAGACTTACATGTTAGACCTAAAACCATAAAAACCCTAGAAGGTAACCTAGGCAATACCATTCAGGACATAGGCATGGGCAAGGACTTCATGTCTAAAACACCAAAAGCAATGGTAACAAAAGCCAAAATCAACAAATGGGATCTAATTAAACTAAAGAGCTTCTGCACAGCACAAGAAACTACCATCAGAGTGAACAGGCAACCTATAAACTGGGAGAAAATTTTTACAACCTACTCATCTGACAAAGGGCTAATATCCAGAATCTACAATGAACTCAAACAAATTTAGAAGAAAAAGACAAACCACCCCATCAAACAGTGGGAGAAGGACATGAACAGACACTTCTCAAAAGAAGACATTTATGCAGCCAAAAAACACATGAAAAAATGCTCATCATCACTGGCCATCAGAGAAATGCAAATCAAAACCACAATGAGATACCATCTCACACCAGTTAGAATGGCGATCATTAAAAAGTCAGTAAAAAACAGGTGCTGGAGAGGATGTGGAGAAATAGGAACACTTTTACACTGTTGGTGGGACTGTAAACTAGTTCAACCATTGTAGAAGTCAGTGTGGCGATTCCTCAGCGATCTAGAACTAGAAATACCATTTGACCCAGCCATCCCATTACTGGGTATATACCCAAAGGACTATAAATCATGCTGCTATAAAGACACATACACAGGTGTTTATTGCGGCACTATTCACTATAGCAAAGACTTGGAACCAACCCAAATGTCCAACAACAATAGACTGGATTAAGAAAATGTGGCACATACACACCATGGAATACTATGCAGCCATAAAAAATGATGAGTTCATGTCCTTTGTAGGGACATGGATGAAACTGGAAACCATCATTCTCAGCAAACTACTGCAAGGACAAAAAACCAAACACCACATGTTCTCACTCATAGATGGGAATTGAACAATGAGAACACATGGACACAGGAAGGGGAACATCACACGTCGGGGACTGTTGTGGGGTAGGGGAAGGGGGGAGGGATAGCATTAGGAGATATACCTAATGCTAAATGACGAGTTAATGGGTGCAGCACACCAACATAGCACATCTATACATATGTAACAAACCTGCACATTGTGCACATGTACCCTAAAACTTAAAGTATAATAATAATAAAATAAAAAAATAATAAAAATAAAATTAAAAAAAAAGAAAGAAAGAAAGAAAAAGAAAAATCATGTTCTTGCATCCAGGAATTCCACTTCTAAGAATCTGTCCTAAGGAAATCATCACATGTATCATCAAAGACTTACAAAGATATTCATCACAGTTATTTATAATAGTGTAGAAAATAGAAAAGCATATAAATGTATAAATGTTCGTTAATAATAGTTAAAATTGAAAAAAATAAAAAAATAAAAAATAAAACAAGGATACACCAGACATGCTTCTGTATATATATTTTGCACAAATACATTAATTCACTTAGCAAGTATTAATTGATGCCAATTTTCTTGCTGATAGGTTATAGGTTTTTTTGTGATCATATGTTTTTCTATAGGTTATTTTATAGTTTATAGGTTTTTTATAGGTTATAGTTTATGGTTTTTTTGTGTGTGTGTGATTTCATCAGTGAACAAAAGAGTCAAAGATTTTTGTACTCCTGAATCTCAAAATGTAATGACTGGGATAGGTAATAAAATGATAAATAGTAAAAAGTGAACTATATAGTATTATAATGTGACACATTCTATGAAAAAAGAAAAAGCAGAGCAAAGTAAATGGGTGCAGAAGTGTAGGGAGTGGGAGTGTAGGTTCCAGTTTTAAATAAGATGATTAGGGCCTGTCTTACTGAAAAAGACTTGAGCAAATACTTGAATGAGATAAGGGAAAGTTAACCACATTATAGAAGTTCATTTTCAGGATAGAAACAACAAGCACAAAAGCCTTCAGTTGGGAAGGTGGAGGGAGAGCCGTAGACAGTTGTAGCTGGAGCAGAGTGATCAATGAGGACAACAATGGTCCAGAAGATCAGAGAGGTCTGGGCTGTGGGGGCGGGTAGGTTATGTAAGACCCTGTCAGGCACATGCGAAGTTAGGGTTTACTCTGAGTGACATGAGGGGTGGGGTGGGGGGAAACCAGTGAGGATTTCAGAATAGGAGGCGCAAGACCTGGCTTCTGTTTTAAAAGGTTGTTTCTGACTGCCATGCTGGGAATAGATTGTGTAGGGTGAGAGGACACATGCAGGAAGATCAGGTAAAAGGCCATCATAGAAATTCAGGAAATAAATAGTGGGGCACAGATCAGATTTACGGAGACGGAAGATGAAAAATGTGGTCAGGTTGGGAAACAAGTAATAACTTGTTTACATGCTGATGAGAATGATCCAGTAGGAAAAGGGGAGAAAATGGTGTTAAGGAGAGATAAGGAAATTGCTGGAAAATGTTCTTTGCTAAGTAAAAGCTGCTGGAATGTAGTGCACGTGGGAAGAAACTGACTTTAGATAGTAGTTCAGATAGTTCACCCGGGGCAACAAGATGGGCAGCAGGGAGTGTGGGTTTGTAAACGGTGTGGGGGCAGACGTGGTGATGGGAATCTGTGATGTTTTCTTTTAATCATTTGAATATTCTTCATGAAATAAGATGTACAGTGATCACTTGAAAGTAAGGACAGGGAGGAGGTGTTTTACATATAAGAAAGCAGAAAAAGGTGTGAAATTGAAACAGGATAGTGAAGGAATTAAAGGAATGGGAAACAGTGTAATTGCCTGACTAGCATTAACAGATCTCTATGAGGTTTGTGGTTATGAATTTAAGATGAGAAATGATGGTTGTGTATTGATCTCTACCTATGTTTAGCTGCAGAATTATAGACATAGAGAATGGTGATCTGGATTTAACCAAGTTGTGGTTTTTCCAAACAAGTAAAAGCAATAAGAGGGAGGCAGGCAGTTAAGGATGTATATGTGGAAGTGATTGTTAAGGATTTCCCATGGAATTTATCTTGAGTTATGAGAAGTTAGATTAGAAGATCAAAGGGTTGAGGCATAATGAAAAGTTGATTGAATCAATTGATTGGAGATCCCAGTGGGATTAAAGAATTTTTGTTGTCTGGAACTAGAGAAAGTAAACTGGAAAGACAGATGGTGGAAATCAGAGAGAGGGACAAATGTACAAAAAGGGAGAGAGAGGAGGTGTAATAGGAAATTAGATGAGGTTGAAGCAGCAGCCAGGATCCCAATCCAAATGTCTGAAATGTGTTTGCCTAAGTGTATATTATGTATATGTGTGTATAAGACACACAAAAGACGAACTGCTGTATCAATCAAATCAATCAAAAGATATATCCACTTCCAAAAATTTTAATAGATTCCATGTATCCTTTTAATAATATTGCAATTTATACCATCATAAACAATGTGTAATATTTATCATTTCTTCAAATACATGCCAAAATTAAATTAGTGCTGATCTATATAAATTTACCCTATTTAAGGGGCAAAGTTATTGCAGGTTATTTAAATAAGTATTTTTAAAGGTTTATAGGACATTTTTATATCATTTATGTTGAATATTTAGAGTTTTGCTTATTATTTTATGTGTTTGCATTTTAAATTATATTGACTTCTAGAGGTTCTGTATTTGATGTGTGTATTAAACATTTATTTAACACATATGTTAAAAGTATACTCTTTTGCTCTGTGCTCTGTCGCTTCTATTGTAGTTTAGTTTGTGCTGCCTTTCCCTACACAGGCATACCTTGCAGAAGCTGCAAATTTGGATCCAGATCACTGCAATAGAGCAAATATCACAATAAAGCAGGTCACATGATTCTTTTGGTTTTCCAGTGCATATAAAAGTTATGTTTATGCTATACTATAGTCTATTAATTATGTAATAGTATTATTTCTAAAAAATAAAATGCATACCTTAATGAAAATGTTTTATTAAGAAATGTTAATGATCACTTTCGCTTTCAAGCCAGTCTTAATCTGTTTGCTGATGGAGGACCTTGCCTTGACAATGATAGCTACTGACTGATCAAGGTGGTGGTTGCTGAAGGATGGGGTGGCTGTGGCAATTTCTAAAATAAGACAACAATGAAGTCTGCCACATCTACTGACTCTTCCTTTCATGAAAGATTTCTCCATAGCATGTGATGCTGTTTGATAGCATTTTACCTACAGTAGAACCTCTTTCAAAATTCAAGTCAAATTTTTCAAATTCTGATGCTGCTGATAAAGTTTATCAAATATTCTAGAATTTTGTTATCATTTCAATAATGTTCACAGCATCTTCACCAGGAATAGATTCCATTTCAATAAACTTATTTCTTTGCTCATCCATAAGAAGCAACTCCTTATTTGCTAAAGTTTTATCATGAGACTGTAGTGATTCAGTCACATCTTCAGGCTTTACTTCTTTTTTTGTTTGTTTTAATTTTACTTTAAGTTCCTGGATACATGCGCAGAAAGTGTGGGATTGTTTACATAAGTATACATGTGCCATGATGGTTTCCTGCACCTATTAACCTGTCATCTAGGTTTTAAGCCCCGCATGCATTAGGTATTGGTCCTAATACTCTCCCTCCTATTACTTCCCATCCCCTAACAGGCTCCGGTGCGTGTCCTTCCCCTCCCAGGCAGGCTTTACTTCTAATTCTAGTTCTCCTGCTATTTCCACAACATCTGCAGGGACTTTCTCCACTGAAATCTAAAACCCCTCAAAGTAATCTATGAGGGTTGGAATTAACTTCTTCCAGATTTCTGTTAATGTTGATTTTTGACCTGTTCTCATGAATCACAAATGTTCTTAATGACTTCTAGAATGGTAAACCCTTTCCAGAAGGCTTTCAATGTACCTTGCCCAGATCCATTGGGGAAATCACTATCTATGGCAAATATAGCATTATGAAATATATTTCTTAAATAATAAGACTTGAAAGTAAAAATTACTCTTTGATCCATGGGCTGCACAATTGATGTTTTATTAGCAGGCATGAAAACATTAATCTCCCTGTACCTCTCCGTCAGAGCTCTTGGGTGATTAAGTTATTGTCAATGTGCAATAATATTTTGAAAGAAATCTTTTTTCTGAGCAGTAGGTCTTAACACTGGGCCTAAAATATTTGTATACCGTGCTATCATCTAGGCTTTGTCATTCCATTTATAAAGCATAGGCAGAGTAGATTTTGCACAATTCTTAAGGGTCATAGGGATTTTGGAATGGCAAATAAGTATTGGCTTCAATTAGAAGTTACTAGCTGCATTAGCCCCTAAGAATCACATCAGCCTGTCCTCTGAAGCTTTGAAACCAGACATTGACTTCTCTCTTACTATGAAAGTCCTAGATGATATCTTCTTTCAATATAGGTTGTTTTGTCTACATTGAAAATCTGTTGCTTAATGTAGCCATCTTCATCAGTTATCTTAGCTAGATCTTCTGGATAACTCACTCCTGCTTCTACACTAGCACTTGCTGTTTCACCTTGCACTTTTATATTACAGATACAGCTTCTTTTCTTAAACCTTATGAGCCAACCACTGCTAGCTTCAAACTTTTCTTCCGAAGCTTCCTCACCTCTCTCAACCTTCACAGAATTGAAGACAGTTAGGGCTTTGCTCTGGATTAGGCTTTGGCTTAGGAGAATGTTGTGGCTGGCTTGGTATTCTATCCGGATCACTAAAACTTTCTCCATATCATGAATAAGCCTGTTTTGCTTCCTTATCATTGATGTGTTCATTGGAGTAGCACTTTTAATTTCCTTCAAGAATTTTTTCTCTGCATTCATATCTTTGCTAAATGTTTGGCACAAGAGGCCTAGCTTTTAGCCTATCTCAACTTTCAACATGCCTTCTTCATTAGTCTTTTCACTTGAACATTTAGAGGGCCATGGAGGATTATTAATTGACCTAGTTTCCATATTGTTGTGTCTTAGGCAGTAGGGTGGCCTGAGGAGGGGAAGGAAGATGGGGAATGGCCAGTCTTTGGAGTAGTCAGAACATACACATTTATCAATTAAGTTTGCCATCTTATATGGGCATGAGTTGTGATGCCTCAAAGCAATTACCATAGTAACATGGAAAATCACTGACCACAGAACACCATAACAGATATAATAATAATTTAAAAGTTTGAAATACTGTGAGAATTACCAAATATGACACAGAGACAGAAAGTGAGCACAGGCTTTTGGGAAAATGGTGCTGATGGACTTGCTTGATGCAAGCTTGCCACAAAACTTCAATTTCTAAAAAAATTCTGTGAAGTGCAATAAAGCAAAGCATAAAACAAAGTATGCCTGTATTAGCAATTAAAGTTTGTGTATAGTCAACTATGTTAATCTTGTTTCATAGTTTCTTAATTTTCTATATGCTTAAGAGCTTTCCTCCTAAGATATATATGTATTATTCTACATTTTCTTCAATTTTGTTTATAATTTTTCTTTAACACATTTTCCCATTTTTTTTCTAATTATACTGGCAATTTTATAACACCTTTTATTTTAGGAATGAGATGTGGAAATGAATAAATGATAGCAATGAACCTTTAGACATTTCTTACAATGTGCCAGGTGCTGTTCTAAGGCCTTTACTTGTACTAACTGATTTAAGGTTTATAACAACCCTAAGAGGTAGGTGCTATAATTTGCCTCATTTCACGGATGAGGAAACTGGTGTATAGGAAGGTTTAGTAACTTTCCCAAGGTCAAAAGACTGGTGAATTTTCATCCCGTATTCAAACCCAGGAAGTCTGGCTCCCAAGTCACTACATTATATGCTACTGTCTGGTAAGCTATTAAATTATGCCCAAGTATGGGAAGTTATGCTGAAATTGATATTTCAACTGATCTTCAACTGTGTATTGAGAAATAAATAGAACTGTGATGAAAGGAAGTGGAAATAAGAGCCTATACCATAACACGGCACTGTAAGTTGGTGATATTTTCTAGATATGGAGAAAAGATCATTGTCACAGGTGTATCAGATACATGGGGTGGAGACTGGGAGCTGAGATAAAAAAGGAAGGTTTTCAGTAATGGGTTTGGTCAGGATTTTACCCTGAATGAGAAAGTAACAGTTTGACTGTTGTTGGAGTACAGTGTAGAAGTTAAGAACAGAATTCTGACTCTATTATGATCTAGCTCTCCAAAATCAGAATCTAACCTTTGGTAGAGTCATCTCATAAATCAAAATAAAAATCAAGGTTGGTTTAAAGATTTAAATATTATAATGAATGTTCAGCATTTAGCTAGTCTGGTCAAGTGATAGGCAGTACTCTCAACTGCCATTATTACTAGTCAAAGCAAGATTTGGTGAGACAGTGGACAATCTAGTCAGACAGATGAAAAAAAAAACCTTTAAGTGGTAGTAGGCACAGGTTTTGACTATCAGGCAAATTCAGAGAAGGAGAAAAAAAAATAAGGATAACACTGATACTTTGAGGTTTCGAGACTATGTACTTAATGATGTAAACTGGGGGTCAAAATGAAGAAGAAGGAAGAAATTGAAGGACAAAGTGGGCTGGGCATAGTGGCTCATGCCTGTAATCCCAGCACTTTGGGAGGCCAAGGTGGGCAGATCACCTGAGGTCAGGAGTTCGAGACCAGACTGGGCAACATGGTGAAACCCTGTCTCTACTAAAAATACACACACAAAATAAAATTAACCAGGCGTGGTGGTAGTAGCCTGTAATCCCAGCTACTCAGGAGGCTGAGGCAGGAGAATCGCTTGAACCAGGAAGGCAGAGTTTGCAGTGAGCCGAGATCGCACCACTGCATTCCAGCCTGGTTGACAGAGCAAGACTGCGTCTCAAAAATAAATAAATAAATACATAAATAAATAAAATATTAAAAAGAACAAAAGTGCTCACTTTATTTTTAGAAACATCAAAGTGAGATACTTCAAGTCTAGCTATGAAGATATAGAATATATGTGTATGTATAGAAGTCTCTCTATATTCTGATTATCCCAATATTAACAAGACATAATAAAATCAGTTTATAAAATATTATATCTACTAAAATATCTGTTAATCAATATCACCATGTTTTACCAGTAGAATAAAAAATTATAAAGTACATAACATTGACTCTGAGAAACTGTAATAGCTTAAAGTGCCTTCTGGATCCCCAGAGATTAAATTATATAGAGTATTATTTTACTGTTTAATGTATTTTATTGCATTCTAATTATATAAATGTATGTAAACCACAAAAGCTATGAGTATGAAGAAAATGCATTCTGGTTTCTGGAACAGTCTCAATTTTAAGATTATTTATCTGTTTAGTAAGCTGTGTATTTAAAAATAATAACATTTATTGAGTTCATCCACTGACTGTCAAGTATCTCTGTGTGTCCACAGCATAGGCAATGTTACACAGAGCTGGTGATAGCAGGAGACGGATCTGCAGTGACAAGCAAGGGTAGCTTCATCAAGGCAACACCCATTTCTTGAAACAATGGCTGTCTCCAAACAAAGTCTCCACTGCTCTGTGTTTGCCTCTGAAAACTATCTAGCTGATTATGCAAAAATGCCCTACTCTTTTGCTATGCTAGGTTAAATTAAATTTATTATGTTGTTATGTTTCCATTTTTATTATTTCTGAATACTGATACAGTGTTTTTAGAAGCCAGATTAGAGTTTTTCAAATTAGAGTTTCAAAATGTTCTCCTAACCCGAGGAAATTAATTTTATGAGCGACTTAAGCATCTACACTCTAAAAAGACACCTGCTTTCTCATGGTAAATATATGACTTTAGGATAATTTAAAGAGCCTTTGAAAAGTTAAAAAAGATCAGCAAAATCTACTAATAAAAACAGACAAGATGCTCAGGGGATTCAAAGTAGGTTAAGCTATCAAAATATAAATGCCATTTGAGAGGGATTCTGGCACTAAATTTAGGATTTTAGCATTTTGACACTGATAAATCTTGCTGCAGGGTTCCTAAATCTGATGAGAACACGTGGTAGTGATGCCCAAATGCCTGAATTAAAATATAGTTTGATATTTCAGTTATTAGATTAAAATCAGAAACCTTTAAACACACAGTAATTTATGTAGGATCCTTTTTGTGGGAGACTTCTAAAGCAGAGATTGACTCAGTTTGACTCTGGAAAGCTTCTAAATTGAAGACTTTAAGTGTATATGCCTTGGCCATATGATGCAATTTTATTCCATATCAAATGGAGAAGTCAAAAAGTAGAGTATGATATCATGCTGTTAAGACATAATGAGAAGATTTAAAAATTCTTTTAAATAAACTCTTTAATGGAAATATTCAGAGAGGATAAAAATATTCAGGTGGTATGGTTTGACCTTTAGAGTCACATAAGAAAGATGAGTTAAATTTCAATTTGACTTCCTCTTTTCCTAATTGAATACCCTTTATTTCCTTCTCCTGCCTAATTGCCCTGGCCAGAACTTCCAACACTATGTTGAATAGGAGTGGTGAGAGAGGGCATCCCTGTCTTGTGCCAGTTTTCAAAGGGAATGCTTCCAGTTTTTGCCCATTCAGTATGATATTGGCTGTGGGTTTGTCATAGATAGCTCTTATTATTTTGAAATACGTCCCATCAATACCTAATTTATTGAGGACAAAACGAAAACACTGAGAAGTGAAATGAGAAACAGAAATGAGGAAATCTTCACAAGAGAGTAACTGTCTGTATTGTTTGCTGTGCAACCCGAACAAAAAGACGAACAAATATTTGACGGATGATCACGTCATTCATTCCCCCCATGATCTAGGACTCAACAGTAAAAACAGAATTGTTTACTTGGATCACGATATTTCCGTCCCTGGAAAAATTATATGCACCAAGTTCTCCTTGGGCAGCAGGCCCTCTGCTTACATAAGCACCAAGAATAAGCCATAAGTTACAGTAATTAATGGTTGTTGTTAGGAAAGCTATCCACAATTACACCAACTTGAATGAAGAAATTTTTCCAAGTCCCAGAAAATCTTTTAAATCCACAAGTAACAAAACTGGTTTCTCCTTATAATCAATGCAAACGATGTCATGGATGGTGATATGGTTTCGGTGTGTGTTGCCTCCCAAATCTCATGTTCAATTGTAATCCCCAGTGTTCCCTCTTCCTCCTGCTCTGGTGATGGAAGATGCGCCCGCTTTCCCTTCACCTTTCACCTGACTGTAAGTTTCCTGAGGCCTCCTCAGCCATGCTTCCTATGATAGAGCCTGCAGACGTGAGCCAATTAAACCTCTTTACTTTATAAATTACCCAGTCTTGGTTATTTCTCTATAGCAGTGTGAGAATGGACTAATACAGATGGCACTTTCCTTTTGTGATGACTGCCAAGAATATCAGTCCTAGGTGCGGCTCAATTTCAACAGCCTTAAAATATACTACCCATACATACAAGCTTCACAAATCATTTTTGGTGCTGATCTGCCACACTAACTATATTTTACAGGATAATGTCTATTTCCACATTCCCATTTTAAAGTATGAATCCTGGCTGGGCTTGGTGGCTCATGCCTGTAATCCCAGCACTTTGGGAGGCTGAGGTGGGAAGATCACCTGAGGTCAGGAGTTTGAGACCAGCCTGGCCAACATAGTGAAACCCCATCTCTTCTAAAAATACAAAAAATTAGCTGGGCATGGTGGCGCACGCCTGTAATCCCTGCTACTCAGGAGGCTGAGGCAGGAGAATCACTTGAACCCAGGAGGTGGAGGTTGCAGTGAAGCGAGATCATGCCACTGCACTGCAGCCTGGGCAACAGAGCAAGACTCCATCTCAAAAAAAAGAAAAAAAAAAGTATGAATCCTTACAAACCTCTTAAAATGCATCATAAAATAAAATTGAGGAACATATACACAAGCAGGAAAACTCACCTGCAATGTGTTCATTTTCTGCTGCTCTTGGAAACTTGCAGAGACTGTGGCTGATAGACCTAGAGGGGCAGAAGCAGGTCACTGAAGTCATGAGGGCTCCGGCCTGCAAAGGCAGAAATCACCTGCATAAGAACCGCAAAAGAAAGCTCAATAGGCTAACACCCTGTGAACACTCAACCTGCAAACACTCAGAAGGGTCTAAAAGAGTGATACAGGGTTTCGCCATGTTGGCCAGGCTGGTCTCAAATTCTGGCCTCAAGTGATCCGCCTGCCTGGGCCAACATGGCAAAACCCCGTCTCTACTTAAAAATAACAAAAAAAATTAGCCAGGCATAGTGTCACATGCCTGTAGTCCCAGCTACTCAGGAGGCTGAGGCACGAGAATCCTTTGAACCTGGGAGGTGGAAGTTGCAGTGAGCCGAGACCACGCTGTTGCATTCCAGACTGGGTGAGAGACACTGTCTCAAAAAAAAAAAAAAAAAAAAAGTGATAGGGGAAGCATGCGCCTGTAACTCTAAGATAATCAGGTAGTAATTAGATGAGTTAGACTCTCATGGGTAACACGACTCCTTTTACAAATAGTCTGCCATCATCAAATACAAGGTGCAAAAAGAAAAAAAATTCCCATTATACGGCTCATGTTTTTTGTGGTTTGTTGGTTGAGACAGGGTCTCAATCTGCCACCCAGGCTGGAGTGCAGTGGTGCATTCACGGCTCTCTGCAGCCTCGACCTCCTGGGCTCCATCCATCCTCCCACTTCAGCCTCCTGAGTAGCTGGGACCACAGATGCATCCCAGCATGCCTGGCGACTTTTGTATTTTTTGTAGTCAGGGTGTCCCCATGTTGTCTAGGCTGGTCTCTAACTCCTGGTCTCAAGGGATACTCTTGCCCTAGCCCCGCAAAGTGCTCGGATTACAGGTGTGAGCCACTGCATCCCGCCCGCATTTTCTTATTGTCTCTTTAAACTGCCTAAAATAAAATAGGCCATAGGAATTGAGTAGGTGAGCTCTCAGAAATGAAATGAATGTGTATAAAATATGGTTTTGTTTCTAAATTATCTAACTGAACTTAGTTATTGTGGCACCTAATAATCTTCTATTAAGAAAACTAGGATACGGGAGAAATAACACTGGCCTGGGAGATAAGTCTCCTGGGTTCTACTATGAGCAGCTCTACCCACAAAGCCGGTGACCTGGTCAAGTCACCCACCTGCTAAGGCCCAGTCTCTTCCCCTAGCAACTGAGGCAGCAGGAGAGAATCCCTGCAGACTGTTCCTGCATTACTACGATTCTCCCAGGGCAGATCTAAGGGGGGGATCAGCAGACACTTAAGTGAGAGAATAGAAGTGCTGACGGACATTTAGAGGCGGTCGAAATCTGGAGCACGGAGAGGAGGAGGAAGGACTGTTAGGGGTTAGCGGGGAGTGGAGACGACGTCCGCAGCTGAGGGTGGTGACACCCTCCACGCCTCCCTAAGCCTCGTCCTCCCAGATCTTCCCATGCAGCGCCTGTTCGGTGCAGCCGGACCCTGCCCTCGAACCCAACACATGTCTCTCCAGCAAGCAATCGGGACCCTCCCTCTGCCCCACACTCTAAGGTCCCCAAAACACGGTGACTTCACCCAGGCCCTTCTCGCTCCGGGCCCAAAAACCCAAGACTTACCCTCCTGGGGCTCCGCAGCCTCTGCCCCACGGCTCCTGAGAGGCCGGGGCGGGCTGCTGTCGCTGGCGCACGCGTCTGCTCACGAGGTCCCCTCCTGTCCACCTCACCAAGGCTGTTCTGCTCCCGAGGGGCCCGGGCCGGGCCTATGGGGCAAATCCAGGTGGGTGTCCTTCTCGGGGCCCAGATCCGCCTCCCTGGGGCTCACCGTACAGCGACGGCCGGCGCCAGGCCTCTGAGGACACACACGGGCCAGGCCCAGGTCCCGTCGCCCCTTCGCCTCCGCCATCACCTCCCGCCCGGCCCCTCTGGCCCCAGCGCCGCCGGCTCCGGGGTTCACGCTCGGGGGTCCTGGCTCGAGCCTCTACCCGGCCCGCGCGAACCCTGGGCCGCACAGCTCCCGCCCGCCTAGGTGCTGGCCCGGGCGGTCAGCGTCTAGCCCCGCAGACTCGGTGATTCTCGTCCACTAGAGGCCAAAGCCTGGGAACCAGAGCAAGCGATGACCTGAACAGGCGCAGGAAGCGAGGGCAGTGCGGAGGTGGCGCGCATGTGCGAGCACGCACGCGCGAACACGCACGCAGGGAGAGGTGCACACGCGCAGGAGTGCACCGGAAGTCCGCCTCCCCGGACACCCACCGCGGTCCCAGGACAAGTAACAGACTCTATTTCCCATGAGCCTACGCGCTCCCCAAGTTTAGGGGCTGTCTTAAATGTCTCTACCCCGCCTAAAGGTTAAGAAGCTCCAGGCTATGAGCTTTGGCAGCCCTGAACCCCGGACTGAACTTCACCTTTGTCTTTACTCCCTTTTAGGGTCAAGTCCAGGGCTGCGTTACTGGGTCCTGGAGCCCAAGTCCTCTGGGTTAGAACCGAGTTTGCCATAAGGAGAAGGAAAGGAAAGGGTGTATCATGGTCACTGCTCTGAAATGCTGAGAAGTTTCACTCAAATACTGGGACAGGATAAATGCCCAGCGATGCTTTCCAAGGAACAAAAAGAAAATAGAATTTGTAGCTGGGCGCGGTGGCTCAAGCCTGTAATCCCAGCACTTTGGGAGGCCAAGGCGGGCAGATCGCGAGGTCAAGAGATAGAGATCATCGTGGCCAACATGATGAAACCCTGTCTCTACTAAAAATACAAAAATTAGCTGGGCGTGGTGGCGCGTGCCTGTAATCCCAGCTACTCGGGAGGCTAAGGCAGGAGAAGCACTTGAACCTGGGAGGTGGAGGTTGCAGTGAGCCGAGATCACGCCACTGCACTCCATCCTGGCGACAAAGCGAGACTCCATAGCTTTTCTAGATCACACAGCGAATGCCTAAAAACTGTAGAGAAATAAGGACATACACATACAAACTGAACGAAGAAGAGATACCTGTGATCTTACCTTCCCCAGGAGGATTATGTTTAGGGTTAGGTTATGTTGACCAAAAAGAGTCAAAGTCTGTAAAGAGTTTTATTCTGGGCCTCCTATTTGAGTGACCATGGCTGGTGACACAGCCTCAGGGGGTCCTGAGAACGTGAGCCCAAAGTGGTTGGGTTACAGCTTGGTTTTATGCATCTTAGGGAGACAGTAGTTACAGGCAAAGACATAAATCAATACATGGGAAGTATATGTTGGGTCAGCCAGGAAAGGCTTTCAGGTCACTAGTAGATTGAAAGATTGGCAGTTGGTTCAGAGTTAAGTGTTGGCTGAACAGCTGGAAGACTACATAAAGAAATGGGCCATTGTGGTGGCTCATGCCTGTAATCCCAGCATTTTGGGAGGGTGAGCTGGGAGGATCCCTTGAGGCCAGGAGTTCAAGGACAGCCTGGGCAACACAGCGAGACCCCCACTTCTACAAAAAAAAAATAATTATCCAGGTGTGGTGGTGCATGCCTGTAGACTCAGCTACTCAGGAGGCCGAGATGGAAGGATCGCTTGAGCCTGGGAAGTTGAGGCTACAGTGAGCCATGATGGCACCACTGCATTCCAGCTTGGGCAACAGAGAAGAAAATAAAGAGAGAGAGAGAAAAAGAGAGAGAGGAAGGAAGGAAAAAGAGGGAGGGAAAAAAAAGAAAGAAAAGTTTGAGTTAGGATAAGGGGGATTGTGGAAACCAAGGTTCTTGTTATGTAGGTGAAGCCTCAGAACAGGCTTCAGGGAGAATAGATGATAAATATCTCTTATTGGATCTTAAAAGGTGTCAGACTCTCCAGAAAAGACCTGGAGTCTTTTCTGTAAGGGAAAGAGATTCTCTACAGAATGCAAATTTCCCCCAAAGAGATGGCTTTGCAGGACTATTTTAAAGTTTGTCAAAGAAAATATGTTTTGGGGTAAAATACTGTAATTTACTTCAGGGACTGCTATCTGTCATGTGATGCTATATCAGAGTCTGGTTGGAGATGGGTATCTTACTGATAAAAAGAGCCTGTTTTGTCAGTCCTATGATCTCTATTCTAATAGAGATCATAATGTTGGTCAGCTGTGCCTAAACTCTGACGGGAGGAGAATTATGACAAGGCATGTCCAACCCCCTCCTTCCCATCATGACCTAAATTAGTTTTCCATGTTTATTTTGGATCCTGTTGGCCAACAGGGGAGTCCACTGAGTCAGTTGTGGGGGCTTAGAATTTTATTTTTGGTTTACAATTAAAATGTCAATTTTCAAAAATGGGATCATAAAGACAATGATTCATCACAATTTTTTGGTGAAATCTAACAGTGTTCTTGCCCAGTTGTTTCATAAAAACTGGTAAGGAAAAGACTAAAAATAAATTCTTCTGAGGCCAGGTGCAGTGGCTCACGCCTGTAATCCCAGCACTTTGGGAGGCCGAGGCCGGCGGATCATGAGGTCAGGAAATCAAGACCATCCTGGCCAACATGGTGAAACCCCGTCTCTACTAAAACACAAAAAATTAGCCAGGTGTGGTGGCTCGCGCCTGTAGTCTCAGTTACTTGGGAGGCTGAGGCAGGGGAATCACTTGAACCTGGGAGACAGAGATTGCAGTGAGCCGAGATCAGGCCACTGCACTCCAGCCTGGGAGACAGAGCAAGACTCCATCTCAAGATAAATAAGTAAATAAATAGATTATTCTGTTAACCTAGAATATTCTCTCCACAAATTCAGAAAATAAAGAAAACAATTTTATTATTGAATAAGCATTAAACCAGACTGTGATGCCCATCACAGGTGATCCATTAATGAGATGCAAAGAGAAATAAACCCTCCTTTTTTTTTTTTTTTTTTGAGACAAAATCTTGCTCTGTCGCCCAGGCTGGAGTGCAGTGGTGCGATCTCGGCTCACTGCAACCTCTGCCTCCCCAGTTTAAGCGATTCTCCTGCCTCAGCCTCCCAAGTAACTGAGACTACAGGCGCGAGCCACCACACCTGGCTAATTTTTTGTATTTTTAGTAGAGATGGGGTTTCGTTATGTTAGCTAGGATGGTCTCGAAATCCTGACCTCGTAATTCGCCCGCCTAGGCCTCCCAAAGTGCTGGGATTATAGGCGTGAGCTATGGCGCCCGGCCAAAGCGTCCTTTTTATATAGTCTGGCAGATACAATCCATTGCATACACGCTCTCAAGATAAATAGTAACTCATCCTCATGCAAAAGGACTTGCTATGCAGTTTTTTTTGTTTTGTTTTTTTTGAGACAGGGTCTCATTCTGTCATCCAGGCTGGAGTGTAGTGGTGTGATCTTCTTGGCTCACTGTAACCTCCACCTCCTGGGTTCAAGTGATTCTCGTGCCTAAGCCTCCCAAGTAGCTGGAATTACAGACATGTGCCATCATGCCCAGCTAATATTTGTATTTTAGTAGAGACAGAGTTTCGCCATACTGGCCAGGCTGGACTCAAACTCCTTCTTTCGATTTCTGTGTGGCTTCAAGTGATCCGCCCGTCTCGGCCTCCCCCAGAGTGCTGGGATTGCAGGTGTGAGCCACCGCGCCTGGCCTGCTATGCATTCTTAAACACTCATCCTAAATTCACCTGGAAATCAACGTGGCCATCCATGCTAGTTAATTACCTGTATTCAATGAAAAAATAAAACTTCTCACATCTCCTTGACAAGCAGGTAGTAACAGCTCAAGTTGCCTAGGCTAAACTCCCTAGGCAACAGGAAGATAGGGACACTATTTTCCTCCAGGTTTACATTTCAAAGACAAGACTCTTAGGCTCTTAAGAAAAAAATTCCTGGATTGTGACCAGGCACGGTGGCTCACGCCCATAATCCCAGCACATTGGGAGGCCGAGGCTGGTGGATCACCTGAGGTCAGGAGTTCAAGACCAGCCAGACCAACAAGGTGAAACCCTGTCTCTACTAAAAATACAAAAATTAGCCAGGCGTGGTGGCAGACGCCTGTAGTCTCAGCTACTCAGGAGGTTGAGATGGGAGAATTGCTTGAACCCGGGAAGTGGAGGTTGCAGTGAGCCGAGATTATACCCCTGCACTCCAGCCTGGGTGACAGCGAGATTCTGTCTCCAAAAAAAAAAAAAAAAAAAAAAAAATTCCTGGGTTGTAATGTTGGCAAGAAGTTCATTTACCTTTTTAAAAGATTTAGGTACATATCAAAGGCACAAAAGAAGTTATTTATATTACAAGGTTTATCAAGGAAATACTCTTTAAAAAGGAGAGGAGATAAGGTTAATTTCCCTTTTGGCAAGTAAGACAAATGTAATCTTTTTTTTTTTAGAAAATCCATACAGTGAGGGCTGGGCACGGTGGCCCACATCTGTAGTCCCAGCACTTTGGGAGGCCAAGGCAGGTGGATTACTTGAGGCCAGGAGTTCGAGACCAGCCTGGGCAACATGGCGAAACCCCATCTCTACCACAAATACGAAAATTAGCTGGGTGTGGTGGTGTGTGCCTATTGTCCCAGCTACTCTGGAGGCGGAGGCACGAGAAGTGCTTGAACATGGGAGGCAGAGGTTGCAGTGAGCCGAGATTGAGCCATTACAATCCAGTCTGGGCAACAAGAGTGAAGCTCTGTCTCAAAAAATAAAAAAATAAAAAATAAAAAACAAAAACAAAGAGCCTCTTTTCCCTCTCCCTGCCACAGAGTTGTCTTCAGTAATTTCATTCCCTTTTTTCCTGAGGGTTCACTGGGTTTCTGGGTCCCAGAAGGGGAAGTTCTCTTCAAGGTACAGAAACCACAACTCCACAGAGAACCGCAGAGACGGCAGCATGACCAGACCCTGGCCAGGTTTGGGGAGGCTGCTGGGCTGAGACTTGGGCTGAACTTCCGCTGCAGGTCGACTTATTCCCATCAGCACCAAAGCTGCTGGAGGGGGTCATCCAAAAGCAAAGGAAGCAGGGGTGCAGCTTGGAGGCTGTTTCAGAAGGTCCCACTGAGCCAAGGACTCAAGGCCTGGCCACAGCCCTCCCAAGCGAGGCCCAGATCATATTTCACCATGCTCAGAAAACCTTGTCTGCTCATTTCAGTCCATAGTGATTTTGCTTTCTTTAGGATCTCTCTTGAACTGTCCAACCCAGAGAGTTTCAAATCGGAATGGATTCCAATGATGGAGCTAAATCAGGCCCCACCTCAGTTTTTGAATTACAATCAATAGGGCTGGGTCCCAGCATCTGTATCTTAATGTTCCTCCATGTGATCCTCATGCTGAAAGGCTGGTATTTGCAAATCCCTTTTTTTGGGGAGTGAAGGGTTTTTTTCTTAGAGACAGGCCTCACTCTGATGCCCAGCCGGGAATGCAGTGGTGGATCACAGCTCACTGCAGCCTTGAACCCCTGGCCGCAAGAAATCCTCCTACCTTAGCCAACCAAAGTGTTGGGATTGCAGGAGTGACCACTGTGTCTGGCTAGGAAAGCCCTTCTGTTTCACTTGAATGATATTTCTGCAGCATACCTACAGCCATTGTTGTATTCAACTGCATCACTGCGGGAAAAGAAAAGGTGAGAGGTGACTGTTTTGCTTTTTTCTGAACATATCAGACCAAACCTGGGCTGTTTAGCCTTTTTTTTTTTTTTTCTTTTTTTTTTTTTTTTGCGATGGTGTCTCGCTCTGTCACCCAGGCTGGAGTGCAGTGATGCAATCTCGGCTCACTGCAACCTCTGCCTTCCAGGTTCAAGCGATTCTCCTGCCTCGGCCTCCTAAGTAGCTGGGATTACAGATGTGCACCCCCACGCCCAGCTCATTTTTTCTGTATTTTTACTAGAGACGGATTTAAACATGTTGGACAGGCTGGTCTCGAACTTCTGACCTCTGGTGATCTGTCTGCCTCTGCTTCTTAAAGTGGTAGGATTACAGGCATGAGCCACCGCGCCTGGTTTGCCAATTTTTTGACAACATATCAACATCATTTACGATGGGCACGGCCTCAGTGTAGTGTGTCTAGACAAGGTGGCCGGAAGAGAGAGGAATATGCAAACCAGGCTTGAAGATGGGTTAAATCAGAGCTTTTCATTCCACAAAAGAGAAATTTTAATGGGGTCAGAACATTGATCTTCTAATATTTGAAAGCCTGTTAACTAGGAGAGAGAGAGCAAACGATTTTGTTGTAGGAGGACCCACCCAGCTCTGACGGTTTAAAGCGTCATGAATGCGAATTTGAACTCCAGAAAAGCAGAGCTTCCTAACAATGGGACTTCCACAGCAATGGGATCTGCTTCCTCTTTCAGTGTGTGCCTTTTCTATGAGCGAGAGACTCCTAGGAAAGCAGCAGCCCATTAGGAAAACGTGTGGGAACTCACTCGCAGGTTCTTTATTTTTTTTGAGATGGAGTTTTGCTCTTGTTGCCCAGGCTGGAGCACAATGGTGCGATCTTGGCTCCCTGCAACCTGCGCACCATGAGTTCAAGTGATTCTCCAGCGCCCTCTCCTGAGTAGCTGCGATTACAGGCATCCACCACCATGCCTGGCTAATTTTTTGTATTTTTAGTAGAGATGGGGTTTCACCATGTTGTCCAGGCTGGTCTCAAACTCCTGACCTCAAGTGATCCACCCACTTTGGCCTCCCAAAGTGCTGGGATTACAGGCATGAGCCACTGAGCCCAGCCGGGAACCCACAGGTTTTTTGGATGGTCTCTGAATGTCATGTAACTCTTTTATTTTTTATCAAAAAAAATTTTTTTGACACAATATCTTGCTGTGTTGCCCAGACTGGAGTGCAGTGGCAAGATCATGGCTCACTGCAGCTTCTAACTCCTGGGCTCAAGTGATCTTCCTGTCACATGAGTCTCCCAAGTAGTTGGAACACAGGTGCCAGCCACCACACCTGGCTAATTTGGTTTGGTTTGGTTTTTTTAGAGATGGGCTCTTGCTATGTTGCCTATACTGGTCTTGAACTGCTGGCCTCAGGCAATCTTCCTCCCTTGGCCACCCAAAGTGCTGGGATTACAAGCAGGAGCCACTGTGCACAGCTGAAATTTTTCGACTTAGTCTTTTTGTACATGTGATATTTTATTCATAGAATCCATAAATGGAAGGGAAATTTCTGAGTTCAGAGCAATACATATGATACAAAACTTGATATATAGACTAGAGTTTCTTAGCCGAACTGGAGGGGCTGGCTTAGGTAATCCATGGATTCCCTGAAATTGGGGACACCATTGGAAATATGTGTGAGCTCAGGGGCAGTTTCCTATGATCTTTAGGCCTCAAAATGTCTCTTGGACTCAAAATTGCCTTAGGGCAGAGGACGTGTGTACCCCCAGTATAGAATCTCGGACAGTGAATGTGAGTAAACATTCGGCAGAAAAGCTCTGCCAAACTGAGTGCTCTGATGTGACTTTTTCATCAAGTCAGTATTCCTGGGATCTCTTGTACATGATAATCTCACTCTTGTACATGATAATCTCACTCTTGTACATGATAATCTCACTCTTGTACATGATAATCTCACTCTTGTACATGATAATCTCACTCTTGTACATGATAATCTCACTCTTGTACGTGATAATCTCACTCTTGTACATGATAATCTCACTCTTATAAGGTTTCATCGTTTCTGCTTACCCTAGTTTTCTTTCCCACTCTGTTTCCTCTCCCACCAGCCTGGACTCTGAAATGGGCATGTACAGAGATGAAGAGACCCCAACATGCTTCAGGCTTTGAGTGGAGAGGACACAGCCTCTGCTGGGACAGGGAACAGAGGGATGTGGAGTCCCCGAAGATGCTTTTGGACAATGGTCTGAGGTTGGGACAGTGGCAGGAGATACCATTCACCCAGGATCTCCAGGACAAGAGATCAGCCTGGCAGTTACATGTGTTTTTTTTCAAACTGGTTGCCAGGTTGGCATGAACGATGACATCAGAGATTCCGACCTTCCTGATTGGAGGGACCGGACTCCGTGGTGCCTGGAGATCAGTTGGACAACAGTATCTTCTCAGAGCTGTTCTCCACTCCTGACTTCTCCTAGGCTTGAGAATTGATAACATACTCTTCTGGATCCTAGCAGTGTCCAGAAGAAGGCCATGGACAGAACGGAGACTAGGTTCCGTAAGAGGGGACAGATTAAGGGAAAGATCACGACCAGCCGTCAACCTCACCCCCAGAATGAGCAGAGTCCCCAGCGGAGCACCTCGGGGTACTCCCTCCAGGAGGTGGTGGATGATGAAGTGTTGGGATCATCAGGTGAGGGGACTGGTGGAAGAAGAGGTGGGATAGGATTGACTAAGACGAAGGAAGGGGGCCAGGTGCGGTGGCTCACGCCTGTAACCCCAGCACTTTGGGAGGCTGAGGCGGGCGGATCACCTGAGGTCAGGAGTTCAAGGCCAGCCTGGCCAATATGGTGAAACCCCATCTCTACTAAAAGTATAAAAATTAGTCAAGTGGTAGTGGTGCACACCTGTAATCCCAGCTACTCAGGAGGCTGAGACAGGAGAATCACTTGAGACTGGGAGGAAGAGGTTGCAGTGAGCTGAGATCACGCTACTGCACTCCAAAAAAAAAAAAAAAAGAAAAGAAAAGAAAAGAAGGGTCAGCGGTCAGGAAGGAGAACCTGAGGAGGGTGTGTGGGAAGAATGGAGAAATTCAGGCTGGGTGCAGTGGCTCACACCTGTAACCCCAGAACTTTGGGAGGCCAAGGCAGGCGGATCACTTGAGGCCAGGAGTTTGAGACCAGCCTGGCCAACATGGTGAAACCCTGTCTCTACTAAAAGTACAAAATTGAGCTGGGCATTATGGCAGGCACCTGTAATCCCAGCTACCTGAGAGGCTGAGGCAGAAAAATAAATGGAATCCAGGAGATGGATGTTGCAGTGAGCTGAGATTGCACCACTACACTCCAGCCTGGGTGACAAAGCAAGATTCTGTGTCAAAACAAAACAAAACAAAAAAGGAGGGACTCAGAGAGCCAGAGACCAGGGGAGGACATGAAGCAGTGTTCGGAGGACAGAGAGAGAGAAGAATGGGGAGGGGAAGGAGCGGCACATGGGGTTGAGCAGAGGAGAAAATCAGAAAGATGGCTTAGAGAAGCCAGCAGTCTGCGAGTCTGGGGAGGATGGAGAGTGGTTTGGGGTTTTGGGTCGGGGTCTAAGGTGATCAGATGCAGAAGCATTACACGGTGGCCTGGTTTCTTTACTCAGCCCCTGGGGTAGATCCCAGCCCCCCATGTAGGTCCCTTGGCTGGAAAAGGAAGAAGGAGTGGTCAGATGAATCTGAGGAGGAGCCGGAGAAGGAGCTCGCCCCTGAGCCTGAGGAGACCTGGGTAGTGGAGATGCTGTGTGGGCTCAAGATGAAGCTGAAGCAACAGCGAGTGTCACCCATCCTCCCTGAGCACCACAAGGACTTCAACAGTCAGCTTGGTAGGAGGACACCCCAGAGAGCACCTCCAATCCTGTTCTTTCTAAAAAGAGGAAACTTCCAATAACCACACTTTTCCAATGGGAAAGATACGCCCCCAGTGGGTGAGCTCTCCACGCAGGAGGACTCAGAAGTGATCACTCATGAGGGACACTTAGGAGATGATAGAGGACTAGGCTAGACTTGATAAAGGTTGGCGCTTGGGATGAGAAAGCTTGGTTTCGGGCCAGGTGCAGTGGCTCACGCCTGAGATCCTAGCACGCTGGGAGGCTGAGGCAAGAGGATTGCTTGAACTCAGGACTTTGAGACTGCAGTGAGCTATGACTGCACCACTGCACTCCAGCCTGGGTGACAGAGCAAAACCCTGTGTCAAAAGAAAAACGAAGGCCGGGTGTGGTAGCTCATGCCTGTAATCCCATTACTTTGGGAGGCTGAGATGGGTGGATCACTTGAGGTCAGTTGTTCGAGACCAACCAGACCAATATAGCGAAACCTCATTTATACTAACAATACAAAAATTAGCCAGGCATGCCTGTTATCCCAGCTACTCGGGAGGCTGAGACAGGATAATCGCTTGAACCCAGGTGGAAGAGGATGCTTTGAGCCAAGATAGCGCCACTGCATTCCATTCTGGGTGAGAGAGTGAGACGCTCTCTCAAAAAAAAAAAAAAAAAAAAAAAAAGAAGGAAGGGCGGGCCCAGAAGTCAGGAAGGAGCACGTGAGGAGGGTGTGTGGGAAGAATGGAGGTACTGAGGCAGGGTGCAGTGGCTCACACCTGTAATCCCAGCACTTTGGGAGGCCAGGCAGGCAGATCACTTGAGGCCAGGAGTTGGAGACCAGCCTGGCCAACATGGTGAAACCCTGTCTCTTCTAGAAGCACAAAAATGAGCTGGGCGTTCTGGTGGGCACCTGTAATCCCAGCTACTTGGGAGGCTTAGGCAGGAGAATCACTGGAACCCAGGAGGCGGAGGTTCCAGTGAGCCAAGATCGCACCACTACACTCCAGCCTAGGCCACAAAGCAAGACTGTTTCTCAACAACAACAACAAAAAAAAAAAAAAAAGAGAGACTCAGAGAGCCAGGGACCAGGGAAGGATATGAGGAAGTGTTCTGAGGACAGAGAAACGGGAGAATGGGGAGGAGAAGGAGCGGCACATGGAGCTCAGCAGAGGAGACAGACAGAAGGAAAGATGGCTTGGAGAAGCCAGCAGTCTGCAAGGCTGGGGAGGATGGAGAGTGGTTTGGGGTTTTGGGTCGGGCTCTAGTGTGATCAACTGCAGAAGCATTACACCGTGGCCTGGTTTCTTTACTCAGCCCCTGGGGTAGATCCCAGCCCCCCGCATAGGTCCTTTTGCTGGAAAAGGAAGAGGGAGTGGTGGGACGAATCTGAGGAGTCGTTGGAGGAGGAGCCACGGAAGGTGCTCGCCCCTGAGCCTGAGGAGATCTGGGTGGTGGAGATGCTGTGTGGCCTCAAGATGAAGCTGAAGCGACGGCGAGTGTCGCTCGTGCTCCCTGAGCACCACGAGGCCTTCAACAGGCTGCTTGGTAGGAGGACACCCCAGAGAGCACCTCCAATCCTGTTCTTTCCAAAAACAGGAAACTTCCAATAACCACACTTTTCCAATGGGAAAAATATGCCCCAGTGGGTGAGCTCTCCATGTGGGAGGAATGTGAAGTGATCACTCATGAGGGACACTTAGGAGATGATAAAGGATTAGGTCAACTTGATAAAGGTCAGAACTTGGGATAAGAAAGCTTGGTTTCAGGCCAGGTGCAGTGGCTCACGCCTGAGATCCTAGCACGTTGGGAGGCTGAGGCAAGAGGATTGCTTGAACTCAGGACTTTGAGGCTGCAGTGAGCTATGACTACACCACTGCACTCCAGCCTGGGTGACAGAGCAAAACCCTGTCTCAAAAGAAAAACCAAGGCTGGGCACAGTAGCTCATGCATGTAATCCCAGCTACTCGGGAGGCTGAGACAGGAGAATCGCTTAAACCCGGGAGGCAGAGGTTGCAGCGAGCCAAGATCAGGCCACTGCATTCCAGCCTGGCCCACAGAGCAAGACTCTGTCTCAAAATAAATTAATAAATAAATAAAAATAAAAATCAAATAAAGAAAAACAAAATCAATAAACAAAGAAAGTGGTTTCAGCTGTGCCCTCTGAAACTTAAAGTCTCTTACTGACTTTTCTAAACCTAAGTGTCTCCATCCATAGTGGGGGATCCCAAGGCCATGGTCACACCCTGATGTGACTGTCTCATGAGGAAATGATGGGAATTCCTTTATGACTCTGCAGTGGTCCCTCCGTGTCTGCTGGAGGGGGTCCTGGCTGATTCCCAGCTCTACATCCTGTAGATTCTCACACCCAGGGCCTCCTTCGGCCTCTTCTCAGGGGAGTCTCAGAGCAGGAGCCTCTCTCCCTTGCCCAGTGAAAGTCATTCTCCCCTCTCCCATCCACCTCACCCGCGGCCACAATCCTGAGACTTTCCCCCCGGGAGGCACACTTCTCCTCACTGCCCTGCTGCTCCCACGGAAACCCTGTCCTGCTTCTCACACTGACATCTGCTCTCTAATCACAGAGGATCCTGTCATTAAAAGATTCCTGGCCTGGGACAAAGATCTGAGGGTGTCGGACAAGGTAAGGTTGTTCTCCATGTAACTGTTCCTGTTCCAACGCATGGCTGGGGGGAGGGCGCAGCTTCCAAACCCACAGTTCTCCCTCCACCACCTCCCACCAGATGCTCCTACAGTCTTTTTTTTTTTTTTTTTTTTTTTTTTTTTTTGTGAGACAGAGTCTTGCTCTGTTGCCCAGGCTGGAGGGCAGTGTCTCGATCTTGACTCACTGCAGCCGATGCCTCCCGGGTTCAAGCGATTCTCCTGCCTCAGCCTCCAAGCAGCTGGGATTACAGACATGAACCACCACGCCTGGCTAATTTTTGTGTTTTTAGTAGAAACGGGGTTTTGCCATGTTGGCCAGGTTGGTCCTGAACACCTGACCTCAGGCGATCCACCCGCCTTGGCCTCCCAAAGTGCTGAGATTATAGACGTCAGCCACTGTGCCCGACCAGCTCCCACGGTCTTGAGTCTTGGCACCCACACATTTTTTTTTTGTGAGACAGAGTCTAGCTCTGCTCCCCAGGATGGAGTGCAGTGGCATGATCATAGCTCATTGCAGCCTCTAATTCCTGGGCTCAAGCAATCTTCTTTCCTCAGCCTCCTGAGGAGCTGGGACTAGGCACATGCCACCATGCTCAACTAATTTTTGAAATGTTTGTAGAAACAGGGTCTCACTATGTTGCCCAGGTTGTTCTCGAACTGTTGGGCTCACATGATCCTCCTGTCTCCACCTCTCAAAAAGTACTGGGATCACAGGCTTGAGCCACCACTCCCGGCTATTCTTGGTCTTTTTATGATTTGTCAGCATCTCCCTCAGGATTCTGCTGGTCTCTTGCAGAGTGAATGAGTGGCCCCTGCCTCTCCTATGGGTCCTTTGGGATCTGAGCTCTGGGCCACAGTCTGGCCGCAGCCCTGAAGCTCCTAGCCCCTCTACTCTCAGCTCTTCGGGACAGTTCTCTGCCTGGCACACAAAAGACCCTCCTGACACCAGCCGACCTAGACACACCCCCTCCAAAGATCCCATCGGAGCCCACCATCCTGGGAGCATCACCCAAAACCCTTCCTCTGGCTTCTCGGATTTGCATCTGACCTTCGAATACCCCTCCATCCTGCAATTTCCAAATGAGTACAGTCACCCCAACACTGAGGTCCCTTCTCTGATGGGCAGCCCCTCCCCAGACCCTCATTCCCCCTCTCCACAATCTTCCTCTTCCAAGATGTGACCTCTCCCTCTCTGTGTTCCTTTCTCTCCATCAGTATCTCCTGGCTATGGTCATAGCGTATTTCAGCCGGGCCGGCCTCCCCTCCTGGCAATACCAACGCATTCATTTCTTCCTGGCTCTGTGAGTGGTTTGCTTCCTCCTATCCGTCAATATCCAATGCCCTGGGACAGCGGGGGAAGTGGGATTCCAGCCTTTCATTTATTCTTTCACCTATTTGTCCTCTTTACTCTGTGTACAAAAAAGAGAGGATTATACTATCATAGACTGTTGTTTCTAAACAGAAACTCAGGCTGGGCACAGTGGCATACACCTGTAATCCCAGCACTTTGGGAGGCCGAGGCAGGCAGATCACCTGAGGTCAGCAGTTCGAGACCAGCCTGGCCAACATGGCCAAACCCCGTCTCTACTAAAAATAGAAAAATTAGCTGGGCGTGGTGGTGTGCATCTGTAATCCCAGCTACTCGGGAGGCTGAGGCAAGAGAACCCTTTGAACCCAGGAGGTGGAGGTTGCAGTAAGCTAAGGTCGAGCCACTGCACTCCAGCCTGGGTGACAGAGTGAGACTTTTTCTCAAAAAAAAAAAAAAAAAAAAAAAAAGCCAAAAAAACAAACTCCAATGCCAGTGTACAAATAAAAGAATAAAACAAAAGGAACCATAAACCGCTCCTAAGGGGAAAAGAAAAGGAGTGGAGGAGCGGACATGCCGCTTCCTCCAGCAAGCAGACGTTTCTGGTTCTTCTCTCTCTCTCCTTCCCACATCAACCACAAACGCCATCGACCTCCTCTGGGTTCCCATGACAGAGGCCACAGTTCAGGTCCCCCTCGCATCACTTGAATCCACTGTCAAATGCTCCCTGCTGGGGTCTCCTGGAGTCTCTCCCCAAGCCAGGGGGCTTCCTAGTGCAGCCTGAACATCTTTCCAAAGCACGACAACCTCACTGCCCACCTGAACAACTTCCTTAGCTGATGCCTTTCTCTATCGAGGCCAGGGTCCACAGTGTCAATTCTACCCTCTCTACAATCTCTACAAGCACACTGGCTCGCCATCTTGGTATTTCCTGGCTCGGCTTCACTGCTCCTTCCAAATGCCCTCCACTCGACTTTGTGTTTGTGTTTTCTGTCTGGGTGTCCCGCACACATGTGGCTCTGAAGGGAAGGACCCATTCCTTGAAGTCAGTTCACCCCACAGCCTCTGTGATGCCTTCCCTCATCTTCCAACTTCTGCATGCCCGTAGCTCTCTAGTTACATCCTGGACACTGGGATTAGGTCATCTGCCTTGATTACTCCCAGTCCCATTAGACTAGATGCCTGTAGAAGGCAGGGTCCTGGCAAAATATCAATGTATTCAATTTCTTTTATTTTTTTGAGACAGACTTGCCCTGTCCCCCAAGCTGGAGTGCAGTGGTGAGATCATAGCTCACCGCAGCCTCCATATCCTGGGCTCAAGCGATCCTCCCACCTCAGCTTCTTTATTAGCTCCGACTACAGGGCTGTGCCACCACACCTGGACAGTTTGTTTGTTTGTTTGTTTGTTTATTGAGACAGAGTCTTGCTCTGCCTCTCAGGCTGGAATGGAGTGGCCCAATCTCGACTCACTGCAACCTCCGCCTCCTGGGTTCACACAATTCTTATGCTTCAGCCTCCTGAGTAGCTAGGCCTAACGGGTGTGCCACCGCACCAGGCTGATTTTTGTATTTTTAGTAGAGATGGGGTTTCTCCGTGTTGACCAGGCTGGTCTCCAACTCCTGGTCTCAAGCAATCCACCTGCTTCAGCCTTCTAAAGTGCTGGTATTACAGGCATGAGCCACCGCGTCTGGCATATTTCTTATATTTTTAATAGAGACGAGGGTCTTGCTATGTTGCCCAGGCCCGTCTCAAACTCCTGGCCTCAAGTGATCCTCCTGCTTTGGCCTCCCAATGTGCTGGGATTCCAGGCATAAGCCACCACTCTCGGCCACCAGTTGGGTTTTTGTCTCCATCCTGAAGGAGTGGGAGACGCCCTTGATCAGGTCTCTGTCCAGCAGAGCCCTCCTGAGGAAGGCGTGGCTCTCTGCAGGGTGGGTGCCAGTCCTGAGCTAGGGACGGTCCCTTACCTTCCTCTCTGGGAAGCTGACCTCAGCCGGAGGCCTCTCCTGGTGGTGCCCCTGAGCAGCAACCTGATTTCTGTCCTCAGCTACCTGGCCAATGACATGGAGGAGGACGACGAGGACCCCAAACAAAACATCTTCTACTTCCTGTATGGGAAGACCCGCTCTCGCATACCCTTGGTCCGTAACCGTCGGTTCCAGTTATGCCGTTGCATGAACCCGAGGGCCAGGAAGAACCGCTCTCAGATAGCCCTGTTCCAGAAACTTCGGTTCCAGTTCTTCTGTTCCATGAGCGGCAGGGCTTGGGTTTCCCGGGAGGAGTTGGAGGAGGTGAGTGGGGCCTGGGGAGGTGGAGGAGGTGGGGAGGAATCGGGTGGGCTGGAGGCTGGATGAGGGGAGAGAGGGGTATCCTGGCGAGTCCCTGTCTTCTCAAAGGGCGTTTGTTTTTCCAGATCCAGGCTTATGACCCAGAGCACTGGGTGTGGGCGCGAGATCGCGCTCGCCTTTCCTAGAGCTCCAGGGACCGTGGAGGCCTGAGGTCATCGGCCTGAGAGAAGGTACATCTGCATCCTCCGGGGTAAAGGCAGAATATTGGGGTCTATTTTGGAAATCCGAGGAACCCAATTGCTTGATCCGGCTTCAAGCCTGGGCAACGTGGCGAGATTCCCCTCTCCACAAAAATACAAAAATTAGCCAGGCGACGTGGGATGCATCTCTACTCCCAACTACTCAGGAGGCTGAGGCGGGAGGATCGCTGGAGCCTGGAAGGTCGGGGCTGCACGGAGCCCTGATCCTGCCACTGCACTCCAGTCTGGGCGACAGAGTGAGACCCTGCCTCAAAAAGAATCATAAATACTGAGTTTGGGGAGGTTCATTATGACTGACGCACTTGAGTTACCGATTTGGGTCGAGGGTTCAGTGAAGCTTTGGTTTACATCTTGTGCAGCTAACCACGGTGAGCACAGAGCATGAGACTTCATCATGAGGAGGTAGGATTAAGGATTAGGCTTCTGGACTCGTGGTTTGTGATGTTGTCACATTAGAAACACATCTAGCATGGTTACAAGTTTAGATCTTAAGTGACACAAAAGGCCCCAGCTGTGATGAAGTCCAAAGCCACATTCTCTGAGGGTGCCCTACTCCCTGGGCAGACCCACCCAAAGTCCTTGCTATGAAGCAGATCACTGGGGCTGACCTTGGGTGTATTAAGTGAGTTTTGGAGTCGTGGTCACCAAAGTGTGAGTTTCACAGTTGAACACGATGGTTCAGAAGCAGGGTATAGAATGAAAGGCAGCAGATAAAATTGCATTTCTCAATTGCTCTGAACTCTAGACTTGACATGGGACGTGAATAACCTTCCTGTCTAGAGAGCTGCCTCCTTGAAGTGTGACATTGTCTCTCTCACTTCCAGAACACCGGACCCACGGGAGATGTGGATTTTCAGCAGGAACTTTATTCCAATGCTAATGGCAGTCAACAGGAAAGAGGAGAGGAACCATTTGTGCAGATCATCTAGAAGAACCTGGACCATTCTTGATGGAGCTGAATACAGTGATCACGTTGTCCTCCTGGGAGCAGGGGTGGGGGGAGGGGGGTGGGGTCCTTCTAGGAGTCCTTGGAGAAAAGTAAGAAACCAGGAGTGTTTCCAGTTCCACCCTTTCCTGCGGCACCACCACCCTTTTTATATTGCTGAATGCCAACCTCCCTGGGGCGGAACCTGAGGTCCTGTTTCTTACGGACTTGGTTGCCACAGTCCAGGAGCATTTGAAGGCACAATGCAGGGGCTCAGATTGGCACAGAATTCTTTTGTGAAATATCAGTGCCACAGATTGTAACAGATAGCTTCATGCACACTCTGCATTTTATTGGTTTGTTTGGAAAATGTTGGCCATTGAATTATTCATAGATTTATTTCAAATAGTTTGGAAATTGTTGTACTTTTGAAAACATGCTGTTCCTGTAGTTTTTTGATGAGAGTTATAGTTGTTATATATACATAAAGATAATTTTCTTTTCATTTTTAAGAGACAATTCTTTTTATCCTAAATATTTTATTATCTTTAAATTTGTTTCTGTATTATTATATGTGCTCCTGAAGTGAGCACTCTTTTTATCTATGATATTTCCATAATAATCTCTTCTATTTATAGCTATTGGTAGTTCCCCACCAGAAAAAAACATAATTCTGGTGATAGAAATTTTTATTTGCTGTTTAGGTCTGTGACTGAATTGTGAGAATTCAGTTGTGATTTTTAACATGTCTCAGATATATATACTAACACGTCTAATATATACTATCTAATTTATTGGTTTATTTTGAAAAACATGGGTATAGAATTATTTAAATATTATTTTATTTATTGAAATATTAAATATATTTATTTATTTGAATATTATTACTTGAAATATTATTTTAAATATTTTGGAAATACTGGTATTTTTGAATAGATGCTGTTTCTATAAAGCTGTGTGATGGGTGTTATAACTGTTATATACACATACGTATAATTTTGCTTTCCTTTTTAAGAGAGGATTCTTTTCATCCTAAATCTTTTACCTTTCAATCTTTGTATCTATTATTACACGTGCTGCTGAAGGGAGCATGGTTTTTATCTATGATACTTAGTTAACATATATATTACATTTATAGCTATGTAGTAGTTCCCCTAAATTCTTGTAAAAATAAATTTTTATTTGATATTTCATATATGTTTGAAATGTGAGAATTCAGATGTAATTTTTTACCTTGTTTTGGCATCTTTGTATGTTACTTTAAAGAGGATGTGTGTTCTAAAGGAGGACATGAGCTGTGTGTTTTCAAGAGAACAATAGAGTGCGTCTCTTGGGGAAACATAATAAAAATGAACTTTTCTCACCTTCACAGCAACTGTGATCATATTGGTCTGGATTGATTATTTGCTGCCCAGTGATATTTTTCCTTAATGGGGTTGTGGTTATTTGAACATATTTATTAGCTCTGGAAGATAATCCTGTGCTGTTTTTTATGTAGAAAAAAACATAAGGCTGGGTGCAGTGCTCACACCTACAATCCCTGCAGTTTTGGAGGTCATGGCGGGAGGATCACCTGAGGCCAGGAGTTTGAGGCCAGCCTCAGCAACATAGCATCTACATCTATTTTTAATTTTTATTTTTTAAAGAAAAACAATAGAAGAGAAGGCTGATCCCAAGCTACAGGGTTTTTTTGTTTGTTTGTTTTGGAGACAGAGTCTTGCTCTGTCTCCCAGGCTGGAGTGCAGTGGCACAACCTCGGCTCCCTCCAACTTTCACCTCTGGGTTCAAACAAATTCTCCTGCCTCAGCCTCCCAAGCAGCTGGGACTACAGGCACCCGTCTGTACGTCCGACTAACTTTTGTAAAAATAGTAGAGACAAGGTTTCACCATGTTGGCCAGGCTGGTCTCGAACTCCTGACTTCAAGTGATCTACCCACCTCGGCCTCCCAAAGTGCTGGGATTACAGGCATGAGCTACTGTGCCCAGATGCCAAGCTAGAGTTTTAAGGCAGGAAATGAGAGAAAGATATTGAGAGAGGAAAACCAGGTGGTAAGAAAACTCTAAAGGTGGCCGGGAGTGGTGGCTCACGCCCATGATCCCAGCAGGAGTTTGAGACCAGCCTGGCCAACATGGTGAAACCCTGTCTCTACTAAAAATACAAAAATTAGGCAGGCGTGGTGGTGCACGCCTATAATCCCAGCTATTTGGGAGGCTGAGGCAAGAGAATCACTAGCAGAGATTGTGTCTCCTCACCCCCTCTCAAAAAAAAAAAAAAAAAAGAAAGTTCCTTCAGCAGTTAAAGCTGTGAAAGACAGGCACTCTGCCATGCAATTCTTTGTGATTTTTCTTTTTTCTTTTTGGAGTTGGGGTCTTGCGCTGTCACCCAGACTGGGGTGCAGTGGTGTGGTCATAGCTCACTGCGGCCTCAGACTCAAGCTCAAGCAATCCTCTTACCTTGCCTTTCAAATTGCTGGGATTATAAGCATGAGCCACTGCATCTGGCCTGTGTGACACAATTCTGTTTTTTGTCTTTTTTTTTTTTTTGTGGGGGGATGGAGTCTCGCTCTGTCACCCAGGCTGGAGTGCGGTGGCGTGATCTTGGCTCAATGCAAGCTCCGCCTCCTGGGTTCACGCCATTCTCCTGCCTCAGCCTCCCGAGTAGCTGGGACTACAGGCGCCCGCCACCATGCCTGGCTAATTTTTTGTATTTTTAGTAGAGACGGGGTTTCACTGTGTTAGCCAGGATGGTCTCGATCTCCTGACCTCGTGATCTGCCCGCCTTGGCCTCCCAAAGTGCTAGGATTACAGGCGTGAGCCACCGCGCCCAGCCTATGTGATGCAATTCTGATGTCAACTCCCTGATGTTACCTCAAATGCCACAGGTTAAGGCCACCAGCCCCCACTAGGCTGCCCTCGCTTTAGACACACCTGCAGGCTTGGGTGTCCTCAGACCACATGTACTTCTCACCAACTGGCTGCAAATTTGGAGGTTCCCACCATGCCCTCAAGTTCAATAACTCACTAAAACAATTCACAGAATGCAGAAAAGCATGATACTTTCTTTCTCTTTTTTTTTTTTTTTTTTTTGAGACGGAGTCTTGCTCTGTCGCCCAGGCTGGAGTACAGTGGCCACCATGCTTGGCTAATTTTTGTATTTGTATTAGAGACGGGGTTTCGCCATGTTGGCCAGGCTGGTCTTGAACTCCTGACCTCAGGTGATCCACCCGCCTTGGCATCCCAAAATGCTGGGATTATAGGCATAGCCACCATGCCCGGTCGACTTCTAGAGTTTCAATAACAGAGATGTGGTTCAAGAAGGGAGACATGTTTTGTAGATGGCAGGAGCTTCATGGAAAGAAGCCAATGAAGGGCAGGACGTGTAGCTGTCTACCTACAGGAAACCAGCCAGGAGCCTCCCCACAGGGACTTCAGCACAGATGGCCGGGAAAATCTGCATTAACCTGAGCTCTGGACCTAAGAGAGGACAAGGCCTTGACTGTTTCTACAGACTCACAAGATGCAATCTCTGCGGTCCATGCCCGTGGTGTGATCTGGGAAACGGGGGGCCTTCTAAATGCCAACAACAAGGAAATCAAATGTGCAACAGACAGAAATACCGGCATTGACGTGGGCCATGGAAAGGCCTAAACAGATGACTGCAGTTCACTGCCAAGGTCATCAAAGGGGTGACTCTGAAATAAGAAATTTCAGATGCCACGGCCCAAATAGCTGCACGAGGTGGGGAAGTCCTCCACATGCCTCTGCTTCCTTCAGTACCTGTTTATGAAATAAGCCGAGGTACTTCCCTGGGGAATTTCCTTTCTCTTTCTTTCTTTCGAGACGGAGTCTTGCTCTGTCGCCCAGGCTAGAGTGCAGTGGCGCAATCTCGGCTCAATGTAACCTCTCCCTCCTGGGTTTTAGCAATTCTCCTGCATCAGACTTCTGAGTAGCTGAGATTACAGGTGCATGCCACCATGCCCAGCTAATATTTGCATTTTTAGTAGAGACAGGGTTTCACCATCTAGGCCAGGCTGGTCTTGAACTCCTGACCTCGTGATCCACCCGTCTTGGCCTCCCAAAGTGCTGGGATTACAGGTGTGAGCCATCACGCCCGGACTTTTGTTTTATTTTTTGAGACGACGTTTCACTCTTGTTGCCCACGCTGGAGTGCAATGGCACGATCTCAGCTCACTGCCACCTCCTCCTCCCAGGTTCAAGCGATTATCCTGCCTCAGCCTCTCGAGTAGCTGGGATTACAGGCACCCAACACCAAACCCAGCTAACTTATTGTATTTTTAGTAGAGATGGGATGTCACCATGTTGGCCAGGATGGTCTTGAACCCCTGACCTCTAATGATCCACCTGAATTGGTTTCCCAAAATGTTGGGATTACAGGCACAAGCCACTGCGCCCAGCCCCTCCCATACCTCTTTTGGTCAAGGCAGCACAATTCAGAAGAATCTTGCCAGGGAAGACTGGTAAATGGACGTCAACGTGATGCCTATGGCTCCTGGTGGATTTAGATACCTCCTGGTGCTTATTGATATCTTTACCAGTTGCACGGGGGCTTTTCCATGCCAGACTGAAAACGCAGGAGATCAATGATCAACCTTCAACTATTTACTAGCAGAACACTGAGGGGACTGTGCGGTCACCAATACCTCCTATTGCACTTGGATAAACACCTCCCAGGAAATAGAGATGAATAGAAAGGACATAGTCAAACAAGCAGAATGGCTGCATTCCTTCAACCAGAAGGGCCATTAGTCTGTTTTCACACTGCTATAAAGAACTATGAGAAACTGGGTAATTTATGAAGAAAAGAGGTTTAATTGACTCACAGTTCTGCAGGCTGTACAGGAAGCATGGCTGGGGAGGCCTCAGGAAACTGACAATCACGGCAGAAGGCGAAGGGGAAGCAGGCACGTCTGGCCATGTTGGAGCAGGAGAGACAGAGAGAGTGAAGTGGGAGGGCTGCATGCTTTTAAACAACCAGATCCCACAAGCGCTCACTCAATATCACGAGAACAGCAAGGGGGAAGTCGGCCCCCATGAGCCAATCACCTCCCACCAGGTCCCTCCCACAACACTGGGAATTACAATTTGACATGAGATTTGGGTGTGGATACAGAGCTGAACCATGTCAAGGGTAGTTCAACCGCTGAGACTGACTGATTGATTGATTGACTGAGATGGAGTCCTGCTCTGTTACCTAGGCTGGAGTGCAGTGGCACAATCTCGGCTCACTGCAACCTCCGCCTCCCGGGTTCAAGCGATTCTCCTGCCTCAGCCTCCCGAGTAGCTGGGACTACAGCACATGCCACCATGCCTAGCTAATTTTTGTATTTTTAGTAGAGACAGGGCTTCACCATGTTTGCCAGGCTGGTCTTGAACTCCTGACCTCGTGATCACCCTGCCTTGGCTTTTCTTTTGCTGGAATTACAGGCGTGAGCCACTGCACCTGGCCAACAACTGAGATTTAGAAGGCAGTCGAGTCCACTATACCGCACCTCACCTGGTTTCTTCCTCTGTTGGGGCCCCTCGTGGCCACTGTTCTGTTACTTTTTGGTCCTATTTATTTAAATGGATGGTGAGCTGTTTGTCCTCCAGGCTCCAACACTTCCACCTTCAGCTTGTATTACAACAATACCAGCCTTTCAAGCTACTCCGGGTGACCCCAGAACTCATTTGAACTCAGAAGCCCAAGAGTTTCATTCCTTTCACTTTAGGGGACTCAGTGCCCTGCTCAGCATGAAGTCGAAGCAGAAGCATGACCTCCATCCCTAATCCCTCAAGAATGAGGAGTGGAAGGTGTTGGCAGGAGGGTGGGGGTGAGGTTTGTAGATCTGTAACTGCATCAGACCAAATCTGGTTCAACTTTTTTTTTTTTTTGATGGAGTTTCACTCTTGTCACCCAGGCTGGAGGGCAATGGTATGAACTCAGCTCACTGCAACCTCCACCTCCTAGGTTCAAGTGATTCTGCTGCCTCAGCCTCCAGATAGCTGGGATTATAAGGGTGCACCACCACACCTGGCTAATATTTATATTTTTAGTAGAGACGGGGTTTTACCATTTTGGCCAGGCTGGTCTTGAAGTCCTGACCTCCACCTGCCTTGGCCTCCCAAAGTGCTGGGATTACAGGCGTGAGTCACTGCACCCGGCTCAGTTCAACTTTTATGTAATGAGGTTGTCAGTTGTTTTTCAATTGCCATGGACCCACAGGTTGAAGGGCATGTACCCTGTGCATGCCCAGGTTAACCAAGCATGCCACCACGGAGTGGGAACTAAAAGCTCGGCCTGAAGAGCTGAGACTGATTTAAGAACTGGACACTCCATGACAGGAGCCAGGATCCAATCAGATTGAGTTTTGCTGTCACCCCATGGCAGGATCCAGTCAGATCACACCTCCCAGCATTACTTTATTGCAAGATCCAATCAAATCACAACTCATTACCCTATGCTTATAAAACCTGACATAGCCCCCAGCTGGGTAAGGGAGATTTGAGTATTTCTTCCTGTGTTCTTGCTAGCTGACTTGCAAAAAAGCTTTAAAAAAAAGGCCACGCGTGGTGGCTCATGCCTGTAATCCCAGCACTTTGGGAGGCTGAGGCAGGCAGATCACTTGAGGTCAGGGGTGCAAGACCAGCCTGGCCAACATGGTGAAACCCTATCTCTACTAAAAATACAAAAATTAGCTGGTCATGGTGACACATACCTATAATCCCAGCTACTTGGGAGACTGAGGCAGGAGAATCACTTGAACCCAGGAGGTAGAGGTTGCAGTGAGCCAAGATCACACCACTGCACTCCAGCCTGGGCGACAGAGTCAGAAGACTCTGTCTAAAAAAGAACAGTTAAAATTAGCATCAAATGCTTTACGAGTAAAAAAAGTTTTTAGCTGCATATGTTTAAGTAACTTTTTAGATTGTAAAAAATACACATACAAAATGGAAAGGCACAAAGAAGAGAGCAAAAAGTGCATGAGATCTCACATCCAAGGATAACCGCTGAGAACATGAAAGTGCTGACTCTTCCAGCCTTTATACTATACACATTTAGGCCGTTGTTTTGTTTTTATAAAACCGTAATCATATAATACAGATAGTTTTATAATCTGGTTTTTAAACACAACAATTACATAACATTTAGCTGTTTCTTTTGCATTCAGATTCATAAGGGTTCCAGTAACTCATTTATCAGAAAACCAAGAGAAATAGTCTCATTAAAATATAAGTACATAAGGCAGGCATGGTGGCTCACGCCTATAATCCCAGCACTTTGAGAGGCCGAGGTGGGCGGATCACCTGAGGTCAGGAATTTGAGACCAGCCTGGCCAGCCTGGACAACATGGTGAAACCCCGTCTCTGCTGAAAATACAAAAATGAGCCAGGTGTGGTGGTGCGCACCTGTAATCCCAGCTATTCAGAAGGCTGAGGCAGGTGAATCGCTTAAACTCGGGAGGTGGAGGTTGCAGTGAATCGAGATCGTGCCACTGCACTCCAGCCAGGGCGCCAAAGTGAGACTCCATCTCAAAAAAAGATAAAAATAAAAAATAAAAATAAAATATATATATGTATATATATTTTTCCAGACAGGGTCTTACTCTGTCTCCCAGTCTGAAATACAGTGGCGCAATCATAGCTCACTGCAGCCTCAAGTTTCTGGGCTCAAGTGAATCTCCCACTTCAGCTTCCCAAGTAGCTGGAACTACAGGTGGATGCCACCATGCCCAGTCAATTTTTTTTTTAATTTTTCATAGAAACAGAGTCTCACTATGTTGCCCAGTCCTAATAAACACTATGTGATGAAAAGAAAAAAGTAAATCACCCTAAAGTTAAGTCTTTAATGTTAAGTCTTTAACGAGAAATGCAAATAAAGCATTTCTCAATAGATTATGGGAAGAGAATCAACTGAAGAATAAACATCTTTAGTAAATCTTTTGCTCATGTGCATTAACCAATACTCTTGAAAACCAAGATTAATTTACTGTACCTTCTTAACATTCCTTTGAAATTCCTTATGGCGCACAGGTAGTGTAGAAAATAACTGCTTCACGCTGACTGTGGTCCCTCTGGGGTGGGGGTAGGGGGTTTTCTGGATGATTTTCCCATCGTGATCAAACACCAGTCGAGTCCCAACCTTCACCGATGCGTGGCAGGTAGAAATGGTGACATCGCTGTGAGAGAATACCAGGCGTGGTGTGTTCAGTGAGAGACCCGTGATGTTGAGCATTGACTATGCTTTTCTTCACTTGCTTTTCTCTCAAAACTTTCTTAAAAAGCTGACGATCCCTCTGAGATAACCAAGATCTAAACGGTTGAGGAGTCATCATAAAATCTAAGGTTTGGCATCTAAAAGACAGTGAGACAGAGAGCACTAAACATGCTTTGTTTTGATAAAAGCTTTGATTTCATTTTTCAGGTTGAATTGCAAAACCATAAATGATCTCAAGGTTTATTTATTCACAAATAGAGATTTGTTTTGTTATTACTCTTCAAATAAAATTGTTTTAAAGAATTTTTTAAAGAACTAAAAAATTTTTTTTAAATTTTTAAAGAATCCAAAAGATATTATAATTAAAATGTATATGTAGGGCAGGGTGCGGTGGCTCATGCCTGTAATTCCAGCACTTTGGGAGGCCGAGAAGCGCAGATCAATTGAGGCCTGGAGTTCCAGACCAGCCTGGGCAACATGGCAAAACCCCATCTCTACTAAAAATACAAAAATTAGCCAGGAGTGGTGGTGCACGCTATAGTCCCAGCTCTTCAGGAGGCTGAGGCACGAGAATCACTTGAACCTGGGAGGCAGAGATTGCAGTGAGCTGAGACTGTGCCACTGCACTCCAGCCTGGGTGACAGAGTGAGACTCTGTCTAAAAAAATATATATATATATTTGTATATTTCATTTTTATAAAGCCCTTTCTGGCCATTTACTAGCCCAGATTAAATAGTTTAGCTTTTTCTTTCCTCTTTTTTTTTTTTTGTCCATAGGCTAGTCAAATGAAGCAGTTGGAGTGGAGAAGGAACAAAAAAATCTGTAACTGGTTGTGATCAATTAGTGGTTAACACCGTTGCACTTTGACCAGCCTTTTCTTTTGAAAGAAATAATTTTAACATACCCAGTAAGGAGAAAGGGGGACAGGCGCGGTTGTTCATGCCTGTAATCCTAGCACTTTGGGAGGCCAAAGTGAGCAGATCACCTGAGGTCAGGAGTTCCAGACTAGCCTGACCAACGTGGAGAAACCCTGTCTCTACTAAAAATACAAAATTAGCCAGGTGTGGTGGTGCATGCCTGTAATCCCAGCTGCTCGTAAGGCTGAGGCAGAATTGCTTGAACCCGGGAGGCGGAGGTTGCGGTGAGCCGAGATCGTGCCGTTGCACTATAGCCTGGGCAACAAGAGCGAAACTCCATCTCAAAAAAAAAAAAAACATAAGACAACTGCTTCTGGAACCAGACTTCCTGGATCCTATTTTATTAGCTTTATAATCTCAAAAAAAGGAAATTTCCTGTTCCTTAATTTCCTCATCTGTAAAATGAAGATAATAAGTTCTATCTCATAAAGTTACTCAGCGGATTAATAATTTTTTAGGTTTATTTTATTTTGTTATTTTCTTTTTTTCTTGGTTTTTTTTGAGATGGAGTTTTGCTCTTGTCACCCAGGCTGGAATGCAGTGGCATGATCTGATCTTGGCTCACTGCAACCTCCACCTCCGAGGTTCAAGCAATTCTCCTCCCTCAGCCGCCCGAGGAGCTGAGATTACAGCCATGCACCATCACATCTGGCTAATTTTTGTATTTTTAGTAGAGACAGGGTTTTACCATGTTGGTTAGGCTGGTCTTGAACTCCTGACCTCAAATGATCAGCCCTGCTCCACCTCCCAAAGTGCTGGGATTATAGATGTGAGCCACTATTCCACGCCTATTTTATTTTATTTTATTGAGACGGAGTCTTGCTCTGTCCCAGGCTGGTGTGCGGTGGCACGATCTCGGCTCACTGCAACCTCTGCCTCCCGGGTTCAAGCCATTCTCATGCCTCAGCCTTCCAAGTAGCTGGGATTACAGGCTTCTGCCACCAGGTCTGGCTAATTTTTATATTTTTAGTAGAGACAGAGTTTCACCATTTTGGACAGGCTGGTCTCAAACTGCTGACCTCAGGTATCCACCCACCTTGGCCTCCCAAAGTGCTGGGATTACAGGTGTGAGCCACCACACCCGGCCTGCTTTATTTTTTTAATAGAGATGAGGTCTCACCATGTTGGCCAGGTTGGTCTTGAACTCTGGCCTCAAGCAATCCCCCCACCTCAGCCTCTCAAAGGGCTAGGATTACAGGCGTCAGACACCACGCCCAGCTATTCTGCAAATTAAATGAGATATTTCTGTGCAATTCTTAGCATAACACCTGCCTGGCACACCATAAGAACACAAGAAAAGCTGTCGTTATTATTATTACTACCTAGCTAAGTACTAGGCACATAATAGGTGCTAACTTTAACTTAAAAATAATAGTTTATTACTACATCAACACTTGATAGTCTTATTTCAATAACAAATGTTTCTTGACTACAACAACACACACTAATCATTTCTTGTGGCTTAAAACTCTCCCAAACTTACCAATATTAGTGGCACCAGCATCCAGACTGTTTTCTACTAACTCCTTCACTGCAGTGCTTAGACTCAGTACCACTGGCCCAGAGCATATCTGATGGACTGACTTCCGATCAATAGGTTTGATGGCCTTAGCAGGTTCTGTACTAAAGAAATGTTACAAGAAACAAAGCAAGTATTCAGCTATATATTTTCATCCTGATTTTAACTGTGGGAAATGACTCAACACTGTAAATAGTTTATGGGTCTAATCTGTTCAGTTATTATATTAACAAATACATTTATTATATCCAGAAATAGAAACACTGTTTTACAATCCTTAAACATGTACCCAAAATACTTCTGGATAGATACTTCAAATTCAACAGATCCTTACTATCTAGGATCCACATGGAGAAAACATACATTGTATCTCTCAAATTACCAAAACCTTTGGCAACAATGGTGTCTTCTTTCTTGAAAACTGAAAGCATGGCCTGGTGGGGTGGCTCATGCCTGTAATCGGCTAATTTTTGTATTTTTTTAAAGTAGAGATGGGGTTTCACCACGTCGGCCAGGCTGGTCTTGAACTCCTGACCTCAAGTGATCCACCCGCCTCGGCCTCCCAAAGTGCTGGGATTACAGGCATGAGCCACTGCACCCGGCCCACCTGGATAACTTCTAAAAATATTTTATAGAGATTAGATGTTGGTATGTTTTATTTTGTTTTGCTTTTTTTGAGACAGAGCCTCGCTCTGTCATCCAGGCTGGAGTGCAGTGGTGTGATCTCAGCTCACTGCAACCTCCGCCTCCCGGGTTCAAGCAATTCTCCTGCCTCAGCCTCCCAAGTAGCTGAAATTACAGGCGCCCATCACCATGCCTGGCTAATTTTTGTATTTTTAGTAGAGATGGCGTTTCACCATGCTGGCCAGGCTGGTCTCGAACTCCTGACCTCAAGTGATCCGCCTGCCTTGGCCTCCCAAAGTGCTGGGATTGCAGATGTGAGCCGCCACACCTGTCTGAACCTAGATTCTGTTCTTGCAGTGTGAAGTTCCTGAATGTTATGGGAGCAGAGGTGCGATGTGATCAGGTTTAGAACCTGGTCCTGGCTGGGTGCAGTGGCTCACACCTGTAATCCCAGCACTTTGGGAGGCCGAGGTAGGTGGATCACCCGACGTCAGGAGTTTGAGACCAGCCTGGTCAACATGGTGAAATCCCGTCTACTAAAAATACAAAAAAATTAGCCAGGCACAGTGGCGCACATTTATAGTCTCAGCTACCTGGGAGGCTGAGGCAGGAGAATCGTTTGAACCTGAAGCTGGAGGTTGCAGTGAGCCGAGATCACACCACTGCACTCCAGCCTAGGCAACAGAGTGAGACTCTATCTTAAAAAAAAAAAAAGAACAAAGAACCTGGTCCCTCTGGATACTGAGAGGGGAATGGGCGACGGGCAGGAGTGGACATGGAGAGTTCAGCTAGAGAGGAGCCACGGACATCCCAGCGGGAGACCAAGGTGGCTCTTGCTTGGGGATTGCAGGGATGATGGAGAGAAATGGGTGGCTTAGACACTCCAGGGAGGTAAAGCGATCGCTGGAAGTGAGAGCGAGGGAGGGGTGCTTCCTGGCTGCCTGTGCCCACCTGCTGCCATCCGAATTCCTTTGATGTTTGGCCTGCTGAGTCATCTGCAAGTCATTACCCCGCAACAGTTGCTGTTTTTCCTTTTTAACAATGCATTTGTTTCGAACCATTGAGCCATTATGTTCCCGGCCAATGGATTTTGTGGTGTTTCCCCAACTACACAGTCCTGGGGAATATTTTAAATGCCATTTAATAAAAAGTTCTGCACAATGCCGTTCCCGTGACATGTTCTGCTCAAAGCCGTCACGAGCTGGTATTCAAGGGGATGGGGTTCGGCTGAGGACCCTTTTAGGTGTGACTGTGCTGGGCAGAACGCCCTGGCATGGCTCCCCAGGGCCTGATGGGACTGTGCCTGTGCTGGGCAGTGCCCCCTCCCTTGGGTTCTTCTTCTTCTTTTTTTTTTTTCTTCAGATGGAGTCTCGCTGTGTTGCCCAGGCTGGAGTGCAGTGGTGTGATCTCGGCTCACTACAACCTCTGCCTCCTAGATTCAAGCGATTCTCCTGCCTCAGCCTCCCGAGTAGCTGGGACTACAGGCACGAGCCACCGCATCTGGCTATTTTTTGTATTTTTAGTAGACACGGGGTTTTGCCATGGTGCCCAGGCTGGTCTCAAACTCCTGAGCTCAAGTGATCCACTTGCCTCAGCCACCCAAAGGGCTGGGATTACAGGTGTGAGCCACCATGCCCAGTCTTGTCTTTCAAAAATATTAACGATGTATTAATGTTCTTGTGGAACACACCTGCCGTTAAGATGACATCCCCAGAACCCCTTTTCCTGGGGCCTTGCCGTAAAGCAAACTGTGGTGGTGCACTCACTTGCAAAGCACAGAAGACCCCAATTTTTGCATTCACGCCCAGGCCACATCAGAAACTGGGCATGGCCTCTTCCATCTGCCTTATCTCCCAATTCCTGCGGCCACCTCCTGCATATTTCTGGAATCCAACTCTTCCTCTCCAATCCTCTGTGTCTGCCCTGGTTCAGATCTGGTTCTTCCCAGCCCACAATCCCTGCTACCACCCCTTGGCCACCATGGGTGCCACTGCAGAACAGGACCGTATACACCCCTGGTCTCTCTGAGTAGCTCTCTCTCCTCCTCTCTCCTTCTTCCCTCTTTTTAAAAAAACTTTTTAGAGATGGGGTCTTGCTGTGTTGCCCAGGCTGGTCTTGAACTCTTAGGCTCAAGAGATCCTCCTGCCTCGGCCTCCTTCTTCCATTTGCCCTTCAAAATTCAGCTCAAGGCCGGGCATGGTGGCTGTCACCTGTAATCCCAGCACTTTGGGAGGCTGAGGTGGGAGGATCTGTTGAACTCAGGAATTTAAGACCAGCCTGGCCAGCATGGTGAAATCCTGTCTCTACTAAAAATACAAAAAAATTAGCCAGGCATGATGGCAGGCGCCTGTAATCCCAGCTACTTGGGAGGCTCAGGCAGGAGAATCACTTGAACCCGGGAGGTGGAGGTTGCAGTGAGCCAAGATCATGCCACTGCACTCCAGCCTGGGCAACAGAGCAAGATTCGATCTCAAAAGAAAAGAAAAGAAAAGAAAAAAAGAGTCAGCTCAGAAATAACCCCAGGGACCAGGCGTGGTGGCTCATACCTGTAACCCCAGCACTTTGGGAGGCCAAGGCAGATGGATCACCTGAGGTCAGGAGTTCAAGACCAGCCTGGCTAACATGGTGAAATTTCATCTCTACTAAAAATACAAAAATTAGCTGGGTGTAGTGGCAGGCGCCTGTAATCCCAGCTACTCCAGAGGCTGAGGCAGTAGAATTGCTTGAACCCAGGAGGCAGAGGTTGCAGTGACCTGAGATCGCACTGTTGCACTCCAGCCTGGGCAACAAGAACAAAACTCGGTCTCAAAAAAAAAAAAAAGAAAAAAGAAAAAGAAAAGAAAGAAAGAACCCCTAGGAAGCCCCCTTGGCTCTCAGTGGGGGCCAGTAGCCTCCCCTGGACTCCTGGACTATGATTCAGTCTTTACACCCTAGGTTCCAAGATCTGTTTAGAGGGTGTTTCCAAAGTCAAGTTCCAGGTGGCTCCTGAGGGTGATGGCAGCTCCTCAGTGGGCTCAGAGAGGCTGTGCAGAAGGGAGGGGCAGCTGCAGGCTCGAATGGGAAGTCCCTGGCGCTGCGTCTGGCATCAGCACGGATTCAGACAGTGAGAACAAACATAGAAGGGCCCCAGGACATGCAAAAGCCTGTGGCCAACATGGCGAAACCCCATCTCTATTGAAAGTACAAAAATTAGCTGGGTGTGGTGGCAGGCACCTGTGATCCCAGCGACTCAGGAGACCAAGGCTCGAGAATCACTTTAACCTGGGAAGTGGAGGTTGTGGTGAGCAGAGATCACGCCACAGCACTCCAGCCTGGGCAACAGAGTGAGACTCCACGTTAAAAAAAAAAAAAAAAAGCCATGGCAATCCTGCTCCTAGCTGGTCCTTGAACCCTGGGAGGATTAATTCATCTTTTCACACAGCAAACACCAACGGCCCCCTCCTTCTCCCTGTCATACCCCTCCGGGGCCGGGCCCCTAGCCAACTGTCTTGGGTCTGGATAGAACAGCGTGAGACAGTCTCTGCTGAAGGGTCACTGACAGGGAGGTGGTCTTTTAACTCTATCTTTTTTTTTTTTTTTTTTTTGAGTTGGAGTCTCGCTCTGTCGTCCAAGCTGGAGTGCAGTGGCACGATCTCGGCTCACTGCAACCTCCGTTTCCCAGGTTCAAGTGATTCTCCTGCCTCAGCCTGCCAAGTAGCTGAGATTACAGGCACCCACCACCACACCAGGCTAATTTTTGTATTTTTAGCAGAGACAGGGTTTCACCATGTTGGCCAGGCTGCTCTCAAACCCCTGACCTCAAGTAATCCGCCTGCCCTGGCCTCCCAAAGTTGGGATTACAGGCATGAGACACCAAGCCCGTCTGTTAACTCTCTCTCAGTTCCAGGCAGAGGGACCTGGGCTCCACCGTGGTGGGGTTTTTTTGTTTGTTTGTGTGTTTTGTTTTGTTTTGGAGACGGAGTCTTGCTCTGTCACCCAAACTGGAGGGCAGTGGCAAGACCTTGGCTCACTGCAACCTCCACCTTCTGGGTTCAAGTGATTCTCCTGCTTCAGCCTCCCGAGTAGCTGGGATTCCAGGCCCCCACCACCATGCCCTGCTAATTTTTGTATTTTTGGTAGAGACAGGGTTTTGCCACATTGGCCAGGCTGGTCTCTAACTCCTGACCTTAAGTGATCTGCCCACCTCAGCCTCCCAAAGTCCTGGGATTACAGGTGTGAGCCACTGCGCCTGGCCTGTTCGTTCAAGACAGGGTCTCACTCTATTGTCCAGGCTGGAGTGCGGTGGCACGATCACGGCTCACTGCAGCCTTAAACTCCTGGGCTCAGGTGATCCTCCTGCCTCAGCCTCCCGAGTAGCTGGGACTAGAGGTGCACACCACCACCCCTGGCTAATCTTTTTTTTCATTTTTAGTAGAGATAGAGTCTCACTATGTTGTTGCCCCAGCTGGTCTGGAACTCCTGGGGTCAAGTAATCCTTCTGCCTGAGCCTCTCAAAGTGCTAGGATTCCGGGTGTGAGCCATGCAATAGTGTAACTTAAAGGGGCTGGCTCCCCTGGCCAGACGTCACCTGGGACACCAAGGAATTTGACTGAATCTGTTTCTGTCTATACCTGAAGGGGTTCTGGTGGCTGGTGGGGGTGCAGGCAGCATGGAGGAGAAGCCTCCAGAGATGAGGGGCTCAAGGGCTTGCTTGGGAGGGAGCACTACCTAAACCACATACCTGGCCCTGAAACACATGTGTGGATTTTCCTAGGAGATGGGGGCACCTCAAAGTACAAGCCGGGACAGCAATCAAGGGACAGGCTCAGGGTAACCCCATGGGGCAGAAGCTGAGCAGGGCCCTGGGCTCCCGGCATAAATTTCCTGTCCCAGCAGGGGCACCATTCAGGCCAGGGTGGGCTCCAGACCGCATTTATTCACCTCCAAAGAGGGCTGCAGACCAAGGGTCACCACCGGGCTCCCTCCGCTGGCAGGGCCTGCATGCCGGGAGCCGTGGTCACATTAGAAGGTCCGGGAGCGCAGCCCAAGGGGGCGTGTGCAGCGGCCGTGGACAGAGTGCAGCGGGCAAGTCACTGAGCCTCAGTTTCTCCATCTAGAAAACCGCTGCGGCTGTGCGGACTGCATGGCACGCAGTGGGCTCTCAGGCGTGATTGCTCATCCCTCTGGCTTGGCGGAGGGAGGCCTAGAGTCCTGACCTTCACCGACCCCGCCAACGTGGCATCTGCTACCGCCTCGGAGGCAGAAGGGGCAGCGAATAGCAGCGAGCATGCACACTGGCCGTGAGGCGGCCTGGCTGCGGCTCACCGGCGACCCCGAGTGGCGACGACGGGAACCACCGGCCTTGTGCACAGATGGACGCTTGAGGTTTTGCACAGAGGGTCCTTCCAGGTGATGGAGGCTCCTGGGTCCTGGAGAGCCTACTGGGGTGACGGTCTAAGGGCCTGATAGACCCCCGACAGCAACAGGTCACATCTGGACACGTGGTCGTCTCAGGTCTAGAGAAGGCATCTCCCCAAGGTCAGGACCGGCTATGCCTGAAGCCCCAAGTCTAACACTGTATGTAGCATACAGCAGATGCTTAATAAATGCTTGAGGGGGTGGATAAGGGCTAGAGCCATCCATATGCACAAGAGGGTTGGAGGTGGTGGCCAGAATTGGTAGTCAGATGACCATGGAGAGTCCCACTCTCAGAAAGGTGCTGTGCCCAGGGGCAGTAGAGATGCCTCTGAATCCTCACCCCGCCCAGCCACTGATGTGTGGGATGGGGGACGGAGGGTGGCTCAGGTCTCATAGGCCCCAGGATGGGCCCAGCTCCCTGCATCAGGCAAAGCACAGTCCTCTGCAGGCCTCCTCCCAGGGTCTGGAAGCTTGCGGTCAGGGCGGCCTGTCCACACAGTCTCCAGCCTCCCTCGCAGGAGGTCAGGTGAGACAGAGGTGGGGATGGAGGTGGGGACTGGGTATCCAGCCTGCCCATGGCCCTCCCCTAAACCCTCCTGAGTGCAACTTACAGATGCTTGGAGAGGGAGAGAAACCAGAAAGGCAGAGGAGAGGCAGGGGGGCTGGTGCTGGGATTCCAGGCAGGGTACGGGGTGTGCTGGTGGGGGGGAAAGGCAAGGAGCCCTGAGGGGGCCTGTGGGTGCAGGAGCTGGGACAAAGCACCATGCACTCACTCCCAGCGCCCCATCTCCCCCAGCCCCATGCAAAGAGGCCAGGCTAGGGGCTGAGGCTGGGGAGGGGGTCCAGGCCAGGCTTGCAGCCCACCGGCAGTGTGGCGGCCTCTCTGGGTGGGATGTGGTGGGTCATGTAGCGCTTGCCCATGAAGGAGCCGATCCGCAGCTGCTCCGGGGCCTCCTCCGGCCACCACAGGCTGGAGCTGGGCGGGGAGAGGAGGAGGAAGAGACATATGTCCCTGCCACATGGGGCACGTGCTGGGTCAAGGCCTGCTCTCCTCCCTCCCAGCTCCCTCATGTGTAGTCTCTCTCTCTCTCTTTTCTTTTTTTTTTTTTTTTTTTGAGATGGAGTCTGGCTCTGTCACCCAGGCTGGAGTGCGGTGGTGTGATCTAAGCTCACTGTAACCTTCGCCACCCGGGTTCAAACGATTCTCCTGCCTCAGCCTCCCGAGTAGCTGGGATTACAGGTGCCTGCCACCACACCCGGACAATTTTTGCATTTTTAGTGGAGATGGGGTTTCACCATGTTGCTCAGGCTGGTCTTGAACTTTTGGCCTCCAGTGATCCTCCCACCTCGGCCTCCCAAAGTGCTAGGATTACAGGCATGTGCCACTGCACCCGGCCTCACCTGCAGTCTCTGATCCCTCCTTCCTCCCTTCTAGAACCAATTGGAGGACCACCTCTCCAGGTGGCCACCCTGACTACCCTGGCGTCAGCTTACTAAACCACCAGAGGATCCACAGACAGCAGGTGAGGCCCGGGAGGAGAAGGGCCTTGGCTGAGGACACACTGAAAAGACAGGGCCCGAGTGAGGCGGGACCTCCCGAACCTGTCCTCAGAGGGGCTGCTGGCCCCATCAATGACCCCTGAGGTGCGAGATACTCAGGGTGGGAGTTCCCTGCACAGGCCCTGGGAGGGGCGCTGCCCAGCTCGAAACCACGGGGCTCGGCAAGGTGGCTCACACCTGTAATCCTAATACTTTGGGAGGCCGAGACGGGAGGATCGCTTGAGCCCAGCAGTTCCAGACCAGCCTGGGCAACATAGCAAGTCCCTGTCTCTACCAAAAATAAAATAAACCCCATGGCATGCCTGGAGGGCTTCCAGACACTGGGACCAATTCAACAGAGGGGTTCTGGGTGGGAGAGGGGCCCGAGGGGGTGTCCCCACTCACAAGCGCATGGTAGAGGCTGCCAAGAAGGCCAAGAGTAGGAGGCCGGCCAGAGAAGAGAGGATGGAGGTAATGACGATCATGCTGCCACTTCGCCGCCCTGGCCAGGTGTCGATGGATCCGGGGGTCTTCCCTGCACACACACCAGCTGCTCAGAGGGGCTGCCCCTCGACCCCAGGGCTGGCTGTCATCTCCTCCCTCGCTCCCTCCCCACCCACGCTGGCCTAGCTTCAAGGTCTGGCTGTCTCATATCCCCAGGCGCCCCCCTGATCCCACCCCCCGTCCCTCTTCCTCGGGACGGCACAGCATCTGTTCTCTGCCAGCCTGGACCACAGCCTCCGCCCTGCTCCTACCTTCTAGGCTGCTCCCACCCACGTGCTCATCCACTGCCCTGCTCCCTGGAGCCCAGCAGTCAAGGCCTTCAGATGACAAGACTTCCACCCCACACCCCCTGACCTCTGAAGCCGTCTCCCAGGAGACCCCCACCCCCGACACCTGGGCCGTGGCACTCGAAACTTCTGGGCTTGGTACATTCACGCTTGCCCCTTGGGGTCTGCTCAGAACTCAAGCTGGCTGCCTCCCCAGCCAGCCCCGACCCTGACCCTGACCTCCTCCACACCCTCTTCCTCCCTCCCAGCAGGGGCTGACACAGGCTGACTCCCTACAGGAGGGGGGAGGCTGTCTGTGCCCACAATGTGGCAAACGCTTGCGGATGGGCCGAGATGGTGCCCCTGCCGAGGGGGCTGGCTGGGTGCCCCACTCCCCCAGCATGAGGTTCTGTTGGGGGCTGGGCCCGACTTGGACATGGCCTCCAGGCCCCCAGCCCTGTGGGAGCAGGGGTGTGGCCAGCTCAGCAGAGGCGGCCCAGAGAGATCGTGAGTCCACTGGGGGCAGCGCCCCTCCTGCCCAGCGCTACCTTGGTGGAGAGTGATGGGGTCTGACCACTTGGTCTCAGCCCTGGGTGAGCCCCTGGTGTCCATCAGGAGGAACTTCACCCTGGGGATGGGAGGTGGTGGGGGAGGAGGGGAGAGCTTCAGAGGCTGGGACCACCCTGGGCAGGGCCAAGCCCCAGGCAGCTCCTCTGGGGCCCTCCCATGGATGTGGAGTGGGGGTGCCCGTCAAGAGCAGCAGCCCATGGCCTGGCCCTGCTCTGAGAATCCCCTGAGATGTCTCCAGCCACTTGGCCTGTGCCACCACCCCTCATCCCCCCGAGCAATTGCTCTCCAGACACCAGACCTGGGCCGGGGATGCTGGTTTAGGGGCCCTGGTTCCTAAATGTCACAAGCCAAAAGAGCAGGTGAAGGTGGCTTAGCAGGGCACATGGGGCAGGGGTCACAGGCCTCCCAGAGGGGCAGCAGTAGCCGGGGGCAGGGGGCTCAATCACCAGCAGCCTGAGGACCCAGGGCACCAGGAGCCCCGCAGAGGGCCTCGGTTTGTCTCTTTGCAGGGCTGGGAGCTCTGCAAGGCCTGGGAAGCGGGGAAGGACCTGGCAGGTTGGCATTGAAAAGAGTGGCTGCGGGGGATGGGGCGGGGCATGGAGCTGGAAGGCTGAGCCAGGGTGAGGCAGCGGGGAGGGCAGAGGGTGGACCTGGAGAGTGGGTGAGAGGGCAGAAGGGGGCTGGGCGGAGCGGGGTGCTGTTCCAGCCTCACCACGCCCTGCCTTCCCGGCTTCCCCTGGGCCTGGTCTTCCTGAGGTCACCCCGCCTCCTCCTGTGTCCGGACAGTCCTGACCTGGACACACTGCCTGCTTCCCCATCCCGGCTCCACCCCGATGTTGGCAGGCCACTTGACCTCCTGTGCCTCAGTTTCCTCATCTGTAAGAGCGGGTAGGAGCCACCTCTCCTGCTCCCTGCCTAATACCGACGAGACTGGGTCTGAACTCGGCCCCCGAGTTTCCTGCCAGATCTGCCCGTGGTGGGGGACAGGGGCCTAGACTTTGGGGAAGCTGCCCCCTCCCACCTTGACTAAGATCCCGCCTCCCCAAGGTGCCCACCTGCTCCTCCTGGGCCTTGCCCGGCCCCAGCGGGGGTGAGCACTGTTGCTGACTCTACAGTGGAAGGAGCCCGGGCTTGCAAAGGGGAGGACCGGGGCCGGGGACCCCTCCCTGGAAAGATGCTAGAGAGAGCATCCCTGGTCCCAGCAATGCGTCCGCCCCAAGCACAGCCCCAGTCCCAGGGCTCCGGTGGGGACCACCCACCGATAGGGTCCAGGGCCAGGGAGGGGCGCGTTGCAGAAGGGCTGCTGGTGGCAGCCGTGGTCATGGCCCACCCGCAGCACGGGGGCGCCTCCGCTGCCCGCCATGGGGTCGCCACAGGGCAGCTGGTCCGGAGACAGGGGCAGCGTCATGTAGTGGCCATCGGTCAGCAGCTGTGGGGAGGCCGGAATGTCAGCCAGTGTCTCCGGGTTCTGGAAGCCCCTGGAGGCTGCAGGAGGAGAGAACAGATGGAGGTGGGAGGGGAGAAAGCAGCTTTGTCCTTATGAGTGGGGGTTCTGTGTTCGCCCAGTCTCCAGCCCTGACCCCCCATGCCACCTCCTCCCTCAGGGCCCCCAGAGATAGTCCAGACCCAGTCGACTTTGTTACCCCTGAAGGGGAGCTTCCCTCTGGCCTTTTGTCCCCACCCAGAGCCAGGAGTGGGGAGCAGCGGGCAGTCCCAACCTGCCCAGCCCCAGCCCCAGCCCCATTGCAGTGCACCGGCCCTGCCCCACAGGAGGCCACATCCTCCCAGGTCGCAGCCTCGGTTCCCTGTCCAAAGGAAGAACTACTTGGATTCAGAGAAAGGGTTGCAGAGCCCTTGACAGCTGACAAACCCACCACTAGCACTACTCCCGGGATTTGGTGTTCACTACGTGTGTATTTTTCAATACACATATTACCCCTTTAGATAAAGCCCAATTCATCCACACCTACTCTCCCAAAGGCCCCCACAGGGGCTCAATCATTGAAGGCGCTTGCTGGTGAGGGGCTCCTAGGGCCCACCACTCTCCTCAGCCGTCACCCTCACCCAGGCCCCACAGCAGTCCCCGTACCATTGCTGAAGGCCACCACGAGCCAGACGGTATCGCTGGCGCTGGCAAGCCCATCGAAGACACAGCGCGGCTGCTCCAGGGAGAAGGTGGTGGCTGTGACCTTCCCTTCCAGGTCCCAAGCTGTTATCTGTGGTGTGTAGGGCACCAGCTCTGTGGCCACGGGGGACAAAAGGTGAGCCACGGAGACGGGCGTGGGGGTCCCTGGGGCTGCCTCTCCCAATCGGAGGGGGGCGGGCGCCCAGGGTCCAATCACTCCAGCAGGGCCCCCAGCCCCTTGGGTCTGGCTGGACGCGTCCATCCAGGACCCCCACTCACCCAGGCTCAGGCTGGGCCGGAGACAGTTCAACGCCAGGAGGAGCATCTGCAGCCCTAGGTGAGGCTGCCCCCAGGGTAGCCCCATGACAGCTGCCAGCACCCGGGAGGCTCAGGGGCTGGTCTGGCTGCTTCGGGCTGCACCTCACCCCCAACAGCTTGGCCCTGGAGAAGCTGGTTAATCAGGCTGCCCCAGGGGCTGGAAAGACCTGCAAATGTAAGTGCACCCCACCCCCTTCCTCCCAGGCCAGCCCACAGCAGGGAGGAGCTGGGGGGACTCTGGTGGGAGGCAGGCCAGTATCCAGCCCCACTGCCAGGGCCAAGGGAGAGGGGCCACTGGAACCCCAGATGCCAGCCAGGCCATCCCGGAGCCTGGATTGGGGCCCCTCCCAGTCTCTCCGCCCTGGGGAGGAGGGTCTGGCTTTTGGAAACAGGCTCAGGACCACATGCCTGAGATTCCTGTGCCCCAGGTGCCAGGAGCCTCCCTCTGCCTTCTGTCCCCACCCAGAGTCAGGAGTGGGGAGTAGCAGGCAGCCCCAACCTGCCCAGCCCCATCCCCATCACAGCACGCTGGCCCTGCCCCCCACGAGGCCACATCCTCCCAGTTCGCAGCCTGGGTTCCCTGTCCACAGGAAGAAGAACTTGGATTCAGAGAAAGGGCTGCAGAGCCCTTGACAGCTGACAAGCCCGCCACTTAAACACTACTCCCGGGATTTGGCGCTCACTATGTGTGTATTTTTCAAGACATAACTCACATACCTTCACAACCTTCACAGCTCAGTGGCTTAAATATATATATGTCACCCAGGGAGGTCAGTTCACAGCTAACTGGAGCCTCAAACTCCCAGGTTCAGTTAATCCTCCCACCTCAGCCTTCCCAGTAGCTGGAACCACAGGCACACAACACCATGCTCCGGCTAATTTTTAAAATTTATTTAATTAATTTTTTTTTAAGATGGAGTCTCCTTTGTTGTCCAGGCTGGAGTGCAGTGGCGTGATCTGGGCTCACTGCAACCTCCGCCTCCTGGGTTCAAGCGATTCTCCTGCCTCAGCCTCCCAAGTAGCTGGGATTACAGGCATGTGCCCCACGGCCAGCTAATTTTTGTATTTTTAGTAGGGACGGGGTTTCACCATGTTGGCTTGGCTGGTCTCAAATTCCTGATCTCAAGTGATCCACCCGCCTTGGCCTCCCAAAGTGCTGGGATTACAGGCATGTGCCACCGTGCCTGGCACCCCCGCCAATTTTTTTTTTGTTTTTTTTGAAACGGAGTTTTCACTCTTGTTGCCCAGGCTGGAGTACAATGGCTCGATCTTGGCTCACCGCAACCTCCACCTCCTGGGTTCAAGTGATTCTCCTGCCTCAGCCTCCTGAGTAGCTGGGATTACAGGCATGTGCCACCACACCTGTCTAATTTTGTATTTTTAGTAGAGATAGGGTTTCTCCACGTTGGTGAGGCTGGTCTCGAACTCCTGACCTCAGGTGATCCACCCACCTCAGCCTCCCAAAGCGCTGGGATTGCAGGTGTGAGCCACTGCGCCCGGCTGGCCAATTTTTAAAAATGTATTTTTTATAGAAACAGGATCTTGCTATGTTGCCCAGGCTGATCTCTAACTCCTGGGAGGATCAAGCAAATCTCCTGCCTTGGCCTCCTAAAGTATTGGGATTACAGGCGTGAGCCACCGTGCCTGGCTATTTTTTTTTTTTTTTGAGACATGGAGTCTCACCCTGTCGCCCAGGCTGGAGTGCAATGGCGTGATCTCTGCTCACTGCAACCTCCACCTCCTGGGTTCAAGCAATTCTTCTGCCTCAGCCTCCCTAGTAGCTGGGACTACAGGCACCTACCACCATGCCCAGCTAATTTTTGTATTTTTAGTAGAGATGAGGTTTCACCAACTTGGCCAGGCTGGTCTCGAACGCCTGACCTCGCGATCTACCTGCCTTGGCCTCCCAAAGTGCTGGGATTACAGGCATGAGCCACTGCGCCCAGCTGCTAATTTTTAAAAATATAGTTTTTGAGGCTGGGTGTAGTGACTTACGGCGGTAATCCCAGCACTTTGGGAGGCCGAGGTGGGCAGGTCACTTGAGGTCATGAGTTCGAGACCAGCCTGGCGAACATGGTGAAACCCTGTCTCGACTAAAATTACAAAAATTAGCCGGGTGTGGTGGAACGTGCTTGTAATCCCAAGTACTCGGGAGGCTGAGGCAGGAGAATGACTTGAACCCGGGAGGCGGAGGTTGCAGTGAGCTGAGATCGCACCACCGCACTACAGCGTGGATGACAGAGTGAGACTCTGTCTCAAAAAAAATATAATAAAAATATATTTCTTGTAGAGACAGGGTCTCACTGTGTTGCCCAGCCTGGTCTTGAACTCCTGGCTCAAGGGATCCTCCTGCCTCAGCCTCCCAAAGTGCCCAGATTACAGGCATGAGCCACAGCGCCCAACAGCTTTTAGTATATCAACAAGGTTGTGCAACCATCACCAATTCCAGAACCTTCTTACTTCCCCAAAACGAAACACTACACCCATTAAACGGTAACTCTCCATTCTCCCGTCCCCAGTGACGACTAAGCTACTTCTTGTTTCCATGGTTTTGCCCGTAATGGACATTTCATAGGATGCAGTCACACAACATGTGACCTTTTGTGTCTGGCTTTTGTTACTTTTTCAAGGTTCCTCCTCGACTGTGATTGCTTCATTCCTTTTCACAGTTGAGTAATATTCCATCCTGTGAACGTATCACACTTTCATTCATCAGTGGATGCAGAATTTGTTTTTTTCCACTGTGGGGCTACTGTAAATAATGCTGCCATGAGCATCCGTGCGCAGGCTTCTGTGGGCACATTTTCAATTCTCTTGAGAATGTACCTAGGAGTGGAACTGTGGTCATATGCTAATGCTGCTTTCTGAGGTTCTGTTTGCCAAAGTGGCTGCATTTTACATTCCCAGTAGCAGTGGATGAGGGTCCCATTTCTCGACATCCTCTCCAACACTGCTTTTTGTTTTAGTATAGCCATCGTAATGGGTGTAGTGTGGCATCTCATGGTTTTGTTTTTATATATATTTTTTGAGACGGAGTCTTGCTCTGTCGCCAGGCTGGAGTACAGTGGCGTGATCTCGGCTCACTGCAACCTCTGCCTTCCGGGTTCAAGCAATTCTCCTGCCTCAGCCTCCCAAGTTAGCTGGAATTGTAGGTGCACACCACCATGCCCAGCTAATTTTTGTATTTTTAGTAGAGGGGGTTTCACCACGTTGGCCAGGCTGGTCTCGAACTCCTGACCTTGTGATCCTCCCGCCTCAGCCTCCCAAAGTGCTGGGATGACAGGCCTGAGCCACTGTACCCGGCCAACACTGGGGTCTTCTAGAGAGACCTCACTACCCTTTTTACCCTGGACCAACTTACCATTAGGCACAGTGCCCTGGGCCCACACTATAAGAGCTGACATACATTTTTAATTTCTTTTAAAATCAGAAGGGAAAAAAATGAACCTTTAGGTGAGAGAAAATCCTCTAGTATACATTAATATATTCATCTTTATACCAACATGTTGTAAAATAGGTTTAACAGAGAAAGGGGCTCACCAAGGCCAAAGTGCCTCTGCTTTCCACAGCCATGAATGAGGTGGCCCTACCGTCCCCCTCTGGTCCCAGGCCCAAACTACTCCTCCCGGACAAGCAGCAAGATCTTGACTGGGGATATCTGATCCTCCTTCCAAGAGGAGGAAGAATTAGAACTTTGAGAATGGTGTCAGATCAACCCTGGCCTGGATTCCACCTACCTAGCCAAGCATTCAATCTGTCTCTTTTTATTATGATTTTACAGATGGGATCTTGCTCTGTTGCCCAGGCTGGAGTGCAGTGGTGCAATCATAGCTCACTGCAGCCTTGAGCTCCTGGGCTCAAGCGATCCTCCCGCCTCAGCCTCCCGACCGCTGGGACTACAGACAGGTGCCACCATGCCTGGCTTATTTATTTATTTTTTTGAGACGGAATCTCGCTCTGTGGCTCAGGCTGGAGTGCAGTGGCACGACCTTGGCTCACTGCAACCTCCACCTCCCAGGTTCGAATGATTCTCCTGCCTCAGCCTTCTGAGTAGCTGGGATTACAGCTGCATGCCACCACGCCTGGCTAATTTTCGTATTTTCAGTAGAGACGATGTTTTGCCATGTTGGCCAAGCTGGTCTCAAATTCCTGACCTCAGGTGATCCACCTGTCTCAGCCTCCCAAAAGTGCTAGGATTAGAGGCGTGAGCCACTGCACCTGGCCTAATTTTTTTTTTAGAGATGAGGTCTTGCAATTTTGCTCAGGCTGGTCTCAAATGTCTGGACTACAGTGAGCCTCCTGTCTCGACCTTCTGAGCAGCTGGGATAACAGGCATGCGTCACCATGCCTGGTTCAAGTCATTGCACCTTTGAACCTGTTTCCACATCAGTAAAACAGAGACAGCAGCTCCAATCCTAAGTGAATGGCATTTTGTGAACCACAACCCCAGGGCCACAAAGGTGACAGCTGGTGCTCTGGGGTGACAGCCTCTGGCATGGCAGGGAGATCAGTGTAGGGCATGTGGAGGCCGCACAGCCCAGTACCGTGGGCTCCTCCATGCCTGGCTGTGGCCTGTTCTTCAGTTATCAAATGGGAGCCGATGAGCCCATGGAACCCCCTCTTGCTCTGATGCAGGAAGTGGGGGGGGGCACACACACACACAAGTGCGCACACACGCATGCATGCACACACTCAGGACCTGCTGGCTTTGGCTATAGAGCATTTATTGCAAACAAAATTGAGGTAAAAGAAGCTGACCCAGAACCCACGCCCGTCCAGGCTGGGGAAGTCTCTACTCGCCCCACACCAGGCCCCGAGCACCGCGGGCCCGAAGCAGCCCCCAGAGGACAGACGGGCCCTGCGCACTGAGGTAGCTGCATCCTAAGCCCCCATGAGTACAACTGCCCAGGGCTGCCCAATTCCCAGAGGGGAGGAGGAGAGAGAGGCAGGCAGGGGGAGCCCCGGCTTCAGGTGGGGCACACCCCACACCCTCAACAAACCTCCCAGCCTCTCGGGCTGGGCACTTCCTGCCTGGCCACCCAGCCAGCCATGGGGCAGCGGGGTGGCCACCAGAGGCGGGCGTGCTGGGGTGCGAGGTCACTGCTGCTCCAGGCAGTCCTCGGTCACCCCCTGGGCAGCCAGCTCAGCCAGCACGTTCTGCAGGTAGTTGGGGTCGGGATAGCCGTGGCCCGTAATGTTGCGGTCCATCTCTGTCTTGTGGTGGATCTCGTTCCATACCACGGTGTCCGTCTCACCCGTGGTGCTGGACGTGCCCACTGTGAAGATGAGCCGCCTCTTCCAGGCCACCTTCAGGAGCTCTAGGACCTGCCCGGGGAGGAGGAGGGGGAAGAGGAAGGAGGGGACGGAGAGTGAGAGGGGCTCAGTGAGCAGGCACGGGTTGGCACCATGTTCTTCCCATCCCAGCCCCTCCCAGGTGACTCATCCACTCCCTGGCACTCACCCCATCTGCAGGGACCCCAAAACTGCCCACTGGATAGTACATTAGGATCCCACATGAACCTGGGCTCCAGCCCACCCCGCCTCAGTGCCTGGCACTGCCATCCGTTTGGTCCTGATGCCCAGGCACCATGCTCGAGTCCTCCCTGCTTCCACAGCCGTTGCTGGACGAGCGCCCGCCCACCCACCCTCCCTGGTGGAATCCAGGCCTCCCTGCCCTCTCCCTGCCCTCTCCCCGCCTCCAGCTCCGCCACCTCAAGCCCATTCTCACACGGCCAGAGCTTTTCCAAAGCTCCATCAGCAGCTCCACCTCCGTGGCTTCGCTGGGCGCTCAGAACCAGCTCTACCCCTGGTGCTGGCCTGGGGGGCACCCTGTCTTCACACCCACACCACGGGCTCCCACTATCCTGCCTTCCTGGAAGGCTCGTCCCCAACCTTCTCTGCAGCCACAAAGTCCCTATTCATGTCTCAGTGCAGACACCACTGCTCCAGCCTTCCGTGGTCACCTGGTCTAACACAGCCCCCGGTCCCTGCCTGTCACACTCTGACTCTCAGGAGCTCCTGACCCCACCCGGCAGGGTGCTGGAAGGTGATGGCCTCTCCTCCTCCCTCGAGGCTATGTGAGGTCCAGGCTGCCCTCCCTGTACCTACAGCAGGTCCCCAGAAAAGAGCAGCAGACACTCGGCCCGGCCTCAGCCTCTGTCCTCCGCTGCAGAAGCAGAGTCCAGTGTGGCGCCTGGCCTCCTGCCGCCTGGTCAGGGCCCCGTCCACCCCCCGGGCGCATGGTGGCACTCACCTTGCGGCCCTGGGCGTTGTCTGGAAGGTAGCACTGGCGGGGAAACCCTCTGGCAGTGAACGGCTTTCCGGGATTGGGGTGCTCAGGGCCCTGCGGGAGGAACAGACACCAGGATAGGGTGCTCCGAGAGCCCGCACAGGGACAGGCCCCTGCACAGCTCCAGCTCCTCCCCCGCTCCGAGATGCCAACCCCGAATGTTCCTGAATTTCCCTCTGAGCTGTGGAGAAGTGGAGGGAAACCAGGGGAAAGGCTCATGGTTCAACAAGACAAAAAGATGCCTCCATCCACCACAGGTGGACCTTGGCTGGCAGCCAGTGCCCGCTGCCTGCTGCCCCGTTATCTTCCCACCCTGCCCCAGGCCCTACGATCCACCTTGGCTCAAGACAGGAGACCGAAAGGGCTAGGGCCCGTCTGAGTCTCCTCTGGGACTCTGGGGCCTTGTGCCTGGGCTCCTGACACCCACACGCCTGGCCCTGCCACTCCCAACCCAAGGTTCCTCGACGCACACCCTGCTGTGGCCCCGCTTCTCCAGCCCCTCCGCAGGGTTCCTCCCACTGAACTGCCTGCCCTTCTGCCCAGAACAAGTCCAGCTAAGATGGCTCCTCCTCTAGGAAGGCTTCCTTGGTTCAGGAAAGAGTGGAGGGCCAGCCTTTTGCTGCCACAGCCCTAAGAGCTTACCCTAAGCCCCGGCACTGCCTCCCCATTCCCGGCCCTCCATGGCTCTGGCCTTAGGGGACCTGGGGGCCTGAGCTTGGCCACATGGGCATCCTCAGCCTTGATCCAGGGGCAGACTGCTGGGATGTGGGCGGGGTGGGAAGAGGAGTGGCCAGGAGTGGGGGACTCAAGAAGGCCCCTCACCTGGATACCATGGGGAATGCTGTAAACTATGAGGATGGTCCCGCAGTCCTCGTGGCCGGGGAGCGACATCTGGAACCGTAATACCTCCATCTTTCCCTGGGGCTGGGTCCCCGTCTTCTCTCCATAGATGGTTTTGCAGGAGGGACACTGCAGACTTCCATCCTGACAGAGGCAGACGCAACCCACTGAGCTGGCAGTCTGAGAACACCCAAGACCGTCACCTCCACCGTCAGATGGTAAAGGGCCCCGGGAATGGGCTGGCCACCATCCCAGGGAGTTGCTGGCAGCCTCCTGCCCGGAAACTGGCTTCCAACAGCTTCCCTGGAAAGCTTTGTTTTGCACCAGCAACTCATGCCATTTTCGTTAAGGGACATGCTATCAGGAGACAGGTGGCGAGTGGGAAAACTCGGATCCTGAGCAGAAATCTCCACGGGTGAATCGCATTTGCAGTCGGATAGACAGCCTTGCAGCGTCTGATCTGCGGAGCTGGGCCCTGGCTGCCCAGGATGGCAGACACTAGGGAAGGCCGAGCCAGGCTCCGATGCGCCACATGACTCGGTTCTCTAAGCCTCTAAACTCTGCCCATCCCGCCTGAAGGCCGATGCAGGGAGAGCAGCTGGGGGTCAGTCTGGGCGCGGCTCTTCATGTGTAGGCTGCTGTGGGGCCCAGGATCAGCCCTGCCTCAAGGCCTGGCTCCCACCTCCCAGTGGGGTGACCCTGGGCACAGCCCCTGCTCTGAGCCTCTCCCTCATGAGCACTGTGCTGACTGCACAGGGATGCTGTAAGGAAGAAGGGAGACAGTGTCTGCGGTGCTTACAAGTGGCCGAGGGGGAGGCGGTGCCCTGGGGCTCAGAGAAGCCCAGAATCTTCTCAGGCCTGGCTGGAGGGGTGGAGGGAACCAGCCGCACTGGTCCTCCTTTCTAAAGTGTGGGGCAGACCTAGAAGAGTAGGGCAGGCCTAGGAGAGCCGGCCAGGCCTTTAGAAAGGTCTTCAAGCTGGCCCCACGCCCAGCACCATCTTTTGCAGAGGCCCATTCCTACAGCCACCCCCGGAACCCTCCCGCCCCTGCAGGGGACAGCTCAGGACTGTGGGGGCGGGCCACCCGCCTCCGCCCTGGGCCAGTGGGGGCACCTTATTGCCGTTGCAGTACATGGCCAGGAGGCACAGCAGGTGGAAGGCATGGCTGCACTTGGTGAGGTGGCCCACAGCTAGGGACCCGATTGCCTTGCTGTCAGTCACATCGCTGTATCCAGACGCTGTGGACAGCTTCTCCATGCAGATGATGCAGTCCTGGAGGAGACCAAACATGGGTCATGCTCGCCAACAGTGGGCTGGGCTGACGTGGGCCAGTCTTGGAAAAAGAGGCTTTCATGTGCTGAAATGCTGGAAGTGCAGTCAAAGTCAATTCCGAGGCCAGGCGCAGTGGCTCAGGCCTGTAATCCCAGCACTCTAGGAGGCCGATCACTTGAGGTCAGGAATTTGAGGCCAGCCTGGCCAACACGGGAAAACCCCATCTCTACTAAGAATACAAAAATTAGCTGGGCGTGTTGGCAGGTGCCTATAATCCCAGCTACTCGGGAGGCTGAGGCAAGAGAATCGCTTGAACTCAGGGGGCAGAGGTTGCAGAGCTGAGATTGTGCCACTGCACTCCAGCCTGGGTGACAGAGCGAGACTCCGTCTCAGAAAAAAAAAAAAAAAAGTCCATTCCACAGGCTGGAGACACAGGTGAGTCACCGGGACCTGTGCCTCTGAAGGGCTTACCAGCAGCACAGGCCCGACATGACAGCAGAAGCCACCAAATGGGGAGGACGGACAGGGCAGGATCCTGGGGGAGGCCCTCGGCGTGGGGTCTTACAAGGGAGACAGGAATTGCCAGATGGACAAGCACAGAGTGGGCACCCGGAAGAGGGAGGAGGACGTTCTGAACGAGGAGCCAGCTCATGGGCACTAAAGCTGGCAGGGGGTGGGCTGGGAGCAGGAGATGAGACAGGATCAGGGAGAGGCGCGCCCTCGGGGGTCTGGCTGCCACACTCAGGGGCTTGGGGCTGTGTGTGAGTTGGGGGTCCTGCTGGCGGTTCCAGGCAGGGAGTGCTCCCATGATCCAAGCTGCGTGCTGGCTGTGCAGACGGCAGCTTGGAGAGGAGGAGCCTGGGGTGAAACGGCCCAGTCACACCAGATGGACACCAGGGCCGAGACAGAGCTGAGCGCTGGGCAGGCGGGAATGTGGCAAGGGCTTGTGGAAGGGGTGGGACACATGAGGAGGACGTTCAGGCTCCTTTCCAAACCTTTACTTACCAGATTTTTCTCATGGACTCAACAGACTGGAGAAAGAGACAAGTGAAGAGTCCCTGGGTACTGGGGCTCCTGGCCTTCCACCCGCCCCCAAGTATCTGAAGATCTCTGGGTACTGGTACTCCCGGCCGTTCACCCACCCCCTCCCCCAACAGTATCTCCAGGGCTCCCAGCTAAAATCAGGGGAAAGTGGTGCTGCAGCCCCCAAAACGTGGCTCAGTAGAGGTTCAGGTTCTATGGAAGCGCAACAGGAGTCTGATTGGTCCTGTTCATTACAGGAGGTCAGGAGGACAGGGCTGCAGTGAGCTGTGATCACGCCACTGCACTGAGCCTGGGCGACAGTGTGCACCCGTCTTTAAGAATAAAAAAATTATAAGAACCTTGACCAGCTCTCCCAATAGCCGGGGGGCAGGACAGCCACCTGGACGAGGCCACCTCACTTCTACACCAGCATCCGCAAGGTGGAGAGTGGGGCAGGCTGGCCCATCCCTTGTCTCTGGAATTCCTGCTCCCAGGATGGCCATCAGGCTATGGAGAGGCCAGGGCCGGGAGAGGAGGGGCTTTGCTCAGGACCACAGCTCCTTAAGTGCAAAGCTCAGACCATAACGATGTGGGTCTCGGGAGGCTGGGAGATGAAACCAAAGGGGCTGGAGCAAGGCCCTGGCACCCAGAGGCACCTGGGAAGCACCCTTCAAGCAAGATGGGGCGGATGTCCTTTCCATGTGGAGTTGTTTCCAAACAGAAACAAAGGCAGCCAAGGTCCCAAGACACAAACCTCATCTGGGGGCACTTTCAGCTCTTCCGTGTAGTTTTTTATGACCTGCTCTGGCTCTGGCTCTGGCTTCGGGGTCGCTCCTAGAAGAGAGAAGTACATAAGCAGCGTCCTGAGGAGCACAGGCTGGAGAGGAGGCCAGAGGGCGAGGAAGGGAAGGAAGAGGTCTAAGCTGCCAGGAGGAAATGCGAGAGGGGCCCAGACAGGGAGGCCAGTGTGCGGGACGGGAGAGCTCAGCGCCAGGCACAGAGCCCCGAGCTCCGTCGGGCAAAGCCTTCCCCAGTCCCACCGTCCGGGGACCCGGCTCAGCCCCAGGAGCCATGGAGGATGCAGAAGAGCAGAAACAGCAGCACAGTCTCCTGGGAGCCGCATCCCCGCGCACATTGAGTGAGGAACCGACCCCGGCGCTTCTGAGGCTGCGCGGAAGAGTCAGACAGCCGCTTCGGGCACAAACTACTCCAGGGGGCGTTGTGGCACCACGATTTGATTCAACTTGCATTACCCTGGCATGAACATCACAGGGACAAGGGAGTCTGGGGTCCAGCATGTACAGGCAGCTGCACACACGCCGACCGCCACACAGACACTGTCCCGGGAAACGCCTGCCACTGACTGGGAAGGTCTGTCACATGCAGACTAGCTCCTAAGTCCAGCGACTCTGGGGAGGGGCCAAGACGTGGCAGGAGCCCACCCTGACGGCCTCACTCGCTGTCTGTGCACACGTGCACGAAGCTGGAGGGAGAAGGGCTGCATCTCCATAAACACCGAACCCCACATCCAGTAAAGCCTCTCCTACGGACAAGAAGCTCCTGAGCTGGTGAGGATCGGCGCGGCCCGGGGCGTTCTCTAGGTAGTGGGAGTAGCAGAACCACAGAAGCCAGCAGCCAAGCCCGTGCGGGGGTGAAAGAGGGACGGGGAGCCCAGTGCCACCCGTGGAGGCGCTCCTGACAGGGGCTCCACCCCAAGGTCATGGTGGGGCTGCGGTCGTCCCAGACTCCAGGACCAGAAGGGGCTCTGGTTTGAATCCAAGCTCACGGCCTTCAGGGGCTGCAGAGAATTCTAAGCCTGAGGGCTCACAACTGCACCTGCTGAACTCCCTTTACACCAAAAAGGGCCAGGGAGGGGACAGTTTGGCAGGGAGGTGGCGTGGTGGGGTGGAGGCTGGAGTCGGCACGGTTTGTTTAATTCTAGTTCTCTTGCTGTGAACGAATCATGCCACCTCTGAGCCTCGGTTCCCTGATCTCAAACGGGAAAGACGAATATGTAACCAAGCTGGAATTGCTGTGATGGCATGGCTGCTGTGACCTGGAGGGAAACTGCTGGCAAGACCACACCCCCCAACCCCCATCCACACACCCCACACCTCCACACCTCCTCACACCCTACACCTCCATACACCCCACACAGCTCCACACACCCCACACCTCCACACACCTCACACCTCCACACACCACACACAGCTCCACACACCCACCTCCACACACCTCACACCCCACCTCACACACCCCACACTTCTACACACCCTACACACCTCACCCCTCCACACACCTCACACCTCCATACACCCCACACACCCACCTCCATACACCCCACACCTCCACACACACTCCACACACACTCCACACCTCCATACACCCCACACCTCCACACACCCCACACACCCTCACCTCCACACACCCCACACACCCTCACCTCTACACACCCCACACACCCCACACCTCCACACACCCATACAGACTGCCCGAACCCAAATCCTGTCACGGTGGCGAGAACGCCAGACCAGAACGATGGCCCCCAGCTCAGGGTCGCCCTCCGTGTGGCTGGAATGCCCTACTCAGGCTGAGGGGGGCCTTTTCCTTTGGAAAAGCCTGCCAACTCCAGAGCCATCTCCGGGTGAGCCTGGGCCTCGCCTCTGCCCAGCCCTGGTGAGGCCGGGCACAGCATCCCACCCCCGCCCACCCACCCCAGCCCTTGCAGCTTTTCAGAGCAGAAGGGAGCTTTCCATTAGCCACGTGTCTCAGAAGGGGCCAGCCAGGCGACCCACCAAGAGCGTGTCCTTCCCAGGTAAACCCGAGTGCCACAGAAGGTTGCCAGCCCGGGCTGCCAACGAGTCTGGCTCCTCCCCCAGGGCAGGGGAAGGGCAGGGCGTGCAGAGCCCTGGGCTGGGGGCAGGAGCTCGAGGCCCACCCCTCCCTGAGCCCACCTCCTCGCCTGTGGGCTGGAGGTCGGACACGATCGGAAGCCACCCTTGCCGCATGCCAGGCGCTTCGAGTATTTCCTAGACCTCGCCAAGCCCCTCTGCTAAGCGGAGGCTCCGAGAGGACCTGCTGAGATGACACAGACACTGAGGGCCAGCAGGGCCACGGCCACCCTCCCTGCCCGCCACCACGCCCACTCAAGAGCGTCTGGACTGGCCACAGTCCACACTTCCACAGCCCAGGGGTGGAAGCAGGGCCAGCACCCGCTTGGGAAAGGTTCAGAACTTGACCATCACAGGCTGCTCCGAGCAGGTCTTGCTGTAACTCCCTGGACCTGCTGTGGTCCTAAAGCCCCTTCTTCTGTGGCCATGCAACGAGCAGGGCAGGGGTCACCGAGGGACCCCTCTCAAGCAGCCCACGTGGCGGCCACACAGGGCTGGGGGTCAGGGCAGCAGACCTGGGCAGCAGACCTGGGCCGCTGTCTGGGGGCCTTTCCCGAGACACGTGCTGGCCCTGGCGGAAGGGACGGTTGTCCCCGCATCCTGAGCCGGGCGCCGCCTCTCACCCACAACTTGTTGCTTACAAAAATCACAAAGTCCTCAAGAACAAGCCCCCTCATGCCAGCTGTGACTGGAGGAGAGGAGCTGAACTCTGGGGCTGCGGTGGAAAGTCAGCTTCCAGGGGCCGCCTCTGCTGCCGAGCGGGGGCAGGGAGAAGGGCCACTGAGCCCCTTCCCCCAGGAGTCAGGGAGCAGAGAGAAGGAAGAGGGTCTGTGCAGAAGAGTCAGAGGCAGCGAGGCCGGAAGGAGGCTTAGCAAAGGCCAGAGAGCTTTTGGGAACAAGAACTACCTTTCACGGACATTTTCCTCAATCTCTTAACTGAGCCGTGACTTTTGGAAGCCAGACGGGAGGCGGGAGGGCTGGTGGGCTGGGGTGCGCGGCTAAGACACACAGGGAGTCCAATGGCTGACATCAGAACACTCGTCATGCCTGCACGGGTGTGAGAGCAGACACGCAGAGAGGGAGAGACATTAGAAGACTCCTTCGGCATGTGACGCCAACAAACCCTGCTCAGGCCAAGGATGTGACACCATCAATGGCCACGGGGACGCACAGGTCTCCCTGGGGACTACCCAGGCCAGGAATCAGAGGGTGGGGCAGCCTGGCTCATGGTAGCCCTGGCCCCAGAGCCCACAGGTTTCTATAGGAGCAACAGACAAGCCCGTGCCCTCAGTGTGCAGGTGGGCACCGGGGCAGGACCCGTGACTTCAGGAGAGCAGAGGGCGGAGGACGCCACTCCAGGAAGCCGCCCGGGGCACGGGGTCTCCTGGGTGGGGCTGGCTCCAAGGGCTCAGCTTCCCCAGGAGGCCCTGGGCCCTCCTGGCTTGGAGTTACTAGGCCTCCAGCCTCCACTGGGTGCTGTGTGTGCTCCATGCCCCTCCTGGCTGATCTGGGTGCCAGGGCCTTCAGCGACAGCGCTGGGGTAGGCGGGCAGGAACGTGGCCCCTGGGCCTGCTCCCACACTGCAGCATCCCCATACTGTGAGGGCTGGGCTGCAGCAAGGCCCCAGGCTGTGGCTCTGGCGCCCTCGGGCAAGGGTGGGCCTGTGGCCAGCAGCTATGCTGGGACAGACCGGCCACTCTTTCCAGAGCTCACCACTGCCGGATGCCTGCAGGGAACCCCACACTTGCCCTGGGGGACTCTCCTCTGACACTGCTTCCTTCGTGCTCCCTGATGACCCAGCGCTTCCTGGGACACAGCGTGTCCTGCTGGACGAACCCGTTCCTGCCACACCCTCGGCCTACCCCACTTTCCATAGTGCCAGCTCCCCGGTCCTCCCTGTCATCGGTCAGTTAGGTCAAAAGCACCTCCTCTCCAGAGAAAGGGGAAGCCTAGAGCTTCTTAGCCATCTCTTAAGGTGGCTTCCAGGGTCTGCAGAACCTGGCTCAGGAGCTGGGCACAGCCGGCTGCCGGGGGAGTTGGTAGAAATCCCAGTCCTCCTGGACCCCACTCCCCATCCAGGAACAGATGGCGTGACTCAGGGGTGAAGGGCGGCCAGGCCAGCCACTGCGCCCCCACTAGAAGAACAAAGCTTCTCAACCCGGCACATGTGCCTGGCTGTGGGGACAGAAGCGGAGACCAGCCACCAGCCTGGGCAGCAGAGCCGAGGTGGGCAGGGTGAGTTGCAGTGGCCCTCAGCAGGAGACACCAAAGCGTGCATCAGAGGACAGAGGTTTGAGCCCGGGAGCTCAATGCCCCCAACATCCCAAGCTTGTTCCTGGGCTCAAATGCGGTTCCTGTGGGAACTGAATGTCGGGTGGAGAGAAGGACAAGCGGGCGCGGGTGGCAGAGAGATGAGAGAGGACAAGGACAGGTGCAGTTTTCCTCAAGAGAATCTGGTGCCTCTGCGCTGCCCACGTCGTCTGGGAGGACCAAAGGCCAGGACACGTCTCCCTACCCAGGGTTCTCCGGCAACACTGCCTCAGCGGGCAGGCCTTCCCTGAACACTGCCTGACGGGGCCTGTCCCTCCAAGCCTCCCGCCCCACCCTGCTGGACTCCTGCTTTGCACTCCCCTCTGTTTCTATGGACTGTCTTCCCTCAGCACGAGTTCCACGAGGTCCCACCCGTAGCTGCATCTCCAGCACCCCGCTGGGGCAGTGCCTGATCCCTGGGAAGCCTGCAGCCCTCTGTGTTTGCTGAGGAATGAAGACATCCTTGGGCCACCACCAGCCCCCAGGAGGCCGCATGAGTGACACACGTGTCCTTTTCAATGCAGGACCCACTCCCCTGAATTCAAGTCACAAACACACAAGTTTCAACCCAGAAGCCTGGAGAGGAGGAGGGCTAGGGACAGCCCCCCAAACTCCTGACAGCCCCCAAAACACCTGAATAACTCGGAGGGCCACAGCCTTTTTCTCCACCCATCTGGGAGGATTCCCGCTGTCAGAGCCCTGAAGAGTGAAGCCCCCACTCACTGATTCTCACTTCCAATTTGCAGACACCCCTCCTTCTGACACCCAGGGCCAGGGCTGAGATCCAAGCCTCTCCTCTGTGCGCTCTGACCTCCCCAGCCTGGGTTCGAGCCCAGTGCCAGCCCTCACCAGCTGAGCAGTCCTGGGCAGGCTGCTGACACCCATCCCTGCCCCAGGCAGCAGTGTGAGCTGTGGATGGACCGCTGCTGTGACCAGGTGAGGGGTGGAGACCCTGGCTCCAGCCTCACAGTCCCTGCCCCCACCCGATAGAGGGACTGGGCTATGCCACAGCCAGGGGAGCTGTCACCTGGAGGCACTGTCACCTGGAAGCAGTGCCTCCAGCACTCAGTCCTTCCAAAGCATGACCTCCTGGTTATAAACCTCTCTGCAAAAAGCCTGTGCGCAAACGCTCGTCTCCGCAGCCGGGCATGGTATAATTCCTCAACCCACAAGCACACCAGGGTGACAGGACACTGCTCTCCAGCTCTGGCTCCGGGGTGCTGGCCAGGCTCCTCTCATTCCCTGCTCCCCTAGACAATGCTCCCCCAGTAGGTACCAACACTGGGCCTTGAATTGGGGGAGGCAGGAGTCTACACAGCCTCCAGGCTCTCCTATTTCCTTAGGCCTGAACCAGCTTCCCGAATCTATTTCCCCACAAGTAAAATGGATGTTAAAATACCTGCTTTAGCTCCAGGATTGCTCTGAGAGCAACGGGGACAGACAACAGGATGGACAATTTGGGACACAGCCTGGACAGGACCTTCAGCCTCAAGAGCAGAGGAAGGGGGCAGGTGCTAACTCCACACCCAGAGCACTTAGATCTGTGTCATGGCCTCAGAGGTCGCTCACTGTCAGGCCTGGCCACGAAGGCTTGCGAGAGCCCCAGAACTGGAAGGAGCTGGGCCATGAGGAACCGTGTGGGGGCCCCGTCTGTTTACCCACAACCTGTCTCCAATGCCACCACGGCCGCACATGCACACACGGTACACTGTGATTTCCCTACGGCGCCGCACGGTGACTTCAGTGGGCAGGGACTTTCTGGCCAGTGTGTCTTGCTCATTCTGTCTCCCCTGCCCCACTCCAGCTCCTCTCCCTCCTGCCCCCACCTCTCTGGCCGCTCCTTCATTTTCTCTTCAGTCCTGCCCACGGTCTCTGTGGCACACACGCTCCCACGAGGGGTCAGGGGCACCCCATTCCACCCAAGACTGCTCTTCTGAGGCCCACAGCCAAATCCCACTGCCCCGGAACAGCTCCAACGGCCACTCCACAGCCATCACCCCCTCCCAACCTCCCCCTAGACTCAGCAGCACTGAACCGTCATAGGCAAGAAGGCCCGGGGCTGTGTCTCAGCTCTGCCAAGGGCTGGCAGAGAATTTTTAAATTCTCCGAGCCTCAGTTTCCTCTAATGAAAATGGGAACAAAAGCCTCCACCTCAGTGATTTAAGGACGAAATGAATTCACACACGCCAAGCCCCAGGCTGCTCCTCAGTTGTGACTGGCTGCACTCCAGCAGGCCTCAGTCTACCCCCAATCCCCCCTCACAACCCCCCGCCTGACGGCTCATGCCTCTGAATGTTTCAAGCCAAACCTCCCCCTCCACTCCACTGCCTCGAAGCTGGTCAGGCCTTGGCTGGTGCCCCCAGGTCTGAGGTCAGGCTCTGCACCAGCCGCCCTACCTCCAGGCCTGTCCCCTCTCAGCCACTATGACAGCAACTCCCCTAAAACACCAACTCATTATTGAATTCCGCCACATCACCCTGTGAACAACGATGGCGCCATCCACCTCCTTACATACCTCGAACTTTCCAGAAGTTAGAAAATAACCTCAGCTGGGCGTGGCAGCTCATGACTGGAATCCCAGCACTTTGGGAGGCCAAGGCATGAAGACGGCTTGAGCCTGGGAGTTCAAGACCAGCCTGGGCAACATAGTGAGACCCTGTCTCTACAAAAAATAAAAAACTTCCCTGGCATGGTGGCATGTGTCTGTAATCCCAGCTACTCAGGAGGCTGAGGCAGAAGGATCGCTTCAGCCCAGGGGTTGGAGGCTGCAGTGAGCTATGACTACACCACTGCACACCAGCCTGGGGAACAGAGCAAGATCCTGTCTCTTATAACAAGAAAAAAAAAATGGCCAGGCACGGTGGCTCATGCCTGTAATCCCAGCACTTTGGGAGGCCGAGGCGGATGGATCACTTGAGGTCAGGAGTTCAAGACCAGACTGGTCAACATGGCGAAACCCCATCTCTACTAAAAATACAAAAATTGCCCGGGCGTGGTGGCATGCACCTGTAATCCCAGCTACTCGGGAGGCTGAGGCAGGAGAATTGCTTGAACCTGGGAGGCAGAGGTTGCAGTGAGCCGAGATCCCACCACTGCACTCCAGCCTGGGCGAGAGAGACTCCATCTCAAAAAAAGAAAAAAGAAAAAAAATCCTGCCACCTGTGGAGCTTCTGAAAACCCTGCTAGCCAGGCTGCTAAAACAGAATGGGTGTGGGGGCCAGCAGTAGGTATTTTTAAGGATCCTTAAGGTGAAAGGATTGCTTGAGCCCAGGAGTTCAAGACTTCAGTGAGCTGGGTTAGCGCCACTGCACTCCAGCCTGGGTGACAGAGCGAGACTCTTGTCTCACAAAAAACCAAACCAAACCCAAAACAGTTCCAAGATGTAAGATGTATGGTTAGTACAGCAAAAGATCTGGTTGGACCCAAAAGGTGCCTCTTATTCAAGATGTAAGAGTAACTACAGCCGAAATAGATCTATTAATTCCCCAGAGGGCCCCTTTAAGGAAATGTTTAAAGTATTTCAGGACAGGAAAGTGACTATTTAAATATAATGCAATTCAATGCAAAAATGTTAAAGGATGTGAAAAGGTCTGCACCCGAGCGCCCACCGTCATCAGGCCCACGTACCCAGAGAGCAAAAGGAGGGGCACCTGGGCTCACTCTGGGGTGACACCATCACCAGAAAGAGGCACTGCTCCCCCAGGGAGCCCCTTTGGCTCTCCCTGAGGATCCAGAGGGTGACAAGGCCCCACATCACAATTTCCTCCCCACCAAGTCCGCAGGGCACAGACTGCTCTGCAGCCCGAGGTCAGGCACCTACCTGCGAGCGCCTGCTGGACTCTGCTGGGCTTTGGCATCTGCATGGGCACAGTGGCAGGGACGCTCCCTGGGCTGCTTGAGGGACCGCTGGGGAGGGAGGCACTGGGGGAGAAAAGAGCAGAGCTTACTGCACACCGCTGACTTATTGGAAACGAGAGCTGGAGAAACACTGCGTCATGGCCAAGTGGGAGTCACTGAGGTGTCTTCGCGCTTTTACGCTCCTTGGGTGCCTGTGTGGAGGCCTTTGGTTTTGTTTTCCTGGGCAATTCAGAGAGACTCAGGAGGGGTGTGGTGGCTCACACCGGTAATCCCAGCACTTTGGGAGGATGAGGTGGGAGGATCACTTGAGGCCAGGAGTTTGAGACCAGCCTGGGCAACATAGTGAGACTCCATCTCCAAAAAAATTTTTAAAAGTCTGCCAAGTGTGGTGGTGCGCACCTGTACTTGGGAGGCTGAAGCAGGAGGATGGCTTGAACCCAGGAGGTTGAGGCTGCAGTGAGCCATGACCACATCACTGCAGTCCAGCCTGGGCGACAGAGTGAGACCCTGTCTCAAAAAAAAAAAAATAAAGACTCTGAAAACAATCATTTCATACCTGTTGTGAATAAAGAAAATAAAAAGAAAAAAAAAGATATTTTATACTCACTAGTGTCATCAAAATGCAGGCTCTCAGGCCAGGCGTGGTGGCTCACGCCTGAAATCCCAGCACTTTGGGAGGCCGAGGCAGGTGGATCACAAGGTCAGGAGATTGATACCATCCTAACACGGTGAAACCCCATCTCTACTAAAAATATAAAAAATTAGCTGGGCATGCTGGCACACAGCTGTAGTCCCAGCTATTCATTAGGCTGAGGCAGGAGAATCACTTGAACCCAGGAGGTGGAGGTTGCTGAGACCGTGCCACTGCACTCCAGCCTGGACAACAGAGCAAGACTCCGTCTCAAAAAAAAAAAAAAAATGGCTGGGTGCAGTGGCTCACGCCTATAATCTCAGCACTTTGGGAGGCCAAGGTGGGTGGATCGCGAGGTCAGGAGTTCAAGACCAGCCTGGCCAAGATGGCAAAATCCTGTCTCTACTAAAACTACAAAAATTAGCCAGGCGTGGTGGCAGGCGCCTGTAATCCCAGCTACTTGGGAGGCTGAGGCAGGAGAATCACTTGAACCTCGGGCAGCAGAGGTTGCAGTGAGCCGAGATTGCACCACTGCACTCCAGCCTGGGCAACAGAGAGAAACTCAGTCTCAAAAAAAAAAAAAAAAAAAGCAGGTTCTCATAGCACCTGTTTAGAGGAGAAAAATCCTGGCAGACACCACTTTAGCAAATGATCATGACCGTCATCACCAGTAAAAGACAGGTCAGTATCATAAACCCCACGATAGGATGCTCTGGGAGGGATGCAACACCATTTTGGGGGGATTTAATGTCAAAAATGCATTATCTAGCCTGGGCAACAATCAAGACCCCATCTCTAAAAAGTAAAAAACTAGCCAGGTGTGGTGGCATGCACCTGTGGTCCCAGCTACTTGAGAGGCTGAGGCAGGAGGATCACTTGAGCCTGGGAGTTCAAGGCTGCAGTGAGCTATGATCTCACCACTGTACTCCAGCCCAGGCTGGAGACTCTGTCAAAAAAGAAATAATAAAGGGCATTATCTTTGTCCAAACATGGGAAAACAAGACAAACTCAAATTAAGGGACATTCAACAAAGCACCTCTTTGAAAGTAACAAGGTTATGAAAGATAAAGACTGACAAACTGTTCCAGCCCAGAGGAGGACGGGGAGAATAAGAACTGGAAGCAAAGTGGGACCCTGGATTGGATCCTGGGACAGAAAGAGGACAGTAGTGGGAAATTGGTGAAAAATCAAGAAAGAAAAAAAAAACCTTTAGTTAAGAGTATTATACCAGTGGTAATTTTCTTTTTTTGGGGGGGTGAGGGGACGGAGTCTCGCTCTATTACCAGGCTGGAGTGCAGTGGTGTGATCTTGGCTCACTGAAACCTCTACCTCCCAGGTTCAAGCGATTCTCCTGCCTCAGCCTCCTGAGTAGCTGGGACTACAGGTGCGTGCCACCACACCCAGCTAATTTATGTATTTTTAGTAGAGACGGGGTTTCGCTATGTTGCCCAGGATGGTCTTGATCTCTCGACTTCGTAATCCGCCTGCCTTGGCCTCCCAAAGTGCTGGGATTGCAGGAGTGAGCCACCGTGCCCAGCCAACCAGTGGTAATTTTCTGGATCTGACAACTGAACCATGGTTATGAAAGCTGTTAATGTCAGAAGCCAGATGAGGGAGATATGGAAACCCAACTACTTTTGTTAACTTTTCCGGAACTTAATTACCATAAAATAAAGGTTGTTGTTTTTTTTTTTTTTAATATGAGGGTTTTGTTCCCTACAATGATTATGTTCAAGTCACTCATTTGGTCTTTGGATTTTTTGAGACAGAGTCTCGTTCTGTGGCCCAGGCTGGAGTGCAGTGGCATGATCTTGGCTCGCTGCAACATCTGCCTCCTGGGTTCAAGCAATTCTCGTGCCTCAGCCTCTCAAGTAGCTGGGATTACAGGCATGAGCCACCACACCCTGCTAATTTTTGTATTTTTAGTAGAGACAGGGGTTTCACCGTGTTGGCCAGGCTGGTTTCAAACTCCTGACCTCAGGTGATCTGCCCACCTCAGCCTCCCAAAGTGCTGGGATTACAGGCATGAGACACCATACCTGGCCACTCATTTGGTCTTAAGTCATCATATTTCTTTTTTTTAAGAGGTAGGGTCATGCCGGTAGAGTGACACACTGGAAGCATGCTGGGCCCAGAGTTGGGGTCTTGCTCTGTTACCCAGGCTGGAGGGCAATGGTGCGATCATAGCTCACTGCAGCCTCCACCTCCCAGGTTCAAGTGATCCTCCTGCCTCACCCTCCTGAGTAGCTGGGACTACAAGTGAGCACCACCACACCTGGCTAATTTTATATATATAGAGAGAGAGACAGAATCTTGCTATGTTGTCCAGGCTGGTCTGAAACTCCTGGCCTCAAGAGATCCTCCCACCTTGGCCTCTGAAAGCACTGGGATTATGGGCATGAGCCACTGTGCATGGCCTGTTTGAGTTTGTTTGTTGACTGTTCTCAAACAGGATTGCCTCTGTGGCCGTGCTAAGCAAAGAGCAGCTTCTTGCTCTCCTTGCCTACTCCCGATCCAAAGGCAAGGCTGGTAGTGGATCTGGGGGCCCTGATAATGCTAAGAAGGGCAGGGAGTCTGGACACCTGGGTCAAGGTCCTGACTCTACTGAACACTCAGTTTCATTCATTTGGAGCATGCTCCTCCCCTTCCTCAGCTGGTTTCAACTCTTCCCCCCACTTTTTTTTTTTTTCTCGGAGTCTCACTCTGTCATCCAGGCTGGAGCGCAGTGGCGTGATCTCGGCTCACTGCAACCTCTCTGCCTCCCGGGCTCAAGCAATTCTCCTGCCTCAGCCTCCTGAGTAGCTGGGATTACAGGTGCCCGCCACCACGCCTGGCTAATTTTTATATTTTTAGTAGAGACGGGGTTTCACCATATTGGCCAGGCTGGTCTTGAACTCCTGAACTCAAGTGATCCACCCACCTCGGCCTCCCAAAGTGCTGGGATTACAGGTGTGAGCCACCCTACCCAGCCCTCTTTTCTTTTTTTTAAAGGAAAGTGGATCATCTCTGATGGTCTCTGCAACTCTAAGGTTCCATAAGTGAAGGCATTCAGGACCCTCTAGGGCAGCACTGAGCTCAAGCCCGTAGTTGGAGCCCAGAAAGCTGAAATTTGGCACTGCAAGTCTACAAAACAAATGGGCTATGCAGCAGACTAGGCAGCACTGGCCCAGAGGGCTCTAAGCCCATGGTGCACCCCCCTCCGCCCCGCCCCCACCAGAGATGGGGTCCCTGGCTGCTCCATCCCACAGAAAAATCCCAGGAAGTGAGGTCTTCCTTCACCAGGGAGAGGCACATATCTGAACGAGAACGTTTGCTTCCGTTCCTAAAGAACGAACAAGAAGTCCTTGCTTCCAAGGACTACAGGAGAAAGCAGAAGCACAGCGAGGCTTCCAGTGGGCGCTCACCCTGCGAATAGAGAGCAGGAACCAGGAGAATGTTCTGTAGAAAGCTCTAAAAATGTCACCACTTCCCCCATATAATCGCAGTTCCTCCCCGGTGTGTGTCCCTGCTGTGACCTCTAGGAACTGAACCGTACAAGGATCCAGAGGTTCCCAAGATAGGGGCCCCTAGGGGTGGACGGAACCTCAGAGGTTATCAATCGCCCTCACCGTCCTCAGAGGGCTCGGACCTGCAGAACGTTCCCAGATGGGGGCACCAACTGCCCCCTGAAGTGTCCTTCTCTGAGAAGTCCCTATAGTCATGGCCTCAGGCACCCTCCTCCTCTCCCCAACTCCTGGTCCACCTATTAGGCCCTCCCTGGCTTTCCTGTCTGTGACCATCTCCAGGAGATCCCAGACAGAGTGGGAAACGTGAGACATGAGGACTCCGAGTTTTCTATGCAGGGCGAGGGGCAAAGCCAGGAGGCCGGAGAGGAAGGAGATCCAAAGCCCCTCTCCAAGTCCACACCCTCTGGGATTGGGGCTGGCAGCCAGTCCCATGAGCTGCAGAGGCTGGAGACGATGCTAGAGGCGTATGCTCCCGCTCAAAGCCGTGTGTGCTGAGCATGGCAAGTCGCCTTCCCGAGCCTCAATTCCTCTACCTGTGAGGATGATTCCCAAAGGCCGCCAGGGCAGTGGTGAGACCCAGGACAAATATCCATGGGGCCAAGGTCTTGGAGGAGCAGAGGGAGGTGAAGCCAGGCCCTAAGGGCCACCAGGCACTTTCCTGTAGGGCCCTAACTACATCCTGAAAACCACAGCAACAATAGAGCAGAAGGCAACCTCAGAAACCGACTAGCTCAAAAGAAGAAGAGGCAGGGCACGGTGGCTCACACTTGTAATCCCAGTGCTTTGGGAGGCCAAGAGTTTGGGACCAGCCTGGGCAATATAGTGAGACCCGTCTCTACAAAAAATTTAAAAAATTAGCTGGGCACAATGGCACAAGCCTGTAGTCCTGGCCACTCAGGAGGCTGAGGCAGGAGGATCCCTTGAGCCCAGGAGTTTGAGGCTGCAGTGAGCCACGATCACACCACTTCACTCTAGCCTGGGTGACAGAGTGAGACCCTGTCTCTTAAAACAAAACAAAACAAAAAACAAAGAAAAAGAAAAGAAAGAAGAAAAAAATAGAGAAGAAAAGAGACCGAGGGCCTATCATAAGTCAGGAGCAAGGCTCCATCTGGGCCCCATGACTCCAATCCCACAAGCCAAAAGACAGGTGGCAGCAGGAGGAAGAGGAAGTGAGTTCTTTTAGAGGCAAGGGCAGCAGCAGCAGCAGCAGCAGCAGCAGCAGCAGCAGCAGCCCACCACAACAGAAAGCCACCAAGAGCTGAGCGCCGTTTTGCAGGGCCACTGAGCCATTCAGCACAGAGCAAAACGCCCACAGGCTTCACCTCGCTGAGCTGTGACAGACTGCTGGTCATAACCACCACCCCAAGCCATCCAAGTGCTAAGCAGTGTCACACTCTCTCCATTAAGGGAGACAAGAGCATGCATGACACATTTAGGAAAGATTTCCATCCAACATCATTAAAACACAAGTTTTGGTGCTTAAAGGGATCAACTTCAGCTACCAGGAAATCTACTGCCACCCAGCAGCTCAGCCCCAGATGACACGCTTTCTTGTATCACGGCCTGTTCCCAGGGGGCACGTGGAAGCTGTGCACGTGAGTTCCAGGAAATTTTTCAATTTCACGCGCTCACATGGTATTTCCAGTGGCTGCCAGTAAAAAGTCGGTTCTCGGGCTTCCCCAGCCCATGGCGCTGGCTCTAGACGGGCCCTGCCTGCCCTGCCTGCCTCCTCACATCCAAGGTAACTTTCACCTGATGCTGTTGACATGCACTTGGCTGTGAGAACCTTGCCGCCTGCTAGGTTAAGAGGTCAGGTATTTACTAAGCCCCATCTGGCTCTACATCCGTCAGAGGAGGGTTAACTGCAGGGGGCCTCACTACGAATCAGGCAGGGGAAAAGCCTGTTTTTCAGCGCGTAGATAGGCTCGTGCAGGTGAATTACACCTCTCCCAGCTCCAAGAAAACCAAAGGAATCAGGATGCACCTACACCTACCCCAGGAGGCAGGCCCCTTTGAGGCTGTTTCCACTAACAGAGCCTGCTGGCCTGGTTCCCTCCTGACTTACAACGTGGGGCAAGCCACAGCATGCCCACCCCAGCACCAAGGGAAGACAGACTGGCCCATCCACCTTCTTTTCTGTAACTTGCCTGGCCCACACCGGTAGGACCCACATCAGCACTTCTGGGGGCCCTCAGGCCAGGGACGGGGACCCCAGAGAAATACTGGGAGAAACGGAAATGGTTTAGGAAAGACCAACGAGGCCCAATACCAGGAGAAAGGAACAAATCCACATTAAATGACTTAACTCCAGAATCCCAGCTCTAGCACTATCTAGAAATTTGCCTCAAAATAATTCCTAAGAACTTAAGAAGCTCCAGGAAGCTGAGTGGAACAGGGCTGACAGAAGTCCCAGCACCTCTAAGAACCCTCCTGGGCCAGCAGATAGAGCACACTGTTCTCTGAAACAGGCTGACCCAGATACTCAGGGAGGGAAGTTGGGGGAGCATCTCCCTGAGCCTGGCTTGCCTATGTCTATGTCCTCAGAGAGCCCCGATGACACCTTCCTATACTCCCAACTCCCAGAAAGATCTCAGATGCACGTGCCCCAACTCCTGGCAGAAGATGCCCCGGAAAACTCTGACTCACCCAAGGCCCATCACCCTCCTGTCTACTGGCCTCCTCCTAGCTCATCCCTCAAGAGGCCTTTTGGGCCAGGTGTGGTGGCTCATGCCTATAATCTCAGCACTTTGGAAGGCTGGGGCAAGAGAATTGCTTGAGGCCAAGAATTCAAGACCAGCCTGGACAACATGGCAAGACCTTGCCTCTACGTAAAACTGAAAAATTAGCCGGGTGTGGTGGTGTATACCTGTGGTCCCAGCTACTCAGGAGGCTGAGGCAGGAGGATCACTTGAGCACAGGAGTTCAAGCCTGCAGTGAACCATGATTGCACCACTGTACGCTAGCCTGGGTGACAGAGCAAAACCTTGTCTTTAAAAATAGTAATAAAATAAAATTAAAATGTATTAAAAGAGCCCCCTGCCTTCCCGGGAATGTCAATAACTCCCCATGTGCCCCAGATAGCCCACTCTTGGGGTCTGGGCTGAATCCCAGCTCCGCTACTTGCTGGCTGTGTCGCCAACCTCATGGGCCTGAATGTGCTCTCCTGTAAGCGAAGAACACTGCTCAGCCTGAGAGCATCGTGGGATGAGTGAAGTCACTCAAGCAGCCTGCTCAGGAGGGCCTGGCACATGACACGAACCAATGAGCGGGAGGCGCTGTCACTGTGTCTTACACAAGCTGGCAGGGTCCTCGGAAACCCAGTCTGAACAAATACTAGAGGTCCAAGAAGCTGCCAAGGCGGTCTCAACCACCCTGTGAAGTTTCAGCCCTTGACGTGGCTGCGGTGGGCAGGGGTGGGCCGGTGAGCAGGGAGGCAGCAGGATGCCGACCAGGGCCAGTGCGGAGAAAGGAGATGATTTCCTCCCTGGGACCAGGGTGGCCCCAGGCCCACCCACTCCCTCACCACCCGCACCAGGGCACTCTCAGAAAGCCCTGTCCCAGCTACCACTCTGAATTCTCAAAATGTGCTCCAAGCCCAACATTCTCAATAATGAATGACGAAGCCCCAAGTCACCCAGACAGTCAGAGGGCTACGGCCAGCCCATTCACCTTGGCCAAATCCAGGGAAATCCTGGGGGGGTTCCTCATTTTATCTTTTTTATTTTTTTCCCCCGAGATGGAGTTTCGCTCTTTGTTGCCCAGGCTGGAACGCAGTGGCACGATCTTGGCTCACTGCAACCTCCACCTCCTGGGTTCAAGGGATTCTTTTGCCTCAGCCTTCCAAGTAGCTGGGATTACAGGCGCTGGCCACCATGCCTGGCTAATTTTTGTATTTTTAGTAGAGATGGGGTTTCACCATGTTGGCCAGGCTGGTCTTGAACTCCTGACCTCAGGTGATCCGCCCACCTCGGCCTCCCAAAGTGCTGGAACTACAGGCGTGAGCCACTGGGCCCAGCTTTAAGACAGGGTCTCGCTCTGTCACCTAGGGGGCTGAAGTGCAGTGGTGCGATCACAGCTCACTGCTGCCTTGACCTCCTGGTCTCCAGCAATCCTCCTGCCTCAGTCTCCCAAGTAGCTGGGATTACAGGTGTGTACCACCATGCCTGGCTAATTAAAAAAATTTTTTTTGTGGAGATGGGGTCTCGCTATGTTGCTCAGGCTGGTCTCTGACTGCTGGGTTCAAATGATCTTCCTGCCTTGGCCTCCCAAAGTGCTGGGATTAAAGGTGTCAGCCTCTGTGCCTGACCAATCTCCTCATTTTAAATGCCACCCGCTCTGGTCTGCACTGGGCCCGTGGTATCATTCTCTCTCTCTCAAGGAGCTGAGCGCTCTACCAGGCACTCTGGGCTGGGCTGCATCATCACGGGGGCCAGGTCACCCATGCCACCTGCAGCCACTGCCACGTGCTCCACATTCTGCCCTCCCTCACACCGCGCTGACAGCCCCTTGCACTAGACTAGGGCTCAGGGGTAAGGGCTGATACTCTGGTCTCTGGGTCCTTAGGGCCTGGCACAAGGCGGGAGTCAGTGTACAGGCAGTGACCCAGTGTTCTCGGGCACAATGCTCGCCATGCAGCCCGCAAGCAGAGGCCACAGGCCTTTAACTCTGCTCCATGTGGAGGCCCTTAATCATCATGAGTGAAAGGACTGTAGATTCTAACCCGTGTGGTGACCGCCAGGACTCAGGTACAAGGGGTCAGGTAGGCTCTGGATGGCCACGGCACCTCGGCACCCACATGCCACATGCAAATGAGATGCCACGGCAGGACCACCTAGGGGGCAGGAGCCGCATCTGCAGGAATTGGGGTGAGTCTTCCCGGCTAAGAGCGGAAACACAGGGCAGACAAAACGAGCGGCCGTTGCCCACGATACCTGACTGCACCGGAGGTGGAGGATCCTGGGGGCAGGTGCTGCGGTCCCAGGTGGGAGAGGCTGGAGCGGTAGAGGGGCTGGCTCCCCAGGGAAGGAGGAGCTGCGCCCCAGGCGTTGGTGGTGTTCAGCCTGGGCGCAGACCGGGCCCCGGAGAGTGAGGGTTTGTTGTACGGTGCAAAGGCCTGGTGGGTCCCAAACACAGAAGCGGTCCTGTGTGGGGGGTGCTGGGGGACGGGGTATGCAGGGAGGTTGGTCATGGAGTGGCGGTAGCGGCCTGACACGGGGCCAGTTCTGCTGCCACTGAGGCACTGGTGGCAAGAGCAGGCGACGCCTGTGTGGCCCGGCGGAGCGATGATGGTGGTCACCGGGTAAGGCGGCCCTGCTTGGCGCCGCACGCTGCGGCAGAAGCTGGAAGTCTTGTTGGTCTGCGTGTGGGTGGTGTAGTTGACAGTGTAGTTGTACCCCAGGGGGGCCAAGTCCACGAGCTGGTTGCCCCTGGCCACCTGCTGCTCCAGATAGTCACAGACGCTGGCTTCATAGGCAGTCCAGGAGCCATCGTCGCTCAGCCACTCCCAGACGACACCTCGGCCAGGGGCTGAGTGCTGGGGGAACAGGTGTCTCCGCACAGCCCGCATGGTGCCTATTTTCAAAGGAAAACAAAAGGTTAGTCTGCTAGCATCCCCAAGATACAGGGAACGTTCAAATTCTTTTTTCAACCGCCAAAATAAACAAATAGGAACACAGTAGGTACACAGTCATGCTGCTATTTGTTTATTTATTTATTGTTAGAGGCAGGGTACCCCTTTGTCGCCCAGGCTGCAGTGCAGTGATGTGATCATAGTTCACTGCCACCCTGACCTCCTGGGCTCAAGCGATCCTCCTGCCTTAGCCTCCTAAATAACTGGGACTACAGGCACATGACACCACACCCAGCTAACTTCAAATCGACCTCTACAACACCTGCCACTTTCATTCCCCGATTAACACTTCCTGCTCTCTGCCACGATATGCAATTTCCATGTTATTATTTATCCTGTCTGCTATCTTTCTCAGTTGACTTCACACACTGTGAAGGCAACGACTTGGGAGCTGACTGACAGCCACAGTTTTCACAGACTCTACGACACTCCTGGAAACACATAGTTTCCAGGGCTGGGCATGACGGCTCGAGCCTGTAATCCCAACACTTTCGGAGGCCAAGGCAGGAGGATCACTTGAGCTCAGGAGTTGAAGACCAGCCTGGGCAACACAGGGCAATGGAGACCCAGTCTTTACAAAAAACAAACAAACAAACAAACACGAAAAAAAAAAACCCATACTTTTAAAAATAAAACTAAAATTAAAATTGAAAAAAAAAAGGAAAAACCAGTTTTTCAAGTTTCCTCACTGGTGACACTGTGGGCCAATAATTCCTTACTGCAGGGCCAGCCCAGTGCACTGCCGGATGGCGAGCAGCATCCCTGGCCTCCACCCACCAGATGCCAGGAGCACCCCCACCTCCCACCCACTCAGCTGTAACAACCAACAATGTCTCCAAACATTGTCAGATGGCCCCGGGGACAAAATCACCCCCAGTGACAACCACCAGATTAGAGTAAGGGATGGCTCCGAGAGGAAACTGGTGCCTCATTCTCAATAATACTGATCAAAACACACTGCAGGTCCAGGCGCGGTGGCTCATGCTTGTAATCCCAGCACTTTGGGAGGCCGAGGCAGGCAGATCACCTGAGGTCAGGAGCTCGACACCAGCCTGGCCAACGTGGCAAAACCCCGTCTCTACTAAAAATACAAAAATTAGCCAGGTGTGGTGGTGGATGCCTATAATCCCAGCTACTCGGGAGGCTGAGGCAGGAGAATCGCTTGAACCCAGGAGGCAGGGGTTGCAGTGAGCCGAGACTGCGCCACTGCACTCCAGTTTAGGCAACAGAGCCAGACTCCGTCTCAAAAAAAAAAAAAAAGATCAAAACACATCGCAGACCAAAAAGCAGAAACGCACACATGCAGAGGGGCGCAGTTGCCTGCCCAGGGCACACAGCCACTGAGTGGTGGGACAGGGCCCTCTGAACTCCTATGACGCACCACCTCCATGCCGGCCTGCCGGCCAAAGGAACCCTTCAACCTCTGTGGTCGGGACAGGCATTTCTGCTTTGCAAGACAAGGGGAAGGGCCTCCCACAGTGCCTCTCCCACTGTGAGCTGCACTCAACCTATGTGGATGTTCCCACTCACTGCACCCACCCACCACCACGTGTGCTGCAGGGAGAGAGCAGAAGCTCTGTAAGTCACGTCCATCACCCCAACACCTGGCGCAGAGCCTGTGGGAAAGCAGGTGCGGCACCCAGATATGTGCGAGAGGCAGACAGCGTCTTACCGGTGTCCTGGCGGAACTGGGTCCAGCTGGGGAGGTCAATAATGTAAGGGGCCAGCGAGGGGTCTGCCTGGCCCAAGGGGATGCTGTGGGCCAGGCTCCCAAGCCCAAAACGTTGGCCCTTCTGCTGGACAAACTGCTGCTCGATGAAGCTGCAGACGGTGGCACTGTAGGGGTGCCAGGTGCCCAGCCCGTCCTGCCATTCCCACACGGCCACAGCCGCGGGGCTGGTGTACACCTGCACCAGGGAAGGGCTTGGGGCCATGGCCATCTTCCCAAGGAGTCCCGCTGCTTTCCCAAACAGCTTCAGACCCCTCTGGCCTGGAGTCCCGGGGTCATTGCCCAGCGCCTCCGGCAGATCTGTGAACAGGACAGACATGAGCAGTTACCAATGCACATCAGTAGCCCTGCAGAATCAGCCTCAGCGCAGGGGAAACACGTGATGCTTTTCCACAGCTGATTTTTTTTTTTTTTTGGTTACAGGGTCTCACTCTCTCACCCAGGCTACAGTGCAGCAGTGTGATCTTGGCTCACAGCAGCCTCAAACTCCTGGTCTCAAGCAATCCTCACAACTCAGCCTCCAGAGCAGCTGGGACAATAGGCATTCACCACCACACCCAGCTCATTTTTTTACTTTTTGTAGAGATGATGTCTGTGTTGCCCAGGCTGGTCTCAAAGTCCCAGCCTCAAGGGATAGACTCGCCTCAGCCTTCCCAAGTGCTGGGATCACAGGTGTGAGCCACCGCGCCTGGTCTCACGCTTGCTTTTCTTCCCCTAACACCTTAAGGGCATCATGAATCAAGAACCTGATCCTGTCTCTTTGCTGTGGCAGCCAGGAAGAATTCAAAGTCAATCCCGCAGCCTACGTACCGCCGCACAGGCCCATGAAGAAAGAGAGCATAAATTCCGGGTGCTAGTCACCAGCCCAGCTTCTTTCTTGCTACTGATAATTCCCCTCTGACCCAACTGCTTAGTGTGTTTCATCATGCATGTATTTTTTTTTCTTTGAGATGGAGTTTCCCTCTTGTCACCCAGGCGTGTGATCTCGGCTCACTGCAACCTCCACCTCCCGGGTAGGTTCAAGTGATTCTCCTGCCTCAGCCTCCCGAGTAGCTAGGACTACAGGCATGCACCACTGCGCCCAGCTAATTTTTTGTATTTTTAGTAGAGACGGGGTTTCACCATGTTGGCCAGGCTGGTCTCAAACTCCTGACCTCAGGTGATCCACCCACCTCAGCCTCCCTATTAGCACCCACCATCCTGAAGATGAGATCCCAACATTTCTTGGAAAGGAGCAGGGTTTGGGACACCCAGGGAGCAGGGGCAGAGCTGGGAACTGCAGCACAGGTTCTAGCTCCTCATGTCTCCCAGGTGCCCTGAAGCATTGCTAACCAAAAAGGAAGCCCTAGATGGGCACCGAATCACCCCTCTCTGGCCTCTCCAAGGCTCTCTGCACCCACTCCCCGACCTGGCCCCTGCTGACCGGCCACCAGGCCCAGGGAGCTCTTCCCCACATCCCGAGCTCCACCTCCCGAGACCTTCTCCTTGCAGTCACTCCAGCCCACCCTCTTCCCTTGCGAACACTCCACGTCCTCCAGGCCCAGCTTGCATCGCTCAGGATGACCCATCACACGCCCTCTGCACCCTCCACAGCACCCACCAGAACCCTAGTAACCGCGTCCACGTGTGGCTGTGACCACAGTCCTTCTGCTCCTCCCCAGGTGGCAGCAACCCCAAGCCTGCTTCATTCACAGCTGCATCACCGGGACCCAGCAGGGGCATGCCACGTGGTGAGTGTTCTAGAATGTTCTACACACTGCTTCAGAATGACAGAGTGAATGTGGACAATGATTCCGCTCAGCACCTGGAGCTGTCTGAATAAGAAGAGGCCTGCAAATGCCCCACCTGATGGCTGCCCCCCAGGGCACCGGCTGTTGGAGTGCCGGTCCAGGGTCCAACATTTAGTAACCAACATCAAATGTACTTGTCTCTCCTAAGCTGCACAGACTGCCAAGGTGACATTTCTCCCACTTACGGACAGGAAACCAAGGCTGAAAGAGGTCAAGGGGACTGGGTGTGGTGGCTCACACCTGCAATGCCAGTGTTTAGGGAGGCTGCGACAGGAGGGTGGTTTGAGCACAGGAGTTTGAGGCCAGCCTGGGCAACATAGTGAGATCCCATCTCTGCAGAAAATTTAAAAGTTAGCCAGGTGCGGAGGTGCATGCCAATAGTCCCAGCTACTCAAGAGGCTGAGGCAGGAGGATGGCTTGAGCCCAGGAGTTAGAGGCTGCAGTGAGCTATAATCCCAAGGCACTCCAGCCTCGGTGACAAGAGGTCCCACCTCTACAAAAAAAAAAAAAAAAAAATCAGAGCTGATGCAGTGTGTGTGCACACTGATGCCAGAGCCCAGGCCTGCTTCTTTCCAGGTGCTGCTCCACATCTGTCTCCCTTCCAGGGAAGGTGGTCTTACCCTTCTCACTGAAACCTTGCTGGGGTAGTACAGTCTGGGACCACACCAGAAGCCAGGGTCCCCATCTTATCACAAGCCATGCGACTATGAGGACGTCACTGTAACTACCTGGGTCTCAGTTTCCTCATTGGCAAAATGGGGATAAAATATGATGTGTATGCTCGGGAATCACCAGATTGTATCAGTGGGGGCCCTACTGGCCAGGGTCCTTCATGGGCGTGTTGTCACAATGAGGGTGTATAGTGCTTGAGAGACGAGGGTCGTTCTCTCCTTTTCCTTTCCCCCTCTTTAAGCAGGGCCTGTAAGTGAAGCCCAAGGTGAAGCTCAGACTGAGCCCTCCTAGCTAAGAAAATGGGCCTTAGAGCCAGACCCGACCTGGGTTTGTTCTCTGTGCTGCCTCTTAGTCATGTATGTGTGACCTTGGCTGAATAACTCAAGGTCACACATACACTACTTAATAAAAGGTGACATTTATTTATTTATTTATTTATTTATTTATTTATTTATTTAGAGTCCGAGTCTCACTCTGTCACCCAGGCTAGAGTGCAGTGGCTGCAATCACCACTCACTGCAGCCCCATGGTCTCCTGGGCTAAAGCCATCCTCCTGCCTCCACCTCCCGAGCAGCTGGGACTACAGGCATGTGCCACCATACTCAACTGATCTCTTAATTTTTTGTAGAGACAGGGGTCTCCCTCTGTCACCCAGCTGAGACTACAGGCACGCGCCACCATGCCTGGCTATTGTATCATCTTGATGGAAGTATCTAAGCTCTCCAAGCTTGCTTTCTTTGGGAAAATGCAGTTATCAACATGTATCCTAAGTGTTTTTCATGAGGATAACACAGACGGGTGTGTATAAGGTGCCCACACAGCACTAGGCATACAGCAGAGAGTCAACCCATCTTGGCCTCCCTGCCTCTCCTGGCCCCTCACCCCTAGCACTTGCCCACCCTTTCAGTCTCAAGGAGGAACGGCCACAAGGGCAGCCCTGAGTACACAGCATGAGAACACAGGTGAGTCAGGCCTGCAACAACTCCGAACACAGGAATTGGCAGCTCTGTGGGTGCCAGGCCCGCCACGGAGCTGCCAATTCCTCCGACAAAAGCCCACAACCTGCCCCGAAGATCAGACCTGGAGTGCCCTCGGGCGGGCGGGCGGGCGGAATGGTTCAGCTCAGTGTCTTCAATTGGAAGTTTCTGTAACCACAATGAGGTACAAATCAGAGGACTGCCTTCCAAGCCAATTACTCCTGGGTGTCACGCATCTCTCGGGCAGCCACGGCCGCCTCCATCATCGGCACACGGGGTATGTCCCAACATGTCCTCATGGCCCGGATGAACCAACTCTCACAACTCTGCAAAAACAGCCTGGGAAATACAGGCGAGGACATCAGCTAAAACTTTCCACGAAGGCACGCAGCCTCCCCAATGGAGGGCGCACCATGGCCCAGGCCCTAGGAGGGTACTGGAGACTCCAGAGGATGACAAGGCACACAAGCCCCTCCATGACCAGCCACTGTTCCTACTCACACCAAGCCCGCCACCTTTGATACCTACATCTAATTCTAGAAAGTTCCAGAACATTCCAAGCCACTTACCACCTTCTAGCAATTGATCCTCCCTCTATACCAGCCCCCAAGCAAACACGCCCATCCTTCCAGACCCAACCATGGTATCCCCTTCTCCTGGGCCCCCTGACCCACAGCTTGCCAGAGACGGCTGGCTCCACCTACCCTTGTGTGCACGGCGCAGGGCACTTACGCAAACACAACCGCACTCCCTGGTTTCAGTGGCCTTCTCCCCACCAAAACAGAAACTCCCTGAGGGCAGAGCTGGGGCTGCAGCTCTTCAGGTGCCCAATATCCCAGAGGCTCTGAAACACCAAAGGAGGGGTGAGCCTTCTGCTCCAGGGGCACAGGCACCTTTGAGTCACTGCCCAGAAACGCCCACTGCGTTCCCCTTGAACCCAGCAATTATGCACAATACAGTGGCGTGTCGGTGCACCAGTCTCTGCAGCAGCCTCGGCTTAACCATCACTTAGCTGCAGCTTAAAAACCTAATTTGTTCCAGCTCCTAATGATGCCGGTTCTTCATTATGAAAATTATTAGTATTATAATTGGCCATGGGAAAAAGCCTCAATTTGGAGGCAGCCTAAACACTTTACAATAAAGGAATTCTTGCACCAATTATGGAACATTCTAATGATGGAATACAAATCAGTCTTAAAAAATGAAAGAAAGGGCCAGGCGCGGTGGCTCATGCTTGTAATCCCAGCACTTTGGGAGGCCGAGGCGGGCGGATCGCTTGAGTCCAGAAATACAAGACCAGCGTGGGCAACACAGCAAAAGCCTGTCTTTACAAAAACTAGAAAAATTAGCCATTTGTGGTGGTGCGTGCCTGTAGTATCAGCTACTCAGGAGGCTGAGGTGGGAGGATTGCTTGAGCCCTGGAGGTTGAGGCAGCAGTGAACCATGATTGCACCACTGCACTCCAGCCTGGGTGACAGACAGAGACCCTGTCTCATAAAAATAAATTAATTAAAAATTAAAAGTCTGGAAAGAACAACACTAAAATGTCACTGGAATCAAAGAATTATGGGATTTTTTTTCTTTTTTTTTATTTTTGAGAAGGAGCCTTGCTCTGTCGCCAGGCAGGAGTGCAGCAGTGCAATTTTGGCTCACTGCAACCTCCGCCTCCCGGGTTCAAGCAGTTCTCCTGCTGCAGCCTCCCAAGTAGTTGGGATTACAGGCACGCACCACTACGCCTGGCTAATTTTTGTATTTTCAGTAGAGATGTGGTTTTGCCACATTGGCCAGGTTGGTCTCAAACTCCTGACCTCAAGTGATCCACCCGCCTCAGCCTCCCAAAGTGCTGGGATTACAGGTGTGAGCCACTGCACCTGGGCTATTCTTTCTTTACCTCTTTCTGTACTTGCAAATGTTCTAAAATAGTCATATAACTTTTTAATGATCAAAGGGTTTTTTTTGTTTTTGTTTTTGAGACAGAGTTTCATTCTTGTTGCCCAGGCTGGAGTGCAATGGCGTGATCTCGGCTCACTGCAACCTCCGCCTCCCGGGTTCAAGTGATTCTTCTGCCTCAGCCTTCCAAGTAGCTGGGATTACAGGCACCCACCACCAAGCCCGGCTAATTTTTTTTTTTGTATTTAGTAGAGACGCGGCTTCACCATGTTGGCCAGGCTGGTCTCGAACTCCTGACCTCAGGTGATCTACCTGCCTTGGCCTTCCAAAGTGCTGGGATTACAGGCGTGAGCCACTGCACCTGGCCAAAGTTTTTTTTTTCTTCTTTTTTTTAGTATTAACAACTTTGACCAGGAAAAACAAACCCTGCTTTTCCTTTACAGTCTCTCGTCAGGTCTTCGCCACAAATCTCTGTCCAGAGGATCGTGGCTGAGGCACCATGGAATGCTGCTGTTCTACTGGAGATGCAATTTCATCCAAAAGAAAAAGGGAAAAGTATCCAAAAGTCTTTCTAGTCTCCAGGCATTTAGAAAAGCTTTAGAACAAGATCTGCACTGGCACAAGAATTTGAGTGGAAATCACCCTGCCCAGCTGTGAGCCCCGGGGCGGGTGAGCCACACACTTGGATCTCACTGCAGTTGTGGCCTCTGGGAAGAAGGCTTTGAATGCAGATTTTAAACAGGTACTCAACTCATACTGAGCCACGGCTACTTTCAACTTAACAATATGTGAGAAACCCATCTGATCACTGCAGACCTGCTGAAATCTGTTACAACTAATCCTTCAATCCTCACCAGAATGCTGGCTGTCCTGCCTCTGCCGTCCCGAGAGAAGATGAAAGCTACTGGGTGGCCACAGGGCAGTTATGTCCCCTTCTCTAGGTTCTGTGATTCTGGCAGTTAGAATGGGTTTCCAGACTTTTACAAGCAGAAACCCTTATACATGTGATTATATGCTGTCCGTCAACATGTAAAACAGGCCAAGCGTGGTGGCTCACACCTGTAATCTCAGCGTTTTGGGAGGCCAAGGTGGGAGGACCACTTGAGGCCAGGCGTTTGAGACCAGTCTGGGCAACATAGCAAGACCCTATCTCTTAAAAAAAAAAAAAGAAAAGAAAGAAAGAAAAGAAAAAGAAAAAGAAAAAGAAAAAAAAAAGTAGGCCAGGCACGGATCACCTGAGGTCGGGAGTTTGAGACCAGCCTGACCAACATGGAGAAACCCCATCTCTACTAAAAATACAAAATTTGCCGGGCGTGGTGGCACATGCCTGTAATCTCACCTACTAGGGAGGCTGAGGCAGGAGAATCGCTTGAACCCGGGAGGTGGAGGTTGCAGTGAGCCGAGATCGCGCCATTGCACTCCAGCCTGGGCAATAAGAGTGAAACTCAGTCTCAAAAAAAAAAAAAAAAAAAGTGAAACACAGAAATGTGGGACGTTGTTTTTGACACAGAGGTGGCCTCCATTCCTATTTTTCTTCAAGAGAACCATGAAGCTCCTTTGCAAAATAGGTGAGTTCTTTTCTTTGAGACAGAGTCTCCTTCCATCACACAGGCTGGAGTGCAGTGGTGCGATCTTGGCTTACTGCAACCTCTGCCTCCCAGGCTCAAGTGATTCTCATGCCTCAGCCTCCTGAGTAGCTGGAACTACAGGTGTGCACCACACCACACCTGGCTAATTTTTGTATTTTTAGTAGAAACGGGGTTTCGCTATGTTGGCCAGGGCTGGTCTCAAACTCCTGGCCTCAAGTGATCTGCCCATCTCGGTCTCCTCAAGTGCTAGGATTACAGATGTGAGCCACTGCACCTGACTGCAAAATGGGAGAGTTCTGAGAAGTGTGGACTGGAAACCAGTGAGAGGAGGTAACTTCTAGAACCTCTTCCCAGCTCTGATTCCACTAACATGGTCTAAACTTTCCAAACTCAACCCACACCACCGTTAAAGTCCTTATTTTCTAAGCCGTTTCTCTTTCGGGCACTTTCCAGGAGGCCTGGGCCTGAAACTCCACACCCCACCAGCTGACACACTGTGCGTGACCTGGAACTAGAAATGACCTTCTCACAGGGCAGATGGCCACCCACGGGGGATGTCTTGTTAGAAAGCCTCTCCAAAGACCTGGGAGAGTCAAATCCTGACACAAACATATCAAAGAAATGTTCTACTTTACTAGAAATTTTGTTTAAAACATACAAGTTAAAATCAGCGGCTGAGCATGGTGGCTCACACCTATAATCTTAGCTACTCGGGAGGTGGAGGGAAGAGGATTGCTTGAGGCCAGGAGGTCAAGACCAGCCTGGGCAACACAGAGAGACCCCCATCTCTATTTATTAAAAAAAACGGAAAAGAAAACAATTTGGTAATATATGTATCAAGAGGTTTAAAAATGTTCACTTCCTTTGATCCAATAATTAAGACTCTAACTTCAGAAAATTATAGAAAAATTTTGACGTGAAGCTATTCACTACAGCACTGTCTCTATTACATAAAACAGAAGCATAGGGCAAACTCCATAGAAGTCAATAAAATGTTAACAGCTGTCTTTGAGTGGAGAAACGATAGAAGACCTTTTTTTTTCTTTTTTTTTAAACTTGCTTCTTTTCTTCTTCATATATAGGAGACGTTTTGTTTGACTTCCTTATATATCTGAACTTTTCACATTTTCTAAAGTGAGAAAGTATTACTTCTATTATCAGAAAAAAACTCTCCTGGCCAGGTGCAGTGGCTCATGCCTGTAATCCCCAGCACTTTGGAAGGCTGAGGGGGGCGGATCATCTGAGGTCAGGAGTATGAGACCAGCCTGGCCAACATGGTGAAATCCCGTCTCTACTAAAAATACAAAAATTAGCTGGGCATGGTGGCATGCACCTGTAATCCCAGCTACCTGGGAAGCTGAGGCAGGAGAATCCCCTGAACCCAGGAGGCGGAGGTTGCAGTGAGCCGAGAACTGCACCACTGCACTCCAGCCTGGGCAACATGAGCCTCAAAAAACAAAACAAAAAACAAACCTCCCTTAAAATGCCAAACACTTTTAAAAGGTCATAAATATAAACCAAACCACCACCACCGCTGTGTCTTACCATTATTACTTTAAATGGCTGCTGCTATCCCAGTGTAGTTTCACTAATATCAGGCCCTGTCAACTTACCATGGCACCTCCCTGACAGCAGACACATCCCCCCATCCCCGAGCTCCACAAAAATGGAAGAACAAACCATCCATGTTCCTATGACAGTAGTCCTGTGAGCACGGCGAGATGGGGCTTTGCTTGAAAAGGGATCACTCAGGCCAGTGCCTCCCACGTCTTACTGGAAGATGGCACGAAACTAGCATGTGATTTGTCTCTTGCACAGTGGGTGGCCGGAAGGGAAGTGACAACTCTTCTGGCTGGGGCCTCCAGGGATAGGTCAGAGCAGAACCTTCCAAAGGGCACCCATGGTGCCGGCCCCAGTAACCTACAATTCCCTTGTGGTCAACCAGCTTCTCCAGAACCAAGAACCCACTGGCTCCTGGGTGGCCAAGAGCAATCTGACCACCTGCAGCCAGTCAGAAGGTGGAGCCCTGGTTTACGGGCCTACCCAGAGGGCAAAGTAGGGGAGTAATAGGGGCAGCAGTGGATGTGTAATGGTAACAGTAATAGCAGGCCTGGTGCAGTGGCTCACACCTTGTGATCCCAGCACTTTGACTGGCTGAGGCAGAAGGACTGCTTTGAGCCCAGGGGTTCAAAGTTGCAGTGAGCTATGATCGTGCCACTACACTCCAACCTGGGCAACAGAGCGAGACCCTGTCTCTTTAAAAAAAAATAAATAACAGCCAAGCAGGAACCCGCATCCAGGAACACAGCCCTTTGCTCCTCCCTCAGAATGAATGGAAACCAGGCTGGGCGCGGTGGCTCACACCTGTAATCCCAGCACTTTGGGAGGCCAAGGCGGGCGGATCACGAGGTCAGGAGATCGAGACCATCGTGGCTAACATGGTGAAACCCTGTCTCTACTAAAAATACAAAAAATTAGCCGGGCGCGGTGGCGGGTGCCTGTAGTCCCGGCTACTAGGGAGGCTGAGGCAGGAGAATGGCGTGAACCCAGGAAGTGGAGTTTGCAGTGAGCCAAGATCGCGCCACTGCACTCCAGCCTGGGCGACAGAGCAAGACTCCGTCTCAAAAAAAAAAAAAAAAAAAAAAAGAACGAATGGAAACCAGAAATCAGATATTTATGCCCAAGCAAAGCAGGATTTCGTTCAGCACTACTCCCAGATCGTTAGGGTGCTGACTGAGGATGAGATGGGGCACCCAGAGACAGGAGATGCTACTGCCCGGCTCAAGGAGGTCCTGGAGTACAATGCCATTGGAGGCAAGTATCACCGAGGTTTGATGGTGCTAGTAGCGTTCCGGGAGCTGGTGGAGCCGAGGAAACTGGATGCTGATAGTCTCCAGTGGGCACCGACTGTGGGCTGGTATGCGCAACTGCTGCAAGCTTTCTTCCTGGTGGCAGATGACATTATGGATTCATCCCTTACCTGCCAGGGACAGATCTCCTGGTATCAGAAGCTGGGCATGGGTTTGGATGCCATCAATGATGCTATCCTTCTGGAAGCATGTATCTACTGCCTGCTGAAGCTGTATTGCCGGGAGCAGCCCTATTACCTGAACCTGATGGAGCTCTTCCAGCAGAATTCTTATCAGACTGAGATTGGGCAGACCCTCGACCTCATCACAACCCCCCAGGGCAATGTGGATCTTCGCAGATGCACCGAAAAAAGGCACAAATCTGTTGTCAAGTACAAGACAGCTTTCTACTCCTTCTACCTTCCTGTAGCTGCAGCCATGTACATGTCAAGAATGGATGACAAGAAGGAGCACACCAGTGCCAAGAAGATCCTGCTGGAGATTCAAGAGTTCTTTCAGATTCAGGATGATTACCTTGACTTCTCTGGGGACCCCAGTGTGACTGGCAGAGTTGGCAATGACTTCCAGGACAACAAATGCAGCTGGCTGGTGGTTCAGTGTCTGCTACAGGCCACTCCAGAACAGTACCAGATCCTGAAGGAAAATTACAGGCAGAAGGAGGCCGAGAAGGTGGCCCGGGTGAAGGCACTATACGAGGAGCTGGATCTGCCAGCCGTGTTCTTGCAGTATGAGAAAGACAGTTACAGCCACGTTATGGGTCTCATCGAATAGTACGCAGAGCCCCTGCCCCCAGCCATCTTTCTGGGGCTTGTGCACAAAATCTACAAGTGGAAAAAGTGACCTAGAGACTGCAAGGGCGGGGAGAGAAGGCTCTCAATAAGTAAATTATTGTGTAAAATAAATAAATAAATGAATAACAGCAATGGCTACCAGGTAAAGGTTTACCAGGCACCAGGCACCGTGCTAAGCCCCTCCACCTGACTAGTAATTCTCGTTGGTCCTCACAACTGGGGAAGCGGGATATTTCCATACCACAACTGAGAAAAGTGAGTCACCAGAAGACATGCAGCTTGCCCAAGGATATCCAGGGACTGAGAAAACCCAAATCTGTTTCCAGAGTTCCTGTCTTTCCCACCAAGACAGACTGACGACGGACAAACTGGCCTGTAGATGTGTTTTGCTTGGGTTACTAAGGTTTGGCTTTTAAAAACTGAGCTGATGTTTAAAAATTGGAATATTTGGCCGGGCTCAGTGGCTCACACCTGTAATCCCAGCACTTTGGGAGGCCGAGGCAGGCAGATCATGAGGTCAGGAGAGCGAGACCATCCTGGCTAATGCAGTGAAACCCTGTCTCTACTAAAAAATACAAAAAATTAGCCAAGTGTGGTGGCGAGCGCCTGTAGTCCCAGTTACTCGGGAGGCTGAGGCAGGAGAATTGCTTGAACCTAAGAAGTGGAGGTTGCAGTGAGCCAAGATTATGCCACTGCACTCCAGCTTGGGCGACAGAATGAGAATCCGTCTCAAAAAAAAAAAAAAAAGGAATATTCACAGTAAAAAAAAAAAAAAAAAAAATCTAGATTTCAAGCTTCCCTTGAAAATCAGGAAAGATGGCAATATTTGCAGGCTGGACCTAGATCCATGATCTACCTAGCAACACCAGCTAAACTGCAATGGTGGCTGGAACGTCCTCTCTGGGTGGCCACAGCTACCATGACTCCCTATGGCTAGGGCCAGCATGCTTTTCCTGTAAAGGACAGAAAAAGTCTTTGCAGTGACTCTGCCACTAGACCACAAGAACAACCATAAACAATGTGTAAACAGGAGGGGTTGCATACCAATATAACTTTATGAACAAAATCAGGCAGTGGGGCTGAATGCGGTAGCTCACGCCTGTAATCCCAGCACTTCGGGAGGCTGAGGTGGGTGGATCATTTGAGGCCAGGAGTTTGAGACCAGCCTGGCCAATACAGTGAAACCCCGTATCTACCAAAAAAATACAAAGATGAGCCAGGCGTAGTGGCGTGCACCTGTAGTCCCAGCTACTTGGGAGGCTGGGGCAGGAGAATCACTTGAACCCAGGAGGCGGAGGCTGCAGTGAGCCGAGACTGTGCCACTGTACTCCAGCCTGGGCAACAGAGTTAGACCCTGCCTCAAAAAAAAAAAAAAAAAAAAAATGCTGGGCGTGGTGGCTCACGCCTATAATCCCAGCACTTTGGGAGGCCAAGCGGGGGTGGATCACCTGAGGTCAGGAGTTCGAGACCAGCCTGGCCAACATGGTGAAACCTTGTCTCTACTAAAAATACAAAAATTAGCCAGGCATGGTGGCTGGTGCCTGTAATCCCAGCTACTCAGGAGGCTGAGGCAGGAGAATTTCTTGAACCTGGGAGGCGGAGGCTGCAGTGAGCTGAGATCGTGCCATTGCACTCCAGCCTGGCAACAGAGTGAGACTCCATCTCAAAAAAAAAAAAAAAAAAAAAAAAAAAATGGCAGTGGGCCAGATTTGGCTGAGGGTCCATCGTTTGCAGACCTCTGCCCTGTGGCCTCCCTCACATCTATTACTGTACTTTCACACTCCTACAGTTGAGCAATACTTCTCTGAACTCATGTCTCTATCAAAAAGTGAGAGAGTGCTCTGCCTCTGGCTAGCTTTGCCAACAACACGCCCTGCCCTCTGCAGACATGTCAGCCTTTGCCCAACACCTAAGGGTGAAATACAGCATCCAACAGCACAGCAGGCAGCATGCCAACAGCACCCGCCCCTGGGAAGCCCCAGGTGCTCCCCAGAGCCACACCGGGCGTTGATAACATTCTCTGCATCCGGGAATCAGGCCCTGGCCTCCCTCTCCCCTCCTCCCCTCCTCTCTCCATTCCCCCCGGATCCTCAGGATCTGTTCCCATGGCTTCAATATTCCCTTGCATACAGATCACCCAAAGCTGTCCTCGGGATGCCCTGCCCGAGCCCCTCAAACCGTCAGCTCCTGCCATCTGGACCTCCTGGCAGTGCCCAGGGCAGGTCAGGATGTTTCATGCCCTTCGTCCCCCACTGAGAATGCCCATCGCACTTGTCCACTTACTCATCTCTTAATTCCTAGCTCAAGACTCTGCCCTGTGAGATCTTTCCTAAGTTCGCTCCCGCTCCACAGGCAGAAGTGGCCACTTCTAACAATCAATGCCCACATGACGTCTCAGTGCCATTATCTGTCTCCTCCACTGGAGAATGCATACGCTCCTTAAAGGCAAGGGTTATGTTCAGGAAAAGACTTCAAACCAGACCCAGAAAACTGAGTACTAGGGAAAAAATACATTTCGCTATGTTAAAATGAAGAATGGCTGATCAACAGAAGACACCTTAAAGAAAGAGGAATAATAGGTTAAAAGCTGGGAGAAGATATTTGCAATAGACACGAAGGATTAAAATCAGCAATATATAAAGAGCCCTATAGATCAACAAAAAATAAAGCACCAAGAACCCTAATGAAAAACTGGCAAAAGACATGAATATTTCACAGGAAACACATATGCCAATAAACATAAGAGGAGATATTCAGCAGCAGGGCTCAGGGACCTAGAAACCAAGTTCCCAAAGATTCCATTTTCTACCCATTCACTTGGCCAACAGCAAATGTTGGTAAGACTGTGGAGCTGCAAGACACAGGACACTGCTGGTAAAGTGGATACTGGTATAAGCACTACATTCAGGAAATGGTCTAGCAATAGCTACGAAAGATGAACACTGCCGAGCATGGTGGCTCATGTCTATCATCCCAGCACTTTGGGAGGCCAAGGCGGGTGAATTGCTTGAGCCCAGGAGTTCAAGACCAGCCTGGGCAACACAGTGAAGCTGCCTCTGCACAAACTTTAAAAATTAGCTAAGCATGGTAGCCTGTGCCTGTAGTCCCAGCTATTCAGGAGGCTGAAGGGGATGGATCCATTGAACCCAGGAATTTGGGGCGGCAGTGATCCGTGATTATGCCACTGCACTCCAGCTGCCTGGGTTACAAGGTGAGACACTGTCTCTAAAAAAAGAAAGAAATAGGCCAGGCGCGGTGCCTCACACCTGTAATCCCAGCACTTTGGGAGGCCGAGGCAGGTGGATCACCTGAGGTCAGGAGTTTGAGACCAGTCTGACTAACATGGAGAAACTCCGTCTCTACTAAAAATACAAAATTAGCCGGGCATGGTGGCGCATGCCTGTAATCCTAGCTACTCCGGAGTCTGAGGCAGGAGAATCGGGAGTAGCTTGAACCCGGGAGGTGGAGGTTGCAGTGAGCCGAGATCGTGCCATTGCACTCCAGCCTAGGCAATAAGAGTGAAACTCTGCCTCAAAGAAAAAAAAAAAAGAGACAGAGAAACAAAGAAATACACATGTAAGATAAAACTAAGAAAAAAATGAAAGAAAGGAGATAATGATTACCTCAGGGTAAGAACAGAAAACAAGTTCAAATGAAATGATTAGATGTTCTAAGGGGACCTGATAAAGTAGAAAACTTTTTAAAGTTTTTTAAAATTAAAAAAAAAAGATTAGATATATACTTTTGTTTCATGATCCCAGCTTTTGTTTTGGGTGCCTAGATTGCCAGAGCTTACTACATTTATTAAAAATAACTTACTAAATAAGGAAAAGTAGGTCAGGCATGAACACTGAGGAGTGTGTACTAATCAATCTTGTTCTCAGCTTAGCTGATAAGGCAAACACCAAAGAGACTGCTGAATTCATCTTTGTACTCCAAGTGCCAAACACAAGCCTCGGCGCACAGAATTTCGGGAGGCATTTGGGGAATGAATCAGGGCTCTTCTCTCTAGCCCATGGCCTCATTTCCTGTTGGCCTCTTAATACCTTCAACACGTCTGAGGCCAAACGCATCTTCCTTCCTCATTCTCCTTTTCCCCCTGGATTTCCCCCAGGCGGCCAAGAGAAAAACCTCAGATTCTCAGTCCTCCGCAGCCCGCTCCCCCAGGCCTAGCAGCTGCCTGCCCTGCTCTCTCCTCACCTCTGAAGCCCCCTGCTAACACCTGGCCGGGACCCTTATGCCTCTCACTTTACCCCCTCCCTGCCGGGCGCAGTGGCTCACGCCTGTAATCCCAGCACTTTGGGAGGCCTCGGTGGGTGCATCACCTGAGGTCAGGAGTTCGACACCAGCCTGGCCAACAGAGGGAAACCCCGTCTCTACTAAAAATACAAAAATTAGCCAGGCATGGTGGCAGGTGCTTGTAGTCCTAGCTACTTGGGAAGCTGAGGCAGGAGAATCACTTGAACCCGGGAGGTGGAGGTTGCAGTGAGCCAGGATGGCGCCACTGCACTCCAGCCTGGGTAACAGAGCGAGACTCCATCTCAAAAAAACAAAACAAAACAAAAAAACAAATAAGTGCTCCCTCCCAAACAGCTTCTCCAACTCTGCTTTCTAACCCTCTTGTACATCTCAGATGGGGGGGCAGAAAAGATTAAGCTTCCTGAACTAACGTTCTGATCTTGTCTTTTACACACCTCCCCTGGATCTCTAGAATGAAATTCAAATTCCTTAGGCTGACAGTCAAAGCCGATCACAATACCGCCCTTCCCTCGCTATCAACAATATTTGCCGGTGCCCTTCCCTTCCATCCCCTCATCTATACCTCCCTCTCCACAATTCCCTTCCAGAGTGTAAATGAGGATCCACTACTCCCATGTGCATCAGCGTGTCTGTCCCCACCCCCATGACTCTGCTTCACCCTGAATCCCACCCACTTGGTCCCCTGTCCTCACCTTACCCACCCTTTTATGGCCCAATTTAAACAGCACTTCCCACGATGCCTGGATGTGCCCAGCAGAAAGCAAACACCCTCTAAATCAGCCAGGCATGATGGTGTGCACCTGTAAGTCCAGCTACTCGGGAAGCTGAGGCACAAGAACCTCTTGAGCCTGGGAGGTGAAGTTGAGCAGTGAGCTGAGATTGCACCACCGCTCTCCAGCCTGGGTGACAGAGTAAGACCCTGTCTCAAAAAGTAAACAAACAAAACAAAACAACAACAACAAAAAGAATGAAAGAAAACACCCTCTTAGCAAGTTCCTTTTCAGTTCTCTATGTTCACTTTATCTCTTCAACTAGACTATAAGCAACTGAGGGCAAAACCACTCACCTGCCTCTCCCCACGAAGAAGCTGGCATGATGTATGTAAGAAGACCGCCACAAAGCGAATAATCCAGTCTAAACCCATTCCACATGTTCCAGTGTGCTCCATTAAAATGTCCCTCACGAGGCCAGGCACGGTGGCTCAGGCCTGTAATCCTAGCACTTTGGGAGGCTGAGATGGGAGGATCCCTTGAGGCCAGGAGTTAGAGACCAGCCTGGACAACGTAGAGCGGCACTGTCTCTAGATAAAATTATTAGTCGGGTATGGTGGTAGGCACCTCAGCTACCCCAGAGCCCAGGAATTTGAGGCTGTGGTGAACTATGATCACTCCACTGCACTCCAGCCTGGGCAGCAGAAGCAGACCCCAACTCAAAAAAATAATTAATAAAATGACCCTCATAGAAATCTCCTAAAATCCTTCCACTCCCGAGTCTTGGCATGGCCCACATAACCCTCCTCGCTCAGAGCCCTCTGCCTGCTTTTCCAGCCTCCTCTATTACATACTAAGCTACTTACAGTAGCCCAGCTGTGTCCCGGTAGCTTCATGACTTTGCAAACGCTGACTCCTCTCCCAGGTGACTGTGCCCCACTTTCTAAGTCCTACTCCTCCTTCACAACCCCCCTCAACTACCACCTTCCAGGAGCCTTCCTGACCTTCCCTCTAACCGTCCCCTTTCTGGATGTGGGTAGGAGAGCCTTGTGATTTCTCCCAGCTCAGTATATATCACACTGACAACACCTTGTCACTGACTCTGCTTTGTCTTTTCCACCAAACAATGCACTCCCAAAAGACAGAGATCTTATCTGGCACCCAGTAAGGGTTTATGCAACAAAAGAAATGAAAACTGCCACTTCAAATGCAGAAATCGTGACTTGTGTCTTCTATCCCATAAAGCATGTCTTAAAGTGGAAAGCATCTTCTAAGACTAGTTAGTTAAACAGGAGAAGCAGTGGCAAGACGCCACTGCAATTTATTTGAGACAGGTGGCAATCAACAGTCAACTCCCAGGGCACACGTTTATCCTGCAGACCTCAAATTCCACCCTCCCCAATCCCCACCTTCTCTGCACCAGATAGAGAAGGCAGCAAGGTCAAGTCCCCATGGCTCTCACCTTTTCTCTCTGGAGAGCTGGCACAAACTGTCCCTTCTGGATGAAGACACCAGCTCCTTAGGAGGAATGACTTGTTTGAGTTCCCATCTTGATACAAACCACAAACAACAAAAACCGGGCAAATCTGAAAGGCTTGCTGACTCAGCGACACAAATTCCAAGGCACCTTTGCCAACGAGGAAGAAGATGATCAGGTTTTAAATTAAGAAACAGCAGTTAGTAAAAACAAAGGTACAGATGTTGGATCCGTGTGCTGTGCCTGGGGACTGAAAATCACCAGATTTATTTTCCAATAGCCTGGGTGGAGCAGGAGGTACAACAGTCTTCCTCCACCCACTTAACAATCAAGGAGATGGTTGAAGAAACAACAAAAAGCAAACAAACAAAAAAACCCTGAGCTCTTTTTAAAATTTTTTATTATTATTAGTTTTTGGAGACGGAGTCTTGCTCTGTCACCCAAGCTGGAGTGCAGTGGCGTGATCTCGGCTCACTGCAGCCTCCGCCTCCCAGGTTCAAGCTACTCTCCTGCCTCAGCTTCCCGAGTAGCTGGGATTATAGGCTCGAGTCACCACGCCTGGCTCTGAGCCCTTTTCTTAAAAAAAAAAAAAAGTTCGTTTTTTTAGTTTGTTTGTTTTTTGTTTTTTGAGACGGGGTCTCCCTCTGTCGCCCATGCTGCAGTGCAGTGGTGTGATCACAGCTCACTGCAGCCTCCAACTCCTGGGCTCAAGCGATCCTCCTGCCTCAGCCTCCCAAGTAGCTGGGACTACAGGCACCCACCAACACGCCCATCTGATTTTTTATAGAGACAGTGATCTCAGGAATCCTCTTCGTTTCCCAGGCTTGTCTCAAATTCCTGGACTCAAATGATCCTTCCACCTCGGCCTCCCAAAGGGCTGGGATTACAGGCATGAGCCACCGTGCCTGGCCTGAGCCCTTTTACAGAAAACTCTAAAAGGACTTCATAAGCCAGTCTGGCAGCTAAGCATCCAGGAAATCAACACACCAGAGAGGGTAAATATTTAAGGTCACAGAGCAACCGAATCAGAGGGCTTGCTATCCGGATGGCTTAAGCCCGGATGGTGGCTACCAGAAAGTCTACCTTCTAGAGCGCTAGAGGAGCTAGGAAGGCATGCAGAAATATTCTGAGTTTCTCAAGGGTCCAGGCGTCTGTACACATGCTATTTATTTCCATCGCTGTTGGCGCTTAGAGAAGTGGAGCCAGCTTGGAGGAGGAGGGCAGCTGGCTGAGACAGTCGCGATGAAAGCGCAGCTCCAGAAAAGGGAACCGAGTTCTAAATCTTTTTCGGCACCCCTTACGCACCCCAAAAAGTGACCCAGGGCCCCAGGAACTCCTGGGAAGACCCCCCACAGGAAAGCAGGGAAGCAGAGTTAGGAAGCAAACTCCTCCAAAGTACAACCCCCGGCCCAGTGAGTCCCTTCACCTGGGGGTAGACCCCAGCAGGACCAACCCCTCGTCAGGGAGCCGGTGGCAATCTCGTCACCCCCTCCTCTGGGTACTTTGGGAAGGGGTGCGCGCCTTCCGAGCGACCCGGAACCGCGCCCCTCCGCCTGCGAGCCCCTCAGCCTTCATCCGAACGTCCCCTTTCGCACCCGGCACCCTGTCCCGTCCAAAGCTGCCGGCGCCTCCCAAGTCCCCCAACTCTCGCCCTCAGGACCTTGATCCCGGAGACCGATCCCCCCGACACCCCCGATCTCCCGGGACCCCCGGGTGTCCCCGCCGCCCCGGCCGTCGGTCCCCCTCACACCCACGCCCGCCCCCTTCCGGTCCCAGCTAGGCTCCGGCTCCCCGCGCCACCCCGCGCCCCTGGGACCGCAGCCCTAGCGACGCGCAGGTGGCCTTCCCGCCCTCTCACCGAGGCTGAGGAGGACAAGAGGACGGGGCTGAGGGCACCACCGCGCTCGGGCTGCAGCTCCGGCTCGGCCTGGGCAGGGCTCTGGCTGTGGCTCCGACTCTCAGGAGAAGGCAGCCAGAGTGAAACTCGGCGTCGCAGCTTCCGAGCGAGCCGCTGCGCATGCCCGGGGCGTGCGGCCTTCTGGGAAATGTAGTCCCGGTAGGGCCCAGGGGCGGGCAGAAGGCGGGGCTCAGCGGGGAAGGGCTCAACCCAAGGCGCACCTGCTCCGGTCTATGTTTTCTTCCTTCGCCTGCTCACTCATTGACTTATTCCTTCATTAATTACTGACTTAATTTTAACTAGTTTTTACTAGTACATACATGGTGCCAGTACATACATGTGCTACTGTTTCTCTTTTTTTGTTTTTAAAATTAATTTTATTTTTCTTTTTTGTACAGATGGGGGTTTTGCAATGCTGCAACGTTGCTCAGGCCGATCTCAAACTCCTGGCCTCAAGCGATCCTCTTGCTTCATTCAGCCTCCCAAAGCACTGGGGTTGCAAGTGTGAGCCATCGAGCACAACCTTTTTAAATTTAAATTTTTGTCTTTTTCTTTTCTTTTTTTCTCTCTTTCTTTCCTATTTATTTTTAATATTTATTTATTTATTTAGCTACTGTGTAGTGGGAGTGCGGGAGTGAATAGGTGAATCAGAAATGGTTTCTTGGCTGGGCGCAGTGGCTCATGCCTGTAATCCCTGCACTTTGAGAGGCAGAGGTGGGCGGATCACCTGAGGTCGGGAGTTCCAGACCAGCCTGGCCATCATGGCGAAACCCCGTCTCTACTAAAAATACCAAAAAAAACTAGCCGGGCGTGGTGGCTCGTGCCTGTAATCCCAGCTACTCGGGAGGCTGAGGCAAGAGAATCGCTTGAACCCGGGAGGCAGAGGCTGTAGTGAGCCAAGATCGCGCCATTGCACTCCAGCCTGGGCGACGGAACAGGAATCCCTCTCAAAAGAAAAAAAAAAAAAGACGAAGAAGAAGAAAAAAGAAAAAGAAAAGGTTTCTCGCCGGGAGCGGTGGCTCACGCCTGTAATCCCAGCACTTTGGGAGGCCGAGGCAGCCAGATCACAAGGTCAAGAGATTGAGACCATCCTGGCCAACATGGTGAAACCCCGTCTCTACTAAAAATACAAAAATTAACTGGGTGTGGAGGCCGGGCGCAGTGGCTCACGCCTGTAATCCCAGCACTCTGGGAGGCCGAGGCGGGCGGATCACGAGGGCAGGAGATCGAGACCACGGTGAAACCCCGTCTCTACTAAAAATACAAAAAAAAAAAAAAATTAAGCGGGCGTAGTGGTGGGCTCCTGTAGTCCCAGCTACTCGGGAGGCTGAGGCAGGAGAATGGCGTGAACCCGGGAGGCGGAGCTTGCAGTGAGCCGAGATTGTGCCACTGCACTCCAGCCTGGGTGACAGAGCGAGACTCCGTCTCAAAAAAAAAAAAAAATAATAATAATAATAATAATTAACTGGGTGTGGTGGCGCGTGCCTGTAATCCCAGCTACTTGGAAGACTGAGGCAAGAGAATCACTTGAACCCTGGAGGTGGAGGTTGCACTGAGCCAAGATTGTGCCACTGCACTCCAGCCTGGACGACACAGTGGGAATCTGTCTCAAAAAAAAAAAAAAAAAAAAGAAAGAAAAGAAAAGAAAAGAAAGAAAGAAGAAAAGAAAAGGATTTCTTTCCTGGGAAAGCTTTGTATCTAGTTGGAAAGTCCGGCACTTAAACACACAATTACGATATAGTGGGGAAAATGTTTGGATAAAGGAGGGCATAGAAGGGTATGCCTAACTTGAGGGTGGGGAGAAGACATCACAAGACAGATAAAGGCTATGTGGGTTTTTCAGTCCATAGAGAAATTTGCCAGTTGGAGCATAGGGAAGCTCTTGTAAAGCAAGAGAGATGTGAAAGTGCCTCATGCACTCCGGAGGCAGCACAAAGTTCCTGGTGGCCAGGGCAGAGGACACATGGAGGGAAGGGAGTGAGGAAGGAGAAAATGCACTAGGCTATAGCAGGATCTGAGGAGTGTGGGGAGAAGCCGGGGTAAGATTATGATGAATTTTAGATAATGTGAGTGTTTGCACATGTGTGCACATACTATGTATGTTGAATATTATGTATACAGTTTCAGGGGGATCAAGGTCCTCTGAATCTTGGAGGACCAAGTACCCAGTTAAAGATACTTACCTGGAATGACATTATCCTAAGGTCATTGATCCTTTATCAGGGATTTTTATTTTCCTTTTTTTTTTTTTTGAGACGAGTTTTGCTCTTGTTGTCCAGGCTGGAGTGAAATGGCACAATCTCGGCTCACTGCAACCTCCGCCTCCCAGGTTCAAGTGATTCTCCTGCCTCACCTCCCGAGTAGCTGGGATTACAGGCATGCACCACCACACTCAGCTAATTTTTGTATATATATATATTTTTGAGACGGAGTCTTGCTCTGTCGCCCAGGCTGGAGTGCAATGGCACAATCTCAGCTCACTGCAAACTCCGCCTCCCAGGTTCAAGCAATTCTTCCTCAGCCTGCCGAGTAACTGTGATTACAGGCGGATGCCACCATGCCCAGCTAATTTTTGTATTTTAGTAGAGACAGGGTTTCACCATGTTGGCCAGGCTGGTCTTGAACTCCTGACCTCGTGATCTGCCCACCTCGGTCTCCCAAAGTACTGGGATTACAGATGTGAGCCACCGCATCCGGGCTAATTTTTGTATTTTTAGTAGAGACAGAGTTTCACCATGTCAGCCAGGCTGATCTCAAACTCCTGACCTCAGGTAATCTGCCCACTGCAGCCTTCCAAAGTGCTGGGATTACAGGTGAGGGCCACCGCATCCGGCCAGAGTTCCATTTTTAAAATCTGAAAAGACGGACTATTTTTATTTGGGAAAAATAAAGAGTTCTGGTTGTGAAAAGAAGTAAAATAGGACAGTATCAAGAGGGAGAGTGGGGGGCATGGACTTTTGTATTTTAGACAGGAGAGAGAAGAGTGTGCTGACTTCTGAAATTGCAGCAGGATGTCTGCCCCCTGGGAACCTGGAAATGAGGGAAACAGGCTTGGCCACTTGCAAAGTGAACTTTAAACTAATATACGTAGCAAAGGGCCAGAGACAAAAGAACTGCCTGGTAGGAGGGGGCTGGTTAAATAACCCCGGAACACTAGGTAGCCCTAGAAGGAATGAGGAAGACTCACAGTGGCCTAGATCTATTGTTAAACCAAAAAGGAACTTTGAGCCAGGCAAGGCGGCTCATGCCTATAATCCCAGCACTTTGGGAGGCGGAGGCAGGTGGATCACCTGAGATCAGGAGTTCAAGACCAGTCTGGCCAACATGGTGAAACCTCGTCTCTACTAAAAATACAAAAATTAGCTGGGTGCAGCGGTGCACACCTGTAATCCACCTACTCGGGAGGCTGAGGCAGGAGAATCGCTTGAATCTGGGAGGCAGAGGGTGTAGTGAGCCAAAATTGCACCATTGCACTAGCCTGGGTGACAGACTGAGACTCGGTCTGAAAAAAAGAAAAAAAAGGAACGTTCAAAATAGAGGGTAGAGAATATGAGAATATGCACCCATTTGTGTTTTTTAAACAATTGCATACAATAAACGGGCTTACAGACGAAGAAAGTTTCTGGGAAGAGACCCAAGAAGCCCCAGAAGGTAGGCGGATAAGCTGAAGAATTGTTAAAGATTTTATTTATTTATTTTTTGAGACAGTGTCTCCCAGGCTGGAGTACAGTGGCGTGATCATAGCTCACTGCAGCCTCGACCTCCTGGGTTCAAGTGATCTTCCTGCCTCAGCCTCCTGAGTAGCTGGGACTACAAGCGTGCACCACCATGCCAGGCTGATTTTTGTATTTTCTGTCAAGATAGGGTCTCACCATATTGCCCAAGTTGGTCTCAAACTCCTGGGCTCACACATTCCTCTTGCCTCAGCCTCCTAAAGTGCTGAGATTACAGCCATGAGCCACCACGCCTGACTGAATTTTTAAAGATTTAGAGAGGGCTGTCAGCTGGGCACAGTGGCTCATGCCTCTAATCCCAGCACTTTGGGAGGCCAAGGTGGGAGGATCACATAAGGTCAGGAGTTTGGCCAACATGGGGAAACCCCGTCTCCACTAAAAATACAAAAATTAGCCAGGCGTGGTGGCATGCGCCTGTAATCCCAGCTACTGGGGAGGCTGAGGGAGGAGAATCTCTTGAACCCAGGGGGCAGAGGTTGCAGTGAGCCGAGATCGTGCCATTGCACTCCAGCCTGGGCAACAGAGTGAGACTCTGTCTTTAAAATAAAATAAAATAAAATAAAATAGGGCTCTCTCTTCTCTGGCAGTACCCCCACTCCCCACAACATACACAGTAGGGCAGTTTGCCACTTGCGTTCTTGCATAAAGGTCCACAGCCTAAGGGGCAGTGGCAGGAGCAGCGGCAGGAAATATTCCTGGCAGGGGTTCTTTGTCTGAAATTTTCCGCCTAGAGATGGTGTCTTTTTTTTTTTTTTTTTTTTTGAACTCCTCAAAGGCTGGGGTTTGTTCAACACACCCAAGGGGCCACCAGTGCTCTGAAGCAACTGAAAATGAATGACGTGGCCCAAGAAAGAATGTGACTGTTGGCCACAAAATGGGGAGTGGTGTTGAGCAAAGAAATTTAAACTCTAATACCCATAATCCCAGCACCTGGCTAGGTCCAAGTGGGAGGATCGCTTGAGCTCAGAAGTTTAAGACCAGCTTGGGTGACAAGACAAGACCCCATCTCTACAAAAAATAAAAAAATTAGCTGGGTGTGGTGGGACACCCCTGTGGTCCCAGCTACTTGGGAGACTGAGGCAGGAGGATCACTTGAGCCCAGGGGGTCCAGGCTGCAGTGAGCTATGACGACACCACTGCATTCCAGCCTGGGTGACAGGGTGACATCTTGTCTCTTAAAAAAAAAAAGGGCCGGGTGCGGTGTCTCATGCCTGTAATCCTAGCACTTTGGGAGGCCGAGGCGGGCGGATCACAAGGTCAGGAGATCAAGACCATCCTGGCTAACATGGAGAAACCCCGTCTCTACTAAAAATACAAAAATAAAATAAAATAAAATTAGCCGGGCATGGTGGCGGGCGCCTGTAGTCCCAGCTACTTGGGAGGCTGAGGCAGGAGAATGGCGCGAACCCGGGAGGCAGAGCTTGTAGTGAGCCGAGATTGCACCACTGCACTCCAGCCTGGTGAGACTCTGTCTCAAATAAAAAAAAAAAAAAAAAAGGACAACACGTGGGGGTGGGGTATGGGGTAGAGGGTATTTGCAAACTTTTCAGATGAATGAACGGCGAGCACACGTACCTTATTTTAGATTTGCCACAAGGGAACCAGTGAAAAGGGTGAGCCTTTTCTTTTGTTTTTGAGATGGGGTTTCGCTCTTCTTGCCCAAGCTAGAGTGCAATGGTATGATCCCGGCTCACTGCAACTTCCACCTCCCATATTCAAGTGATTCTCCTGCCTCAGCCTCCCAAGTAGCTGAGACTACAGGCGTGTCCCACCATGCCTGGCTAATTTTTGTATTTTTAGTAGAGATGGGTTTCGCCATGTTGGCCAGGCTGGTCTTGAACTTCTGACCTCAGGTGATCCGCCTGCCTCAGCCTCCCAAAGTGCAGGGATTACAGGCGTGAGTCACCTGCCCAGATGGGTGAGCCCTTTCAAAACATGTTCCAAGGGGCTGGGACTTACATAAGATAATTATTTGGGGAAGACTGGTTTACTCCTCAGGGCTGTAAAGCCATCTTTTTTTTTTTTTTTTTTTTGAGACAGAGTCTCTCTGTGTCGCCAAGGCTGGAGTGCAGTGGCATGATCTTGGCTCACTGCAACCTCTGCCTCCTAGATTTAAGTGATTCTCCTGCCTCAGCCTACTGAGTAGCTGGGATTACAGGCGCCCGCCACCACGTCCGGCTAATTTTTTTTTTTTGTATTTTTAATAGAGATGGGTTTTCACCATGTTGGCTGCAAAGCTATCTTGCTTTTCTTTGTTGTGCAGGTCACACCTGGGTCCTGAGCTGGCGCCATCACCGGAGACGCCAGGTGATGTCCATTCATCAGAAATAATGAGCAAAGCAGCTGTGGCTTCTAATCAGCCCATCCCTCCAGGGTGTCAGATGGAGGCCAATTAGTGGACGCACTAGACAACCAAATTCTGCCTTTCCAAGCAAAACATCAGAAAATGTTCTAGCCCTTAGCATTGATGCTGGAACCCAGTGTCTTGCTTCTGCTTGGGTTTTCATGATCTTTCCTTGCTCTGGGTGAGCTGGGGGCTGGTTCTAGATCAGAACCTTCAGAGGCACTAAGAAATGCCACCTGGAGTGGAGTTAAAGAAGTTATTTTTTTTTTTTAACTTCTACTATTGTCAGAGGCGGGTGAACCAGAGCAACTCCATTTTGAATAGGGGCTGGATAAAATGAGGCTGAGACCTATTGGGCTGCATTCCCAGATGCTTAAGGCATTCTAAGTCACAGGATGAGATGGGAGGTTGGTACAAGATACAGGTCATAAAGACCTTGCTGATAAAACAGGTTGCAGTGATGGCCGGGCGCGGTGGCTCACGCCTGTAATCCCAGCACTTTGGGAGGCTGAGGCGGGCGGATCACAAGGTCAGGAGATCGAGACCATCCTGGCTAACACGGTGAAATCCCGTCTCTACTAAAAATACAAAAAATTAGTTGGATATGGTGGCGGGCACCTGCAGTCCCAGCTACTCGGGAGGCTGAGGCAGGAGAATGGCGTGAACCCGGGAGGCGGAGCTTGCAGTGAGCCGAGATCGCGCTACTGCACTCCAGCCTGCGTGACAGAGCGAGACTCCGTTTCAAAAAATAAATAAATAAATAAATAAATAAATAAATAAATAAATAAAACAGGTTGCAGTGAAGAAGCCGGTTAAAACCCACCAAGACCAAGATGGCGACGAGAGTGACCTCTGGTCGTCCTCACTGCTACACTCCCACCAGCTTCATGACAGTTTACAAATGCCATGGCAACGTCAGGAAGTTACCCTATGTGGTCTAAAAAGGGGAGGCATGAATAATCCACCCCTTGTTTAGCATATCATCAAGAAATAATCATAAAAATGGGTAACCAGCCACCCTCGGGGCTGCTCTGTTTATGGAATGGTCATTCTTTCATTCCTCTACTGTCTTAATAAACTTGCGTTCACTTTATGGACTCGCCCTGAATTCTTTCTTGCGTGAGATCCAAGAACCCTCACTTGGGGTCTGGGTAGGGACCCCTTTCCTGTAACACTATCATTCTCAAGTTTTTTTTTTTTTTTTTTTTTGAGATGGAGTCTCGCTCTGTCACCCAGGCTGGAGTGCAGTGGCACGATCTCGGCTCACTGCAACCTCCGCCCCCCAGGTTCAAGCGATTCTCCTGCCTCAGCCTCCCGAGTAGCTGGGATTACAGGTACGCTGTAATTTTTGTATTTTTAGTAGAGACGAGGTTTCACCATCTTGGCCAGGCTGGTCTTGAACTCCTGACCTCATGATCCACCCGCCTTGGCCTCCCAAAGTGCTGGGATTACAGGCGTGAGCCACCGCGTCTGGCCCATTCTCAAGTTTTGTTTTGTTTTGTTTTGTTTTAGAGACAAGGTCTCACTCTGTTGTCCAGGCTAGAGTGCAGTGATATGATCACGGCTCACTGCAGCCTGGAACTCCTGAGCTCAAGCGATCTTCCTACCTCAGCCTCTTAGAGTGCTGGGATTATAGGCTTGAGCCACTGCATTCAAACTCGAGCCCTTTTTCTTTTTTAATCTAAATTCCTTTTTTTTTTCTTTTTGAGTTGGGGTCTTGCTCTGTTGCCCTGGCTAGAGTGCAGTAGCTGGATCATATCTCACTGCAGCCTCCAACTCCTGGGCTCAAGTGATCCTCCCACCTCAGCCTCTGGAGCTGGGAATACAGGCACTCACCACCATGCCTGGCTAATTTTTATATTTTGTTTGGTAGAGATGGAGTTGCACTATGTTGGCCAGGCTGGTCTCTAACTCTTGGGCTCAAGAGATCCCTCCACCTTAGCCTCCCAAAGTGCTGGAATTACAGGTGTGAGCCACCGCGCCCAGCCCAAATTGATTGTGTGTTTTTTTTTTTTTAATTTCACTTTTCCCCCTGTGATACAGCCCCAGAAGATCCCCAAATAAATTCTTAAAACAGTCTTATGACTCTAATGTCAGAAATCCTATCTACAGGAACAATGGTATGCAATGGTCAGGAACTAGTGCCACCTGACTTTTAGCAACAAGGAAGTGGGCCAAAATGCAGCCTGATGAATGCTTAATTATAACTCTATTTCTGTCCAGAACCCAGCATGCAGTTCTTGTCGCTCCTGTGGGGATAGTTTCATTCTCATTGTAAATGAATATTCTGGTGTGTTGCTTTGGGATATATAAGTTGTTCAAGAAAAGGGATCAAGCCTGGTGCGGTGGCTTATGCCTGTAATCCCAACACTTTGGGAGGCTGAGGTGGGTGGATCACCTGAGGTCAGGAGTTTCAGACCAGCCTGGCCAACAGGGCAAAACCCCCATCTCTACTAAAAATACAAAAATTAGCTGGCTGTGATGGTACGCAACTGTAATCCCAGCTACTCAGCAGGCTGAGGCAGGAGAATCTCTCAAAACCTGGGAGGCGGAGGTTGCAGTGAGCCAAGATCGCGCCATTTACACTCCGGCATGGCTGACAGAGCGAGAATCCGCCTCCAAAAAAAAAAAAAAGAGAGAGAAAGAAAAGCAAAGCACGCTTGGTGACCGTGCTAGGTTTTTTGAGATAAGTTTTTTGTTAAACAAGAGCAATTTTGTTTAAGTTGGGGGTTATTTAAAGATTGTTTCAAAATATGGATTTAGGAAGGAAATAGAAACAAGGTGGGAAGAAGGCCAGTAAGTAGGAGAGATGTGAAAAAAAGTTGTAAGTATGAGGATGTATTTTTGGTAAAGAAAGTTGAAAAAAGAGTAATTTTTCATTTTGCATAAGAGAGGACTTTGGTCAAAATCAAGAGGAAAGGAAAGTAAATTTCTGTCCTAAAGTACATTGCTAATATAAAAGAAGAAGTATAGGACAAAATCAAAGATTTAAGGAAGTGTAGAAGTTGTGGAAGATTAATCTCATGAAAGGAATTTGGTGTGTGATTAAGCTGGCCGAAATTAGAAGGGGATTATTTATAAGATTTTCGGCCAGGCGTGGTGGCTCATGCCTGTAATCCCAGCACTTTGGGAGGCTGAGGTGAGCTGATCACCTGAGGTCAGGAGTTCGAGAACAGCCTGCTCAACATGGCGAAACCACATCTCTACTAAAAATACAAAAAGTTAGCTGGGCATGGTGATAGGCGCCTGTAATCCCAGCTACTCACAAGGCTGAGGCAGGAGAATCGCTTGAATCCAGGAGGTGGAGGTTGCAGTGAGCCGAGATCATGCCACTGCACACCAGCCTGGGTGACAAGAGGGAAACTCTATCTCAAAAAAAAAAAAAGCCATAAATATTTATAAGATTTTCTAAAAATTGAACTTTCTTTTCCTTTATTTATTTTATTTGTTTACTTTTTCTGAGATAGTTTCACTCTGTCACCCAGGCTGGAGTGAAGTGGCTCGATCTCGACTCACTGCAACTTCCACCTCCCTGGTTCAAGCGATTCTCCTGCCTCGGCCTCCTGAGTAGCTGGGATCACGGGTGTGTGCCACCACACCCGGCTAATTTTTGTATTTTTAGTAGAGACGGGGGTCTCACCATGTTGGTCAGGCTGGTCTCGAACTCCTGACCTCATCATCTGCCCGCCTCAGCCTCCCAAAGTGCTGGGATTACAGGCCTGAGCCACTGCGCCCGGCCTAAAATTGAAGCTTTTTTTGAGGCAGGGTCTCACTCTGTCACCCAGGCTGGAGTGCAGTGGCATGATCATAACTCACTGTAGCTTTAATCTCCTGGGCTCAAGTGATTCTCCCACTTCAGCCTCCCAAGTAGACAGGACTACAGGTGTGCACCACCACACCTGGCTAATTTTTACTTTTAGTAGCGGTGAGGTCTTCCCATGTTGCCTAGGCTAAAAACTGAGCATTAATATCAAAAGCACACTGATGGATACAAGGCCACAATTTGGGCCCCTATGTTGCAACAACAGAGTTTTTGTGGACCATTGATCTACCCTTTACAAGAAAATTGTAAAAGATTTTTCTTTACCTTTTAGGTAACTGGCCTAGGAAACAGAGAATCTGTTTCATCAAGAATATTGGCCAGGGCTGGGCGCGGTGGCTCACGCCTGTAATCCCAGCACTTTGGGAGGCTGAGGCAGGCGGATCATGAGGTCAGGAGATCGAGACCATCCTGGCAAACACGGTGAAACCCTGTCTCTATTAAAAATACAAAAAAATTAGCTGGGCGTGGTGGCAGGCGCCTGTAGTCCCAGCTACTCGGGAGGCTGAGGCAGGAGAATGGCGTGAACCCGGGGGGTGGAGCTTGCAGTGAGCCGAGATCACACCACTGCACTCCAGCCTGGGTGACAGAGCGAGACTCCGTCTCAAAAAAAAAAAAAAAAAAATTGACCAGGCACGGTGGCTCACGCCTGTAATCCCAGCACTTTGGGAGGCCAAGACAGTCAGATCACCTGACGTCAAGAGTTCAAGACCAGCCTGGCCAACATGGTGAAACTCTGTCTCTCCTTAAAATACAAAAATTAGCCGGTGTGGTGGCGAGCACCTGTAATCCCAGCTACTTGGGAGGCTGAGGCAGGAGAATTGCTTGAACCTATGAGGCAGAGGTTGCAGTGAGCTGAGATCACACCACTGCACTCCAGCATGGGCAGCAGAGCAAGACTCCCTCTCAAAAAAAAAGGGTATTTATTGTGCTTTCTGTCTTTCAAATATTTTCTCACTTTGGTTTTATTTCACAGTGACTTGTGATCCTACTTTGATCAAGCGTTTTAAAACTTTGATATTTGACAAACTTTTCAAAAATCAAAATTAAGGCAGACACAGTGGCGCACACCTGAATTCCCAACACTTTGGGAGGCTGAGGCAGGAGGATTGCTTGAGCCCAGGAGTTTGAGACCCACCTGGGCAACATAACAAGATCCCATCTCTACAAAAAATAAACAAAATTAGCTGGACGTGGTGGCACATGCCTGTAGACCCAGCTACTCTGGAGGCTAAGGTGGGACAATCACTTGCTTCAAGAGTTTGAGAGTGCAGTGAGATATGATTGTGTCCATGCACTCCAGCCAGGGTGACAGAGTAAGACCCTATCTCAAAAAAAAAAAAAAAATCAAAATTAAGTATTTTTGACCTCAAACTAACTTTAGGATGTTCCAGAGGACCCCTGAACCTCTCAAAGGATCTGCAAAAAAAGAAATATTAAACCAACTGGGCTTATCTGATATATTAAATTATATGAGGCTGGGCACAGTGGCTAATGCCTGTAATCCCAAGGGACGCCAAGGCAGGACGATTGCTTGAGCCCAGGAGTTTGAGACCAGTCTGGGCAAAATATCGAGACTCCTGTATCTACAAAAAAATTTTTAATTTTTTTTTTTTTTTGAGACGGAGTCTGGCTCTTGTGGGCCAGGCTGGAGTGCAGTGGCACCATCTCGGCTCACTGCAAGCTCCGCCTCGCAGGTTCAAGTGATTCTCCTGCTTCAGCCTCCTGAGTAGATGGGATTACAGGCGCCGGCCACCCTGCCTGGCTAATTTTTGTACTTTTAGTAGAGACCGGGTTTCACCATGTTGGCCAGGCTGGTCTTGAAGTCCGACCTCAGGTGATCCACCCACCTCGGCCTCCCAAAGTGCTGGGATTACAGGAATGAGCCACTGCACCCGGACAAAAAATTTAAAAATTTTAAAAATAAAATAAAAAATAAGGCCAGGCACGGTGTCTCATGCCTGTAATCCCAGCTCTTTGGGAGGCCGAGGCAGGCGGATCACGAGGTCAGGAGTTTGAGACCATCCTGGCTAACATGGTGAAACCCCATCTCTACTAAAAATACAAAAAATTAGCTGGGCGTGGTGGCAGGCGCCTGTAGTCCCAGCTACTCTGGAGGCTAAGGCAGGAGAATGGCATGAATCTGGGAGGCGGAGCTTGCAGTGAGCTGAGATTGCGCCACTGTACTCCAGCCTGGGTGACAGAGCGAGACTCCGTCTCAAAAAAAAAAAAAAAGAAATACATAAAATAAATTATAAGAGAAGGATTGGCAAAATAAGAAATATTTCACCTTGAGGTATATTTATATGGATATGTTATTAATATACTGAAAAATTGTATAACATATTTAAAAATCTGATGTGTCTTGGTATAAATGGTATCAGTCAATTTTGGTTCAGAAATAACATTCTTGTCAGTTATGTCGTCATTACCATGGACTCAGACCAGGTTTTGGCCATGGTCACTTGAAGTCTTCATGTCCACACTTAATTGCTTTAGTCTAATGTCTTTCTGAAAGCTTCTTGCAGGCAATTATAATCCCAGAGAGTTATGTCTTCAAGGAGCTTCATGGAAAGAATGAAGTCTGACAAGTACGGGTTTCTAATAACTTTGAGTTCACACTATTGAACTAAATTTCCAAAACTCAGCCAGGCACAGTGGCTCAAGCCTGTAATCCCAGCACTCTGGGAGGCCGAGGTGGGCGGATCACCTGAGGTCGAGAGTTCAAGACCAGCCTGACCAACATGGAGAAAACCCGTCTCTACTAAAAAAAAAAAAAAAAAAAAAAAAAACACAAAAAAATTAGCTGGGCGTGGTAGCATATGCCTGTAATCCCAGCTACTCAGGAGTCTGAGGCAGGAGAATCGCTTAAACCCAGGAGGCGGAGGTTGCAGTGAGCTGAGATTCTGTCGTTGCACTCCAGCCTGGGCAACAAGAGTGAAACTCTGTCAAAAAAAAAAAAAATTCCAAAACTCGAATGAAGAAACTGATGGGTTTGTGAAATTGCTAATACAGATCACAGCAAGAATTAATTACAAGACTGAATGAACTGATGAAAAATAATTATTAATCTTTTTTTTTTTTTTTTTTGAGATAGAACCTCACTCTGTCGCCCAGGCTGGAGTGCAATGGCGTGATCTCGGCTCACTACAACCTCTGCCTGCCAGGTTCAAGAGATTCCTTTGCCTCAGCCTCCCAAGTAGCTGGGATTACAGGCGCTCGCCACCATGCCCGGTTCGTTTTTTTTTTTTTTTTGAGACAGAGTTTCATTCTTGTTGCCCAGGTTGGAGTGCAATGGCGAGATCTTGGCTCACTGCAACCTCTGCCTCCCAGGTTCAAGCAATTCTCCTGCCTCAGCCTCCCTAGTAGCTGGGATTACAGGCATGTGCCACCACGCATGGCTAATTTTATATTTTCAGTAGAGACAGGGTTTCTACATGTTGGTCAGGCTGGTCTCGAACTCCCGACCTCAGGTGATCTGCCTGCCTCGGCCTCCCAAAGTGCTGGGATGCTGGGATTACAGGTGTGAGCCACTGCGCCCGGCCTCATTTTTGTATTTTTAGTAGAGATGGGGGTTTCACCATGTTGGCCAGGCTGGTCTCGAACTCTGACCTCAGGTGATCCGCCTGCCTAGGCCTCCCAAAGTGCTGGGATTACAGGTGTGAGCCACCAAACCGGGCCTGAATCTTTTTTTTTTTTTGATGGCAGGGTCTTGGCTCCGTCACCCAGGCTGAAGTGCAGTGGTGTGATCATGGCTCACAGCAGCCTTGAATTCCTGAGCTCAACCGATCCTCCCACCTCAGCCTCCCAAAATGCTGATTACAGGTGCAAGCCACTAGACCCAGCTGAATTATGGATTTTTAAGGCTGCTTTATGTCAAACATTGTGGGTTCTTTTAATATTGTTTTCCAGATTTAAGGAAACTTTTTTCTTTTAAGCTTTGTATAATTTATAGTAATTTGGTAAAGTACTTTTGAAAACAAAAATGAAAACATTTGCTTTTCCTCTCTACCTGAACCCTCCAGAATTTAGAAGCAATTTATGATTTTTTTTTTTATTATTATACTTTAAGTTCTAGGGTACATGTGCACAACGTGCAGGTTTGTTACGTATGTATACATGTGCCATGTTGGTGTGCTGCACCCATTAACTCATCATTTACATTAGGTATCTCTCCTAATGCTTTCCCTCCCCCCTCCCCCCACCCCACAACAGGCCCTGGTGTGTGATGTTCCCCTTCCTGTGTCCAAGTGTTCTCATTGTTCAATTCCCACCTGTAAGTGAGAACATGTGGTGTTTGGTTTTTTGTCCTTGCGATAGTTTGCCGAGAACGATGGTTTCCAGTTTCATCCATGTCCCTACAAAGGACATGAACTCACCCTTTTTTATGGCTGCATAGTATTCCATGATGTATATGTGCCACATTTTCTTAATCCAGTCTATCATTGTTGGACATGTGGGTTGGTTCCAAGTCTTTGCTATTGTGAATAGTGCCACAATAAACATACGTGTGCATGTGTCTTTACAGCAGCATGATTTATAATCCTTTGGGTATATACCCAGTAATGGGATGGCTGGGTCAAATGGTAATTCTAGTTCTAGATCCCTGAGGAATTGCCACACTGTCTTCCACAATGGTTGAACTAGTTTACAGTCCCACCAACAGTGTAAAAGTGTTCCTCGTTCTCCACATCCTCTCCAGCACCTGTTGTTTCCTGACTTTTTAATGATCGCCATTCTAACTGGTGTGAGATGGTATCTCATTGTGGTTTTGATTTGCATTTCTCTGATGGCCAGTGATGATGTGAGCATTTTTTCATGTGTCTGTTGGCTGCATAACGATTATTCTTATGTTTACAGCAACATGGTTATTTGCATAGATTCAAAAAGAATCTGTTCTCTGGCCAGGCACAGTGGCTCACACCTGTAATCCCAGAACTCCGGGAGGCCGAGGCAGGCGGATCACTTGAGATCAGGAGTTTGAGACCAGCCTGGCCAACATGGCAAAACGCCGTCTCTACTAAAAATACAAAAATTAGCCAGGCGTGGTGGCATGTGCCTGGAATCCCAGCTACTTGGGAGGCTGAGGCAGGAGAATCGCTTGAACCCGGGAGGTGGAAGTTGCTGTGAGCCGAGATTGCACCACTGCATTCCAGCCTGGGTGACAGTGAGATTCTGTCTCCAAAAAAAAAAATAAATAAAATAAAGGAGGGCCAGGCACGGTGGCTCACGCCTGTAATCCCAGCACTTTGGGAGGCCGAGGGGGGCGAATCACGAGGTCAAGAGTTCAAGGTGACTATAGGGAGAAAAATTATATTTCAATAGAAAAACGATAGTTTACCTGTTATTATAGTAATGTTCATTGTTTGAGTTATTTATCTACCTGTAGACTGGATTAGATTCTAGATTCTTCCAGTTTTCTCTAATGTCTGGCTACAATCTCCAGTGAAGAATGAGAACTGGCTGGGCGCGGTGGCTCATGCCTGTAATCCCAACATTTTGGTAGGCCGAGGCAGGAGGAGCACTTGAGGTCAGGAGTTCAAGACCAGCCTGGCCAACATGGTGAAACCCCGTCTGTACTAAAAAAATAAAATAAAATTAGCTGGGCATGGTGGCATGCCCCTGTAATCCCAGCTACTTGGGAGGCTGAGGTGGGAGGATGGTTTGAACCAGAGAAGTCGAGGTTGCAGTGAGTTATGGTGGTGCCACTGCAATCCAGCCTGGGCAACAGAGTGAGACCCCATCTCAAAAAATAAACCCACACCCAAAGTGTTGGTTTACAGAGGCTTTCCAATGCAATAGGAAGCTTCTGGAAACTTTAGGGAAAGAGGAGGATTAAGCAATGGAGTCTAGAGAACCCTCAGTGGCTTGCCACTGCCTTTCATTTCCAGTCTAGTTCCCCTGGGAGGCAGACAGGCCGAGCCCTCTGACATTGCTGCTGGAGGCTGTCTCTCCTGGCAAAGGCCCAGGGAAACTATCCTGCTGAGGCCCATCTGGAGCTGGCAGGGAGCTGACATTCATGGCCACATCTTAGTCATAACTCCTCCCCTCCCCTGACACAGCCACTTCCTCTTTCTGCTGAGAAAAGAAGTTGAATGAAGGACAAGCTCTCAGAAAGTTGCAACCCCTAAGAACTTGAGTACAAGGAAGAGACGGATGTTTATTTCAAGAACCGTTCCCCGATGTCTCCTGGCTCATAGAACAGCTCCAACAACACGTGCTTGGATGCCAAGTGTGCCATGAAGACCAATCCTTGCTATAATCCTGATGGAAAGAACTTCCCCATCTGAAAAGAGGATGGTGATAAGTAAACAGATTGTCAGGGGTAGAAGTACCCGTCGGACCCCAAGCCTGGAGCATTTTGCCAGAGACCTTTTTTTTTTTTTTTTTTGAAACGGAGTCTCGCACTGTTGCCCGGGGTGGTGCAATCTTGGTTCGCTGCAACCTCCACCTCCCGGGTTCAAGCGATTCTCCTGCCTCAGCCTCCCAAGTAGCTGGGACTACAGGCACATGCCACCACGCCTGGCTAATTTTTGTATTTTTAGTACAGATGGGGTTTCACTATGTTGGCCAGGCTGGTCTCGAACTCCTGACCTCGTGATCTGCCCACCTCAGCCTCCCAAAGTGCTGGGATTACAGACATGAGCCACCACGCCCGGCTCAGAGACCTCTTGCATGAGCCATGATTCTACCAAGCGCTCTACTCATTCCCCCAAGAAATCACGTCATCCCCTTTTTACAGATGAAGTTACCTGCTAAGCTAGAAGTGGCAGGAAGAAGCCAGGTGTGGTTTGTGGCTGCTTGGGAGGCTGAGGCAGGAGGAATGCTTGAGCCCAGGAGTTGGAGTCCAGCCTGGGCAACATAGCAAGACCTCGTTTCAAAAAAAAAAAAAGAGTGGCAGATGGGACTAGGGCCTGGGGATATGGCTTCAAGGATGTCTCCCAGCCTGCAGGCCGCATTCTCTGCCATTCCAGTTGATCATCTTGACAGGGAAAGTCTACCGGCACACGCATGCTTAGATGGGCCAGTATCTCCCTTATCTGGCCCATGAGGCCTCCCTCTCCAGGCCAAGCCCCACTCTTTACTAGGCACTGAGGCCTTCCATGCCCCCAGGGCACAGATTCTCCCATTTCTCTCCCCTCTTTTTTTTGAGATATTCTCACTCCAACACCCAGGCTGGAATGCAGTGGCACGCTCTTGGCTCACTGCAACCTCCATCTCCTGGGTTCAAGTGATTCTCCTGCCTCAGCCTCCCCAGTGGCTGGGACTACAGGCACCCACCACACACCTGGCTAATTTTTATATTTTTAGTAGAGATGGGGTTTTGCTATGTTGGCCAGGCTGGTCTTGAACTCCTGGTTTCAAGTGATCCACTCGCCTCGGCCTCCCAAAATGCTAAGATTACAGGTGTGAGCCACCACATCCACCTCCCCATGGTTGAGGATTTGCTTCTGGATCACCACCTCCAGGAAGCCTACCTCTGCAACCCCTAGGCAATTTTGTTTTTTGAGAAGGTCTTGCTCTGTCACTCTGGCTAGAGCGCAGCAGGAGGCAGCAAGGCTGGGACCTGAGCAGTGAGTACAGCTCACTGTAGCCTTGAATTCCTGGGCTCAAGTGATCCTCCAGCCTCAGCTTCCCAAGCAGTTGGGACTACAGGCACGTACCACTGTGCTCGGCTAATTTTTATATTTTGTAGAGATGGGGTCTCACCACGTTGCTCAGGCTGGTCTTGAGCTCCTAGGCTCAAGCCATCTTCCCACTTCGGTCTCCCAAAGTGCTGGCATTACAGGCCTGAACCACTGTATCTGGCGTTTTTGAACCCCAGCCTGTTACTCCCCTACAGATCACACCACAACCTGCTTAGGCCGCAAGCGGCTCACCCGGAACAATCCCTTCGTGCCACAAGTCCCTGGCTCAGTGCCCTTAACCACTCAAATCACCTGGGTTTTTGTTTTTTTTTTTTTTGAGATGGAGTCTTGCTGTTGCCCAGGCTGGAGTACAGTGGCGCGATCTCAGCCCCCTGAAACCTCTGCCTCTCCCGGGTTCAGGCAATTCTCCTGCTTCAGCCTCCCAGCTAGCTGGGATTACAGGCACCCACCACGATGCCCAGCTAATTTTTTGTATTTTTAGTAGAGACGGGGTTTCACCATATTAGCCAAGCTTGTCTTGAACTCCTGACCTCAGGTGATCCACCTGCCTTGGCTTCCCAAAGTGCTGGGATTACAGGCGTGAGCCACCATGCCCACCCCACCCTGGGATTTAAGATGCAAATTTCTAGGTCTGGGATGGGGCTTTAAATGATACATTTCTAACAAATTCTCAGGTGATGCCAACGTTCACAGACCACACTTAGAGTATCAAAGGCCTTCCTGCTCTCAGTAGGTCCAAAGCTACCCAAACCTTGCTCTGAATGCACTATAGACATGTCTATACCCGAGTCAACACGCTGGAGCCCCTGCCCTCAGCCAGAAGGGCCAGAGATAAGCACCATGCCAGTTGCACCTGAGCATCTTTCAGCTTTCATCAGTTTATGCCTAATCCTGCTCAGTAGGTGCCACCCCCATGTTGCCCATGAGGACTGGCAGGCTCACAGCAAGTAGCCAGCCAGGCTGGGATGCTGCAGCGCAAGTGAACTTCCCCGAGTGAGAATGGCTTGAGTTTGGGGCAAGGCTGGAGCCAACTACTGAGGGATGTGAAGCCTCCCACAGAGGTACCATGAACACCTTCCCCAGCAAAGGGGGCACAAGTTCCCTGGGCACCCTCCTTGGGGCACAATTCCCTTATTCACTCCTAGGAACTATGGCTGAAACCTGGGGGAGGGAAGCAGCCTATTTAGGGAGTGCGATAAAGGTAGGGGGAGGTTGAGAAGCAGCTCCCCCCAGTGACAGTGAGGCCTCATGTCTATAATCCCAGTGCTTTTGGAGGCCAAGGAGAGAGATCACGTGAGGCCAGGGGTTCGAGGCCAGCTTGGGGAACATAGCAAGACCCAGTTCCTACCAAAAATAGAATAAATTGGGCACAGTGGGGCTCATGCCTGTAGTCCCAGCAACTCAGGAAGCTCAGGCAGGAGGATGGCTGGAGACCAGGAGTTCCAGGTTGCAGTGAGCTGTGACTATACTACTGCACTCCAGCCTGGGCAACACAGCCAGACCTTTCTCTCAAAAGGGACAAATCAAAACAAAACCAAAACCAAAGCAGGTTCTCAGCTCTCCTGAGGCTTCCTACCCCCAAAGCAAAAGTACCCACCTCAGAGCCACCTCAGGACCACCGGCTTATGACATTAGGCTGCCTCCTGGAATGGCTTGGAGTGCCAGTCACCCCTTGCTGCAGCTTTGACAAGTTCATACCAACATGTCCCAAGAATAGCTTCAAGCCCAAGGTGACAGCTAAGACCAGGCAGAAGCAGTGCTCTGATCACTGCCCTACTGGGAGGGCCCAGTCATGACTGGCCTTCTGGCCTCTAGCATCTGGACAGAGCTGCCTGCCTGCTTGCCTTGGAGAAGTGGGCCTGGAAGCTCTCTCCTCCCCACTCCCATGTCTAGAGTCAAATCCATGGGGGCCAGAGATATAAGATTCTTTGCTAGCCTAGAAGTAAGGTGGGTCCAGCCAGACTGACCTTCATCTAAGAGTTTCCATGTTGGTTCCCATGGAGGTGATAGATTATAGTTGTCTAAGGACATGAACCCTGCCCTGTTTACAGTAGAGACACAGTAGTGCTTGCTGGACTATGCTATGTGAGTGCACGGGGCGGGTGGTATACAGTCGTCCCCACCCGACACAGTCAGTACTAATTCTGACCTTCCATCTGACCACCACACCACGACCAGATATTGCTTTCTTCTTTTATTCGGAAGCAGACACAGGGTGGGAGGCAGTGCGACACCTCCTGGTGAGAACCAGGATAACAGCAGTCAGAGTCAGGGACACCACCACAGCCAGGCCTACGCCCAGCAGCACCACTGAGGTGTCAGAAGGCAAAGCCCACTGCTCTACTTCATGGTCACCCCTCCTGTCCAGGAAGATCAGTGGCCCCACGGTGACATCTGCTTCTTCTGTCACTGTGAAAGGAGAACACACAACCAAGGGTTATCTTAGTCCCTAACCGGGAACTGGGTTGGAGGTTTTATTCTGCCTCAGTGGGCTAAACTAATATGTTGTCTTTTTTGTGTGGGCTAATAAACAGTTTCTAGACAAAAAAAACACAGCTTTCTCGGCCAGGTGTGATGGCTAATGCCTGTAATCCCAGCACTTTGGGAGGCTGAGGCAGGCAGATCACCTGAGGTCAGGTGTTTGAGACCAGCCTGGCCAACACGGCAAGACCCGTCTCTACTGAAAATAAAAAAGTTAACTGGGCATGGTGGCACATGCCTGTAGTCTCAGCTACTTGGGAGGCTGAGGCAGGAGAATAGCTTGAACCTGGGAGGTAGAGGTTTCAGTGAGCAGAGATCGTGCCATTGCTCTCCAGCCTGGAGGACAGAGCTAGACACCATCTTGGTGCAGGGGAGGGGGAAGAAAAAAGAAAAAGACAGCTTTCTCATACGGAGAAAGCAGGTCACCCAAGAGGGATTCCCTAGTACATCATCTTTTTTGTAGAGACAGGGTCTTGCTATGTTGCCCAGGCTGGTCGAGAACTCATGGGGCTCAAGCGATTTCCCTGGCCTCAGCCTCCCCAAGTGCTAGGATTATAGGCACAACCCACTGTTCTGGCCAGATTATTATTTTTTTTTTGAGAGACAGTTTTACTCTTGTTGCCCAGGCTGGAGTACAATGGTGCAATCTCGGCTCACTGCAACCTCTGCCTCCCAGATTCAAGTGATTCTCCTGCCTCAGCCTCCCAAGTAGCTGGGATTACAGGCATGTACCACCACGCCCAGCTAATTTTTTATTTTTAGTAGAGATGGGGTTTCTCCATGTTGGTCAGGCTGGTCTCGAACTCCTGACCTCAGGTGACCTGCCCGCCTTGGCCTCCCGAAGTGCTGGGATTACAGGCCTGAGCCACTATGCCAAGCCAGATTATCTTAACAACTGCTATATTTCCCCTACATGCCTAATTATGTCTCAGTAGAAGCCTAGGATGACAGCAGATCTCCCTGGCTGCCACCGAGGTGGAAGGCTGAGAGCCCCTCCTGCTTAACCCCAAGATTTGTGTTAGGGAAAGGTAGCTGCAGGCCTAGGTACAAACAGTTTTAATGGAGGACAAGGGAAAATACCATCACCCTGAAATGACAGCAGGTACCCTCAACTGAGTAAGGGACAATGAACAGCCTCTTGGCCATTCTGTGACATACCATGCCTGCGGTTACGGGAAGCAGACCTGGACCACTGGCTCATGACATGAGGCTGCCTCCTGGAATGGCTTGGAGTGCCACAGTCACCTTTGTTACAGCATTGACAGATGTCAGCCGAGCCTTCCACTGGGAACCAGCTGAGATGAAAGAGAAGCAGCTTAGATTTTTGTTGCCTGCAGGAAGCAGTTTGCTGATAATATATTGGGGGAAATAGACAAGGGGTCGCCGATTCAGTTTCTACTCCAGTCACGGAGCACCTGTCCTCCTCACCTGTTGGAAGGCTTGCTGAAGGAACAGGCCTTGTTGAGTTCATCTGGGTCCTGCTCAGCTAGGGTGACCTTCAGGTGGCAGGTGATGTATATCTGCAAGGAATAACAGCTATTTCCAGGCCGAGTTCCAGGCTGTGCCTGGGAGTTTAACACACCAGTTCTCTTATAACCCTCAACCCTTTAAAGAGTGAGAAGGGGCCGGGTGCATTGGCACACACCTATAATCCCAGCACTTTGGGAGCCCAAGGCGGGTAGATCACCTGAGGTCAGGAGTTCGAGACCAACCTGGCCAACATGGTGAAACCCCATCGCTACTAAAAATACAAAGTTAGCTGGGCGTGGTGGTGGGTACCTGTAGTCCCAGCTACCTGGAAGGCTGAGGCAGGAGAATCACTGGAACCTGGGAGGCAGAAGTTGCAGTGAGCCGAGATCATGCCACTGCACCCCAGCCTGGCTGACAGAGTGAGACTGTCTCATAAAATAAACAGGGGGAAGGAAGAGCCTCATCTCTAAGATGGTGTAAAGGTTCACTTACCCAATGTTAGAGCAAGTAGCAACTAGTTTTAGACTGGAATCCACCACTTATTCCCCTGATCTTTTCCAAACTTACCCAATCATTGAGCATGCTTGACCCTGGGCTTCTGAGACAGGGCCTGTCACCCAGGCTGGAGTACAGTGGTATGATGATGCCTCACTATAGCCTTGACCTCCTGGGCTCAAGGGATCCTCCCACCTCAGCCTCATGAGCAGCTGGAATTACGGGTACAAGCCACTACACCTGGCTAATTTTGGATTTTTTGCAGAGATGAGGTTTTGCCATGTTGCCCAAGCTGGCCTCAAACTCCTGGGCTCAAGTGATCTGTCCGCCTCAGCCTCCCAAAGTACTGGGATTACAGGTGCCAGCTATCCGTGCCTGGCCAGTCCTGGGCTTAACTCAGCATTGCTAAACCCGCGCCCATCCCCAGGTGACCGAGGTGAGTGGTAGACACCTTAATAGCTAGCAGCTTAGCTGGGCTTCTGACGCTGCCACCTGCCACTTGACTAGTTGACAAGCTACTTTTCTTCAGGGATGTAGTCACTGTATTGCCAGCTAAGGCAAGACCAAGTTGTTTCTGGGACCTGAGGTCCTTGGGCACATAAAGAAGCCTTTTGGACTTGCTTCTGTGGAGTTTCCATTTCAGACTTAAGAGGTTTTTTTTTTTTTTTTTTTTGAGGTGGAGTCTTGCTGTTGCCTAGGCTGGAGTGCAATGGCACGATCTCAGCTCACTGCAACCTCTGCCTCCTAGGTTCAAGCAATTCTCCTGCCTCAGCCTCCCAAGTAGCTGGGATTACAGGCACTTGCCATAATGCCTCGCTAATTTTTTTGTATTTTTAGTAGAGACAGGGTTTCACCATCTTGGCCAGGCTGGTCTTGAACTCCTGACCTTGTGATCCACCTGCCTTGGCCTCCCAAAGTGCTGGGATTACAGGCGTGAGCCACTGCGCCCGGCCAGACTTGAGTTTGATGGCTCACTCTTTGGGCAAGCTTCCCTGGGCTTTTCTTCCTTGCACATACCTCTGCTATTAGTCAAGCCTACGTCAGTCTCCCTTCACCTGTAAGGGATATGACGACCAGAAGACTCACCAGGCTGATACCCTGACAGTCCTGGCCTCTGGGAAACGTTTACCCACCCTCGTTAGACAAGTACGAGGGAATGAACCCAATATGAGCTCCTGCTGGGAGCTGAAAGACCCCCCACCACCCAGGGAATAGTCAACTACCCTGTAAGCACTGCCCCGCTACCCTTTTTTTTTTTTTTTTTTTCTGAGACGGAGTCTGTCTCTAGTCCAGGCTGGAGTACACTGTAGCCACTACCTCCGAGGTTTAAGCGATTCTCTTGCCTCAGCCTCCCAAGTAGATGGGATTACGGGTACCCACCACCACACCAGGCTAGTTTTTGTATTTGTAGTAGAGATGGGGTTTCCCCATGTTGGCCAGGCTTGTCTTGAACTCCTGGCCTCAAGTGATCCACCTGCCTTGGCCTCACAAAGTGCTGGGATTATTGGCATGAGCCACCGTACCTGGCCAAGCCTTCTCATTTTAGACTGACATTCCATCCTGCTGCTGGGGCTAGGGGCCATTCTGACAGAGCCAGGGCTCAGTCTAGCCTTGGCCCGTCCCCAGGTCAGTTTCCCTTCATATTTCAGGCAGGGCTAAAATTCCTCCCTGCTCAACCTCGGGCAGAGCATGGCAATTCTGCCACCTTCCAGCAGAAGCCTCAGAGCCACAAGCCTCAGTCACCACCTAGTGGCCAAGTACACCAGCAGAGAAACTTGAAACCATGTAAATTCAGACTTTTAGAAACAAGCCAGTTTAGCAGTTGTCCAGCTGCCCATCTTAGCCACCTGCCCTGCAAGTAAGAAGCTTCCAAGGCCCTGTTGTCTATTCCACAAAGGAAATGTACTTTCATCCTTAGCTTTTTCCTAGTATGTTTTTCTGGTGCTAACTGGAGTCTAAGATCCCAGGGCAGTTCCCCTATAGCGGCCTTTTAGAAGCAGGGTCTAGGCTGGGCGTGGTGGCTCATGCCTGTAATCCCAGCACTTTGGGAGGCTGAGGTCAGTGGATCACCTGAGGTCAGGAGTTTGAGACCAGCCTGGCCAACATGGTGAAACCCCATCTCTACTAAAAAAAAAAAAAAAAATACAGAAATTAGCTGGGCATGGTGGCAGGTGCCTATAATCCCAGCTACTTGGGAGGCTGGAATGGAAGAATTGCTTGAACCTGGGAGATGGGAAGTTGCAGTGAGCTGAGATTACGCCATTGCACTCTAGCCTGGGCAACAAGAGTGACACTCCATTTCCCCCCAAAAAAAAACAAAAAAAAAAAAAAAAAGAGGGGAGTGTGATAGCTCATGCCTGTAATCCCAGCACTTGCTGAGGCAGGTGGATCACCTGAGGTCAGGAGTTTAAGACCAGCCTGACCAACATAGTGAAACCCCATCTCTACTAAATATTCAAAAATTAGCCAGGCGTGGTGATTGAGTGCCTATAATTCCAACTATTAGGGAGGCTGAGGCAGGAGAATGGCTTGAATAAGGAGGTGGAGGTTGCAGTGAACCGAGATCATGCCATTGCATTCCAGCCTGGGTGACAGAGCGAGACTCTGTCCAAAAAAAAAAAAAAAAAAAAAAAGTACACAGGGTCTTGCTCTGTTGAGGGCAATAGCACCATCATAGCTCACTGCAGCCTTAAACACCTGAACTCTGATCCTCCCACCTCGGCCTCCCAAGGTGCTGGGATTACAGATGTGAACCACCGTGCCCAGCCACCCTATTGCTCTGAAATAGGGTTGTTCCTTCTTTGTGCCATGGGACATAGTCTACTGAGGCATCATCAATCCTACCTTTGAAGGGGGGCCCTCCAAGGGCTCAGACTATCTTCCATTAAACAGCACTGTTCTCTGGTCTTAGTTACCCCTCAACCCCCAGAGATTGAGAAACCACCTCAGTCCATACCCATGCTGACCGCTACCACCTCTGTGAAAACTTCTCTCCATCTTCTTCCCAAATGGCCACACCTGAGGTCAATCTTGACTTCCTCCCACAACCAGGATCCTCTCCCCTAAGGAGCTATCGGTCACTGATCCGAGGGCCAGGACTCTTTTCCCAAATCTGCCCTCCTTTATCCCCAGCCCCACTGAAGCAGGGCCCACCACTGAGAGCTTCAGGCCATCTCATCAATATTAGATGCTTTTCCCTTTTGCTACCCTACTGATCTGTGTGTTGATCTTTCTCTTCCCACAAGGCAGCTGCTGGAGGAGGTGAAGTGGCATCGATGTCATCTTTGAAAAGTTTCTACTTTGTCCCTTAATGCCACCCTGACGTATGAGCCTCTGCTTCAGAGGTTTGCAAGCCTGGCTGCGTATTAGAGTCACCTAGGAGCTTAAGTGGCTTTTGATGCATTTCCAAGTAGAATAAGGTAGGTCAGTAGATGGAGGATAACAGTAAAATGCTAGCAGGCCGGGTACAGTGGCTCACGCCTGTAATCCCAGCACTTTGGGAGGCCAAGGCAGGTGGATCGTTTGAGGTCGGGTATTCAAGACCAGCCTGGCCAATATGGTGAAACCATCTCTACTAAAAATATAACAGGCACTCAGTAGTGGCGTATGCCTACAATCTCAGCTACTTGGGAGGCTAAGGCAGGAGAATCGCTTGAGCCTGGGAGGTGGAAGTTGCAGTGACCTAAGATTGGGCCACTGTACTCCAGCCTGGGTGACAGAGACCCTCTCAAAAAAAAAAAAAAAAAAAAAAAAAAAAAAAAAAAAAAAAAAAAAGGGGGCGGGGGGCGCGTGGTGGTTCATGCCTATAATCCCAGCACTTTGGGAAGCTGAGGCGGTTGGATAATGAGGTCAAGAGTTCAAGACCAGCCTGGCCAAAATGATGAATCCCTGTCTCTACTAAGAAATACAAGGATTAGCCGGGCATGGTGGCAGGCGCCTACAATCCCAGCTACTCAGGAGGCTGAGGCAGAATTGCTTGCACCCGGAGGCAGAGGTTGCAGTGAGCCAAGACCGCACCATTGCATTCCAGCTTGGGTGACAGAGTGAGACTGTCTCAAAAAAAAAAAAAAAATGCTGGTGGTAGAACCTAGATGGTGTGCACACTGAAGTTCATGGAGTTTTACAGCAAACACCTATGAAGATTTAGTTAATGTTACAAAATGTGACACCATGCCCTACCCCAATAGAGTGAAGGTATGAGACTCTCTACAATCAGTATTTTTACAACCTCTCCAGATGATTAGTATAGAGCCAGCACTGGAAACCCCTACTTTAATCACTTCCTAACCACCTATTCTAAGCTCACCGCCTCACCTCTCATCTCAGTGAGCTTGTTTAAAAGCTACTTGAGGCTGGGCATGGTGGCTCACGCCTGTAATTCCAGCACTTTGGGAGACCGAGGCAGGCGGATCACCTGAGGTCAGGAGTTTGGGACCAGCCTGGACAACATGGTAAAACCTTGTCTCTACTAGAAATACAAAAAAATTAGCCAGGCATGGTGGCGGGTACCTGTACTCCCAGCTACTTGGGAGACTGAGGCAGGAGAATCACTTGCACCTGGGAACCTGGAGTGGCTGGGACTACAGGTGCCCACCATCATGCCCAGCTAATTTTTTGTATTTTTAGTAGAGGGGGTTTCACCGTGTTAACCAGGATGGTCTCAATCTCCTGACCTCGTGATCTGCCCGCCTCAGCCTCCCAAAGTGCTGGGATTATGGGCACGAGCCACCGCACCAGGCAATTTACTTCTAACCACTTACCAGTACTTCCCGGCTAGATGTTGGTCCTTGCACCTGCACTTCCTACTGCATCCCTCCCCCACCTCAGCCATTAGGCAGTTCCCATCTTCATTCCTTCCTTCTCCTTCCCTCTTAGTGTCAATTTGAGTTTTCTAGTTTAGGTTCTCAAGGGGAGGACCCAGACTGGCAGAACCAACACTTAAGAATGCAGATTCTAGGCTTCACTAGACCACCTGAATCAAACCCTGGGTTGGGGCCCAGTCATCAATTTCAACAAGCCCTCCAGCTGAGGATGATGCCTTCAGAATCACTAGCCTAACCTATGACCAAGTTCAAGAAGCCACCCTGGCTACGAAGTTCACACTGGTTTTCTTTGCCCCTGCAGAAAGCCTCCAGGAAGGCTAACACCTGCCTTTTTTTTTTTTTTTGGAGATGGAGTCTCACTGTCACTCAGGCTGGAGGTGCAGTGGCACAATCTCTGCTCACTGCAACCTCTGCCTCCCAGGTTCAAGCTATTCTCCTGCTTCAGCCTCCCAGGTAGCTGGGATTACAGGTACCCAACCACCACACTCAGCTAATTTTTTTTGTATATTTAGTAGAGTCGGGGTTTTACTATGTTGGCCAGGCTGGTCTTGAACTCCTGACCTCAAGTGATCCACCCCCCTCGGCCTCCCAAAGTATTGGGATTACAAGCATGAGCCACCGTGCCCGGCCTCTACCTCTTAAGGCTTCATATTGTTCATCCTTCTGCTTGAAGGCCTCGCTAAAGCTCATGGCTTTACTTGTAAGTTTGAGTTACTGGGACACAGCTCTAAGTCATTTGCTTAGGGGTGGAGCTAGTGAGTGACCCCATTCAGTAGGATATGAAGGTTGCAAGTTCAGCCTTCTTTCAGGCTGTTAAAGCTCTTACCATGTTTCTGGAGTCATTAGCAAAGTGGAAGACATCCACTGTGAACTGGAGTGTATCTGGCCCGGGTCGAGGAACTTTGAATGCAGAAGAGGCATCAGTGAGACCGTCGACAAGACAGCTTGGAAGAAAACAGAACGGTATTAAAGCCAGACAGGTGGGCCGGGCACCGTGGCTCACGCCCATAATCCCAGCACTTTGGGAGGCCAAGGTGGGTGGATCACTTGAGGTCAGGAGTTCGAGACTAGCCTGGCAAACATGGTGAAACCTTGTCTCTACTAAAAATACAAAAATTAGCCAGGCATGGTGATGGGCACCTGTAATCTCAGCTACTTGGGGGGCTGAGGCAGGAGAATCACTTAAACCTGGGAGGCAGAGGTTGCAGAGGGCAGAGATCAAGCCTCTGTATTCCAGCCTGGGTTACAGAGTGACACTGTCTCAAAAAGCCAAACAGGTGGCTTTAGGGTCATTTTGCTAGGAAGGTTCTCTAGGCAGGGAGCCCAGTGCTCACCCATGGAAGTCCACGATGGTGTGATAAGGGGAGGCATTCTGGTCTGGTGTCGGTGTGGCCACGCAGTGGTCCACAAACAACCGCAGTGGCACGTGGCTGCCAGTGTGGATTTCTGCCTGGAGGTGGGCTGCATCTCCCAGGTGGAAGGTGGGGGACCTCTTCTCAGCGTTCCAGTTCTCTGAAAGACACAGTCAGCTGGGCATGGTGGCTCATGCCTGTAATCCCAGCACCTTGGGAGGCTGAGGCAGGTGGATCACCTGAGGTCAGGAGTTCGAGACCAGCCTAGCCAACGTGGCAAAACCCCATCTCTACTAAAAATAGAAAAGTTAGCTGGGTGTGGTGTCAGAAGCCTGTAGTCCCAGTTACTCGGGAGGCTGAGGCAGGAGAATCGTTTGAACCCCAGGAGGTGGAGACTGCAGTGAGCTGAGATCGTGCCACTGCACTCCAGCCTGGAGGTCAGATCAAGACTGTCTCAAAAACCAACCAAAACCAACCAAAACCAACCAAAACCAACCAAAACCAAAACCAAACAAACAAAAAAAAGACACAGCCAAGGGCAGGGGTCTGAGATGGCCCAGGTCTTTCCACAGATGTCCCACCCAGCCTTCTTCTCTTACCCTCCATCAGACGCAGAGAGAAAGTCAGCTTCTCCTCTGAGAACACCGTGGTCCTGAAGGGCAACCAGGTGGGCAGGATGGCCTGGCTGCTCACATTGCCCTGCCTGAGAGAAGAACAGCAGCTGTGCACACCTGCCTCAGGTCACACCCACCTGGGCCCCCACTGATGGGGAGTATCTCACTGCTACCCCACTACAGGGTCCTCAGCTATGGCCCAGCCAGGTAGCTGGTGCGAGATGGCTGAACAGACACCTTGAGCCTGAGGCTGCCCCTGCACCCTCCTGAACTTCTGCACCTGTGAGTGGCCTAGCCATCCTAACTGATGCTATGATGCTATCTGGGCCGCTGAAGACAGATACAGCTGAACCTAGGAGTTTGGTTTCTAGACTGAGATCTGCTCCCTCTTGAGCCCTGGACCTGAGTGCGGTGGCTCATGCCTGTAATCCCAGCACTTTGGGAGGTGGAGACTGGAGGATTGCCTGAGGCTAGGAGTTTGAGAGCAGCCTGGACAACATAGCAAGACTCTATCTCTATAAAAAAGAAAAGAGGCCAGGCACGGTGGCTCAAGCCTATAATCCCAGCAGTTTGAGAGGCCGAGGCGGGCGGATCATGAGGTCAGGAGATCGAGACCATCCTGGCTAACATGGTGAAACCCCATCTCCACTAAAAATAAAATTATCCGGGCATGGTGGCGGGCGCCTTTAGTCCCAGCTACTTGGGAGGCTGAGGCAGGAGAATGGCGTGAACCTCGGAGGTGGAGTTTGCAGTGAGCTGAGATCACACCACTGCACTCCAGCCTGGGCAACAGAGCAAGACTCCATCTCAAAAAAAAAAGAAAAGAAAAGAAAAGATAGCTGGGCATAGTAGTACATACCAGCTACTCAGGAGGCTGAGATGGGAGGATTGCTTGAGCCCAGGAGGTCAAGGCTGCAGTGAACTATGATGGCACCCCACTGCACTCCAGCCTGGGCGGCAGAGTAAGACTTTTTTTTTTTAAACAAAAAACCAAAAGCCACCACACATACTTTAGCCCTAGAGGTTCAGGTTTGGGGTCTGATAGCAGGCCCTGCACAGTACTCCACAGGATGCTTGAGAGGGGAATCAGCTAAGGCCATCTTTTTTTTTTTTTTTTGAGACGGAGTCTCACTTTGTCTCCCAGGCTGGAGTACAGTGGCACGATCTCGGCTCACTGCAAGCTCCACCACCCAGGTTCACGCCATTCTCCTGCCTCAGCCTCCCAAATAGCTGGGACTACAGGCACCCGCCACTAGGCCTGGCTAATTTTTTGTATTTTTAGTAGAGACGGGGTTTCACCACGTTAGCCAGGATGGTCTCCATCTCCTGACCTCATGATCCGCCCGCCTCGGCCTCCCAAAGTGCTGGGATTATAGGCGTGAGCCACCATGCCCAGCCAAGGCCATCCTTTAGAGATCAAAGACAGGCCCTTAGGTCTTGAGATGCTACCGAGAGCCTGGACCCACACCAGTGACTGGGAAGTCCATGGAAGCAGGTCTGGGTATCTGCAGATACCTACCCTGCTAACCCCATAGGATCTGCTGGAAGAAGCTACTCCAAGTGATGGATGCATCTATTGATAACCAGACTCAGGTATCTGGAGCCAGGTTAAAGCATCCCAGCCTACAACCAGCCTCTCTAATACTACCTACAGCCAATGGACCAGGTGAGCCACCATCCTCAGGGGTCAGGCCCAGAGACTGAAGTCAGACTTCCACGGTCACAGGACAGCTTCAGTCCCTCATGCCGACTGGGCAGCCTGCCCTTGACTCCTCTATCCTCCTCCATCTCCCCTACCCACATAGGCACCAAGCTCCTCCAACTGCTCTTAGCTCCTGCGAGTCAGCCTCTACGGTCCCTGCAACCATGGGTCAGGCCTCATTGAATCCCAGTTTTCCAGCCTCCCAGCTGGTTCTCACTAGTTCCCATTTGTCTTCAGCACCAGCCACCAGGTGACCCTGGGTGGAGATTCAGTCCTCACCCATTCCAGGAGGGGCACCTGTGGTGAGGCTGGTGAGCCCATCTGTCTGGCTCCCTCATTACCCCAGTCCCTGGGCTCCAGCCCCCAGGCTGCATGTCACCTACTAAGGGCACACTACCCTCCCGTTGGGTGTGTGGCCACATGGCTCTGCCCAGGCCATCTCAGCCTCAAGGTCCCCCACTCCAGGATCCTGTTCTAGGATAACCCCTACCATGACCCCTCCCAGGGGCATGGCTCATCCCTCATGATGTCCTGACTGGTATCAGCTCCCTACCCACTTCACACTAGCATTTTCTTTTTGAGATGGAGTCTTGCTCTGTTGCCCAGGCTGGAGTGCAATGGTGCCATCTCAGCTCACTGCAACCTCTGCATCCTGGGTTCAAATGATTCTCCTGCCTCAGCCTCCTGAGTAGCTGAGATTACAGGCACGCGCTACCACACTCGGCTAATTTTTTTGTGTTTTTAGTAGAGATGGGTTTCACCATGTTGGCCAGGCTGGTCCTGAACTCCTTACCTCGTGAGCTGCCCACCTTGGCCTCCCAAAGGGCTGGTATTACAGGCGTGAGCCACCATACCTGGCCGCATCATCTTATACCCACTCCCAGACTGGTTCAAGGGCAGGGACAAAGTCCCCTGCACCCCATGCTGAGGCCAGCACAGGACCCAGTGTTGTCCTTGGGAGCCATAGTTTCTCCTCCCACTTCAGGGCCTGAGTTCACAGGCACGTGCTTGATGCCAGGGGCTTGAGGACCACAGAAGAGTAGGCCACCACCGCCCAGGTCAGATTCTAGAACGCAGCCTAGCACTATTTTATTATTATTTTTTGCGATGGAGTATCGCTTTGTTGCCCAGAATGGAGTACAGCAGTGCAATCTCGGCTCACTGCAGCCTCTGCCTCCTGGGTTCAAGCAATTCTCCTGCCTCAGCCTCCCAAGTAGCTGGGATTATAGACACCCGGCTAATTTCTGTGTTTTTAGTAGAGATGGGGTTTCACCATGTAGGCCAGACTGGTCTTGAACTCCTTGACCTCAAGCGATCCACCTGTCAGCCTCCCAAAGTGCTAGGATTACAGGATGAGCCACTGCACCTGGCCCCAGCCTAGCACTATTGGAAGGCCATTTCTGAACCCTAAGGGCCGAGGCTGGCATAGTACCACCACCAGGGCTGAGCAGCTCTGAAGCTTCCGCTAAGCTGCAGTTGGGCTCCTGATACTCTTCTGGGGCTCGAACTAGACTCAGCAGGCCCCACAATCCCACGCAGTACAGTAACCACAGCTGCAAATGCTTCGGTAGGTAGTTCTAATAGCCATGCTGCAAGCTGTAGCCCATAGCCAGCCCACTTGCCTGCAGCCACACCCAAGGGGCTTTTGCACCAGGGGCCATGAGTCAGTCCCACACCGACCTGGGGTAGCGGCACTCGATGGGAATCTCTGCGCGGTTAGTCCTCACGATGGACAGGTTTCCCACGGGGCGGGGGTCATGGAGCAGGAAGGTGCTGTACACCAGGGCATCGTCAGTTACCTGGAGGAAAGGTGAGAAGTTAATGCTGCCGGCCATCACCTGCCCGGGTACTCCCAAGCCATACCTGAGTGCTCAGGGAGGGCAGCCCACAAGGGGACAGAAAGACCACAGGGTCAAGGCCAGGTGCAGTGACTCATGCCTGTAACCCCAGCACTTTGGGAGGCCAAGGATTGCTTGAGGCCAGGAGTTTGAGACTGGCCTGGGAAACATAGCAAGACCCCATCTCTACAAAAGAGAACACAGGCTCTGCCACTGGTCAGGAAAGAGGCAGGACAGGTACTGTCTTTGTACCTCGGAATCTTTACCTGACACCACATATTGACACCACCACAGGCAGACTGGATCAACCACATGGCAGATACCATGTAACACCCAAGCAATAGAGGCATCAGGGCACATGACACATCCCTTCTGACACTCCCCCTCCATGCCCCCCAGTACATACAGTTTCCTCTTTCAGGAGAGGCCCAGGGCCAAGATAGCCGCCAGGAAGCAGTCAGGAAGTGCCCAGCTGTTAACACTTATCAGCTTCTGGCTGGGCGCTGTGGCTCACGCCCGTAATCCCAGCACTTTGGGAGGCTGAGGAGGGCAGATCATCTGAGGTCAGGAGTTTGAGACCAGCCTGACCAACATGGTGAAACCCCATCTCTACTTAAAAAAAAAAAATTAGCTGAGTGTGGTGGCACGTGCCTGTAATCCCAGCTACTCGGGAGACTGAGGCAGAAGAATCGCTTGAACCCGGGAGGCAGAGGTTGCAGTGAGCGGAGATCGTGCCATTGCATTCTAGCCTGGGCAACAAGAGCAAAACTCTCAAAAACAAAAACAAACAAAAAACACAACAACCCACATCAGCTTCTAACCTATTCAAGCCCATTTCACATAAGGTGGGGGAGACTGATTCAGAGGTTGCCTGAGGCAGGAAGAGCACAGGTGAGTACTACTGGGGAAATTTGCATCGTCCAATAGGGCTGCAGAAGGCAGGGCCTGCCTGGGAGAGAGTTTTATAGCAAACACCTAAGTTCGAAGATTTTGCTAGAATATTAGAAAAATGTGACGCTAGGCCCTACCCCAGTAGAGTGAAGGTATGAGATTCTCTTGAGAATCAGTATTTTTACAACCTTTCCAGGTGATTAGCATAGAGCCAGCACTGGAAACCCCTACTTTAGTCACTTCCTAACCACCTTTTGTTTTTTTGAGATGCAGTCTTGCTCTGTCACCCAGGCTGGAGTGCAGTGGCACGAACTCGGCTCACTGCAACCTCCGCCTCCCAGGTTCAAGCAATTCTCTGCTTCAGCCTCTGAGTAGCTGGAATTACAGGCACGTGCCACCGTGCCTTTTTTTTTTTTTTTTAAATAGAGACAGGGTTTCGCCATGTTAGCCAGGCTGGTCTCGAACTCCTGGCCTCAGGTGATCCACCTGCCTCAGCCTCCCAAAGTGCTGGATTACAGGTGTGAGCCACCATGACTCAACCCCCAACCACCTATTCTAAGCTCACTATCCCCACCTCTCATCTCAGGGAGCTTATTTAAAAACTACTTGAGGGCTGGGTGCAGTGGCTCATGCCTGTAATCCCAGCACTTTGGGAGGGAAGAGGATTGCTTGAGGCCAGGAAGTCACGACCAGCCTGGGCAATAGAGCTAGACCCCATCTCTACAAAAACATAACTTGGCTGGGCACGGTGGCATGTGCCTGTAGTCCATCCCAGCTATTCAGGAGGCTGAGGCAGGAGGATGGCTTGAGCCTAGGAGGTCGAAGTTGCCCAAGAGCTCAGGTGGCTGCCTGGCCCTGACCAAACTCGATCTTCAGGGAATAGTCCTAGACCTTATTAGCAAGTGCCCCAGCACAGACAGAACCAGCATAGCTCGTGGGGCCCCTTATTCAAAAGTTATTACCATTTCAGGGCAAGAGGGCATTCCATTAAGCACTGGGCCCCACAGAACTGCACAGGTTGTATACCTGGGAAACTGGCCATGGCTGTATTTTTTTTTTTTTTTTTTTTGAGACGGAGTCTCACTCTGTTGCCCAGGCTGGAGTGCAGTGGCACGATCTCAACTCACTGCAACCTACGCCTCCCGGGTTCAAGCAATTCTCTGCCTCAGACTCCTGAGTAGCTGGGATTACAGGTGCCCGCCACCACACCCGGCTAACTTCTTTGTATTTTTAGTAGAGATGAGGTTTCACCATCGTGGCCAGGCTGGTCTTGAACTCCTGACCTCGTGATTCACCCGCCTCGGCCTCCCAAAGTGCTGGGATTACAGGCGTGAGCCACTGCGCACGGCCAGCCGCAGGTGATTCTCACCGGGCAAAACTGGGAAACACCACACCAGAGGAAGGAGTTTGCAGGCTTTGCTCCTCATTGGAGTCACCTGAGATCCTTATTACCCACAGCTGGTCCCACATCCTTTCTATTTTAGCAGCCTGGACATCAGGATTTTTAGAAGCTCCACAGGTGGGGTTAATAAAAGAGGGTCTTGCTCTGCCTTCCAGGCTGGAATGCAGTGGCACAATCGTAGCTCACTGCAGCCTCCAAATCATGGGTTTAAGCAATCCTCCCACTTCAGCCTCCCAAGTAGCTGAGACTAAAGGCAGGCGCCACCACACCCTATTGTGTGTGTGTGTGTGTGTGTGTGTGTGTGTGTGGTGTTTGGTAGAGAAGGGGGTCTCATTATGTTGCCCAGGGTGGCCTTAAACTCCCGGGCCCAAGTGATCCTCCCATCTCAGCCTCCCAAAGTGCTGGGATTATAGGCGCCATTGCACTCCAGCCTGGGCAATAAGAGCAAAACTGTCTCAAAAAACAAAAACAACAACAAAAAAATACCACTTATCAGCTTCTAACCTATTAAAGCCCATTTCACAGAAGGGGGGGGAGCCAGGCACCTGGCTCCCCAAGTAAATCTAAGACATGTTTGTGAGCCTCTAAACTGGAATAATTCCTCAAGTAACTCCTGCAGCTCTCTGGCCTCCCTCCCCAGGAAAACAAGGGCCTCGAGTCCTCAAAGAGAGCCCAGGAGACCACAGTTAAGACCAGAGCTCTGGCCGGAGGGCTCCAGGGGCTGGACTTGCCCCCATCCCAGGCAAGCTACTGGGTCTAGGCCCAGGTGAGGAGGAGCCAGGTTCCCCTGAGGCGGGAGAGGACAGGCCCTCCATGGGACCACAGGAACTTGGTCCAGGGATCAGGGTTTAGCTGGGGAGCTGTGTGCCCAGCCCTGCCCTGCCGTAAGGCCTCTCCTTGCAGCCTCTTTCCCCACTGGCTAGGGAAAGGGAGGTCTGGCCTGGATTTCTTGGTCTTTTCCTGCATGTACCACAGGTTAAGCCTCTCCCCCTTGGAGCTGCCCCCAGGGACCCACTGATGCTTTTAAGGTCTTTAACACCAAGGTTATGATGCCCCCGCCCCCATACCACTTATCTATGTGGAATTTTTTTTTTTTTTTTGAGCCAGAGTCTCGCTCTGTTGCCTAGGCTGGAGTGCAGTGGCACAATCTCAGCTCACTGCAACCTTTGCCTCCTGGGTTCAAGCGATTCTCCTGCCTCAGCCTCCTGAGTAGCTGGGATTACAGACACGCACCACCATGCCTGGCTAATTTTTGTATTATTAGTAGAGATGGGGTTTCACCATGTTGGCCAGGCTGGTCTCAAACTCCTCAGCCTCCCAAAGTGCTGGAATTACAGGCGTGAGCCACCACACCAGGCCCCAGTTAGTTTTTTTAAAGGCTTAAGAGATGGGGTCTCACTATGTTGCCCAGGCTGGCCTCAAACTCCTGGCCTCAAGTGATCCTCCAGTCTTGGCCTCCCATAGTGCTGGGACTACAGGCATGAGCCACTGCACCCGGCCCACTTGTTGTTTTTAAGATAATGTATACTTTGGGTCTCTTCAGGATGAGTTCCTAATGCCCCCAGCCTTAGAAACAGCCCCTTAGGCTACCCACAGGGCTATCCTATCACGCAGGCCTGTGTGTGTCACAAACCCACCTGAGAGAGAGTGGCGTGGCTTGGGCCAGCCTGAAGTGCACGGCCACCTCTGGCTCCACCCCATCGACCCAATGTCGGGCATCAGAGGCAGGAGCTGCCCTGGGTCCGGTGACCTCAGTGCCAGCTTCAGGCCTCAACTGGGCCACCTCCCCACCTACAAGTGAGAGGGATCCACCCAACCCCACCTCCCACCGATGGTGGCCACAGTCCCCATACCCGGCTGCCTCGAACATCCTCCCACCAAAGCCAGGGCCCCCAGCCTCTCTTACCTGCATGCTGTTGCCACACTCGTGGAGTCCAACCTCAAACCTGACCACATCTTCTGTGTCCATGGAGACCAGAGGCTCACAGGCCTCTGGGCCCAAGGTGAGGTCAGCAGCCCTGATGAGCTTCCCGGTGCCAAAAAGGTCTTTGCTGACCATGACCATCAGAGTGGCCTCCTGACACTCCACCAGTACGGGCTGTACGGACGTCTCAGGATGGCTGGCTCCACCCTGCAAGAGCCAGAGGGGTTGGGGGTAGCACAGCTCAGTACTACCCCAGAGCAGGAGGCAGATGAAGAGCCTATAGCTCAGCTCCATGGTACCTGCAGAGCAGCAGGCAGCCGCCTCTGGCCATCTTATACCCGTGGGATGCTGGCTGCTGCCACCTGGGCTCTCAGCTTCTCAGCTGCCTCCCTTCCCTAGCCAGCTGGGCCCTTGTTGCATAAAGTGGTCTCCATCCAGAAGCATCAGTAACACCTGGGAGCTTGTTAGAACTGCAAACTCTCAGCCTTCACCCCAGCATGACCACAGCAGAATTTGGTTTTTAGCTTGGAAATCCCCCACGTGTATCCACATTAAAGTTTTTTTTTGCTGTGTGTGTGTGTGTTTGTGGTTTGTTTGTTTTTGTTGTGTTTTGTTTTGTTTTGAGACAGAGTCTCACTCTGTTGTCCAGGCTGGAGTGCAGTGGTATGATCTCGTTTCACTGCATCCTCCACTTCTCAGCCAGGTTCAAGTGATTCTCCTGCCTCAGACTCCCAAATAGCTGGGATTACAGGAAGGCATGCGCCACCGCGCCTGGCTAATTTTTGTATTTTTGGTAGAGACAGGGTTTCACTATGTTGGGCAGGCTGGTCTTGAAGTCCTGACCTCCAGTGATCCTCCTGCCTCAGCCTCCCAAAGTGCTGGGATGACAGGTGTGAGCCACCGCGCCCGCCCCAGCCCACTTGAAAGTTTTTAGCTTGTAAATCCCCATGTGTATTCATGTAAAAGTTTGCAAAGAGTGTGCTGCCTGCCTGGTGCACCACAATGTATCACAGCTTCCCTCCGATCCCCTGCTGGCCCTGCCCTTAGGAAGCTCGCAGCCCGGCAAGGGAGCTGTCCCAGGTCTGTGGGGGACACAGGAGAAAGCCCTTGATTGAAGAGTCAGGGGGATTAGATCTGAGACATAAGGAGCTCATTCCAAGTGTGAGAAAAAGGAGGCGGTATCAATTAGGAGACAGGAGGAATTTCATGGGTCTCTGCCTTATTTTATGGGAGGCCGGGGGGTAGGTCAGTTCAGGCAGAGGCAGCTGTGTGAAGAGAGGTGGAGAAGGGGCCCTGCGTTCTTCATTCCTGGGTGAATCCCCCGGAGTTCATACTGAGACACAGCAGAAGCGGGGCTTGGCTTCAGCTCACCCCGACCAGGGCATTCTTTTTTTTTTTTGAGACAATCTCACTCTGTTGCCCAGGCTGGAGTGTAGTGGTGCAATCTCAGCTCACTGCAGCCTCCGCCTCCCAGGTTCAAGCAATTCTTCTGCCTTACTCTCCCGAGTAACTGGGATTACAGGCTTGTTCCACCATGCCCAGCTCCTCACCACAAGGGATCCGCCCACCTCAGTCTCCCAAAGTGCTGGGATTACAGACATGAGCCACCACACCTGGCCCAACCACTGCATTCTTTCCTGCATTCCCAGTGATCACCAGACCCATACCACGATTTCACTGACATCATCATGTGGAAACATGCCTATTACTTAAGAGAATCCCAGGAACTGACCTTAGGAGATTCAAATATCAAACCAAGGTTGTGGAGTGTCCCACCTCAGGAAGGAATGCTGAACTGATTGACAGCCTTGTTGCCACCAGCCAGACTACCAGGTGGCCCATAACTCAAGATAACCATGGCAACCAGATAATGCCAACCTGCATACCTTCACGTGCTTTGCCCAGCACAGCCGGCATGCCCTATCCCTGATGTAAATTCCCATGCTTTGCCTAATAAAAAAGCCCTCCTGGCTCTTTTTGGAGAGTCAGATAGAAAAATCTCTATATCTTTCCCTCTCTCTCTCTCTTTCCCTCTCTCTCTCTCTTTCCCTCTCTCTCCCTCTCTCTTTCCCTCTCTCTCCCTCTCTCTCTCATGCTGCCTCCTTTATGTCTGGGCATAAGCTCCAATGAAGCTTTGTCTAGGAAAACTCGTTTAGCCTCCTGTCAATTTCTTTTCTTTCTTTCTTTCTTTCTTTCTTTCTTTCTTTCTTTCTTTCTTTCTTTCTTTCTTTCTCTCTCTCTCTCTCTCTCTTTCTTTCTTTTGAGACAGGATCTCATTCTGTCGCCCAGGCTGGAGTGCAGTGGTGCTATCTCGACTCACTGCAACCTCCGCCTCCTGGGTTCAAGTGATTCTCCACCTCAGCCTCCCGAGTAGCTGGGATTACAGGCACCCGTCACCATGCCCGGCTAACTTTTGTATTTTTAGTAAAGACGGGGTTTCACCATGTTGGCCAGGCTGGTCTCGAACTCTGGACCTCAAGTGATTCTCCCTCCTCGGCCTCCCAAAGTGCTGGGATTACAGGTGTGAGCCACTGTGCCTGGCCCTCATGTTAATTTCTTTTCTTTCTTTTTTTTTTTTTTGAGACGGAATCTTGCTCTGTCGCCCAGGCTGGAGTGCAGTGGCGCGATCTCAGCTCACTGCAACCTCCTCCTCCTGGATTCAAGCAATTCTCCTCCCTCAGCCTCCTGAGTAGCTGGGATTACAGGCGCCTGCCACCAAGCCCAGCTACTTTTTGTATTTTTAGTAAAGACAGGGTTCCACCATGTTGGTCAGGCTGGTCTGGAACTCCTGACCTCAGGTGATCCGCCTGCCTCAGCCTCCCAAAGTGCTGGGATTATAGGCGTGAGCCACCGCGCCTGGCCACCTCATGTCAATTTCTATTGCACTGAGGGCCTGAGGACCCATGGTTGGGGTAGGTAACCTGGTGAAGCCTCAGGTCCCTGGGAGTGAGAGTAGCAATTTAGGAGGCCGGGGAGGTGGGCGGGGCAGAACCCTGTGGGTGCCAGGCTGAGATGCTGGACTTAGCCCTGTGGGAAAAAGAGGCCATGAAAGGAATAGTATTGGCCGGGCGTAGTGGCTCATGTCTGTAATCCCAGCATTTTGGGAGGCCGAGGTGGGCGGATCACCTGAGGTCAGGAGATCGAGACCAGCCTAAGCCAATATGGAGAAACCCCGTCTCTACTAAAAATACAAAATTAGCCTGGTGTGGTGGCACATGCCTGTAATCCCAGCTACTTGGGAGGCTGAGGCGGGAGAATCGCTTGAACCCAGGAGGTGGAGGTTGTAGTGAGCCAAGATCACGCCGCTGTACTCCAGCCTGGGTAACAGAGCAACACTCTGTCTCAAAACAAAACAACAACAACAAAAGTCTACTGCAAGGGTCCTATCAGGAGATGATGAAGGACTGACAGGTACAGCATTTACCAATGGCCTACTCTATGCTGTCCCTGGGTGAAATTCCTGCAAGAGAGGAGGAAGAATACAAAAACTAATGGCATTAGCTGGGCATGGTGGCTCATGCCTGTAGTCCCAGCTACTCAGGAGGCTGAGGTGGGAGAATTGCTTAAACCTGGGAAGCAGATGTTGCAGTGAGCCGAGATTGCGCCACTGCACTCCAGCCTGGGCGAGACTCCATCTCAAAAAAAAAAAAAATTATACATATATATGTGTGTGTATATATATATAATTTTAAAAAATTAAAAATCTGCCAGGCATAATGGCTCACATCTGTAATCTCAGCACTTTGGGAGGCTAAGGTGGGAGGATTGCTTGAGCCCAGGAGTTCGAGACCAGCCTGGACAATACAGTGAGGCCCCATCTCTACAAAATCAAAGAAATTAGTCAGGCATGTTGGCACACACCTGTAGTCCTAGCTACTTGGGAAGCTGTAGTCCTAGCTACTTGGGAACCTAGCTACTTGGGTTGCTTGAGCCTGGGAGTTCTAAGCTTCAGTGAGTCATGATCATGCTACTGCATTCCAGCCTGGGCAATAGAGTGAGACCTCATCTCAAAAAAATGTGGAAATGGCGGGGCGCAGTGGCTCACGCCTGTCATCCCAGCACTTTGGGAGGCTGAGACGAGCAGATCACGAGGTCAGGAGTTTAAGACCAGCCTGGCCAATATGGTGAAACCCCATCTCTACTAAAAATACAAAAAATTAGCTGACGTGGTGGCACACGCCTATAATCCCAGCTACTCAGGAGGCTGAGGCAAGAGAATCACTTGAACCTGGGAGGTGGAGGTTGCAGTGAGCTGAGATTGTGCCACTGCTCTCCAGCTTGGGTGACAGACTGAGACTTAGTCTCACTAAAAAAAAAAAAAAGTGGAGACACACACACACACACACACACACGTGGAAATATATATGTATGTGTATATATATGTTATATATAGACATAAATATAAAGAGATACAGGGAGAGAGGGAGGATATGTATCAATCTTTATATTGGCTGAACCTGGGTAAAAGGTAAACAGGTTTCTTAGTGTTATCTGTGCAACTTTCATCAGTTTAATTTCAAAATAAAAAGTAAAACAAAAAATAACCAAAAACATAAAAAACTCTCTGTGTCAGATTCAAGTGAGACAGAAGACGATGCTGTTAACCAAGTTCCAAAAGCAATTGCTAAAACAAAATATGAAGTTCCTAGGTATAAAACAGACAAAAAAAGATATGTAAGATCTTTGAGGAAAAATTAACAAAACTGTATTGGCAGTCAGAGTAAAGAATGTCTAAATTTACAGAGGTATTCCATGTTCATGGATGGGAAATGCAATATCATCACTATTTCAATTCTCCCAAAATTAATCTGTAATTTCTATCAAGATCCCAACATGTTTTAGCTGTATGTGGGCAGAGCTTAGTAAACTGATTCTAAAATTTATATGGAAGAGCTAAGGATCAAAAAGCCAAGGTTTTTGCAGAAAAAGAACATCTGGTGTGAGTGTGGTGGCTCACACCTATAATCCCAGCACACGATTTTGGGAGGCCGAAGCAGGAGGATTTCTTGAGGCCAGGAGTTTGGGAACAGCTGGGCAACATAGTGAGACTTTATCTCTATGAAGAAGAAGGAGGAGGTGGAGGAGGAGGGAAGAAGAGGAAGAGGAATAGGAAGGGGAAGAGGAAGGGGAGGAGGGGGAGGAGGAAGAGAAAGAAGAGGCTGGGTGTGGTGGCTAATGCCTGTAATCCCAGCACTTTGGGAGGCCGAGGCAGGAGGATCACTTGAAGTCAGGAGTTTGAGACCAGCCTGGCCAACATGGAGAAACCCCATCTCTACTAAAAATACCAAAATTAGCTGGGCGTGGTGTCGCGCGCCTGTAATCCCAGCTACTGGGGAGGCTGAGGCAGGAGAATCGCTTGAACCTGGGAGGCGGAAGTTGCAGTGAGTGAGCCAAGATTGCGCCACTGCACTCCAGCCTGGCGACAGAGTGAGAGTCTGTCTCAAAAAAAGAAGAAAGGGAGGAGGGGGAGGAGGAGGAGGAGGAGGAGGGGAGGGGGAAAAAAGAAAGAAAAAGAGAAAGAAAGAAAGAGATAGAGGGAGAGGGAGGGAGGAAGGAAGGGAGAGAGAGAGAAAGAGAACGAAAGAAAGAAAGAAAGAAAGAGAGAGAGAGAGAAAAGAAAGAAAGAAAAAGAAAGAAAGAAGGAAGGAAGGGAGAAAGAAAAAGAACATCATGAGACACACACCCTAACAGATATAAAAACATATTATAGAGCTATGGTAATTAAGACACATTGCTGTTAGGACAGAAAAGAAACAGTGGAATAGATGAGAGAGCCTAGAAACAGCCACGTGCATATGTGGAAACATGATACCGGACGGAGGAAACAGATGGACTCTTCAAGAAAAGGAGCTGTGTCAATTATTATCCATCTGGGGAAAAACTGGATTTCACTTCCCACATAAAAATGAATTCTAGATAGATTAAAGATCTGAATGGGAAAGAACAAAACTAAAACTTTGAGAAGAAAATATGATCTTCAGGGCAGAGTGAGCTGGAAAATATTTGCTAAATAAGACCCTACCCTCCAAAAATAATGCACAAATCATAAAGAAAAAGTGACTTTTTAGACCACTTTCATAAATAATGACCAAAATTATTATAACAATAATGACCATTTATTGCTTATTCTCAATACGGCAGGGACTAGACTGAGTCCCTTAATCCTGACACTCATCTAGGAAGGCACTATTTGCTCCATTTTACAGCTGAGGGAATAAGCACTCAGAGAAGTTAAGGAACTTGCTCAAGTTTGCACAGCCAATGAGGAACCAAACCAAGATTCAAGAGTCTCTCTGATACTTTCTGTTTGAGTTAACAACACCCAATGTGTACATTGGGGGAGCTATATCCAAAAAATAACTCCAATGCAAAGATGTGTTATTATTTTGGCCTTTTGTTTTCTGAGACAGAGTCTCCCTCTGTGGCCCAGGCTGGAGTGCAGTGGCGCGATCTCCGCTCATTGCAAGCTCCGCCTCCCGGGTTCACGCCATTCTCCTGCCTCAGCTTCCCAAGTAGCTGGGACTATAGGCGCCTGCCACCACGCCCGGCTAATTTTTTGTATTTTTAGTAGAGATGGAGTTTTACCGTGTTAGCTGGGATGGTCTCGACCGCCTGACCTCGTGATCTGCCCGCCTTGGCCTCCCAAAGTGCTGGGATTATAGGTGTGAGCCACTGTGCCCAGCCTTTTTTTTTTTTTTTTTTTTTTTTGAGATGAAATCTCGCTCCGTGGCCCAGGCTGGAGTACAGTGGTGCTATCCTGGCTCACTGCAACCTCCGCCTTTCAGGTTCAAGCGATTCTTCTGCCTCAGCCTCCTGAGTAGCTGGGATTACAGGTGCGTGCCACCATGCCTGGCTAATTTTTGCATTTTTAGTAGAGAAGGTGTTTCACCACGTTGGCCAGGCTGGTCTCGATCTCCTGACCTCAAGTGATCTGCCTGCCTCAGCCACCCAAAGCGATATTTTGGCCATCTTAAGGACTTTATGGACTCACTCAGATATTCAGTAGGTGTTTTAAAAAAATAGCACTATTCGCCAGGCAAAGTGGCTCACATCTATAATCCAAGCACTTTGGGAGGCCAAGGCGGGTGGATCACCTGAGGTCAGCAGCCTGGGCAACATGGCGAAATCCTGTCTCCGCTAAAAACACAAAAAATTAGCCAGGTGTGGTGACTACGTGCCTGTAGTCCCAAATACTTGGGAGGCTGAGGCAGGAGACCCGCTTGAACCCGGGAGGCGGAGATTGCAGTGAGCCGAGATTGTGTCATTGTACTCCAGCCTGGGCAACAGAGTGAGATTGTGTCTCAAAAAAAAAAAAAAAGAAAGAAAGAAAGAAAGCACTATTAAAGGCCAGACATGGTGGCTCATGCCTGTAATCCCAGTGCTTTGGGAGGTGGAGCTGGGAGGATCAATTGAGTCCAGGAGTTCCAGCCCAGCCTGGGCAACATAGCAAGACCCCATCTCTGCAAGAAATAAAGTAAAATTAGCCAGGTGTGGTGGTGTGTGCCTGTAGTCCCAGCTACTAGGGAGGCTGAGGTGGGAGGATCACTTGAGTCCAGGAGTTCAAGGCTGCAATGAACTATGATCACACCACTGCACTCTAGCCAGGGAGACAAGAGTGAGATCTTGTCTCGAAAAAAAAAAAAAGAATAAAAGAATAAATAGTACTTTTCTTTCTACGTGTCAACCTGGGAAGACAAAATACCTGGCGTGTGATGGAAAATAAGAGGAATCACAAATTTGAGAATGTGCCAGACACATATACATACATAGTGATGATCATTAATTCTACAGCCAGAATTCATTAATTCTGTTTCCAGACTTTAGCTGGAAGGACCTCAGTGGGCTGAGATTTAGCCCATTTTTTGCACAGTAAGGGATGCAATGAAAGTTAGGGATATGAGGCCGGGCACGGTGGCTCACGCCTGTAATCCCAGTACTTTGGGAGGCTGAGGTGGGCCGATAGCCTGAGGTTGGGAGTTCAAGACCAGCCTGACCAACACGGAGAAACCCTGTCTTTACTGAAAATACAACAAATTAGCCGGGCATGGTGGTGCATGCCTGTAATCCCAGCTACTTGGGAGGCTGCGGCAGGAGAATCGCGTGAACCTGGGAGGCGGAGGTTGGGGTGAGCCGAGATCGCACCATTACACTCCAGCCTGGGCAAAAAGAGTGAAACTCCATCTCAAAAACAAACAAACAAACAAAAACTGAAAGGGATATGAAAGGAAAGGGTCTCTGGAGTATATGGGGATGCTTTTCACTACCTCATCATTAAATGCCAAATTATATATATATATATATATATATATATATGTATGTATACATATGTATGTGTATATATATGTATGTATACATATGTATGTGTATATATATGTATGTGTGTATATATGTGTGTATATATATGTATGTGTGTATATATGTATGTATATGTATATATATATAGAGAGAGAGAGAGAGAGAGAGACAGCATCCTGCTCTGTTTCCCAGGCTGGAGTGCAATGGCATGATCTTGGCTCACTGAAGCCTGTGTCTCGCAGGCTTAAGCGACTCTCCCATCTCAGCCTCTTGAGTAGTTGGGACTACAGGTGCATGCCAGTACACCCAGCTATTTTTTTGTAGAGACAGAGTTTTACTATCTTGCCCAGGCTGGTCTCAAACTCCTGAGCTCAAGCAATCCTCTTGCCTCAGCCTCCCAAAGTGCTAGGATTACAGACATGAGCCACCTGCCTGACTAATATATAAAATTTATAGCCTGTTTCACCTCGCATGTGACCCTGACTGTAGCTAAGGAAAATAAATATTTTGTACAATATTTTGGCTTTTTATTTTGTTGAGACAGGGTCTCACTGTCCCCCAGGTTGGTATGCAGTGGGGCAATCATGGCTCACTGCAGCCTCGACTTCCAGGGCTCAAGCAATGCCCCCACCTCAGCCTCCTGAGTGGCTAGGACTATAGGTGTGCGCCACCATACTTGGTTAATTTTTGTATTTTTTTGTAGAGCCAGAGTTTCACCATGTTGCCCAGGCTGGTCTTCAACTCCTGGGCTCAAGCTATCCTCCTGCCTCAGCCTCCCAAAGTGCTGGGATTACAGGCTGAGCCACTGCACCCAGTCTGCTTTCTTTTTTTTTGAGACGGAGTTTTGCTGTTGTTGCCCAGGCTGGAGTGCAATGGTGCAATCTCGGCTCACTGCAACATCTGCCTCCCAGGTTCAAGCGATTCTCATGCCTCAGCCTCCTGAGTAGCTGGGATTATAGGTGTGCAACACCACACCCGGCTAATTTTTGTATTTTTAGTAGAGACGGGGTTTCACCATGTTGGCCAGGCTGGTCTTGAAATCCTGACCTCAAGTGATCCGCCTGCCTCAGCCTCCCAAAGTGCTGGGATTACAGGCATGAGCCACTGCGGCTAGCCCTAGCCTGCTTTTTATTATAGAGTGTTTAAAATCACCTACAAAATAAAATCTAGGCCGGGTGTGGTGGCTCATGCCTGTAATTGCAGCACTTTGGGAGGCCGAGGCGGGTGGATCACGAGGTCAGGAGATCAAGACCATCCTGGCTAACATGGTGAAACCCCATCTCTACTAAAAATACAAAAATAATTAGCCGGTTGTGGTGGCGGATGCCTGTAGTCCCAGCTACTTGGGAGGCTGAGGCAGGAGAATGGCGTGAACCTGGGAGGCAGAGGTTGCAGTGAGCCGAGACTGTGCCACTGCACTCCAGCCTGGGTGACAAAGCGAGACTCTGTCTCAAAAAAAATAAATAAATAAAAAATAAAATAAAATCTAAAATAAGAATCAAATCCACTCCCGCCACCCCCAGCCATTGGTAACAGTTGTCATAGTTGTCATAGTTAATAGTTTGTGCTGAATCATTCCAGACCTTTTTTTTTTTTTTTGAGACGGAGTCTCACTCTATCGCCAGGCTGAAGTGCAGTGGCGCGATCTCGGCTCACTGAAACCTCCGCTCCCCGGGTTCCAAGGATTCTCCTGCCTCAGCTTCCCAAGTAGCTGGGACTACAGGCATGTGCCACCACACCTGGCTAATTTAGCAGAGACAGGGTTTCACCATGTTGGCCAGGCTGGTCTTGAATTCCTGACCTCACGTGATCCGCCCACCTCGGCCTTCCAAAGTGCTGGGATTACAGGCATGAGCCACCGCGCTGGGCCTCGTTCCAGACCTTTTAATGCCTATATCGTAATTGTAAAATGTGCTTACTAAATGCAATGTGGTATCCTGGATTGGCTCCTGGAACAGAAAAAGGACATTAGTGAGAAAACTGGTAATACTCATTGAAATAAAATCTGTAGTTTGGTTAATATTAATGTGCCAATGTTAATTTCTCAGTTTTGACAAATGTACCATGGCTGCATAAGATTTGGAGTTGTGCTGGTTACTGTGGCACTCATCTTGCATCTGTAGTGCCAGCTACTTGGGAGGCTGAGGCAGAAGAATCACTTGAACTCAGGAGGCGCAGGTGGGGCGGTGAGCCGAGATCACAGCATTGCACTCCAGCCTGGGTGACAGAGCAAGACTCCGTCTCAAAAAAAAAAAAAAAAAAAAAAAGGAGGAGGAGGAGGGGAAGGGGAAGGGGAAAGGGAAGGGGTAGAAGCAGAGTCTGTTCCTGCATGAGAAGGTCTTTTCCTAACTGTCCTAAATGGAATCATCAGCACTTGAGTGTTACTGACCTCCCAGGAGCGGAAGCGTTGAAGAAGCACACATTCCGTAATAGGCAAACTCAGAGAGAATCCATTTACAGACCATAGGCAGATTTTCCCACTCTCCAGTCATGCCAGGCTGCTCCCAAAGGGTCTTTGAGGAGGAAAATCAGTGAACCAACCGCCTAGGCACCTGCAGCTTCTCATGTCAGGAAAAACCACTTGTCAGAATCCATTTATCACACCTTGAGGTGGTGACTTAGAGAGGTACTAAAATTTTTTGCTTTCAAATACAAATATTAATATGGGGCTGGGTGCAGTGGCTCACACCTGTAATCCCAGCACTTTGGGACGCTAAGGCAGGCGGACCGCTTGAGGCCAGGAGTTCAAGACCAGCCTGGGCAACATGGCAAAACCACATCTCTACTAAAAGTACAAAAATTAGCCAGGTGTGGTGGCACACACCTGTAATCCCAGCTACTTGGGAGGCTGAGGCATGAGAATCACTTGAACCCAGGAGGTGGAGGTTGCAGCGAGCTGAGATCACGCCACTGCACTCCAGCCTGGGTGACAGAGGAAGACTCTGTCTCAAAAAAAAAAAAAAAAGAAGAAGAAGGAAAGAAAGAAAAATCAGCATGGGCCAGATGAGGTGGCTCATGCCTATAATCCCAGCACTTTGGGAGGCTGAGGCAGGAGGATTGCTTCAGCCCAAGAGTTTGAAGCCAGCCTGGGCAACATAGTGAGACTTTGTCTCTTCAAAAAATACAATAATTAGCTGGGCATGGTGGCGCACGCCTGTAGTCCCAGCTACTCGGGGAACTGAGGTGGGAGGATTACTTCAACCTCAGAGTTCGCAACTGCAATGAGCTATGATCACGCCACTACACTCCACCCTGGGCAACAGGGAGAACTTGTCTCAAAAAATAAATGAATAAATAAAATTAAAATATTAGTCTGTTTTGTTGTTGTAAATCAATTGAGGCTTTTTTTTAAAAAAAAGTTTTATTTTGAAATCATTATAGATTCACAGGAAGTGGTGGCTGGGCATGGTGGCTCAAGCCTGTAATCCCAGCACTTTGGGAAGCCAAGGTGGGAGGATTGCTTGAGCTGAAGAGTTTGAGACTAGCCTGGCCAACATGGCAAAACCCTGACTCTACTAAAAAAAAATACAGAAATTAGCAAGTTGTGGTGGCATGCGCCTGTAGTCCCAGCTACGCAGGAAGCTGAGAGGCTGAGGCGGAAGGATCGCTTGAGCCCAAGAGGTTGAGGCTGCAGTAAGTTGTGATCACAGCATTTCACTCCATACTGGGCAACAAAGCAAGACCCTGTCTCAAAAAAAGAAGAGGCCAGGCACAGCGGCTCACACCTGTAATCCCAGCACTTTGGGAGGCCGAGTTGGGGAGGCCATGAGGTCAGGAGTTCAAGACCAGCCTGGCCAACATGATGAAACCCCGTCTCTACTAAAAATAGAACAATTAGCTGGGCGCAGTGGCACGCGCCTGTAGTCCCAGCTACTTGGGAGGCTGAAGGAGGAGAATCGTTTGAACCCAGGAGGCACAGGTTGCAGTGAACCGAGATCACATCATTGCACTCCAGCCTGGGCAACAGAGAAAGACTCCGTCTCAAAAAAAAAAAAAAAGAAGAAGAAGAAGAAGACAAAGAAGAAAGAAAAGAAAAGAAAGGAATGTATAGGGATGTGTGGTTACCCTTCACCCTAGCTTCCTCAATGTTTACATCTTTTTTTTTTTTCTTTCTGAGACGGAGTTTTGCTCTTGTTGCCCAGGCTGGAGTGCAATGGCGCGATCTCAGCTCACTGCAACTTCCGCCTCCCGGGTTCAAGCGATTCTCCTGCGTCAGCCTCCCGAGTAGCTGGGATTACAGGCATGCGCCACCACCCCTGGCTAATTTTGTATTTTTAGTAGAGATGGGGTTTCTCCATGTTGGTCAGGCTGGTCTCAAACTCCCGACCTCAGGTGATCTGCCTGCCTCGACCTCCCAAAGTGCTGGGATTATAGGCGTGAGCCACTGCGCCCAGCAATGTTTACATCTTCCATAAAATTATAATACCAAAACCAAGAACATGACATGATACAAGGTGTGTGTATAGTTCTGTTATTTTATCATATACAATTAAGATACAAAACTATTTCATCATCATAAATACCCCTTTGTACTACCTCTTTGTAATCACACCCACTCTTGCCCTCCACAATCCTTAAACCTAAACATTACTAATCTGTTTTTCACCTGTGCAATTTCATCATTTTGAAGATGTTTTATAAACGGAATCATACAATGTGTGAGCTTTAAGACTAGCTTTTTTTACTCATTATAATGCCCTTGGGATCCATCCAAATTGTTGCATACATCAACAGTTATTCCTTTTTTATCTTTTTCTTTTCTTTTTTTTTTTTTTTGAGACAGAGTCTCACTCTGTCCCCCAGGCTGGAGTGCAGTGACGCAAGCACAGCTCACTGCAGCCTCAACTTCTTGGGCTCAAGTGATCCTCCCACCTCAGCCTCTCGTGTAGCTGGGTCCACAAGAATCACCATGCCTGGCTAATTATTTTATTTTTGTAGAGTTGGAGTCTCACTGTGTTTCCCAGGATGGTCTCAAATTCCTGGGCTCAAGTGATCCTCCTGCCACAGCCTCCTGGGTAGCTGAGACTACAGGCACACGCCACCTCACCCAGCTAAAGGAAATTTTGAATGCTTCCTGTTTTTGGCTATTACAAATAAAACTGCTATGAGCATTCACATACTGGTTTTTTTTGTGAAGATGTAAGTTTTCATTTCTCTTGGATAAATGCCCAGGAGTACAATTGCTAGTTCATATGGTGAATGTACATTTAGATTTTTAAGACACTGTCAGACTATATTTCAGAGTATCTGGACCATTTTACATTCCCATCAGCAATGTGTGAGGAACCCAGTTTCTCCATATCCTCACTAGCATTTGATATCACCAACTATTTTTTTTTCAACCATTCTCATAGGTGGGTGGCAATAACTCATCATCGTTCTTTTTTTTTCCCCTAAAACAGGGTCTCTCTCTGTCACCCAGGCTGGAGTGCAGTGGCACAATCATAGCTCACTGCAGGCTCAACCTCCCAGGCTCAAGTCATCCTCCCACCTCAGCCTTGCAAGTAACTGACTACAGCCCAGTGCGCACCATCATGCCCGGCTATGTTTCTAATTTTTTATAGAGATGGGGTCTCCCTATGTTGCCCAGGCTGGTCTTGAGCTCTTGGTCTCAAGCGATCCTCCTGCCTTTGCTTCCGGAAGTGTTGGGATTACAGGCATGAGCCACTACTCCTGGCCACTGTTTGCTTTAATGGGAAAGACGAGAGCTTGCTTAGGAACCGAAAAATCTGATTGGGAAGGAGCAGCTGAACATGGAAGACAGATAGATGTGCAGATGGAGGGAAAGAGGTCCCTGAGATGACGGAAGGAATGGAATCTGGACTTCAGGGAAGGGGCTTCCCCAGGCCAGGGGAGGAGGGAGGGAGGAAGGACAGGTGCGGGCAGCAGGGGCGTGGAGATTTTGCAGCATGGTGATGGCAGCCTTCCATCAAGTATTTTCTTTTCTTTTTTTTTTTTTTTTTTCTTTTGAGATGGAGTCTTGCTCTGTTGCCCAGGCTGGAGTGCAGTGGTGCGATCTCAGCTCACTGCAACCTCCACCTCCCGGGTTCAGGCGATTCTCCCACCTCAGCCTCTCGAGTAGCTGGGATTACAGGCACCCGCCACCACACCTGACTAATTTTTGTATTTTTAGTAGAGACGGGGTTTCACCATGTCAGCCAGGCTGGTCTCGAACTCCTGACCTCAAGTGATCTGCCCACCTCAGCCTCCCAAAGTGCTGGGATTACAGGTATGAGCCACCTCGCCTGGTACATCTAGTACTTTCTTTTTCCAAGAAATAGGAAACAGCATCATGACCAGGAGTCAGGAAATTAAGTCCTGCCGGGCCCACACTCATGCCACCTGTTTTCCTCCCTTGGCCTCAGTCTTCCCAGCCTCACCATAAAAAGCTGGGACTGGTCCCCAATTTGTTTGATCCTCAGGAGCTTCTCAACATTTTTTTTTTTTGGCCAGTGCAGTGGCTCATGCCTGTAATCCCAACACTTTGGAAGGCTGAGGCAGGAGAATCCCTTGAACTCGGGGAGACGGACGTTGCTGTGAGCTGAGATCACACCATTGCACTCCAGCCTGGGCAACAAGAGCGAAACTCCATCTCAAAAAAAAAAAAAAGAACTACACAAGAAGGCAAAATTAGGCTGGGTGCGGTGGCTCACACCTGTAAACCCAGCACTTTGGGAGGCCGAGGCAGGCGGATCCCTTGAGGTCAGGATTTCAAGGCCATCCTGGCCAACATGGAGAAACCCAGTCTCTACTAAAAATACAAAATTAGCCTGGCATGGTGGTGCATGCCTGTAATCCCAGGTACTCGGGCGCTGAGGCACGAGAATTGATTAAGCCTGGGAGGCGGAGGATGCAGGGAGCCGAAATCGTGCCATTGCACTCCAGCAGCCTGGGTGACAGAGAGAGACTCTGTCTGAAAAAAAAGAAAAAAGAAAAAAAAAGAAGGCAAAATCAGCAGCCCCCAAGTGAGGTTGTGAGGTCCTGTCTATGTGGGAAACCCACTCCATACACTGTGGCTCCTGGGACCATTTCCAAACCCTCAGCTGAGATGTGGGTCGGGACATCATCAGGCGGGACTCCTGGGCTGGATCAGGGCTACCTCCAAAGATCAGGATGCTTGGCTGCCCTGCAAAGGGGTGGAGACCTATCCAGGCCTTCCTGAAACCTGAACCCTGGGGTGGGGGGGCTGTGGGGGGAGGAGGGGCTGCCTGGCCTTGAGAGTCCATGCCTCCCCCAACCACATAGCTCCGCCTCCACCTGGGTGCCCTTTTTCTGGGGCCGCTCCAGCTGGTGCCGGCCACCTCCACTCCCCTTTGCTTCTTGCTGTCCCTAAGGTCGGATGGGGACAGGCTGGGGCCACCAGCCAGCTCCATGGACAGGGACTTTGCCTCTGCTCACCTTCCAGCTGTGGAAAGAAAAGAAGAAACGCCTGTGTTGATTTCCATTTGGAAGATCCTTCCTCCTCCTAAACTTCCAGGGGCAGACAAAGTGATTCGATCTTGGATTGACTGTAGAAGAAGGGACAGAAAGAGCCCAGAACATTCCCCCAGGTATGAATCCTTCACTTTTGCTGGAGTGTTTGTGTGTGTGTGCGTGTGCATGCATGTGTGTGTGTGTGTGTGTGTGTGTGTGTGTGTGTGAGACAGAGAGAGAGAGAGAGAGAGAGGCAACCATTTCCCACTGGTCAGATGGGAAATTGTCCTTGTTAATCTCCCAAGCCCCTTCTGGCTGCTGTTTTCTATGATTCTGTAGCCATCACCTTGATTCAGTCACTCAACAAACATTTCCTGAGTATCCACCCTGTGCCAAGGGCAACCACTGAATGAGATCTGGTTTCCACCCTCAAGGGTCTGCAGTCTCGATGGAGAAACAGTAATGATAACAATAGCTACCACACCTAGAGTGGGCCAGACACTGGGCTAAGCCTTGTGAAAACATTTGCTCATTGAACTTGGCAAAAATGATAAGGGGTAAGTGGATCACGAAAGCCATTTTACAGATGAGAACAGTGAGGCTTTGCAAGGTGAAGGTCATACAGCTAGGAGATGGTGGAGCTGATGCTGCAATATGAACCGCTGTGTTAGGCTGCCGGCTGTACTGTAGAAAATGTAGGCAACAGATGGACTCTGAAAGGGATATGAAGGGATGGGAGGGCTTTCAAGAGCCCTAATCACCAAGGACAGGGAGGGATGAAGCCTTGTCTTGCCAGTGTTCCCTTGGGCGTGAAGCAGGAGCAGACTGGAGGGGCCCACCTTGGAGCTGGGAGGGTAGGAGGCAGGCTTGGCAGAGGGCTCTGGGGTCACCTGGGATTTGAAATCTGTGGGGATCAGGATCGGGGGTCCTTCTCCCTCACGCCTGGGCTGAGGTGGCAGGGGATAGAGGTGGGGAAGCTGAGGATTCCTGGCAGGGTCTCTGGAAGTTGCCTGTCCCCAGGGTGGGGGCTGATCTGGCCTGGGGGGCCAGTATCCCAGCAGCCTGAGAAGTGGGTGGCACTGAGGCCAGGAGGCAAAAGGAGGCCAAGATAACTATGTGCCCCCCCACAACAAGCAAAGACTGGACTGTGTCTTTCCCCCTCCTCATGGTTCTCAGCTCCCATCTCCCAGCTGTCCCCAGTCCAGGCAGAAGGAGGACAAAAGGTGATTATTCCACTGGGGGCTGTCCTGGGCCCCATGAATGGGGTGTTGAAATCCCTGTGTCTGCATCCAGATAGGCTTTCATCTTCTCCCCAACCAGACTTTGTACACCAGGGCACAGGTAAAGCCAGAGAGAGGAGGGGGTTGGAGGGATGGTGGGGAGCTCCTTCTGGGACAAGCACCCATGTCCCCCAGTCCCACTCTCAGTGTAGCCCAAACAGAACCATCCTCTCTACCGCCGCCTCCTACAAAGTCCCCATCAGGGTGGCTGGGAGCCAAATGGATGCTCCTAGCTCCCTGACCCCCAACACCAAGAGTAGCCCAGTCCTGCCAGTTCAGTCTCCCACATATCCTTCGCATCTCTCCTTCCTCTCTGCCTCCTATGGCCTAGAGTCTGGACAACTGCATCAGCCTCTAAACCAGCTTCCCATCTCTCCCCAACCAACCAGTCCACAGTGCACACAATGCATCAGACCCTTGCTAAAAGTCTGCAAGAAAAGGGGACGTGAGAGAGGCTTCTGGGACACTGGTTACATGGTGTGAATGCTCTTTGAGCTCTAAGCTCATGGTTTATGCACTTTTTTTTTCTTTTTAGTTAGAGACAGGGTCTTACTCTGTCATTCAAGTTGGAGTGCAGTGGCATGATCATGGCTAACTGCAGCCTTGAACTCCTGGGCTCAAGTGATCCTCCTGCCTTAGCCTCCCAAAGCACTGGGATTACAGGCATGCACCACCATGCCCAGCTAATTGTTTTTTAGTTTTGTAGAGATGGGGTCTCACTATGTTGCCTAGGCCGGTCTTGAAATCCTGGGCTCAAGAGATACTCCCTCAATTAGCTGGGCGTGGTGATACCCGCCTGTAATCCCAGCTACTCAGGAGGCTGGGGCAGGAGAATCGCTTGAACCTGGAAGGTGGAGGGTGCAGTGAGCCGAGATTGTGCCACTGCACTCCAGCCTGGGCGACAAGGCGAGACTCTGTCTCAAAAAAAAAAAGAGATCCTCCCGCCTCAGCTTCCCAAAGTGCTCACAGGAGTAAGCTGCCACACTTGGCCTAGAGTTAATTTAAATCAGGGCCAAGCCTGGTGGCTCACACCTGTAATTCCAGCACTTTGGGAGACCGAGGCGGGTGTATCACTTGAGGTCAGGAGTTCCAGACCAGCCAGGTCAACATGGGGAAACCCCGTCTCTACTGAACATACAAAAATTAGCCGAGTATGGTGGCACATGCCAGTAATCCCAGCTACTCGGGAGGCTGAGGCAGAAGAATTCCTTGAACCCAGGAGGTGGAGGTTGCAGTGAGCTGAGATCAGGCCACTGCACTACAGCCTGGGTGACAGAGGGAGGCTCTGTCTCCAAAAATAAATAAATAAATAAATAATTTAAATCAGAAGAAATGTGCCAATAAAATGAGAAAAATATTAAGTAAATCATAGTTACCATGACACACAAATACATAAAAAAAGTGAAGGAAGGTCTGAGAGACTAAACGCTGCTTACAATGCTCGGCCCATTTTGGGTGGAAAGGCCTTGAAGATTTTTTTTTTTTTCTGATTTAGGATTGGGGTATTAAAAACAAAAAAAGTGCAAGACAGGAGGATCACTTGAGGCCAGGAGTTTGAGACCAGCCTGAGTAACACAGCACGAGAGCCCATCTCTACTAAAAAGAAAAAAAGAAAAATAATTAGCTGGGTGTGGTGGTGCAAGCCTGCAGTTCCAGCTCCTCAGGAGGCTGAGACGGGAGGATCCTTTGAGCCCAGGATAGGGAGGTTGCAGTGAGCCATGATCATGCCACTGCACTGCCGCCTGGGTGACAGAGTGAGACCCTATCTGTAAAAAATAAAAAATAAAAAAATTCTTTAAAGTAAAAAAAATTAATTAATTAATTTGAAAGGGAGACTATATTGTTCTGATAAACGGAAAACCAGAGTCCTTTTTAGAAGGCATTGTACAATTTAAAAAGAATTATTGAAAATAAAACAATACATGAGTATCTATATCCTCCCAAATTAAGTGGGTTGCTGTCCGTGGCACCAATACTATATTTCGAATGCACAGACCAGGTGCGGTGGCTCATGCCTGTAATCCCAGCACTTTGGGAGGCTGAGGCGCGTGGATCACCTGAGGTCAGGAGTTCAAGACCAGCCTGGCCAACATGGCGAAAACCCATCTCTACAAAAAATGAGCCGGGCGTGGTGGCGGGTGCCTGTAATCCCAGCTACTCAGGAGGCTGAGGCAGGAGAATCGCTTGAACCCGGGAGGCAGAGTTTGCAGTGAACGGAGATCGCACCATTGCATTCCAGCCTGGACGACAGAGCGAGACTCCATCAAAGAAAGAAAAGAAAAGAAAAGAAAGGAAAGGAAAGGAAGAAGGAAGGAAGGAAGGAAAGAAAGGGAGGGAGGCAAGAAAGGGAGAGAGGGAGGGAAGGAGGGACAGAAGGAAGGAAGGAAAGAAAGAAAACAAAATCAAATGTGCAGCCCTGGAGGATAATCTCTGAGTCCTTGGGCTGGTCATGGTTTGGGCCGAGCCAACCCTGCCAACCCCCTCTCCCACCATTTGCCCTCTTCACACATCCTCAGCTACAGCCATGACCGACTCCTCATGCGTTTCCATCCAAGCAGCATCTTTTTCACCTCCCAGCTTTTGCCTCTGCCGTCGTCTCCACTCAGAATGCCAAAGGCAAGTGGAAATGTCATTTTCCCCTGAAGCTGACCCCTCTAGGAAGTAAACACTTGGAACTTTTTTCTTTTTCCTGCAGCCTTGGTGCAAGTGATCCTCCTACCTCAGCCTCCCCATTAGCTGCAGCTACAGACATGTGTCACCATACCCGACTCATAAAAAAGAAATGTTCTGGGCTGGCACGGTGGCTCACGCCTGTAATTTCAGCACTTTGGGAGGCCAAGGTGGGCGGATCCCTTAAGGTCAGGAGTTCGAAACCAGCCTGGCCAATATGGTGAAACACCCTCTCTACCAAAAAAAAAAAAAAAAAAAAAAGAAAGAAAGAAAGAAAAAAATACATATATATATATATATATATATATATATATATATATATATATATAATTAGCTGGGTGTGGTGATGCACGCCTGTAATCCCAGCTACCCAGGAGGCTGAGGCAGGAGAATCACTTGAACCTGAGAGATGGAGGTTGCAGTGAGCCGAGATTGTGCCATTACACTCCAGCCTGGCCACAGAGTGAGACTCTGTCTGAAAAAAAAAATCTACTAATTTTTGTATTTTTAAAATTTAATTTTTTTCTTTTTGAGGCAGAGTCTTGCTCTGTCGCCCAGGCTGGAGTGCAGTGGCATGATCTCAGCTCACTGCAACTTCTACCTCCCGGGTTCAAGAGATTCTCCTGCCTCAGCTTCCCGAGTAGCTGGGATTACAGGTGCACTCCACCACACCTGGCAAATGTTTGTATTTTTGGTACAGATGGGGTTTCACCATGTTGGCCAGGCTAGTCTCGAACTCCTGACCTCAAGTGATCTGCCTCCCTCAGGCTCCCAAAGTGCTGGGATTACAGGCATGAGCCACCGCAGCCGGCCTAATTTTTGCATTTTTTGGTAACAGACAGGTTTTCGCCATGTTACCCAGGCTATATCTCGATCTCCTGGGTTCAAGCGATCCACCCGCCTCAGCCTCCCAAAGTGCTGGGATTACAGGCATAAGCCACCACACCCGGCCTCATTTTTAAAAACTTTTTGTAGAGATGGGGGTCTCACTATGTTGCCCAGGCTGATCTCAAACCCCTGGGTGCAAGCAATCCTCCCACCTCGGCCTCCCAAAGTGCTGGGAGGCCCAGCAACATTTGGGATCTTTAATTTCAGATGTTCCAACTGTGACTTCTCCCTGGCGCCTTGATGGGAGCATCTGAAACACCCTTCACCATCTAGATGCACAAGGAAGCAGAGATGCTAATTGGTCCCCAGCTGGATGAGAAGCGCTGGGGGTGGAGGTTGGGAGATGGGAGTGCTGCCCCTCCCTTCCTCCCCCAAGCCCTGTCTTTCCTTCTCCTCCTGCCACTGGGTGAGTCCTCCCCTGTTAGCCCTTGCCACTTCCTCTTTCTGAATCTCAGTTGTCCCAGCTGTAACTTTATAGTAGGAGGAGGGTTGTGAATGAGCTCGTTCCTGTTGTTCTTTCCAATGCTGACCTTTGCCCAGAGTTGACAAAAGAGCTAAGAGTCTGAGTTTGGGGAATGAAGGGCTCAGTACTGGAGGTGACAGGTAAACGCACCCATGGAATGGGCAGTTAGGGGACACTGGGCACAGGGAAGGACAGAAAGAGGGTGTGCTCACCAATGGCTGTTGGAAAGACAGCTGGTAAAAGAGATGAAATCAAATGACCTAGGGACTATCCAAACATAAGAAGAAGGCCGGGCTCGGTGACTCACACCTGCAATCCCAGTACTTTGGGAGGCCAAGGCGGAAAGATCACCTGAGATCAGGAGTTTGAGACCAGCCTGGCCAACATGGTGAAACCCGCGTCCCTACTAAAAATACAAAAATTAACCAGGCTTGGCAGCACGCACCTGTAATCCCAGCTACTCAGGAGGCTGAGGCAGGAGAATCACTTGAACCTGGGAAGTGGAGGTTGCAGTGAGCCAAGATCACGCCACTGCACTCCAGCCTGGGTGACAGAGCGAGACTCTGTCTCAAAAAGAAATAAAGATAAATAAATAAATAAGAATAAGTTGAATCAGCCAGGCACGGTGGCTGTCGCCTGTAATCCCAGCACTTTGGGAGGCTGAGGAGGGCGGATCATGAGGTCAGGAGTTCAGGACCAGCCCGGCCAACATGGTGAAACCCCGTCTCTACTAAAAATACAAAAAATAGCTGGGCATGGTGGCGGGCGCCTGTAATCCCAGCTACTCAGGAGGCTGAGGCAGGAGAATTGTTTGAACCCAGGAGGTGGAGGTTGCAGTGAGCTGAGATTGCGCCATTGCACTCCAGCCTGAGTGACAGGGCGAGACTCTGTCTCAAAAAAAAGAAGTGGAGTCTCAGTTTCTTCATCAGTAAAATGCGTACACAAGTACAGGCTGCAGGGGGTGGTTATAAGGAAAGTGTCAGAACTGTCATACTCGGACCACAAGTGAGGAATTATTTTCCGGCTTTCCATTTTGCCTGGTAGGCAAATTTCACTTCCCTGTTTCCTCTCCCACCTCCACTCTCAAGCATCGTGCTCAGAACTGCATGATGAAGAAGAGTGTGGCTGTCTGGGTAGTCTCTCAGCTCTACCCTTGATTTGCTACGTGGCCCTGAGTAAGTTGTCTAATCTCACTAACCCTGAAGTTGCCCTGTCTGTAAAATCCTGCCTAACTTATAAATTATCCTAATGATTAACTGAGTTCGCCTAAAGAAACCAATGAAGGCCGGGTGCAGTGGCTCACGCCTGTAATCCCAGCACTCTGGGAGGCTGAGGCGGATGGATCACCTGAGGTCGGGAGTTTGAGACCAGCCTGACCAACATGCAGAAACCCCATCTCTACTAAAAATACAAAATTAGCCAGGCATGGTGGTATGCCTGTAATCCCAGCTACTTGGGAGGTTGAGGCAGGAGAATCACTTGAACCCAGGAGGGGGAGGTTGCGGTGAGCAAAGATGGCACCATTGCACTCTAGCCTGGGCAACAAGAGCGAAATTCCGTCTCAAGAAAAACAAAAAAGAAAAAAAGAAAGCAATGAGGACATACATGATGGCTGAAGCAGAAAGACTCAAGGCCAGGCAAGGTGGCTCACACCTGTAATTCTAGCACTTTGGGAGGCTGAGACGGGAGGATCACTTGAGGCCAAGAGTTCGAGACCAGCCTGGGCAACAAAGTGAGACCCCTGTCTCTACAAAAAATTAAAAAATTAGGCCAGGAGCGGTGGCTCATGCCTGTAATCCTAGCACTTTGGGAGGCTGAGGCAGGCGGATCACTTGAGGTTAAGGGTTCAAGACTAGCCTGGCCAACATGGTGAGACCCCATTTCTACCTAAAAAATATAAAAATTAGCTGGGTGTGGCGGTGTGCGCCTGCAGTCCCAATTACTCGGGAGGCTGAGGTGGGAGAATCACTTGAACCCAGGAGGCAGAGGCTGCAGTGAGATGAGATCATGCCACTGTGCTCCAGCCTGAATGGAGTAAGACTCTGTCTCAAAAAAAAAAAAAAAAAATAGCTGGGCAGGGTGGCAGGAGCTTGTCCCAGCTATTCTGGAGGCTGAGGCGGGAGGATGGATTGAACTCCGGTATTGGAGGGTGCAGTGAGCTATGATCATGTCACTGCACTCCAGGCTGGGTGACAGACTGAGACACTGTCTTAAAAAGAAGAAGAAGAAGAAGAATGAAGTAGAAGGACTCATCTAGGTAAATCTTTAGGGAGGGAAATATGATGAATCCCAAAGCCAATTTACACATTTAAGGTGGAGCTACTGAACATCTGCTGAGTACCAGGTTCTGAGCGGAGAGTCTGGGGACACAGAGTTGAGACAGGCATGGCCACATTACCAGAGAAGGCCCTGAAAGAGGCCTGGGTATGTGGTGTCCAGGAATTCAGAGGAAACAGAGAGCACTTCTAGCTGAGGGCTCCAGGATGGCTTCCCAGAGGAAGGGGCTCCAAGCTGGGAATTGAAAAAAGCTCTTGCCTAGGTGTGTTGGCTCACACCTATAATCCCAGCACTTTAGCAGGCCAAAGTGGGTGGATTACCTGAGGTCAGGAGTTCAAGACCAGCCTGGCCAACATGGCGAAACCCCATCTCTACTAAAAATACAAAAATTAGCTGGACTTGGTGGTGTGCACCTGTAATCCCAGCTACTCGGGAGGCTGAGGCAGAAGAATCGCTTGAACCCCAGAGGAAGAGGCTGCAGTGAGCTGAGATCGTGCCATTGCACTCCAGCCTGGGTGACAAGAGTGAGACTTTGTCTCAAAAAAAGAAAAGAAAAGAAAAAAGGCGAGGCTGGTCAGAATGGTTAGAAGATTCTAGAAGGTTTTGTAGTGAAAGCTCAGGAGCTGAGACTCCTGTAGGTAACAGGGGTCATTATGGGATTTAGCATTAGTTTGAGATGTGCAGATCTACAGATTTACACCCGCAGATCTCTCTAGGTTGGCCCAGGGACCACTAGGAGAGGGGTGAGGCAGGGAAGCCAATCAGGACAGTCAGAGAAAGAGACAATGGGGCTTTGGCAAAGCAGGGGTACTGAAGTCCAAGAAGATGGGGGTAATGTTGAGGACTGTGGGAGTTGGGGGGTGTGTTCCTGGGACCAGGGAGCCATGGTGTGGGCAGAGGGGCCAATGCTCTTCCTCACTCTGTTTCAGCCAGCGCCCTACAGCCCACTCCACTGCCCTTTCAAGGTAGGTGCCCCACCCCGCCCTTCCTCACCCTCACCTGTCCGCCAGGTACTCCAGCCTCAGACAGGGAACCACAGGAAGTGATGACTAACCAGCCCCCCTTGACTCTAGATGCCCCCATCTCAGGGGAGCTGTAGTCTCCCCATTTTCCAGAAGGGATTGATCCCAAGGTTCCCATGGCTTCATGGCAAAGCGGGTAACCTGGCTGGGTCCCGTAGTGCACGTCTGTGATCCTAGCGCTTTGGGAGGCCAAGGCAGGAGGATCACTTGAGCCCAGGAGTTTGAGACCAGCCTTGGCAACATAGTGAGACCCCGTCTCTACCAAAAAAAATAATAATAAAATAAAAGGACATCCTGGAGTGGGCATGCTGGAGGTTGGACTCAGTGACCCCCTGGTGCCAGCTCCACCCTCTTCACAGAGCTGAGGCTGGTGGGGGGCCCCAGCCGCTGCCGGGGCCGCCTGGAAGTCATGCACGGTGGCTCCTGGGGCAGCGTCTGTGATGACGACTGGGACGTGGTGGACGCCAACGTAGTGTGTCGCCAGCTGGGCTGTGGCCTGGCACTGCCCGTGCCACGGCCCCTTGCCTTTGGCCAAGGCCGAGGCCCCATCCTGCTGGACAACGTGGAGTGCCGCGGGCAGGAAGCTGCGCTGAGCGAGTGCGGCAGCCGCGGCTGGGGCGTCCACAATTGCTTTCACTACGAGGATGTGGCTGTCCTGTGTGATGGTGAGTGGAGCCCTGGGACCTGGAGGGACAGACAGACTGTGGCAGGCAGCAGGGCTGTAGGCTAGATAAATGAAGGGACTTCCCACAGGTAAGGCTGTTCCATGCAGATCAGGCCAGAGGCTACAATGCCTGGTGCCAGGGAAGAACCCCAGCCTGGGTCCCAGGGATTCTTCTGGGTCATTGCCTGACCCTGACCTTGGACCAAAAGAAAACCAGCACTACTGCTTCTATGTAAGGCTTTGATTGTCCCAGCAGAGCCCCTCTCCCTTTAAAAAAAATTTTTTTAGAGATTTTGGAGATGAGGTCTCACTGTTTGGTCCCGACCAGAGTGCAGTGGTGTGATCATAGCCCACTGCAGCCTCAAACTCCTGGGCTCAAGGGATTCTCCCGCCTCAGTAGCTGGAACTACAGGTCCAAGTCACCCCACTGGTTCCCCTCTCCTAGTTTTAAAACCAGACAATCAGCCGGGCATGGTGGTTTATGCCAGTAACTCCAGCACTTTGGGAGGCCAAGGTGGCAAGATTGCTTGAGCCCAGGAGTTTGAGACCATCTTGGGAACATAGTACCTTATCTCTACGAAAAATCAGAAAAATTAGCAAGGTGTTGGGGGCGGTCCCAGCTACTTGGGAGGCAGAGGAGGGAGGATCGCTGGAGTCTGGGGGGGTCAAGGCTGCAGTGAGCCGTGATTGTGACACTGCACTCCAGCCTGGGTGACAGAGCAAGATCCTGTCTCGAAAAACAAAGAAAAAAACGACTATTGGGGTCACACTGGCCATGCGCTCCACGTGGCATAGAGCTGCAGCGGAAACTGAGAGCAGTGCTTCTAGTTTTCAAGAAAATCAGGGGGTCTCATGAAAACACAGATTGAGGCCCAATCCCAGAGTTTCTGATTCTGCAGGTCTGGATGGGGCCTGAGAATCTGCATCGCTAACAGTTCCCAAGGGAGGTGAACTGCTTTAAGAACTGTGCTTCAGGCTGGGCACGGTGGCTCATGCCTGTAATTCCAGCACTTTGGGAAGCCGAGGCAGGTGTATCACCTGAGGTCAGGAGTTCAAGACCAGCCTGACCAACATGGTGAAACCCCATCTCTACTAAAAATACAAAAAATTAGCTGGGCATGGTGGCAGGCACCTGTAATCCCAGCTACTCAGGAGGCTGAGGCAGGCAAATTGCTTTAACCAGGGAGGCGGAGGTTGCAGCAAGCTGAGATTGCACCATTGCACTCCAGCCTGAGCGACAGAGCAAGACTCCATCTCAAAAAATAAAATAAAATAAAAAACAACAACAAAAACCGTGCTTTAGAGGAGTCCAGGACTCTGGTGTGGACCCTCTCCTCTCATACCCCAGTGTTCCTGGCTGTGACTCTTTGTGTGGCCAGAGGCTCTGGCGGCAAGCACCTTATGGGTCCATCCTCCTGCCCCTTAAACACCCCGTGGTGTGAGGATGGAGAACAGAAAGACCCCTGTATCCACTTCACTTCCTTTCCAGAATTCTTGCCAACGCAGCCCCCAACAAGGAAGATGTTAACCAGTAGAGCACCTCCTACGACACTGCCGAATGGAAAAAGTACGTAAGCATAATGTGGGCACCACCTGGGTTTTGGGAGAGGAGTCTCTCACACCCTACCCTAGGCAGTGGGAAGACAGGGATTACAAATTGAAGATGTAAAGTTAGAGAAAATGGCTGGGCATGGTGGCTCACACCTGTAATCCCAGCACTTTGGGAGGCCGAGGCCAGCGGATCACTTGAGGTTGGGAGCTCCAGACCAGACTGGCCAACATGGTGAAACCCTGTCTCTACAAAAAATACAAAAATTAGCCAGGCGTGGTGGCATATTCCTGTAGTCCCAGCTACTTGGGAGGCTGAGGCAGGGGGATCACTTGAACCCGGGAGGCAGAGGTTGCAGTAAGATCATGCCACTGTACTCTAGCCTGGGGGACACAGTGAGACCCTGTCTCAAAAAAAAAAAAAAAAAATAGAAAATGAATGGGCGGTGAGACTGGAGCTTAATCTCACAGGAAGGTCAGATGAGCCCAAGAATGATGATCATGACTAGAAGAAGAAAATGAAAAGTGCTCTAAAAGAGGGACAGTGAAAGAGGCAAAGAAGTCCAGAGGTGGAAGAGGGTCCCGTTCCTCAGGAGATCAGGGAAGGCTTCCTGGAGGAAGAGGTGTGGGGCTGTATCTTGAGGATGTCATTTGCAGTAGATGAGAAGGCAGCACGTCCCAGGCTGCCAGGAGACAGGGAGCAGGGTAGGGGGGTTGGTTTTAGGCAGAAATGATACTATGATCCCACAAGCTACCCCCAGTCTGGACCAAGGAGGCGGTACCCTGGGCAGCGGGGTGAGCAGATGCCCAAGGGTTGTAGATCCTGGGACACCGGGCTGCCCTTGCGGTGCGGACGGGGGCAGAGGCCAGTGGGAGATGCGCCCTGACCCCCGCCCCCATCCCCAGGTGAGGGCAGCGTACGCCTGGTAGGGGGCGCGAACCTGTGTCAGGGCCGAGTGGAGATCCTGCACAGTGGCCTGTGGGGCACCGTGTGTGACGACGACTGGGGGCTGCCGGATGCCGCTGTGGTCTGTCGTCAGCTGGGCTGCGGGGCGGCCATGGCCGCCACCACCAACGCCTTCTTCGGCTATGGCACCGGACACATCCTGCTGGACAACGTGCACTGCGAAGGCGGCGAGCCCCGCCTGGCAGCCTGCCAGAGCCTGGGCTGGGGTGTGCACAACTGCGGCCACCACGAGGACGCGGGCGCGCTCTGCGCAGGTGCGGGCTCTAGGGGCGATGGGCGGGGCCGGGGCAGGTGGGCGGGGCCCTGTGGCAATGCTGGAGGAGGAGGCTTCGGTGGGGAGGTGGATGGGGAGGGTGTTTTGGCTGTCTTGATGCTCCCCAGAGCTCTCCAGGCAGCATCCAAAATTACTTCTATCTCAGTCCTGTTCTAGAAGTGCCTCCGAATATCCCAGAACTCCTTGTGGTACACTCCATGGCTATGAAACAATATTGCACTAATCCAGTCTGGCCAACATGGCAAAAATTAGCCGGGCGTGGTGGTGCATGCTTGTAATCCCAGAGACTCGGGAGGCTGAGGCAGGAGAATCGCTTGAACCCAGGAGGTGGAGGTTGCAGTGAGCCGAGCTGACGCCACTGCACTCCAGCCAGGGTGACAGAGACAGACTCCATCTCAAAACAAACAAACAAAAAAACTGTACTATTGCTTCACCAATACTCGAGAATTCTATAGCAATATCCCAAGAATGCCTCCAGAATGTTCCAGCAAGTACTGTTCCTGGACCACTTTAGAGTAACACTCTAGGATAACACTCGGAGTAACACTCTAGAATTGCCCCAGAGATATTCCAGCATTCTCTGATGCTCACAGCATTACCTAGCACACCCCTCTGTCATCCTGATGCTCTAATAATAGTATTTTCTCCCCACCTAGGCCCTCTCCAATTTGGGAGGGTTTCTCAGCAAAGAGGAATAATAGGGCCAATAATGCTATTTCACAGATGGACTCTGCTCTGTAAGAGATAAAGTGGTTGCCCACAACTCATAACTCATAGCAAACTAAGGGCTATCATTCCCAGTGTATAGGTGGGAAAGCTGAGGCCCAGAGAGTCAGAGCCTTGCCCATGGTCACACAGTTAATGCAAGGCAGGCAAGCCCCCAAATCGAGGCTTAGTCCAGGAGGGTTTTTGGCTTCCCTCAGCAAAGAATTTAAGGGCCAGCTGGTGTTAGCAGCTTTCATTGACGCGGCAATGCACAGCAGCAGCAGAGGTCCTGCTCCTTGCTGAGCAGGGCTACCCCATAGGCAGTGTGCCCAGAGTAGCAGCTGAGAGGCAGGTCTGCAGTCGTAATTCTATTTACTTTCAAGTATATGCAAATTAGGGGGTGGATTATGCAGATATTTTAAGAACTAGAATAGTAATTTTTGGGTTGTCTGCGTTGCCATGGAAAGGTAACTCCAGGTGTTGCCACGGCAATGGTAAACTGACATGGCATACGAGTGGGCGTATCTCATGGAGAGGCACTCCCACCCCATCCCTGTTTTAGCTAGTCCTCAATTTGGCCCGGTATCTGAGCTCCACCTCCTGAGTCGAGTGAGTCCTCCCTCCTGCCCCATTCCCCACTCAAGAGATTAGTTGTTTTTTTGTTTTTTGTTTTTTCACTTTAAGAGGGGCTGTAGGAGGGCAGAAGTCTGTCTCAGTGAGCCCTGACAGAGCCCCTGCTAACCCTGGGCATGGCCCTTGCCCTGCTAGCCCTGTTTTCTCTGTAAGAGGGGGATAATGGGCTGGGCGCGGTGGCTCACGCCTATAATCCCAGCACTTTGGGAGGCCGAGATGGGCGGATCGCCTGAGGTCGGGTGTTTGAGACCAGCCTAGCCAGCATGGTGAAACCCCATCTCTACTAAAAAAAATACAAAAATTAGCCAGGCGTGCTGGCAGGCGCCTGTAATCCCAGCTACTCAGGAAGCTGAGGCAGGGGAATCGCTTGAACCTGGGAGGCGGAGGTTGCAGTGAGCGGAGATCGCACCATTGCACTCCAGCCTGGGTAACAAGAGCGAAACTCCATCTCAAAAAAAAGAAAAGAGGAGGATAATGAGAACTCAGGCCTGTGTATGGTCCTCCCTGATGGGCAAGGCCTTCTGTACTCCATGTCTGTTGGACACAGAGGACTTCTGATGAGAACATGGGACATTAGAGAGAAATGAAAGCGTGTCTGTTGACAGCCCTGTATAAACTGAAGTGTACACCTCACAGCACAAGTGAATTACAACCACTATCAAAGTGGGGACAGGCCTCCTTGGAACCCCGCTGCGGCTGGGCCACCAGCCCTGGAAGTAACATCTATTCTCTCCTCCAGGCAGACCCTCCTATCCTCCCCTGACAGCCCATGGCTGACCAGAGACCAGAATCTCAGCCTCTGACCCTGCCCCCTTCTCTCCTGCCCTAGGCCTGGGTCCCCCAACGCTCACAGCACTGCCATCCTCAGCCACAAGAGAGGACTGGGCTTGGCAGACAGATCCGTCCGGTAAAGAGCTCAGCCCTCCAGGCGGGAATGGTAGGGGTATGGTGGGTGCGGCTGGGAACTGGGAAGAATGTTCTGGATTCACAGGCGGGGGCCCTGGCTAACAGGCCAGGGCTTTGGCCAGATGGTGCAGAGGTGGGTGAGACAATTATGAGCAGACGGAGCAAGGATGATGAAACTCAGAGCTCTGAAAACTTCAGCGGGGTGGGAGGAGGCAGTAAGAGATTTCTTCAAAGCACAGAAGTAAAATTTGGGATGTGGGCGGTGGCTCACTCCTATAATCCCAGCACTTTGGGAAACAGGCAGGAGGATCTGTTGAGGTCAGTTAAAGACCATCCTGGGCAACGTAGCTAGACCCTGTCTCTAAATATAAATAAATAAATAAATATCTTATATATATTATATATATCTTATATATAATATATATCATATATATTATACACATATTTTATATATTTATATATATCATATATATTATACATATTTTATATATATATATATATATATTATACATACATATATTTAAATTGCCAGGCATAGTGGCTCATGCCTGTAATCCCAGCACTTTGGGAGGCTGAGGCAGGTGGATCACTTGATGTTGGGAGTTCAAGACCAGCCTGGCCAACATGGTGAAATCCCATCCCTACTAAAAATACAAAAATTAAAAATAAATAAATAAAAATACAAAAATTAGCCGGGCGCCTGTAATCCCAGCTACTTGGAAGGCTGAGGCAGGAGAATTGCTTAAGCCTGGCAGGCAGAGGTTGCAAAGAGCTGAGATTGCGCCACTGCACCACAGTCTGGGCGAGACAGAGCGAAACTCTGTATCAAAAAAAAAAAAAAAAAATTAGCTGGGCATGGTGGGTCGCACCAGTCCTAGCACTTTGGAATACCGAGGCAGGAGGATCACTTGAGGCCAGGAGTTCTAGGCTGCAGTGAGCTATGATCGCACCACTGCACTCCAGCCTGGGCGACAGAGCAAGACCCTGTCTCGAAATTAAAAAAACTTTTTTTTCAATGGGATGATGCTGAGATTGGGAATTGAGAGACCTTATGAGGGGGTCGATTGAGATGAAGGTTGAGTCAAGGTTAGCAGTGCAATTGGAATTAGGATAGGAACTATCCCTGGGCCTGAAGTTAGGATAATACCTAGAATTAGCTTTCGGTTCATTCAACCAAGTTTCCCGGAGATCCCAACCCGCGCCAGACAACGTGGTGACTCTGGGGTTGCAGCTGAGTGGGGGTACGGGTGTGGTAGGGTTGGGGGTCTTGGTAGGCGTCCCCGTGCCCTGCTGCAGGACAGAAGGCCTCCTCGTCCCCTTCGAACGCCCTAGATGCCCTGTCTCCACAGCTACAGGAGTTGGCCCCCAGCCTTCCCGGGAGACAGCACTGCTCACCACCGCCGCCTGGGCCGCGGGGAAGAAAAGTAAGTGGCGGTGCCTGGGTCTGCGGGGGATGGGGAAGGGTAGGGCTGGGGCTCTGCCGGGAGCCGGCAGCCCCAGCCCAGCCCCTCTGGCCGCGGGCCTGTGCGCCCCGCAGGTGGACGGCTGCGACTGGTGGGCGGCCCGGGTCCGTGCCGCGGCCGCGTGGAGGTGTTGCACGCCGGGGGCTGGGGCACCGTGTGCGACGATGACTGGGACTTTGCGGACGCGCGCGTGGCCTGCCGCGAAGCGGGCTGCGGGCCTGCGCTGGGCGCTACGGGACTGGGCCACTTCGGCTACGGCCGCGGCCCCGTGCTGCTGGACAACGTGGGCTGCGCCGGCACCGAGGCTCGCCTGAGCGACTGCTTCCACCTGGGCTGGGGCCAGCACAACTGCGGCCACCACGAGGACGCGGGAGCGCTCTGCGCAGGTGAGGCTGACAGCGAAGGTGAGGCTGACAGCGGGGCCGCGCACTGCGGCGTGGGAGGGGCGGGGCGGCGCCACGCGCGAGGCCTCTCTTGCGGCACTGCCGCCCGGGGAGCATGCGCACTCCGCAGAGGGGCGCCGCCCCGCCGTGCGCCCGCTCTGCGGCTGCGCGGCGGGGCGAGGCCGGAACGGAGAGCCTTCTGCAGTGGAAAATGGGGCGGGGCCTGGTGAGCGCCGCGTGGTGCAGCTGTGAGGGGCGGTGTCCGAAGGTCAGGGCTAAGGCCGATCCCAGTTCGAGAAAGGCATCAAGTCCGTAAAGGGTGGGGCCGTTTGCTCCCGGCTAAATCTAGACCCCGCAAAACTCTATTAAGCAGAGAGTGGATCACCCTTACCAGAGCTAGCGTGTGACCTTTGGGCGGAGTCAGTGGAAAGGGGTGTTTGCAGTTTGGCAGAACATTGTGAAATTCATTGATTGCTGTGGGAATTGATATCTTCACCCTCATTTGGTGCCCCAGGGCTAGTAGGCCCTACTTCCCATAGTTTTGGCCACAGAGGGTTCTGTTTTGGGGCCAAGGTTTGGAGAGGCACAACACCTATTTCTTTTTTTTTTTCTTTTGAGACAGAGTCTTGCTCTGTCACTCAGACTGGGCTGCAGTGGCACGATCATAGTTCACTGCAGCCTTAAACTCCTGGGCTCAAGCTATCCTACTCCGCTCAACCTCCAGAGTAGCTGGGACCACAAGGGGCATGCCACCGTGCCTGGCTAATTTTTGAATTTTTTTTAGAGATGAGGTCTCACTGTGTTGCCCAGGCTACTCTCGAACTCCTGGCTTCAAGCGATCCTCTCACCATGACTTTTTTTTTTTTTTTGAGACAGAGTCTCAGTCTGTCACCCAGGCTGAAGTGCAGTGGCTCACTGCAACCTCCGCCACCCAGGTTCAAGCGATTCTCCTGCCTCAGCCTCCTGAGTAGCTGGGACTACAGGTGCATGCCACCACGCCTGGCTAATTTTTGTATTTTTAATAGAGACGGGGTTTCACCATGTTGGCCAGGCTGGTCTACGAACTCCTGACCTCAGGTGATCCACCCGCCTCGGCCTCCCAAAGTGCTGGGATTACAGGTGTGAGCCACCATGCCCGGCCTTACTTTGACCTCTTAAAGTGCTGGGACTACAGGTGTGAGCCACTGCACCCACTCAGTGACACAACCCGCATTTCTGATCAAGGGGAGCAGTTCTTCAGGAACCTGTGAAGTCCTTTTTGTCCCTAGGACAGGCTTTCCTGGGGAGAGCAGGAGGGGACCTGGCCCTAAGGAACATGCTTCCCATTGTGAGAGCCACCTCTTTATCTCTGTCCTTCCTGAACCAGGCCCAGAGGAGCTGGGACTGCAAGTCCAGCAGGATGGTTCTGAGACCACGCGGGTGCCCACTCCTCGGCCCAGGGACGGTAGGTGCCCATAATCCCCTGAAAGTGGGTGGAGGCATCGGGGTCTTAAGGACCTGGATTGGGGGAGGTCACAGCCTAGGTTATAAAGCTCAGCAGATTCACACCGGGACCTGGAAGTCTTGTCCTTTTTGTTGGTCTCAGGCCTCCTTTGTAGGAATATGGTGTCCAGAAAGAAGGAGGTGAGCTTTAAACTACAGCAATCTGGAGATTTCTAGAGGTGAGATCAGAATGAGGGGATAAGGATCCTGTCCTGAGCAGAGCAATGAAAAAATTCAGAATATAGTTCTGGGAGCCCAGGGGGGTGCAGGAGACCGTGATGACCTTCAGGGGACACAATAGGATGTAACAGAGTCTCCAAACAGCCGGCCTGGGGCTGGGGTACTGGGATTATGAACAGAGGACTAGAGAGAGAGCAGACATGAAGCACCCAGTACACGTCGCGGATCACTCAAAAACGTTTGCACGCTTTCTCCCAGTCCTGAGACTATGGGTCTGGACTGATGCTCATCTTATTTATTTATTTGTTATTTTATTTTTTTGAGATAGAGTCTTGCTCTGTCACCCAGGCTGGAGTGCAGTGGCGCAACCTCCACCTCCCAGGTTCAAGCGATTCTCGTGCCTCAGCCTCCCCAGTAAGTGGGATTATAGACATGTGCCACCACACCCAGCTAATTTTGTGCGTTTGTATTTTTAGTAGAGACAGGGTTTCACCATGTTGGCCAGGCTGGTCACGAACTCCTGACCTCAAGTGATCCACCAGCCTTGGCTTCCCAAAGTGGTGTGATTATAGGCATGAGCCACTGCGCCTGGCCCCATCTTATATATGTTTGAGACAGAGTCTTGCTCTGTCATCCAGGCTGGAATGCAGTGGCACAATCACGGCCACTGCAGCCTGGACCTCCTGGGCTCAAGCAATCCTCCTGCTTCAGTCTCCCAAGTAGCTGGGACTACAAGGCACACACCACCACACCCGGCTAATTTTTGTTTTGTTGTTTTGTTTTGTTTTTAGAGACAGGGTCTTGCTATGTTGTCCAGGCTGCTGTCCGGCTTCTGGGCACAAGCAGTCCTCCCTCCTCAGCCTCCCAAAGTGCTGGGATTGCAGGCATGAGCCACCGCACCTAGCGCCAATCTTCTTTTTTGTTTTTTTGAGACGAAGTCTCACTCTGTCGCCCAGGCTGGAGTGCAGTGGCACGATCTCGGCTCACTGCAAGCTCCACCTCCTGGGTTCATGCCATACTCCTGCCTCAGCCTCTCAAGTAGCTGGGACCACAGGCACCCGCCACCACGCCCAGCTAATTTTTTGTATTTTTAGTAGAGACGGGGTTTCACCCTGTTAGCCAGGATGGTCTCGATCTCCTAATCTCGTGATCCGCCTGCCTCGGCCTCCCAAAGTGCTGGAATTACAGGCGTGAGCCATTGTGCCCAGCCAGCGCCAATCTTACTTTAATTTCATGTGTCTGCCTTCATCTAGCGGCTCCTAGGGCAGTGCTCAGAGTGTCTCAGACCTCTCTTTACTGCCAACCTGACCTAGCTTGGGAGTGGCCTGGCATGGACCAGCCCCTTCCAACCCAGCCCTGTCCCCCCACAGGGCATCTACGTCTGGTCAATGGAGCCCACCGATGCGAGGGACGTGTAGAGCTCTACCTAGGGCAACGGTGGGGCACTGTCTGTGATGATGCTTGGGACCTGCGGGCAGCCGGTGTCCTGTGCCGCCAGCTGGGCTGTGGCCAGGCCCTCGCAGCCCCTGGCGAGGCTCACTTTGGCCCAGGCCGAGGCCCCATTCTCCTGGACAATGTCAAGTGCCGTGGGGAAGAAAGTGCTCTGCTGCTCTGCTCTCATATCCGCTGGGATGCCCACAACTGTGACCACAGCGAGGATGCCAGTGTCCTGTGCCAGCCTTCATGACCCAGCCCGCTCTGCAGACCACCTCTTCTTCTGGGAGCTGTGACCTCCCTTCCTCCTCCAGGAAGCCCTCCTCTTGTGATGACTACAGTTCACTTTGCCCCTCCTTCCCTTGCCTGGGAGAGAGCCTACCTAGACAGTGCAGTCCTGCTTGGGGGAGCCTGGCTGTACCCCCGTCCACTTACTGCGTGACCTCAGCCTGTCATCGACTGTTGTGAGCCCAATTCAGTGAAAGCTCCTGTGGTTTTGCTCAGCCAAAACCAAAACGAGGGGAAGAGGATGATTCCTAACTCTTCTGTTTGGTGGGGCTCTTTTTATAGCACCAGACTCTGCCTTCCTTGACCTAGATCCAGGAGGCTCAGGGGCTCTTTAAATGGGGTATCTCCTCTTCCCCCAACCCATCTTGGGATCCCCAAGAAGAGGGAAGGCAGGAGGGGCCTACAGCTCCTACCTTGGGCCCTCAGGGGCTGCAGAGGAACCTGGGTCCCTGTCCTGCCCTGCTCCGCGAGGGCCTGGACTAACTCAGATGGTGCTCGGCTGGACAAGGGGACTGGGGGAGGGGCCAAAGCAGGGACAGTGGCCCCTCCCTGCAGCTGGAACCAGCATCTCTGATTTATGCCGTCTCCACCACAGAGCCTCCACTTTGCAGGAGTGAAGAACCCTGGGGGCCTGTAGCCACCAGTTCATAGGTGCCAAGTCAATAAAGCATTGTCCCCCGTCTCTTATAACTGCAGTCACTGTTTGAGCACAAATGCATTCTCTGTGGCAGCAGGAAAGACTCTGGGCAGGGCTCTTGGGAGGAAACAGGGTTCGGAATGGAGGACGGTTCAAAAGCATCAACCAAGAGCTCTCAGCAGGTCCATCACATCCTGGAAATGCTGAGTCACAGTGTCAGGCCTCCATGGCGGCCCCTAGTGAGTCCCTTAACCCAACTCCTCTCTCCTTTCACATATATAGAAATCAATGTCCAGCAAAAGGAAGGGGCTTGCTCAAGGCCACATAGCAAGGCGTTGGAGTCACTAGAAGAGAGAAGAAATTTTTTTTTTTAAGACAGAGTCTCACTCTGTTGCCCTGACAAGTGCAGTGGCACAAACTCGGCTCACTGCAACCTTTGCCTCTTGGGTTCAAGTGATTCTCCTGCCTCAGCCTCCTGAGTAGCTGGGACTACAGGCATGCGCTACCACATCCGGCTGATTTCTGTATTTTTAGTAGTGACCGGGTTTCACCATTTTGGCCAGGCTGGTTTTGAACTCCCAACCTCAGGTGATCTGCCTGCCTCGGCCTCCCAAAGTGCTGAGATTACAGGCGTGAGCCACCGCGCCCGGCCGTTTTTTTTTTTTTTTTAAGAGACCGAGTGTTATTCTGTCACCCAGGCTGGAGTGCAGTGGTCTTATCATAACTCACTGCAGCCTCGAACTCCTGGATGCAAGCAATCCTCCCACCTCAGGCTCCCAAGTAGCTAGGACCACAGGCGCATGCTACCATGCCCAGCTGTTTTAAAATTTTTCTTGTAGAGATGCGATCTTGCTTTGTTGCCCAGGCTGGTCTCAAACTTCTGGTCTAAAGAGATCCTCCTGCCTCAGCCTTTCAAAGTACTGTGATTAGAGGTGTGAGCCACTGTGCCCAGCTGAGAAAAAATTCTTTTTCTTCCGTTTTGGTTTTTTGTTTTGTTTTGTTTTTTGAGACAGAGTTCACTCTTTTGCCCAGGCTGGAGTGCAATGGCACAGTCTCGCCTCACCGCAACCTCCGCCTCCCAGGTTCAAGCGATTCTTCTGCCTCAGTCTCCTGAGTAGCTGGGATTACAGGCACGCGCCACCATGCCTGGCTGATTTTGTATTTTCAGTAGAGACGAGGTTTTCCATGTTGGTCAGGCTGGTTTTTAACGCCCAACTTCAGGTGATCTGCCCACCTTGGCCTCCCAAAGTGCTGGGATTACAGGCCTGAGCCACTGCGCCTGGCTTCTTTTTTTTTTTTTAAGACAAGGTCTCACTTTGTTGTCTAGGCTGGAGTACAGTGACGTGATACCATGTTAGTTCACTACAACCTCTGCCCAGGCTGAAGCGATCCTTCCACCTCAGGCTCCCAAACAGCTGGGACTACAGGTGCATGGCACCACACCCAGCTAATTTTTGTTTGTTTGTTTTGAGATGCAGTTTCACTTTTGTTGCCCAGGCTGGAGTGCAATGGCATGATCTCAGCTCACTGCAACCTCCGCCTCCCAGGTTCAAAGCGATTCTCCTGCCTCAGCCTCCTGAGTAGCTGGGATTACAGGTGCCCACCACCATGCCCGACTAATTTTTTGTATTTTTATTAGAGACGGGGTTTCACCATGTTGGCCAGGCTGGTGTCAAACTCCTGACCTCAGGTGATTCACCCACCTCAGCCTCCCAAAGTGCTAGTATTACAGGTGTGAACCACCTCGCCCGGCCAATTTTTGCATTTTTTGTAGAGACACGGTCTCACTGTTTCCCAGGCTGGTCTTGAATCTCTAGTTTCAAGGGATCCGCTGACCTGGACCCACCAAAGTGCTGGGATTACAGGTGTGAGCCACCATGCCCAGTCCCTTTTTTTTCTTTGAGACAGTCTTGCTCTGTCAGCCAGGCTGAAGTGCAGTGGTACAATCATGATTCACTGCAGCCTCGACCTCCCAGGCTCAAGTAAGCCTCCCACTTCAGCCTCCCGAGTAGCTGGGACAATAGGTGTGTGCCATGACACCCTGATAATTTTTTTTAAAAGTTTTTTGCAGAGAGGGGGGTCTCACTATGTTGCGTAGGCCAGTTTTAAATTCCTGGCCTCAAACAATCCTCCCACCTCAGCCTCCCAGAGTGCTGGGATGGCAGGCGTGAGCCACTTTGCCTGGTCTCTCATCTCCCTTTGTTGACTCTATGTCTGCCTTCCCCCATTTTTTAAGTCCTCTTGTGATTATATTAGGCCCACCTACGTAATCCTGGATAATCCTCCATCCCGAGATCCTTAATTTAATTACATCTGCAAAATCCCTTTAGCTTCGTAAAGGAACATATGCACAAACTCCAAGGATTAGGGTATAGGAATATTTAGGGGCCAGTATTCTGCCTCCAACAGGCTCCAAACTGGGGTTATGGCTCTCAGCCAGGGAGTGAGGTGGACACTTTGGCTCCAAACTCCATCGGCTCCGGGCAGTCATGACTTTGTCTCCATTTGTCAGGGAGTTCTCTGAGCTGTGTCATCGGAGGATGAGGCCTGGAGAAATGTTTTTTGTTTTGTTTTTTGTGAGACAGAGTCTCGCTCTGTCACCAGGCTGGAGTGCAGTGGCGCAATCTCAGCTCACTATAACCTCCGCCTCCTGGGTTCAAGTGATTCTCCTGCCTCAGCCTCCCGAGTAGCTGGGACTACAGACGCACACCATCACGCCCAGCTAGTTTTTGTATTTTTAGTAGAGACGGGGTTTCACCATGTTGGCCAGGATGATCTCGATTTCTTGACCTGGTGATCCGTCCGCCTTGGCCTCCCAAAGTGCTGGGATTACAGGCGTGAGCCACCGTGCCCGGCCGAGGCCTGGAGAAATGAAAGATGAAAATGCTAAGAATTCAAGGAGCTGGGGCAGAGGGACTGGAATGTTCTAGCTGCCTTATGGTCTCCAGCACATTCGGAAATTCTTTTTTTTTTTTTTTTTTTTTTTTGTTAAATTGAGATCAGGGTCTCACCATGTTGTCCAGGCTGGTCTCAAACTCCTGGGCTAAAGTGGATCCTCCTGCCTCTGCCTCCAAAAGTACTGGGTTGATGGCTGGGGACGGTGGCTCACGCCTGTAATCCCAGCACTTTGGGAGGCTGAAGCTGGCGGATCACTTGAGGTCAGGTGTTCGAGTCCAGCTTGGCCAACATGGTGAAACCCCGTCACTCCTAAAAATACAAAAATTAACCGGATGTGGTGGTGAGCGCCTGTAATCCCACCTACTCCGGAGGCTGAGGCAGGAGAATTGCTTGAATCCAGGAGGTGGAGGTTGCAGTGAGCCAAGATCACGCCACTGCACTCCAGCCTGGGCAACAGAGCAAGACTGTCTCAAAAAATAATAATAATAAACAAAATACTGGGATGATGGGCATGAGCCATTGTGCCCAGCCCACATTCAGGGATTCTGCTCTAGTCATAGCCATTCCAGCCACCACTCACTTCAGTGCTCTCTGTTGTCCAGAGAAACTTCACAGCTTCCCGTCCCCGGAATCTCTTTCCTATCTAAGCAAAGTACAATTATGTCTCAGCCTCCTCAGGGGGATTGATTCTAGGACCCTCTAAGGACTCCAAAATCCAGGATGTTCAAGTCCCTGACATAAACTTATGTAGAATTTGTATATAACCTATGTACATCCTCCCATATACTTTTTTTTTTTTTTGAGACAGAGTCTCACTCTGTTGCCCAGGCTGTAGTACAGCAGTGCGATCTCGACTCACTGCAATCTCCGACTGCCAGGTTCAAGCGATTCTCCTGCCTCAGCCTCCCAAGTAGCTCGGACTACAGGCATGCACCACCACGCCTGGCTAATTTTTTGTATTTTTAGTAGAGACAGGGTTTTGCCATGTTGGCCAGGCTGCTCTCGAACTCCTGGCCTCAAGTGATCCACCTGCCTTGGCCTCCCAAAGTGCTGGGATTACAGGCATCAGCCAAGCCACTGAACCCAGCCGTTTAAAAAAAAATACAGGCAGGGTCTTGCTATGTTGCCCAGGCTGGACTTGAACTCCAGGGCTCGAGCAATCCTCCTGCCTCAGCCTCCTGAGTAGCTGGGACCACAGATGAGCACCAGCACACCCAGCCAAGCCAACTGTTATTTAACTTAGAGTCTCAGCTTTCATTTTCTCCAGATGGTCTTCATGGACACTCCCTGTTGGTATGAACTGGGAGCTCTCATCCCACTCTGTACCTCCCCAGTGACCATGCTCGCCCTTGCACTTCATGAAACTGCTGCCTAGGCCGGGTGCAGTGGCTCACACCAGTAATCCCAGCACTTTGGGAGGCTGAGGTGGGCGGATCATCTGAGGATGGGACTTGGAGACCAGTCTGGCCAACATGGTGAAACTCTGTCTCTATGAAAAATACAAAAATTAGCCAGGCATGGCGGCAGGCACCTATAATCCCAGCTACTTGGGAGGCTGAGGCAAGAGAATTGCTTGAACCCGGGAGGCAGAGGTTGCAATGAGCTGAGATTGTGCCACTGCACTCCAGCCTAGGCAACAGAGTGAGACTCCATCTCAAAAAAAATAATAATAAACTAAAAAAAAAAAACAAAAACTACTGCCTTGACTGTATGCTATACTAGCCCAGTGGAATGCTGAGGGCTAGGGCTGTGTCTGTTGTGCCTAACTTTGTGCACATGTATCACACACAGTGGAGGCTGAAATAATATTTGCCAAGTGAGGCTGGGCACAGTGGCTCACACTTGTAATCCCAGCACTTTGGGAGGCCAAGGTGGGCAGATCACGAGGTCAGGAGTTCAAGACCAGCCTGGCTAACATGGTGAAACCCCGTCCCCACTAAAAATACAAAAATTAGCCGGGTGTGGTGGCACGCGCCTGTAATCCCAGCTACTCCAGAGGCTGAGGCAGGAGAATTGCTTGAACCTGGGAGGCAGAGGTTGCAGTGAGCCAAGATCACACCATTGCACTCCAGCTCTGGGCGACAGAGCAAGACTCCATCTCAGAAAAAAAAAAATTGCCAAGTGAATACAGCACATGCACAAATATTTCTGAAGCCCTGTGTACTAGGCCAAGTACCATGCTGGCCTCTGGAGCTCCAGAGCCAGAAGAGGCCTAGACCAGGTTCCTGTTTGCCCGACAGAGATGACCTTCAAGAGGAGAAGACAGCCAGACATGGTGGCTCATGTCTGTATTCCCAGCAGTTTGGGAGGCTGAGGCGGGTGAATGACCTGAGGTCAGGAGTTCGAGACCAGCCTGGCCAACATGGTGAAACCCCGTCTCTACTAAAAATACAAAAATTAGCCAGGTGTGGTGGCAGGTGCCTGTAGTCCCAGCTACTCAGGAGGCTGAGGCAGGAGACTTGCTTGAACCCAGGAGGTGGAGGTTGCAGGGAGCTAAGATCGCGCCACTGGACTCCAGCCTGGACAAAAGAACAAGACTCTGCCTCAAAAAAAAAAAAAAGAAGACAAATAATAAGACATTGACCAAATCAATTAACTAGATCATCTAACCTAGTGATTATTGCTAGAAAGAAAATGAAGGCCAGGCGCAGTAGCTCACCCCTGTAATCCCAGCACTTTGGGAAGCCAAGGCAGGCAGATCATTTGAACCCTGGAGTTGGAGACCGGCCTGGGCAACATAGCAAGACTCTCCTGTCTCTACAAACAATGAAAAAATTAGCTGGGTATGCTGGCTCGCACCTGTAGTCTCAGCTACTTGGGAGGCTGGAGTGGGAGGTTCACCTGAGCCCTGGGAGGTTGAGGCTGCAGAGAGCTATGATCATGCCACTGCACGCCAGCCTGGGCAACAAGAGTGATAGTCTGTCTCAAAAAAAAAAATTAATAAAAAAAAGAAAAGAAAAGAAAATGAAGCAGGGTCATAAGGTGGGGATTGGGTAGTCAGGAAAGGCCTCTAAGGAGGTGAGGTCTGAGCTGAGCCTGAGCAGGAAGAGGGAGATGGCCATGAACCTTTTGGCTATGAAACGGTTTGGGAAGTGCTATTCCAGGTCCTTCAACGGAAACTTAGCCTGGCCTGCAGAAGAACCACGGAGCGTTGTGATTGGAGCAAAGAAGAATGTGCTAACGAATCAGAGAAGCCGGTAGGGCCTAGGCCACTGAGGGCTTTTTAGGCCACAGGGAGGCGTTTTATTCTAAAGATGATGAGAATTCATTGGGAAGTAAGTGACAGAGGCATCCTGAGTGTCAGATTGGTTCTAGGACCCCACTCCCATACCAACATCCATAGATGCGCTAGTCCCTTATATAAAATGGCGTAGTATTTGCATATAACCTAACACACCATCCTCCTGCATACTTTAACATCTCTAGATTGCTTATAATACCTCATATGATGTAAATGCTAGGTAAACAATTATTATACTGTTTTGTTTTTGTTTGTTTTCTTGAGAGGGAGTCTTGCTCTGTCGCCCAGGCTGGAGTGCAGTAGCATGATCTCACCTCACTACAACCTCCGCCTCCTGGGTTCAAGGGATTCTTCTGCCTCAGCCTCCCGAGTAGGTGGGATTACAGGCCCACGCCACCATACCCGGCTAATTTTTTATATTTTTGGTAGAGAGGAGATTTCACCACGTTGGCCAGGCTGGTCTCCAACTCCTGACCTCAAGTGATCTGTCTGCCTCGACCTCCCAATATTTGTATACTTTTTATTATATTGTTATTTTTTATTGTTTTAAAAATATTTTCCATCCATAGGTGGTTGAATTCATGAATGTGGAACCCATGGATACAGAAAGCCAAATGCATATTCACAAGGGTGTTCAGCCATCACCGTCTAATTTTAGAACATTTTCTTTTCTTTTTTTTTGAGAGGGAGTTTCACTCTGTCACCCAAGTTGGAGTGCAGTGGAGTGATCTCGGCTCACTGCAACCTCCGCCTCCCAGGTTCAAGCGATTCTCCTGTTTCAGCCTCCCGAGTAGCTGAGATTACAGGCACTTGCCACCACGTCCAACTAGTTTCTGTATTTTTCGTAGAGATGGGGTTTCACCATGTTGGCCAGGCTGGTCTCGAACTCCTGACCTCAAGAGATCCTCTCACTTCGGCCTCCCAAGGTGCTGGGATTATAGGCATGAGCCACCGCACCTGGCCTACTTCACTTCTTTTTATGGTGGAAGAATATTCCATTGTATGGATTTACCACCTTTTGTTTACCCATTCATCTGCTGATGGACATTGGACCATTCGTACCTTTTGACTATTATGAATAATGCTGCTATGAACATTTGTATTCTAGCATCTATTTGATAATCTGTTTTCAGTTCTCTTGGGTATATACCTCAGAGTAATGCTGTTTAACATTTTGAGGAACTATTAGTTTTCCACAGTGGTTTCATCATTTCACATTCCTACCAGCAGTGCACCAGGGTTCCAGTTTCTCCACATCCTCACCAACATTTGTTATTTTCATTTTTTAAAAAAAATTATTGGCTGGGTCTGGTGGCTCACGCCTGTAATCGGAGCACTTTGGGAGGCCGAGGCGGGCGGATCACGAGCTCAGGAGTTCAAGGCCAGTCTGGCCAACATGGTGAAACCTTGTCTCTACCAAAGATAGAAAAATTAGCCGGGCATGGTGGCACGCGTCTGTAATCCCAGCTACTTGGAAGGCTGAGGCAGGAGGATCACTTGAACCTGGGAGGTGGAGGTTGCAGTGAGCCGAGATCGTGCTATTGCACTCCAGCCTGGGTGACAGGGTGACACTCCGTCTCAAAAAAAAAAAAAAAAAAATTCTTGCTATTCTAGTGGGTATGAAGTGGTATCTCCTGGTTTTAGTTAGCACTCACATCTTTTTTTTCTTTTGAGACAGAGTCCTGTTCCGTCACCCAGGCTGTAGGGCAATGGTGTGATCTCAGTTCACTGCAAACTCTACCATTCTGATTCCAGCGATTCTCCTGCCTCAGCCTCCTGAGTAGCTGGGACTACAGGCGGACGCCACCACCCCTGGCTAATTTTTATATTTTTAGTAGAGACAGTGTTTTGCCATGTTGGCCAGGCTGGTTTCAAACTCTTGACCTCAGGTGATCTGCCCACTTCAGCCTCCCAAAGTGCTGGAATTACAGGTGTGAGCCACTGCGCCCAGGCTTCAGTTGCATCTTAATGACTAATTATGTTGAGAATCTTTTCATCTGCTTATTGACCACTTATCTTCTTTGGATAAAGCGTCTATTCAGTCCTTTGCCCATTTTCCATTAGACTTTTGCTCATTTTTTGAAAACGCAGAACTGTCTAGCTATCCCGGTCTAGTGGCTATGAGACCTAGCCTTTGAAAATTGCCCTTTTTGTTTTCCTAGGTCTCTCCTGCCTGGCAGAGTGGCTCACACCTGTAATCCCAACTCTTTTTTTTTTTTGGAGACAGAGTCTTGCTCTATTGCCCACGCTGGAGTGCAGTGGCAGCGATCTCAGCTCACTGCAACCTCCGCCTCCCGGGTTCAAGCCATTCTCCTGCCTCAGCCTCAAGTAGCTGGAATTACAGGCATGTGCTATTTTAGTAGAGATAGGGTTTCTCCATGTTGGCAAGGCTGGTCTTGAATTCCTGACCTCACATGATCTGCCTGCCTCAGCCTCCCAAAGGGCTGGAATTACAGGCGTGAGCTACCTCATCCAACTAATCCCAACTCTTTGGGAGGCCGAGGAGGGAGGATGGCTTGAGGCCAGGAGTTTGAGACCACTTTGGACAACATAATGAGACCCCATCACTACGAAATAAAAAAAATAGCCAGGACGTGGTGGCACGTGCTTATAATCCAAAATACTGGGGCGGCTGAGACAGGAGGATCACTTGAGCCCAGGAGCTCTAGGCTGCAATGAGCGGATGCACGGGATCACACAGCTGAGATCTGCACCCTGAAGGGTGGAATTCCAAAGCTCCATGCTATTCCTGTAACTCTTACTGTCTTATCCCCAAATCTCCAAGTGTTTATTGTTGCCTCCTCTGTACAGAAGAGAAACTAAAGGCCAGGGAAGCCTCGGAGGTTTTTCTGGATCACATACAAAGACCAGGGACCAGGTCTTGGGACACCCACCCCAGCCCACAGATCTCCCCGCCCGATGGCATAGACACGGGGGACAGGGAAGGGCGCGGAGTGACTCGGCCTTTCCGGCCGGCCGGCCCAGTCTGGTCGCGCCTTCCTGCTGAGTCACGGCCTCCGCGGGGAGCCGCGCGGGGCGGGGCTGGGGAGACTACCGGGAGAGGGAATTCGCCCCGCGTGGGAACCGGAGCCGCGCCCCTGGCCCCACGGCAGCCTCCTGATTGGAGAGCCTGCGACTGGCACAGCCTGTCACAGCCAGTTGCAGAGTCCTGGTGAGGCGGGGCCGAGGGCGTAGGCCACACCCCCTCCTCCCCTGGAACCCGCCCATCGCGCCGCACTCCTCAGGGCTTCTGGGGACATCCCGGGCCCAGCCACTGGATGGGCGGGGCTGACTGGGCCCTGGGCACGGAGCCCTGCGGCCTACGCGGGGACAGGAAGGAAGGGACAGGAAGGGCCTCCACAAGCCTGGCGTGAAGGCGACCTTATTAGTCTATGCGGCCACTCGCAACTTACAAAGAGCGTTTTTCTCCCCCCAACCCCGCCCCCTCCCACCAAGGCTAGGCTGGGGTATTTACTCTTGTTTTCAGGGGTCTTTACCCTTGTAACCCAGAGAGGCCTGTTAAAATTGTAAAGCCTCGGCTAGGTGCAGTGGGTCACGCCTGTAACCCCAGCACTTTGGGAGACCGAGGCGGGAGGATCTCTTGAGCTCAGGAGTTCGAGACCAACCTGGGCAATATAGTGAGACCCCCCCCCCCCCCAACCCCTCGCCCAATCTCTACAAAAAAAAATTTTTTAATTACTCAAGTTGGTCGCACGTGCCTGTAGTCCCAGCCACTCTGGAGGCTGAGGTGGGAGGATCACTTAAGCCTTGGAGGTCAAGGCTATAGTGAGTTATGATGACAATACTGCACTTCAGCCTGGGTAACAGAGTGAGACCCTGTCTCAAAAAAAAAAAATAATAAAACCAATTTTTAATAAAACCAGGATTGGAAAGGGAGGGGCTCCTGTACACTCGCAGACTTGTGCACTAGAGTGAGGGCTTAACAGGATCAGCTGCCTAGAGGCACCCCAGCAAAGGCATGAGAGTGCAGGGTCTCCAGAGTGGGCCCTGGGGCTTTTTGATTTTTCGATTTCTTTTGATATGGAGTTCACTCTGTCACGCAGGCTGGAGTGTAGTGGTGCGATCTTGGCTCACTGCAATCTCTGCCTCCCGGGTTCAAGTGATTCTCTTGCCTCAGCCTTGCAAGTAGCTGGGATTACAAGCATGTACCACTACACCCAGCTAATTTTTTGTATTACTAGTAGAGGTGGGGTTTCACCATGTTGGCCAGGCTGGTCTCGAACTCCTGGCCTCAAGTGACCCTGCCCAGCTAGATTTGAATTCTTTTTGGTTTTTTTTTGAGACGAAGTCTTGCTCTGTCTCCCAGGCTGGAGTGCAATAGCGCGGTCTTGGCTCACTGCAACCTCTGCCTCTTGGGTTCAAGTGATTCTCCTGCCTCAGCCTCCCGAGTAGCTGGGACCACAGGCACGTGCCACCACACTTGGCTAATTTTTTGTATTTTTAGTGGAGACGGGGTTTCACCATGTTAGCCAGGATGGTCTCAATTTCCTAACCTCGTGATCTGCCCGCCTCAGCCTCCCAAAGTGCTGGGATTACAGGTGTGAGCCACTGCACCCAGCCAGATTTGAATTTTTAAAAGATCACCCTGGGTATCCCATGGAGAAGAGATAGTAGGGAAACAGGGAATCCAGAGATAGTAAGGAGTAGGGAATCCAGTTTGGAGACTGCTATGATAGTACAGGGAGAGAAGCTAGTTTGAACCCTGATGGGAGTGGTAGAGACAGTGAGAAGAGGATGAATTGTTGACCTGTCCAAAGTGGGCTGTCATGCCCAGGAGAATTAGAATACAGCTCCCTCCCTGAGGCCCCATTTCATTATTTGTTCATTTATCCCCTCATTTTTTCTTCTTTTTCTTTTCTTTTTTTTTTTTTTAGAGTCAGGGTCTTGCTCTGTCATCCAGGCTGGAGTGAAGTGGTGCAGTTATAGCTCACTGCAGCCTCCAACTCCTGGGCTCAGACAGTCCTCCTGCATCAGCCTCCTGAGCAGCTGGGACTACGGGCATGCATCACCATGCCCGGCTAATTATTTTCTCATTCATTCAACAAATATTTGAGCACCACTCTGGGTCAGAAATTATGTCCGGTCTGCCAGGGAGAGGGTCTGCTGCTGCATCCATTGAAGGCTTGGAAGACAAAGGGTGATGTCTGCAAAGGGATTGCCGCAGACCTCACGGCAGCCCCACGACTGCACAATATTTGGACATTGTCTTGGGGGGCCTGGCCTCATCTTCTTGCTGCCAGCCAGCCAGAGATTATTATTTTTTCTTGGCAGATGCAGAAACTGGATGCTCAGAGAAGGGACCAATCTGTTCAAGGTCACTCACCCTGAGCTAGAGGCAGCCTTGGAACCTGAGTATCTGGGCTCTCACCCTCTTCTCTTCCCCCTGCAGTCTGGCTGCCCACATTGGTTTGTTTCACGCTCAGAGAGTCCCTCCATCACTCTCAGGCAGGAGGGGAAGCTGCAGACAGAGGGACGCTTGCTCCCTGCCTCTCTGAGTCCAGCTCCGGTCTCGAGATTGCTGTATTATTAGTAACAGCCCACGTCTGCGCAGTGCTTAACGGCCTCCAGTGAGCCAGGGGACTTTGCATGCAATATCTCATTTGATCCACCTGGCCAGCCACAACTGGGAAGTGAAAATTATTGTCCTCATTTTACAAGTGGGGAAACTGAGGCTCGAAAACTGTATGCATTCATTGAATTACATTGAGGTTCAAAGACACACAACAAATACATGTCCACCAAATTCGGATCCCCTGCTGCTGTGGGATGCCAAAATGAACAGGATGTGGACTCTGTACCCAGAAGGAGACAGCCTAGTGGGATATAATGCACATACATTCCTAGGCCTTGTGTAAGACACCATGTGGGGGACCTTGCAGGAGAAATGTTATGGGCATCAGAGGCAGAAGAAAAGGTCCTGCCTAGTAGAAGTTCTGGGAAGCCTTCTGGAAGAGCAAGCATTTAGCTGGGGTTGAAGGACCTGGATTTGGGTAGCTGGGGAAGGGGAGATGGGCTCCCTCCATATCTTCTCCCAGCATCCTGCATCCTAGTCTTCTTCCGTTGGTGTGTCTTTCTTTCTTTCTTTCTTTTTCTTTTCTTTTTTTTTTTTTTTGAGATGGAGCCTCGCTCTATCGCAGTGGCATGATCTCAGCTCACTGCAACCTCTGCCTCCCAGGTTCAAGTGATTCTCCTGCCTCAGCCTCCTGAGTAGCTGGGACTACAGGCGCATACCACTGCGCCCAGCTGATTTTTGTATTTTTAGTAGAGAGAGGGTTTTGCCATTTTGGCCAGGCTGGTCTCGTACTCCTGGCTTCAAGTGATCTGCCCACCTCGGCCTCCCAAAGTGTTGGGATTACAGGCGTGAGCCACGGCGCCAGGCCCAATGTGTCATTATTTTATGCACCTAATAGGCACTGAACTTTTTTTTTTTTTTGAGACTGAGTCTCGCTCTGTTGCCCAGGCTGGAGTGCAGTGGCGTGGGGACAAGGTGGTGATGGACAGGAGCCCTTCACTGGTGGGATCGTTAAAAATTATGCAGTCCTGTATTCAGGAGGCTGAGGCAGGAGAATGGCATGAACCTGGAACCCAGGAGGCGGAGCTTGCAGTGAGCCTAAATCGCGCCACTGCACTCCAGCCTGGGTGACAGAGTGAGACTCCGTCTAAAAAAAAAAATTATGCAGCCCTGGGAGCTGGGATCACAACCTATTCTCACCACTCACCACCCTCAGTTCAAACTGCTTGGCTGGATTTTCAAACTATTGAAACCATCGCCGAAGGATGCTGGGTGCAGGAGGCATGTGTTAACTCTTAAGTTCTTGCTGGACCTGAAGGATACCCTTATACCTCCATCTCACCCAGGTCCCCATCTCTATGGGGCAGGTGAAGACTTACTCTGAATCACTGAGAACTGGGGAGGTTGTTCTTTTTTTCTTTTTTTTTTTTTTTTTTTGAGACAGAGTCTTGCTCTGTCGCCACGCGAGAGTACAGTGGCGCCATCTCAGCTCACTGCAACCTCTGCCTCCTGGGTTTAAGTGAGACTCCTGCCTCAGCCTCCTGACTAGCTGGGACTACAGGTGCGTGCCACCATGCCCAGCTAATTTTTGTATTTTTAGTGGAGATGGGGTTTCACCATATTGGCCAGGATGGTCTCAATCTCTTGACCTCATGATCCACCCACCTCAGCCTCCCAGAGTGCTGGGATTACAGGCGTGAGCCACTGCACCCGGCTGGTTGTCCCTATTTTACAGATGAGAATAAAGACTGCAAGATGTGGGCCGGGCACGATGGCTCATGCCTGTAATTGCAGCACTTTGGGAGGCCAAGGTGGGAGGATTTCTTAAGCCCAGGAGTTTGAGACCAGCCTGGGCAACACAGGGAGACCCCTGCTCCTCATCCATCTCCTGTCCCAGAAAGTAAAAATAAATAAATAAACAAACAAATAAATAAAATAACTGGGCCTAGCTACTAGGGAGGCTGGGGCAGGAGGATCCCTTGAGCCCAGGAGGTTGAGGCTGCAGTGAGCTAGGCTGCAGTGAACTATGATGCCCTCCAGCCTAGGCAACAGAGCAAGACTCTGTCTCCAAAAAAACAAAACCAAAAAAGACTGCAAGGAGCTCAGTGGCTGCCAAACATCACAGCTGGAACTAGAGTCCATGCTTCCAACGCAGCCCCATCTTACGACCTCATCCTCCCCTGGAGGAAGCCCTTCAGGGGCCTGCCTCCGTCTGCGTGTGGGGAAACAGGGTCACCCCGCTGGGCTTTCTGCAGCAGTTTGTGCAGATGGAAGAGATGCCCCAGCTACCTGGCCTGGTGGCCTCCACCTTCCCTGAGCAGCTGTCTTTCTTGCGCAGGTTGGGTCCATCCCAGCAGCTTCTGGGATGAGTCTGGGGCACCTGGCCAGGCGCTCAGCGCCTTCTTTGCCTGTCTCCATCTCCGGCAATCTGTCTTCCTGTCTGTCTCTCTGTTGGATCCTCATCTCTCTCTGGGGCTGTTTCCACCATGGTGTGTCTGTTTCTTTTCATTACCCTTTTCTCATCTCTATTGTTATTTGTTTTGTCTGCCTCAAGGTTTCCTCCCTGATGTTTCTCCTATCCCAGGAATGGCCTCAGGACTTCCAGCCCCATAGGAATCACAGCAGCCCCTGCTCTTCCTGGTCCCTCTCCTCTGCTGCCTACATGTGCCAGTGGATAAAAAAAAATTACAGGCCAGCCGCTGGGGCTCACACCTTTAATCCCAGCACTTTGGGAGGTCAAGGAGGGCGGATCACACCTTTAATCCCAGCACTTTGGGAGGTCGAGGAGGGTGGATCACTTGAGGCCAGGAGTTTGAGACCAGCCTGGCCAACATGGCAAAACCCCATCTCTACTAAAAATACCAAAATTAGCCAGGCGTGGTGGCGGGCACCTGTAGTCCCAGCTACTTGGGAGGCTGAGGCAGGAGAATCACTTGAACCCGGGAGGTGGAGGTTGCAGTGAGCCGAGATCGTACCGCTGCACTCCAGGCTGGAGGACAGAGTGAGACTGTCTCAAAAAAAAAAAAAAAATTACAAAGGAGGGGGATCCCATTGTCATGCTCCAGTCTGTTCAAGCCTTTGGCTTCCTCTTCCCTCATTATGAAGCCCAAGAATCCCACACTATCCCCATCTTACAGAGGTGGATGTGTTGCCCAGAGATCAGGCTTACCAAGTGAAATTAGAGCATGTCAGGGCCTCTGTCCCAGGCAGGATGGAAAGGTGTGGAAGCCCAAGGTCCTGGCTGCCCCACCTATCACGCTGCCCCTTCCAGACACCTTGGGCAAACCCCTTTCCTCAAAGCTCAGGTTCTGCGGCTCTGTGAGCTGTCCCTTTGCCCAAACCACCTGGTCCTAGGTGGGATTCCTGAAACCTTTGGTCTCTGATTGTAGTTTTCCTCCTTCTCCAGCCCCTGCCTCATCCTGGGGAATTCCTACATTGACAGCACATGGCATCTTCCATCAGAGCATGTCAGGGTGAACCTTCTCAAACCTGGGCTTCAGCCCACATCCATATCAGCCCCCCAAGACCCAGGGGTTTCTGTGGATCTTGGGGGACCTCCCAGAACCAGGATACTCCACTCTCCACTCTCCTTTTTTTTTTTTTGAGACGGAGTCTCACTCTGTTGCCAGGCTGGAGTGCAGTGGCGCGATCTCGGCTCAATGCAACCTCTGCCTCCTGGGTTCAAGCAACTCCCCAGCCTCAGCCTCCCTAGTAGCTGGGACTACAGGTGTGTGCCACCATGCCCAGCTAATTTTTGTATTTTTAGTATAGACCAGGTTTCACCATGTTGGCCAGGATGGCCTCAATCTCTTGACCTCGTGATCTGCCCACCTTGGCCTCCCAAAGTGCTGGAATTACAGGCGTGAACCACCGTGCCCAGCCACTCTACTCTCTTGATGCTCTGGCACCTCTACTCCATTGTCCCCCTCTACCTATTCTTCAGGGTACCCCAGGCCTCCAGCCCCTGACTGCCTCCTTCTTTCCTTTCTCCACCTTGGCCAATCTGAGCACTCACTTCTTCGGTATATTGAACTCCTTATCCCCCAGTCTCATGGCCGCAGTGGGCCACTGCTTGCTGTGGGTGGTCTGACCTTGGCTTTCTCAGCTCCTAGCCCAGGCTGCTGAGGGCCCTGGAGAAAACCACAGATGGGGGGCCCTCAGGGTCTGGTCTCCAGGCCCAGCTGGTACTCCAACGGCCAGTCCTTCCCCAGCGTCCTCCCCACCCTCTCCAGAGGCTCCTGGAAACCTTCAGCCTGTTCTCCAGCCTCCTCCTATCCTCCTCCATGACTCAGCAGATGACTTCAGAGAAACACTTCTCAGAGAAACAGGTTCCCAGGGACCTGTCTGCTCTCTGCTCAGAAGTCCATTCACTCGCCTCCCACTTCAGTGGAACCTCCCTGAGTGCTCCAGATCTCCCCGTTTCCAGTTATCCACCTGTCCCTCCCACCTCCACCCCCTAACCCTCCAGCCTCACTCTCTTCTAGGCTCCTGCAATTAAACCGTCCCAGGCATCTCCCAGCCTAATGAAGCCTTCCTATTGCCCGCAGCCACCACCAGTATCAGCTCCTCCCTCCTTCATCTGACCATTAATTTACTGTTCAAAACAGTTGTTTTGAAATCTTTTTTCCTTTTTTTCCTTAAGAGATTGGGTCTTGCTCTGTCACCCAGGCCGGAGTGCAGTGGTGCAATCATAGCTCACTGCAGCCTCCAATTCCCAGGCTCAAGCAATCCCCCTGCCTTAGCCTCCTGAGCAGCTGGGATTACAAGTGTGGCTCACCACACTCGGCTAATTTTTTGAATTTTTTATTTTATACACACGGGGTCTCACTCTGTTGCCCAGGCTGGTCTCCAACTCCTGGACTCAAGAGATCTTCCCATCTTGGCCTCCTGTAGTGTTGGGGTTATAGGTGTGAGCCACTGTGCCCAGCTGGGGCTCCAAATCTTTTTTTTTTTTTTTTTTTTTTGAGACGGAGGCAGAGGTTGCAGTGAGCCCAGATCACACCACTGCACTCCAGCCTGGGCGACAGAGCAAGATTCTGTCTCAAAAAAAAAAAAAGAAAAAGTAAAGAAAAGAAATGAAGGTCAACAGCTAGTCCATCTTCAGGTTTTGCTTCTCAGGACCTTTTGTTTATCTTGCCCTCCCACAGCCCCAGAACCTAGGAAATCCTCATGATGCCATCGTGCCCTCTTTATGTATGTATGCATTTTCTCTTTCTATGAAATGGGGTCTTAGCATGTTACCCAGGCTGGTCTTGAACTCCCAACCTCAAGCGATCTTCCCACCTCGGCTTCCCAGATACCTGGGACTACAGGCACATGCCACCGTGCATGGCTCATTGAGCACTTCTTAACTTTTTTTTTTTTGAGATGGAGTCTGGCTCTGTCACCCACGCTGGAGTGTAGTGGCACAATCTTGGCTCACTGCAACCTCTGCCTCCAGGGTTCAAGCCTCAGCCTCCCGAGTAGCTGGGATTACAGATGCATGCCCGGCTAATTTTTGCTTGTTTGTTTGTTTTTCTGAGACAGAGTTTCACTCTTGTTAGCCAGGCTGGAATGCAATGGCGCCAACTCTGCTCACCTCAACCTCTGCCTCCCAGGTTCAAGTGATTCTCCTGCCTGAGCCTCCCGAGTAGCTGGGATTATAGGCATGTGTTACCATACCTGGCTAATTTTGGGTTTTTAGTAGAGATGGAGTTTCTCCATGTCAGTCAGGCTGGTCTCAAACTCCCGACCTCAGGTCATCCGCCCACCTTGGCCTCTCAAAGTGCTGGGATTACAGGTGTGAGCCACAGTGACTGGCCCATTTTTTTTTTTTTTTTTTTTTTAGTAGAGACGAGGTTTCACCGTGTTGGCCAGGCTGGTCTCGAATTCCTGACCTCAAGTGATCCATCTGACTCGGCCTCCCAAAGTGCCGGGATTACAGGCGTGAGCCATCATCATTGAGCACTTCTGATCTGCACAGGATAGCTGGAGTTCAGATAACTTTGGCAAAGGCAAGAAAATGTAAAGGTTTTCATATTAACCCAAGTGTCTTGTTTTGAGCTGATGGATCATTGGTTCCTCATTTAGCAAAGGAGAGACAGAGATCCACAGAAGAGAAGTGATTGCTTTAAGGTTATTTAGCAAGTCATTGTTGGAACCAGGCCCCTAGGGTTCTATTTGCTGTCCTGGCTCCTGAATCCAGCATGGATGGCCGCAGTCTTGGGCAGTCCACCTGGCAACTGCGCTCCCTCCAACTTCTCCAGTGGGGCCTTGACTTTGACCCACCCTGTCTCTTGCAGAGACCACACTCCTTCTCATTCCCATGAGGGGGCAGGTCATTCGCTTCTTCCCTCTGTGCCCTCCCTCACCTACCTACCTTCCTCTGCATCCTCTGATAGACGGGGTTAGACATAAATCCAGTTGGCCAAGCACGGTGGCTCACACCTGTAATCCCAGCACTTTGGGAGCCCAGGGCGGGCAGATGACCTGAGGTCAAGAGTTCAAGACCAGCCTGACCAACATGGTGAAACGCCATCTCTACTAAAGATACAAAATTAGCCAGGCATGGTGGTGGGCACCTGTAATCCCAGCTACTCAGGAGGCTGAGGCAGGAGAATTGCTTGAACCCGGGAGGCAGAGGTTGCAGCGAGCCGAGATCGTGCTACCCTGGGGCTGGAGGCCAAACCTTCACTTGACCTAAGGTGCTCTTTGGCCTTACGTAATACTCTGGGCTCATATTTCTCAAAGGGGGTGGTGTCGAGAGCTTAGCACCCCATGTCGTGGCCACTGATGTCGTTGGTCATCTTTCCATTTCCATCGCACAGCAGGCGTTATGGATGGAGAGAAGCACGTGGTGAAAACCTACTCTCCACTCCTGGAGAGTGTCCAATGTGGGGACAAAAGGGCTTCACACATTCTGGTGTCATTATTGATTGATTGATTGATGTGGAGTCTCGATCTGGCACCCAGGCTGGAGTGCAGTGGTGCGATCTCGGCTCACTGCAACCTTTGCCTCCCTGGTTCAAGAGATTCTCCTGCCTCAACCTCCCGAGTAGCTGGGACTACAGGTGCGTGCCACCACGCCTGGCTAATTTTTGTGTTTGGTGTCATCTTTAACAGCTGCTGGGCTGGGCGTGGTGGCTCATGCCTGTAATCCCGGCACTTTGGGAGGCCGAGGTGGGCAGATCACGAGGTCGGGAGATCGAGACTATCCTGGCCAACGTGGTGAAACCCCATCTCTACTAAAAATACAAAAATTACCTGGGCGTGGTGGTGTGCGCTTGTAGTCCCCAGCTACTCGGGAGGCTGAGGCAGGAGAATCGCTTGAATCTGAGAGGCGGAGGTTGCAGTGACCTGAGATTGCACCACTGCACTCCAGCCTGGCAACAGAGCGAAACTCTGTCTCAAAAAAAAAAAAAAAAGAAAAAAAAGCTTCTGGAAGCTGGGAGTGGAGGCTCACACCTTTAATTCCAGCACTTTGGGAGGCGAAGGTGGGGAGGATCACTTGAGGCCAGGAGTTTGAGACCAGTCTGGGCAACATAGCAAGATCCTCATCCCTACACAAAACAAGTTAGCTGGTCATGGTGGTGCCTGTAGTCCCAGCTACTCAGGAGGCTGAGGTGGGAGGATCACTTGAGCCCAGGAGTTGGAGGCTGCAGTGAGCTATGATCCCACCACTGCACTTAAGCCTGGACAACATAGTCAGATCTCGCCTCTACTACAAGTTAAAAAAAATTTTTTTTTAATTTAAAAAGTTGTTAGGGAGAAGGAAAGTTATCCTTTTTCTTTTCTTTTTTTTTTTTAGATGGAGTCTCACTCTGTCACCCAGGCTGGAGTGGAGTGGCATGATCTCAGCTCACTGCAACCTCTGCCTCCCAGGCTCAAGCCATCCTCCTACCCCAGCCTCCCAAGTAGCTGAGACCACAGTCGTGCACCATCACACCCAGCTAACTTTTTGTATTTTTGGTAGAGATGGGGTTTCACCATGTTTCCCAGGCTGGTCTTGAACTCCTGAGCTCAAGAAATGCTCCCGCCTTGGCCTCCCAAAGTGCTGGGATTACAGGCGTGAGCCACCGCGCCTGGCCCGTATTTTTTGTCTTTTAACCCCAGAGGGTAGAATAAGAAAGCACGGGCAGAAGGTTCTGGGAACGTGAGAGCTGTCCCACAGTGGAGAGGTGACCTTGGGGAATGGTAAATTGCCTGTGGCTGGAGGTGTGCTAGGAAGGGCTGAGAACAAGGAGATGGCGAGCTGTATAAGGGATTTCCATCCTGGACAAACTAGAGTCCCTCTACAGTCCTTTCCAACTTAGCAATCCCAAACTCCAGGAAGACAGGAAGGGCACCTGGCTGGCTCTGAAACCTAGAAGGCACTGCAGGGTCCACGCCTCTGAGTCATCTTGACTGTGCTGGAAGCTGGAGGTGGAGATGGTACCTTTTGCCCCTGCCTGTCCCCAGGCTCAGAGCAAGGAGTTGGGGCTGAATGTCTGCGCCTACCTCCTGCCCCGGTGCAGCCTGGGCTCCTGTCTGCCTGCTGCGTCAGCACTGGTGTTCCTATTACATGACCAAGTGGGATTTGCACTCTGGAAGCATTAGTGCTGGGCTGACTCGGCAGAATGGCCAACATCAGAAAATGCCAGCTCCTGCACCCCTTCCAGCCGGCTCCTGGGACCCCTCCTGGCTGTTTTCCTTCCTTTTCAGGCAACCCAGGCTGGCCTCCTTCAGACCACTGGTGGTGCACAAACCCTCCAGAGAGATTTGAAAACATACAGATCCTCAGACCTCTCAGCACTGGAGACTCTGACCCACTATGTCTAGGTGGGGTCTGGGGCCGTATTCTAGATCAGCTTCCTCAAAGTGTTGGGGGACTGTGATGCACAGCTAGGCTGAGGACCACTGCTCAGCATTACCCATGAGCAGTGGTCTCTGTCCCCTGACTCCCCTGCCATTGCTGGAGAGCTCCAGCTTATGGAGAAATCGCTTCCTTGAACTGAGCTGAAATTGATGGGCTCTCTGCCACTTGGAGTCCTCTAAAAACAAAAGCAGCCATCAGTGGTGGCTCACACCTGTAATCCTACTACTTTGGGAGGCCGAGGTGTGAGGATTGCTTGAGGCCAGGAGTTTGAGACCAGCCTAGGCAACACAGAGAGACATTGTCTCTGAAAAAGAAATCAAAATATTAGTTGGATGTGGTGGCGTGCACCTGTAGTCCCAGCTACTTGGGAGGCTGAGGTGGGAGGATCGCTTGAGCTTGGGAGGTTGAGGGCTGCAGTGAGCCATGATCACACCATTGCACTCCAGCCTGAGTGACAAAGGGAGACGCTGTTGCAATACACACACATATGCACACACACATACACATGCGTGCACACGCACACACACACACACACACCCACATACACACAAGAAAAACCACAGGCTGCCATCATCCCCACCACTATGGGTCCCCCACAAGTCATTTGTCCTCTGTTGGTATTCCAAGTACCAAAACACTCCAGATTCTTCTACGAAGTCGAAGAATACTGCTGTTCATTTCACAGTTCGATTCAAAGGGCATGGTACAGATTTCTCTTTAAGATTCAGTTGGGGAACCCAAGCTCTAGATGGGTAAAGTACTTGGCCTAAGTTCACACAGCTGGGTTTCGGGAGAAGACTGCAGCCCAGGCTCTTCTCCCTCTTGAACATACTTGTCTCTTTGAGACAGTGGCCCATTTTTTTCATGGTGACACACATTCCCTTGGTGGGATAATTTTATTTTATTGTTTAAAGGAGTCTTGCTCTGTCACCCAGGCTGGAGTACAGTGGCGTGATTTCAGCTCACTGCAACCTTTGCCTCCCAGGTTCCAGCAATTCTCCAACCTCAGCCTCCCCAAGTAGCTGGGATTACAGACGTGTACCACCACGTCTGGCTAATTTTTGTATTTTTAGTAGAGACAGGGTTTCATCATGTTGGCCAGAATGGTCTTGAATGCCTGACTTCAAGTTATCCACCCGCCTTGGCCTCCCAAAGTGCTGGGATTATAGGCATGAGGCACTGCACCTGGTCTCCTTTTAAAAAATTGTTTTTGTTTTGTTTTGTTTTGTTTTTTAAAAATTTTTTGAGATAGCGTCTCACTGTGTTGCCCAGGCTGGAGTGCAGTGGCGCCATCATAGCTCACTGCAGCCTCCAACTCCTGGGGTCATGTGATCCTCCCACCTCAGCCTCCCAAAGTGCTGGGGTTATGGGGTTGCAGGTGTGAGCCACAGTGCCTTCCCTGATTCCCTTCTTAAAGCAGAGAGTCTCCTTCATTGAACACAACTTCGCTGAGCACCTGCTCCATGCTAGGCTTGGAGATCAGAGATGGCTCAGACTGAGTCTATGTCTTTCAGGAATATGACCCCAGGGAAGACAGACTCATATACATCTGAGTGCTATATGGTGGTCTGGGCTCTTCTCTAGAGAACATGGCAGGAGAGCCCATGGGGACTGAGGAGAGAGTGGTTAGTTCAACTCAGTGTCTGAGTCTGAAGGATGAGGAGGTCTGGGTCTAATGGGGGTGGGCATAGAAGGAGCTTTCAGCACAAGGAACAGCTTTTGAAAAAGCCCAGACTGGGTCAGGCGCAGTGGTTCACACCTGTAATCCCAGAACTTTAGGAGGCCGAGGCGGGCAGATCACCTGAGGTCGGGAGTTCGAGACCAGCCTGACCAACATGGAGAAACCCCATCTCTAATAAAAATACAAAATTACCTGGGCGTGGTGGCACATGCCTGCAATCTCTTCTACTCAGGAGACTGAGGCAAGAGAATCGCTTGAACCTGGGAGGTGGAGGTTACGGTGAGCTGAGATTGTGCCATTGCACTCCAGCCTGGGCAACAAGAGCAAAACTCTGTCTCAAAAAAAAAGAAAGAAAAGAAAAAAAAAAAAGAAAAGAAAAAGCCCAGACTGCCCAGGTGTGGTGACTCATATGTATAATCCCAGCACTTTGGGAGGTAGAGGCAGGAGGATTGCTTGAGCCCAGGAATTTGGGACCAGCTTGGACAACTAAACATAGACCCTATCTCCACAAAAAAAAAAAAAAAAAATAGAAAATTTTTTTCTACTGGGCGTGGTGGTGTGAGCCTGTATTCCCAGCTGCTCTGAAGGCTAAGGCGGGAGGATCATCTGAACCTAGGAGGTCGAGGCTGCTAGTCCAGCCTGGGCGATAGAGCATGACCCTGTCTCAGAAGAAAAAAAAAAGATATTTTGGATTTTTCACTGGGGAGAATGGAAAGACACTGAGACAGGGCCATTAGCTGAAAAGCTGTTGCTATAAACTGGAAGATCTTAAGACGCATCCACCTGGTTCCTCTATTTTATAGATGCACAATCTGAGAACCAGAGAGGCAAAGTGATTTGCCCAAGGTCACTCAGGAAGATTAATGGCAAAGCCAGTGCTTCAACCTGTGGGTCCTGCCTCCTGGGCTCATGCCTCCTCCACTGGCCTGAGATCCTCAGAAGGAGAGGCAGGTTGCAGAGATTTCCTGTCATTCTTTGCCTCTGCTGCAGGACAGCCTGCTAAGGCAGTGACAGGGAAGTGTTCCCAGAGGACAGGGCGGGGAGCATTGCTGCTTGGCTTCAGAAGATGCTGCTGCTGCCTCTGCACTAATCAGGGAGCTTTCCAGCCACAGGAGGAAGCCAGAAGCCAGGGGATGGGGCTGCGGTGATTTATGACTGCACAGAAACAGCAGGACAATCATGTCCCTGGCTGTCCTGCATGTCTGCCAACCGAGCCGGACAGCATGCATTTAAAAGGTCATGTCCTCCAGTGCTGGAGAAGGGGCTGGAGGGTGCCCTTCGGTCAGGTTGGTCACTCCTTTCCTGAGCAGATGCCAAGGAGGGTAGATCCTGGACAGGAAACAATGCCTTTGCTGCTAAGAGTCTAGGAGGTCTGCCCGGGTTTGAATCCAGGCTCTGTTAGCTGAGACACGGAGAGGCTGTGTGATTTTTGGCTGATCACACAGCCTCTCTGTGTCTCTGCTTCCTTGTCTTAAAAAACAGGGGTGAAGCTGGGCGCGGTGGATCACACCTGTAATCCCAGCACTTTGGGAGGCCGAGGCAGGTGGATCACCTGAGGTCAGGAGTTCGAGATCAGCCCGGCCAACATGGTGAAACCCTGTCTCTACTAAAAATACAAAAATTAGCCGGGCGTGGTGGCACATGTCTGTAATCCCAGCTACTCAGGAGGCTGAGGCAGGAGATCACTTGAACTTGGGAGGCGGAGGTTGTAGTGAGCTGAGATCGCGCCACTGCACTCCAGCCTGGGCAACTGAGCAAGATTCTGTCTCAAAAAAAAAACCAAAAAACAAAAAAAAAACTGGCCGTGCACTGTGGCTCACGCCTGTAATCCCAGCTCTAACTCTTTGGGAGGCCGAGGCAGGCGGATCACCTGAGATCAGGAGTTCGAGACCAGCCTGACCAACATGGAGAAACCCCATCTCTACTAAAAATACAAAAATTAGCCGGGCATGGTGGCGCATGCCCATAATCCCAGCTACTCAGGAGGCTGAGGCAGGAGAATCGCTTGAACCTGGGAGGCAGAGATTGTGGTAAGCTGAGATCGTGCTGTTGCACTCTAGCCTGGGCAACAAGAGCGAAACTCCATCTCAAAAAAAAAAAGAAAAAAAAAGGAAGAGAAGAAAAAGAAAAAAAAAAAAGAAAAGAAGAAAAAAAAAAAAAGAATGCCAGTAGCTTCCATTTCAGAAGAACATGCTGAATCTAGAACTATGACTCATCACAGCTGGGTGGGGCACTTAGTGCTCCTTCAGTTTAATCTCACATTTTCAAGGTGGGGATATTAGACCCAGAGAAGGGACAGGTCTTGCCCGCAGAGCTAGGGGCCAGGCAGAAGCCAGAATGCTAGCTCTTAACGTCCTTGCTCCAGGTTTCTTTCTGCACCACCAGGCAGTGGAGGAGGAAGCCAGGATCTGAAGCCATTTGCTCTTTGTGATGTCGTCATGCCTCTTAAGCCGCCCTCTAAACAGCCAGGACCTGTGGGCAGCTGCAGCTGGAAGCATAGAGCTCTGCAAAATCAGAAGGGAAAGGAAGACAGGGCCAACTCTCCCCTGCACCACTGGAGGGGAGGCTCCGTGTGGAGGCTGCGGATGTCATTTCTGTTTGGCTGTGAAACATCCTTTTCTTTGCATCTGCTTTATTTTACTTTTTCCCAAACAGATTTGGCCTGAGCTGTTTTTTTTTTTTTTTTTTCCCCTTTGTGCATTAGACTGTTGGGGGAAGGAACTGAGGTGGAGAGGTCAGAGAGGTAGCCTGAAATGGGCCAGGAAGTTCCTGAGATTTCACATCTGGTCTTGAATCATGGACCTGTTTGAGCCACATGTGGGCAACCCAGGTTGGCGGTCAGGGCTCATTCCCACGGACTAGTGATGCAGGGGCCAGAAGAGCTCAGGCCTGCCCTGCAGGGAGGAAGAGAAAGGAAGAGGAATGACTTGGCGAACACTCATGCAAGAGACAGAAGGAAGTGGGAGGGTTTATTCACCAGCAGGATCGCATTTTGCTGGGTGGTGTGGTAAGAGAAGAGGGTCCGGGCCAGATCTTTTGTTGGAGGAGGGGGAGAAAACTATTTCTAGACTCTCTCCCCACTCAGTCCATCTCCTCCACCTCCTGCCGGTACAGTCTCCCCAAAGCACACTTTCTTCCCTCATTCATTTCTTTCTTTCTTTCTTTCTTTTAGAGACAGGGTCTTGCTCTGTTGCCCAGGCTGGAGTGCAGTGGCGTGATCACTGCTCACTGCAGCCTCCAACTCCTGGGCTCAAGCAATCTTCCTGCCTCAGCCCCCAAATAGCTGTGATGACCATGCCCAGCTAATTTTTAAATTTTTTTTTTTTGTAGAAATGAGGTCTTGCTATGTTGCCCAGGCTAGTCTCGAACTCTTGGCCTCAAGTAATCCTCCTGCCTTGGCCTCCTGAGTAGCTAGGACTACAGCTACATTCATTTCTTGTTTTTCTTTCTTTTTTTTTTCTTTTTTGAGACACAGTCTCACTCTGTCGCCCAGGCTGGAGTGCAATGGCACAATCTTGGCTCACTGCAACCTCCACCTCCTGGGTTCAAGCGATTCTCCTGCCTCAGCCTCCCGAGTAGCTGAAACTACAGGCACACGCCACCACGCTTGGCTAATTTTTGTATTTTTAGTAGAGACAGCATTTCACCATGTTGGCCAGGCTGGTCTCAAACTCCTGACCTCAGGTGATGAGCCCACCTCGGCCTCCCAAACTGCTGGTATTACCGGCGTAAGCCAGTGCACCTGGCCATATTCATTTATTTATTTCCTATTCTCTCTCTATGTACTTATCATGTGCCAGGTACTCTGCTGAGCACTGAGAAGCCAAGGTGAGGATGAAAAAGACAAAACCCAAATCTGATCATTTTCTGCCATTGTTAAAATCTCTTCACAGGCTTCCGATTAATTTCAGAATAGAAATTTAACTCCTGGGGCTGCCATTCAGTGCCCCTCATGTTCTGGCCCCTGACTCTATCCCCAGCCCCTTACCCATCACCCAGACACCAGATACATCAGATTCTTTGCCTATCAATAAATATTTCAGGGGAGATGGGTGTGGTGGTGCATGCCTGTAGTCCCCACTACTCAGGAGGCTGAGGTGGGAGGATCACTTGAGCCCAGGAATTAGAGGCTGCAGTGAGCTATGATCGTGCCACTGTACCCCAGCCTGGGCAACATAGTGAGACCCCCACCTCTAAAAAATAAGTACATAAATAAATAAGTCAGGGAGGAACTTGCCTTTGAGTCTTGCTACCTGTGCCTTTGCCTGCTCTCAAATCCTACACTCATTTAAAGGCTGGGTTGGAAATGTTACCAAACTCCCTGGAGAAGCTTTTCAGAATCTCTTCCTATGCAGCCTGAAAGAAGTTATTTTTTAAACAAAATATTTACAGTGCTTAACACACTCTGAATTCCTTGAGGACAGGGGTCCTCCAGCATCTGGCATAGAGCCTGCAATATTCCCCCATGGAAACTCTTTCATTCCACATTCTCATCCACACTTCATGTTTCCTATTTTATTTTTCACTTCTTATTGATTTTTTTGTTGTTATTTAGTTTTTATTTCATAGTCACAAACTTAACTCTGCAATCCACCCAGACATGGAAGGGAATAAGAAAATCATGGGACTCAAAGGGAACTGTAGCAAGAACACAAAGATGATAGGATACTGGGAGCAAATGGGGTGGATGGATAGGTGCTCTCCTGAGCTACTGAAGGAATGGTCTGGTGGTTAAGATAAAACACAAGTCAAATTTACTAGAGTTGTCCACAGTCAGCAATGGTGATTTTATTTTATTTATTTATTTATTTTTTAGAGGGAGTTTCACTCTTTTTGCCCAAGCTGGAGTGCAATGGTGCAATCTCAGCTCACTGCAACCTCTGCCTCCCAGGTTCCAGCGATTCTCCTGCGTCAGCCTCTGGAGTAGCTGGGACTACAGGCACCTACCACCACGCCCAGCTAATTTTTGTATTTTTAGTAGAGACAGGGGTTTCACCATGTTGGCCAGGCTGGTCTCGAACTCCTGACCTCAAGTGATCTGCCCACCTCGGCCTCCTAAAGTGCTAAGGTTACAGGCGTGAGCCACCGCGCCCGGCCATAGCAATGGTGATCTTCTTGCTGGTCTTGCCATTCCTGGACTCGTAGCGCTCCATGGCCTCCACAATATTCATGCTCGCTTTCACCTTGCCAAAGACCTCCATGCTGGCCATCTAACCACTTAGTCTTGGCAGTGCAGATGAAAAACTGGGAAGCATTTGTGTTGGGTCCAACATCTGCCATGGGCAAGATGCCAGGATCTGTATGCTTCAGGATGAGGTTCTCTTCATCGAATTTCTCCCCATAGATGGACTTGCCACCAGTGCCATTATGGTGTGTAAAGTTACCACCCTGACACATAATCCCTGGAGTAATTCTGTGAAAGTAGGAACCCTTGCCGGGCGTAATGGCTCACACCTGTAATCCCAGCACTTTGGGAGGCTGAGGCGGATGGATCATGAGGTCAGGAGTTCGAGACCAGCCTAACATGGTGAAACACCGTCTCTACTAAAAATACAAAAATTAGCTGGGCGTGGTGGTGCGCGCCTGTAATCCCAGCTACTTAGAAGGCTGAGGCAGGAGAATCGCTTGAACCCGGGAGGCAGAGGTTGCAGTGAGCCAAGACTGCACCACTGCACTCCAGCCTGGGCTACAGAGCGAGACTCTGTCTCAAAAAAAAAAAAAGAAAAAGAAAAGAAAAAAAAAGAGAGAGTAGGAACCCTTATAACCAAATCCTTTCTCTCCAGTGCTCAGAGAACGAAAGTTTTCTGCTGTCTTTACAACACTGTCTGCTAACAGCTCCGATATGTTAACATGGCTTTACAGTTTAGATGAGAGGTCACTTCTTTTTTTTTTTTTTTTTTTGAGACGGAGTCTTTTTCTGTCTCCCAGGCTGGAGTGCACTGGCACAATCTCGGCTCACTGCAAGCTCCGGAGAGGTCACTTGGCTTCTTGGTTTCCATGCCCCTAACCTTGAAGGAGACGCAGCCCAAGGGCTCAATAGTAATGTCAAAGAACACGGTGGGATTGACCATGGCCAGTAGTAGAGTACTCCTGGCAGCAGCAGAGTCTGCAAAGCTCACTTTTTTTTTGTTTTGTTTTTTGATATGGAGTTTCGCTCTTGTTGCCCAGGCTGAAGTGCAATGAAACGATCTCGGCTCACTGCAACCTCCACCTCCCAGGTTCAAGCAATTCTCCTGCCTCAGCCTCCCAAGTAGCTGGGATTACAGGTGCCCACCACCACACCCAGCTAATTTTTGTATTTTTAGTTGAGATGGGGTTTTGCTACGTTAGCCAGGCTGGTCTCGAACTCCTGACCTCAGATGATCCACCCGCTTCGGCCTCCCAAAGTGTTGGGATTACAGGTGTGAGTCACCGTGCCAGGCCAAAGCTCACTTCTTTTTTTTTTTCGAGACGGAGTCTCGCTCTGTCACCCATGCTGGAGTGCAGTAGAGGGATCTCAGCTCACTGCAACCTCCGACTCCCGGGTTCAAGTGATTCTCCTGCCTCAGCCTCCCGAGTAGCTGGGATAACAGGTGGGCACCACCACGCCCAGCTAGTTCTTTTGTATTTTTTGTAGAGACAGGGTTTCACCATGTTGGCCAGGATGGTCTCGATCTCCTGACCTTGTCATCCGCCCGCCTCGGTCTCCCAAAGTGCTGGGATTACAGGTGTGAGTCACCGTGCCCAGCCTTTAAAAAACTTTTTATTTTATTATTTGTTTTTGAAACGGAGTCTTGCTCTGTCGCCAGACTGGAGTGCAGTGGCGCAATCTCAGCTCACTGCAACCTCAAAACTCACTCCTTACTGACTTCTAGCATACTGTACATATCTCACCTATTTTCTTGGGCAGGGATTTTTGTCTGTTTTGTTCACTACTGTACCTCGTGGCTTAGAATAGGGCTTGGAACACAGTAGCTTCTCATAGATAATTGTTGAATACATAAAGTAAATAAAATGTGCAGTCAAAACTATCAGGCCTGCAGGCATGGTGGCTCACATCTGTAATCCCAGCACCTTGGGAGGCCGAGGCGTGAGGATCGCTTGAGCCCAGGAGTTCGAGACCAGCATGGGCAACAAAGCTAGACCCCCGTCTCTACAAAAAAGCAAAACAAAGCAAAAAAACCCATGCTATCTGCAAGCTATGTGGAATAATATGAACGAGAATATATCAGCGTGACCTCAGTAGGTATGTATGTCTTAGGAGGGGAGAGAAGGGCTGGACAACCAAGCCCTAGACGCAGCCCAGTTAGATGTGGAGTAGGCTCCTGGTAGCTGAACTCAATCTTTAGCACTCCACCCTGGAGAGGAAGAAGGGGTTCTCCAGGGTCAGCCAGCAGACAGCTGCATCCTTTCTGGAAATCAACCACTGTGGCCAGCCGGTATTTGTCGTTCGTCCATGTTTTCACCTATTCAGGCCCAAGAGCCTCAAGGTGGGGTGGGGGGTTTAATGGAAGCTCGTAGGGGGTGGAGGTGACAGTCCCCAGGGTCTGGCCCCTTAATTCGGCCATCCCGCGGGCAGGCACCACACTGAGAGTCTGGATCTACAATGGACGCGCCTCCTGTCCTTCCCCCACCACGACCTGCTACGTGATCTCGGAAACAGGGTCTAGGACTGAGGCCCCTGCCCCCTCCTCTCGTAATTTCCCGGAGAATATGGGGCGGGGCGGTGAATCAGCACTCGCAGGGACTGATGCAGCCCTGATCCCCGCCAGGGGTCCCCAGCGGCCTCGGGATTCGAAGCACCCCCCCCCGTCCTCCTGCGCCTGCGCGCTATGTCCGCTGGGAGTTGTAGTCTTGACCGCCCCTTTGTCCTTGGTCTCCTCAGCGCCTCAGTGCACTGCAGGTTACACTACAACTCCCAGGGGCCCATGCGTCCGAGGGCTGGCGGGGCGGGAGGCTCAAGGGGGAGGCGTAAGGGGGCGACTGGAGAAGCTGGGGTGAGGGAACTGGGGAGTGAAGTGAAAAAAGGGGAGAGTGGGGGCGCAGTGGGAAAGGACGGGGTGCCCGGAAGACGCGCAGTGAGCCCAGCTGGGGAGCGGGGAGTTCTAGCCGCGGCCGGGCTCGGGCGGGGCATGGGCGGGGCTTGCGGACGGGTGGGCGGGGCCTGCCTTCGTCATGCGGCGTGGGCGGGGCCGCAGGGGGTTGTCCGTCAGTGGCACGCACAGCAGCCGCAGCCGCCTCGCGCCCGGTCCCGCGGTCGCAGCTCCAGCCGCCTCCTCCGCGCAGCCGCCGCCTCAGCTGCTCGCTCTGTGGGTCGGTCCTCTCCGGCACTTGGGCTCCAGTCGCGCCCTCCAAGCCCTTCAGGCCGCCCCAGTGTCCTCCTCCTTCTCCGGCCAGACCCAGCCCCGCGAAGATGGTGGACCGCGAGCAACTGGTGCAGAAAGCCCGGCTGGCCGAGCAGGCGGAGCGCTACGACGACATGGCCGCGGCCATGAAGAACGTGAGTGTCTCCTCCCCTCCCCCGCCGCTCCCTGCCCCTCCGAAGACGCGGTCCTTGGCGTGGAAGGCCCGGGGCTTCGTCGCCCTGTCGCGATGGCGGGTTGACCGCCCCGTCTCGCTCACTGAGGGGGGCTGGGGAGGGTCCCGAGAGGCGACGGGAACCCGGGCTGTGACGCGGCCTCTTTTCGGAGTCCCCGTGGCCCCGCGGCGCTGCCATTCAGGCCCGGCGCGGGCGCGGGCCGGGGCGAGGTCCCGCGGGGCTGGACTTGGGAGCGGGGTCTCCGGCCCCCGCGGCTCTAGGGGTGCAGGGGACCCGAGCGGGGAGGCGTGCGCATCCTTTGTGCCCCACTTCCCCCCTCCTCCTAGCCTGGGCGTGGGGGCGGGGGACCGCATGGATGCGGTTCCTCTTTCTCTCCCTGGTGTCTGGGCGGCGCCTTTCCCATTCACTCAGCAGGTCTCCCGGTTTTCCACCTCCCCAGCCCCCCCAGAATCTTCCCCACTGTCTGTCCCGACACATCCCTGAGAATCTTCCCAGAAACATTGTATAGGGTCTCTTGAAAACCTGAGCTCCGTGGTGCAAAATCGAAACCACCTTGCTCACGTTTTTCTTAACAAAAGGCTCTTCTTTCTCCATTCGCCCAAAGCAAGTCCTCCGGCTTTTAGGAAGGGAGAACGTTTGTCTCGCTAGCGTTTTCATTGATCATTCTCAACATGTCATCTCCATTTTATTCCCTAATGTTTTTGTATTGAAAAGGGTAGGTATTGCCTGTAAAATTAAAAGGTGGTGAATGTAGCTGACTGGTTCGATTCGTGTGACATATGCCGTTTCTTTTTTGAATACAGGCACGCGTCTGTTGAAATTCCTATAAGTTGGGGGAAAAAATATTCTGTCTGATCTGATAGTGCAAACAAAGCCGTGGTGAGAGGCAGTATCAAGTCATTCCAGAAGATTCTGCATTTGTCATATTGCAGAGAGCCTAGACTGGGTGGAGGCTGGGAGGAGTTATTTTAAAGGGGAAAAAGTCTTTTTAAAAATTTTTGGTTGTTAGATGCATCTGAGGCTTTTTTTTGTTTAAGCGAGTACATCTTCATGCTGATGAAAAGAGAATACCGATCGCCAGTTGTCGCATTTTGTCTGGGTTGCAGATTCATCCCTGTATTGCACCATTTTGTCAGTAACACCACATTTATCTAATGGGCTGTCAACCAGTTTGATATTAGAGGAGGGGGAAGTATTGAGCATTATGAAATGAAAGGTAGAAAATTAATCTAATGATTTCGGGCCCCCACTATCTTAATATTTAATTTCCTGCCTTATGTAACAAAGATTTTCAAATTCATCTCCATTGTGAAGTGGATGCTGGAGTGTACCTTGCGTGTTACATCTTTTAAATGAAGCATTATTGATATTACAGATCAATTCTTGAATAAATTTACTGGTTCTCAAAAGAGGACAATGCTGATACCTTTATATTTAAAGCAGCTATGTTAACAAAGAAAGGTTTTTGTCTTATTGAAGAGAACTGATTCTGAAATTCGGAATACTGCTGTGGCCACAGTTGCTGTCTTACAAGGTTTTAATGCTTAAATGATGTAAGTTGCACTTCTAATAGGTATCAGTATTGGAAATATCTTCAGTTCGTGTTATTTAGACTCTTATAATTTTTCCATATTTCTTTTCCATATTTCTAGTTCCACAGGAAAGCGAGTGACCTCGCACCTATATCCATAGCAACCAAGTGATGTCACACACAATGACACAGAGGCTGCAATGCACCTAAGGGCTGGTAGGGAGTGTGCAAATGGCATTTATCCAAGGTAATGCAGAAATTAGCCGATAAGCCAGGTGGAATCGAGCACTTCATATTCCACTAGATGAGAATTAGTCCAAAAAATAAGGATATCATTTACCCTTAGACATGCAAATCTGTGACCTCTAGCTAGGCCTTGTTCACCCTATTGCTAGCTTTCTCACAAAAGTTTATAAGATGCTTTTTTATATTTTTAAACATTCATCTCATTTATTTAAAATACTGGGCAATGATGGAATAAAAGTAGAAATTTTAAACGATAATTTATGGAATAAAAGAAATTTTAAACAAGAATATAGTTTATGACACTAGTGCACAGATGGGATGTATACTTGTGTTTATTGCAGATAATTAATTTGGCAGGTTTTAATAAAAACCTTAAAAAAATGATGACTTCCTACTGAGTCATTTTCAGTTACTAGTAGGGAATGAAAACCCGTTCCAAAACCTTTTAAGTTGAGATTTGGGAAGTTTGTTTTTTACTAGATTTGTGCTTCTGCTCCTTCACAGTATAGAGGAAAGAACAGTTTGTAAAATAAAAACCTTTTTTCAAATCTGTTTCCTGTGACTTTAAGGAAATAGGCTCTGTCCCTCATTTTCCTCATCTGTAAAATGGGACAATACTTGAAAAAGTTGTGCGGATTCAATAAGAAATGTAGTAGGTGTTCCAAAATGGCAACTACCTAAGAAATTTTCTTCCTGTTTATAAAAGTCATCGTGGAGAATTTGGAAACTGCAGAGAAAGAAACCAATCTTACCACTCAAGTGAGCTCTCTTTTAAGGCCGAAATCATCCTGTTGATAAAGGGATTAAAATTTATTTGAGTTTAATGAAATTATCCTAGTGCTAACACTATTGGGATCTGTGCAGAATGATAGTTCTTTGTGGGTAACCAGGACAGAAGTACTGTATTGTGCAGTATTTTGAAAAGAAGGAAAGAGGAATGTTAGGTCTTTTAAGACAGATGTTTAGTCTTGTATTGAAGGAGAGTGAACACCTAGATGTATCCTACGTATTAGACAATACTGTCTTGTCCTTTGACTTTTACTAGTCTCTTGAGAAGTTAATATTTTAAATAGGCTACTGGTACTTGCCTTGGGGAGAAAAGGTTCAGGGTTACTAATTTTGTTGAAGTTACTGAGTTAAGCAGTTTAACTCAATGAGGGGTGGGAGGGCAAAGGTGGCAAAAGGCTATCATAATTTTTCTAAATATTCCTAGTGGGATCAATAGACTTTCAAATTCTTTCTATCTTAAATATTCCATTCCCCCTCCCCCCCAGGCTCTTCCAGGAGATCAATAGCTATTATCACTAATGGAGTAATGGTACCTCTGTAGACTCTTCAGAGGTGGAGTTCTGCCAACCATTATTCTAAGTCATGTGGCTTGAATTGTTCTCTTCTTGGGCGTGGAAAGAATACAGATCATACAGCTTGCCTTTCATGTGTTAGCCTTCCCAGTAACTGAAGCAGATATTAAGTGCTTTTTCTGATTATTTTGGAAATCTATGTGTTTTTTGAATTCTACTGAGATTCAACATGGCGCTAAATGTTCATCCTCATTGCAGTCCTGGATTAACTGCAAACCTAAGAGTAGGATTTCATCTCTTGTACTCAGGGAAGCCTTATTTATTAAGCCAATCTTTAAATTATTGAAAAGAGTGGAGAAAACGATGTGTTTTTATCGAGGTAAAAGTTGCGTAACATAACTGTCACATAGTCACATCAGATTTCAAGTGCAATTGAGTGGCATTGGGTACATTCCGTGTTGTGCAGCCATCACCTATGTTGAAGAAGAGAGAAAGTGGTTATTTTTAAAAAGTGATGCCGGTCTGGACTACAGCTGGCTGGAATTCAGCACCTATTCAGGAATGTGTCGATAATGGAGTGCCCACAACAGCTCACAGCCAGCGATAATTGTCTATCCCTTTGTCTTCATTTCCAAGCGTCTGAACTGAAAAAAGGGAATTAGCTTTAGCTACGTTTGTACTGTATTTCCACTTAAAAAGTTATGGAACTTGAACACTGTATAATGTTCACCCAAATAAATAAGAACAATTTACTTGAAATCTGAGCAAATCGTTAACTCTTTGGGGATTATGGAAATTTTGCTGGTGTTCTAGTGACTCGTTTTCAGCCCTAAGGCTGGCTTTATTATCAGTGATTTGCCGCCTGTGTGGTAGTGGTTTCCTAATGAGTAGGATGCAGGGTTGAGACTGGGGAGCTCCTGCAGCATGAGGCTCTTAACTGATGGGACGCCAGCACAAGACATTCAGTACATTGTGGCTGTCAGGAGCTGGATGGGAAAAGTAGTTACTTTTCCCTTCTTTGCCCATTCCCAATATCAGCAGTCCTAACCTTATTTTATTTTATTGTATTTTATTTTAATTTTTTTGAGACGGAGTCTTGCTCTGTCACCCAGGCTGGAGTGCAGTGGGCAGTGGTGTGGTATCTCGGCTCACCGCAACCTCTGCCTCCCAGGTTCAAGTGATTCTCCTGCCTCAGCCTCCCAAGTAGCTGGGATTACAGGCACCCACCACCACGCCCAGTGAATTTTTGTAGTTTTGATAGAGACAGGGTTTCACCATGTTGGCCAGGCTGAGCTCGAACTCCTGACTTCAGGTGATCTGCCCACCTCAGCCTCCCAAAGTGCTGGGATTACAGGCGTGAGCCACCGTGCCCAGCCTCAAGGACCACTTTCTATGCTCGGTAGTCAAAGGGAAATACTACTTTTAAATGATATAAAACGTTATCTTCTCTTTGCCTTCTTTTGAAAGTTACTTAGTGTTTTACCAGATATTCCAGTCTATAATTATGTGTGCGTTTGATTGCTTGTTTTTTGTTTTTTTTTTTTTTGAGGCAAGGTCTCACTCTGTCACCCAGGCTGGAGCATGGCTCACTGCAGCCTCCACCTCACAGGCTAAAGCGACCCTCCAGCCCCAGCCACCCAAGTAGTTGGGACTACAGGAGCATGCTACCACACCTGGCTATTTTTTTGTACCGTTTTTTGTAGGAACGGGGTGTTGCCATGTTGTCCAGGCTGGTCTTGAGCTCCTGGACTCAAGCAGTCTGCCCATCTTGGCCTCCCAAAGTACTGGGATTACAGGTGTGAGCCACCACACCCAGCCCGGTCTATAATTATAATGCAGCTAAATGTTGCCTTTCTACAAAGGCTACCAATACCAGCTGCCTTATGGCCTCTCCTCTCAGAATTATTTTTCTGTATCTTCCCCAAATTCCATTTTAGGTGTCAGCTATCATTTTGATTAACTACCAAAACATATTATTTTACTTAAAATTGTCATTTGTAGAAATCTTGAAAATTTTGATATTTTGCTAAATGAATTTATGAATTTGAGTGGTAGAAAATTAGTTACACGAAAACTGATTTAAAAAATTCCCTGGGTCAGGCACGGTGGCTCACGCCTGTAATCCCAGCACTTTGGGAGGCTGAGGCAGGTGGACCATGAGGTCAGGAGTTGGAGACCAGCCTGACCAACATGGTGAAACTTGTCTCTACTAAAAATACAAAAAATTAGCTGGGCATGGTGGCATGCACCTGTAATCCTAGCTACTTGGGAGGCTGAGGCCGGAGAATTACTTGAACCTGGGAGGTGGAGGTTGCAGGGAGTTGAGATTGCACCACTGCACTCCAGCCTGGGTGACAGAGCAAGACTCCATCTTGAAAAAAAGAAAAAAAATTCCCAAAAGAAAGCTTTAATTTTAAGGTAAATAGTTATAAATAATTGGTTTGCTACCATGATTTTGTAGAAAAAATAAAAATTGTAAATCTTAAAAGACCATGTGCATGAGTCTTTTCTTTCTGTTTAAAGAACTGGTGAAGTCTTAGTTAAATTGCTCCCAGCATTTCACTTGTTAAGTGTGTGTCCTACAGAAATAGACTTTTCTTTACCTGAGTTGAATACTACTAATATGTGCTGCATGGCATTAAGTTTTGGTTATGGGCCGGATGTAGTGGCTCACGCCTGTAATCCCAGCACTTTGGGAGGTCGAGGTGGGTTGATCACTTGAGGTCAGGAGTTCAAGACCAGCCTGCTCAACATGGTGAAATCCCATCTGTACTAAAAATAACAAAAATTAGCTGGGCATGGTGGCGCATGCCTGTAATCCCAGCTACTAGAGAGGCTGAGGTAGGAGAATCACTTGAACCCAAGAGGCAGAGGTTGCAGTGAGCTGAGGTCATACCACTGCACTCCAGCCTGGGTGACAGTGTGAGACTCTGTCTCTAAAAAAAAAAAAAAGTTTTGGTTGTGAATAGGAAAGAGAGTGTTCTTACATAATTTAGATTTTTAACATAACATTAAAACAATAAAATTATTCCAAATAAACTCTTGGGCTTCTTAACCTTTGGAAGGGTACCTGTCTTTGGAGAGAGAAAGCCCATTTTGGTGAGTGGGACCCAGGTACCCAGCTTTCCTCTGAGCAGGGGTGTCCGAGTTGGGAGTATGACAGTGACAGCAGTGGCCAGCTGAACACGTAATGACAGTAGCTGAAGAGGAGTCACTGATCCACCCCCAACCTGCCGCAAGCTGAGTATGAAGAGCAGCTGCCGTGGGCAGGGAAGTGAGGAATGGCTAAGGGAGCGAGGGGAAGGCTTTAAAAAGCCAGGTTTCTTTTGAAGCCGTAGAGATGATTTACATTTCTTGAGCTGTCTGAAAGGAATTACTCATATGACTCTAAAGCTACCATATTTAAAAAACCCAGATCTGGGAAACAAAATGCCTATGGTGCTAGTTCTTTAAGAATGTAGAAATCAGCTTGAATTTTTGACTGTTTCTATACAGACTGCTTTTGTAGCAATCTAACATGAAGCAGTGAGCATGTCTTTGCAGTGGAGGTGCAGCATAGTGAGTAGCCATGCGGATAACCCCATACTCATTGGCAGTATGTTATAATGTGAGGGCCCGCCTGGCCTGGGTAGGCTAAAGAGCAGTGGTCCCCAACCTTTTTGGCACCAGGGACCCGTTTCATGGAAGACAGTTTTTCCATGGACTGGGTGGGGTGAGGGGTAAGGGGATGGTTTGGGGATGAATCAAGCACATTGCATTTATTGTGCACTTTATTATTGCTACATTGTAGTATGTAATGTAATAATTATACAACTCACCGTAATGTAGGATCAGTGGGAGCCCTGAGCTTGTTCTACAATTAGATGGTCCCGTCTGGGGGTGATGGGAGACAGTGACAGATCATCAGGCATTAGATTCTCATAAGGACCATGCAGCCTACATCCCTTTTGTGTGCAGTTCACAGTAGAGTTGGCACTCCTTTGAGAATCTAATGCCACCGCTGATCTGACAGGAGGCGGAGCTCAGGTGGTAATTCGAGCAGTGGGGAGTGACAGACTTCCTGCTCTGCAGCCAGGTTCGTGACAGGCCATGGACCCGTTGGGGACCCCTACTATAGAGAATAGATGTTATTATTTTCAAACCTTCACATTGGGTCTTGTATCTGTGTAATAGAGGTTAAGACTGGAAGTTATTTTTCCTACTAGGTTGAAAAGACCCTACTCAGAAAGGCGAGAAGAATGAACAGGAGAGGAGAATACGAACAACAGAAAAGGGCATTCCAAGGCGAGGAAAGCTAGTGGGGACAAGGGAGTAGGGAAGGAATATTCTAGAATATCTTGGATCTTGGAATGCCATGCCTATTTAAGGGAGTCTGTAGTCTTTGGAAGGCTGTGAACAATGGGATTGACTACTGAAGACAAAAATGTTGGTGGCCTTTCAGGATGCTAGAAATTTCGGGGGGAAATGACAAGAAGAATCACCATAATGATTCACATGCAGGGATATTTCCATCGTGTCTTTTTCTACAGTTTATATTCTTTTGCACCTTGCTTTTTTCACTTGACATCATTTCAATGATATTCTGTCATTATTTTCAGTAGCTGAATAATCCTGTGGATATATCATAATTTAATTATTTTTTTGCTTAGTATTCAGGCTGTTTCCAAATTTACATTGTAAATAATATTGATGTGTGGGTATAGATGGTCCCTGATTTCAGATGGTTTAACTTAACGATTTTTCTTTTCTCTTTTCTTTTTTTTGAGACAGTCTTGCTCTATTGCTCAGGGTGGAGTGCAGTGGCGCGATCTCAGCTTACTACCACCTCTGCCTCCTGAGTTCCAGCGATTCTCCTGCCTCAGCTTCCCAAGTAGCTGGGATTACAGGCATGTACCACCACGCCCGGCTAATTTTTGTATTTTTAGTAGAAATGGGGTTTCCCCATGTTGGCCAGGCTGGTCTCCAACTCCTGGCCTCAGGTGATGTGCCCGCCTTGGCCTCTGGAAGTGCTGGGGTTACAGGCATGAGCCACTGCGCCTGACCTTAACCTGACAATTTTTCAACTTTATGATGGTGCAAAAGCAGTAGGCATTCAGTAAGCTCCTCCACTTAGGATGGTCATGTCCCCATAAATGAGTTGTACATGGAGGAGTATCTGGTATCTTTCAGGCACAATTCGTACGTTAAGACAGACCCAAGAGGGGAATTGCTGGAAAACCAGCTAAGAATAATGTTTAAGGTCCTCACTAGTACAGGACCTTGAAAGTTTTGAAAGATGTGTTTGAATAGGTATTATGTATACATGTTTCAGAATTCAAAAGGCACCCATTGCCCTTTGTCCTCTAGGAAGGAAAATGAGGTTGAAGCAGGGGTAGGCTCGATGCCAGCTTATTTGAGGCAAGGGCCCATCTCCCTTATGCTTCTTTGGAGTGATTGCCTTTTTTTTCCCTTTGACTAATGGAAACTTTCAAACATACAAAATAAAGACAAATAGTACAGTAACCCCCGTACACCCAGCTTCACCATTTTTCAGCACATCGGTCTTTTATCTGTATTTTCTTACTCTTCTGGCCTCCTCGGGGATTATTTACCAATTTGGAAGATGGCTTTTTGGAGACAGTCTTGCTCTGTTGCCCAGGCTGGGGTACAGTGGTGCAATCTCAACTCACTGCAACCTCCCCCTCCTGGATTCAAGCAATTCTCCTACCTCAGCCTCCCCAGTAGCTGGGATTACAGGTGCCCACCACCACGCCTGGCTAATTTTTGCATTTTTAATAGAGACCAGGTTTCACCATGTTAGCCAGGCTGATCTCGAACTCCTGACCTCAAGTGATCCACCTGCAGGCATGTTTTTGTTTTTCATCGTTTGCTGGCCATGTAGAAAAAGACTTCAGATGTTTGGAACTTGATCTATTTATTGAGGAAGGGCAAACAATATGGCACAACTTCAAACAAAGCTATCATTAACAGATTAAATTTTTACAACTTACATAGAATGTATTTCTACCAACATTATTTGGAGCTGTGGCATGTAGATTCTCAAAAACACTTGCTGAGTGAATTACAACTACCTGTTACTTTCATTTTTTGGTACCCTGTTGCATTTTGATCTTGGTTTTCTCTTTTCATCATCTGGCTGTGTGTGTGTGTGTGTGTGTGTCTGTGTGTGTGTGTGTGTGTGTGTGTATTAATAAATGATGACCAAAACGCGTCTGGACCGCAATGGAAAACTTAACGGTACTTTTTGGTATTTTTTTTTTTTTTTTTGAGACAGAGTCTGCTCTGTCGCCCAGGCTGGAGTGCAGTGGCGCGATCTCAGCTCACTGCAAGCTCTGCCTCCCAGATTCACGCCATTCTGCCTCAGCCTCCCGAGTAGCTGGGACTACAGGCGCCCACCACCACGCCCGGCTAACTTTTTGTATTTTTAGTAGAGATGAGGTTTCACCGTGTTAGCCAGGATGGTCTCAATCTTCTGACCTCGTGATCCACCTACCTCGGCCTCCCAAAGTGCTGGGATTACAGGCATGAGCCACCACACCCGGCCGGGAAGACGAGATTTTTTAAATTACACACTTAGATGAAATATTGTAATATAGTTTGACGTTTACTGTCACCTTGGGAAGCATTTTTATGTACTTTTCCCATTTAATTTCACAACAGTTTTATAAAGTGATAATCTTCTGATTTTAAAGGTGGAAATGTTTAATTTGCCTTAAAATTTTTTTTTTCAAAGTCTAAGGCTCATGGTTTGTAATCCCAGCACTTTGGGAGGCTGGCTGACTCACGCCTGTATTCCCAGCACTCTGGGAGGTGGAGGCGGGCGGGTCACCTGAGGTCAGGAGTTTGAGACCAGCCTGGCCAACATGGTGAAGCCCTGTCTCTACAGAAAATACAAAAATTAGGCCGGGCGCGGTGGCTCACACCTGTAATCCCAGCACTTTGGGAGGCTGAGGTGGGTGCATCACGAGGTTAGGAGATCAAGACCATCCTGGCAAACACGGTGAAACCCCGTCTCTACTAAAAATACAAAAAAATTAGTCGGGCGTGGTGGCGGTCACCTGTAGCCCCAGCTACTCGGGAGGCTGAGGCAGGAGAATGGCGTGAACCCGGGGTGGCGCAGCTTGCACTGCACTCCAGCCTGGGCAACAGAGTGAGACTGTCTCAAAAAAAAAAAAAAAAAAAATTAGCGGGCATGGTGGCGTGCGCCTATAGTCCCAGCTGCTTGGAGGCTGAGGCATGAGAATCACTAGAACCAGGGAGACAGGCTACAGTGAGCTGAGATTGTGCCACTGCACTCTAGCCTGGGCGACACGCTATCTCCAAAAAAAAAAAAAAAAAACGAAGTCTAAGGCTCTTGTTTTAAGTTTTTGTTTTTTCTAGAAAAGGGGTCATGGGTAAAGTGGATACCAGCTGTTGTTTCAATTGATCTCTTTCAATTAATTTTAGCATATGTTCCATTGCTTGCAGATGCATGGAAAATCCTTTTAAACTGCTGCATATTTAATAATTTTTCCATTGGTTAACCTTGAGGTGGTGGCGTGTCATCTAGGTTTAAATACAGAAGAACTCATTTCCTTTAGGACAGTTGAAAGATGTATTACTCAATACAAGTGTAACCCGGTTTCTTTTAGAAAACATTCGATCCCACGATTGCAGTGTGTTTTTTGAATGTCATTTAACAAAGGAGAGCTTGAGATTTTTAACATGAGGTAAGTGCTGTAGTTTTGCTGTTTGGAGTCTTAGAGATATTGCCAGGAGGCATGAGGGTACCACTCAGAACCGAATGGAAGCAGATACCTCACTCAAAAGAAACAGATCTGGGAGGAAGAGAAAACCTTTTGTATAGCAAGTAAAAACCAGAATAATATAGTTTTATGTGGAATTTGCAAACTGGAGTTTGGAGCATGTTTTGAGGATTTGGGTGAAGATCAAAGGAAGAAAAGAGATGCTAGTTATTTATATTGTATATAAGATATTTTCGTAGACATTTGAGTGTTTTTTTTGTTTGTTTGTTTGCTGACACTGATTTTCCCTCTTATTTCCCAGGCTGGAGTTCAATGGCACGATCTCAGCTCACTGCAACCTCCACCTCCCAGGTTCAAGCGATTCTCCTGCTGCAGCCTCCCAAGTAGCACATGCCACCATGCCCAGCTAATTTTTTTGTATTTTTAGTAGAGACAGGGTTGCACCATGTTGGTCAGGCTGGTGTTGAACTCCTGACCTCAGGTGAACCACCTGCCTTGGCCTCCCAAAGTGCTAGGATTACAGGCATGAGCCACTGTGCCCGGCAGACATTTGAGTATTTGGATGTAAGCATTTGAATATTTTGTAGACATTTTAGGCAGGTGAAAGAAATAAATGCACTGATCTAAAATCCTAGGAAAGATACGGTTGTGATGGGAGTCCTGTTGAACATCTGTGGGGATCTTGATTCCACAAAAGAAATTGAAGTAAGCCTAGGGTGCTGTGCTACTGGAGACGGACGCTTAGTTGACACTGGTCGTCAGGGAGGGTTTCCTAGAGGAAGTGATGCCTGCGCAGTGTCTTTGGGAAACTTGAGGGAGGGGGAGAGGTTGGAGGAAGGAATAGCCAGGCAGAGGGCATAGGACGCTTAGTTTCAGGATGGAAAAGGAGAACTGGTGGCGTGATTTGTTTAGTCCTTGTTGGTGGCATTCAGGGAATGCTGTGGTGGTGCGCTTTTTGAGGGAGTAGCAGGAAATGAGTTGAAAGAGGTTAACAGGAAACAGTTCACGAAGGGCCTTCTGAGGTTTGTTTCTTCTTAAGCCATGGTGAGTCTCTTCAGGCTGAAGAGGACCATAATCTAATTTTTGGTGTGGCGAGATCCCAGGCAGCAGTGTGGAAACTGAGTAGGACAGTGAGGCAGAGCAAGGGGAGGCTGAGGAGTAGATTGTCAGGTCTAGTCTTCAGGGACCTGGACAAGAACGGCAAGGGCAGGTTGGAGAGGCAGAAATGGGTGGCCAGAGATAGAAGAAGAAAGAGGAGGAGAAAATGGTGGAAAAGATGAATTCTGGTGTTCTGCTGAATTTGAGGAAACACTTAAGTGGAGGCAAATTAACTTGGCTACAGGTCAATTTGACCGCCATTCGTAACAGTGCCCTGGCACAGTGTAAGCAAAGAAACATTTAGGATCCACTAATAACCAGGCTGGCCTAACAGCTGCAGAATATAATATCCTCTTCCCTGGTAGAACTGACATTCAAGAGGGAGCCGCTTTGTATCCATGTGTGTTGGAACCATGCAGAACAAAGGTCACCCAGAAAAAAATGTAGCATCTGTGTCACAGTGTAAAGCGCTAGGGAGTGGTTGGCACTTAAGTAGTGACTGGAACGAGGAAGGAAAGACCAGGAAAGAAGGCTGACAAGGGGAGGAGAGCCTCAGGAAAGAGCGGTCATCAGGGTTAGATGCCTCTGTGAGTTCAGACTTAAGATGAAGACCAAGAGCACTGGATGCCTGGGGTCGGAAGACAGTGACGACTGTGTAGGGCTGTGGGGTTGAGGAGGGAGTGAAACATTGAAGAAATGGTAACAATTGTAGACTTAATTCCAGAACCTTGATTTTGAAAGAACCAGGAAGAGGTGGGATTGAAATGCATCATTTATTTTTTATTTTATTTATTTACTTACTTATTTTTAAATTTTTTTTTGAGGCGGAGTTTCACTCTGTAGCCCAGGCTGGAGTGCACTGGTGCAATCTCGGCTCCCTGCAACCTCCATCTCCCGGGTCCCGGTTCAAGCAATTCTGCTGCCTCAGCCTACCTAGTAGCTGGGATTACAGGCTCGTGCCACCATGCCCAGCTAATTTTTGTATTTTTAGTAGAGACGGGTTTCACCATGTTGGCCAGGCCGGTTTTGAAGACCTCATGATCCGGCCACTTCGGCCTCCCAAAGTGCTGGGATTACAGGCATGAGCCACTGCGCCAGGCCTCATTTTTTTAAATCTTAACTTTCACTGTATGTTAATGGGGAAGAGTAGGAGAGGGACAATAGAAGAATGTAATAGAATGACCAGTGGGAATCCATGGAGGGGGAAGAAACATCTTTTGTTGGCACTCAACAAAGGAGGCAGTGATCAATGCAGCTACTTTTGGAAGAAAGGCTTGGCCAGGTACGGTGGCTCACGCCTGTAATCCCAGCACTTTGGGAGGCCGAGGCGGGTGGATCACGAGGTCAGGAGATTGAGACTATCCTGGCTAACATTGTGAAACCCCGTCTCTACTAAAAAATACAAAAAATTAGCTGGGCATTGTGGCGGGTGCCTGTAGTCCCAGCTGCTCGGGGGACTGAGACAGGAGAATGGTGTGAACCCGGGAGGCAGAGCTTGCAGTGAGCCAAGATCGTGCCACTGCACTCCAGCCTGGGCAACAGAGCGAGACTCCGTCTCCAAAAAAAAAAAAAAAAAGCCTTAGGATAGGCTTAACTAATGGTCACGTTCCTCTATGAAGAAGAGGTGGCAGGCAATAACCTAGGATTGCCAGGCCGTTTGTAGTGACTTCAACCTCTAGTTCTCTCTCTCAGTGTCCCCCTCCCTCACCTAAATCTTGGCTGCAAGAGTGGGAGGAGGGGCAGGGGGTTGGATTGATCTGGGTATTTTAGGGATGGTGTAGCAGAAGGACAAGACAGTGATATGCCTGCAGAAAGAATGGAGTTGCTGGGTCTCCATGAACTTTGCAGGGAAGGACTAAAGCCTGAAGGGAACGTGCTAAGAGAGAAAGGACAGTATTCAAGAGTAAGTCTTATAGGTAAGAGTGGGGACTGGGAGGTTACAAGAGTTTGACTTTAAAAGTGAATGATTCTGCATAAGGTCAAGAGTGTGGTTTGGGGTAAGTTGTCCCAATTGATGAGTTCAACTAATGTTTATAATTCATTTTTGAGAATAGCCTTGGGATAATGGAAGTGGTAGAGGTCTGGACACAGATAAATAACCCCATTTAAAGTGAGCATGACATTGATTCCAGGAGAAATTGTAGAAGCAAAGATCAGACCTGAAAGAGATGATCATGTAGGAGTCAATATGGGTGTGTTTAAGAACCTTTTCAACTAATTTTGATCGAACTAATTTTGGAATAGGGTTTTTGACTGCCAGCCATGGGAGTGCTGGAACATAGTATATCTGGATTTTTTCAAGGCATTTGATGAGGTGTCTTCCTGATATGGAGTTAGGTGAGCTGTAGAGGCATGTCATGTGCCCTAATTGTTAAAAATGTTTTAACAAGCCTAATTCTGAGGTGGGCTGATCACCTGAGCTCAGGAGTTCAAGACCAGCCTGGCCAACATGGTGAAACCCTGTCTGTACTAAAAATTCAAAAATTAGCCAGACGTGGTGGCATGCACCTGTGGTCCCAGATACTTGGGAGGCTGAGGTGGGAGCATCTCTTGGACCTGGGAGGTGGAGGCTGCAGTGAGCCGATATCGCACCACTGCATTCCAGCCTAGGCAACAGAGCGAGACTCTGTCTCAAAAAAAAAAATTCCTAATTGTTTGCTTAAAGTCCTGTACCCTGATCCCCAGGTTCATCTGTTCCATTACACTTGGTGCAGGTGTTGCTTAACAGTAACACTTGCAGAGAAAGATAGATCTCGGGCTTTGACTGACATCTCAATAGGAATTGAGTATGATTTGCTTTTCGTAAGTCAGTTTAGTTTGGAGCTGTGAAATACGGTATTAGTGTTTGCTTGTCTCAAACTACCCCAAACAAATATTTGTTAATTCTCACAATTTAACACTGGATGAACTGCAGTGGCCTCACCCACAGTCTCTCACCTCCAGGTTAACCCAGGCTTCTTCACGTGGTGGTGGAAGGTCCCAGCAGCGAGTCCCAGCTCACAGGCACTTTTCAAGCCTTGCCTATCTCATACTTGCTTAGGCTCCATTAGTCAAAACCAAGTCACATGACCAAGTTCAGATTATGGAGGTAGAGAGATAACCCATCTCTTGATGAGAGTGGCTGGATTCATATTGGAAAGGAGGTGGGTGGAAGGAATGACAGAATCAGGAGGAATTACTAGGACCCTTTTTGAAAACAATCTCAGATGGGTACATCATGTGGAGATTGATGTCATTCAGCACACTTTCAGAAGTGACTGTTGAGTTAAGGTACCACCATGATTCATGGGTGATGCTGATTCATATGGCCAAGCCCAGATTCTAGGGGTGGAGTATGAGCGTTATATTAATGTGAAGAAGCAGAGAGAGGTGTGATGGGAAGAGTCTGAGTCTGGTGGCTGGGGTATCGAGAACTCACAGCAGGGTTCTTCTGCTTCCACAATATGTGCATTCGGAGCAGATGATCCTTTGCTAATGTGGAGGCCATCCTGTGCATTGTAGGGTGTTCAGCAGCATCCCTGGCCTCCACCCAGTAGATACCTTAATAAAGCTGATTTTTAAAAACGGCTGCAGTACACCATAGTTTACAACAGCTTTTACACATAACAACCTAATTTTTTTTCTTGAGATGGAGTCTTGCTCTGTCACCCAGGCTGGAGTGCAATGGTGCAATCTTGGCTCACTGCAACCTCTGTCTCCTGGTTTCAAGCGATTCTCCTACCTCACCCTCTCAAGTAGCTGGGATTACAGGCGCCTGCCACCACACCCAGCTAATTTTTGTATTTTTAGTAGAGACGGGGCTTCATGATGTTGGCTAGGCTGGTCTCGAATTCCTGACCTCAGGTGATCCTCCTGCCTCGGCCTCCCAAAGTGGTGGGATTACAGGTGTGAGCCACTGTGCCCGGCTGGTTAATTTTTTTTAACAGTTTAATTTTTTGGTGGGAAAGTCCTCTCTCCCCGCCACTTCCAAGTCAGATCTATGATAAAACTAGTAATTAATTAGAAATAGTCACTAGTTTGTTTGATGAGTTCAGAAAGTAGCCCAGCGGAGGTTCGAAGCCTGATATACTAAATAGCAGGCTGAAAGGTATTGATAAGCAGGAGCGCATTTAGGGGAAGATTGGGACAGGGATGGAAACAGTGAGTAAAGTTAGAGAAGACTCTAGGATATGAGAACCAGTCTCGCCAGTTTCAAAAATGCATTCTGGCCCCCAAGAGAGAAAGATCTTAAGGCCAGCGAATGGCAGTTGTAGGGAAATAAGCAGCCTTGATATGAAGAAGTCAAGTACTTGTTAACCTCTGAAGGTGGAATTCAACCAAGTTCTCACAGGAGTGTGCAACATAGGGTCAGAGACCGTCCTTCACCCAGCAGGGTTTGTAAGAAGGAAGGGAGTGCTGGTTTGGGGAGGAAGGTGTGGATTATCTGCATTTCAGAGTGAGTTCTCTTAGTGTGTTTCTTCTTTGACTTTTTCCTCCGTATTGGTGGGATCGAATGCTTCATAATGACAGATACCCATGGCAGGACATGTACATTTCCTGTCCTTTTTCATCTTTCTTTTATGATAGCTGTGCATAAATCTAAACAAGCCCTTTCGTTCACCTTTTTGGAGAGGATATTGAGAAATATAACCTGCACTACATTACTAGATGTTGGTAGGAGGTCACAAGAGGAGGATTAAATGTAAGAGCCAGAGGTCTGTGCTCCATTACAGTGAGTTTTCTGTGTGTAAGTCCATGTATTAAGAAGCATCAAGTATTTCGAATTTTATATTTCAAACAAGTGAGCTGATGATGTTTGATTGCTGGTGTGTGTGAGAGTGCTATATAAACTGTCGTATAGTGCAGCAATTTTTCAGTAGCTTTGTTGAGATATAGTTTACATACCATGCGATTCACCCATTTAAAGTGTGCAATTTAATGGTTTTCAGTATGTTCAGACTTGCATAACCATCACCACATTCTAGAACATGCCATCAACCCAAAAAGAAACCCCATATTGGCAGTCATTCCCCATCACCTCCCCTCCCAACCCAGCCCTAAGTAACCACTAATCTGCTTTCTATTTCTATGGATTTGCCTATTCTGGACATATTATGTAACTGGAATCAAACAATATGCGGTCTTTTGGACTGGCTGCTTCCATTTAGCAAAATGTTTTCGAGATCATCGGTGTAGCATGTTATCAGTGCATCATTTGTCTGTCTAAATAATATTCCATTACATAGATCACACTACGTTTTGTTCAGCCGTTCCTCATTTGATGTACATTTGCATTGTTTCCACCTTTTGGCTCTTAGGACTAACGTTGCTGTGAACATTACAAGATTTCTCTTTTTTTTTTTTTTTTTTTTTTTTTTGAGGCAAGAGTCTTGTCCTGTCACCCAGGCTGGAGTGCAGTGGCGCCACCTCAGCTCACTACAGCCTCCGCCTCCTGGGTTCAAGTGATTCTCGTGTCTCAGCCTCCTGAGTAGCTGGGATTACAGGTGCGAGCCACCATGCCCGGCTCATTTTTGTATTTTTAGTTATTTTTAGTTAGAGATGGGGTTTCACCATGTTGCCCAGGCTGGTCTCAAACTCCTGACCTCAAGTGATCTGCCAGCTTCAGCCTCCTAAAGTGCTGGGATTACAGGCATGAGCCAACCCTCCCAGCCCCTGTACAAGATTCTGTATGGGCCAGGTGCGGTGGCTTCCCCTGCACTTTAGGGGGCTGGGGAGGGGCGGGAGGATCACTTTGGTGGCACATGCCTGTAGTCCCAGCTACTTGGGAGGCTAGGCTCAGGCAGAAGGATTGCTTGAGCCCGAGGCTGCAGTGGGCCCTGATCATACTACTGCACTCCAGCCTGGGTGACAGAGTGAGATCCTGTCTCAAAAAAAAGAATTTTGTATGGACTTATGTTTTTATTTCTCTTGTGTATATCTGGGAGTGGAATTGCTGAGTCATAATGCTGCTAACAAAACATTTTGAGAAACTGCTACAATTCTTAACCTAGAGAAATAGATATGCATGGTTCCCATCTGAACTGGCAAGGGGTAGGGCTGCTTGAGGAGAGATTATTATAAAAAGCCTCCCTCCTTGGTTAAGAACTACTGGTATAGTGGAAAGCATGTGGGATTTGGAGCCAGTGTATTTGAGTTCTGTTCTTCAGCGCTGAGCCTTAATTTTCTTTAAATTAGGAATAATGATACTTAATCATAAATGATTGTCCGGAGGGCGAGGAGTTAGAATTTTGTTGAAAAATCCATTTCTGATCACAAAAGTTTATTAGAAAAATATGGACTAAATGGATACTTTCTTAACATGATAGAGAAAAATACAATTAAACCAAGAGCTGACATTTAAGAATGAAACCACTGGAAATAGTTCCATTGAATTCAAAACAAAACAAAAAAATGCTCATAAGCATTATTGGCATTGGCCTTGTCCAGGTAGTATATGATTCAAGTATAGGAAATTGTAACTATGGGAAAGGACAGGTGATATTTGGAAACCATAGGTTATATTTGTAGAGAATAAACTGGAAAAATACTAGAATTGATTGTTAGTGAAACGGGGCTGATCCATACAGTTGCCCCTTGCACAATGTGTGAGTTAGGGGCACAATCAAATCCCATGTGTAACCTTTTTGTTTGTTTTTTGTTTGTGTGTGTATGTGTGTGTTTTGTTTTGTTTTCTGAGATGGAGTCTCGCTGTGTCGCCCAGGCAGGAGTGCAATGGCATGATCTTGGCTCACTGCAATGTCCGCCTCCCAGGTTCAAGCAATTCTCCTGTCTCAGCCTCCCGAGTAGCTGGGATTACAGGTGTGTGCCACCACACCTGGCTAATTTTTTGTATTTTAGTAGAGACGGGGTTTCACCGTGTTGGCCAGCCTGGTCTCGAACTCCTGAGCTCAGGCAATTCACCCGCCTTGGCCTTCCAGAGTGCTGGGATTACAGGTGTGAGCCGCCGCACTTGGCAGAAAATATTATTAAGAAAAGCATAAGAGAAACTGTATTTACTCTTCATTAAGTGGAAGTGGGTCATTGTAAAAGTCTTCATCCTTACGGTCTTCGTGTTGAATAGGCTGAGCAGGAGGATAAAGAGGATTGGGCTTGCTGTCTCAGGAGTGGCAGAGGTGGAGGAAAATTCACATTTAAGTGGATTTGTGCAGTTCAAACCTGTGTTGTCCAAGGGTCAACAGTATAGAATGTATTCTGTATGTTATTACTAACCGTATAAAGGTATCCTTTGTTCTTCATTGTATCTTTATCATTTTTATACATTATTATTACTATTATTTTTATATGTATTTTTTGAGATGTAATCTTGCTCTGTTGCCCAGGCTAGAGGGCAGTGGTGTGATCTTGGCTCACTGCAACCTCTGCCTCCCGGGTTCAAGCAGTTCTCCTGTCTCCGCCTCCCGAGTAGCTGGGATTACAGGTGTGCGTCACCATGCCCAGCTAATTTTTGTATTTTTAGTAGAGATGGGGTTTCACCATATTGGCCAGTCTAGTCTTGAACTCCTGACCTCAGGTGATCCGCCCACCTTGGCCTCCCAAAGTGCTGGGATTACAGGCGTGAGCCACCGCGCCCAGCCTATTACCATTATTTTTATACAACTAAGTTAAAACACACAGAAAGCAAAGAAGTGTGGTTTGAGTTTGTTGTATACATCCATAAACTGTTTATATAAAATTACTGGCTTTGGGCTTTTCTGAAAACTTGGCTTTCAAGATTGGCTTTAAGCTTCAATTGTAGGTATGAATAACAGGGTAAATTGTGGAGAGGGTTTGTTGGAATAAGTACTACTAGTCATCGGTACAAAATTCAACCTAATCAACCTTGACTGCTTCCCAGCCAGTCTGGTTTTGAGACCCTTCTAGAAATGTCGTGTGAATGCACAGGTGATTTTTAGTGCCAACTAGAATTCTGTCATATGCACATGACCAGTGGATACGTGCCTGTTACCCACACCGTCACCTTCACAATGAAGCCTTGGCATTGTGATCAGAGAACAATTCACAGAATGAATGAGGTTGAGCATTTTTCCTATTGTTTTCCTTTTCTCCGTTCCTTTTTTCCATTTTTCTGTTACTGAGATTTTCTGTTTCTAAGATTGATCTTAGAAATTCTCTGGAGGTTTTCATGTATTAGAGAAATTAGCTGGTTCTCTGTGGTGTTGCAGAAGTTACATCATCAGAGACTCTTAGCATAGAAAAAGAGCACAAGATTTGCAGCCTGAGGGCTGGAGTTTTTTCTGCTCTGTGGAGTGTTAATGAGGTGACTCTGGGGAAAAGTCATGTTATTTCTCTGAGTCACACCTGTAAAGCGAGTGTAATACCCACCTTGTGGAGTGGGACTTGGCGCTGTCAGCCAAACCCAGGCCCTCACCCAGCTCTCCTCTCATCTGTGAGACCTTGGCTTGGCCTTGGGTAGAAATTTCACGACTCTGAGGCTGTTCCTCTTCCTCGAATGAATGTTTCCCTCTGCACAATTTTTAGCCAGGGTGATCGCTGCTGGAAAAACCCAACTAAAGTTGTTAGTTCCTAATTAAAATTTTCTCCAAGTTTCCATGCAGTTTGCTATGTTAAGAATACCTCTGTGACTGATACTCCAATGTGAATAAGTTGTATTTTCTCCGTGTAGACTGAGTACCTTGAGTACATCCCACTAGTGTTTTGTGTCTTCACGTTGTGATACAATGTGATGTATATACTAGATGGTCCATGGATGCTTGATGAATTAATTATTTGATAAGTAGTGGCCATTAATCATCTTTTCCCTGGTCACCGGACTTATAAAACATGTATCAAGTTTTCTGGAATGAATGTGTGTTGAGAGTCCCCAAGACTGCCTCCAGGCTTGGTGATGTACTGGGACTCAGCAAATACTTGTACTCATGGCTGCAGTTTTTTACTGGGAAGTATGCAAAGCTCAATCAGCAAATGGGGTCGGGCACAGTGGCTCATGCCGGTAATCCCAGCACTTTGGGAGGCTGAGGCGGGCGGATCACTTGAGCTCAGGAGTTCAAGACCAGCCTGGCCAAACATGGTGAAACCCCGTCTCTACTAAAAATAGAAAGTTTAGCTGGGTGTGGTGGTGGGCGCCTGTAGACCCAGCTACTCGGGAGGCTGAGGCAGGAGAATCACTTGAACCTAGGAGGCAGAGGCCACAGTGAGCCGAGATCACACCACTGCACTCCAGCCTGGGTGGCAGAGGGAGACTACATCTCAAAAAAAAAAAAAAAAATTAGCAAAGGGAAGAGGCGCAGGAGATGAAAATCAGAGGAAGCCAGGCGCAAGCTTTCAAGAGTCCTCTCCCAGGGAAATCACACGGGATACGCATCATTATTCCAAGCTGTGACAATATGTGAGAAATGCTGTCTACCAGGGGTCTTGTTAGAGAGCAGCTGGGGGCTGGTCACTTAAGTACCCTCTGCCTGCCTAGCACATGTCCAAATCCAGATTCCCAGAAGGAAAACAGGTTTAATATAAACCAGATCGTTTGTACCAACAGATTGGCAACAGTGAGCCATCTTTATCAGGGAATGGTGGGAACCCTCCCTAAATCCAAGTTCTCAGATGCCAGCCAGAGACCAGCCTTGTAAGCAGGCCTTTCGAAAGACAGCAGACTGAAGCCTATTATGTTAACTCTTCTGCACAGAAGGGAGTTCATGTTTGAGGCGTGTTATTTCAGATACATAAGGTTATTTTCAGTGTTTAGTTGATTACTTAGTAAACATAGGTTGTCTTTCGAACGAGTTGTGATGAAGGAGAACCGTGTCCCATCCGTTTGCAGTGGTTTATCCACTGTCTGCATGGTGTATCCTTAACATGGACAGCAGCGCACATCCTGCACTTGGTCATCTCATTCTTTCTGTTTCTATTTAGCACTCACTGCATTTCTCTTTTTCATGGCCCTTGGCCCTTTCAGGTGACAATATTCTCAAATTCTAGGAGGACAGAAAATGTAAGATGGAGCCAAGTCTCATACCTAGCACTTGCTAGGTTGAAAAAAAAAAAAAAAAAAGACCGGGCACCGTGGCTCACGCCTGTAATCCCAGCACTTTGGGAGGCCGAGGCGGGTGGATCACCTGAGGTCAGGAGTTCGAGACCAGCCTGGCCAACGTGGTGAAACCCTGTCTCTACTAAAAATACAAAAATTTAGCCAGGCGTGGTGGTGGGTGCCTGTAATCCCAGCTACTTTGGAGGCTGAGGCACGAGAATCACTTGAACCCGGAAGTAGAGGGTGCAGTGAGCCTAGATCGTGCCATCACACTCCAGCCTGGGTGACAGAGTGAAACTCTGTCTCAGAAAAAAAAAAAAAAAAAAAAGCCAGACTTTCTTAGAGCAGTTTTGGATTCACAGTAAAATTTAATGGAGTTCCCATATACCCCCTGCCCCACACAAGCACAGCCTTCTTCCCTCAGCAGCCCCCACCAGAGGGGTACACTTAAACTGCAATTAATGAAACATTATCACCCAAGGTCCACAGTTTACAGTAGAGCTCACTCTTGGTGATCTACATTCTGTGGAGTTGGACAAGTTTATAGAGGCATGTAGCCACCACCTGAATATCACACAGTGTAGTTTCATTGCCCTGAAAGTCCTGTGTGCTCTGCCTGTTCATCTCTCCTGGCTTATTTTTTGGATGTAAACTTCAGTTCTTTGTAGAGATTTTCAGTTTTATTAAATCAATGTGTTGGGTGAGGTGGTGCATGCCTGTAGTTCCAGGTTGAGGCAGGAGGATTGATTGCTTGAGCCCCGAGGAGTTATTTAAGAAGATTAAAAATGCAAAGTTGCATTCATAACTTTTTTTTGGGGGGTGTGGTGGGGGTGCGGACAGATCGCTCTGTTGCCCAGGCTGGAGTGCAGTGGCTCCATCTCGTCTCACTGTAACCTCCACCTCTCAGGTTCAGGTGATTCCCCTGCCTCAGCCTCCTGAGTAGCTGGGATTACAGGCATGCACACCACACCCAGCTCATTTTTGTATTTTTAGTAGAGACAGGGTTTCGCCATGTTGGCCAGGCTGGTCTCAAACTACTGACCTCAAGTGATCCACCCACCTTGGCCTCCCAAAGTGCTGGGATTACAGAGGTGAGCGGCTGTGTCTGGTCCCTACCATTACAATGTAAGGTTCTTGGTAGATAAGGAAATTGTGAATGACCTGGTACTCCATGGCTTAAGGTCAGAAAGTCATCTAAGTAGCTTTCCAAGAATTTCAAGAGTTGCTAATCTTAGGTAGAAAAGGTTTCTCTCCTCATCAACTCTTAGGGGAAAATAGTTGACACTAATTAACATCTGATTCCTTAGCAGCTGGGATTTGGGGAGTTCTACTTTTTAAACTGTTGGTGAGAATAACATAGATTTTTCTAACCATTTTACCTACAGCTATCTTTAACATCTTTTAAGTCACCAAAAGAAATTTGAGGCCGGGCGCGGTGGCTCACGCCTGTAATCCCAGCACTTTGGGAGGCCGAGGCGGGCGGATCACAAGGTCAGGAGATCAAGACCATCCTGGCCAACATGATGAAACCCCGTCTCTATTAAAAGTACAAAAATTAGCTGGGCGTAGTGGCACACGCCTGTAATCCCAGGTACTCGGGAGGCTGAGGCAGGAGAATCGCTTGAACCCAGGAGGCAGAGGTTGCAGTGAGCCGGGATTGTGCCACTGCACTCCAGCCTGGTGACAGAGTGGGACTCCATCTCAAAAAAAATAAATAAAATAAAAATAAGAAATTTGAACTTGAGCTTGTAGTAGTAGAGAAGGCAGAAACTTTGTTTTTAAGCAGAACATACAACTCTGGGGAATAAAAACTGAAACTTTCTACATTTTCCAACAGCCATGACAGTAAATTTTGGGGACCATGTTTACAAGTGTTGCATTCGTAGAAACAATTTATTAACCAGGGTGTGATGGGAGGCTGAGGTGGGAGGATCACCTGAGCCTGAGAAGTTGAGGCTGCAGTGAGCTGTGATCACGCCATTTCTCTCCAGCCTGGGCAACAGAGTGAGACCCCATTTCTTTTCTTTTCTTTCTTTCTTTCTTTTTTTTTTTAAAGAAGAAGAAGGTTAGGCAGAATGGCTCATGTTTGTAATCCCAGAACTTTAGGAGGCCAAGGCTGGAGGATCACTTGTGCTCAGGAGTTCGAAACCAGCCTGGACAACATAGGGTGACCCTGGTCCCTACAAAAAATACAAAAATTAGGGGGCGTGGTGGTAGATGCCTGTAGTCCCAGCTTCTCTGGAGGCTGAGGCAGAGGAGTTTGTGGCGTGGCTGCAGTGAGCTGTGATTGCACCACTGTACTCCAGCCAGGGCAACAGAGTGAGACCCTGTCTCTGTTTAAACAACAACAACAAATTTAATGACTGTTTTGAAAAATGTTACCTCCCTTCCCAAATGATACAAGATCCCGTATCTTCCCACATTGAATAGTCATTCTGTCATTCTGTCTTGATTAAATCATTTTAGACACTATTAGAATAACTTGTTCTTTTAAGAGGTTATCTGTTGACCTTTAAAACTAATATGGTGGGGATCTCTTATTTTAATTTAAAAATAACAGATTCTTATGCAAGTAATTATGATCTAAAGGATAAAGGATTTTTAAAAATTTTGATTTAAGGTGTTCAGAACAACTTTTCTTTAGACTTTTTAGAGCTGAAGGGTTTCCCCTCTAACTTAGTTTTTCACTGGCAGGGAACATCTGGGCGTGTTCCAAATGTGGTCGAGCTACTGTATCCAAAGGTGATCCTGGCATTTCATAATCTCCTTGTTCCAATGTGTCTGGGGACAGCTAGGCAGACTTTACATAAGTACAGATTGCCTCTCTGGGCACTGCTGGGAGACTTCATTTGTGGCAGGAGGAGTGCCCCCAGGACTGGTGAGATAATTTGAGCTTTAAATAGCTCCTGGCCCTTGAAATAAGGACAACATGATTTAGGGGAAAGGCCAGAACTTGATCTTTGTGGCCTTCGGCACGCTGGCCTCTCCTTGCACTGGAGGCAGTCATGAGGGCTGCACCGCGGGGCGGTTTGTCTTCAGCATTCGCACACTCAGTAAAGTATGCCAGAGATGGGTGGCAGCAGCGCCCAAGGGCTCAGCTCCTTCCAAAGCCAAGTCTGGGCAGTTTTTTTTCAGGCTGTATGGAACTAGGGTTTATGGAAAGGAAGCGATGTGAGGCAGCTAAGGCAGTTTCCGCTTAATATAGAGAAGAGGATGAAACGGAGAAGAGACACTCGATACAGGAAGATGAGCTGGGAGATCGTTAGGAAATGTAGACATCCCCTGTGGTGAGAACTAAAATGAAGGAAAATTATTCAGGGTATTCTTAAAAGTAGTTCCTCATGTTTCTGTAGCATTTTACTTTTTCAAGAAGACTTTGCTGGGCACAATGGCTGTCACCTGTAATCCCAGCACTCTGAGCGGCCAAGGTGGGAGGATCACTTGAACTAAGGGTTCAAGACCAGCCTGGGCAACATAGTGAGACCTTGTCTCTACTAAAAATTTTTAAATGGCTGGATGCAGTGGCTCACACCTGTAATCCTAACACTTTGGGAGGCTAAGGTGGGTGGATCACTTGAGGCCAGGAGTTCAAGGCCAGCCTGGGCAACATGGCAAGACCTTGTCTCTACAGAAAAATACAAAAATTAGCTGGGTGTGGTGGCATGTGCCTTAGTCCCAGCCACTCAGGAGGCTAAGGTAGGATTGCTTGAAGCCCTGGGAGGCTGAGGTTGCAGTGAGCCAAGATAGTGCCACTGCACTTCCAGCGGATTGATATAGTGAGACCCCATCTCTAAATAAAGAAATAAATAAATCAGCCATAGACTGAGGCGGGTGGATCACTTGAGGCCAGGAGTTTGAGACCATCCTGGCCAACATGGCAAAACGCTGTCTCTACTAAAAATACAAAAACTAGCCAGGCATGGTGGCACACGCCTGTAATCCCAGCTACTCGGGAGGCTGAGGCAGGAGAATCGCTTGAACTTGGGGGGAGGTTGCAGTGAGCCGACATCATGCCATTGCACTCCAGCCTGGGCAACAGAGTGAGACCAGGTCTTTTTGAAACTCTGTCTCCAAAAAAAAAAAAAAAAGAAATCAGCCATGCATGGTGGTGCACACCTGTAGTCCCAGGTACTCTGGAGATTGAGGTGGGAGGATTGCTTGAGCCCAGTAGTTTGAGGCTGCAGTGAGGTGTGATCATGCCTCTGCACTTCAGCTTGGGAAACAGAGTAAGACCATGTCTCAAAAAGAACAAAAAAAGACTTTCTTATTTGTCTGATATACCTGTATATTACCTTATGAAAGAAGCAGAAATCCCCATTTTGCAGATAAGAAAACCAAAGCCCAGAGAAATGAAGCGGCTTGTCCCCAAGATTGCTTAGCGAATGATGGAGCTGGGAAAAGCCCAATCTTCCGTTATTTGTGGACACATCAGAATTCAGCATGAGTGACAGCGGTCTGCTGGATGACAGATCGTCAGTGCAGAATGAGACACGAGGTGCCTGTGTTTATTCATGCAGGAGGAGTGTTTGCAGAAGTGCCGGGAACAAGAGGTGGTGGAGCAAAGCATCTCTTTCCTGGTTTCCTTCTGCTCTGAACTCAAGTAGTACCCACCCCCTATTCTTCCCCTCTTTTGAGTCTGTTTCACTGAGGGCACGGCTGGTAGGAGTAACGTTGTCCAGCATTAAAACAGAGCATCAGTAATGTCTAGGAAAATGTTAACTTTAACAACACCACTAATCAGTTTAGAGAATATTTGAGCGTGTAGCACTTGCTGATCATTCATTCAGAAAATGAATTGCCTGCCATAAACTAATAAGCATGATTTGGTTTATGTTTTGATTTAATTATCTCTGAGTAGATGCTGCTTGAAGTAATGACTGTAATCACTTTTGCCAAGCATACCCCCCGTTTATAATTTAAGAAAAAAAATTTTTTTTTTTTTGAGATGGGGCCTTGTTATGTTGGCCAGGCTGGTCTTGAACTCCTGGCCTCAAGCAGTCCTCCCCACCTGGTGTCTCAAAGCACTGGGATTACAGGCATGGGCCAACATACTGAACATAATGATTCAAACATAGAAAAAAAAGTCTCCTGGTAGTTCAGTTCCCCCATGCCCCAGGAGTTTAGTACAGGGGTGTCCAGTCTTTTGGCTTCCCTGGGCCACATTCCCTTGGGCCACACATAAAATACACTAACACTAACAATAGTTGATGAGCTAAAAAAAAAAAAAAAATCGCAAAAAGAATTCTCAGTGTTTTAATAGAGTTTACGAATTTGTGTTGGGCTGCATTCAAAGCCATCCTGGGCTACATGCAGCCTGTGGGCCACAGGTTGGATAAGCTTGGTTTAGTAGATCTTTTTGGATTCTAGGTCCCTACCTGTCGTCTCTGTATGTAATATAATGTTATACAGATGCTGCAGTTGATCAACACGGAACAATGGGGACTCAAGGGACAGGGAGTAACCACTTTTCTTCTCTCCTCTCCTCTCCTCTCCCCATCCCCAGCCAGTTGGCATGTGCTGGTAGTCCCAGCTCCTCGGTAGGCAGAGGTGGGAGAATCATCTGAGCCTGGGGAGGTTGAGGCTGCAGTGATCTGTGATCCTGCTGCTGCACTCCAGGCTGGGCAATAGAATGAGACCCTGTGTCAAATATAATAATAATAATAATGTATTTCATATGGTTGTCAAGTAATGTAATAGTATATGACTCTGATACTATAGAAACCAGGTAAATAAATTTAGTATTATTGGCTGATATTAATAAGCAGTTATTTGTAGTCATAAAAATATACAACATTGGTTTGAGATGCCACTTTAGTCTTCTGAAAGTGATTAGCCTTGGGGGTGATGAGGGCGGGAGCCTTGAGAAATGGCCATCTTGGGAGAAGCATTGATTCCTGTTGCCCAGCTAGAGGCGCTGTGCTCGCCTCGTTCTTTTGTATTGCTGGTTGTAAAGTTGTATTCAGTCAGACACTCCCACTGCCACAAATAACATGTTCCCTGGGTTGCTAAAGTATCACAGCGATCAGACTCAATCCTATGCCCCTTATTTGGACTCCCTGAGGTTTAGAATTCACATGGTGTTGGCATATGAGCAGAAAGGCCTCCATGTTTCTCAGAAGTCAGCTTGAAGTTGACTCAGTATTTTCTTATCCAGAAGAGATGGGACTGAAGTTTAGTAGACAGGGCAGGATTAGGAGGAATTTGTCAGTCCGTTTTCCTAAAAAACCACTGAGTTAGACCATCTGTACTCATAGTCTCTCATCTAAGGCCTAGACTTGACAGTGTTTTGTGGAACACACGTGATAAGCCTGTGTCCTTTTCTGGGGAGGAAGCCAGGGTTCAGACACCGTTGATCCATTGATCCAGCCGCACTTTTCCCTCCCTTGTGTGTGCTCCACCTCCAGCCCCCTTCCCCCAGCCCACACAAAGTAATTTCCTTCTGTTCATCATGTTACTCAACAGAGCTCTGTTCTAGTGTCTCAAAGATACAGTTAACCCAGTGGACACCATCTGTACCATAACAACTCTGTTCTTTCCTCCTGGCAGGTGACAGAGCTGAATGAGCCACTGTCGAATGAGGAACGAAACCTTCTGTCTGTGGCCTACAAGAACGTTGTGGGGGCACGCCGCTCTTCCTGGAGGGTCATCAGTAGCATTGAGCAGAAGACATCTGCAGACGGCAATGAGAAGAAGATTGAGATGGTCCGTGCGTACCGGGAGAAGATAGAGAAGGAGTTGGAGGCTGTGTGCCAGGATGTGCTGAGCCTGCTGGATAACTACCTGATCAAGAATTGCAGCGAGACCCAGTACGAGAGCAAAGTGTTCTACCTGAAGATGAAAGGGGACTACTACCGCTACCTGGCTGAAGTGGCCACCGGAGAGAAAAGGGCGACGGTGGTGGAGTCCTCCGAGAAGGCCTACAGCGAAGCCCACGAGATCAGCAAAGAGCACATGCAGCCCACCCACCCCATCCGATTAGGCCTGGCTCTTAACTACTCCGTCTTCTACTATGAGATCCAGAACGCCCCAGAGCAAGCGTGCCACTTGGCCAAGACCGCGTTCGACGACGCCATCGCCGAGCTTGACACCCTCAACGAGGACTCCTACAAGGACTCCACGCTCATCATGCAGCTCCTCCGCGACAACCTCACGCTCTGGACGAGCGACCAGCAGGACGACGATGGCGGCGAAGGCAACAATTAAGGCCCCAGGGGAACTGGCAGCGCACGCGGATGCTACTACTGCAGTCTTTATTTTTTTCCCATGAGTTGGGGGTCGGGTGGGGGAGGGAAAGGGAGGGATGACCTTCCCAGGGAGAAACCCACGACCTGTCCTGTCTTTGATCGCCTCTTTGACATTTTTGCCAAAATACCACTAGTGGAAAGTCAGGCTAGCTGTGCTGGTATTGGAATAGCAGCCTCACACTGGCGTCTGGACTGTTCTGTAGATTCATGCAAGTGGAGCTGTCTGTCTCTAATTTAACTTATTGCTAGATAATAGGGTTTTCAGATGAAAAGAAAACTTAAAGAGGAATGGCCCTCATTCAGTAAGTTCTGTGGTTCCAGTAAGGATTTTTATGTACATACGCTCTCGTCTCTCGTTTTGGGTACTTTCTATCTCATCTGTCTCGGCTCTGCATGTTTTCCAGGGTGTAGCCTACAGACATGGAACAGTGTAAATCCCAGACTGACAGACTTAGAACCTGAGGTCTCATTCATCCTTATGGTTTAGGCCTTGCCAGTTTTCCGAAGTCTCTGATTAGTTGACAGTATTAACACTAAATTGCAGTTTACAGTATTTCTACATTACAGCCATATGTAACATCAAGCCATCGATTGTGTACTTTTCCTTTGCTAGTTGTTTGGGCTTTAACATCCTTATTCAGCCTTATCCAGGTTGGTTTTGCTGTTGATCGGTCTCCTAGGCTAAATGAGAATGAAAGCGACTTCAGGTCAGGTGGCTGTGGGATTTTTTTTTTTTGGTCCTTCTTTCCTCTTAACGTAAATCCACCACCAAAATTATTAATCCTCTTGAGAGAAACGTGAAACGCCACAAAAATAGAGAAAATTCAGGTCTGTATGTCATGGATCGTGTTGGTATTTTCAGAGAACATCCCGCTTCTGAAGCTGCTGCAGCTCCCTCCTCAGGGATCACACTGCCGTCACCCACTCTGCACTGGGGCGTTTCCTACTGCGCCTCGTGCTGGCGGACGCAGCTGGGTGCAGAAGCTGTGGGGTCGGAGAGGCGTTTGGAGAAGGTCTGTGGTGCAGTGTGTGAAAATTCAGGTGCTAGAAGCCTACTGGTAGAAAAACCCAAAAGGAAGAGCTATATCCTTAACCATTCTGTCCAATTTCGGGAGCCTTGTCAGTGTGTCAGTTTTTCCTCCCCGAAGACACTCCTTCCCCAAGTAATTGTAGGAAGATAAAAAAACTGTTACCAGATAACAAACACTGAACTCCTATTTGACCAGAACTTTTTCCTCTCGAGATAGTTTTTTCTTTTTAATGAAAAAAGCATAGGAATTGGAGATTGGCTTGTCTCACGCAGCCAGTGCACATTTGGAATTGACGGAAACAACGTTGCTATTTCCACCCATTTGTTTTCGGCAGCCTTAAGGCCCTCATTCTCATTTCGGGTGAATCTGTCTATCTGTGAACGTGGCCCGCATGTGCATTCTTTTTTTTATATATATAAAGTCAGTGACGAGGAACTCCCGAGACGTGTAATGACACCACACTTGTTTTCTTTGTTTCTTTGTTTTATTTAGGCAAGAAGAGGTGTGAGTAATTGAGGAAAAACTGACAGATGCTTTTGCTAATACCAAAATTGAGCTTACAATTAGGAACTGAGTATGTGTAACAGGATACAGGTGACAGTGAAGATAGAAGAACCACGATGACCACAGACTCAATGTGCTCTGTAACATCGCACAGTTTACCCAGCATGACTTTCCTTAGGAGGCCCCCTCCTCACGCTAGAGTAAAAGTCCCAGTTAAGTGAAGCCTACCAGAAGAACTAGTAGAAGAAGCTTTGCCGCTTTTGTGCCTCTCACAGGCGCCTAAAGTCATTGCCATGGGAGGAAGACGATTTGGGGGGGGAGGGGGGGGGGGGCAGGGTAGGTGGGGCTTTCCCTAATTTATCTTCATGTCCAGTGAGCAGTGTTGCGTTTTTCCTTGTAGCATTTGGAAATGATTTACTGGAATTACAAAACCTATTTTTCCTTTAAATTTCAGCTTTGGCTCTGGCTGCTTTTTAGAATAATGCAAGATAAAAATCACACCTGAGGGCTGAAAACGGAGAGGGAATGGGAGACTTGATATTTAAGCAGCTTGAATGGTTTTTCTTTTCTTTATTTTTAAAGAAATGCACTTGCCTATGATACTGTCTCTCCAGTGAAATGATTACTCCTCCATTACTCTATTGATACAATATTGTGCATGCTAGTGTTGTATTTCTATACAGTAGCTTGAAATTGATTAACTTATACTGTAGGTGTTATGTATTCCTATGACAAAAAAAATTAAGTCTTCAAATTTTTTAAAGGTTTTTTTTTTTTAATTTAATTTTTCCTTTTGGGGGTAAAGTTTGCTCTACCAAATAGTGATTGTAACAAATTGATCTGTTTTGGATGTTGCTATAGTGACATGCAGTTATATATTTTGTTTTTAAAAGGGGGGGAGCAAAAGAAACACCAGTGTTAGCTTAATCTTAATGTCTGGTGTTTGTCATGGTGAAATTATAACTATTACAGTGTTGGAGAACAACAAATATGTTCTCTGAATGAGCCTTTGTGCTTTTTGTCATGTTATGCAGTGAACTATTTTTAAGGTCTAATCAGTGATTATTTTTCCAGCTCCGTGTTTCTCTAAGGAATTATTTCACACACGGACCATCTTTAGCAGTTTCCTCAGTGATGGAATATCATGAATGTGAGTCATTATGTAGCTGTCGTACATTGAGCAAATAAACTTACAGATCTGACGCCAGTGCTCCTTAGCTTCATTGTGTGAGTTTTACTGTCCTTTGCTTTTGAAGGTTGGATCAGATGTTGGTGTTCTCTTCCCTCCCCAGCCCAAGCAATGAAGTTGGATTGGCAGGAAAAAGGGGAAAGACAGTAGATACTGGAAAGCGCCTCCAACCAGGAATCAGATTTGGGTTTGGGGACTTAAAAAAACCATTGCACCAGGCCAGGCGCAGTGGTTCATGCCTGTAATCTCAGCACTTTGGGAGGCTGAGGCGGGCGGATTACCTGAGGTCAGGAGTTCAAGGCCAGCTTGGCCAACATGGTGAAACCCCATCTCTACTAAAAATACAAAAATTAGCAGGGCATGGTGCTGGGTGTCTGTAGGACCAGCTACTCGGGAGGCTGAGGCAGGAGAATCACTTGAGCCCAAGAGGTGGAGGTTGCAGTGAGCCAAGATTGCACCACTGCCTTCCAGCCTGGGCAACAGAGTGAGACTCCGTCTCCAAAAAAAAAAAAAAATTGCACCTTTTAGGGTGGGCGCAGTGGCTCACACCTGTAATCCCAGCACTTTGGGAGGCTGAGGCCGGAAGATCACTTGAGGCCAGGAGTTTGAGACCAGCCTGGGCAACATATTGAGACCCTATCTCTGTTGAAAAAACAAAACCAAACCATTGCACCTTTTGGGCCTCCATTTTTCTCATATTAAACGAGCCTGTTCAACTGGATCTCTGAGGGCCTTTCCGGGGTACCACTGGGGAGAAACACAGACCTGAGTTTGAGTGATGGCACGCCCCATCCTGCCCGTTTTAAACAACAAAACAAAACAAAAAACAGATGGGGTCTGGCCATGTTGCCTAGGCTGGGCTCGAACTCCTGGGCTCAAGTGATCCTCCCAGAATTATGGCCCCTTTTGATTCCTGGGCAAATTATTCAAACTTCTTAGCCTGGGTGGGTGTGGGTGTGGTTGTAGGTTTAAATGATAACTGGATCATAGCTTTTAATTATTTTTTTGTGACAGGCTGGAGTGCAGTGGCACGATCTCAGCTCACTGTAACCTCCACCTCCCAGGTTCCAAGCTATTCTCATGTCTCAGTCTTCTGAGTAGCTGGGATTACAGGATCCCACCACCATGCCCAGCTAATTTTTATATTTTTAATAGAGACCGGGTTTCGCCGTGTTGGCCAGGCTGGTCTCAAACTCCTGACCTCAAGTGATCCGCCTGCCTCGGCCTCCCAAAGTGCTGGGATTACAGGTGTGAGCCACCGCGCCCGGCCAAGCTTCTTAATTTTCTGAGAAACATTAATTCACATTTCAGGAATGATAACACACTGTGAATAGGCTTTTGGCATATACTCAGTGAATTCACTTACGTTGACTCATTTGTCACCCAGAACTACCCTGGGTGCCACTGCAAGTGTATGGCTGTAGAATTAGGAGTGACTGCTATACCTAAGGTGCTGTAACTCACTGATAACCCGCATCTGCCTGCCTGAGTTTGGTCTGCCCACACCAGGCTGCTTTTGCACTGCTAGGAGACCATAAGAAACTAGGCCGAGCGGCAGCAACCAACTCTTCAGCACACATTGACCAAGCACTTTTATTTTATTTATTTTGAGACGGAGTTTTGCTCTTGTTGCCCAGGGTGGAGTGCGGTGGCGCCATCTTGGCTCACCCCAACCTCCGCCTCCCGGGTTCAAGCGATTTCCTGCCTTAGCCACCCGAGTAGCTGGGATTACAGGCACGCGCCATCACTCCCAGCTAATTTTGTATTTTTAGTAGAGACGGGGTTTCTCCATGTTGGCCAGGTTGGTCTCGAACTCCTGACCTCAGGTGATCCGCCCACCTTGGCCTCCCAAAGTGCCGGGATTACAGGCCAAGCCACCGCACTTAACTGACCAAGCACTTTTAGTATTGCAGTTACTGAGGGCAAAAAAAAAAAAAAAACACTTTTGGCACAGATATGAACAAGATCAGAACAGTCAAGCTTGCTCTAACAGGGTCACTGAAGAAGGAAGGTAGATCCCCTGAAAGTTGCCGCTATTTCACCCTTGTTCCTTTGGCGTAATGTCCCGTTACAGGTGCAAGAGTAGCTTTGTTTTACTGTTTTGCAGATCTCTTGGGAGCTAAGTCACACGTACTCTCTGCTTAGGCGTCCAGTCTGTTGTGATATGTGTTTTCTTAAGACAGGGTCTCGCTCTGTCTCACAGGCTAGAGTGCAGCAGTGCGATCATAGCTCACTGCAGCCTCAAACTCCTGGGCTCACGTGTTCCCGCCTCAGCCTCCCAGGTAGCTGGGAGTGCTACCATACCGGGCCATTTTACTTAATTATTTTTGAGATGGAGTCTCGCTCTGTTGCCCAGGCTGGAGTGCAGTGGCTTGATCTCGGCTCACTGCAACCTCCACCTCCCAGGTGCAAGTGATTCTCCTGTCTCAGCCTCCTGAATAGCTGGGATTACAGGTGCATGCCACCATGCCTGGCTAATTTTTTTGTATTTTAGTAGAGACGGGGTTTCTCCGTGTTGCCCAGGCTGGTCTTGAACTCCAGAACTCAGGCAATCCACCTGCCTCGGCCTCCCAAAGTGCTGGGATTACAGGCGTGAGCCACTGCGTCCAGCTGGGCCATTTTATTTTTTAGAGACAGGGTCTTACTATGTTGTCCAGGCTGATCTCAAACTCCTGGCCTCAAGTGATCTGCCTCAGCCTCCCAGAGCACTAGGAGTACAGATATGAGCCACTGCACCTGGCCTATTGTGATATGTTGTTTCACTTGAAGTATTTGAAAAAAATACAGTATCACACAAATAAGTAGTTGGAAAGGGGTGAACCTAAAGAATTGAAGTTGAATGGCAGAAGCAGAATAAGGTTAAGAAAGTTCTCATTAGGTGGGTGCGGTGGCTCACGCCTGTCAACTTTGGGAGGCTGAGCTGGGTGGATTGCTTGAGCCCAGGAGTTCAAGACCAGCCTAGGCAACATAGTACATAGTGAGACCTCTGTCTCTACAAAAATTAAGTGGGCATGGTGGTGTGCACCTGTAGTTTCAGCTACTCAGGAGGCTGAGGTGGAAGGATTGCTTGAGCCCAAGAGGTTGAGGCTGTAGTGAGCTATGATCACGCCACTGAATTCCAGCCTGGGAGACAGAGCAAGACCTTGTCTCAAATACAATAAACAAAAAAGACCTCATACTACATGAATTAAATCAGTCTGTAGATCAGGCACCAGTGGTAAAGGTCTTTTTTGCCTCTTTTTTAGTGCATTCTAGAATTTTAAAAATAACCGATACTAGGCCAGGTGTGGTGGTTCATACCTGTAATCCCAGCATTTTGGGACACCGAGGCAGGCGGATCACCTGAGGCCAGTAGTTCAAGATCAGCCTGGCTAACATGGTGAAACCCTGTCTCTACTAAAAATGCAAAAATTAGCCGGGCATGATAGCACGCGCCTTTTATCCCAGCTACTTGGGAGGCTGAGGCAGGAGAATCGCTTGAACCAGAAGATAGATTGTAGTGAACCAAGATCCTGCCACTGCACTCCAGCCTGGGCAACAGAGCAAGACTCCATCTCAAAAACAAACAAAAACTGATACTTTGTCCGAAAGGTGATTAAAAATAACAGTGTGAAACATCAGAGGTCTCCATTCCAAGAACTTCAGGTCAGGGGTAGAGTGGAGAGGCCATAAATGTAATTCAGTGGGACCTTCTAGTACAGCAAAGCATGAAAGCAGTTTTCCTCCACTCTATTTATGTGTGATGACCACATGCGTTGGCCTCTGCTCTGGTCAGCTGAAACTGCATGTTGATTCACTGGGTGATTTGAGTGGCTAAGAATGGCACCTCCCTCCTGGGTGCACAGTTCCCAAAGCCTACTCAGAGAAACAACCTTCTGAGCACTAGCTGGGTAACCCTGTTCTAGGAGTTGACAATCAGTGGTCACCAGCCTAATCAGAACATTAACATGTGGCATACCAGCTTGCTAATTAGCCCACTGGTTTGAATTTTCCAACTCTGATGTGGATAAACGTGGTTGAATCTGAATGGCCACAAGCTGTACCTCTCATTAACCACACAGCGCTGTGGTCAGTGAGGAGTTAGGGTGAGAGTAGCTGGATCACACTGGCAAGACAATGAGTCAAGACATCTCAGGTTATGTAAGGGACTCACGTGGCACTCTGTTATCCTGTTATCCAGAGTATTGGAGAGGAAAGGCCGTAGGAATTTGAGGAACACTATGACTTGGGGCCTTTTTTTTTTTTTTTTGGAAAGACAGAATCTCACTCTTGCACAGGCTGGAATGCAGTGGCATGATCACAACTCACTGCAGCTTCTACCTCCTGGGCTCAAATGATCCTCCTATCTCAGCCTTCTGAGTCGCCGGGACCATAGGTGCGTACCACCACCACACACACCTGGCTAATTTTTGGATTGTTTGTAGAATTGAGGTCTTGCTATACTGCCCAGGCTGGTCTTGAACTCCTGGCCTCAGGCAATCCTCCCATCTCAGCCTCCCAAAGTGCTGGGATTACAGACATGAGCCACTGTGCCCAGCTGGTTTTTATTTTTTGAATTGGCAGTGCACACACGTTACAAAAGTGTGAGGCGGCCGTATACAGCCCACAATGCTTGACATATTTACCCTCTGGCCAGTAGTTTGCAGACCCCTGGTTTATCAGAAACTCTTCCCAGCATGCCCATTACCTGATCACCCATTAATTGCCATTCTTAGAGGTAACTACTGCCATCCATTCTTCTAATTTGGTTGAGCTTGAAATAGGATTTTTGCTGCCTTTGAGCACTGATGTGACTCTGGCCTTGTGATTTTAAATATAGATAGTTGAAATTTGGTGGTCCCAAAACAGATATCTTGAATTAGAATATTTAATTCCATTTAAAGGGTAGTTAGGTGGTATTGGGGCACTTGAATCCCAAACACAAAAATTGAAAAGAACGTTACAGTGATTGGCTACAGACCCACTCCTTGATATGGCAGATAAATTCCTCTATGGGTTGTGGAACCTTGAAAGTCACTGTTGGCATTTTACTCCCAATGTTCATATTTCTCCTTACAAAAAGGACATTCTCGGCCAGGCGCAGTGGCTCACGCCTGTAATCCCACCACTTTGGGAGGCCGAGGCGGGCGGATCACCTGAGGTCAGCAGTTCGAGACCAGCCTGGCCAACATGGCGAAACCCTGTCTCTGCTAAAAATACAAAAAAATTAACTGGGTGTGGTGGCTCGTGCCTGTAGTCCCAGCTACTTGGGAAGCTGAGACACAAGAATTGCTTAAACCCAGGAGGCAGAGGTTGCAGTGAGCTGACATCACGCCACTGCACTCCAACCTGGGCAACCGTGAGACCCTGTCTCAAAAAAAAAAAAAAAAAAGGACATTCTCTAATATAACCGCCATACTGTTATCACCCAATTAATAATTCCCTAATATCAGCCCATATGCAAATTTCTCCAAATTGTCCTCAGAATGCATTTGATAGCTTTTTCCAATCCCCCTCCCGCACCACCTAGACTCCAATTAAAATTCATTAATTGCATTTCAATATTAGATTTCTTTGCCTATTTTTTTTTTTTTTTAAGAGACAGGGTCTCAGTTGCCCTGGTTGGAGTGCTTTGGACAATCAGAGCTCACTGCAGCCTCCAACTCATGGACTCAAACAGTCCTCCCAACTCAGTCTCCCGAGTAGCTGGGACCACAGGGCTGCACTACCACTTCCGGCTAATTTTTTTCTTTTTTTTTTTTCAACATGGCCTTCCAATAAATCTATTTTTATTTTTTGTAAAGATGGGTATGTTGTCTAGGCTGTTCCTGAATTTCTGGCCTCAAGTGATCCTCTCACCTTGGCCTCCCAAAGTGTTAGAATTAATGGGCATGAGCCACCACGCCTGGGCCTGATAATGGCTTGAGACCAGGCTACTTGACAGTCTCAAGGCCCCACGTTCTGGGTTTGTCCAGTTGTCTGTGCCTATGTCATTTAGCTTGTTTCCTGCCCTTGTTGGGGTACTTTTTTTGTCTTAAGAACTTTGCTTTCTCCTCCATTTAACCTTCTCACTGGTTCACTCTGTGTTTTTTTTTTTTTGTTTTTTTTTTGAGATGGAGTCTCGCTGTGTCACCCAGGCTGGAGTGCAGTGGTGCGATCTTGGCTCTCGGCAAGCTCCGCCTCCTGGGTTCACACCATTCTCCTGCCTCAGCCTCCCAAGTAGCTGGGACTACAGGCACCCACCACCACGCTCGGCTAATTTTTTGTATTTTTAGTAGAGACGGGATTGCACCATGTTAGCCAGGATGGTCTCGATCTCCTGACCTTGTGATCCACCCACCTCGGCCTCCCAAAGTGCTGGGATTACAGGCGTGAGCCACCACGCCCGGCTACTCTGTGCTCTTAAGCAACTACCAGCAGCAGAGCCTGTTACCTAAGCGGACAAGGCCAAAGCCACTGCTCTGAAAGGCCAGAGGGATTGGCCACTACCCATGGGGACCATCTTGTTTTCTGACTGGAGTCTTCTGGGCTCGGGGATTTGCCTCCTCAATCCTCTCCTGCCTCCCCTGGATGGGAAAAGTACAGTATTAGGTGGTTTAATAAGCACTGGCTTTGACTCACATCCTCACTTGGCCCACTGGGTCCTGGTGGTCTGCAGCTGTTCTGCCCCTATGCCTGGGGGAGGTGGGGAGACAGCACAGCCCACCTTATTCACTAGAGTTAACTCAGGAACCAGAAGCATGCCTGAGACACTTCTTTCATACTGGATCTACACTAGGGGAATCACAATCTTGGTGTTAAATTAGTTCTTCCCACTGTGGTCGGCAAATTACCCTACCACTCATTGGCTTGTAGGAGCTGAGAAGATAAATGAAAGCCTTTTTTTTTTTTGAGACGGAGTCTCGCACTATTGCCCGGGGTTGGAGTGCAATGGCGTGATACCAGCTCACTGCAACCTCCGCCTCCTGGGTTCACGTTGATTCTCCTGCCTCAGCCTCCCGAGTAGCTGGGATTACAGGCATCCACCACCATGCCTGGCTAATTTTTTTGTATTTTTAGTAGAAACAGGGTTTCACTATGTTGGCCAGGCTGGTCTTGAACTCCTGACCTCGTGATCCGCCCGCCTTGGCCTCCCAAAGTGCTGGGATTACCAGGCATAAGCCACCGTGCCTGGCCACAAGAAAGCCTCTTTTTACTCACTTAACCTGAAGCCAGATTTTAGAGATGAGGTTTCATTGGTTGTCAGTTTTTTTGTTTTGTTTTGAGACAGGATCTCGCTCTGTTGACCAGGCTGGAGTGCAGTGGTGCAGTCATAGCTCACTGCAGCCTCCACCTGCTGGACTCAAAGCAATCCTGTTTCAGCGTCCCAAGTAGCTGGGCTATCTGGCCTGGCTAATTTTTAAATTCTTTTTGTAGAGACTGGGTTTTACTATACTATGTTGCCCAGGCTGGTCTTGAACGCCTGGGCTTAAGCGATCCTCCTGCCTCGGTCTCCCAAAGTGTTGGGATTACAGGTGTGAGCCACCATGCCCAGCTGGGTTATGTTCTTTAAAGCCAGATAGCAAACTCACTTTTTATTCCATTAGGTTTATCAAAGCAGACTGCCTTCCAAGAGACGGTATTTTTTAGTGTTAAGTTGACAAGGGGTTTTGCCTGCTAAGTTTGCCGAGTAAATCCTCGGACAAGGATTGTGGGTAGTGGGCAGACCAAGAGTGAGAAATATTCTCTTGCCCTAAATCAGGAGACTACATTAGAAACAGACAAGATAGACTCAGGAAATAAAGGCTAAAAGGTATGAAGGACAAGGCAGCTTGTAGCTGACTGCAAGCATTGTGGGGTGAGTCTTTTTTTCATGTAATCTCCCTAAATACCGTCCAAGTCTCCAAGGTCAAACAGATGCCACCTCCCGCTGCTGGGGCGGGGCCACATTGAGTAATAATCATTGCTCCCCGTGGTATGTTAGCACTTCGATTTCTTTCGCCTAGTGGCGACAGAGCCAAAATGAAACTGAGTAAGTACAAAACAGCAAAATAGCATTGGCCGCATCCCTCAGGGCCTCACGCACGCACCAGCCACAGCTGGTCTGGCCGCCCTGCCCCATTCCTTGAGCCACAAAATGCTGCAGTGATGCTGGTTTGCAAAGCCCCAGAGCTAGGTCGGGGGATTCAGCATCCCTCCCGGCCCAGGTCTGGGCCCCCTCCCTACCCCAACCTGGGGGCTCTTGCAGTAGGTCCCCTGCCGACCCTTCCCGGCTCTGAAGCTGGCTTTCCCGGGGATCGCCTCTTCCAGACCCCGGACTCCAACAGCGTCCTCGAGCCCAGCCACCCCCGCCTCCAACCCACCTGGGAGCTCCATCCTCGGCCCTATCTCTGAGCACCTCCCCTCCCCAAACGCCCAGACCCCCGGCCAAGGAAGCCTTTTGCTGCCTGCCGTCTCCCCGAGGGGCCTCCTTTGCATTGGCGAGCCGTTCGTCCCTGGCCCCGGCGTGCACTGGCGCGCCTCTGTCCCCCGGGTTCCTCGACGTAAGACAGGTTTCTAGGACGGTGCAGAGGCCAGGGCGCCCGGACTACGCGGAAGCCCGGATGTGGGCCGGGCGGGACCACGGCTGTGTATGTAGCCCCGCCCCGGGGGCGGCCGCCTTCCCCTCGGGCATGGCAAGAGCCAATCACAGGCCAGCGTGTCCCCGCTCCGCCAATGGTCGGACTGTTGCTAGGGCCTGGGTCCCTGCCCCGAAATCGGCCCGCTTAGCGGCCCCGGGGCTTCATTTGTTGCAGATCCCGCCCTCCAGCCACTGGGGAGCTTTTATCTCCCAACTTCACCCGCTTCTCTCTCCTCCGTCTTCCGCCTCCACCTTTGTTACGTGCTTGGGAGGATGGAGCCTTGGGCTCGTGGTGGGCCCTTGGTCCCACGCCTGCCCTTCAGTTTCTCCATCTGAATAATGACGTGATCTCTCGTGTCCCGGCCCGTACTGGTTGGCTATCCTTTCTTACCTACACATCTCTGCTTCTGAAAACAGCCCTGGGAGGTCTGCGTTGTTCCCAGATTGCAGAAGAGGAAACTCCTGGCCCCCGATGCACACAACAGCTGGGCGGTTTCTGGTGGCTACCTGGGTCTGACGGGTTCCATCACTTTACACGCGGGAGCCATGGTGCAACAGTGAGGGAGGGGGCAGATCTGGTGTCCTGGCGACACTGAGGCCAGGTCCTGCCTCTCTTTGGTATCCCAGGCCCTCCACAGCTAGGTCCCAACCTGCCTGTCCAACCTCCGCTGCCCTCATGCCCCAGGTGTTACAGCCCCATCAGCCTCCTGTGCGCCCTTCAAGGTCCTCTGCTCCAATACCCTTCCCTCCCACGGTCCTGATGATGATAACTGAATCGAACAGTGGCTGCCAGCCAGGGCCAGGGCCCTCCCCCATCATCAGTCCTGAAAGATGTCAGAAATGGAATAAAGACACCCAGTCTCCCCGCTTCCCATCTCCTGACATAGAGTTGTATAATCCCAGGCCGAGAGGGAGTTGAGTTGCCCAAGTCACTATCAAGGCTGGATTTAGGAATTAAAAATCAGCTCCAGTGAGGTTGCTGACTGTTTAGAAAGGTGGGATTTCTGTCGCTCAGCAATGTCTATTTTCTTTTTCTTTCTTTTTTAGAGACAAGGTGTCACTCTGTTGCCCAGGCTGTACTGGAGTGCAGTGGTGCAATCATAGCTCACTGGAGCCTCCAAATCCTGGGCTCTGAGTAGCTGAGACTATAGGTGTGCACCACCATACCCAGCTGATTTCTAAATTTTTTTTGTAGAAACAGTCTCACTGTGGTGCCCAGACTGGTCTCGAGTACCTGACCTCAAGCCTCAGCCTCCCAAAGTGTTGGGATTACAGGTGAAAACCACTGTGCCCGACCCAATGTTTCATTTTCTGAATAAAGGGCTGTTGGGGGACAAAAGCTTAAGAGCTCAGGATTTGGATTCTCATCCCACCATGTCCTAATTAGGTGACATAACCTCTCAAGGTATTTAGCCTTTTAGAGGATCAGTTTCTACATCTGTAAAACGAGAATAATACAACCTACCTCAAAAATGTCTAGCAGTGACTGAGTGCTTACTATCGGCTCTCAGCAGCCTTCTAAAGACTTCACAGTGGCTGGGTGCAGAGGCTCAAGCCTGTAATCCCAGCACTTTGGGAGGCTGAGGCAGGAGGATCGCTGGAGACTGGGAGTTCCAGACCAGCCTGGGCAACATAGCGAGATCCTATCTCTACCAAAATTACAAAATTAGCCAGGCATATTGACAAATGCTTGTGGTCCCGGCTACTTGGGAGGCTGAGGTAGGAGGGTAGCTGGAGTCCAAGAATTCGAGGCTGTAGTGAGCTGTAATGGTGCCATGGCACTCCAGCCTGGGCAACTGAGCAAGATCCTGTCTCAAAAAAAAAAAAAAAAAAGCCAGGCATGGTGTCTCATGCCTGTAATCCCAGCACTTTGGGAGGCCGAGATGGGTGGATCACCTGAGGTCGGGAGTTAGAGACCATCCTGACCAACATAAAGAAACCCCATCTCGGCCCGGCGCGGTGGCTCACGCCTGTAATCCCAGCACTTTGGGAGGCCGAGGCGGGTGGATCATGAGGTCAGGAGATCGAGACCATCCTGGCTAACAAGGTGAAACCCCGTCTCTACTAAAAATACAAAAAATTAGCCGGGCGCGGTGGCGGGCGCCTGTAGTCCCAGCTACTCGGGAGGCTGAGGAAGGAGAATGGTGTGAACCCGGGAAGCGGAGCTTGCAGTGAGCCGAGATTGCGCCACTGCAGTCCGCAGTCCGGCCTGGGCGACAGAGCGAGACTCCGTCTCAAAAAAAAAAAAAAAAGAAACCCCATCTCTACTAAAAATACAACATTAGCCGGGTGTGGTGGCAGGTACCTGTAGTCCCAGCTACTCGGGAGGCTGAGGCAGGAGAATCGCTTGAACCCGGGAGGCAGAGGTTGCGGTGAGCCGAGATAGTGCCACTGCACTCCAGCCTGGGCAACAAGAATGAAACTCAGTTAAAAAAAAAAGAATACTTCTTAGGTATTAATTCATATAGTTGCATCATTTGCAGATGAGGAAACTGAGACTTAGCAACATGCCCAAGGTCCCACAGCTAAGAAGTAAGTGGCCAAGTGGGATTGAACCCAGGCAGTGTGACATGAGTTCCTGCAACCATAACTGCGATCCCGTGCTGCCGCTCAGTGGAGTGGGGTTGCTATGAGGATTTAATAAGCTAACGAGTGATTGGCAGCTAGCAGGTGCCTCCTAAAATGTGCCAGTTCTGATTAGGATCAGAGTGGAAACAGTGGTCAACCCCCCTGCAGCAGAGGGTGTGACAGGGTGGGGCAGGAGCCCGGGCTCAGGCCTTGGCTGCCAGACCCTTCCAAGGCAGAGAGAGTGGGCTGGGTCTTCCAGGAGGGAAATTCAGGGAGGCTTGAAGGCCCTTGGAAACTGAAGCCCAGGGCAGAGGAGAACCGGGCTAAAGGCGTGCTGGGTGTGGGGCTGGGGAGAGGGGCAGTGGGGAGGTGTCAGAGTTTTTCAAGACTGGGCCTCTTTTTATTTTTGTTGAGACAGGGTCTCGCTTTGTCACCCAGGCTGGAGTGCAGTGGCACAATCTTAACTTGCTGCAACATCCACCTCCTGGGTTCAAGCAATTCTCCTGCCTCAGCCTCCCGAGTAGCTGGGATTACAAGCATCCGTCACCACACCTGGCTAATTTTTGTATTTTTAGTGGAGACGGGGTTTCACCATGTTGGCCAGGCTGGTCTTGAACTTCTGACCTCAAGTTATCCACCTGCCTCAGCCTCCCAAAGTGCTGGGATTACAGGCATGAACCACCATGTCCGGCTTGTCTCTTTGTTTTATTTATTTATTTATTTATTTATTTATTTATTTATTTATTTATAAGAAACAGAGTCTCGCTCTGTCTTCCAGGCTGGAGTGCAGTGTTGTGATCATATCTCACTGCAGCCTCAAGCTTCTGGGCTCAAGCAATCCTCCCACCTCAGCCTCCCGAGCAGCTGGGGCTGTAGGTTTGCACCTACTGCCATGCCATGTCCGGCTACTTTTTCCTTTTTTTTTTTTTTTTTTTGTAGAGAAGGGATCTCACTATGTTGTCCAGGCTGGTCTCACATTCCTAGGCTCAAGCGATCCTCCCGCCTCAGCCTCCCAAAGTGCTGGGATTACAGGTGTGAGACACTGCGTCTGGCCAAGACCAAGTCAATTGCCCCTGTTTGCGCTCTACAGGGCTCAGAACCTGGGCAGAGATTCCTGAAGGTTCTGGACTGGGCAGTGTTGGTGCCTGAGGAATTCATCCTCTCTGGGAGGGCACCAGGGGGCAGTCGCTTACTGTCCTATCTGGGCCTGGGAGTGGGGCGATGTGGGTCCGCAAACCCCAGGGCGTCCTCTAGGGGGCAGTCTCGGGCCTGCCTGCGCACAGCTCCATCCTCCGTGTGGGAGGGGCTGAGGCTTCCTGCCTGATCTTGACTTGAGCCCGGGTGGGGATTGATTTATCTTTCTCCCACCCAGAGCCCACTACCCCCTGCTGAGGGGATCGGTCTGTGGGGCTGCTCCCAGGGTTCAAGGCTTTCAGGCTGGGCAGACCTGGAGAAGAGGGGTCTTTGGGGCCACGGGAGGAATTACAAAGGGATAGTTTGGGCATCAGGGTTCAGAGACAGGTGGGGTGGAATTCAGAGAGGGGAGGGGCCTCAAACAAGGGAGGGGAGAGTGGGGAAGTGAGGAAGTGCAGTCATGGGGTGGGAGCTCAGGGAAGACGGGTGAACTCCAAGAAAGGCCAGGTGAGGCGGCTCACATCTGTAATCCCAACACTTTGGGAGGTGGAGGCAGGAGGATCACTTGATTCCAGGAGTTCGAGACCTCCCTGGGCAACATAGTGAGACCCGCATCTCTACAAAAAATTAGAAACTTACCAGGTATAGTGGCGCACACCTGTTGTCCCAGCTACTCGGAAGGCTGGACAGGAGGATTGCTTGAGCCCAGGAGTTGGAGGTTGCAGTGAGCTATGATCTCACTAGTGTACTCCAGCCTGGAGACAGAGTGAGACCTGGTCTCTAAAAAAGAAAACAAAAAGAAAAGAAGAAGCCAAGCACGGTGGCTCATGCCTATAATCTCAGCACTTCAGGAGGCCAAGACGGGCGGATCACCTGAGGTCAGGAGTTCAAGACCAGACTAGCCAACATGGTGCAACCCCGTCTCTACTAAAAATACAAAAATTAGCTGGGTATGGTGGTGCACACCTGTAATCCCAGCTAATCTGGAGGCTGAGGCACAAGTATTACTTGAACCCATTGGGAGGAGGCTGCAGTGAGCCAAGATGGTACCACTGCACTCTGGCCTGGGCAATAGAGCGAGACTCTGTCTCAAAAAAAGAAAAGAAAAAAAAGAAAGAAAGAACGGATTTCCTGTGCGAGGAGGGACTTGGTGTTGGGAGGGGTACAGTCAGGTAGTGGAGCTGAGTCAGGGAGGGACAGAATCAGTGGGGCAGATGGGAACTCACGAGGGGTCCAGTGAGGGCATGAGGGCCAAGAGAGGGTAGGTGAACCCAAAGAAGGGAGTGATTTCTTTTTTGTTTGTTTGTTTGTTTGTTTGTTTTTGTTTTGAGATGGAGTTTTGCTCTTGTTGCCCAGGCTGGAGTGCAATGGCACTATCTCAGCTCACCACAACCTCTGCCTCCTGGGTTCATGCCATTCTCCTGCCTCAGCCTCCTGAGTAGCTGGGACTATAGGCGCCTACCACCACACCTGGCTAATTTTGTATTTTTAGTAGAGATGGGGTTTCTCCATGTTGGTCATGGCTGGTCTTGAACTCCTGACCTCGTGATCTGCCTGCCTCAGCCTCCCAAAGTGCTGGGATTACAGGTGTGAGCCACTGCGCTGGCTGACCTTTTTTTTTTTTTTTTTTGAGATGGAGTCTCGCTCTGTCACCCAGGCTGGAGTGCAGTGGCTCAGTCTTGGCTCACTGCAACCTCCACCTCCCGGGCTCAAGTGATTCTCATGCCTCAGCCTCCCGAGTAGCTGGGACTACTGACACCCACCACCATGCCTGGCTAATTTTTTTTGTATTTTGGTAGAGACTGGGTTTCACCATGTTGCCCAGGGTGGTCTTGAACTGCTGAGCTCAAGTGATCCGTCCGCCTCGGCCTCCCAAAGTGCTAGATTACAGGTGTGAGCCACTGCACCCGGCGGGAGTGACCTCTTTGTCATCCATCCACCTGATTAAGTTTTCAACCTCCTTATCCTGTGGTCCCACCAGCCTGAAGACATAGACGCTCCCAGCCATTCCTAAGAGGACTTTGAGGAGCCCATCATATGGAGAGCAGAACGACATAGGGAAAAAAGGGGTTACTTAGTGGGGTCAGGGGCCAGACTGAAGGCCTTTCTCACCCAGGCCCTTGTTGGTCATGCACAGAAATATCTGCATATCCTCAAGTCCCCCTGGGACTTTGGTCTTCCTACGATTGTTAGGGGACCTGGGTAGCTTCCACTATTCATGACTCCCCCTAGATCGTCACCCTGCATGGGACTGACAACACCAACAGACAACCAGAGGTCCCCCAGAAGTGAAGTCTCAGAATGGAAACTGAGCCCAGGGCCAGGCTGCACCCCAGCCCATGTCTCCGCCAGGGTGCAGCGGGCCCAAACCAAGGTCTGGCCCCAGCCCTGGGCTTTTTCCCTGGTTTTTTTTTTTTTTTTTTTTGAGATGGAGTCTTGCTCTGTTGCCCAGGCTGGAGTACAATGGCGCTATCTCAGCTCATGGCAATCTCTGCCTCCTGGGTTCAAGCAATTCTCCTGCCTCAGCCTCCAGGGTAGCTGTGATTACAGGTATCCGCCACCATGCCTGGCTAATTTTTTGTATTTTTAAGTAGAGATGGGGTTTCACCCTGTTGGCCAGGCTGGTCTTGAACTCCTGACCTCAGGTGATCCGCCTGCCTCGGCCTCCCACAGTGCTGGGATTACAGGTGTGAGCCACCTCGCCCGGCTGGCTTTTTCCTAAACATGGAGCTACTCCTGCCGCCTCAATCAATTCTTTATTTTTTTTAGAGACAAGGTCTTGCTCTGTCACCCAGGCTGGAGTGCAGTGGCATGTCCATAGCTCACTGTAGCTTCGAACTCCTGGGCTTAAGAGATTCTCCCGCCTTAGCCTCCCAAGTAGATCAGACTGCAGGCACCACCGTGCCCAGATAATTTCTTATTTTTAGTAGAGCCAGAGTCTCACTATGTTGCCCAGGCTGGAATGCAGTGGTATGATCATAGCTCACTGCAGCCTCAACCTCCTGGACTCGAGCCATCCTCCTGCCTCAGCCTCCTGAGTAGCTGGGACTATAAACATATGCCACCATGCTCAGAATTTTTTTTTTTCTTTGAGATGGAGTTTCACACTTGTTGCCCAGGTGGAGTGCAATGACACAATCTTGGCTCACTGCAACCTCTGCTTCCCAGGTTCAAGCGATTTTCCTGCCTCAGCCTCCTGAGTAGCTGGGATTACAGGCAAGCACCACCACATCTAGCTAATTTTTGTATTTTTAGTAGAGATAGGGTTTCGCCATGTTGGTTAGGGCTGGTCTTGAACTCCTGACCTCAGATGAACCACCTGCCTCAGCCTCCCAAAGTGCTGGGATTACAGGTGTGAGTCACTGTGTCCAGCCCCAGCTAATTTTTAAAAACGTTTTTGGTAAAGATGGGGACTCACTATGTTGCTTAGGTTGGTCTTGAACTCCTGGGCTCAAGCGATCTTCCCGATTCAACCTCTCAAAGTGCTGGGATTACAGGCATGAGCCACTGCGCCTGGCCTTGATTCATTCTTTAACCCCAATCCCTCCTGGCAGGCTCTGCCCCCTTGTTCAGTCCTGGGGCGGTGGGCAGGGAGGGGGAAGACTTCCTTCTACCAGAGTCAGCTGCTGATACCATCACTGTCATCTTAGGCAGGGCAGCTGCTGTACCCAGCTGAGAAGAAGGGTGGGAGGGGCTGTTATGCTATAGGAACCCCGCCCAGAGGGAGTCTGTTTTTCCCAGGGTCCCCAGCTGTGCTCTTTTCTCCCTGGGCTGAGTCGAGAGCCCTGGCTGGACACTTGCTTTTTGTTTGCAGGCCAGCCAGGGAGGCTCTGCCACCCTCGTGCTCCTGCCCGAGGCCATCCCACGAGTCTGTTATTGATCCAGAGCCGTCCCTTCTCAGCCAAGCCAGGGATTCCCGGCATTTGTCACACTGCCAACTCTCCCAGCACCAACTGGCGGTTGGCAGGGCTGTCTCTTGTAAGCAGCCCATGAAAATATGGCTCGTCCTTGGGAGGCACAGTTAGATGGGCAAAGCGAGGTCCAAAGTCACCTGGCGAGTTGGAAAGGGAAAGAGAACCAGAGGTCTCGACCAGGAGGAGCGTGCCAGGAATGGAGTGATCTCTGCTTATGCGTGGGTCTCCATCCCTGGCCTCCTCAGCGCTGGCACCCAGGGCATCGGTTGATGGGTAGAACAGTGCACCCTTTGGGGTGGAGTGCACGCACCCTGCTCCTGCCCTGCCCAGACCTGCTGGGTGACCCTGGCCAAATGCAGTCCCAGTCAGGCCTCAAGTTCCCCTCTGTAAGCTGAAGGGTTGGGCCAGCCAGTTTCTGGGAAAGGTACCTGCCCAAACGAATTAGTCCACTGGGGCATGGAGGGGAACACCTTTTCTTTTTCTTTTCTTTTTTTTTTTTTTGAGACGGAGTCTCGCTCTTTTGCCCAGGCTGGAGTACAGTGGCATAATCTTGGCTCACTGCAACCTCTGCCTCCTGCGTTCAAGCGATTCTTCTGCCTCAGCCTCCCGAGTAGCTGGTGAGAGGTGACAGCGTACTGGCAGTCCTCGCAGCCCTCGCTCGCTCTCGGCGCCTCCTCTGCCTGGGCTCCCACTTTGGCGACACTTGAGGAGCCCTTCAGCCCGCCGCTGCACTGTGGGAGCCCCTTCCTGGGCTGGCGACGCCGGAGACGGCTCCCTCAGCTTGTGGGGAGGTGTAGAGGGAGAGGCGCGGGCGGGAACCAGGGCTGCGCGTGGAACTTGCGGGCCAGCGCGAGTTCCGGGTGGGCGTGGGCTTGGCGGGCCCCGCACTTGGAGCAGCCGGCCGGCCCCGCCGGCCCCGGGCAGTGAGGGGCTTAGCACCTGGGCCAGCAGCTGCTGTGCTCGACTTCTCACCGGGCCTTAGCTGCCTCTCAGCAGAGCAGGGCTCGGGACCTGCAGCCCGCCATGCCTGAGCCTCCCCACCCCGCTGTGGGCTCCTGCGCGGCCCGAGCCTCCCTGACAAGCACCGCCCCCTGCTCCACGGCGCCCAGTCCCATCGACCACCCAAGGGCTGAGGAGTGCGGGCGCACAGCACGGGACTGGCAAGCAGCTCCACCTGCGGCCCCCATACAGGATTCACTGGGTGAAGCCAACTGGGCTCCTGAGTCTGGTGGAGAACCTTTATGTCAAGCTAAGGGATTGTAAATACACCAATCGGCACTCTGTATCTAGCTCAAGGTTTGTAAACACACCAATCAGCGCCCTGTGTCTAGCTCAGGATTTCTGAATGCACCAATCGACACTCTGTATCTAGCTACTCTGGTGGGGCCTTGGAGAACCTTTGTGTCCACACTCTCTATCTAGCTAATCTAGTGGGGATGTAGAGAACTTTTGTGTCTAGCTCAGGGATTGTAAACACACCAATCAGCCCTGTCAAAACGGACCAATCAGCTCTCTGTAAAATGGACCAGTCGGCTCTCTGTAAAATGGACCAATCAGCAGGACGTGGGTGGGGCCAGATAAGCGAATAAAAGCAGGCTACCCGAACCAGCAGTAGCAAGCCACTTAGGGTCTTCTTCGTCAGTGTGGAAGCTTTGTTGTTTCGCTCTTTGGGTCCACACCGCTTTTAAGAGCTGTAACGCTTGACGTGAATGTTTGTAGCTTTACTCTTCAGCTAGCGAGACCACGAACCCACCGGGAGGAACAAACAATTCCAGATGCGCCGCCTTAAGAGCTGTAACACTCAACGGTGAAGGTCTGCAGCGTCGCTTCTGAGCCAGTGAGAGCATGAACCCACCAGAAGGAAAAAACTCCCGACACGCCGCCTTTAAGAACTGTAACACTCACCGTGAAGGTCCTCGGCTTCATTCTTTGAGTCGGTGAGACCAAGAACCCACGAATTCTGGACTCACCGGGACTACAGGCGTGCTACGACGCCTGGCCATATTGGTGAGGCTGGTTTCAAACTCCTGACCTCGTAATCCTCCTGCCTTGGCCTCCCAGTGTGCTGGGATTACAGGTGTGAGCCACTGTGCCCAGCCGGAAACACCTTTTCTTTGCTTTTCTTAAATTTATTTATTTTTGAGACAAGGTTTTGCACTATCACCCAGGCTGGAGTGCAGTGGTGTGATCATAACTCACTGCAGCTTCTAGCTTTTCGGCTTAAGTGATCCTCCTGCAGGTGCGCACCAGCACATGTGGCTAATTTTTTTTTTCTTTTTTTGCAGGGATGAGTTCTTGCTATGTTGCCCAGGCTGCTCTCTAACTCCTGGTGTCAAGTAAATCTCCTGCCTAGGCCCCCCAAGGTGCTGGGATTACAGGTGTGAGCCCCTGCGCCCAGCCTGCAGTGCCTTTCTATAGTTTCCACTACACATTTACAGATCAGGGACACTTTTTTTTTTTCCTGAAAGTTTTGCTCTGTTGCCCAGGCTGGAGTGCAGTGGCCTGATCTCAGCTCACTGCAACCTCTTGAGTAGCTGGGATTACAGGCGTGCGCCACCACACCCGGCTAATTTTTGTATTTTTAGTAGAGACGGGTTTTGCCATGTTGGCCAGGCTGGTCTTGAATTCCTGACCTCAGCTAATCTGCCCCCTTCAGCCTCCCAAAGTGCTGCGATTACAGGGGTGAGCCACCACGCCCAGCCAGATCAGGGACACTTAGAGCTATGATGCTGTTCACTATCCCCCATGTCTTGATATGCCCTCCAGGCCCCAGGGGAGCTACACTCAGAGGTTCCCCCCATATTCCCTGGGGGGCAATTTCCCTGGGAGGGGCAGTATGGCAGTGGGGCTTAGCCCCCATATCAGGGATTCTGAGCTTTGAGGGCTAGTGCCAGACTGTCTGAGACAAGCCCAGCCTCACCCGCATCCCTCTGCTCTTCTGCTTTCTTCCTCCTCTCCCTCCCCTGCCAACCCGTGACCTCTGGCACTGTTGCAACCCCCCAGGTCCTGGTGTATGCATGTGGGAATGGTGGGGAGGTGTTTGGGGGGGCCAGCCTGACCCCTGCCCTGCCCTGGGCTCTGCCATGGTGGCATAGGGCTTCGGTGGTCTGGGGCTCTGTGCCTGGGCTGGAGGTGGTTTGGGGCTCTGTCCCTGGGCCGGAGCTCCAGTTCCCCCAACCCTCCTGTCCCTTGGTGGCTCTCCTCCATCACCAAGAGGCTCTTGGGACCTAGCTCTGGGGTTCCCTGTCGCCTTTCTGTGGGCAGCTTTTGCTTCTGTCTCCACCCTCTCAACAGAGCAGTCGAAAGCTGCACCTGTCAAATCCTGTTGATTCTATAGTCGGAGTGATGATGGCGCCTGGAAATAATTCACTCCTGGGCAGCCAAGGCCCGGGGCTGCCTGATCTCACAGACTGTGAGGTCAGCAAGCCCTAGACAACACCCGTCCTGGGGGGGAGGGGCAGTTCCAGGCCTGTCCTGCCTTTTTGTTTGTTTGAGACCGAGTCTCACTTTGTTGCCCAGGCTGGAGTGCAGTGGTGCAATCTCAGCTCGCTGCAGCCTCCACCTCCTAGGTTCAGGCAATTCTCCTCTTTCAGAATTTGAGACCAGCATGGCCAACATGGAGGAAGCCTGACTCTACTAAAAATACAAAAATTAGCCAGGCGTGGTGACAGGTGCCTGTAATCCCACTTAGGAGGCTGAGGCCTGAGAATCGCTTGTACCCGGGAGGCGGAGCTTGCAGTGAGCTGAGATCATGCCATTGCACTCCAGCCTGGCTGACAGAGTGAGACTCCATCTAAAAAAAAAAAGAAAAGGCAGGACAGGCCTGGAGAGGCCCAGAATTGCCCCACCACCCCAGAAGCAGCACAAAGACTCCACAAATCTAACACCCAGCAGAGACCCCCAGATCTGGGCCAGCCTGTCCTGTCCTGCCAGCCAGAGCCCACTATGCCCAGAGGTGCTGCCCCAGGCTCACATCATCTGAGCTGAGCCCTAGAGCGTGGGCTGGGACCTGCTCTGACTCCCCACCCTGCTCCAGATGTGGGTCTCTGGACAGGGAACTCGAGGGAGTAGACTGGGCTGGGCGCAGCAGCTCTCCCCTGTAATCCCAGCACTTTGGGAGGTCAACGCAGGAGGATGGCTTGAGCTCAGGAGTTTGAGACCAGCCTGGGCAACATAGCGAGACTCTGTCTACCAAAAAAAAAAAAAAAATCAGCCAGGCTTGTGGCGCGCTCCTGGAGATGCCTTGAGCCTAGGAGTTCCAGGCTGCAACACTTTGGTATGGTGCACCAAGATCCCACTACTGCACGCCAGCCTGTATGACAGTAGGAGACTGTCCCTAAAAAAGAAGCTGGGGCCGGGCGTGGTGGCTCACGCCTGTAATCCCAGCACTTTGGGAGGCTGAGGCGGGCAGATCACCTGAGGTTGGGAGTTCGAGACCCACCTGACCAACATAGAAAAACCCTGTCTCTACTAAAAATACAAAAATTAGCCGGGTAGGGTGGCGCACGCCTATAATCCCAGCTACTCTGGAGGCTGAGGCAGGAGAATCGCTTGAACCTGGGAGGCGGAGGTTGCAGTGAGCCGAGATCACGCCATTGCACTCCAGCCTGGGCAACAAGAGCAAAACTTGGTCTCAAAAAAGCAGCAAGGTGGTGGGGGGTGATATTGGGGGTGGTGTGGACATGCTCCAGGCCCTCGCCTGCAGGGTGCCACCCTTCTTAGGGAACCTGGGAAAGTCAGACTGTGGGCTGAGAAAAGAACATGGGAGTATTTTTTTTTTTTTTTTTTTTTTTTTTTTTTTCTTCTGAGACGGAGTCTTCCTCTGTCGCCCAGGCTGGAGTGCAGTGGCACGATCTCGGCTCACTGCATGCTCCGCCTTGAACATGGGAGTATCTTGCTACAGCCTCAGACTCTGGGTCCCTCAAATATTTGAGGACCTTGGGACTGAGCTCCAAAGCTCCCATCTGTTTTTTGTTTTTTTTTTTTAGATGGAGTTTTGCTCTTGTCCCCCAAGCTGGAGGGCAGTGGCATGGATCTTGGCTCACTGCAACTTCTGCCTCCTGGGTTCAAGCGATTCCCCTGCCTCAGCCTCCTGAGTAGCTGGAATTACAGGCATGCAACACCATGCCCGGCTAATTTTTGTACTTTTAGTAGAGACGGAGTTTCACTGTTGGCCAGGCTGTCTCGAACTCCTGTCCTCAGGTAATCCACCCGCCTCGGCCTCCCAAAGTGCTGGGATTATAGGTGTGAGCCACCGCGCCTGGTCCCCCATCTGCTTTCTACCTCAACTTTCCCTGGGCCTGGTGAGAGGGTGGCAGCTAGGGCAAGGGCAGACAAGAGAGAGGGGAACTGGGCCCTTGGAAGCCTGTCTACACCTGGAGGGAGGCCAGCTGGAAATAAACACAGGCAACAAGAGCTGCTGGCCCAGCCAGCAGCACAGGTCTGAGCCCGTCGGTTGGCCAGGGCTCTGCCCAATCTCCCCACCCCGAGACTCTGCGGGCTCCGTTCTCACCCCATTTCGGCTTGCCAGTTCCCTTGTGACTGCCAACAGGGATGCCCTGGCCTCAGGGAGTGTGGCGGTGACAGAGATCTCAAAGCTTGCCAGGTCCACTGTGGTGTCCTTGGGGTGTGCTGAAGCCGATGCCAAGCTTTTGACATAGTAATCCTCCCATCAGCTCTGAGGTGCAATTACCTCTGTGCCCCTTCACCTGGGACCCAACCTAGGTGCTCCTGAGAACTCAAGCCTCAGGTGCTTCTCTTATTTCCTCCTCCTTCCCCACCTTACAGTTTTAATTGCAATCGTGACCTTGCAATCATGACCTTTTTTTTTTTTCTTTTAAAGATGGGGTCTCACTCTTTCTCTCTGGGCTTTTGGTTGTTTTGAGACAGGATCTTGTTCTGTTGCCCAGGCTGGAGTGCAATGGCACGATGTTAGCTCACTGTACCCTTCACAACTCCTGGGCTCAAGCGATCCTCCTGCCTCAGCCTCCTGAGTAGCTGGGACTACAGGCGTGCAGTACCACCCTGCCTAATTTTTATTTTTTAGAGACAGTCTTACTATGTTGTCCAGGCTGGTCTAGAACTCTTGGCTTCAAGCACTCCTCCTGCTTCAACCCCCCAAAGTGCTGGGATTGTAGGTATGAGCCACTGCGCCCGGCCCTAAGACCTCTGTCTTTATGGATGTGAGTCAGCCTGTGTCCAGCAACCTACACCAGTGTACCCACATGGCCCAGCACGGGCCTGAGCAAAGATGACTCCTGAAAGCCAGCAAATGGCAGGTGCCTGAGGCTTCCTTCCACAAACACCAGGGCCTGGGCCAGTGACAGGTGGTTGCTTTGAACTTTATTTGAGAAAAACAGAAGATAAATGTATCAAAAGAACACACAGGTGGCGGGGGAGGCACAGCCAGTGGCGGCAGCAGGGGTGGGCATCCGGGCTAAGGCTTTACTTGGCGGCAGTCTCATCGGATTTTGCAGCTTCTGGGCCCCCAAGCTGGGCCCGCGACTCGAAGGTGACTGGGATGGTGATCTCGTTGGACTGCGTGGCTAGCTTGGGCATGGGGGCCTCCACGGTCAGTGTGCCCTCAGGGGACAGGGAGGAGGAAACTTGGGTGGGGTCCACACCGGGGGGCAGCCTGGACGTGCAGAGAGGAAAGGCAAGCGTTACATTACACACCGGGTGGGTCCCTGTGCCCTCTTCCCTGACCCCACCCCCACGCCACCCACCCACCCCGACCTGGCGCCAGGACTCACGTGTATTTCCGCGTGAAGCACCGGGAGATGTAGCCATGCTCGTCCTGCCGCTCCTCGTGCTTGCCTTTGGGGGGAAGAGGGAAATCAGACTGCGGGGGAGGGGACTGCCTTTCGGCCCCGCTAGGCCAGAGGCCCCACCTCCTGCTTGGAAGCAGCCAGGACTGCAGGCTGGTAGGGATTAACAGAGGGGGTTGGGGATGGGGGCGTGCCCGCCGGTCTGGGCTCTCAGAAACTTCCGGAAAGTTCTTCGATTCAGAGTTTTGGGAGGAACGGAGCAGGGCGCGGAGCTGGGGAGTGAGCAGTACGCAGGCGCACTTGGAGCCGCGCACACGCCCACTCAGCGGCTAGAAACTGGCACCGCGCCAGGGAACTCCCCGCTTATCTGGGGATGGGGCTGTGGGTGGGAAGGGGACTCTGTAGAAAAGCGCATTTTCTCTCTTCATCGATGATCTTTAAAAAAATTTTTGTTTGCTTTTTTTTTGTAATGGCGCGGGGTCGGGGCGGGGGGGCGCGTCTCGCTATGTTGCCCAGGCTAGTCTTGAACTCCTGGCCTCAAGCGATCCTCCCGTCTCGGCCTCCCAAAGCGCTGGGATTACAGAGCAGAAAGCGCCCTTAGAAGCGACCCGCACTCCCAATTCCTGAGCAAGGGAATCAGGAGTCCTGTTTTTCCCGGTGCTGGGCCAACGTTTAACTCCCCAGGCCCCCGGGACCCCCGTTTCAACCGCACGCCCCCGGCCCTGCCCGCCCTGCTAGCCTCCTCCTCTCCCCTGCAGGAGCAGGGGGGCTCACCGGTGATCTCCACCACGCCATCCTTGGTCTTGACCGTCAGCTCGTCCGGGGCGAAGTGGTTGACATCCAGGGACACGCGCCAGCGGTCCGCAGTGTGCCGGATCTCCGAGACCCCGCTGCTGAGTTGCCGGCTGAGCGCGCGGCTGTAGGCGGGCGCGGCCACTGCGGGGCTCTCGATGGCGGCGGGGGGCAGGGGGCGCACGTAGCCTGGCCAGCTGCTGCCGCCTAACCACTGCGACCACTCCTCCGGCAGCCGGGGCAGCCCGAAGGCCTGGTCGAAGAGGCGGCTATGCGGGTACCAGTCGCGGAAGGGGTCCCAGCTGGGGCCCCGCAGGAGCGAGAAGGGGACGCGGCGCTCGGTCATGCTGGCTGACTCTGCTCTGGACGTCTGCTCAGAAAAGTGCGGGGCGCTGGGCTCGGCTGCGCTTTTATGCTCCTCCAGTCGGGTATTTTTAGCAGGCGGTGTTTGAGGTCTCTATTAATGGCAATGACCCGTTTGAGGGCCGCCCCTCCCCATGCACTCCTCCCCCAGCGTTCAGGGGCCGTGGGCGGGGCGAAGAGGGTTCAGCCCTCATCTGGAACCTTCTCTCGTTAAGGAAAGCAAATGAATTCGAGAGCGCGACGCTGGAGCCGTGCCACGGCAGGGCACTCGCCGGCCCTGGTGCTTAAGCGTTGCTGGCTGTGGCCCGTGGCCAGGGCCGTCCTTCTGTTAAGGAGGACAGAGCCAGACAGGTTGGGTTGGGGCATACAACTGAGAAGTGGCAGAGGCAGGATTGGAACCACACGCGTGTGAGATAGAATGTGATAAAAGGAGTCTGGTGCTTGAGCCCAGGAGTTGAGGCTGCAGTGAGCTATGATCTCACCACTGCACTCCAGCCTAGGCAACAGATCAAAGTCTTGTCTCTCAAAAAAATTTTAAAAAGGGGCTGGGTGCATGGCTCATGCCTGTAATCTCAGCACTTTGGGAGGCCAAGGCAGAAGGGTCCCTTGAGGCTAGGAGTTTGAGACCAGTCTGGGCAACATAGTGAGACCCTACTTCTACCAAAAAATATTTAAAAATTAGCTGGGCATGGTGGTGCATGCCTGTGGCCCCAGCTACTCCAGAGGCTGAAGCAGGAGGATCCTTTGAACCCCGGTGAGTAGAGGCTGTGGTGAGCTGGATTGCACCACTGCACTTCAGCCTGGGCTACAGAGCAAAACCCTGTCTCAAAATAAGTAAATGAATAAATACAAATACAAAAATAAAGCAGTCTGGGCTGGGCGTGGTGGCTCACGCCTGTAATCCCAGCACTTTGGGAGACCGAGGTGGGAGGATCACCAGAGGTCAGGAGTTTGAGACCAGCCTGGCCAACATGGTGAAACCCCATCTCTACTAAAAATACAAAAATTAGCTGGGTGTGGTGGCGGGCGCCTGTAATCGCAGCTGCTGGGGAGGCTGAGGCAGGAGAATTGCTTGAACCCAGAAGGCAGAGGTTGCAGTGAGCCGAGATCTCACCACTGTACTCCAGCCTGGGTGACAGAGTGAGACTCCATCTCAAAAAAAAAAAAAGAAAAAAGAAAAAAGCAATCTAGTAATCTGGTGTGGTTGTTAGGCGTGTGGACTTTGAAGCCAGACTGCCTGAATTCACATCTTTGTTCCATCACTAAGCAGATGAACTTGTGCAAGTTAGATTCTTTGTGCCTCAGTTTCCCCATCTGGAAAATAGAGATGATAATGATGGTAACAGTCATGCATTGCATAAAGATGTGTAAGTCAGCAAGGGACAGCAAATATGAAGGTGGTCCCATAAAATTATATTACTGGCTGGGTGCAGTGGCTGACATCTGTAATCTTAGCACTTTGGGAGGCTGATGTGGGAGGATTACTTGAAGCCAGAAGGCTGGAACAAGCCTGGGCAACACAGTGAGACCCCATCTCTACTAAAATTCAGAACAAATTAGCCAGGCATGGTGGCGTGGACCTGTAGTCCCAGATACTCAGGAGGCTGAGGTGGGAGGAGCACTTGAGCCAAGGAGGTCGAGGCTGCAGTGAGCCTGATGGTGCCACTGCACTCCAGTCCGCATGACAGAACAAGACCCTGTCTCAAAACAAACAAACAAAAACAATTACCGTGTTTTTACTGTACATCTTCTATGTTTTATTTATTTATTTATTTATTTATTTTGAGATGGAGTCTCCCTCTGTCGCCCAGGCTGGAGTGCAGTGGCCTGATCTAGGCTCACTCCAACCTCTACCTCCCAGGTTCAAGTGATTCTTCTGCCTCAGCCTCCTGAGTAGCTGGGACTACAGGCAAGTGCCGCGACACTGGCTAATTTTTGTATTTTTAGTACAGATGGGGTTTCACCATGTTCGCCAGGCTGGTCTTGAACTCCTGACCTCAAGTAATCCACCCGCCTGGGCCTCCCAAAGTGCTAGGATTACAGGCGTGAGCCACCGCGCCTGGCCATCTTCTATCTTTAGAAACACTAATACTTACCCTCATGTTGCAGCTGCCTTCAATATTTGGTGCAGTCATATGCTGTAGAGGTTTGTAGCCTAGGAGCAGTAGGCTAGACCATATGGCTTAGGTGTGTAGTAGGCTAGACCATCTAGGTTTGTGTAAGTCCACTCTGAGATGTTCCCACAATGATGAAATTGCCTAACAAGGAATTTGTTGAATGTGTCTGTTATTAAGTGACTCATGACTGTAATGGGTTGGCCTGAGGATTTGGTGACCTAATGCAGGTGATGACTTTGGCCCGGAGCCTGGTACATCATAATTATTGTTACCTGCCTGGGATTGAAGAGAGGGAAAAGGAAGGAGAATACATGGGGTTTGGCCATTTTCCCCCTTCCCCTAACAGCGCAGCTGGCCCAGATCAGAACCTCCATGGCACAGTGCTGAGAGGGGCCAGGAGGAAGATTACTGTCACATCTCCTACTATATGTATCTTTCCTTAAGAAGCACTGGTTGGCCGGGCGTGGTGGCTCCCACCTGTAATCCCAGCACTTTGAGAGTCTGAGGCAGACTTATTGCCTGGGTTCAGGAGTTCAAGACCAGCCTGGCCAACATGCCGAAACCCCGTGTCTGCCAAAAATACAAAAAATTAGCCAGGTGTGATGGGTGCCTGTAATCCCGGCTACTGGGGAAGCTGAGGCACGAGGATCATTCCAGGAGGCAGAGGTTGCGGGGAGCTGAGATCGCGCCACTGCACTCCAGCCTCGGTGACAGAACGAGACTCTGTCTCAAACAAAAAAGAAAAAACAAAAAAGAAAAAGAAACACTGGCCAGGAACCTCAAATGCCGCAAACTTGAATTAGTCTGGACTTCCTGTGTCATTCTGGGCAAATCCCCTCCTTTCTCTAGGCCTCAGTTTCCCTTTCTGCAGATTTTGATGCCCACATCACAGAGGGAGAGGGGAGCTCCAAGTAGTAGAGTCTGCACAGAAGTGCTTAGAGCCTGGAGCTTGCCCCTTGACCCTACCTCATCCATCTAAACACCAATGGGATCCTGGCTCCTATCTCCCAGCTTGGAGGGAGGGTGCTGCCCTAGGCTCCTGCCACAACCCTGACATTCCCTCTTTCCTGTCTTTGTAGGCATGGCCATTCCAGCCTTCCTTCTCCCCTGACTTAGGTCCCTGTTTTAGTTGTTGTTGTTTTTTTTTTTTTTGTCTTTTTTTTTTTTTTTTTTTTGAGCCAGAGTCTCACTCTATCACTCAGGCTGGAGTGCAGTGGCGCAATCTCAGCTCACTGCAACCTCCGCCTCCTGGGTTCAAGCGATCCTCCTGCCTCAGACTCCCAAGTGGCTGGGATTACAGGCATGTGCCACCATACCCGGCTAATTTCTGTATTTTTAGTAGAAACGGGGTTTCGCCATGTTGGTCTCAAACTCCTGACCTCAAGTGAGCCGCCTGCCTTGGCCTCCCAAAGTGCTGGGATTACAGGCATGAGCCACCACACCCGGCTAATTTTTGTATTTTTAGTAGAAACAGGGTTTCGCCATGTTGGTCTCAAACTCCTGACCTCAAGTCAGCCACCTGTCTCGGCCTCCCAAAGTGCTGGGATTACAGGTGTGAGCCACCGCACCCGGCCCTGTTATCCCTGGTTTTTAGACAAGGAAACTGCTGTGCACAGAGATTAAATGGCTTTCTGCTGTCTCCGGTAAAGTGCTCTCAGAGCCAACCTCCTGCCTCTCTAGTACCCAGGGCCTCCCACTTCTTCTGTCCCACTGTACTTGCTGTCCCTATCCTGGGACTGAGGCTCCACTCCTCCTACTTCTATGGGGAGCCAAGGCCACTGAAGTCTTGCCCTGCCCAGGCCCAGAATCGGGGCAGACTCCAGGCCACTCACCTTGATGAGCTGGGGAAGCAGCAAGTCCTCATGCCTTCTCTGAGCCTCAGTTTCCTTTTTGAGAGAGAGCTCATAAATGCCTTTCTCTCTCTCCTTTTTTTTTTTTTTTTTTGTTGAGACAGAGTCTCGCTGTGTTGCCCAGGCTGGAGTGCAGTGGAGTGATCATAGCTCATTGCAGTCTTGACCTCCTGGGCTCAAGTGATTCTTCTGCTTCAGCCTCCTGAGTCACTGGGACTACAGATGTGTGCCACCACACTTGGCTAATTTTTAAATTTTTTGTAGAGACAGGTGTCGCACCATGTTGCCCAGACTAGTCTTGAACTCCTGGCCCCAAGAGATCTTTCTGCCTAGGCCTCCCAAAGCACTGGGATCACAGGCGTGAGCCACTGCGCCCGACCTAGATGCCTTTCTTTCTTTCTTTTTTTTTTTGAGACGGAGTCTCACTCTGTCACCCAGGCTGGAGTGCAGTGGTGCGATCTTGGCTCACTGCAAGCTCCGCCTCCCGGGTTCACGCCATTCTCCTGCCTCAGCCTCCAGAGTAGCTGGGACTACAGGCGCCCACCACCACGCCCGGCTAATTTTTTGTATTGTTTTTTTTTTTTTTTTAGTAGAGACAGGGTTTCACTGTGTTAGTCAGGATGGTCTTGATCTCCTGGCCTCGTGATCCACCTGCCTCGCCTCCCAGAGTGCTGGGATTACAGGTGTGAGCCACCGGCCCTAGATGCCTTTCTGTCTTACCCACCTGCTCCCCATCAGGGAAGAGCTGGGGCTGGACCATGAATCTGAGATCACTCCTGGAAAGGCCTCTGAACTCCTGGGGCTCTCGGGAGCCAATGGTGGGAGGCAGACAGGACCCCTGCCTTCTACCTCACCTCCCTGGCTGGGTCATTGTCATGAGCCCAGTGGGTCTCATTTGGGAGCTCCTGGTTGACACCCCATGGGACAGCATCAGAAAGCCCCAGGTTTTTGCTCCCCAGTGCTCCCAGCCCCACCCATCCCCAGCTGTATAAAGTCGAGGTGAGGTCAGGAGCCAGGGAGGGCCCTCATCTGCCTCTGCCTGCTCACCTTGGCCCAGACGGGAGCTGGGGGTGCCCCACCCCAGAGGGAGCTGTCAGGTGTGGTTATAAATGCTTCCAGGTGTGGCTCTATCAGGCCCAGCCATGCTCTGGATGGGAGCTGCCAGCCCTTTGTAGACACAAGCTCCCTTCATCTTGCCTGAAACCAGGACGGACTGGATCTATTCCTGCTGCCTGAGAGATTGTGCAACTCAAGGCACCAAACCCACACACTCTGCTCACTCCCTCGGAATTCACGTTCATCTTCAAGGGCTCAGTTTTGTTTTTTTTGAGATGGAGTTTTGCTCTGTTGCGCCGGCTGGAGTGCAGTGGCACAATCTCAGCTCACTACAACCTCTGCTTCCCAGGTTCAAGCAATTCTCCTGCCTCCTGAGTAGGTGGGACTACGGGCGTGCACCACCACGGGCTGGGCGCGGTGGCTAACAGCTGTAATCCCAACACGTTGGGAGGCCGAAGTGGGTGGATTGCTTGAGGTCAGGAGTTCAAGACCAGCCTGGCTAAGGGCTCAGTTCTTGAGGGACGACTTTTAGATCACCCACAAGGGAGAGGAGATGGGTGGTTTCTGGCAGCATGGGGGTGAGGTGGGTGGTAGGGCAGAAACTGGGTTTTGGGGACAGATAGGGCTGGGCTTGAATGTGGGTGCTGCTGTCCTGGTGACCACTCTGAGCCCACATGTCCCTATTTGCAAAGTAGAGCTAGCAACGCCCCTGCCCGTCTGACAGCATTGTGGTCAGTTTCAAGTGCGTGAATGTGTGTAAAGTGCTCGGTGCACAGTAAGCGCTCACGGTGACTGCGAGGGCCTTTAATTGTGGATACTGAGCCTTAGAATAATCAGAATTACCCAGTTCTATGTGGTTTTTTTGTTTTTGTTTTTTTTGGTTGGTTTGTTTTTGAGTCAGAGTCTTGCTCTGTCACCCAGGCTGGAGTGCAATGGTGTGATCTTGGCTCACTGCAACCTCCACCTCCTAGGTTCAAGCAATTCTCCTTCCTCAGCCTCCTGAGTAGCTGCGATTACAGGCACCTGCCACCACGCCCAGCTAGTTTTTGTATTTTTAGTAGAGATGGGGTTTCACCATATTGGCCAGGCTGTTCTCTTAGCCAGGCTGGTCTCAAACTCCTGACCTCGTGATCCACCCACCTTGGCCTCCCAAAGTGCTGGGATTACAGACATGAGCCACCATGCCCGGACATATGTGCTTTATAGAGCGTCAAAGTATCCTATCAGAGTCACTTTTTCTTCCTTTCCTTTTTTATTTATTTATTTTTTGAGACAGAGTCTCGCTCTGTCGCCAGGCTGGAGTGCAGTGGCACCATCTCAGCTCACTGTAACCTCCACCTCCTGGGTTCAAGCGATTCTCCTGCCTCAGCCTCCCGCCACCATGCCCGGCTATTTTTTGTATTTTTAGTAGAGATGGGGTTTCACCATGTTGGCCAGGCTGTTCTCAAACTCCTGACCTCAAATGATCCACCTGAGCCTCCCAAAGTGCTGGGATTACAGGCGTGAGCCACCGCGCCCAACTTCCTTTTTTTTTTTTTTCTTTTAATAGATAGGGTCCCCACTCTGTTGCCCAGGCTGGAGTGCAGTGATGCAATCATAACCCACTGTAGCCTCAACGTTCCGGGCTCACGTGATCCTCCCTGCTCAGCCTCCTGAGTAGGTGGGACTGCAGGCACATGCCACCACACCCAGCCAATTTTACAATTTTTTGTAGAGAGGGGGTCTCACTATGTTACTCAGGCTGGTCTTGAACATCTGGCCTCAAGCAATCCTCCTTAGTCTCCTGACTACCTGGGCTTACAGGCATGAGCCAAGGCATCCAGCTAGGAGTCCCATTTATTGAGATGAGAAAACTGAGGGTCAGAATGGCCCCAGGGTCACAAAGCTGGTAAGGGTCTCAGACCTCCCTATTCTCCATCCAGCAAGGGGGAGACTTCCCAGACAGTTCAGAGAGGGCTGTGGGCTTCCAGGGCACAGGGGCAGGAGTGCATGTCTTCCAGCCTAACCGGGTGCCTTTTTTCTAGGAGGCTGCACTCTGCCCTCCCCACTGGGCAACCGAGCTGGGCAAGGGGGCCAGGGCTGGGTGGCGGCTCCCACATGCCCCCCTGCCCAGCTGTTCTCTGTCAGTCTGTGGCTGGCTCCAGCATCCAGAGCACTGAGATGCCAGGGGTGGTTTTTCTGGGATAGAGAAGAAAATGCAGGCTGGGCGCAGTGGCTCACGCCTGTAATCCCAGTACTTTGGGAGGCCGAGACGGGTGGATCATGAAGTCAGGAGTTCGAGGCCAGCGTGACCAACAGGGTGAAACCCCGTCTTTACTAAAAATACAAAAATTAGCCAGGCGTGGTGGCATGTGCCTGTAATCCCAGCTACTCAGGAGGCTGAGGCAGGAGAATCACTTGAACCCAGGAGGTGGAGGTTGCAGTGAGCCAAGATCGTGCCACTGCACTCCAGCCTGGGCAACAGAGCAAGACTCTGTCTCAAAAAAAAAAAAAAAAAAAAAAAAAAAAAAGGAAAATTCTAGCCCCAGGGATTTCCCAGAAGCCACCGTGGAGTGGGGTTGGGGGAGGGTGAGAGGGCAGGTCATGGCCCTTCCCCTTCTTCATTGCCCACTGCAAGGTCCAGGGAGTCCTTCATTGGACGGTCCCTCCCCTCATCTCTAGCCCCCAAATGTGGGGTGCTCAGCAGCAGCCCCAAGACTAACCCCCTTCCTTTCCCTGCGCCCAAGGCCTTGACCATGCTGGCCACGCCCTCTGCAGGCCTCTGCCAACTGCGGCTGAACCAGCCCCGCCTTCACTGGCCCCGCCTCAGAGAAAGTGCCAGAGTCTCCAGGCAGCTGCCCGAGCTCCCTGGAGAGGCCTGACAGCTGATGGATGACGCCAGCCCCCGGGCCTGCTGGGAATTGAAAATATGGACGACAGTAATCAGAGCGCCGGGGGTGGGGTAGAGGGGACGCTGGGTCTTTCTGGAAACGTCTAGACACTGTCTCTCTGGGAGTCCGCTTCTAAAAACCCACCTCCAGCCTGCCCCACTCCCTGGACCTCTGGTTTCTGGCTGGACTGGGAGGGGGCCATGCCACCCCCATCACCACTGAAGCGGGGGCCACAGAGGGACCAGGTGGGAGGGCTGGGGATCTGTCCTCCCGCCCCTCCCGCTCTGGCTGTCTAGCTCTGGAGTCTGGGGACCTGGATGTCTTTGACTGCAGCCTTGGCCAAGGGCCGGCATCCGTGACTCATTTTCTTGATCTGTACAATGAAACCATTGGACTGGATGTTCTAAGTCTCCTTCCAGGGCCGTGAATCAACAGTTTCTCCTCCATTCTTCCCCTCCCCTCCAGGTCCCCTGCATTACCCACTCCACAGCCTAAATGCTGCAGGACAGGGCTGTGCACATGGGAAGGGGTGACAAAGATCCCCCGTTTGACCAAACTTTACTCAGACTCTGGAACCTCCTAAGCCCCTCTGCATAAATCCAGTCTTCCCCACCCCCCCGCCGACAGAGTCTCGCTCTGTTGCCCAGGCTGGAGTGCAATGGCGCAATCTCAGCTCACTGCAACCTCTGACTCCTGGGTTCAAGCGATTCTCCTGCCTCACTTAGCCTCCCGAGTAGCTGGGATTACAGGCATGAGCCACCATGCCTGGCTAAGTTTGTATTTTTAGTAGAGATGGGGGTTCACCATGTTGGTCAGGCTGGTCTTGAACTCCTGACCTCAGGTGATCCACCCGCCTTGGCCTCCCAATGTGCTGGGATTACAGGCGTGAGCCACTGCGCCCTGTTCGTAAATCCAGTTTTTGCAAGAAACCTGTTTAGCAAGAGCCGCTCACCCTTGAGATCTGATCACCCTCCAATCAGGTTCCTCATCCTCTACCATCTCCCAGGTGGTGTCTGATCTCCCTGGCTGGCCTTCAGCTAGAATCCTGCTAGGTCAGTTGAGCCAGAACCCCCCAGTATTTCCTCTTAGTAATTTTCCATCCACTCACGCCACCCTGCTCCTGGGCCATAAATTCTCCCTTGCCCGTGCTCTCTTCAGAGTTGAGCCCAATCTCTCTTCCTCCACTGCACAATCCCATTGCAGTCTTGCCTAGATATCTCTTGTGATGATCCTGAATAAAATGTTCCTGCTCGTGCTTTAACGAGTATCATAGAATCATTTTTTAAACAGTGGAGGTAGGAGTGAGGGGAGGACAGGAGACACTCACCAGGCCTGAGATGGGAACGTTCCCTCCCTGTTGGCCAGCTAAGCCTGGATATGACCTGCGCTGCTTTAAATCAGAGTGAGATGGAGAAAAGGGGTGAATGAGGCAGGAGTCCTCCTTAAGCCTGCGGGAGAGTGGGATTCCTATCCCGAGATAGATTTAGATTTCCCCCTTAAGAGAGCCCTAGAAAGTGGGTAGGTGGAGGGGGAGGTAGGAGACCCCCAGGCATCTGGGTCTCTAAGATGCCTCCTTGGGTAGGTGGAGGGGGAGGTAGGAGACCCCCAGGCATCTGGGTCTCTAAGATGCCTCCTTGGGTGAGTGGAGGGGGGCCTGGAGGCCAGCAGGTGCCTGGTGATGGGGCCAGTTTGCTGAGTATTCCCTCAACTGAGAGAGGAAGGCAGGAGGCCCGGGGTCTTCTAGAACGTCTCAAAAAAAGGCAGGCAGGCCGCACGAGGTGGCTCATGCCTGTAATCCCAGCGCTTTGGGAGGCTGAGGCAGGTGGATTGCTTGAGGCCAGGAGTTTGAGACCAGCCTGGCCAACATGGTGAAACCCTGTTCCTACTAAAAATACAAAAATTAGGCCAGGCGCAGTGGCTCACGCCTGTAATCCCAGCACTTTGGGAGGCTGAGGTGGGCAGATCACCTGAGGTCAGGGGTTCGAGACCAGCCTGGCCAACATGGTGAAATCCCATCTCTACTAAAAATACAAAAATTAGCCAGGTGTGGTGGTGCACACCTGTAATCTCAGCTACTCAGGAGACTGAGGCAGGAGAGTCACTTTAACCCGGGAGGTGGAGGTTGCAGTGAGCCGAGATCGTGCCATTGCACTCCAGCCTGGCGACAAGAGTGAAACTCCATCTCAAAAGAAAAAAAAAAACCTACAAAAATTAGCCGGGCATGGTGGTGCAAACCCAAAGTCCCAGCTCTTAGGAGGCTGAAGCTTGAGAATTGCTTGAACCTGGGAGGTGGGGGTTGTAGTGAGCTGAGATTGCACCACTCACTGCACTCCAGCCCGGGTGACACAACGAGACTCTGTCTCAAAAAAAAAAAAAAAAAAGTTGGGGGTGGTGAGGGGATGGGGGACAGGCTGGGACAGCCAAGCTGGGCAGGTGCCCTGTGGCCTGTCACCCTGTCTGGGGCTGTAGGAAACTGATTAAGGAGAAAGGGGAAAATACAGTTGTGAAAACAGGAAACCGGAAAGCTCTGTCCGGCCTCCTGGCTGCTGTATGTGTTGGAAGGAAAAACGTGGTATGGAGTGGGGGCTCCCCTGGGCCCTATCTGAAGAGAGAGAGACCACGAGAGGACCAAGTTTACCCCAAACCAGAAGAGTGCGCCCCAGGCTCAGGACCCTCTGGCGAGAAGTGCCCACATCCTGGGGACGGTCTTCTGCCCGCTGCTCTGGGACTGGAGTTTCCTGTTTTCCTGCCGGCCGTCCTGGTCCTATTCTTCCCTTTCCCCAGGGTATAGAGCAGAGTTCAGTCGGCTGACTGAGTTCAGACGGGGTGGGGCGGGGGGGGGGCTGGTATGCTCCCCACCCCTTCCCCACGAAGCCAGGGCAGGCATGGAGGACGAAGGCTTGGGGCTTCCAGGCTGGGACGAGCCCTGGCCCAGGCATCTCTCTGCTCCAAGCCTGTTGGTCCTGGCTGCATTTTTTCCCTTACTCTCTGTCGCCCTCTAGTGTCGGCTTTCCGCCACCACGCCTCGCCTTTGGTGCCCAGGCCTCCCCCAAAGTTTCTGCAACCGTTCCTCTGCGGGTTCCTTCCTTCACTCGATGACTCATTCAACAAACATTTCAAAGTGGCCTACGTGGGCGATGCAGAGACAAGGAAGACATGTCCTGGCCTCCAGAAGCTCAGAGCTTTGGGGAGAGATAAACATGCTAGCAAATAAATCACTGGAAGAAGAGACTGGGCCCTAAACACAGGCTCCCAGAGAACCCCAGAGACAGGAGTAGTCACGGCAGCTGCACATCAGGAAGGCCGCATGGAGGAGGAGGTGGCTGAGCTGGGCCTTGGCCTGTGAGCTCACCTGAACCCGTGGAGGCAGAGAGGGCATGAGGGGCGCCAGCTGGGCTCGGGGTATTGGAATCAAGGGCAGCGATGGGAGATAAGGTGGGAGGGCGCCCTGGGAGGAGCCAAGGATGGCACGTGCCAGGTGGAGTCACTCAGAAGGCCTTCCAAGGCCTGTGAGCTGGTGGATGTGGCCTCAGGAGGCAGGTTCTGCATGGCAAGGAGTTCTGTCTCATTTATTCAGTACTGTGTCCTCAGAGCCAGCCACTCTGCAGGGGACATAGGAATTGTTCAATAAGTATTTGTGGAATGAGTGAATGGGTGTTCAGATCTGCATGTTAGAAATAATGGGAGTGGTCAGGCATGGTGGTTCATGCCTGGAATCCCAGTGCTTTGGGAGACTGAGGCAGGAGGATCGCTCTAGGCCAGGAGTGTGAGACCAGCCTGGGCAACATAGCGAGATCCCGTCTGTACAAAAAATAATGGCCGGGTGCAGTGGCTCATGCCTGTAATCCCAGCACTTTGGGAGGTCGAGGTGGGTGGATCACTTGAAGTCAGGAGTTTGAGACCAGCCTGGCCAACATGGTGAAACCTCATCTCTACTAAAAACACAAAAACTAGCTGGGTGTGGTGGTGCATGCCTATAATCCCAGCTACTCAGGAGGCTGAAGCAGGAGAATTGCTTGAACCCAGGAGGCGAAGGTTGCAGTGAGCCGAGATTGTGCCACTGCACTCCAGCCTGGGTGACAGAGCGAGACTCTGTCTCAAAACAAAAACAAGAAAACAAAAAAGCAAAAATTAACGGCGTAGTGGAGTGCACTCGTAGTCCCAGCTACTCAGGAGGCTGAGGCAGGAAGATCTCTTGAGACCAGGAGATCAAGGCTGCAGTGAGCCATAATGGTGCCACTGCACTCTAGCCTGAGCGACAGAGTGAGACCCTGTCGCAAAAAAAAAAAAAAAAAAAAAAAGGAAAGAAAAGAAAAAAGCAGGAGGGATTGGAGAAGGCAATGAGGCAGGCTGGCCAGTGAGGAGGCCGGTAGGGCCAGGTGCTGAGGTGGGGTGGGAAGGAAGCAATTGCAATGGCTGGGAGCAGCCTGGCTGTGGCGTGCAGAAGGCAGTCAGGCTGGGCAGTGACGGAATGGGATGGGAGGTTGGGGGACGGAGCAGCCAGACAGCAGAGTCCCTAGGCCCAGTGCCATGCTCAGTGTGAGACAGGCTGAGTTGCAGGACAACCTCAACTGTGCTGCCACTCAGATGTGCAGATGTGTTTCACGCATCTCTAGCACAGGGCCAAGTCTGCTTCCCCGTAGCCCAGCCCCTTGCCTTGAGGCGTTTTGTTGAACTTGTTAGAAAGGGTTACAGAGATCACGAGGGCTTCTTTTTGTTATCTTTTTTTCTTTCTTTCTTTGTGTGTGTGTGTGTGTGTGTGTGAGAGAGAGAGAGAGAGAGAGAGAGAGAGGAGAGAGAGAGAGACGGAGTTTCACTCTTATTGCCCAGGCTGGAATGCAATGGCAGGATCTCGGCTCACTGCAACCTCTGCCTTCCAGGTTCAGGTGATTCTCCTGCCTCAGCCTCCAGAGTGGCTGGGATTACAGGCGCCCACCACCACGCCTGTCTAATTTTTTGTATTTTTAGTAGAGACGGGGTTTCACCATGTTGGCCATTCTGGTCTCAAGTGAGCCACTTGCCTCGACCCCCCAAAGGCCTGGGATTACAGGCGTGAGCCACCGCACCTGGCCAATCACCAGGGCTTCTGTGAACAGCTTCCGTGGATAGGAAACAGAGCCACTGGTCAGGTGCCCCTTCTAGTTTTGGGGAAAAGAAGCTGGAATGGGGTCATGTCATGACACAGCCCCAGCTCTGGGGACTGGGCCAAGGACACCTATGTCATGGCCCACACAGAAGTGGGAGCAGGGGCCACCTCAGCCGCACCCTCATTGGAGGTGGACCAGGGTTCTTAACCGGTGGGACGCTAAAAGCCTTCAGAGTGAGTATGTGTGTGATAGATCCAGTGTTACAAGCCACACTGCAGGCATGCGCACATTCTTCTGGGAGGGTTCTCAGCCTTCATCAGATTCTCGAAGAAGACCTGATTCAAAACAAGCTTAAAACCCACCACTCTAAGAGAGAGAAATGACGGAGAAGAAGGGGAAGGAGGAGAGAGAGGCTAGAGGCAAGAAAGAGGGGGAGGAGGAGGAATTGTGTATTTCTTTAGATCTAATAAAAGAAAGAAATACAGGCCAGGAGCGGTGGCTCATGCTTGTAATCTCAGCACTTTGGGAGGATTGCTTGAGCTCAGAAGTTCGAGACCAGCCTGGGCAACATGGTGAAACCCTGTCTCTACCAAAAAAAAAATACAAAAATTAGCTGGGTATGGTGGTGCATACCTGTAGTCCCAACTATTAGGGAGGCTGAGGTAGGAGGATTGCTTGAGCCCAGGAGGTCAAGGCTACAGTGAATGGAGATCGTGTCACTGCACTCCAGCCTGGGCAACTGAGTGAGACCTGGTCTCCAAGTTTGTTTTTTTTTTTTTGAGACAGAGTCTCGCTCTGACACCTAGGCTGGAGTGCAGTGGTGTGATCTTAGCTCACTGCAATCTCCATCTCCTGGGTTCTAGCGATTCTCCTGCCTCAGCCTCCCAAGTAGCTGGGATTACAGGCATGCACCACCACGCCCAGCTAATTTTTGTATTTTTAGTAGAGACGGGGTTTCTCCATGTTGGTCAGGCTGGTCTTGAACTTCTGACCTCATGATCTGCCCGCCTTGGCCTCCCAAAGTGCTGTGATTACAGGCCAGGAGCCACTGAGCCTGGCCCTCACATTTTTAATAAATAAATAAATAAAAAGGAAATTAACTTCTGTAAACCACTCTTTCCAGGCACCCTGCTAGTCCCTAGCCAGAGGCAGGCACGGGGTTTTCCCTAAGTGGCCACCATTTCTTTCCTTTCTTTTCTCTTTCTTTTCTTTGTTTTTTTTCTTTCTTTCCTTTGTTTTTTTGTTTTTTTGTTTTTTTTTTTGAGACGGAGTCTCGCTCTGTTGCCCAGGCTGGAGTGCAGTGGTGCAATCTCAGCTCACTGCAAGCTCCGCCTCCCGGGTTCACGCCGTTCTCCTGCCTCAGCCTCCCTAGTAGCTGGGACTACAGGTGCCTGCCATTATGCCCAGCTAATTTTTTGTATTTTTAGTAGAGATGGGTTTTCACCATGTTAGCCAGGACGGTCTTGATCTCCTGACCTCGTGATCCGCCTGCCTCGGCCTCCCAAAGTGCTGGGATTACAGGGGTGAGCCACCGCGCCTGGCCTCTTTTCTTTTCTTTCCTTCCTTCCTTTCCTTTTTCTTTCCTTCCTCTTCTTTCTTTTCTTTCTTTTTTGAGACAGAGTCTCACTCTGTTGCCCAGGCAGGAGTACAGTGGCTCGATCTCGGCTCACTGCAACCTTTGCCTCCCGGGTTCAAGCGATTCTCCTGCCTCAGCCTCCTGAGTACCTGGGATTATAGGTGCCCACCACCACACTCGGCTAATTTTTGTATTTTCAGTAGAGACGGGGTTTCACCATGTTGGTCAGGCTGGTCTCGAACTCCTGACCTCAGGTGATCCGTCCGCCTCAGCCTCCCAAAGTGCTGGGATTACAGGCGCGAGCCACCGCGCCCGGCTGTGGCCACCTTTTAAATGCTCACTCTATGGCAGTCACAGTCACTGAGCTGAGGACTGTCAGAATATTTCCTGCCCACCTCATCTCAGCTGTGTGTCACATGGCTGGGAGGCACAGGAGCCAGGATGCATGCCTGCATGCTGCCTCAGGCTGTGTCCCAACCACTCTGTGACACCCCACCATGTTGTGAGTGTCCCCTGTGCCTATGTCCACCCTGTGTCTCCTCCCTCTACCCCATCCCTACCCACTGCTGAAGGTAGCCTGGGTGTGTGGGCTCAGGCAGCCCACCCCGTGGGATGTTCAAAGTCCACCCGGCCTCCAGGCTGGGAGGAAGGTCTCTTTGGGTCCCTGTTTTAGCCTCAAGCTCAGAGGCAGGGGGATAGACACACTGGCTCCTGGATGCCAGCTCTTCTCTCTGGGGTCCCAAGGAGCAGTCTGAGCCTTTCGCCTCCCTCAGAGGAAGACCCCAGCCCCGCTGCCCTCCTGAATCTCCCGGGGTGCCAACATGCACAGAGGCCTGGTCTCACCACCTACCATCCGGGCACCAAGGGTTTTATTCGAGTCCAATTTTTATCCGCACTGCGGAGAAAGAGGGAGGGGGGACATAGAGAAAGCGGGGAACCCGGACCAGACCCCAGACCCCTCCCCCCACTGGAGCCCGGGGCATCTGCCTGGTTGGGCCAAGGAAGACTTCATGAGATCCCTGAGGGCCCCAGGAGGAGGGGGCTGGGAGCAGCAGAAGAGGACTGGGGGCCACCGCTTCCCCATCGACGCCCCAGGCCAGGGCCCTCAGTCTCTTTCCTCCCCTCCCTTCTGAGGGCTGTAGCCTCCATCTCTACAGAGGCTCGGCTGGCCATGACCCCATCAGACCCCCAAGGTACTCCCTTGTCAGGTCCAAAGCACATGTTATCCTATGCCTGTGACCCTGGGCTGCCATCCAGCCCACGTCCCAGACCACAGGCACACGCTGCCCTCCTCTTGGGTGGGGCTGGGGGCACTGCTGACCTGTCAGCTGCTCCCTCCCCAGGGACCCGTCTCCACTCCCTGGGGGCTACTCAGTCAGTGAACGACTTTGCTTTTTCTCTTTCCTACAGATTCCACCTCCCATCTACCCCTTTCCTCTCCCACCTCTTGACCTGAACCCCTTTTAACCTCAGGGTCAAATGTACCTGAGGTCTGTACCCCCCACCTCTTGTCATGCAGTAGTCATGGCTGGTAGGACCTTGGCCCAGGGCATGGGGTGAGGAGAGCCTGGCCTGGAGAGGTCAGACCAAGAGTGAGGTGCCTAGCTCCCCAGGCTGGGATTTTGGGGGCCACCCGTCTGGGCACTCCTGGGTCAGTGGAGGAGCTTGGGGGAGGCTGTGGGGCCAGCCACCAGCCCTCAGCCAGGGTCCTCCTGCAGCCAGCTCAAAAGGATGCAGCTCCCCAGCTTGGATGGGGGTGCACCAAGGGTTAGGCTGTTCTTCCTTCTGTCTAGCTCCAAACCCATGTGCTGTACCACCTCCTCGTCTGCCCAGTGATAAGAGAGGAGTGGAGGGAGCTGTGTAGTGCGGAAGAGGGGCTCCCAGGGCTGGCACCTTGCAAGGTGTCCCTGGCTGCACTGAGCTAAGGTGAAGTGACAGAGCAGATCATGGACTCTGGTACCATCCACCGGCAGCAGTCCCAAGCCTGGTGAGTTGGCATCAGCAGGAAGGGGGATGGGGAGATTCCTGTGTTCGTAACGGCTCTTTGTTCCCCGGGCACAGTGGGTGGACAGGAGGTGGGAGAGGACACCCGTAGAAGCAGCACATCTGGCTTCTCCTTGTCCACTGGATGCCCACCCTCAAAGTCTTCCCCGGTCCCATCTGCCCGTGCACTGGCCCTGAGACCTCTTTGTAGCCTTGGGGGCAAGGAGATATAGCCCCCTCCCCACTGGGGTCCTGGGGCCCGCCCCTCGCCTCTCCCAGTGCCAGGGGGGCACCAAGCTGAGTCTGTCTGGGCTCAGAAGCCCCCGCTCTCAGAGCTGCTCCGGCTGTGGTAGCTGGGACTGGGGGTCCTCGAGGGGCTGCGTGTCCGGCTGCGGGTCCCATGGCTGCGACTGCTGTAGCTCCCGTGGCTGTGGCCGGGGCTGGGGCTGCGGCTGTGGCTCCGGGTCGAGTAGTCGCTGCTCAAGCAGCTGGAGGAGGAAGAGGGGCTGGGCCGGTAGTATGGAATAGGACGCTTGCGGGCGCTGCCGGGAAGAAAAAGCTGATTACAGGCCATCCCAGGCCCCGAGCCCCATCCCAGCAGCGGCCAGGGCTTCCTGCCTCAGTTTCCCCTGAGCCCTGGCCTTAGAGACACCTGCCTTCTCCAAATGGAATCTGACGGTCATTGGTTACTTGCAAATTCCATGTTGATCATTTTGCTTTTCTTCACCTATCTGCAGGGAAAGGAGACCATGTCTCTGCCCGATCCGAACACCTGCTAATAAATACTTGTTGAGGCTGGGCGCGGTGGCTCACGCCTGTAATCCCAGCACTTTGGGAGGCTGAGGCGGGCGGATCACTTGAGGTCAGAAGTTTGAGACCAGTCTGGCCAACATAATGAAACCCTGTCTCTACTAAAAATACAAACATTTGCCGGGCATGGTGGTGTGCACCTGTAATCCCAGCTACTTGGGAGGCTGAGGTGGGAGGATCGCTTGAACCCCAGAGGCGGAGGCTGCAGTGAGTGGAGATTGCGCCACTGCACTCCAGCCTGGGTGACAGAGTGAGACTCCGTCTCAAAAAAAAAAACTTGTTGAATGAATGAAACTTGCAAATGTGGACAGCTCCCATCACCCAAGCTGGCGTGTAAGTGTCTGTGACTACGTCCCAGCCCTGCCTCTCTGTTCCCCTGTCCCCTCTGCAATCAAGGAATTTGTTGCTTTCAGGTCACTCGAAAGGAACAAGGAGGGGAGTCCTGGCCGCTGCTCCCCATGCCCACGGTCCGGTCCAGTCCCGCCGGCCCCACTCCTCACTCAGCTACCTCCCGCTGGCCCAGAGTTAGTTGGAAGCCAGGAGGCTATGACCCAGAGAAGAGAAAAGAGAGGTTAAGGGGCAACACTGCCCCGTCGCAGGGTTAATTCTGAGGAAGAAAACAGGTGTACGTTAGTGGAGGAGGAGGCAGCCTGGGAGAGGGGCTGAGTGGGTGCCAGGTGGAAGGTGTGAGGGCCTGGCCTACGGGCAGGGTGTGTGACCTGTCTGGGGGCGTCCCCAGCCTGGTGAGTTGGCATCAGAAGGAAGGGGGGACGCAGGAAGATCCCTGGGTTCAAAATGGCTCTTTGTTCCTTGGGCACGGTGGCTGGACAGGAGGTGGGAGAGGACATCCGTTAGAAGTAGGACAATTTGGTCGGGCGCGGGGGCTCACGCCTATAATCCCACCACTTTGGGAGGCCAAGGCAGGTGGATCACCTGAGGTCAGGAGTTTGAGACCAGCCTGACTAACATGGTGAAACCCCGTCTCTACTAAAAATACAAAAAAAATTAGCTGGGCGTGGTGGTGGGTGCCTGTAATGCCAGCTACTTGGGAGGCTGAGGCAGGAGAATCACTTAAACCTGGGAGGTGGAGGTTGCAGTGAGCCGAGATTGCACCATTGCACTCCAGCCTGGGTGACAAGAGCAAAGCTCCGTCTTAAAAAAAAAAAAAAAAAAAGAAGCAGTAGCACAATCTGGCTTCTCCTTCAAGGCGGTCTGGCTTTGAGCTCTGGGGTAATGCCCACCCCATGCTTCTTGGTTACCTGGATCACCAAGGACTAGGAGGGACTAGTTTGATAATCATACCCTGTTAGAACTGAAAAGATGCTCACGAAACCCTGGTTATTGTACAGATGTGGCAACCGAGGCCCAGAGAGGCACACCGATCTCCCAAGGCTGCCCAGCAAGGCAGTGGCAGAGTTGGGCTCAGAACTTTTTGCCTGTGTTCCCCCCAACCCCCTGCCAGGGTAATCTAGGGCTTCAGGGTGATTTCCACAAAGGCAGACCATAATGTCACCCGGAGACCCAGGCCCAGACACTTCCAGTCCTAGCAGAGAAACTGATAATGGCTTCACCAGCCACGCCCTGGGCACAGCCCCACAGCTGTGTAGGGCAAGGAGGTGTGGCTGGCTCCTCTGACAGCTGCCCCAGAGACCAGACTGCTGTGCCCCCTCCTCCAAATCCCCCAGGTTAGTGAGAAAGAGAGAGGCAGACAGACGGACAGCTGACCAGGGCCAGACCAGCTCACTTGGGCATCTCCCAGGCAGCCTGTGCAGAGGGGTCCGCCTGGCCCCCAGGCTGACCACAGGCCACTCAGCAGGCTGGACCTTGAGATGAAGGAGAAAAGGAGACATCATTGTCCGGAGACGGATGCAGGGAGGGCGGGAGGGGCTCCGGAGGGATGGCGGGACTCTTGCAGAGCTGAATTCCATGCCGGCTGCGGCCCACCCAGACCCAAGTACAGAGCCCCCTCCCCTTCATGGGCCCTCAGGCCCCCACCGTGGCCCTTCCTTCTGCGTGGCCTCCTGCACCTGTCTCTCTGATAGACCCCAGCACCTCCAGTTCTAGCCCCCTCCTCCCCTGGCCCCCTACCCTGGCAGAACCCACTCATTGTCCCTTAGCACCCCCCCCCATCCCCGTGCCAGGTTCAGTGGATCCTCAGAGAAGGTCCCCGGGCCGAGGTCTCTGTCCCTGATCCGGGTCAGCGGCCCCAGCCCTGCGCCACCGGCCCCCCCAAGACCCTCCATACCTGGTGATGCGCCGCGGCTCCATGAAGCTTGGCGAGTCCCGGCGCCGCTTGCGGATGGGCGAGTAGCTGCGGGAGCGGCGCCGGGCGCGGGTGGCCTCGGCCTCAGAGTGCCTTGCGCGGCCCTCGCCGTCCTTGTCCCTGCGGGGCCGGCGCGAGGTAAGTGAGCGACGCGGCCCGGCCGCTCCACCCCGCCGCCCGCCCCGTCGGCCCGGTCCGGGCGGGCACTCACCGGCTGAGGGGCTTCTTGGGCGACGGCGAGCGGCTGGGGCTGTGGGGCCGCTTCTCCGCAGAGCGCGAGCGAGATTTGGAGGGCGAGCGGCTGGAGCTCCAGGAGCGGGGGTGCGGGCCGGGGCTGCGCGACGAGCTCTTCCCTTCTGGGCCGCCGCGCCGGCCGTGCGCGCCCGGGGACGGAGAGGTGCTGGCGGGCCGCGCGCGCGGGGGCCGCTCCTTGGCCCTGGAGGAGGGAGACGGCGCGGGATAGGGCTCAGCGACCCGGAAAGGGGGCTGGGGGCGGGGAGGGTTCCCTGGGGCGGGGCTTAGGGCGGAGGGGCGGGGTCCGTGTAGTTTGTGGTCAGTTCGCGCGGAGTGCGCAGTGAACGCGGAGCCTAGTGAGGGGCAGGGGTCAGTTCAGGGGGAGCCCCGTGAGGGGGCGTGTTGGGGGAGATCAGTGGAGGAGATTGTTCTGCGGGATGGGGGGAGAGTGATCAGTAAGCGGGGAGCCTCATGGGAGGAGAGGGGGTTCCCTGGGGGCAGTGATCAGTAAGGGGAGACGGATCAGTTGTGGGGAGGGGTCAGGATAACCGGGGGTAGCTCAGGGTGGGGAGGGAGCTCCCTGGGGGGTTGGCATCAGTGGAGGGAGAACTCCGTCGGGGGGCTGGGATCAGTGTGGGGAGGGAAACTCCCTGGAGTTTGGAGGTCAGTGGAGGGAGGGTAACTCCCTAGAGAGAGTTGGGGTCGTCGAGGGAGGGAGCCCTGTGAGAGGGGAGTTGAGATCAGTGTGCGGAGGAAATCCATGGGAGGATCCATGGGGTCCATAGGGGTTTGGGGTCCGTGGAGAGGGAGGAGAGCTCCGTGGGGGGTTGAGATCCGTGGGGGGTAGTTCAGTGAGGAGGGGTTGGGATCCGTGGGGGGTAGCTCATGGGGGGGTGGAATCCATGGGGGTAGCTCGGTGGGAGGGGGTTGGGATCCCTGGAGGGTAGCTCAGCGCGGGGAGGGATCCCGTGGGCAGGGATCCGCTAGTGGAGGGGAGCCCTGTGCGGGGTGGGGGCGGGAGTCCAGCTCCGGGTCCAGCACGCTCACCGTTTCCCGTGTCCGCCGTGGCCTCGCTCAGAGCCGGGCTCGGGCCCGGGGCCGGGGGCGCCGCGGCCGCTGCCGGAGTCGCTGCTGGAGCGGGCCCTGCTGAGCGAGCGCGACGAGCCCCGGGGGGGCGCGGGCCGGGGGCGCCGGCGACCCCTGCGGCGGGGCGCGGACGCCGAGGACCGCGAGCGCCGCCGCCTACGCCGCCGCCGCCGCCGCCTGCCCGCCCCGCCCGCCGCGCGGCCTCCGCGACCTTGGGACGACGGCGCCGAGCGCGGGCTCGGGCTCTCCTTCCCCCGCGCGGGCGGCGTGGGTGCGGCGGCCGCCGCCTTGTCACGGACCCTGGGCGAGGGCGAGCTGGGCTTCTGACGGGGAGAGAGGCAGACAGGGCACGGAGGGGGGAGAGGGAGACGAGAGAGACAGAGACAGAGAGAGAAGAGAGGAGACAGACGGGAGAGAGAGATTGAAAGAAAGAGACAGAGACAGAGACAGAAAGAGGAAAGAGGGAGAGACAGAGACAGAAAGAGAGGAGAGAGAGAGAGACAGAGAGACAGAAAAAGAGCGAGAGACAGAGAAAAAGAGACGGAGAGAGAGAATGAAGAGAGACAGGAGAGAGGGAGAGAGGAAAGACAGAGAGAAGAAAGAAAGAGGGAGAGAGGGAGGAGGCAGAGAAGAGAAAGAGGAAGAGAGAAAAAGAGCAGGAGAGAGACAGAGTGAGAGGGAGAGAGATGAGAAAGAGAGAGGGCGAAAGAGCGAGGGTGAGAGGAGAGAGCAAGGGAGGAGAGAGGGAGGAGAAGGAAAAAAGGGGGCAAGAGAGAAGGGGACAGAGACAGTGAGAAGAAGAGACAGAGGAGAGACGGGGGTGGGGGAAGAGAAGAGAGAGAGAGGAAGAGAGAAAGAGCGAAGAGAGAGAAGGATGGAAGCCAGGGAGAAGTTCGAGAAACAGAAAAAATCCAGACAGGCAGGGGACAAGAGTGGGGGCAGAGAGAGGACAGAGCAAGAGGAGCGAGAAGTTGGGGTGAGAGAGCGGGCGGGTGGGGTGGGGGGAGAGAAGGAGAGAGGGCTTTCACCGGGCCCGAGCCGGGGGCTGCCAGTCCCGGAGCATCGCACACACGGTTCCCCGCGCCTGCCCTGCCTCTGCCTCTCCTGGGTGTCCACCTTCTGGCCTCAACAGTGCAGCTCATGCAGGGTTCTTGGCATGCAAAACACAAGAGGGACGGAGCGGTGGGGGGCGGGGGCCAAAGGGGGAGGGGCTCCAGGACAGGCATCGGGGCTGGCATTGCCCCCCCGATGGGACGGACGATTCCCGGCAGAGAGAAGAGAGAGCGGCACCGGGAGCGGGGCCAGGGCCAGCCCACCAGGCCGGACCCCCAGCGCTTGGGGGTGGGCGAGGGGATGGAGGGGGTGGGGGCGTCACACGGCACACAGATGGGGGAGGGGGCGAGGGGGACAACTGAACTCAAAACTGAACCGAAGAAAGGGAGGAAAAACAGAAATAAAAAAACAAAATCCACAAATGTCATTAGATACCAAAAATCAAAAACAATATCTGATCCTGGGGAACCTGACATTTTTCTGTTAATATTTTTCTTTGTTTTCCGGCCCTGCAGAGAGCTTTGGAGCTGTCAGTAGCACCCGACTGTCTTTCTGTTTCTCTCTTTTCTTTTTCTTTTTCTTTTTTTTTTTTTTAAGTTCTGATTTTTAAGTCCCTCTTGGTTAACGTCCACTTACCAATAAAGTGGCACTTCCTCCTTTAGTAGGTAAGGTGTGTAAGAGAAGGGAAAAGTGTGGTAGTATAAGTTCATCATTAGATTCACAAAAATGCAAGAGAGATAGAGAGAGAGAGAGAGAAACGCAACCACCCCATTCTAGGCCTGAGAAGAGGCCACGCCGCCTCTGGAGGAAGGGCTGGCAGCGCCCGGCTCCTGAGTGGGCAACTCTTAGGTGACCGCTGGATAGAGGTGGCAAATGTTTTTCCAAAAGTGGAGTTAGGACACAAGGATTGGGACACAGAAAACCAGGAAGGGCATCTGGCACCATCAAAAGGGCCCTGGTTGGGATTCAGGAGTCTGAGAGCCTGCCTCTATCTCACCGAGTGACCCTGGCCACGTCACTTCCCCAGTCTGGGCCTCAGTTTCTCCATCCACAAAATGAGAGGGTTGGCTTTTGCTTCCTGGTGTCCCTTCCAGGGCAAAGATTCCAGGATTCTCTGCATGCACCCTGCCCGCCCTCCCTGTCTCCCTCCCTACACAGAGCTGATCCCTCCTCCTGTCCTTGGCCCTCCATCTAGTAGCAGTTGACTGTCCTTGTCTGTTTGTAGGTCTGTTCCTCCCCGAAAATCCTCCGATCACCACTACCAACTTGACTTTTAGCACCTCCAGGGCAGATGTGGTATCTGATTCACCTCTGTAACATCACTTTTTATCACCGAACTTGGCACCTAGTAAAACTTTGATTCTGTTTGCTAAGGAAGGAAGCGAGTCCTAGAAGCCAGGTGGTGCCTGGACCAAGCTCTTTTGGCAGGCTGTTTCTTTTTTCTTTCTTTTTGAGAAGGCATCTCACTCTGTCTCTCAGGCTGGAGTGCACTGGCGTGATCTGGGCTCACTGCAACCTCTCCCTCCCAAGTTCAAGCAATTCTCCTTCCTCAGCCTCCCAAATAGCTGGAACTACAGGCGTCTGTCACCACATCTGGCTAATTTTTGTATTTTTAGGAGAGACGGGGTTTCACCGTGTTGGCCAGGCTGGTGCTGGTCTCGAACTCCTGACCTCAAGTGATCCTCTGTCCTCAGCCTCCCAAAGTGCTGGGATTACAGGCGAGAGCCACCGAGCCCGGCCACTGGCAGACTGTTTGGATGAGAAGACAAAAGATGCTGCCACCTCTCAGGGCACCTTGCCGCTAGGGACTGGAAGGAGCACAGTTTCCTTGGCATGGCCCTGGGTGTTTCCTACAGAGGGCAAGGTGCTGTCCAAGCCTTTCCCTGCAGGGCTGGAGCTGAGCTGAACATGGAGGTAGACCCAGGAGGTCAACCTCATTGGTGGAAAGGCACAGATGGCTCCTGATTGGTGCCTGAAGCAGCCAATGAACACTAGCCATAGCTGCCCAAAGCCAATCAGGCCATGAAGACCTCTCCTGGGAGAGCTTAATGTCTCCATTTGGGGCAGACACAGGCATAAGTGGGCACAATGGATATTTCCTGGTTTTGGGGTGCCCCTCTGAGCACCCCTGACTCTCCTGATCACAAGCTCACCCCTCACCCTAGGCTAGGAGAGTTGGAGGCTGGATTGGCCCCTCTTTCATTTTTATTTTTTTATTATTTTTGAGACAGAGTCTCGCTCTGCTGCCCAGGCTGGAGTGCAGTGGCACGACCTCAGCTCACTGCAACCTCTGCTTCCCGGGTTCAAGCGATTCTCCTGCTTCAGCCTCCCAAGTAGCTGGGATTACAGGTGCCCGCCACCACGCCTGGCTAATTTTTATATTTTTAGTAGAGACAGGGTTTCACCAAGTTGGCCAGGCTGGTCTTGAGCCCCTGACCTCAGGTGATCCACCTGCCTCGGCCTCCCAAAGTGCTGGGATTACAGGTGTGAGCCATCGTGCCCGGCCTTGGGTTGGCCCCTCTGAGATGGCAGTTGTGTTCTCAACAGGAGACCATCAGCTCCCCTAACACATACTCCCCCCACTCCAGGAGGCAGCCAGGCAGCCAGTGCCCCAGAACTTTCAAGCGCCCCCAGCCCACCATTCTTTTCCCTCAACAGGAGGCAAATGAGAACTTCTCTGGGATTTTTATATTTGCAGTTTCTGTCCTATACCCTGGGTCGTCAAAGAGTGCAAAGTGAACACATATGAGGTGGGGGAAGCTTGGGAGCCAATTCACAGTAGTGCATAACTCAAGCTGACGCTGGTCTCCTTCTTTAAGAAATCTTTGCTTGCTACTTTGGTTAGGGGAGGCAGTGCAGCAGGGCAGAGTACGGAACTTAGGAATCAGCCTGGCTGTGAACCCTGGCTCCAACTCTGGAGTTTGAACCTGAGCCAGCTACTTCTTCTTTTTCTTTTCTTTCTTTCTCTCTCTCTCTTTTTTTTTTTTTTTTTTTGTTGTTGTTTATTTGTTTTGAGACAGAGTCTCACTCTATTGCCCAGGCTGGAGTGCAATGGCACGATCTTGGCTCACTGTAACCTCCACCTGCCAGGTTCAAGTGATTCTCCTGCCTCAGCCTCCTGAGTAGCTAAGGGATTACAGGCGTGAGCCACCATGTCAAGCTAATTTTTTTGTATTTTTAGTAGAGACGGGGTTTCACCATGTTGGCCAGGCTGGTCTCGAATTCCTGGCCTCAAGCGATCCACCTGCCTTGGCCTCCTAAAGTGCTGGAATTACAGGCATGAGCCACCCCGCCTGGCCTGAGCCAGCTGCTTCTGACTCAAAGAAAGGAGCCAACAGTAGGCGAGGAAGACCACAGGCCGTGATGGGTCCTTCCCACAGATACTGCAGAACCCTCCTGACTTCCCACTACATTATGCTGAGAGTGGGATGGGAGTGTTAGGAGCAAAAAGGGTCTAGGTTGGATGGCTGTTCACCCCCATCATGGTCCTGTCCCCTACCATCAAGGTCCAAGCCCCCAAGTCCAATCCCCTGTGCTGATCCAGATCCTTCCTGCCTGCTATTTTTGAAGACCAAGTTCTTCCCCACTTCCTTCTCATCTCCTCCAAGTCACGGGCCTGCCATGGCCCAAGATGATAGTCACTGGAAAAGTGGAACACCCTGGAATCGGCCCTGGTGTGAGTTTGTTGTGACGCCTTAAGGCAGTCACCTGACGGTGGGGAGCCTCAGTTTCCCCATTGGTAAAATGAGGATAAGCGGAGTCTTTGCTGGGTCAGCCTATATTGGGGTTGGGAGACTTTTCAGAGTACAACCAACTCATGGTCCTTTCACAGGGTCAGAGCAGTGCAGGAAGGACTGGGGGACCCTATGCGGTGTCCACCAAGTACCAAGATGGCAGAGGATGGGAGGAAGGCACCTCTCATGTCCTTCTCCACCCATCCCTCTGGAAGTCCTCAGGAAGGGGTCACCATGCGCCTGCCAGAGTCTGAGCCTCGTCCTCAGCTTGGCTGGGTCTCATGCTTCCTGGGAAGATCCAAGGCCAAGCACTATGGGATTTCATAGGATGCTCAGAGACCTCCGAACCTCCCCTCCAGGAAGCTGCTTTTTGTGCCTTGGTGCCTCTTGCAGGGATCCCCTCTCCCCACCTCCCACCCACAGCCTGGCTAATGCCTATTGGCATCCCTACCCTCAGCTCCAGGGCGCCTTTTCCAGGCTGCATCACGTCCGCTCCTCTATGATCCCATAGAACCTGGTTCCTTCCTTCCATATGGACTCTGCCAGGCCGTGCTAGCCAGGGGGCTGCCGTGGTGAGCAGGAGCTTCCCACTCACATTTCAGCTTTTCCCCTCTCATCATGCTCAGTGGTCTTCGTCCGTCCTCCATCCTGGGAGGCCCAGGTCTGCCTGCCTCTCTCCTGGCATGGACATCCAGATGGGGCCTGGCACAAAGGAGGTGCTGGGCACATGTCTGCTTAGTGTGTGTGGGAACGAATGAATGAGTGAGTGAGTGAGTGAATCAGGGACCTCGCCTGCCTCTGAGCCCTGTTCCCAGGAGCCCCTCCTCTCCTTTTTATGACTTGCTACCTGACATGTTTTCTTTTGCTTGTGTAATATATATATATATATATTTTTTGAGATGGGGGTCTGGCTCTGCTGCCCAGACTGGAGTACAATGGTGCAATCATAGCTCACTGCAGCCTCCAACTCCTGAGCTCAAGTGATCCCCCCACCTCAGCCTCCTCAGTAGCTGGGTCTACAGGTACACACCGCCATGTCTGGCTATTTATTTTATTTTATTTTTAGTAGAGATGGGGTCTTGCTGTGTTGCTCAGGCTGGTCTCAAACTCCTGGCCTCAAGTGATCCTCCTGCCTCGGCCTCCTAAAGCATTGGGATTACAGGCATGAGCCACTGGGCCCAACCTTTGGGTAAGAAATTTCTGAGGGTCAAGTGGAAAAGATGGTGGAAGGGAGTAGCAAGGGGCAGTGTGTTCACCTGGTCCTGGTACTCTGAAGGACAAGAACAGGTAAACACCTGAGATGTTTTACTCTTGCTTCCTTTGAGGACTTAGATGACCACCCAACTCGTGGGTCCCTGGTCATATCAGAAACTCCTCAAGGACGGACCCTCCTCTTCCTCATGGGGCTTCAACACAGTTTCTCCTGTCAGATCACCAGCACTTTCCTTCTTTTCTTTTCTTTTTTTTTTTTTTTTTTTTGAGGGAGCAGGGACTGAGTCTCGCTCTGTTGCCCAGGCTGGAGTGCAGTGGTGCAGTCATGGTTCACTGTAGCCTCAAATTCCTGGGCTCAAGCGATACCCCTGCCTTAGCCTCCTGAGTAGCTGGGACTACAGGTGGTACCACCTCGCCTAGCTTGCCCTTTCTTCCTTTCCAAGAGCCACTTGCTGTCTGCCCTCCTGGCACCACCCAGTGTTGAGGAGGATGCTCTGAGTGGGTGAGCTCCCTGACACCTGCCTCCGGGATAAACATGGGGTGGGGTAGGGATGAGTGGCTGGGCCTTCTCTTTTCAAAGCTGAAGATAGAAGCCCGTGTAGGCCTCATAATGGTTGGAATGCTGAATGTCTTTTTCTTTTTCTTTTTTTTTTTTTTTTGAGACTGAGTCTTGTTCTGTCACCCATGCTGGAGTGCAGTGGCACGATCTAGGCTCACTGCAGCCTCTGCCTCCCGGGTTCAAGCGATCCTCCTGCCTCAGCCTCCCAAGTAGCTGGGATTACAGGCATGTAACACCATGCCCGGCTAATTTTTGTATTTTTAGTAGAGATGGGGTTTTGCCATGTTGGCCAGGCTGGTCTCAAACTCCAGACCTCAAGTGATCCGCCCACCTCGGCCTCCCAGAGTGCTGGGATTACAGGCGTGAGCCACTGCACCTGGCCAGAATGCCAAATTTCTGTAGCTGCTCCCAGGTGGGAAAGGAAACAGTTTAAAGGGCAGGGGTGCGGAGGTGGGGTCCCCTAGGGTCCACCTCTGACTCTAGTACCCTCAGTGTGGCTGGATGAGCCCTGGGCTGGGAGTCACAAGTCCCAGGACCTAGTCCTGGTTCTGCCGCTGCACCCTGTGGGCCCCTAGTCCCTGCTGGCTGTTCTTTTGGAATTGTTCTGCTCTGAGGGTTCACATTAAGCTGCTCAAATTCAGAAGATGGAAGGATGCTGAGGGTAGAAGGAGCCCCTGTCTGAGTTGGATCATGGACCAGGCAGCGGGCAGGTAAATTACCTGTAAATTGTCTCACAGAGACTTTGCTAAGTAGGCCTTCTAGGTCTCAAACCTGCTCCTGGCCAGCTCACTGCCCTGCCCACTGCCACCCCAAATGAATCTACTAATTGCACCCAATAGATGGAAGCTGGAAGCTCAGTCCTGGTGCCCGTTGCTCCTCCAGAGCCCTGCAGCTCCCACCCCAAAGCTCCATCCTGCAGCCAGGGAAGGACTTGAGGAAGCCCAGAGTTCCGTTTGGCCCAGTAGGCCCCCAAGGATGGGATGGGGCTTTTCCCTTGTGCCTGACCTTGGCCAGAACTTCCTCCAGGATCTGAAGGCCAGGAGGCCCCGCACTGGCTCCTCTGTCACTGCCTTTTGCCCGAAAGGGCCCTGAAGGCCAGCGGGGTGACCGAAGTCCCGGGGGCTGGCAGGGATGAAGGGTGAGGAGGGGCTTCGCAGCTACTCCAGACAACAGAAATCAAATTGGCTTCACTGCAGCATACAGTTCAGGAAAGAAACACAAACTTGGAATGCTAAACCACACAGAAATGCATTCGGACAACAGAATGAGAAAGAAGGCGTGAAGGAGGATTTAGGGGTGGAAGTCAGGGATGGAGAGGAAGAAGGAGGGAACAAGGAAGGTGAAGAAGGAGGGGAGATGGGCTAGAAAAGTTGGTCGGGGAAAGTCAAGAAAACCAAATGACAAACCAGGAAACATAGCTTTGTAGCTCATTTGAAGAAAGTGCAAGTTACAAATGAGTAGTCACTAAAATAAAGAAAGAAAAGGGAGGAATATGAAACCAACCAGGGCAAGATTGAGAGAGAGAAAGAAAACCACATTCAAACCAAGCAAAGTGGCAGGGCTTATCTGGAGATGGGAGCGAGAGCGCACAGCGGAGCTGGGATACCTACCTTCTCAGTGCTCAGGGACAGGAATGCAATAATAAAAAAGAAAAGAAGGTCTCCGCATTGGGAATGCAGAATGGGGGAAAGACAGTGACCCTAAACTGTGCTCCCCCTCTGAGCCAGTAGATGGGTGGCCAATGTGGCTTTTGTCTCATCCCAGGGATGGGAGGGGGCTCTTGCACGGCCATTTCTGTTTGCTCTTTTTTTTTTCTCCTTTTTAAACAATGGGTTCCACTAGCCAAGCTTTCTTTATTGTTCAAACAACAGAAAACCTCCATAGAGCATGCAGGAAGCAGCTGATGGAAGAGAACCACAGGGTGGGCTACAGAGGGGCTGGCAGCATGGGAGAGAGGCCCATGCCGGGGGAGAGGGATGGAAAGGAAGAGAGAGAGACAGGAGGCAGACAGAGAGACAGACGAACAGACAAAGTCAGGCAGAGATAGAAATGGGAAGAGAAGGAGAAAGAGAAACAGAAAGACAGAAACAATGACAGAAGCAAACAGAAACAGAGAGGCAGGAAGAGAGAAAGGTGCCCCCAGACAGAAAGAGGAGACAAGCACTGTTTAAACAAGGCCAATCGGAGTGGACAGATGGGTGAAGGGAAAACGCGCATTTAAAAGGGAAGGCAACCACAGAGCCGATCTGGAGGAGTGGCCCTGCCTCAGGTCAGTCCCACTCCTTTCCCTCTGGCTTTGGCATCCTTTTAGCAAAATTCATCCCTTTTGCCTTTTTCTGTTCCTGTATAAGGCAGGTCAGGGGGTGCCTTGGCACCTCTTCTTGGGGGTCACCCGAGGCTGCCCATTACATGATAAAATTTGGACCACAGGGAGAAGCCAGAGAGAGCCCCAAGGCCATGATCCTGAGCCTTCTCTGCCACCCTCACCTAAGGGTGTCACCTTCCAGACAGCCCCGGACACTGTAGGGTTTTTTGTTTTTTGGGGTTTTTTTTTGAGATGGAGTCTCGCTCTGTCACCCAGGCTGGAGTGCAGTGGTGCGATCTCAACTTACTGCAACCTCTGCCTCCTGGGTTCAAGTGATTCTCCTGACTCAGCCTCCCGAGTAGCTGGGACTACAGACAGGATGATAGCTCACTGTAGCCTCCAACTCCTGGGCTCAAGTGATCCTCCCACCTCAGCCTTCCAAGTGGCTGGGATTGTAGGCATGCACCATCACATCTGGCTAATTAAAAAAAATTTTTTTTTTGTAGAGATAGGGGTCTTGCTATGTTGCCCAGGCTGATTTCAAACTCCTGGTCTCAAGCGATCTTCGTGCCTCGCCCTTCCAAAGTACTGGCATTACCGGCATAAGTCACTGTGCCTGCCCCATCCCCTGAAACTTCTAACGCTAGAGACTTCTAAGGTGAGCAGGTGGCCCCTGGGACAGGAATGCAATAATAAAATAGAAAAGACGGCAAACTCTGTATACTCTTTTTGGGCCTTGGGAGGGTGAGCCTAGCACCAGGTTGTGCTGGTGGGGGCTGGAGGGAGGCCAGTGAAGGCACCAGGTAAGACTGGACAGGAGGGCTTCTCCCAGGAGGTCTCCTGATCAGTATCTTCCTCTTTCATCCTACATTGTGTGACCTTGAGTGACTCTCTTCCCTCTCTGTGCCTCGATATTTATTTCCCCACATGTATGAACTGTGAGGGTTTAGGGTTCCCTGAGTCACAGAAGAAACAATCATATGAGTTTCTGTAATGTGGGGGCCACCTGCACCCAGGTCTCTCAGTGTAGGCAGACCTTGGCCTAGGGACATGAGAGAGCAGGAAGCTGATTTCTGGATGGGTCTGATGGGGGAAAGCAGGAGCTGAGTCAACCAGCAACCACCTCCCAAATCCTCCTTCTGCTCAGGGCTCGTGGACTGTGCTTCCCATTTTCCACCCTCTCCACAGCTTAGCTGGAGTCTAGAGGTCAGAGTCAGAGGGCTGGAGTCTATTTTTTGTTGTTGTTGTTGTTTGTTTTGAGACAGGGTCTTGCTCTGTTGCCCAAGCTGGAGTGCAGTGGCGCAATCATGGCTCACTGCAGCCTCAAACTTCTGGTTCAAGCAATCCTCCTGTCTCAGCCTCCTGAGTAGCTGGGATTACAGGTGTATTCCACCATGCCCAGCTTTTTCTTTTAAATTTTTGTAGTGACAGGGTCTTGCAGTGTTGCCCAGGCTGGAGTACAGTGGTGCAATCATGGCTTACTGCAGCCTTGGACTCCTGAGCTCAAGTGATTCTCCTCCCTCATCTCCCTCAGTAGATGAGACTATAGGCACATGCCACCATGCCTGGCTGATTAAAAATATATATATATTTTTTGTAGAGATACAGTCTTGTTCTGTTGACCAGTCAGTCTGGAACTGCAGGCCTCAAGTGATCCTCCTGCCTCAGCCTCCCAAAGTGCTGGGATTACAGGTGTGAGCCACTGCGCCCTGCCTGGGGTCTACTTTTGGATCTACCTCTAAATAGCTGTGTGACCTTGAGCCAGTCACTTGACCTCTCGGAGCTGCAGTTTCTCCTGTAAGCATCAGAACCCAGAAAGTCCTGTGGGGTTCAACCATCACCTGGGATGGGCCAACAAAGGGGTTTGTTGGGAGTAACCACATCACTGGCCTCAGTCTCGAGATCAAGATGGATTTTTTTTTTTTGAGACAGAGTCTCGCTCTTGTCATCCAGGCTGGAGTGCAATGGCACAATCTCAGCTCACTGCAACCTCTGCCTCCTGGGTTCAAGCGATCCTCCTGCCTCAGCCTCCCAAGTAGCTGGTTTTACAGGTGCCCACCACGCCTGGCTATTTTTTTTTTTTTTCCGAGACGGAGTCTCACTCTGTCACCTAGGCTGGAGTGCAGTGGTATGATCTCCGCTCACTGCAACCTCTGCCTCCCAGGTTCAAGTGATTTTCCTGCCTCAGCTTCCCGAGTAGCTGAGATTATAGGCATGCACCACCATGCCTGGCTAATTTTTTTGTATTTTTAGTAGAGACGGGGGTTCGCCATGTTAGCCAGGCTGGTCTCGAACTCCTGACCTCAGGTGATCTGCCCACCTCAGCCTCCCGAAGTGCTGGGATTACAGGTGTGAGCCACCATGGCCAGCCGAATTTTTGTATTTTTAGTAGAGCTGGGGTTTCATCATGTTGGTCAGGCTGGTCTTGAGCTCCTGACCTCAGGTGATCCGCCCCCCTCAGCCTCCCAAAGTGCTAGGATTACAGGTGTGAGCCACTGTGCCCAGCCCAAGATGGAATTTTTTGCTTGCCTGAAGTGTCTCAGCTAAACTCTGCCAGGTGCCTTCAGATCTCTCCTTCCTCCACAGTTTCCTAAGGATCTGAGTCTGAGGTCTGACACTGATGGTCCTGAACAGCCTGTCCTGCTCCCTGTCCCCTGTGTCCAGCCCATTATACTAAACTGAACCGAGGAGTAGCAGCAAGCTCCAAGAAGCTCCCTGGGCAACCCAGGACAAGTCTCTTCCCCTCCCTGGGTCTCCCGCTTCTCTCCAGCTTCCTGGGGAACGCAGCAGCACAGGCTGCACCACTATAGTTAATTTAAAATCTGCGGCAGCTCCAGCCTGTGCCTGGAGTTGAAAGGAGGATTTGCTGCCGCTGCTGACTTGGCAGGAGCTGTTGGTGTGGGAGTGATTTTTTTTTTTAGAGTTATCTTCCCTTTTAAATTCAGATTACAAAGGAAAAAAAAGTATATAGAGATGTGTATATGATTAATGTTCACTTAAAATTCAAAAGCCATCTCTGCATTAAGAGGAAAGGTTCCCACAGTAACACACACAAAAAGAAAATTCTAGAACATAGAAGATAGAAAAAAAAAACCCAGAGAGATAGTTTGCATTTCTGTACATTAAAATAGGGAAAAAAAAAAAGAAAGGAAAAGGAAATAAAAACAAAACAACAGAAAAAGTTACATAAACTTGCCCACCCTCTTCCCTCACCAGCTAAACAAGAAATGGAATCACAGTATTACCACGTTTCAAATGGGAGGCTAAAAAACAAACAAAAACATAGACGGGGTTAAAAAATGTTGAGCTTTCCTTTTTTTCCATTTGTTTCTCTCTCTCTTTTTTTCTTTTCTTTTTTTTTTTAAAGGTATCGTCCAAGAATACCACCCCCAGTATTTTTTCCCGAAGACGGTTTCGTTCATGGTAAAGTCTGGGACCCCTCTCCCATCCCCCATCTCACTTTTCTGCATATGAGCAAGAACTAGCCTCTTTTGACTCCTCAGGGGTCTTTTTAAGGCAGAGAGGCAGGGATCTGAATGCAGGTTTGAGACCCGGGATGCTCTGAAGTCCCAGATCTCCCAGGGCCCCAAGGGTGAGGGATAGGATTTGGGGACCATGCTTGGTGAAAGGAGTCACAAAATGCCGTCTCCAAGAAAACTCCCAGGGCTGTGCCAAACTAGAGTCCCATGCTGGGAGGGAGACAAGATGTGGGTGCTTCAGAAGCTCCCGCCCCAAGGCTGGTGGCTGGGTCCCCTTCCCCGACTGCCCTATCCTGGGGATGCCTAGATGCTGTGGCCATTTTGTCTGCATTGGGGAGGGGGTGGAGGTGGGATCATTGCTCAGGACTCCAGGGCTGGAGAGAGGACCAGAGGTACGAAGGGACCCACTTCCAGCCCTGACTTCAGAGAACCCGCATCTCTGTGTCTCTTGGGAGGCCCCAGAAGGGTGGATGAGAAGCTGGCAAGAAGGTGTTTCGGGTCCTGTGCTCTTGGGACTCCATGCCCACAGGGGTGGGGGATGGTGGGTGCCCCTCTTGTGGGTTGTTAATCCTCTCCAGCCTCTGCCATGCTACCCTCAGCTACCTCTGCCTGCCCTCAACCCCCTCCCAAGACAGATCCGGGGACATCAGTGTCATCCTCCCTGCGCGGCCCAACCAAAACCCCCAGAGCCCAGGAGCCTGGTGCCTGGTCCAGGTGGGACAGTCTAGAGACAGGTAAATGTCCTTCAATAAAACTTAACCTTGAGACCAAGAGCCTTCAGTCAGCTGCCCTTGACTTTCCTCTCTGAGGCCGTGGGAGTAAAGGGTGTTTGAGAAAAGAAAGGGAGTGAAAGGAAACAGCCAAAAATCAAAATGAAACTGACCAACACGTACATGTTTGCTGCTGAGACCTGAGGTCTGGGGAGGGGCAGCTCTCCCACTCCCAGCTGAGGCTTTGGGGTTGGGTGGGGGGCAGTCTGCGGGTCTGGGAAGGAACCTGCAGGTCTCCCCACCCCAAGCCACCCCCCCACCCACCCCAGTGCCCCTGCCAGCACTGCAGCCCCCTCTCTCTGAGGGGTCTCAACTGTGTACTCTATAATCAACAGACCAGAAGGGGATGTGGACCTTCCCTGGGGTCTGGGAGAAGCCCCAACCCAGGCCCAGCCCATCCATCTGGGGACAGGCTGAGACGTCTCTCTCCTCTGCCAGCTCCCCCATTGCACCTGCCTGTAGGTCTTCGGGCATCTGTGCCCCTCTTGGAGGAAGGGTGGGGACAGTTTTGGGGGTGTTGGTGTGGGGTCTCTGAGGCACGCTGGCAGGTGCCTCAGGAGGGTGGCCGTGGGAAGAGGAGCCGGCAGGTTTGAGACACCAGTCCAAGTGTGGGCGGTGCCTGGAAAAGGGCAGAGTCTCCTCAGAGCAGGGACTTTAGAGGGCAGAGGGACTGAGATGGGGGAGGGGGCTGAGGGAGGGAGGGGCTGGGGAGAAGATTGAGGGAGGGGGAGGGGGGTGCTCAGAGGTGGGGCCAGGGCTTGGTGGGAAGAGGGAGACTCAGGGCCCAGGTGGTGCCCAGTGGGGGGTCCTGTCTCTCGAATCCTGCTCCTGCCTGGGACTCCTATCAATGTCCATGCCCCTCCCACCCTAATATGCCTGGGGAGGGCACGAGACCCTGATTCCTCCCCAGCCCTGTACCCAACTCAGTGCCCCGCGGTCAACCCCCCTCTGGCCTTCAGTTTGCCAAGCGCAAGGGTGGCCCAAGACCGCAGGCGCCCCTCACCCTGACACCAGGGCCAGGTGGGCGCAACGGCCTAGCACTCCCGGCGGCTCCCGAGCCAGGACGCCCAGCGGGGAGCCGAGGAGGGAGGAAGCGGCCGCCCCCGCCCCCGCCCCCATGCCACACTTATCGCCCCCTGCCCCGCTGGCGACCCGCCCGACCACGCACGGCGCAGCCCGCGGCGCGGGAACCCTCCGCAAAGCGAAGCGTACGTACATCGGGCGGGCTGTGCGCCGAGCCGGGGCGGCCCCCGTGCGCTCCGCTCCGCTGCCCGCTGCCGCCGTTCCGCTGGGGCGACCCCCATCCGCTGCCGCCCGACGGGGAAGGCGACCGGCTTCCGCTGGACCGCTGGCTGCCCGTCTTTCGCCCTTCGTCTCGGTGCTTGGGGCTCAGCCTGGGGTTAGGCGCCAGGAAGAATGGGGGAGTCGGCGTGGGACACCCGCTTTGCAAGCAGTTGCGCCTCCTCTTTCCCCCTTCCCCAGCACGGGGAAAGAGAGCAGCCCTCCACCTGCCTTTTCACCATGCTGGGAACCTTTCCACTTAGAGAGGGCTTGACCAGGGTGAGCCAGCGAGGCTGTGCCTCGATTTCCAATTCAGGCGGAGGCTTAGGGGCCTTAGGGCAGCTCTTCCTCAAGTTATCACTCCCCTGGTAAATTTCTCTTTTTAAAAATTATTATTAGGCTGGGCTTGGTGGCTCACGCCTGTAATCCCAGCACTTTGGGAGGCCGAGACAGGCGGATCGCTTGAGGTCAGGAATTCGAGACCAGGCTGTTCGAAATGGCGAAATCCCATCTCCGCTAAAAATACAAAAATTAGTCGGGCATGGTGGTGCACGCCTGTAATCTCAGCTACTCGGGTGGCTGAGGCTGGAGAATTGCTTGAATCCCGGAGGCGGAGGTTGTAGTGAGCCAAGATTGCACCACTGCTCTCCAGCCTGGGCAACACAGCAATACTCGTCTCAAAATATATATTATATATATAAATATATATAATAATATATATAATATATAAATATATTAAATATATATTAATATATAACATAATTAAATATAAATATATAAAATATATAATATATAAATGTTTATATATTATATATTTAATATATAAATATTTATATATTAAATATATAATATATAAATATTTATATATTAAATATATAAATATATAAAATATATAAATATTTATAATATATATAAATATTAAAATATATATCTATATTTATATATAGATATATAAATATATATAAATTAAAATATATAAATATATTAAATATATTATTTATATGAAAATATACATTAATATTTATATTGAAATATATATTAATATTTATATTAAAATATGTTAATATTTATATTAAATATATAAATATATAATATAATTAAATATAAATATATTAAATATATAAATATTTATATATATTAAATATATAAATATTTATATATATTAAATATATAAATATTTATATATATTAAATATATAAATAAGGCCGGGCGCGGTGGCTCACGCCTGTAATCCCAGCACTTTGGGAGGCCGAGGCGGGCGGATCACGAGGTCAGGAGATCGAGACCATCCCGGCTAAAACGGTGAAACCCCGTCTCTACTAAAAATACAAAAAATTAGCCGGGCGTAGTGGCGGGCGCCTGTAGTCCCAGCTACTTGGGAGGCTGAGGCAGGAGAATAGCGTGAACCCGGGAGGCGGAGCTTGCAGTGAGCCGAGATCCCGCCACTGCACTCCAGCCTGGGCGACAGAGCGAGACTCCGTCTCAAAAAAAAAAAAAAAAAAAAAAAAAAAATATATATATATATATATATATATATATATAAATATTTATTAAATATATAAAATATATAAATATTAAATATATAAATATATATAAATATTAAATATATATAATTATATATAATAAAAGTAATAATTATTATTATTACTTTTAATTAAAGAAGGAAGTCTATGTTGCCCAGGCTGGTCTCGAACTCCTGGCCTCAAGCGATCCTTCTGCCTTGGCCTCCCAAAGTGCTGAGACTACAGCAGTGAGCCACCACACCTGGCTACCCCTGATAAACTTCTACCCACCGATGAATTGACATTCTGTCCACCAGCCCTGCTCCCCAGCCCTTGGGGGTGTTTAATCTGCAACCCTCATCCCCCACCAGGAGAAAGCCTCCCAGAGGCCCAGGCCTACCTGCTGGGAGATCTGGAATCACTGTAGTGGGAGGAGAGGGAGGGGCTGTGGGAGCTGCCACTGCTATGGCGATGAGACCTCCGGCCTGGGGACTCTGTGTGAGGCCTGGCGTGGATGGGGGAAATCAGCCTGTACCTCAATTCTGCCCCCCGTGATCCCCCCAGCCCCCAAGTTGCCCAGCCTCCCACCAGGATCCCAGTGGAACCCTACTGAAAGCCAGTGTTCATCAGTCCCCTAAAGTCTCCTATAAAAGGTACATCAGCAGTGTTGGTGCTGGCTGCAGAGCCTATCTGGTCCATATGGGTCATCTGTGAGAATTAGTAAAAGGCCCCCTTTTCTCTAGACAACCCCAGCCTCCCAAGACCCCCCTCAGCCCTCAGCAGGTGATCCTGGGACTTGTGGGGTGGGAGGAAGGAGGGTGGGAGTCACGAGGACTGGGCTTGGGAGGACCCTGGATTGGAAGGCAAGAGGCCTGGGTTTTGGTTCAAGCTCTGACTCAGCAAGAGCCCTTGGCTTTCTTTCTAGATCTTAATTTTTCCATCTGGGCAAAATGAGCTACCTTTAATGGCCTGATTCTGTGATTCTAAAAGGCGTAGTTTGCTGGGGCGGGAGGGAGAACGAATGGGGGGCTGGAGAGTAGGGAGGGCGCTTACCTCTTCTTCTCTTTGTTCTTCTCTTTTCTTTTGCACTTGGAGCTTCGAGATCTGCAGAGAGCAGAGACCACAGTGATGGTGTGGCCCGGGGAGGGTGTGGCCTTCGTGCCCTGGAGCCTGGGTATACTCAGGTGTGGATCTGAGATTTGTTCCACTCTAGGGCCTAAGCCCCATGGCTGGCGGGGACTTTTCCATCCTACTCCACCCCTTTGTCCCTTTCACTCAGCCAAAGCTCCGGCCTTCCTCCTCCTGGAAGTCCTGGCCCGTGAACACCTCCCTGGGTCGCAAATGCTGCCCAGTCTGGGAGGGCCACAGAAGTGTGGCTGGCCCCAGATAAAGTGGGGTGCTATAGCCGGGCATGGTGGCTCACACCTTTAATCTCAGCACTTTGGGAGGCTGAGGCCAGTGGATCACTTGAAGTCAGGAGTTTGAGACCAGCCTGACCAACATGGAGAAACCCAGTCTCTACTAAAAATACAAAATTAGCCAGGCGTGGTGGTGTGTGCCTATAATCCCAGCTACTAGGGAGGCTGAGGCAAGAGAATCGCTTGAACCTGGGAGGCGGAGGTTGCGTAAGCTGAGATCGCGCCTTTGCACTCCAGCCTGGGCAATAAGAGTGAAACTCCGTCTCAGGAAAAAAAAAAAAAAAAAAAAGGCAGGGGTTGCTGTTTGCAGGTGTGGCAGCCTCAAGCCTTAGGTCTGGGCCAGATAGAAATGGTGATTTGCTCTTGTCTTTTGGTACTGGACTTGGGACATGCCCAATACTCATTCCCTTGAGTATTGGGGTGTGGCCTGATAATCATACCTCCTGTGCCCCCTTCCTCCGTGTGCTCCCAGACTGGCCCAGCCCTAGGCCAGCTCACCAGGGGTTTAGGAAAGAAATGCTTTCCCAAGGGCATGATGTCCCTGCTTTTTTTTTTTTTTTTTTTTTTTTTTTTGTCTTGAGACAGAGTCCCGCTCTGTTGCCCAGGCTGGTGTGCAGTGGCACAATCTCAGCTCACTGCAACCTCCACCTTGCAGGTTCAAGCAATTCTCATGCCTCAGCCTCCCAGGTAGCTGGGATTACAGTAGCCTGCCACCACGTCTGGCTATTTTTTGTTTGTTTGTTTGTTTGTTTTAGTAGAAACAGGATTTCACCATGTTGGCCAGGCTGGTCTCGAACTCCTGGCCTCAAGTGATCTGCCCACCTCAGCCCTCCAAAGTGCTGGGATTACAGATGTGAGCCACCGTGCCTGGCCAATCTCCCTGCTTTTGAATGACATCTCTGGATCCATCTGCAGGGCTGCCCCCTCCCAACTCCCACAGCTTCCTGTCACATCCCATCCAGCCCTCTGGGGCAAGCCCCCCAACCCAGCACCCTCTACCTTTGATGAAAGGCCTGAGAAGCTTCTGGTTAGCCCTCAAAGGTCTCACCCAACCCCAATCCTCAGCCCCATCCTCCCTGGTGCCACCAGATCCCTTCAGTCCTTCTGACCCCAAAACAAAGCCATACTAAGGAACACAGAAATGTGCTCCCACAGGAGCAGAGTGACTGCGGGGAAGGCCCGGAGGCTATGGGTTTGGGTGCTGGAGCCTGCTTTGGGCTTCAGTCTCCCCATTGGAAGTTGGTCTATTCCTAGTTCACTTTTAGGACCTGTCCAGGAAGGATGGGAGCTGGCCAGAGGGTGTGTGTAAGCTAATGGTGGCCACTTGGGGGCAGTAGGGACCCACACTGATCCATAGACACTGGGAGGCCAGGGGAAGATGAAAAATTGGGGACATTGGAGGGGCAGGATTAGGTGTTTATGTAGGCTCCTCCCCTACTTGGCAAATTCCCACTACAAAGAAGGAACTCCAGACTCTGCCCTTCCTCTGGGCTGCTGGAAGGGGGTCTGGCTCTGATGCCACCTCTGGAATGTGACTGCCCCACAACTTCCTTCCGAGCTCTCCTCTCCTCTCCTTTCCCTTTTCCCTTCTTTTCCTTTCCTTTTCTTTTCTTTCTTTCTTTCTTTCTTTTTTTTGAGATGGAGTCTTGCTCTGTCGCCCAGACTGGAGTGCAGTGGTGCGATCTCAGCTCCCTGTAATTTCCTCCTCCCAGTATCAAGCGATTCTCCTACCTCAGCCTCCCAAGTAGCTGGGATTACAGGCACCCGCCACCATGCCCAGATAATTTTTGTATTTTCAGTAGAGACTGACTATGTTGGCCAAGCTGGTCTCAAAGTCCTGACTTCAAATGATCCAGCCACCTCGGCCTCCCAAAGTGCTGGGATTACAGGCATGAGCCACCACACCCAGACTTTGTTTTTTTTTTTTTTTTTTTCTGAGACAGAGTCTCGCTGTGTCACCCAGGCTGGAGTGCTGTGCACTCCACTGCAATCTCTTGGCTCACTGCAACCTCCGCCACCCGGGTTCAAGTGATTCTCCTGCCTCAGCCTCTCGAGTAGCTGGGATTACAGGCGCTTGCCACCACACCCAGCTAATTTTCGTATTTTCAGTAGAGACAGGATTTCACCATGTTGTCCAGGCTGGTGTCAAACTCCTGGCCTCAAGCGATCCACCTGCCTCAGCCTCCCACAGTGCTGGGATTATAGGTGTGAGCCACCGTGCCTGGCTCAGGCTGTTTTCTGCTTTCTCAGCAACCCTCTTCTCCTGCACCACTCTGCCTCCACCTGGACTCCTGCCTTTCACTTCCTCTCCCCTCCCCCAGTCCACCCTGAACAAGCCACTGCCCTGCTCAGAGCTCCCCCACACTAACCCCCAGCCCTCCTGGGTGGAGGATGGCTCCATAACCTGGCAGTCAAACCTGTTGGGAGGCTAGCACCTGTCCCCGAGAAACTCTACCTCTAGCCACAGCTCCCCGACCCTGCCTCCTATCCATGGAGCCCTCCCAGCTCACAGAGGTCCTCCTGCCTCGCGAGCTGTTTCCCTGCAAATTCAGGGTCTCGGTGTTTCTGCTTGTCTAACTGGCACCTCCACAGACAGACACACCCCTTGGGCATTGGACCTGCCATGTTGTCTAGAAATTCTTGGGGTCACCACGTCATGGCTGATGCATGGGGCAGGCAAGGGTTGCAAACAGTTGGTTTTCATGCTCCTTCTCCACTGCCCTGTCCCCGCAGCCTGGCTGTGGGAAGGAACCCTGGAGCTGAAGGATGGAGCCCTGTGGGACCCTCAAAACCCCCTCCCATCATTGCGTCCTTTGGGCTTTGGTCCTTAAGGGACCACTGACCATGTCCTCTGCAAAGCGCCGCTCACCTGTGCCGTCTCTTCCTCCGGGACCCAGAATCAGACCTGTAGGGCGATAAAGGAGTTCTCTTGAGCCTGCCTGGGGTGGCCCAGGGGAGACCTATGGAGGGCCACAGCCCTGGCCCTGGGCCCCACGGGAGGAAGAGGAGGCCCCAGGGTGGGGGCAGCAAGGGTACCTGTCTCGGCGATGCTTCTTCACACTCTTCTTCTTCTTGCGGAGGGGTGAGGAGCTCCCACAGCTGTGGACACAGGGAGGTGGGCTCTAGTGAGCTGGGGTGGGGGGTGGGGGGCTGGAAATGGCTGGAGAGACCTGGGTGCTTGGGACATTGAAGCTGGAAAGGGAATTCCAGGCCAGGAAGCCCAAGGTCCCTTGTACAGAGTGACCCGAGGCCCCAAGGGTCGCCAAGGTCCCTCAGGGTAGTTGATGGCGCTGCCTATGTTGTCCCCACAATTGTGGGGACAACAATGTCCCCCCTGGCATTGTGGGCAAAGATAGTTTCAAACCCAGAAGTCAGAGGCTCCAACGGTGGGATTCACGGCCTCTGTAGGGGCAAAACTTGCACCTTGGCAGTGTCCAGGTGCAGGCCCTGAGGGTCCAGGCCTCCGGCCTCTGGGGGATGGCCTTGGAATCTCTCCCACCCACAGACATCCCCCGCCCTGGCCCCAGCCAGCTCTGTCCCCACTGACCTGCATTCGGACTCCAGTCTCCTCTTTTTGCTGAGGGCAGATGCCAGGAAGAAAGGACAGACGGATGGATGGGGTTAGTTGGGGCCCCAGACACTTGCCAGGGTCTCACGCAGGACAGGGGAGGGTGGACAGAGAGATTCGGGGATGGCAGATGAGGCCCCTCCTCCCCAGGGCCACTCGCACTAGTGTTGGTGGGCACGGGACCCCTGGGAGGGCAGAGGGGGACTGGGAGCAGGTGCTGGTAACACACGGGCCCGGTCAGTGAGTCTGGCTCTGGGGGATTCAGTGAGAGGCAGGTGCTAGAGAAGGGCTCAGTGAGGGGCGGATCCCAGATAAGGGGAGGGGCTCGATGAGGGGTGGGGCCTAGTGGGGAGAGGACCTCGATGAGGGGCGGGTCCTAGAGAAGGGGAGGGGCTCGGTGAGGGGCGGGCCCCAGAGAAGGGGAGGGGCTCCTTGGGGGGCGGAACCTAGCGAAGGGGAGGGGCTTGTCGAGGGGCGGGGCCTAGCGAGGGGAGGAGCTTGAGGCCTGGGGTGGGTTCAGTTACCCGGAGGGCACCTAGTCGGGGGACGGCACGGGGAGGGCGAGGGAGGGGCTCAGAGAGGGGCGGGGCTCACAAATGCTGCATGGTTGTGAGCCAGGGACGGGCATCCGGGGAGAGACCCCACCTCCTCCTCCCTTCCCGCTCCGGTCAGGCGCGGTTCTCACCGGCTTCTCCGGTGGCCGCCTTTCTTTTTCTTCTTTTTCTTGGGAGGGGGCGATGCCGAGCTGCTAGACCAATGCTTGGTCCTGGGGGAGAAGGGGCGGGGGTGGGGGCGGTGAGGGGGGGCAGCCCCGCGCGCCCCCCACCCCCGCCGCGGCGGCCGCTGACCTGTACCCGCGGTGGCCGCGGTAGCAGGAGGCCGGGCAGTCACAGTCCACTGGGCCGTCGTCATCGTCAAAGGGCGCGTACTCCAGGCCCGGCTCAGCGCCCTCGGTCAGCCGCGGGGTCTCCGCCACACTGCCGGCGACAGGGACGCTCACCACCAGTCTCGGGACGACTTTTCTTCACCCCTTTTCTCGGCGCAGGGGGCCTGACCTAGCCCCGCAAGTCTGCGGGCTGCTACCCGGCTGGGGGAGGGGCGAGGGGTAACTGCGGCCCCTGGCCTTACAGGGCTAGGCAGAGATTTGGGGAACCCAACGGGGCACATCCCCTACAGGTCCCCGACCTCACGGTACAATCTTTTGCAAAAAAGAAGGAGATAACCGAGCCCCTTATTTAGCCCGCACCCCTTCTGAGTTCTCACCATCTCAGTAAGCCCCCTCCTCTTTTTTTTTTTTTTAATTTTGGAGATAGGGTCTTGCTCTGTTGCTCAGGCTGGGTTGCAGCGGTGGGATCATAGCTCACTGCAGCCTTGAACTTCTGGGCCCAAGCGATCCTTCCTCCTCAGCCTCTTGAGTAGCTGGGACTACAGGCGTGGACCCCTACCCTGGCTAATTTGAAAAATTTTGCAGAGACGGGGTCTCACTATGTTGCTCAGGCTGGTTTCGAACTCCTGGCCTCAAGCGATCCTCCCGTTTGATCTCTCAAAGTGCTGGAATTCCAGGCATGAGCCACCCTGCAGTCGTGGGTGGGGTGTGTGTGGCTACTCCTTAGATGAGGCTCCTCTTCTTCACTGAATCCCCTCCATATCCTAGCCCCATTCATTGAAGCCCTCCCCCTCAGTGAACCCCCCATTTGATCCCTGTGCCCCTAACCCTACTGTCCTATTCTGGGAACCCCATCCCCACCCCTCCTTTCTCTCACTGAACCCTAATTTCTCTTTTCTTTTCTTTCTTTTTTTTTTCAGTCTCACTCCGTTGTCCTGGCTGGAGTGCAGGGGCCCGATCTCGCCTCACTGCAACCTCTGCCTGCTGCAGTCTCCTGCAATCTCACCTCACTGCAACCTCCGCTTCCTGGGTTCAAGTGATTCTCCTGCCTCAGCCTCCCGAGTAGCTGGGATTACAGGTGCCCGCTAATTTTTGTATTTTTAGTAGAGATGGGGTTTCTCCATGTTAGTCAGGCTGGTATGGAACTCCCGATCTCAGATGATCTGCCAGCTTTGGCCTCCCAAAGTGCTGGGATTACAGGCGTGAGCCACCGCGCACGGCGAACTCTAATTTCTTCCTTTTTTTTTTTTCTTTTTCTTTTTCTTTTTTTTTTTTTTTTTTTTGAGATGGAGTCTCACTCTGTCGACTAGGCTGGAGTGCAGTGGCATGATCTCAGCTCACTGCATCCTCCGCCTGCTGGGTTCAAGCAATTCTCCTGCCTCAGCCTCCCGAGTAGCTGGGACTACAGGCATGCACCACCACGCCCAGCTAATTTTTTGTATTTTTAGTAGAGACGGGGTTTCACCATGCTGGCCAGGCTGGTCTTGAACTCCTGACCTTGTGATCCACCCACCTTGGCCTCCCAACGTGCTGGGATTACAGGCGTGAGCCACCGCGCCCGGCAAACTCTAATTTCTTAAAGAGCCCCTTCCTCCTGGCCTATCTCCGCCCTCCCCGAGCCCTGGCTCAATGATGTGGGTCTTTCCTCACCTGGGTGTCCTAGTCCCTGAGCCCCCTCCCGCTGGCTGAGTGCCTCCCTGCCCCGCTTCCCCTCCTTTCCTCCAGCCCGGCCTCTGTCGCTGAAATATTCATAGCCTCTCCTCGCCCTCCCCTCTGCAGCCTCCAGGGGCCCCCCCTGCTCATCTCTGGCAGCAGGACTGTGCTCATCAATCAAGCCTGGTGGCAGAGGGTGGGGGCCTCCAATACTCCCTATCCATCTTACAGAACTCTCCTTTTCGCTCAGCAGGGACCAGACACCTCCTGTCCCTGCTCCCGCAGCCCCAGCCAGCCTCTGCCACAGATGTTGGCTCCCTACAGGCTCTTCTCAGAGCGCTTCTTTTTTTCTAGAGGTAGCTGGGCTGGAGGCAAGAGCATGAGATTTGAAGCTCCAGACAAGGGCTCATCCTGCACTGTCCTGAGCCGCCTTGTGACCTGGAGCCTGCCGTGTCCCTCTGTGAGCCTCTTCTCGAAGGTGAGAGTGATAACTCCATTCCAGGGCTGTTGGGAGAATTTGCTGAGGTCATAGGTGCTGTGCAGTTTATTTTTTATTTTTTATTTTATTTTTTGAGACAGGGTCTCACCCTGTCGCGAGGCTGGAGTGCAGTTGTGCCATCACAGCTCGCTGCAGCCTTGAACTCCTGGCCTCAAGCGATCCTCCCACTCCAGCCTCCAGAGTAGCTGGGACTACAGGAGCACACCACCACTCCCAACTAATTAAAAAAAACTTTTTTTGTAGAGATGGGGTCTCACTATGTTGCCCAGGCTGGTCTTGACCTCCTGGCCTCAACCCAGGAGGATTGCTCAAGAAATTATCTTGCCTTGGCCTCCCAAAGTACTAGGATTATAGGTGTGAGCCACCATGCCTGGCCTTCTTTTTTTTTTTTTTTTTTTTTTAATTGAACAAGCCTGGAAGTGACCCTCCAGAGACCTGTCTCTAGGGGGGTGGCCCCGACCTTCCATTTTTTATCCAAGCTGGCTCAGACAGTGCCCTCCCCCACCAAGATGGAGGCTTAGCCCTGGTTTCAGCAGAGCTCCCCTTACTTCTGGGTGCTGTCCACCTGGCTCACCCCTTCCCCTCCTACAGCAATAGGGAAAAGGGCTTGGATCGGCAGAGCATTAAGAACATGAGTTTTGGATTTGTCAGAGGCATGTGAACCAGAGCAACTCCATCTTGAATAGGAGCTGTATAAAATGAGGCTGAGACCTACTGGTCTGCATTCCCAGGAGGTTAGGCATTCTGAGTCGCAGGATGAGATAGGAGGTCAGCACAAAATACAGGTCATAAAGACCTCGCTGATAAAACAGGTTGCAGTAAAGAAGCCAGCCAAGGGCCTGGCGGGTGGCTCACGCCTGTAATCCCAGCACTTTGGGAGGCTGAGGCGGGCGGATCACCAGAGGTCGGGAGTTCAAGACCAGCCTGACCCAACATGGAGAAACCCTGTCTCTACTAAAAACACAAAATTAGCCAGGCGTGGTGGCGCACACCTGTAATCTTAGCTACTCGGGAGGCTGAGGCAGGAGAATCGCTTGAACCCAGGAGGCGGAGGTTGCAGTGAGCCGAGATCATGCCATTGCACTCTAGCCTGGGCAAAAAGGATGAAACTCCAAAAAAAAAAAAAAAGAAAAAGAAGCCGGCCAAAACCCACCAAAACCAAGATGGTGATGAGAGTGACATGGCAATGTCAGGAAGTTACCCTTTGTAGTCTAGAAAGGGGAGGCACGAATAATCCACCCCTTGTTTAGCATATCATCAAGAAATAACAATATAAATGGGCAACCAGCAGCCCTCGGGGCTGCTCTGTCTATGAAGTAGCCATTCTTTTTTTTTTTTAAACAGAGTCTTGCTCTTGTCGCCCAGGCTGGAGTGCAGTGGCGTGATCTCGGCTCACTGCAACCTCCGCCTCCAGGGTTCAAGCGATTCTCCTGCCTCATTCTCCCAAGTAGCTGGGATTATAGGCACCTGCCACCACGCCCGGCCAATTTTTGTATTTTTAGTAGAGACGGGGTTTCACCATGTTGGACAGGCTGGTCTCGAACTCCTGACCTCAGGTGATCTACCTGCCTCGGCCTCCCAAAGTGCTGGGATTACAGACATGAGCCACTGTGCCCTGCCTGAGTGGCCATTCTTTCGTTCCTTTACTCTCTTAATAAACTTGCTTTTGCTTTGCACTGTGGACTCCCTCTGAAGTCTTTCTTGAGTGAGATTCAAGAACCCTCTCTTGGGGTTTAGATCAAATCCCTTTCCTGTAACAGATTCACAGAGACAGGTTTGAATCCAGGCATGACTAAGTTCTCGGTCATATCTATACATCGAGGGAAAGAACAGACCACCTTTGAGGAAAGTAAAATGCTGTCTATGAGGCCTGGCCTGTGACTGTCATCCGGGGAGGGGTAGCCACCGTTAAACAGAGGGGCCGTTGCTGCTACTTACACACCAACATCTCTTCCGGGGAGAAAAGACGCTGCAACACAGAAAATGAAACAGAGGGAAGGGAGGCAGGCCACAGCTACAGGGTAAAAGACAGATTTTTTAGGGAACCCACTAATTGACTCTTTGAAGCCTGATTTTGTATTTTAAAAAATGTAACCAGGCCGGGTGTGATGGCTCATGCCTGTAATCCCAACACATTGGGAGGCCAAGGTGGGAGGATCCCTTGAGGCCAGGAATTTGAGACCAGCATAGGTCTCAACATAGTGAGACTCCTGTCTTTACAAAAATAAAAATAAAAAGCAGGGCACAGTGGCATGCACCTGTGGAGTCCCAGCTACCTGGGAGGCTGGGGCCAGAAGATGGCTTGAGCCCAGGAGTTTGAGGCTGCAGTGAGCTATGATGATGCCACTGCACTCCAGCTTGAGTGACACAGCGAGACCCCATCTTTAAGAAAAAATAGCTGGGCGTGGTGGCTCATGCCTATAATCCCAGCACTTTGGGAGGCGAAGGCGGGCGGATCACCTGAGGTCGGGAGTTCGAGACCAGCCTGACCAGCATGGAGAAACCCCGTCTCTACTAAAAATACAAAATTAGCTGGGTGTGGTGGCACATGCCTGTAATCCCAGCTTCTTGAGGGGCTGAGGCAGGAGAATCGCTTGAACCCAGGAGGCGGAGGTTGCAGTGAGCCAAGATCGCACCACTGCACTCCAGCCTGGGTGAAAGAGCTAGATTCCATCTCAAAAAAAAAAAAAAAAAAAGAAAGAAAGAAAGAAAGAAAGAAAAGGAAAAATAATGTTACCCAAATATGACAGGGGTAGCTAGCCTTGAGGCCATTCTCAAGAACTTCATTCAATTCCCAAACAAGTCCCGATTCCCAAGCTGGGTGATGCCTTGATGTCACACAGCACGTAGCGAGGTTTTTCTGGGGTGACAGAGGAGAGGCTCATGTCATCCCCCAGCTTGTACAGAGCCAAACACCCCCACATTCCTTTGTTTAAACTTCTCTTTTCTTTTCCATGCTCCTCTTCCTGAGGCCAGTGGCGTCCTGCCTCCTGTCCTTGTCCCTAAAATTCCCAGCACCCTCAGCTCATCAAGCCCCATCCTTCCAGGGCCCATTACCCCTACACAGGTCCTCAGCCGCAAAAGTGCCTGCCTGACACATAAAACATAGTCTTTAGCAAAACTTAAGCTCACATTGCGTATTGTGTGGGTGAGCTGGTAGGAGCAGGGAGCTTCAGTTGATACTGACACAAAAATGATGAAGGTTATTTACAAAATAAAATAGCCCAGGCTGGGTGCGGTGGCTCGTGCCTGTAATCCCAGCACTTTGGGAGGCTGAAGCAACTGGATCATTTGAAGTGAGGAGTTCGAGACAAGCCTTACCAACATGGTGAAACCCCATCTCTACTAAAAATACAAAATTAGCCAGGTATGGTAGGACATGCTTGTAATCCCAGCTACTCAGGAGGCTGAGGCAGGAGAATCACTTGATCCTGGGAGGCGGAGGTTGCAGTGAGCCAAGATCGTGCCGTTGCACTCCAGCCTGAGCAATAAGAGCGAAACTCCATCTCAAAACAGCCCAGTTCAGCCAGGCACAGTGGCCCATGCCTATCATCCCAGCAACCTGGGAGGCTTAAGTGGGAGTATCACTTGAGATCAGGAGTTTAAAACCAGCCTGGGCAAGAAAGCAAGACCCCCGTCTGTACAAAAAAAAAAAACCCAAAAAACAAAAAACATGTAGATTAGCTGGATGTGGTGGTGCATGCCTGTAGTCCTGGTGGGATGACTACTTGAGCCCAGGAGTTCAAGGCAGCAATGAGCTGTGATTGTGTCACTGCACTCCAGCCTGGGTGACAGTGAGACTCCATCTCAAAAATAAATAAATAAATAAATAAAGATGAGCACAGGGTAGAGGAGCAGACACAAGGTCTTGGAACCTCCTGATACAACCTGTCCTGAGAGTCCCAGGGATAAGCATGGACCTGGGCTGAGGCTTCCTTTACTGGCTTTGTGCTGTGTGGGAACTCCCAGGGTTAGAATCCTAGACTCTCCTATCCTGCTTCTCCTAGATGACACTGTCACTAAGAACAATGTCCTTTTTTTTTTTTTTTTTTTTTTTGAAACAGAGTTTCACTCTTGTTGCCCAGGCTGGCGGGATCTCGGCTCACTGCAACCTCCGTCTCCTGCCTCAGCCTCCCGAGAAGCTAGGATGACAGGCCTGTGCCAACACGCCCAGTTAATTTTGTATTTTTATTTTTATTTTTATTTTATTTTTTTAATTTTTTTGAGACGGAGTGTCGCTCTGTCACCCAGGCTGGAGTGCAGTGGCACGATCTCGGTTCACTGCAAGCTCCACCTCCCGGGTTCACGCCATTCTCCTGCCTCAGCTTCCCGAGTAGCGGAGACTACAGGTGCCCACCACCACGCCCAGCTAATTTTTTGTATTTTTAGTAGAGACGGGGTTTCACCGTGTTAGCCAGGATGGTCTCGAACTCCTGACCTCATGATCCACCTGCCTCAGCCTCCCAAAGTGCTAGGATTACAGGCTTGAGCCACCGTGCCCAGCCTAATTTTGTATTTTTAGTAGAAATGAGGTTTCTCCATGTTGGTCAGGCTGGTCTCAAACTCCCAAACTCAGGTGATCCACCCACCTCGGCCTCCCAAAGTGCTGGGATTACGGGCGTGAGCCACTGTGCCCGGCCAAGAACAGTGTTCTTTAATGTTATTTATGTATTTATTTGAGATGGAGTCTTGCTCTGTCACCCAGGCTAGAATGCAGTGGCATGATTTTGGCTCACTGCAACAACTTCCACCTCCTGGGTTCAAGCCATTCTTGTGCCTCAGCCTCCTGAGTAGCTGGGATTACAGGTGCCCCCCACCATGCCCGGCTAACTATTGTATTTTTAGTAGAGTCGGGGTTTCACCATGTTGGCCAGGCTGGTCTTGAACTCCTGACCTCAAGTGATCCACTCACATTGGCCTCCCAAAGTGCTGGGATTACAGGCGTGAGCCACCGCGCCTGGCCTGTTCTTTAATATTTAAAGAGTGCTTCATAGTTCACAATCCCATTCATAGCCCCTTAATGATTTACAGAAATTGCACCCCTTTCCATTTTGCAGATGAGAAAACTGAGGTGCAGAGAAGAAAAGGAACATTCCCTATGATGTCAAGACCTTTTAGTAAAGCATATACGTTGAGTCTAAGGTGAGAGGATCACTTGAGACTGGGAGTTTGAGAGCAGCCTGGGCAACATAGTAAGATCACATTTCTACAAATCAAATTACATGAGGCCAGGCCCGGTGGCTCACGCCTGTAATCTCAGCACTTTGGGCCAAGGTGGGCAGATCACTTGAGGTCAGGAGTTCGAGACCAGCCTGGCCAACATGGCAAAACCCCATCTCTACTAAAAATACAAAAATTCGCTGGGCATGGTGGCACATGCCTATAATCCCAGCTACTTGGGAGGCTGACGCAGGAGAATCACTTGAACCCGGGAAGCGTAGGTTACAGTGAGCAGAGATCATAGAGCTGCACTCCAGCCTGGATGACAGAGTGAGACTCTGTCTCAAAAACAAACAAGCAAACACCTATATAAGTTCATCTAGCAACTGGCTTTGAGAATTCATGTGCAAATGACACAGCCCTTGAATGCGCTGGCTGACCTTCCCTGCTGGAGATGTAAGCCAGCATGAGGTCTTCCAGCTCACTCATCCCCTTCCGACTCGATAGATACTGTTGTGGGTGTGTGCTCTCTGAGTCCTAAATTTGTTTAATGTTTTATGCTCTTAAATTTTCATGTTTTCTTTTTCAATTATTTTTGTTTTTATTTATTTTTTGAGACAGAGCCTTATTCTGTTGCCAAGGCTGTAGTGTGGTTGCGTGATCTTGGCTCAGTGCAAACTCCACCTCCTGGGTTCAAGAAATTTTCCCACCTCAGCTCCCAGCTCCAGAGTAGCTGGGATTGCAGGCGTGTGCCACCATGCTCAGCTAATTTTTTGTATTTTTAGTAGAGATGGGGGTTTCACCGTGTTGGCCAGGCTGGTCTTGAACTCCTGACCTCAAGTGATCCAACCGCCTCAGCCTCCCAAAATGCTGGGATTACAGGTATGAACCACAGCTCCCAGCATTTTTTTTTTTAAATAGAGATGGGGGTCTTGCTCTGTTGCCCAGGCTGGTCTGGAACTCCTGGGCTCAAGTGATCCTCCCACCTCAGCCTTCCAAAGTGCTGCTGGGGGCCGGGCGCGGTGGCTCACGCCTGTAATCCCAGCACTTTGGGAGGCCAAGGCAGGCGGATCACAAGGTCAGGAGATCGGGACCATCCTGGCTAACACCGTGAAACCCCGTCTCTACTGAAAATACAAAAAATTAGCCGGGCGTGGCAGCGTGCGCCTGTAGTCCCAGCTGTTGGGGAGGCTGAGGCAGGAGAATGGCGTGAACCCGGGAGGCGGAGCTTGCAGTGAGCCGAGATTGCGCCACTGCACTCCAGCCTGGGTGACAGAGCGAGACTCCGTCTCAAAAAAAAAAAAAAAAGTGCTGCTGGGATTACAGGTGTGATCCACCGTACCCAGCCTTAAATTCATGTTTGCTAACTAGTTTACTCCTGATCATGTCTGTGGAGTAGGCAGGGGAAGTTTTACCCCCTTGTGAAAACAAACTGAGCCCCACAGAGCTGATCAAAGTGGACCCAGACAGAGTCTGCTACAAAAGGACAAAGAGCATGTGGAAGTGGAACACAGCCCCACAGAGGACGGGCGTCGGGCTGACCGCCATGGGCAGGGCTCTGCCCTGGGTAGAGACTGCCGGCAGCACGCTCTTCCTCATGCCAGCACTTTCGCCAATTAAATGGTCCTGTTTCCCATTAGCCAGGAACACAATGGCCCACTGACAGATGAAAGGGCCCAGATGTGGGAGGAGGGCGGGGAGTCCAGGCAAAGGGTCCACCCTCTCTGCTCATCACTCAGCCAGGCTGCCAGGCCTGCCAGGGGCCCTGGGTGGGGGTAGTGATGATAGAAACAGAGATGAATCCAGTCTCGAGCTTTTTCCTTCACTTCTCAGACTGTGGGGCAACAATATGACACGGTGCATATTATGATAATTACTGACCCAGGTGCCAGGTACGATGAGCACTTTACATGTATTAGTCTTATTTATTTATTTATTTGATGGAGTCTTTCTTCGTCACCCAGGCTGGAGCCTGTCTCTGTTCCTGTTTTGCTCCTACTCTGGCCAGAGAGATGAGGATTAAGTGGGGTAAGGTGGGAAATACTTTACCCCTCACTACCCAGCAATACAGAAAGTCTGCAAGAAGGGTTTCCCCGTTTCCTATTGAGGTCTGTCTGTTCCTACAGTGCTGCCAGCCTTTACGATGACTAAGACTGGGTGTGGTGGCTCATGCCTGTAATCCCAGCACTTTGGGAGGCCGAGGCGGGTGGGTCACCTGAGGTCACGAGTTCGAGACCAGCCTGGCCAATGTGGCGAAACCCCATCTCTACTAAAAATACAAAAAAATTAGCGGGGCGTCATGGTGGGCGCCTGCAATCCCAGCTACTCAGGAGGCTGAGGCAGGAGAATTGCTTGAACCCGGGGGGCAGAGGTTGCAGTGAGCTGAGATCACACCACTGCACTCCAGCCTGAGTGATAAGAGCAAAACTCTGTCTCAAACAAAACAAAACAAAACAAAACAAAAAAACAAAAATTAGCTGGGCCATGGTGGCATGCACCTGTAGTCCCAGCTACTCAGGAGGCTGAGGCAGGAGAATAGCTTGAACCTGGGAGGCAGAGGTTGCAGTGACCCGAGAGCACGCCACTGCACTCCAGCCTGGGCAACAGAGCAAAACCCTGTGTCAAAAAATAAATAAAAATAAATAAATAAATAAATAAATAAAGATGATTGCAACAGGAGAATCACTCAGAAGGTGCTGCTGGGATAGCGGAACAGCAAATGAATGAATATAATTAACTCCATTTTTGTTTAAGAGACCTTTACCCATTCCTGCATGTAGGCTAAGATTTATTATTATTATTATTTTATTATTATTTTTTGAAACAGAATCTCACTCTGTTCTGAGGCGGGTTCAAGTGATTCTCCCGCCTCAGCTTCCCAAGTAGCTGAGATTACAGGCATGTACCACATAGCCCAGCTAATTTTACTTCTAGCCAGAGAAGCATCAGATGTTGGTGCTGGGCGGGGAAACTGAGGGTGAACAAGGGGAAGGCTCATCTGAGTGGATTCAGCAACGCTCCCTGAGCACACGGTGCCTGCCAGGCATGGAGCTCGGCCAGCAATGGCTGGACAATCCCAGGCACAGGCTGTTCCCACCCTCATAATGCAGCCTCCTCCAGTGTTTGTATGGTTTTGAGTGGTTCACAGTTCGCCTCTGATCTGAGACAATATTTGCCTTGCTATAACTTGCCCGTTTGATCCAAGGCCCACCCAGAGGCCCACGGCAAACCGGTGTGCCTCCTATCCTGTGACAGGCGGCAGAGGCGTGACCTCAGCAAAGCCATACACCCTTTTTTTTTTTTTTGAGACAGAGTCTCGCTCTGTCACCCAGGCTGGAGTGCAGTGGCGCGGCTCACTGCAACCTCCGCCTTCCAGGTTCAAGTGATTCTCGTGTCTCAGCTCCCTGAGTAGCTGGGATTACAGGCCCAGGCCACCATGCCTGGCTAATTTTTGTGTATTTTGTAGAGATTGAGTTTCACCATGTTGCTCAGGGTGGTCTCGAACTCCTGAGCTCAAGCAATCCTCCCACCTTGGCCTCCCAAAGTACTAGGATTACAGGTGTGAGCCACCATGCCCAGTCTTACACCCTCTTTAGCCACCAAGCCATTGGTCATGGTAGCAGTGGGATTTGGTGTGTGGGCTCTTACATCCCAGAGTGTGTGCTTACTCTGAATTTTATTTGATTTTATTCTATTTTATTTTTTGAGATGGAATCTCGCTCTGTTGACCAGGCTGGAGTACAGTGGCAGGATCTCGGCTCACTGCAACCTCTGCCTTCCGGGTTCAAGCGATTCTCCTGCCTCAGCCTCCCAAGTAGCTGGGATTACAGGCATGTGCCACTATGCCCGGATAACTTTTCTATTTTTAGTAGAGACAGGGTTTCGACGTGTTGGCCAAGGCTGGTCTCGAACTCCTGACCTCAAGCGATCTGCCTGACTTGGCCTCCCGAAGTGCTGGGATTACAGGCTTGAGCCACTGTACCCTGCCCAAATTTCATTTCTATAGGAGGGAATCATCAGGGCTTGCCTGGGGTCACTTTGTCGGCCAGAGACAATGTTGGGTTCAGGGCATATCTGAGGTCTTCCGATTTGCAGCTCAGAATCCCCTGAGCTGAGATCTGGGCTGCCTTCCCCATGCCTCCCACTGCTGAGCCATAGGTAGGACCCAGGGAGGGTAGGAGGAGGCCCTTGGTGATGTCCAGATGTCCGTGGGCCAGGCCAGCATTTCCAGTGGGCAGAGACCATGCTCTCCTCTCCTTCTCCTTATCTTCTTCCTCTCCACCCCCTCACCTGAGCCCCAACCAGACCAAGCCACCTGGACAGGCCCCTTTAGTACCCAGCTGCTGCCTGAGCCTGCACCCCCTCTCCCTCATCCCCACACAGGTAAGCACTCACATGTGGCCCCCAGGCCGGTCCTCCCTGGTGAGCACTCCCTCCTTCTCCATCAGCATCTGCCGGAATGTCCCCACTTTCTGCCGAATCTCCTCCTCCGAATACCTGCAGGGGCACAGAGAGGGTGAAGGGGCTGGTCTCCCAGATTTGGTTCCCTCTTTCCTGCCCCGCACTCAGCCCAGCCCCGCCAACCCCTGGGTCACAAGTGCACACTCCGGCTTGCAATAACCTGTCCAAGGTCACAGATCAAGCCAGGTCTTCAGCACTGAGGAAGCTCAAGTTCACTGTACACAAGCCTGGCCAGGCGCAGTGGCTCTCGCCTGTAATCCCAGCACTTTGGGTGTCCGAGGCAGGCAGATCACCTGAGCTCAGGAGTGCGAAACCAGCCTGGCCAACATGGCGAAACCCTGTCTCTACTAAAAATACAAAAATTAGCCGGATGTGGTGGTGGGCGCCTGCAATCCCCGCTACTCAGGAGGCTGAGGTAGGAGAATCACCTGAACCTGGGAGGCAGAGGTTGCAGTAGGCCAAGATCACGCCACTGCACACCAGCCTAGGTGACCCAGAGACTCCATCTCAAAAAACAAACAACAGCAACAAAACATTGTACACCAGCCCAATCAACCAACCAAATAACCAACAAACAGACAAAAGAAAAACTTGTTCCCAGAGGTGGGGAGAGACGACCCCCTCGCCCCTCAGGTGAGGCTGAGCCCCTCCTCCGTACCCTCCTCCACCCACCAGGGCAGGCCTCCCTCCCACATCCAGACTGCAGTCGCTCTTTCGAGAATTTTAGGGGAAGAGTGAGAATTCTGGCTTTGAAACATACACAGCCTTTTCTGCCTTCCTGGCCTCCATGACATCCCATCCTCATATAGCCATGGGAGGTCGTCAAAGCACCCCCATTTCTGCAAGGGTAAGGCTGCCAAGTGGCTTGTAGGGGGGTTATCGGGGGGCAAGGGGTAGTTTCATTGCTTCTTTCTGCTGCTGGCTTGGGGTAGGGGGTGGCTGATATCTGGGCCTCAAATGGAAGCCCCTGACGTCTCTACTCCCCTCCCTCTCCCACCCTAAGCCCAGTCTCAGTTTAGGGACCAAAGTCCGGTTATCTACTCCTTATCCCTGCTCCCACTGCTGGGGTCAGTGGTCATTCTCTCTCACTGCTCCTCTGTGACAGCCACTACCTGGCCTCCCAGTTCCTCTGGAGTCTCTCCCTCCAGCCTGTGTCCACACTGCCCCTGGAGGTCTTTGATCATGCAGCCCTGGCCCCGTGCCTGGCATACAGCAGGTGTCCAGCAGCTGTTACTGAAGGGATCCTCTGGCAACTTCGAAAGGCAGGTCACATTCCCATTTCACAGATGTAGAAGCTAAGGCAAAGTGAATTGACTTGCCCAACCTCATAGAGCTGGGAAATGGGAGGTGCCAGGATTCAAAACAGGACTGCTGCACTCTTGGGGCTCTCCTTTTCAGCACTGGCCCCCATGGCTCAGCTAAGAGGGTTGACCTAGAAAAACATGAGAGCAGGGGATGCTCAGAGGTGGTGGTCACACTTGAGGCCTCTTTGTCCAGTAGCCAGATGTCATCCCGGGGTCCCCAGCTTCTCCCAGCAAGATGCCCTGGGCATGGAGGGACACTCCCTAGGCCTCCGAGTTGGTTCAACTCAACATTTCTATACACTTGTGTACACCTATACAACTTTTCTTTTCTCTCTTTTTTTTAATTTTTATTTTTTGAGACGGAGTTTCGTTCTGTCGCCTGGCCTGGAGTGCAGTGGTGCGATCTCAGCTCACTGCAACCTCCACCTCCCGGGTTCAAGTGATTCTCCTGCCTCAGCCACCCAAATAGCTGGGATTACAGGAGCCTGCCACCATGCCTGGCTAATTTTTGTATTTTTAGTAGAGATGGGGTTTCACTATGTTGGCCAGGCTGGTCATGAACTCCTGACCTCAGATGATCTGCCCAGCTCAGCCTCCCAAAGTGCTGGGATTACAGGCGTGAGACAACGCACCCGGCCACTATACAACTTTTCTAGCCTTAGCTTCTACATCTGTGAAATGGGAACACAACCTGCCTTTCAAGATTGTCAGAGGATTCATGGAGGTGATGTCATTATAGCACTTTGCACAGTGCCTGGCTTAGAGTAGGTGCCCAATAAATGGTAATGACTAAGGCTTATTTGTCCCAAACCTTTCTCTCTGCTCTCCCTGGGCTGCAGGTCGTTGTCTAGGACAGAGAACATGGTGAGGGGGAGGTAGGGATGATTAATGGATACAAAAAATAGAATGAATAAGACCTACTGGCCAGGTGCAGTGGCTCACATCTGTAATCCCAGCACTTTGGGAGGCTGAGGTGGGCAGATCACCTGAGGTCAGGAGTTCGAGACCAGCCTGGCCAACATGGTGAAACCCTGTCTGTACCAAAAATATAAAAAAATTAGCTGAGTGTGGTGGTGCACACCTGTAATCCCAGCTACCCACGAGGCCGAGGCAGGAGAATCGCTTGAACCCGGGAGGTGGAGATTGTGGTGAGCTGAGATTGCGCCCCTGCACTCCAGCCTGGGTGACAGAGCGAGACTCCGTCTCAAAAAACAACAAAACAAAACAAACAAACAAACAAAAAACCAACAAGAAAACCTACTGTTTGATAGCCCAACAGGGTGACTACAGTGAATAATTGTATATTTTTGAATAACTTAATGTAATTGGATTATTTGTAACTCAAAGGATAAATGCTTGAGGGGATGGATACTATATTCTCCATGATGTGCTTATTTCACATTGCATGCCTGTATCAAAGCATCTCATGTACCCTATAAATATGTATAACTACTATGTATATTAAATTTTTAAAAAATTATTTTAAAAAATTTTTGGACCCAGCGAAGTTTTAAAAAATAATTTTAAAAAAATTTAAAAAGAAGACATGGTGGCAGCATGGGTCCAGCCCTCCCCACTCAGCCATCCACGAAAATGGTATGTTTTGTTTTTTCCTTTCAGAGATCCCATCTCTCTACTCCCTGCTTCCCTCTGCTCCTTCAACAAATATTTGCAGGACAGCAATTTGACAATTATCTTCAAAAGCCTTTAAAAAAAATGAACACATGCTTTGACTCATACATTAACTTTCAGGTCTACCCTGTGGAAATAATCATGGCAAAGATTTGACTCCTTGGATGTTTACAGTAAGATGGATGCCTCCCCCCATCGCAGGTTCAATGCTAGCGTTTGCATGTCCATAGCAACCCATACATCCCAACTCCTGGCAGGTGGTTCAGGCTCCAGTAATTATCTGTTGGCTGGTCTGTATCCAATGCTGGCCTGGAGTTCCCTGAGGGCAGGGGCTTTGTCTGGTTCCCAGAGGCAGTCCCAGCACCTGGCCCCATGCCTGCCACATTGTGGCATCCAAAAATGTGTGCTAAATGAGTGACTGGTGATAGAGAGGCATGGAGAGTTTGAAGACTGGATTTTCCTTTTGAAAAAATGGCTCTGGTGAATTCATGGCTGGAGAAGAGAGAACTGGAGGCAGAAAGCTGGTGTTGCGCTACCATAGGGGTTCAGGAGGAGACAGTGACTCCAGAGCAGGGAGAGAGGTCTTGAGGATGAAGGGCGAGAAATGGACAAAAAGCCCTCTAGGAGGGAGATGGCTTGGGGACCAATCGGTTGAGTCAGAGGGATGGGACTTGGGGACCAATTGAATGAGTCAGGAGGTCTGGTTGGGTAAGAAGCATCACCTACTTCTTCTTCTTCTTCAACTTTTTTTTTTTTTTTTTTTTGAGATGGAGTCTTGCTCTGTCGCCCAGGCTAGAGTGCAGTGGCACAATCTCGGCTCACTGCAACCTCTGCCTCCCAGGTTCAAGCAATTCTCCTCCTTAGCTTCCCGGGTAGCTGGGACTACAGGCATCCGCCACCATGCCCAGCTAATTTTTGTAGTTTTAGTAGAGATGGGGTTTCACCATGTTGGCCAGGCTGGTCTCAAACTCCTGACCTCAGATGATCCACCCACCTCGGCCTCCCAAAGTGCTGGGATTACAGGCATGTTCCACTGTGCCTGGTCACCACCTACTTCTTAAGCAGGTGTCCCCTGACCCCCAGCTAGGGTCGGAGTCTGTGTGGGTTCAGCCTGCTGTGTCGCTCACCGTGGGGAGGGCTGGGTCCTGGCCTGGTTAGGGGTGGGGGGCTTTTCTTCTAACCCCCCATCCCCTCGTGGCTCAGGCCACCCTGCACTGCTGCCACCAACCTAGCTCCACCAAGTTCAGGGCCCTGGCTCCTCAGTGTCCACCTCAGTCCCTGTGTGGCCCTCAGACTCGGGCATTCACCTGGAGGTCCCTTGTCTGGGCATGTGAGTTGGGCAGTGCAGAGCCTGGCACCCAGGAAGAAAGGGTGGTGCCCCACCCCCCCAGCAGAGGCAGAGAGCAATTGCTCCCACATCACCTTCTCTTGCAGAGACTAGCTTGTCACTGTCACCAGCACAGAGACAAACACAGCACAGGCCCTCCAACACTGCTTAGCCCCTAATTTATAGGCCCCACAGAGGGAGACAGAGACTGGCATGGGACCCTGGGCCAGGTGGGTGGGAAGAGATGGCCTAAGGGTGAGGGTGGGCCATTCCCCAGCTGCTTGTGGGGGGCTGGCAGGGGGTTTCAGGCCAGGATCCAAGCCCCCTTTCCTGGGGGTCTTTGGCACATGGAAGGCTGGGAAATGGGCACAAATGGGTTTCAGGGAGACCTGCAGCGGCATATATGCAGGGCTGGGGGTCGTCCTGGAGTCAGTGGGCTGGAGGCAAGTTGATGAACTCCAGCACCTGTCTGTTGAGGATGGGCTGCTGGATTGAACCAACTCAGAGGCTTGGGGAGGGTCCCTCTGTGCCCCAGGGTATCTTGTTGGGAGAAGCTGGGGACACAAGGATGACACCTGGTGATTGGTCTCATGTGACCACCACCTCTGAGTGTCCTTTCCCCTCTTATCTCTTGGAATCAATCTTCTCAGCTGAGCCACTTGGGACAGTGATGACGGGGAGAGACAGAGGAGCCCAACAGTCCTGCTTTTGAATCCTGGCACCTCCCACTTCCCAGTTCTGTGGCCTTGGGCAAGTCCATGTGCTTCTCCCAGCCTTAGCTTCTAATCTGTGAAATGGGAACAGGACCCACCTTTCAAGGTTGTCATCTGGATATTAGTCCCCTCCCAATCTCATGTTGAAATGTGATCCTCAGTGTTGGAGGTGGGGTCTGGTGGGAGGTGTTTGGGTCATGGGGGTGGATCCCTCAAGAATGGCTTGGTGCCCTCCCCATGGCCATGAGTGAGTTCTCACTCTATTACAGAGGTTGCTGATACCTCAGGTTGGGGTACCACTCTGTGGCCTATTAGGAACCAGGCTGCACAGCAGGAGGTGAGGAGCAGGCAAGGGGGCAAAGCTTCACCTGTATTTATAGCTGCTCCCTATCACTCCCATTACCACCTGAGCTCCACCTCCTATCAGATCAGTGGTGGCATTAGATTCTCATAGGAGTGGGAACCCTGTTGTGAACTGCGCATGCGAGGGATGTAGGTTGCACGCTCCTTGTGAGAATCTAATGCCTGATGATCTGTCACTGTCTCCCATCACCCCAGATGGGACTGTCTAGCTGCAGGAAAACAAGCTCAGGGCTCCCACGGACTCTACATGATGGTGAGTTGTAGAATTATTTCATTACATAATACAGTCTAATAATAATAGAAATAAAGTGCACAATAAATGCAATGTGCTTGAATCATCCTGAAACCATCCCCCCACCACCCCGCCTAGTCCATGGAAAAATTTTCTTTTTTTTTTGGGAAACAGAGTTTCATTCCTGTTGCTCAGGCTGGAGTGCAAAGGTGCAATCTCGGCTCACCACAACCTCCATCTCCCCGGTTCAAGCGATTCTCCTGCCTCAGCCTCCCAAGCAGCTGGGACTACAGGCATGCGCCCCCACGCCCAGCTAATTTTTGTATTTTTACTAGAAATGGAGTTTCTCCATGTTGGTCAGGCTGGTCTCGAACTCCCGACCTCAGGTGATCCACCCACCTCAGCCTCCCAAAGTGCTGGGATTACAGGCGTGAGCCACCTCGCCCAGCCAGAAAAATTTTCTTCCACAAAACTGGTATCTGGTGCTGAAAAGGTCGGAGACTGCTGCTCTATTAGTTTAGGAAAGAGCTGATTGTTTTAAGGAGTCTGGGGTGTCTCTCCTCTCCCTCTTTCTCCCTCTGGTGCCATGTGAGACATGCTGGCTCCCCTTCTTTTCCATCATGACTAAAAGCTTCCTGAGGCCTCACCAGAAGCCAATTGGATGCCAGCGCCATGCTTCTGTACAAGCCTCTAGAACCGTGAGCCAAGTAAACTTATTTTCTTTATAAGTTACCTAGCCTCAAGTTTTCCTTTAGAGCAATGCAAAGTGGGCTAACACAGACGTGATGTATTTACATCACTTTGCACAGTGCCTGGCATATAGTAGGTGCTCAATGAATGGTAGCAACTGGCCAGACACAGTGGCTCATGCCTGTAATCCCAGCACTTTGGGAGGCCAAGGTGGGTGGATCACTTGAAGTCAGGAGTTTGACCCCAGCCTGGCAAACATGATAAAACCTTGTGTCTGCTAAAAATACAGAAATCAGCTGGGCGTGGTGGTGCGTGCCTGTAGTCCCAGCTACTCGGGAGGCCAAGGCAGGAGAATCACTTGAACCCAGGAGACAGAGGTTGCAGTGAGCTGAGATTGCGCCATTGCACTCCAGCCTGGGCAATGGAGTGAGACTCTGTCTCAAAAATAAATAAATAAGTAAATAAATAAATAGTAGCAACTGAAGCTTATCTGTCCCAGAGCAGTGGGGACAGAGTGTACAGTCATCCCAGGCTCCCTGCCCTTTTCCATCTGAGACCCCTGCCAGGTTGGCATGGCACCAGCTCCGAGAATTGCCTGGGCCTCTTCTCTGTCTGTTCTGCCAGGAGGCAAAGGCTGGGATAAAGGGGGAGGCTGCTACCCAAACCACTTGCTCCCTGTGGAGGTGGCAGAGCCGGCCAGCCTAGGGCCATGCAGGAAGGCTGGCTAGCATGGCCAAAGCTTCAAACTCAAAGTCAAGGGTTTCTAGGCCGGGCACAGTGGCTTATGCCTGCAATCTCAGTACTTTGGGAGGCCGAGGCGGGCAGATCACTTGAGGTCAGGAGTTTGAGACCAGCCTGGCCAACATGGTGAAACCCCATCTCTACTAAAAATACAAAATTAGCTGGGCATGGTGGCATACACCTGTAATCCCAGCTACTTGGCAGGCTGAGGCAGGACGAATCGCTTGAACCTGGGAGGCGGAGGTTGCAGTGAGCCAAGATGGCGCCATTGCACTCCAGCCTGGGTGACAGAGGGAGACTCTGTCTTGAAAAAAACAAAAAACCAAAAAAACAACGTCAAGGGCTTGTGTGTGGGTGGGGAAGGGGGAATAGGGGGCAGTGATGTCTGTCCCAGGGTCCCCAGCCTCTTGGCCCACGTGTTCCCCCAGCCAGTCTGGCTCCCTTAGTCCTCATGCCACTCTATGGGCCATAAGGGAAGGGCATGCCAAATGCATTGTGGCTTTGGGGATTTCCTGGGTCGCTCTCTGGGACAGGAGTAGGGTGAGGGGACACTGAATTTTAAGAGTTCCTCAGAGTGAAAAATGTTTTTTTTTTTTTTTTTTGAGATGGAGTCTCGCTCTGTTGCCCAGGCTGGAGTGCAGTGGCGCAATCTCGGCTCACTGCAAGCTCCGCCTCCCGGGTTCACGCCATTCTGCTGCCTCAGCCTCCTGAGTAGCTGGGACTACAGGCACCTGCCACCACACCCGGCTAATTTTTTGTATTATTAGTAGAGAAGGGGTTTCACCGTGTTAGCCAGGATGGCCTCGATCTCCTGACCTCGTGATCTGCTCGCCTCGGCCTCCCAAAGTGCTGGGATTACAGGCATGAGCCAATGCACCCGGCCTATTTTTAATTTTTAAAAGTAGAAATGGAGTCTTGCTATGTTACACAGGCTGGTCTCAAACTCTTGGCCTCAAGCAATTCTCTCACGTCAGCCTCCCAAAGTGCTGGGATTACAGGAGTGTGCCACTATGACCAGCTAATTATTATTATTATTATTATTGTTATTATTATTTGAGACAGAGTTTCACTCTTGTTGCCCAGGCTGGATTGCAATGGCGTGATCTCAGCTCACTACAATCTCCACCTCCTGGGTTCAAGCGATTCTCCTGCCTCAGCCTCCTGAGTAGCTGGAATTACAGGCGTCCACCACCACACCTGGCTAATTGTTTTGTATTTTTAGTAGAGATGGGGTTTCATCATGTTGGCCAGGCTGGTCTCGAACTCCTGACCTCAGGTGATCCACCTACCTTGGCCTCCCAAAGTGCTGGGATTACAGGCATGAGCCACCACGCCCAGCAATTTTTTATCTTTTGGTACAGACAGGGTCTCCCTATGTTGCCCAGGCCTCCTGGCCTTAAGAAAACCTTCTGCCTTGGCCTGCCAAAGTACTGGGATTACAGGCATGAATTCCTACATTAGGCCAGACAGTGACCTTTTGTTTTGTTTTGTTTTTGTTTTTGTTTTTGTTTTTTGTTTTTAGATGGGGTCTTGCTCTGCCACCCAGTCTGGAGTGCAGTGGTGCAATCATAGCTCGCTGCAGCCTCGACTTCTCAGGCTTAAGTAATCCTCTCACCTCAGCCTTCTGAGTAGCTGGGACCACAGGCATGTGCCACCACACCTGGCTAGTTAAAAAAATTTTTTTTTGTAGGTGGATTGGCAGGGGGCTCACTATGTTGCCATGCTGGTCTCAAACTCCTGGGCTCAAGTGCTCCCTCCTCAGCCTCCCAGAGTGCTGGGATTATAGGCATGAGCCACAGCGGCTGGAATGGTAGCCTTTTGATTCCCATTTTATAGATGAGCAAACAGAACAGGGAGAGGGGAGGGAGGGCTCAAAACTCCAAGCCTAGGCTGGGTGCGGTGGTTCACACCTGTAATCCCAGCACTTTGGGAGGCCGAGGTGGGTGGATCATCTGAGGTCAGGAGTTCGAGACCAGCCTGGCCAACATGGTGAAACCCCGTTTCTACTAAAAATACAAAGAATTAGCTGGGTGTGGTGGCGTGCTCCTATAGTCCCAGCTACTCGGAAGGCTGAGGCAGGAGAATGGCTTGAACCTGGGAGGTGGAGGTTGCAGTAAGCCGAGATCGTGCCATTTCACTCCAGCCTGGGCAACAAGAGTGAAACTCCGCCTAAGGGAAAAACAAACAAAGCTCCAAGACTAGCTAGGGATGGAGCTGTGCTCTGTCGCCTCACCCAAGTCCTTACAAGAAGAGGCATGGCGTCTGGGCATGGTGGCTCATGCCTGTAATCCCAGCATTTTGGGAGGCTAAGGCAGGTGGCTTACTTGAGGTCAGGAGTTCAAGACCAGCCTGGCCAACATGGTGAAACCCCGTCTCTACTAAAAAGTACAAAAATTAGCCAGGTGTGGTGGCATGTGCCTGTAATCCCATCTACTCAGGAGGCTGAGGCAGGAGAATCACTTGAACCCAGGAGGCAGAGGTTGCAGTGAGCAGAGAACATGCCACTGCACTCCAGCCTGGGTGACACAGCGAGAATCCATCTCAAACGAAACAAACAAACTAAAAAAGAGGCATGGCAAGAAGATAAACAGGGTGGCAGGGAGGATGCTGGGGGCTGGGGTGGGAGCATCTCGTCAGAAAGGCTGGAGGCTCCGTCCCGCCCCGCGGTGATTGCAGACTGCAAGCCAAGGCTGTCTGGGAAGGTGACTCCAAGTACGCCATCAATCACCAGTGGATTAGCCAGCCAGCCATCAATATTAAGGAAAAGGATTGCTTTTTAATGAGGCCAAAGAGTGTGTGTTCCTGTGACTGATGTGAATATTTGTCAAATGCCCGAGAACCCGGTAAATAAACGGGACTGAACCAGTGTTTCTAGAAATGGATATTAATGACTCGATTTGATAAAAGAGCAGGGGTGCCTGGTGTTTGCTGGCACTTTGTGAGGACTGGCTGGGGGCTGGGCAGTCCCATGTGTGTCTTCAACGGAGGACTCTCAGAACAGCTCCAGAACACAGGTGCCCCTATTTTCCAGGTGAGTAAACCGTGGCTTGTTCAAGGTCAAGATAGGGCTGGAAGCCTGGATTTGGGAGTCTCAGAATGCCTGTCCCTGCCATGATCAAATGCCCTGCTGAGGATGGGGAGGGCAGGGGGAGGGCCATTCAAGAGCTGGTTTTTCAGAGGTGGCTCCAGGATAAGGACCACCTCAAGTGAGAGCTTGGGTGGGGGAAGGGACCCTGACTGAGCAAGTGGGGACATAGTGGGTGCTTCCCAGGGAAGCAAGGATCCTTGATGCTGGGGGTCTTACACCCAGGACGTGGCCAAATGCCATCACCTTTTGCTTGGGGAGGGGCTCAGTGAGGGAAGGTTCCTTGAAAGGGTGAAGGTCTTTGAGGGGGAGGGCTTTCAGGATGGGAAAGTACAGAGAAGAGGAGGGGACTTAGTGAAGGGAGAGGGGCTGAGGATGGGGATGGGTTCATCAAGGAGGTGGAGTTCTGGGAGGAGGAGGAGCAGGAAAGTGCAGGGAACACCTTGTCTGTCCCTGTCAACCCTCTTGTCCTCTGCCCACACTCCCCTCCCTCCTTGACTCTCCAGACAGAATTTCGCAGAATTTGCAGGTTTTGTTTGTGTGTTTGTTTTTGTTTTGTTTTGAGATGGAGTCTCCCTCCGTTGCTCAGGCTGAAGTGCAGTGGCGCAATCTTGGCTCACTGCAACCTCTGCTTCGCGGGTTCAAGCGATTCTCCTGCTTCAGCCTCCCGAGTAGCTGGGACTACAGGCGCTCGTCACCATGCCTGGCTAATTTATTTTTATTTTTATTTTGAGACGGAGTCTTGCTCTGTCACCCAGGCTGGAGTGCAGTGGCACAATCTCAGCTCAGTGCAACCTCCGCCTCCGGGTTCAAGCGATTCTCCTGCCTCAGCCTCCTGAGCAGCTGGGACTAGAGGTGCATGCCACCATGCCCGGCTAATTTTTTGTATTTTTAGTAGCGATGGGGTTTCACTGTGTTTGCCAGGATGATCTCGATCTCCTGACCTCACGATCTGCCCGCCTTGTCCTCCCATAGTGCTGTGATTGCAGGCGTGAGCCACCGCACCTGGCCTTTTAAATTTTTTTGTATTACTAGTAGAGATGGGGTTTCACCATGTTGGCAAGGCTGGTCTCGATCTCCTGACCTCAAGCGATCTGCCCACTTCGGCCTCCCAAAGTGCCGGGAGCCACGTGAGCTGGTACAGCCGTGAGCCACCGAATCTGGCTGGATTTGCCGGTTTAATTCACGACCTGAGGTTCTCACTGTAGGAGATGCTCCCCACCTCGCCCCTCCTTGCCCCTGCCCCTTGAGATCTCATTCCCTCTTCCGGTACCCACAGCTCATCAACATGTTCCCTTGCCAGCTGGAACCTCCTTTGTGTGTGTCCTCAGCATCCTGCCATCCATCCATCCATCCCTCTCTGCAAGGGGCCTCCTCCCCGCTACCTGGTCCTCTGGGTGAGGTGAGCATCAGGTCCCCATTACCCCTTCTTCTCCCTACAAGCAGCCTTGCCTGGCAGCCAGCAGGGCTCTTGATCCTGGCTCCGCCTTGGCCCCCCGCCTTCCGGATGGCCTTCAGCAACTCGCTGTCTCTGCCTAAGCCTGGGGGTCTTCCTAAGCTCCTCAGAGATGGTGGCCCCTGTCTAAGGGAGCCCAGGAGGCCTGGGGTGGACAAAGGTGTGGCTTGGAAGGACTGAAGGACACAGGCTGTGTCTGGCCCCATGTGGCTCCAGGCTCCAGCTCCCCGCCCCCCCACCCCGTGTAGGGAATTTCCGATTTCTCAGCTCACTGACAGTGCAAGTCTGATGGGCAGTCCCTGCTCCTGACTTTGACCCCTTCAGCAGCCAGCCCACTAGTTTCTTTCTTTCTTTTCTTTTTTTTTTTTTTTGAGACGGAGTTTTGCTCTTGTTGCCCAGGCTGGAGTGCAATGTCTCGATCTCAGCTCACTGCAACCTCCACCTCCCGGTTCAAGCGATTCTCCTGCTTCAGTCTCCCAAGTAGCTGGGATTACAGGCATGTGCCACTACGCCAGGCTAATTTTGTATTTTCAGTAAAGACGGGGTTTCTCCATGTTGGTCAGGCTGGTCTCGAATTCCCAACCTTGTGATCCACCCGCCTCGGCCTCCCAAAGTGCTGAGATTACAGGCGTGAGCCACCGCGCCCGGCCTTTTTTTTTTTTTTTTTTTTTTTTTGAGACAGAATCTCGATCTGTTGCCCAGGCTGGAGTGCAGTGGCCGGATCTCGGCTCACTGCAACCTCCGCCTCCTGGGTTCAAGAAATTCTCCTGCCTCAGCTTCCCGAGTAGCTGGGATTACAGGCACGCGTCACCACGCCTGGCTAATTTTTGTATTTTTAGTAGAGACGGATTTTCACCATGTTGGCCAGGCTGATCTCAAACTCCTGACCTCAGGTGATCCACCTGCCTAGGCCCCCCAAAGTTCTGGGATTACAGGTGTAAGACACCGCGCCCAGCTAAATTTTTTTTTGTATTTTTCATAGAGACGGGGTTTCACCATGTTAGGCAGGCTGATCTCGAATTCCTGACCTCAAATAATCCGCTCGCCTCGGCCTTTCAAAGTGCTGGAATCACAGGTGTGAGCCATCACTTTGCCATTAAAGGTAATGGCAAAAACCGTGATTACTTTTGCAACAACCTAATACATAAATGAAAGATGAGCTGGACTTGCCATGGCTTCACCCCAACTGGTCTGAACTCTGGCTTCTTGTCTGGACAAGGCTCTTGGGTTCCCACAGTCGCCCGACTCCGCCCTAATAGCCCCTAGCCCCGCCCTTCTCCCCGCCCACGACGTTCGCCACGCCCACGTGCAGCATCACTCGCTTCTCCCACCCTCGCCCCGCCTATCTCCCCACCCCAGTCCCGCCCCGCGGCCTGCTCACCCCTGCTCCTCCATCATCTCCTGCAGCTCCATGCACTTGAGCTCCACCCGCCGCTTGCGCTCGTGGTCCAGGATCTCGCGGTGCGCGCGCTTCACCAGGCCCGGCTCCGCGGCGCGCAGCTCCTCTTCCGCCCGCGGCCAGGTCCCCGAGGAGGAGCTGGGCTGCGGGAAGCCGTTCGCGGCGTCGGGTGTGGACTGCATGCTGGCCGCCCCGTTGTTCACGGTGGAGGACATCGTGGCTGGCCCTGGAGCCGCTGGCCTGGGCCGCTGGCCCTGAGGGACAGACACAGACACGAGGCGGGATGGTCACTTCTTCGCCACCTGTTAAGCTCCTCTCTGCTGGAGTTAATCCTGGAGATTTAAGGGCACACTCATGGCTCTAATCCGCTTCCTTTCCTGGTGCAGAGGGAAGCGGACGGCTGGTTTGCACCTTTGGGTCACACCTCAGGGCACGAGTGGGTTGGACACTGGGCTTTTTCCATCTGTAAGGTGGGTGGATGCAGGCCAGACTGGATGGCCTCTAAGAGCCATTGGCTGGGAATCGTGTCACCTCCAGGAACTACCGAGGACCATCCTCTCTGGCTTGCACGAATGCTTGGGCCAGACATCCCAGCGCCCGCTTGCACACATCATTAACTCCCCAGTCATATTTCTCCTTTAGGCTCAGTTGAAACTGTTTACGCACACACCAGGCCCACTATCCTGGCTCTGTCCAGTGGCACACAGATTACATGTGTTCCTACCTCCCAGTCTGCTCCCAGGGCAGCCCTACAGAGAGGGGAAGATGGAAGCCTACTCTATTCCCACCCCAGAGGCAGATTTTAGCTCTCTGTTTGATCTGGCCAACTTCTCCAAAGCCAACATTCCAGATAAGCGGGGCTCACCCAGATTGGGCCCACAAGACTATCCCCTCCTTTGTTCTGGAAACACTGCTTCTGATGACGTGACCAAAGCTGACACTGACATTAGCTTTCCAGGCAGCCACGTCCTCCTGTAGGCTCGGGGTGGGGTGGGAGTCAACTTGGCTTGGAGCTAAGAATCCCTGACTCCATGCTAGGCCCTCCAAAGTAGAGCAGACACACACACACACACACACACACACACACTCCAAGGACTTCTATCTTAACAGAGGGGAGGCACCTCTTGAGCTATTTCCATTTCCTTTCTCCAAGGATCTGCTAGTTGCTAAGCAACAGGGAGGCCTCATTCCCAGGGAGTGGGGTGGGAGGGAGGGAAAGGAAGGAGGGAGGGAGGAAAAGAAGGGATTGGGTATGCCTGGACATCTTGGATCGGGCCTTCCCTGTGACACTTCTCCCCCAACACACCCTCCCCTCTCTGGCCTCAGAGTGATGGGATGGGGGTGGGAGTGTTCAGAGCCACAGAAACTGGAAGGCAGAGAAGAGAGAGGGACTGTGACAGCTACAGGAGGCTCTGAAGGGGACAGAGTGACAGGAGGCAACAGCGGTGATGAAAACATAAGCTCTTCTCATATGTCCTTCCCCCTGAGTCCCAAGTGCATGGGTTCTAGGCTGCGCTTCTCCACTCCTTGCTGTGTGACCCTGAAGATGTCACTACCCCTCTCTGAGCCTCTGATTTCCACCTGTTCCTGGGAGCATCTGCCAGAGTCTTCTGGAGAGGGGAGTGCCTGGGGACTCAGAGACCAAAGCTGTTCTTCTAACCCCTCTTTTCCACTCCCACACCTGCTGGCTTCCCGCCTCTGTCCCGAGACCAGCCCTATACCCCAGTTCCACCAGGGGTTTTCCCAGGACACTCCACAAGAATCACCCACCATGCCCCAAACAGAGCTCCGGGTGCCCTGCTCCCCACCCACCTCGGCTGCAGTGCTTGGCTCATGGGTGACCCCTCTATCTGTTGGTCATCTGAGCCAGGGACATGTGTGGAGCTTGGAGACCCCTATTGACCTGACCCACAACAGTTCACCTGTCATCAAGTTGGGTCCCTCATCCCTTCTTCTTTGTTCATTTTTTGAGACAGGGTCTCACTCTATCACCCAGGCTGGAGTGCAGTGGCACAGTCATAGCTCACTGCAGCCTTGAACTCCTGAGCTCAAGCGATATCCTCCCACCTCAGTCTCCCCAGTAGCTGGAACTACAGGCATGTGCCACCATACCCAGCTAATTAAAACAAAGAATTTTTTTTTGTAGAGTCACGTTCTTGTTATTTTGCCCAGGGTGGTCTTGAATTCCTGGCTTCAAACAATCCTTCCACTTTGGCCTCCCAAAGTACTGAGATTACAGGCGTGAGCCACCGCGCCCAGCCCCATCCCTTCTTCTCAACATCGCTCACATTTATCCACTTCCTCTCCTCCCCTGTTACCACGTGGACCCAAGCTCCTCCCTCCATGCAGGTCCACTGCCTCTCTGTGGTTGCCTGGCCTCCCTGCTCCCAGACCTTCATCCTCCATTGGCAACTTGGCAGACGGGTCCAGGAGCAAATTAGACCATGTCATGCCCTGGTTAGCAGCCTCCCGTGACTCTTGTTACCTTGGCTTAAAGCCGTAACATGGCCCTGCCTCCTGGTCCAGCCCCGTCTCCACCACTCCGCACCACACACATCCTCCTCTACCTCTCTTGGCTCCAGGCCCTTTCCTGGGATACTCTTCATTCCTAGTTGTCCTCAAAGTCACCGCTCATAGGCATTATCACCTTCCGGAAGCCTTCCTTTCCCCTCTGGCTGGTGTCACCCTCCCAGAGCTCTTTTTTTTTTTGGAGAAGGAGTCTCACTCTGTCACCCAGGCTGGAGTGCAGTGGTGCAATCTTGACTCACTGCAACCTCCACCTCCTGGGTTCAAGTGATTCTCCCGCCTCAGCCTCCTGAGTAGCTGGGATTACAGGCGCCTGCCACCTTGCCCGGCTAATTTTTGTATTTTTAGTAGAAATGGGGTTTCACCATGTTGCCCAGGCTGGTCTTGAACTCTGACCTCAAGTGATCTGCCCTCCTCGTGGCCAGGCTGGTCTTGAACTCCTGACCTCAGGCGATCTGCCCTCCCAAAGTGCTGGGATTACAGGCATGAGCCACCACTCCTGGCCTTACCTCCCAGAGTTCTCGCTGTTGTTGCTGTGGGTTCAAAGGTCTGGCTCCCCCTGGGCTGAGGGCAGCTTAGCTTTCAACTCCTAGCTCCAGCTAAGCGCCTAGTGCATGTGAAGCTCAATGCGCCCGGGGCTGAACAAAGACGTGACAACAGGAGGCAAGAGAGAGGAATACATGGCATGGTCCTTGATACGGCCTGCAAGACCCCTTTGCATTCTGTCGAATGCTATCTTGCAACTTCATCCCATGCTGCACCCCATCCTGCAACCAACACCCAGCCTCTTAGCCTTGGTCCTCATCCCCCAAATGCATGCCCTTACTTCCTCCTTTGTGCCTTTGCCTATGTGTTTCCCCTCCGCTGGAGTCCTGTTTCCCCTTTTCTTCACCTAGGGAACTTCAACTCATCCCTCAGGGCCCAGCCCAAAAATCACCTCCTCTGGGAATCTTCCGCTCTTCCAGGAAGGATGAGTCATTCCTTCTTTGTGCTTCCGCATCTTTTGTCCACACTTTTTAAATGCGATATTTAGATACCGAGATTCAGTTGGCTGTTTGCTTGTAACTCCTATTCTAAACTGTGAGCCCTTTTAGGGGAGGGAACCGTCCTTTCATTCTGGCTCGTTAGAGCCTACCCCAGCACCAGGCAATGCAAGAGGCGCGCTGAAGGTGTGGAGAGAGCGCGAAGGCGCGGGTGAGAGCCCTGGGAGCCATGCTGTTCCGCACATCTTCCCTCTGACCTGGGCAAGGCTCCCCAGCCTAGAACTTGGCCTGAGCTCCTGGAGGGCAGAGGCGGAAAGCTGGTGAGAGTCGTTCTGAATGCACTCAGATCTCCAAACCCTGAGAAAATCTAGCCCCAGTGCTAGGAGAACGCCTGGGTAGCAATGCTAGGTTGCCCAGGGTAATCGTTGCAGAAATGATTGAGGAGGAAAGGAGAGCTATGTGAAGAGGGGCGTGGCAGATGCAGTCTGGATTTTCACTAGAACAGATGGTGGATTTGACCAATTTCACCTGGTGAGTTGGAGAGGCACCAGGTGGGAATCTGCAGCAGGTCATTAATAGAATGACCCAAATCATTGCACACTAAGCCCATTTCCTTCCAAGTCAGGTTTGCTGGGCCAGCAGACCAGGGGGTGACTGCAGGACTGCACGCACAGGGTCCCTCTGTGAGCCATGTGACATTATATTTTATGAAATCATTGTGAGGCTGGGCGCAGTGGCTCACACCTGTAATCCCAGCACTTTGGGAAGCTGAGGTGAGTGGATCACCTGAGGTCAGGAGTTCAAGACCAGCCTGGGCAACATGGTGAAACCCCGTCTCTACTAAAAATACAAAAATTAGCCAGGCATGATGGTGGGCGCCTGTAATCCCAGCTACTCAGCAGGCTGAGGCACGAGAATCGCTTGAACCTGGGAGGCAGAGGTTGCAGTGAGCTGAGATTGTGCCATTGTATTTCAGCCTGGGCGACAGAGTGAGACTCTGTCTTGAAAAAAAAAAAAAAAGTAAGTAAAAGAAATTATTGTGAGATTTATTCTTCCTTCCTTCCTTCCTTCCCTTCCTTACCTTACCTTTCTCCCTTCCCTTCTGTTCCCTTCCCTTCCCTTCCCTTCCTGACTCTCAATCTGTTGCCCAGGCTGGAGTGCAGTGGCGTGACTATAGCTCACTGCAGCCTTGACCTCCTGGGCTTCAGTGATCTTCCTGATTCAGCCTCCAAGTAGATGAAACTACAGGTGCACCACCATGCCCAGACGATTTTTAATTTTTTTTTGTAGAGATGGGATCTTGCTATGTTGCCCAGGCTGCTCTCAAGCTCCTGGGCTCAAGTGATCTTCCTGCTTCGGCCTCCCAAAGTGTTGGGATTACGGGCATGAGTCACTGCGCCTGGCCTCACTGTGAGATTTCATAAGGTGACACTGTCCTGGTGGGTGCTAATATCCCATTTTGTTGTAATTGGTTGATTGATTGACCTATACTCAAAAGGAGCTGGTTAATGGATCAATGTCATGTTAGATGTAGGTATTTAGTGGAGAATCACAGGGCTCTATTCTCACCACATCTGATCCAATATGTTCACTATTGACTGGATAGAACACTGGTAGTCTGACAATCAAATTCACTGAGGACACAGCCTGAGAGGGCTCATGGATATACAGTCAGAATCTAAAAGGACTCAGTAGCCGGAGACATTGGAAGAATCTAAGAAGGTGAAACAGGGCCAGGTGCAGTGGCTCACATCTGTAATCCCAGCACTTTGGGAGGCTGAGGTGGGCAGATCATGAGGTCAGGAGTTCGAGACCAGCCTGGCCAACATGGTGAAACCCCGTCTCTACTAAAAGTACAAAAATTAGCCAGTCATGGTGGTGCATGCCTGCAATCTAAGCTATTCGGGAGGCTGAGGCAGAAGAATCACTTGAACCTGGGAGGCAGAGATTGCAGTGAGCCGAGATCGCACCACTGCACTCCAGCCTGGGCAATTGAGCGAGACTCCGTCTCAAAAAAAAAAAAAAAAAAAAGAAGAAGAAGAAGAAAGTGAAACAGGATAGTGAAAAGTGCCACATTCTGAAGCTGGGTCCCAAACTAAAATTGGAATGGGGTAGACATAGTTCAGAAGCAGAATATTTGGGAAGGATTATAGGGATTTTCAATGATCACAGACTCAATTTGAGTCAATATCACAATGTGGATGCCAAAAATGCATGTTATCTTAGGATATATCAACAAAAATAGGGTGCCAAGGAGGGGGAAGATTATAAGAATATACAGGTGGTCAGAATGCCTAGCTTCAAATATATGAAGGATTGTAGAGGATTTAGGTCAAACCTGGCTGAATCGACTGAGAGGCTTGTTAGAAGTAGTGATGTTTAGCTAGCATTGCCAGATTTGCCAAATAGGAACACAGGATACCCAGTTAAATTAAATTTGAATTTTATATTTGGAACATAATCCTACTAAGAAATTATCCGTTGTTTATCTGAAATTCAAATTTAACTGAGTGTCCTATATTTCATATGTCAGTTCTACCTGGAATCCAACCCAGATCTACTGAATCAAAGTCTCGGCTGGGCGCGGTGGCTCATGCCTGTAATCTCAGCATTTTGGGAGGACAAGGCAGGTGGATCACGAGGTCAGGAGATCGAGACCATCCTGGCTAACATGGTGAAACCCTGTCTCTACTAAATATACAAAAAATTAGCCGGGTGTAGTGGCAGGTGCCTGTCGTCCCAGCTACTCCGGAGGCTGAGGCAGGAGAATGGCGTGAACCCAGGGGGCAGAGCTTGCAGTGAGCAGAGATCATGCCACTGCACTCCAGCCTGGGTGACAGAGTGAGACTCTGTCTCAAAAAAAAAAAAAAAGTCTCTGGGGATGAAATTGCTCACGTCCCCCAGGTTCTCCTGATATAGCCCAAGTATGGACCACAAATTAGGGGGAGGTGGGCAGTGGTCTAGAAATAGCCATTTTCAAATTTTATTGGGCATCAGAATCACCAGGAAGACTTGTTAAGACACAGATTTGTTTTGTTTTGTTTTGTTTGAGACGGCGTCTCGCACTGTTGCCTGGGCTGGAGTGCAATGGTGCGATCTCAGCTCACTGCAACCTCCGCCTCTCAGGTTCACATGATTCTCCTTTCTTAGCCTCCTGAGTAGCTGGGATTACAGGTGCACACCACTACACCCGGCTAACTTTTTGTATTTTTAGTAGAGACAGGGTTTCACTATGTTGGCCAGACTGGTCTTGAACTTCTGACCTCATGATCCACCCGCCTCGGCCTCCCAAAGTGCTGGAATTACAGGCTTGAGCCACCGCGCCCAGCAAGACACAGATTGTTGACTTCGCCCCCAGAGTTTCTGATTTGATAGATCTGGAGTGGGGCTTGAGAATTTGCATTTCTAACAAGTAACACCAATACTACTGGTCCTTAGAATTCCCTAAGAGGAGCAAGGCCCTAGCCAATCTGCAAAACAGAGCCCCAAGATTCTCACAGGCAAGTCATCTAGTGTTGATTTCAGCTCAGTTCAAAAAAGAGTCTTGTCTTGTTTTGTTTTTATTTTATAATAATCAAAACTCTTTAAAAATGAAGCAGTTCTGCCCAGGTGTGGTGGCTTGCACCTGTAATCCCAGCACTTTGGGAGGCAGAGGCGGGTGGATCACTTGAGGTCAGGAATTCGAGACCAGCCTAGCCAATATAGTCAGACACTGTCTCTACTAAAAATACAAAAATTAGCTGAATGTGGTGGTGCGTGCCTATAATCCCAGCTACTTGGGAAGATGAGGCATGAGAATAGCTTGAACCCAGGAGGTGGAGGTTGCAGTGACCTGAGTTTGCGCCACTGCACTTCAGCCTGGGTGACAGAGTGAGATTTCGTCTCAAAAAACAAACAGAAAAACAAAAAACAAAACTAAGCAGTTTGTCGTAGGATGAATGAGGTCCCTATTACAGGAATTGTTCAAACATGAGATAGAAACGATATTCAAGCATTCACTCAACAAACACTCACCCAACATCTACTCTTGGCCTCACGTTATTAAAGGCTGTGGGTATAGAGATGAACATGACCCCATCATGGCCCTGTAGAAGCTCACAGGCTGGTTCAGGAGACTGACAGGTAAACAGCAGCATAGTGTGATAAAAGAGAACTGGAGAAGTGTCTGTAGCCCTGCTTGGTTCGTCAAGGCAGGCTTCCCAGCAAGGCTGGGAGGGAGCAGGAGGCAGGGCTGCCAGAGCCAGTGAGGACAACCAGGATTCAAGAAATAAATGGGCCAATCTGGCAGGGTTTGTAATTGACTGGATGTGGGATGGGGGAGGCAGCTTAGATGACACCGGGTCTCTGGCCTGGGTGACCAGGTGGATGGTGCAGCCATTTATTGTGATGGGGAACACGGAGAACAAATTGGAGGTGCTTGAGGGTGAGGGGTTTGCAGGGGCAAGCAGGCAGATATGGAGTCTAGAGCTATAATCTGAACCCTAACTCTAACTTGTTCTGGTCTTTGGGGGCATTGACACTGTACTTCTTTGGAGGCAGAGCAGCACATGGGAAGTCTTTACCCTACCACTGATTGGCTGAGAGCAGCACATGGGAAGTCTTTACCCTACCACTGATTGGCTGAGAGCAGCACATGGGAAGTCTTTACCCTACCACTGATTGGCTGAGAGCAGCACATGGGAAGTCTTTACCCTACCACTGATTGGCTGAGAGCAGCACATGGGAAGTCTTTACCCTACCACTGATTGGCTGTGAGACCATGAACAAGTCCCTTCCCCTCTCTGCACCCTTGTTTCTCCCACTGAACAATGACTCAAAGACCCCAAGGGTCCTTTCCTACTCTGGAAGTCTGGGTAATACTAACTCTAAGTGTGTGGCACCAGGCTGGGTGTGGTGGCTTATGCCTGTAATCTCAGCACTTTGGGAGGCCGAAGCAGGTGGATCACCTGAGGCCAGGAGTTTGAGACCAGCTTGACCAACATGGTGAAATCCTGTCTCTACTAAAAATACAAAAATGAGCTGGGTGTGGTGGCACATGCCTGTAATCCCAGCTACTTGGGAGGCTGAGGCAGAAGAATTGCTTGAACTCAGGAGGCGGAGGTTGCAGTGAGCTGAGATCACACCGTTGTACTCCAGCCTGAGGAACAAGAGCAAAACTCCATCTCAAAAAATAAAATAAATAAATAAATAAATAAATAAATAAATAACACCAGACCTTCAGCCCACTTCCTTTCTGCTGATACAGCCAGGAGCCGGGGCCCCACCGGCCACCCTTAGAGTTCAACTGAGGCTGTCCCCAGCACTGGGTCAGCTCCCAAGGGCAAGCCCAGATGCTGGAGCCAGCCAAACCCATGTGTAGATTAAGTCATGAAGCCCTAGTTTAATGCTTGCCAAAGGGGCACACTCCTTCTTCTACAAGCCAGGAAGTGGTTAAAAGCCTAGAGGCCTGATTTCCCAGCCTCCTGGCTGGGTCCCTGGAGTTGCCTCCCTCCCACAAGCCCAAGCCTGGGTTTCCTGAGCAAGCCTGGGTGTGGACACAGTGGGCCACAAACTGGATGCTGCTACCTGCAAGTGATTAATTGAAGGTGAAACAGCTCATCTGTACTGCAGGGTCCAGCCTGTTTCGGAAAGTCAGCTGCTGACAGGCACAGAGGCCTCTTAGCTAATGAGGTCAGCACTCACCCTGGGGCTCAGAGGGAGAAGATGCTCAGATCGTAGTGACCTGGTCAGGTCTGGGGGAGAGGGAATGGGCTGTAGTGAGAAGTGGACCACAGATGAGTCTGGGAAGAGGCCCAGCCCTGCCCTGGGGACCCCTGATTTGAGAGGGAGACAGGAGAGTGATCTTTGGGAATTCATAAGCTGAGAGACCTAGGGCACGTGACTTCAACTCTCTGGGTCTCAGTTTCCTTGCCTGTAAAATGAAACTATTTAATAATAGCATCTTCCTCATAGGTTTGTTGTAAAGGACTAATGCATGGGAAATGCCCTCACAGTACCTAGTATGCAATGAATGTCTCGTAAAAGGCACTGGAGATTAATTATTATTATTATTATTGTAGAGACAGGGTCTCACGTTGTTGCCCAGGCTGGTCTCAAACTCTTGGCCTCAAGTGATCCCCCGCCTTGGCTTCCCAGAGCACTGGGATTACAGGAGTGAGCAAACTCCTCCCTGCTCCCCTTGTCTCTGGCAGCGTCGCAGTCCTCCAGCACCACGGACAGCACCCCCATCACCAGTTCAGGGGGCCCCATTTGCTGCCGGGGCTGAGAAGCCTCTTTTGCCGGGGAAAGGGGCGGGGGGGGCGGGGAGGGGGGCAGCACCGTTCCTCTAGGGGCTTTTTTTTCCTGGCCTTGCCAGCCAGAGGCATGCCTCCCCAGAGGTAATGTCAGGACTCAGAGCCTCCACACGCTCAAAGGTACAGATTCCCACAGCTTCAAGTAAGCACTTGAGCACTTCGTCTGTGGTCACACAATTTAACCACCTTCTTACTTCTAAGATCTTTCTGCTGTCTTCTACTGGGGCCAGGAAAAAGAGTGTTAGACCAGGACAAGGACTTGGAGTCAGAAGACTTTAGCTTAAATTCTGGCTCCACTACTTCTGCCTGGGTGATCAGGAAAAGTCATTAAACTTCTCCGAGCCTCAGTTTCCTCATCTGTAAAATGGAGTGTTGGGATTCGGTCAGGCTGGTGGAAAAAATATTAGTTATGATAGCCACAAAACCCTTTCGGAAGGCCTGAGGGTTTTCACATGACTTCGGTAATAGACCGGGGCGAAGGTGGGCTGGTCCCATTACCTTCAGTTAAATAGATTAGAGTAGTAAATAACGGGATGTGGGGAAGTTATCTAGTTAACTTGTTTACTCATGTGGTCTCAAGACGAGCCTTTGATGTGTGCTTTTTACTCGGGAAGTCCTCAATGTCAATTACCTCTAATGGCGCTGACTCAAGCTTTTGTTAACTAATCTTAATGAATAAATGTGAGTCTCCCTAGCTGATCGGGGCGGCCACAGTGACAAACCTCTCTTGGTGTGTAGGCGGTCACTCAGCAGGACTGGCAAAACAGAATCTCTGTGTATCAGTGTACGTTTTATTCATCATTTGGGTCAGGGTCTGTGGGCAGACCCTCGTAGCTAATACCCTCTTGTGAGGAGCAATACCTCGACGGAGACAATATTCCCTAGTCTTGTAGCTTGTAGCTTAGTGGGATCATTCATTCATCCTTTCTTGCGGTAACAGGCTTGTTATGAAGAGATTCTGATGCCATTCTCCCACCCACCCACCCAGTCCTGCAGGAGCAAAAAAGAGACCAGGGAGGCTCTACCTTTGCCTAGGATGGTCAGGGAAGGTTTCATGAAGAGAATGATGTTAGACATGTGCCTTTGAAAGATGTGTCTTTGGCCGGGCGCGGTGGCTCATGCCTGTAATCCTAGCATTTTGGGAGGCCAAGGTGGGCAGATTGCCTGAGCTCAGGAGTTTGAGACCAGCCTGGGCAACATGGTGAAACCCGGTCTCTACTAAAATACAAAAAATTAGCCAGGACTGGCAGTGTGCGCCTGTACTCCCAGCTACTCAGGAGGCTGTGGCAGGGGAATCGCTTGAACCCAGGAGCGGAGCTTGCAGTGAGCTGTGATCGTGTCACTGCACTCCATCCTGGGGGACAGACCAAGACTCTGTCTCAAAAAAAAAAAAAAAAAAAAAGAGGGAAGGGAAGAGAAGGGAGAGGGAGAGAGGGGAAGTGGGGGCAGGGGAGAGGGGAAGTGGGGGCAGGGGAGGGGGAATTGGGGGGAGGGGAGGGGATGCTCTGTCAAAAAAAAAAGAGGGAAGGGAAGAGAAGGGAGAGGGGGAGGGGGGCAAGTTGGGGGAGGGGAGGGAAGGGGTGGGGAGGGAAGGGAAGGGAAGGGAAGGGAAGGGAAGGGAAGGGAAGGGAAGGGAAGGGAAGGGAAGGGAAGGGAAGGCAAAAGCCAAGGGCATGTTAAGATCCAGGGACCCTTGGCTAAGAGGGCTACAGTGGAATGGAATTTATGATCCAGGAAACTGCATTCCTGTGAAGGTGGTGGCTGCAAACGCAGGATGAGACCTTCCAGAGAAAAAGCCCAGTGTGGTGACAGCAGGTGGGCAAGGATGTGCCTCCTGAGGAAAAAGATTCTTTCCAACTGTCAGAAACGAGACAGAACTGATAAATACCCATGAAACCAGGTCCTTAAGTTGTGAAACTCATTCTGGGTCTTGTTAAAAATAAGTGTGTGCAACAATCGTTTGTCAAGATACTTTATCAAGCTGGAAAAGAAAAGCCATCTGCATCATGTCCAAGGAATCTAGGTGTGTCCCCACTCCAAATCCTGGCATTGAAGCCAGGTGCAGCCATGACAGGGACATATTCCCTGGAGCACTCTCCTGCTGACCCTTCCCTTCCCTGTGTAAGGACCCTTCTGCAGACCTCCAGCCTTGAACACTTTATATTGAAAGCTTCCCCTGTGCTCACTGCCCAAGAGCGTGGGGCTGGGGGGGTAAGGACCAGAGGACCAAGAGACACCCCATCAACTTCAGGGTTGGGTCATTCATTCAGGTCACAGCTATTTGTGAGTGGCTACTCTGGGGTTCACCAGAGGACACGAGAGAAATGCAGAAGGAGAAGCACTGGTGCTTATCATGCTGGGGATGATGGATGCATGGCAGAGACATCTAACAGCTGGGGTGCGTCAGGAGAGGAGCATAGCTAGGAGGTCTCCCTGGAGGAGAGATCTTGAAGCATAAGTAGGAGTTGGCGGGACAAAGGAGGAGGAGAAGGATGTCCTGGTCAGGGTGTGGGGGTGAGCAGGAAGAAGGCATGGAGAGGAAAGAGGGAAAAGCATGGACTTGAAGCTGGGCGCGGTGGCTCAATCCTGTAATTCCAGCACTTTGGGAGGCTGAGCCAGGAGAATCATTGGAGGTCAGGAGTTCGAGACCAGCCTGGTCAGCCTGGCCTGTCTCCACTAAAAATACAAAAATTAGCCAGGCATGGTGGCGGGTGCCTGTAATCCCAGCTACTTGGGAGGCTGAGGCAGGAGGATTGCTTGAACCCAGGAGGCAGAGGTTTCAGTGAGTCAAGATCACGCCACTGCACTCCAGCCTGAGAGACAGAGGGAGACTCCATCTCAAAAAATTAAAAAAATTAAAAAAACAAAACAAAACATGGGCTTGTCTTGCTGAGCCCACTAAGCCAGGAGGGGAGGGAGGGCCAGGTCCCCAGGGCCTTCAGACTCAGGCTGAGGACCTAGGACCACACCCTGCAGGCAATAGGGAGCCAGTGAAGGGTATTGAGCTGGGGAGGTCAGATTTGCATTTTGGAAAGATCTCTCTTGCAACTTTTTTTTTTTTTTTTTTTTGAGACGGGGTCTCCTATCACCCAGGCTGGAGTGTAGTGGTACAATTATGGCTCACTGCAGCCTCTACCTCTTGGGCTCAAGTGATCCTCCCACCTCAGCCTCCCAAGTAGCTGGCCACTACTACACACAGGTGCATACAACCATGTCCAGCTAGTTTTTAGAAGTTTTGTAGAGACAGGGTCTCACTAGTTTGTCTCTAACTCCTGGACTCAAGCAACCCTCCTGCCTTGGCCTCCCAAAGCTCTGGGATTGCAGGTGTGAGCCACTGTGCTCAACTCTCTCTTGCAACCTGATGCCCTCAGGCCCTTAAAGGATAACTGATAACCCAGTCCACATGAACCAAGACAGACCCGTGCCGATCAGCCAGTAGCAGATGGGTTCAAATCACTTACTATGTGTGCGTAGTGACTTAACCTCTTTCTTATCTGTAAAATGGGGTTAATATAAGTACCCGCACCTCAGGGTAAGGAGTAAAGGAATAACGTGTGTACAGTGCCTGGGTAGGCGATAAGCTCTATGCATTAAGTGTTAGCTGTTATCAGCCATGAACTATGCCAATCAGTCTAAACCATTACAGGCATGAGTTAGACCAGGAGGAAATATAGATCCATATAAATCAGAACAGATCAGGTCAATAATTACCATTTTAAATCATTACAAACACTCATAGCCCAATCATGGTACTTTTCACAGATACAAACCCACACAGACCAGTAGAGACCAGTAGAGACGGGTAAGAAGAGGGCAGGTGCGGGGCGCGGTGGCTCACGCCTGTAATCCCAGCACTTTGGGGGGCCGAGGCGGGTGGATCACAAGGTCAGGAAATCGAGACCATTCTGGCTAATACGGTGAAACCCCGTCTCTACTAAAAATATGAAAAATTAGCTGGGCGTGGTGGTGGGCGCCTGTAGTCCCAGCTAGTAGGGAGGCTGAGGCAGGAGAATGGTGTGAACCTGGGAGGCAGAGCTTGCAGTGAGCTGAGATCATGCCACTGCACTCCAGCCTGGGCGACAGAGCGAGACTCCGTCTCAAAAAAAAAAAAAAAAAAAAAGAGGAGGGCAGGCCCAGTGGCTCAAACCTGTAATCCCAGCAATTTGGGAGGCTGAGGCGGGTGGATCACCTGAGGTCAGGAGTTCGAGACCAGCCTGGCCAACATGGCAAAACTCTTTTACTAAAAATACAAAAATTAACTGGGTGTGGTGGCGGGCACCTGTGAACCCAGCTACTTGGGAGGCTGAGGCAGGAGAATCGCTTGTACCCAGGAGGCGGAGGTTGCGGTGAACTGAGATTGCGCCACTGCACTCCAGCCTGGGCAACAAAGTGAGACCTTGTCTGGAAAAAAAAAAAAAAAAAAGACGGGTAAGAAGACACTGCAGGGAGAGGCCTGGGAGGAGGTGGCTCAGGGAGCGGGCAGAGCCCAGTGAGCTTCCTCCATGACTCCTTGGAGTCTCTCTGGAGAGGCGCTGGTGCTGGCACGGCTGTTTGTTACCCAACCCTCCAGAAGACGCGGTGGGGGGAGGGGAACTGCTGAAAGCCTTGCTTTCAATAATTCAGCAGCTGGAGCTTCCTGCTGCCCCTGCTGGAGCTGGAGGAAAATCTTGGCCAGAGCCCCAAGGCTGGGGCTGGCTGGGGGTGGGAGGGCTGGTTCCTGGAGGGGCAGGCAGCCTGGCTTGCAAGGGTGCGGGCACTGCAGCTCTGTGTTTTGACCATAGCCCTTGTGGTCCCTCTTCTGCCCTCCCCTTTTCAGTCTAGGGCTGGGTCCAGCCATGCCTGGGCAGGACTCGGGCTGACCCTTTCCCTGCCGTCTCAGTCTGTGCTGGGCAATGGAGGTGGCTGGGCTGGCAAAGTTTCCAGGGCCAAGATGGGGTGTCCGGGGCCGGTGAGGCAGAGAGGGCGAGCCTGCAGACCACAGGAGAAAGCCCTGGTGGCTTAGCTGGCAATGTGCCCAGTCCTACGCTATCCCTGTCCAGCTCCACACCACATTCCACTCCACCCAAGAATGCACTGACCCATGCTGTTCCTCATGCCTGGAAGGTTCTTCCTCATCTACCCTTCCTGCAAGACTGCTCAAGCATCACCTCCTCCGTGAAGCCTTCCCTGACTGCCTGGAAGGACTCCCTGGGGGACGTGCCTCTGCTGTCACCCTGTGGCTACTACTCGCAATCTAGCATGACTGTTGCTCCTTGGCTGACTGAGGGCTGTCCAAGGGCAGAGACTGGGCCAATCCACATCTGTATCCCTAGTGCTCAGCACAGGGCTTGGCACAGAGCAGCCACCTGGGACTGTTTGCTGAGACCCCGCCTGTGTTTGCACCGATGGGAGCTCACTACTTATTGTTTTACCACCATCATCTCTGGGAACTACAGAGGGAGAGGTCCTTGGTCACTGCTCTCACTATGCCTAGACTATGTGCATGCTGACATTTGCATGGGCCTCATGGTCATCTACTTTGTAAGCCCTCGAGTCCAGCCTTGTCTTTGTTTGTTTGTTTGTTTGTTTTTGAGACAGTATCTCGCTGTGTTGTCCAGGCTGGAGTGCAGTGGTGTGATCTCGGCTCACTGCAACCTCCACCTCCTGGGTTCCAGCCATTCTCATGCCTTAGCCACCCAAGTAGCTGGGATTACAGGCGTGTGCCACCATGCCTGGCTAATTTTTTGTACTTTTAGTAGAGACGGGGTTTCACTATGTTGGCCAGGCTGGTCTCAAACTCCTGACCTCAAGTGATCCACCCACCTTGGCTTCCCAGAGTGCTGAGATGACAGGTGTGAGCCACCGCACCCGGCCCCAGCCCTGTCTTTGAATAGATAGGAAGGACTTCTCTGGTCAAGGCTCCTGTCTTTGTTGGCTCTGATTTGGGTTCCTGGAGCAAAGATTTGGGTGGCAACCAAGCAGGCTGCCCAGGGCATCCCCTCAGGCTTCTGCTGGGCTGGCTGAGATCAAAGAGAAAGCCGGCTGGGGGCTGGAGCATCACTGACAAGGGACAAGGAGGGACAAGGAGGCCTCCACTGTCTGCTGCCTCCAGAGGAGTCCACAGTACAGGTAATGCAGCCCAGGTGAGAACAGGTAACAATGCTCAGGTGAGATCAGTGCAGATTGATGTAGCCCAGGACAGGTCATACAGAGCCTTGTAAATGGGACAGACCCAGCCAAGCCAGGAGCTCAGACCGACTGATCAACAGAGGACAGTGGGGACACTGCACACCAGCATGACAGACAGCTGGAAGGTATCAGAACAAGCAACACTGGCTACTGAAAGCAATACAGGCCGGGTATGGTGGCTCACGCCTGTAATCCCAACACTTTGGGAGGCTGAGGCAGGTGGATCACTTGAGGCCAGGAGTTCAAGACCAGCCTAGCCAACATGGCCATCTCTACTAAAAATACAAAAATTAGCCAGGCATGGTGGCTGGTGCCTGTAATCCCAGCTACTTGGGAGGCTGAGGCAGGAGAATTGCTTGAACCTGGGAGGCAGAAGTGGCAATGAGCCAAGATCACGCCGCTGCACCCCAGCCTGGGCAACAAGAGCGACACTCTGTCTGAAAAAAACAAAAAACAAACAAACAAAAAGGCCAGGTGTGATGGTGCATGCCTATAGTCCCAGCTACTTGGGAAGCTGAGGCAGGAGAATCTCTTGAACCCGGGAAGCAGAGGTTGTAGTGAGCCGAGATTTCACCACTGCAATCCAGCCTGGGCAACAGAGTGAGACCTTGCCAAAAAAAAAAAAAAAAAAAAAAAAGAAAAGAAAGCAACACAGACGAGTTCAACCTAGTAGACAGATCTGTAGAGGCCAGAACTGATATGAAATAAGCAAGTAGTGGTTTGGTCTCTTCTCCCCTGCATTCTAGAGGAACAAAAGAATCCCTGCCTTACTCAGTCTTCCTGCTCTCTGTCAGGGCCCTCAGTGGCCTTGTGGGAGGCTGAAGCCTTGCCACCAAGAGCAGACAGCTTCCCTGGGGCTGCTGAGCAAGAATGGAGATGGGGGTGGGGTGGAGGGTGGGGAGAATGTTCTACAGAAGCAGCTTCAGCTTAGCCCAAGAAAGAACAGTCTTATGACTGAGCTGTCACCGATGGCAGGTGGCGGTCTCTGTGTCCCGGGAGGGTGCAAATCAGATGGCCTTGGTGGAGATATGGAGGGAGAGCCACCTGTGTGTCAGAAGCCCATGCTCTCTGAGGACCCTCCCAAGCTGGCCTTGAGGACTGACCCTGCAGTGAAATCGGAGAAGCCTGTGTGCTTTACCCAGTTTTCATCACCTCCTTCTCCTTCCCCCAGGATCAGATCCCAACCCCCGCTCCAGGCTCACACCTGGGAGCTAGGCAGAGGAAGGCACGATGGGCTAGAAGTTGTATAACCAGATCCCTTTTCCTTTCTGAGCCTCAGTTTCTCTTATCTGGACCAAGTGTCAGGGGCCTGGATACTGGCAGGGCTTGGGTAGTGTTAGTCTAAACTGCACCATTTTGTAAGCTCCCTGCTATTTTGCAGACCTTAGTCAAAGTGAAACACTTCACAGTGGTTCGGGTCGTGAGAAACATCCTACCTAACCACCTGACCACAAGGTGGACAAAGGCCCGACTGAAGAAACAGCCTTCCTCTTACGATATTCTGCTGGGAGAAAATGCAAGGAGTACCACATTCTGCTGGAACAAGGGCCAGAACTGCCTCATTATTGGGACATCTTATCAATATCCTGCTGGGCAAGCCATACTGCCTAGACCCCTCCTGCCCATACCTATAAATTGTGCCAGCCTGTAAGCAGTGGTGGGCTCTGACATTAGGTTGGTCCCCCACTTCTGAAGGTTTTATGCTGGACGTAAAACCTGCATTTGCGCCCAGGTGTGATGGCTCACGCCTGTAATCCCAGCGTGATTGGGAGGCCGAGGTGGGTGGATCACCTGAGGTCAGCAATTTGAGAACAGCCTGGCCAATATGGGGAAACTCAGTCTCTACTAAAAATACAAAACTTAGCCGGGTGTGGTGGCAGACGCCTGTAATTCCAGCTACTCGGGAAGTTGAGGCAGGAGAATCGCTTGAACTTGGGGGAAGGAGGTTGCAGTGGGCAGAGATTACACCATTGCACTCCAGCCTGGGGGACAAGAGCAAAACTTCATCTCAAAAAACAAAACAAAACAAAAGCTGCATTTGCTTTTGAGCCGTGCTCTTTCTGTGTGTGTGTCTTTCTATAATCCTCGCCTTCCCTTCAAAACCTAACAGGGGGAGCTGGGCTCTGAGTCCCTGGAAGTGCAAGACTAACAAGAATCAAAATTGGATGGTGATGTGTACCCCTACCCTACCCCTACCCAGGCCAGAGCTATCAGCAGGAAGGGTGTGTGCTGGACAGACAGTCCGGCCCCTTCCACCTGCTGAGGAGGGTGACAGGAGAAGCCACAGGCAGCTGCCTCCACTGCCCATACAATCTCATTATGGAACATTCCCTCTATTGACTCAGCTCCAATCAAGCTGGCTGCCTGGGGGGCATCCCCTCAGGTTTCTGCTGGGCCGGCTGAGATCAAAGAGAGAGTCGGGCTGGGGGCTGGAGCATCACTGACTTTCCCATCGATCCAGATGCGCCTCTCGTTGCTAGGCAACAGCCTCCAGTCTCTCCCGGTCTTTCCTCCCCCGAGGGGCTGCAGAATTGGACAGTAAAAGGGGAGAGAGGGAGAGACCCCACATTCACTCTCCATGTCATCCCCTCCCAAGCTAGAAACCTCTGTCACCAACCTGGGAACCTCTCCTCCCCAGAAAGCAATTCCCCTGTCCATGTTGAGAGCCTGACCCTCCCACCAAAATGAACCTCTTCTCTCTCCTCACATTTGTATGCACCTCCAGTGTACTGGAAATCCATTCCTCCTCTGCTCCATGTAAGCATTCTCTCAGGAAGACAGGCCAGGGACTCGCCATTGAAGAAATCAAGGCTCAGAGAAGGAAGGGACCCTCAAGGACTCAGTGGAAAAGTCAAGATAAGACTGCAGGCTCCCTGTCCAGGCTCAGTGGCTCATGCATGTAATCCCAGCACTTTGTGAAGCCAAGGTGGGAAGACTGCTTGAACCCAGTTCAAGACCAGCCTGGGGGCAGGCACGGTGGCTCACGCCTGTAATCCCAGCACTTTGGGAGGCCGAGGTGGGAAGACTGCTTGCACCCAGGAGTTCAAGACCAGCATGGGGGCAGGCATGGTGGCTCATGCCTGTAATCCCAACACTTTGGGAGGTCGAGGCTGGGGGATCACCTGAGGTCAGAAGTTCACGACCAGCCTGGCCAACATGGTGAATCCCCATCTCTACTAAAATGACAAAAAATTAGCCAGATGTGGGCCGGGCGCGGTGGCTCACGCCTGTAATCCCAGCACTTTGGGAGGCCAAGGTGGGCAGATCACGAGGTCAGGAGATCGAGACCATCCTGACTAACACGGTGAAACCCCGTCTCTACTAAAAATACAAAAAAAAAAAAAAAATTAGCTGGGCGTGGTGGTGGGCACCTGTAGTCCCAGCTACTGGGGAGGCTGAGGCAGGAGACTGGCATGAACCCGGGAGGCGGAGCTTGCAGTGAGCCAAGATCGCACCACTGCACTCCAGCCTGGGCGACAGAGTGAGACTCTGTCTCAAAAAAAAAAAAAAAAAAAAAATTAGCCAGGTGTGGTGGCACATGCCTGTTGTTCCAGCCACTCAGGAGGCTGAGACAGGAGAACATTTGAACCTGGGAGGCAGAGGTTGCAGTGAGCTGAGATCATGCCATTGCACTCCAGCCTGGGCGACAAGAGTGAAACTCTGTCTCAAAAAAAAAAAAAAAAAAACCAGACTGGGCAACATAGCAAGACCCTGACTCTACACAAAATAATAATAATAAAAAAATTAGCCAGTGTAGTAGTGCACGCCTGTAGTCCCAGCTACTCGGGAGGCTGAGGTGGGAGGATCATTTGGGCCTAGAAGGTTGAGGCTGTAGTAAGCTATGATTACACTACTGCACTCCATTCTGGGCAACAGAGCCAGACCCTGTCTAAAAAAAAAAAAAAAAAAAAAAAAAACTGCGGGCTCCTAACTCCCAGCCCAGTATTGGACTAAATATGGGAGCCATTTAATCTTCAGAGAATGTCTCTAAAGACAAATGCACACTCCCATTTTTCAGTGGGTTGGCTTTTTTTTTCTCTCTTCCCAAAACGTAGGATGCATTTCATAGTAGTTTTTTTTGTTGTTGTTTCAAGTGCTATAATTTAAAACTGTTAGTTGTGCTTTAAAACAGGCATAAAAATGTACTGTGGGTTTTGGGGGCTGTAATTGACTAAATAATGCAAATCTGATCATTTTATCACAGTTTAATATTTTGCATATTTTATCTACCCTATACTGCTCATCTTTCCTGTTTTTTTTTTTTTTTTTGAGTGAATATATGCACGTCATCCTAGCAGTTGTTATGTGGTGACCTACTTATTTCATGACTTATTTAGAATTTTAAGATCTCTCTCCCTCTGAGGTCTTTACAGCCCTTGGGGATGGAGGAAGGAAAGTCTCCCAGCTGGGCACAGTGGCTCATGTCTGTAATCCCAGAACTTTGAGAGGCTGAGGTAAGAGGATCACTTAAGATCAAGAGTTCTAGACCAGCCTGGGCAACATAACAAGACCCCATCTCTATTTTTTTTTTCTTTTTACAAAAAGGAAAGTTTCTCAGTCTTCCCACTGGTCCCTGCCAAACCTTTCCTTAAACAACTAAGGGAGAGGAAGAGTTGATGTGTTTCCCAAGGTGTGAGGGGCCAGAACTCAGAAGTTGGGGCTCCCTGAGAGGTGCCAGGAGGTGCACAGTCCCTGAGCAGCGGTCCTGGTGGCCTTGGAACTGCCACTGCCTGCCACCTGCACACTCCCAGCTGTTAGCATGGTGACAGCTCCTCCCCGACTCCCCTGCCCGGCACCAGTCACACACTTCAACTCTGAGGAGCACAGCTTTTCAAGGTCCTTGACAAATGGTAACCAATTAATGTCAATTAATCTGATTAGCCTAAATAGTTAATTAAGCAGCTAATTTACAACATCATTGACAACAACCCACGGCTCCTGAGGGATGGTGGGTGGGAGGTAGGAATGGCAGGGGTGCTGAAGGGAGGTCTTCCTTGCCCTGGGAACAGGTGAGCCCCTTAATGTCGGATCGGGAGTGGGAGCTCCTGGTGCAGCAGTGGCCTCTCCAAGTCTCCACTCTGCTCTGCCATCATCCGAGAATCTCCATCAGGGTACCCAGCCCCAGGCCAGGCTCAAAGGGGCTGATTTCTGTGGGACAGGGTGAACCACAGCATGGTGGAGGAGGGAAAAGGCCTCCTGTCTGGGAAACTATTCCACCCTAAAATCCCAGAGAGGGTTGGGCGCAGTGGTTCACGCCTGTAATCCCAACACTTTGGGAGGCTGAGGTGGAAGGATCACTTAGTCCAGGAGTTCAAGACCAGCCTGGGCTACATGGTGAGACCCCCCCATCTCTACTAAAAATTAAGAAAAAAAAATTAGCCAGGCATGGTGACATGCACCTGTAGTCCCAGCTACTTGGGAGGCTGAGGCAGGAGGATCGCTTAAGCCTGGGAGTTCGAGGCTGCAGTGAGCTATGATTGTGCCACTGCATTCCAGCTTGGGTGACAGAGCAAAATCCTGTTAAAAAACAAACAAACAAACAAAAAAACCAAAAACCCAGAGAGGAGCCTCTGCCACCACTTCCCATCCACACCAAGCACCTTAGAGCTCATAACCCCTTTCAAGTCCCCAAGCTACAGAGAAACCCTGAGAGAGAATTCCCATCCTTCAGCCCATCCTACAGATGAGGAAACCGAGTACCTCCTAGATGCCAGGCCCCATGCTTGCACTGACAACCTGCAACAATGAATCCCACGAGGTCCCTGCCCTTAAAGAACAGCCACCCTGGGCCTCACAGTACCTTGGTGCAACCTCTGTGGGTCAACCACTTCTTAGCTGGGCGATGTTATTTACCTCTCCGTGCCTCCATTTCCCCAACTAGGACCGACCTACATCATTGGATGTTGTGAGGACTAAATAAGTTAATACACGCAGCAGTGCCGGCACACAGAAAATACCAAATGAGTTGGAAAGGTAAACCACCAGTGTGAATGGGGTGTAAAGCCGGGCACGGTGGCTCACGCCTGTAATCCTAGCACTGTGGGAGGCTGAGGCGGGTGGATTGCCTGAGGTCAGGAGTTCGAGACCAGCCTGGCCAACATAGTGAAACCCCGTTTCTACTAAAAATTCAAAAAATTAGCTGGGCGTGGTGGCAGTCCCCTGTAATCCCAGCTACTAGGGAGGCTGAGGCAGGAGAATTGCTTGAACCTGAGAGGTGGAGGTTGTAGTGAGCTGAGATCACGCCATTGCACTCCAGCCTGGGCGACAGAGTGAGACTCCGTCTCAAAAAAAAAAAAAAAAAAAAAAAGGAATGGGGTGTAAAGTGGGCCAGGGAAGAAGCAGCACCGGGCCCTCGAGGGCACCCAGATTGGAACAGGACATCACGCAGAAGATGTCTGAGCAGAGCCTGAAGCTCAGGGAGGTAGAGGAAGAGGGAGGAAGGGCATTCCAGGCGAAGGGAACCACATGTGCAAAGTGATGAGGCACCGGTTCTCAACTCTAGTGTGTACGGTCCACCTTGGAACTTTAAAAAATGCAGACCTTGGCCAGGCGCAGTGGCTCACGCCTGTAATCCCTGCACTTTGGGAGGCCAAGGTGGGAGGATCACTTGAGGCCAGGAGTTTGAGAACAACCTGGCCAACATGGCAAAACCCTGTCTCTACTAAAAACACAAAAATTAGCCGGGCATGGTGGCGGGTGCCTGTAATCCCAGCTACTTGGGAGGCTGAGGCAGGAGAATCGCTTGAACCTGGGAGGCGGAGGTTGCAGTGAGCAGAGATTGCACCACTGCACTCCAGCCTGGGCAACAGAGCAACACTCCATCTAAAAAAAAAAAAAAAAAAAAAAAGCAGACCTTGCTGGGTGCAGTGACTCATGCCGGTAATCCCAGCACTTTGGGAGGCCGAGGTGGGAGGATCAGTTGAGGCCAGGAGTTCAAGACTAGCCTGGGCAACATAGCAAAACACTGTCTTTAAAAAAAATACAAAATTAGCAAAATTAGCCAGGCATGGTGGCGTGCACCTGTGGTCCCAGCTACTTGGGAAGATCATCTGAGCTGGGGGAGGTCAAGACTCTAGTAAGCCACGATTGTGCCACTGCACTCCAACCCGAGTAACAGTTTGAGACCCTGTCAAAAAAAAAAAAAAAAAAGCAGACCTCAGCTGGGTGCAGTGGCTCACAGTTGTAATCCCAGCACTTTGGGAGGTCAAGGTGGGAGAATCACTTGAGGCCAGGAGTTCAAGACCAGCCTGGGCAACAGGCTGAGTTTTGTAGAGACTCTGTCTCTACAAAAAACATTTTAAAAAATTATCTGGGCACGGTGGCATGTGCCTGTAGTGCCAGCTACTCAGGAGGCCGAGGCAGGAGCATTGCTTGAGCCTAGAAGGTGGAAGCTGCAGTGAGCCGTGATTGCGCCACTGCACTCCAGCCTGGACAAGAGAGTGAGACCTAGTCTCTAATAATAATAATAATAATAATAATAATAATAATAATAATAGTAGTAATAGTAATAATAATAAAATTCAGGCCCCACACTCAGATTTGGAATCAGTCGTTTTGGGTGGGTCCTGGGAATCTGCTTCTCATGGACTGTTCTAGAAATACTGGGGCAGGTACCTCTGCACCTAGGGACCATGGCTGCAGCGGTTCTGGGTGTCCAGATTGGGCTGAGCCGCAGAGAGGAGAGGAAAGGCCCCAGGCCATATGACCTATGTCCTGAAAACACACCGCAGGCCCCCTGTTGTCTCCATCTGTCCAAATCAAAACCGCTCTTCAGGGTGACCTTCCTGGAACAGCTCTGGCCATGCACTTACCTACTGGGAACATTCCTGGCGTTCTCTGCTGTCTACGGAAAAAAGGCTAGGCTGCCTCACCTGGCAATAATTCCCCCCCCGCCCCCCAACAGTGAGGCCCCTGTCTCCAACCCGGGCTTTCGCTCCTCCGCCCGGACCCTGGCACTCCAGCCATGCTGTTCCCCAAGCACCTGGTGCTCTTACCTCCTCCTCTCTGCTCCTGCCAAAATCACCCTGCCTCCTTGTGCCTCTGCCTGGCAAACCTGCATTCATTCTACGAGCTCCATCTGTGAGGCCGGCTCAAAAGTTAACCAAAGTCAACCAGGTCAGGGAGTCCTTCCCCACACCGGTGTCCCGGTAGCCCTTGGAATGCTGCTACATAACCCCTAGTCCATCTAAAAAACATTCTTGGCTGGGCGCAGTGGCTCACGCCTGTAATCCCAGCACTTTGGGAGGCTGAGGTGGGCAGATTACAAGGTCAGGAGTTCGAGACCAGCCTACCCAATATGTTGAAACCCTGTCTCTACTAAAAATACACACACACAAAAAAAATTAGCCGGGTGTAGTGGCAGGTGCCTGTGGTCCCAGCTACTCGGGAGGCTGAGGCAGGAGAATCGCTTGAACCTGGGAGGCAGAGGTTGCAGTGAGCGGAGATTGCCCCACTGCACTCCAGCCTGGGCAACAGTGTGAGACTCCATCTCAAAAAAAAAAAATTATCCAGGGCTGCTGGGGCTCAAGGACTGTCCTGCTCCTCCCATTTTTTTAGAGACGGGATCTCACTATGTTGCCCAGGCTGGAGTGCAGGGGCTATTTACAGGTGTGATCATAGTGCACTACCCGCCCCCCCAAGACTCCTGGACTCAAGCAATCCTCATGTCCCAGCCTCCCAAGTATCTAGGACCACAGGTGTGTGCCACCGTGCCCAACTCCTGCTTCTCCTCTCTTTACCTAATGCCTAGCACAGGGCTTGGGGATGACAATGTGTTCATGCAGCTTTTAAGTGGGGAAGAGCTACTGCTGTGTGATGAATGAATGAATGAATCAAGGACGATCTCTGCTTTCTGATGTCTGAGGAGCAGGAGAGAGAAGAAGACAGCATTTGAGAGGCAGGGAAGAGAGAGGTTTCTGGGGAGAATGACATATGTGTCAGATAGGGCCTGACAGAGAGGGAAGACAGGACTTCCCCCAGGAAGGACCCACTGAATGTTCCAGCTTTCCTGCCTCCCCAGAAGCCCCCTCTGGGGCCCTGATGAGAGAAGGGGTGGCTTGGAGGTTCTGCCAGTCTTGAAGCCCACTCCTCTAACCTGGGGTGCTCTGTCTGATACCAAGGGCTGTGCCATCAGCTGGAGATTGGTGTAGGGGGCAGGTTGCCCAGCTCCCAGAGGCATGTCTCTGGTATCCTGTACCCCCTTTCAGTGGTACCATCACCTCCTGCCCACATGAATAGGCAGACAGACACCTCCCTGACCTCTCTGCTCTAGGTCTCTTCCTTTCCCTCTCTGCCTCCTACCCTATTGCAGGCAGAGGGGCCTTCCTGAAGTGCAAACCTGAGCATTTGATGGCATTGCTCCAGAGCTTATAATTGTCATTGCTTTCTGAATAAATTTCCAGCTCTTGACTGGGTGCAGCGGCTCATGCCTGTAATCTCAGCACTTTGAGAGCCCGAGATGGGAGGATTGCTTGAGGCCAGGCATTTGAGACCAGCCTGGGCAACATAGCAAAACCCCATCTCTAAAAAAACATTAAAAAATTAGTTGGGTGTGGTGGCACATGCCTGTCGTCCCAGCCACTTGGAAGGCTGAGGCAAGAGAATATCTTGAGCCCAGGAGTTGGAGGCTGCAGTGAGCTATGATCTCACTATTGCACTCCAGCCTAGCAGATGGTGAGACCCTGTATCAAAAAAAAAAAAAAAAAAAATTCCAACTCTTCAAGGCCAACCACTCCCACTGGGCTGCCTATTATCAGCCCTGCCCTCTGTCCTGTCCTATGACCACATTAGGTAACTATCCCTTGAATCCAGCCAGGAGGTTTCATACCTCTGTGCCATTGCCCATGATGCTCTCTGGAGTGCCAATCCTCTGCCCTCTCTGTCTGGCACCTCCCCTGTCATTCTTTGAGGCCCAACTGAAATGTCACCTCTCCCAGAAGCCTCCTCTGATGCTCCATATCACTTTGGACGACTTAGTTCTAGCAGAACCTCAGTGGATCATCAGTTTTCATGACTGCCTTCCTTTCCACTGGTCCAGAAGCTCCTCAAGGTCAGAGGCAGAGTCTGATTCACCTCTGTGTCCTCGGGCCTCGTGCTGTGCCCAGAAAACAGGAGGCCCTCATTAAATGTCGATTGTATAGTCTAACCCCCTCAAAGGGTGACCTCCACCTAGCAGAAGTGCACTGGATTTTACCCTTCCTGGGGTGCTTTTTTGGAGACAGGATCTTGCTCTGTCACCCAGGCTGGAGTATAGTGGTGCAATCATAGCTCGTTGCAGCCTTGACTTTCTGGGCTCAAGTGATCCTCTTGCCTCAGCCTCCTGAGTAGCTGGGTCTACAGGTGCACACCACCATGCTCGGCTAATGTTTTCTTTTTCTTTCTTCCTTCCTTCCTTTCTCCCTCTCTCCCTCCCTCCCTCCCTTCCTCCCTTCCTCCCTTCCTTCCTTTCTTCTTTCTTTTTTCTTTCTTTTTTTTTTCAGGGTCTTCTTGCTCTACACTCACTCAGGCTGGAGTGCAGTGGCGTGATCTCAGCTCACTGCAATTTCCACCTCCCGGATTCAAGTGATTCTCGTGCCTCAGCCTCCTGAGTAGCTGGGATTACAGTCACCCTCCACCAGGCCTGGCTAATTTTTGTATTTTTAGTGGAGATGGGGTTTCTCCATGATGGCCAGGCTGGTCTCGAACTCCTGATTTCAAGTGATCTGCCCACCTCAGCCTCCCAAACTGCTGGGATTACAGGCGTGAGCCACCGTGCCTGGCTTAATTTTTTCTTTTTCTTTCTTTCTTCTTCTTCTTCTTTTTTTTTTTGTAGAGATAGGGTCTTATTATGTTGCCCAGATTGGTCTTCAACTCCTGGGCTCAAGTGATCCTCCCACCTCAGCCTCCCAAAGTTCTGGGATTACAGGCATGAGCCACCATACCTGGCTCCGGGGTGCTTTCCAACCCAGGACCTGAGTCACTTCTAGTATCATCTGGAGGCAAGTATCATTATATCCATTTTACAGAAGAGAAAAAGGGTTGGAGGTTGGAGGCCAGCGGAAATCAGGGCTCAAGAGATTGGGAGCCACCAGATTCCAGTTCTGGGTGCTTTCTTCTGGGGTCTTGTTGGATCCAAGCCCTCACCGCCCCCTAAGCCCACCCCGCCAGGGATATGTGATGCTCTCATGTCCTCCTTCCCTAGCAGTTCTGGCAAATCCTTACCTCAATCCCTGGCAGAGGGGCTTGCCTTACTTTCTGTCTGACCTATCCCAGGCCATAAAGTTATTTTCACCAGGGGAAATCCACACACGCAGACCCCAAAGCTGTGCCACCCAAGAGGGACAGGGCAGGGGCAAGGGAGAGACTCTCTCTGCTGCTCTCAGCTCCACCCATGCCCAGCCTTTATAAGGCCATTAAAAATATGCTTTTGGAAGAATATTTATTTCTTTCTTTACTGAGACAGAGTCCCCCGCTCTGTTGCTCAGGCTGGAGTGCAGTGGTGCGATCTCAGCTCACTGCAGCCTTGAACTCCTGAGCTCAAGCGATCCTCCCACCTCAGCCTCCTGAGTAGCTGGGGCTACATGCGTGCACCACCAAGTCTGGCTAATATTTATTTATTTATTTATTTATTTATTGGTAGAGATGGGGTTTCACTGTTTCCCAGGCTGGTCTCAAACTGCTGGGCTCAAGCGATCCTCCTGCCTTGGCTTCCCAAAGTGCTGGGATTACAGGGTGAGCCACCAAACCTGGCCCTAAAGAGTCTTTAAAGACATCAGAGAATGCTCATGATAGAGTAAAAACAGCAACAGACCTCCTCCAGCAGCATGTTCCTGGTTATTTAACTCTATGTACCTACGGACACATGGAAAAAAGCCTGCAAGGAAATACCATACTGTGTTCAAAGTGGTTGTCTTTGGGTGGTGGAACTACTGATAGTTTCTATTTTCTCCTTGGTTTCTGTATTTCCCAAGACTTGTACAATGAAGATATGCCATTCTCTCTCTCTCTCTCTTTCTCTGTGTTTTCTTCTTTTGAGATGGAGTCCCACTCTGTCGCCCAGGCTGGAGTGTAGTTGTGCAATTATAGTTCACTAGATCCTTGAAGTCCTAGACTCAAGCAGTCCTCCCACCTCAGCCTCCCAAGTAGCTGGGACTACAGGCACGTGCCACCACACATGGCTAATTTTTTATTTTTATTTTTTTTTAGTGAGCCGAGGTCTTGCTATGCCGCCTAGGCTGAAGATACGCCATTCTTACAATCAGAACGATTCTGTACAACTTGCTTTTACCTGTCTCTGTCCTGGGAAGTCCTGGGAAATGGTGGTGGGGAGGGAGTGCTGGACTAGGAGGGGGCTCAGCTGAGGAAGTCGCCTGGACCCTGGGGTCTGAGTAAATGGGTCAGGCCTCCTCACAGCCCTCAGAGGCCCTGGCAGGATGCTAAGGGAGCCGTGGCACCGTCCGTCAGCTTCCGCCGGCACAGCAGCCTCTGCAGTGGGCAGGAGGCCAGGGCGGGGGCGGCAGGAGGCTGAGGCCAGGCTGGCTGCCGAGGAAGCAGCGCTGCAGAAGGACAGGCCAGAGGCTTTAGGCTCTGAAGGAGTCCTTGGGGGGCGAGGACTGCTCTGGAGCCAATGTACACATGGCCCCAGGGGCCTGTCTTCTAGGCTAACAGTCAGTGAGGCAGCCTGAACCCGGCTCACCCACCCAGGCCCTCTGAGAGCCCTATTCTAGATGACATGGGGCCAACAGGGCTGAGCCTCCAGGATGGAGATGTCGCCCTCCTGCGCTCATGACCCAGAAGAGGGCAGAGGGACAGCACCCCAGAGGTATCAGCAGGTGCTAAGCCACAGTGAAGGCCTAGGCTGGGCCAGGCTGGGTCTGTAATTTTTGGTAACAAGCCCTTCCCTGTCATAATCCCCTCTGTTCTCCTGGGCATCCCACTCCTCCTGCTCTCTCTCTCTCTCTCTCCAATCCCTTTCTCCTCTCTGAACCCACTCTCCCTCACTCTGCCCCCCAAACACCTTCCCTTCCCTTCCCCTCATCCGACTCTTCTCCATTCATCAAAAGCTGTTCTTGCATGGATGTGGTGGCTCACGCCACATTCTAGCACTTTTGGAAGCTGAAGCAACATAGTGAGACCCCATCTCTAAAAGAAATAATAATAATTGCTTGGTGTGGTGGTACATGCCTGCAGTCCTAGCTATTCGGGAGGCTGAGGCGGGAGGATCACTAGATTCCAGGAGGTCAAGGCTGCAGTGAGCCGTGATTGTGCCACTGCACTCCAGCCTGAGCAACAGATTGAGCCCCTCTCTCAAAAAAATTTAAAAAATGGGTTTTGACCAGATGACCCCCCACCCACGAAGGCCCTGTCAGTCCCAAGATTTAAACATATCTCTGTCCTATAAATCTGTATGTCAGGAAGCCTGCAGTTCCATCATTAGAGGTTGAAGTCACCTCCAGTGTTTCAAGCTTTGATTTATTGGAGCTGAGATTTCAAATTCACCTGTCCCAAGTCACTTACAGACTTGGGTCTTAATTAAAGGGGGAAAATAGGGCTTAGACAGGCCCAGTGGCCCATCTACAGATCCCAGGACTCTTTGGCTGAACCAAGGTTAGAGTCCTTTCTGGCCCAGAATTTGAGGTGAGCTGCAGGGACACTGAAGATGCCTTCCACACCCTCTCAGGGTTGTTCACCAGAGCCCAGGAGGCCCCCAAGGACCACAGGCATGGGACTAGGGAAGCAACAGAGGTGAGGTGATTGAGGCTTATTCATGGAATTTTGGGGAAAATAGGAGAGTTTGCAGCTGGTGTTGTAAAGAGAGGAGGCATGGCTGGGCGTGGTGGCTTACGCCTGTAATCCTAACACTTGGGGAGGCTGAGGCAGGCGGATCACCTGAGGTCAGGAGATTGAGAGCAGCTTGGCCAACATCACAAAACCCCATCTCTACTAAAAATATAAAAATTAGCCAGGTGTGGTGGCACATGCCTGTAGTCCCAGCTACTTGGGAGGCTGAGGCAGGAGAATCATTTGAACCCAGGAGGCAGAGGTTGCAGTGAGCTGAGATTGCACCACTGCACTCCAGCCTGGGTGACAGAGAGAGACTCTGTCTCAAAAGAAAACAAAACAAAAGAGAGAGAGAGAGAGAGAGAAAGGAGGCAAGCCCTGCAGAGGCGCTGGGTCAGTGTGGAAATGAGTCTAGGCTGAATGGGAGGGACTGCAAGAAATGGAGGTGAATTTCCTTCTCAGTTCCAACACCTTGGCTCAGTGAAGGAGTTGCGGAGGGGAGCGGATCAGAGATGGGGGAGGGTTCAATGAGGAGAGAGGGGATCAAGAGGGGGAACTCACTGAGGGGCAGGAGGCTGAGTGAGGAGAAAGGAGCTGGGAGAAGCGATGTTCAGAGGAGAATAGCTTTCTTTTTATAATTTTTTGTAGAGATGGGGTCTCACTATGTTGCCCAGGCTGGTCTTGAACTCCAGGCCTCAAGGGATCCTCCTGCCTTGGCCTCCCAAAGTGTTAGGATTACAAGTGTGAGCCACTGCACCTGGCATTAAACCCCATCATTTTAGGGTTGGGGACACTGAGGCCAAGAGGTGGGAAGGGACCCCTTCAAGGTCATACAGGGAGCCAGGATCAGAGATAGGGCCAGAAAGAAGGTCCTTGGACTCATGTTCAAGAGTCCTTCAGTTGCCTTCACCATGTGCCACCCACCTCTCCAACACTCACTGGCCTACAGTGCCTGGATTGATTCTCGCCCTGGGGAGCCTGGAGAATCGGGGGCAGAGTGGTGTTGTGGAAGTCATCCTGGGGTCCTGAGGCAGTGGGGTTGGGTTGCACCAAGACCTTGCTCTGTGACTTTGGGAAAGTCCCATCACACCTTCAGGCCTTGTTTTTCTCCTATGTGAAAGGGAGACAGCAGCACCTTTGGGTCCAGGTTATGTGAGGATGAGATGAGATCATGTATACGAAGTTACAGGACCATGGGCAGAGGCTCAGTGTATGTGTAGGAGTGAAGAAAGAGGGGCTGGGCTTCTCTAACCTCCCCATTGGTGCCCCTGGAAGGCTTCTGAGACAGGAAGAGCTATGATTTTGTCCCTGGGGGACAATAAAATATGGGCAGAGGAGGGAGAAAAGTCAGGAAGGGAGGCTGACCCCAGCAGCGCTAGTAGCTGCTCCTGGCCATGGACCATCTCAGGAGGTGAGGGTGAACCACTAAGAAAGGAAGGAGCAGTCACTGGCTGGCAGAGGTCAGCAAGAGGTTGGGAGGCAGAGGAGGTGCAGAACGGGTGCAGCAGTGAGCAGATGGGACTGTCAGACCCAGACCCCCCCTTTGGCAGGTGTGACGGGGTAGAGGCACCCCGCTGGCCGGTTCAAGGCACATTCTACCTCTAAGTATCCCAGTGACCTTGTGGGAGTCACCTCCTTACTGCACTGTATGCCCTCACCCACCTGCCTCAGGCTCCCCACCTGTAAAGCTGGCATCATAAATCAAGACACTGGCATTGAACTGGGCCTTGATACTCAGAGGATGGGACAGGTCATCAGTAACTCTCCTGCCTCCAGGAGGACAGCGCGAGTGGCTTCATGACCTTGGGAAAGTCACTCAAGCTTCATTTCTCAGCTATGAAATAGGGACAATGATGCCTTCCTCATGAAGCTTCTGTGAGGATTAGCTGAGTCAACCGTTGCATTGTGCCCAGCATGGAGCTGGGCATGAGGCTCTCAACCACTGTTCATCTCCTCTGGGAACAGAAAAATGTGCTTCAAATATCACTGAACACTATTCCACATTTATCCAGCTCTTCTTTAAGAAATTCTTACTTGTCTCCTATTTACTAACACTCACCCAGCATTTTATACCGTAAAAGTAGTCTCCCATCTCCTTATCCAGATTATTTCTTTCAACAGCAAAGTAGACATTGCTAACACTACACCTGTTTTACAGATTGAAAACAGACTCAGAAAGGTCAATGGCTTACCTGAGGTCACATAACCTAGATTTGATCCCATGTCTTTCTGACATCAGAGTCCATGACTCCCAACCCACATACCCCTACCTCTTAAAACCCAGTTGACTCTTTAGTCAGTCTTCAAGAATACCTCCTCCACCCCACAGGAGAGTGGGATGGGGCATAAAGTTAAGGAACCAGAAAGCTACTGCTGTGTGGGAACAATTTCCTAGCCAGCTGGGTCCTATTTTTGACTGAGGAAGAAGCTGGCACAAACTGGGGCCATGACCTTAAGATGCTCCCTGGACAGAGGAACTTGTGCACGTCTCTCCGTCAAAGCCCAGCACCTGCCTTTTCTCTTGCCATGGGACAAAAGACCAGCTCAAGCCCCCGATGCTAGGGTGAGTGAGGTCTTAGGACAGCGAGAAGTTATGGCTGGGATAGGGCACAGGCATTGAAGTACCACGTCAGACCTTGGTACAACCTTCCCTTCCTCCCACTAAATCTCTCCCCACAATGGATCTGCTGTCAGGAGTAGGAACTGCAGGAGGCTTCAACACTGTCCAGGCAGGAGCCCTGGGAGGGAGGGGGAGGCGGAGGCAAGGCAGAGGCTGCGTCTTTTCTCAGCTCTCTTCTTTACCAGGAATTCACTCTGGCGCAGGTCTAACTCTGGGCTAGAAACTCTCTCTGGGCGTCCGTGGTTGGGGTGGGGGGTGTGCACAGAGAACCCCCTCCCAAATTCCTAGTAGCTATTTTCTCTTCTGTGTCCTCCATCCTCTTCCCAGTGCAAGAGTAAATGCCATCCTGTGAGACCCAGTTCTCCTTGCCAGCTCCTGCCTCCCTAGGGGCATTTGGGTAGCCGGGAAAGGGGCCAGGCTGTCCCCTGGGCCGGCACCTCCTGCTGGACAGAGGCCCAGCATCCAGGTGGGGGCCTGCTCCCTTCACCAGGGCCAGTGACCAGCATCTCCACAGGGTTACTGCATCGGTCCTCCCTTCCCTGGGGAGCAGGTCCTTCTCCTCAGTGGGACTGCGGTTGGGGGGCCTCCCTGGCACCCTCATGGACTAGGCCATGGTCATTTATGCCCAGGGGAGTCCTGCCCATGACCCCAAAGGTCTCCACTGTCTCCATCCCTCTCAGTGAAATGAATGTTCCTCATCTCTGCTCCCCGGGCGCCTGGCACCCCCGGACAGACGCCCTCGCCGACCTCCCACACTGCCCCTCTGCTCGGGGGAGCCTGCAGACCACGGGGGTGCTGGGGAGGCCCGAGCTTCCACCCAGCCCCAGCCCCTCGGGGATATGCCCCCGCCCCACAGGCGCTCTCACCTCACCGCTGACCGCCGCGATCTACCGGGCGCTGGGGCCAGGCCCTCGGGTCCCGCCGGTCCGGGCTGCCGCCTAGTCTGGGCTGAGTTGGGCAGGGCAGCTCCGCGGCCCCCACGGCCCCGCACCCTCTGCCTCCCCGCGGGTGCTGCCGCCGCTTGCTGAAATGCTGGACAGCGCACCGCCACCGAGGCGCCTCTCTGCTCGCCCGCCAGCCAGAGCGGCCCAGCCCCGCGCCCGCAGCGCCCTCCGCAGGCCTGGAGGAACGCCCGCAGCGGAGGCAACAGCCCGGGCGGCTGGGCCGGGCCGTCTCCCGGCCGGCTCCCCCTCCTCCCCGCCCCCTTCGCCCCCCTCCCCCCCTTCCCCTCGCCCCTCACCTCCCCACACCCCCGCCCCTATCCCCAGCCCCCGGGGACATCTGTTTCCCCCACTTGCGAGAGGAGGCATGTCAGCCCTGGAAGGCGCCTGGGGCAAGGGAGGTTATTAGTTTGGATCTGGGAAATGCAGTCGGTGTGCAGAGGCCTCGCCAGGACACTCTCTTCCCACCCAGTGTTAAAGAAGGCACCAGGGGCTGGGCGCGGTGGCTCACGCCTATAATCCCAGCACTTTGGGAGACTGAGGCGGGAGGATCACTTGAGGCCAGGAATTCGAGACCAGCCTGGCCAACATGGTGAAACCCAGTCTCTACTAAAAATACAAAAATTAGCCAGGCGTGGTCGCAGGCACCTGTAATCCCAACTACTCAGCTACTTGGGAGGCTGAGGCAGGAGAATCGCTTGAATCTGGGAGGCGGAGTTGCAGTGAGCCAAGATCGCACCATTGCACTCCAGACTGGGCGACAAGAGCAAGACTTAGGGTCAAAAATAAAATAAAATAAAATAAAATAAAAGGCACCAGGGAGGTGAGGTGGGAGGATCGCTGGAGCCCAGGAATTTGAGGCTGCAGTGACCTATGGTGGCGCCACTGCACTCCAGCCTGAATGACAGAGGCTGTCATTTTTTGACACCATCTCAAAAATTTAAAAAAAAAAAAAGGAGGGTGTAGTGTGAGAGACATCCTAATGGAGACAGGAGATTTTAAATTATTTTTTTAAATTTTAAAATTTTGGCTGGATGCAGTGGCTCACATCTGTAATCCTAACATTTTAGGAGGCTGAGGTGGGAAATCACTGAGCTCAGGAGTTTGAGACCAGCCAGGCCAACATGAGGAAACCCTGTCTCTATGAAAAATACAAAAATTTGCCAGATGTGGTGGCATGCATGCACCTGTGGTCCCAGCTACTTGGGAGGCTGAAGTGGGAGGAAGGCTTGAGCCTGAGAAGCGAAGGTTGCAGTGAACCAAGATTGCTCCATTGCACTCCATCCTAGGTGACAGAGCCTCAATTTGTCTCAAAAACAAAAACAAAACAAAAAAACAAAAACAACAACAACAAAAAACTTTAAATTTTTGATAGAGATAGGGTTTGATTATGTTGCCTAGGCTGTCCTTGAACTCCTGGACTCAAGCAATCCTCCTGCCTTGGCCTCTCAAAGTATTGGGATTACAGGCATGAGCTGCTACACCAGACCTTTTTTTTTTTTTTTTTTTTTTTTGAGACAGGGTCTCGCTCTGTTGCCCAGGCTGGACTGCAGTGGTGTGATCATATCTTACTGCAACCTCAAACTCCTGGGCTGAAGCCATCCTCCTTCCCTTCCTCAGCTTCTCAGAGTGCTGAGATTACAAGCATGAACCACTGTGCCTGGCCAGGGGGAGAGGATTTTGAGAATGGAAATGCTGAGCCTTTCATGTTGCTGGGTTGGGAGTCTGGGTTCCACAGTTCAAGTCACCATTGGGTTACTCTCTGTGTGACCTTGGTCTGTTCCTCCCACAGCTCCTGGCCCCCTTTCAGTGAGCAGGCTAAGTGAAGGAAATTCAGAGTTAGAGACGTTGGGAGACCAGAGACCTTCCCTAAATAGAGACATTAGAAACCAGGAACATGGAGTCCCCTGTTTCAAGCTCACCATTGGTGTCTCCATGGCTGTGTCAGGAGGCAGGACTGGAAGTGCCACAGCAGCCCTGACTTGAGGGAACAGTGGTGAGGCACATCAGGTGCCTGGGGTGTAGATTTTAGGAAGCATTTGCATGACACCAAGAGGCATCCCTTGGTCTGAGTGTATGTTTGTTGTGAGTCTTTGTATGGGTTTATGTGTGTATGTGCCCCCGTGGGTCTGTGTCTGTGCATCTGTTTTTATTTTTTTGAGATGGAGTTTCACTCTTGTCACCCAGGCTGGAATGCAATGGTGCGATCTCGGCTCACTGCAACCTCCGCTTTCTAGGTTCAAGCATTTCTCCTGCCTCAACCTCCAGGGTAGCTGAGATTACAAGTGCCCGCCACCACTCCTGGCTAATTTTTGTATTTTTTTTTTTTTTTAAGTAGAGACGGGTGTTTCACCGTGTTGGCCAGGCTGGTTTTGAACTCCTGACCTCAGGTGATCCACCCGCCTCAGCCTCTCAAAGTGCTGTGATTACAGGTGTGAGCCACCGCACCTGGCCTGTGCATCTGTTTTTGGATTCATGTCTTTCTGGGGTCTGTGTCTGTGCGTGCCCTCCTGTAACTGTCCCATGGATTCTCCTTGCCTGCTGCCCAGATAGAGCCAATTTATCAAGACAGGGGAATTGCAATATGCAAGGAGTTTAATGCACGTAGAGCCGACTAAATGGGAGACCAGAGTTTTATTATTACTCAAATCAGCCTCTCCAAAAATTCAGAGGCTAGAGTTTTTCAAGGATAGTTTGGTGGGTCGATGGGGGAGGTGACTAGGGAATGGGAGCTGCTGATTGGTTGGGGATGCATTCCTTTTTTTTTTTTTTTTTTGAGATGGAGTTTCATTCTTCTTGCGCAGGCTGGAGTACAATGGTGCGATCTCAGCTCACTGCAGCCTCCACCTCCCAGGTTCAAGCGATTCTCCTGCCTCAGCCTCCCGATAACTGGGATTACAGGCATGTGCCACCACACCCGGCTAATTTTGCATTCTTAGTAGGGACGGGGTTTCTCCATGTTGGTCAGGCTGGTCTCAAACTTTGGTTGGGGATGCATTCCTGTGGATGTGGAAAATGGTCCTCTTGCATTGAGTCCACTTCTGGATAGGGCCACAGAAGAGTAGCTGGTCTGAGTGGAATAATCTGACAGGAATGCAAAAGCCTGGTCAGGCGCGGTAGCTCACGCCTGTAATCCCAGCACTTTGGAGGCCGAGGTGGACGGATCACCTGAGTTCAGAAGTTTGAGACCAGCCTGGCCAACATGGCAAAACCCTGTCTCTACGGCCCTCATTCTTTTTTTTTTTTTTTTTCTTTAGTAGAGACAGGTGTTTCACCATGTTGGCCAGGCTGGTTTCGAACTCCTGACCTCAGGTGATCCGCCTCGCTCCGCCTCCCAAAGTCTTGGGATTACAGGCATGAGCCACCATGCCCGGCCCTCTCTTATAATTTTTGCAAAGGCGGTTTCACTCTTCCCCTCCCCTCTTCCTTTGCCCAGGTTTCCTTACCTACCAGAATCTTTGGAGTGTGTGTGTGTGTTTAAGATCCTTGAACTGCAGGCCCTTGCACTATTTGCAGAACAAAGATCGAGGGTGAGGGAGAGGGGTGGGCTACAGCTGCTGCCACCAGTACTGCAGCTCCACAGCCCCGGGGGGCAAGTCCTCTGCTGATCTCCTGCCTTCTGGCTGCATGAATATTTCATTTGCTGAGACTTTGGGCTGGCCTAGCACCAGTCAGCTTGGTTGCTCCTTCTTCCTGAGAGGAGCTGCCCTCTCTGTGCCTGGCTGGGACTTCCCAGGCAGGTCAAGGTCTGGGAGAAGGCCCTGGGAGTGGGGGGGGTTGGGGCTGGCGGCTGCAGGCCTTTCCTTGACTGAAGAACCATGGCTGGGTGTGTGGAGAGGAGTGGAGGAAACTTACAGGAGGTGTGGAGACGCGGCATCATCTCAGAGTGAAATGCATGCCTTAAATGAAGCTGGCCTTTTTTTTTTTTTTTTTTTTTTTTTTTGAGATGGAGCATTGTTCTGTTGCCCAGGCTGGAGTACAGTGGCACGATCTCGGCTCACTGCAACCTCTACCTCCCGGGTTCAAGCAATTCTCCTAACTTAGCCTCCCGAGTAGCTGGGACTACAGGCGCATGTCACCACGCCCAGCTAATTTTTGTATTTTTAGTAGAGATGGGGTTTTACCATGTTGGCCGGGCTGGTCTCAAACTCCTGGCCTCAGGTGATCCGTCCACTGTGGCCTCCCAAAGTGCTGGGGTTACAGGCGTGAGCCACCGTGCCCAGCCAAAGTTGGCTTTATGAAACTTCACCACATTGCTTTGGTTCCTGACCGACCCTGGCCTCAACTCCGGAATTAGCACCTGGGAACACTGCCCCAGCTGGGCACACCTTCTCTTGCCCTCCCCTGGTCTGTCTCTGCAGTACCTGCCTCCCTGGTTTCGCGATGGGAGCAGCTTCAGGGGAGAAGGGGATTTGGGCCTATAAAAGCTGACTGCAACCAGAGGCGGTGGCTCACACCTGTAATCCCAGCACTTTGGGAGGTCGAAGCAGGCAGATTACTTGAGGCCAGAAATTCGAGACCAGCCTGGCCAACATGGTGAAACCCTGTCTCTACTAAACATACAAAAATTAGCTGGATGTGGTGGCGGGCTCCTGTAGTCCCAGCTACTTGGGAGGCTGAGGTGGGAGGATTGCTTGAACCAGGGAGGCGGAGGTTGCAGTGAGCTGACATCGCGCCACTGCACTTCAGCCTGGTTGACAGCGTGAAACTCTATCTCAGAAAAAAAAAAAAAAAAGGCTGGCTGCAAGCAAACTTCTCCAGCTGCCTGGAACTCTGCATTCTACCAGTCTCGGAATCCCAGGCCACCTCTCCATCCCAATATTCCCCCCTCTCCCTTCGCGCTCCCTTCTCCTGGCTCATAGGGATACACTCTGTCTTGGTTTCCCCACCCAGCCTGCTAATTTCCCCAAAACGCGCTCCTCCCCTTGTGCGACTTGTTTCAAAAAACAGCACCGCCATCTGTGCTGGCTTTTCTCTGTGTGATCCTCTGGCTCCGGCTCTGCCCTGCTCTAGGCCTTGGAGGGAGGCTGGCCTCTGTGGTCCGATTACCCAGGCTCCCTCGCTCTTGGTGTCCGGTTGGGTTCATCTAAGGGGAGGCATCACCAGGAGAAGCCAGATCCAGGAGAAGGGGAGAAGAGATAAGTTAGGGATTTATTCCCCTACTGAGTTCCTCTCCTGCCCCTCTTCTCCACCTCCTGTTCTTCTGGCCAAGTTCTGGCTTTCAGCCTCCTCCCTACAGCCTAGGAGTGGTAACGGCTTCCCAGTAATTTAAGTCCTCGGCCGCTTCTCTATGTCTTGTTGGTTCATTCTCATATCCTCATCTGCACCTGTGTGCAGGGTCCCTTCATCAAGCTCTCGTCAATGGGACCTTTGTACAGGGATGTCTGTTTCATTCTAGATCCCTGACCCAAGAAACTTCCCTGCCCCAAGTCCGGTCTCTAAGTCAGAGACCTGTGAGTCTGTGGGATTCTCCAGTTCCTCCCTTCGCCCTTTAGACCTTCCATCTCCTGGGACTGTCCCCACTTCTTTTTTTTTTTTTTTTTTTTTTTGAGATGGAGTTTCTTTCTTCCTTTTTTTTTGAGATGGAGTTTCACTCTTTCTCCCAGACTGGAGTGCTGTGGCATGATCTTAGCTCACTGCATCCTCTTCCTCCCGTGTTCAAGCGATTCTCCTGCCTCAGCCTCCTGAGTAGCTGGGACTACAGGTACCCACCACCACGCCCGGCTAATTTTTAATTTTTGCATTTTTAGTAGAGATGGGGTTTCACTATGTTGGCCAGGCTGATCTCGAACTCCTGACCTCAGGTGATCTGCCCGCCTCGGCCTCCCAAAGTGCTGGGATTACAGGCGTGAGCCACCGCGCCCAGCCCTGTCCCCATTTCTGCAGCCTCAGAATGTCTGCCTGGGCCAGGCCTTGATACCAGACCCCTGCCCTGTGTCCTCCCCCTCCCCAGTCACTCTCCCTCTGAACAGGCAATCTCTGCTCAGATGGCACTTGGTCAATGAACCTTTTAAAGACATCTGCATATAAAACAGTGTCTCACCAGCCTGGACAACATAGTGAGTATCCGTTTCTTTAAAAAAAATAAAATAAAAATGAGCTGGGCTTGGTGGTGTACAGCTGTAGTCCAAGCTACTCAGAGGCAGAGGCAGGAGGATCGCTTGATCCAGGAGGTTGAGGCTGCAGTGAGCTGTGATCCTGCCACTGCACTCCAGCCTGGGCGACAAACTGAAACTTTGTCTCTGAAAATAAAAAATAAAATAAATAAAACAGTGTCTCCCTGTCCAGCACTAGTTTCCCCTCTTTCTTTATTTAAAATTGTGGTAGCCTGGCCAACATGGTGAAACCCCGTTTAGCTGGGAGGTATTACTGGAGGGAGAGTCTCAAGCCAGGCACAAAAGGTGGGGAGGATGTGGCTGACTCCATGGGATGAGTGGGATCTGGAATCAGACCCAGGACCTGAGCCAGATTTGCTGCTTTGTAGCCATGTGGACTTGGGAAAGTCTCCTGGAGCCTCAGTTTCTTCATCTGTAAAATGGGGCTAATAACACTTGTCTCTGAGGGTTGCTATGAGTTCTATTGTTAGAAATCTTCTCTGTTGGGCATGGTGGCTCACGCCTGTGATCCCAGCACTTTGGGAAGCTGTGGCTGGTGGATCACCTGAGGTCAAGAGTTCGAGACCAGCCTGGCCAACATGATGAAACCCCATTTCTACTAAAAATACAAAATGTAGCTGGGTCTGGTGGCATGTGCCTGTAATCCCAGCTACTCGGGAGGCTGAGGTAGGAGAATCACTTGAATCTGGGAGGTGGAGGTTGCAGTGAGCTGAGATCGCACCACTGCACTCCAGCCTGGGAGACAGAGGGGGACTTGATCTCAAAAAAAAAAAAAAAAAGAAAGAAAGAAATTTCATGGTTATAGCCTAGAGGGATTTGATGATGCATGTGGTGCCTTTTATCTGGAGAATGACAAAACCTTGGCTGGATATGGGGTCTCACGCCTATAATCCCAGCACTTTGGGAGGCCAAGGCAGGAGGAATGCTTGAAACCAGGAGTTCAAGACCAGCCTGGGAAACATGGCAAAACCCCATCTCTACAAAAAATACAAAAATTAAGGCCGGGCACGGTGGCTCACACCTGTAATCCCAGCACTTTGGGAGGCCAAGGCGGGCGGATCACAAGGTCAGGAGTTCGAGACCAGCCTGACCAACATGGTGAAACCCCATCTCTACTAAAAATACAAAAATTAGCCGGGCATGGTGGCAGGCACCTGTAATCCCAACTATTCAGGAGGCTGAGGCAGGAGAATCACTTGAACCCAGGAGGCGGAGGTTGCAATGAGCCTAGATAGCGCCACTGCACTCCAGCCTGGGTGACAGAGCAAGACTGTCTCAAAAAAAAAAAAAAAAAAGAAAAGAAAAAAAAATTAGCCAAGCATGATGGCAGGCACCTGTGGTCCCAGCTACTTGGGAGGCTGAGCTGGGAGGATCACTTGAGCCCAGGAGGTTGAGGCTGTAGTGAGCTGAGATCACATCACTGCACTCCAGCCTGGGCAACAGAGCGAGGTCCCGTCTCAAACAAAACAAAACAAAAAACAAAACCTGGTCGCTCTGCTGTCCCAATACCTTAAATACCCACTCTTTTCTGCTGGCCCAATCCATCAACATTCCCATGCTATCGGCCTCCTTTTTCTCTCCTCACTCCCTCCGGCACCTCCCTGATGCACCCCCCATGTCCAGCACTTTGCTGGATCATACTGGGGGACCCCTGTGGACCATGCAGCCTCCTTCTCTTCTCTTTGTGCCCCTCTGCCTAGCCCATCCAGATCTCTTTCTCTCCATCTCCCTCCCCTCCCCCAGCACATCTCCCTCTCTGTCTGCAGAGCCTGGGAAATTGAGGAGTCCCTTGTGGCAGGGCTGACCTTGAAGCAGATCTTTAATAAAAAATGAGCAGAGGCAGCAGCCTCCCCTGCTCGCCCCTCCTCCCTCCCAGCCTTCTACTCTCCTCGCCATTGCTCGTAAATCCACCATCAGGGGCCATTGCTCTGGGGTAAGCATTGCCCTCATTAGGGTCTTTTAAAAGCTGCGCATTCTTGGGACGTGGGGATGTGAAGGAAGAAAGCTTTTGTTGAGATCTGGGGATGTGATGTAGAAGGGGAGGGGGCTACACTTTGAGGCTGTGGCCTCTGCTGCTTCTGCCTAGAGCTTCACATGTGCCCCCCGGCCCTAGGACCCCCTCTCACCACCAAGGTGTTACACAGTCCTAATGGTCCAGCCACCATCCCAGCCTGAGGTCATCCTAGTCTGGGAAGGGATGGCTGTCAGCAGTAGCCTATGCCTCACCCACTTGGAGGAGCTTCAAATCAAGTCTCCTGCAGATCCAGGTCTGCTCTCAGCCTGAGCCCAGGAGTGACAGTGACGCACATCTTTGAAAAGTGCAGTAATCTGGCTGAGCACGGTGGCTCACACATGTAATTCCAGCACTTTGGGAGGCTAAGGTGGAAGGATCACTTGAGCCAAGGAGTTCGAGACCAGCCTAGGCGACATAGTGAGACCCTGTCTCTACTAAAAAAAATAAAAATTAGCTGAGTGCAGTGCACACACCTTCAAGCTACTTGGAAGGCTGGGGCAGGAGGATCCCTTGAGGCCAGCAGTTCGAGGTTGCTGTGAGCTATGATTGCATAACTGCACTCCAGCCAGGGTGACAGAGTAAGACCCTGTCTCTAAAAATAAATAAATAAGGCTGGGTGCGGTGGCTTATGCCTGTAATCCCAGCACTTTGGGAGGTCGAGGCGGGCTGATCATTTGAGGCCAGGAGTTCGAGACCAGCCTGGCCAACATGGCGAAACCCCGTCTCTACCGAAATTACAAAAATTAGCTGGGCGTGGTGGTGCCTGTAATCCCAGCTACTCAGGAGGCTGAGGCAAGAGAATCACTTGAACCTGGGAGGCGGAATTTGCAGTGAGCTGAATCAGGCCACTGCACTCCAGCCTGGGCTAAAAATGAGACCCTGTCTCAAAAATAAATAAATAAATAATAAAAATAAAATTTAAAAATGGAAACTGCTGTATTCCAGTGATTGTACTTCCTGCTGATTACCTCTAATCCCACAATGAGACCGTGAGCAAAGGACCAGCGTCCCATCTTACAGATGAGAACACTGAGGATCAGGGCGGTTCAGAGCTTGGCCACAGCCATTCAGTCCATAAGCATCCTGGGCAATGATTTGAGCCAGGATTTGTCTGACCCAAAGCCAGGCCTGCCCCTGGGCCAGTGGCCTTGGGGTTGTGCTCCATCTCATCTCTCTTCCTTGGGTCTGCGGCCCAGGCCCCTGCCCTGAGCAGGGCACACAGCTCTTCCCCCTTCCTGATCCCGGAACCTACCCAGGCCCTTGACGGCAGGCTGTGCTGGAGGGACAGCCCTCTCAGAACCAGGTTGTCAATTTCCCGACTCCTCAGCATGTTCCCCTCTTCCCTTGGACCTCTTGGGACTCTAGAGTCTGAAACCCCCTGAACTGTCCACACGGTGGGTGTGTGACCCTGGCTGGCCCAGCTACCCTGCCCAGGCCCCTAGGCCTTGAATAGGTCTTACAGGAGGTACAGCTGTGTGTATGAATGCATGTGCACAGATGAGTGTGTGCATGAGACCTGGGGGAAAAAAACGAATGAATGAATAAGTTCATGAATGATTTTGCAAATGAATGAATGAATGAATGAGGATGCATTCCAATGAATAAGTGAATGAGGTATTGAGTCAGTGAACTCTGCCTTCCAGGCAAGGCTGAGGCAGGGGCAGAGACTTCATGCTCACTGTGTTCTCTCTCCCCACGACCCCCACTGTGACCACCAAGTGTTCATGCTTCCCTTCCGGAAAGGAGAGTTGTCAGCGAGACAAGAATGCCAATCTGGGGACTACATCTCCCAGCATTCCTTGTTGGTATGGAGATGAACCATGTGACTAATTCTCACCCATGGAATGCAAGCAGATGTGACCACTTCCTGGAATAGTCCCTAGAAAGTAGATGTGCCCTCTCTGCTCTCTCCTTCCCCATTGCATTGGCTGCTGGCAGAATGCCCAGGATTCCAAGGCCCTGGGTTGGGTGGGGAGCCACAAGATGGAAGGAGCCTGGGTCCCTGAATCACCACATGGAGGAGAGCTGCCTGCTGACCACAAACATCAACTTAGGATTGTCACTTTGGGAGGCTGAGGCAGGAGGCTTGCTTGAGGCCAGGAGTTCGAGACCAGCCTCGGCAACATAGTAAGACTCTGCCTCTATTTCTCTAAAATTAAGTAAAAAATTAAAACAAAAAACAAAAACAAAACCTTAGGACTACCAGAGAATGAGAAATAGTAAGTAGTGAGAAGCTCCTGAAATGCTGGAGTTTAACTGTTACAGCAGCATTGCCTGAACACACTAGCACAAGCAAATTATTTGTCATCAAGCTATGTTTAGGCAGAGGTCCCCTGTAGGCTTGAGCCAAGGAACTTAGCCCAGAAATCTGGCTGGGCACAGTGGCTCATGCCTGTAATCTTAGCACTTTGGGAGGCCGAGGCAGGTGGATCACATAAGGTCAGGAGTTCGAGACCAGCCTGGCCAACATGGTGAAACCCTGTCTCCACTAAAAATACAAAAATTAGCCAGGCATGGTGGCAGGCACCTGTAATCCCAGCTACTCAGGAGGCTGAGGCAGGAGAATCACTTGAACCCGGGAGGCGGAGTTTGCAGTGAGCCGAGATCACGCCATTGCACTCTAGCCTGGCAACAGAGCCAGACTTCATCTCAAATAATAATAATAATAATAATAATCATCATCATCATCTCCCAGGCAGGGACTTGGAGATCCATGACAGGCATCTGTGACCGGGACCAGGCAGGACCTTCATCCTTTTCCTGTCAGCGGTAAGGACAGACAGCATCCCCTCCCAGCTTTCTCTTCACCTCTCATTATGCAGAAAGGAGCTAATGTCTCTGTTGAGTTAGGGGAGGGATTCAGGTGTTGCGGTTAAACATGATGGCTGACAAAACTCCTCTGTGGTGTCTAAAATCAAGAGAGTAGTTATTTGCAGGAGATGCTGACCAGAGGGGGCACAAGGAAGGTTGAGAATGTTCTGTTTCTTGAGCTGGGTGCTGGATGCATGGATATGTTCAATTTGTGAAAATGCACTGGGCTCTGTGTGTACAATTTCTATACTTTCTTTTATTTTAGAGACAAAGTCTTGCTCTGTCACCCAGGCTGGAGTGCAGTGGCACCATAATAGTTCACTGCAGCCTCGAACTCCTGGGCTCAAGTGATCCTCCTGCCTCAGCCTCCTGGGTAGCTGGGACTACAGGTGCACGCCACCATGCCTGGTTCATTTTTTAAGTTTTTTTGTTTTGTTTTGTTTTTGTAGAAATGAGGTCCTGCCATGTTGCCCAGGCCGATCTTGAACTCCTGACCTCAAATGATCCTCCTGCTTCAGCCTCCCAAATTGCTGGTATTACAGACATGGGCCACCATGCCCAGCCAGATTTCTATACTTTCTGCAATAAAAGTTTTTTAAAATGCCCAGTAGCTGGGTGTGGTGTCTCACGCCCGTAATCCTAGCACTTTGGGAGGCCGAGGCAGGTGGATCACCTGAGGTCAAGAGTTTGAGACTAGCCTGGCCAACATGGTGAAACCCCATCTCTACTAAAAATACAAAAAATTAGCCAGGTGTGGTGGCGCATGCCTGTAGTCCCAGCTACCCGGGAGGCTGAGGTAGGAGAATCACTAGAACCCAGGAGGCAGAGGCTGCAGTGAGCCGAGATCGCGCCAGTGCACTCTAGCCTGGATGACAGAGTGAAACTCTGTCTCAACAACAACAACAAAAATTGCCCAGCCCAATAGAGGGAAGGTTAGGATGAGGAGAGAATGGGGTGATGATGTGGGCAGTGGTAGAGGGCAGAGGACAATGGTGGCCTGAGGTGCAGCTCCTCTCTCTCTTTTTTTTCTTTTCTTTCTTTCTTTTTTCTTTTCTTTTTTTTTTTTTTTTTGAGAGACGGAGTCTCACTCTGTTGCCCAGGCTGGAGTGCAATGGCACGATCTCAGCTCACTGCAACCTCCCTCCGCCTCCCGGGTTCAAGTGATTATCCTGCCTCAGCCTCCTGAGTAGCTGGGATTACAGGTGCCTGCCACCATGCCTGGCTAATTTTTGTATTTTCAGTGGAGACAGGGTTTCACCATATTGGCCAGGCTGGTCTCGAACTCCTGACCTTATGTGATCCACCTGCCTCGGCCTCCCAAAGTGCTAAGATTACAGGCGTGAGCCACTGTGCCAGGCCCCCCGCCTCTTTCCTTGGCCATCACCTACTCATCATAGTCCCTTCATCCCATACTGGGGACCTGTGTCCAGGTCCACTGGGCAGGTGCCCGGCCCAGGGACCCTCACCCCCAAGGATTGTGCAGTGGGCTGTCTCTCCTTGGAGGCTGGGAGCACTGAACCTGGGTCCCCGTGTTCCGACTGGGGGCAAGATGCCAGCAGAGATAGCAGCTGAGGCTACCTTGGACAATGTGACCCAGTTTCATCTGCATCTGTCTGCCAGGAGAACAGATTCAGTCACCTGAATGTATTGCACACATCCACACCCACATGCCAGACTCACACACATCTACCATGTATTGTATATCATATATACATGCCACACACGCACAGCCATGCATCCCCCACGCTTTTCTACACGCCCCCCTCACACCCCATGATATGCTCCATGCACTGGCTGTATTTACACACCTCTTTCACCCCGTGAGAATCAAACTTCAGGCACACCCCACACCCATGCAGCTCCCAACATGCACAACACACACACTCCCTTATAACTAGACTGGCCAACATGGGGAAACCCCGTCTCTACTAAAAATACAAAAATTAGCCGGGCGTGGTGGCACATGCCTGTAATCCCAGCTACTCGGGAGGCTGAGGCAGGAGAATCGCTTGAACCCAGGAGGCAGAGGTTGCAGTAAGCCGAGATTGTACCACCGCACTCCAGCCTGGGAGACGGAGCGAGACCCTGTCTCAAAACAAAAATGAAAACAAAAACACATGGGCACCCATGCCTGTGCAGCCATGCCTAATATACCTGCCAATGCATTGGACCCTGCCTGTGCAGCCATGCCTAATATACCTGCCAATGCATTGGACCCTGGCCCGCCAAACTATCCTCAAAAAACACCCTGGCCTCCGAATTTTCAGGGAGATTGATTTGAGTAATAATTCCGTCTCCCACGTGGCATGGCTAGCTTCATGTCAATTACACTCTTTCTTTATTACAATGCCGTGGTCTCAGGGAATTGGTTTTATCTGTGCAGTGGGCAGGAAGAACCCATCGGGCAGCTACAACCCCCAGCCAGGCACAGTCCCAGAGTGAGCCCAGGGCAGCTATTGTCTTTATGGGATGGCCATCCTGTGCCAGGTGCCTCCTGGGCCTGGATGTGGGGTGGGGGAAGTTAGCAAGCTGAGGCTGAGAGTAGAAAATGTAGCCTGTAGAGGTGGCTATCCGAAGGAAAAGCACACCCACACTGACTTGGAGCCCCAGCTACCCAGAGACAGGAGGAGATGGACTGAAGTTTCCTTCATGAGGTCCTAGCCCGAGGCCCCATCTCTTCCACAAGGCCTTTCCTGGTTGTCCAAGGGGCCCCAGACTCCAGAGAAGCCCAGGCAGCAGAAGTCTTTTTTTACTTTTTTTTTTTTTAGAGACAGGGTCTCGCTCTGTCGCTTAGGCTGGAGTGCAGTGGTGCGATCATAGCTCACTGCAGCCTCAACCTCCTAAGCTCAAGCGATCCTCCTGCATCAGCCTCCCTGGTAGCTGGGACCACAAGTGTGCTAATTTTTATTTTATTTTATTTTGTCTTATTTTATTTTTTAGTAGAGACGGGGGTCTCACTATGTTGCCCAGGCTGGTCTTGGACTCCTGAGCTCAAGCAATCCTTCTGCCTCGGCCTCCCAGAGTGCTGGGATGACAGGCGTGAGGCACCTCACCTGGCTGTAATTCACGTTTTGTTTTTTTTTTTTTGTTTTTGTTTTTTGTTTTGAGACAGAGTCTTCCTCTGTCACCCAGGCTGGAGTGCAGTGGTGTGATCTCAGCTCACTGTAACCTCTGCCTCCCGGGTTCAAGTGATCCTCCTGCCTTAGCCTCCCGAGTAGCTGGAATTGCAGGTGCCCATCACCACGCCTGGCCAATTTTTGTATTTTTAGTAGAGATGGGGTTTTACCACATTGGCCAGTCTGGTCTCAAACTCCTGATCTCAAATGATCCACCCACCTCTCCCTCAAAGTGCTGGGATGACAGGCGTGAGCCACCGTGCCTGGCCTGTAATTCATATTTTATGTCCACATTCTCGCTCCACTCCTCCTGCAGGGCTATTTCCTTTATCCCTTTCTTTAAGTCTACTCATATTTGTACTAAGCTGTGTTCTAGGCAGTGCCGCCCAGGATGTGGTAGGCTCAATGCACTGGTTTCTAGCATTTCTGATACCCATATTCGCATATGTGAATTATTCATTATCCACAAAATGAACGTGTCTAAGTCATATTGGCACCCCTTGGAGATGCCTGGCTTGGCTCCCAGCACCAGGCCCTGCCCAGAGCTCCTGAGACAGTCTCACTCCCGCCCACAGCCAGGCTAATGACCACAGCCAGGTCAATGACCCCACTCCCTTACCCAGGAGAAGCACTTTGGGGTAGGGTCTGCTGGGGCTCAGAGGATTCAGGTGCCACCCACCCGTCAACGTGCTGTGTGACTGCAGGCTAGGTCTTCTACTCTGAGTCTGAGCTTGCTAATTTCCCCCACCCCACATCCATGCCCAGCAGGGCACAGCGTGCCCATCCCATAAAGACAGCAATAGCTGTCTTAGGCTCACTCCGGGACCGTGCCTGGCTGGGGGCTGTAGTCACCCAATGCGTTCTTCCTGCCCACTCCACAGACAAAACCAATTCCCTGGGACCACAGCATTACAATAAAGAAAGAGCGTAGGCCAGACGCGGTGGCCCACAGCTGTAATCCCAGCACTTCGGGAGGCCTAGGCGGGCGGATCGCCTGAGGTTAGGAGTTCAAGACCAGCCTGGCCAACATGGCGAAACCCCATTTCTACCAAAACAAAACAAAACAAAAATTAGCCAGGCATGGTGGTGGGTGCCTGTAATTCCAGCTACTCAGGAGGCTGAGGCAGGAGAATGGCTTGAACCCGGGAGGTGGAGGTTGCAGTGAGCCAAAATCGTGCCATTGTATTCCAGCCCAGGCAACAACAGTGAAACTCCATCTTAAAAAAAAAAAGAAAGAGTGTAATTGACATGAGGCTGGCCACCCCACATAAGAGATGGAATTACTACTCAAATCAATCTCCCCAAAAATTTGGAGGCCAGGGTTTTTTGAGGATAGTTTGGGGGGCCAGGAAGTGCACATCTGGGTGGGGATACATGGCCAGTTGGTGGGTCTGGATGAAGCAATCAGTCGTCAGAAATGCAAAAACCTGGCCAGGCGCAGTGGCTTATGCCTGTAATTCCAGTAGTTTCGGAGGCTGAGGTGGGAGAATTGCTTGAGCCCAGGAGTTTTTGACCAGCCTGGGCAACATAGCGAGACCCCACCTCTACAAAACTCAGCTGGGCATGGTGGCACATACCTGTGTTCCCAGCTACTTGGGAGGCTGAGGTGGGAGGATCACTTGAGCCCAGGAGGTCAAGGCTGCAGTGAGCCATAATTGTGCCACTGCACTGCAGCCCAGGCAACAGAATGAGACCCTGTCTTAAAAAAAAATAAAAATAAAAAAATAAAAATAAAAAAGGCAAGATGGGGGTTGGTTAGATCAGATCTCCTTCACTGTCATAATTTTCTCACTGTGGTAATTTTTGCAAAGGCGGTTTCAGGGCAGCGCCTCTCTGCCTCTCCATGTGTAATGTGGGGTGAACAGCCTCCCTCAGAGGCCTCCTGGGACTCTGTGAGATGGCAGATGGAAGATTCCAGGCGACAAGATGCTCTGCGTGCAGACATTTCCAGGGTTTGCTCTAGGGTTTGCAGCAGGAGCTGGGAGGGTCCCACTGCACCCCTCTTTTCTGAGCCAGACATTTTAGCCGAGCTCAGCCCAGCCTGGGGTATATCTGCCATCAGTCACCACTGTCAAAGCTTACCGTACCCAGCCCCCGACACATACACACCCAGGCACATGTCACTGCCTTCCCCCAACACAGAATCAGGCCCCAGCCCATGAAGGGAGCATTTTCAGTACCCGCAACCACGGCCCCAAACAGGCGACCTCCCTCCAGGGCTGCAGCGGAGTTAACCTAATTCCGGGCCTGCGGTCGGCCTGGCACACTGGCGCCGGCTCACAGCTCACAGCCAGCTGGGAGAATACAAACCAGAAGGATCCCGGGGCAGGGAGGGATTGGGGAGCCAGCAGGACGCGAAGGTGTTATTTTTAGGCAGCAAGGTGGGGCTTGAGGTGGATCTGGTGGCTTAGGGAGGAGGGGGCTCCACACAATGATGGGAGGCTCCAGTCAGAGGGACAGGGTGGCATGCGTGTGGCTTCTCCTTAGAGGTACCAGGCCGGCCTGGGGCTTCCAGGAAGGTGGGGAGGGGTCCGAGAATCGGAAAGGGGATTACCGTGGCTTCCTGCCAGAGCTGTCCCTGCTGGGCCTGGGAGAGACACAAAGCACACGCAGGGGTTTTTGGGACAAAGAGGCCAGCTAGGGGGAGTGAAATGGCTCTAAAGTGGGCAGAAGGTTGGGCATCGTGGCTCACACTTGAAATCCCAACACTTTGGGAGGCCAAGGCAGGAGGACTGCTTGAGCCTAGGAGTTTAAAACCAGCCTGGGGAACATAGCAAAGCCCTATCTCGACAAAAAAATAAAATGTTTAGCTGGGTATGGTGGCACATGCCTGCAATCCCAGCTGCTTGGGAGGCTGAGGTGGGAGGATTGCTTGAGCCTAGGAGGTCCAGGCTGCAGTGAGCTATGATTGCACCCCTGCACTCTAGCCTGGGAGGCAGAGCAAGACCTTATTTCAAAAATAAAATAAAATAAAATAAAATAAAATAAAATAAAATAAAATAAAATAAAATATAAAAATAGTGGGCAGGGCTGGGCACGGTGGCTTACGCCTGTAATCCCAGCACTTGGGGAGGCCAAGATGGGCGGATCATGAGGTCAGGAGATCGAGACCATCCTGGCTAACACGATGAAACCCCGTCTCTACTAAAAATACAAAAAAATTAGCTGGGCGTAGTGGCGGGCGCCTGTAGTCCCAGTTACTCAGGAGGCTGAGGCAGAAGAATGGCATGAACCCGGGAGGTGGAGGTTGCAGTGAGCCGAGATCGCACCACTGCACTCCAGCCTGGGTGACAGAGCGAGACTCCGTCTCAAAAAAAAGAAATAAAAAATAAAAATAAATAAAATAAAAATAGTGGGCAGCCCAGGCGCAGTGGCTCATGCCTGTAATCCCAGCACTTTGGGAGGCCAAGGTGGGCGGATCACGAGGTCAGGGGTTCGAAACCAGCCTGACCAACATGGTGAAACCCTGTTTCTACTAAAAATAAAAAATTAGCTGGGCGTGGTGGCGCACGCCTGTAATCCCAGCTACTCAGGAGGCTGAGGCAGAAGAATTGCTTGAACCCGGGAGGCGGAGGTTGCAGTAAGTTGAGATCAGACCACTGCACTCCAGCCTGGGTGACAGAGTGAGAGTCTGTCTCAAAATAAATAAAAAATAAAATAAAATAAAATAAAATAAATACCAAGGTGTCCGTGGGCTGTGTTCCTTCTGGAGGCTGTCGCAGAGAGCTCTTTTCCTTCCCTTTTCCACCTCCTAGAGGCTGGCTGCATCCCTCAGCTCATGGTTCCCTCCTCCATCTTCAGAGCTAGCACTGCAGCATCCTCAAATCTCTCTCTCTCTGTCTCTCTCTCTCTCTCTCTCTCTCTCTCTCTGGCCTGCATCTGGGGTCACATCTCCTTCTCTGATTCTGACCCTCCTGCCCACTTTTAGGAGAACCTTTATGATTACATTGGGCCCACTGGGATTTGTAGGAGAACCTTCCCATCTCAAAATCCTTAAATGGCCATGCATGGTGGCTCATACCTGTGATCCCAGCACTTTGGGATGCCGAAGCAGGAGGATCGCTTGAGCCTAGGAGTTCAAGACCAGCCTGAGTAACATAGTGAGACCCTGTCTCTACAAGACATTTTTTAAAAAATTAGCCAGGTGTGGTGGTGTGTGGCCGTAGTCCCAGCTACTTGGGAGGCTGAGGTGAGAGGACCACTTGAGGCCAAGAGTTCGAGGCTGCAGTGAGCTATGATTGTACCACTGCACTCCAGCCTGGTCAACAGATTGAGTCCCTGTCTCTAGAAAACAAACAAACAGACAAACAAAAACCAGGGTAATCATAAGGGGTTGCTGCATTAAATGCCAAGACCCACACACAAGTCCGGGAGCCATGTTAGAGTAAGGGGTTGACTTGATGACATGCTTTTTATTTTTAAATTTTTAAAAAATATTTATTTATTTATTGTTATTATTATTTGAGACAGAGTCTTGCTCTGTCGCCCAGGCTGGAGTGCAGTGGCATGATCTTGGCTCACTGCAACCTCCACTTCCTGGGTTTAAGCAATTCCCCTGTCTCAGCCACCCAAATAGCTGGGATTACAGGCATGTGCCACCATGCCCGGCTTTTTTTTTTTGAGATGGAGTCTTGCTCTGTCACTCAGGCTGGAGAGCAGCGGCACGATCTTGGCTCACTGCAACCTCCGCCTACCGGGTTCAAGTAATTCTCCTGTCTCAGCCTCCCGAGTAGCTGGGACTACAGGTGCCCACCACCACACCTGGATAATTTTTGTATTTTTAGTAGAGCTGGGGTTTCGCCATGTTGGCCGGGCTGGTCTCGATATCCTGATCTCAGGTGATCCGCCCGTCTTGGCCTCCCAAAGTGTTGGGATTACAGGCGTGAGCCAACGCGACTAGCCGCATATTTGAATTCTAATTTCACAAGGAATACTTCTTGTATATTCTGATCCTTATTAGGAGGGACTTCTCACTGTGCAATATTTCACTGTACAAAGTGTATTCGTGTGCTGGGGCTGGCAGAACAATGTACCATGAACGGAGCAGCTTAAACAACAGAAATTTACTGTCGCACAGCTCCGGAGCCTGGAAGTCTGAAATCCAGGTGCCAGCAGGGTTGCTTCCTATTGAGGGCTGTGAGGGAGGATCTTTTCCAGGCCTTTCCCAGAGCTTCTGGTGTTTGCTGGCAGTCTTTGGTGTGGCTTGGCTTGCAAAAGCATCACTGCATCTCTGCCTGTATTATCACATGGCCATCTTCTCCCTGGGTGTTGTGTCACTGTGGCTGTCTCTGTCTCTTCTCTCTCTCTCTCTTTTTTTTTAAATTTTTTTTTTCAAAGCATCGTACTCTGTTGCCCAGGCTAGAGTGCAGTGATACAATCATAGCTCACTGCAGCCTTGACCTCCTGGGCTCAAGCAATCCTCCCACGTCAGCCTCTTGAATAGCTGGGACTACAGGTGTGCATCACTGCACTTGGCTATTTTTTAGAGATGGGGTCTTGCTATGTTGCCCAGGCTGGCCTCAAACTCCTGGCCTCAAGTGATCCTCCCACCTCAGCCTCCCAAAGGGCTGGAATTACAGGTGTGAGACACCACACCACACCACACCATGCCAGCCCTCTGTTTCCTTTTTTTTTTTTTTTTTAATTTTGAGACAGAGTCTTGCTCTGTCACTGTCACCCAGGCTGGAGTGCATTGGAACGATCTTGGCTTACTGCAACCTCCACCTCCTGGGTTCAAGCAATTCTCCTGCCTCAGCCTCCCAAGTAGCTGGGATTACAGGCATGCACCACCATGCCCCACTAATTTTTGTATTTTTAGTAGAGATGGGGTTTTGCCATGTTGGCCAGGCTGACCTCAAGTGATTCACCCTCCTTGGCCTCCCAAAGTGCGGGGATTACAGGTGTGAGCCACCGTGCCTGGCCCCTCTTCTTTTCTTATAAGGACACCAGTCACATTAGATTAGGGGCCCACGCCACGCCAGCACGACCTCATCTTAACAAATGACATCTGCAAAGACCCTGTTTCCAAATAAGGCCATATTCTAAGGAATTGGGGGTTAGGACTTCAATGTATGACTTTTTAGGGACAAAATTCAACACATCCCACTAAATACATGGAGTAAAAAGTTGACAGTACACAATACACATTCCAAAGGCAATTTCCATCTCCACTCTAGAAGTTTGTCCTTCAAGACCTTTTTCTATTTGTTGATTCATTTATTTATTTGAGACAGGATCTTGCTCTGTCGCCCAGGCTGGAGTGCAGTGGCTCGATCATAGCTCCCTGCAACCCCAGGTCCTCAGCTCAAGTGATCCTCCCATCTTAGCCTCCCAAGTAGCTGGGACTACAGGCACACACCACCACACCTGGCAAAATTTTTTTAGTTTTGATAGAGACGAGGTCTCACTATGTTGACCAGGCTGGTTTCGAACTCCTGGGCTCAAGCAATCTTCCTGCCTTGGCCTCCCAAAGTACTGGGATTACAGGCACGAGCCACCGTGCCCAGCCTCTATGCTTTTATATTCAACTGCAAATACATTTTACCCCCATATATGGAATCCTACGATACACATCTGTTGTCATCTAATAGGCTGGGGAGAGGCTTTGGAGGCAGATCAGCACTTCGTTTATTAGCTTTGGCCTTGCGGAGAGAATAGGGAATAGTGAACCCACTGGGAAACCACTCCAAAGCCCTGCATTGGGACCCTCCCTTTGGGCCAAAGCTTGGTTGGGGAGGGGGCAGCTCTGTGGGTGTGTGCTGGGGGTCAGCACCTTATTCTTGGGCCCTTCGATCTCCTGCTCATCTGCAGGGAGGACGCTGGTTTTTTTGTTTGTTTGTTTTTGTTTTTGAGACGGAGTCTCACTCTGTCGCCCAGGCTAGAGTGCAATGGTGCAATCTCGGTTCACTGCAACCTGCATCTCCCGGGTTCAAGCAATTCTCCTGCCTCAACCTCCTGAGTAGCTGGGACTACAGGTGCACGCCACCACGCCCGGCTAATTTTTTTTTTGTATTTTTAGTAAAGACGGGGTTTCACTGTGTTAGCCAGGATGGTCTCGATCTCCTGACCTCGAGATCCGCCCACCTCGGCCTTCCAAAGTGCTGGGATTACAGGTGTGAGCCATGGCGCCTGGCCTACTGTGCTATTAAAATAATTACTCACTAGGCCACGTGAGGTGGCTCATGTCTGTAATCCCAGCACTTTGGTAGGCTGAGATGGGTGGATCACCTGAGGTCAGGAGTTCGAGGCCAGCCTGGCCAACAATGTGAAACCCCATCTCTACTAAAAATACAAAAAATAGTATGGCATGGTGGCGCATCCCTGTAATCCCAGCCACTCCGGAGGCCGAGGCAGGAGAATCGCTTGAACCCGGGAGGCAGTGGTTGCAGTGAGCCGAGATCGCGCCACTGCACTCCAGCCTGGGCGACAGAGCAAGATCCTGTCTCAAATAAATAAACAAATCAATGAATAGAAAAAGATCTCGAAGGACAAACATCTAGAATGAAGATGGAAATTGCCTTTGGAATGTGTATTGTGTGTAGGGTGCTCTCAACTTTTTACTCCATATATTTAGTGGGATGGGTTGAATTTTATTCCTAAAAATTCATGTATTGAAGTCCTAAGTCCCAGTTTCTCAGAATATGGCCTCATTTGGAAACAAGGCCTTTGCAAATGTCATTTGTTAAGATTACTGTTTTCCATGGGTGGGGTGGGGTTGGGGGGCTCCCAGGGGGGTCGCAGGAGAGGATCTGCAGACTGGGGCCACCACTGTTGATGAGTCAGTTCAGACATTTCCCCATCTCACAATCACATCTGCTGTGCTGGTACAAACCAGCCCCAGATCAGCCCACCTGGTCCTATCTCTCAGCATCTTGTTCTGCCTGACCCAGGGTGACCCCCTTAGACTTTGCGAGGAAACTTAAGCAACTAGAAGAAAATTAAGAGGAGGAAAAGAACTCATTTCTGGCTGGCCAGCTCTGGCTGATGCAGGAAGTTCGCCCCAAGTTATGAGTCCGTGGGGGCCAGGGCGCAGGCAGGGGCGGGATGTGGGCAGCCTCTGCGAGTGGGGAAACTGAGGAATTCCATCTCAAGCCCTACGAGATTAGGAACTGGGACCCACAGAGGCAAGCACCGGGAGACCCGGGCCCAGCCCCCTGTAGGCTAGAGCCTGCCAGCGCCTGGATGGGGATTTTAATTTTTTTATTTATTATTTATTTATTTATTTATTTTTATTTGTATTTTGAGATGGAGTCTCGCTCTGTCACCCAGGCTGGAGTGCAGTGGCACAATCTCAGCTCACTGCAAGCTCCGCCTCCTGGGTTCATGCCATTCTCCTGCCTCAGCCTCCCTAGTAGCTGGGACTACAGGCGCCTGCCACCACGCCCCGCTAATTTTTTTGTATTTTTAGTAGAGACGGGGTTTCACCATGTTAGCCAGGATGGTCTCGATCTCCTGACCTCGTGATCTTCCCACCTCCGCCTCCCAAAGTGCTGGGATTACAGGCGTAAGCCACTGCGCCTGGCCTATTTTTGTTTTTGAAACAGAGTCTTGCTCTGTCTCCAGGCCCCCTGCAGTGTCACGAGCTTGGCTTACTGCAACCTCCACCTCCCGGGTTCAAGCAATTCTCCTGCCTCAGTCTCCCGAGTAGCTGGGACTACAGACACACGCCACCATGCCTGGCTAATTTTTTGTACTTTTAGTAGAGATGGGGTTTCACACTGTTGGCCAGGATGGTCTCAATCTCTTGACCTCGTGATCTGCCCGCCTCAGCCTCCCAAAGTGCTGGGATTACAGGAGTAGGCCACTATGCCCGGCCTCTGGATGGAGATTACTGCAGACATCCATAGTGGCTGCAGGGCAGGCTCCAGCTCTCCCTCCTTGTCCCCAGCAGCTTCCTCCCACCCTGAGTTTGGAGTAATTGATCCCTATCCCCTGGGCATGTCAGGCAGGAATGTCCTGTCCCTGCTGTCCCCACAGGGCAGTGGAGCCAGGAGGGAGTCAAGGTTACCTGGTTAATGGAAGTTTCCCTGACAATTCATCTTGTGGGGCACCACCTTGCTCCTCTCTCTGTTTTTAAATTTTAAGACAGGATCTGGCTTTTTGGCCAGGCTGGAGTGCAGTGGCATGATCATAACTCATTGCAGCCTCCATCTCCTGGGCTCAGGCAATCCTCCTGCCTCAGCCTCCCAAGTAGCTGGGTATATGGGTGATATGCACCACCATCCCCGGCTAATTTTTAAATTTTTTGTAGAGACATGGGAGGTGGGGGGCAGTCTCACTATGTTGCCCAGGCTTGTCTTGAACTGGGCTAAAGGGATCTTCCCACCTGGGCCTCCCAAAGCGCTGGGATTACAGGCGTGAGCCACCGTGCTTGGTCTCTGCCTTGCTTCTCTTGGGCAAGATGACAGCTTCTGCACTTCCTGCACCGATACTGTGTCTCCGGTTTCCACCGCCCTCCTGGATCCACTCCGGCCTCCCTTCTCGCCGTCTGAAGGCGGCTGTCCCTCCTGCCTAGATGAGCAGAGACCAGACAGAGCCGGAAGCTGGATTTGGCTCTGGAATGCTAATGAGCATTCTGCCGACCGTGACCTCCCGGGGCTGGAGCAGGGCTGGTGCAGCCTCAGCCTCTGGCTCCCTCTGCAGGCAGCAGGCGGGAACTGCGGGGGAGTTGTGGCCTGCGGGAGACCAGGTCCTCCTCGTGGAGGTCAGGGTTGTTCTAGGTTACGCTGTTCATCCCGTCCGCGATCGCAGACGAGACTCGAGACTTGCTTTCTTTATAATTACCCAGCGTGGCTGGGTGGCCCCAGGACTTAACAGCAGCTTCTTTGCTGGATGGACTCTTCTGCTGTCTAAGTACCTTCGCCCTGGGCGCCCCCTACTCCCACACTCTGTTATTTAAAGACTGGTTCTCCACCTGGTGGGTGGCTTATGCCTGTAATCCCAGCACTTTGGGAGACTGAGGTGGGAGGAATCCAGGAGTTGGAGACCAGCCTGAGCAACATAGAGCGACCCCGACTCTACAAAAAAAAAAATTAGGTGTGGTGGCATATGCCTGTAGTCCCAGCTACTCAGGAGGCTGAGGCAAGAGGATCACTTGGGCCTGGAAGGTGGAGGCTGCAGTGAGCTATGATTGTACCACTGCACTCCAGCCTGGGAAACAGAGGGAGACCTGATCTCAAAAACAAAACAAAGGCCGGGCGCTGTGGCTCATGCCTGTAATCCCAGCACTTTGGGAGGCTGAGGTGGCCGGATCACCTGAGGTCAGGAGTTCAAGACCAGCCTGGCCAACATGGTGAAACCCCGTCTCTGCTAAAAATACAAAAATTAACCGGGCATGGTGGCAGGCACCTGTAGTCTCAGCTACTCAAGAGGCTGAGTCAGGAGAATTGCTTGAACCCAGGAGGCTGTGGTTGCAGTGAGCCAAGACTGCACCACTGCACTCCAGCCTGGGAGACAGAGTGAGACTCTGTCTAAAGAAAAAAAAAAGAAAGAAATAGTGGCCAGGCACGGTGGCTCACGCCTGTAATCACTTTGGGAGGCCCAGGCAGGAGATGGCTTGAGTCCAGGAGTTTGAGAACAGTCTGGGCGATATGGCCAGACCCTATCTCTAAAAAAATAAAATCAATCAACCAACCAATCAATTAATCAATCAATCAAAAAATTAGCTGGGCATGGTGGCACACACCTGTGGTCCCAGCTATTCGGGTGGCTGAGGCACAAAAATCGCTTGATGGCAATTTGGTGCTGCTCCTGACCCTGGGTGCTGAGCAGGCCCGGTGCTGTCTCCCGTGGACCTGGTCGGGCCTTACCTCTTGATGACAAACTGGATGCTGTTGCTGGCCTCCAGAATCTTCCAGAGCTTGGCGATCCCGAAGCAGTTGGGCCTGTGGAGAGAGATGCCTTCAGGCAGCCCCACCACAAACAGCTCCTCCGGGTGCATCAGAAACTTGGAGTATGGCACCTTGACGGGCTCCGAGATGCCAATGGCCTTGGCTGCAGAGACATGGCTGCTGTAAGGCCACCCGGTGCCACAGGGCCAGGAATCTCAACCCCTGTGTCTCATGCCTGTGTAGGGGGCAAAGCTGCCAGAGCCCTTTTGAGGGCCTTCCTGGGAGGTGAGCCAGGCGTGAGCCACCTTGCCCTGCTTATATTACTTATTTGCTTACTGTTTATCTCTCCACATGAGGATGTGTACCCTAGGAGGTGGGGACATCTGTTTGGTCCACTGCTTTTTCCCCAGCGCCTTGTGCAGGACCTAGTACACAGTAGGTGCTCAATAAATATTTGTTGAGTCAGGGTGCGTTGGCTCACGCCTGTAATCCCAGCTCTTTGGGAGGCCGAGGCAGGAGGATCATTTGAGGTCAGGAGTTCGAGACCTGCCTGGCCATCATGGTGAAACCCCGCCTCTACTAAAAATGCAAAACAGTTAGCCAGGCATGGTGGCGGGCACCTGTAATCCCAGCTACTCAGGAGGTTGAGGCAGGAGAAGTGCTTGAACCCAGGAGGCGGAGGTTGCAGTGAGCTGAGATCGCGCCACTGCACTCCAGCCTGGGAAACAGAGTAAGGCTCCATCTCAAAACATTTAAGAGATGGGTCTCTCTATGTTGCCCAGGCTGATCTTGAACTCCCAGCCTCAAGTAATCCCCTCGCTTTGGCTTCCCAAAGTGTTGGGATTACAGGCATGAGCCACCTTAGCCTGCCTATTTTACTTATTTGCTTACTATCCATCTATCTCTTCACAGGCAGATGTGCACCCCAGGAGGTGGGTACTTCTGCTTGGTTCACTGCTTTGTCTCCAGCTCCTTACACAGGACCTGGTACACAATAGATGCTCAATAAATAGCTGTTGGATAAACGGACAAATTAATCCCAACAGGTGGCTCCTGGGAAGCATGCTGGGCCTTGTTAGAAATGGGGCCTATGGTCGGGTGTGGTGGCTCACGCCTAAAATCCCAGCACTTTGGGAGGCTGATGAGGGTGGATCACCTGAGGTCAGGAGTTCGAGACCAGCCTGACCAACATGGTGAAAGCCTGTCTCTACTAAAAATACAAAATTAGCCAGGCATGGTGGCACGTGCCTGTAATCCCAGCTACTCAGGAGGCTGAGGCAGGAAAATCGCTTGAACTCGGGAGGCGGAGGTTGCAATGAGCTGAGATTGCTCCAAAGTCTCTAAATAAATAAATAGAGCCTACTTGAGGTTTCCAAAAGGAACCCAGCCTTGGATTGGGGTCAGGCATATATTGGGTTTCCTCTACTAGAGGCGGTCAAAATCAAGAAAAGTCTGGGGCCTGCCTGGCCCACCCCTTTCCGTTTGCTCCCTGGGGAGATGAGTCCTAAGCACCACCAGCCCAGGTCCATTTCTTACCTGTCAGCGTCTCCATCCCATAACCAGAATCCTCCGATGGCAGGTGCCCAGGCATTGAGTCTGTCATTTCCTCAGAGGTTGGCAAGGCATCTGAAGACAAAACTCCAAATGACATGGGTGTCTTCTGCCTGTCATACTCCTGTCACAGTCCTTCAGGGACCACCCAGCCCAGTCTCCCCACAGGCAAGGGTCTTTTTCTTTCTCTCTTTTTTTTTTGGTTCGAGATGGAGTCTCACACTGTCGTCCAGGCTGGAGTGCAGTGGCGCCATGTCGGCTCACTGTAACCTCTGCCTCCTGGGTTCAAGCGATTCTCCTTCCTCAGCCTCCCGAGTAGCTGGGACTACCAGGCGTGAGCCACCATGCCTGGCTAATTTTTGTGTTTTTAGTAGAGATGGGGTTTCACCATGTTGGCCAGGCTGGTCTCAAACTCCTGACCTCTGGTGATCTGCCCGCCTCGGCCTCCCAAAGTGCTGGGATTACAGACGTGAGCCACTGCGCCCAGTCATTTTTTTTTTTTTTGAGATAGGGTCTCACTCTGTTGCCCAGGCTGGAGTGCAGTGGTGCGATCACAGCTCACTGCAGCCTCCAGCTCTTGGTCTCAAGTGATCCTCCTGCCTCAGCCTCCTGAGAAGCTACACTGACAGGCACACACCACCACATCTGGTTAACTCTTTGTATTTTTAGTAGAGATGGGGGTCTTGTTATGTTGCCCAGGCTGGTCTTGAACTCCTAGCCTCAAGCAATCCTCCCATGTCAGCCACCCAAAATGCCAGGATTACAAGCATGAGCCACTGTGCCCGGCACCCTCTTGGCTTCTGACAGTCACCCCATACTGAGGATCCAGTGCCCAAATCTACCCTCTCCTCTGAAGATGTGGAAAATGAGGCTGGGCAGGGGGTAGGGTCCAACTCAGAGCCTCTCACGCTCATGCCTTTTTCTTCTCACCAGCCTCACAAATCCCAGGGAAGCCAAGCCAGGGAGGTGAAGTTTGAGGGGACCTTCTGGAAGGTCAGAGCTGAGAACGCTGATTCTCAATGCAGGGGACAGATGTGGCCAGAAAAAGCATTCACAATACCCTGATGTTTCTCAGAATCCACGGAGAGAAACAGTGGCCTGGAGGCCTCTTCTTCACCAGGGCAGACCCTCGGGAGGCTAACGATACGGCCCTGATTTCTGCAGGGGGTGGTCAGACGCCCGTCCCTTACCTGGGACAGTGACCTGAATGATGTCCAGAACCTCTGGTTCAATTTTGATCGGCCTCAGCCCACCCAGCTCCCCAGAGGTTCCTGCAAGGAGGAAAGGAAGGATCTGGTCAAGTCTGGCACAAGCCTGACTGGGCAGAGTGAGTCTTTCCAGAACATTCTGTTGTCTGTAACTTGTTATTGAGGCCCTACCTAGGACAAGTCATGTCAGTCCCCTGGCTCCTGCCCAGACCAGAACTGGAGGTCAGGGGGGCCCTCAGGCCAGGCTTAGAGGCTCCAATTTACAGACCCAGTGACTAAGACCCCCTAGAGGGGAGGCTGCTGGTCCAAGATCCTGGGGCCTGGGTCTAGGCATCAACAGGAGGCAGTGGTGATGGCCAGCACCCAGCTCTCCATGTCCCCGACCCCAGTAAGCTCCCAGCATGCCTTGCACCTCAGCGCTGTGAGGCCTGGGAGATGCAGGTGGGCAGAGGAGGCTCGTTAGCACTCCAGGCTCATGGGCTGAGTTGAGCTCCCCGCCAAGGCTGCCGGGTAGGGCTGGTGGTTGCCCTCCCGGACCATGACATACACAGTGGGCCCTATTCCTTCTCACCTGGCCCGCAGTCTTCAGACATGCTGCCCTTGTCTGACCTGTGAAGGGAAGCAGGAAATGACACCTGTCAGCCAAGTCCAGGGCCACCCTGCCCCAGCCTTGCCCCTCCAGGCGGTCGGGGCCCACCGCGGGCGCCACTGCAGAAGGCATCCCTGTCCCCATCAGCCCCTGGCCCCCAGGATGGTGCTCCCCATCTCCACCAGGAAGACAGATTCCCCATGCGCTATCTCCAGGGACCACAATTTCCAGGGTTGGCCGAGCCAGGTATGTGCTCCCTGTCCTGGGGTGAACCATCTGGGGATCCCCCTTCTTAACCATCTGGGAGCTCTAGGGCTCCTGAGCTTGACACAGTGGGGTTTTGATCACTGCTTGTGGGAGACTGAGACCTGCAGGGCCTGGAAAGGCTTAAGAATCTGGAGTTGGGGGCTGGGGAATGAAGGTGGCAGGAACCCTGGGACGGATGATTTGGTTAATTCCCTCCCTCCAAGAGAACTGCGGGGAGAGGCCTGATATGATTTGGGGATTCTGGGAGAAATGGCCCACCCCTGCTCCTAAGAGGTCAGAACGTGCTTGGGGGGTGTTGGTGGATGGTAGCCAAGCTGATTGCTGGGGGCAGGGTCTGGTGGGCACTCAGGACAGGCATTGAACCTGGTGTTGGTATGTATGTATGCATGTAGTATGTATGTATATGTATATATGCATCCATGTATTTTTTTTTGAGACAGAATCTTGCTCTGTTGCCCAGGCTGGAGTGCAATGGCACAAATATTGGCTCACTGCAACCTCCGCTTCCGGGATTCAAGTGATTCTCCTGCCTCAACCTCCTGAGTGGCTGGAACTATAGGCATGTGCCACCACACCTGGCTAATTATTTTTAGTATTTTTAGTAGAGACGGGGTTTACAATGTTGGCCAGGTTGGTTTCAAACTCCTGACCTCAGGTGATCTGCCTGCCTCAGCCTCCCAAAGTCCTGGGATTACAGGCATTAGCCATCGTGCCTGGCCTCATGTTTGTATTTTTGAGACAAGGTGTTACTCTGTTGTCCAGGCTGGAGTGCAGTGGTGCAATCACAGCTCACTGCAGCCTTGACCTCCCAGGCTCAAGCAATCCTCCCACCTCAGCCTCCCAAGTAGCTGGGACCACAGGTACCAGCCACCACGCCCGGCTAACTTTTTATTTTTTGTAGAGACAAGGGTCTCACTATGTTGCCCAGGCTGGTGTCAAACTCCAGGGGTCAAGAGGTCCACCCACCTTGGCCTCCCAAAGTGCTGGGATTACAGGAGTAAGCCACCAAGCCCGGCCTGGCATGGGCGTGTATTTATTTTGAGACAGAGTCTTGCCCTGTCACCCAGGCTGGAGTGCAGTGGCACAATCTCAGCTCACTACAACCTCTGCCTTTCAGGTTCAAGCGATTCTCCTGCCTCAGCCTCCTGAGTAGCTGGGATTACAGGTGCCTGCCACCAGGCCCAGCTAATTTCTTGTATTTTTAGTAGAGATGGGGTTTCACCATGTTGGTCAGGCTGGTCTCAAACTCCTGAACTCAGGTGATCCACCCACCTCAGACTCCCAAAGAGCTGGGATTACAGGTATAAGCCACCGCTCCTGGCCTTTATTTTCTTTTTTTTTTATTTTTGAGACAAAGTCTCATTCTGTCATCCAGGCTGGAGTGCGGTGGCACAATCTCGGCTCACTGCAAGCTCTGCCTCCCGGGTTCACGCCATTCTCCTGCCTCAGCCTCCCGAGTAGCTGGAACTACAGACGCCTGCCACCACGCCAGGCTACTTTTTGTATTTTTAGTAGAGGCGGAGTTTCACCACGTTGGCCAAGACGGTCTGGATCTCTTGACCTCGTGATCCGCCCGCCTCGGCCTCCCAAAGTGCTGGGATTACAGGTGTGAGCCACCGCGCCTAGCCTATTTTCTTTTAATGAGAACCTCAGCCAGGCACAGTGGCTCAGCCCTGTTATCCCAGTCCTTTGGGAGGCCGAGGCAGGAGGATCACTTGAGGCCAGGAGTTCAAGACCATCCTGGACAACATAGTGAGACCTCTGTCTCCGTTAAAAAAAAAAAAAAAGAGGAGACCTCATTGAGGGTATATAGGAAATGAAACTAAGATATAATATATTTTGGCTTTGTAAATCAATGTTTTCACATATTGGTTTTGTTAGATTTATTTTTCCATCAGTGAAAACATTTTTTGAACACAAATTCCTTTTCCAGTTAAATAATTTGTAAGTAAAGTTTATTCAAATGTATGTTAAAACATTTAATATTTGTCTTCTGAAGTTTGTCTTTATGTACATCAAGATATTGGTTGTCTTGTCTTAAATGTATCATTGGATATCACATATTCTATTCGTTGTTTAATAAGGGTAATGCCCATCTAGGAATGAATAGTTTTTTAAAATCAAAAACAAGACAAATGACACACTCCACGTGGCAGGTAAAAGGTTAATGAGCTTCACATATAAAGAACTTCTTCAAATAAATAAAGAAAAAACATTTAGGCCGGGAGCGTTGGCTCACGCCTGTAATTCCAGCACTTCAGGAGGCCAAGGTGGGTGATCACTTGAGGTCAAGAGTCTGAGACTAGCCTAGTAACATGGTGAAACCCTGTCTCTACTAAAAATACAAAAAAAATTAGCTCGGCCGGGCTTGGTGGCTCACACCTGTAATCCCAGCACTTTGGGAGGCCGAGGCGGGTGGATCATGAGGTCAGGAGATCAAGACCATCCTGGCTAACACGGTGAAACCCTGTCTTTACTAAAAAATACAAAAAATTAGCCAGGTGTAGTGGCGGGCACCTGTAGTCCCAGTTACTCGGGAGGCTGAGGCAGGAGAATGGCATGAACCCAGGAGGCAGAGCTTGCAGTGAGCCGAGATTGCACCTCTGCACTCCAGCCTGGGTGACAGAGTGACTCCGTCTCAAAAAAAAAAAAAAATTAGCTCGACATGGTGGCTCATGCTTGTAATCCCAGCTACTAGGGAGGCTGAGGCAGCAGAATCGCTTCAACTCGTGAGGCAGAGGTTGCAGTGAGCAGAGATCGCACCAGTGCACTCTAGCCTGGGTGACAAGAATGAAGCTCCGTCTCAAAAAAAAAAAAAGGAAAGAATATTTGACATGAAAATGAAAGGTATTTTTTATAATATAGTCAATACATTAGGTGAAAGAGCAGATTACACGACAGTATATATAGTGTGTTTATATTTTGAGAAAATATATATTTTGAATATTGGAATTATATACACCCAACTAGTAATGTTATCCATTGATTCATGGAATTACAAGTGACTTTTTTTTTTGCTTGTCCCTATTTTCCAATTTTTCTACAGTGACCGTACTTGCAATAATTAAACATAGTATGGTCATTTAAAATATGTGCCCAAATTCTCTGATACCCTCTTCAACGGCAGAGCCCAGTCCCTATCCCCTTGAATGTGAGCTGGGTTACGTGATTCCCTTCTGACAGATAGGAAAAAGCAAAAGTGATGGCTTGCAACTTTGCAAACTACATCATAAAAGGTACTGTGGCTTCCTCCTTGCTCACTCTTTGATTACTCACTTGGGAAAGCCAGCTGTCACACCATGACACCTAAGCAGCCTGTAGAGAGGCTCATGTAACAGGAACTGAGGCCTCCTGTCAGCAGTCACATGAGGGAGCCATCTTGGAAACAGGCTTTAGGTGACTGCAGTCTCAGTGGACAGCTTGAGTGCAATGTCATGAGACACCCTGAGCCCAAATGACCCAGCTATGCCACTCCTGAATTCCTGACCCACAGAAATGGAGATCCTAAGTAAGTATTTTATTTATTTATTTATTTATTTATTTATTTATTTATTTTTGAGACAGAGTCTCACTCTGTCACCCAGGCTGGAGTGCGGTGTTGTGATCTTGGCTCACTGTAACCTCTTCCTCCCGGGCTCAAGTGATTCTCCCCCATCAGCCTCCTGAGTAGCTGGGACCACAGGTGTGCACCACCACGCCTGGCTAATGTTTGCATTTTCTGTAGGGATGGAGTCTTACTATGTTGCCCAGGCTGATCTTAAACTGCTGGACTCAAGCCATCTGCCCACCTCGGCCTCCCAAAGTATTGGGATTACAGGCATGAGCCACTGTGCCTGGCCCTAAGTATTTATTTTAAGCCACTAGGTCTGGAGTAATTTGTTACATAGCAGCAGATAAATAATACACATATTTTCTATAGCGATCACATTTATAATTTAAATTGAATTAAAAAGGCTGGGAGCAGTGACTCATGCCTGTAATCCTAGCACTTCAGGAGGCTGAGGCTGGAAGATCGCTTGAAGCCCAGGAGTTTGAGACCAGCCTGGGCAATATGGCAAAACACCTTCTCTACAAAATACAAAAAAAAAAATTAGCTGGGTGTGGGCTGGACGCGGTGGCTCATGCCTGTAATCCCAGGACTTTGGGAGGCTGAGGCGGGCAGATCATGAGGTCAGGAGATCAAGACCATCCTGGCTAATACGGTGAAACCCTGTCTCTATTAAAAATACAAAAAATTTAGCCAGACGTGGTGACAGGCACCTGTAGTCCCAGCTACTCAGGAGGTGGAGGCAGGAGAATGGCATGAACCCAGGAGGCAGAGCTTGCAGTGAGCCGAGGTCACGCCACTGCACTCTAGCCTGGGCAACAGAGTGAGACTCTATCTCAAAAAACAAACAAACAAACAAAAATTAGCCAGGTGTGCTGGCGTGTACCTGTAGTCCCAGATACTTGGAGACTATGGTGGGAGAATCACCTGAGTCAAGGAAGTCGAGGCTGCAGTGAGCTGTGACTGTGCCACTGTACTCCAGCCTGCATGACAGAGTGAGATTTTGCCTCAAAAAAAAATTTTTTTTTGGCTGGGCGCAGTGGCTCATGCATTTTGGGAGGCCGAGGCAGGTGGATCATGAGGTCAAGAGATCAAGACCATCCTGGCCAACATGGCGAAACCCTGTCTCTACTAAAAATACAAAAATTAGCTGGGCATGGTGGCATGTGCCTGTAGTCCCAGCTACTCGAGAGGCTGAGGCAGGAGAATCACTTGAACCCAGGAGGCGGAGGTGGCAGTGAGCCGAGATCATGCCACTGCACTCCAGCTCAAAAAATATATATATTTTTTTAATTAACAAGTTCTAGTATCTAAAATGAGCAAAATCGTCACGTGTGGTGGATCACACCTGTAATCCCAGCAATTTGGGATGCCAAGGCATGTGGATCATCTGAGGTCAGGAGTTCAAGACCAGGCTGCAGTGAGCCAAGATTGCACCACTGCACTCCAGCTGGGGAGACAGAGTGAGACTCCATCTCAAAAAAAAAAAAAAAAAAAAAAAAAGTAAATATGCATTTGAAAAGAACAGCATCAGCCAGGTACAGTGGCTCACGCCTGTAATCCCAGCACTTTGGGAGGCCGAGGGTAGAGGATAGCTGAGCCCAGGAGTTTGAGACCACCCTGGGCAACATGGTGAAACCCTGTCTCTACAAAAAATACAAAAATTAGCCAACTGTGGTAGTAAACACCTGCAGTCTCAGCTACTTGGGAGGCTGGGGAAAGGATTGCTTGAGTCTGGGAGGTCGAGGCTGCAGTGAGCCATGATTGCGCCACCTCACTCCAGCCTGGGCAACAGAGCAAGACCCTCTCTCAAAAAAGAAAAAAAAACATGCAAAAAGAAAACAAAACAGAACAGCGTCATTTCCTTATCATTAGTTTGAAGGAAGGGAATCACTGGCAAAAGTTTCCATTTTCTTTTTTTTGAGATGGAGTCTCACTCTGTCGCCCAGGCTGGAGTGCAATGGCGCGATCTCGGCTCACTGCAAGCTCTGCCTCCCGGGTTCACACCATTCTCCTGCCTCAGCCTCCTGAGTAGCTGGGACTACAGGCGCCCACCACGACGCCCAGCTAATTTTTTGTATTTTTGTAGAGACCGAATTTCACCATGTTGCTCAAGCTAGTCTGGAACGCCTGAGCTCAAGGGATCTGCCCACCTCGGCCTCCCAAAGTGCTAGGATTAAGGGCGTGAGTTACCAGGCCGGCCCAATTACTTTCTTCAGTCTGAGCATGAGCACTGGAAGAAAAGCTCTCACTCACATGTAATTTTTTTTAGAGACATGGTCTCCCTCTGTCACCCAGGCTGAAGTGCAGTGGCGTAATCTCAGCTCACGGTAACCTCAACCTCCCGGGCTCCAAATATATATATATATATATATATATATATATATATATTTTTTTTTTTTTAGTTGGAGTCTCGGTCTGTCGCCCAGGCTGGAGTGCAGTGGCGCGATCTCGGCTCACTGCAGCCGCCGCCCCCCGGGTTCAAGCAATTCTCTGCCTCTGCCTCAGCCTCCCGAATAGCTGGTATTACATGTGCCCGCCACCACGCCCGGCTAATTTTTTATTTTTAGTATAGACGGCATTCACCATGCTGGCCAGGATGGTCTTGAATTTCCGACCTCGTGATCCACCTGTCTCGGCCTCCCAAAGTGCTGGGATTAAAGGCGTGAGCCACCGTGCCCGGCCCGATCGCTTATATTTTTAAAGAGATGTTTTCTTGGTTTCCTAGCCCCTCGTACCCCCTACAAAGTTCCAAAGGCTTTGATGTTGTTGCAAAGGCCATGAGAGGTCAAGCCGAGGGGTGCAGCTCCCTAATGCGGTGTAGCCTCAGACGGGGCCGATCCTGCCCAGAATGAGCGGCGCCGGGCGGTGGGGGACGCTGCCGGTGTCCCCGGGACCTGGCTGGGGGAGGAGTTGGGGGGGCGCACCTACACAGGCTCAGGTGACGCGAGTGTGCGGCAAGGGCTGTAGCCGGAGCTAGCGGGCTTGTGGTGGCCACTGAGGAGCTTCTGCCCGACAGTGCCCTCCGGGCCACAGCCGCTTGGTGCGCAGCGCCTACTCGCTCAGCGTCAGGCCCTTGCTGCGCCCTACGCCGCAGGCTGGGAAGTCGCGCAGGTAGCAGTAGTACAGGCAGTGGTAAAGCTCGTCCTTGTAGCTTATTGGTGTCGGCGGCCGAGTCGGAGCCTGCGGACACTAACCCGCCGCCTACTGACACTGACCGGCAGTCTGTGGCCACGCGTCTGCGCATGCGCTCTCCTGGAATACCCAGCCGCCGCGCCTCGAGTTCCGATTGGTTCTACAGAAGGGGCGCGCCTCCGCTGACGTCACAGGCGCGGGCCTTCCGGCGACGTAATAGCGCCGGCCTTCGGCGATGTCACAGTGACGCTACAGTGCCTGGAGCTGGGCTGTTTTCTCCTCGGTTTGGAGCCTGGTGACCGTGACTTCCCCGCCATGTTCTGTGTGTTGCTGGCTGGAGAAGGGTAGTTGACAAACTCCGACCCAGCACAGTGTTTCTGTGGGTCAAAACTAGAAAACTATGTCCGGGCTCCGCCGAGGCGGAAGGATCCCTTCAGGCCAGGAGTTAAAGAGCGGCCTGGGCAACATGGCGCGACTCCATCTCTGTAGTCCCTCCTCAGCTTCCCAGATACTTGAACCCCAAGGTTCAAGGCTGCAATGAGCTATGATCCCATCACAGCACTCTATCCTGCGAGACTGAAGTAAACCTTGTCTAAAAAAATAAACTATCCAAGTGTGCAACAGGGAGGGACCGCTTAAAGAAAACATGGTAATTGTATGTTCAAATACTTTTAACAAGTGCAAAATGTATAGGCTTAAATAAATAGGGCTGGCCGGGCGCGTTGGCTCACGCCTGTAATTCCAACATTTTGTGTGCCCGAGGCATTCCGATCACTTGAAGTCAGGAACTCGAGACCAGCCTGGCCAATATGGTGAAACCCCATCTCTACTAAAAATATAAAAATTAGGCCAGGCACCTTGCATCGTTTCAGGAGGCTCGCACCTCCCTAAGGGCCCGTTAATTGAACCCCTCGGACCTGAGGGTGAGAAACCTTGGCTTAGTTCTTCCCAGGGTGATCAGCCCAGGGGTAAGAGAGGAGAGGCCAGAAAGCAGGACCCATGAGAAGGGCCCCCTCCTGGAGTTTGAGGCCCATTCCTTCCTGCCCCTGCGTCTCCTCGGTCCAGGACTCCTCCCTGCTCTGCCCCACTCCTGGGGCCATGGCCACGGGGGGCTGCTTTTGGGTACAGGCCCCAGCGGCAACCCTGGGCCCAAAGTGGGCAGGCTCACCTGGAGGGGATCAGAGTAAAATGGCAAGAAGCGAGGGGAAAAGCCGCCCTGGAAGCGCGCCTCTCTGCCCCCTGACGTCAGTGGGTGCACTCTTCCCTCACCTCACTCAGGCAGCGGCATGAGTTACCTGGGAGCACTGTCCTGCTCCCTCTGCTGCCTCTTTTTAGTCTTGGGGCTACCATAACACTTTCCCTTCCCCAGCCCTCCCAACCTGGTGGGAATTTGGGCTTCCCTCTTACAGGGTCCTGGGGACAGGCGGGTCCTGGGGATAGGCCCGTCCTGTATCATACCTGCAGCGAGACCCTTTTTTTTCTCCAGGACCTGGGGAGCAGCCAGGCTTCATGAGTTAAATGCAGATCTGAACCATACCAAGTTGGGATTGGGGTACACATTCTTCCCATCTGAAAACTAGCTAGGGGTTCCAACTTGGTGAGAGGGAGAGTGGGACAGAGCCAGACCAGACAAGAACTGATCACCTGGAAAAACCTGCCATCAAAGACCTTGACGAGTGCTGGGTGCGGTGGCTCACTCCTGTAATCCCAGCACTTTGGGAGGCTGAGACAGGTGGATCACTTGAGGCCAAGAGTTCGAGTCTAGCCTGGGCAACATGGCAAAACCCTGTCTCTGCTAAAAATACAAAAATTAGCTAGGTGTGCTATGCTCATGTAATCCCAGCTACTCAGAAGGTTGAGGCAGGAGAATCGTTTGAACTGGGGAGGCAGAGGTTGAAGTGAGCCGAGATTGTGCCACTGCACTCCAGTCTGGGAGACAGAGTGAAACTGTGTCTCAAAAAAAAAAAAAAAAAAAGAAAAAAGAAAATGGCTTTGGCAGAGGGGCTGGCCCGGCAGTGCCTTCCCTTGGGTTTCTCCTGGGTAGGCCTCTGCCATGAGGAGGCGCTTCCTTCTGCCTGTTCATGGCCCACAGCAAAGGAATGTCTGCTTCTGGGGGTTGGGTGGGGGACTGCTGGCAGAACTGGAAACCTTCTTCAGGTGGGTTTTTTTTTTTTTTTTTTTGAGACGGAATCTCACTCTGTCACCCAGGCTGGAGGGCAGTGGCGCAATCTCAGCTCACTGCAACCTCCATCCCCCCTCCCCCGTCCCCCCGCGGCCCCCTCCGGGTTCAAGTGATTCCCATGTGTCAGCCTCCTGAGTAGCTGAGATTACAGGCATGTGCCACCACACCTGCCTAATTTTTGTATTTTTTGTAGAGACGGGGTTTCACCATGTTGGCCAGGCTGGTCTGGAACTCCTGACCTGAAGTGATCTGCCCACCTCGGCTTCCCAAAGTGCTGGGACTGCAGGTGTGAGCCACTGCGCCTGGCCCCTTCAGGTGGGTTTTGAGGCTTCACGTTGCTGCTGCAATAAATTACCACACACTTAGTGGCTTAAAACAGCACAGAGGTATTCCCTTACATTTCTGAAGGCCAGAATTCTAAAATCAGTCCCACTGAGTCAAGGTGGGAGCAGGGTCAGTGCCTTCCCAGGCTCTGCGGGAGAATCTGTTTCCTGGCCCTGGAGGCGGCCTGTACTCCTTAGCTTGTGCTGCCCTTCTGGAATGACTCGAGTTTCCTGCTTTCATCACTACACCTCCCACCGCTCTCCATCACCTGCTGTGCTCTTACGAGGATCCAGGTGAGTACATAAACCCTGCCGGGACAAGCTGGCCAAAGACCCTTAACTTCATTATACTTGCAAAGCCCCTTTTGCCATATAAGGTCATGTTCACCGGTTCCCGGGATTAGGATATGGGCATCTTGGGGGCATCAGCCTACTACAGCTAGGCTACAAAACTGTTACACCCTCCTGGTGTTTCAGTGATTGGGAGAAAAAGGGTTGGGATTTTTTGCTTTGGGGTCCCAGTTAAACTTGTATATGTAAGGTCTGGGGTCCCTCTTAACCTTGTGTTTTTGTTTTTTGAGACGGAGTATTGCTCTGTCATCCAGGCTGGCAGTGGCGTGGTCTCGGCCCACTGTAACATCCGCCTCCTGGGTTCAAGCAATTCTCCTGCCTCAGCTTCCCAAGTAGCTGGGACTACGGGCGCCTGCCACCACGCCTGGCTAAGTTTTGTATTTTTGGTAGAGATGGGGGTGGGACTGGGGGGTGGGGGAGGGGAGGGGGGTTTCTACCGTGTTGCCCTTAGCTCAAAGCGATCTGCCCTGCCTCTGCTCCTGAAATGCTAGGATTACAGGCCCGCACCACCACCGTAAAATCTTATTTCCACACAGCTGAGACATGTTTTAGGAAGTTTGCTAAAAGACCCCTGGAGACGTCCTCATTGTGGCCTCCCTGCTGTTGTGTTTAATTTGGTTGATCTTCTCTGCCCTCCTGCTTTTCAGAATTAAAAGGCTAAAAAGAGGTACTAAACTTTAAAACTTCTCTTATAGTCTCCCTTTAAAGTAATTCTAAGAACCACCAAAAAGGGGAAAATTTTTTTCGAAAGCAGTAAAATGATATGGTTTGTTAGGATGTAAAATATAGAAAATAAGTCATTATATGTTATTGCTGCTCTGACATAGGGATGTATTGAGAATCAACTTTTGGTCAGTTTTCAGAGAAATGGAATAATTGTATTGCTGATCTACGTAAACAAGTTGAAGAATTGTCTGAAAGAAAATATGGTGTGTCTGAACTGGAAAAGTCCTGTGATAGTTTGTTCATGAGCATTTACACAATGGAGTTACTGTTCATCATGGGGGTACTGTGGACAAGCCCAGGGCTGCTGGTGAGTCATGCCATCCTTACATGTCTCTCCTTGTAAGGTACTTTGTAGTGTCTGTCTAAATATTAGAAACATTCTTTGTTTCTAGATTGCTAGAAAGCTAAGGAAAAGTTGTATTTCTCTAATTATCAATTAGCATTTATTTTAAACATTCAGCATAGATATTTGGGATTTATTTACATATTTATTGCAAATCCCTGGATCTTAGGGGTTTAATTGAATAGATATATATATACACACATATATATACGTATATATATACACACACATATACGTATATATATATACACACACATATGTATATATATACACACACATATATACATATATATACACACATATATACGTATATATACACACATATATACGTGTATATATACACACGCATATATACGTATATATATATATATTGTTTTTTGAGATGGAGTCTCACTCTTGTCACCGAGGCTGGAGTGCAGTGGTGCGATCTCAGCTCACTGCAACCTCCGTCTGCCAGGTTCAAGCAATTCTCTGCCTCAGCCTACCAAGCAGGTGGGATTACAGGTGCCCACCACCATGCCCCACTAATTTTGTATTTTTAGGTGAGACAAGGTTTCACGATCTTGGCCAGGCTGGTCTTAAACTCTGGACCTTGTGATCCACCCACCTCGGCCTCCTAAAGTGCTGGGATTATAGGCATGAGCCAACTCGCCAGGCCATTTTTTATTTTTTTAAAGTAATTGTTTCTCTCTATCTGCTTTGTTAAATTTGTTAATTTGGCCAGGCACGGTGGCTCACGCCTGTAATCCCAGCACTGTGGGAGGCTGAGGCACGTGGATCACCTCAGATGGGAGTTCGAGACCAGCCTGACCAACATGGAGAAACCCTTTCTCTACTAAAAACACAAAATTATCTGGGCGTGGTGGCGTATGCCTGTAGTCCCAGCTACTCAGGAGGCCAAGGGAGGAGAATTGCTTGAACCTGGGAGGTGGCGGTTGTGGTGAGCCAAGATCACACCATTGCACTCTAGTCTGGGCAAAAAGAGCAAAATTCTGTCTAAAAAAAAAAAATTCGATATTCATCAAGATGCCCCTATTGTCTCTACTTTTATCTTGATGCATTACCTAGTTGACGTTAGACTTCAAATTCTTCCTTGCCCTTATACTATTCTATCCTAAAGCCACCTTTATATAATGATGAAAGAAATCAGCAATTTGTTGTTGTCATCTCTTTGATGGTATATAGCAAATGCTCACCTAAAAATAGCAACAACTAGCAAAAAACATCATGTGTTTTGCCGTTTTTATTTGAATGACTGTTTACTTTGCAATCTACTAGCAAGCTATAGAATTGTGTGATATGCAGAATTTTAACTGAAGTGCTTTAAGTGAACATTTAAACATGATAAACCGTATTAATGGTGTTTATGCTTTTTTTTTTTTTTGAAATGGAGTTTCACTCTTGTTGCCCAGGCTGGAGTGCAACGGCACGATCTTGGCTCACCGCAACCTCCGCCTCCCAGGTTCAAGCGATTCTCCTGCCTCAGCCTCCCGAGTAGCTGGAATTACAGGCATGTGCCACCACACCCGGCTAATGTTTTTGTATTTTTAGTAGAGACAGGGTTTCACCATGTTAGCCAGAATGGTCTCGATCTCCTGACTTCGTGATCCGCCCGCCTCAGCCTCCCAAAGTGCTGGGATTACAGGTGTGAGCCACCACGTCCGGCTGGTGTTTATGTTAATATACTCGAAGCGAACATTTTTTCTTCATCATGAGTAATATAACATACCCCTCAATGAAAGTCTAGAATTAGAGTAAATTTGCTAATGAATTAATAACTTTTCCATAATATTTTTAATTATGTGCTTAAGGTTCTTTCAGTGTTTCTCCTACTTTTTAATAGCTTATGCCTTTTTTTGCCTTTTTTATTGGTTCATTTTAAAGCAAAAACCTCATAACGTGCTATTTGGAAGCACTGTAACCTAGTGGTGAGATCATAGGCTCTGGGGACACAGCCTGGCCACGTCTCTTCTCCTTTCTGAGCCTTAGTATCCTCTCTTGTGTTCATGAAAACTGAATATTTATCCCGAAGATGTGATAAGATAGTAAAGTGTTTCACATAATACCGGGCATATAAATACATGGTAAATGCTTCCTTTTTAACGATTTATTGGTTGGTTGGTTGATTGATTGAGACAGAATCTCACTCTGTCACCCAGGCTGGAGTGCAGTGGCACTATCTCAGCTCGCTACAACCTCTGCCTCCCTGGTTCAAGAAATTCTGCTGCCTCAGCCTCCCAAGTAGCTGGGATTACAGGTGTGCATCACCATGCCCAGCTAATACCAGCTAATTTTTGTATTTTTGGTAGAGACAGAGTTTTGCCATGTAGGCCAGGCTGGCCTTGAACTCCTGACCTCAGGTGATCCACCTGCCTCCCAAAGTGGGATTACAGGCATGAGCCACCACACCTGGCCCATGTTTTTTTTTTTTTTTTTTTTGGGAAGATTTTTAAATTTCATGAATAATGGTAATGATTTTTTTTTTAATTATTTAAGTTTTAGGGTACTATGTTTTTATTATATTGTTAATTTAGTACTATTCTGAGTAAAAATAATTTGCTATTACAGTTTTATAAATTGACAATTTTATAAATGTCAATGCTTTTTATAAGGTGAAACATTAATGTTGTGGGGCTTTTGTTGTGATGGTGATTTATTAGATTATTTTGTTTAAAGACAACGTTCAGCTGTTGTGAAATTACAAAAATAATCTTCACATTTCATAATTTTAAAGCAATATTAATGGTAATTACCTTAGAGAAAGATAGTTTTGTTGTGATATATAGGTATGATACTGAAGTTTAATGTACAGCAAAGGATATTAAACCTAAGTCAGCACTAATGTGTTATATGGTACACTTGAAACTTTAGTACAGATATCAATGTTTAGCAAATAGACATTAACACATAATGATAGCAAAAAAATGGAGCTGTTCTGATGGGAGACCGTTGATTATGTTAGATTTTAATACTTCCCATGCTCTTGACTTTTTTTTTTTCTTTGAGAGAGAGTCTTGCTCTGTCACCCAGGCTGGAGTGCAGTGGCACCATCTCAGCTCACTGCAGCCTCCACCTCTCAGGTTCAAGCGATCCTCTCGACTCAGCCTCCCTAGTAGCTGGAACTACAGGCGAGTGCCACCTCGCCCGGCTGATTTTTGTATTTTTAGTTAGATACGGGGTTTCACCATGTTGGCCAGGCTGGTCTCGAACTCCTGACCTCAGGTGATCAACCTGCCTCGGCCTCTCAAAGTGCTGGGGTTACAGGCATGAGCCACCACACCTGGTCAGCTCTTGACTCTTTATAGCTGTTGTATTATTTTAATCTTGAGTAAATAAATGCTCGCTGAAATGTTGCAGTTCACGAGAATCTTCTTCTGTTATTTAAAAAATTATTTGTAAAAGTCCAATTAGGTTACACTAATGTTTATGTTTTGAAAATATTACCTCTTCCGTTTAGTACTAAATATATTAAATAAAATTAGACGGTGATTTTTTTTGGCTTTGTAATGTGGTTCAGATTTTTGTAGAAAGTCTGGCTGTGTCTACATTGCCTTAAAGCAATGGGATATTTCTCTTTTTTTTTTTTTTTGAGCTAGAGTTTCGCTCTTGTTGCCCATGGTGGAGTGCAGTGGTGTGATCTCGGCTCACTGAACATCTGCCTACCAGGTTCAAGCAATTCTCCTAGCTCAGCCTCCTGAGTAGCTGGGATTACAGGCACACACCACCACGCCTGCCTAACTTTTGTATTTTTAGTGGAGTTGGGGTTTCACCATGTTGGCCAGGCGGGTCTCGAACTCCTGACCTCAGGTGATCCTCCCGCTTCAGCCTCCCAAAGTGCTGGGATTACAGGCATGAACCACCTCGCCCCGCCAGGAATGTTTTTTAAGAAGGCTGTCTACTTACGGAATTCCTGGCCTTGAGAGGATATTACTTGCAAAGGAAAGGATTTGTTTTGTGTTTAAAAAGTAAGACTCTTGGATTCTTGTTGGACTCTTATCTCTGTTCTGAGTAATATATCTTTGTTATTGTTGACAAATATTCATTCACCATTAGGGTTATATTTAATTAAGTTTGAGTTATTTTATTTTGTTGTTGTTGTTGTTGTTGTTGTTGTTGTTTTGAGAAGGAGTCTTGCTCTGTCGCCCAGGCTGGAGGGCAGTGGCGTGATCTCAGCTCACTGCAATCTCCACCTCCCGGCTTTAAGCAATTCTTTAAACCTCCCGAGTAGCTGGGAATACGGGCACCCACCAACATGCCCCGTTGATTTTTGCATTTTTAGTAGAGACGGAGTTTTACCATTATTGGCCAGGCTGGTCTTGAACTCCTGAGTTTGTGATCCGCCCGCCTCGGACTCCCAAAGTGCTGGTATTACAGACTTGAGCCACTGCATCTGGCCTATTATATGTATTTTTATGTATCACTTTTTAATTTATCTGGGTCCAACATTGAGTCAGTCATGCTAGTGTTACCTTTTGAAACATGAACACTGCCCGCACCTGACTGGCATGCAACTGATATTTTCTTTCACAATTTTCTGCTACTTTTGCTAAAAATAATAATTTCCATGTCTTGCTTTTAGGCCTGAGATTTTTATAGCATATGTGGGAATATATGATTGTTTCTCTAGATGTGTAGAGGAAGATAGTCTTGAATGCAATGTGAGACTAAAGGATCCCATTTAAGATTTTTGTAATATGCTTCAAAGACCTGTGGGCTGCAAAGTTACCACTTTACTTGTGAGGACACATGCTCCGTGAAGCATGTTATGAGACAATTTGCAATTATCATTTTGTTTTTGTTACTCTGTAGAAACCCCAAATGAAGATTTAGTTGTGCTCAAGCATCCAGATTGTCTTTTCTTAATTTTTTTTCTTTTCCCAAGATGGAATCTTGCTCTGTCACCGAGGATGCAAGTGCAGTGGCATGGTCTTGACGCACTGCAACCTCTGTCTCCCGGGTTCAGGCAATTCTCCTGCCTGAGCCTCCCAGGTAGTTTGGATTACAGGCACCTGCCACCATGGCCGGCTAAGTTTTGTATTTTTAGTAGAGGTGGAGTTTCACCATGTTGGCCAGGCTGGTCTCGAACTCCTGACCTTGTGATCTGCCAGCCTCTGCCTTCCAAAGTGCTGGGATTACAGGTGTGAGCCACTGTGCCCAGCATGTCTTTTCTTTTCAAAACCACCCTTGGTAATTAAATGTTAAATGTGTACTAGTGGATATTACTTTGCTGAATATTGCTTATGAATATTATTTATTTTCACCTTTCAGACATAATCTTATGAATTCAACACATGAAGATTTACAACTTGATAAACCAGCTTCAGGAGGTAGGTGGCACACCCCAATCAGTCACTTGTGCATCCAGAAGGGAGGGAACGTGTTTCAAATATGAGTAAAGGCAGGGAGGTGTCAAGTATGCTCACATGTTCACATACCTGACCTATTCTGTGTGGAGTGAGGAGTGCCATGTGGGCATTGTAGGATTGCATAGATAGACTTGGGTGGCCAAGTGGAGGAAGGCCTTAGATCCTACAAAAGCAGTGGCAGTCATTAAATGGTCTCATAGCACTTCTCTCTTAAAATAATGTGGATCTGTCCTTTAGAAAGATTATTCTGGGTTGATTTTGAAGAATAACACAGTGGGTAGTTTGAGTGTAGGCGGTAGGAACAGAAGGCCTTTCTCTACTCATGGAAGGAATGTTGAAGTGGGCAGAGTCTTGTTTACTGATTGGGGTTGTGTATCTGTGTATATTTGTTGGGGCTCAGTTATAAGGGAGAAGAAAGGTTTAAGATGATGCAAGCTGCTTCTGGCTGTGCTGTGGGACAGTTCATCCAAGATTCAGAAACAGAATTGAGCTGGTTTGGGGGAAAAGTGACTTTTGCATATTTATCTTATAAAAAAGATGACTTTGGAGATACCCAGGTGGTCTCACCTGAATGTCTGAAAATTGCTATTTTCAAAATTCAAGTCACCAGAATGAGTTTTTTCACTATAAAATGAAGGCAGAGTGGACCATTTAAAAATTTGGCTGGGCACAGTGACTCATGCTTGTAATCCCAGCACTCTGGGAGGCTGAGGCAGGTAGATCACCTGAGGTCAGGAGTTCGAGACCAGCCTGGCCAACATGGCAAAACCCTGTGTCAACTAAAAATACAAAAATTAGCTGGTTGTGCTGGGGCACACTTGTGGTCCCAGCTACTCGGGAGGCTGAGGCAGGAGAATTGCTTGAACCTGGGAGACAGAGGTTGCAGGGAGTCGAGATCATGCCATTGCACTCCAGCCTGGGTGACAGAATGAGACTCCGTCTCAATAATAATAATAATAATAATAATAATAATAATAATAATTAGTGCACAGCTGTGTGAGAAAGGCCTATAAATTTCTTCTAAGTGCTTTATTATAATACTAATATCAACTATGTTTTTACAGATCAGAACTTCTTACAATACAACTGATGTTACTCAGCCTAGAACAAATACAACAGGTAACATAGCTGTGAAATCCTTTTTAAAAGCACAGATTAATCTTCAAGCTTTTAAAAATTAATCTTTTAATTTGATGGAACTGCTCCTTCACCTCCCCGAAAAATATTTTGCTGAAGCTCAATACAGGCACTCCTTGATTTATTGATATGAACATATGCAGTGTAGGGAATCACTCAAGCTTTTTTTTTTTCTTTCTTCCCCTTTTTGATACAGAGTCTCACTCTGTCATCCAGGCTGGAGTGCAGTGGTGCAATCTTGGCTAACTGCCACCAGGCTTAAGCAATTCTCCTGCCTCGGCCTCAGCTTTCTGAGTAGCTGGGATTACAGGCGTGCGCCACCATGCCTGGCCAAATTTTGTATTTTGTGTAGAGACAAGGTTTCACCATTTTGGCCAGGCTGGTCTCAAACTCCTTCGCTCAGGTGATCCTTCTGCCCGAGCCTCCCAAAGTGCTGGATTACAGGTGTGAGTCACCACACCCGGCATTAATGTACTCTGAGGATGCTGACTTCCAGATAGCCATTTTTGGGTCAAGGAAAGTTCAAGTCTCCTGAGTATAGTAGCCATACGTCCTAGAGAGCTTCCTTTTGGTTTGGTTACAAAATGTATCTTAGCTTAATTTTCTTACATTCGGTCGGCAAAATAAGAAAGAGCAGAAGGCTGGGCACGGAGGCTCACGCCTATAATCCCAGCACTTTGGGTGGCTGAGGCGGGCAGATCACCTGAGGTCAGGAGTTTGAGACCAGCCTGGCCAATACGGTGAAACCCCATCTCTATTAAAAATACAAAAATCAGCTGGGTGTGATGGTGTGTACCTGTAATCCCAACTACTTGGGAGGCTGAGGCATGAGAATTGCTTGAACCCAGGAGGCGGAGGTTGCAGTGAGCCGAGATTGCACCACTACACTCTAGCCTGGGGGATAGAGCAAGACTGTGTCTCCAAAAAAAAAAAAAAAAAAAAAGGGGCAGAAAAGTTTAGGGACACCCAATAAAACTAGAATTGGAAACGGAATTACTCTGTAGATGATTTCTTTTCAAGATGGGCTAGTGGAGTTTTTGAGCAGCAGCTACATTCTCCTTTCACATCTTCAGGTTTCATAAGGTTACCTTTAGCCCTCTGAGTGATCAGATCTGCCTCACAGTCACTCACGAGAGCCCTTGATCTCGACAAAATGGACATTGAGTAGCTGAGTTCAAATAACTGAGGTGGCAAGAGGGGATCTCCTTCTTGGTTCTTATATATTTTTTTTAAATGAAAGAGCTAGAGAAGCAATCTCAAGGTCAAGATAACTCACCCTGATGTTCTAACTTTTCAGGGATTGTGCTGCATTCTGACTTAGGTTCTGCCATCGAACACAGAATGCCCTGATCCTTAGAGGCAGAGGCAGCTCTTCAGCCTATGGGGTAAGTAACCAGGGAATGGAATTCTCACCAATTCTTATTTTCTATGCTAAAAGTTTTACTTTACAATTTGGGCCTGCTTCTTTTTTTTTTTTTTTTTTTTTGAAATGGAGTTTCACTCTTGTTGCCCAGGCTGGAGTGCAGTGGCACTGTCTTGGCTCACTGCAACCTCCGCCTACCAGGTTCAAATGATTCTCCTGATTCAGCTTCCCAAATAGCTGAGATTATAGGCATGCACCACCACATCTGGCTAATTTTTTAAAATTTTTAGTAGAGATGGGGTTTCACTATGTTGGACAAGCTGGTCTTTAACTCCTGACCTTGGGTGAGCCACCCGCCTTGGTCTCCCAAAGTGCTGGGATTACAGGTGTGAGCCACTGGGCCTGGGCCTGCTTCTTTCTTTCTCTCTCTCTCTTTTTTTTTTCAGTAGCAGTTTAAAATTGGTGCCTCATTTAGACACAAGCAAAAGGATATTAGCTCAGCTTTGGAAATAGGTGTGAGCCCACATATGATTTTCCTAGTTTTTCCTCTTCCTTCACTTTTTGCTCTCTTGGTAGTATGTTAATTCTATTCTCTCTCTGAATCTTTTTTCTTCATTTCTTTGGCAGATATTTTTACTTGTCTCGGAAGAGTAGGAGAAGAACTGCTTTTAGGACTCTTTGAAAGGTTACAATATGGATGACAATCTTGGCTAATGGTGACCAGATCTAGGGAGCTGGGATCAGCGTGAGCTGGAATCAGTTCAAATTAGCAAAGCAGTAGCGCTCAGTGGCAGGAATACAGGTGTCCTCAAAGTGTTAAACACATCTTGAAAGGGATAGTGACATCATTCTCAGAATCTGTTGGGAATGCACATAGCCTGTAGACCCATTCGTCTTTGACCCTGTAAAGATATTTTAAAGAGTAATACCCTGAGTGGTTTTCTGTCCAGTTTGCCTGCTCATTTATCTTTGAGGACATGCCTTGTGGAGCTCCGCAGGCCCCAGGGGTGTGTGGATTCTACATTTGAAAGTGCTGATGCTGAGAGACTGGGTCTTGGCGGACCCCAAGGAGTCTGCTTTTCCTCTACTTATTGTCCCTACTTTTCCTGGCAGCTGGCATTGCTGTTTAAATGGGTTGTTCTTTGCTGTTTAAGTTGTTTGGTAGTGGTGTGTCAGGATGTGGGTTTTCTGAATACTTTCCCAGCTGGTTACTTGAGTGGTGGTTAGGGAGGAGCTGTCTTGGGGCTGTTCTGGAGCTGTTAAGGTCGGGTGTCTGTCTGGATACTCACAGCTTATCTGTTGAGGAGAACGCTGTTCTCATTGTGCTGCCTTTGGTGGTGCTGTGTGTGGCTCTTTAGATGTGGGTGGAGATGAGTTGGGTGAGTTACTGAGATCTTTTTTAGGTGCTTTTGATAAAGTAGTCTGCACTACAGGATTGATTGTGACTTTTTCCCTTAACCTGCACATACTTCTCTGCTTGTCCTTGCTGTCTTTCTCATGCCTTTGATTTTCCCATCTCCTGTTGGTTGAATTTACATAAAAGCTCTGCTGTAGTTTAAATGTGTCCTCCAAAGTTTATGTGCTGGAAACTCAATCTTCAACAGTTGGGATGTGGGGCCTAATAAGAGAGCCCTCATGAATGAATTAATGTTATTTTGGTAATAGATTAGTAATCACAAGAGTGGGCTTATTGTAAAAGAGAGTTCAGCCCCTGTTGCCCTCTTGCTTTCTCGCACTCTCTTGTCCTTCTGCCTTCTGCCATGGGATAATCTTCTTCTGTCATGGAATGATATTCCCTCATATTCAGAAAAGGGAGTCTCCCATTAGGAGTAAAGTCATGAGAAGAAATGGGCATTTTCATAATTGTGGTGTTTTCTTTACAGCAGTGGTTCTCAAAGGTAGTTCCTGGCAGTATCACCTGGAAACTTGTTAAATTCAAATTCTCAGGCCCTATCCCAGGCCAACTGAATCAGAAACTCTGGGGTGGGACCCAGTACTCTGTGTTTTAACTAGTCTTCCAAGTGATATTGATGTGCATTCAAGTCTGAGAACTACTGCTTGTCAAGTTAGTTGTTTGCTAATTTTTTACTCCCACCTTCACTGGACCCTGGAGAGTGTGTAAGGGACAAAAGTGAGAGAACACTGTCTCTGCAGGTACTTTGTCAGTCTTCTGTTGAATCATTTGAGAAACCTAGAAAACATCTGTTGAGCACCTTCTCAGTTCCTGGCACTGTGCTAAGTGGCTAAGAGCATGGGGTGGACATGTAAGCAGGTAATTGTAATAGGACATGAGTATTATAATGGCTAAAGGTATTTTATATATATATATATGTATATATGTATATATATGTATATGTATATATATACATATATATGTATATATATACATATATATGTATATATATGTATATGTATATATATATACATATATATGTATATATATACATATATATATGTATGTGTATATATATATATATTTATAAAAAGCTACAGGAACTGGAGAGAAAATTATCCTGTCAGTGGGGAAGATGGAGTCAGATGTCACTTGATCCTTGAACAGGGTAGGATTCGAAGATGAACAGACAGAAGGGTATTCTAATTGGGTTCATACATAGGATGATCATGCAATTTATTATCCAAAGTAGGTCACTTTTGAGAATCAAAGTGGGTGCTTTTAGGCCAGGACTGTTGCTTGCTAACGGGGGTGTATGATTGCCCTATTTGTAAAGAACGAGTGATGCTGTGAAGCCATAGTTCGATGTAAATTTGTGGAAAACTCATTTCTTCTAATTATTTGTAGAGTTTTCAACAATTCTTATTGGATGGCATATTTTTTCCCCAGGGCTGCTGTAAAATATTACAGGCATGCTTTGAAGATATTACAGGTTTGGTTCCGCACCACTGCAGTAAAGTGAGTCACACACATTTTTGTGTTACCCAGTGGATATAAAAGTTGTATTTTGGGCCAGGCTCCCTCTGCATCTCTGTGTTTCAGTTGGGGTAGGGTAATTTTCTGTTCAGTTTGAAGAGCTCCCCCTGGTATTTCTTCCCGTGGATGTCTTCCCATAACAATGTTTTTTTCTCATCTGAAAATGTCTATTTTGCCATCTTTTTTTTTTTTTTTTTTTTTTGAGATGGAGTCTCCCACTGTTGCCTGGGCTGGTACGCAGTGGTGCAATCTCGGCTTGCTGCAACCTCCACCTCCTGGGTTCAAGCGATTCTCCTGCCTTAGCCTCCCGAGTAGCTGGGACTACAAGCGCGTGCCACCACACCCATCTAACTTTTGTCTTTTTAGTAGTGTTGGGGTTTCACTTTGTTGTCCAGGTTGGTCTTGAACTCCTGACCTCATTTCCACTCGCTTCTGCCTCCCAAAGTGCTGGGATTGCAGGTGTGAGCCACTGCGCTGGCTATGTTTTTTTTTTGTTTGTTTGTTTTTGAGATGGAGTCTCACTCTGTCTCCCAGGCTGGAGTGCAGTGCCATGATCTCAGCTCACTGCAACCTCCGCCTCCTGGGTTCAAGCGATTCTCCTGCCTCAGCCTCGCATGTAGCTGGGATTACATGCGCACGCCACCATGCCCGGCTAATTTTTTGTATTTTTAGTAGAGACAGGGTTTCACCATGTTAGCCAGGATGGTCTCAATCTCCTGACCTCGTGATCTGTTCACCTGGGGCTCCCAAAGTGATGGAATTACAGGCAGGAGCCACTGTGCCAGACCTTTGCCATCAGTTTTTAAAGGAAACAGCTACTTAGCACTGGATGCTAGGTGAGCAGGTTTTTTCTTTCAGCTTTTTTTTTTTTTAAAGCCATCATACTTTAGAATCTTTCAGCACTGTCAAATTATCTTCTGGCTTTTATTATTTATGTTGAGAATTTAGACTGGGCGTGGTGGCTTACACCTGTAATCCCAGCAGTTTGGAAGGCCGTGGTGGGTGGATCACATGAACCCAGGAGTTGGAGACCAGACTGACCAACAGAGTGAGGCCCTGTAGCAACATGTGGTAGCCCTTTTTCAGTACATTGGCCTGATCCAGGTCAGTTGGATGTCATTTACATATGTGTCTTATATTTTAGATACAAGAGGCTTCTTAAAAGCTTAGAGCATAACACAAATATTTATTTGCACCATCTAACAAATCTAAATAAATACATTTCATGTCTAGGCATTGCGTTTTCTATTTCTCTAAACCAGTGTGCGCATGTGTGTGTACGTGTGTATCACTTTACCCAGCCACAGCAAGTGATTATGGATGAAATGGCTGCAGCAAAGCTAAAACTATGATATGCCTTTGAGAAAAAAATATTGAGCTGAGGCCGCCGCTGTCTTCTTCCTGCCCTTGCCTTGGTGGGCGGCGGTTTCCCACGCCGTGGCTGGCTTGGCAGGCCGGGGCACCATGCCGGGCTTCATGCAGCCGGGCTGCGTGGCTGCGCAGAGCAGGTGCCTCTGGGTGTCTGGTCGGGGGCCTGGCAGGAGCGGGCCGGGGATGGCCGCGGCAGGCGGCGGGTCCGCCGTGGAGCCCCGGGGAGGCGGCCGCCACGATTGCTTCCCGCAGTCTGCGAGGTGTCTGGCCGCTGGCTCAGGGCCCCTTTTGCAGACTCGGTGCCTGGCATGCGCCGGTGCTGCCTGCTGGGTCTTGGCACCACTGGCGCAGCCACGGCGGCGGGGGCCTGGCTCCAGATCCCCGACCCCTGCGAGCGCCGGCCCTGCGTGCCTGCTATGTTGGTGCCATCTCTTTTGCATATTTGTGCTTGCCTGTCACACTCCCTGGCCTCTGAGTGTCCTTTGGCAGTTTCCAAAGCATTTGGGCAAGACGGAGGTTGGGGAGCTTCACAACAGGTGGGGGCGCGCAGGGGAGGGTCCGCGGCCGGACCAGCAGAGTGCTTCAAGGGCTGCCGTGCTGACGGACCTTCCACACTGTCTTTCGGAACTGGGGTTAGGGGACAGCCCTTGGCCACCACTGTGCCCTTACTCTGTCGCTTTACTTGGGGCTGGACCTCCCCTTTCCAGCTCTGGCGTGTGACTCTGCACTGAGCGTGGTGTTGAGACCACCACCAGCTGGGGCCGTGGGAGGAAGGGTGCCCCAGGCTTGGGGAAGGTGGGGACCTATTCCCCGCTCCCCAAGTGATTGTTGCGTGCTCTGGTGAGGGGACAGTGGTACCTCGATTTCCCATGTGCCAGCTTCGGGACTCAGCTGTGCTTTTGTGTCTCTTTGATTAGCAAAAGCAAAATGAATTCCTCCCTGAACACTAAGCTTCCTGGATACTTCCCTAGACCTAAACCTGAGAACCGCATATAAACAGGCCTTGAGGGTTCTGTTGTCAGTAGCGGGTTACCTGATTGCAAACTGAGCAAGTTTAAAACGGAGTGGGCTGCTTTGGGCTGCACAGCCGTCTGGCATTCAGACAGCTGAGCAGGAGGCAGAGGTGAGAGACCAAGATGGACTAAAAATGCTCTAGCTGCTGGGAGCTCATCTCGGCCCAGCCTCTTTGAAAGGAGGAACATTCGGTGCAGCCATTGGAACCTTATCCTTTATAAAATGGGACAGCTCACAGGATTACATTTCTAAGCCAATCCTGTGACCATCCTCCATGAAATTCTCTATTTTGGTTACATGTGGTCAAACTGAGCCTCACTGAAACAATTGAAAACAAATACTCTCGACAAATCTTAAAAATCGTTTTGAAAATCAAAAGGTATAGAAAATGTTGTGTCTTCTTTCTAAACTTTCTTCAGCCCAAATTCTGTTATTCTCTGATCTTTTATGGTGTAAAATCATACCCATTCCATTATATGTTGATTGTCAAGAAGGAAGTAGGCTTTTATTGCTATGTTTATGTCAGTTTCCATTTACTGTCTCACCACATTTATTGGGTTATTGCCTTTGCCTTTGACTCAACAGGAGCTGGAAGGGAAAGAATCCCAAATTCTGTTTCTTAAGGCAGCCAGTTGTCAGAATGGACTTTCCTCATTTTCTATTGTGAGGCCTGAAGAAAGACATTCAGTTCCAAAGGCTGTGCCTATCCTTTTAAATAAAAGAGAGAGGGCCCGGCACGGTGGCTCATGCCTGTAATCTCAGCACTTTAGGAGGCCGAAGCGGGCGAATCACGAGGTCAGGAGTTCGAGACCAGCCTGGCCAACATAGTGAAACCCCGTCTCTACTAAAAATACAAAAAATTAGCCAGGCGTAATGGCGGGCGCCTGTATTCCCAGCTGCTTGGGAGGCTGAGGCAGGAGAATCGCTTGAACCCGGGAGGCGGAAGTTGCAGTGAACTGAGATCACGTCACTGGACTCCAGCCTGGGGGACAGAGTGAGACTTCGTCTCAAAAAAAAAAAAAAGAAGAAGAAGAAGCCGTGCCAAGGATAGGTACTGACTGAAGCAGGAGGAACAAATTGGAAATGTGGGAATGCGAATGTGGGCAAGTTGAGGGACTTGTAGCTTCTCTTCGGTTGAATCTTTTTGCTGAAGCTGCTTTATTGTATCTGACATGTGAAACAGCACAATTTCAAACAAACCCATATTGAAGTCAACATACAAAAAAGCGTTTAAAAAACAGCCATTAGTGGCCGGGCGTGATGGCTCACGCCTGTAATCCCAGCACTTTGGGAGGCCAAGGCGGGCGGATCACGAGGTCAGGAGATCGAGACCATCCTGGCTAACATGGTGAAACCCCGTCTCTACTAAAAATACAAAAAATTAGCCAGGCGTGGTGGCGGGTGCCTATAGTCCCAGCTACTCGGAAGGCTGAGTCAGGAGAATGGCGTGAACCCGGGAAGCGGAGGTTGTAGTGAGCTGAAACCACGCCACTGCACTCCAACCTGGGCGACAGAGTGAGACTCCATCTCAAAAAAAAAACCATTAGTAAAAATAATTTTTTCAATTAACGCTATTTTTCCCTTGGTGTTGATAATCAGATAATCAAATAGCTTATTGCATATGGAAAGTTGTTTTCTTTGAGTTAATTCAACCTATTGCAACTTAGAATCCAGGAAAATATTATTTTCAAATATGTATTTGGAATCTTCAAAATATTAGATTACAAATTACCTTAAAATAAGAAATATTTATGCAGCATAGAAAAGTCAGCAGTTCTCTGAGGAAGGTAAATAGCAGTTAAAATATCATAATGCACTTTATATCAGTTGTAAAAAGAAAGATCCAGGCTTAGATTTATGGTATTACCATTAGAAATACAATATGAGTATTTAAGAAACATAGCAACCCTAGCCATTAAGTAGGCATCAAATAACATTCTGAATTAAGTTATAAGATAAAACCAAGATTTGGATGACAATGGCAATATTGTCCATCATTGTTATCCAATTCCTGGTTTTATCTTATAACTGGTTTTAGGGGCCATTCTAGTGAATTGTCCCTAAAAGATGTTTGAAAGTAGTTCCATGCACTTTTCCTGAATTAATTTAAATAATTGATTTCACAAACAATCAGATGGTATGCTGTAACATGTCATTGCACTAGAAAGAAAAAAAAACTCCACTAGTGGGGAATAATTTCAATAGAGGAAAGTAATGAATGTTGGATGTGAGTTCAGAAACCAGAGGTTGATAAAGTCTTACGATTGCTATATGCACTGTGGGTCTACTGTATTTGGAAAATTGCAAAACAAAATATTTTTTAAAGAACAAAAATCTGGTGAGTAGCATACACAGCTTTCAAAAATAAATTGCATAACTTCATATTTCAGTAATTAAAGATTTAACAATTGTGATTTTGTGGCTAAACAAAATATACTGAACACATTATGTATAAACGATGGATTCAAAGCTCCAGAAAATTATCTTAATGAGGCGTATAAACTCTTTTTGTTTAATGTCCACACCAAATCATTATGGTCTGCCATTTCATGAAATAACAAGAGTTTTAAAATAAGTGATGTTTTTTAGTTTGTGTATCTATATTCTTTCCTACCAGATATAGCACAGTGTAGTACAAGGGCCTACAGTTATAAGCCTTGGGAAAGATACTGTTTTGGCCACATATTTCAGCTATGTGACCCTGGAAAGAGGGTCTCAGAGGGACACTGTGGCCCTCAGTGTCTTTTCATTGGTAAATGGGGGCAACATCACTTTTATAATGACAGCTGAAAAAAATACAATTTTCCTTTTATTCTCCCTTCCTTTCATTTAGGCTGTAGTTTTCACTTTTTAACTACAAAGCAATTTATCTCTTGATAACACTTCTAGTGTATTGTCCCTAAAATATTTTTGAAAGTAGTTCTATACACTTTTCCTGAGTAATGAAAACATCACATATTTGCTAACTTGAAAGAATCCCGAGTCAGGAGATGGCCTGGATTCTCTTTGACCCTTCAACTGAAGTCTTTGACCAAAGGAGCACGGGTGACCCCTCTCTCCTTCATTTTCTGACCTGTAGAGTATTGGACTCAATGACCGATCCTCTCTTCTAGCTCCAAAATACTGGGCTAAACTCCATGGAACTCCCTTCTGAGTTAAAAATAGTAGACAGGCCTGCACTATCAACATTTGTAGAAAATTACGAAATGCTTAGAGTCACTTTGTAATTTAGTCTAAGGTTTGAATGCATAAGAGTTCAAATGCAATAATTGTGTTGGTAACACAACAAAGACATGTATGTTTTTATGTACCTTTATGTTCTATGCATTAGTCCTTCATTCCTTGGCATGAGGAGAAGTGATGGTTTCTCAGTGACCTTCCAGAACTCTAAGGCTGTGTTTCTCACACCAGGCCTCAGGGTTTCTACATTTTGGACAAATTTCCAATATTGTACCCATGCACACCTGAGTCTAAGAACTCTGCTGTAAGGTGACATTAAACAGCACCTGAAGTTATATTTGAGATGATTACTCAGTAATCATTGTACAGTTGATTTTCGTAGTAGGGATTCAAACACTGAATAGGGCACAGTTTTAATTAAATCTGTATTTCTCAGTTGAAACTTTATTTTAGCAGTACATGACTTCTATTTCATGAATCATAAATGTCATGTGTCTTCACAAACTGTAGTTCTGAATTTAATTTATTCACCATTTTGTCGTCAAAAAGAAGAGTTGATGTTTTTGAAAGATGTAAACAGCTCTGCACCTGATGTTCTAAAGAAATAAAATATACCGCTGAACGCCCCCCCCAAAAAAAAAAAACTGAGCTGAGTGCATTGGCTCATGCCTGTAATCCCAGCACTTTGGGTGGCCAAGGTGGGAGGATTGCTTAAGGCCAGGAGTTCAAGATCAGCCTGGGCAATATAGCGAGATCCTGTCTCTACAAAAAAGAACAACAAAAAAATTTAGCCAGAGATGCTGGTGCACACCTGTAGTCCCAGCTACTTGGGAAGCTGAAGTGGGGAGGATCACTTGAGCCTGGGCGGTCATGGCTACAGTGAGCTGTGATCATGCCACTGCACTCTCGCCTGGATTATAGAGCAAGACCCTATGTCAAAAAAAAAAAAAAAAGGAAAAAAAAAGTAAAGAAATGCCTTTAACAGAGACCACCTCAGGTATTGCAGGTTGCTGTTACTTTAGTGGAGTTAAGAGAAATAATTTTTGGTCAGTGACTTATTGAATAAATTGACCATTTGTGCTGCTTCCCTGGGCGAGGGCATAGAGAATGGTACAAAGTAGGCTACGGTAGCCAGATAATCTTGTATGTAATTTTGAGCTATTAGTCTGGAGAATGGCATAAATAAATATCTGTAAAGGTGGCTAACCTTAGGGAAAAGCACGTTAAATGATTTTTTTTTGTTTGCCTGTCAGATTGACAAAAATTAAAGTTCGACAATGCTATGCTTATGAGGTTATGGGAGACCAGATTCTCTCGTACACTGTAGGTGGGAATGTAAAGAGTATAGCCTTTTTGTCAGACCAGTTTGGTATATGTCAGAATTTTAAATGCACATACCCTTTGGCATTCCGTTTCTGTTTCTAGCAAACTGCTCACATTTTGCGGTCTGCTCAAGGTCATGGCCTGCTCATAACCTTGTCCTGCTTGGCTATCAAAGGTTTATAAATTTTGTTAGTACTATTTCTGAATTTAATAAAATACCTCATTGTCCTGTTTACTTCAGATTTTTTTTCTAGTCCCTTATTTGCTTTTATGTTTTGGCTACAGATAGCCTATTAAGAACTAGCTAGATGTTTCAGTTTATGTATTTTAAGTTTTGTTTCCGTTTTGACTTCCCTGCAGTTTGTAACCTTAGATAACCCTCACCTCTTTAGAACTTTCATGAATTCTTCATTTTAGTTCTTTCTATTTTCTGTTTGTCTCTAAAAACTTTAACTTTTTAAAGATACCTGTAATTAATGTAGGGGGTATCAGATTGCTGACCAGTTATTGCAACACTATTTATTGAAAATTTCCCCTTCCCCTCCTTCTTCTAACATTAAATTACCTTATATATTATATTAGATTCATTTTTGAGTCTGTCCTGTAGTGGTTTGTTTGACAGGTCTGTTCTTGAGTTTACAGTCTTCTAACTAGTTTGCAAATAAAAATTCAGAAAATTAATTTAGAAAATCAAAAAATAATTGAGTGTTTATTTTTGCTGACAGAATCATCTTGTTGAGTTCCAAAAAGTCTTGTGGGATTTTTATTGCCATTCGTAGTAAACTTACACCTTTTGGAATGTTTGACATGGTTATAACATTTTATTTTCGCTCATTGCATTAAGTATATCTCAGTATTTTTATGTGGATTATAATTTTCTCATTAAAATATTTTCCATGTCTTTACATATTCATGCTATTTTGACTGATACCTCTTTTTATACTTTCTAACTTGTTATTGTTTGTCTGTTACAAGAGTTCCACAGATTTCATGTACCTGTTTAGCTTATTTCACATAAATATGAATTCTTTTATGAAAGCCATTTTAAAGTTAATTTCTCAGCAGTAACAGGGTTTTATTTTCTTTAGGCCTTCCAGATATATAGTCATATTTCTCATATTACACGGTAAGCTCCACAAGGACTGAAATGATTTATTTTTACTTATATTTGTATCCTAAGTGCCTGTCATTCAGTAATCAAACAGTATATAAATATTTGTTGAATGAGTGCAAGGGAACACTATAAGAATATGTACCATATACAGTGACTCTATGACTAAAACATTTTTTTTACTTGTCTATATATATCTGGTTTTGTAAAATAATGAGTATTCTTCTTTAACTAGAAAAAAAAAACAAATTTAAGGGAAAAAAATCACCTGTTTTATTAACTGCGGTCAATGGATAGCTTATCATTTTGCTAGAATTGATTGGATATTTGGTGTAAGTCCCAGATGAGTTGCCTGGAGATAGGAGTGACCTCTGAGGGCATGACATTGAACCCAGGAATATGAAGCAGGGCCCGCTCAAGAAGGATAGAGGGAAACTACTCACATCTGCAAAGTGTTTTGGTTTTGCTTTTCTGAGATGAAAGTGGTTTGCATCCAGAGCCTTAAGAACCACCATGGCTGGCCAGCATGTGTAATTTTAACGTAATTGCTAATCACTCACGAGGGGAAGAGATTTTTAAACATTTTTAAATAATAGAGACAGGGTCTTGCTATGTTGCCCAGGCTGGTCTTGAACGCTTGGCTCCAAGCCATCCTCCCACCTTCGCCTCCCAAAGTGCTGGGATTATAGGCGTGAACCATTGCACCTGGCCCCGGGGGAAGGGATTTTTGTATTTATTATGCATTTAGTGTGTATCATTGCTCTATAGCCATGTTATTCTATAGTCTCTACAATAACCTTACTCATTCAGTTATTCTTTCAACAAAGATTTGAGAACCTGTGATATGCTCGGCTATGTAGAGAAAAAAAATTCTCAAACTGTGTTTTTCCTCTGTTCACGCCACGGCAATCATCAACACAGAAGACTTCCATGACCATATGTGTGGGGATTCTTCCTCTACACACCACATCAGCTGGGTGTCTTCTAGTTCACTTTCTGTACTGGGTGTCTTCTGGTTCACTTCCTGCACTATCTACCAGGAGATAGTGTCAGATTGCACAGGGTGAGGACTCAGTCTCCATGACTGCCCCTCCCAACCCCCATCAGTTGCAACTCTGGGCCTCCAGGACTTCTAACCGACAACAGCTTCAAGTTGGGGTTCCCATGGCTCCCTTTTTAGGTTCGATTAATTTGCTGAGGTGGTTTACAGAACTCAGGGAGATGCTTCTGTTTACCGGTTTATTACAACATATATTGCAAAGGATCTAGAGGAGGGAGATGCTGGGGGCGAGGAATGGGGGAAGGTGCGAGCTTCCATGCCCTCCCTGGGTGCACACCCTCCAGGGACCTCCACTGTGTTCAGCTATCTGAAGGCTTCCTGGGCTCAGTTCTCTTGGGTTTTTATGGAGGCTTCCTGACATCAGCATTCGTCCCTCAGAGTATAGAGCGGGACCCTCTCTAAGGAGGGTTTAAGACCAATCATCAGAAAGGCAGAGGGAGTAGAGTCCTGCCTTGGGGCAGGTGAAAGGAGGGCAGAAGAAAATCAGAGAAGCTGCCCATGAGGCCTAACACACCCAACCTTGTAACAAAAGCCTGGGGCTGGGACTGGTGGCTCACACCTGTAATCCCAGCACTTTGGGAGGCAGAGGTGGGTGGATCACTTGAGGTCAGGAGTTCGAGACCAGCCTGGCCAACATGGTGAAACCCCGTCTCTACTAAAAATACAAAAATAGCTGGGCATGGTGGTAGGTACCTGTAGTACCAGTTACTCGGGAGGCTGAGGCAGGAGAATCTCTTGAACCTGGGAGGCAGAGGTTGCAGTGAGCCGAGATCTTACCATTGCACTCCAGCTTGGGCAACAGAGTGAGACCCTGTCTCAAAAAAAAAAAAAAAAAAAAAACCTGGTATGAGCACTATGGTAGTTACCAGCCAGGAACCATGGGCAAAAATCAATATATATTATAACACCACATTGATACTATTTGAGTCACTAGAAATGTAACAGTAGAGAAGGAACATAAGGTCTCTGTCCTCAGCAAATTGCATTCTGGCAGTGAGGGAGACAGACCAACAGGTAAATAAGTAAATAAAAAATATTTATTAGAAATAAGACATGGAGGCTGGGTGTAGTGGCACATGTCTGTAATCCCAGCACTTTGGGAGGCCAAGGTGGGTGGATCACTTGAGGCCAGGAATTTGAGATCAGCCTGGTCAATATGGCGAAACCCTGTCTCTACAAAAAATTCAAAACTTAGCCAGGTGTGGTGCCACAGGCCGGTAGTCCCAGCTATTCAAGAGGCTGAGGCTAGAGGATCGCTTGAGCTTGGGTAGGTCGCGTGCAGTGAGCCCATGATTGCACCACTGCACTCCAGCCTAGGTGACAGAGTGAGACCCTGTCTCAAAAAAAAAAAAAAGGAAAAGAGAAAGAAATAGCACACGAAGGCCAGGCATGGTGGCTCACATCTGTGAGAAGTTAAAGAAGTTAAAGACCAGCCTGGGCTACCTTGTGAGACCCTGCCTCTACCCCTCCCAAAGAATAATAAGAAATAGGACATGGAGAAGCGGCATTTGGCCCAGGACAGGAGAGGGTTGGGTAGGTTGGGGTAGGTAATATTTCACATAGGCTAGGGAAGGCCTCTCACAGTCTGCCATGAAAGCTTAGATCTAAACAATGAGAAAGAAACCACCACCTGGACAGCAAGGAGCATGGCATTCCTCACATTGGAACAGCATGTGCAAAGGCTCTCCCAACAAAGGGGGAAGTGGAAAGGATAGCAGTTTAAAACAACGTTCATTTATTTTTTATTTTTTTAAAAGACAAGGTCTCTGTTGCCCATGCTGGAGTTCAGTGGTGCAGTCATAGCTCGCTGCAACCTCAAATTCCTAGCCTCAATCAGTCGTCCTACTTCAGCCTTCCTAAGTACTGGGAATACAGGCGTGAGCCATCGCCCCTAGTCCATAGCACTCGTTTATTATCTCAAAGTTCTGTAGATTTGAGGTCCAAGCAGGCTCCACTGGGTATTCTGCTGAGGACCTCAGGAGGTCAGAATTAAGCACCGGCCAGCCTGGGTTTTTATTTGGAGGTGATAGGGAGAGTCTCCTTCCACACACACTCATGTCGGCAGAATTCATTTTCATGTAGTGAAGGTCTGAGGTCCTCATTTCTTTGCTATCTGTCAGCCAGAAGTCATTCTCAGCTTCTAGAAGCCACTCAAATTTCTTGGCTTTTAGTCTCCAGCTTCAAAACCATCAGTAGTGCTTTGACTCTCTCTAACTTCACATTCTGTCTCTTCTGTTTTTTAAAAAGAGAGCTTTATTGAGGTATAATTCACATACCATACAATTCTCTGTTTAAAGTACACAATTAAGTGACAACCATTACCACAGTCAACTTTAGAACATTTTCATTATCTCAAAAAGAAACCCATGCCCTTTCTCTATCCCCTTTATTCCCATCCTCTCCCCTCTTAGTGCTCAGTGACCACCAGTCTATTTTCTGTCTCTAGATTTCCCTGGTATGGATGTTCAGATGAATGGAATCATATAACGGGTGGTCTTTTATAACTGGCATCTCTCACTTAGCATGTTTTCAGGGTTCACCATGTTGTAGCATATATCAGTACTTCATTCCTTTTTATGACCAAGTAATATTCCATTTTATGGATATATGACATTTTGTTTATTAATTCATCATCTGATGTACATTTGGGTTGTTTCTGCTCTTGGACTATTACGGATAATGCTGATATAAACATTCATGTACATGTTTCTCTGTGGACACGTTTTTATTTCTCTTAGTCTGGGAGTGAAATTGCTGGTTTCTATGGTAATATTGTTTAATCATTTGAGAAACTGCCAGACTTCTCCACAATGGCTGTACCATTTTACATTTCTACAAGCAATGTATGAGGGTTCCAGTTTCCCCACATCCTTCCCAACACTTGTTATTTCTGACTTTTTGGTTCTAGTCATCCTACTGGATGTGAAGTGGCATCTCATTGTGGTTTCATTTTGCATTTCCTTGATGACTGATGATGTGGAACATCTTTTCACATACTCATGACTGTTTTCCTATCTTTCTGGAGAAATGTCCATTCAGATCTTTTACCTGCTGAAACAATTGTTACTTACTTTTTTATTATTGAGTTATAAGAATTCTTTATATATTCTGGTTACGAGTTCCTTATTACATAAATGACTTGCAAATATTTTCTTTCATTCTGTGGGTTCTATTTTCACTTGATAAGGTCCTCTGAAGCACAAAGATTAAAATTTTGTGAGAGTACAATTTATCTGTCTTTTGTTGCTCCTGCTTTGTCAACTCCAGTCAACAAAACCCTTTGTCAAATTCAGTATGAAGATTTTACCTCTATATTTTCTTCTGGGAGCTTTAGTTTTAGCTTTTACATTTAGGTCTTTGATTGATTCTGAGTTAATTTTTATACGTGGTATGAAGTAAGCATCTAAAATGTAATATTCTTTTGCACGTGGCTATCCAATTTTCCCAGCACTGTTTGTTGAAAAGACTCTTTTTTCTCCATTGAATGGTCTTGGTACTTTTGTGGAAAATCAGTTGACCGAAGATGTGTGGGTTTATTTCTGGAACTCAGTTCTATTCTGTTGATTTCTATGACTGTCCTTGTGCCAGTACCACACTGTAGTAATTGCTATGGCCTTGTAGTAACTTGAAATCAGGAAATGTAAGTTTTCTTACATTCTTTTGAAGACTGTTTTGGCCATTTTGGGTCCTTGTTCTCTTCTGCGTTTTAGGGTTCATGTGCTTTTCTTGGGCCCATCTAGATAATCTAGGATAATCTCCTTATTTCCATTATTAGTCAACTTAATTATATCTGCCAAGTCTTTTTTGCAGTGTAAGGTGACATAATCACAGTTGTAGCACCAGAGAGTGAAGGTCATGGGTGCACAGGTCCTATGAGGCTTAGTTTGGTGAAAAGATAGAGAATGATAGGAGCAGAGAGGCTGGAGAGGGAGATAGGAAAGGGAGTTTCAGAAATATTACATAGTTGCCTAAAGTCACATTTCTAGTATGTGGCAGAGCTGGGGTTTGAGTGCAGATTTGACTGATCTCTGTGATTTCATGGTCTACACCAAATCAGTCTTAGACTCAGAGCTATTGCTATTGTTTCTGTCTAATACATACTGAGCTTTTAATGTGTGCCAAGTAATCCACAGAGTACTCCTTTATTTTTTTTCTAGCTCTTAAAGAGCATCTGTACAAGTCTTTTGGCATAGATAATAGGCTGTACTGGAACTAGCTTGATAAAAAAAGAAAAAAGCAGTTACGGGACCAGGGGGTATGACTCAGAATCTGAGGGTGGGCGTGCAGCTAAACCTTAGCCAGCGATTGGAACTGGGAGATTGAAATCACTCGGGACGTACAGGACCTTCTACTTTTCTCTGCTTCTTGGCGTATGTCTATTTCACTCTGTAGACTGTCCTGATACTCGGACCAATTGATGGAAGATGGTCATGTCACACAGCTCCATCATTTAAGAGAACAGCCCCGACTTAGTCCCATTTCCAAAACTCAAGCAAAAGACTCTAACACAGTTTGGGGCAATCAGCTGTGACCCTGAATTGGGGGACCATTCACCTTATACAAACATAGCTTCTGCTAGCTTATCTTTGTGGATTCAGAGGACGGTTTCCTGATACACAGGAGGTATTTGCACATGTGCTAGGCAGACTCCCCAAACTATGTTCATTTTAGTAACATCAACTAGTACTGTCATACTTACAGTACAAAATTTTAAAAAACTTAATTGATCTGTGGAAAAAATAGGTATTTCCTTTTGCCCATTTCTCTTGGAAGGGAAGAAAAGGGTCATCAGGATGATCATGGCGAGAAGATTAGCTCAGACTTTCAAAATAATTTGAAACCCAGGACTTGGTATACTAAGTGTAGGCTTACTTGAGCCTAGGAGTTCAAGACCAGCCTGGATAACATGGCAAAACACCGCCTCTACAAAAAAATACAACAATTAGCCAGGCATGGTGGCTGAGTGGTGGGAGTATTGCTTGAGCTCAGGAAGTGAAGGCTGCAGTGAGCTGTGATCATGCCACTGCACTCCAGCTTGAATGACACACCCTGTGTTCCAAAAAAAAAAAAGAAGCTTAGTGATGTCTCTGCCACTTAATATCTTTTTGATGGAATAAGTTATGATTTCTTAATATTAGTATCTTCATCTCTTACAATAGGACATAGTAGATGGTCTTTAAAGTTTCTGCAGCTTAACATTTTAGGACTATTTTTCTTTCTTTTTTTTTTCTATTTCTTATTTTCTTTCTTTCTACCTAAGCCTCATCTACTATTTATAAATGGCTGGTGTCTTAGATCTAAATCCTGACCTTGGGAAGCTTTAACCTTGTAGAGGAAGTAAACAGTAAACTTGAGAGTTCTTTCTAATTAGATTTCCCTCTCCCTGCCAAGTCTCATTAAATAACTCTTACAGATCTGTCCTCTAAGGTAGATTACCACCACCCGTCGTCTTTCCCTTCCCAGTGTGTTACCTCTTACTTATTTATTTATTTTTGAGACAGGGTTTCACTCTGTTGCCCAGGCTGGAGTGCAGTGGTGCGACCTTGGCTTACTGCAGCCTCTGCCTCTGCCTCTGCCTCCCAGGTCCAAGCGATTCTCGTGCCTCAGCCTCCTGAGTACCTGGGATTACAGGCAAGCGCCACCACACCTGGCTACCCACTGTGTTACCTCAAGTCCTCTAATTGTAGTTGTCTCTTGGTCAGTATCCGTTGTCTCCTGTTCTGTACTTCTCCCTAATCCAACCTAGAAATTGCCTCTCAAGTTTTTTGTTTGTTTGTTTTTGTTTTTTTTTGAGACTGCGTCTCCCTCTGTTGCCCAGGCTGGAGTGCAGTGGCGTGATCTTGGCTCACTGCAACCTCCATCTCCCAGGTTCATGCGATTCTCGTGTCTCAGCCTCCCGAGTAGCTGGGATTACAGACGTCTGCCACCATGCCCAGCTGATTTTTGTATGTTTAGTAGAGATGGGGTTTTGCCATGTTGGCCAGGCTGGTCTCAAACTCCTGCCCTCAGGTGATCCACCTGCCTCGGCCTCCCAAAGTGCTGGGATTATAGGTGTGAGCCACCGTGCCAGCCGAGGTTTTTTTTTTTTTTTTATCATAGAGTAAAATTGATTTGGGAGGAGCATAATGTTCTGCGAATTTTTAAATTTTATTAGATTTATGTAAACACTTCCACAATCAGAATACAGAACAGTTTCATCACCCCAAAAAACTTTCTTGTGCTAATCCTTTATAGTCACATCCTTTCCTACCCCTAGTTCCTAAATGGAATCGTACAGTATGTAAACTTTTAAGATTGGCTGCTATGGTCTGAATCTTTGTGTGTCCTCCAAATTCATATGTTGAAATTCTAATCCAAAAGTTGATGCTACTAGGAGGTGGAGCCTGTGGGAGGTGATTAGTTCATGAAAGTGGAGCCCTCATGATTGGGATTAGTGCACTTAGAAGAGACCGCAGAGAGCCTAGCCATGTGAGGACACAGGGAGAAGGTACCTTCAATGAACCACCAGACACCAACATCTGTTGACTTCTTGATCTTGAACTTGCCAGCTTCCTGAACTGTGAGAAATAAATTTCTGTTTTTTTTATCACCTACCCAGTTTATGGTATTTTGTTACTGCAGCCAGAAGGAACTAAGATGCTGGCATCTATCAGCATAAAGCCTGTGAGATTCATCGAAGTTGTTGGGTGTACTGATACCTGTTGTTCTTGTTCTCCTGAGTAGCATTCTGTTGTATGGATGCACCATAGTTTGTTTATTCATTCACCCATTGAAGGATATTTTAGTTGTCATTTTTTTGTCATCACAAATATTGCTACTATAACTATTTATGTACAGAATTTTGAGTAAATAGCAGTTTTTATTTCTCTAGAGGAAATACCCAGGAGAGGGATTGCATGGTTGGATGGTCATCGTATGTATACAGTTTTATGAAACCTGTTTTCTCTAGTGTCTGTACTATTTTGCATTCCACTAGGAAGGTATGAGGGTTTTAGTTGCTCTGCATCCCTGCTACCACTTAGTATTGTCAGTATTTATTTTTTTTCTGAGGTGGGGTCTCACTCTGTCACCCATACTGGAGGGCAGTGGTGTGATCTTGGCTTGCTGCAGCTTCCACCTCCCAGGCTCAAGTGATGCTCCCACGTCAGCCTACTGAGTAGCTGGGACCACAACCATGCACCACCATCCCTCCCTAATTTTTTTGTATTTTTTTTTGGTAGAAACAGGGTTTTGCCATGTTTCCCAGTCTGTGTCAGTATTTTCTATTTTAGCCAGTCTAATAGATTTGAGTGATATTTCATGGTGGTTTTAATTTGCATTTCTTTAATGATTGAACAATGTTGAACAACTATTCATATGCTTATTTGCCACCATGTCAGTAACTGCAAGGGACCTGAATTTTGAGTTCTCCCTACTTAAACGTAGCAAGTTAGTCTCCATGGTTTCATGGATATTGGCCCAAGACATGAAACTCCTGGGTTGGAGGCAAAAGGGGAGGACACAGGTCACAGGACATCAGCAGAACCAGCCTCATGTCCACGTGGACTACCTTTGCCCTGTAAGTTCCCTGTGGGCAATGACACAAGTAGGAAATCCAAGCTCAGGGAACTCAGCTCTCATAAGGGGTGGCAAACAAATGTTTCAAACCTTTGATATGAAGGGAGACATTATATTTACTGTACTGGACAGTTAATAAATTGTCTTCTGCTGTGGAAGGAGCTATCATCTTTCTCTTGTAAGGATGTTCAATATACAAACATCTTTGACTGGACAGTATGTAGCAAAGGACTCTCATGGAAATGTGGGACACCGGTGTGTATAACTTCTTTGGTAAAGTGTCTGTTGAGATTTTTTGCTCATTTTTAAATTGGGTGGTTTGTTTTCTGACAGCTGAGTTTTGAGAGTTCTTTATACATTCTGGGTACGTAAGTTCTTTGCCAAATAGGTGATTTGCCATTATTTTCTCTCATTCTGTAGCTTGTCTTTTCTTTTCTTTTTTTTTTTTTTTTTGAGGCAGAGTCTCACTCTGTCATCCAGGCTGGAGTGCAACTTATCTCGGCTCACTGCAAGCTCTGCCTCCTGGGTTTATGCCATTCTCCTGCCTCAGCCTCTCGAGTAGCTGGGACTACAGGCGCCCACCACAATGCCCGGCTAATTTTTTGTTTTTTTAGTAGAGACGGGGTTTCACCGTGTTAGCCAGGATGGTCTTGATCTCCTGACCTCTTGATCCACCCGCCTCAGCCTCCCAAAGTGCTGGGATTACAGGCGTGAGCCACCGCGCCCGGCCGTCTTTTCATTTTCTAAACAGTTATTCCCAGAGCAAAAGTGTTTTGTTGTGTTGCCAAGTTTGGTATACAGGTTCTGTGGGCTGTGGCTTTAATGTCAGTCCATTGTTGGGAGTTTTGTAGTGCTGTTTCCATCTGTTTTGTGTATGTGCTGATCTGATGAGACCTGCATAGTGGTCTCTCCGTTAGTTCCAATTTGGAAACCTTTGGTACTGAATAGCATCAGATCCATGCATATGCAGCCTAGGGGTAAGCCTAGAAATTGCTTTCTTGAGTTCTCCTCAGCAATTTTTCCCACACTTTTTGTTCCCAAAGGGCTCATATTTTCTTTCTTTTGTCCAGAAAACTGTGGATTTAGTTACTCCACTCTGCCATGTCCTTCCACCACTGCCTGCACATTTGAGACCAAGGATAGAGATTGGGAAAAATCCATAGTTCTCCTGACTCAGAGTTTGGCTCCGGCACTCTCATTTCAGCCATAGCTGCAGACAAAGCACACGACTGCTGGGCACTGTGGCTCAAGAGAAGGGGGAGATGGTAAGTGGGGGATCCCCATATTCTCTCTGGCTGTTAAGAGTTTCTTTTCACATGCCTGGAGCCCGAACTAGAGGAGCTTTCTCTGTGCTGTGGGGCCCATTTCCAGGTTGGCTGGTGGTATTGGATGGGAGAAAGTGGTAATCTGTTAGACGGCTGGGTGATACTTTCAATTCTGGTCTTCCCCACTTCTCCATTTTGCTTTTCAGAATCCTCAAAAGTAGTGCACATTGCATACTGTCAGGTTTGATAGCTGGTGACTTTCCATCTGGACTCAGTAGCTTCGAGTTTTAAAAATCCATCATGATTTGACTTCCCACCTAACTTCTTTAGTTTATCTTCTGTCTATACTACATCATTCATATTTTACATTTGCCTTCCTGCTTCTGAGCTTTTTGTGAAAGGCATTCTTCCTGTCCAGAATATCCTTCCTCTTTCTGTCATCTTTCCAAGACCCTTTCAACACAAGGCTCTTTAAGGTCTATCACCAGCATCCCCAAGTGGTCTCTCTGTACTCCCTAGGTCAGAATTTGTATGTGCGTTACTCCCCAACAGTTTCCTAACACTTTCTCTTTTTCCGTGTTTTTCAGTCTGCGTGTACTTTTGGTTATGAGCTTCATGAGGGCAAAGACGTGTTCTATCAGTTGCATCACCAGTGCCATCTAGCTCAGTTCTCTGCACACAGTTGGCACTTAGTAAATGTTTGAGTTAAATTAATGAGACCTCCAAGATATAGGGCCTAATTTTATCTGCACATGTGAGTCCCTTGAATGAATGCTGTAGAGTGCTGCTTTTTTACTGTGCTTGTTTGGCAGTTTGTTATTGTGGAGAAGAATGAGGACCATGTGGTTTCAGTTTGAAAGGAAATTGTTGCGTAGCGATTTACCATGCAGCTGTGAGACTATGAACAAATGACTTTAAATATTATACAGTAGAAAAGAAAATTGACTTTGGAAATTATGGTATTATTTCAATTTTTTTCTCTTCTCTTCTTTCTGGACAAGGCCTCGCTCTGTCACCCAGGCTGGAGTGCAGTGGTGTGATCATAGCTCACTGCAGCCTGCACCTCCTAGAGAGGCGATCCTCCTGTCTCAGCCTCCCGAGTAGCTGGGACTACAGGCATACACCATCACACCTCGCTAGTTTTTGTATTTTTTTGTAGAGATGGGGTCTTGCTGTGTTGCCCAGGCTGGTCCTGAACTCCTAACCTCAAGTGATCCTCCCACCTTGGCCTCCCAAAGTGGCATGAGCCACTGTGCCCATACTGGGTTTGTTTTTTTTTATTTACAGTAGCCGTCCTAATGGGTATGAAGTGATATCTCATTGTGGTTTTGATTTGCATTTCTGTGATGATTAGTGATGTTGAGCATTTTTTCACATGTTTGTCGGCTGTTGGTATATCTTTGGAGAATTGTCTATTGAAGTCCTTTCCCATTTGTTAACCGGATTATTATTATTATTTTTTTGTTATTGACTTGTAGGAGTTCCTTTATATTCTGGATATTAACCCTTTATTAGATATGTGGTTTGCAGATATGTTCTCTCATTCTGTGTGTTGTTCCTTTTTACTCTGTCAGTTGGTTCCTGTGTTGTGCAGACGTTTTAAATCTTGATGTAATTAATGTATTTGTCTGATTTCACTTTTGTTGCCTGTGCTTTTGGTGTCATATCCTAGAAGTCATTGCAAAATCCAGTGTTGGGAAGCTTTTCCCCTAAGTTTTGTAGTTTCCAGCCTTTACGTTTAGGTATTTAATCCAATGTTAGCCCTTTCTTAATGGGTTCTGTGTATTTTCGGCAGGGAATAAGTCTTTAATATGACTGTTTCAGGAATTTACCATAGTTAACTTTTCTTTTTTCCTTCTTCCTTCCTCCCCTCTTTCCCTCCCTCATTCCCTCCCTCTTTCATTCCCTTCTTCCCTCTCTTACAGCTTGAAGATAATGGAATCACTCACTTTTTGTTCATAATTGGTAAGATTTTAGTTGGTAGAATGATAATTCCTTTTCAACAGAACTTTGTTATTTGTTCATTGGTTAGCAGGAAGAAGATGAGCCTTAAGTCTGAACACTGAGGAATTCATGTGCATCAGTCAGACCTCCTGTGCAAGGAAGGATGTGGTTACTACGGCAACCCTGCCTGGCAGGGTTTCTGCTCCAAGTGCTGGAGGGAAGAGTACCACAAAGCCAGGCAGAAGGAGATTCAGGAGGACTGGGAGCTGGCGGAGCGGTAAAAGGACTTAACTAGGGGTAGTTGAACAGTGACGTGACTGGATACATACTTCTGTCACCGTCCAGATACATTTTTTTAAATTTCTGCTTTGACCTATCAGCAAGTCAGTTTAAAATTAAGGAAAAGGATGTTTTCTCCTCTTCTTCTCAGTCAACCTTTAATGAACAGCTTTCAATAGTTTCTTCATTTTGTGTATGTCTTAACTTCTGATTATATTCTTTGGGTTGTGTTAGTTCTCAAATTTAGACAATAAGCTCCTTGGAGTGGAAGAATGGAGATAGGCATATTTCCCGGTGAAGATTAAATGAGCTAATAAATATGATGTACCCAGTGCAGGGCTTGCAAATGGCACTCATCAAGCATTATTTCCCTTGTTCTTTTAATATATTCAGCGTGGCATGTAGCTCAGTGATAAAACACAGTAGTAGAAATCTGTTGACTTGTATACATAGTCCTTGCATTATAGAAATTTAACTTTTCCTTAAAAATTAGATTAGTCAAAGGCAGTTTATATTATCTGGAAATACAGTGATGTTAAAAATTAAATAATGAGCCAGGCGCAGTGGCTCATGCCTGTAATCCTAGCACTTTGGGAGGCTGAGGCGGGAGGATCACTTGAGGTCAGGAGTTTGAGACCAGCCTGACCAACATGGTGAAACCCCATCTCTACTAAAAATATTTAAAAAGTTAGCCAGGCGTGGTGGTGCGCACTTGTTATCTCAGCTACTCAGGAGACTGAGGCAGGAGAATTGCTTGAACCCAGGTGTTGGAGGTTGCAGTGAGCCGAGATCGTGCCACTGCACTCCAGCCTGGGTGACAGGGTGAGACTCTGTCTCAAAAAAAAAAAAAAAAAATTAAATGATGGGATGGCTAGTGAGCATAGGAACTAATAAAATGCCATGAATAATGTTAATTCTTTGCCAGAGCATTTTGGAAATTCTAAAACTGCTTCAACAGAAGAAAGTCAAATGGAATTCTGCCAAATCTTCTTGGTAGTTTTTTTGTTTTTTTCATCCAGTCAGCCAATATTTGTTGAGTGACTATTTTGCTGGCATCTGTGGTGAACTCAGAGAATTAGAAATTACACATTGCTTTCAGTGACTGTGGTCAATCAAAGAGAAAATTTTAGCCCAGAACATGAATGATCTCCTCAGGGTTTCCACTGCATGCCTGATGCTGTCAGTAGCAGATCCTGTTTCAAAAACAGTAGAGGGCACTAGGCACCAACTGCCTCAGCTTCCTCCCCTTGCCACATAAAAATGTACTAATACCTTTATATTAACTTCTTGTCTGTTCCAGAGAAAGAGGTGTCCTGATTCCATCCTCAGACTTAGCACCTCCACCTGTGATTTTTGTTTCTATTTCTTACTGCTTTTAATTGTGACCCTGCTAAATCTCTTGGAAAGCTTGTAAAAGCAGTGATTGCTGGACCTTACCCTTAGAGTCTCTGATTTTAGTAATTTGGGAGTAAGACTAGAGAATCTGCATTTCTAACAAGTTGCCTGGTGATGCTGCTGCTGCTGTCTGGGGAATCACACTTGGAGAACCACTGTCTTATAGATAGTGCTTGGTTTTTTGTTTTGTTTTGTTTTGAGACAGGGTCTTGCTCTGTCACCCCAGCTGGAGTATAGTGGTGCAGTCTCAACTCACTGCATCCTCTGCTTCCTTGGCTCAAGTGATCCTCCTGCTTCAGCCTCCCAAGTAGCTAGGACTACAGGAGCATGCCACCATGCCCAGCTAATTTTTGTATTTTATGTAGAGACAGGGTTTCACCATGTTGCCTAGGCTGGTCTCAAACTCCTGAGCTCAAGTGATTCAGCCGCCTTGGCCTCCCAGCGTGTTGGGATTAAGGGCGTGAGCCCCCGCACCCGGCCTGTGTTTGTTATTTATTACAGATGGTTCACATGCAGCTAATCCGAAGCCAAATTTATTGCTTTTATTTATTATTCTCCCCATTCTGAACATTTTCCTCCTAACCCTTCTCGTGAGTCAGTTAATGGCGTCATTCTTTACCAAGTTAGCTAAAAAACCTTGGTTTCACTCTTGATTTCTCTTTAACCTCCCTTGGCACCTACAATTTGACCAAGTTCTGTTTGTTCCAACTTAGAAAAGTCTTTTGAATTTTACCTTTTCTACTCCTCTTTTCCAGGTATTTATTTTCTTTTACTTAAACCTTTATAATATACTCTTAATTCCTGTCCATGTCTCTGGTTTCTCTATCCTTCAAGTTGTTCTTACAGCTACCTGCATGATCTTTCTAAAGCACAGATCTGACAACAATAACTTTTTGGATTTACAGTCTTTCTTGCTTCCCCACCGCATGATGAAATCCAGAATAGGCTTAGCAATGGGCTTAGCAATCAAGATTCCCTACCCTCTGGTGCCTTCCTGTGTAGCCAGCATCACAGTTCATCACACGCCAGTGCTCTGGCTACATTCAGCTTGTTGTGAAGCAAACCACAGGCTTGCACATTCGTAGTTCCTTCTTCCTGGAATGTCCTTTCACGTAGAATCCTAATCATCCTTATCAGTCAGGCGTGGTGGTGTGTGCCTGTAGTCCCAATAACTTGGGAGGCTGAGGGATGAGAATTGCTTGAACTTGGAAGGCAGAGGTTGTAGTGAGCTGAGATCGTGCCATTACACTCCAGGCTGGGTGATGGAGTGACACACTGTCTCAAAAAAAAAAAAAAAAAAAAACAGAAACAAAAAAAGGATCCTGTTTGTCCTTTAAGACTCACCCCAAACAGCACCGTTGTAAAGCCTCATCAGACTCCTCCAGCAGATTGCGTTGTTCTTTTCTGTGTTCTCACAGCACTCAATTTTTACTCTCTGATGTAGCAGCTGTCCCATTATATAGCAGTTGTTTACTTACCTTTTTGTTTGTTCCAACCTTGAGCTTGTTAGGGAAAAGGACTAGACTTTCTTTATTTCACTGAGCTTGTTGGGGAAAAGGACTAGACTTGGTTTCTTTCATGTAACCCTAGAGCAGTTGCTGAATGAGCATGAGAAGATCCCATTTGAAATCTGTAGTGCATGAAGAGCAGTCCATCCTGTAGCTATGTGAGACCTCAGACTGATTTTGCATATTTAGTCTCTAGTTCTAAAATCTTTAGATCCTCCTGAATAAATGGAGTAATAACCTTCAGATACAGAGAAATCTTGGAGAATATCTAGATCATTCTAATCCTCTCTTGAATTGCAGACTCCAGTGGGAGGAAGAGGCCTTTGCCAGCAGTCAGAGCAGCCAAGGGGCCCAATCCCTCACATTCTCCAAGTTTGAAGGAAAGAAAACCAACGAGAAGACCCACGAGGTTACCACAGTGAAGAAATCTTCAGTGCGTCTTCCAGGGTCGGATCAAAGAAGGGTAATGTTCTGATACTCTTTTTTTTCTTCTCTGCCTGAGTGAGACACAGAGTAGATCCAAAATGCTTATAGGCTCAGCTTTGTAATTTCTGTCAACTTTTTGAGAACATCAGCTCAGATTTGAGACTGAAATTGGGTTTGAGGGTCAGACAATATATGAAACCCATACTCTCTTTGGTCAAAAGACATTGTGTTTTAGAGAAATTTGTTTACTCTGTAGGAGGAGTCAAGAGAATTGAAATAGGTAGTTTTGTTTATGAAATTCATGCCTATCCAAGTGACTGTCTCTTTGGATGTTTTGTTTTTTGTGCATTTGTGGATCTTGGTTTGTTCTGTGGCATAATACCCTCACTGTTCATAGCTTGTCAGAAATGGTGATTTCTAGGCTTGAAAGTCATCTGAGAGAGAGATTTTCTGCCCGAGAGCTTATTTGAGAGACAGCTTGTGTCTTGGGGAAGTGTATTGAGAGCATATAGGAAAAAGCCCACGTTGGGCTCTTGGGGGGATGAAAGTGAGCCATAGTAGCTGTTTTCCAGTGCATGGGTTTGTATGTAGGTGATCATATTCACCCGGCTTCTTAAAGTGCCATATAACCAGCAAGAAGATTGTCACGTAAGTCACAGGTGTTCTACAATTGAGCAGACAAGCCAGTTGAAATGGCCCAACATGAAGCAAGAAAGAATCTTTGTCGTTAGGCCTTGGTCTCCGAAAATTTATGTTGGTACTCAGAGTTATGCAGTCAATGTGAAATAATGAGGGAGACTGGGAACCGACACTGATGCTGTCAGAAGACCTGTTTTCTGGGAGCCCCCTCTCTTGCTCCCCAGTTCCTACCCTGGGGTAATTGTAATGAGTTCTCCCCTGGAGGCAGGGGAATGAATAATAAGACAGTGTTACCCCTTAAGACCCTTGCCAATCTTCTAGGTTTTGTGACTTTTGCTGTTTCCTTTTGTTTTATTATAAGGAAATAAAAGGAAATATTGCTTACCAAAAACACACTTCTCCTTAAGACATGGATACCAGATGCAGTGGCTCATGCCTATAATCTCAGCACTTTGGGAGGCCACGATGAATGGATCACCTGAGCTTGGGAGTTTGAGACCAGCCTGGGCAACATGGTGAAACCCCATGTCTACAAAAAATACAAAAATTATCCGGAACCACCTGCATGATTACATGATTAATTTGGTTGTTTCTTGGTTGGCTGCCAGTTGTAGCTATTTTGTCTCTACTAAAAAGGGGAAAAAAATTAGCACCTGCCAGAGATTAAATAAGTATGTATTCGGCTCATGATTTATTTATTAGGAGGTGAAATTTCCAGGTGGTTAGTAAGGTGACTTTGGAGTCACTCCTGGTTTGAGTCCTAGCTTTGTCATTTACCACCTTTGTGACCCTGGGCGGACTAACAACTCCAAGTCTTGTCCACACTGAGGGACAGTAATACCTATCAGAGATATGTGATGAGGATTCAATGAGTTGACATATGTAAAGAGCTTAGCATAGTGCCCGACACACACGTTAGATCTCCAGTAAGTGTTAGCTTTTTTAAAATGCAAGTTATTCTTCTGATAGAATAATCTTGCAGGGAGCTAAAGGCCATTTATTATTAAGATCCTTCATTTCTATTTAGCTTAAAGTCTGTTTCTTGATGATACGTAGTGAAATGATAAGTATTTATAACAGATGAAATAGTAAAAAAATTATAAAATTATCAGCTCGAATAGCCTCATTTTGCAGATGACAATATGAAAGTCCATAAATGTTAACTGATTTACCCAAGGTTGCACAATCTGTTTGTGTATGAGAACTCAGGTCTCCTAACTCCTGGGTCAATATTTTTCCATTATATTCCTTTATTCAATGTGTATACTTCAGAAACCCAGGTTATTTAATGTGTATAATAAATAGTAAATATATATATATATAATTAAGTTTCTGTTACTTAAGTACGTAATTGTCATTTATATTCGCTGACTCCCCTTGGTGATTTTAAAAACCTATGTCCCAAAAGCCTCTGTACAGTGTGCATGATACTATGGAAAGAAGATTTACAATTTAGTGCAGAGTCTGTACTTTAAAAAGAAACAATTCTGGAGCTGGGTGCAGTGGCTTCTACCTACCTGTAATCCCAGCTACTTGGAAGACTAAGGTAGAAGGGTTACATGAGCCTAGGAGTTAGTGGCTCCAGTGAGCTGTGATTGTGCCATTGTATTCCAGCCTGGGCAGCAGAGTGAGACACCATCTCTAAAAAAATTAATTAATTAAAAAAAGAAACAATCCAAGTGACTTTTATTTTAAAAATATGTATGCAGAACGGTTTTTACCTTTGTTCTTGTTTCCCCCCGCCCCCCATCTTTTCGAATGGTAGATTTGTACTTTCTATTTTTTGTTCTTTAGTTGCTTTTTGTCAGTAGAAAGCTTTTGGGGATAAAGACCTTAAAGCATTTAAAAATTTATGTTAGAAAAGAAGATTCCATTATGTCTTTGTTTCACAGATCACTTAATATAACTTAGCCAGGTAAATTTTGCATTTCACACTGATTACTTGTTTGGCCATTGTGTTTGGATAAGGTTAGCCTAAGTGCAGTTTTAATGTATTGGGCCTAGACTAGAAACAGACTTTTTGGATTCTGTATTCTTTATCTTCTTTAGTCCATGATGCCCTTGCTCTTGGTATTTTACTTGTTTCTATTAGTAGCATAAAGGAAAGCTTTTACGCCATACATAGCAGCTTGGAAGCAGACAAAATACAAATAAACTTCTATGGAATTTGAAGACTATTTTCACATTCTTTTAGAGTTGGATACGCCTTCAGAGAAAGTAAATCTTGACTGTGAAGACTCAGTTAAAGTGTTTTAGTCTCCACAGTCTGGGTGAGTGAGGAAGTCATAGTGGTTGGCCAAGCTGAGATACTTGCTTATACATTCCAAAGTGCCCTTTTCTTTCAGAACTCCTGTAATCTTGTCATCACAAGTAGAATCTTGTGTACCTCTTTCACAAATGGATCTGAAGACAGTAATCCTACAAAGCATATCTTTTCTTTTTTAGAGTTAAAATACCAATACCACCCAGACCTTAGACTCTAAACACTTTATTCGTTAAAGTGAACCAGGGCTTCTTAGAGAAATGACTGATTCTGGGGCTGGGGCAGGGAAAAAAAGGCCCCTTCAATATTTCGAGGACATTTCAGAAGATCTAGAAGCCAGCTTGGAGGGGTTTCCACTGGCCAAGTCTGGGATAATTTGAGTGTCAAAATAAATAAGGACAATAAGGCCAGGCACAGTGGCTCACAACTGTCATCCCAGCACTTTGGGAGGCCGAGGTGGGCAGATCACCTAAGGTCAGGAGTTCCAGGCCAGCCTGGCCAACATGGCGCAACCCCGTCTCTACTAAAAATACCAAATTAGTCAGGTATGGAGGTACGTGCCTGTAATCCCAGCTACTTGGGAGGCAGAGTCAGGAGAATCGCTTGAACCCGGGAGGTGGAGGTTGCAGTGAGCTGAGATTGTGCCACTGCACTCCAGCCTGGGCAACAAAGTGAGACTCCGTCTTAAAAAAAATAAAATAAAGTGAAGAAATCAATAAATAAGGACCATAAATGAACAAAATCATAATCCATGTGTTAATTTAACTAGTAAAATAGAGAAATACGGCCGGCACAGGGGCTCATGCCTGTAATCCTAGTACTTTGGGAGGCCGAGGCAGGCGGATCACCTTAGGTTGGGAGTTCAAGACCAGCCTGACCAACATGGAGAAACCTGTCTCTACTAAAAAAATACAAAATTAGCTGGGCGTGGTGGCACATGCCTGCAATCCCAGCTACTGGGAGTCTGAGGCAGGAGACTCGCTTGAACCCGGGATGCAGAGGTTGGGGTGAGCCGAGATCATGCCATTGCACTCCAGCTGGGGCAACGAGCAAGACTCCGTCTCAAAAAAAAAAATAATAATAATAATAAAATAGAGAGGTTATAGTCATGTTAGTAGTAAAAATTGATTCAGGTAAAGTTTATCTGGGTGCTAAATCTGGGATGAGGGGAGCGAGTTTCCTAGGAAACAAGTTATGAACATGATCTCAAATTCACTGCCTATGAATTATTTATGTATTTATTTATTTTTCTTTTTTTCCTTTTTTTGTGGAGACGGGAGGTGGGTCTTGCTATGTTGCCCAGGCTGGTCTTGGCCTCAAGTGATCCCACCACTGCAGCCTCAAAGTGCTGGGATTACAGGCGTGAGCCACCATGCCCAGCCAGATTATTCATTAATTATAAATGGAGAAATGGTAACTATAAAATGGGGATGTATGGGGCAAGGATAGATGTTACGTGCTTCCAGACATGACACTTTGAGAACACAACATCATTTATGAAATATCTAAGCTGAAAATTTTTAACAACCTGAATCCAGTCATGAGGACACCCAATCTAAATGACATTCAACAAGATACCTGGCCTGTGTTCTTCAGAAATGTCATGCCGAGAGAAACAAAGGCTGGGAAAATTGTGAACTGCTCATTGTGAACAATTGAGAAAATTGGAATATGGATTTTCAATTGAGTAAAAGTATTGTATCAATGTAAATTTTCCTGAATTTGGTAACTATCCTGTAAGGTACATAAAACAATGGCTTAATCCCTTTGCATTGCTACAGAAGAATACCTGAGGCTGGATCACTTACAAAGGAAAGAGGTTCATTTGGCTCATGGTTCTGCAGGCTGTGGAAGAAGCATGGAGACGGCCAGGTGCAGAGGCTCATGCCCCTAATCCCAACAGTTTGGGAGGCCAAGACGGGCAAATAACTTGAGGCCAGGAGTTGGAGACCAGCCTGGCCAACATGGCAAAACCCTGTCTCTGTTGAAAATACAAAAATTGGCCAGGCATAGTGGCCCATGCCTATAATCCCAGCTACTTGGGAGGCTGAGGCAGGGGTATCACTTGAACCTGGAAGGCAGAGGTTGCAGTGAGCCGAGATTGCGCTGGTGTACTCCCGCCTGGGCTGCAGAGTGTGAGACTCCTTCTCCAAAAAAAAAAAAAAAAAAGAGAGAGAGAGAGAAAGATTGGGCAATGGAAGGCTTGATAATCATGGTCTACTTGCTATTCCTGAAATACAAGCTTTGTTTCTGTATTAAAAACATAAAGTGCAGCCTGGTCCAGTGGCTCATGCTTGTAATCCCAGCATTTTGGAGACTGAAGCAGGAGGATTGCTTGATCCCAAGAGTTCAAGACCAGCCTGGGTAACAGTGAGATCCCATCTCTTAAAAATAATGATAGTAATTAGCCCGGCTAGTGCCTGTAGCCCCATCTATTCTGGAGGCTGAGGTCGGAGGATCATTTGAGCCTGGGAGGTTGAGGCTGCAGTGAGCTGCGATCATGCCACTGTACTCCAGCCTGGGTGACAGAGCGAGACCCTGATTAAAAACAAAAACAAAAAAAAAAAAAAACGCAAGGTGACTTTAAGTTGAAGAGCAAGCACTTGCCATTTGAGCCCTAGGCAAAACTATAAACTGTAATGTGGGTGAGGTTGTTCTTTTCCCTGTTTCCTTCTTCTTCACTTCTTTCACCTTACACACTGAATCCCTATTGGCTGTTCAAACATAACTCACCTCCTCCCTGTGTACCAAACACTTGAACTGTCTCTCACTTTCCCCTCTCTAATCCAAACTTCTGGCCTCTTAGTAGGGGTTGATTTTTAGCAAGCTTAGAGAAAAACAACAAAGTGTTGATTTTAGTAACTTGTATGATCTTAAGTAGCTAATAGAATTAATCTTCATTTACATTTTAAAAGGAGTTTTTTTTCTTTTTTAAGCAAAAGTGTCTCTTTGGAAAAGTATGTGTGGGAGGGAAGCATGTTATAAGCAAAGCAATAAAGGAAATGAGTAGGGTTTTCCTGTCTTTGACTGGTGTACAGACCTCTAAAGTCAGAGGGATTGGTGTTATTCTAAGAGTCTTCAGTCCTCTCTTTGGCTTACTGAGGTAGTTGTAGCATAATCAACAGCTCAGGCTTTGGATTTAAGCGCACAGACCTGGGTTCAAATTCCAGTCTTTATAAGTGACTGCAACATTATTCAAGTTACTTAACATATTCAAGCCCCAGCTTCCTCATTTGTAAATATCATAAGTGTACTACCTGATAGACTTGTGAGGATTATACAAAATAGCATTGTAAAAGTACCTAGTGCATAACAGGCATTACCTATATGTAAGTTTATGCTACCATTATTATTTTGTCAGATGGAATATGTATTATGTTTTTATTGGGTTGAGTGTTCTATCAATGTCAGGTAGGTCAAGTTGGTTGATAACATCATTCAAGTTTTCTGTCTTTACTGACTTTTTAAAAATCACCTCTCTGTCAATTACTAAGCGAGGAGTATTGAAATCTCCAAATATCATTGTGAATTTGTTTCTCCTTTCAGTTCTATCAAATTTTGTTTTATGTGTTTTGAAGCAGTGTTATTAGTATATACAAATTTAGGATTGCTGGGTTTTCTTGAAGAATTAACCCCTTTTTTATGATGAGATACCTCTCTGTGTTCTTGATAATATGGTCCATGTTCTTAAGTTTACTTTGTCTAACATTGGTATAACCACTTAAGCTCTATTTCATTGTTTCAGAGTATCCTCTTCCTTTCATTAGTTTTTAACATATTTGTATCTTTATATTTAAAGTAAATTTCTTACAGACAACATGAAGTGAGGTCTTGTTTTTTAATCTAATCTGATAATCTCTGACATTTAATCAGACTGTTTATAGCACTTATATTTAATGTGATTTTTGATAAGGGAAGTTTTACTCCTGTCATCTTGCTTTTTGTGTTTATCTCATCTTGTTTTAGTTCCATTTCTCCTCTTTTTTTGCCTTCTTTATGACCACACCTTTATCTCCACTATCAGCTTGTTAGCTACACCTCTTTGTTCTGTTTGTTTGGTTTTGTTTGGTTTTTGTTACTGGTTGTTCTGGGGTTTACAGAATACGTCTTTAACTTACCTTCAAATAATATTTATACCACTTTACAGAAAAAAATTTTTTTAATAATAGTATTATACGACTTTACATATAAGAATCTTAAACAAGATTCTTATATTTCTTCCTCCTGTCCTTTGTGCTGTGGTTCTACATGTTACTTGGTGGTTCTTTCATCTTGGGTAGTTTCCTCATATGCATGTGCAGTACTCAGCCACACTCAAGGGAACCCTCTGCAGATACCTGGAGCTTTTTCTGTGTAGCCCTCTCCCCTCCGTAGTGTTTGCATGATATTTTGCCATGCAAATTCTGGTCACATCGGCCTCCCTGAACTCCAAATGCTGTCTCCTCAATTCAGCAAGTCAGCTAGGCTCTGTTTGAGTGGCCTCTCCCTGTGCCATGACTTTAAAACTCTCCCAGCAGTGAGCTGGGACACTCTAGGACAGACTGTATTTGTTTCCCTTCTTTCAGGAGTTAATCTGCTGTTTGCTTGTCATCCAATGTCTGAAAACCTTTTGTTCATATATTTGTCTCACCCTTCAGTTGTTAAGATAGTAGGGTAAACCTGATGCCATCAGAGTATTCCATCATGACTAGAAGCGGAATTATCAGACAGAGAAGGATTTTTGATAAAGAATTTTTTCCTAATCATACAGATGTCAGCACAGTCTTTGGTTTTTTATTTACATAAAAGAATTTTAGAAAAGATGTTGCCCTTTTTGTTTTGAATTAGATTGTACCTGATTTATTTATGTGCTTAAAAAAAATAGGTAGTATATCCAAATGACTCAAACGTAACAGGTATGGTTAGAAGTTTCCTTTCTACTTTGTCTCTCGCCCATCTAGTTCCTAAGTACCACTGCTATTGTTCCCCTACTTTTTTTTTTTTTTTTTTGAGACAGAGTCTCACTCTGTCGCCCAGGCTGGAGTGCAGTGGCACGATCTCGGCACACTGCAAGCTCTGCCTCCTGGGTTCACGCAGTGGCTCCTGCCTCAGCCTCCCGAGTAGCTGGGACCACAGGTGCCTGCCACGACACCCAGCTAATTTTTTGTATGTTTAATACAGACGGGGTTTCACCGTGTTAGCCAGGATGGTCTTGATCTCCTGACCTCGTGATCCGCCCGCCTCAGCCTCCCAGTGTGCTGGGATTACAGGCGTGAGCCACCGCGCCCGGCCTATTGCTCCCCTACTTTCACAGAACTTTTGTTATTAGTTTCTTATGTATCCTTCTGTGCTTTTATTCTAATTTATAAACACATATATTCTTACCCCGCTACCCCCTGTTTTATATAAAACACAGCACAGTGTACATCCCTTACTTTTTTTTTTTTTTTTTTTGAGACCAGGTCTCACTCTGTCACCCAGGCTGGAGTGCAGTCAGACTCCTGGGCTCAAGTGATCCTTCTGCCTCAGCCCCTCCAAATAGCTGGCACTATAGGTACGCACTACCATGCCTGGCTAATGTTTTTACTTTTTGTAGAGAGAGCATCTCACTATGTTGCTAATTTATGTTTTTGCTTCCAATACATTTATGAGCTCTTTCCATATCAGTACACAAGAAGCATACTTTTTAATTTTAAAACCCTATGGCATTTTATTTTATGGATTAAAGGATAATTTATTTAGTCCATCAGTGATGGCCAGTTATTTCCAGTCTTTTGCTATTACAAGTAATGCTAAAATGTACATATTTCATTTGGTACATGTAAAATTTTATTAGTAGAAAATTTTGGAGAAATAGAAATGTTAGGCCAGGCGTAGTAACTCACACCTGTAATCCCAGCACTTTAGGAGGCAAGCGGATCACATGAGGTCGGGAGTTCAAGACCAGCCTGACCAACATGGAGAAACCCCTTCTCTATTAAATATACACAGTTAGCCAGGCGTGGTGGCACATGCCCGTAGTCCCAGCTACTTGGTAGGCTGAGGCAGGAGAATTGCTTGATCCCAGGAGGTGGAAGTTGTTAACCGAGATCGCGCCATTGCACTCCAGCATAGGCAACAAGAGTGAAACTCCGTCTCAAAAAAAAAGAGTCCTGAAGATAAAAGATTATAAGGAGTTACTCTGAGAGCCAGACGCGGTGTTTCGTACCTGTAATTCTAGCACTTTGGGAGGCTGAGATAGGAGGATCACCTGAGGTCAGGAGTTTGAGACCAGCCTGGTCAACATGGTGAAACTCTGTCTCTACTAAAATACAAAATTAGCTGGGCGTGGGGGGGCATGCCTGTAATCCTAGCTACTTGAGAGTGAGGCAGGAGAATCATTTGAACCTGGGAGGCGGATGTTGCAGTGAGCCGAGATCCACTGCGCTCCAGCATGGGCGACAGAGTAAGACTCCGTCTCAAAAAAAAAAAAAAAAAAAAAGAAATTACTCTAAGAAACTGTAGAATAGGCAGGTTAATATCTTTAAAACATACTTTTTCTGGCCAGATGCGGTGGCTCACACCTGTAATCCCAGCATTTTGGGAGGCCGAGGTGGGCGGATCACCTGAGGTCAGGCGTTCGAGACCAGCCTGACCAACATGGCGAAACCCCGTCTCTACTAAAAATACAAAAAATAGCTGGGCATGATGGCACACATCTGTAGTCCCAGCTACTTGGGAGGCTGAGGCAGGAGAATCGCTTGAACCCAAGAGGTGGAGGTTGCAGTGAGCCGACATCACACCACTGCACTCTAGCCTGGCGACAGAGTGAGACTCCGTCTCAAAAAAAGAAAAAAAAAATACAAAAATTAGCTGGATGTGGTGGCACTCACATGTAATTGCAACTAGTTGGAGACTGAGCCAGGAGAATCGCTTGAACCTAGGAGGCAGAGGTTGCAGTGAGCTGAGGTCTTGCCACTGCACTCCGGCCTGGGCAACAGAGCAGTACTCTGTCTCAAAAAAAAAAAAAATCAAATAAAACATACCTTTTTAAAAAATTATTTTTAGGAAATCATTGGGATATGGGGAACTTAAATTCCTTATAAACATTAGAGAGCATAGTTCAAAATCAGGAGGCTTAGAATGTGGTCAAAGACCAAGTGGTAGTTCATACTTTCTGAAAGCACTTACTGCCTATTACAACATCCTTACCTCTCTTGTGTAAATGTCCCATTTTCCTTTCAGTGTGTTTATCTGAAGAGGGGAAAGAATTGTCTGCCCAGCCGGTGGGATAGTGTAGTGCATGTTTCCCTTGTCTCTTCATTGTATGCTTTGTCGTGTTCATCATGCTATTAATACTTTGGATTCATTCTTTCACTTTGATCAGTATGACTCACCAACGAAATGGTGGGTAAATAATTGTGAGTCTCCACACAAACACATTAACCTTTGCCTTTTTGTCAAGTAAAATGGGATTTGGAAAGGTTGTCTAACATTTATAAGTCATCTAACATTTCAGTGCTTCTATTGATTGTTATTCTATTTGTTGACTGGTTTTATAAACTCCAGCAGTCTTTGAGAAGCCTAGTGGTGCCATTTCAGTGTTCATGATTGAAGATATAGATGAAAGCATGGTAGATTTTGGCAAAGAAAATATTAATAGAACAACTTTTATTTCAGTAGGAATATCTTTTAGATAATGTAGTTTTGTCTACTCATACTTCCTACTTGTAAAACAGATTTAGTTTACTTTAAGGTAAGTTGTCCAATCATTCAAACATAAAATGATTTAAATTCAAGTTTAACCTTGATGAAGCATAATTTAAATAACCTTAGGTAAGATACTTAAAGTAATTCCACGCATGGATCTTTTATGTCATGAAACTTTCTATGTTTAATTTTCCCAGCAGAAATTCAGGAAGCAAAAGCCAGTCCTTCCATAAACCGGCGAACCAGCATTGAAACGGATAGAGTGTCTAAGGAGTTCATAGAATTTCTCAAGACCTTCCACAAGACAGGCCAAGAAATCTATAAACAGACCAAGCTGTTTTTGGAAGGGATGCATTACAAAAGGGTAGGTTGAGAATAACCACATAGAAACATAGAGCTTTGGTTTGAGAAAAGGTCTTAGGGATAATATAGTGCAACCTTGTCATTTTATACCGGAGAAAATCAAGACCAAGAGATGTTAAATTACTTACCTAAGAAAAGCCTCTGAATCAAGCTAAAACCCAACTCTGAGGCTAGTACTTTTCCACTGCAACTCAGTGGTGTTTGGATCATCTTTGTGTGGAAATTCTGACCTTGAAGCCACTTGAATTATGTGCTTTTAGTAACAGGCCTTTTTGACTTGTGACCTTGTAAATAGTATAAACTGCCATAGTAGACCTTTAACTCTGTGCAACCATTGTTAGGCCAGTGGCAGTAATTTTAAGGGTTGTTGTTGTGGAATTCTGTTTTGTTCTTTGTATTTTGATTTTGAATTTTTTCATTCAGTTAGAGAAAGGACAGAATTTAGACAATGAAAGGGACTTTAGCAACTATGGAGTTTCAGTCCCTTTATTTTATAGATGAGGAAGTTGAGAGCCAAAGAGGATAAGTGACTTGTCCAAGGTTACACAGCTAGATTTTGCCAATGTCAAGTAGTTGTGACTTCCACACCTGTTTCTTTTATCCATAATTTCTGACCCATAATTTCAGTGGCAATAATTCATAAGACTGCCTGTAAAGGAATTCATTTTGTAAATAGGGATTAATTCTGTTGTAACATTCTATAACCATTAAACTCAGAATTAGCTCCGAAAGTTCCTTCTATGCAGTAAGGAAGTCTTAGAAAGAAAAAGGAAATTAGAAAAGCAGCAGGGGTGTTTAACTGTTTAGCTATATTCTAGCTGGGGTCAGCAATCACTAGGCTAATAAGCAGTGGACTTGTGTTGAAATAATTTTTAGATATTGAATTCAGTTTGTAAAGGAGAAAAGCTTGCTTTCTCGCCCTTCAGAAATGTAATTAGACTGTGTAAGTAAGTAGCTGTCTTTCTCTAGGTATTTTTTCTCTCTAGAGTAAAACATTTGGAGTTAAAACAAGTGAGCTGTTATTGATTTTTTTTTTAAGTTAGGAACCATGATAGATATCCTTAATATGGAAAAATTCAGAGTTCATGTGACATACGTCTTTCATTTTTATCAGAACTAAAAACTGAGGTTTTGTATTTATTCTTGAGCCCACATGAAATGTTGATGGGATAGCTGTACTAACTTAGAATATGTATATTGTAGTACTTAAGCATATATGCTGTATAATAATATGTTTTAGAAAATTGCTCAACTTGGATTTGATGTTTTTCTTTTGCTCGGAAGTGTGATGTGTTCTTGTTCTATAATAATTTAGTAGACTTCTAAATTAGTGTACTAAAGTAAAGAGGTAATTAACTAGTACAAATATCACCATGCCTATTTGTAAGGCATCACTAGTTTATATCAGACACCTGGATATGGCCTCAGATTTCTCCTGTTTGAAGAGCCACTAAGCCACCTATTTTCCATTTCTACACTGTGTGTTTCATAGTTAGGTGGCCAAGTCCTGTGCATGTATCTCCGGTATCTTTAGTGTCCAACATGAAGTCTGCACATACTGTATATGAAAGAGATGTTTTTTAAACTGAATGTCCCTAGAGAAGCCCTTTTGGCCTTTGGCTGCAAGTTAATGTCCTTTCAAATAAGTAAATAAACACTCTTTACACCTGAACTAACCTAACTAACTTCAGATCAGTAATCATATAAATTTCTTGGGGCAGTTCCTCTGACGTTGTGAAGAATGTGGTAGTATAAAATAGCCTTTGTACTCAATTTATCAAAACTGCTTAAAAACTTTAAATTCATGTTATTCCCACCAACTAAACTTTCTAGATGGTATCCTAAGGGCCTATGCAATATAAGAATTCATTCTTACCTGTTTAAAAACTGCCCAGGCAGCCTTGCCATAAACGGATAATTGTTCCTACTGCATCCCACAGTATTTGCTTTCTAAAATTTCTGAGATCCAGAAGAGTGATCCGCTCTTGCCCACATCTTTTCCCACATCATTTCTGTTTTCTCCAATCCCTGTACATGCCGGCGGTGAGCAGCCTTTTCAGCATATGGGTCAACTCCAGAAAAATCTTTTCCGAACTGCATTAAATTGTTTTTTTTTTTTTTTGAGACGGAGTCTCGCTCTGTTGCCCAGGCTGGAGTGCAGTGGCACAATCTCGGCTCACTGCAAGCTCCGCCTCCCAGGTTCACGCCATTGTCCTGCCTCAGCCTCCCGAGTAGCTGGGACTACAGGCACCCGCTACCATGCCCGGCTAATTTTTTTGTATTTTTAGTAGAGGCGGGGTTTCACCATCTTAGCCAGGATGGTCTCGATCTCCTGACTTCGTGATCCGCCCGCCTCGGCCACCCAAAGTGCTGCGATTACAGGCGTGAGCCACCGTGCCCGGCCTGCCTTAAAATTTTTAAGCCATTTTATCTTTATCGAGAAACACTTTATCTACACTTAGATGTTTTTTGTTTTTAGAATTTAAATTTCAGCACCTAATAATTTTCATACCCACTGCAGTATTTCCATGTAATGCTGTACTGTGCAACACATCTCTCTTTCTTTCCTTTCCTTCCTTCCTTTCTTTTTTTGAAGCAGGGTGTTACTCTGTCTCCTAGACTGGAGCCCAGTGGCACAGTCACAGCTCACCACAGGCTTGACCTCCCAGACTCAAGTGATCCTCCTGCCTTAGTCTCCTGAGTAGCTGGGACTATAGGCACACACCACCATGTCTGGCTGAGTTTTTTAGTTTTTGTAGAGACGGGATCTCCCTGTGTTGCCCAGGCTAGTCTTGAACTCCTGAATTACAAGTGATCCTCCCAACTTGGCCTCCCAAAGAGCTGAGATTACAGGTGTGAGCCACTGCACCCAGTGCTATTCAGCAAATATTGTTGTTTGCTAATACTTTTCTGAAGCTTGTTTATTTTGCTCTGTTTTCTTTCTTGCTATTCTTAGTAGCTATTTAATGTTAAAACATGTATACTCTTGTAGTACCTGTATAGGTCCTTTAAACAAGATATTTCCATTGCAAATGAGATAGGCAGCCATGTCATTAACACAAAATCCTTTTATGTTGAACATACGATTGTCACCAGCTACTTTTCTGTTCTTACAAATCATAGCAAGAATTTAAATTGATGAACCAAATTAATAAAGCTTAATTTTTAAATTTTTAAATTTTGAAACCGAATATGTACAACATAACTTGAATAATAATAATAATAATTATTATTAAAATGGGCTGGAGTGCCCATTTTTTGGGTTTCTCAATTCAGTTATTTTTATTTTTTTAATTTTTATTAATCCCTTAATACTCCCTTCAGGGCAATCAATTCAGTTTCTACAACAAGACATCTTAGTAGTCATTCTGATAAGCTCTTTTTTCTCAGGAAGCAGTTAAGCACAACGTAACACCTTTTGCTTGTTTCATTGTTCTTTTTCTAGCCAGTCCTTCTGTAAAAATCTGATACTGAGCTGGGCACGGTGGCTCATGCCTGTAATCCCAGCACTTTGGGAGGCCAAGGTGGGTGGATCGCCTGAGGTCAGGAGTTCGAGACCAGCCTTGCCAGCATTGTGAAACCCTGTCTCTACTAAAAATACAAAAAATTAGCTGGGCGTGGTAGTGGGCGCCTGTCATCCCAGCTACTAGGGAGGCTGAGGCAGGAGAATCACTTGAACCTGGGAGGCGAAGGTTGCAGGTAGCCGAGATCGCGCCATTGCACCTCCAGCCTTGGCAACAGGAGCAAAAAAACTCTGTCTCAAAGAAAAAAAAAAAGTGATACTGATTATATATTATGTACTTAAAGCCTTGTACCTGCATGAGGACAAAAAATATACAGTTTAAGACATGACTATATCTTCATTTCCATGATCTTTCCCACAATAAGTAGAAAGATAAGTGTCCTTCTATATTTTAAAATGACTCCATTGTTCTAAAGTGTATATTTATGCAAGGAGTAATTTGCCCTGCTGTGTAATTACTGTAAGAACAGAAGTATGTATCCAAAACAAAGCAACCTTAACCAGCAAATAGGCTTTAATTATTGTGAGAACCTCAGCGGGGGTAGCAACCCAGGACCTAATTTTAAAACTAGAAGCAGTGAGGATGAGAAGTGAGGCAGTGGAAATAGCTCTGAGCTCTCAGAATCTGTAAGTCATAAGGAAAAAAATAGATAAAAGATGTATTTGATAATTATGCTGAAGGAATAAAAATAATTTAAAACATTTCATAGAAGCATATAGTGATGGGCGAGGGGAAACTTAAATCATCATCCCGGGGCAGCCACGGCGGCTCCATGCGTGAGGCTGGTGCCACGCGGTCTCCCGGTGTTGGCATTGTCTCCAGGCCTTCTCCTCAGTTCTGCACACAGCTACAAAACAAAAGAACAGTTGCCAGCACTTGGAAGAGGATGTGGATCCAAACCAAATGGAGGACAGATACTCCCTCTATGGACAAGATACTCATGGAAGAAGTCAAGTTAGAAGAGCAGCTGAAGGAGGCTGTGGAAGAAGATAAGCAAGCACTGGCAGATACTGAGGGCTCAGAGCAGAGCAGCCAAAAATTGGTGGAGGAGGGAAATATGTATAGCATTCAGGGCTTCTGCAAGGACTCGTTAGAGGTTGCAGATGTTTTGGAGAAGGCAACACAGTGTGTTCCAGAAGAAGAAATTAAAGACAATAACCCTCACCTGAAGAACCTCTCTCTGTGAGACTCACAATGAGTGAAGTCCAGATTCAGGAAGTGTTCAGCAAGCACTGCCAAGATGAACTCTGTCACAGCAAGTTCCACCCTTATGAGCGTGAGGGTCTTTTTTTGTCTTTGTTCACATCCGACAGGCAATGTGCCAGTGTTGTAACAAGGTGTGAGTGAGGCATATCTCACACGTGAAAACCTAGTCATCACACTCCCAGTGCTTTGGGAGGCTGAGGCAGGCGGATCACTTGAGGTCAAGAGTTACAGACCAACCTGGCCCTCATGGCGAAACTCTGTGTCTACTAAAAATACAAAAATTAGCCAGGCGTGGTGGCGTACGCCTGTAGTCCCAGCTACTCAGGAGACTGAGGCAGGGGAATTGCTTTAACCTGGGAGGCGGAGGTTTCAGTGAGCCAAGTTTGCACCGCTGCACTCCAGCCTGGGCAACAGAGTGAGACTCCGTCTCCAAAAAAAAAAATACTTTGCAGGTCAGTATAAACACTTAAAATATCATTTGAATTACCGTGTTACATTATTTATTATAGAAAAACAAGGAAACAAATATACCATATGATATTTTTGTGAGGGGGTAAAAAGCAAGAATTTGTGAAGCGGGGATGTTTCTAAATCCAGCAGAGTTTTTAATACATTCTAAAATGAAAGTCATCACATCTAGATGAGATTTGGGTAAAAAATGAAAATACAGAACAGTGATATCAGCCAGAGATTTGAGAAATAGATTTAATTTCTCAGGAGCAAGTTACATGACACCTGTGAGGACGAGGGGGAACAAGGTTGTGCTTTACTAACTGCTGATGGTGATGACAGATACACTTGTATAGAGTTTTAGTTCTGTGTTTCATACCATGCACCTTACATTCCAGCCAAATTAAAGAGCTTGACATGAAAAAATTGAGAAGAAAGTAGATTAGGATATGAGCTGGGTATGGTGGCTCATGCCTATAATCCCATCACTTTGGGAGGCCGAGGCAGCCAGATGAGTTGAGGCTAGGAGTTTGAGAGCAGCCTGGTCAACATGGGGAAACTCCATCACTACTAAAAATATAAAAATTATCTGAGTGTTGTAGTAGGTGCCTGTAATCCTAGCTACTCAGGAGGCTGAGGCAGGAGGATCACTTGAACCGGGAGGTGGAGGTTGCACTGAGCCAAGATCACACCATTGTACTCCTTAGGGACAGAGTGAGACTATCTCAAAAAAAAAAAAAAAAAAAAAAAAAATTAGCTTGGGCGTGGTGGTTCCTGCCTGTAATTCCAGCTACTTGGGAGGCCAAGGCAGGAGAATCGCTTGAACCAGGGAGGCAGAGGTTACAATGAGATCACACCACTGCAGCCTGTGTGAGAGAGCGAGACTCCGTCTCGGGGGAAAAAAAAGAAAAGAAAAGAAAAATATATATATATATATGAACAGTACCTTAGGATACGTATTTCAGCTGTAGAGAGAAGCAAAAATTGAACTATCAAAAAATTGTTTTACCTGGGCATGGTGGCTCACACCTATAATCCCAGCACTTTTAGAGGTCAAGGCAGGAGGATCAGTTAAGCCCAGGAGTTTGAGACAAGACTGGGCAACATAGTGAGACCTTGTTTCTATATATTAAAAAACAAATAAAATAAAAAGAGAAATAAAATTAAAAACTTACAAAAAATGTGTTTGTTTGGTTTGTTTGTTTTTGAGACAGAGTGTCGCTCTGCCGCCCAGGCTGGAGTGCAACGGCGCAATCTTGGCTGACTGCAACCTCCACCTCTCGGGTTCAAGCGATTGTCCTGCCTCAGCCTCCCGAGTAGCTGGATTTCAGGTGTGCAGTAGCCTGCCCAGCTAATTTTTGTATTTTTAGTAGAGACGGGGTTTTGCCATGTTGGCCAGGCTGGTCTTGAACTCCTGACCTAAGGTGATCTGCCCGCCTCGGCCTCCCAAAGTTCTGGGATTACAGGTGTGAGGCACTGCGCCTGGCCAAAAGAATTGTTTTTAATGACCAGATAAAAGGCTTAATAATATTAACTTTTTAAAAATCTGTGCAATAAAAAACATGGGAAGTCATGAATATAAATAAGAGCTTAATACAGTGAAATATCTAAACTTTACTAAAGGTAGTACCTAGGCTTTTATAGATGAGGGATCAATTTTAATTCAGCCAAATGACATGTATATGAGTAACTAGTTGACAGTGATTAGGGCTGCAGTCAAGGTGATCACAAAGTGCCATGAGTGCTTGGCCATTTTCACTGAGGGAATGAGGTGACTGCCTCTGACCCCAAGTGTCCTGCCATCCTTTTAGAGTTAAGCCAGACGGTCAGACTGCTGTGGGCTTCCACAGGATGTATTGGCGCTTGGCGTGTGATGTCAGTGGCCTGTGTAGATGAGGTCTGAGACAGCCAGTTCTGGGGGTTTGTTCTTGGCCTTATTCATGCTCTTCTACTGTGACATCCTTGTGAGAACCCTTGGGAGAAATTTCTGATTTTGGTGTCAGAATTTCACCTGAAGAATTAGTTTGCTTTCATGTTTTGAACCCTGAATTATGTGACTGTTTTCATCTTAGTGATGGTTGCTAAAAAGTTTAGTTAGAGACAGATGTATGGGCTGACTCTTGACTAATTTAGACATATTCCAGGAGAACATTTCTGTCTTGTCATCTGTGGCTCTGCTTCAGGTCTCTCTCCATGTGTGATTTTTTTTTTTTTTTTTTTTTGATGTGGAGTCTCACTCTGTTGCCCAGGCTGGAGTGCAGTGGTGCAGTCTCGGCTCACTGCAAGCTCCGCCTCCCAGGTTCACACCATTCTCCTGCCTCAGCCTCCTGAGTAGCTGGGACTACAGGCGCCAGCCACCACGCCCAGATAATTTTGTTTTTGTATTTTTAATATAGACGGAGTTTCACCATGTTAGCCAGGATGGTCTCGATCTCCTGACCTTGTGATCTGCCCGCCTTGGCCTCCCAAAGTGTTGGGATTACAGGCGTGAGCCACCACACCCAGCCTAAAGTTTTTAAAGAATTTTTAAAATATCTATCATAATCTGTCTGTCTATCTATGTATCTCTCTCTCTCTCTCTATCTATCTATCTATCTGTCTTTACTGGAGGTGGGGTCTCACTATGTTGCCCAGGCTGGTCTTGAACTCCTAGGCTCAATCGATCCTCTAGCTGCAGCCTTCCAGAGCACTGGGATTACAGTTATTTGTTATTCTTTTTATTTTCTAGTCTGTTGTGCTGAACTGCATTTATCTTTTAAATAGACTTTAAATATTCTTTGGCAGAAAGTGAGGAATACATACGTATGTTCTACATATAAAATCAGTAAAATCAAATACAAATTATCAAGCCCAATGTTGTAAGGGCCATAGGGAAATAAGCGCATACACGTGGTTAATGACAGTGTGCACTGAGTTTCTGAGGAGTGTGGCTAGCAATAGATACTTAGCACTATAAAGTTGTTTATTCTTATTAAGAGGTTAATGCCACTTTTGGAGATGTATCACAGAGAAGTAACCCAAAAGAAGATAGTCCTTACAAAATTATTTATAGCTATGATGCACAACAGTGAAAGAGGGGAATCAACCTAAATGCACAGTGGTAGAGGAGAGTCGAATAAGTCAGTTAATATAATGGAATGTTATAAAGCCACCAAAAATGTTCAGTGGGTTAGATAAATAGAAGTGTCCATAAAATACGTAAATTATCAAAACATGCATTAAATCTATTTAATAATATGTAGATGTAGCAAAAAGAATGAGATGGTCATGGTGAGACTGCTAGGTAGGAAGGGGTCCCCGGAAAAACTCCAACCGGCCTGTGCAGTGGGGTGGAGCTCCCCGGAAAAACTCCAACCGGCCTGTGCACTGGGGTGGAACTTCAGGATGTTTGCACTGTTGATAGTGGGGAGGAGCCTGGCACGTCTTCTTACTGTGTAAAACCCAGTATTCTAGCTGCTGGCGGAAAGCACTCTAGCAGGGACTCTGGCCTTGTGAGAGTCCCAATAAAACCCTGTCTTACTCACTATTCAAACCGTCTGCGAGCCTAAATTTTTGTGGCCTTGAGACGGACAAGGACCCCATCTTTAGCTGAACTAAGGAAAAATCCTGCAACAGTGGATATTGGAAATAATATTAATGGATAGATTTTACTCTCCTGAAGGATTAATATAATCTGTGAGTACTTTTAGGCTTACTGCCAGTACAAGGAGTGGCTTACTTACTACCGGTACAAGGAGTATATATACTCTCTTGAGCTTTTCTGTCTGTTTGGCTATTTCAGTGCCTCCAGAAAGGGTTGAGAAGATAATGGATCAGATTGAAAAGTACATCATGACTCATCTCTGTAAATATGCGTTCTGTCCAGAACCCCAGTGAGCCTGGAAGACTGGGTGCTATGGGAAATGTCATCAATCCAATGCTAGTGAAAGATGTGACTGGGGAATGCTGAAAAATGCGCACCCCTGGGAGGAATGAGGAAAGATGACATCCACTGACTTGTTATTTTTTTGAGAAGGAGTCTTGCTCTGTTGCCCAGGCTGGAGTGTGGTGGCACGATCTCGGCTCACTGATGATGAGAAGAAAGATCTTGCCATTCAAAAGAGGATCAGGTAGTTGCTTATTTTGTTTTGCTTTATACTTACTACCTACTAATGGAAGAATACATTGGGGGAAATAAGGCACCTGAGTTTCAAACCTTAAGAGAAAGCAACAGCTCATGTTTCTGCTTCCTTAGAGTGGAAGCTTCTCTGTGGTGTCAGAAAGACGAGGAATGTGGTGACCTCACCTATCCATCTCCCTCAAGGCAGCTTTTGGTAAGTTGTGTTTGGTGTTTGAGATTGTTTTCAATCTCTGAAATCTCCAAGGAATAGGGGGACTGTGTTCTTGGTCCATTAACATTTCCTCAAGCAGGAAGCTGTGAATATCTGTATCAAGGCAGGGGATGTCGGCTGGGCCTGGTGGCTCATACCTGTAATCCCAGCACTATGGGAGGCTGAGGTGGGTGGATCACTTGAGGCTGGGAGTTCAAGAGTAGCCTGGACAACATGGTAAAACCCCGTCTCTACTAAAAATACAAAAATTAGCCAGGCATGGTGGCGCAGGCCTGTGATCCCAGCTGTTTGGGAGGCTAAGGCACGAGAATGGCTTGAATCCAGGAGGCGGAGGTTGCAGTGAGCCGAGATTGCGCCACTGCACTCCAGCCTGGCGACAGAGACTCTGTCTCAAAAATATAAATACAAAATTATATATCTATGTGTATGTATATGTGTGTGTATAAACGTGTGTGTGTGTGTGTATATATATATATATATATGTACTGGGTGCCTACTCTATGGTTGGGGCCTATTCTAGATGCTGATACAGTTAATAAAGATCTTTGCCCTCGTGGGGCTTATAGTCTAGTGGGAGAGACAGGCATAAACAAGATAAATAAGTATAATGCATATTATGTTATATGGTGGTAAATGCTAAGGAAAATAATCAAAATTCTCCATATGTTATTAGCTCATAGCACAGGGGTTAAGAGCTTGGGTCCAGGAGGTAGACTTGGAGTTTGAATTCTAGTTCTGCAACTTATTAACCATGTGATTTTGGGCAGGCTGCATTGCGTCTCCAAGCCTCAGTTTCTTCACCTGTAAAACATAAAAAACAATAGTTTCTGCATCAAAAGTTGTCAGGATTAATTGAGTTAATACAGACAGAGAACTAAGAATAGGATGGCAGGGGTGTGAGAAGTCACGGGCTTCAGGGTTCCTAAAGGTTACTGAACTCTGAGACTAAGTTTAGGCTGGTGACCAGGGTCCCAGCACTGGGGTTCATGGAGCTTGGAGGGAGAGGACCCCTGTCGAGACACATCACAGGGGCCTCGGCATGGCAGTGTGCAGTGGAGTCTCAGCACTCTTCAGGATTTAAGCCTAGGTCTAACCTGCTGCGGAGCACAGGGAAGCCACTTCTGTTTCACCTTGAGGCAAGAACAAGGGAAGACCCTGGCCCTTGATTACACTGATAGATAAAACAGAGGAAGTGGATTTGGAAATAATCCACTCATTATATTTTGCGAACTAACAGAGCCTCCACATCAAATTGAGTGGTGATTTATTAAAGGGAAGCCAAGGCCAGGCACGGTGGCTCATGCCTGTAATCCCAGCACTTTGGGAGGATTAGGCGGGTGGATCACTTGAGGTCAGGAGTTCAAGACCAGCCTGGTCAATATGGTGAAACCCCCTATCTACTAAAAGTACAAAAAATTAAATGGGTATTGTGGCAGGCACCTGTAATCCCAGCTACTTGGGAGCCTGAGGCAGGAGAATCGCTTGAACCCAGGAGGTAGAGGTTGCAGTGAGCCAAGATAGCGCCATTGCACTCCAGCCTGGGCAACGAGTGAAACTCTGTCTCAAAGAAAATTAAAATAAATAAAGAGAAGCCACATGGAGGGGTGGAGAGGGAATACTAGCATCAGATGAGCCTGGGTGCTAATTGAAGCTTTACCTTTTTCAGTAATTGGGCAAGTTAGTCAACCCTCTGAGATTGACTTTTCTATGTAAAGTAGCTGTTCCTGTGGATGACTTAAGGGGAGTGCAAACAAAAGTCATCAGAGTTGATGTATGACTCAACTCAGAGTTGAGGATGAAAAGTGGGGATAACACCTGCCTGTACCCTGGTACGGATCATACGATGTTTACTTATTTATTGTGGAGACAGAGTCTCACTCTGCCACCCAGGCCTGCGTGCAGTGGCACGATCATGACTCACTGCAGCCTTGAACTCCTGGGCTCAAGCGATCCTCCTGCCTCAGCCTCCCAAGCAGCTGGGACCAGAGGCACACACCACCACACCCAGCTAATTTTTAAAAAAGTTTTTGTGGAAACTGAGTCTCGCTGTTTCCCAGGCTGGTCTCAAACTCCTGGCCTCAAGCAACCCTTTCGCCTTGGCCTGCAGGGATTTTCAGGCATCAGTTACTATGCCTGGCCAGATCTCATGAAGTTTAAATATGACATAGCATCTAGCAGTTAGACTTGCTCAGTGGAGGCCTCTTTTTTGCCTGGTGGGTTGGCAGGTCCTGTGTGTACAAATGATGTTTACTGGTCTACCCCTCATCTAGGTTTTTAAAAATGAGCATTTTCTCTGTACTGACAATAATGAAATAGTAACAGAATCCATTGTCTTTTTTTAAAAAAGATAATTATATTCAAACTTCTTTTTTTATTTTTTATTTTGAGACAGGGTCTCACTCTTGTCACCTAGGCTGGAGTGCAGTGGCGTGATAATAGCTTACTGCAGCCTCTAACTCCTAGGCCTAAGCGATCCTCTTGCCTTAGCCTCCCAAGCAGGGGTGACTCCCGTGCATCACCACGCCTGGCTAATTTTTATTGTTAGTAGAGATGAGGTTGCATGCCTGTAGTCCCAGGAGCTACTTAGGAGGGTAAGGCAGGAGGATCACTTGAGCCCAGGAGTTTGAGGCTGCAGTGAGCTATGATTGTACCACTGTACTTCAGCCTGGGTGAGAGAGTAAGACCCTGTATATATAAATATATATATTAAAAAAAACAAAAACCAGGCCAGGCACGGTGGTTCACAGCTGTAGTCCCAGCACTTTAGGAGGCCAAGGCGGGTGGATCACTTGAGGTCAGGAGTTCCAGACCAGCCTAGGTAACATGGTGAAACCCTGTCTCTACTAAAAATACAAAAAAGTTAGCCGGGTGTCATGGTGATGGGCCCACAACCATGCCCAGATAATTCTGTATTTTAGTACAGATGGGATTTCACCGTGTTGTCCACGCCAGTCTCAAACTCCTGAGCTCAGGCAATCTGCTCACCTCAGCGTCCCAAAGTGCTCGGATTACAGGCATTAGCTACCATGCCCGGCCAGTTCACTCTTTAGTAAAGTTTTTACAGCAACTTTGCATTCTGTAGTGATTTCAGTCACTCTCAACAAATTCACTTATAGTTATCAATATTTGAACTTTTGCAGGTGTTGTCATAGATAAGACATTTGGCCAAATGGACTCTTGATTATTGCAGTAAAAATTCTGCTCAAATTAGGTAACAGGCATTTGAAGTTTTAAAGTTATGCAAACTGTGTTCCAGAAATTTCACTTCTAGGGATTTAAGAAACAGTCATGATTCTACAAATAAATGTGCTGTAGGGATGTTCATTTAACAAAATGTATACAGGGAAATCCTGTAACAGCCTAAGTATCCCATAATAGAATTCATTAAATGTTATGATACATACATATGATGAAATGTATGCAGCCATTAAAAAATCTGGTGCAGTGGCTCATGCCTGTAATCCCAGCACTTTGGGAGGCCGAGGCGGGTAATCACTTGAGGTCAGGAGTTTTAGACTAGCCTAGCCAACATGGTGAAACCCTGTGTCTACTAAAAATACAAAAAATTAGCTTGACGTGGTGGCCCATGCTTGTAATCCCAGCTACTTCGGAGGCTGAGGCAGGAGAATCGCATGAACCCACGAAGCAGAGGTTGCAGTGCGTGGAGATTGCACCATTGCACTCCAGCCTGGGTGACAAAAACAAAACGCTGTCTCAATTAAAAAAAAAAATTAAGAATATTTGACATGAAAGGTATTTTTACAATACATTAAGTGAAAGAGCAGATTACACCACAGTACATATAGTGTGTTTATATTTTAAGAAAGTAAATATATATTTTGAATATTGGAATTATATATACCCAACTACTAATGTTATCCATTGAGTCATGGAATTACAAGTGACTTTTTTTTTTTTGCTTGTCCCTATTTTCCAGTTTTTCTGCAGTGACCGTACTTGCAATAATTAAACATAGTTGGTCATTTAAAATACATCTCTGATACTCTCGTCAAAGGTGGAGCCCAGTCCCTATCGCCTTGAGTGAGGGCTGGGTTACGTGATTCCCTTCTGACAGATAGGAAAAAGCAAAAGTGATGGCTTGCAACTTTGCAAACTACATCATAAAAGGTACTGTGGCTTCCTCCTTGCTCACTCTTTGATTACTCACTTGGGAAAGCCAGCTGTCACACCATGACACCTAAGCAGCCTGTAGAGAGGCTCATGTAACAGGAACTGAGGCCTCCTGTCAGCAGTCACATGAGGGAGCCATCTTGGAAACAGGCTTTAGGTGACTGCAGTCTCAGTGGACAGCTTGAGTGCAATGTCATGAGACACCCTGAGCCCAAATGACCCAGCTATGCCACTCCTGAATTCCTGACCCACAGAAATGGAGATCCTAAGTAAGTATTTTATTTATTTATTTATTTATTTATTTATTTTTGAGACAGAGTCTCACTCTGTCACCCAGGCTGGAGTGCAGTGGGTGATCTTGGCTCACTGTAACCTCTCCCTCCTGGGCTCAAGCGATTCTCCTGCATCAGCCTCCTGAGTAGCTGGGACCACAGGTTTGCACCATCATGCCTGGCTAATGTTTGCATTTTCTGTAGAGATGGAGTCTCACTGTGCTGCCCAGGCTGGTCTTAAACTGCTGGACTCAAGCGATCTCCCACCTCGGCCTCCCAAAGTGGTGGGACTGCAGGCATGAGCCACTGTGCCTGGCCCTAAGAATTTATTTTAAGCCACTAGGTTTCGAGTAATTTGTTATATAGCAGCAGATAAATAATACACATATTTTCTGTGGTGATCACATTTATAATTTAAATTGCATTAAAAAGGTCGGGAGCAGTGGCTCATGCCTGCAATTCCAGCACTTTGGGAAGGGTGAGGCTGAAAGATCGCTTGAGCCCAGGAGTTCAAGACCAGCCTGGGCAATGTGGCAAAACTCCTTCTCTACAAAATACAAAAAAATTAGCCAGGTGTGGTGGCGTGCACCTGTAGTCCCAGATACTTGGGAGACTGTGGTGGGAGAATCACCTGAGTCCAGGAAGTCGAGGCTGCGGTGAGCTGTGACTCTGCCACTGTACTCCAGCCTGCATGACAGAGTTAGACTTTGTCTCAAAAAAAATTTTTTTTTTGGCTAGGCGCAGTGGCTCATGCTTGTAATCTAGCACTTTGGGAGGCTGAGGCAGGTGGATCACGAGGTCAAGAAATTGAGACCATCCTGGCCAACATGGTGAAACTCTGTCTCTACTAAAAATAACAAAAATTAGCTGGGCATGGTGGCATGCGCCTGTAGTCCCAGCTACTCAAGAGGCTGAGGCAGGAGAATCGCTTGAACCCGGGAGGCAGAGGTTGCAGTGAGCCGAGATAATGCCACTGCACTGCAGCTCAAAAAAAAGAAAAAAAATTTTTTTTAATTAAAAAGTTGTAATATCTAAAATGAGCAAAATCACTGTGTGCCGCCGAGGCGGGTGGATCATCTGAGGTCAGGAGTTCAAGACCAGGCTGCAGTGAGCCGAGATTGCACCAGTGCTCTCCAGCCTGGGAGAAAGAGTAAGACTCCGTCTCAAAAAAAAAAAAAAAAAAGGAAAAATGCATTTAAAAAGGACAGCATCAACCAGGTACAGTGGCTTATGCCTGTAATCCCAACACTTTGGGAGGCTGCGGGGAGAGGATAGCTGAGCCCAGGAGTTTGAGACCAGCCTGGGCAACATGGTGAAACTCTGTGTCTACAACAAAAATTGGCCAAACGTGGTAGCATGCACGTGTAGTCTCAGCTACTTGGGAATCCTGGGGGCAGGATTGCTTGAGTCTGGGAGGTTGAGGCTGCCATGATTGCACTACCTACTCCAGCCTGGGCAACAGAGCAAGACCTTGTCTCAAAAAAGAAAAAAAAATGCAAAAACAAAACAAAAGAGAATAGCATCATTTCCTTATCATTAGTTTGAATGAAGTGAGTCATTGGTAAAAGTTTCCATTTTCAAAAAAGGCATTAAAATATAGTGTGAGGCCAGGCATGATGGCTCATTCCTGTAATCCCAGCACTTTGGGAAGCTGAAATGGATTGCCTGAGCCCAGGAGGTTGAGGCTGCAGTGAGCCATGTTTGTGTCGCTGCACACCAGCAACCTGGGCAACAGAGCAACACTTTGTCTCCAAACAACAAAACGTGGTTTACCACAACCAACAGGAAAAATCTGGATAAAACTGTATGAAATATTTACTGCTGTGCTCAACATGGTAGTGTAGAGATCAAGGGCAAAAGTCCTGGGGTCAGGCCACCTGGTCTGCTGTGTAATTAGCTGTGTCATCTTTGGAAAGGTAGTTGAACTCTCTGTGTCTTAGAATTCATTTTCTAAAATGTGGGCGGGGCGCGGTGGCTCATTCTTGTAATCCCAGCACTTTGGGAGGCTGAGGCGGGCGGATCACGAGGTCAGGAGGTCGAGACCATCCTGGCTAACACGGTGAAGCCCCGTCTCTAGTATACTAAAAATACAAAAAATTAGCCAGGCATGGTGGCGGGTGCCTGTAGTCCCAGCTATACTCTGGAGGTCATTTTGGCTAATAACATAACTCTCCTTTTGAGTGAAAGGGTTAAAGTGTTCCTCTCAAAAGTACTTATTTTTTAAGCTTGTTCTTCAGATTTGGCCAATATCCTAAGCAAAATGCCTTCAATATGAAGTAAATATTGCTTGATTGTAGGGAACTTGTCCATAATGTACTTGAGAATGCAGATACAAATAAAAGAATGTCCGTGTCAGATTTTATTTTCCACAAATTATGTTCTCTTGCACTTTCAGCTTAAGTTCTTGGACTCACTGAGGCAGTAAAAGAACCATATCCTGTGTTTGAATCAAATCCCAAGTTCCTGTACGTAGAAGGTTTGCCAGACAGGATTCCCTTTCGAAGCCCTCCTGGTTTGGAATTCCATGACTTGAAAGGATCGTCCATGGGAGTAATAAAATCAAATTTGTTGGTAAAAAGTAAGTTTTAGGCCAGGCGTAGTGGCTCACGTCTGTAATCTCAGCACTTTATGAGGCTGAGGTGGGCAGATCACCTGAGGTCCGGCGTTCGAGACCAGCCTGGCAAACATGGCAAAACCCCGTATCCACTAAAAATACAAAAAATTAGCCGGGCATGGTGGCGGGCACCTGTGATCCCAGCTACTTGGGAGGCTGAAGCAGGAGAATCACTTGAACCTGGGAGGCAGAGGCTGCAGTGAGCCGAGATCACAACACTGCACTCCAGCCTGGGTGACAGAGTGAGACTCTGCCTCAACAACAACAACAACAACAACAATAAAAAAGTAAGTTATATTTGCCACTGTAGTCATTTCTGGAATTAAAACAATAAAATGACATTTCTACTAAAATGTTTTTCTAGCTAGAAGTGACAGGTGTGTCTGTAAGTCCTTGATGGAAAAGCCTGGCTCTGAGCTGCAGTCCTGGCACTCTCCATTGCCCCTGCCATTCCCCATCCCATACTCAGTCATCTTCATCAGTGCAAGAATAGTGACCACTGCCTCCCCGATGTTCAGACACACTGTGGTGGCTTGCAGTATGCCTAAGTACTTGAATGAAGTTTAATCTGCTGGGTTTTATCTGCTCTGTTATTCCTGGGTCAATCTTATTAGCAAGTAAATATTGATGATTGAGTTTCTTTTCCTTTTTCTGAGACAGAGTTTCACTCTTGTTACCCAGGCTGCAGTGCAATGGCACGATCTCGACTCACTGCAACCTCCACCTCCCAGGTTCAAGTGATTCTCCTGCCTCAGCCTCCCAAGTAGCTGGGATTACAGGCATGCACCACCATGCCCGGCTAATTTTTGTATTTTTCGTAGAGACGGTGTTTCACCAAGTTGGTCAGGCTGGTCTCAAACTCCTGACCTCAGGTGACCCACCCACCTCAGCCTCCCAAAGTATGGGGACTGCAGGTATGAGCCACCGTGCCCGGCCTGATGATGGAGGTTTTTTTTTAATTATATCTGCGTTTCTGCAGAATTTTGGTGGCTGAAGAAAGTACACTAGTGTTAATTTTCTTTTTCATGAAAGAAGTAATTTACTTTTCATACAATTACTTGCCAGTCATGGGAAGGAAAAGTCAGGGTTTTCATCTACAATGATAGGAATTATTGTGACATTACAGGATGACTCTGTGAACACCTTTAGGAAAAAACCCTGGTCATATCACAACCGTTTTACTAGCTGTGAGGCCACCATTGTACTGGCTGCTGTAACATTTCTTGGTTTTCTTTCTAGACCTGAACTGGTTATTTCCTACTTGCCTCCTGGAGTTGCTAATAAAATAAACACTAAAGGTAAGAGATTACCTGTGTTTTGTATTATATTTCACTACATTAAGACATTCTTTATCAGCATTCCTTAAATCACACAGAATCATTGGCCATTCTCTTTGTGGGACTTGCAGTTAATTTCTTGGCTTTTTAAGGTATTTTATTTAATGGACCTCTTTTTCTTTAAAAAAAATTTTGTTGGAAGTGTCACATTTGCAATCCCACTTCATTCATGTTTCCATGGCTTTGTTGAGTCCCCTGTGGAGGATTACACTACAAGTTTAATTCTGCAGGTTTCTTTGAAAAGAGCCAAACTGAATGAATTTTAATACTCCGCTCTTATAAAGCATTTCCTTCTGTATTTTTTTCTACAATATACTAAAGTAATTCTGTGCTTTATTTTATAGCTTCGCAGTTTCTAAAAAGACCATGAAGCCCTGAGAGTAATGAAAAGGTTCCTGAAATTGAGGTCACTGTGGAAGGTAAGGGCCAGTCCTTGGCATGTTTCTGTTGATTCTCCAGTTTAATAGTTATGTCAATTCACTAGCTACATGTTTATACAGATGAAGGTAACCAAACTAGTTTTACCTGTGAACAGCTGCCTGTGATAAAGCTAAATTTCTGAATGTCTTTAATTGAAATTTTGAAAATTATTAACAGGAAATAAATAACATGGATCACATCATAAACTGCACTCAAGAAAATCCCTAAAATGCTTTTCCTTTATTACAACAAATAAGGGTGCAGAGGGTCACATGGAATGTTTCATCTTTTGTCTTGTTTTTTCTGTTCTTTTAAGGAAAGAAAGTTGAGGGGTGGTTTAAAAAGCAGTGCCTGGAATGAAAGTATTTCCTACAACATCCTCTAATGTACTTCCTTCTCTCCATGCCCACGGGGTCTGCAGGGTTCTCATCTTTTCATGTTCACAGTATTAAAATACTTCCTACAATACCAAAGACAGTTCCCAAACAACCATCAAATATGGGTATTTCTTCCATCTCCTCATAAATGCAAAAGGAAATAACCGCATTAGGATCATTCTTTTTTATTTGGAGATGAAAGTCTCGCTCTGGCACCCAGGCTGGAGTGCAGTGGCATGATCTCTGCTCACTGCAGCCTCAGCATCCCAGGTTCAAGCAGTTCTCCTGCCTCAGCCTTCCGAGTAGCTGGGACTCCAGGTGCACACCACCACATCTGGCTAATTTTTTGTATTTTAGTAGAGATGGGGTTTCACCATGTTGCCCAAGCTGGTCTCAAACTCCTGAGCTTAGGCAGTCTGCCTACCTTGGCCTCCCAAAGTGCTAGGATTACAGGCGTGAGCCGCCACGCCCAGCCTAGGATCATTTTTTTTTATGTCCTAGGTGTCGATTTTTTAAATAAGGGTTTGCAGTACTGGTGTTTAGTGGTGCAGTAATTTCCATTTAATAATCTGGCATACTCAAAGAGAGGATACCAGATGACTTAAGAGTATACCTCACAGAGAGTATACCAGATGACAGAGTATACCAGATGACTGAGAGTATACAGAGAGTATACCAGATGACTAAATGGGGATTAGAGTATTTAAACTCTTCATTCATTCATCCTGTTAAAGGAAAGCTTACTTAATAACATAAACTCTTGGTTATGAATTAGATGTTTCTCCTATGAAAGCTTGTGGGCATCTTTGAGCAACTTAATACCTGACTATTTCTGTTCAAAAATGCCGAGAACTAAAAATCCATTCAAACCTTTACTTTTCTCCTTTTGGAAAAGATCAGAGGATCAGAGATCTCTCCTCAACACGAGGTGCCATCCTTTCCTGAAGGAGCTCCTTGTAAAGTGCATGAGGTGTTCCTTTTGGTAAAAAGACACACTGCGCGACCGCAGAGACCTGAGCCTGAACCTATAAAGATCTGAACAAGGTGAACAATGAGACTATGTAAAGGGGAGGTTAATTCCAAGGTGACAGGAACTTTATGGATAAGATTATGATTTCTACACTTCGTGTCACCTTCTAACTCTAGTATGAAGTTACATTGTATATGTTGGTGCCCTAATCTCAGTCTGTGGATATTAGATATTAAGATTGGGGAGAAAATAAAACAGCCAGTTAATGTGCACCATTTTTACAGGCACTGTCAGTAGCATATAAGAAATAGCATGTTTCTCAAAAGTAAATTAGTTCATAGTAGTCAGTTGGCACATTTGGCAGGTACTTCTGTGAACTTTTTTTTGGTATCTTTAAACTCTTCATTCATTGATCCTGTTAACCCAAAGCTTATTTAATAACATAAGGTTTTGGTTATCAATTAGATGTCAGGAAAAACGGAGAAATGAACAGCTAATATAATGAGTTAAAAGGATTGAGGCTGTAGGAATAATGTTACCAAGAATAACTTTAGGATTGTTTGTTACTGTAGCTAGCTGTGATTATCAAAATAGGGAGATGCCTGTTTTTCTCACAAAAATGTAATTGTGCAGGTAGGCTAAGGCTGATATTGGTTCAGTTGCTCAAACATGGTAAGACTGGCTTCCCTGTGCCTCTCTTCACTCTCCTTTCTGGTGCACAATGACCAAGAGAACTCCTGTGATCGTGTCTCCATCCATCATGTCTCCATCCAATTATAAGTAAAGAAAATGCAGCATGAGCCCTGCCTGCACCCACAGTCAGGAAAAGCAAGAGGCTTGTTTTGAATCCTCGCAGAATTTTGCATAAGTCTCTTGGTTTTAAAAACGATGGCTTTTAAAATAATAAAGTAAAATAAAGCACAAACTCTGAGGCCAAAGTGATAGGATTTAAATCAGTGCTCTGCCACTTAGAAAAATTAAATTCTCTGTTGTTTAGGTTGCACACCTGTAAAATGGGAGGAAGAAAATAATATTTGACTCATGGTTTTTAAAATTTGAGATGTTATTTCTTTAATAAACAGCTGCTATCATTTGAGAACACTTGCTATTTAGGCACTTAGGAATTTTTCATTAGAAGGGATGTAAAGAAAGACGATGGGCATTTGTAATGGATTTAACATTCATCGTTTGACTGCCTGACTGACCCCCAGAGCTGTGATTTTACTAATGAATTTTTCAGAAGTCCCTTAGCTAGCAATGAGCCTAACCAGCCTCTCACTCTCACCATTCATTGCTCTTGTTCTTATCTGTTTCTCTACAAACTTGGTTACTCTCACAAAGTGATAAAAACTTGCATTTCTTTTCTTTCCTTTTTAGAGACAGGATCTTACTCTGTCACTTAGGCTGCAATGCAGTGGTGTGATCATGGCTCGCTGTGGCTTCAAACTCCTGGGCTCAAGCAATACTCCCGCCTCAGCCTCCCAAGTAGCTTGGACTACAGACATACACCACCATGCAAAGCTAAATTTTTTATTTTTTTGTTGTAGAGATGGGATTGTGCTATGCTGCCCAGGATGATCTCAAACTCCTGTCCTCAAGTGATCCTCCTGTCTCAGCCTCCCAAAGTGCTGGAATTATAGGCAGCCATGGGCCACCTGTGTCCAGCCCGCTATTTTCTTTTTTTAAATAACAACTTTATTGAAATGTAGTTCACATACCATGCAATTTATTTGTCAAAGTATGCAATTCAGTGGTTTTTAGAATATTCATGGAGCTGTGATCTATCACCACAATCCATTTTAGAAGCTTTCATTACCCTATAGAGAAATCCACTGTTCTTAGCCACTAGCTAAGAACATGGCGGGGAGTAAGCCACTAGGTTACTCCCCGCCATGCTTCTGTGTTGCCAATAGGCAACCACTGATCTATTTTCTGTCACTATAGATTTAGATTTGCCTAATCTGGACCTTCTATATAAATAGGATTGTGCAATATGTGATTGTTTGTGGCTGGCTTTTTTTTCCCTCTTAGCACAGTGTTTTCAGAGTTTCTTCCTGTCATAGCATGTGTCAGTATTTCGTTCCTTCTATGGCTTAGTAATATTCCATGGTAGAGACACACCACATTTTGTTTATTCTTCAGTTGATGAACATTTGGGTTGTTTCCATGTATTGGCTATTATGAATAATGCTGCTATGAAGATGCATGTACAAGTTTTTGTGTGGACATATATTTTTATTTCTCTGGCATATATACCTAGGAGAGAAATTGTTGCATTCTATGATACTGTACATTTAGCCTTTTGAGAAACTGTTTTCCAAAGTGGTTACACCAGTCAGGTGCAGTGACTTACACCTGTAATCCCAGCTACATGAGAGGCTGAGGTGGGAGGATCACTTGAGCCTACGAGTAAAGAGAGACCAGCTTGGGCAAGATAGCAAGACCCTGTTTCGGTTTTTGAAAAATCAAATTAAAATGACAAGAAGACAGGTGCGGTGGCTCACGTCTGTAATCCCAGCACTTCGAAAGGCCGAGGCAGGTGGATAACTTGAGGTCAGGAGTTCAAAACCAGCCTGGCTGGCCATGGTGGCAGATGCTGTAATCCCAGCTACTCGGGAGGTTGAGGCAAGGAGAATTTTTTGAACCCAGGAGGTGGAGGTTGCAGTGAGTCAGGATCACACCACTGCATTCCAGCCAGGGCAAAAGAGTGAGACTCTGTCACACAAAAAATGTAAAAATATAAATAAATAAATAAAATGACGAGAAAAGAAACACCCCAAGTAGTTAAACCATTTTGTGTTCCCACCAGTAATGTATGCGGGTTCCAATTTCTCCACATTTTCACCAACATTTCTTTTTTTGAGACATGATCTCTCTGTGTCACTTAGGCAGGAGTGCAGTGGTGTGAACATGGCTCACTGCAGCCTCGAACCCCCAGACACTCGTGATCCTTTTATTTCAGCCTCTTGAGAAGTTGGGACTACAGTCAAACTCCACCACACTCAGCTAATTTATTTTTAGTAGAGACAGGGTTTCACTATGTCGCCCAGGCCGGTTTCTAACTCCTGGACCCAAGTGATCCACCTGCCTTGGCCTCCCACACTGCTGGGATTATAGGTGGGAACCACCATGCCTGGTCCTCTCTCTCTTTTCTCTCTTCCCTTTCTTTCTTGGTGGAGGGAAATATGTCATGTACCAGCTATCCATCCAATGAGTGCCCATCAGTTCCAAATTCACCCTTCACTGCCTGATCTGCAAACATAGAGGTGTGTTCCTTAAATGCTTCCTCTGTCAGCTGGTACATGATTAAATGTTGTCAGTACATAGTACTAGAGGGACCTTGTAAGAGGCTTTTCTTTCTGGTTGTTGTGTGCGAATCTCCACAGGCACTGAGCTTCTCCAGCACCGGGATGCTGCCCTGCACAGTGCTCAGCAGCATCCAGCGACCAGCAGTTTCTCTGCACCTGCCTGGGTGGATTTGTAGTGAGACAACTGTTCATTAATAGCTTAATCTAGCACCCCAGAGGGTGAATTTTCAGCAAATTCCAGAGGGCAGATTGCTAGCATGTTCAACCATGTGGTAATGCAGCAATTCTGCTATTGAATTACCCATGACTGTGCCCTCTCCAAGTGGGGGCTGGATCTCAGCCCTAGTGGGGAGTCTTTTCCTTGATCACGGTATCTCAGCGTTGGGACAGTAGGGACAGTTACTGCTTGTTATATCAGCTGGTCCTATACTCTTTTTTTTTGGAGACAGGGTCTCCCTCTGTTGCCCAAGCTAAAGTGCAGTGGCGAAATCATGGTTCACTGCAGCCTTGACCGCCCAGGCTCGAGCAATCCTCCCACCTCAGTCTCCTAAGTACCTAGGACTATAGGTGTGTGCCACCACACCCAGGTTTTTTTTGTTGTTGTTAGTTTGTTTGTTTGGGTAGAGACGGGGTCTCACTGTGTTTCCCAGGCTGGTCTCAAACTCCTGGCCTCAAGGAGTCTTCCTGTCTTGGCTTCCCAAATTGCTGAAATTATAAACATGTGCCACCGTGCCTGGCCTCTGCTAGTCCTATATTCTCTAGCGTTCTCTTTACTTTTTGGTAGCCATCTCTCCTTATGCTGTTGCCCTGTTATAATTAATAATTTTTTATTTTAAATTTAACAGTTTAAACTTTTGAGTGGTTTATGTCTCCTGTTTGGACTCTGACAAATACAGAATTGATGCTAGGAAGGGTCCCGGGAGATAGACCCAGACAACTGGGATTTGGGCATAGGTTTGGTTATCCAAGGGGCAGTGCTGAGCTCCTTGCCAATGGGACATGGGATGCTGTTGATTTCGAGGACCTCACAATGACTCACGCTACCACTTTCTGTTGATTGTGATGAAATGCCAGCTGAGGCACATGCCTTGGGAGCTAAGTGGCTGCTGCACTTGACCACTATGAAGACTGGTGTGGGAAGAATCCTTTTGGATGCACTTGCAGGGGCCCCTAATCCCTGGGTCACAGGACTATAATGGGCTACATGGCAGGAGGTGAGTAGAGGGTGGGCGAGCGAAGCTTCATCTGTATTTACAGCTGCTCCCCACGTTACCACCTGATCTCTGCCTCCTGTCAGATCAGCGGCAGCATTAGATTCTCATGTGAGCACGAACCCTATTGTGAACTGTGCATGCAAGGGATCTATCTTGCTCTGTCCTTAGGAGAATCTAATGCCTGATGATCTGTCACTATCTCCCATCACCCCCAGATGGGACCATCTAGTTGCAGGAAAAGAAGGTCAAGACTCCCAGTCATTCTACATTATGGTGAGTTATATAAGTATTTCGTTATATGCTACAATGTAATAATAATAGAAATAAAGTGCACAATAAACGTAATGTGCTTGATATATCCCAAAACTGACCTTTGCTGCCCCCAGTCTATGGAAAAACTGTCTTCCACAAAACTGGTCCCTGCTCCCCCAAAAATTGGGGACCGCTGCACTCAACACAGAGAGAAAAACAAAAAGCTCAAGTCTTTACCTCTCAGCGTAAGTCATGGTCTAAGATCCAGAGAGCTTCCATGATAGCCCAAACACAATTCCTTATTTCTTGTATCCACAGGGCTAATATTATTGGAAATCAAACACAAACTTAAATGTGTTGGTTGCTGAATTACAATGACAGTTGAATTCACTGTCACCAAGGTTCTCATGAGAATGTTAGGGCACTAATAAGTGAAGAATGGGATCTTTTTCTTTTTCTTTTTTTCTTTCTTTTTTTTTTTTTTTTTTGAGGCAGTCTCCCTGTGTTGCCCAGGCTGGAGCACAGTGGTTTGATCTTGGCTCACTGCAGTCTCAACCTCTCAGGCTCAAGCTATCCTTCCGCCTCAGCCTCTGGGGTAGCTGGGACCACAGGTACGAGCCACCATGCCCAGCTAATTTTTGTGTTTTGTAGAGATGTGGTTTCATCGTTTCATCACATTGTTCTGGCTGGTCTCAAACTCCTGGGCTCAAGCCATCCACCCACCTTGGACTTCTAAAGTTTTGAGATTACAGGCAGGAGCCACCATGCCCAGCCCTTTTCTCTTTTACACTGGTTTATTGTGAGGGCCTCCAATTGTCTTTCTGACTATTAGGCTTGCTCACTTCGGCCTGTTCACTGAAGCCAGAGGAATTCTCCTAAAAGGCAAATTTGGGTCAAAATAGTTCTTGATTAAAACCTGCTGGTGACTGCCCATTGCCTTTAAGACGAAGTCCAAACTAATTTGGCCACAGGGCCTGGTAAGAGCTGGTCTCCGCTCACCTTCCCAGTTTTATCCTGCACCACCCTCCCCAAATCCCTACCCTCCAGCCACAAGGAATGTTAGTTTCCTTGGGGGACTTTACTGGTCCTTCAGGAAACCCTCTTCCTACCTCCATCATCACTTTTTCACTCTCATCTTTGCTCATTTTTAGCCTCAGCCAAGATGTCTCACCCCACTCTCTCTGATGCAACAAGAAGCCCCTGGAGAACGTTTCAGTCCCATTTTGTACTTCTGTCATGTGCTCATCACAGTCTGGTAAGTGTTGGCCTGTGATTCCTAGATTAGTCCATTTTGCATTGCTATAAGGAAACACCTCAGGCTGGGTAGTTTATAAAGAAAAACAGTTTATTTGGCTCACAGTTCTGCAGACTATACAAGTAGCATGGTGCCAGGCTGGGAGCAGTGGCCCACACCTGTAATCCCGGCACTTTGGGACGCTGAAGCAGGAGGATTGCTTGAGCCCAGAAGTTTGAAACCAGCCTGGGAAACATGGTAAGATCTTGTCTCTGCTAAAAATAAAAAAAAAATAGCCAGGTATGGTGGTGCACTGATGCATTCCTGTGGTTTCAGCTACTTGAAAGGCTAAGGTAAAAAGACCTGTTTAGCCCAGGATGTCAGGGTTGCAGTGAGCCATAATTACACCACTGCTCTCTAGCCTGAGTGTCAGAGTGAGACCCTGTCTCAGAAAAAAAAAAAAGCGTAGTACCAGCATCTGCTGGTGAAGACCTCAGGAGGCTTCCTCTCATGGCGGAAGGTGAAGGAGGAGCCGTCATGTCACTTGTTGAGAAGAGGGAGCAAGGGAGAGGGGAGGAGATGCCACTCTCTTTAAACAATCAGCTCTCACATGAACTAGTAGAGAGAGAACTCATTCATTACCTTGGGGAAGGCACCAAGCCATTCATGAGGGATCTGCCCCCACGACTCACACACCTCCCACCAGGCACCACCTCCAACATTAGGGATTTAATTTCAATATGTGATTTGGAGGAGACAAACGTTCAAACTGTATCAATTTCCTGCTACCCTATAAGCTCTGCGAGGGCAGAAACTTTTTTTTTTTTTTTGATACGGAGTTTCGCTCTCATTGCCCAGGCTGGAGTGCAGCGCCGCAACCTCAGCTCATTACAACCTCCGCCTCCTGGGTTCAAGCGATTGTCCTGCCTCAGCCTCCTGAGTAGCTGTAGCTGGGATTACAGACATGCACAACCATGCCCCGCTAATTTTTATACTTTTAATAGAGACAGGGTTTCACCATGTTCGTCAGGCTGGTCTCGAACTCCTGACTTCAGGTGATTCACCGGCCTCGGCTTCCCAAAGTGCTGGGATTACAGGCATGAGCCACCACGCCCGGCCAAGGGCAGAAACTGTTATACCTTGTTCACCGCTGTTTCCTGGGCACCTATTATAGTGCCTGGTATATAGTAGGAGCTCAAGAAGTGTTTGTTAGGGCCTGATGTGTTGGCGCAAGCCTGTAATCCCAGCTTTTTGGAAGGTGGGGGCCAGAGGATTGCTTGTGCCCAGGAGTTCAAGGCCAGCCTGGGCAACGTAGTGAGACCCTGTCTCTAGAAAAAATAATAAACTGGCCAGGCACGGTGGCTCACACTTGTAATCCCAGCACTTTGGGAGGCCGACGTGGGCAGATCATCTGAGGTCAGGAGTTCAAGACCAGCCTAGTGAACATGGTAAAACCCCATCTCTACTAAAAATATAAAAATTAGTCAGGCATGGTGGCATGCACCTGTAATCCCAGCTACTCGGGAGGCTGAGGAAAGAGAATTGCTTGAACCCAGGAGGCAGAGGTTGCAGTGAGCTGAGATCATGCCACTGCACTCCAGTCTGGGCAACAGAGCGAGACTCCGTCTGAAAAAAAAAAAAAAAAAAAAAAAAGACAAGAAAAAATAATAAATTTAGCTGGGTGTGGTGTTACATGACTGTAATCCCCGCTACTTGGGAGGCTAAGGTGGGAGGATCACTTGAGCCCAGGTGACGGAAGCTGCAGTGAGCCATAACGAAGCTGCAGTGAGCCATAATCATCCGCCTGTACTTCAGCCTGTGTAACAGAAGGGGACTCTGTCTCAAAAAAAGTAAAAAAAAGAAAAAGAAATATTCATTGGGAAAATAAAAAAAGAGTGAACAAGCAAAGTTTCAGGAGAGTACTGTGAATGTGGGTCGTGTCAGTAGAGTGTAGGGAGTTGGGCAGGAGCGGCTGGACTTGAAGAGCAGGTTGGTGGAGACCAGGTCATTTATCGTAAGCAGTTTGCCCTGTAGCATGTAGATCAAATATCCCACATTGGCTGCTGGCGACTGAACTGGGCTTCCTGTTTCTGTGTTTGGTTTGACCATCACAGTGTTGAAGAACTATTGAAGTGAATACCTTGCAGTTTGCTACAGTTCCCCCTGGTCTCCCACATTACTCTGGCCTCATTCCCTCCTGTAGGTTGCCTGACCTGCTGAGACCTGTGTTTGCTATCCCTGCAGATGGGTGGGTAGGAGGTGATTTAAGGAGGAAGATTTAATATATGAGTTATAGAAAGATAAATAGACTGGGCACAGTGGCTAAAGCCTATAATCCTAGCACTTTCGGAGGCGAAGGCGGGAGGATTAGTTTGACCCAGGAGTTCAAGACCAGTCTGGGCCACATAGTGAGACCCCGTCTCTACAAAAAATTAAAAAATTAGCCAGGCATGGTGGCATTCACCTGTAATCCCAGCTACTCAGGAGGCTGAAGTGGGAGGATAGCTTGACCCCAGGAGTTGAAAGCTGCAGTAAGCAGTGATCTTGCCACTGCACTCCAGTCTGAGTGACAGAGTGAGACCCTATCTCAGAAAAAAAAAAGCAAGAGAGAGGTAAATAGATCTAGCATTGGTGGGAGTGTGCTTTTGAGTGCTCTTTAGGAGAAATTTTTATTTTAATATTTTTTTCTTCTTTAAATTTTTTATATTCCAGCAGGCTGGGTCCATTCTCTCCCCTTTAATTTCTCAAACACAAAGCGCCCTGCCAGAATCTCAAGTTGGATCTGCAGTAGATCACCATTAACATAGCAGCCTGATATGTTGTAAGTCCTTATGCCAGGAACTGTGCAGGATACAAAATGTAAGAGAAGGCTGGAATAGAGCATCTCTGGGGGAAACGAGAGCCAGAGATACAGCGGTGTCCCATGGAGACAGCCAGCTGGTGTTCGGTAGTGCTTTGTGGAAAGGCTGTACTTTGGTAAGGTCTCCACATCTGCAATGTGGCCTTCAATATTATAGGTCCCCAAACTCCAGGTTTTTACATTCCCTGCATAGGTCAGGGTTGTAGGGAGTGATTCACCCTAGCAGAACTCCCTGGTTTTTAAGGCAGGTGTTCCATTTATTAATTGACAAAGGATGCAAATTTCTCCTTTGGTAACCTGATGAGTTAGGTCTTTTCCCCAGGGACTCCCTTTCCACCTGAAGTTTCTTGGAAAACTAAGCAGAGGATGAGGGAAAGGCTGTGAACAAGCTTGCTGGTCCATCCCGGTCCTAAAAAAGAGCATACGTCTTCTGTAACCAGAAGACCTTTTTCACTAGTCAAGGCTGGGCAGACTGAGATGAGGTGTGTGTGTGTGTGTGTGTGTGTGTGTGTGAAGGCTGGGCAGACTGAGATGAGTGTGTGTGTGTGTGTGAAGGCTGGGCAGACTGAGATGAGGGGTGTGTGTGTGTGTGTGTGTGTGTGTGTATGTTTTCTCACTCTGTCACCCAGGCTGGAGTGCAGTGGGATCAGAGCTCACTGCAGCTTCTACTTCTGCAGCTTCCACTTTGATCCTCCCACTTCAGCCTCCAAAGTAGCTGGGACTATAGGAATGTGCCCCCGCACCCAGCTCATTTTCTAATTTTTTGTAGAGATGAGGTTTCACTGTGTTACCCAGGCTGGTCTTGAACTTTTGGCCTCATGGGATATCCTCCTGCCTTAGTCTCCCAATGGGCTGGGATTATAGGTGTGAGCCACCTCACCTGACCTGTGATGAGTTTTCAACAATGTGATTCCTCTTTTACAGAACCACCTAAGCTAAATATTCTTTTGAGAACAAGGGCTAGCCTGTAGTTTCATTGCCTTTTTTCCATTTGTGGTTTTTGCCAGGTGGAATTTAAATGACCTCTTATCAAGATGGATAAACCCAAGTTTCCCAGTGCTGGAATATAGAAAATGGATGGACAAGTAAGTCCCACTCAGCACCCATAGCCCAGACATGGGGACCTCAACACACCTGGGCCCCAGACATCACCTTTCATTGTGAGTAGCTCAGAGATGACACTTTTGGTTGTTAAGTGCCCACTGGCAGTAGTTTCTGTAATAGCAAGTGAAGGAATAAATAGTCACCAAAACATTTTCTGTTCCCAATTCCAACATTTAATTGGATGAGATAATTATTTTATGAAGAATTTTCATATGGCACAGTCATGGCCATATCTTCAAGTCAACAGAAAAATTCTATTAAACAGTCAACCTTCTGTCTCACTCTGTTGCCCAGACTGGAGTGCAGTGGTGCAATTATGGCTCACTGCAGCCACAACTTCCTGGGCTCAAGCAATCCTCCCACCTCAGCCTCCCAAAGTGCTGGAATTATAAGCAGACAGCCACCATGCCTGAAAGCTCGACAGTTTACATCAAGTGTAATAAGAATGCTCACGCCCTGTGACTCACAGTAATCTCACTTCTGGAAATACCATCTTTGGATATAATTCAACCTAAACAAAAGGTCATATGCACACAGTGAAAATCCGGATGTAATTTTTTTCTCTTTTTAAAAAAAATATGGAATGATTCAGAAACTTGCATGTCGTTCTTGCACAGAGGCCATGCCAATCTCCCTATTGTTCCAACTGTAGTATACGTGCTACTGAAGCAAGCATGAGTAATTTAAGATAAAGTGGTTAAGTGGAATAAGGAAGAGTTATGGGGAATTTAAAAATTTATGGTATTTATAGGCACCTAGTAACAGCTCAGTAAATATTAGCTGCTACTTTTATTATTTTTATGGTAATTCCACTCAATTAAAAACTGTCATTAAAAATTACCATTGTCATGGAACATAATGTATCCTACAGTATAATTGTAAAAACAGATACAATTTGTCTCTTGGTATATTGGGGGGATTAGTTCCAGCTCCCCCATTTCTGTGTACACCAAAATCCACCCATACTCACTGCAGCCTAGACTTTTCAGGCGCAAGGGATCTTCCCACCCCAGACTCCAAAGTAGCTGGAACTATAGGTGTGCACCACCACCACACCTGGCTAATTTTTTTTCTTTTTTTGGTAGACACAGGGTCTCACTATGTTGCCCAGACTGGTCTCCAACTCCTGTCCTCAAGCGATCCTCCTGCCTAGGCTTCCCAAATTGCTGGGATTACAGGCATGAGCCACCATGCCTGGCCTCTGCTAGTTCTGTATTCTCTAGAGTTGTCTTTCATTTGTGCTAGTGTGTCACTCATTACGCCAATCCTCTGTTATAATTAATACTTTTTATATTAAATTTACATATATATATATATTTTTTTACTTTTTTTTTGTTTTTTATTGGTACTGGGTCTCACTCGATCACCTAGGCTAAAGTGCAGTGGCACGATCTCTGCTCATGGCTACCTCCACTTCCCAGGCTCAAGCAATTCTCCTTCCTCAGCCTCCTGAGTAGCTGGGATTACAGATATGTGCCACCACGCCTGGCTAATTTTTGTGTTTTTTGTAGAGACGGTGTTTCGCCACGTTTCCCAGGCTGGTCTCAAACTCCTGAGCTCAAAGCGATCACCCGCCTTGGCCTCCCAAAGTGCTGGGATTACAGGTGTGAGCCACTATGCCCATTTTAGTTTAAACTTCTGAGTGGTTTATATCTCCTGATTGGACTCCTAGAAATACAGAATTGATGCTGGGAAGGGTACCAGGAGATGGACCCACACAGATGGGATTTAGGCATAGGTTTGGTTATCCAAGGAGCAGAGCTGAGCTATTTGCCAGTGGGACATGGGATGCTGATGATTTCTAGGAAGTGACCTCACAATGACTCAAGCTACCACTTAATGTTGATTGTGATGAAATGCCAGCCGAGGCATATGCCATTCAAGCTAAGGGTGCTACACTTGACCACTGCGGCAGTATAGATGAGTCTGAAGAATGGTATGGGATGGATACTTACGAATGCACTCGAGCAGGGGTCTCCATCCACAGGGCCACAGAGCCAGAGGTGAGCAGCAGGTGAGTGAGGGGAAACTTCATCTGTATTTATAGCCCCTCCCCATTGCTCACATGACCACCTGAGCGCCATGTCTTGTCAGATCAGCGGCAGCATTAGATTCTCATAGGAGCATGAACCCTGTTGTGAAGTGTGCAGGTAAGGGATCTAGGTTGCGTGCTCCTTATGAGAATCTAATGCCTGTTTCTCCCTTCGCCCCAGATGGACAGTCTAGTTGCAGGAAAATAAGTTCAGAGATCCCACTGATTGTACATTATCATGAGTTGTAGAATTATTTCATTGTATATTACAATGCAATAATAATAGAAATAAAGTGCACAATATATGTAATGCACTTGAATCATCCTGAAGTCATTCCCTCCACCACCAGTCTGTGGGAAAAATTGCCTTTCATAAATTCACTCTGTTTTTTTGCATAGAGACAGGGTCTTAATGTGTTGCCCAGGCTGATCTCAAACTGCTGGGCTCGAGTAATCCACCCCTCTCAGCCTCCCAAAGTGTTGAGATTACAGGCGTAAGCTACCACGCTCAACCAAGACTGAATTTCTTAAATAAAAATTAGGGGAGATTACTTGAGCCCAGGAGGTCGAGGCTGCAGTGAGCCCTGATTGCACCACTGCATTCCAGCATAGGTAACAGAATGAGACTCAGTCTCAAAAAATAAAATAAAATAAAAATTAGACTGGGCATGGTGGCTCACGCCTGTAGTCCCAGCACTTTGGGAGGCCGAGGCAGGCAGATCACGAGGTCAGGAGATTGAGACCATCCTGGCTAACACGGTGAAACCCCATCTGTACTAAAAGTACAAAAAATTAGCCAGGTTTGGTGGCAGGTACCTGTAGTCCCAGCTACTCGGGAGGCTAAGGCAGGAGAATGGTGTGAACCCAGGAGGCAGAGCTTGTAGTGAGCCGAGATTGCGCCACTGCACTCCAGCCTGGGCAACAGAGCAAGACTGTCTCAAAAAAAAAAAAAAAAAAAAAAAAAAAATTAACCCTTTATGAAGTTCCCAGTAATTCTTTCCTTCCTAAGTGTTCCCCATAAGGCTTTGAATTTTGTTTGCTTTTCACATACCATTTAAAACGTTTAAGAACTTGTGTCTGTCTGTGTCATCCCTTTTTTTTTTTTTTTAAAGAATATCTTTTTGTCACTTCCAGCTGGATCTACCATGAAAGACTTCAGAGTCCAGGAAGAGAGACTGATTGGGCAACATGTTATTCAGTTACAAAAAGACTTGGACTATGACTCAAAAATGATCAAATAATAGTGCATGCATCCAATGCAATAAGAAGCACTTCTGGAGGGTGAGAGAAGCATCCAGTTAAGGTGACATTGAAGCTGGGTCCTGAAAGATGAGGAAGAATTGTATGAGAGTGGGCAGAGAAGGGGGAGGTGGAGGGATGGGGAATGGGCTGAGATGGAGTGAGCTGCTCAAGCAGGGAAACCAGCACTGTAAAGACCTGGTCAATAAAGATGGCACATTTTATTCAGGGAATGGTGAATTAATTGTGGCAGGAATGCTTTGGAGAGAGAGTAATTTGCTTGTATGGAATTTTGCCCAAGAGACCTCATTACAGTTTCTAATCTTTTGATGTTATCGTCTATCACTGTCCTTGTCAGATAGTTTGGAATAGGTATAATGATCACAATAACATCAAGCATAATATTTCATTAATTCTCACAAAATCACAGGTAGGTGCCACAGTTATCCCCATTTTGTGAATGAAGTGATGAAGACTTAGGAATGATGAGTGATTGCCCAAGCTCACCTGGATATTAAGAGTGAGTCAAATGTTGGGTCTGGTCTGACTTTAATGTTTGCTTTGTTCATGAGCACCACATGTTGCCTCTCCTATGCAGTTAAGCAGGTAGACAGGTGAAAGAAAAGCCCGTGTTTGTCTCTACTCACACACTTCTGACTGAATGTGTGTGTGGAATTTCTACACCAAGTTCTCCAATGCTCTGGATATTAACTGGGTATCCCACAATTTTATTCTGACACTTCTTGGAGTTGGTGTAGACCCCACAGGTTACGGGCTCAGTCCCACGAGACCACCCTCGCTTCACATGCCAATGGCAAGTCCTAGGTTGTCACCTATACTTTTGACCAACCTGTTACAAATCAGGGGTTCCCATGACCCCCTTCTTGGGGTTTAATCATTTGCTAGAACAGCTTACGGAACTCAGAAAAACAGTTTGTTTCCTTTTTTTCTGAGAGACAGGGTCTCATTTTGTTGCCCAGGCTGGTGTGTAGTGGTGCAGTCACAGCTCACTGCAGCTTCGACTGCCTGGGATCAAGTGGTCCTGACCACCTCAGCCTCCCTAGTAGCTGAGACTACACGCTTGCGCCACTATTTCTGGCTAATTTATTTTTTGTAGAGATGGGGTCTTGTTATGTTGCACAGGTTGGCCACAAATTCCTGGGCCCAAGTGATCCTCCCACCTCAGCCTCTTTGAAGCGCTGGGATTACAGATGTGAACCACCACATCGGGCCAGTTCATTTCCTGTTACTGGTTCCTTGTAAAGGATGCACTGCAGATCCAGCGGTGTAAAGGATACATCTTTGTAAAGGATACATCGCAGATACATTATCCAGCTGATGAAAGAGATGTACATGCCAGATGCAGTGGCTCACACTAATCCCAGCACTTTGGGAGGCCGAGGTGGGAGGATTGCTTAAACTCAGGAGTTTGAGACCAGCCTGGGCAACATGGTGAAACCCTGTCTCTAAAAAATTTTTAAAAAGCTGGGCACGGTGGCTCAAGCCTGTAATCCCAGCACTTTGGGAGGCCAAGGTGGGCGAATCACGAGGTCAGGAGTTCGAGACCGGTCTGACCACCATGGTGAAACCCCGTCTCTACTAAAAATGCAAAAATTAGCCAGGCATGGTGGCGTGCTCCTATAATCCTAGCTTCTCAGGAGTCTGAGGCAGGAGAATCGCTTGAACCCGGAAGGTGGAGGTTGCAGTGAGCTGAGATCACACCACTGCACTTTAGCCTGGGCGACAGAACTAGACTCTGTCTCAATAAATAAATAAATTGAGTGGGGTGATGTGTACCTGTAGTTCCAGTTACTACAGAACTAGACTCCGTCTCAATAAATAAATAAATAAATAAATAAATAAATAAATAAATGAGCGCAGTGGCGTGCACCTGTGGTTCCAGTTACTAGGGAAGCTGAGGTGGGAGGATGTTTTGATCTGGGGAGGCTTAGGTTGCAGTGAGGTAAGATTGTGCCATTGCACTCTAGCCTGGATAAAAGAGCCAGACACTTTCTCAAAAAAAAAAAAAAAAAAATGCCCGGGGCAGGGTAAGTGGGGAGGGGCACAGAGCTCCCATGCACTTTGTTGAACATGCTACCCTCCCAGCATCTCCTATGTTCAGCAACCCAGAAGCTCTGCAATCCCTGTTGTTCAGGGTGTTTATGGAGGCTTTATTATGCAAGCACGATTGATAAAATCCTTGGCCACTGGTGATTAAGTCAGTCTCCAGCCAGTCTTGCCTCCTGGAGTTAAGTGGGTGAGACTGAAAGTTCCAAGCCTCTAATCATGTGGTTGCTTTTTCTGGCAATCAGCCCTCCTCCTAAAGAAATCTAGGAGCTTGCAGCCACTCATCATCTCAACAATACCCCCAAATGCATTCTTATCATGCTGGAGATCCCAAAGTTCTTAAAGGCTCTTGGGTTAGAAATCTGGGACAAAGACCAAATATTAAAACAAAAGATGCTCCTATCACCTCTAACACTGAGGTCTTTATAAAAGCTTTAGAAGCTCTGTGCCAGGAACCAGGGACAGAGACCAAATATATTTTTCTTTTCTTTTTTTGAGACAAAATCTCCCCGTGTCATCCAGGCTGGAGTGCAGTGATGTGATCATAGCTCACTATAGCTTTGACCTCCTGAGCTCAAGTGATCCTCCCACAGCAGCCTCTCAAGTAGCTGGGACTACACATGCATGTCACCCATGCCCAACTCATTTTTGTAGAGATGAAATTTAGTTATGTTGCCCAGACTGATCTCAAACTCCTGGGTTAAAGCGATCATCTCACCTCAGCCTCTCAAGTAGCTGGGAGTACAGGCACACACCACCATGTCTGACTAATATTCATTTTTATTTTTTTGTAGAGGTGGGGTCTCACTGTTGTCCTGGCTAGTTTCAAACTCTGGGCCTCAAGTGTTCCTCCTGCTTTGACCTCCCAAAGTGTTGGGATTATGGGTGGCAGCCACCATGCCCAGCAATTACAAGGATTTTTTTTTTTTTTGGTTGTTTTTTTTTTTGAGACGGAGTTTCGCTCTTGTTGCTCAGGCTGGAGTGCCGTAGCGCAACCTCTGCCTCCTGGGTTCAAGCAGTTCTCCTGCCTCAGCCTCCAGAGTAGCTGGGAATACAGGCATGCGCCACTATGCCCGGCTAATTTTTGTATTTTTAGTAGAGACGGGGTTTCTCCCTGTTGTTCAGGCTGGTCTCGAACTCTTGACCTCAGGTGAATCACAAGGATCTTTATAAAAGAAAGAGGGTAGGAGAGTCAGAACTGGAGCAGGAGATGTGGTGATGGAAGTCGAGGTCAGAGAGGGAGATTTGAAGATGCTTCACTTCTGGCTTTGAAGATGGAGTAAGGGGCCATGATCCAAGGAATGGGGGTGGCTTCTAGAAGCTGGAAAAGCCAAGAGAACACGTTAGAGCCTTCAAAAGGAATGCAGCCCTGCTGACACCTTGACTTTAGCTTTAATAGACCTAGTTGGGGCTTCAAGGCCCCAAGAATTGTAAGATGGTTTATTTGTGGTGTTTTTAGCCACTAAATGTAGGAAAGTTTGTTGCAGCCACAAGAAGAAATGAACATAAAGCCAGGCATGGTGGCTCATGCTGGTAATCCCAGCACTTTAGGAATCCAGGCAGGAGGATCACTTGAGGCCAGGAGTTCAAGACTAGCCTGCACAACATAGTGAGACCCTGTCTCTACAAAAAATTTTAAAAATGGCTGGGCACGGTGGCTTGCACCTGTAATTTCAGCACTTTGGGAGGCTGAGGCAGGCAGATCACCTGAGGTCAGGAGTTCGAGAACAGCCTGGCCAACATGGCAAAACCCCATATCTACTGAAAATACAAAAGTTAGCCGGGTATGGTGGCATGCGCCTGTAATCCCAGTTACTGGGAAGGCTGAGGCAGGAGACACCCTTGAAACTGGGAGGTGGAGGTTGTAGTGAGTCAGGATCGCACCATTGCACTCCAGCCTGGGCGACAAGAGTGAAACTCCATCTTAAAATAAGATAAAATAAAATAAAATAATAAAAGAAATCAGCCAGGCTTGATGACATGCACCTGTAGTCCCAGCTACTAGGGAGGCTGAGGTGGGAGGATTGCTTGAGCCTGGGAATTAGAGGTTGCAGTGAGCTGTGATTGCACCACTGCGCTCCAGCCTTGGTGGCAGAGTGAGATCTTGTCTTCACAAAAAAAAAAAAAAAAAAAAAAAAGAATAAATGAGCATGGTGGGCAAGGGGACAGATGGCAATAGAATAGTCAGGGGTGGCCTCCTAAGTAAAAATTAAGCAAAGACTTGAAGGAGGGGAAGGAGTTGGCCAAGGTGCTGTGGGAAGAGCATTGTAGGCAGAAACAACGGAATAAGGTGTCTGAGGTGTGTCTGAGGCTCTGGAAGGAGGCTAGTGGAGCAGAAGGAGAGAGGGAGAAAATTAGGGCAGCAGGCCAGAGATTTGCTGGGCAGGGATCGGTACAGACTGTGTAAGCCCTGGGAGGTTATTGCTGGGCTAGATGGGAAATTCAGGAGGGTTCTGAGCAGAGAGGCGACATGATCTGTCTGCCGATTTAAAAGCATTCTCTGGCTGCTGAGTTGAGAAAGACTGTGGGAAGATTTGGATAGAAGCATGGGGGCCAAGTTGTGGCAACATCGAGGTGGGAGATGATAGTGGTCTTGACCAGGGTCGTGGTGGTGGTGAGAGATAGTCAGAGGAGAGAAGTTGGGGAGGAGGCCAGGGAGTTGCTGGGTGGGGATCTTCAGTACATGTTGAAGACAGTCAACAGGATTTCCTGACAGACTGGATGTGGGGTGTGAGAGAAGGCAGGGGTCAAGGTTGTGTTAGATTCTTACTGAATTATTAAGTAATTTTAAAAAACACTACTGCCTTTCCCAGTCCTATTAAGTATGGGATAGTAGATTAAAGAAATCTCTTCACGCTCAGTGCAGTGGCTCATGCCTGTAGTTCCACCTGTTTGGGAGGCAGAGATGGGAGTATCTTTTAAGGGCAGTAGTTCGAGACCAGCCTGGGCAATATAGCAAGACCTACTCTCAATAAAAATGTTTTTCAAAATTTAATAAAATGAAATGTAGCTAGGCATGTTGATGTGTACTTGTAGTCCCAGCTACTCAGGAGGCTGAGGTGGGCAGATCTCTTGAGGTCAGGTGTTTGAGGCCAGTTTGGGCAACATAGCAAGACCCCTCACTCTACAAAAAATTAAAAAATAGCCAGGTATGGTGGCACTCAACTGTGGTACCAGCCAGTGGGGAGCTGAGGCAGGAAGATGGCTTAAATTCAGAAGGTCGAGGCTTCAGTGAGCTATAAGTGCACAACTGCTCTCCAGCCTGGGCGACAGAGCAGGACCCTGTCTCACAATACAAATAAAGTAATGAAATCATAAGTTAGAGCCTTTTGGCTCTGTAGCCCTTGCAACCCTGGAGCCGTGCAGTGGGGTTTGCATCACTGGGAATGAGGAGACCCCTCCCCAGTATTGTTGCCTGACTAATCAGTGTTTTAAAAAATATATGAATCTGTTGGGAGGCCGAGGCGGGCGGATCACGAGGTCAGGAGATCTAGACCATCCTGGCTAACACGGTGAAACCCTATCTCTACTAAAAATACAAAAAAATTAGCCAGGCGTGGCGGTGGGCACCTGTAGTCCCAGCTGCTGGGGAGGCTGAGGCAGGAGAATGGCGTGAACCTGGGAGATGGAGCTTGCAGTGAGCCAAGATTGTGCCACTGTACTCCAGTCTGGGGGACAGAGCGAGACTGTGTCTCAAAAAAAAATATATAGGTATATAAATATAGTTATATAACTATATATTTATATAAATATATAAATTTATAAATTTTTATATTTATATAAATTTATATAAATTTATATTTATATATAGTCATAATATATAGTTATATAAATATATAGTTATATAAATATATCACTACATATTTATATAAATATATATGTACACACATACATATATATTAATATATATATTAGCATGGGCGCAATGGCTCATGCCTGTAATCCCAGCACTTTGGGAGACCAAGGTGATCACCTGAGGTCAGGATTTTGAGACCAGCCTGGCCAACATGTCGAAACCACATCTCTACTAAAAAAAACACAAAAATTAGCCAGGCATGGTGTTGGGCGCCTGTAATCCCAGCTACTTGGGAAGCTGAGCCAGGAGAATTGCTTGAACCCAGGTGGCGGAGGTTGCAGTGTGTCAAGATTGTGCCACTTCACTTCAGCTGGGTGAAAGAGTCAGACTGTTTCCCAAAAAAAAAAAAAAAGTATTACGTATGTCAACTTGTAATGGTTTTATTATTCATGTGTAATGAATATATATTTTAAAAATTTGTTCTGTATTATATCAACATGAAATGGTTTTATTATTAATATGTAATGAATATTTTAAAATTTTTGTGTTATTTTCTAATTTTAATATAATTATTTATATAAAGAAAAAGTCCTAAGAGAGCTTCAATAGAGTTAAAAAATGTAAAGGGATGCAAGACTCGAAAAGATTGAGAACATGTAGTTTAGACATATTCAGAGTAAGCCACATACAACTTGCTACTTTACCTATTTTCTTTCTTTCTTTCTCTCTTTCTTTCTTTCTTTCTTTCTTTCTTTCTCTTTCTTTCTTTCTTTCTTTCTTTCTTCTTTTCTTTCTTTCTTTCGTTTTGTTTTGGGAGATGGGGTCTCCTCTGCAACCCAGGCTGGAGTATAGTGGTGCAATCACAGCTCACCGTAGCTTTGAACTCCTAGGCTAAGGCTCCTCCTGCCTCAGCCTCCTTAGTAGCTGGGACTGTAGTTATACATGATGACACCTGGCTATTCTTTAAATTGTTTTGTAGACATGGGGTCTCACTTTGTTGGCCAGGCTGGTGTCAAACTCCTGGCCTCAAGTGACCCTTCCACCCCTGCCTCCCATCCTAGAGGTATTAGCCACCACAGCAAACACTTGTTCGATTTTCTAAAAATAAACAAATTTCCGAATTAAGGCTGGGGGATGATGGCCAGAAGATAAAAGTAGAAAAACAGAAGAATAAGTTCTAATGACTTACACATATTTTTTTGACAGCAAGAAGAACTTTTAGTAAATACATTCCTTACAAACAAACAGAAGGCAAATAATGTTGTACAGGAACTTCAACACACACTGCACAATATTCCCACTTTGCTGATGTCAGTTATGGAAATTCTTCGTGGTTTACTTGACTGTCGCTATCAGTATTTAGCATCTCTCATCATTTTTGTCAACTTCCTTATCTGCTAACTTCTTTCCAAGAAGTTATGTCATAATATGACATACCTCTGCTGCATGAACATGGCCAGTGTCATCCTATTTAACACGTAGAATCCTTCCCTAATTTGTTTTTTTACCCTCTGTCTCTTTGTTTTGCATTTTTCTTACCTTTATTGTCAGAAACTCCAGAAAGTCAATCGTAGTGATTTATCACCAATTGCTTCATTAATTTATACTTTGCTTATATGGAATTTTGCCCAACAGACGTCATTAGAATTTCTAACCTTTTTTCTTTTTTCTTTTTTTTTTCCTGAGACAGGGTCTTGCTCTGTTGTCCAGGCTGGAATGTGGTAGTGCTATCACAGCTGACTGCATCCTCGACCTCTCAGGCTCAAGCAGTCCTCCCACCTCAGCCTCCCAGGTGGCTGAGACTGTGTGTGCTTGCCACAATGCCCAACTAATATTTGGACTTTTCCTATACATGGGTTCCAAAGGGCTGACTGCGAAATGTGAGTATGCATGGATTTTGGTATATGCAGAGATGGGGGGCTGGAACGAATCCTCTCTGTATGCCGAGGGATGACCGTATATGTTTTTACAGTTACACTGTAGGACACATATTGTTCCATAGCCTTGAAAATGATAATTTTTAATGACAAATAATTTTGAATTTAGTGGTATAATATAAAAGTAGCAGCTGATCAGGTGTGGTGGCTCACACCGGTAATCACAACACTTTGGGAGGCTGAAGCAGGAGGATGGCTCGAGGCCAAGAGTTTGAGACAGGCCTCAGAAATCAAGGGAGTCACCATCCCTACAGAAATATACATGAATTAGCCTAGTGTGATGGCATGTTCCTGTAGTCCCAGCTACTTGGGAGGCTGAGGTGGGAGGATCACTTGAGCCCAGGGAGGCTTAGACTGCAGTGAGTCATGATCAGGACTCTGCACTCCAGCCTGAGTGACAGAGTGACCCTGTCTCAAAACAACAAAAAGTACTAGCTAACATTAACTGACCTTCTACCAGGTGCCTATAAATACCATAGATAGTTTAATTTCTTATAACTGTTTCTTATTTCGCTTAACCACTCTGTCTTCAGTTACTCCCAGATTTTCACTGTGTTTGTGCAGATGACTTTTTGTTTAGGTTCAGTTGTCTTCGAAGGTATTTCCAGAAGAAAGATTACTGTGAGTCATGGTGAATGGACATTCTCATTGTCCTTGATGTAAATTGTCAAGGTTTTGGGTGCCTCCCAGGTATAATCCCAGCACTTTGGGAGGCCAAGGCAGGAGGATTGCTTGACCCCAGGACTTGGAGGAGACAGTATGGTGAGACAGTGTCTCTATTATTAAAAAAAATTGCCGGTCAGATGTGGTGGCTCACGCCTGTAATCCCAACACTTTGGGAGGCTGAGGTGGGTGGATCACCTGAGTTCTGGAGTGCAATACCAGTCTGACCAACATGGAGAAACCCTGTCTCTACTAAAAATACAAAATCAGCTGGGTGTGGTGGCACACACATGTGATCCCAGCTACTCAGAGGCTGAGGCAGGAGAATCGCTTGAACCCGGGAGGTGGAGGTTGCAGTGAGCCGAGATCACACCATTGCACTCCAGCCTGGGCAATGAGAATGAAACTCCATCTCAAAAAATAAATAAATAAATAAAAAATTGGAAGCTTTACCCTGAAAGGCTTATATACAGTTTAAACACCCCTTATTGTATAAGAAAATGCCCGTTTCACTGCATCTTTGCCAGCACAGGGTATTATAATTTAATAAGTTATTTTTTGTTTGATGATTTTAAATGGATGAAAGCCGTCATATTACTTTGTCACATTTCAACATCTTTCCTTATACCTTATTAACCCTATTTCTTTTCTGTCTGTAAATTGTTGTTGTTGTTGTTTTGTTCTTTGAGACAGGGTCTTGCTCTGTCACCCAGGCTTGACTATAGTGCCATAATCATGACTCACTGCAGCCTTGACCTCACAGGCTCAAACTACCCTCCCACTTCAGCTTCCCAAGTAGCTGGGATTATGAGTATGCACCACCACACCCAGCTAATTTTTTTCTTTTTTTGGATAGAGACAGGGTCTCACTGTGTTGCCCAGGCCGGTCTCTAGCTCCTGGCCTCAAGCAATCCTCCTGCATTGGCTTCTTAAAATGCTGGCATGAGCCACCATGCCTGACTTTGGCTAGTCCTATATTCTCTAGAATTGTCTTTACTTTGTGCTAGCCAATCTCTCATTATGCTGTTCCCCTGTTATAATGAATAATTGTCTGTATTAAATTTTAGGACTTTGGACTTTTGAGTGGTTTATGTCTCCTGATTGGACCCTGACTAATACAGAGTTGATGCTGGGAAGGATCCCAGGAGACAGACCCACACAGATGGGATTTGGGCATAGATTTGGTTATCCAAGGGGCCGTGCTGAGCTCCTTGCCAATGGGACATGGGATGCTGTTGATTTCCAGGAAGTGACCTCACAATGACTCAAGCTACCACTTATTGTTGATTGTGATGAAATGCCAGCTGTGGCACATGCCTTGGGTGCTAAGTGGCTGCTGCACTTGACCGCTATAAAGACTGGTGTGGGAAGGGTCCTTTTGGATGTACTTGAGCAGGGTCCCCAACGCCGGAGCCATGATGAAGGCCTCTCCTGGCCCAGCTGTGGCCTCACATTGGCCTCCCCAGGCCACGTTTCCGCTTGCCTCGCGGCAGCCTTGGCAAGCCCAGCTCCTGCCTGCCGAGGGCCTCTTAAAGAGGCTCATCTCGTGCCTCGCCGTGGCCTCCCCAGGCCATGCTCCCACCTTTCGGCAGCCTCTGCAGGCCCAGCTCCTGTGTCCCGATGGCCTTTTTTTGCCTGGCTTTGCCTCACCGCGGCCTCTTGAGGCGCAGCTTTTCCCTTCTGGCGACATCTCCAGGCCCAGAACTTCCTCAAATCGGCCTCCCCCGGCCCAGTTGCTGCCTGCCGGCCTCCTCTCCGGGCCCAGCTATTTGCTCATGGCTGCGCCCACAGGCCCAGCTCCTGCCTCCAAACAGCCTCCTTTGACTCGGCTCCTGCCCAGCTCCTGGCAACCTACATCGGCCCAAAGCCTGCTCCAGTCCAGCTCTCCAGGCCCGCCTCTTGCCTCGCAGCGGCCTTTCCAGGCCCAGCTCTCGCCTCGCGGCAGCCTTCCACGACCCCACTCGTGCCGGCCTTCCACGACCCCCCTCGTGCCGGCCTCCGGGCAGCCTCCACAAGCCCAGCTCCTGCCTCATGCTGGTCCCTGTAGGCCCAGCTTGTGCCTTGCGGTGGCCTCTCCAGACCCAGCTCCCGCCCACCCCGATGGTGTCTCCCGGCCCAAAGCTCCCTTACTGAACGATGACCCCTCTAGACCCAGCTCCTGCCTGCTGCTGATGGCCTCTGCGGGCCCACCCAAAGCATCCCGAAGTTGGCTTCACCAGGCCCAGCTCCTGCCTGTTGTAGGCCCCTAGGGGCACGGCCTCTGCCCCACACCAGCCCCCCTGGAACCAGCTCTTGCCTCATCCTAGCCGCATCAGGCCAAGCTCCTGCCTTTTGGTGGTCTATCCATGCCTGGCTTTTGACTGCCGGCATCCTTTCCAGGCCCAGAACTGTTTCCAGTGGCCCTCTCCAGGCCCGGCTCTCCATCCGGGCCGCGTCCAGCGGTCCCAACCCCTGCCTCACGACAACCACGTTTGGCCCAGCTCCTGGTAGCCTTTGTAGGCCCCAGGCTCCTCGAAGTGAGGCCTCCCAGGCCCCGCCTTCGGCTCCCTGGTGGCCTGGAGAAGCCCAGCTCCTGCCTGACAGCGGTCTCTCCGGGCCCCGCTCTTGCCTCGTGTCGGCCTCCCCGGGCCACGTTGCCACCTGCCTCGCGGCAGCCCAGACAGGCCCGGCTCCTGCCTCCCATCGGCCTTTTTGGGCTCATCTCGTGCCTCACCGCGGCCTCCCCTAGGCCAGGCTCCTGCCTTTCGGTGGCCTCCGCAGGCCTGGCTCCTGCATCCCGATGGCCTCCTTAGGCCCGGCTCGTCCCTCTGAAAGGCCTCTTTCAGAGGCCTGGCTTTTCCCTCGTGGCGGCCTCTACAGGCCCAAGTGGGCAAGCCACCGCGACGGCCCGGTGGCTACCTCTCGGCCTCCTCTCCAGGCCCAGCGCTCTCTCGCGGCTGCACCTCCAGGCCCAACCCCCACCTGCAGACAGCCGCTTCTGACTCGGTTTGTGCCCAGATCCCGGCGGCCTTCGTAGGCCCGAAACCTCCTCCAGCCCAGCTCTCCAGGCCCACCAGTGGCCTCGCAGCAGCCTCCCCGGGCCCAGCTCTTGCCTCACGGCGGCCTTCCCCGTCCGTGTTCCTGCCGGCCTCCCGGCGGCCTCGACAAGCCCAGCGCCTGCCTCACACTGGGCTCTTGAGGCCCAGCTGACGCCTCACGGTGGCCTCTCCAGGCCCAGCTGCCGCCCGCCCCAACAGCATCTCCTGGCCCAAGGCTATTTCAAGTGGGCCCCTCCAGGGCCCAGCTGCTGCACCCCAACCAATGGCCTGTGCAAACCCAAAGCGTCTTGAAGTTGGCCTCGCCAGGCCCAGCTCCTGCCTGTCGTAGGCCTCTGGACTTGAGGCACGGCCTCTGCCTCCTCACAGTGGACCCCCGCCAGGCCCAGCTCTTGCCTCAGCGTGGCCGCCTCAGGCCAGGCTTGTGTTCTGCCTGTGGGCAGCCTCCACGGGCCCAGCTCTCGCCTCTGGCCATCCTCTCCAGGCCCAGAAGTGTTTCCAGCCAGCCTCTCCAGGCCCAGAACTGTTTCCAGCCAGCCTCTCCAGGCCCAGCTCTCCCTCCCGGCTGCGCCTGCCGGCCCAGCTCCTGCCTCGCAACAGCCACGTTCGGCTCAGCTCCTGCCCAGCTCCTGGCAGCCTTTGTAGGCCCCAGGCTCCTCGAAGTGAGGCCTCTCAGGCCCCACCTTCGGCTCCCCGGCGGCCTGGAGAGGCGCAGCTCCTCGTGACAGCGGCCTCTCCGGGCCCGGCTCGTGCCTCACGTCGGTCTCCCCAGGCCACGTTGCCACCTGCCTCGCGGCAGCCCCGACAGACCTGGCTCTTGCCTCCCGACGGCCTCTTTGGGCTCATCTCGTGCCTCACCGTGACCTCCCCCAGGCCAGGCTCCTGCTTTTTGGCGGCCTCCGCAGGCCCGGCTCCTGCATCCCGATGACCTCTTTAGGCCTGGCTCATCCCTCTGAACGGCCTCTTTCAGAGGCCCGGCTTTTCCCTCGTGGCAGCCTCTGCAGGCCCAAGTTGGCAAGCCACCACCACGGCCCGGTGGCTGCCTCCCAGCCTACTCTCCAGGCCCAGCACTCTCTCGCGGCTGCGCCTCCATGCCCAGCCCCAGCCTGCAGACAGCTGCTTCTGACTCGGCTCGTGCCCAGATCCCGGCAGCATTCGTACGACCAAAACCTCCTCCAGCCCAGCTCTCCAGGCCCACCTGTGGCCTCGCAGTGGCCTCCCCGGGGCCAGATCTTGCCTCACGGTGGCCTTCCCCGGCCGTGTTCCTGCCAGCCTCCCAGCGGCCTCGACAAGCCCATCGCATGCCTCTCACTGGGCTCTGGAGGTCCAGCTCAAGCCTCACGGTGGCCTCTCCAGGCCCAGCTCCCGCCCGCCCCGACGGCGTCTCCCGGCCAAGGGTTTCTCAAGTGGGCCCCTCCAGGGCCCAGCTGCTGCCCCCCGGCCGATGGCCTGTGCGGGCCCAAAGTGTCCTGAAGTCGGCCTCGCCAGGCCCAGCTCCTGCCTGTCGTAGGCCCCTGGACTTGAGGCACGGCCTCTGCCTCCTCACAGTGGACCCCCACCAGGCCCAGCTCTTGCCTCAGCATGGCCGCCTCAGGCCAGGCTCGTGTTCTGCCTGTGGGCAGCCTCCACGGGCCCGGCTCTCGCCTCTGGCCATCCTCTCCAGGCCCAGAAGTGTTTCCAGCCAGCCTCTCCAGGCCCAGCTCTCCTTGCCGGCTGCGCCTGCCGGCCCAGCTCCTGCCTCGCAACAGCCACGTTCGGCCCAGCTCCTGCCCAGCTCCTGGCAGCCTTTGTAGGCCCCAGGCTCCTCGAAGTGAGGCCTCTCAGGCCCCGCCTTCGGCTCCCTGGCGGCCTGAAGAGTCCCAGCCACTGCCTGACAGCGGTTTCTCCGTGGGTGCCAGTAATCCCAGCTGCTCGGGAGGCTAAGGCAGGAGAATTTCTTGATCCCGTGAGGCGGAGTGTACAATGTTAAAAGTTTCCTTTTCAAAGTTTCCCTTCTTCATAAAGAATAAATCATAAGTTTTAGAAATAATTTTTTAAAAATTAGCTTCCTTGAGACCTCCTTGCTTTGTGCTAATAACTGTTAAGCCCTATACTGTGTAGCTGTTAGATAGAAAAGAGTAAGTACAGTCTATGTCCTTGTACTTTAAACAATATATTTGTGCTACACATGCTTACAGGCACATAGTACAGTCTATGTTCTTGTACTTAAACCAAGGTATGTTTGCTGGCTGTGCTCACAGGGATGTCTTAGCTTGCTGCGTTCCTTATTTTGGAATGTCCTTTTTTTTTTTTTTTTGACAGTCTCTCACTCTGTTGCCCAGGCTGGGGTGCAGTGGCACAGTCTCAGCTCCCTGCAACCTCTGCCTCCCAGGTTCAAGCGATTCACCTGCCTCACCCTCCCAAGTAGCTGGGACTACAGGCGTGTGCCACCATGCCCAGCTAATTTTTTGTATTTTTTTAGTAGAGACACGGTTTCACCGTGTTAGCCAGGATGGCCTCGATCTCCTGACCTCGTGATCCGCCCACCTCAGCCTCCCAAACTGCTGGGATTACAGGTGTGAGCCACCGCGTCCGGCAGGAAATGTTATAACTTTTCTATGTCTTTTCATAAGCAACTTCCTCTTTTTCTTTATTCTCCATTAGTTTTACCTATTTAGCAGTGTTTTAAGTTGTTAGCCAATCAGGTTCAGTTTAAATTGTAATTTCTAGCTCCAGTCAATGGAGACAACACACAGTAGCAAGGACAAGCTGCATAAAGGATAAAAATTGCTTCCCTCTTTTCTCCAGAAAGTAAAATTACCTTACTGAGAAAACTTCTTTGTCTAAATGCTGATTTTTCCTTGCAGTACTGGGGAAGAAGCATTTTGTTTCTGAATAAACATTTTACTCATAACACAGAGGTTGCAGTGAGCCGAGAGCTTGCCACTGCGCTCCAGCCTGGGCGACAAAGCGAGACTCCGTCTCAACAAAACAAAAAACAAAGACTGGTTCTTGGCTTCCCGTGGCAAAGGCCTTGGCCACATCATTTTGGTCCTTAACACCATACATGCAGCCACTGGTCTTTTTTTCCTCACAGAGGAGGACAGGAGTTCTGTGTGAGGAGGTGGCCAGAAGGATGGGAGGACGGATAATTGGAGCTTGGAAGTAGACGTGTGGTGAGTTTCATCCACACTGACAACTTCCTGATGGAGTTCTGGGTGGCAGAAATGGTGCTGGGAGATGCTGTTTCTCCTCCATGTCCCTATCATCCCCCCTCCTACTCACCACCACCCCATCTCTGGTCTTTAGCATCCGAGTGGTCCCTGCCTTCACGTCACTCCTAGTTCGTGTGCACCTGCAGCTCAGGCATTGCTGGGAAGCTGACTAGAAAATGCAGAATCTGGGCCGGGTGCGGTGGCTCACGCCTGTAATCCCAGCACTTTGGGAGGGCAAGGCGGGCAGATTACTTGAGGTTAGGAGTTTGAGACCAGCTTGACCAACATGGAGAAACCCCATCTACTATACAAAAATTATCTGGCTGTGGTAGTGGCGTGCATGTAGTCCCATCTACTTGGGAGGCTGAGGCAGAACTGCTTGAACCTGGGCCAGAGAGGTTGCAGTGAGCCGAGATCACACCACTGCACTCCAGCTTGGGCGACAGAGCAAGACTCCGTCTCAAAATAAAATAAAAATTTAAATTAAAAAAATCAGAATCTGGGCCCAGCAGCAGGCTCCAGGGACCCCCCTGCCAACCCGTCCTTGGTGGAGTGTGAGCAGCCTTGGCCACCGTGTCACCATCCTGCTCAGCTCCTGGGACGCCCTGTTCCTGCCATCCACAAGCTCTTCAGCCTGTCTGCTCCGGCAGCTGCCTATGACGCCCATCCCACCCTCCCTGCTGGTTGAAATCCTGCCCAGCCTGCAGAGCCAGAGCGTATGCCATCTCCTCCTCCTCCTTTTCCCTCCTCCTAGAGATCTTGATAGGGGAAGTCCTCCTTGATGCTCTGCCAAGACATGAAGTAACCTTGCCCTCCTCTGGAGTCCCACGGTACTTCCTCTGTGTTTGTCTTGTGGATTCTCAGTACCTGACTCGTCTTTAGCCCTGGAAGGCAGGAGCTAGAGGGTGAATAGCCCAGGGACGGCCAGTATCTCCAGGCCCCTTCATCATCATCTGAAAGAATCTAGGATATTCTACATTCCAGGTCCTCCCTTTAGGATGCTAGAGCTGAATTTCTGAGATGGAACCAGAAATGCGCTTTTTTTTTTTTTTTTTTTTTTTTTTGGGACAGGTCTCTCTCTGTCTCCCAGGCTGGAGTGTAGTGGCACAGTCACAGCTCACAGCAACCTCAAGCTCCTGGGCTCAAGCAGTCCTCCCACCTTAGTGGGAGTATCCTGAGTGAACTCTCTGGGAGGTTCTTAAGGGGTAGCCCCTGGTTTATGGAGAGAGGTAGTGACCACCCTCAACCAAGACACAACCTGACTTAGCTTGAGTCCCAGGTCCTGTCAGGGTTGTTGCAAGGATCCCATAAAATGGCAAATGTACCCCAAATACAGCCAGCATAGTGCTCTGCATATAGAACCACCAGGAGGAAACAATGCTAAAGTACCACGCTCAGAGTTCTGCTCTCTACAGCAGTGAAAAACAAAAACACCGAATTATCCACCCTCAAGGTTATCCAGCTGTGAAAAGAATGGCAGGGCACAGTGGCTCATGCGTGTAATCCCAACACTTTGGGAGGCCGAGGTGGGAGGATTGATTGAGGCCAGGAGGACCAGCCTGGGCAACAGAGCAAGTCCTCCCACCCTGATATCTTGTTTTTTTTTTTTTTTTTGAGACGGAGTCTGGCTCTGTCGCCCAGGCTGGAGTGCAGTGGTGCAATCTTGGCTCACTGCAAGCTTCGCCCCCCAGGTTCATGCCATTCTCCTGCCTCAGCCTCCTGAGGAGGTGGGACTATAGGCACCCGCCACCACGCCCAGCTAATTTTTTGTATTTTTAGTAGAGAAGGGGTTTCACCGTGTTAGCCAGGATGGTCTCGATCTCCTGACCTCGTGATCTGCCTGCCTCGGCCTCCCAAAGTGCTGGGATTACAGGCGTGAGCCACCGCGCCCGGTCACCCCCACCCCGGTCTCTACAAAAAATTATAAAATTAGCCGGGCGTGGTGGCAGGCACCCATAGTCCCAGCTACTGGGGAGGCTGAGGTGGGAGGATCGCTTGAGCCCAGGGGTTGGAGGCTGCAGTGAGCCATGATCACACCACTGCACTCCAGCCTGTGCGACAGAGACCCTGTCTCTAAAGAAAAATTTAGAAAAGTGACAAGGGCAAATACACACAGTGAAAGAAGTGGGGGGCAGCTCATCTCCATAAATGGCCATCAGAGTCAGGTCTCCCGCAGCCACACCCTTGTGTGGTTCCTGCCCATGTCATTGGGGGCCTTGTAACTTACTCTAACCTAGAGAATGCAGCGCAAGCGAAGCTGGGCCAGTTCTCAGCCCAAGCCTTAGAGCCTGGCAGCTTCTGCTTTTGCTTGTGGGAACTGAGTCATTCAACAAACATATGGACCTTGCTGTAGATGCGTTGTGAAGAATGAGAGGCCCAAGACCTCGGGGAAAAGGCCAGCTGTCCGGGCATCTCCCAAACACCAGCCTCGCGTGCTCCAGTCCAGCCAAGCCTCCAGTGACTGCAGTGGGAGCTGTGGGCATGTAACCACCCAGCTGAGTCCTGTCAACCCCCAGCGTCGGGAGATAGGAACAGAAATAGCCTAAAAGCCACCAGAGTGGAGAGGGCTGGGATTGTTACAGTAGCAGATAACCTGCAGAGCAGGCTTCATTCTCTCAACCTATGAAATATGCAAGAGAGGACAAGTATTACCAGTAGTTCCTTTCCCGCTTTATTTTTTAGCTGCTTTTTGGGTTTTATACAATGAACATGTATTAATTGTAGAAGAAAACGATGTCATCCTTTATGATAAAATCCATTTCCATTTTAGCTTTTTTAAAAAAACAAAAAGCTGTTGTGGACAGATGAACATCCAAGTACTGGGCACACCTCCAGCCCTCCCTCTTCCACTGAAGGCCATTGCCTATTCCTAGAAAGTTCTTTCCCAGGTATGCAGCTTTCAGTTTCCACTTCAGAGGCCACAGTGTCTGGGGAACGGACTGCCCCCAATACTAAAGGGAGTCAAATCTCTTTAATTCCGCACTCCTCAGTACAACAAGAAGTCCCTTCTTTAGGCCACTGATGGAAACCTGGAACCCCCTTTTGATGGCAGCATGGCGTCCTAGGCCTTGACACAGCGGCTGGGGTTTGGGCTGTCCCAAACCGCACACCCCAACCCTGGTCTACCCACAGTTCTGGCTATGGGCTGTCTCTGCCACTGAACATCAGGGTTCGGTCAGAAGATGAAATCCCAAGGGGGACAGAGGTCAGTAGAGGAAGCTCAATGAGAAAGGTGCTGTTTGCTCAGCCAGAAAACAGCTGCCTGGCATTCGCCGCTGAACTATGAACCCGTGGGGGTGAACTACCCCCAGGAGGAATCAGGCCTGGGCGATGCAAGGGTGCCAACAGGAGGGGCGGGAGGAGCATGTACGGGTAAACTGAATACTGTGTCCAATTCCATAAATTAACAATTTAGACTTTCTTGAAGCTACTGATGAAAGCGTCACGCTTCAGTCTAACAGTTAAACATCATCTAATTCTGATTGGTAATGAAGAGGTAGCAGACACTCTAAAGTTGGCTCTCACAGGGAAGAAAGCACAGCATTTACAGAAGGGACCTTGAAAAATAAAATCAAGGACGGCTTTTATTGATGCGCCCACAGAGCCACCCACAATTTGGAAGGCATGATGATGTCAATACAGTAATCATCACCAAAGCAAATTAAAATACAAAGTTTATCTGCAACGGCTTTGCAGTGACATGATGCCTTCATAAATTAAGGAAACTGGCCACCCGTCACAGCGGCTCACTTCAGGGTCTTCACGAAATCTTCCCCCTTCTTGATGGAGGCCTTCAGCTCGGGGATGGCATCCGAGATCATCTTCTCCTCAAAAGAGGAGACTTTGCCGATGCCCAGGTTCTTCTCGATGCCCTTTTTCTGAGGGAGATGGGAACATGTTAAAATGAAGTTTCCAGGAAAGTGCTTGTTAGAGAAACCCCGACCTGTCGCTCCATCAGCCCTGCCGAGGAGTCTCTCTACACATGCGGGTTCTGGGTGCCTTGCTGGGGACGCCTTGCTGAGCAGGTGGGTGGGACTGAGCTGCGGTCAGGAGTGCGAGGCTCAGAGCCAGAGGGTGCCAGGCAGGGGTCCCAGCACTGTGATTGTCTAGGCAGGTACCCTGGACAATGACTGACCTTCCAAATGTGTTTCCTTAGCTATAAAACAAGCACCATCCACCTTCGTGAACACGAGGACAATGCGACAAGCACCTGGACGCCAGGAACTCAATCATCAGGAACACTTCACCGTATTCTCCCCAACAGAGCCTGTTTCTGGGTTCTTGTCTCTCCCCGCAGGTTGGTAAAGGACTGAAAACATTGTCACAGTCACCTGAATCAGGTGTCACTAAGTAGGTAAATGTCTGACATTGGCAAAAACAGGCATCTCTGCCACCGTCTCACCTGCAGAAACTGAGCACAGTTTGTGTGGCAACAGCCTCAGTCCTCACCTCAACTCAATTCCCTCCTACTGCTTCCCCTGGCTCAAGGGCCTATGAGAACCGGGTGCGTCTCACCTGCAGGCCCTGCCATTCCATACACCTGCACCGACATGGGGACAGAACTATACCATCGAGTGCCTGTCTCTCACCAAGGCCTGGGGCCATAGCTGAAGGATCTTTCTGTATCGGAGCATCTCTGAGAAAGGTCCTGGGGTGGCCCAGTGAGCCATATTACTTTCTGGCCACGTGATGAAGGCAACCACACATCTGCCTCATTTCTGCCCACAGGTGAGAAATGGAAACTCGGCTTGAGGGGGTATGAGTAAGACCTAAGGGTTTCTGTTTGCTGAAGACTCAGGCTGTCTGGATGGGGCACACTCTCGAAGAGGAATTGGGCCTGGCCGCCCCCCGCAGTCAGAACAAGATGAACAAGGAGCGACAGGGAGGTGTTCAGGCGGGGTAGGGAGGCCTCCCTGGGCTGCCTGGAGATGGAGTGTCTTATCAGTCAATACTCCTGCAGCTGCTGGGCACCCGCTGTCAAACTGCAGGGAAGGAGACCCACTTGCTGGGAGGTTCACCCTTCACAGTCTGTGATCCTCCCAGCTCTTTTTTCTCGGGTGTGCGTCCACCCTTGAAAACAACAGCACTCGCCAGGCAGGCACATGAGCTTACTGCATAAAGGGCCAGGGAGAGCTCCTGAGGCTTAAGCAAAGGGAACGCCCCCTTATTCCACAGTCAGAAGGACCCACGCCTGGATACGTACCCCAAGCAGCAGCGGTGTGGAGAAGTAGGTACATTCCGTTTCCTGTGACTTAACGAAGGAACATTCCACAACACCTTCCTTTCCATTCATTGCATCCACAAGGGAGAAGACAAAGCGGGCGCCGGCATACGCCATGGAGAGGGTGGCAGAGCCTAGGGGGGCACAGACAGGTCAGCCTGGCTGGTGCCACAAACGTGACGCCCAGGTGAGCCGGCCCCGCCAGCCAAGACACCTGCACACCTTCCAGCCTGACAGTGGAGAATTTCAGTCAGCACCCCGATTTCTTGTTACTTATACATGAATGGTGTAGAATTGACTCTGCCACCCTCAAAAATGACTCTCAACCCCACAAAGCAGGCCGAGCTGCCCTCTCACACAGGGATTTTCCACCAGGCAACTGCAAATCAACACTGAAAAGGATCGTCCATGCCCAGGGACAAGCAGCATTTCTCCCCAACCCTGAGCTCTCGCAGGGCCTCACTGGCACCCAGCCCCGGGGCTGCCTGAGACTCTACCTGCTCCGGCTTTAGCCTTGACCACCTCCGTGCCGGCCTCCTGGATCCGCCCAGTGAGTGCTGTCAGCTGGTCCTGGGGAAAGTCCACCTTGGGGGTGCACTGCAAGCCAAGCCATGGGATCAGTGAGTGGCTTCCGGCCCATGACCCCAGACCCACTGCCTCCCACCCCCACTATTCCCGACCTCTCCTCTCCCTCCCATCACCAGGGCATGGGAAAGGTTTTCTATAAAGAAGAAAAAGAAAACCTTTATAGAAAAATGACATGCTATTCTGGGCACACTGCCTATGGGGTAGCCCTGCTCCACAAGGAGCAGCAAAAAAATAATAATAAAAAGATAAAAAAAAAAAAGACGAAGTGAAATCAACTCTGTTGGGAAGTGTGGTGAGTCCCCTACTCATTTGTTTTTTGAGGCCAGGGTCTGGCTCTGTCGCCCAGGCTTCAGTGGTGCATCATAGCTCGCTGCAGCCTCAACCTCCCAGGCTCAAGCAATCCTCCCGCTTTGGCCTCCCAAATGCTGGGATTACAGGTATGAGCCACTGTGTCCAGCCCTGGACTCATTTTTGAAAAAAGCACCTCGCCCGCTCCGGCCTAACCAGTAACCCGGTGAGGTTCCCAACAGTGGTTCTCCTTGCGTGCTGGAGCTGGGCCCTGAGCAGCTTCCACCCACATTCGCTCCAGGACTGACACCGCCCTGCAGCAGAGGGGCGGGGCTGCCTACAACAGGAGCCCTTCCAAAACCTGGCACGTGGCCAGGCCTTCTCCAGTCTACCGGGATCACCTCAAAGCAGGGCCTGGTAAAGGGAATCCTGACCTCGAAGCCCCTCACAGGGTCATATGCGTGTACCTGAGAGATCAGGGGGATGATGGTCTTCCCAGCATGGCCACCAATGACAGGGACGTTGACTCGAGCTGGATCCAAACCCTGGTGACCAAAGTATGAAGCTGGATGAGTTAACAAGCTCTTTCACTGTAAAACATGTCACAGCTGCCCACAGCCCCAACACTGGAAAAGCCCCCCAGAACTCAGGGTGGAACAGAGCCAGCTAGGAGGAGGCCCTGTCCAGCCCCTGCTGCGCTTGGATCTCCTGCCACGGTGCCCCAAAAGGCTGAGCATGAGCGCCAGCAGGTGCCGTGAGGGCTTGCCGCCGTCTGGCGAGGCCATCGCAAGTCCTTCCTTCATAGTGAGCATTTGTGCCCACTGTGGATGGGCATGGGAGGATGCTGCCTCCTGTGGAGGCCCCCCCCGGGCCTGGCATCCTCTTTCCCAGAGCCGGCTCCACTCCCCATGCACAAGCCCAGACTCCTCCCTACACAGAACAATCCAAGTTCCCTTTTCTTCAGGCCCCACAGAACAAAATTCAAATCCATTCCAGGATACCCATGAGTTAGAAGTCTGCCACCTCAAACAGTGATTGGGACAGAAAGAACAAACTGACTCCTATGGCTCCAAACAGCACAGTTCAAGGCTGCCTCATTTCTTAAACTGGAGGTACCACACCCCCAAGAATCTGTGAACCAGGTTTTTGTTTTATTTTTTGAGACAGGGTCTCTATCCCCCAGGCTGGAGTGTAGTGGCACAATCTTGGATGGCTGCAACCTCTGCCTCCTGGACTCAATGATCCTCCCACCTCAGCCTCCCAAGTACCAAACACCTCCACACCCAATCTATGTTTTTTAAATGTTTTGTACAGATGGGGTGTTGCCATGTTGCCCAGGCTGGTCCTGAACTCCCGGGCTCAAGCCATCCTCCTGCGTTGGCTTCCCAAAGTGCTGGGATTCCAGGCATGCACCACTGCGCCCGGCTGAACCAAGTATTTCTTAAAACGGACAATAACCTGGTGGGAGTAATGGTAGCGAGGGAACAGCCACCTGCCCCGATGGCCATGGCCACTGAAGAGCCCAGTCCTAGGTTGGAAAATGAGCCTGGTCTGGGAGAGGGAGGATCAGCCTCACGCACGGGAAAAGTAGGATCAGCTTCATGGAGCCGGGAGCCAAAGATCCGAGAGGCTTAGCTTGGTGGTGTATAAGCACACACGTGCGGGCACTGCACGGTCACCAGGGACGTGGGGCTGAAGGGACACAGCCCTGCTTTCCAGAGGCTTGCCCTCAAATACAAGACTCCTAGAAATGTATGTTCCAATGGTGCATGCTAAGACGGGGGACAAGGCGACTTTGCAGCAAACGGGAACAAGGCATTGGCCTGGGAGGTCCTGGAGCCACGTTGAAAGGGAATATGGTGGGTGAGAGGATGAGGGAGGAACCAGCCATCGGAAGTTTAAGGATTGATATGCATTCTTGATATGATCCAGGAAATTTCCAGAATGTCAGGCAGCCAGGGGTAATGACAGTCCACTTCACTGTTGGAGGTGGGGGACGGGATCTCCCAAGGGCCAAGGTACCCTGTCCCCAACTCTAACAGTGAAGCTTCAAGGCTGAGATAGGACTGCCTAACAGGACTTTCTGTGAGGACAGAGGAGCCATATGTGGCCATGGAGCATCTTAAATGTGGTTTGTGTGGCAGAGGGATATAGTTTTAATGTTATTTAACCATAAATAGCCAAATGTAGCTAGTGGCAGCTATGGTGCAGGGCAGGACTAGGGCCTGGGGTGTGCCCAGCCCTGAGAGCCCACGAGAATGAACTCTGTTGCCTCCAGGACGCCAGGGGCTGCGCCTCTGGAGGTGGGAGGTGGGATCCTGCCTGTTGTGTCCACTTCCGTACTGCGGCAATCCCGGGGGCCTCTGGACATACACCTGCGCTCACCTGCTCACTCAAACTGTTTTTTTTTTTTTTTTAAAGAGACAGGGTCTTGCTCTGTCACGCAGGCTGGAGCGCAGTGGCGCAATCACAGCTCATTGCAGTCTTGAACTCCTGGGTTCAAGCAACCATCCCACCTCAGCCTCCCAAAGTGCTGGGATGACAGCCGTGAGCCACTGTGCCAGGCTTAAACTGTCTCTTCGATTCAAGTGTCTCTCCCATTCCATGGAACTCTAAGGCCTGGGGCCATGCCTTTTGAAACTCTGTGACCCCCACACCTGTAACAGAGTCCCACTACCAGGCCCTCGGGTACGTGCTGCCATGTCTGTTACAGTGGGGCATCTCTAACTCCTCAGAAGCAGATGTGCCTGTCACTCGGGAGTAAAACGGAGGCCAAGGGTGCTGCGGGTGCACTTCCTACCATGCCGCACGTATAACCTCCAATCTGCCATCAGAACAAAAAGGCCTGAAGCTCAAGAGAAATACTTTTTGGGGCCAAAGGAAGTGGTTCTGCTGGCTCCACAATGGAAGCAAGTCGAAAGCAGGCTGTGCAAAGCACTAAGGACTCCAGGCCCGGCACTGGCACCAAACCAAGCCGAGCTCAAGCCACACCCAGCAGCTCAGTCTCCGTCCAGCGGCCCTAGGGTCAGGCACCTGGCCAGGCCTGGACTCTCCAGGGTGAGCTACCACGGGCAACCCAAAAAAGTCAGTGCCAGGGACCAGGGCCAACAACAATTCTGATACCTCAGGACTTCTGGCACTTTCCTCAGTTCTTCATGTTTGCTAATTTTCCCACCCTTTATCTAGTGGCCAACAGGTAAATCCTCCCAGGACCAGTTTTCAGGGGCAAGGAGAAAGGGGAGGACTGGGGGAGCCCCGTCCAAGTCCAGCCACTGAGAAGCCCAAAGAAGGTGTGAACCCACAGTGCTCTTGGCGAGAAGGAAGACAGCGAGAGCCGGGAGACAGACACTGGCCAGAGTAGATGCCTGTTGGGCCGAGTGCCTGGAACCCACAGGAAACACAGGGGCTGCTTCCATCAAGAGGGCGAGCTCTAAAAACATTTAAAACCCCAAAGTGACACGTGACCTGGGCATGCCTTCATGTCTTCCACGCCCGTAAATGAGCACGGGTGGCGGGAGAAGTTCAGAAAGGTCACCTGAGCAACACCCACGCCGCCCTTACCTTCAGCTCTGCAACAAAGGTGTTGGCTCTGACGATGTCCAGGGTCGTCACGCCGAAGATTTTGTTGGGGTTGTACACTCCATGCTTCTTGAAAACTTCTGCTGTGATGGGGATGGTGGAATTAACCTAGGACATCCAACAGACAGGCATGGCTTGCCCTGGGTTCCGAGAGCAGGGCCAAGCCACAGCAGGAAAAGGGCTTTTTGTCAGACCTTCCCAAAGGTCTAACTAGTCCAAAGATGCCACATTAAACTGCCCTGTCTGATAACTCTGTACTGGCAAGCCACCTGCCAGAAAGGACAGGCCGCACCATGTGAACAAAGAAACCCTTTGCTGTAGAGGATGCTTCTTCCCTTGGTGGCCCTTCAGCTATCAACTGAAATGTGTGATGATGCCTCCATGGATCACCTTCTGCTCGGCCGGGACTCACAGCTGCAGGGCCACTCCTGATGGGACAGCAGTGCACAGCGGCTGTGTGCTCCAAGGAAGCAGGTCCACTGGCAGCTCAGTCCCTCTGTGCTATGACCCTGGGCAGGTCACCCTAACTCCCTGGGACCCGTTTTTTTCTTCTGTAAGTGGGGGAAACGACAACCTCATGAAGTCATAAATACTAAATGACTTCACACACGGCGAGTGCTGAACACGTCACCCGGGACGCCAGAAGATGACAGAATGGCCAGGTTTCTATTAGGCACTGGTTAGCTCCCCAACAAAGGGAATAGCAGCTCTCTATTTGTGACCCACCACCCTGAGGAGCTTCTGGGGAACGCAGGACCCTTAGAGGCCAGGAGCACGAGCTCTGCATGCCTGCTGGCATCCATGCCTCTCAGTGACATCATGGTCCCTGCCCCTTCACCCCAATTGATCCTCATCCTCAGACACCAGGACCCAGGCTCCGCCAGGAAGGAGCAGTGAGGTGGCTGCTGTTAAATGAGCACAAGGCCCTGCAGGTCAAGCTGGGGAACCATGGCCGCCCTCTCAGTGAGGACGCAGCACTCAACGTTTCCGAGAGTAAGCAGCTACCTGCAAAAACCAGTGAGTGGGGCCTGGGGTGGCTGTGTGTGTGTCCGCGACTGTGTGTGAATGAGGAAATGGGGACAACAGGGGACCAGGAATGGAAATCCTGAGTAGAATGCAGATAGTCCCACCTTATCCATGGTTTCACTTTCTGCTGTGTTAATTACCAGCAGTCAGTTGAGGTCTGAAATTATTACACGGAAGATTTCAGAAATAAAGAATTCATGGGTTTTAAACTGGCTGGGCGCAGTGGCTCATGCCTGTAATCCCAGCACTCTGGGAGAGTGAGGCGGGAGGATCACCTGAGGTTGGTTGTTTGAGACCAGCCTCACCAACATGGCGAAATCCTGTCTCTACTAAAAGTACAAAAATTAGCTGGGCATAGTGGCATGCACCTGTAATCCCAGCTACTCAGGAGGCTGAGGCAGAAGAATCGCTTGAACCTGGGAGGCAGAGGCTGCAGTAAGCCAAGGTCGCACCACTGCACACTGGCCTGGGCGACAGAGCCAAAAACAAACAAACAAAAAAACTGCATGCCATCCTGAGTAGCAGGATGAACTCTGGCTCCATCCCGCCCAGGACAGGGGTCAACCCTTTGCCCAGCATACCCATGCGTCTACACCACCTGCCTGAGTCACTTAGGAGCCATTTTGGTTATCAGATCAGCTGTTGAGGGATCATGATGCTTGTGTTCCAGTTGCCTTATTTTACTTTACAATGGCCCCAAAGCGCAAGAGTAGTGATGCTGGCAATTTGGAGAAACAGAAACCAGAGAAGCCATTAAGTACTTCCCTTAAGCGAGAAGGTGGAAGTTCCTGACTAAAGGGAAAGAAATAACTTTTATTATAGTATCTTGTTGTGATTGTTTTACTATGAGTTGTTGTTGTTAATCTCTTACTGTGCCTAGTTTATGCATTAACTTATCACAGGTGTGCATGCCTAGGAAAACACATGGTATATACAGGGTTCAGTATACACATGGTATATACAGGGTTCAGGGTTCAGGCACCTACTGGGCTCTTGGAACATACTTTTCCGGCTAAGTAGGAGCTACTGTGTCAAAAAGGGAATCAAGAGACCACCACAATCACGGCTGAAAGGAGCCTTGAGAATGGACTTCTCTTCAGGTGGGGAAACTAAAGCAGAGAGAGACGTGGTCTGCCCACAGCACAAGGCTGGCTGTGACAACCCTCATTCAGTTCATGCTGGAAGGAGTCCTTAGGAAGTGCACGGACGGGCCTCTGCTTAGTGCACCCGACCTCTCCATTTCAGCCCCTTCATCTGTGTATCCCCCCATCCCCCCAGCACATCAGCAGCCTTTGCTGCAAACCGTGAGCTTTTCACGCACTGTCAGCACCTAAACACCTGCCATAGCTGCAAGAGCCGGGTGCTGCCACACTCACCGGATTGGCAATGACGCAGATCATGGCTTCCGGGCAGTGCTGGGCACAGGCAGCGGTCAGGGTGGCCACAATCGTGGCATTGGTGTTGAACAGGTCGTCCCGGGTCATGCCTGGAAATGATCCAATATGAGATGTTAACAGAGAACACCACAAATTTCCAGACAGGCAGCATGTGCTGAGCGCCAGCTGTTACAGGAAATTTAGCCACTCAAGGTCCCCGTTTCAAGTCAGTCCCTCTTGCAGGGTAAATGATCCAGCATGATGAGTGCCAGAAGCGAGGTCTGCATGGGTGGAGCAGGGGAGGACAACATCTGAGAAGGACCGTCGAGGTTTATTAAGAACCCCCAAGGTAGAGTGGGACTGAGAAGAGGGAAGGGCGTCCGTGCACAGAGGCACAGGGGAACGGCAAGACGACTTTGATCCCAGGCCAACAAAGAGATGTGACCTTTACCCCACAGGAAAGGGGAGCTGGTGACATTTTTCCTACAACAAAGCAACCAGATTAAATCCATTTTTAATAGGAAATGGATTTAATCCCCACATCTTCACGTGGGGAGGTACCAGACAAGGCTTTCAAACACAAACCTGGCTTTCTGGGGACTCCAGCCGGAATAACTACCACATCACAACCTTTCAGGCAGTCAGGCAGCTGTTCAGGTCCGAGGTAGCCTAGAACAAACACCCCACAAGAGAAATGTCACCGTTTCTGATTCAGAGAGGCCTGGAAAGTTCAGCCCTGGCCTTAAGGCCAACTAATGGCCTCGAGAAAGGCTAGAAGCCCTGCCTGTAACGTGACTTCCTTCTGTTGACGACTACTGCCCTGCGAGCTGACAATTCCCGTGGCAGGAACCCTCCCCTTCTACCCTGCTTTCCCCAGCCTCTCCTTGCCCAGGCCCCAGCTAGAATGGGTCAGCCCTCCAGGTTTCCACAAAAGCGAACTGAGCCACTGCTTGTCTTCATCCTACTCGTGAGCATTGTAAGTCACACTTGGCCTCCAGTTAGAATGAGAGGAGCTGCTCATTCCCCATCACCACAATCCTGATGAAAACTCCTTTTTTTTTTTTTTGAGAGGGAGTCTTGCTCTGTCACCCAGGCTGGAGTGCAGTGGTGTGATCTTGGCTCACTGCAACCTCCACCTCCCGGCTTCATGTGATTCTCCTGTTTCAGCCTCCTCAGTAGCTGGGATTACAGGCATGGTCCACCACATTTGGCTAATTTTTGTATTTTTAGTAGAGAAGGGGTTTCACCAGGTTGGCAAGGCTGGTTTTGAACTCTTGAACTCAAGTGATCCACCCACCTTGGCCTCCCAAAGTACTGGGATTACAGGAGTGACCCACTGTGCCAGCCCAAACTCCTTGATCAGAAGGCACTGAAGGCCAGGAAAGAAAACGTCCTGTGCTGAAAGACTCTAAATATTACTATTTCGTTTACTCCTATCATCTGAAGGAAAAAGTATGTTTTCAAAGATTTCAGGGAAATTTGCTACAATATCCAAAATCTGCTTCGATCTTGACTTTTTCCTTAATGCAGGAGCCTTCTTAACCCGAATATACAGCCCAAAAGAAAATGGGCAACCCATTCAGAGAACTCTGGAAGGTGCACGAACATAAAATTTGCCAGGCAGCCTCCCCAGCTGTTCACACCAACTTAAGACTCATGTAAACACCATCAGACACGGTATCGCATACGCTGTCAGAGGGGAAAGAAATCAGTAGAATCTTTCTGGACAGCAATTTGGAACTTTATAGTAAAAGCTTTGAAATATTCATACCTACTAATTCTGTGTTTAGAACTCTAAGACTTCAACAAGATGTAAAGATAAAGATACGTACTGCAACTTACATTAATATATTTATATTTACAGAAGCAAACAGGAAACAGCCAATGGTCAACAGCAGAGCTATCATAAATGATAAATTACAGCTTTAAGAATAATTTTATCAAGAATTCGGGCTGGGCGCAGTTGCTCATGCCTGTAATCCCAGCACTTTGGGAGGCCGAGGTAGGTGGATCATTTGAGGTCAGGAGTTCTAGACCAGCCTGGCCAACATGGTGAAACCCCATCTCTACTAAAAACACAAAAATTAGCTGGGCATGGTGTTGCACACCTGTGGTCCCAGCTACTCGGGAGGTTGAGGCAGGAGAATCACTTGAACCCAAGATGGGGAGGTTGCAGTAAGCCAAGATTGTGCCACTGTATTCCATCTGGGACACAGAGGAAGACATGGTCTCAAAAAAAAAAAAAAAATTTGGTGACATGCAAAAATGTTGATACATTGTGAAGGTTAAATAAGCAGCATATATAAATATGCATATTTATGAAATTTTTTTTTTTTTTTTTGGAAACAGTGTCTCACTATCTCACCTAGGCTGAAGTGCAGTGGTGTAATCAGGGCTCACTGTAGCCTCAACCTCCTGAGCTCAAGTAATCCTCCCACCTCAGCCTCCCAAGTAGCTGGGACCACAGGTGTGCACTATCACGCCCAGCTAATTTTTGGACTTTTTGTTGAGATAGGGGTCTCGCCATGTTGCCTGGGCTGGTCTTGAACTCCTGGACTCAAGCAATCCTCCTGACTTGGCCTCCCAAAGTGCTGGGATTACAGGTATAAGCCACTGCACTAAGTCCAGTGAATCATTTTCCAGACAACATTTACTGAATATCCGACACTGCCTTCCACAGACGGGGAGGTTTCCCAAAGAGGCCGTGCTTTTTGAGAAGCTGGCAAGATAACCCTGGGGTGGAGGGAAGGTGGCCCGCAGCTGAGACCACCACCTTACTGTCCCCAAATCCTCACCAGAGGTTGCTGACACTTCCCTCTTCCCCATCCTCATACTACTTTTCAAATTAGAAAAAGTAGAAAATGGGATGATTAGGCTACCTCACATTTCTAAAAGACACCGCTGTTTCAATTTTTATAGACGCCAAGTCTAAAAGGGTGTAATCACTTGTAAAATTTAAATTTAAAACAGAGAAACCCCCGTCTCTAAACATTTAGTTTCATCTAAGAATCTTACTCAAAACTCGAATCCTGGCCTACTGGGGACAGGAAGCAAGTCTCCAGGGTCAGCGCGCCCAGTACCTTTCACAGCGGCTTTGGTCTCGATGTGGCTCAGATCTGCGGCCACTCCGGGTGTGTGCGCGATATCATAGAGGGTCAGGCGGCTCACCAAGGGGCTGTTCTTCAGGAGAAGTGAAAGTGGCTGCCCGATGCCTCCAGAGGCCCCTAGCACAGCTACTTTAGCATTGTTCTAAAAAGAGGCACAGAGAAAGGACTCTTAGGAGGAAATGAGCATGAAAAGGATTCACATGGTATCCTATAATGTTGCACTGGGCCTCTTTTTACTGCAGTTGCCAAAGCAAGATACAATCATTGTATTTGTAACAGTCTCATTCTGGAAGAATTCAGGACCTTCATTCCAAAGGTCCACTTTCAAATGGGGAGAATTTATGTCTGTAGAGTCTGTGATACTCAGGGTACTTCAAAACCCTCCTGAAAGATGAAGAACAAGCTGGACTCCATCAGGCAGCTGGACTGGTAACAGCAGCCTTCCCTTCAACCTGCAGCTTTATAAACTATAAACACACACTGAGTGCCTAGCAACAGGCCCTCCCGGTAACTGAGGTTGCAGGAAGATCCCTGCTGGCTCTGTAGGAGACAGGTAATGAGATGCATTAGGAGCAGGGAGAACACTGTCACAGAAGCCCCTTGTGCAAGAGGGCAGATGGGGTTGCGGCAATCAACTCCCTGCAGGGGTGGGGAATCAGAGAAGATTCATCCAGGCAGCAAACTTGTGGCTGGAGCCTCAGGCAGGACAAGGAGCTGCCTAACAAGAGGTGGAAGGGGTTACGTACGTTGCGAAAGACTCCAACCCTCCTGGTGAGTCAGATCTGTCATCTCGGGCTCCAGTATCTCACACTGGTTCTCCAGCCTAGGTGTGCATCAGAGCCACCTGCTGAGCTAATGAAGCCCACTCAGGACTAGGCTCCTGGAAGCGGGATGGGGCTTAGGCCTTGGCATTTTTGCCATTTTCCCCAGATGATTTTGATACCAAACAGTTTGAGAATCACTGTTTCATACCAGGCTAATCAGAAGAACAGGCAGCAAAGTAGCAGCTGGCCCTGGGCATTTCAGCTTGGAACAGTTAGGAAAGTGATGGGGTGAAAGTGACCCGGCCCCGCATCCAGCAATCACTCCCGTTATTCGAAGGCACTCTTCCCCTCTAGGTCTCACTCAAGGTCTGACCAAAATTACAGCCATACCCAGGGAGCTTGTTTCTGATCTAAACTCACAAATGAGAAGCACAGCCGATCCCTGGCAGGCAGGCAGGCAGGCAGCTACCAGTGAGGGAAGAGGCAAACAAAGTGGCAGACACGGGAACTCTCGGCACCGTGTGTGGTCATCTGGGGCCTGACAGCATCACTGCACAGTCTTCTACAGTAGCTGAGGCCAGCTAATAACAGGCTTTGGTTATCAGAAACCAAAACCCAACAAACCAAAATCCGAATCAAGACGCTTACCCAGTGGGTTTCTGCTCAGGAAATTAAACTGTGGAAGCATATACAACCAACATTTGAATTCAAACAGGTTTTTGAGTTTCAAGTTGGTGCTTTAAAGGTGAACCCCTGGCTGCCTGGAAACTTGAACCTGTCAGACCCGCTCAGAACCTGAGGTCGGGCAGGCTCAGCCTCACCCACTTCTGGATCTTCAGCTCTCACTCCCACATCTTGTGTGAGTCTCAGGGACTCCCAAATCCCAGCTCTGCATTCCCAGTTCTGTTAGGCGTTCCATGGGTTCCACAAACTCAACTGTCCATTTATCCTGCCCCCCTCCCTCCATCCCTGGTCCCAAATGGCACTTGTGTTCACTAAATGTAAACTTCTAGAACCATCTTCTGCCACCTCCTTCTTATCAGAGACATCAAGTCAGGACATGAAGAACTTGGCAGCTCAACCACCCTCCCAACCCGCTCCTCCTCTTCATTCTATTCCGTTATCTAACTTAGGTACTCAGCAACACCTCCAAAGCATGCTTTCCCAAAATCAAAGTCTTAATCATTTCACTCTCGTGCTCAGGCTGGCATGGTGGTATGCACCTGTAGTCCCAGCTACTCAGAAGGCTGAGGTGGGAGGATCACTTGAGCCCAGGAGTTGAGGCTGCCGTGAGCCATGATGGCGCCATTGCATTCCAGCCTGGGAAACAGAGCAAGATTCCATCTCTTTAAAAAAATATCTTCTGGGCTGGGCGTGGTGGCTCACACCTGTAATCCCAGCACTCTGAGAGGCCGAGGTGGATCACCTTAAGTCAGGACTTTGAGACCAGCTTGGCCAACATGGCAAAACCCCATCTCTACTAATAATAAAAAAAATTAGCCAGACATGGTGGCGCGCACCGGTAATCCTAGCTACTCAGAAGGCTGAGACAGGAGAATCGCTTGAACCCAGGAGGAGATCACACCACTGCACTCCAGCCTGGGTGACAGACCAACAGTCTATCTCAAAAAAAAAAAAAAAAAAATCTTCCAAAGCTTTCATGCCTCCATCACTCAGCCAGGGCAGTGGTTCCACAGGGGAGTGGCCAAGACAATCCCACCAGGGTGGAGGATGAAACTGCTGCAATGAGTGTATCTTTTTTTTTTTTTTTTTTTTTGAGATAGGGTCTCCCTCTCTCACCCAGGCTGGAGTGCAGTGGTGCGATCTTGGCTCACTGCAACCTCTGCATTTTCGGTTCAAGCCATCCTCCCCACCTTAGCTGTAGCTGGGACTACAGGTACACACCACTCATTTTGTAGAAATGAGGTTTTGCCACACTGCCCAGGCTGGTCTCAAACTTCTGAGCTCAAGTGCTGGGATTATAGGTGTAAGCTACCATGCCCAGACTGTCTCTATCTTTATCTAACAAAGAATTAATCTCTACCAAGAAATGGACCGACCTGTGCCCTCGCTAGGGTGCTTAAATGGATGGGTCCCATGTGTACATAAGGTGAACACAACATGGGGGAGGGAGGGGAAGAAGACTGCCTCACTGGTTTCTTTGCTTTCACTTTGTCAAGGTGATGTCACTGTTTGTATATTACAGGATGTCACCAACTTAATTTTTACAAAACCACAATCCTTAAGTAGTATAATCTTTACATGCTTTGCAATGAGATGAAAATCTTTGGTGGCCCGGAGGTTAGATCATGATCTCCTTGTCAAAGAGCTGTCTTCCAGACCCGCTGACCTTTGCTGGGTGGCAGAGTGGCTATCAACAGCACACTGCTTGGCAACTGTGTTGAAAACCGACATATGTTAACACTGCCTTCATTTATAAGTTTTAACACTTTATAACGTGTTATGGTTTGTTTTAAAATTTCTACTTGAGTTTATATTGTAATGTATATATTAGTACATATACCTATAAGTAAATACATTGGGGCTATGTGCTTCCTACGCTTTTACTGTTAAAGATACAGGATCCAGCTAGGCGTGGTGGCTCACGCGTTTAATCCTAGCACTTTGGGAGGCTGAGATGGGCGCATCACCTGAGGTCGGGAGTTTGAGACCAGCCTGACCAACATGGAGAAACCCTGTCTCTACTAAAAATACAAAATTAGCCAGGCATGGTGGCGCATGCCTGTAATCCCAGCTACTCGGAAGGCTGAGGCAGGAGAATGGCTTGAACCTGGGAGGCGGAGGTTGCGGTGAGCTGAGATCGCACCATTGCACTCCAGCCTGGGCAACAAGAGCGGAACTCCGTCTCAAAAAAAAAAAAAAAAAAAATCCAAAGTCTGGAGACCACTGCACCATGGGCTCAAGCCCATCTTTCTTTCTGCTTTCATCAGCTGCCTTCTCAACAATGTCGCTTGTATGCCCAACAGGCATTTTAAATTGAACATATGAAAAACTGAGATCCTGGCCGGGTGTGGTGGCTCACGTCTATAATCCCAGTACCTTGGGAGGCCAAGACAGGTGGATCACCTGAGGTCAGGAGTTTGAGACCAGCCTGGCCAACATGGCGAAACCCCATCTCTACTGAAAATACAAAAAAAAATTAGTTGGGCGTGGTGGCAGCACCTGTAATCCCAGCTACTCAGGAGGCTGAGGTGAGAGAACCACTTGAACCCAGGAGGCGGAGGCTGCAGTGAGCCGAGATCACGCCACTGTACTCCAGCCTGGGCAACAGAGCGAGACTCTCAGTAAATAAATAAAAACTGAACTCCTGATATCTTCTCCCTGGTTAAACCCACTCTCTTCTATAAGTCTTGCCTATTTCAGCCCAACTCCAAGGCCCAAAACCTTGGTGTCATCCCCGACCCCTTATCTAATCACACATCAGCAAATCCTTCTGGTACCATCAATGAATACCCAGAATTCAATCATTTCTTACCACCTGCACCTAGATAACCACAATGAACTCCTAACCTACCTTTCTCTCACTCCTAAGACCATCTTGTTAAAATGGAAGGAAGAGCAAGTCATTACGCAGCTGAAAACCCTCAACTGGCCGCCCCATTTCTGAGAAAATACCAAAGTTTTACAAGGCCTGTTCTGTTACCTCCACTGCCTTCTCTGGAACTACCCTAGCCTCATTTTCTCAAACCTTCAAGGCATGCCCCATGCTTCTCCAAGGGCTCTCAGCTACATCCTGAGACATATCCCTTACCTGCAATACTCTTTCCATATGATGTGATCTCTGCTTCCTTCAGACTTTACTCAAACATCTCACTCTGCGTGAGGCCTACCCTGGCTGATGTAAAACTGCTACCCTCGGCTGGGAGTGGTGGCTCACGCCTGTAATCCCAGCACTTTGGGAGGCCAAGGAGGGTGGATCACTTAAGGCCAGGAGTTTGAGACCAGCCTGGCCAACATGGTGAAACCCCATCTCTACTAAAACTACAAAAATTACCCAGCTGTCGTAGCCCTTGCCTGTGATTCCCACCTACTCGGGAGGATGAGGCAGGAGGATAGCTTGAGCCCAAGAGTTGGTTGCAGTGAGCCAAGATGGCGCCACTGCACTCCATCCTGGGCAACAGAGTGGGACTCTGTCAGGTCCATCCTGGCCAACATGGTGAAACCCCATCTCTACTAAAAACACAAAAATTAGCTGGGCACGGTGGTGCGCGCCTGTAGTCCCAGCTATTCGGGAGGCTGAGGCAGGAGAATCGCTCCAACCTGGGAGGTGGAGGCTGCAGTGAACCGAGATCACGCCACTGCACTCCAGCCTGTCGACAGGGCGAGGCACTGCATCAAAAAAAGTAAATAAAATTGGTACCCTCTTCCCTAACACAAGCACCCTACAATCCCCATTTTTCTTGCATGTTCATCACTATTTTAAGATACTTTATAATGAGTGGGGCAATAAGTAAAATATCTAGTAATTTCCGTGAGAGCAGGGACTTCTGTGTTTTGTTCACCGCTGTATTTCCAGTACCTAGCTCAATAAATATGTCGGATATCTGAAGGTCCTACCAAAACTCAACCTCTCCCTGGACACCCCTGTCCTCTCTTTGGTTGGCTGCCCCTCCCCCACACCTCATCCCTCCTGTCCTGTTTACTCATTCCCTAAGACCTTCATCGCCTCCACCTGTCCTAAGTTTACTCATTCCCTAAGACCTTCATCGCTTCCACCTGTCCTAAGTTTACTCATTCCTGTCCCATATCAAGTGTCACTTCTCACTTATCTTGGTATCCCCTGCAGCACCCAGCATAGTTGTTGGCAAGCACAGGTACTTAATGTACTTATCTGTATACAGCTGGGCCCCCACTTCACCGCAGCGCAAAAGCATTTGGTACATTCAACTTACAATGGGGTTGCCTGTGGGAACCCATTGCAAGTTGAAAATACACAAAGTTAAACTCGCCTTTTGACTTAGGATATTACCAACTTGCGATGGGTATGGGAAGTAGCCATCAATCCAGGAGCATTTGTATTTATTTTTCAAATGAACTGGATGTACAGGAAACTCGAGAACTTCGATGATAAATTTGGATTCCCCTTTAAAATTACCTCCCTCTTGGGCGTCGTAATTAAAAGGCAATGCGAGCACCTCCTGGGTTCTCAAAATTAGGTTTAATTAGATTCACCTGGTAAAAATGCGGACCCCCCCCCCCCCCCCCGCAGTCTTAAGCTTCTTCAATGAACCCAGACGTCTGTTTTTTATTAGCTTTCTGGTGATTCTGACACACTGCAGAGTTTAAGAACCACCATTCTAGAAGATGGCTAAAAATAGCCTAGGCTCCTAGGCTTAAGTGGTCGCGGGCCAAGTCAAGCACTGTTAAGACACCTGGCGGCAGGCTCAGTCCGCCCACAGCAGGAGAGATCCTCCAAAAAGGTTAAGAGGAAGCCGTCTTCAGGTCAGAAGCGCTGAATTCTAATCCTCTGGCCAAATGACTGTAACCCTGGCCCAGTTCTCTAGCCTCGGTTTGTCCATACTATGGAATTAGGAAGTATACGATTTCTTTTATTCACGCACAACTCACACGGATGCTGCAAGGAGATTAGCTACGTCAAAGCAATGGAACGCTGCAGAAAAAAACGTAAGTTTACTTTCAGATGCAGAGCCCTGGTTTCCCAACCTTGAAGGCGTGCAAGCCAAGAGCAGGTCCTCTGGGAAATCTGGGAGACCTGGGGGAACCCTGACAAATGGACCGGCCCTGGAGCGGGACTACCTCGCCCCCTTTTCCCCGGCTTTCTCCCCCGCACCTCCAGGCCAGTGTCAGGGCCTGCCCCGGGCGCCACAGTCTCCAGCCAGTGCCGGGCATCCCTGCGGTCCAGGCTGGCCTGGAGAGGGTCAGAGCTGCCCGCGAACCGGGGACGCACGTGGCCCGGGCCGGGGGGCCTCCGCCTGCAGGCCGCCCCTCGTCTGGCCTACCTGGGCCGAGGTGCTGAAGCTGCGGCGGAGAGCAGCGCTGGCAGGCCGGGCGAGGGCGGAGAGCATGGCTGGAGCGGGAGGGGCACCGACTGGCAGGCACAGGAGCTGGTGACGGGGAAGTGACTCCAACGACCTCCACACTGCCCAGCGCCTGCTCTCTGGGGCCTCGCGAGAGTGACCGGACTTCCGGTCGCGCTCGCCTCCGGGATCTCGTGAGATCACGGCCACTTCCGGGAGTCGGAAAGGAAAGCTGTGGGACCATCCTGGCAACCCCGGTGTTTGGCTGGGTTCTAGCGTAGCCGTCTGTGTGGCCGGTGGGGGACCTGCGGTCGGAGTGGGAGGGCCAGTCTGCACCCAAGAGGTGGAAGAGGACGGGCTTTAGGCTGGAAGCGCCTTAGAGGAGCCATTTTTCCAGGTGGGGCCCCAGGCAGAGGCTCCGACAGGGAGCCTGGCCATAGTCGCGCAGCCGGGGAGGTGGAGCGCGTCCCAGACCCGAGCCCCCGACCTCAGCCAAACCCATTCCTTCTGCCCTTGGAGGCCAGAGGGGACTCTGAGCTCCGGAAAGGTAGGGTCAGGGAGGCTGAGAGTCCTTAGGCGGGGTGGGAGGAAGGGGCCATCTCCTCAGATCCGGGCCGTCGTTTCCCAAGTTGCAGAGACCCTTGGGTTCAGGTTTAGTGACACCACTGCTGATAATGGCGACCTCCAGCCCTGCAAGCTTTAGAGGACCACTATTCTGTGTTCCAGATGAGCAAATAGGTTGTAGGGACAACAACTTCCGTGGTCATACAGTTCCTGTCTTCTCTCGCCTGCCCGGCAGTGCTCTGACGGTCCCACTGTTTCTGCTTTACGAATAAAGACACTGTGGCTGAGGCCAAGTGGATTTGTAGAGTTTACGCAGACAGAAAGTCGAGTAGAATTCCTTGCTCACAATGAGTTTATTACTTAAATGTATGAATTTATTTATTTTTTTGAGACGGAGTCTCTCTAGCCCAGGCTGGAGTGCAGTGGCGCGATCTTGGCTCACTGCAACCTCTGCCTGTCAGGTTCAAGTGGTTCTCCTGCCTCATTCTCCTGAGTAGCTGGGATTAGCGCACCACTACACCTGGCTAATTTTTTGTATTTTTTTTTTAGTAGAGACGGGGTTTCACCACGTTGGTCAGGCTGGTCTCGAACTCCTGACCTCGTGATCCACCCGCCTCGGCCTCCCAAAGTGCTGAGATTACAGGCGTGAGCCACCGCGCCCGGCCTGATACATATTTTTAAAATTAAACAACACCCCCAGGCAAGGTGGCTCATGCCTGTAATCCCAGCACTCTGGGAGGCTGAGGCGGGCCGATCACTTGAGGCCAGGAGTTCATGACCAGCCTGGCTAACATGGTGAAACCCCATCTCTACTAAAAATACAAAAATTAGCCCAGCGTGGTGGTGTACACCTGTAGCCCCAACTACTCCGGAGGCTGAGGCAGGAGAATCGCTTGAACCCGGGAGGTGGAGGGAGGTTGCAGTGAGCCGAGATAACCCCACTGTACTCCAGCTTGGGCGACGGAGAAAGACTCTGTCTCAAAAAAAAAAAAAAAAAAAGCCGGGTGTGGTGGCTTATGCCTGTAATCCCAGCACTTTGGGAGGTCAAGGCGGGCAGATCACCTGAGGTCAGGAGTTTGAGACCAGACTGGCTAATGTGGCGAAACCCCATCTCTACTAAATATACAAAAATTGGCTGGGCATGGTGGCGTGTGCCTGTAGTCCCAGCTACTCAGGAGGCTGAGGCAGGAGAATCCCTTGAACCCAGGAGGTGGAGGTTGCTGTGAGCCAAGATTGTGCCATTGTACTCCATCCTGGGTGATAAGAGCTAAACTCCGGCTCAAAAGCGCGCGCGCGCGCGCGCGCACACACACACACACACACACACACACACACACACACACACACACACACACACACACACACACACAGCAGATAAGCTGAGACATGCTGGAAGAGTAGGTGTTTCTCAATGGAACATTCAACTCCAGAGGAGGGAAAGATCCCTTGCCTTGGAATCAGAATTCTCAAAGGAGGGGCACTAGGGCCTGAGCATTTAACAATGGGAAATGTTTAGACAGGAAAGGAGGAGAAAAAAGGCCAAATAAAATCCTAGCGGGAAAAAATAAGCATAGGCCAGTATTCAGGGGACAGTGAATAGATCATTTATTTTGGAGTGGGGACATTAGGGCAAGCAGTGTCCTTTGTTTATCTTATCACTGACTGCATCTTCTGGTAATTATTTACTCCTCTGTCTTGTAACTGAGAGCACCTCAGAGCCAGGTATTAAGTCTTGCCAGGTACTAAGTCTTTCTTCTGTTTTTTTTGTCCAACATGCGACTGGGCTGAAAGGGCCTCAGTGAATTTGTGGAGAGTTGAGTGGTTTTAGGTACAGCTGGAAACAGCAGGTTGGGAAAAACTAGATTGTGCCGGTCCCATGAATGTTAGCTGAGAAGTTTGTATTTCATTTCTTGGGAAGCAAGTGTTTATCAAAGGTTGTTTATTTATTTGAGATGGAGCCTCACGCTGTTGCCCAGGCTGCAGTGCAGTGGCGCGATCTCGGCTCACTGCAACCTCCACCTCCGGGTTCACGCAGTTCTCCTGCCTCAGCCTCCCAAGTAGCTGGGATTACAGGTGTGCACCACCACACCTGGCTAATTTTTGTATTTTTAGCAGAGACAGGGATTTGTCATGTTGGCCAGGCTGGTCTAGAACTCCTAACCTCAAGTGATCTGCCCGAGTCAGCCTCTCAAAGTGCTGGGATTATAGGCGTGAGCCACTGCACCTGGCCAATCAGGCTTTTGTGACACTGCCAGAACTGTGTTTGAGGAAGATTAGACTGACCTTGTATGCTAAGAATTCCCAGGAAAAAAAAAATGGAGATTGTTTAGGAATCTATTCAGGGAGATTGTTTAGGAATCTATTTTATGGATGACAAAGGTCTGAATTACGGTGGTGGCCATAGAAATGGAGTGGGTAGGGCCAGTGTGGGAGAAGTCTCATGGGAAGAATGGGTAACAGTCTGTGCTCATCTGGGTTTGAGGAGTGAAAGAAAGAGGTGTGGAAAATACATAAAGAGGGAAGTCGGGTTATACAAAGGAGAGGAGAAAAATAAAGGAGGTTATACCAAAGGAGAGGAGAAAAAATAAAGAGTTCCGTTTTAGATGGGCTTAATTGGGAGTTATGCTGAGTTGTCCATATAGACCTTTCAGTGGTATGGGCCGTGTTCATGCCTGTAATCCCAACACTTTGAGCAGCCAAGGCGGACGATCACTTGAGCTCAGGAATTCAGGACCAGCCTGGGTAACATGGCAAAACCCCATCTCTACAAAAAGTACGAAAATTCTCTGGGCGTGATGGTGTGTGCTTGTAGTCCCAGCTACCCAAGAGGCTGACATGAAACAATCGCTTGAGCTCAGGCGATCGGGGGAGGTCAAGGCTGTAGTGAGCCATGATTGTGCCACTGCATTCTGACATGGGTGACAGAGCAAGATATGTCTCATTTAAGGGGGGAAAAAAGGAACTGTGGGATTGAAACTCAGGCCAGGGCGGAAGTCACCTCTGTAGAGGGGGAGAGTTGAGACCATGAGCAATAAACTGGAATCACAGATTGTCAGGCTCCCTCCCACATCTGGAATTCAGTTTCCTCCACATCCCTCCCAAGTCCTCATCTCCACAGAAGAGGAACTCGCTACCTCCCAAGCCTTCTACTTGGGCCATCCCAAACAACTTGACTGCTAGAAAAGCCTCACATTTGGCCCAGTGCAGTGGCTCATGCCTGTAATTCCACCCCTCTGGAAGGCCAAGGTGGGAGGATCGCTTGAGCCCAGGAGTTCAATACCAGCCTGGGCAACACAGGAGACCCTGTCTACAAATAATAAAAATTAGCCAAGCATGGTGGTATGTGCCAGTGGTCCCAGTTACTCAGGAAGCTAAGGCAGGAGAATTGAGCCTGGGAGTTTGAGGCTGCAGTGAGCTGTGTTTGCACCACTGCACCCCAGTCTGGGTGACAGAATGAGACCTTATCTCAAAGGAAAAAAACATAAAAAGCCTCACACTCAGCTCCTATCTGCCTCTCTCTAAGGAAATACCAAGGTAATTAACAACAGTCTTATTGGCTGCTGTATGAAGCACTGTGTGGTAGGCATTGATTTTACTTGGTGTTTTGCAAGTGAAACTTATATTAAACAAGCAGGGTTTCCACAGTCAAGAAGTAGAATTCAATCATGCAGCAGCTTTCTGTCTTTAAATCTTTGCTTGCCCTTGGATTGTGTCTGGTTACTAGGACAGACTTACTGTCCAGTTCATGTTAATAATCAAAACTAGGAATTTAATTCAAAGGTAAAGCTGCTTCTCTTCCCCTCTCAAGCTTTCTTTGGGCTCCCACATTTGAGGAGGACAGTAGTTGACTTCTGTTTATTTTGTTTCCTCTTCCATCCCACCCCAGCCCAGGCCAACTATGGCTTCTGAGGCATCCTGTGTTGGTGGAGGGGGTTATAAGAGAGTAGAGATGGGGCAAGAAAAGCCCCTTCGACATCTGGCCTTGTTACTGTCTCAGCTTGATGGGAATTTGTAACTGACTCTCCCATGCAGTGCTTCTGGGGGTCTTTCTTACCTCCAGTTCCCATGATCAGGTGGCCATCTCAGTCTTGCTGCTTCAATTCCTCCCTCAGCCCCTGGCTTCTGGAATCCTCCACCACATGCCATTGGTCCATTTTCCCTCTCGGTGGCCCTCTTGGGCAAAGTTCCTTTAAAATGGCTTCTCGGCTGGGTGCGGTGACTCACGCCTGTAATCCCAGCACTTCGGGAGGCTGAGGTGGGTGGATCACCTGAGGTCAGGAGTTTTGAGACCAGCCTGCCCAACATGGTGAAACCCCATCTCTACAAATACAAAAAATTAGTTGGGCACGGTGGCGGGCGCCTGTAATCCCAGCTACTGGAGAGGCTGAGACAGGAGAATTGCTTGAACCCAGGAGGCAGAGGTTGCAGTGAGCCGAGATCATGCCACTGCACTCCAGCCTGGGCAACAGAGCGTGACTCCATCTCAGAAAAGCAATACTAATAAAATAAAAATAAATGAGTAAAATAGCTACTAGTTGGCCTTCTCCCCTGCCTGGTCCATATCTGATCAACGGGAAACACTTAGGTATCCTTTGCCCCAACAAATTCTGGGGGTGCAGGCCATTTCAAATGCAGCTACCTCTTCTTGCTTTGCCAACAGCTCGCCAGCCTCACGCCAGCCTCAGATTTCCAGCCCAAGGCCTATTACCAGCCTCTGTGCCTGCACAAGCTTCAGAGGGCACAGGCCAAGCTACCCTAGGGGCTGGCTTCTGGTTTCATTAATTGTTCCAAGAAAGCAGAGACTTGTGAATGTTTGGAATCAGAAAGATGCTAATAGGGAGAGCTTTGAGATTCTGAAAGGAGAACAAGAGAGATTAGGTGAAATTGTATGAGATCAGAGGGTGCTTATCCCTTGGACTGTGGAGAAAAGCACATAAGGGCCGGCTGCAGTGGCTCATGACTGTAACCCCAGCACTTTGGGAGGCCGAGGCAGATGGATCACCTGAGGTCAGGAGTTTGAGACCAGCCTCGCCACATGGTGAAACCCCGTCTCTACTAAAAATACAAAAAATTAGCCGGGAGAGGTGGCAGTGCGTGCCTGTAGACCTAGCTACTTGGAAGGCTGAGGCAGGAAAATTGCTTGAACCCTGGAGGCAGGGTTGCAGTGAGCTGAGATCGCGCCGCTGTACTCCAGCCTGGGTGACAGAATGAGACTCCATCTTAAAAAAAAAAAAAAAAAAAAAAAAAAAAAAAAGCACATAAGGGCACCCAGGGAGCAGTTGGTGGAGGAGGGCGACTCACAGCCAGTGGCCTTAACTTTCCCAGGCAAGAATAGAAAATTAGAGAAGTTGCTCCCAAAGAGGATTTGGTTTGGATAACAGTTGTGATCACTGGGAAAATGCTGGTCAAATGTGGAAAAACAAGAGTGGGATTAGCTAGTGGCTATGAGGGCCAAGCTGAAGTTCTGTAATGTGTACTTGCTGTGTGCCCAAGTCCACATAGTTTTCTACAGCCCAGACCCCATACCAAGGTCACAGACATATACACAGACTCACACACATGCGTACATGCACACACATGCACCTGCAGATTCACATCCTGGAACACTTAAACACATCAATCTCGACAAGGGAATTATTTATTGATCTACGGTTTTCATACAGTGAAGTATATAGGTCTCAAGTGTTCAGTTTGGTTTTGACAAATTCCACCCTTGTAACAACCACCCAAAACAAACGATAAAACATTGCCATTATTCCAGAAAGTTCTCTCATGCTCCTTTCCATTCATCTGCCAAGACAGCTATTTCCTGATTTCTATGATCGTAAAGTTGCTTTGCCTATTTGTCATCGGATAGGAAAATATACAAATACATTGACAGCCTGTCTTAGTCTCTTTTCTGTTGCTGTCACAGAATGCTTGAGATTGGGTAATTTATATAGCAAAGAAGTTTATTTAGCTTACTGTTCTGGAGGCTAGGAAGTTCCAGATTGGGTAGCTGCATCTGGTCGGCTTCTGGTGAGGGCTGCATCTGCATCATAACATAGTGGTGGAGACAGGGAATTAGGCGTGGAAAAGGGAAAATGCAAGAGGAAACCTTGCTTTATAACAACCTGCTCTCAAGAACTAGTCCATTCCCTGGAGAAGACATTCATCCATCTTAATAGCCAAATCACCTCTTAAAGGTACCACCTCCCAATACTACCACATTGGGGACCAAGCCTTAGCATGAGTTTTGCTGGGGACAAACCATATTCAAACCATAACACACCCTCCTCACCCCACCCCTACACACCCACATGTACTGATCATTTTGTACCTTACAGTGGGCTTATATCACAATCATGTGCTATCAGATTTTGGTATTAGGTGCACACATTATATACTAACCTACCTTCTCTTCAACTCTAAAGTCATAGATCAAGTGAAGTATTTTACTATTTTAATTTAGTTTTTTTTTTTTTTTTGGAGATGGGGGGAGGTTCTCACTATATTGCTCAGGCTGGTCTTGAATTCCTGGCCTCAAGTGATTCTCCCAGCTCAGCCTCCCAAAGTGCTGGGATTACAAGTGTGAGCCACCACGCCTAGCCAAGTGAAGTATTTTAAACCGCTCCTTTTGGATCCCTGGAGCTAAAACAAAGGGTTAGAAAGGTGGTTATCATCCTGCCTTGCCTGGGAGTTTTCCTCATTTTTCTGTAGCTGCTCTAGGATATTGGAAGTTGGGGACATGTATTTTTAAAACAGAACCATATTTAGATAAATAGCTTTTTTTTTCTTTTTCTTTTCATTTTCTTTTCTTTTTTCTTTTTTCTTTTTTTTTTAGCTGTGTTGCCCAGGCTGAAGTGCAATGGCACGATTTCAGCTCACTGCAACCTCCGTCTCCCAGGTTCAAGCGATTTTCCTGCCTCAGCCTCCGGAGTAGCTGGGATTACAGGTATGCGCCACCACGCCTGGCTAATTTTGTATTTTTAGTAGAGACTAGGTTTTACCATGTTGGTCAGGCTGGTCTTGAACTCCTGACTTCACAAACCTCCTGCCTCGGTCTCCCAAAGCGCTGGGATTGCAGGCGTGAGCCACCGTGCCCAGCCTTAGATAAATAGCTTTAACTTTTATTTGGGCCTCCTACCTGCTGGAAGTCAAAGGAGTTGGCTTTCCAGGATAGGTCCCAGCAGAACAACCGGGAGGTGTTGGACTGGCCACAGCAGAGCCACCAAGGGGCTTCCAAGAGCTGAGAGTCGCTGATTGTGGCAGATCTGAGTCTGCAGTGAAGCCTTCTGTCAGGCAGACCAGCCTGAGGCCTGAGAAGGGAGAGCAAAGCCAGGTCACAGCCTGGTCAGGGCCATTAACTCATGTCAGAGAAGTGGAAGGTGGGGCCTGAGCCCAATCAGGGAGCAGAGGAAAAGCAGGCCCCAGAGACAGAGTCGGAGGAAGTGAGCCAAAGGTGGTGGTCACCGTCTTTGGAGACTGTGCTGTAGTTTCCAGACCCCACCACCGCCTCCTGACAGCCTAGTTGCCGTATGAGCAGACCTGTTACCCTTACAGGACCACTAGGGCACCTCTCAGGGGTCTAGCAGGCTTAGGTTTGGGGACATGGAATTGATAGCAAGATCTAAGGCAAGGAGCAGGGATGTGGACGGCTGGATCTAGGCCTCTGATCCATACCTGCTCTCCCTAAAATATAGAGGTACTAGCGATGGAGGCCAGGCGCCGTGGCTAATGCCTGTTATCCCAGCACTTTGGGAAGTTGAGGCAGGTGGATCACCTGAGGTCGGGAGTTTGAGACTAAGCTGGCCAACGTGGTGAAACCCCGTCTCTATAAAAATACAAAAATTAGCCTGTCATGGTGGTGCATGCCTGTAGTCCTTGCTACTGGGGAGGCTGGGGCAGGAGAATTGCTTGAACTTGGGAGGCGAAGGTTGCAGTGAGGTGAGATCACGCCACTGCACCCCAGCCTCAGCAACAGAGACACTGTCACAAAAAGAAAAAAAGGTGATAGTAGATACTAGTGATGATCAAGGCAAAGTTAGGAGGTTATGATGGCCCTGGTCTCCTCCTCCTCTTCCCTCTTTCTTTCTTCTGTGCCAGTGGGACCTGGTGTCCCTCTGAGTTAAGAGACAGATTTCAGGCCCACTTCTGCAGCCTCCACAGCTCTGGGGGTGTTGTGACCTGGGACTGTATTACCCAGCTTTGTCAAGGTTCAGGCCACAGAGAATGTGTCAAGCTGGGATTGAGGAAAGACTGTACCAAATCCCTTAAGATCCTGACCCTTGGCTGGGCGCAGTGGCTCACGCCTGTAATCCCACCACTTTGGGAGGCTGAGGCGGGAAGATCACTTGAGCCCAGGAGTTCGAAACCAGCCTGGAAAACATAGTGGAACCCTGACTCTACAGAAACTAAAAAAAATTAGTTGGCCGGGTGCGGTGACTCACGCCTGTAATCCCAGCACTTCGGGATGCCAAGGCGGGTGGATCACGAGGTCAGGAGTTCGAGACCAGCCTGGCCAACATGGTGAAACCCCGTTTCTACTAAAAATACAAAAGTTAGCTGGGAATGGTGGCACATGCCTGTAGTCCCAGCTACTTGGTAGGAGAATCGCTTGAACCTGGGAGGCGGAGGTTGTGGTGAGCCGAGATTGCACCACTGCAGTACAGCCTAGGCAACAGGGCAAGATTCCGTCTCAAAAAAAAAAAAAAAATTAGGCATGATGGTGCACACTTGTAGTCCCAGCTACTCGGAAGGCTGAGGTGGGAGGCTCACTTGAGCCCAGGAGTTTGAGGCTGCAGTGAGTGACGATCGCGCCACTGCACTCCAGCCTGGGCAACAGAGTGAGACGCTGTCTCTAAGAGAAAACAGCAAAACAAAATGTAACCCAAATATGACAAGAGTTAGTTAGCTCGCCTTGAGGCCATTCTCAAGAATGTCATTCAACGGTGGCTCACGCCTGTAATCCCAGCACTTTGGGAGGCCGAGGCAGGTGGATCATGAGGTCAGGAGATCGAGACCATCCTGGCTAACACGGTGAAACCCCGTCTCTACTAAAAAAAAATACAAAAAAGCCAGGCGTGGTGGCAGACGCCTGTAGTCCCAGCTACTCAGGAGGCTGAGGCAGGAGAATGGCGGGAACCCAGGAGGCAGAGCTCGCAGTGAGCTGAGATCGTGCCACTGCACTCCAGCCTGGGGTGACAGAGCAAGATTCCGTCTCAGGAAAAAAAAAAAAAAAAATGTCATTCAATTCCCAAACATAAAGCAGGTCCTGACAGCCTCGAAGTCACATAACGAGTAGGGAGGTTTTTCTGGGACGACAGAGGAGAGGCTCATGTCATCCCACAGAACCAAACACCCCCACATTCCTTCAGACCTCTCTGTTCTTCCCCATTGTTCTCTTCCGGAAGCGAGACCCTGTCTCTACAAAAAAATAAAAACTTAGCTAGGTGTGGTGGCATGCACCTGTAGCCTCAGCTACTCAGGAGGCTGAGGTGGGAGGATCGCTTGAGGCTGCAGTGAGCCATGATTGTGCCACTGCACGCCAGCCTGGGCAACAGAGTGAGCCCCTGTTTCAGGAAAAGAAACTGAGAGGGTAGGAGTAAAGGAATTTCCTAAGCTACTGCCATGTGTCAGGCCCACTGCTAGGCAATTTATATCATTTAGCTCTTGAATGATCCTATAGCTTTGCCAGTGTGTATTATCTCAGCTTACAGGTGAGGGCATTGATGCCTGTCACTATGTTTAAGCCTTGGTCATGCTGGCACAGCCTGAGCTTCCCACCGCGAACCAGAACAGCGGTGGGGATTGGCTGTGGACCCTGACCCTTACCTGGGCTGGTCAGCTTGAGCCAGAGTCTCAAAGTGAAGCTCATGGTCTGGCTTCTCCAGGATCATCAAGTGTTGTCTCTTCACCAGAAGCAAATGCCCATCAATTGTGTCCACCTGGACTGTCTTGGGGGTTAGGGTGGCTTGGCAGTTGAGCGCTGGGTCAAGCCTGCAGTATCCTCGAACTCCTACAAGAAGCCTGTGGTCAGGCCCAGCCTCTGACACCTCCACCGTCAGTCAGGATGGAAGTCCCCTGGGTGTTGAGCAGACACAGGGAGGCAGGGAGATGAGCTGGATCTGGCTGGGTCCCTGCTTAGTCACAGGCTCTGGCAACCTCTAATGAAACATCCCTTCCCAGTTGGCTGTTTTCCCCAAATATAGACACGTGCTGTCACTAGAGGGGAGCTTCCCAGCCCAACAGCTTCTGGACCATGCTGGGCTGACTTGGGGAGAGAGCCACCCACGAACCCCTGGTTTGAAGGCCAGACTAGGTGGTCATATGGAAGGTGACAGACCTTCCCCCTGGTGGGTGTACTGTGTGCAGGGACAAAGCCTGTGCTAGCACCCTGCTGTCTTGACAGTAAGTGTCTTTGGGCTGGGCATGGTGGCTTATGCCTGTAATCCCAGCACTTTGGGAGGCCGAGGCGGACAGATCACCTGAGGTCGGGAGTTCCTTCTGCCTTGGACACCCAAAATGCAGAGATTACAGGTGTGAGCTACCACACCCCACCAAGGGTCTCTTAAGAAGAGCTGGCCGGGTGCGGTGGCTCACGCCTGTAATCCTAGCACTTTGGTAGGCCGAGGCGGGCGGATCACGAGGTCAGGAGATTGAGACCATCCTGGCTAACACGGTGAAAACCCATCTCTACTAAAAATACAAAAAATTAGCCGGGTGTGGTGGCGGGCGCCTGTAGTCCCAGCTACTCAGGAGGCTGAGGCAGGAGAATGGCATGAACCCGGGAGGCGGAGGTTGCAGTGAGCAGAGATCGCACCACTGCACTCCAGCCTGGGCAACAGAGTGGGACTCCGTCTCAAAAAAAAAAAAAAAAAAAAGAGCTATACTGTGTTGAAAGAGTCCTGTATAAAGGAGGATGTCTTAAATTTGCCATTTTGACTCTGTTTTGAACAGGTCACCAGGAAAATGAGACTTGGTAGCCTGGCGAGGTGGCTCAAAAAAAAAAAAAAATTCACATGGAAAAGACTTGATCTTGGGATAAATAAATTTAATCAAAATTGAAAGTGAAAAAAATTGAAACTGGCTAATTGTGACATACAGAAAATCAAGGAATTAAAGTGGCTTAATGGATTCACAAAGGAAAATACTTTTGGCAAAAACTCATCTATATTACTTTAATATTTTTATGTAAATGCACGATACATCAGAATATCCTTGAGGGCTCAAATGGTGGAGCTAAGGACAGCTAAACTCTCCAGGGACCAGGCGTGGTGGCTCACGCCTGTAATCCCAGCACTTTGGGAGGCCAAGGCAGGCAGATCACCTGAGGTCAGGAGTTCGAGGCCAGCCTGGCCAACATGGTGAAACCCCGTCACTACTAAAAATACAAAAATTAACTGGACGTGGTGGTGGGCACCTGTAATCCTAGCTACTCAGGAAGCTGAGGTGAGAGAATCACTCGAACCCGGGAGGTGGAGGTTACAGTGAGCCGAGATCATCCCACTGCACTCCAGCCTGGGGGACAGAGCAAGACTCTGTCTCAAGAAAATAAGTAAATAAATAAACTCTTCAGGGTTCAGAATAGCACCAAATGGGATGGTTACTTGTGCTCAGTCCTCAACTTACCCAAGGCTAGAGGTGCCCTAATTTCAGTTCACAGGGATGCATCTTCTCTTGGAATCATGCTGTTAGGTTCAGGGACCGATCTCATCCTTCCAGCACTTTACCAGTGGATGAGGGGCAGTTCCTGCTTGACCAGGTAGAGTGCTTTGAGAAGGAGAAGGATCTGCAGAAGGAGATCCTTGGGGCTGGGTTTTTATCTATAGGACCAGAGATGATTCTTTGGCTAGTGAGTAAGGAGATAGAGTTAGCAATGGGGGAAAGTAGGTAGTAGCTGAGGATGGGTATGAGCCATAGACCAGATGGGTTAGGAGCCAGCTTTTAGTTTTGCTTAATGAGGTTGTAGGACTAGACACAAAGCCCACTTCTCTCCTCTATACTTACCACTGCCAAAGTGGCCTGGCTTTCAGAGGCAGAGGATGTGGAACCTGACTTGGGGGGTGGGAGTGAGGAGATCCTTAAGAGGAATCCACACGTGGAAAAAGTATGATGGCAGGTCCAGATGGCGGTGTTGGGAAAGGCCATAATGGTAACTGACAATAATGTATTCATTCCACATGTGTTCATTGACTATTACTTTGCAGCATGTAAATCTGGGGTATTGGGTGAGGACCTAGCAGTGGACAAGACAGGCAAGACCTTCCCTCAGAAACCAGGAGACAATAAACAAGCAAATAAGCACAATAACTTCAGGTGATAGTGAGGTGAAGACAAGGCCCTACTCAGATTTTAAAGATTTCCCGGACTATTATGTGAAGATGAAACTGGAGGGAGGAAGGAGGAAGCAAGAAATCCAGTTGGGCACTACTGCCTCATCAGGAGAGAGATTGTAGTGTCCTGGACCAAGATGGTACCCCTGGAGATGGAGAGAAGTGGATGGACTTGGAATACATGAAGGAGGCAGAGCTCAGAGACTGGATGTGAGGGAAAGGGGAATGAGGTCATCGGGCCCAAGCAACTGGGTGGATCATGGTGCTGTTGATTGAGACTGAGAAGGCTAAATGAGGAGCAGGTACTGGAGGTGTGGGCACGAGAGCATTGAAGTTGTATTTCGGCCATGCTGTATTTACGATGTCTACCAGGCACCCTTCTAGAGTCTGCAGCTCAGTAGACAGGTCAAGGTGGGATAAAATTTGGGAATCATTGGTATGTGTGTGGTATTCAGGGAACTGGATGAATCACTGTGACTCTAGGTCTTAGAGTGTTGGTCCTCAGCTACGGGTGATCTTGCCCCCTTCTTCCAGGGGACCCTTAGTGATGTCTGGAGATACTTTCTGTTACTGGTGATGGGAAGAGGTACAGTTTGCTTCCGGCATCCACTAGGCAGAGGCCAGGGATGCCACTCAACATAGCAGTGCACAGGCCAGCTCCCCACACATAGAGTTACCTGGCCCCGGACGTCAGTGGTGTCAAGGTTGAGAAACCCCCTACCCTAGAGTGAGTGTAGATAAAGCAGAAAAAAAGGAAAGTAAGCCCGGGGGCATTCTTCCATGCAGAGCTGGAGAGGAACAGTCTGCAAGGAAGAAGGGAAGCTTGGAGAGTGCTTTTTCTTGGGAGGGGAGAGTGTCTGGGGAAGAAACAATGCTCAGCCGTGTTACATGCTCCTAAGAGGCTGAGGCGTTTGAGCCCAGAGGGAAGTGACCAATGGCTTAGGCAAGATGGACATTGTTGATGACTTTGATACAGAGCAGTCTTTGTGGTTTGGTAGGGTTGGAAGCTCCAGGGGAACCAGCCTGGGCAACATAGTGAGACCCCATCTCTTAAAAAAAAATTAGCCGGCCATGGTGGCATGTGCCTGTAGTTCCAATTACGTAGGAGTCTGAGGTAGGAGGATCACTTGAGCCCAGGAGGTTGAGGCTGCAGCAAGCTATGATAGTGCCACTGCACTCCAACATGGGCAACAGAGCAAGACCTTGTCTCAAAAAAAGGCAGCAGCTCCAAAGAAGTAGGTTATGCCCATGGCCAGTACTCACTGAGTATTTCCTCCCTGCTTAGAATGCCTGACAAATGTGACTTCATGAATCCACATACACCAGGCAGGTACTGTCACCCTCATTATATAGAAGTGGCAATATTATTCTCACCCCCATTTTACAGAGGTGGGGACTGAGGCACAGAGAAGCTAACCACTCCTTAGGGCCAGGCAGCTGATAGTGAATCGCAGAGCCAGGATTCAGACCTAAAAGAGTTTGACTCCAGGGACAGCATAATTGGAGGTGAAGAAGTGGAGGCGGTAAATGAAACACCACGCTTTTGAGAGATGGTGTTTCTCTTTCCACGCTTCTGCTGGAAAGAAGAACAGATAGGTACAAGAGGATGTTTGCATGTCAACAGGAAGGACCCATGTGGAGGCTGAAACTGATGATGCTGTGGAGGGGGTGCTGAGAACTGAAGTCTTTGAGGAGGTGAGAAGGATCTGAGGTTTAAGTTGAGGTGCTGGCATTTCCCAGGAGCATCGTCTGGTAACTCTGAAGTGGAGCCTAACCGTTTAGAGCAAGATTACCCCTGGACTCAACTTCTCCCCTTCGCCATCCCCCACTGGCCTCCAGAGGCTCCACTCTGCTCTCCTTCTAGCCCTCTTGCTAAAAGATAGCTGGCCAGGTGCAGTGGCTCACACCTGTCATGCCAGCACTTTGGGAGGCCGAGGAGGGAGGATCACTTGTGGACAGGAGTTTGAGACCAGACTGGGCAACATAGTGTGAGACCCCCATCTCCACAAAATTCAAAACTTAGCCGGGCATGATGGCATACGCTGTAGTCCCAGCTACTCAGGAGGCTGAGGCCAGAGGATTGCTTGAGCCTGGGAGTTTGTGGCCGCAGTCAGCCATGATCACACCACCGTACTCAAGCCTGGATGACAGAAAAAGACCCTGTCTCAAAAATAAATAAAATAAAAGCCTTCCTACAGGAAGCTCCTGCACAGGCCTGACCCTTCCAGAAACAATTGGGCCCAGGAGCCAGTGTCCCAAGAGCAGCTCTGCCAACTGGAGCCCGAGCCTAGCTCTGGACACATCAGTGATTCTCCACCCAACAATGACTGTCGGGATCCTTAACGTAGAGGCCATCTGTGTTGGCCTCTGCAGTGTCATCAAAGGAGCCACACCAGGCTCCTTTGAACTCTCTTAGGTACTGCACTTGCCCCTGCTCCAAGCAGAATGTTCTTATCCTTTGTTTCGTCCTCTCTCCCCCTCCCTCTTCCTCTTGCCCAACCTTCTGTCTCAGTTTAGCAGTCACATCCTCAGACAACCCTTTTCCCATTCCCCCAACTAGGTGAGAACCTCCTGTTAGGTACTCCTGTCACAATGGATCCTACTTGTTTTTGTTTGTTTGTTTGTTTTTTTGAGACAAAGTTACTCTGTCACCCAGGCTGGAGTGCAGTAGTGCAGTCTCAGCTCACTGCAACCTCTGCCTCCCAGGTTCAAGAAATTCTCCTGCCTCAGCCTCCCGAGTAGCTGGGACTACAGGCATGCACCACCACACCCAGCTAATTTTTGTATTTTTAGTAGAGACGGAGTTTTGCCATGTTGGTCTTGAACTCCTGACCAAAGGTGATCTGCCTGCCTCAGCCTCGAAAAGTGCTGGGATTACAGATGTGAGCCACCACGCCCAGCTGATCCTCCTCCTTCTTTTTTTTTTTTTTTCAAGACAGGGTCTCACTCTGTTGCCCAGACGGGATTGTGGTGGTGTGATCACGGCTTACTGCAGCCCCACCTCCCAGCCTCAAGTGATTCTCCCACCTCAGCCTCCTGAGTTGCTGGGGCCACAGGCATGTGCCACCACACCTGGCTAGTTTAAGAATTTTTTTTTTTTTTTAGAGATGGGGTCTCACTATGTTGTCCAGGCTGGTCTTGAACCCCCAGCCTCAAGCAATCCCCCCTACCTTGGCCTCCTGAATAGCTGGGACTATAGGTGTATACCACCATGCCCAGCTAATTTGTATTACAGGGTCTTGCTATGTGGTCCAGGCTGGTCTTGAATTCCTGGGATCAAGTGATCCTCCTGCCTAGGCCTCCCCAAGTGCTGAGATTGCAGGCATGAGTCACTATGCATGGCCCTGAGATCTTTTATAGTGCTCTTGCATCTTGCAATTCTTTCTGCAAGTGTCTGCATTCCATGCTAGACTATAACCTTCATGAAGGCAGGTTTTGTTTACCACAGTTATTTCCAGTGCCTGGGACATAGTAGGTGCTCAGTAATTATTTGCTAAATAAGCAAATGAACTGGCAGCTGTTTTACAGCCCATGTGGTATGTATATGGCTCAGATAACGTTGTATTCAAGATTTTATTCTCTGCCCACATTTCACTACACATTTTTTTTTTTTTTTGAGATGGAGTCTTATTCTGTAGCCCAGGCTGGAGTGCAGTGGTGCAATCTTGGCTCACTTCAACCTCCGCCTCCCGGGTTCAAGTGATTCTCCTGCCTCAGCCTCCCAAGTAGCTGGGATTACAGGTGCCTGCCACCATTCCCAGGTAATTTTTGTATTTTTAGTAGAGATGGGGTTTCACCATGTTGGCCAGGCTGGTCTCAAACTCCTGACCTCAGGTGATCCACCTACCTCGGCCTCCCAAAGTGTTGGGATTACAGGCGTGAGCTACTGCGCCCAGCCAACTATACATTTTTGAAGCCCTCCTGATCACTTCCTTGGTTACTCTCATCTTTGTTTGAAGTTCAATATATTACTTTTTTTTTTTTTTTTTTTTTTTTTTTGGAGACAGAGTCTCACTCTGTCCCCCAGGCTGGAGTGCAATGGCATGATTCCGGCTCACTGCAACCTCTGCCTCCCAGGTTCAAGTGATTCTTTTGCCTCAGTCTCCCGAGTAGCTGGGATTACAGGTGTGCACCACCATGCCTGGCTAATTATTATTATTATTATTATTTTAGACAGAGTCTCGCTCTGTCACCCAGGCTGGAGTGCAATGGCATGATTTCAGCTCACTGCAGCCTCCGCCTCCTGGGTTCAAGCGACTCTCCTACCTCAGCCCCCTGAGTAGCTGGGACTATAGATGTGCACCACCATGCCTGACTAATTTTTGTATTTTTAGCAGAAACAGGGTTTCACCATGTTGGCCAGGCTTCTCTTGAACTCCTGACCTTAGGTGATCCACCTGCCTCGGCCTCCTAAAGTGCTGGGATTACAGGTGTGAGCCACCACTCTTGGCCAATTTTTTTTTTTTTTTTTTTTTTTTTTAGTAGAGATGGGGTCTTGCCATTGTTGGCCGGGCTGGTCTTGAACTCCTGGCCTCAAGTGATCCACCCGCCTCGGCCTCCCAAAGTCCTGGGATTACAGGCGTGAGCCACCACGCCTGGCTAGATATGTTGTATTTAAGATTTTATTCTCCTCTGCGCACTATATTTCACTATACAGTTTTGAAGCATTCCTGATCATTTACATGATTACTGTCATCTTTGCTTGAAGGTATGTTAAAAAAGAGTTTAATTCATTATATTACTTTGTGGTCATTCATCTAAAATAGAGTTATGTTACCCTTGTGTGTTATTGATTCTTCCCAGCAGGATGCCTGGTTTGCTTTTATGTGAACCAACAGAGCTTTACAACATCCTGAATCAGGCCACAAAACTCTCCAGATTAACAGACCCCAACTATCTCTGTTTATTGGGTAAGTACTTGGAAAAAAGCGGAGGAGGTCAAACACAGTGTCCTTCAAACATTATTTTTGATGAGTTAACAAACTTTTGGCGGGGTGGGGGGCAGTGAATGACTTTAGAACAGGGATCCCTGGGCTGGGTGTGGTGGCACACGCCTGTAATCCCAGCACTTGGGAAGGCCAAGGTGGGCGAATCACTTGAAGCCAGGAGATCAAGACCAGCCAGGCCAACAGGGCAAAACCCCATCTCTACTAAAAATACAAAAAAATTAGCTGCAGTGGTGCATGCCTGTAATCCCAGCTACTCAGGAGGCTGAGGCATGAGAATTGCTTGAACCTGGAAGGTGGAGGTTGGAGTGAGCCGAGATTTGGGCCACTGCATTCCAGCCTGGGTGACAGAGTGAGACCCTGTCTCAAAAAAGAAAAAAAAAAATAAAAAAGAAGTCCGCAACCCCCAACCCCCAGTACCAGTCTGTGGTCTGTTAGGAACCAGGCAGCACAGCAGGAGGTGAGCAGCAGGTGAGCAGGTGAAGCAGAAGCTTCATCTGTATTTACAGCCACTCCCCATCGCTTGCATTACCGCCTGAGCTCCACCTGCTGTCAGATCAGCAGCAGCATTAGATTCTCACAGGAGCGCAAACCCTACTGTGAAGTGTGCATTCAAGGGATCTAAGTTGCGCTCTCCTTGTGAGAATCTAATGCCTGATGATCTGTCACTATCTCCTGTCACCCCCAGAAGGGACCGTCTAGTCACAGGAAAACAAGTTCAGGGTTTCCACTGATTCTACATGATGGTAGAATTATTTCATTATATATTACAATGTAATAATAATAGAAATGCACAAAAAATGTAATGGGCTTGAGTCATCCCCAAACCATCCCCGCCCCCCAGCCCACTGCCCTGTTCCGTGGAAAAATTGTCTTCCATGAAACCAGTCCCTGGTGCCAAAAAGATTGGGGATCGCTGCTTTAGAAAGCTGTTAAGAGGCCAGGTGTGGTGGCTTGTGCCTGTAATCCCAGTGTTTTGGGAGGCCGAGGTGGGCGGATCAACTGAGGTCAGGAGTTTGAGACCAGCCTGGCCAACATGGTGAAACCCCGTCTCTACTAAAAATACAAAAATTAGCCGGGTGTGGTGGCATGTGCCTGTGGTCCCAGCTACTAGGGAGGCTGAGGCAGGAAAATCGCTTGAACCCAGGAGACGGAGATTGCAGTGAGCCGAGATCATGCCACTGCACTCCAACCTGGATGGGGATTTAGTGTGAGCTCACTTCAAATTTGATTTCTTCCTTCCCCTTACCATTTTTATTTATTTATGAGACAGAATCTTGTTCTGTTGCCCAGGCTGGAGTGCAATGGTGTGATCTTGGCTTGCTGCAACCTCAGCCTCCAGATTTAAGTGATTCTCCTTCAGCCTCGTGAGTAGCTGGGACTACAGGCGCTGCCACCACGCCCGGCTAATTTTTGTATTTTTAGTAGAGATGGGATTTCGCCGTGTTGGCCAGGCTGGTCTTGAACTCCTGGCTCAAGTGATCCACCTGCCTCGGCCTTCCAAAGTGCTGGGGTTACAGGTGCATGCCACCGCGCCCAGCCCCACATCTCAAGTTTTAAACTGACAATGACTATCCCTTAACTGCCAAACAAATAGACGTTGATGACGACGTAGGTCCTCTGAGTAGTTTGGTCGTATGTTCCTTTGCAAATTCAGTTCTTAAATACGTTTCCTTTCCAGATGTCCGTTCCAAATGGGAGTATGACGAAAGCCATGTGATCACTGCCCTTCGAGTGAAGAAGGTACATGGGCAGCGTCAGGATCTGGGGCAGGCTGGCTACCTTGCAGTGGGGTGGGGAAGAGTGGGAAGTTTCACCCTCAATCCAGCGGGCAGCAGAAGCAGGACTGTTTTCTATGTGCCCACCGTGGTGGTCTTCCACACCTCTCACCCTCACACATTTTCTCAGGTGTCCTCCCATCCCCCAAGAATGGTCAACAACTCCATTAGACAAATACTGATTTAATTTTTGAGACCGGGTCTCGCTCTGTCATCCAGGCTGGAGTGCAGTGGCACAATCATAGCTCACTGCGGCCTTAAACTCCTGGGCTTGGCTGGGCATGGTGGTTCATGCCTGCAGTCCCAGCACTTTGTGAGGCTGAGACGGGCAGATCACCTGAGGTCAGGAGTTCAAGACCAGACTGGCCAACATGGTGAAACCCCATCTCTATTAAAAATACAAAAATTAGCCAGGTGTGGTGGCTTACGCCTGAGTCCCAGCTACTCAGGAGGCTGAGACATGAGAATCGCTTGGACCTGGGAGGCGGAGTTTGTAGTGAGCTGAGATCACGCCACTGTACTCTAGCCTGGGCAACAGAGTGAGTGTTGGTCTAAAAAATATATATATATCTCCTGGGCTCGAGCAATCCTACGCCGCTCAGCCTCCAGAGTAGCTGAGACTACAATGGGGAATGCCACCAGGCCTGGCTAATTTTTGTATTTTTTATAGAAATGGGGTTGCACTGTGTTGCCCAGGCTGCTCTTGAACTCCTGGACTCAAGCCATCCTCCTGCCTTAGCCTCCCAAAGCGCTGGGATTACACATGTGAGCCGCCTAAGCCTGGCCAAATATTGATTTAATTCCTTGATATGCCAGGTATTGTTCCAGACCCTGGGGATACAACAGAATACAACAGCCTGAGTTCATTGTCCCTGCCGTTGTGGAGCTTTCTTTTTTTGTTGTTTTTAATTATTTTTTCTGTTTTTATGTGTTGTTTTTATATATTTTTTTCATTTTTATCTTTATTTTTGGAGCTTTATGTTGTAAATTTTTAGGGACAGGGTCTTGCTCTGTCACCCGGGCAGGGGTGCAGTGGCACAATCATGGCTTGAACTCCTGGGTTCAATCAACCCTCCTATCTCAGCCTCCTGAGTAGCTGGGACTGCAGACTTGTGCCAACATGCTAATTTTTTTTTTTTAAAGACAGGATCTTATTATGTTGCCCAGGCTGTCATGGACCTTCTCTTCTATTTAGCAAACAGACAATAAACCCTAGAGATAATTGGCTATAATCCAAAGATGGAAGCATCTCCCTTTTTTCCTTCCCATCCCCTCCCCTCTTCCATTCCCCTCCTGTCCCCTCTTCCCTTCCCCATCCTGAGGAGTGGACAGAGCCCTGCACACAGTCACCATGTCCCCTACTGCAGCGAAACCTTTTCCCCACGCCTCCAGGGTGTCTTCTCCCTCATGATTGTGAAGCCTGGCAGCCTTTGCCCAGGACCCGTCTCTCCCCTCTGCAGTCCTGATCAAATTCTCTGCCCTGAACTTGGAGGTTCTCTTTGACTTTCCTGGTTTCTTTTCTTTATTCTTTTTTTTTTTCTTTTGAGACAGAATCTCTCCCTGTCACCCAGGCTGGAGTGCAGTGGCACAATTTCGGCTCACTGCAACCTCTGCCTCCCAGGTTCAAATGATTCTCCTGCCTCAGCCTCCAGCCTGTAGCTGGGATTACAGGCGTGCGCCACCACACCTGGCTAATTTTTTCTTATCTTTTTTTGTATCTTTAGTAGAGACAGGGTTTCACCATGTTGGCCAGGCTGGTCTGGAACTCCTGACCTCGTTATCTGCCTGTCTTAGCCACCCAAAGTGCTGGGATTGCAGGCGTGAGCCTGGCCTCCTGGTTTATTTTCTATCTCTTTGGTTCACCTTCATTTTCTCCTTCTGCCACCTGAATGTAACTGCTGGTCTGTCCTTGATCTCCACATCTGTCAGGGTACTTTCTTGCCAGAGATTTCACTGGAGCTTACAGCTGCAATGACATATCCACATGCAATTAGCATTCCTGGCAAGTTTACATCTAAAATTTTGGGCGGGGCATGGAGGCTTACTCCTGTAATCCTAGCACTTTGGTTGGCCGAAGCAGGAGGATTGCTTGAGTCCAGGAGTTCAAGACCAGCCTGGGCAACATAGCAAGACCCCTGTCTCTACAAAAAAATTGAAAAATTAACTCAGTGTGGTGGGGCACCTCTGTAGTACCAGCTACTTGGGAGGCCGAGATGGGAGGATCACTTGAGTCCAGGAGGCTGATTGCACCACTGCACTCCAGCCTGGGCGACAGAGCAAGACCCTGTCTCAAAAGTAATAAAATAAAACTTTGTCTTCTAAAATTCCCCTTTCCTCCCCATTCCCGCTGTACTTTTCCACACCCTGTCTCTGCTGCTTTTTTTTTTTTTTTTTTTTTTTTTTTTTTTTTTTTTGGAGACAGAGTCTTGCTCTGTCCTCCAGGCTGGAGTGCAGTGGTGCAATCTCAGCTCGCTGCACGCTCCACCTCCCGGGTTAACGCCATTATCCTGCCTCAGCCTCCCGAGTAGCTGGGACTATAGGCGCCCGCCACCATGCCTGGCTAATTTTTTGTATTCGTAGTAGAGACGGGGTTTCACCGTGTTAGCCAGGATGCTCTCGATCTTCTGATCTCATGATCCGCCCACCTCAGCCTCCCAAAGTGCTGGAATTACAGGCGTGAGCCACCGCGCCCGGCCTCTGTGCTGCTTTTTCTGCACATAACTCAATAACTCAGCAGGGAGCATGGGCAGGCTGTATTTTTCCAGGATATTTCCCCGTACAAATCCATCATTATTGTCTTTTTGTCTTTTTGTGTTTTTGAGACAGAATCTTGCTCTGTCTGTCTGCCCGGTGCAGTGGTACAATCTCAGCTCACTGCAACCTCCATCTCCCAAGTTCAAGGGATTCTCCTGCCTCAGCCTCCCTCGTAGCTGGGGTTACAGGCACCCGCCACCACACCTGGCTAATTTTTATATTTTTAGTAGAGATGGAGTTTCGCCATGTTGGCCAGGCTGGTCTTGAACTCCTGACCTCAGGTGATCCACCCGCCTTGACCTTCCAAAGTGCTGGGATTACAGGCATGAGCCACCACACCAGGCCCATAATCTTACTCTTAATCCCCATTGCAGGCCTTTTGCTGCAACCGATTCAGAGCCCCTCATGATGTATGGGCCTCTATTCCCACTCAGCTCTCAAGTCTGTGCATTTCTTTGATTCTGGCAGCACCTCCTGCTCTGGGCCTCTGCCCCTCAGCGTCTCCAATTCAGACTGATAGCTTTTTTTTTTTAATTTTTATTTTTATTTTTTGAGACAAAGTCTTGCTCTTGTCGCCCAGGCTGGAGTGCAGTGGCGCACTCTTGGCTCTTGCCTTCCCTCTCTAGCTTCCCAGTTAGCAGATTGAGGCCTTCAGGGCATTCCCAGCCCTAGCAGGACAGAAAGGCTCCCAGCCCCACCCCCCTCCCGCCCGTGTTCTCAGCCTTCTTAGATCTGACCACCTCTGTCTCCAGCCTCATTCCCAGTACACTTCCACTCTCACCTGACACCTTAGCAGCACTGTGCTGCCATGTTTCCTTCTATGATGCACATGTATCCCATACTGTAACTTTTTTTTGAAAACAGAATATGTCGTACTGTTGAATTTTTTTTTTTTTTTTTTTTTGAGACAGAGTCTCACTCTGTCGCCCAGGCTGGAGTGCAGTGGTACGATCTTGGCTCACTGCAACCTCCGCTTCCCAGGTTCAGGCAATTCTTCTGCCTCAGTCTCCCAAGTAGCTGGGACTACAGGCGCATACCACCACACCTGGCTAATTTTTGCATTTTTAGTAGAGATGGAGTTTCACCATATTGGTCAGGCTGGTCTCAAACTCCTGACCTTGTGATCCGCCTGCCTTGGCCTCCCAAAGTGCTGGGATTACAAGTGTGAGCCACCGCACCTGGCCAATTTGTATGGCTTTTTTTTGTTTTGTTTTTTTTGTTTTGTTGTTTTGTTTTGAGACAGGGTCTCACTCTCTCGCTTAGGCTGGAGTGCAATGGCACCATCACAGCTCACTGCAGCCTTAAACTCCCAGGATCAAGCAGTCCTCCCACCTTACCCTTCCCAGTAGCTGGGACCATAGGTGTGCACCACCACACCCAGCTAACTTGTATTTTTTGTAGAGATGGGGTCTCGCTATGTTACCCAGGCTGGTCTTGAACGCCTGGGCTCAAGCAGTCCTCCCTCCTCAGCCTCCCATAGTGCTGGGATGACAGGCATGAGCCACCAGGCCTGGCCTGATTTGTACTTTTAATATGGTAGTGTCTTTTTCCCTAAAAGTGGGTGTGGTGAATATCGGTTGTTTTTCTGCCCAACACCTCCCCCTTTTTGAGGGGAACGTCTCCTCTCTCTGCTCAAACCATGGGTTTCTAGTGGTGCTCTCTAAAGTAATATTCTGGCCAGGCACGGTGGCTTAAGTCTGTAATCCCAACACTTTGGGAGGCCGAGGTGGGGAGTTTGCTTGAGCTCAAGAGTTTGAGACGAGCCTGGACAACACAGTGGGACCTGAGAAGGCATCTGTTTACTGCCTTCTTTTTAAGTGGTGGTGGTGTTCTTGTTGTTTTGAGACAGTTTCACTCTGTTGCCCAGGCTTGAGTGCAGTGACGCGATCTCGGCTCACTGCAACCTCTGCCTCCCGGGTTCAAGCCATTCTCCTGCCTCAGCCTCTTTGGTAGCTGGTACTATAGGCGTGTGCCACCACACCTGGCTAATTTTTGTATTTTTAGTAGAGATGAGGTTTCACCATGTTGGCCAGGCTGATCTCGAACTGACCTCAGGTGATCCGCCCACCTTGGCCTCCCAAAGTGCTGGGATTACAGACATGAGCCTCCGCGCCCGGCCTTGTTGGTTTGAGACAAGTCTTGCTGTCACCCAGGCTGGAGCGCAGTGATGCAATCATAGCTCACTGCAGCCTCCACCTCCCAGACTCAAGTGATCCTCTCACCTCAGACTCCCGAGTAGCTGGGACTACATGTGCACCCTCCCACACCCGGCTTTTTTTGTCTCTACAAATATATCTATATATATAGATATAAATATATAAATTAGCCAAGTATGGTGGTGCATGCCCGTGGTCCCAGCTACTCAGGAGGCTGAAGTGCGAAGATCATTTGAGCCCAGGAATTCAAGGCTGCAGTGAGCGGTGACTGCACCACTGCAGTCCAGCCTGGGCAACAGAGTGAGACCCTGTCTCTAAAATAAAATAATATCCAGAACGCTGGCCACAGTGATTGGTCCTGGGTCTGGGATGAAAGCTGAGCCAATCAGAATTGGAATTAGAAGAAAGGTGTCTCTGTCCAGCCTGGTGGTGGAATTGGGAAGATGGGAGTCTGAGCATTGCTGGGGTTCGTGACTTAAGCCTCTGGAGGAAGCTGTCTGAGAAGGGGAAGTCAGTGTGGAGGGGTGGAGTGGGAAGCAGAGAGGAAGAGAGCCCGAAGGAAGTCTGGGCTTTAGGGTCTCTGGGTCCTAAAGCCAGCTGCTTTAGGTTTGGAAACCGGCTGCATCTTTGCCTTACCCTGGAGTGTTACCTGCCAGTAAGTCCCTCTTTTGTGCACACTCCTGGTTAAATTGTTAGTACATCTTATGATCCATGAGGTTTTTTGTTTGTTTGTTTGTTTTGTTTTGTTTTTGTTTTATTTTTGTTTTTTTGGGACATAGTCTCACTCTGTTACCCAGGCTGGAGTGCAGTGGTGCAATCATAGCTCACTGCAGCTTTGAACTCCAGGGCTCAAGCGATCCTCCCACCTCAGCCTCCCAGGTAGCTGGGATTATAGGCATGAGCCACCATGGCCAGCCACATTTGATCTTCTAGTCTATCTCATTCCTTCTGCTCACTCATGACTTCTGCTTCTACACACTGTCTACTTACTGTCCTTTTTTGGGGTGTTTTTTGTCTTGTTGTTGTTGTTTTGGGACAGGGTCTTGCTCTGTCACCCAGACTGGAGTGCAGTGACACAATCGCAGCTCACTGCAGCCTCCGCCTCCTGGGCTCAAGTGATCCGTCCACTTCAGCCTCCTGAGTAGTAGGGACTACAGGCGCATGCCACTATGCCTGGCATTTTTGTATTTTTTTTTTTTTCATAGAGTCGGGGATCTTGCTGTTGTCCAGGCTGGTCTGGAACTCCTGGCCTCAAGCAATCCTCCTGCCTTGGCCTCCTGAAGTGCTGGGATTACAGGTGCAAACCACTGCATCCAGTCTGGTATTTCTGGATTCAATCTCCACTGCCAAACACTCTCCCCATGAGAAAGGATATCACTAATTCAATTGACCATGGTTTCTCTGACACCAGGGTACCTAATAGGCTGTGGATCAGTCAGCAGACCAGCTGTTCTTTGGTCAGGCACTTCTCTCTGGTCCAGTCAGCTGTGGTCAGCTTTTCTCAGAAGGGAACACAGTTGTGGAGGATCCTTGGGATTTAACAGACTCTCCATCCACTGTCTCAGTGCTTCTGGGCCTGTGTGTATAGTCAGGGGAGAGAGTGCGGTCTTAGCTCCTCCCAGTGCTGCTATGCAGGGAGTCTCTGCTCAACCGAACCTGCCCACCAACAGGCCTCTCTTGTGTGTGTGTGTTTTTTTTTTTAAGAAAAATAATGAATATCTTCTCCCGGAGTCTGTGGACCTGGAGTGTGTGAAGTACTGCGTGGTGTATGATAACAACAGCAGCACCCTGGAGATACTCTTAAAAGATGATGATGATGATTCAGACTCTGATGGTGATGGCAAAGGTGGGTTTTATGCAACAGCAGCAAGAATAATAGTTAACGGCTATTGAACAAATTTGTTATAGGACCAACAGGTTCATATGCCCATGGCACGGGAACAGGCCAATGACACTGAGACAGCAGGGTTTGCGTCAGAAAAAGAGCTTCATGATCACTGGATACCGAGCAAGGAGATGGGAGGAGGCCCTCAAATACATTTCCCCAAGGAGTTTGGAATGGGGTTTTTAAGGGGATTGGGGAGGGTGAGGGACTGGAAAGTTGGGGTCATTGATTGGTTGAGGAAAGGGGGATGAAATAATCAGGACGTGGAAACTGCGTTCTTTGGTGAGTCAGCTCCTGTGGGGCCCGTCAGACCAGCTGATGTCAGTGGTTTCATCAGTACGCGGGACCTGAAAGAATATCTCAAAGGGAAAACAGTGTTCCATGATGTTCAAGTTGTCACCTACAGAGCAGTTAAGGGGAACTATATTCTTGGCCGGGCGCGGTGGCTCATGCCTGTAATCCCAGCACTTTGGGAGGCCGAGGCGGGCGGATCACAAGGTCAGGAGATTGAGACCATCTTGGCTAACACGGTGAAACTCCGTCTCTACTAAATACACAAAAAATTAGCCGGGCATGGTGGCAGGCGCCTGTAGTCCCTGCTAGCTACTTGGGAGGCTGAGGCAGGAGAATGGCGTGAACCCAGGAGGCAGAGCTTGCAGTGAGCGGAGATCACGCCACTGCACTCCAGCCTGGGCGACAGAGCGAGACTCCTTCTCAAAAAAAAAAAAAAATTCTTGTAACAGGGTCTTATGTGATTCTAGGACAATACACATCAAACAGCTGTGAGCAAGCAGGTTGGAGAGCAAGCAAGGTGACTTAGTGATGAATGCTGAATGTGCTGCAAGCTTGCTTTATTTTCATTTGTTCCCCTCCCTTCTTTGCTGATTTCACAAAGTTTATGGGGACAGTTCCATGTGTGCCATGCACCAGGAACCAAGGGCTTTACTTGGATCTGCAGAACAGCTTACAAGGACGCTAACTAACATCAAGAGCTGTGAGGAAGCCAGGCCCAGTGACTCATACCTGTAGTCCCAGCACTTGGGGAGGCTGAGGCAGGAGGATCACTTGAGCCCAGGAGTTCAAGACCAGCCTGGGTGATATGGCAAGATAAGGTACCCAGCTCATTTATTTACTTTTTGTAAAGACTGGGTCTTGCTGTGTTGCCTGAGACTTAAGCTTTTAAAAGTGTTGTGGACATATTTTTAAACCACCACACCTATAAGTGGTGGGGCCAGGATTCAAACCCAGGCCTTTTTGGCTCTGTCCTGTCCCCCAGGGATTGGGTAGTGGCACGAGAGCATGCAGCCCCAAGTCAGAACATTAAAGCGTGGTCAGTTCCAATGTGCTCCATCGAACCTCTGAGGCTCTGCTGTGTTCTTCATTAGCCCCTGGTTTTGGGCTGACCACCCTTTGCCATTGGCACTGGGAGCTCTGCTTCTAGGAATCAGAACTGCACCTGTGGGTGCCGTTCCAGAAGCTGGGGGCACTCACACCAACTGCCACGGGGTGGCGCTATGCTCCCACCTTTCATAAAACCAGCTGTCTGGACTTTTGTCCCAGGAGGTCCTTGGCCAGGAAATTGTCCCTTCTTCCCTAAGCTCATCCTGTTGGGCTCTGGTCTGCAATCCTAGGACTGTAGGCTAGGCCTTGAAACCCTAGGAGATGGTACTCAACATGGATAATCCCCTTTACATTCTATAACTGACCTTACTTTGCTATGGGGCCCCCATTCACAGGAAACCACAACCACACAACTTGTGCATTCAAGGCAACTTTTCTTGTTTCAAATGGCATCTTTCAGGTCAATGAAAAGTCTTTGGGGGTACAAGACCATCTCAAGGCTTCTCTCAACACCCCCTTCTTTCTTTTTTTTTTTTTTTTTTTGAGTCAGGGTCTCGCTTTGTTGCCCAGGCTGGTCTCGAACTCTTGGCTTCAAGCAATTCTCTTGCATTGGCCTCTCAAAGTGCATGGATTACAGGCATGAGCCACCATGCCTGGCCTGAACTCTGACTTCTGAGCCAGGCCCTGTGGGGTGAGCTTTGGCTCCTGTCTTGAGAGCTGCAGATTCTCTCTCAGCCTGGCTGCAGATTCCAGATTCTTCCTGTCAATGCCATCTCTCAGATAGGTCCCAGCCACTTATATCCTCCACAGCCCCTTCTGGAAGTGTCTTTGTCTCCCTGAACAAAAATTCAATATGGAAGCAGAGTTAGCCAGGCACGGTGCCTCACACTCGTAATCCCAGCACTTTGTGAGGCTGAGGCAGGAGGGTTGCTTGAAGCCAGGAGTTTGAGACCACCCTGGGCAACATAGCAAGGCCCCGTCTCTACCAAAAATACAAAAAAAAAAATTTAGCCAGGCATGGTGGTGCATGCCTGTAGCACCAGCTACTCAGGAGGCTGAGGCAGGAGGATCACTTGAGCCCAGGTGGTCAAGGCTGCAGTGAGCTATGACTGTACCACTGTATTCTAGCCTGGCTGACAGCGTAAGACCCTGTCTCTAAAAAAAACGTATTTAAAAAAAAAAAAAAAAGAAAAAAACAGTTAGAGTTCATGCTGTTTTCTTTCTCCTTTTATCTGGCTCTCTGAAGTCTGCCACACACTATTTCTCTTTCTGGGCCAGAACCTGGCCTCAGGATATCTTGGTTTAAGGATGTCTTGGCTTAGCCTTAATTATGCAAACTTCCTGTCACATATATCTAATTTACATGCAGTCTGATTGTGATTCTGCAGATCAATGAAGGTGTTTAAGATTAAATTGATGTCAAAACCACATTGAGATATTATTCACGCCCACTGGGATGGTAATAATCAAAGAGACAGATGATAATAAGTGTTGGTGAGAACATGGAGAAATTGGAAGCCTCATACACTGCGAACCAGAAAGTAAAATGGTGCAGTCACTGGAAAACAGTGTGGTGTTTCTTTAGAAGGTTAAGATATAGACCCCAAAGTAATGAAAACACATCCACACCAAAGCTTTTACATGAATGTTCATAGCAGTGTTATTCATAATAGCCAAAAAGCACGAACAACCTAAGTGTCTATCAGCAGCTAAACAGGTAGAACAGAATGTGGTCTGTCCACACAATGGAATATTACTCAGCCATAAAAAGGAATGGGGCTGGGCGCTGTGGCTAATAATGCCTGTAATCCCAGCACTTTGGAAGGCCAAGGCGGGAGGATCACCTGAGGTCAGGAGTTCAAGACCAGCCTGGCCAATGTGGTGAAACCCCATCTCTATTAAAAATACAAAAATTAGCTGGGCGTGGTGGCATGTGCCTGTAATCCCAGCTACTAGGGAGGCTGAGGTAGGAGAATCACTTGAACCTGGGAGGCAGAGGTTGCAGTGAGCCGAGTTTGTGCTATTGTACTCTAGCCTGGACAACAGAGTGAAACTCGGTCTCAAAAAAAAAAAAATAAAAGTACTGACATGTGCTATAATGTAGATGAACACTAAAGAGATCATGGTAAGTGATAGAAGTTAGATGCAAAACATCACATATTATTCCATTTATATGAAAAGTCCAGAATAGGCAAATCCATAGAAATGAGTGGTTAAGTGGAGCTGGGAGTTTGGGGAAAAACGGGTGTGGCTGATTAGTGGTACAGGGTCCCTTGTAGGGGTGATGAAAATGTTCTAAAATTAGGCCGGGCACTGTCGCTCACACCTGTAGTCCCAGCACTTTGAGGGGCTGAGGTGGGAGGATTGCTTGAGCCCAGGAGTCGAGACCAGTCTGGGCAACATAGTGAGACTCTGTCTCAAATAAATACTAAAAATAGAAGAAAACATTCTAAAATTGATTGTGGGGGATGGTTGCATAACTCTGAATATACTAAAAGTCACTGAATTGTATATTGAACCCATCACCCAGGTAGTGAGCATAGAACCCAATAGGTAGTAGGTAGTTTTTCTTTTTTCTTCTGTCTTGCCTTTTTTTTTTTTTTTGAGATGGAGTTTTGCTCTTGTTGCCCAGGTTGGAGTGCAATGGTGTGATCTTGGCTCACTGCAGTCTCTGCTTCCCCTCAGCTTCCCAAGTAGCTGGGAATACAGGTGCGCACCACCCCACCCGGCTATTTTTTTGTATTTTCAGTACAGACAGGGTTTCGCCATCTTGGCCAGGCTGGTCTCAAACTCCTGGCCTCAGATGATGCACCCGCCTTGGCCTCCCAAAGTATTGGGATTACAGGTGTGAGCCATCGCGCCTGGCCCCAGTAGGTAGTTTTTCAACCCCTGTCCCTCTCTCTCTGTCCTCCTCGTATTCTTCAGGGTGTGTTGTTCCGCATCTTTATTTCTATATGCTTCTGATGTTTAGCTTGCACTTATAAATGAGAACATGTGGTATCTGGTTTTCTATATCTGTGTTAGTTCGTTTAGGATGATGGCCTCCAGCTCCATCCATGGTGCTGCAGAGGACATGATTTTGTTCTTTTTTTATAGCTGTGTAGTATTCTGTGGTATATGTTAACCACATTTAAAAAATCCAATCTGGGGCCGGGCACGGTGGCTCATGCCTGTAATCCTAGCACTTTGGGGGGCCAAGGCGGGTGGATCACTTGAGGTCAGCAGTTTGAGACCAGCCTGGCTAACATAGTGAAACCCCGTCTCTACTAAAAATACAAAAATTAGCTGGGCATGGTGGTGCATGCCTGTAATCCTAGCTACTCGAGAGGCTGAGGCAGGAGAATTGATTGAACCCAGGGAGGTGGAGGTTGCAGTGCGCCGAGATCGTGCCATTGCACTCCAGCCTGGGCGACAAGAGCGAGACTCCATCTAAAAAAAAATTAAATAAATAAATAAATAAATACAATCCGTTGTTGATGGGCCCTTGAGTTGATTCTATGTCTTTGCTGTTGTCAGTAGTGCTGCAGTGAACATATGGGTGCAGGTATCCTTTTGGTGTAACAATATATTTTCTTTTGGATGTGTACATAGTAATGGGATTGCTGGGTTGAATGGTAGTTCTATTTTTGGTTCCTTGACAAATCTCAAACTCCTTTCCACAGGGGCTGAACTACTTTACATTCCCACCAACAGTATGTAAGTGTTCCTTTTCTCCATAGCCCTGTCAACATCTATTATTTTTTGGCTTTCTAATAAAAGCCATTCTGACTGATGTGAGAAGGTTATCTCATTGTGGTTTTGATTTGCATTTCTCTGATGATTAGTGATGTCAAGCATTTTTTCACGTTCGTTGGCTGCTTGTATGTCTTTTGAAAAGTGTCTGTTTATGTCCTTTGCCCACTTTTTAATAGAGTTGTGTATTAGAGTTCTCTAGAGGGACAGAACTAATAGGAGATATATATATGTGTGTGTGTTTTTATATATATACGTGTATATATATGCGTATATATGTATATATGTGTATATATGCGTATATATGTATATATGTGTATACGTATAGATATACGTATATATACACACATACGTATATACGCTATATATGTGCACACATACGTATAGATATACGTGTATATATACACACATATGTATAGATATACGTGTATATATACACATGTATGTATAGATATACATATATACACACATACATATAGATATACGTATATCTATACACACATAATTATATATATGTATCCCTATACATGTACATATGTATAGATATACATATATCTATAAATGTACATATGTATATACTTATATCTATACATGTACATATGTATAGATATATGTGTGTGTATATATATGCGTGTATATGTAGATACATGTGTATCTATATATATGGGAGTTTGTTAAGGAGTATTAACTCGTGTGATCACAAGGTCCCACAATAGGCTGTCTGCAAGCTGAGGAGCAAGGAAGCCAGTGTGAGTCCCAAAGCTGAAGAACTTGGAGTCCAATGTTTGAGGACAGGAAGCATCCAGCAAGGGAGAAAGATGTAGGCTGGGAGGCTAGGCCAGTCTAGTGTTTTCATGTATTTCTGGTTGCTTTATGTTGTAGCTGTACTGGCAGCTGATTAGATGGTGCCCACTCAGATTGAGGGTGGGTCTGCCTCTCCCAGTCCACTGACTCAAATGTTAATCTCCTTTGGCAACACCCTCACAGACACGCCCAGGATCAGTACTTTGCATCCTTCAACCCAATCAAGTTGACACTCAGTATTAACCATCAGAGGTTGTTTGGTTTTTGCTTCTTGATTTCAGTTCCTTATAGATTTTGGATATTGGATCTTTGTTGGATGCATAGCTTGTGGATACTTTCTCCCATTCTGCAGGCTGTTTGTTTACTCTGGTAGTTTTTCTTGCTGTGCAGAAGCACTTTCGTGTCCTTAGGTCCCACTTGTCAATTTTTGTTTTGTTGCAATTGCTTTGGAGGACTTAGCCAAAAATTATTTGCCAAGGCCAATGTCAAGAAGGGTATTCCCTAGATTTTCTTCTAGGATTTCTATAGTTTTCAGGTGTTACATTTAAGTCTTTAATCTATCTTGAGTTGATTTTTGTATATGGTGATAGGGGTCCAGTTTCATTCTTCTGCATATGGATAGCCAGTTATCTTAGTACCATTTATTGACCAATAAGTGGGAGTCCTTTCCCCTTTCCTGTTCTTTGAGACAAGGTCTTGTTCTGTCTCCAAGGCTGTAGTGCAGTGGCACGACCATTGCTCACTACAGCCTCAACCTCCCTGGCTCAGGTGATCCTCCTGCCTCAGCCTCTCTAGTAGCTGGAACTGCAGGTGCCCGCCACCACACTCAACTAATTTTTTGAATTTTATTTGTGGAGGCGGGGTCTTTCCATGTTGCCTAGGTTGGTCTCAAACTCCTGGGCTCAGGCAATTCTCCTGCCTCTGCCTCCCAAGGTTCTGGGATTATAGATGTAAACCACCATCCCCAGCCTCCATTGCTTATTTTTGTCAACTTTGTTGAAGATCAGATGGTTATAGGTGTGTGGCTTTATTTCTGGGTTATCTATTTTGTTCCATTGGTCTATATGTTTTGAATTGCACACTTTAAATGGGTGAATTGTGTGATACACAACATACAGTTGACATATATATGTGGTATAAATATAATATATACATGTATATAATATGTAAACCATATGTATGCATATGAGTGGTTAACGAGCTGGCAGTTTCTGTAAACTCTGAGATATATGTATTGTATGACATCATACAATACATATATCTCAGAGTTTGCAGAAAAGAAGATTAACTTAGGCTGAGCACACCTGTAATCTCAGCACTCTGGGAGGCTGAGGCAGGTAGATTGCTTGAGCTCAGGAGTTCAAGACAAGCCTGGGCAAAAAAGTGAGACACTGTCTCTACAAAACAATACAAAATTTAGCCAGGTGTGGTGGTGCGCACCTATAGTCCCAGCTACTCGGGAGGCTGAGGTGGGAGGATGGTGTGAGCCCAGGAGCTGGAGGTTGCAGTGAGCCGAGATTGTACCACTGCACTCCAGCCAGATGGAGTGAAGCCCAGTCTCAAAAACAAAAACAAAAAAAACCCGGTGGTAAGCTACTTTTAAAATTTTAATATGATGCATCTCTATACTTGCTTCAGCTTCCTAAATAATTGCATTTCAAGCCGGGCATGGTGGCTCACGCCTGTAATCTCAGCACTTTGGGAGGCCGAGGCTGAAGGATCACCTGAGCTGAGGAGTTCAAAACCAGGCTGGCAAACATGGTGAAACCCTGTCTATACTAAAAATAAAAAATTAGCCAGGCATGGTGGGCGCCTGTAGTCCCAGCTACTTGGGAGGCTGAGGCAGGAGAATCGCTTGAACCCAGGAGGCAGAGGTTGCAGTGAGCCGAGATCGCACCACTGCACTCCAGCCTGGGCGACAGAGTGAGACTCTGTCTCAGAAAATAAATAAAATAATTGCATTTCAGAAGAAAGTGGTCATCTATCCCAGCTCTAGACCAATGGCAGATACACAGGAGACATTCATGTCTTTGGTCTCCACTCTCAGATCTTGTGCCTCAAGCAGCCATTGAGTATGGCAGGATCCTGACCCGCCTCACCCACCACCCCGTCTACATCCTGAAAGGGGGCTATGAGCGCTTCTCAGGCACGTACCACTTTCTCCGGACCCAGAAGATCATCTGGATGCCTCAGGTAGGGCCAAATGCTGAGCACAGGCAGGCCCAGACGGGAAGGATGGGCCTAGAAACTGACTTGTGGGTGACTGAGTGGGAGAAACAGGAGGATGGGACAGAGGATATAGAGAAAGTGGAGGAGATTCTGTCTATACTAAAAACACAAAAATTAGCTGGGCGTGGTGGTGCGTGCCCATAGTCGTAGCTACTAGGGAAGCTGAGGCAGAAGAATTGCTTGAACCCAGGAGGCAGAGGTTGCAGTGAGCCAAGATCATGCCACTGTACTCCAGCCTGGATGACAGAGTAAGACTGTCTCAAACAAAAACAAAAACAAAAACAAACAAAAAAAAAACTAGATCTGGACTCCTGGCAGCCCTAAGTTCATGTCTGCAGCCCAGTCTCCCCCATCTCCTCCACTTTTTTTTTTTTTTTTTTGAGACGGAGTCTCGCTCTGTCGCCCAGGCTGGAGTGCAGTGGTGCCATCTTGGCTCACTGCAAGCTCTGCCTCCCAGGTTCACGCCATTCTCCTGCCTCGGCCTCCCAAGTAGGTGGGACTACAGGCGCCCACCAGCACGCCCGGCTAATTTTTTGTATTTTTAGTAGAGACAGGGTTTCACCCTGTTAGCCAGGATGGTCTCGATCTCCTGACCTCAAGTGATCCACCTGCCTCGGCTTTCCAAAGTGCTGGGATCACAGGCGTGAGCCATCCTGCCCGGCCACAGTTCTTTATAAGGAACTGATGGCTGTCGGGTTGAAACAGTGAGCAAAGGTGGACCCATTCAGAGGGCAGGCTGGATGGTGGACCGATACCAAGGTCAGAAAGGCAGGGGCATGGCGGCTCGAGACCACCTCTTTTTTCTTGGCTGTCTGATTCCACAAATCCTAGCTGGATCCAGAGGATACAAAAATACACAAAAGTGGGAAGGATTGGTCAGGCACGGTGGCTCACGCCTATAAGCCTAGCACTTGGGGAGGCCAAGGCAGGAGGATTGCTTTAGCTCAGTACTTTGAGACCGGCCTGAGCAATATAGTGAGACCTTGTCTCTACAAAAAAATCAATAAATGGAGCTGGCTGTGGTGGCTCACGCCTATAATCCCAGCACTTTTGGAGGCCAAGCTGGATGGATCACTTGAGCTCAGGAGTTTGAGCCCAGCCTAAGCAACATGGCAAAACCCTGACTACCAAAAATACAGAAATTCACCGGGCATAGTGGCCCACCTGTCTTGTAGTCCCAGTTACTCAGGAGGGTGAGGCAGGAGAATTACTTGAACCCAGGAGGAGGAGGTTGCAGGGAGCCGAGATCACACCACTGCACTCCAGCCTGTGTGACAGAGTGAGACCCTGGCTCAAAAAAATAATTTAGAAAAGAGATGGGTGGATTGCTTGAGCCCAGGAGGTCGAGGCTGCAGTGAGCCGTTGCCATGCCACTGTACTCCAGCCTGGTTGACGAAGCAAGACCCTGTCTCCAAAAAAAACAAAAAGAAAATCAGCCAGGTGTGGCGACTCACACCTGTAGTTTTAGCACTCTGGGAGGCCAAGGCAGGAGGATTGCTTGATCTCAGGAGTTCAAGACCAGCCTGGGCAGTATAGTGAGACCCCCATCTCTATTATAATTCTTTTTTAGTAGAGACAGGGTTTCACCATGTTGGTCAGGCTGGTCTCCAGCTCCTGACCTCAAGTGATCCACCTGCCTCAGCCTCCCAAAGTGCTGGGATTAGAGGCGTGAGCCACTGCACTCAGCCTATTTTTTAATACAAAAAGAGAATCAGATATTAAACCCCTTTGTCCATCACCTAGCTCCAAACATTGTCAACTCATGGTCAGTTTTGTCAAAACAAAACAATTTTGAGATTCCAGTTTCTGCTGATGACTGGTCCTGTCTGTAGGGGAGGCAGTGGCTGGAAGCTGGACTGTGTCAAGGGACGCCCCGGGTATCTGGAGCCCAGAGAAGGGGCACTTGAGCTTCCCAGAGCCAAATCTGACGGAGGAGGAGATTTCGAGGAAGAGAACTGGGTGGAGTTGTCTAAGGCTAGCACCAGACTATGCAGAGATTTGCAGGCAGGGCCTGGTCCCTGGAGAGTGCCGTGTACAGATGTCTGGCTTATTGAAGCGTCTGAACACAATGGAATGTAAACAGAAAGTGGTTTTAACTTTTTCTAACAGTTGCCTTCAGCTGTGTTCCCCTTCCTGCCCTTAGCAACATCGTGAGCAGATTCCATACTTTCTGGCCACTTTTGGTTACAAAAAACTTCAATCGAAATCATAGTATAGAATGACTGGGCAAATGTGACTATTCACAGGATGTTTGACTGTGTTTAGGAATTGTTGCTTTTCGAAGGTTGTAGTGACATTGTTATGGTTATTATAAAGTACAAGTCCTTATCTTTTAGAAATACAGAACAAAATATTTACGGGTGAAATGACGTGATGTCTGGAATTTCCTTTCAAATAATCTGGGGTGAGGTGAGAAGGCAGTGAGGGTATAGAGGAAACAAAATTGGCCAATGAGTTGTTAATGTTTGAAGTTGGGCGATATATACGTTTTAGAGACAGGGTCTCACTCTGTTGCCCAGGCTGGAGTGCAGTGGTGCAATCATAGCTCACTGCAGCCTCCACCTCCTGGGCTTGGTATCCTCCAGCCTCAGCCTCTTGAGTAGGTGGGACTACAGATGCATGCCACCACAGTCAGCTAAGTTTTAAAATTTTTTGCAGATACAGGGTCTTGCTATGTTCCCCAGGCTGGTCCAAAACTCCTGACCTTAAGCAATCCTCCTGCCTTGGCCTCTCAAAGTACTGGAATTATAGGCATGAACCACCACACCTGGCCAACTAGTGTATAGTTTTGAAATAATGTTAAAGGAAGTAAAAAGACAGTCTAGTAGAAGCTAGGGCGGTTTAATGTTCCAACCTCAAATCTGAATCAAGTCTCATCTCTTCCCATGCCCTAGAGCTGGGCAGCCTAGGGTTTGCTGGGGGCACTCAAAGTAGGGAGGGATGGGGGTTAGCTTTAAGGACAGCTGCTCTCTTCCCCTCTTCTGGGCAGAGTACCTTTGGCAGTAGGGCCCAGAGTGGACCTGTCTGTGTGCCTGGCTGCGTGTTAGTGGTGGGAAAGTGCCTGCTCTCTGGCCCCGTCTGGCTGTGTGAGCTGCTGGTAGCCTCTGCTGCTGGGTTTCTCGGGACCCAGCTCAGCCTCACCCTGGCTCCTTCTGGGGCTGAGGATCTCCCAGAGAACGCAGCCAGTGGTGACTCCCTTCAACCCCTGCCAGGCATCTCCTCCAACTTCCTCCCCTTAACTTGGAAGCCCATGACCCGTCCCCTGCCCCGCATGCCCACATTCCTTCACCGGAATCGTAGAAGGCAGGGACTCATGCCTGAGGTCAGACATGTTCCCAGATCCAGGGTATGCATGCCTGGCTCCCAAAGACATCCCTTTCTTCCACTGAGATAACAGCACTGTGAATTTCAGCTCAACAGGTGTACAGTCAGTTAAATAAAGGAAGTAAAGACAATCAGTCTAGTATAAGCCAGGGCAGTTTAATGTTCCAGCCTCAAATCTGAATCAAGTCTTATCTTGATTGGAACTCCTCCTTGCTCCTCCTTGCTCTTGGAGGAGCACCCTGGCTTTGCAGGGTGCAGAGAGATTAATTTCTTCTCTGCAAACCCTACGCTGCTGATAACTCATCACTGCCACCTCCTCATTTCTGAAGCTTTAGTAAGGTGTAATTGACATGATGAACTGCACATATTTAAAAGGCCCGGTATGGTCCGTTTTGACAGTTGCATATTCCTGAAACTTGCCTTTGCTCCTAGTCTAGTCACATTGGGAAGAAGGCGCAGGGTTGTGGCTAGGGTAGCTGTGAGGGTTGGATTGGGTTACTTGTTTGCAGCTGTCTTTAGAATGTAGGTGACTGGCCAGCTGTGGTGGCTTAAGCTTGGAATCCTAGCACTTTGGGAGGTCAAAGAGGAGGTGGAAGGATCACTTGAGTCCAGGAGTTTGAGACTAGCCTGGGCAACATAGTAAGACCTTGTTTACACAAAAATTTTTTTAAAAGGCTGGGCTTGGAGGCTCACGCCTGTAATCCCAGCATTTTGGGAGGCCAAGGCGGGCGGATCACGAGGTCAAGAGATCAAGACCATTCTGGCCAACATGGTGAAACCCCATCTCTACTAAAAATACAAAAATTAGCTGGGTGTGGTGGCACATGCCTGTAATCCCAGTTACTCAGGAGGCTGAGGCAGGAAAATCAATTGAACCCGGGAGGCGGAGGTTGCAGTGAGCTGAGTCACACCACTGCACTCCAGCCTGGGTGACAGAGTGAGACTCCATCTCAAAAAAGAAAAAAGAAGAAAGAAAGATTTAGGAGGTAGCACCGATCAGACATGAGGGCATAGGAGAGAGAGGGGGCTGGGATGATGCCCTGGTTTTAGGCGTGGGTGACGGGGGCTGTGATGTGGTTCATTCTGGGGAACACTCGGGAGGGGGCGGGGTGGGGGAAGAAGGAGGTGGTTTTGGGGGAAGGCAGTGTGCCCAGTTCGGGCATATTCATTTGAGATACTGGTTTCGTTTGCATTGTGTCACTGAGCATTTACACACATTCTACAGTACAGTGTGTTTTTATCCACATCACACCCTCTTCCCAGCCAAACCCACACAACCGCAGAAAAGGAAGCTGGTTTAAAAACAGCAGGAAGAGGGGTTGATAGATTTGCTATGGGATTTTTGTGGGGTTTTTTTTGTTTTGTTTTGTTTTGGTTTTTTTTTGAGATAGCATCTCTGTTGCCCAGGCTGGAGTACAGTGGTACAATCTGGGCTTACTGCAACCTCCACCTCCTGGGTTCAAGTGATTCTCCTGCCTCAGCCTCCAGAGTAGCTGAGATTACAGGCGTGTGCCACCACGCCTAATTTTTATATTTTTAGTAGAGATGGGGTTTCACTATGTTGGCCAGGCTGGTCTTGAACTCCTGACCTCAGGTGATCCACCTGCCTCAGCTTCCCAAAGTGCTGGGATTACAAGCATCAGCCACCATGCCTGGCCTTTTAGCGAGATTTTTAAGTGGAAATTGAAAGGGGGATTTCATTTGGCACCAGCAAGCTGAGCGTCCATCCGGGTTAGGGGCAGCCCACATGCTGGAGTAAATTGGGCCTGCCCGCAGGCAGTGGGGGGTCATGCATCTCCGTGTCACAGGCTGGAGAACTGGCTCAGCTTGGTGTCTGTTCTTTACTAATGGCTTTCGAAGCTGGTAGCTTGGGAAGGATGTGGGCTTGCAGAGGGTTCACTGCCGTGGGGAAGGGAGTGAGATGTGCTGAGTTCAGGTGGCTCTGAAGGACCCACACGCCTGAGGTCCTTAAAATGTTATTTCTGAGTCAGACTTAGAGCCAGGGGACTTTTGGAACTGATTTTGATCTTTGGCAAAGGTCAGCATTTTCTGTGGTGTAATAATGGAGAAAGTGGTCTCTAATCAGAGCCTCATGGAAACATCAAGTTATCCAGTTGGAGTGGATTTCTCTACTGCAGAGCTTCTTTGAGATTTTTTTTTTTTTTTTTTTTTTTTTTTTTTTGAGATGGAGTTTTGCTCTTGTTGCCCGGGCTGGAGTGCAATGGCACAATCTTGGCTCACTGCAGGCTCCACCTCCTGGGTTCAAGTGATTCTCCTGCCCCAGCCTCCCGAGTAGCTGGGATTACAGGCGTGCACTGTCACACCTGGCTAATTTTTGTATTTTTAGTAGAGACAGGGTTTCACCATGTTGGTCAGGCTGGTCTCAAACTCCTGACCTCAAGTGATCCACCCACCTCAGCCTCCCAAAGTGCTGGGATTATAAGCATGAGGCACTGTGCCCGGCTATTTTTTTTTTTTTTTTTTTGAGAGACAGGCTGGAGTGCAGTGATGCGGTCATAACTCTCTGTAACCTCAAACTCCTGTGGGATCCTCCCACTTCAGCCTCCTGAGTAGCCGGGAGTACAGCCATGTGCCACCATGCCTGGCGAATTTTTTATTTTTTGTAGAGACAAGGGTCTTGCTGTGTTACCCAGGCTGGTCTTGAACTCCTGGGTTCAAGCGATCCTCCCACCTTGGCCTCCCAAAGTGCTGATATCACAGGCATGAGCAGCCACTGTGCCCAACTTCTTTGAACCTTTGATTGCTAATGTACGTGTTGTTTCCGAGAGAGGAATCATAGATACAGCTGTCCGTTTGTACAGTTGTCCAGTATCCATGGAGGTTGGTTCCAGGGCCCCCAATAGATACCAAATCCTTGGATCTTCAACTCCCTGATACAAGATGGTGTAGTATTTGCGTCTAACCTAAGCGTATCGTCTCGTATACTTTATTTATTTGAGACAGAGTCTCACTCTGTTGCCAGGCTGGGGTGCAGTGGCATGATCTCATCTCACTGCAACCTCCACGTCCCAGGATCAAGTGATTCTCCTGCCTCAGCCTCCCGAGTAGCTGGGACTACAGGCATGCACCATCATGCCTGGCTAATTTTTGTGTTTTTCGTGGAGATGGGGTTTCACTCGTTGGCCAGGTTGGTCTCAAGCTCCTCACCTCAGGTGATGCGCCTGCCTCGGCCTCCCAAAGTGATGGGGTTACAGATGTGAGCCACCTCACCTGGCCCCTCTTGTGTATACTTTAAATCATCTCTAGATTATTTATAATACCTAATACAATGTACATGCTATGTAAATAATTGTTATACTGTATCGTTTAGGGAATAATGACAAGAAAAAAAGTCTGTACATGTTCTGTACAGATGCAACCATGAATTATTTTTCTGGATATTTTTCATCCAAGGTTGCTTGAATATATGGATGTGGAACACACAGATTGCATTTGGTTATCTGAACCCCTGAACCCTTTTCTCATAGTGCCTTATGGGGGACTAGTGTTTCTTAGAACACACTTTGGGAAATGTAGAGATAATCCTTGTCTGTGTTTCAAATAAACGAAAGTTTTTTGTTGTTGTTGTTGTTGTTTTGTTTTTTTTTTTTTTTTTTTGAGACGGAGTCTCATTCTGTCGCCCAGGCTGGAGTGCAGTGGCACAATCTCAGCTCACTGCAAGCTCCGCCTCCCAGGTTCATGCCATTCTCCTGCCTCAGCCTCCCAAGTAGCTGGGATTACAGGTGCCCGCCACCATGCCCGGCTAATTTTTTGTATTTTTTAGAAGAGACGAGGTTTCACCGTGTTAGCCAGGATGGTCTCGATCTCCTGACCTCGTGATCCGCCCACCTCAGCCTCCCAAAGTGCTGGGATTACAGGCTTGAGCCACTGCGCCCGGCAAACGAAAGTTTTAATGATAACTTTGGACCTGGAACTCAGGAAGCTCCCATTTAAGTAGGTGTCTTGTTCTCTCTACCCCTCTGCACATACACTGGCTTCATTTCTGGGCATGCAGGGTGGCTCACATGTGTATCCCAACACTTTGGGAGGCTGAGGCAGGAGGATCACTACAGGCCAGGAGTTCGAGGACAGCTTGGGCAACATAGTGAGACCCCATCTCTACAAAAGATAAAAGTATCAAAATTAGCTGAGTATGGTCATGCGCACCTGTAGTCCCAGCTACCTGGGAGGCTGAGGTAGGAGAAGCATTTGAGCCCAGGAAGATAAGACTGCAGCGAGCTATGATTGAGCCACTTGCACTCCAGCCTGGGTGACAGAGTGAGAGACCCTGTATCTTTAAAAAAAGAAAAGAAAAGAAAAAGATGGGTTGAGCACAGTGGCTCACGCCTGTAATCCTAGCACTTTGGGCAGCCGAGGCAGGTGGATTACTTGAGGTCAGGAGTTCAAGACCAGCCTGGCCAACATGATGAAACCTCCTCTCTCCTCCTCCACCTCCTCCCTCCTCCTCCTCCTCCTCCTCTCTCCTCCTCCTCCTCCTCTCTCCTCCTCTCTCTTCCTCCTCTCTCCTCCTCTCTCTTCCTCCTCCTCTCTCTTCCTCCTCCTCCTCCTTCTCTCTCTCTCTCGATGCTTAAATTCTGGTGGTCTTAAGAGAGCTGTCCCTCTCCATCCTCCTGAGCCCCCAGTACATGCTGGGTTGTTACAGTTCTGGGCCACAGCGTCCTCACTGCAACCTTTGTGCACCTGGCCAAGTGTAAACAGTTGCCACGGAGGGAATGGACACCAGTGCTGAGACCCAGCGCTCTGCACGATGAGGCTCAGTCCTTTCGTCATGACTCGCCCTGTGCCACCCCATGCAAGTTACCGTGTGCCAATCTCTTTCAAAGTCTGGATCTCCGTCACATTCACTGTCCTGGAACTGCCCTTTTACGCTCGTTTGCTGAGCTGTGTTTCAAGAGATAGACATCCCTCTTCCCTGAGGAATATGCTCATAGCTGCCTTTCTCCCTCCACACTTCAGGAACTGGATGCATTTCAGCCATACCCCATTGAAATCGTGCCAGGGAAGGTCTTCGTTGGCAATTTCAGTCAAGCCTGTGACCCCAAGATTCAGAAGGACTTGAAAATCAAAGCCCATGTCAATGTCTCCATGGATACAGGGCCCTTGTAAGTAAAGAGAAACTACTGATTTATATTTCATTTTATTTTTTATATAATATTTAAATTTATTTTATTTATTTTTTTTAATTTTATTATTATTACACTTTACGTTTTAGGGTACATGTGCACAATGGGCAGGTTTGTTACATATGTATACATGTGCCATGTTGGTGTGCTGCACCCATTAACTCGTCATTTAGCATTAGGTATATCTCCTAATGCTATCCCTTCCCTTTAGTTTTTATTTTATTATTATTATTTTTTGAGACGGAGTCTCACTCTGTCACCCAGACTGGAGTGCAGTGGCACAATCTCGGCTCACTGCAAGCTCCGCCTCCTGGGTTCACGCCATTCTCCTGCCTCAGCCTCCCCAGTAGCTGGGACTACAGGCGCCCGCCACCACGCCCAGCTAGTTTTTTGTATTTTTAGTAGAGATGGGGTTTCACCGTGTTAGCCAGGATGGTCTCGATCACCTGACCTTGTGATCATCCCGCCTTGGCCTCCCAAAGTGCTGGGATTACAGGCATGAGCCACCGCGCCTGGCCTATTTTATTATTTTTTGAGATGGGGTCTTGCTCTGTCACCCAGGCTGGAGTGCAGTGGCACAATCTTGGCTCACTGCAACCTCCGCCTCCAGGGTTAAGTGATTCTCCTGCCTCAGCCTCCCCAGTAGCTGGGACTAAAGGTGTGTGCCATCATACCCGGCTAATTTTTGTAGTTTTTAGTAGAGACAGGGTTTCAAAATGTTGCCTGGGCTGGTCTCGAACTCCTGACCTCAAGTGATCTGCCTGCCTTGGCCTCCCAAAGTGCTGGGTTTACAGGTGTGAGCCACCATGCTTGGCCAAGATAGGTACTTAAAAAAATTTTTTTGGCTGGGTGTGGTGGCTCACACCTGTAATCCCAGCACTTTGAGAGGCCAAGGCGGGTACATAAGCTGAGGTTGGGAGTTTGATGACCAGCCTGGCCAAAATGGTGAAACCCCATCTCTACTAAAAATATAAACATTAGCCGGTTGTGGTGGCACATGCCTGTAATCCCAGCTACTTGGGAGGCTGAAGCAGGAGAATCGCTTGAACCTGGGAGGTAGAGGTTGCAGTGAGCCGAGATCGTGCCACTGCACTCCAGCCTGGGCAACAGAGCGGGAATCTGTCTCAAACAAACAAAAAAAAAGACAAGGGTCTCGCTATGTGATCCTCCCATCTCTGTTTCCCAAATTACTGGGCTTATTCATGAGCCACCACACCCAGCCTGGATGTTTTTTTCCAGGAGAGGTTGAGTTACCTGTGCACATTCCCCCTTACACAAGCTCAGCGTCCTCCCTGTGGCCCTTCTGCTGTGATGAAAACCCCACAATGGGGATGCCTGCATTCTGCATTCCACCTGATGACCTGTGTGGTCCTTCCGTGTAGTTTTGCAGGCGATGCTGACAAGCTTCTGCACATCCGGATAGAAGATTCCCCGGAAGCCCAGATTCTTCCCTTCTTACGCCACATGTGTCACTTCATTGGTAAGGAGCGTTCCTTGGCCGGGTAGCAACTGGCCTGTGTCTGGGAAGCAGAGGGGCAGTGGAGCCTCCTTCACAGGCTTATTCTGGACCGTGATTTCCCCATGCTCTAGAGAGAAAGGGCCCAGCTCGGCATATGCTCCATCTGGGTGGGACAAGCTCCAGGACACGTCCAACTTCTGGGGAGCCCTCAGTGAAACGAGCAACCGTGGTGTTTACCTCGGGGGCAGTGGGGCCCAAGGCTCTGGCCCTGGCTAGATGGCTGTGCCCTTCTGGGCTTGTTGTAAAATGAGAGTGATGGCTACCCACAAGTGCACATGCTCATGGAGGCTCTGGGCTGAGCTCTGGGGACCAGTAGTAAATCTATCTCTCTCCATCCCCGCCTTCATCCTTGGTCTGTGGGATGTCGGTGGAATGGAAGGAAGACTACAAAGCTCTTTCAGTTCTGACTTCCAAGATTTTCTTTGTTTTTGTTTGTTGGTTGGTTGGTGGAGTTGGGGTCTTGCTATGTTGCCTAGGCAGGTCTTGAACTCCTGGCCTCAAGCGATCTTCCTACCTCAGCCTCTCAAGGTGCTGGGATTATAGGCATGAGCCACCACACCCAAGTGATGCCCACCAGTTACTTAACTCATCAAGAGTGGATTTTTTACTCATTCCTGGGGCTCCAGATTGCCAGAGGAGAGTAAGATCTGTAGAGAGAGCAGGGCTGAGTCAGGTCAGAGTCCCCACCCCATGCCTGCCTGTCTGGCACCAACAGCTCCTGGCCTGAGCCACTGTACCAGGGGCTGGAGCATGGCATTTTGGCCCAACCATCCCTTATTTTAAATTTTATTTTTCGAGACGGGGTCTGGCTTGTTCACCCAGGCTGGAGTGTAGTGGCACAATCTTGGCTCACTGCAATCTCTACTTCCTGGGCTCAAGCAATCCTCCTACCTCAGCCTCCCAAGTAGCTGGGACTACAGGCATGCACCACCACGTCCAACTAATTTTTGCATTTTTAGTAAAGATGGGGTTTTGCCATGTTGCCCAAACTGGTCTTGAACTCCTGAGCTCAAGCAATCCACCCACCTCAGCCTCCCAAAGTACTGGGATTACAGGCGTGAGCCACCACACCCAGCCCCAACCATCCTTTATTTGCCCAGTAGATGTCAAATGTTGCTCAACCAGGGCCTGAGGCTGAGACTTCCCATGTGTCCCACCTCGAGATGGCAGAGCCTTGTGGCCCAAGGAGGGACCCCATCTAGCCTGCCTCCCTGGGTAGCACTGAGCCAGTCAATAAATTAAACTGCATGCTCAGTTCCTTTATTCAGATGGTGAGGAAGGTGGCCATCGTCATCTCTGCGTCCTTCTTCAGCCCTGGCAGTCTGTGATTTTGCACTTGGTAGGCTTATCTTCAGTTCCTGAGGGTTGCCAGACCAGCCTCGGGTGCCAGCTTAGATTTCCTCTCCCTGGGCAGGACTCACAGCTTCAGGGGTGCTGTGATTAGAGCTGATATTTCTGTGCCAGGCACTGGGCTCAGCACAGAACAAAACCAAACTGTATGAAGTAGGTAGTATACTGTGATCCCGTTTTCCAGATGAGGACACCGTGGCCTCAAGTAACTTACCCTCCAGCCCGGGCAACATTGTGAGACCCCATCTGTACAAAAAAGTTAGCTGGATATGGTGGCACATGCCTGTGGTCCCAGCTACTCAGAAGGCTAAGGCGGAGGGTTACTTGAGCCCAGGAGTTCAAGGTTGCAGTGAGCTGTGATTACACCACTGCGTTCCAGCCTGGGCAACAGAGCAAGACCCAGTCTCTAAAATAAAATAAATAAAAATAGGCTGGGCACAGTGGTTCTTACCTGTCATTCCAGTACTTTGAGAAGCCAAGGTGGGCAGATCACCCGAGGTCAGGAGTTCAAGACCAGCCTGAACAACATAGTGAGACTGCATGTCTATATTGAAAAAAAAAAAAAAAAAAAAAAAATCAGGCGCAGTGGCTCATGCCTATAATCCCAGCACTTTGGGAGGCCAAGGCAGGCAGATCACCTGAGGTCTGGAGTTGGAGACCAGCCTGGCCAACATGGTGAAACCCCATCTCTATTAAAAATACAAAAAATTAGCTGGGCGTGGTGGCAGGTGCTTGTAATCCCAGGTACTCGGGAGGTTAAGCCAGGAGAATCACTTGAACCCAGGAGGCAGAGGTTGCAGTGAACTGAGATTGTGCCACTGCACTCCAGCCTGGGCAACAAGAGTGAAACTCTGTCTCAACAAAGAAAGAAGGAAAGGAGAGAGAGGAGTAGAGAGGAGAAGAAAGGGGAAAGAAGAGAGGAGATGGGGGAAGGAAAGGAAAGGAAGTAACTTGCCCAAGCCCCACGGCCAGTGAGTGGCAGTCAGGATTGGCACTCAGGCTACACTGGCTCTGTCAGCTCCTGACTGTTTTTGGGATGACGATGGTCCTGTCCGCCCCATACTGGGAGGCCAGTTGGTAGCAGAGCTTCCTGGGCTAGAAACCTGGAGTTCAGGAGAAGGTCTTTGCCTGGTGATGCTGGTTGCCCAGGCATGATTCTCTGGAACTTCCAGCCAGGTCTGAGGGATGCCCACTTGCTAGACAATGAAATGGGCTCCCAGAGAAATCATGGGACTTGCCGAGGTCACGTGGGCTGGTTTTGAACTCATGCTTGGACCACGGGCCCATGGAGGCCAGTGTCTGACAGCAACCCAGGCCCACAGGGAGGAGGGCCAGGCATGACCCAACCCCCCACTTCTTTTTGCAGAAATTCACCATCACCTTGGCTCTGTCATTCTGATCTTTTCCACCCAAGGTATCAGCCGCAGTTGTGCCGCCATCATAGCCTACCTCATGCATAGTAACGAGCAGACCTTGCAGGTATGCGTTCCCCGGGCCAGGCTCGCACCACGGCCACCCCCTGGGAGGTGAGGTCAGAGCGCAACCTGGGAGGAGTGGGGCCCCAGCACTGCTTTGGGAGGAAGAATCCCAGATAACTCCAAGTCTAGGGTGCTCCCCAGTCCGCGTCACCCAAGGGCAAGGCCCCAGTGTTGCATGCTTGAGGCCTGAGGCTGGATATGCAGGGCTGGCCCAGGGACTCAGGCCAGGTCAGGCTGTCCTGCAGCCCCCACTGCTGTCAGGCCGTCCACCTGTGTTTGTTTGGTGTTGCCCAAGGGAGAACTGCTTGGAGTCCCAGAGCTGCAGCACAGGCGCCCACCCACTCCCGTCTATCTCCCTGTACCTTGGGCGCAGGGTCCAGAGAAGAGAGGGAAGCAGGGACCCATCGCAGCAAACCCAGGCGGAACTCGGAGCTCCTAACTCACAGCACCTTTCTCGAGGGCCTGCCCTGCCTGTCACAGCCTGTTCGTGATCCCCAGAGGGCTTGATAGGACCTACAAAGCCCCAACATTTGCCCAGGGATGTTTTTGGGGGAAGGAGAGGGACAAAGAATAAAACTCGTTGGCCAGTGGCTTCGGTTGTTGCCCCCATGTGCACTTTGGGGGTGAAGTTGTAGGCTAGAAAGTCCTTTTTTTTTTTTTTTTTTTTTTTTTGAGATGGAGTCTTGTTCTGTTGCCCAGGCTGGAGTGCAGTGGTGCAATCTCCACCTCCTGGGTTCAAGCGATTCTTGAACCTCCACTGCACCCTCTGCCTCCTGGGTTCAAGCGATTCTCCTGTCTCTGCCTCCCGCGTAGCTGGGATTACAGGTCCGTGTCACCATGCCCGGCTAATTTTTGTATTTTTAGTAGAGACAGGGTTTCACCATCTTGGCCAGGCGATGTGTGGGGTGGTGGTGGGGGATGGGTGGTTTACGATTCTTCCTCCAGGGCCTGTTCTGACCCAGCGAGGACATAGTAAGCCTTTTGACTGCACAGCTCTGCCCCTCACACCACTTTAAAAAAAATTGTGGTTAAAATATACATAACAGGCCGGGCGCGGTGGCTCACGCCTGTAATCCCAGCATTGTGGGAGGCCGAGGCGGGCAGATCACCTGAGGTCAGGAGTTCAAGACCAGCCTGGCCAACATAGTGAAACCCCCTCTACTAAAAATACAAAAATTAGCTGGGCGTGGTGGTGCGTGCCTGTAATCCCAGCTACTCTGGAGGCTGAGGCAGGAGAATCGCTAGAAGCTGGGAGGCAGAGGCAGCAGTGAGCTGAGATTGCACCATTGTACTCCAGCCTGGGTGACAAGAGCGAAACTCTGTCTCAAAAAAAAATATACACACACACACACACACACACACACACACACACACACACATACACACACACACACACACAACAAAAAAATTACCATCTTAACTATTTTAAAATGTATAGCTTAGGAGCATTAAGTACATTCACATTATTGTACAACTAATCTCCCAAACTTTTCCATCTTGCAAACCTGAAACAGCAACTCTTTACTTTCCCCTCTTCATCGCCCCGTGGGAACCACCATTCTACTTTTTGTCTCTGTGAATTTGACTACTCTAGGTACCTTATATAAGTTCCTTCCTTTTAAGGCTGAATAATATTCCATTATATGTGTGGAATTCACCAATAAACCCATCTAGGCTGGGTGCTTTCTGTTTTGGAAGGTTACTAATTATTGATTCAATTTATTATTGTTATTTTATTTATTTATTTTTTTTTGAGACGGAGTCTCGCTCTGTCACCCAGGCTGGAGTACAGTAGCACAATCTCGACTCACTGCAAGCTCTGCCTCCCGGGCTCATGCCATTCTTCTGCCTCAGCCTCCCGAGTAACTGGGACTACAGGCATCTGCCACCACTCAATTTCTTTAATATATGTAGGCCTATTCAGATTGTCTGTTTCTTCTTGTGTGAGTTTTGGCAGTCTGTGTCTTTCAAGGAATTGATCAATCACATTTGTGGATATGAATATTCTTCTATTATCCTTTTAATGTCTGTGGGATCTGTAGCAATGTCTTCTCTTTCACTTCTGTATTAGTAATTTGTGTCTTCTGTTTAAGTTAGCCTGGCTAGCGGTGTATCGATTTTATTGATCTTTTCAAAGAACCGGCTTTTGGTTTTTTTGATTTTCTCTATTGATTTCCTGTTTTCAATTTCATTCTTTGCATGGCGTATCTAGTTTTCCTAGCACCATTTGTTGAAATGACTGTCCTTTTCCCCCATCGAATGGTCTTGGCATACTATCAAAAATTCCTTGACAGGCCCGGTGCAGTGGCTCACACCTGTAATCCCAGCAGGTTGGGAGGCAGAGGTGGGCAGATCACCTGAGGTCAGGAGTTTGAGACCAGCCTGGCTGACATGGCAAAACCTCGTCTCTGCTAAAAATACAAAAATGAGCCAGGCGTGGTGGCACATGCCTGTAATCCCAGTTACTTGGGAGGCTGAGGCACAAGGATCACTTGAACCCAGGAGGCGGAGGTTGCAGTAAGCTGAGATTGCACAATTGCACTCCAGCCTGGGCAACAGAGTGAGACTCAGTCTCAAAAAAAAAAAAAATTGCTTGACCATATAGGTAAGGGTTTATTTCTAGGCTAGGCTGGCTATTCTATTCCACTAGTCTCTTTGTCTTCATGTCCATACCATACTGTTTTGATTACTGTAGTTTTGTTAGACTAAGGTTTGAAATCAGGAAGTGTGAGACCTACAACTTTGTTCTTCTTAAATATTTTTTATGGGGTCCTTTGAGATTCCATATGAATTTTAGGATGGATTTTTCTATTTCTACAAAAAATGTTGTTGGGATTTTGATAGGGATTGCCTTAAACCTGTGGATTACTTTGAGTTGTATTGGCATCTTAATAATATTAAGCTTTCCAACCCATGAACACAGGATGTCTTTTCATTTGTTTGTACCTTTAATTTCTTTCAGCACTGTTTTGGAGTTTTCAGTGTACAAGTCTTTTGCCTCCTTGGTTAAATATTTTATTCTTTTTGATGCTACTGTAAATGGAATTGTTTTCTTAATTTCCTTTTTGAATTGTTTAGTATATAGACATGCAACTAATTTTTGCATGTTGGTTTTGTATCCTGCATCCTTGCTGAATTTATTAGCTGTGTGTGTGTGTTGTGTGTGTGTGTAATCTTTAGGGTTTTCTACATATGAAATCATGTCATCTTCAAACCAGAGGTAAGGTTACTTCTTCCTATCCATTGTAGATGCCTTTTATTTCTTTTTCTTGCCTCATTGTTCTGGCTAGGACTTCTAGGACTATGTTGAACAGAAGTGATGAAAGCAAGCACCCTTGCCTTGTTCCCGATCTTAGAGGAAAAACTTTATCTTTCGCCATTGAGTGTGATGTTAGCTGTGGGCTTCTCATATATGGCCTTTATCAGGTTGACATCACTTCCTTCCTTTTTTGTTTTTGAGACAGAGTCTTGCTCTGTCACCCAGGCTGGAGTGCAGTGGTGCAATCTCGGCTCACTGCAACCTCCGCCTCCCAGGTTCAAGCAATTTTCCTGCCTCAGCCACCCAAGTAGCTGGGATTACAGGCATGTGCCACCATACTTGGCTAATTTTTGCATTTTTTTAGTAGAGACAGGGTTTCGCCACATTGGCCAGGCTAGTCTCGAACTCCTGACCTCAGGTGATCCACCCGTCTCGGCCCCCCAAAGTGCCAGGATTACAGGCATGAGCCACTGTGCCTGGCCATTTCCTTCTGTTCCTAGTTTTAGGCACCACTCTTGCCTTTCCCTTTTTCGTTTGTCCTCAATCCAGATGGAGACCAGGTGCTCACCCTCCTTCATGCAGCAACACTTCCTGTACTTTAAGGTGGATGCCTGAAGGAGGGCAGCTTGAATTTTCTTCTTCAGAGAATTTGCCCACAGTTCTCTTCCTCTTTCCATTAATTTGTCCAGTCACAATGCAAACCTTTGTTGAGACTGCACTAGGCTTGGCATAGTGTTTGCCATCCACAGGTGGTTTCATGTATATTGTCTTAATCTTCCCAGAAGCTGTTTGAAATAGGAATTATTTCTGTCACCAGATTTAGAAGCAGAGGGGCTTGCCCAAGGCAGAGTCAGCTCCCATGACTCCCAGCACTGATGCATTCATGCCAGGCTGCCCTGTTTCTGCATCCAGCCCTTAAGCCGTGTTGCTGGCACTGTGCAAGTGCCTCCTGTCTCTGAAAGCTGCCTCTGATCCAAGTGGAAAGGGCCCAGGACCAATCGTGAAGTTCACTTTCTCTCTTTGTATTCATAGAGGTCCTGGGCCTATGTCAAGAAGTGCAAAAACAACATGTGTCCAAATCGGGGATTGGTGAGCCAGCTGCTGGAATGGGAGAAGACTATCCTTGGAGATTCCATCACAAACATCATGGATCCGCTCTACTGATCTTCTCCGAGGCCCACCGAAGGGTACTGAAGAGCCTCACCTGGGGGCATTTTGTGGGTGGAGGGCCAGAGTGTGTATACCCAGGCTTGTCTGGAAGGAGAAGGCCTTTGCTGCCTGAAAGTCTCATGTTAGCCTCCTGTACTGATTCTTCCCAAGTGCCTGTTCACGCCACCTAGCTGATGCGCCCTGCTCAGGTTCACCAAGAACCCGCATCCCTGAGGTGTCGCGGGCCATCCCAACTGCACCCCTGAGGCTGCCTCTGGAAGAGCATCTGGCTGCTAGAGCAGCTGCCCTGCATCCCCCTGGTGACTTAGACCCTTTGGAGGCTGCCTGGGGGTACCCAGAGGTTGCCTGTGTTGGTTCACAGAGGATGTCACAATAGCCACCAATAGGCAGTCCCCTAGTCCCAGAGATACCAAGCCCAGCCTTGTCTAGCCCCCAGGCTCCTAGAATGGGATCACACCCTTGCCTCATCCCCAGCGCTTCCTGCCATCCACCCCTTGAAACAGATTTTCTTTCCCTGCTCCCCACTCATTTCTGCCTGGCTGTGTTCACCAAGGAGAGATTCTCACCCCCTCCCCCATCTCCCTATCCACGTTTCTAGAAATTCCTAAGGTCTTAAAAGTTTTCCTTTTTTTTACCCCCTTTCCTTTTTTTTGGAGGCACGGTCTTGCTGTGTCTCTCAGGCTGGAGTGCAGTGGCGCAATCATGGCTCACTGCAGCCTCAACTTCCCTGGGCTCAAGCGATCCTCCCACCTCAACCTCCTGAGTGAGTAGCTGGGAATGCAGGCATGCACCATCACACCTGGCTAATTTATTTTTATTTTTGTAGAAACAGGGTCTTGCTCTGTTGCCTAGGCTGGTCTCGAACTTCTGGGCTCAAGTGATCCTCCAGCCTCGGCCTCCCCAAAATGCTGGGATTACAGGTGTGGGCCACGGCACCCAGTTGGAAGTTGTTTTCCAAATGCACTTCTCCAAAGCTGGCAGCACCCACAGAACAAACTGGGCATCAGGAGACGGCACAGACTAGGGGACTGGTAGGGGATTAGGATGTCCATCCATGCAGGACCTTCCCCAAGTCCATTCGGCAACCATTCCCTGCCACCGCGTGGGTGGGGCTGGGAACAGAGAGATGAATGCCGTCCCACCACTTAGCGCGCTCTGTGGAGGGATGGGGGTGGGAGGGGGTGGGGGATTCCCCTCAACAGAAGGGCAGGCCTTCAAGGAGGAGTGGGGTTTTGCCAGAGGGGGAACGGCTTTACACACAGCCCTGGCTTTCCTCAGGGTGTGAGTTGGGACAGAGCCCGGGATGGCTGCAGAGCTCCGATTAGGGACCTCCTGGTAGGCAGGACACAGCCGCTGGAAAGTTTTAAGCATGAACATGATGGGGAATCAGCCTTGTGTTTTGGGAAGGGCAGTCCGGTGGCCGCGAGAAGGGACAGTGGAGGTGAGGCAGGGAGAAAGGAGGCCGCTGTAAAAATCCAAGCGAGAGAAGCAGCTCTAACTCCCTTCCCCAAAGAGGCTCAGCTTCCCAAGGACGAAAATGTTGCAAGCAGGTGTCACCTCCCTGCACCTTGGTTTGCTCTCAGCATGACGGGCCAGAGCCCTGCTGGCTGCACCACGCGGCTGGCACAGTCAGTGCAGTCCAGGCCCGGGGGCTGCAGCCGTCCCAGTCCCGGTCCAGGCCGCGAGTCCCGGGGCTAGCAACCGCCCTTGCATACGGCCCCGCCCATACCCCGCCCCTGTCCCGGATTGGCTGGGGTGGGGGGCGTGGCCTTTCCCCATTGGTGCCCGTGGCGGCGCGAGCCCGGAAGCGGACGGGGGCGGTGGCGGAGGAGCCTCGGGTGGGCCGGGGTTGCTGCGCCGTCCTCCACTACTGGCTACTGGCGCTGCAGCCATGCAGCCCCCGCCCCCGGGCCCGCTGGGCGACTGCCTGCGGGACTGGGAGGATCTACAGCAGGACTTCCAGAACATCCAGGTTAGCGCCGCTGCGGACGCCGGGTCGCCCCCGAGCCGCGTCTCGCTGGCTCAGGGTCAAGGGTCGGGCAGCCCTGGGTCAGGCAGTGGGGAGCTAAGGGTCAGGGGTCGGGGCCCTGGCGTCACTGCCAAGGGGGGCGAGGCCCCTGGTCCTGGTGTCCACTGCCACCACCTCCAGTGTCCGGGAACCCCGGCGGGACCCCATCGCGCTGGGCGACCTCGGCTTCCAATGAGGGCCTTGGAAAGGGGCCCAGACCCCGACCCCGTCCCTTCCCAGAAGAGAGCGGCCGCCTGAGTCACACACGGGCGGGCCCAGCCTTGGGTCAGCCACTCAGCAAACGCGCAGCGGGCAGCGCCCGAGAGGCAGCCCAGGTCGGGGGAGCAGCGTTTAGGGGGGTGTCCTCGGCCTGGATGGGGGACGCCCCAGGCAGAGGGATACCGCGCGCCGCCGAGGCCTTTGGAAGGAAAGAGGGGACTTGACAGGCCCATGTGGCTGCATCAAGGAGAACCAGGGGAGGGGTGGGACGGGTGGGAGGGGTGGGCGGGGCTAGGCCCTGCAGGGACGCTCTGGCCTGGCAGAGATCAGAGTCCCTCCGAGGCCAGTGGAAAGCTACGGGAGGAATTGTCTGGACTGAGCTCCCCAGGGCCACCGTGGCTGTTCTGTCCAGAGGCCAGGGAGGAGGAGGCTGTTGGCCTCATCCAGGCAGGGAAGAGGGCGGTGGCTGTGGGTGGGCAGAAGTGGCACGTGCTGGGGTCCGAGGGGGCGTGGTGACCCCTCCTGGGCATGAGAAACAAGATCCAGACAGAGTAGAGCCCTGGCCAGCTGATGGCTTGGTTAGCCCTTGGCCTCTCCTGGACTGGTTCCAACTGCTTCCTGTGGGCATTGAAACCCAGCTGCCCCTGGCCCTGCCAAGGCCCCTGCCATTGGTGCTTCTCCCCAGAGACTGAGCAGACCCAGTCTCCCCGCCTGGCCGCCGCTGTCCTGGCCACAGCCCCTGCTTGGCTCTCCTCACACTGCCCCTTGCCCCATCTCTAGGCTGCGCCTTCTTGAGACTCACCTACCAGGGCAAAGTGCTTGGGGAATCCTTGGGCCAAAGGTGCTAGGGGAAGGGAGTGGGGCTGGCCTTAGAGCAGGAGGCTCTAGGGTTGAAACCTGATGACCTTTAACCTGGGAAGAAGATGTCAGGGATTCCTGAGAACCTGAGCTCCTCCTGTACTGGAAGGCTAGATAGGCAGGAGGAGCTGAGAGGATAGAGGGGTGGCTCTGGGCTGCCTGCTTGGTCCAGGAGGTGGCCCTGGGGGCCTAAGCTCCAGACTCAAGGTAGGAGAAAGAGTCTGTCCTTGTAGGGTGGGGACAACTAGCAGATGGGCTGAGACTAAGAAAACCTTGGCTGGGTGCGGTGGCTTATGCCTGTAATCCCAGCACTTTGGGAGGCCGAGGCAGGCAGATCACCTGAGGTCAGGAGTTCAAGACCAGCCTGGCCAACATGGTGAAACCCTGTCTCTACAAAAATACAAAAATTAGCCAGGCATGATGGCAGGTGCCTGTAATCCTAGCTACTTGGGAGGCTGAGGCAGAAGAATGGTTTGAACCCGGGAGGCGGAGGTTGGAGTGAGCTGAGATCCTGCCATTGCACTTCAGCCTGGGCAACAGAACAAGACTGTCTCAAAACAAAAACAAAAACAAAAACACCTAGTCTGTTTTTGGAGGAGGGGTGCTGTGGGGGTCTCTGGGCTCACAGGAGGACACCCAGGTCCTTGCCTGCCTTGGGGAGACAGCCACCTCATCCCTGGGCAGGCACAGTTCTACCTCCTTTCCCGCTGAGCGAAACCCTCCCAGCAGCCCTGGGGGAGCCTGAGCGCCACGTCCTGCCTGCAGGCTCTGGCTCAGTAGCTCCCCAACTGGCCTGAGCCTCTCCCCTCCGGCCCCCAGGAGACCCATCGGCTCTACCGCCTGAAGCTGGAGGAGCTGACCAAACTTCAGAACAATTGCACCAGCTCCATCACGCGGCAGAAGAAGCGGCTCCAGGAGCTGGCCCTCGCCCTGAAGAAGTTAGGATCCCCTACCCCACCCGCCATGGGCAGAGTGTGGGGTGGGAGGGCTGGCGCTGTGAGACCCTGGGCACCGCCCCTCCCCTCTCTGGGCCCTGTTTGCCCTTCTGCCCCTGTGGGAGTCAGGGAGGACACTTGGGAGTCCTCTTGCCCTGACTGTTTCTGGCCTTACCCGCAGATGCAAACCCTCCCTCCCAGCAGAGGCCGAGGGGGCCGCACAGGAGCTGGAGAACCAGATGAAAGAGCGCCAAGGCCTCTTCTTTGACATGGAGGCCTATTTGCCTAAGAAGAATGGGTGAGGGCCCCCACCGCCACCCCCAGCTCAGTTCACAGCCACTCCTGAAGCCGGGTGCTGCCTCCTCTTGGTCATTATAGTCAGCAAATGTTCCCTGGGCCCAGTACAGGCTGAGCAATGAGGCACAGTGCTGACTTCAGGGGAGACACCTGGCTGAGAGTGACATTTCACTGTGATAGGTGCTTTGTAGCATGGGGAATGAGGTGGCACAGTGAGGGACACCTGACCCAGTCCAGGAGGTCGCAGAAGGCTTCCTGGATTAGGGGATGGGTGGGCTGAGTCTTACAGAATAAAGAGTGGGCCGGGCGTGGTGGCTCTCACCTGTAATCTCAGCACTCTGGGAGATGGAGGTGGGAGGATCACTTGAACTCAGGAGTTCAAGACCAGCCTGGGTGACATACTGAGACCCTATGTCTCTATTTATTTAAAAAGAACAAATAGGCTGGGCGCGGTGGCTCATGCCTGTAATCCCAGCACTTTTTTGGGAAGCCAAGGCAGATCGCTTGAGGTCGGGAGTTCAAGACCCGCCTGGGCAACATGGTAAAACCCATCTCTACTAAAAATACAAAAATTAGCCGGGCATTGTGGCATGCACCTGTAATCCCAGCTACTTGGGAGGCTGAGACAGGAGAATCACTTGAACCCGGGAGGCGGAGGCTGCAGTGAGCTGAGATCGCACCACCGGACTGTAGCCTGGGCAACAGAGTGAGACTCTGTCTTAAAAAATAAATAAGTAAATAAATAAAAAAAATGAGGCAGACACATGGGCTGAGGGCGAGAGGTAGCAGCAGGTGGACGGGCCATGAGAACTTGTAGTGGCCAGAGGTCGGGGCGGGAGGTGAGAGGCAGCCAAGAGATCAGAGGCTTTGCTGGGCTGCAGCTCTTGCCTTGAGCCCAGTAGGCGGGCGGGGGCGGTGGAATGTGCACCTGGAAAGGCCAGCAGCTGTCACCCAGGAGGACGGATGGGGCAGTGCAAAACCCCCTGCTGAGCAAAAAATCCCAGCAGAGGCTGCAGGCAGGGAGATAGCTGGGAGAGGGCGTGGCCCAGAAGGCAGGGAGAAGAAAGGAGTGTCCGTAGCCTGGGGTCAGTCCTGTGATAAGGAAGGGGATGCGCTTCCTGGAAGTTGGGTCATCTTGGCAGAACCATTTGGTGGAAGGGGATGGATGTCGATCTTGGGGATGACAGAAGAGCCAAGGAAGGGAGACAGCCAAGTCTAGGAGACTTTTTTTTTTTTTTTTTTTTTTTGAGACAGAGTCTCACTCTGTCGCTAGGCTGGAGTGCAGTCACTTGATCTCGGCTCACTGCAACCTCTGTCTCCGTGGTTCAAGCGATTCTCCTGCCTCAGCCTCCGGAGTAGCTGGGATTACAGGTGCCCGCCACCACACCCGGCTAATTTTTGTATTTTTGTATTTTGTATTTTTAGTAGAGATGGGGTTTCACCATGTTGGTCAGGCTGGTCTCGATCTTCTGACCTCATGATCCACCCGCCTCGGCCTCCCAAAGTGCTGGGATTACAGGTGTGAGCCACCGCACCCAGCCCTCTGGGAGACTTTTTAGAGCTTGGCTGTGAGTGGAGGGAGAGAATTAGCAACTAGGAACTGGAAATTAGCACTGGGTTGAGGGGCAGCTACTGCCTGTTTGTGGGGTTACTTTGCCTCTGGGAAGACTCGAGCACATCCACCTGCTGAGAAGAGGGGCCGAGAGGGGAAAGACCCAGGAGAAGGGCAGGAGGTGATGGAGGGAAGCCTGGGGAGAGCGAGAAGGGCTAGTGGGGGATGGAGGGTGCAGAGATGAGAGTGAGGAGTGCTCCCGGCACAGTGCTCCTGGCATAGTGCTCCCCATAGAGCAGGAGTCAGGCTGTCTTCTCTGCAGTGTTGCAGGTGGGGCCCGAGGTGGGAGGAGACAGGGTAGAGGGTTTCGGGGAGAGGATGTGGAGAGGCGAGTGCTGGGAACCAGATGGCGAGCTGAGTGGGGACACATCCGCAGCCTGGTGGGTTGGCAGTGGAGGCTGAAGCTGGCCTGCTTGGGGAGCACTGTGCCGGGAGCATTCTGTAGAGGGAGAAGCATGGCTGTCCCAGAAGTTCTTTGTGGCCTTGGGGCAAATTGCCTAACCATGCTGAGCCTCTGTCTGTTTGGCTTGAGTGTGAACAAGAGCCCATGTGTCTGGGGCAGGTGCTGAGAAAGTGACCGTGACTTTGCTGTCACCTCTTGGAGTATCTCTGGCAGAGAAGGGCAAGATGATCTCAGTTGGTGGGTGTGGAGGCTGGACATGAAGGGGATTGGCAAAAAAGTGGTGTAATTGGCGGGTGGCCTGGGGACTCAGCCAGCTCTGATGAGATCTGGGACTGGAGAGCGTGGGGGCCTCGGTGAGGGACAAGGGGGGTCGTGGTGGGAAGAAACGCCCCGGGAGGCTGAGTACTTGGGGTCAGCCCACAGTCAGAGCTCTGAGTTTCTGTTCTGGTTTGGGAGGTCGTCCTAGATGTGGCCAGGCGTGTGGGTCTCTGAAGTGGAACCTAGTACTGCAGGTTCTGGAGGGGAGGTGGCAGGGAGCTGGGGGGTAGGTGGTGGCCATCGCACAGGGGAGCAATCGGGGACAGGGGGACGGCCCTCAGCAGGGAGGGAGAGCCGGGTTCTCTTGGTGCCCTGAGGTGGGGGAGTTTCAGACAAGACTCTGGAGATGGGGGGGAACACTGTTTCCTCCGGGGGTCAGGATTCCGGAGCAGGCGGCCAGGAAGGCTGGGCATGGCAGGGAGTGGGTCTGCAGCCTCCAAGGTCAGAACCCGATGCCAAGGCCCTGCGGAAAGCAGCGGGTGAGGGGGTGGGGTGGTGGCCCAGGCTCTGGCCTGGCAGGCTTGGCTGAGTACCGGTGGCTTGTCTGTCACTCGGGCTTCTCCTCACCCCGCCACCCCCTTCCCTAGATTGTACCTGAGCCTGGTTCTGGGGAACGTCAACGTCACGCTCCTGAGCAAGCAGGCTAAGTAATCAGGCCGAGCCTCCACCCCCCAACCTCCACCCCTCCACCCCTAGCCCCCTACCCCCCTCCCCCCCTCAACCTCCACCCCTCCACCCAGCCTTCCCCCGGAACCCGGCCTTCCCCTCCACCCCCCAACCCGGCCTTCCCCTCCACCCCCCACCCCACCCGGCCTTCCCCTCCACCCCCCACCCCACCCGGCCTTCCCCTCCACCCCCCCACCCGGCCTTCCCCTCCACACACCCACCCGGCCTTCCCCTCCACACACCCACCCGGCCTTCCCCTCCACACACCCACCCGGCCTTCCCCTCCACACCCCCTCCCCGCCTTCCCCTCCACACCCCCTCCCCGCCTTCCCCTCCACCCCCCCACCCGGCCTTCCCCTCCAGCCCCCCACCCGGCCTTCTTCCCCTCCAGCCCCCCACCTGGCCTTCCCCTCCAGCCCCCCACCCGGCCTTCCCCTCCACCCCTCCACCCGGCTTTCCCCCCAACCTGGTTTTCCCCTCCACCCCCCACCCCACCTGGCCTTCCCCTCCACCCCCCAACCCGGCCTTCTCCTCCATCCGACTACCCTTGGCTCAGCTGCCCTCCCGGGGTGGGGGCACACATGGGCCCCACCAGCACCCCACCCGTCTCACCGGCCTGCGCCCCCCAGGTTTGCCTACAAGGACGAGTATGAGAAGTTCAAGCTCTACCTCACCATCATCCTCATCCTCATCTCCTTCACTTGCCGCTTCCTGCTCAACTCCAGGTGGGCGTCCCACCCCGGCCGAGGACCCACCCCATCCCCAGTCGCTGCAGTACCAACCCTCGGTCCCCTCCCTCCGCAGGGTGACAGATGCTGCCTTCAACTTCCTGCTGGTCTGGTACTACTGCACCCTGACCATCCGGGAGAGCATCCTCATCAACAACGGCTCCCGGTGGGCAGGGCGGGCCCTGAGGGAGGGGAGCATGGAATGGGGTGCCAGGACCCTCCGGGAAGCAGGAACAGGCGCTGGGGGTGATGGTGGCTCTCTGCTCCAGGATCAAAGGCTGGTGGGTGTTCCATCACTACGTGTCCACCTTCCTGTCGGGAGTCATGCTGACGTGGTGAGTGGCTGGGCCCCGGCAGGGGCAGGAGCTGGGACAAGGAGGGGATACACGGCATCCCCAAGGGTCCCCACACTGCCCTCCACTTTTTACCTTAGGCCCGACGGTCTCATGTACCAGAAATTCCGGAACCAATTCCTCTCCTTTTCCATGTACCAGAGTGAGTGTCCCAGATGTCTGTGCTGAGCCCTGGAGGCACCCGTGGTGGGGGGCAGGGGCAGGGAACCCCTCCCGGGGCTCAGCCCTGCTCCTCTGTCCTCCGCCCGGCCCAGGCTTCGTGCAGTTTCTCCAGTACTACTACCAGAGCGGCTGCCTCTACCGCCTGCGGGCGCTGGGCGAGCGGCACACCATGGACCTCACTGTGGGTGAGTCGGGAGTGGCCCTGGCATCTGGACATTCCCCTTTCCTCCCATCCCGGGTCTGAGTGGTAGCGTCCCCTCTGTCCCTGGCCGTCCTGTGCCCTGACCTTCCTCCCCGCAGAGGGCTTCCAGTCCTGGATGTGGCGGGGCCTCACCTTCCTGCTGCCTTTTCTTTTCTTTGGACACGTAAGTCGTGCCTCTGTGTCCCTGCCTGTCTGTCTGTCCGTCCTCTGCGCCGGTTTCGGGCTCCAGCAGGGACTGGGTCTTCTGAGTAAAATGCCTCCTCCCTGCTTAGTTCTGGCAGCTTTTTAACGCGCTGACGTTGTTCAACCTGGCCCAGGACCCTCAGTGCAAGGAGTGGCAGGTGAGCCGGGGTCCCTGGACAGGATGGATGGGGGGCCAGGCCCATGTCCAGCCCTCACCCTATTCCTCCGGCAGGTGCTTATGTGCGGCTTTCCCTTCCTCCTCCTTTTCCTCGGCAATTTCTTCACCACCCTGAGGGTTGTGCACCACAAGTTTCACAGTCAGCGGCACGGGAGCAAGAAGGATTGAGGCTGGGCCTTCCCCTGCCGGCCCAGAGGGGCTTCTGTCCTGTGTGTTGTGGGAGGGGATGGGAGGCGCCCCTCGAGTGTGCGTGTATCAGGGGGTCTCTTCTATTCTCCCTTGGGTTTTATGGGCGCTGTGGGCCCTGAAGGAAGACCTGGGCCCAGTGCCCTCAATAAAGAGAGGCCCAGAGGTGGCCTGAGCGTGTGTGTTCTCCTGGGGGAGGGGAGGGCTGGGTGGCCCCACCACATGGGTTCCTGGGGTCTGAGTTAGTTAAGTTGATGCAGGTGGAGGTCCCAGATCTACTCACACAATACCAGGCAAATACAGAAAACAGAACTTTATTCCAAGGGCCAGAGGTTATTTAAAATTATTTACACTCACTGGAAATCACGTGGAGGGGCTGGGCCCAGCTCAGCAGAGAGAAAGAGCCCTTCTGTGCAGCCACCGAGGGCCAGAGGCCTCCAGAGGCATGGAGCCCGGTGCCCCCATGCAGGCCCTGGGCTGTGCTGCCAGGGGCCGGTGGACCTCACCTGGCCTGGGGGCTGAGGAGGATGCACCCCAGGCCCAGAGGAGTCTTTGTCACTGGGCCTGCGCCCATGCCAAGGCCAAGCCAAACACACCCAGGAGACTACGGGAGGGAGCCAGGAGAGCTGATTACAGGCCGGAGTCTGTGGGGTGGGTGGGGCAGGCAGGCCCCTAGCTCCACACGTCCAGGGAGTAGCGGCCCTTGGTCATCAGTTTCTTGATGTAGTCCACCGCCTGCGCGTGCTCCATGGCCCCGAGCTCAGCCACGATGTCGTAGAAGGTGTTCTGCACATCCCTGGCCATGTTCCGTGCATCCCTGGGCAGGAAGAGGGGGTGCTGGGGGCTGGGCCAACTGTGGCAGGCAGGGCCTTGTCCTCCCTGCCCCCTATTCCAGTGACCCCACTCACTCACCCACAGACGTAGATGTGGGCACCGCCTTCGATCAACTTCCACAGGTGCTCTCGGTCTTGCTTTAGCAGGTGCTGGACGTAGACCTGGGGCCAAGGGTGGTGCTGTGAGGGGGGCACTGTGGCTGTGGCCCTGCCAGCCTCATGCCCACCTTCGTGGGTGCCCGCCCGTCTCACCTTGTGGGACTGCTCCCGGGAGAAGGCCACGTTGAGCTGGGTGAGCGCACCGTCCCTGTGGAACTGCGCCAGCTCCTCCCGGTACAGGTAGTCCTCATCCGAGCGGCGGCAGCCGTAGTACAGCAGCGTCTCCCCCACCTCCTTGCCTGCGTGGCAGGGGCCGGGGTGAGCGCGGGGCTCCCAGTCGTCACCCCCTCTCCCCCATGGGACCCCACTCACCCTGCTGTCGCAGCCAGGCCCGCTCCTGGATGAAGCCTATGAAGGGTGCCACCCCGGTGCCGGGGCCCACCATGATGACAGGCGTGGTGGCCTTGAAGGGCAGGCGGAACTGGGACTTGCGCACGAACATGGGCACCAGCGCACGGCCGCCGTTCTCCCCGGCAGGCTCCTTGGCCCGCAGCCAGTTGGTGGCCACGCCCTTGTTGATGCGGCCAGCCTTGGTCTCGTACTCCACAACCACCGCACAGATGTGCACAGAGTTGGGGTGGACCTGTGGGGAGGGCCGTGTGAGCTCCACCGCCACACCGAGGCCCTTGCCCAGCCCCGGCCCCAAGTCCCGTTCTGCAGGCCAGCCCCACTCACCCAGGGCCTCTTCCAGCCCACCTGGCACCCAAACCTCAGAGGCCCCCTCCCCAGCGGCTTCCCGGACTGGTTCTGGGGACCGGGGCTGGACAGATGCTGAGAATCTCACAAGCCAGCCCGACTGAGTCCACAGCCTGGGGAGGCATTTGGAGCTGCGCTGGGGCTGGAACTGGAGCTCAGGGCTCAGATCTCGGAGCTCCTGTGCCGCCTTGCACTCTGCCTGCTGTGAGCAGGGCTGGGCCTCCAGCGTGTGGCTGGCAGGGCAGTGCCGGCCCTCACCTTGGAGGATGAGGCGATGGAGTAGTAGCGGGCCTGCAGGCGCGGCAGCAGCTCACACAGGTGGTCGATGGGGGGCCGCAGGGACGGGCAGTCCTGCAGGATGGCCAGGATGTGCCTCCGGGCCTCCACCACCCAGCTCAGGTACAGCTCCTAAGAGACACGGGGGTGAGATGGGGCTGATTGGGGCCCACGGAGCTCGGAAAACGGCGGGGTGACGGGGCGGAGGTTGCGGGGGCTGAGGGGGCGCACCTTGCCCTCGCCGGAGGAGGAGGCCATCTTGCGCAGCAGCTCCTGCTCCGAGGGCTCCGAGGCGTACTGCGCCAGCTCGTACAGCACGTTGGTACGCGGCGGGTTGGTGATGTCCAGGTAGTAGGTGAGGGCCGTGCGGTAGGACGTAGGGCACGGGAATGGGTGCTTCTTGTTGGACTCCTCTGCAGGGAAGAGACAGGCAGGACTTGGGGTAGGCGGCCGCCTCCTGGGGATGGGTGGCTGCGGCAGGAGGGGGTGACACCTTGGGCCAGCTCTGCGGCAACAGGTGCCCCAGCTGGTGCTGGAAACAAGGCCTATGCTCTCTGATGCCTCCCTGGCCCTGGGGCCAAGTCTGGGGCCTCCAACCAGACAGGAAGTCCTCATCAGAGGCAGGACCCTGCTAGGGGAGGTGCGGGGGAGCCCCTGCACACTAACGCACCCGCTGTGCTTTCACCGCACACTACACGGTCTGACACAGCCCCGCCCAGGCTTCCCTACAGGCGGGCTGTGGAAGCCGACAGTAAGGGCAGCCCTGGCATGGCAGCTGAGGACCGGCAAGCAGGGGTGGGGCGAGGTGGGCTCGGCCCAGGTTGGTGACCAGTGGGGTCCGAGGGCTTCACAGCGGGAGGCTCAGGCTGGGCAGCCCCACCAGGCCCAGGCAGCCCCGCGTAATGGCTACTGCCACTCGGCACCACTGTGCACCCTTGGGGGCCTGGGAGGGCTGCTGACTCCTGACTTCAGTGAGGAGGTGGGGGCAGCCCCAGGCCGGCAGAGGTGGGTCGTGGAGCCAGGCCCTCCTTCCCAGCAGGACACAGTGGCCATGGGGGAGCCAGGGCTGCCTCTGCCACCAGGCCTCAGCACCTCACTCCCTTAAAGGACTATGACAGTGACGGGGTAGGGGGAACCCCGACAGAGAGGGCTAGACCCCTAGGGCCACCCCGCCTCCCGTTTGCTTGGGATCCTGTAACCGTGGAGTCTCGGTGCAAGGGCCTCCCAGGCACCGGGGCTTCAGGCCTAAGCAGAAGCTCAACCCAGGGCCTTCCTACAGGCCCAATCCCGCGGCTGCCTGAGCCCGGCAGGGCGCCCTGACTGTGGCACTCACCATCCAGGTTGTTCAGGGACATGACGACGTCCAGGTCGGCACCCAGGATTTTGCCCAGCTGGTTGACGAGAGCAGAGTCGTTGGCTGGGTACACAGCCACGTGGTCCCCAGATTCATACCTGGAGGGAGATGTGAGGCTCGGGAGGGGCGGAAGGCTGGCCCTGCCCCAGGTCAGGAGGCCCAGAGTGAGGGTTCAGGGGGTGACAGTGGCAGCTGGTACCTGATTTTGGAGTCCGAGATGTCCAATTCCAGGTGCATGAGGTGGCGCTCGGTTCCCTGGTTCAGCTTCCGGTTGGTGGTGACTGCAGCCAGGAACGGATTCTTGGCATCAAAGGGGCTGGGTGGGGAGGAGAGAAGCACAGTGAGCGGCCGGGGCTTTGATCTGAGTCTCCGTCTCCAAGGACGCTTCTGGTTGCACAAAGCACAGGGAATCTCAGAGATCTCCATGAGGAAATCTCACCGGTTACATCAAGGGCTCTCCCAGCCTGGTCCAATGCAGTTCTCTTTTTTTTTTTTGAGACAGAGTTTCGCTCTGCCACCCAGGCTGGAGTGCAGCGGCGCGATCTCGGCTCACTGCAACCTCTGCCTCCCAGGTTCAAGCAATTCTCCTGCCTCAGCCTCCTGAGCAGCTGGAATTACAGGCATTCGCCACCATGCCTGGTTAACTTTTATATTTTTACTAGAGACGGGGTTTCACCATGTTGGCCAGGCTGGTCTTGAACTCCTGACCTCAGGTGATTCACCCACCTCGGCCTCCCAGAGTGCTGGGATTAGAGCTGTGAGCCACCTCGCCCAGCCCTAATGCAGTTCTCTCTATAGTCCCACCACATGGGCAGAGCTGGGTCATCAGTGTCTGTTTACAGATGTGGAAACTGAGGCTGGCCCCTAAAAGAACTGTGAGGCCCAAGCTGACGGTGCCACAGGCTGGAAGGTGGCTGGTCCCCAAATGAGGAGCACAGCTCCCCCACCCCCACACGTCCTGGACTACACCGTGGACAAGAGAGAAACTTGCACTCCGGAAAGCCACCGACATGCAGGGCTTCTCGCTCCAGCCAGGCTGGGGCAGGCCTACAGAAAGCAGGGCAGCTGGTCTTGGATGCAGTGGCACGAGGACTTCCCTGGGTGGCTCGGGCAGGAATCTGGGCAGCAACCAGGGGCCATCAAGGGCACAGAGAGGAACGCCAGGTTTCTCCCCCAAGTCTATCTATGGAGATAGATTCTAAGAAAATGAGCCCTTCTGCCAAAGAGGATCCTAGCCACAGAGGCCAATGCACTGTCCTAGTCGAGAAGTGGGATGTGCCCCGCTGCCCTGGGCAGTGCAGAGTAAGGTGGCTAAGTGAGCTCAGTACAAACTGGGCGAGTGCCAGTCTCCTGGGGCCGGGCCGTGGACAGGTCGTGGACACTCACACCCACTCGGGGCACGGGGTCTGGTGAGAAGGGCCCTGTGGGGATATGGGGATACACGGCAGACTGAGCCTGGGGTGCACCAGTGGCCATAGAGCCGTCTGCCCCAAGCCACGCTCCCTCCACTCACGGCTTCTGGTTCTCGTAGCTCTTCAGCCGGCCCATCTCCCCCATGTACACCTTGGCCGCATCTATGTCGGTGTGGACCACAAGCTCGTACTGGCGAATGCTGGAAAGGGGAGACCAAGGGTGAGGCCGGGAAGCGGCAGGGGTCAGTCCCGAGAGGGAGGGGTTGGACTACAGGGGAGACCGTGCATGGCCTTTGGGGTGAGGTCCCAGGTACATACGACAAGAAGCAGGGGAGCCCCTGCTGCAGATGCACAAGGAGGGCAGGCGAGGGAGCAAGGAGGGAGGCGGCGTGGAGCTGCCGGGGGCCAGACGCCCAGAAGCCGGGGCAGGGCTGGGCAGGCTTCCATCTGGGAGAAGGTAAGGAAGCCCGGGCAGCACCCAGGGGCCATCAAGGGCACAGAGAGGAACGTTATGTTTTTGGCCAAGTCTGTGGAGGCAGATTTTAAGGAAATGAGCCCTTTTGCCAAAGTTGAACCTAGCCACAGAGCCCGACGCGATGTGTCCTTGTCGAGAGGTGGGATGCACCCCGCTGCCCCAGGGCAGTGCAGAGCAACGTGGCAGAGTGAGTCCTTGGCTGGGACCAAGGTCCCTCCTCGACCCTATGACGGAGTGTCTTCTAACCTTGCTGCGACCCACTGCCAGCCCTTGTTCCAGGGTGGCTGCCCTCGGCACAGGACCCGCCCAGGCCACCCACCGCACCTGCGGGCACTTGCTCACCTGGACTCCTCGCCAGTGGCTTCCACCCCAAAGTGTTCACACACGGCCGGCCAGAACTGCTCTCGCCAGGTGATGAAGTCCTCCTCCAAGCTGGGCCGAGGAGAGGAGAGGGGGAGCGGCTCAGGGGAGGCCCATGTGGCAACGGTACCTGGTGCCAGGCACGCCCCGACCCCACCCCATCCCCAAAGCTCAGGACTGTGCACCCTGGGGCACCCAGCGACATAAACCCAGAGCATCAGGAAGGCTCCAGGGAGTTGGGCAAGCCGAAAAGCAAAACTGGCAGGGGCAGGGCAGAGGCAGGAGAGCCCCTTCCCTCTGTGTTGGAGGTGCGTGTCGCTGAGTCTCAGCTGACACAATGGTGTGCGCGCCCCTCACGTTCCACGGCCCCTGCCTAAGCCCGCCGCGCTGATCATGGTGGCAGGGTGGGCACTCACTTCCCATCGTCGTCGCCCAACCCCAGCTCAAAGATGCGCTGGGCGCCGAGCTGCTCCAGCCGCTTGTCCACGTACTTGCCCATGGCATTGAAGTGCTCGTAGGTCTTGTTCCCAAGACCAAACACCTGCGTGGACACAGGGGCCGCTCTGAGGCCTGGCCCTCGACCTGACCAGTGGGAGGGGCCATGGGGGCAGGGCGGGAGGCCCCACAGCACTGGCTGAGCTGCTGGCAACACCTGCAGGCCTCCGTTCCACCAGGCGCCTCGCACTGCAAGGAACACTGGGCCACTGAAGAGGCTTCATCTGGTTGACCTGCAGCCCACAGCCTGCCCCGTCCACTGCCAGCCTCAACCCACAGGGAAGCGGGGCCAGCCCACCCTCCCCACCGGGCTGGGGCTCCAGCTCTCCGAGGCCAGGCAGGTCTCAGTCGTCCAGCCAGACCTTTCTTGCCTTTAGTCTCCAGCACCCAATGCCCCCTGGAGCCGACTGGGGCTGGGGACAGGGAGGGGACATTCTCGTAGTGCTGGGGTCTGGGGCAGAGGAGAGGGTCTCACAAGTGGCCTGCCCTGGCTGCTGAGGACAGGGTGGGGGTCTGGAGGGCTGCCTTTCAGATACATGGATCTGGAGTCCCCAGGGAGGCACCGCAGGCCACCGGGAGCCCATAGCAGTCTCTGGGTGACTCACCGCGAACTTGACCCCAGAGAGATCCACGTCTGTCTCCTGCAGCCAGTCGTAGAAGTCCTGGGCATTGTCGGTGGGGTCTCCCTCACCGTAGGTGGCCATGCAGAAAACCACCAGGGCGTTGTCGATCTCTGGCAGGCTGCTCAGGTCGGCCTGCAGAAACAGGGACAGGACCGCGCCCCGGCCATGACTGAGCCTGTTCAAGGTTCAACCCGCACCAGATGGGGAAGGCCAGGTCCTGCCCAGGGTGGCACCAGGCCAGGGATGTCTGAGTGTCGTGGGATCAGAGAGAAGTAACAACACGGAGGGGCTGGGGCATGGGCATTTGTGCCAGGTGGGCAGGACAAGGTCACCCGTGTTAGGCTGGAGCGGAGAGGATGTGTTTCTAGAGGAAAGTGAAGCTTGGCACAAAAGAGCCATCAGAATGCAGCCTCCTGAGCTGATGCAGGTCTGGGGCCACCCTGGGAACCTCATTCCAAAGCTCCCAGGCACCGCACAGCCCCGGTGCACACTGATATCTAACTAAACTGTTCATCAACTGCAAATGCAGCCTGGAGAGGGCTGTGGGGTAGTGCCCGTCACCAAGACCTCGAAGGAGAGGGGAGTGGAGCAGCTGGGGAGGGTGGGTTTGGTTTGGGAGATGTGGCGGCCGCCAGGAGGGCAGCCGGCACTCAGGGGAGGGCCAGTCCTGGGGAAACGATGCCTGGCACGTGGCTGCAACTGCAGGAATGGCCCTTCCGTCAGTCAGCCCGGGCAGGGATGGCAATGACCCTCACGGGAAGGCAACTTCCGAGGACGTCTTCCCAGGACCCCACTCCCTGCCGGCCTCCCCCTGCTGAGGGGCGCCCTACAGACCTGCTCCCTGTCCTACCCACTGCCTCCATCTGGGGCCAGCACGCGGTGGCAGCTTACCAGGTCATACTCCTCAGGGTCCGCTGACATGCCTCGCATCCCGTAGCGGTGGGCGTCCTTGGACAGGCGGTTGGCAAACTCCTCTGCAGTCCCCGTCTGGGAGCCGTAGAACACGATGATGTTCCTCCCCTAAGGAAGGCAGACACAGGGTTGGTGAGGGCCACAGACCTCAGCCACGGCTCCGGTGAACACCCACTGGGCAGGCCTGGCAGGCGGGGGCCCTCCAGGCCGCCCCCTTTCCTTCCTGGCTTTGAGTCCCTTCTAAGTTCCTCTGGGACTTGCTTCTCACTGTCACAGCCACTGTGGCAAAGGAGGGCAAAGGTCACCAAGGCAATCTCACACACGCGGCTGCTCAAGATCACACTTCTGACATTTTCATGACACGGGGAAAAAACAAAGTTAAAAAAAGTAACCAAATGTATAGCCCCTATCCGTGGGGGAATGGTTCCAGGACCTCCCATAGATACTTACATCCAAGGATGCAGCCGGGCGTGGTGGCTCACACCTGTGATCCCAGCACTTTGGGAGGCTGAGGCTGGCAGATTACCTGAGGTCAGGAGTTCAAGACCAGCCTGACCAACATGGTGAAACTCCATCTCTACTAAAACTACAAAAATTAGCCGGGCATGGTGGCGTGCACCTGTAATCCCAGTTACTAGGGAGGCTGAGGCAGGAAAACAGCTTGAACCCAGGAGGTGGAGGTTGCAGTGAACTGAGAACACGCCACTGCACTCCAGCCTGGGTGACAGAGCAAGACTCCACCTCCAGTGGCTCACGCCTATAATCCCAGCACTTTGGGAGGCCAAGGCGGGTGGATGACTTGAGGTCGAGAGTTCAAGACCAGCCTGACCAATATGGAGAAAACCCTGTCTCTACTAAAAATACAAAATTAGCCGGGCATGGTGGCACATGCCTGTAATCCCAGCTACTTGGGAGGCTGAGGCAGGAGAATCGCTTGGACCTGGGAGGCAGAGGTTGTGGTGAGCCGAGATCGCGCCATTGCACTCCAGCCTGGGCTACAAGAGCAAAACTCCATCACAAAAAAACCCAAAAAACAAAAATCCAAGGATGCTCAAGTCCCTGCTATAAAATGATGTGGTATTTGTGTGTAGCCTACACACATCCTCCAACATACTTTAAATCATCTCTAGATTACTTATTAATGTAATACTTAATGTAATGTAAATTCTCTGTAAATAGTTGCTATGCTGTATTGTTTAGGGAACAGTAAGATGACAGTATGTGTTCAGGACAGACACAACAATCCATTTTTTCTCCAAATATTTTCAGTCTGCAGTTGAATTCTTGAACTCCGAACTCACGGATATGCAGGGCTGGCTATACAATCCAATTGTGTTATATAAATAATAGATATGTATATCAAAACATACATATGTATTTTCTTTCTATACCCACAGGCACAAAGAAAACAGACTGGCAAGAAATATACCGAGGGTCCCTAAATGGGGCATTCTGGATGTGTTTTGCTGGTTAAATACATATTCATTATAAAATTTTACAACAGGGAAAGGTCCTAGGGGCTGGCTCACATACTCGTCAGTCCACCCTCCTCCTCCAGCAGCTGTTGAAAAGCCTGAAATCCTATTCCCCAGAGCCCGTTGGGGCTGGAGTTGCAGCCAATTCGGTTCAGCCAATTGAACGTGCTTTGCAAGATCTGAAGGGTGGAAGGGAGGCCAAGGCTTCCTGGCCCCTCATGCACATGTGAGGTTCTCTGCAGTGCCTGGTCTTCAGTGCCTAAGGCATTTTTCTTTTTTTCTTTTCTTTTTTTTATTTTTGTGTGTGAGACGGAGTCTCGCTCTGACGCCCAGATTGGAGTGTAATGGCACGATCTCAGTTCACTGCAACCTCTGCCTCCTGGGTTCAAGCAATTCTCGTGCCTCAGCCTCCTGAGTAGCTGGGATTACAGGCACCCACCACTATGCTAGGCTAATTTTTTTGAATTTTTAGTAGAGACTGGGTTTCAACACGTTGGCCAGGCTGGTCTCGAACTCCTGACCTCAGGTGATCTGCCCACCTTGGCCTCCCAAAGTGCTGGGATTACGGGCGTGAGCCACCGCACCCAGCCACCTGAGGTATTTCTAATAGTTTTGGTAGCCAGACTGCAAGTTCCTAGTCCTGGCTACTGGCTTATGTGATGTTCAGAGGCAGCTGTAGAAGTAGCTTCTTATCCTGGATCACAGCTACACGTGGTGTGTCCTGAACTCAACAGTTTCAGGCTGCATTCGAACAGAGCAGCTACCTTGCAGGTTGCTTCTGTGATATCTTAGAGACCAACCTGCTCCTTCAGCCCCTCCAGTAACCTGGAAGTACCCCCTTCCCTGTGTGAAATCCCTTCCAGATTAAAATGCCTAAAGTAGTCTCTAGTTTTCACACTGAATCCCACCTCATACAAAATAAAACTTACGCGGCCGGGTGCCGTGGCTCACTTCTGTAATCCTAGTACTTTGGGAGGCCGAGGTAAGAGGATGACTTGAGCCCAGGAGTTTGAGACCAGCCTGGGCAACATGGCAAAACCCTGTCTCTACTAAAAATACAAAAAATTTATCTGGGTGTGGTGGCGCATGCCTATGGTTCTAGCTACTTGGGAGGCTGAGGTGGGAGGATCACTTGAGCCTGGGAGGTTGAGGCTGAAGTGAGCTGTGATTGAGCCACTGCACTCCAGCCTGGGTGACAGGAGTGAGACTGAGTCTCAAAACAAAACCACCACCAAAAAAAACTTAGGGATTACAATAAATGTTCTTATACTTTTTAAAGTTCCTGAATTTTCCACAAATCATTGTTAAATCATTAAAAATTGTTTTTTTTTTTCTTGAGACAGAGTTTTGCTCTTGTCGCCTAGGCTGGAGTGCAGTGGTGCGATCTCGGCTCACTGAAACCTCTGCCTCCTGGGTTCAAGCGATTTTCCTGCCTCAGCCTCCTGAATAGCTGGGATTACAGGTGTCCGTCACCATGCCTGGCTAATTTTTTGTGTTTTTAGTAGAGACAGGGTTTCACCATGTTGGTCCAGCTGGTCTCAAAGCTCCTGACCTCAGGTGATCCGCCCGTCTCAGCCTCCCAAAGTGCTGGGATTACAGACATGAGCCACTGCACCCGGCCAAAAGGATTTTTTTTTTTTTTAGATGGAATCTTGCTCTGTTGGCCAGGCTGGAGTGCAGTGGTGCGATCTTGGCTCAATGCAACCTCCGCCTCCCGGGTTCAAGTGATTCTCCTGCATCAGCCTCCCGAGTACCTGGGACTACAGGTGCATGCCACCACGCCCGGCTAATTTTTGTATTTTTAGTAGAGACAGGGTTTTCGCCCAAAAGGATATTTTAAAATAATCACCGTAAAAATACTTAATAGAAGAGAAAGTGCTCATGATTATCAGGTTAAGAGAACAAAAGATGACCTAAGATAGCAGCTAAATATTTACAGGAGCATCAAAATATATAAAATACCTAGAAATAAACTTTGTAAGAGATGTGTCAGAAGCTACTGAACTACACACAAAGGACTCACGCCAATGGAAAAGCACCCCGATTATGGACAGGGAGTCTCGACCCACAAAAATGGCAGCTCTATTTATGTCACTAGAGAAATGTGGCATGATGTAATAGAAATCTGAACCAGCTGGGTGCAGTGGCTCACACCTGTAATCCCAGTACCCTGGGAGGCCACACCAGGAGGACTGCTTAAGCCCAGGAGTTTGAGAACAGCCTGGGCAACAGAGTGAGACCCAGTCTCTACCAAAAAAAAAAAAAAAAATCTGAACAGCTTTTTTTTCCTCAACAAATTGATCCTAAAAGTCACGGAAAAATAAGTAAGAATCCATATATTAAAACATTATTTGGCAATAAAAAGGAAGTACTAACATATGCTACAGTGTGGGTGAACCTTGAACACGTTGCGCCCAGTGAAAAGAACCCAGAGACCCAGCTATTATTATTATTATTTGACACAGGGTGTAGCTGTTGCCCAGGTTTGAGTCCAGTGGTCACTGCAATCTGTGCCTCCCAAGCTCAAGCTATCCTCCCACTTCAGCCTCTCAGGTAGCGGGGACTATAGGTGCGCACCACTGTGTCCCACTAATTTTTCTATTTTTTGTGGAGATGGGGTTTCGCCATGTTGCCCAGGCTGGTCTCAAACTCCTGGGCTCAAGCGACCTGCCCATCTCGGCCTCCCAAAGTGTTGGGATTACAGGCATGAGCCACTGCGCCCAGCCCAGGAATTAAGTATATGATAAAGGTGGCATTTCAAACCAGTGGGGGAAAGATGGACTCTAATACATGGTGTTTAGACAGCTATGTAAAATGTAGAGTTGGATTCATACCTCACATCTTACATCAGGATAAATTCCCAATAGATCAGATTTTAAATTTTGAATATGAAAAACAAAACCCTAAAAGTACTAGAAAAAAAAAATACAGGAATATCTTTATCTCTTTAGCATGGGGAAGACCTTCAAATTATGACTCTAAGACCAGAAGTCACGAAAAGAAAGAATCATATAGGTGACTCTGTAACTTTTACACAGCAAAACAAATAAAAATGCGATCAGCTAGGTTGAAAGACAAACTTTTTTTTAAGAGATGGAATCTCACTAAAAGACAAACTCTTTAACGGGCAAGATATTTTCAACTTATATCACAGACAAGAGATTCATCTCCCTAATAATTTCAAGGAGAAAGATCAATCCCAACAGAAAAGCAGGCAAAAGATGTGAAGAGAGAATCTATTAAAAAAAGAAAAAAGAGGCTGGGTGCGGTGGTTCAGGCCTGTAATTCCAGAACTTTGGGAGGCCAAGTTGAGTGGATGACCTGAGGTCAGGAGTTCGAGACCAGCCTGGCCAACATGGCAAAACCCTGTCTCTACTGAAAATACAAAAGTTAGCCAGGCATGGTAGCACGCACCTGTAATCCCAGCTACTCAGGAGAATGAGGCATGAGAATTGCTTGAACCCGGGAGGTGGAGATTGCAGTGAGCTGAGATCACACCACTGCACTCCAGCCTGGGCAACAAAGCGAGACCCTGTCTCAAAAAAAAAAAAAAAAAAAAGAAAAGAAAAAAGAAAAAGAAACGAAGCCATCTAGACCTAGGTGGGTGAAAATCTACTGAATCTCATTCATAAAAATGTAAATTACAACTATACTGAGTTTTTTTTTTAAGCCTAGAAAACTGACAAAAATCTAAACTTTAATAACAAACTGTTGGCAAGGCTGTGGGGAACAGTTTTCTCACACGTCGCTATTCTTGAGCGCGTGCCACGGTGTGACTCCTACGGGGACGATTTGTAGCTTCTATCACGATTGCAAACACATCTACCTTCCAATCCAGCAATTCCACTTCTGGGACTGCTTTGTATTTGAAATGTGCAAACCGAGCTACATATTCACAGTGACATTGTTGGTAAGAGCCAAAGAGTAGCAACAGCCCCAGTGCCCATCTTTAATAGGACAGGGTTAAGTGCGTTACAGTGAATCCAGATGGCCATATAATGGAATCATGGTACAGCTAAGATGATGGCAGTATCTTTGTATTGATATGGAAGGATCTTTGAGACATATCAAGTTGTTTTGTGTTCTTTTTTTTTTAAAGCAAGGTCAGCCGGGCGCAGTGGCTCACGCCTGTAATCCCAGCACTTTGGGAGACCGAGGCAGATGGATCACGAGGTCAGCAGTTTGAGACCAGCCTGGTCAACATGGTGAAACCCCGTCTCTACTAAAAATACAAAAATTAGCCAGGCACGGTGGCAGGCGTCTAACCCCAACTACTCCGGAGGCTGATGCGGGAGAATCACTTGAACCGAGGAGGTGAAGGTTGCAGTGAGCCAAGACCGTGCCATTGCACTCCAGCCTGGGCGACAGAGCGAGACTCTGTCTCAAAAAAAAAAAAAAAAAAAAAAAAAGCAAGGTCTGGAACAGTGCACATAGTATGCCACGTTTTGTGTTTTAAGAAAAGTGTAGGCTGGATGCAATGGCTCGCACCTACAGTCCCAGCACTTTGGGAGGCGGAGGCAGAAGGATTGCTTGAGGCCAGGAGTTCAAGACCAGCCTGGGCAACATAGCGAGAACCTGTTCCTATGAAGAATAAATTAAAAAATTAGCCAGGCGTGGTGGTGTGCACCTGTAGTCCCAGCTACTTGGGAGGCTGTGGTAGGAGGATGGCTTGAGTCTAGGAGTTTGAGGCTGCAGTGAGCTATGATGGCGCCGCTGCACTCCAGCCTGGGCAACACAGTGAGACCCTGTCTCTAAAATAAAATAAAGGTTTTTTTAAATTAAAAATAAGAGTCTCTGTTTGTTTTACTTGTATGTTCATACAGGAACTCTAGAAGGATCCATAAATAATAAGAACAGTGGGGATGAGTGGGTGGCAGAGGGGAGCTTTCCACTGAATAGTGGATGTTTTTATTTTAACTATGTAAATGTAGTACTGATGCCTACAATTAAATAGTTAAATTGGCTGGGTGCGGTGGTTCACGCCTGTAATCCCAGCACTTTGGGAGGCTGAGGCGGGCGGATCACCTGAGGTCAGGAGTTCAAGACCAGTCTGGCCAACATGGTGAAATCCCATCTCTATTAAAAATACAAAAATTAGCTGGGCGTGGTGGCACGCACCTGTAATCCCAGCTACTCGGGAGGCTGAGGCACGAGAATGGCTTGAACCCGGGAGGTGGAGCTTGCAGTGAACCGAGATTGCGCCACTGCACTCCAGCCTGGGTGACAGAGCGAGATTCCATCTCAAAAAAAAAAAAGTAACAAAAACAAAGCGGAGAGAAAATGGCAGTGGTGCCACGACCGCAGCTCTGTGAGATTTACCTCTGCTCCTGGACAGGCCAGGGCCAGACGGGAGAAGCTTCGTGAGTTAGAGGGAGGGTCTGTTCTTAGACTTTGGTTTGTTCAAAAAGTAAAGATTCAAGGAAACAAACTGTCCCAGCAACAGCAGAGCTGCTTCAGGGCTTTGGTTAGGCAAGAATGACTCCCAAGCGAGCCGGGCTGCGTTCCCTCTCCTGGCCACCGGGACATCCTCTATGCGGTGACGCCAGCCGTCTGCTAGACTTGATTACATGCCCATCGGGGCCGAGGCTTCCTGAGAAGAGTAAAGACATGCAGGAAACTCACCGTTTTCTTCATCTTTTCCACAAAGCTGCTCTCTCTGACAGAGGAGGTCCTGCAAGACAAAAGTGTGCAATGAGCGTGGGAGGCAGGTGTCATGGGACACAGGTGTCACGGGACGTGGGTGTCCTTAGATGCAGGTTTCATGGGATGCTGTGGCAGCACAGGGAGGGGACATTCCAGCTTTGTCCCGTGCCACTCCCCAGGGGCTAAGCCAGCAGCTGGCCTCTAATCCAACACCAGGGCTCCCAGGCCTCCCGCACCAGCTCACCCTTCCCATTTCCCCTACAGTAAAGCCTCTTGCGACACCAGTGCTTTGCAAAGCCAAGACCTCTCCTGCACCCAGATAGATATGGGCTTGTTTCCCTCAAGGAAGAGCCAAGGTTTCCACTTCCCTCTTCCTCCCCACCCACAGCCCAGGTCCCCACGGCCTGACCTCAGCCTGACCTTCCACCTCTTCACCTCTTCCTTCTCCAGCCCCTGCCTCTCACATCTGCCACTTCCCTGCTCCGCTCTTCAACAGCTCCCACGACCCATGGGATCCGGGCACATGAGTCCCCTCAGAGTCTGTCTCCAGCGTCACCTGCCACTCCCCTCCACAAACCAAGCTTGATGCCTAATTCACACCCCCTCCCTGCATGGTGGCCTCAGAATCCTGTGCACGCCATCGCTTCCACCCAGAGCCTTCCTGCCACAGTCCCCTCACCTGGCTGACCCCCGCTCTGCCCTCAAGGTCCTGCGCAAGGGTCAGCTCCCCTGGGATTCAAAGACCCCCTCTGCTTCCCCTGCACTGGGCCACATTTCATTTTTCCCTTCTCTGCGTTCCTGGGACTACAGCCCTCACCTTGGTCCATCCCCTCCAGAGGGCAGCCTGGTGCCCGCCAGCCTCAGGATCAGGCTGGGGTGACACAATCTTCTGTCCACTGTCCACTTCTGGCCTTCTACCCCCGCACCACCCCTCACCCCGCCCCATTTTCCGTTCTTCTGTTTCCTTCTGACCCTTGCCCCAAGCCTGCAGGGCCAGAGGAACAAGCCCAGTGCCCCTTGCCCAGGACTTTCAAGCTGAAGGAGGTGAAAAACGCTGGCTGAATACAGCAAGGTGGGAAACACCTTCCTCTGGGTGGTGGAGATTTGAAATATGGCCATTCTGAATCAAGTGACAAACCTGAAGATGAAAATACATTTTTGTATTTAAAATGACATTTTTGGTCGGGCATAGTGGCTCATGCACGTAATTCCAGCACTTTGGGAGGTTGAGGCGGGAGGATCACTTGAGTCAGGAGTTTGAGCCCAGCCTGACCAACATGGCAAAACCCCGTCTCTACTAAAAATACAAAAATTAGCCGGGCCTGGTGACGCGCACCTGTAATCTCACCTACTCGGGAGGCTGAGGCAGGAGAATCACTTGAACTAGGGAGGCGGAGGTTGCAGTGAGCCGAGATCACGCCACTGTACTCCAGCCTGGGCAACAGAGTGAGAATCTGTCTCAAAAAATAAAATAAAATAAAATAAAATAAAATAAAATAAAAAACGCCATTAAAGGAAGGAAAGGCAAGCTGCAGTGTGGGAGAGGATATTTGTAATGTACTTATATGTGGGCAAAAGACTTTGATCGAGAATGTAAGAAAGCCCTACAAATCAACAGGAAAAAGACAAATCCTCCATCAGAAAAACTATCAAAAGACTTGAAGAGGCATTTTCTTTTTCTTTTTTTTTTTTGAGATGGAGTCTCGCTTTGTCGCCCAGGCTGGAGTGCAGTGGCACGATCTTGGCTCACTGCAACTTCCAAGAAGAGGCATTTTCTTAAAGAGAGTATCCAAGAACCTAGCTCAGTGGCCGACACTTGTAATGCCAGCACTTTGGGAAACCAAGGTGGGAGGATCACTTGAGGCCAGTTTGAGACCAGCCTGGGTAAAACAGCAATACTCTACCTCTAAAAAAAAAAATTTTTTTTAATTAGCCCGGTGTGGTGGTCTGTGCCTGTGGTCCCAGCTACTCAGGAGGCTGAGGTGGGAGGATCCCTTGAACCTGGGTGTTTGAAGCTGCAGTGGGCGATGATCTCACCACTGTGCGATCACATGACCGTGCGGTGCGATCATAGCTCACTGCAGCTTCAAACACCCGGGTTCCAGCCCGGGAGACAGAGGGAGACCCTGTAAATCAACCAACCAACCGATATAAATAAACAGAAGTGGTACATGTGGGGCCCGACTGATTGATTTTGAAGCCTCCAACAATAAGGATAATTAGAATAGCTACACCCTGAGTAAGGGGACCCCAGCAGAGCAGATATTTTAAACAAGAGAAAAGTGGCCGATTCTGAACACCCCTCCCGCAGTGGCCCGGCCCCATTTCCCACCTCTCTGGGCTACGCTAAGCTACTCACATTTCCACGCGGCTCCCTGGGCCTACAAGGCCCTTCCTGTGACCCCTTCCCACCTTCTACTCATCCTTTACCACAGAACTTAACTTTCCTCTCCCAGAGGCCGTCCCTGCCCCTCACGCAGCAACGCTACTGTCGCCGTCTTCGCTGTGGCACACACACTGGTCGGCCAAGGCACTTTACTCTGCACATTCCTGTGGCTTAACTGGAAGCCTGGGTTGAATAACCTTGGGGGCTGTCTGTGTATCCCTGCCATGAGCGCGACGCCTAGCACACGGCACAGGACGCCGTGTCTCCTCCTAGGGTGGCCAGCCCTGAGTTCTCTGTCCAGCACGAGGCTGGCAGGGGCGGACTAAGAGGCTGTTGAGGGCACTTCTCACTCCCTAGCCACCTCTGAGGTCTGACCTGGCATCAGCTGAAAAGCCAACCCCTATCTCTACTCAAAGGACAGATGCTTCCAGGGAAGTTCCATCTCCAACAAAGTGGATCTGAAGATTTGCTGAAGAAAAGGACAAGAGCAAACTCCAGTGCCCCGTGAGTGCCTGGCGGGTAACACAGGCCAGCCAGGTGGGGGCACGGGAGGCACTGCGCCAGGCACCGAGGGCATGAGACTAGAACGAGACAACCTGTGACTTCACAGGCCCAATCCTCCAGCCAGGGGAAGACAGCCTCCGAGGAGGATCCCAGCAAGATGGGAAGAGCCACGTGGCAGGGCGGACCTGGCTTTAAATCCTGGCTCTGACACTAGACAGGCACGGGACTGCACAGGCCCCGCCCCTCTCGTGCCCACACTATTATTAAAGAGCTGCATCTGGTTATTGCAGCCTCCCCAGTGCCTGACTGGGGAACTTGGTTAACACCCAGTAGAAAAAAGGGCATTCCCTGGAAGGCGGTCAGCCTGTGATTTCAAAGACATCCATGGCACAAGGTGGCATGTGCTAAGACCACATAGATGGATGGCACAGTTCACGCCACAGGGACGGATGGGACAGGACAGGTTCACGCCACAGGGCTTCAAAGGGAGCAGACGCTTATGGCTGAAGAAACCGGGAAAGGCCTCTTGGACGAGCTGGGCTGTCTTCTCAGGAATAGAAAACGGCCCCCTGGAGAGACAGCCCCACGGGAAGCGGGGTGCCAAGGGATGGCAACTTCCAAGCTCGGCTCCCATCCCAGAAGCCCGGCAAGTGGCGGGGGAGGAGGGCTTCCATGTGACCTCCTGACGCAGTTGGACAAAGCAGAATGCCAGGCTGGCTGGCCCTGGGAGTGGACAGGGGAGCCTCTGGGCTGGAACGTCAGAGTGGACAAGGTGTGCCAGCCTGCTCTGCCCCAAGGCTAGGGTTCACCCAGGAAGTGTGAGTGGTCCAGGGGGGAAAAGGGAACCCAAGGAGCTGGAGGCGGACCTGTGCCTCTAGGTCACCGGCGCAACACAGAACAATTCCTTCAAGTTCCTGCTGGTTAAACCCATCCTGCCGGGGAGGGTGCCAGGAAACTCCCTTCCCAACCCAAGGCCCTGCTGGGGGCTCCAAGAAGCAAAGTTCACGGGCTTAGCCCGAGAGGGCCCACACTGGACTGCTCTGAATGGGCTCCATTCCATCGGAGGACCTCAGACCTGGATTTGCATGGGGGACCTGATTATTTATAGGCAGAGAAGAGGGTGCATGAGGCCTTCCTGGTCTCCAGTCCAAATTCCTTCCTTTGGAAGCAGGGAAATGCAGCGTGCAAGTCCTGGACCAGAGGGGCCACCAGTGCCTAGGCCTGGCTGAGTCCCTCGCCAGAGACAGGGGCAGCAACCCTGGGAATGGCTGACCTTGCTGTTAACTCCAGGCAGCCGCATCTTCAGGCCTCCAGCAGGTCCCCGCCAGGAGGAAGTCTCCCACACTCGAGTGAGGGTGCAGGCGTCCCCTGGCCAAGGGGCATGAGGGCAGTCTGCCGCCAGGGACAGTGTCAGGAACTGACCTTCTCAGAGCGGGCTCCTCAGGTGGAGACGAGTACGTGCACCCCATGGCTTCTCACTCTCAGCTCCAGGACTTAAGGAAAAAGGAGGGTCACAGCTCTCTCCTGGACACCAGCAGGGGCCAGCAGATGGAAAGTTCGGCCCTGTGCATCCCCTGTTCCGTACTGGTGAGGAAGTTGCCTGGGCCCGTGGCCTCAAAGTGCTCCTGGACACCCCAAAGTCCTCTCGGAATTTCCCTGAGCTCCTGCCTGCGTCTGCCCCCATGAGCCCAAGAACTCTGCAACATCTGGAGCCCCAGCAGGCAGGACTCAGGATTCCAGAGTGAAGCCTCCCATGAGTCCCTGCACCGGGCACACACCCCTCCTCCCTCTGTATGGACCGAGGGAAGGAGAAAACCTTTCCAACCCCGACTCGGGTCTCCTTGGTAACTGTTTATATCAGAGCCCTTCTCCCCACGCCCTCCCCGTTTCCCATTAAAAAAAAAAAGGAAGTCATGTCTGCGGAACAAAGCTCTTCTAGGCTCTAGAAGACAGCCTGCAGGTTGCTATGGCAGGGCTGCACTCCATAAAGGAAGCCACACTGATCCCACTGCCAGGGCGCCACACAATCACATTAAATTAAGTCTGGTCCCTGTCTTCCCCCACACAAAAGAATTGCGGGCAAACAGAGCTTAAGACACTGGGTCCATGTCAGCGGGAAGCATCCTGTGTGCCATGAAAGACACACCTTCCCCTCCCATCAGGGCAGTTGGGGAAATGCCTGGCAAGGTGGGCTCCGTTTGCAGTGGTGATGTTCTGTCTTGGGGAGCACCCTTCTGAGGTTCCCGAGTGCAAACAGCCCATCCGAAAGCCCAAGGCTCGGCGGAGTGCAGTGGCTCACACCAGTACAGCACTTTGGGAGGCCGAGGTGGGTGGACGCCATAGCTCAGGAGTTTGAGGCCAGCCTGGGCAACATGGCGAAACAGCCTGTCTCTACCAAAAATACAAAAATTAGCCGGGTGTAGAGGTGTGCGTCTGTGATCCCAGCTACTTGGGAGGCTGAGGTAGGAGGATCACTTGAGCCTGAAGGCTGAGGTGAAGGTTGCAGTGAGCCAAGATTGTGCCACTGCACTCCAACCTGGTTGACAGAGTGAGACCCTGTCTCAAGAAAAAACAAACAAAACCAGAAAGCCCAAGGCTCCAGCCGTACAGAGGTGGCAGCTGTCCCAGGCCTGGAGCACACAGACCACGTGGCTCCAGAACGGAGCATGAAAGGTTCCAATTAAGGCTCTCCACGCCTAAATTGGGAGCAGGAGTCTTTCTGGGTTCAGGATCAGAAGTCAGCTGTAGTCCACTGCGTGGGGAAGATGAGGGAGGGCGGGAAAAGCACTGAGTCACTTGGACCGAGATGAACCGAGATGTGCGGTTCATTTTGTTCCCGTCACAGGCGACGCTGAGGAACATTTCTGGAAACTGCAAATCCGGTTGGATTTTCTGCAGCGGACTCGATTTCTCCTGAGACTGTCCCCTGCCCTTAGCAACACATGGGGAAGCTGCTTTGGACCAGCTCCCTTTCAGAACCTAGCGTCTACTGCCAAGTTCTCCAGGCTCCAGGGTCATGGGTGCCCACGGCGAGAGAAGGGGTGGCGGCTGAGGCACAGAGGCACGATGGCAGCAGAGCTGGGGGCAGCCTGCTCTGGCAGGACGGAGAGTGGGCTCTGCTAGGCGGACCCAGATTTCTTGACCTTCAGAGCCTTGTGGCATGGGGCTAATGGTTGGAAACGCCAGTCTTTGGTGAAAACAGAAAGTGGTTTGCTGGAGCTCAGACAGAAGCCAGCAGCTGTCTCTGCGGACAGGGACTCTGATGAACACGTGGGGAGGGCAGCTGCTGGAGACAGCTGGCTACAGGCAGGGGGAGGTGAAAGCAGGTGTGAGTGGCCACAGGTCAGAGACAAAACAGGCGAAGGGAATGACTTCTTACTGAGTGCCTACTGCATGCTGGCTAGCATTCAAGAAGCTTTCTATTTTATTTTGTTTAATCCTCACCACCCTGTGCAGTGCGCAAGGGTTTCTATCCACCTTGACAAGGCAGTGAGGCTCAGGGTGGGTGAAGCGGTAATTCAACTCCAGGCCTGTGAAAGCTCCAGGGCCCAGTGGCCCAGCACCCGGGGTTCCTGTCTGCTCCCCAAGCAAGGTGCACCTCCCCCGGCTTTACCCTGTCTGCAGTGCGCCCCGGGCACGTTCAGGCAGCACATCTCACAGCCCTTCCCAAGGATCCTGGGGCCGTGTCCTCAGGATGCTCTAAGGCTCTGGTGGGCTGCCGCTCCCTCATTCCCCCCGACCATGTCCTCCAGCACGTGTTCACATCAGGACTCCGTGAGCAAGTCTGTGAAGCTCAGAAAGCCTGCTGTGCTGTTCCACACACGCAAAAGCCTTGATGCTCTTCTGACGACCTCAGCAGTGACCCTGAGCCAGGGGGTGGCCAGGACTAGGGCTAATTTTCCGGAGACAGAGAAGAGAAACTCAGGGTTATTCAGCCCATCGGTGACAGAAAGAAAAGGCCATACCCTCAGACAGTAAGATCATCTGATCTGGCACAAAGTGGCTCTGCTATTGTGTGCAATCAAAGGGGATGGAAAGGAGGGGTGGGCTGGGGTGGCCATGACAAGAGCTAGGGGTCCGAGGGAGCAAAAGCGTGGTGCAGGAAGCCCCAGGCTGGAATCCCAGCTCTCATGTGCTAACGTCAGCCTTGACCAGGTCACTCACCCTCTCCTGGGATCAGCACTGCCATTTGTAAAATGGAGATAAGAACATCACCTCTGGTGGGTGATGAGGGTCCCAGAATTATGTTTTCAAAAGCACTGGCTTGGAGCCCTTTCTCTGATCCACTGACACCTGCATTTGCACTCGGCTCTCCATCTGTGCCGAGCGGCCCTGGTCAATTTCTGCTAGGCTGAGGCCAGCAGCCTCCTGGCCCATCTTCCTGCTTCCAAGTCAGCTCCCTCCACTCCAGCTCCAAATGGCGCTTCATGGGGCCACCGCTCTCCAGACACCGCCATCCTACACAGGCTTCCCCAGCTCCCTGTTAGCGTCATCCACATATGTCATTTTTTTAAATTGATTTTTTAGTTTTTCTAGAGACGGGGTTCGCTCCGTTGCCCAGGCTGGAGTGCAGTGGCGTGACCACAGCTCACTGCAGCCTCCAACTCCTGCCTCAGCCTCCCAAAGTGCTGCGATGACAGGTCCACACCACCATGCCCAGCTAATTTTTGAATTTATTTTTAAGTTTTTGTAGAGTCGATGTCTTGCTATGTTGCCCAAGCTGGCCTTGACCTCCTGGCTTCAAGTGATCCTCTCGCCTCAGCCTCCCAAGTAGCTGGTATTACAGGTGTAAGCCACCATGCTCAGCTAAGATACGTATATCAGAACATCACACTGTATACTTTGAACTTACATAATTTTAAATATATGTATAAAATTTTTATTTGTCAATTATGTCATTTTAAAGCTGGGAAAAATAAAATTTACAAAGAAAGAAAAATGCTGGCCTGGTGCGGTGGCTCACACCTGTAATCCCAACACTTTGGAAGGCTGAGGCAGGCGGATCACCTGAGGTCAGCAGTTCGAGATCAGCCTGGCCAATATGGTGAAACCCCGTCTCTACTAAAAATACAAAAATTAGCCGGGTGTGGTGGCAGGCGCCTGTAATCCCAGCTACTCGGGAGGCTGAAGCAGGAGAATCGCCTGAAGCCGGGAGGCGGAGGTGGCAGTGAGCCGAGATTGCGCCATTGCACTTCAGCCTGGGGGACAGGAGCGAGACTTAGTCTCAAAAAGAAAAAAAGAAAAATGCTTAGGCTGGGCATGGTGGCTCACGCCTGTAATCCCAACACTTTGGGAGGCTGAGGTGGGTGGATCACTTGAGGTCAGGAGTTCAAGACCAGCCCGGTCAACATGGTGAAACCCCATCTCTACTCAAAATACAAAAATTAGCTGGGCGTGGTGGCAGGCACCTGTAGTCCCAGCTACTCAGGAAGCTGAGGCAGGAGAATCACTTGGACCCAGGAGGCAGAGGTTGCAGTGAGCCAAGATTGTGCCACTGAACTCCAGCCTGGGCCACAGAGTAAGACTCCATCTCAAAAAAAAAAAAGAAAGAAAGAAAAAGAAAAAAACTTAGATGCTCTGATAAATATATATAATTTTTGTCATTTATACCTCAATAAAGCTGGGGAAAAAAATCCATACCCCTTGGAAGGTCCCAAGGCCCTCTAAGATGCTCTCCTGTGTCAGCTCCCTCCATGACCTGACTTCCTTGGTGACCCCAACTCCTTTTATGACCTCTGACCCCCCACGACCCCTGACTCCCTTGGTGACCTGTGCCTGGGCTCTACCAGCATGTGGCTCCCTTGGAACAGCCCCGCGTGTCCTCACCTCCCAGCCTCCACACTTGGCCTCCTAGGCTCCTGTGGGGGCATCTCATCCCTGACACACCCCCAATGGGGGATACCCCTCCTCTGCATTCCCACCACCCCCAGGCCAGTAGAGCACATGTCCCACTGTGCCATCCACAGCTCCCTCTCCTGCACCCGACAGGGCCCAGTGAAGTCAGGAGGTCAGACAACATGCGCTCTGCACGGCAGTACCCGACAGTTCCCGACAGCCCATGTCTGGAGTTTCAAGCACTTGTCAGAGTGACAGAAACCTCCCCCATCTCATCAGGGACCAGGAAAGGAAGGAGAGGAGGCGAGGTCCCTTTGGAGGTCAGATGGCAGCAGAAAACCCAGAGCTGTGCTTGCAGAAGTGGCAGAAACACCCTGGCCCATGTCCTCGCCGTTCCCACAGCAGCGGGAGGCAGTGGGCCCCCTGCACCGTCTACTCTCGTGGCCACAGGCTTCCCCTAATGCTTTCCTCTTTGTCAGTCTCATTTGTATTTCTCTTTTCATGCTCGATGGAGCCAAGGACCTCACTACAGAGAAAGTGACCCTGAACTGGATGTGGCAAGACCCCCAGATCCACTTCCCATCTGTTGGCACTCAGGAGATAAAAAACAGACACGTGATGCTGGCAGCCCTGACCCCTGGCCTCCCGGGCTTTCTGTCAAGAACAGGCCCCAAAAGGAAGGTCACTCAGGAAAATGAGATCTTTTGTGGCTTTTCAAAAGCAATCTCCAGGGGGACGTAATCAGGAAAATCCAGACTGTGGGAAACTGTGATACAAATGATGTTTCAAGGAAGAAACGGGATGGAAGGGAAGCTTAGGAATGGAAAGGGAGCTGACGTGTCGCTAAGGAAAAACCGCTGGCACAGCAGCCCACGGTGCTATCATTCCATTTATGTGACGCTTTGGAAAATGTTAAACTACAGGGACAGAAATAAGATTGGCAGTTGCCAGAGGCTGATTACCCGATGGAGGAGGATGATTGCAAAGAGGTAGGACAGGACTGTTTCGGAGTGATGAAATGTTCTAGATTTCGATTATGATACTGATTACAGAATCACATACATCTGTCAAGACTCATGAACTGGTGCACTTAAAGAGGAAAATGTTGGCCCAGTGCAGTGGCTCATGCCTGTAATCCTAATCCTAGCACTTTGGGAGGCTGAGGCAAGAGGATCACTTGAACTCAGACGTTCGAACAAGACCAGCCTGGGCAACATAGTGAGACTTTGTCTCTACTAAAATTAAAAATAAAAATTAGCCGAGTATGGTGGCACATGCCCGTAGCCCCAGCTACTCAGGGGGCTGAGATGGGACGATCCCCTTAAGCCTGGGAGGTAGAGGCTGTAGTGAGCCCTGATCACACCCCTGCACTCCAGCCTGGGTGACAGAGCAAGACCCTGTCTCAAAAAAAAGGGAGGAGGGGGGCATTTTACTGTATGCAAATTATACCTGAATATACCTGACCTCTCCCAAACGAAAGATTTATTAATCAACTGCAGTGTATGGGTCTTGTTTAGATCCTGAATTAAACAAACAAAAACTGTTAAACAAAATCAAACATCAGTCAATCAGGGAACTATGAATAAATGTTGTCTGGGTATCTAACGATGCTGAAGAATTACTGTTGACTTCCAAGGTGTGAAGATGGCGTTGTGTTATGTTCAGAAAGGAGAATACTTGAAGTTTACTTTTTTTTTTTTTTGAGACAGGGTCTCGTTCTGTCACCCAGGTTGGAGTGCAGTGGCACAACCATGGCTCACTGCAGCCTCAACCTCCTGGGCTCAAGTGATCCTCCCACCTCAGCCTTCTGAGTAACTGGGACCACAGGCATGTGCCACCACACTTGACTAATGTTTGTGTTTTTTGTAGAGACGGGGTCTTGCTATGCTACCCAGGCTGATCTCGAACACTTGGCTTCAAGTGATTCTCCTGCCTCAGCCTCCCGAAGTGCTGGGATTACAGGCATGAGCCGCCATGCCTGGCGAGTCCTTGAATTTTAGAGGACTGAAACATTTCCTGATGAAATATGACATCTGGGGATTGCATTAAAATAATCCAGGACTGGTGCGGCGGTGGGGGGCAGCGGAAAGAAATAAGACCGGCGAGGAGTGAGTAGTTATGAAAACTGGGGGCTGGAGGCGTATGGGGTCCACTCTCCTGTGCCCTACACTCTGGTGTTTGAAATGTTCCATAAGAAGCTTTATTTTTCTTTAAAGCACTCTAGCATTCCAGGAGCAAAGCACAGGTGCAGGGGGCACTGCAGAGCTTCTCAGGGCCAGTAGAGGCAACATGAGCACAGCAGCCTGAGCGGGCTGGAGGGTCAGAGTGAATGCAGCGCACAGGCCTCGTGCAGAATGGGGCCGCTGCTCAGCTGCTCCACAGCTGGTGGGCATCACTGTGGGTCCAGTATGACCAGATCCTCTATTTTTTTTTTTTTTTTTAAAGAAGCTGTAAGTCTAAGTTTTTATTTGATACTGCCTTTTTTTTTTTGGTCTCACTTCATCGCCCAGGCTGGAATGCAGTAGCGTGATCTCAGCTCACTGCAACTTCCACCTCCTGGATTCAAGCAATTCTCCTGCCTCAGCCTCCCGAGTAGCTGGGATTACAGGCACGCACCACCATGCCCAGCTAATTTTTGTACTTTTTGTAGAGACAGGGTTTTGCCATGTTGGCCAGGCTGGTCTTGAACTCCTGGCCTCATGTGATCCACCTGCTTTGGCCTCCCAGAGTGCTGGGATTACAGGTGTCAGCCACCACGCTGGGCCTGATACTGCCACACTTTTTAATGTTCTAATTAAAATATTTTTTAAAAAAATACTGTGTAAGCCAAACCCAGCCTGGAGGCCACAGGTTTCCCTAGAGGCAGCCACACATACAGATTTAGCCTTGGTTAATTCAACGGCCATTCTCTGAGAAGCTTCCCTCCGACAGGCGGCCCCGCACTAAGGTAGGGACCCAGATGGAAATGGGACGCTCTCTGCACCATGGGAGGCAAAAATACAAATTCCATCACCAAGAGGGCACGCCATGCGGTGTTGTTCCATAAGGGTGAGCAAAGCTGCCAGGCCCACAGGAGAGAGAGCCCACAGGAGCCCTGGATCCTGTGGGACTTTGGATCCTACACAGTGAGTGATCTCAGAACTTTGCAAGGCTGAGGCAGGGAGACTGCTTGAGGCCAGGAGGTTAAGACCCAGCCTGGGCAACAGAGCGAGACCATGTCTTTAAAAAAAAATAAATAAGCCAGGCATGGTGGCATGTGCCCGTCACCCCAGCTACTCAAGAGGCTGAGCATTCCCTGGGGCTCCCTTAGGGCATGAGCTGCCCCAGTGCGAAATGCTCTGTTCAGAGGTGCAACCTGAGTGAGTGGGAGTGGACGTGAAAGAGTCATTATTATATATTATTATTATTATTATTATTATTATTTTGAGAGGGGGTCTTGCTCTGTCGCCCAGGCTGGAGTGCAGCGGTGTGAGCTCGGCGCTCGGCAGCCTTGGCATCCCAGGCTCAGGTGATCCTCTCACCTCAGCCTCCTGAGTAGCTGGGACTACAAGCGTATGCTACCGTGCCTGGCTAATTTTTGTATTTTTTCCGTAGAGACAGGGTTTCGTCATGTTGCCAGGCTGATCTTGAACTCCTGGGCTCAAAGCAATCCACCTGCCTCGGCCTCCTGAAGTGTGGGATTCCAGGCGTGAGCCACCACACCTGGCAGGAAGAGCCATTTATTATCATTACTGCTACTATTATTATGAAAAAGAACTTGTTGCTCATTACCACTCCTCTCTAACAAGTCATTAATTGCTATTACAAACAGTCCAAAAGACCTCCCCGGGAGGGATAAAACAATGTTCATGGAATAGAAAGCTCAATATTGTAGGATGTCAACTCTTCCCATATTAATATACAGATTCAATCCAATTCCAACAAAAATCCCACTGGGTTTTTTGTTTTAAAAATGTGTTTGGCCCCGTACAGTGGCTCACACCTGTAATCCCAGTATTTTGGGACGCCCAGGCGGATGGATCACTTGGGGTCAGGAGTTTAAGACCAGCCTGGCCAACGTGGTGAAACTCCATCTCTACTAAAAATACAAAAATTAGCCGGGCATCATGGTGGGTGCCTGTAATCCCAGCAACTTGGGAGGCTGAAGCAAGAGAATCGCTTGAGCCCCAGAGGCAGAGGTTGCAGTGAACTGATATCGCGCCATAGCACTCCAGCCTGGGTGACAGGGCGAGACCGTGTCTCTAAAACAAAATAAATAAATGCCAATTCTAGAAGCCACCAGAAATCATGGTGAGAGTTCCTGATATAGCCCTGGGCCACATACCTTCCTCACACTAAGCCCTATTACTCCCTACTGCTCTGTGGCTATAACAGAAATCACCTGTGCTCACTGAAATACCGGTAGCCAGGGACACTGATGTGGGATTTAGAATAGGAGATCTAGGCTTGAGGCCTGGTTGTATCAGCTAGGTGACCTTTCTGAGCCTCAGTTTTCTCCTATTTTTTATAGAGACAGGGCCTTGCTACGTTGCCCAGGCTGGTCTCCAACTCCTGGGCTTAAGCAATCCTCCTGCCTTGGCCTCCCAAAGAGCTGGGATCACAAGTGTGAACCACTACACCCAACTTCCTGCTCTGTAAAATAACATCTACAGGCTGAATGTCCCTAATCTAAAATCTGAAATCTGAAACTTTTTGAGCGTCAACATGATCCTCAAAGGGAAGAATCATTGGAGCATTTCAGATTTTCAGATAAGAAATGCTCATCTGGTGAGTATAATGCAAACATTCCAAAGTCCAAGATCTGAAACACTTCTGGCAAGCACTTCAGATAAGGAATACTCTCCTTGTCGGTAAATTAACAAATTAACACCACTCTTTTTTGTTTATTGTAGAGATGGCGGGGGGGTGGGGGTCTCCCTATGTTGCTCAGGCTGGTCTTGAACTCCTGGCTCAAGCAATCTTTGTGCCTCAGCCTCCCTAAGCACTGGGATTACAGGCGTGAGCCACCATGCCAGGCCTATTAACACTATCTTAGGAGACTAACACTATCGTAGGAGGCCTATTAACACTAAATTAGGAGCAGCATGGCAAAGTAGAGAAAACATGGCTTGTGGAGCTTGCAGACTTCATTCAAAAGCCAACTCTGCTGCTATTTAGAAGTTAGGTGGCCTTGGGCAAACTCTGCAATCCCTGGCACCTCGGTTTCTTCATCCGCAAAATGGGCTGCTCATGTCTTCGTGGAAGGGCTCTTGTAAGACTGGAGATGGTATTAATAAAAAGGATAAAAATAATAACACACTCCAGGCATGGTGGCTCACGCCTGTAATCCCAGCACTTTGGGAGGCCGAGGCAGGCAGACTGCTTGAGCCCAGGAGTTTCAGACCAGCCTGGGCAACATTGTTAGATGTCCATTTGTACAAAAAATATAAAAATTAGCCAAGGGTGGTGGTGCACGCCTGTAGTCCCAGCTACTTGGGAGGCCAAAGTGGGAGGATCTCTTGAGCCTGGGAGGCGGAGGTTGCAGTGAGCCGAGATCGTGCCAGCGTATTCCAGCCTGAACGACAGAGTGAGACCCTGCCTCAAAATAAATAAATAAATAGTAACAATCCATAACACCTGAGAGCCTACTATGCACCAGGAACTGAGCAAAGAGCTCTATGATGGATTAACTCAGTTTTCACAGCCTTATGAGGTAAGTACTACTACTACCTCCAGCTTACAGTTGGGGACACAGACTTGGAAAGATCAAGTCACCTGGCTGATGTCAGATGGCTAATGTGGGAGAGTCAGTACTCAACCTTGAGCACCCAACTTCAGGGTCCAGAATGTAGCCATGGTACTAGAAATATTTGTCTTGTACAGCGTACAGGTAAAAGCCCTGGCTGCAGCAGGCATCCAGTGTGATTTAATGAGGGAAGAGACAAGACTCTGGAAACTGCATATCTCCACACACATAAGGTTAGAAGATCATGATTAGGTGGAGGGAACAGAATTTCAGCATCCTGGCAAAGAGGAACAGTGAGAATCAACAAAAAAATACAAGTGCTTTGGGACCCTACAGCTCCCACAGTCTACAGGTTTTATGTCAACTTCCTCTTGTAAGGCCAGGGAGGTGACAGCGAGAACAGATGAGCTATGAGAGGAATGCTGCCTCCCTTGGTGGCAAGCTCCGCAGGCTCCCAGGGCCAACCCACGTCCTCACTCACGGCGGTGGGGCGGAACTTCCATTTTACAGATGAGGGAACAAGGGCCAGTTCAGGAGCTGGGTCCTGGACCCTGGTCTCTTTATCTTGAGTACTACTACGCTTTTTTATCAAAAGTACTATTCCACACCAGCAATGCCCCGTGTACCAGCCCTGGACAGGATGGGCTGGATTCCAGCTGATCTGCCCTTCCTATATCGGGCCCTCTGCTCTAAAGTCCTTTCAGCTTCAGGGTGTGGCTCTACCTTTAAGAACCTGCCCAACACCCCTCCTGCAGGACTTGGTCTGATCCCCACACCAATTCCTTCTCTCTTAGAGCTGGCGGAGCCTGTCTCTCCAGCCTGTGCCCTGGGCACATCCCATAACCTCTCTGAGAGCAGAAATGAGGCAACCCACGCTACCTAACGCACGGCGCTGTTGCAAGGAGGCCCTGATTAGACAATGTAGGTTAAAGCAGTTCACAAAGCATTTCTAAAAAGTACGCTGTGGCCGGGTGTGGTGGCTCACGCCTATAATCCCAGCACTATGGGAGGCAGAGGCAGGCAGCTCACCTGAGGTCGGGAGTTTGAGACCAGCCTGGCCAACATGGTGAAACCCCGTCTCTACTAAAAATACAAAAATTAGCCAGGCGTGGTAGCATGTGCCTGTAGTCCCAGGCACTCGGGAGACTGAGGCACGAGAATCGCCTGAACCCGGGAGGCGGAGGTTGCAGTGAGCCGAGATTGCACCACTGCACTCCAGCCTGAGTGACAAGAGCAAAAGTCTGTCTCAAAAAAAAAAAAACTATGTTGCAACACCCTCATTTTCCAGCTTAACATAAATGCTGGCTCTGTGGTCCTGATCGTGCCCGTCATAGTGCCTGGCACGAAATACGATCAACGCAAACACTACACAGCTCCTATCCCTCAGGGGCAGTGCTAGGTGAGTTTATAGACTCTTCCTCATTTAAGACAAAAGCCCCACAAGATTGGGAATACTGCCTCCATTTAGCAGGTGAGGAAACTGAGGCAGAATGAGGTTAAGGTCTCGCCCAGGGTTCACTCACCACTAGAGCGTAAGCTTGATGAAGACAGCATTCATCTATTTTCTTCACTGCTGCAGCCACACACCTTAGCATAGTGTCTGGGACACTGTAGGTAGGGCCTCAGGAAATGTTTGCTCAGTGAGTCAATGATGGAGATAAGATTGAACCCAGTTTTGTTTTGTTTTGTTTTGTTTTTGAGACGGACTCTGTCTCCCAGGCTGGAATGCAGTGGCGCATTCTTGGCTCACTGCAACCTCTGCCTCCTGGGTTCAAGCGATTCTTCTGCCTCAGCTTCCCTAGTAGCTGAAATTACAGGCATGCACCACCACGCCCAGCTAGTTTTTGTATTTTCGGTAGAGACGGGGTTTCGCCATGTTGGCCAGGCTGGTCTCGAACTCCTGACCTCAAGTGATTTCTCCCGCCTCGGCCTCCCAAAGTGGTGGAATTACAGACGTGAGCCGCTGTGCCTGGCCCTGAACCCAGTTTTTAAAAATGTAAAACTAATTCCCTGTCCATGGTATAAGAACTGTGTTGTGTGAATATCTGCTTTACGGTGTGAAGGCTGTAAGTGTTCTGGCGGGGAAGGCTGATACCCAGATTGGAATAGGGAATCGGGATTTGATGTGAGCGGCATGCTTCACCATGCCCAGCCTTGGAGAATGACTTTTCTGTGTGGCTTGTTCCTGCCAAGACAGCCACAGCCTTGGACTGGAACTGACATGACAGATGGCCCCCACTGGTGTCAGCACCAGCCCAGGGTGGCCCTGGGGTGCAAGCTAAGGCTGCAGCTGGGACTGGGTCCCCTGAAGACAGACAGAATGAAAGGGGTTCTGGTCTGAGAATGGCTCCCAATCCTGCCCCTGAGACCTGCCCCTTGCCAAATCCAGGGAGTCCCTGAAGGCAGCAGGCCCGTGCCCCTGGAGTTCCCTCGGCTCAGACCTGACCTGGCAGGTCCCCACTCAAACCTGGCTGCGGGCCCCTGGAGTCTGAGACTGGTGTTAAACACAGCCAAGCGTAACCGCAGGAAGTAATTCTGGCCGCAGGACCCTAAAATCTGGAGAATGACTTTTCCGTGTGGCTTATGGAAATCAATCTTGGAGAGACAGGGATGCAGTCACTTAGGCAGACCTTCGGTATCATTTTTTTCTGTCTACATACCATCTATACTATTATTTCCTTAACGTTTTTCTTTTAACTAATCCATCTTTTTCACTTATTCTTAAAAGGAAGCTTCATGAAAAGTTTAAAAGAGCAACAAAATAAGGCCTGTCCAAAGATTTTGTGCTCATTAGCACATAGCCTTCCAGGTGGCTACAGCCTTAAAAAGACTTTAAAATGCCAATTCTAGGCTGGGTACAGTGGCTCACGCCTGTAATCCCGACACTCTGGGAGACCAAGGTGTGCGGATTGCTTGAGTCCAGGTGTTCGAGACCAGCCCGGGACATGGCAAATCCCTGTCTCTATAAAAAAATACAAAAATTGACTGGGCGCAACGGCTCACACCTGTAATCCCAGCACTTTGGGAGGCCGAGGTGGGCGGATCACTTGAGGTCAGGAGTTTGAGACCAGCCTGGCCAACATGGTGAGACCCTGTCTCTACTAAAAATACAAAAAATAGCCAGGCGTGGTGGCGGGCACCTGTAATCCAAGCTACTCAGGAGGCTGAGGCAGAAGAATTGCTTGAGCCTGGGAGGCAGAGGTTGCAGTGAGCCGAGATCGCACCGCTGTACTCCAGACTGGTTGAAAGAACAAGATTCTGCTTCAAAAAAAAAAAAAAAAAAATTAGCTGGGCATAGTGGTGCACACCTTTAGTCCCAGCTACTCGGGAGGCTGAGGTGGGAAGACTGCCTGAGCCTGGGAGGTGGAGATTACAGTGAACCTTGATCGTGCCACCGCCATTGCACTCCAGCCTGGGCAATACAGTGAGACCATGTCTCCAAATAAATAAATAAATAAATAAATGGAAAAAAGGGTTCCAGCTCTAGCGCTGCTATTGCTGGCTAATGACCCTGGCAGGCCCGTTAACATTCTTGAGCCCCCGGTTCTTAATCTGTAAACTGGTGTCATTTTCGCAGTGCTTCCTGTGAAGGTCATATAAACAGCAGATAGAAAAGGGCCTTATAAACCCCACATAAGAGATGATTAAGGGAGAGCTCAAGCACAATCTAGCAAGAAGGCAAAACCCAAGAGTCACCCCAAAATGCTACAAGGAGCCTTGCTTCTTTCAGCCTGAGGCCCGCATGCAGGACACTGCTTGGAGTGGTGACAGAAGAGGGACAGAGAGAGGAGGCTGAGAGGCGGCACTTACAATGTCTGAATTTTGGTGAACTCGGGGACTTCTTCTTTTTTCTTTCTGAAGAGGAACCAGTAGGTTAGGAGACCCACGATGAGCGAAAACAGAATCATGTCCGTCATGCTGAAAAGAGATACTTCTTCGGCCACCGCCTCGGACACGGTGGAGCTGGTGTCCACGTGGGAGTCTCCCATGTTGATCATGAAACTGTTAGGAGACAGAAACAGCAGATGTCAGCAGAGGGTAGCAGGGTGCCCCTGAGGCTGGCTGGGGTGCCCACCTAAATGCTGGGCCTTGCCCCTGGGGCTGCAGGAAATGGTCACTGCACGGGGTAGGAGAAGGGGCTCACTCAGCCAGGTTCCTGCCAAGACAGCCACAGTCTTGGACTGGGGCTGACATAACAGACAGCCCCCAGTGGTGTCAGCACCAGCCCAGGGTGGTCCTGGGGTGCAAGCTAAGGCAGCAGCTGGGACTGGGTCCCTGGAAGACAGAGAAAATGACAGCCACTGACTCTCAGTGTGCTGGAACATCCTCTAATCCCACAAGGACACCGCACGGGGGGCAGGCGGGAGGAAGTGCACGCAAGAGTGGACCATTTCGCAGCAAACCCTTTCCCCAGCTGTGTGGCTGGCGGGGGTTGCCCTAAACCCTGCATGTTCCAAGTCTCCAGGCCTGGCCCTTGAGTGGCTCCTGATATTCACGAGCCTTGGACTATCCTGACTGGCAAGAGTGTCTCTGTATTCCTAAAACCTTGGGCTATGAAGGTAGTTCCTGTTAACAATGAGATTTATGGTGAATGCCTGCTTTCCTATGCCTGGGAGTCTTTTTTTTTTTTTTTTAAGAGACAAAGTCTGGTCCCTCCCCCTCCCCCTCCCCCTCCCTCTTTCCACGGTCTCCCTCTGATGCCCAGCCGAAGCTGGACTGTACTGCTGCCATCTCGGCTCACTGCAACCTCCCTGCCTGATTCTCCTGCCTCAGCCTGCCGAGTGCCTGCGATTGCAGGCGCGCGCCGCCACGCCTGACTGGTTCTCGTATTTTTTTGGTGGAAACGGGGTTTCGCTGTGTTGGCCGGGCTGGTCTCCAGCTCCTAACCGCGAGTGATCCTCCAGCCTCGGCCTCCCGAGGTGCCGGGATTGCAGACGGAGTCTCGTTCCCTCAGTGCTCAATGGTGCCCAGGCTGGAGTGCAGTGGCTTGATCTCGGCTCGCTACAACCACCTCCCAGCCGCCTGCCTTGGCCTCCCAAAGAGCCGAGATTGCAGCCTCTGCCCGGCCGCCACCCCGTCTGGGAAGTGAGGAGCGTCTCTGCCTGGCTGCCCATCGTCTGGGATGTTAGGAGCCCCTCTGCCTGGCTGCCCAGTCTGGAAAGTGAGGAGCGTCTCTGCCCGGCCGCCATCCCATCTAGGAAGTGAGGAGCGCCTCTTCTCCACCGCCATCCCATCTAGGAAGTGAGGAGCGTCTCTGCCTGGCCGCCCATCGTCTGAGATGTGGGGAGCGCCTCTGCCCCGCCGCCCCGTCTGGGATGTGAGGAGCGCCTCTGCCCGGCCGCGACCCCATCTGGGAGGTGAGGAGCGTCTCTGCCCGGCCGCCCCGTCTGAGAAGTGAGGAGACCCTCTGCCTGGCAACCGCCCCGTCTGAGAAGTGAGGAGCCCCTCCGTCCAGCAGCCACCCCATCTGGGAAGTGAGGAGCGTCTCCGCCCAGCAGCCACCCCGTCCGGGAGGGAGGTGGGGGTCAGCCCCCGCCCGGCCAGCCGCTCCGTCCGGGAGGGAGGTGGGGGGGTCAGCCCCCCGCCCGGCCAGCTGCCCCGTCCGGGAGGTGAGGGGCGCCTCTGCCCAGCCGCCCCTACTGGGAAGTGAGGAGCCCCTTTGCCCGGCCAGCCGCCCCATCCGGGAGGGAGGTGGGGGGGTCAGCCCCCCGCCCGGCCAGCCGCCCCGTCCGGGAGGGAGGTGGGGGGGTCAGCCCCCCGCCCGGCCAGCCGCCCCGTCCGGGAGGGAGGTGGGGGGGTCAGCCCCCCGCCCGGCCAGCTGCCCCGTCCGGGAGGGAGGTGGGGGGGTCAGCCCCCCGCCCGGCCAGCTGCCCCGTCCGGGAGGGAGGTGGGGGGGTCAGCCCCCCGCCCGGCCAGCCACCCCATCCGGGAGGTGAGGGGCACCTCTGCCCGGCCGCCCCTACTGGGCAGTGAGGAGCCCCTCTGCCCCGCCAGCCGCCCCGTCCGGGAGGGAGGTGGGGGGGTCAGCCCCCCGCCCGGCCAGCCGCCCCGTCCGGGAGGGAGGTGGGGGAACCCCCATGTCACCAGCCTAGTTCCCTCATAAGATGCTCAACTGGTCCTTCCACCAACGACACCTGGTAGGCAGACGTGACATGAGTCAACAAAGGTCCAAGTGAGAGTCCCTGAAACAGCAGCTTCTGCTGCTTACCAAGGAGGCTGGGCTCAGCCCTGAAATTCACACTATTCCATTTTGCAATCATGGATATGACCGACTGGGTTTTTCACCACAACCAGAGCACCCAGACTCAATCAGGAAAGCCTTAGTCATGTGTCAGCAATTAGGCAATGAGAGACTATGTTCTAGCTGACTGCTGATGGCTGTCACTGTCACCAGGAAACCATGGGGCTGGTCTGGGAAGCCAGGGCATCCGAGGGTTGTGGGCATCGGTCTACTGCTACACAACCTGCTGGGAACAGGCCATTCAGAACAGGCCCGCAAGCTTGGGTCTTTGCTTTCTCACTAATCTGAGCTGCTTTTCCAATGGCTTGAGTTCATCTCAATTTAGCTTTTTTCTTTCTTTTTTATTTTATTTTTTTGAGATAGAGTCTCTCTCTGTCACCCTGGCTAGAGTGCAATGGCACCATCTCGACTCACTGCAACCTCCGCCTCCTGGGTTCAAGCGATTCTCTTGCCTCAGCCTCCAGGGTACCTGGGACTACGGGTGCCCGCCACGACACCTGGCTAATTTTGTATTTTTAGTAGAGACGGGGTTTCACCATGTCAGCCAGGCTGGTCTCGAACTCCTGACCTCAGGTGATCTGCCTGCTTCGGCTTCCCAAAGTGCTGGGATTACAGGCGTGAGCCACTGTGCCTGGCCTCAACTTGGCTTTTTTGATATGACTTTTTTTTTTTCGGGGGGGGGGGGGGCCGGGGGACAGAGCCTCGCTCTGTCACCCAGGCTGGAGTGCAGTGGTGCGATCTCGGCTCACTGCAACCTCTGCCTCCCGGATTCAAGCAATTCTCCTGCCTCAGTCTCCTGAGCAGCTGGGATTACAGGCATGTGCCACCACACCCGGCTAATTTTCTGTATTTTTAGTAGAGATGGAGTTTCACCATGTTGGTCAGGCTGGTCTCAAACTCCTGACCTCGTGATCCTGCCTCGGCCTCCCAAAGTGCTGGGATGACAGGCGTGAGCCACTGCACCTGGCCAGCTTTTTTGATATGACATTAAAGGACAAAGTGAATTCTGTTGTCCCCAGAGAAAACTATTTATATTTAATCTTATAAACACATTTAATATTTACTTAATGCTAGTCATATCAGGATCTCTGTCAAGCTTATGAGCCACCTGTCACATTTTCATAGAACCAGACAGAGAGGCATTTAGGATCTGCTCTGACAGATTCTGGAAGGACTTGTCCCACAGAGTCATGAGGCAGCAGACAGTCAGGGCCCCACTGGAACCAGTCAGGAGTGCCATGGTGACACAGGAGCTCCCCTAGCTGTCTAGCTGTTATCCATCACAAGGCAGCAGCCAAGAAACTCGCGCTCCCTGTCCCTCACCCTCCTCCCTTCTAACTCCCCAAGTGACCGGTCCCCTCATTTTCCAGAAGAGATCTAATGCCCATGATGTGAAGTCCTTCTCAACGCAGACTCAAGCTGATTGCATAACTCATGGCAGTTTCTATTAATAAATCGACGACGCTGGGAGTGAGGTTAGCGGTACATCTGCACCTACGTAATCACCGCAAGAGAATTCTGATGGACGGGCCATTCCCCACACAGCAGACAGGGGGATGCTTTAAAAAGTAAGTCAGATCGTCCGGGCACGGTGGCCCATGCCTGTAATCCCAGCACTTTGGGAGGCCAAGGCGGGTGGATCACGAGGTCAGGAGATCGAGACCATCCTGGCTAACACAGTGAAACCCCGTCTCTACTTAAAAAAAAAAAATACAAGAAATTAGCCAGGCGTGGTGGCAGGCACCTGTAGTCCCAGAAACAGGAGGAGGGAGGTGAGGTGGGAGAATGGTGTGAACCCGGAAGGCAGAGCTTGCAGTGAGCTGACATTGTGCCACTGCACTCCAGCCTGGGCGACAGAGCGAGATTCCATCTCAAAAAAAAAAAAAAGTAAGTCAGGTCATGTCCCCTCCCTGATCAAAACCCTGAGATGGGCTGGGCACGGTGGCTCACACCTGTAATCCCAGCACTTTGGGAGGCCGAGGCAGGTGGATCACCTGAGGTCAGGCGTTTGAGACCAGCCTGGCCAACATGGTGAAACCCTGTCTCTACTAAAAATACAAAAATCAGCCGGATGCAGTGGCGCATGCCTGTAATCCCAGCTACTCAGGAGGCTGAGGCTGGAGAATCATTTGAACCCAGGAAGCGGAGGTTGCAGTGAGCTGAGATCACACCACTGCACTCCAGACTCCAGCCTGGAGTGCTGGAGAACAGAGTGAGACTCCATCTCAAACAACAACAACAACAACAACAAACCCTGAGATGTCTTCACATCATACTTCGTACAAAAACCTAAAGTGGCCAGGCACAGTGGCTCACGCCTGTAATCCCATCACTTTGGGAGGCCGAGGCGGGTGGATCACGAGGTCAGGAGTTCAAGACCAGCCTGGCCAACACAGCGAAACTCCATCTCTACTAAAAATACAGAAATTAGCCAGGCATGGTGACGCGTGCCTGTAGTCCCAGCTACTTGGGGAGGCTGAGGCAGGAGAATCGCTTGAACCTGGGAGGCAGAGGTTGTAGTGAGCTGAGATCACGCCACTGCACTCCAGCCTGGGTGACAGAGTGAGACTCCGTCTCAAAAACAACAACAACAACAACAACAACAACAACAAAGCCCTGAAGTCCTTACACAGCTCATAAGGCCCATACGATCCGGCCCTCAGAACCCACTCCCACCACCCACATTTCTTACTACGCTCCCCTTCCTCACACCTTGCAGGTCACGCTGGCCTCCTTCTGTTTCAGGGACTTTGCACATGGCCATCTCATTATTTGCAAAATTCACTCCCTCATTTAAGTTTCTGCTCAGATGTCACCATCTCAGAGAAACTTTGCCTGAGAACAGAATCTACAACTGCCCCCTGGCCACAATCCCCACCCTCTGACCCCTCACAACTGAGCTTATCCCCACCTCACATTATATTATACATTACCCCACCACTGGCTCTCTCCCTGACTAGAGGGTCACCCCACAAGGGCAGGGACTTGGCTTAGTTCACAGACTGGCATATAATGAGCATTTATGTCGATTTGTTGAATAAATAAACATGTGAATAGAAGGCAAGAACCTTCCGATTTTCGGGTACCTGGATTGGCAGTGCTTGGCATACAGACTATGGAATGCCTTTATAATCTGAAAACCACACTGCAACTCCATCAGGACAGTCTGTGAGGCTGACTCTATTCCCTCCTCTTCATGCTGCCTGTCTCTAACACCTGCACTCACAGCTTCTTTCAGCCTCTTCCCGGAGTTCACAGTCAGGACCACACAGTCTCACGCCTGTAAGGAAACTAACACGCAAAACGAAGGAAACGAACAGGAGCTGCTCCTTGAGGCTGTGACTGACTTCCTGCAGCCAACAGGGGTGGGGCTTGGCCCTGAGTGCCCCCCAGCCCCGACCAGCACACTGGGCACTCCCAGCGCTCAGCCTGGAGGCTCCACAGAACAAGAATGTTCCCAGCAGCTTTGACTCTGAAATATCAAACTACTTCTGAGAGAAGACAGGTGCGGTGGGAAGGACCCAGCCATCACTTTATCCAAGGCCCTGAGCTACAGATGAGGCCACACGGGGTAAGCACCTCACTCGGGCAAAACGAGAAACAGGCCCAGCTTCCCACCGGGCTGTGCTCACCGCCCTCTACTTAGGACATGGGTCTCTCTCTCACTCGGTGTGAGCTCCTTGAGGGAAGAACAGCATCTCAGGCACCTCTGTGTCTGGCATGCGGTGCGAAAGGAAGGCCTCTCAAGGAGGTTAAGCTTGGAGGAATCCCAGGATCCAAGCAGTGTGCCTGGGGGCTGAGGCCACAAATGAGCCCCTGGGTTAAGAAACTTAACCGTTTTCCCCTTGACGCGCACACAGACACACACCCATCTCTCCAGCCCCACCCTGAGCCACTCTCCAGCTTGCACCTCTGCGGTCCTGCCCCAGAGCCTGACAGGTGTCTGAGATGCTCCTCCTCTCGAAGCTTCGTACTCATTCTTCAGACCTCAGCTCCACCATCCCCTCCCCAGCACACACTTCCTTGGCGCAGAATCCAGGGCGCAATAACTACTCAAGGGAATGAAGGGAATCGGTGAATGCATTATGACACGTGCAACACAAAATGTGCAGAAATCAAAAACATTTAAGCGCAAAGATTTAAAACACACATTGGGGCCGGCCGTGGTGGCTAACGCCTGTAATCACAGCACTTTGGGAGGCTGAGGCAGGCATATCACTTGAGGTCAGGAGTTTGAGGCCAGCCTGGCCAACATGGTGAAACCCCGTCTCTACTAAAAATACAAAAATTAGCTGGGCGTGGTGCTGCGAGCAGGTCATGGTGGCAGACACCTGTAATCCCAGCTATTTGGGAGGCTGAGGCAGGAGAATCGCTTGAACCCGGGAGGCGGAGGTTGCAGTGAGCCAAGATCGTGCCACTTGCACTCCAGCCTGGGCAACAGAGCAAGACTGTCTCAATCAATCAATCAATTAACAAATAAAACACACATTGGGCTTCCAGTGTACCTGTCTGGACAGATCCCAAATGTCCTTCGTTTGTGGAGTCCCTGGTATCTCAGCAAATTTTTAATGGTATCCGTAGGCCAAAAAAAAATGCCTAACAGTTCCACGTATAGTTAGGTCTGAACAACCACTGCAAACCCAGCTTCGCAAAGATGTAAAATCCTAAGAAGGAATGCAGCAAGGATCTCACGTTGGAACCGTGAACTGTCCCAAGCTAGCACTTCGCATGGAGTTCAACAGACTTGAGCGTCCGCCGCATTGAGAATGATCACTTGTGAGTTTGCTGCAGTGCCCTGGCACAGTTTGGGAGCCACCTCTGCTATGCCAAATACTCTGATGGGAAAACTCTGGCGGTCTTGACTGACAACTCTCTTCCGGGTCAGGCAGTCCCTACAATCGCTCCGAGGAGGTTCTGGAAGCCTGTGTGAGCCTTCTGCCCTGAAAGAGTCTTTAATCTCTGAGTTTCTTCTTTATACCTTCAGCAAAAGGAACAAGAGACAAGGCAGAGCTCATGGGGCCAAACACAGTATCAATCCAAACAGCAAACAAGAACTAGACCAGGCTCTTGCCACAGCCCCGCCACACCAGCTGGCTGGGACCCCAGACACACCCCTTACCAACAGAAGGCTTTCATGTTCTCATCTGTAAAATTAGGTACAGAGCTGGGTGCAGTGGCTCATGCCTTTAATCTCAGCACTTTGGGAGGCCAAGGCGGGCAGATTACTTGAGCTCAGGAGTTTGAGACCAACCTGGGTAACATGGCAAAACCCCACTTCTACCACAAAATACAAAAGTTAGCCAGGTGTGACGGTGCGCACCTGTAGTCCCAGCTATGTGGCAGGCCGAGGTAGGAGGATCACCTGAGCCCAGGAGGTTGAGGTTGCGGTGAGCCATAATCACACCACTACACTGTAGTCTAGGCAACAGAGTGAGGTCCTGTCTCAAGAAAAAATTAGGCACAGAAAAAGGCACATGTCAGAATACCAGCCAACTAGATCTCCCCAACTCTAAATAGAGCAGACCTGACTTTTATTATAAATTAGGTCTCTACATGTTTTCATTATTATAAAATACAACATACAGAGAAGGGTAAAAACTATGCATGTATAGCTTGACCACGATTCCCTGTCAATTTCGGTAGCTGGCTGGTTCCCACCAAGGTAGCAATCAAGGGCAACAGCTCCAGTCCCTCCCACACACCACTGAGCAAGATGGACAAATAAATCAGGGAGCACACAGGCTGGGGGGCACTGGCAGGAGCCTCACCAGCTTCTGAAAGGGAGAATGACGCAAGAACACAAGGGCTCTCTGAGGCCAACCATTTGCAACACTGGAACAGGTTATCTTCCAGGAAGTATTTGCAGTTTTGCATTTACTGTTTGCAACTTCTGGTCCGTAAAAAAGATTGAGCAACCAACTCAGCACTGATATTGGGGTGAGTCAGACACCCCAATCAAAGCAGTAACAAGAAAGGAAAGAATAAAACTTGTAATTTAGTCAACCCTTTAGCTGTCACTGTCATGTCAGGGCCACCTAGACAAGGCTCTGGCACCAGGGGCTGCACCTTCTGGCTGCAGGGGGAGCGGGGTCATTCAGGTTCACAAGCCCCTCTGCCAAGGTTTAGTGGCTTCAAGATGAGGGAAAACCCTCATGGAACCATACCCTACTGTTGCCTGACAGCGCAACCCACAGGGACTGAGAGGTACTCGGGGAACACTACACTCTCCAAGGTGACCTGTTAAAAAGCAGTGTCCAAGAGTGACTCAGACAGATCGCTCCACAGCCACAATAGCCAGAGTACCCAGGAAGTTTATTATCTGTACTGAGATGTTGGTGCAGATTTCTTTGTGTTTACCTTCTGTGGGGTTCACTCAGTTTCTTGAATCTGTAGATTTATGTCTTTTGCAAAATATAGCAACTTTTCTTTTCTTTTCTTTTTTGTTTTAGGAGACAAGGTCTTGCTCTATCACCCAGGCTGGAGGCATAGTGGTGCAATCACTGTTCACTGAAGCCTCAACTTTCTGGGCTTGAGGGATCCTCCGGGCTCAAGGGATCCTCCTGCCTCAGGCCTCCTGAGTAGGTGGGACTACAGGTGTGCCTCACCACACCTGGCTAATTTTTGTATTTTTAGTAGAGACAGGGTTTTGCCACATTGCCCAGTCTGGTAATGAACTCCTGAGATTCTGCCCACCTCTGTCTCCCAAAGTGCTGGGATTATAGGAGTGAGCCACCGTGCCCGGCCGCCATTATTTTTTAAATAACTTTTCAGCCTCACTCTCTTTCTCTTCTTCTCCTGGGACTTGGGTGACATGAAAGTCAGATCTTTTGTTATTAGTCCCACAAAATCCTGAGGCTCTGTTCATTTGTTTTGTTTTGGTTTTCAGTCTATTTTCTGTTGTTTAGGTTAGGTGATTTCTACTGCTCTAACTTCAAGTTCATGGATTCTCTCTTCTGTCTCCTCCATTTTGCTGTGGAGTCATCCATTCAGTTTCCTATTTTGACTATTGTATATTTCGGTTCTAAGACATCTGTTTCATTCTTCTCTATATCTTAATTCCAACATCTGTGTCATCCTGATGCTGGTGTCTGTTGACTCTCTTTTCTCATTCAAGTTGAGAGTTTTGTGGTTCTTGGTATAGTGATTGATTTTTATTGTATTCTGGGCATTCTGGGTACTTTAAGATCCTGAATCTTATTTAAGCCTATTTTATTTTTGAGACAGAGTCTGTCTCTATTGCCCAGGCTGGAGTGCAATTGTGTGATCTCAGTGCACTGCAATCTCTGCCTCCCAGGTTCAACTGATTCTCATGCCTCAGCCACCAGAGTAGCTGTGATTACAGGCGTGTGCCACCACGCCTGGCTAATTTATTTTTTTGTATTTTTAGTAAAGACAGGGTCTCACCATGTTGCTGGGGCTGGTCTCAAACTCCTGGCCTCAAGTGATCCACCCACCTTGGCCTCCCAAAGTGTTGGGATTACAGGTGTAAGCCATTGCACCCAGCCTTTTTTGATTTTATTAAATATTGTCTGTCACCTGCTTATAGGGAAGGAAGGTATCAGTTCATTGCTGTCAGGCGAGATTCAGTCTCCCTCCTGGGCCTCTGCTGACAAACCCTAGCTTGGAGAGGGAAGACAGCACATGATCTCCACTGACACATGGGGTGGGGCTCCCTGGTTCCGCCAGGTGGTGATGAAGTCCTGACTCACACTGGGCCTCCTCTAATGTCACTCCCAAGGAGAGCACGTTTCCTTGCTTCCTTGAAGAGTCGAGGTTTCCTTGGCTATTTTTTTTTTAAGTTGATAATTCTCCCTTTTGCAAATTTCCCTTAAAAGATGTTGCAGGTATGAAATAAGACTGAGCCACAGGAGACGCGCAGCCCTTTGGACTTTCCTGCAATTTCTATAGCATTCGCTCATATCTTGGAAGCATTTACAGGGAAGCCACCAAGAGGGTTTAAGAATGCAATTCCTTGGCTCTTGATGAATCTAAAGACGTTACCAATACTTTTCAGTTGTTGTTTACTTGGGGAGTCAATACCAAGTTTGAAGAATTAGCATGAAACAACTACAAATAAGAGCATTTTCAAAGAAGTTGAGAAAAGTTTAGTACAATCTGAAATGGAATCCACTAAGATGTGTTATAATGAATGTGGGGGGCAGAAAAAGGCTTAGTTGGAGCCTATGGTTGTTCACTATATTATTCACCAGCAGATATTATGCAAAAAATTTGAATCTATTATATGTGATCGAACAAGGGAATGTCAACAGTATCTGCTCTCATGGACTTAACCTAAGTTGGTCTTAAGGATTTTTGTCAAAAATAGAAGCTGAATATCCTAACTGGCCTACCATACAGCAGTTCAGCAGCTTAGCAGTGGTAAAGTCTGGTGTGACTATTTTGAGCTCAGAGTGAATATTAAATCTTTTCTGAACAAGAATAACTGAAAAGTACTGCCCTCTTAGTCTAAAAATAAAAATAAAAAATAAAAAAAGAGAGGGCCGGGCACGGTGGCTCATGCCTGTAAACCCAGCATTTTGGGAAGCCGAGGCAGGCGGATCACAAGGTGAGGAGATCGAGACCATCCTGGCTAACACGGTGAAACCCCATCTCTACTAAAAATACAAAAAATTAGCTGGGTGTGGTGCCACGTGCCTGTAGTCCCAGCTACTCAGGAGGCTGAGGCAGAAGAAACACTTGAACCTGGGAGGTGGAGGTTGTAATGAGCCGAGATCATGCCACTGCACTCCAGCCTGGGTGACAGAGCAAGACTCCATCTCAATAAAAAAAAAAAAAGAAAAAGAAAAAAGAAAGAACTGCCCTCAACCACTATTACCAAATACTAAATCGCTTTGGAAATTAGCTTTTGCTGCAGACTTGATGTTTCTTAATGAGGCCAATCTAAAATTATAAGGCAAAACAGCAGTTATATGCAAAACTTATATTGCGGTAAAGTCATTTCAATGAAATTAACATTGTATGAATCACAAGTAATGTCAACCTGCGCCATACAATTCCTAGACTGTCAAGGTTAGAACAAGTGAAAAACCTTTGCACATTTTTTTGAGCTCAAACCTTGAGCTCAAAAAAAACAAAAACTTTGAGCTGCTAGTTCTAGCCCTAGCAGCGTTTTTCAGATCTTGATCTAAGTATGAAGGAAATTCCCATATTTTAAAATCCATTTAACTGTACAATTGAGCAGCTCTCATCTAACCTTCAATTGGAAGTGGCTGATCTGCAATGCAATAATGCAAAAAGGCAAATATCAAGAGGGGAATCTAAAAAAAAAAATCTATAAATGCTGTCTTCCAATGATTAAAATGCCCCATCAAAATTTATGCTCCCTGACCAATATAACTTGGCAGTACCTATTTGTGTGAAAAGATATTTTCAAAGATGTCACCTATACAATCTCATTACAGATGAGCACTGACACGGGGATATTTGCAACAGATTTTGATGTTTGGGAACACTAATTCAGAACCCCAATGAAACAAAATTGTTTTCTGTTTTTTGTTTTTTTGAGACTGGGTCTTGCTTTGTCACCCAGACTGCAGTGCAGTGGCACAATCGCAGCTCACTCCAGCCTCAGCCTTCTGGGCTCAAGTGATCCTCCCACCTCAGTCTCCACAGTAGTTGGGACTACAGGTGTATACTACCCACCATGCCCAGCTAACTTTTTAAATATTTTTTTGTAGAGACAGGGGTTAGCCATGTTGCCCAGGCTGGTCTCAAACTCCTGGACTCAAGCGATCCTCCCACCTCAGCCTCCAAGAGTGCTGGGATTAGAGGCGTGAGTCATGGCACCTGGCCCAAAATTGTTATCCCTACAAAAATCATTCCATTCTTCTTATTAACAAACCTGTATTAAAAACTTGCACTCAACTGTTATTAGTTATTACTCGAATTTCTTTTAAAAATATATATTTCAAATTATAGAGACAGGGTCTGGCTAAGTTGCCCAGGCTGGTCTCAAACACCTGGGCTCAAGCAATTCTCCCGCCTTGGCCTCCCAAAGTGCTGGGATTACAGGTGTGAACCACCGCAACCAGCCTTATTTGAATTTCATCAACAAAAAACATGGAAACTTGTTGCCTCTCATTATATATAACATCCTAGATTTTACTTCTTGGCATGCAAAGCCTAAAAAATATTTATTACCTGGCCTCTGACAAGAAATAAGTTATTAGCGCCTACTCTAGATAACTGAAGTGCACCTAGTTACCGGAGCTCTGTACTGACTGGGCAGTACAGATGCCGGAGGCTCTGGTTGTGGGAGTCTGAACGGGTTACTTGACCTCCCAGGACTCAGGTTTCTTCTCCACAAAGCAATATGGAGCTGGTCACCAAGGATCATCCTCAGCTCTAAAATTCTACACAGCTAGAGAAATACTTCCGGAATACGTGAACCATGTCCATGCTGTCTCGAGTCCACGCACGGTTCCTTTTGTAGACTACTCGGCCATCGTGTCATTGTACAACATACTTAGGGCCTAAAGAGGCAGGAGAGGTTGCTTGCACACAGAGGGAACCCAGGCTGTGGGATCTCAGGTTCCTGCATCTTTTTGGTCTGTTTGCTTGTTTTGAGAGACACAGTCTCACTCTGTTACCCAGGGTGGAAAGCAGTAGCATAGTTCACTGCACCCTCATACTCCTGGCCTCAAGCCATCCTCCCACCTTAGCCTCCCAAGTAGCTGAGACTATAGGTATGCACCACCTCACCGAGCTAATTTTTTAAAAACTTTTATTTCTGTAGAGATGGGGTCTCGCTTGGTTGCCCAGGCTGGTCTCAAACTCCTGGGCTCAAGCGATCCTCGCACCTTGGCCTCCCAAAGTCCTGGGATTCCAGGTGTAAGCCAGCACACCCGGCCCCTGCATCTTTGTTGTTGATAGTGTTTGTCTTTTCTTGAGGCAGGATGACCCTCACCATTATGAGAGTGCCTACGTTTTTTCTTTTTTCTTTTTTGAGATGGAGTCTTGCTCTGTCGTCCAGGCTGGAGTACAGTGGCGCAATCTCAGCTGACAGCAAGCTCCGCCTCCTGGGTTCACGCCATTCTCCTTCCTTAGCCTCCTGAGTAGCTGGGACTACAGGCGCCTGCCACCACACCCGGCTAATTTTTTGTGTTTTTAGTAGAGATGGGGTTTCACCATATTAGCCAGGATGGTCTCGATCTCCTGACTTCGTGATCCACCTGCCTCAGCCTCCCAAAGTGCTGGTATTACAGGTGTGAGCCACTGCACCCGGCCACGAGAGTGCCTACGTTTTTTTTCAAAAGTCTCTCACCCATTTCTAATTGGCTGCTTTGAATCTGCGTAAATTGGGAAATCAGCTGCTTGTTAGCGTGATATCTAAGATAAGAGTAAGCCAGGCACAGCGGCTCACGCCTGGAATCCCAGCACTTTGGGAGGCTGAGGCAGGTGGATCACCTGAGGTCAGGAGTTTGAGACCAGCCTGGCCAACATGGCGAAACCCCATCTCTACTAAAAATACAAAAATAACTAGCCAGGCGTGGTGGTGCGTGCCTGTAATCCCAGGTACTTGGGAGGCTGAGGCAGGAGAATCACTTGAACCCAGGAGGCGGAGGCTGCAGTGAGCCAAGATGACACCATTGCACTCCAGCCTGGGCAACACAGTGAGACTCCGTCTCAATAAATAAATAAATATAAAATAAAATAAGAGTAAAGAGGTGGGGAGCGTTGGCTCAGGTCTGTAGTCCCAGCTATTTGGGAGGTAAGGCAGGAGATCACTTGAGCCCTGCAGGTTGAGGCTGCAGTGAGTATCCCTGCACTCCAGCCTGGGCAACAAAGCAAGACCCCATCACTATATAATAAGAGTAAAGAGGGCCAGGTGCGGTGGCTCACGCCTGTAATCCCAACACTTTGGGAGGCTGAGGCGGGTGGATCACTTGAGGTCAGGAGCTCGAGACCAGCCTGGCCAACATTGGGAAACCCAGTCTCTACTAAAAATACAAAAATTAGCCAAGTATGGTGGCGCACCCCTGTAATTCCAGCTACTCTGGAGGCTGCTGAGGCAGGAGAATCACTTGCACCTAGGAGGTGAAGGTTGCAGTGAGCCAAGATCATGCCACTGCACTCCAGCCTGGGCGATAGAATGAGACTCTGTCTCGAAAAAAAAAGAAAAAGAGTAAAAGAGTAAAGAGGTTCTTTGAAGACTAGCATCTTCTGTATTTAAAAAAAAAAAAAAAAAAAAAAGCTGTTGAGTAGGGCCTGTGGGGCCTTCTTATTCACAGACTTTGTGAAATCCATTCCAGAAACTCTGAGTTGCTTCCGGATTCTCAGATGTGCTAGAGATGTACTCCGAAAGCCTTGCAGGCCACGGCTCTGTGTGGCTAAAAGTACTGAGCACTCCCACCAAAGCAGGCCTGGAACCCGCACGAGGGCTCCGCTGGCCTGTGAGGCCCAAAGCACTAAGGATGCCAGGGAGTGCGAGGCAGGCAGGCTCCTAATCCCACAGAGCTTACAGTCTGGAAAGCCTCTAGACAATGTTCAGGTACAAAAACGTCATGTCGAAGGACATGCTTCTGTCACTCTTACGTCCATGCGTGCAGCAAACAGCTGAGGAGCACCTGCTGCACTCCAGGAACTGTGTGGGTTCAGGCAGGAGCAGACATGCCAACCTTGCCCCAAGGTGTCCTCCTGCTATGAGAAAGGGCAGACCTATCCCAACAGTCACGGCTGCATGGGGAGGCCAGGTGCAGGGGAAATAGAGCTGGAAGGAAAAAGCAGGCATGACAGTCTGAAACAGTCAAGGAAGGGGCTCCCAGAGGCCAACATCTGGGCTGGATTGTGAAGAATGATCAGGGTCCACCAGTCAGATTAGGGGGATGAGCGAAGCTACCGATAGAGGAAGCGTGTACCAGAGCCTAGAACACGAGAAACTCGGGGTCTGGGGTAACTCAAGTGTGGTGCAATGGGATGTGTTTTTATGTGGGGATGCATAGATGGCGAATAAGAGATAAGCATTCATTCATTCACGGAACAGGCTGGAGTCACCAAGGCTGCAGTGCAGTGGTGTGATCACAGCTCACTGCAGCCTCTAACTCCTGGGCTCAAGCAATCCTCCTCCCTCAGCCTCCTGCATAGCTGAGACCATAGGCATGCACCACCATACCAGCTGATTTTTTAAATTTTTTTGTAGAGATGGGGTCTCACTAAGTTGCCCAGGCTGGTCTCAAACTCCTAGGCTCAAGCAATCCTCCCATCTTGGCCTCCCAAAGTGCTGGGATAACAGGTAAGAGCCACCACACTCGGCCGAGATAAACTTTTAAGAGACACCCAGATGAGTGCGTAAGGGCCTAGGGGCCTGTATGCCAGTCTAAGGTGTTTGGCCCTGGGGAAGCTGGTGAGGACAGGGCAAGGGGGTGCTGTGATCAGAATGCTGCTACAGGAAGGTACTACTGTACAACGATGCCTGCACCCCTAATATCAATGCAGTCACGGGGCTTTCACCAAGGTATCCTGGAGAACATTCTCCACTGAAGATGGCCATGGCCAAACGCTCCCAGCTGATGGCCTTTTCCCCACACAACAGGACTTAATTTAGAAACACATGACCAGCATGTGCCCGATGCAATGACGTGAAAGGAGGAAGGCAGCTGCTGAGTCAGATCTGTGCAAGCGTGACTGGGGGGACAGGAGGGACAGCAGGCGAACAGTGGGCATGACTCAGCACAAATCGAACTGACCAGGCCCACAGGGGCTGATGCTGCAGCTGCAGCTCCCCGTGCCTGCTTCTAGCAGCATCTCTGCGGCCTTGGCTCCTTGGCTTGAATGCCAAGGGGACGAGACCACAGCTCCCCTAAGCTCCAGGGCATTGCATGGATATAATCCAGCGTCAACATTAAAAGGTGGCACAAGGTGATTTACAGGCACAAAACTCTCCACAGGAGTTCACGCTGGTTCATCCTCCTGACCATCCCCACTTTTGCCTCAATTGTTTTTTTTTTTAGATGGAGTTTTGCTCTTGTCGCCCAGGCTGGAGTGCAATGGCACGATCTCGGCTCACTGCAACCTCTGCCTCCCAGGTTCAAGCGATTCTCCTGCCTCAGCCTCCCGAGTAGCTGGGATTACAGGTGCCTGCCACCACGCCTGGCTAATTTTTGTATTTTTAGTAGAGATGGGGTTTCGCCATGCTGGCCAGGCTGGTCTCAAACTCCTGACCTCAGGTGATCCACCCCCTCAGCCTTCCAAAGTGCTGGGATTACAGACGTGAGCCACCAAACACGGCCTTCTTTTTTTTTTTTTTTTTTTTTTTTTTGAGACAGGGTCTGGCTCTTGTCCCCAGGCTGGAGTACAGTGGCACAATCTAGGCTCACTGCAACCTCCGCCTCCCAGGTTCAAGCAATTCTCCTGCCTCAGCCTCCCAGGTAGCTGGAATTACAGGCACCCGCCAACATGCCTGGCTAATTTTTGGTTTTTTTGTTTTTTTTTTTTTTTTGTAGAGATGGGGTTTCACCACGTTGTCCAGGCTGATGTCAAACTCCCGATCTCAACTGATCCACCTGCCTTGGCCTCCCAAGTGCTGGGATTGCAGGCATGAGCCACCAAGCCTAGCTGATTGCCTCAATTAATTTTGAATAAAAATATAGAAAACAGAAACAGCGGCCGGATGCGGTGGCTCACGCCTGTAATCCCAGCACTTTGGGAGTCCGAGGCAGGCGGATCACGAAGTCAGGATATCGAGACCATCCTGGCTAGCACGGTGAAACCCCGTCTCTACTAAAAATACAAAAAAATTAGCCGGGTGTGGTGGCGGGCGCCTGTAATCCCAGCTACTTGGGAGGCTGAGGCAGGAGAATGGCATGAACCCGGGAGGTGGAGTTTGCAGTGAGCCAAGATCGCGCCACTGCACTCCAGCCTGGGTGACAGAGCAGGACTCGGTCTCAAAAAAAAAAAAAAAAAAAAATTAATAATAATAAGAGAAACAGAGCCAGGGGTCTTGCTTTACTTTTCTCAAATCTGGGCAGATCAGTTCTGAAGTCGGCTTCTGCCTCCAGCGCAGGGGCAACAGTCTGGAGAGATCACCTGGAGGCAATCAGAATGCCACCTGCCCCCCAACCCCCTGCCCACACACGCATGTGTTACAATTCCTACAGCAAGTCCACGGCAGCAAGCCCACAGCATGGGCAGTGCTACTCCCTCCTCCTTTACCGAAATGAGAATAGGATGGGCCGAAGTCAACATGGCTTCCCCAAAAGGGAAGGCACACTAAGGATTCTTTAATAGAATTCCAAATGAGCTCCACATTGAACATCAAAGACAAACTGCAACACTCAGAAAGTGGCTCTAGGGCACAGTAGTCCCCAACACCTGTCACAAGAGAAACAGGCATAGTGGCTCACGCCTATAATCTCAGCACTTTGGGAGGCCGAGGCTGGAGAAGTGCTGAGGCCAGAGGTTCGAGACCAGCCTGGGCAACAAAGTGAGACCACCCCCTCCATCTCAAAAAAAAAAAAAAATTATCCAGGTGTCGCAGCATGCACCTGTAGTCCCAACTACTCAGGAGGCTGAGGCAGAAGGATTACTTAAGCCCGGGAGTTAGAGGCTGCAGAGGCTGCAGTGAGCCATGATGATTGTGTCATTGCACTCTAGCCTGGGTGACAGAGCGAGACCATCTCTCAAAAAAAAAAAAAAAAAAAAAAAGAAAGAAAGAAACAGTAAAGACACTGGAAAAGTTAATCCTAAGAAAAGAAGATTCAGAGGTACTTGATCCCTTCTTTAGGTGGTCAGAAAACTGCCAAAGGGAGAGGCCTGGCATTCAGAAATAGGAGTGGTCATAGAGGAGAGAGGTTTACAACCCCTCCAAGCAAAGACGTTCTAATAAAGGAGTCTGAACATAGAATGCGCTATTGGGGGAGTGGCTCCCCATCATGGGAGATGTGTCACACGAGGCTGGGTCACAAGGACTTAATGACAGAAAGTGCCTGCACACCAAGGGCCTGGGAACAGACCAACCAAATTAATATTAATTAATCTGAGCTGGCTGATTGGTGATGATGCCTGGTGAAAAATCCCAAGTGTCTGACCTGAGTTAATAAATACAGATCTCTGTCTTTGAAACACACACACACACACACACACACACACACACACACACACACACACACACAAGCCCCGAGCAGCCCTTGGAAAAAGGCAGGAAGGGAGAAGTACCAACCCTCTCAATTAAAAAACCGGTCCCTCCAGCCAGGCGCAGTGGCTCAAGCCTATAATCCCAGCACTTTGGGAGGCCGACGGGGGCAGATCACCTGAGGTCAGGATTCGAGACCAACCTGGCCAACATGATGAAACCCTGTCCCTACTAAAAATACAAAAATTACCTGGGCATGGTGGTGGGTGCCTGTAGTCCCAGTTACTTGGGAGGCTAAGGCAGGAGAATCGCTTGAACCCAGGAAGTGGAGGTTGCAGTGAACTGAGATAGCGCCAATGCACTCCCACCTCGGCCTCCCATAGTGCTGGGATTACAGGTGTGAGCCACCGCACCTGGCAGACAGTCATTAAATCTTAAAGCTCCCAAATAATCTCCTTTTGACTCCATGTCTCACATCCAGGGCGTGCTGGTGCGAAGGGTGGGCTCCCAAGGTCCTGGGCAGCTCTGTCCTGGTGGCTTTGCAGGGTTCAATCCGAGGCTGCTCTCACAGCCTGTGGCTTTTCCAGGGACAGGTTGTAAGATGCTGGTGGATCTACCATTCCGGGGTCTGGAGGACAGTGGCCCCCTTCCCACAGCTCCACTAGGCAGTGCCCCAGTGAGAACTCTGTATGGGGCCTCCAGTCCCACATTCCTCTCCTACCAGAGGTTCTCGGTAAGGGGTCTGCCCCTTTCCCAGGCTTTCCCATACATCCTCTGAAATCTAGGTGGAGGCTGCCAAGCCTCCCTCACTCTTGCATTCTGTCCACCCACAGGCTCACCACCACATTGAAGCGGCCAAGGCTCATGGCTTTCACCCTCTAGTGTGGCAGCCTGAGCTGTATCTGGGCCCCTTTGAGCCAAGGCTGGAAGCTGAATGGCCAGGGATGTGAGGAGCAGTGTCCTGAGGCTGTCCCTGGCACTGGGCCTGAACCACAAAGCATTCTTCCCTCTGAGGCCTCCACAACTGTAATGGGAGGGGCTGCCGGGAAGGTCTCTGAAATGCCTTCAAGGCCTTTTTTTCCCCACAGTCTTGGCTATCAGCACTTGGCTCCTTTTTAAATCTACAAATCGCTCTAGCAAGCGGTTGCTCCACAGCCTGCTTGAATTCTCTTGAAAAAGTTTTTTCTTTCTGTCACATGGCCAGCCTGCAAATTTTCCAAACTTACATTCCGCTTCCCTTTTAAATATAAACTCCAACTTTAAGTCATTTCTTTGCTCCCACATCTGAATGTAGGGTAGTAAAAGCACCCAGGTCACCTCTTTTTTTGTTGTTGTTGTTCACTCTGTTGCCTCGGGTGGAAGCTGGATCTTGTTATAAGGGAATTATACAAACCCAAACCAAACTGTGAGACGTTGACAAAGACACGGCCTCACATTTTCAAAAATGTTAAGGCCATGAAAGATAAACAAAGACTGAGTGATCTAAGACACACACACACACACACACACACACACACACACACACACACACACACACTCTGAGGTCTTGGACCAGGAAAAAAACATATTTTTTCTGATGTAAAAGATATTAACGGCAAAATGTAAAGAAACTCTATGATTAGACAACACAGGATATCAATGTTAATTTCCTGCTATTGATCACTGTATTTTGCTTACCAAAAAAAAAAAAACTGTCCTTGCCTTGAAGAAAATACACACTGAAGTACTTAGGGGTAACCAAGTATCTTGGTCATATCTGCAACTCATTCTCAAATAGTTCAAGAAAAAATATATCTACACACACACACACACACATTGATAAAGCAAATATGGTAAAATATTAACAATGGGGAAATCTGGGTAAAGGGCGCTCAAGAATTGTTAGCACTGCTGTTGCAACTTTTTTGCAAATCTGAAACTATTTCAAAACAAAAAGTTAAAATTAAATACAGTTCAAGAGACCTACTGAGGCTGGGTGCGGTGGCTCACGCCTGTAATCCCAACACTTTGGGAGGCCCAGGCAGGTGGATCACCTGAGGTCAGGAGTTAGAAACCAGCCTGGGCAACATGGTGAAACCCCCATCTCTACTAAAAATACAAAAAATTAGCCAGGCGTGGTGGCAGGTGCCTGTAATCCTGGCTGCTCCAGAGGCTGAGGCAGGAGAATCGCTTGAACCTGGGAGGCAGAGGTTGCAGTGAGCCGAGATCGCGCCATTGCACTCCAGCCTGGGCAACAAGAGTGAAACTCCGCTCAAAAAAAAAAAAAAAAAAAAAAAAAAAAAACAAAGACCTATTGTATAACATGGTGACTATAGTTAGTAGCAATGTGTTGTACTCTTGAAGACTGCTAAGAGTAGATTTTAAGTGTTCTCACCACAAAAAAAGGTGTGAGGTAATGCATATGTTAATTAACTCAATTTAGCCATTCTACCAGACTTCAAAACAATATGCCATACACTATAAATATATACAACTTTGTCAATTAAAAAATTTAAAAGCATGTTTAGTGAAGAAAATGTGCTATATTTTAAAACATAAAATTAAGGAAAACATAATCCAAACTCTTATTTGGTTTCATTCTACCAGTTTTTTACATGCATATTACAGGACATACTTTTCCTTTTTTTTTTTTTTTCAGATGGAGTCTCGCTCTGTTGTTGCCCAGGCTGGAATGCAGTGGTGCCATCTCGCTCAGCTCACTGCAACCTCCACCTCCCGAGTTCAAGGGATTTTCCTGCCTCGGCCTCTGGAGTAGCTGGGATTACAGGTGCCTGCCACCATGCTCGGCTAATCTTTGTATTTGTAGTAGAGATGGGGTTTCACTATGTTGGCCAGGCTGGTCTCAAACTCCTGACCTCGTGATCCACCCACCTCGGCCTCCCAAAGTGCTGGGATTACAGGTGTGAGCCACCGTGCCCGCCCATGTTTTTAACATGATCGGTCTTATACTACATATAATTTTGTTCTACTTTTCATATATTAAATTGTGAACATTTTCTTGTTATAAATTCTCAAATGTCATTATATTTTCACTATTACAATGTCAAGTTACAGTGCATTTTCTAGTACAGAAAAAAAAATTAAAACTGTTTTTAAAAAAGTCATGAAAAACAGGATTGATATATTTTCAACATAAGTCTTTGTAAGCCACTGATAAGTTCCTTAAAATAGAAATTCTGGCCAGGCGCAGTGGTACATGCCTGTAGTCCCAGCACTTTGGGAGGCCGAGGCAGGCAGATTGCTTAAGCTCAGGAGTTCAAGACTAGCCTGGGCAACACAACAAATCCCTGTTTCTATAAAACAATACAACAATTAGCTGGGCGTGTTGGTGCACACCTGCAGTTCTAGCTACTCGGGGGGCTGAGGCATGAGAATCACTTGAACCTGGGAGGCGGAGGTTGCAGTGAGCCAAGACTGCACCACTGCACTCCAGCCTGGGCAGACAGAGACAGAATTTGTCTCAAAAAAAAAAAAAAAGAATTTCTGAATTTGTCTTAGAAATATTTCTGAATCAAAGGGAACAAATATTTTCAAGGTCCCTGACTTACTGTCAAATTATTTTTCAAAAAGCAATTTATTTTCAAAATTTCTCTGCAGCTCTTCCTCTTCAAGGCACGCTGCTAAGCTGAAGAGACGGGAGCAATTCCACAAAGCACTGTGTGCACAGAGGCCTAGCAGCAGGTGGAAGGATGAAAGCTGAAACACAGGAATTAATAAGCACTTAAGGGAGGCCATGACACCTGTGCCCCAGCAGGGAGGGCAAACTGAATCGAGTAGTGGCCTCAGCTTTTCTGGTGGAAGACACATCTTTATTTCCTTGCCAAAATAAACAGAACAGATGGTGGGAGCCGGTTCATGTGTGGGTGAGTCTGGTAGTGGTTAAGGAGGGCTTCCTGATGGAAAGGACTCAAAAGGGAAGGAGACAGAGTGGGGAAGAGCACACACCAAGGCCAGAAGGGAAAATAGAGTCACGGCTTTAAAAGGAAAAACAGGCCAGGTGCGGAGGCTCACACCTGTAATCCCAGCACTTTGGGAGACCAAGGCGGGAGGATCACTTGAGGACAGGAGTTCGAGACCAACCTGTCCAACGTGGTGAAACCCCGTCTCTACTAAAAATACAAAAAAATTAGTCGGGTGTGATGACAGGCGCCTGTAATCCCAGCTACTCGGGAGGCTAAGGCAGGAGAATCGCTTGAACCTGGGAGGTGGAGGTTGCAGTGAGCCAAGACTGCACCACTGCATTATAGCCTGCGTGAGAGAGGGAGACTGTGTCTCAAATAAATAAATAAATAAATAAATAAATAAATAAATAAATAAATAAAATCACACAATAAGTGGCCCTTTGTAACTGGTTTCTTTCACTTAGAATAATGTCTTCAAGGTCCATCCACGTTGTGGCATGCATAAAAGCCCTTCATTCCTCTTCATGCCTGAGTAACATTTCATCGTATGGATATACCACATTTTGTTTATCCATTCAATGGGTGATGGATACTTGGATTGTTTCCTTTTGGGGGCTGTTATAAATATTGTTGCTGGACAGGCACAGTGGCTCATGCCTGTAATCCCAGCACATTGAGAGGCTGAGGCGGGAGGATGGATTGAGGCCAGGAGTTTGAGACCAGCCTGGGTAACATAGTGAAACGCCATCTCTACAGAAAATTAAAAAATTAGTGAGGTGTGGTGGTGCACACCTGTAGTCCCCGCTACTCAGGAGGCTGAGGTTAGAGGATCACTTGAGCCCAGGAATTGGGGGTTACAGTGAGATATGATCCCAACACTGCACTCCAGCCTGGGTGACAGAGCAAGACCCTGTCTTTAAAAAATAAATACATAAGGGCCGGGCAAGGTGGCTCATGCCTGTAATCCCAGCACTCTGGGAGGTCGAGGTGGGCGGATCACCTGAGGTCAGGAGTTGGAGACCAGCCTAACCAACATGGAGAAACCCTGTCTTTACTAAAAATACAAAATTAGACGGGCGTGGTGGCACATGCTTGTAATTCCAGCTACTTGGGAGGCTGAGGCAGGAGAATCACTTGAACCCGGGAGGTGGAGGCTGCAGTGAGCCAAGATCGTGCCACTGCACTCCAGCCTGGGCGACACAGCGAGACTCCATCAGTATAAACGTTTTCTATTTCCTTGTTTACATTTATTTATTTATTTTATTTTATTTATTTTTAGACAGGGTCTTGCTCTGTTGTCCAGGCTGGAGTGCAGTGGTGCAATCATAGGTCACCACAACCTCTACCTCCCAGGATCAAGTGATCCTCCCACCTCAGCCTCCCGAGGAGCTGGGACTACAGGTGCACACCACTACGCCTGGCTAGTTTCTGAATGTCTCTAAAACAAGGGTTAGTACCCCTTGGTTCTTAAGAAAAAGCACTCAGAATTGCAGAAGAGAGAAAGGCCTGCCTAGTCTACACAGCACTGTGTTTACTACAGGCTCACTAAGGAGGAGCCAAGCAATGCAACCAACGTTCACTCAACACCTACTACGTGCCAAGCACCCTGGCTAGGCACCTTCTACAATTTCTTTTGATTCATATGATAAACCTGTTTAGAGAAATATTATTTCACCCATTTTACAGACTCAGATTCAAAGCCCTAAGGACCAAGCAAGTTACTGAAATTCCCACAACTTACAGAGGGAGATTTAAAGACCTTGTGGGACCCTCTCTGTCACTTCTTGTTGCAACCCTAGACAAGGAAGGGGTGACCCAACTCCTGGCCCATAATGGTCTTGATGGTTCTCATGCTGGCTACTGTCACCCCACATTCAGCTAGTAGTGGGCTGTGCCATTCAGCAAAAACAGAGTTTCTACTAGTGCATAGAGGACCACGGAGTCACAGGGGGTGCTCTGGGCGACAGCTTCACCCACAGAACAGGTATTGGTCAGTGGCTTCCTTCGGTCCAACAGGTGGTTTCAAATCAGCTCTTCCACAAGCTGACAGGGAACAATGGTACTAATGAGACAGACAAGCCAGATGGCCCCTGGGCTGAGGCCTCAGAGGGCACCGTATTGGTCATTCCTTCCCCAGCGTTGCTTGCGTTTCACCTTGATGTTCGGTCATTGCTATGCATTCAAGGCAATCACATGTGTATTGAGGCCGGGCGCGGTGGCTCACACCTGTTATCCCAGCACTTTGGGAGGCCAAAGTGGGAAGATCACCTGAGGTCAGGAGTTCAAGACCAGCCTGGCCAACATGGTGAAACTAAAAATACAAAAAGTAGCTGGGCATGGTGGTGCATGCTCTGTAATCCCAGCTACTCAGGAGGCTGAGGCAGGAAAATCACTTGAACCCAGGAGGCGGAGGTTGCGCTGAGCTGAGATCGCACCACTGCACTCCAGCCTGGGCGATAGAGCCAGACTCGGTCTCAAAAAAACAAAAAAAGTGTACTGAGCACCAACTCTAGGTCATCTCTGTGACCTGTGCTTGGATATTCACAGCATGTGTTTAAATTCTAGAATGTGGGCAGTAGGGTTACTAAAAACCCACAACATGAACAAGTCAGTAATAATTAGATCCCATCGCTATGGTGACTAAGGACGGTCATGCGGTGTCTATAAAAGCATCATAATTATTATACCATTTACAAGATTGCCCATACAGAGCTTTCTATTGCCCCATGTTGTCTTACAAGGAAGACAAAATCCTTTGGTGCTGGCCTGACATTGTACTATGCCTGCTGCTCGAGACAGGTACACTAGGTTACCCAAGATGCTCCTTTAGACTGAGGGCTTAATGCTCCATTTCTCAGACACCACCAAGAGAGCTGCGTACTTGCCGGCAGCTAGCTGTGGAGATGTGCTTGAGTTGGGAGAGCCACAGCTCTGCTGCACCCACTGGGGCTTCCTGTTAGAAAAGAGACCCACCACATCACACAGTACACCTGCATGAGAGGCTAGAGGGAAAGTCCTCCAGGCCACAGCACTAGAAAAAAGTCCTCCTGGGCAGTGACCCACATCACATGGCTTCAAGCTGAACTCTAAGCAACGTCTAGTGTGGGCAGGGTGACTCCGCTAGGCCCTTGGCCTCCATAAGGTGACTCAGTGGTTCAAGCAGCTTTTTCTCTTGTCATTCCACCATCTCAATGTTCAACTTCCGGGCCGTCCTGATGGGAAGAAGATTGCTGGAGGGCCTGGCCCTGGCTCTTAAATGCTTCCATCCAGAAGTGACATACGTGACTTCCTCTCACAGGCCATTACCCGAAGTTAACTTCAAGAGGGCTTAGAAATGTGTGGGAGCCCAGAAACACGCAGTGAACATACGTCTGCTGCAGGTGTCCACGACTAGCTCAAGATGACAGGGAACTGGAGGCACAACTGGTGGGAGTCTAGTTGCTCAAGAACTCATGACCTATAAACCTGATTTTTAAAAACTGAGATAGAAGCCGGGTGTGGTGGCTCACACCTGTAATCCCAGTACTTTGAGAGGCCGAGGCGGGTGGATCACAAGGTCAGGAGTTCGAGACCAGCCTGGCCAACATAGTGAAACCCTATCTCTACTAAAAATACAAAAATTAGCTGGTATGGCAGTGTGTGCCTGTAATCCCAGCTACTTGGGAGGCTGAGGCAGGAGAATCACTTGAACCCAGGAGGTGGAGGTTGTGGTAAGTGAAGATTGTTCCACTGTACTCCAGCCTGGGCAACACAGCAAGACTCCGTCTCAAAAAAAAAAAAAAAAAAAAAGAAACCTGAGATAGAGACTGGGAGCAGTGGCTCATGCCTCAGGCCGAGGAGGGCAAGATCACTTGAGGTCAGGAGTTCGAGACCAGTCTAGCCAACATGGTGAAACCCCGTCTCTACTAAAAATACAAAAATTAGCTGGGTGTGGTGGTGGGCACCTGTAATCCCAGCTACTCAGGAGGCTGAGGCAAGAGAATCACTGGAACCCGGGAGGCAGAGGTTGCAGTGGGCTGAGATTGGGCCACTGCACTCCAGCCTGGACCACAGAGCGAGAGTCAGTCTCAAAAAAAAAAAAAAAAAATTGAGACAGAATTCACACACCATAAAATTCATCATTTTAAAGTATAAAATTCAGTGGTTTTCACTATATTCACCCATTGTGCAAGCATCACCACTACCAGATTCCAGAGCATCTTCATACCCTCAAAAGGAAATCCCACACTCATCAGCAGTCACTCCCCACTCCTGACCTGGTTTTTGTTTTTTGGGGTTTTTTTTGTTGTTGTTTTTTTTTTGAGACAGGGTCTCACTCTGTCAGCCAGGCTGCTGTACAGTGGCGTGATGACAGCCCAGCCTCCTGCGTTGCTGGGACTACAGGCACCCACCACCAAGCCCCATTAATTTTTTGTTAAGATACGGGGTTTCGCCATGTTGCCCAGGTTGGTCTCAAACTCCTGGGCTCAAGCCATTAGCCCACCTCAATCTCCCAAAGTGCTGGGATTACAGGTGTGAGCCACCAAGCCCGGCCCTGATTTGTTTTTAACTAATGAACAGTGTTTTAACACTGCTCTGACATACAGGAGCTGTAATTATCACAAAGGTTAAAGGACCTTGTCCAACATCAGGGAATCGATAAATGGTGGAACCAGGATTCAAACCCAGACCAACTGTCTCCAGAGCTATTCTATCAACCATCTGTCTGCCCTTCAAGACCTTTTTAGGACATGGCAAAGTTACAGGTAGACGCAGCCTCACTGAATGACCTGGGGTTCATTTTGCAGCTGACATCCTGGCCACATCATCAGATGACAGCATTACCCAAGATGAAATAATCCCTGCAGAAGGACACAGGATTGGTCTCGTGTCTGGGTGGAGCTATCCTGCACCTCTGTAACCCTGGTGCTCATCAGACTTTGCATAACATGAGTGCTCAATATTTGTTTTTGTTTTTTTGAGACAGAGTTTCGCTCTTGTTGCCCAGGCTGGATGGAATGCAATGGCGCAACCTCAGCTCACTGCAACCTCTGCCCCCCGGGTTCAAGCGATTCTCCTGCCTCAGCCTCCCAAGTAGCTGGGATTACAGGCATGCACCACCACGCCCGGCTAATTTTGTATTTTTAGTAGAGACAGGTTTCTCCATGTTGGTCAGGCCGGTCTCGAACTCGCGACCTCAGGTGATCTGCCCGCCTCGGCCTCCCAAAGTGCTGGGATTACAGGTGTGAGCCACCACACCTGGCCAGCACTCAATATTTGTTTGCTGAATGACTAAATGAACAGAATCTCCCAGACCAGAGTCAATGCTTCTCCCTCAATGGCACAGCACACTGGCCCTTCAGCCAGGAGTATCGGAACAGAGCCGTGCTGCTTTCTAAGACCTCGTGGCTCTGCCTGCAATCACCTACTAAAGGGCAAGAAACCAAGCCAAGCTTTTCAAATATCACAGGAAAAATAGCAGGGGTCCAGGTACAGTGGCTCATGCCTGTAATTCCAGCACTTTGGGAGGTCAACAGGAGGATCGTTTGAGCCCAGGAGTTTGAGATCGGCCTGGGCAACATAGCAAGACCCCATCTCTGCAAAAAGAAAGAAAAACTCGCCAAGCATGGTGGTGTGTGCCTGTAGTCCCAGCTACTTGGAAGGGCTTAAGGAGTTTGAGACTGCAGTGAGCAATGATCCTGGGTGACAGAGCAAGTGTCCTGCCTTAAAAAAAAAAAAAAAAAAAAAGAGAGAGAAAAGAGAAAGAAAAAAAAGCAGGACACTGTACGTGGGAGGTACTAAGAGCTTCAGAACCTTCACTTTGGACTGGCTGCCTCTCACTCTGGCACAAGATCGCTCCTCACTCTGCCAGATTCTCAAGCTTCACTCCTGCCTGCTAAAATAATCGCTCTGATTCCATTCTCTTGCTCACACCTCCCAAAGAACTGCCCTTACAGAATTTACAACCGAGCCTGAACCTCTCAGCCTCTTACCTAGATGGGACCCAGAAAGGGTCACCTGTGGGAACACTCCTGTTCTTGAAAACAGTGCCTCCACCCTGGCCTAGGCCAACATCATCTTTCATCTTGTTGGTCTTTTCCACACACAAAAGTAGTCCCAGCACCTCGAAGAGAGCTTGGCACATACGTGGTGCTCTACAAATACTTGCTGAGTACATGGGCTGCTGACCACTGCTTTATTCAATGATCCTCGTGTAAAGGCCCAGGGAAAAGCACTTTTTAAAAAAAATTTAAGAGATGGGGTCTTGCTCCATCACCCAGGCTGCAGTGTCGTGGTGCAATCATAGCTTACTACAGCCTTGAACTCTCAGGCTCAAGCGATCGTCCTGCTTCAGCCTCTTGAGTAGCTGGGACTACAGGTGCACACCACCATGCCTGGCTAATATTTTAAATGTGTATTTTCTTGTTGAAGGGACAGGGTCTCTCTCTCTCTCTCTTGCCCAGGCTGGTCTCAAACTCCTGGCCACAAGTGATCCTCCTGCCTCAGCCTCCCAGAGTGCTGGGACTACAGACATGAGCCATCGCGCCCAGCTGAAAAATACTAATGAGAAACTGGTCAGCTTCCTTTTTCCAATAACTGCTATGTAACCCCATCCTTCTTTGCCTTGGCATCTAGGAAGCTCTGGGCAGAGCTGTGTGCTCAACCACAAGAGCTTCCCTGGACTGCTTTTTGACACCATCACCTCCCAGAGTCCTTTTCTCAATTACTAGGCTCTCAGCTTTCAGTTCCCCCTCTGGTTTTTGGTTTGGTTGGGGAAAGCATGGAAAGTGAAATTCAACAAACTCACAACCCAGTTGAGCTATAAAAGACCAACAGACCTTGGTTCAAAACCTAGATATGCCACCTATGCACTCTGGGATCCTGGGCACACGATTTATCACAGTCCGTCTCCGGGATGACCATGCTCACAGTGCTACGTTGGTTACATGAGACATAAACACCCAGCGCAGACACTCAACGGTTACACTCAACTCCTTTTATTTTCATTAGAATTTTCTATTATTTATTTATTTGGGGAATTTTCTATTTTTCATTTATTACTGTATATTTTGAGATGGGGGTCTCACTCTATCACCCAGGTTGGTGTGCAGTGGTCTGATCATGGCTCACTGCAGCCTCAACCTCCCTGGGCTCAGGTGATCCTCCCACCTCAGCCTCCCAAGTAGTTGGGATGACAGGTACACACCACCACACCCAGCTAATTTTTAAACACTGATGTTTAAAAACACTAATTTTTAAATAGAGATGGTGTTTTGCCATGTGGCCCAGGATGGTCTTGAATTCCTGGGCTCTAGTGATCCGTCCACCTCGGCCTCCCACAGTGCTAAGATTATAAGCATGAGCCACTGTGCCAGGCCCTAGGATTTTTAAAATAAACAAATTTATTCATGTCTTCAGCATCCAGGTAACTGATCTAGAAAGATTTAGAGTCAGAATATTCTTCTTCAATTATAAAATGATTACTGAATAAATTATCAACTACAGAAGGAACTTGAGACACAATTTTTCTTTTCTTTTTTTTTGCAGAGACAAGTGAGCATTTATTTTTGTGCCTTTCTTCCTATGTATATTTCAAGCCTTTTTCAAGGCCCCAGGAATCTCCGGATTCAATTATGTCCCCGGGCTTGGTCGACTGCTGCAGGACTCTTAGGGAGCCTTGTACAAATGCTAGAGTTACTCATTCACCAACATTAAACCCTAGGATAGAAGATGCAACAAAGCAAGACTCCTTTCTCCACAAAATGTGATTTCAGACAAGGCAGCAGCCAACGTAGAAAACGCTGGAATTTTTCCTTGGAACTGGACTGTGATGAGAGGTGCCGCCATGAACGTAAGCTACTGTCTTTTCTTTTCTTTTTTTTTTTTTTTGAGATGGAGTTTCGCTCTTGTTGCCCAGGCTGGAGGACAAAGGTCTGATCTTGGCTCACCACAACCTCCGCCTCCCGGGTTCAAGCGATTCTCCTGCCTCAGCCTCCCCAGTAGCTGGGATTACAGGCGTGTGCCACCACGCTCAGCTAATTTTTGTATTTTTAGTAGAGACGGGGTTTCTCCATGTTGGTCAGGCTGGTTTCGAACTCCCGACCTCAGGTGATCTGCCCGCCTCAGCCTCCCAAAGTGCTAGGATTATAGGCGTGAGCCACCGGGCCCGGCCAGCCACTGTCTTTCCTTTGACCCTTCCTTTACAGTTTTTGAAGATAAAGCAGGAAATAATCTTCTCTGAAGATACTTGATAAAAATTCCACCCCGCCCCCAAAAATAACACAAGCTTCCAGTTCATTGATAAAAATTTACTGTAGTTTGGCACCTGGCTCTAGTTCAGCTGGCGGATGAGCTGATTGATGCACACACCCCCAAGAAGATGGAGGTGTGCCAATCTCCTTCAGAAAGTCCACTATTTTTGGTAGCATGACAGTCCACTGAGAGGTGGAAAGGGGACAAGAACCATGAGATCTCCTGGAAATGCTTCCTTGGGAAGGCAATTTCATGAATGAGGTCTTCCAAGCAAAAGACACCAAGCTTTCCCAGGTGCTCCTCAATCACTGTGTTGTCAGAGGGATGGTCTTATTCTTGACCTTGGCTTGTCTACGTTTCAAAATGAGTTTCTGGACAGACTTCAGATTTGGAAATCCCCAGGTCACATAAGGTTACATACTATACGCTGCATTTTTAGGTTTAAGTCTTGCAATGGCTCTCCGCACCAGTAAACTCACACCATCAATCCTTTCGACGCGTACAACAAAGGCCAAGGAATGTTTATCTGGCGATTCCAAGGTGTGAGGTTTTACTTCTAGTCGTCTGAGACACACCTTGTCATGTTTCTGCCGCCAGGAATCATGTAGGAATGATTCCAGTCGTTTAAACCTGAGCTCTTTTCCTTCCCTCTGCTCCTCCTTTGCCAAAAGTGCCTACTTTGACTGGGTGGCTTTGAGGCCTTGATAAGCCTTCTGCTTTCAGGAGATTTTCTGGAGCCAAAGGGATTTTTCTTTGCTCCTGCTTTGCCATCTTTCTAGTGTTGCAGCTACTGAACATGCGCAACCCCACCACTGACACAAAATTTTATACCTGGATGGAAAACTAAAGTCCTACCAAAAGTTCCTACTGTACTTTGGAATAATCTTCAGAAGTACAGACCAGGCCAGGCGCAGTGGCTCACGCCTGTAATCCCAGCACTTCGGAAGGCCGAGGCGGGCAGACTGCTTCAGGTCAGGCATTCGAGACCAGCTGGGCAACATGGTGAAACCCCATCTGTACTAAAATTACAAAAAATTAGCCAGGCATGATGGCACACACCTATAATTCCAGCTACTCAGGAGGTTGAGGCACGAGAATTGCTTGAACCCAGGAGGCAGAGGTTGCAGTGAGCCAAGATTGCGCCACTGCACTCCAGCCTGGGCGACAGAGTGACAGGCTCTGTCTCAAAAAAAAAAAAAAAAAAAACTACAGATCAGACCCAATTTTGACATCTGAGCTCAGTCAATATGCAGGAGAAAGCTCAGCAGTAAACTTGGGGGACAGAAGCCATATTTATTCATTCATCCATTCATCCAAGTGCCTACCTTATGCCTGGCATTGTTCTATGCCCCAGCTTACACTCGCAGAAATGATAGGTTCCCTGTTCTCAACTGAATTCACCTTCTAGTCCAACCGTATTGCCACTAGGGAGGGGAGAATTAGACACCTTTTATTAAGTCACTGTTTATCCTTTATGAAAGCAGATGAAGAAGAAAACATGCAATAAGACAGTGACAGTGACCGGGCACAGTGGCTCCTGCCTATTATCCCAGCACTTTGGGAGGCTGAGCTGGGTGGACCACTTAAGGCCAGGAGTTCGAGACTGGCCTGGCCAACATGGTGAAACCCTGTCTCTACTAGAAATACAAAAATTAGCTAGGTGTGGAGGCACGTGCCTGTAGTGCCAGCTACTCGGGAGGCTGAGGCAGGAGAATCACTTGAACCTGACAGGTGGAGGTTGCAGTGAGCCAAATCGTGCCACTGCACTCCAGTCTGGGCGAAGAGAAAGGAGGGGTGACCGAAGCAGGGTTCCAAGATCAACCAGCAATGGTACCATGGACAGATCTTGGAACGTGGTAGGGAGGGGAAGAGAGGGAGAATTATGGGTCAATTACGGGTCAGCGCAGCAGGAAGTGACAAGGGGCTACAGTAAGACCACAGCAGTGGAAAGAGATTTAAAGGGCCGGGCGTGGTGGCTCACGCCTGCTGTAATCCCAGCACTTTGGGAGGCCGAGGCAGGCAGATCGCCTGAGGTCAGGAGTTCGAGACCAGCCTGGCCAACACAGTGAAACCCTGTCTCTACTAAAAATACAAAAATTAGCTGGGCGCGGTGCCGCGCACCTATAATCCCAGCTACTCGGGAAGCTGAGGCAGGAGAATCACTTGAACCTGGGAGGCAGAGGTTGCAGTGAGCTGAGATTGTGTCACTGCACTCTGAACAACAGAGCAAGAATCTGTCTCAAAAAAAAAAAAAAAAAAAGACTAAAAACTTACAGGACTTGGTGGTGGTGGGAGACCCAGAATGGAGAGGAAGGGAAAAGGGACAGGAGTCTTTTGTCCTTGGAGCTTCAGGGCCCAGGAAGTCGGTGAGGCCACTGACAGATAGAGCTCTTGTTGTGGAGGTTTCGGGTAGATGGGCTGGGAGCTTTTGATCACTGCTGTGACGCTGAATGACTCCTGAGTTTGCAAATCACGTTACGTAAGGAACGCGTCCAACGTGTCCATGTTAAGACTGTGTGGTTTCATGAGCAGTCAAAGGGTCTGAAGCCCTTCACCAAAACCAACAGTGGCTTTTCTCCACAAGACCACAAATACCTGACGGAACATTCCTGATGCCAAACTGCACTCTGAATGATGCCGGGCACCACTGGCTAATGCACTCTCCTGTGTATTCAAGAACTGCCATCCCTGTTTGCAGTGTTGAAAACTCAACCCAGGTGACCTATGGTCACTACATATGAGTTCAGAAAGTTCAGAAAGGTGACCGTAGTTCACGTGTTCCTAACCAAACCTGCAAACCTTTGTACAGGCCCGGCTTACCCAATGCACTGATGATGCATGCCCACGAAGATCAAAGTATCACTAGGACACAGTGCTCTAAGAACACCGGCATCACCACCGCAGAGGTGATGTGACGTGAGCTCAGAAACAGGGCTGTAGGAAAAAGTGCCGAAGATAAAAGGAGGGCAGATAAATAGAATGAGTAAGCACTGTTCTTAACTTTCACCTAGAAATAAATTACATCTGTTCCAAGTTAGAGGACACGCCCCACAATGCCCCATCTTCCTCCTCATTACTACATCCAAGTAGACAAAAGGCAACTTTCCCCCTTCTATTCTCCTACCAAATGTCTCCTAAAGAATTCAATTCTTATAAGCTGGACATGGTGGCTCACGCCTGGTAATCCTAGCACTTTGGGAGGCTGAGGCGGGTGGATCACTTGAGGTCAGGAGTTTGAAACCAGCCTGGCCAACACAGTGAAACCTCATCTCTACTAAAAATACAAAAAAAAATTAGCCGGGCGTGATGGCACGCGCCTGTAATCCCAGCTACTTGGGAGGCTGAGGCAGAAGAATTGCTTGAACCTGGAAGGCAGAGGTTGCAGTGAGCCAAGATCACACCACTGCACTCCAGCCTAGGCGAGAGAGTCAGACTCTGTCTCAAAAAAAAAAAAAAAAAAAAAAAAAAAGAAATTCAACTCTTGGAGAACAGTCCACAGCTGACAGCACCACAGTCTGGCCACCAACATATTCTAAGTTAGCCTTGAAACTGACGCATTTCGGGAAATTATGTGTACAATTCTCTCAGCTAGGTACAGATGCTGCACAAAGGAGATCCGAATGCCACACCCTCCAGCACTCCAATGAAAGGACAATTCTTAGATATCCCCCTATCCAAGTCACCTCTTTAACAAGTGAAATAAATAAGCTTCCCACATCAACAGTTTGCTGCACAAGCCACCAGAAGGATCAGGTTCCCCGGGGCTTTGTTCACAACACGTCCAAGCATCAACTGAGTTGCCACACCGACCAGCGTCAGGAGTAACAGTTACTGGGCTGGGCGCGGTGGCTCATGCCTGTAATCCCAGCGTTTTGGGAGGCTGAGATAGGAGGCTCACTTGAGGCCAGGAGTTTGAAACTAGCCTGGGCAACATAGCCAGACCCCACTTCTACAAATAATAAATAAATAAATAAACATACAGAGAGAGAAAAGGAAAGAAAGAAACAAACTGATGAACGTGGCTCCAGTGAACCCAACCAACTGGAGCCACCAATCTGCAAAGAACCATGGTCTGCCCCCATGGAATTCCTCCATCTTCTCTCCCTCTTATATGCATACACACACACACACACACACACACACGCACGCACAGATGCAGACAGGCGTGTGCACACTAATCCCAACAAGAACACAACTGATGTAAACATCTCGCTTGGGGAGGAAAAACTTTTAAGATGTAGAGCTCTAAAACAGTATGATTACAAATTTAGACACAGTAAAAATTTCCCAAATGGTTGTTCATTCACCCAGAGAGGATATTAGGCAGTAAGAGAATATTCAGTACAAGAAAACACTGTCCTGAGCCAGACATGGTGGCCGGTGCCTGTAATCCTAGCTACTCGGGAGGCTGAGGCACAAGAATTGCTTGAACCCAGGAGACAGAGGTTGCAGTGAGCCAAGATCACACCACTGCACTCCAGCCTGGGTGACAGAGTGAGACTCTGTCTAAAAAAAAAAAAAACACACAACACTGATCTGAGCTAGTCACATAGCCCTGACCTTTTAAAACACCTCCCCATCTCTTCCCATGGTTCCTAGGACCATTTCAGACAAGTGCCACCACGCGACCTCAGCCTCATGCAATCTACACCCTACATGCCCCCCAGAGCTGGTGTGCCTGGGTGGGCTCAGAGAACTCCTAGCAATCCTCCAAGACCCAACTCAAACATCACCTCTCCCCTGGAGCCCTGCTGTGGAAACAAACAGCAGGCTCAGCACTAATAAAAGCCTCACCCCATCATCTTGAGAATGAATGCAACACACCGTGCCATTCTTGTTGAATTGTATGCTTGCTTCCCTCCCTGTGAGAGTTCTCAAGTGCCCAAACCAGAGCCTACACATATCCTAAGGCCGGATGTGTGCTTTTTTATGTGTCACGCTACAGGGATCCAAACAGCGCCAAGAAGATGAAGAAGGACCCACTGCTGAAAGGGTTAACATGTTCTGAGCTGTCCCAGAGGCAGGTGGAGTGGGTTCTTTCTCTGACTTTAGTGATGAAGAAACTAAGGCTTGGTATAGGTCAGCGGCCTATGCAAGCAGGTAAGTGACCTCTGACTCAGATGCTTCTCCCACCTGCCCGGCGGGTCCAAATTTCTGCCCAATGCCAGATGACAAAACTGCACAGCAAAACAAGTTGTTGTTTTTTGGGTTTTTTTTTCTGAGACAGAGTCTCACTCTGTCACCCAGGCTGGAGTGCAGCAGCACGATCTCGGCTCACTGCAACCTCCGCTTCCCAGGTTCAAGTGATTCTTCTGCCTCAGCCTCCTGAGTAGTTGGGATTACAGGTGCACACCACCACACCGGCTAATTTTTGTATTTTTAGTAGAGACGGGGTTTCACCACGTTGGCCAGGCTGGTCTCGAACTCCTGACCTCAAGTGATCTGCCTGCCTCGGCCTCCCAAAGTGCTGGGATTACAGGCGTGAGCCACCATGCCCAGTCAATTTTTGTATTTGTATTTTTTTTATAGAGACAGGGATTCGCCGTGTTGCCCAGGCTGGTCTCAAACTCCTGGACTCAAGCAATTCACCCACCTTGGTCTCCCAAAGTGCCGGAATTACAGGCGTGAGCCACTGTTCCCAGCCTAGAATTGGCATTTGAAAGTCTTTTAAGGCTGTAGCCACCTGGGAGGCTGTGTGCTAATGAGCACAGAATCTTTGGCCAGGTGGTGGGTACTCGAAATTCCAGCTACTCAGGAGGCTGAGGCAGAATTCAAGCAAGGAAAATTGCTTGAACCTGGGGGAGGTGGAGGCTGCACTGAGCCCACTGCGCTCCAGCCTGGGCGACAGAGCGAGACTCCATCTCAAAAAAAGAAAAGAAAAGAAAAGAAAATTGTCATTTCTCCATTTCACCTTTTTCTAACTTTAATTTTTAAGTGAGTCTGACATATAACAGAAAGTTAAATCCCAACATGCTCAATTGAGGCCACACACGGTGCTAGTGCCAGAGCTTGACCTCTGTTTCTCTGGCTCCTCCCTAAAGCACAAGGACATCGAAGCTCTTGTAGGGGCGGCCAGCCTCTCTGGAACCATGAAAGGTCCTATAACTTCAAGAGCTTCCATCAGAAAAAAAAAAAAAAAAAAGAAGAAGAAATAAGAAAGCCAGGAACGGTGGCTCACACCTGTAATCTCAGCACTTTAGGAGGTCAAAGCAGGAGGACCACTTGAACCCCAGAATTCGAGACCAGCCTGGGCAACATGGCAAACCAAATCTCTAAAAAACATTTAAAAAATTAGCTGGGTGTGGTGGTGCGTGCCTGTACTCCCAACTACTTGGGAGGCTGAGGAGGGAGGATTGCTTGAATCCTGGAGGTTGAGGCTGCAGTGAGCTATGATTGCGCCACTGCACTCCAGCCTGCACGACAGAGTGAGACCTGTCTCACAAAAAAAAAAAAGTTACTTAAAAGCTAAATTATTTTTAACTTGAAATGTTCCATGGACTTCACGAGTAAATGTTCTGGATTTGCCAAGCAGTTTTGATTTCAATTGGCCTGTCTCCTAATCATACACAGACTTACCTAACACAGATTCTGATTTTCAAGGGGTTAAGGGTGGATCAACCCAGAGTTAACCAACAGCAGGTCCTAAAATTCAGGTATGTCTGGCAGCAAACATCCTCTGTGGCATTTATAAACTCCTACTACCCAGGACGATCCACACCTGATTTACATTGGCTGCGGTCAATGCTGCTGTTTTCAGGAATATCCCTGGGTTGTTTCATTTCAAATCTACCTATTATTTCTTCAAGTGCTAGACCTGAAGAATTTTGGAAAATTAAGATCACTCCTAAGTTTCCACACCACCACGCAACTGGCAGCTAGCATCCCATTCTCTGAAATGCGGATGTTGTACAAATACTTTTTATAATAAGCTATCTGCTCAGCGAAAGTTTCCAACATTAGATGGCATGAAGGTCATAAGTAGCTCAAAAACCACTCTCTTAAAAGGAAAATAAGAACTCCTAAAACAGCCCTCCTCCCAAAAAAAAGGAAGTGGACCTTTCTGGGTTCCCTGGTTTACTAACTGGGCCTTTGGAGCTGTTCTCCTGACCAAGCCAACCCCATAACCACTCAAAAGGGATTTCCGTAGGTAGAACTTGCAAATGGTTAATGAATCAATGCCTTCTCCATAAAGCAAGACCCAAGGAATTACAGCAGTGAACAACGGTGGGGATACTGGATCCCCCAGAGGGTTCCATAAACGTTCTGCTTACAAGGAGGATTAAAGTTCTCGATGCCACTCTCTGGGACCCTGTCTTGATCCTCAGAATCTCAACCCTGTGGGGAGAGCAGGGTGGCTGTCTTACTACCAGACCCACTGATCAGAAAACGGAGGCTCCAGGAGGTATCTTGCTTGCCAAGAATCAAACCAGGGCCACCCAGTCCAGTCCTGTCTCCTTTTGTGCTGGCATCATTCTCCAGCTTGGCCAAGCTCAGAGGCAAGGCAAGGCAAGGCTGCAGCTTTAAGGGTTTAAGAGAGGAGACAGCCACTTTCATTGAAACAGCCCCAAACTCCTTATTAGTGGTCACCAGTTTACACAAGGGTAACTCGTTTTGAAAAACAATACGCAGAAAGTCGAAGTCAATCAAGCTCACTGAAACCTCTACTCTCCTCCCCCTGGCGCCCAAGAGACCTTGAACTCTTACCCAATTGCTCCCCCGATCTAAGGGTGTCCCGGCTCCCCCAGGAGATCCGGGTACCTGTGTTGTGGGGGCCGCCGAGACACCTGACTGCGAGGGGCACTGCCCTCAGGGATGCAGGCCGGGCTGGGGGGCTCCCGTGATCCATCGACTCAGCCCACCTGATGCTGCAGGGTTAGATTCGGGTCCCATGAGCATGCATCGAGCGCCTCTCACGTTAGGTACCCCCAGAATTCGCTGCCTCCCGAGGCCCATTCATCGTACAGATGGGGAAACTGAGGCTCGGAGAGTTAAAGTGGCTTAGCCCGTGGGGGGCGGCGGCGCGGGGACTGGACCCCGAGCCCTGAGATACCGAGCCCTAACCCTCAGCCGAGGGCCTGCCGGGCTCTCTCGGCCCAAGCTGTGGAAAAGTCGACCCTCAGGCCGCCGCGGGAGATCAGCTCTAGGGGAAGGGCGACGCGGAGGAGGGCCGGGGTGGGAGCCATGCCTTCCGCCCGAGCGTCGGGCCAGACGCGCAGTGCCCAGGCCCGAGGGCCCACCCCGACGCAGAGAGCCAGGCGGCCGCGGTGAACTGAGGCGCCCGGCAAACCCCGAGTCTTGGGGCCCGACCTCACCCACCCCGCCGTCGCCGCGAAAGATAGCACTCACCGCTGGCAGCCCGGCTGCTCTCTGCGGGCACCTGGGCAGGGCTCAGGCCCACACCACTGAGGCGCTACCACCGCCTTCGCCGGCCGCGGGGGTGGGGGCGTGGCCATTGGGCCGCCGCCCCGCCCACTCGAGCCGCGCGTGCATTCCCGGAGCCCCGCGCTTCCCCCTGCAAATTTGCGCTCTTGGTACGGCCCGGCCCGGCCACGCCCCCTCGCGGCTCGGCTGGGTCGCCCGGCAGAGAAATGAAAGTGCGTGGTTCCGGGGGTGGCGGAGTCGCCTGGAGACGGCGGCTGCGGCTTCTACAGCTCGGACCCTGCAGGTCACCGGGCCGGCTGCCCACCTTCCCGGGGATCACTGCAGAACTGTGGCTGTGCGCCCGCCGGTCTAGCCTCCTCCTTCGGGCCGCCGCTTGCTTGTGATCGCCACATTGTCTCCTCCACGGCCCTGTTTCCTCACCTGAAATTGGCGAGGCTTCAGGCCCAAGTCGTCTCCCTGGGTTCCCTCCATCCAGCCTGACGGCGGAGGGCGCGCGTTTGTTTTTAGAGACAGGGTCTCGTTCTGTCGCCCAGGCTGGATTGCAGTGGTGCAGTCACAGCTCACTGCAGCCTTCAACTCCTGTGCTCAGGCGATTCTCCCACTTCAGCCTCCCAGTAGCTGGGACTACAGGCGCGCCACCACACCTAGCTAATTTTATTTTATTTTATTTGCAGAGATGCGGTCTCGCTATGATGCCCAGGTTGGTCTCGAACTGGTCTCAAGTGATCCTCCCTCCTCGGCCTCTCAAAGCGCTGCGATTACAGGCGTGAGGTCCCACACGCTGCCTAGAGCTCGCTTTTGAAGGCCGGCCTGTTGGGGGTGGGAAGTGACCAAGCAGGAGGCAAGCCCTGGATGGAAGAGGAGTGGGGGGATACAGAGAGCTTCTGGGGTTTGAAAAGTCTGGCAGCCTTGGTTGGGGAGTGAAGCCCACCTCTGCCTCCTGCTATGGTTTCTACTTTACAGGGTCATGAAGATTAAGTGGTATAACCTTTGTTCCTAAAGGATTTAGAGCACGGCATTACTAAGTGTTCTCATCGCCATTGTTATTATTACTACTACTACTATTATTACTAGCTGTGCTGTGAATTCCTTTTGCAACACTGTGCAACTCACTTCTCTCAGAGCCCCTTCTCCATCTTTTAAAAATAGCCCAGGCACGGTGGCTCACGCCTGTAATCCCAGAACTTTGGTAGGCTGAGGTGGGCGGATCACCTGAGGTCAGGAGTTCGAGACCAGCCTGACCAACATGGCAAAACCCCGTCTCTACTAAAAATACAAAAATTAGCTGGGCATGGTGGCGGGTGCCTGTAATCCCACCTACTGGGGAGACTGAGGCAGGAGACCCACTTGAACCCCGGAGGCAGAGGTTGCAGTGAGCCCAGTTCACACCACTGCACTCCAGTGTGGCCGACAGAGTGACACTCCGTCTCACAAAAAAAAAAAAGTTAATTTATAAAATAATACATAAATATAACATTTATATATTATATAAATGTTATATTTGTTATATTTATATATTATATAAATAATATATATTATATAATAACATATATGTTACTTATTTTTTGAAACAGGGTCTCCCTTTGTCGCTGAGGCTGGGATGCAGCCTCGACCTCCTGGGCTCAGGTGATCCTCCTGCCTCAGCCTCCCTAGTAGCTGGAATTACAGGCATGCGCCACCACAACTGGCTAATTTTTGTATTTTTATTTTTCATTTTAAAGAAAGTTGATTGAAATTTTTTTGTAGAGATGGTGTTTTGCCATGTTTCCCAGGCTGGTCTCAAACTCCAGACCTCAAGCAGTCCTCCCACCTTGGCCTCCCAAAGTGCTGAGATTACAGGTGTGAGCACTGCACCTAGCCTAATTTTTAAATTTTTTGTAGAGACAGAGTCTCGCTATGTTGCCCAACCTGGTCTTGAACTCCTGGCCTCAAGGGATCCCTTGCCTCGGCCTCCCAAAGTGCAGGAATTACAGATGTGAGCCACCATTCCCATCCACTCTTCATCTTTAAAATATTGTGAAAATAGCAAAATCCTATATAAAGAGATTATTACCATGGCCCAGGTGCCAGGTTTCCTATGTCCAGGAACCAGTCCCTCCAACAGGTTGGATGAATGCAGTAGCCCTCAGGGTGGGGCACAATACCTGTCCAAAGAAGGGACTGAACTCCACACTCACCCAGAGAGAGAGCTGTGGAGAAATTCACCCAGATATCTGATACTCTGTGCCATCTTTTCAACACCCTGTTGGACATCTCCCCAGGATGTCCCAGTGAGGCTTCAAATTTGGACTTTGACTCCATGCCCCCTGCTTTTTTTGAAACCAGAACTCCTAAAACACTGAGTCTTCTCTGTCTGCTAATAATATAGCATCACTAAGGAAACATCAGGAAACAGGCATTTTACCTCTTTGGCCTTTTCCCATTGAACCAATAACTGGGTCCTATGGATTCTATCTCCAGAACCTCCTCTTGTCATCTTTTCTGCTGTCCCTGTTCCAGTTGGGGCCACGTGGGTTCACCGTTCACCTGGATGATCTCAGCAGCTTCCTGACTTTTTTGGGGGGGATGGAGTCTCACTGTGTCACCCAGGCTGCAGTGCAGGGGCACCATCTCAGCTCACTGCAACCTCTGCCTCCTGAGTTCAAGCGATTCTCCTGCCTCAGCTGCCTGAGTAGCTGGGATTACAGACTTGTGCCACCACACCCGGCTAATTTTTGTATTTCTAGTAGAGATGGGGTTTCACCATATTGGCCAGGCTGCTCTCGAACTCCTGACCTCAGGTGATCCATCTGCCTTGGCCTCCCAAAGTGCTGGGATTACAGGTGTGAGCCACCGCACCTAGCCGGCTTCCTGACTGTTTATGTCACTTCTCGTTTCTGCTACACCCACTGGCAAGGAAGCCTCTTTTTTTTTTTTTTTTTTTTTTTTTTTTTTTTGAGACAGGGTCTCACTCTGACACCCAGGCTGAAGTGTAGTGGTGAGATCTAGGCTCACTGCAACCTCCACCTCCTGGGTTCAAGCGATTCTCCTGCCTCAGCCTCCTGAGTAGCTGGGATCACAGGTGTGCACCACCACACCTGGCTAATTTTTGTATTTTTAGTAGAGACGGGGTTTTGCCATGTTGGCCAAGCTGGTCTCGAACTCCTGACCTCAGGTGATCCATCCTCCTCAGACTCCCAAAGTGCTGGGATTACAGGCGTGAGCCACCACACCGAGCTGAAAGCTTCTCTTCTTCAGTTACTGTCCTCCTCATTGTCCTACCTTCCTCTCCTTCCCTCCCCACCCCCACCCCGAAAAAACACTCTCGCTGGCCAGCTGGGGGGAAAAAAAGTAGGTTGCATCCACATCTCACATATTACACTAATATAAATTCCAGATAGATAAAATATTTAAATGATTTTTTAAGGGAGAAGGAAAAAAAAAGCCCCCAAAAGTCCATGGGAGAATTGGTGTTAATAATCCCCAAGAGGCATTTCTAAATTATGAAATTATGACATAAACTCCAGAAGCCATAAATGAAAACATTGAGAAATAATCTGGGCTGGGTACAGTGGCTCACGCCTGTCATCCCAGCACTTTGGGAGGCTGAGGTGGGAGGATCGCTAGAGCCCAGGAGTTCGAGATCAGCCTGGCCAACATGACGAAACCCCGTCTCTACTAAAAATACAAAAATTAGCTGAGCATGGTGGCACATGCCTGTAGTCCCAGGGGTGGCTGAGACAGGAGAATGGCTTGAACCCGGGAGGCAGAGGTTGCAGTGAGCTGAGATTGCGCCACTGCACTCCAGCCTGGGTAACAGACTGAGACTCCGTCTCAAAAAAACAAAAACAAACAAACAAGGGGCCGGCAGGGCACGGTGGCTCACACCTGTAATCCCAACACTTTGAGAGGCCGAGGCAGGCAGATTACTTGAGGTCAGGAGTTTGAGACCAGCCTGGCCAACATGGTGAAACCTCGTCTCTTAAAAATACAAAACATTAGCTGGGCGTGGTGGGCGCCTGTAATCCCAGCTAGTCGGGAGGCTGAGGCAGGAGAATCGCTTGAACCTGGGAGGCGGAGTTTGCAGTGAGCCAAGGGTGCACCACTGCACTCCAGCCGGGGTGACAGAGTGAGACTCTTGTCTCAAACAAACAAACAAACAAGGAAGGAAGCTCATTGCTTAAACAGAAAAATCTCTGAGACAAATTGATAAATATGCAAGGTACAGAACAGTAGGTATAGAATGTTACCGTTTGTATGTTCTCAAACAATTGTGGTGGGAAATGAGGGAAGAACATAGATACTAGGTATACATATTTGCCTGTATGTGCATGAAATACCTCCTGAAACAAAAACAAAAACAAAAAAAAAAAAAAGGGAGGGAGGTAAGGTTGGTTGTCTCTGGAGAACTGGGAGGAGGGAGACCAGGGGCAAAGGAATATATTTCACTATATACTACTCTGTATCATTCAAATTTTGTACCTTATGAATGTATTACTTATTCTAAGTCAAATACATAAATACCTTTTTTTGTTTTAAATTAGAGACTGGGTTTTGCTCTGTCGCCCAGGATGGAGTACAGTGGCATGATCATGGCTCACTACAACCTCTGCCTCCTGGGCTCAGGCAATCCTCCCACCTCAGCCTCCGAGTAGCTGGAACTACAGGTGAGCACCACCACACCTGGCTAATTTATTTTTTATTTGTTGTTGAGAGAGGGTCTCGCTATGTGGCTGGTCTTGAACTCCTGGGCTCAAGTGATCCTCCCACCTCGGCCTCTCAAAGCGCTGGGATTCCAGGTGTCAGCCTCTACACCCAGCTCATAAATACTTTTTAAATACCCAGATAATCTTGCTGCTGGCCAAAGAACAAACTTTTACTTGCTCCCCAAATCTAAAGAATAGTGACTATAGACTTGATTTTCTTTTTTTTTAAGGTGGAGTATTGTTCTGTCGCCTAGGCTTGAGTGCAGTGGTGTGATCTTGACTCACTGCAACCTCCTCCTTCTGGGTTCAAGCGATTCTCCTGCCTCAGCCTCCAGAGTAGCTGGGACTGCAGGTGCGCTCCACCACGCCCAGCTAATTTTTTATATTTTTAGTAGAGATGGGGTTTCACCACTTTGGCCAGGCTGGTCTCGAACTCCTGACCTCAAGTGATCCACCTGCCTCGACCTCCCAAAGCGCTGGGATTATAGGCATGAGCCAATGCATCTGGCTGAAAGGATAAATTCTTCTCTTTTTTAGCATTTTCTTCTGGTCATTACAGCCATGCTGGTACATACATGTTTTTCTGGCTGATTTTGACCTGTGACTTTCTTTTCTTCTTCTTCTTTCTTCTTCTCTCTTCTTCTTCTTCCTCCTCCTTCTTCTTCTCTTCCTCTTCCTCCTCTTCCTTCTTCTTTTCTTCTTCTTTCTTCTTCTTTTCTTTTCTCCTTCTTCTCCTCCTTCCTCTTCTCCTCTCCTTCCTCTTTTCCTTCCTCTCCTTCCTCTCTTTCCTCTCCCACCTCTCCCTCCTCTCCCTCTTCCTCTTCTTCCTCTTCCTCCTCTTCTTCTTCCTTCCTCTTCCTCTTCTTCTCTTTCTTCTTTCTCCTCCTCCTCCTTGTTCTTCTTTTCTTTTCTTTTCTTTTCTTTTTTAAATATAGAGACAGGCCAGGTGCGGTGGCTGACGCCTGTAATCCCAACACTTTGGGAGGCCAAGGCGGGCGGATCACTTGAGGTCAGCAGTTCAAGACCAGCCTGGCCAACATGGTGAAACTCGGTCTCTACTAAAAATATAAAAATTAGCTGGGTGTGGTGGTGGGTGCCTGTAATCCCAGCTACTTGGGAGGCTGAGGCAGGAGAATCCCTTGAACCCAGGAGGCGGAGGTTGCAGTGAGCCGAGATCACGCCACTGCACTCCAGCCTGGGATATATAGAGAGAATCCATCTCAAATAAATAAATAAATAAATAAATAAAGAGACAGGTTCTCACTATGATGCCCAGGCTGGTCTCAAACTCCTGGGCTCAAGCAATCCTCCTGCCTCAGCCTCCCATAGCACTGGGATTACAGGCATGAGCCACCATGTCCAGCCCTCTGCCTGATATTTTAGATGTTACCTCTGGAGTCCCACTGATGTGAGTTAGGCCATTTAAACCACAGCTCACCTCTGCTGCCCACACCCTTCCAATATTATTTATACACCTAATTTAATTCCTCTGTTAATCACTTTTATAATTTAAGTAGTAGCCTGGGGCCTTTGTTTTTTGATCCATGAACAGTATCTCTTAATATTGTACGATGAAGCTTCCCTTTCCCTTTGCTCTGTCCCTCTAAAACTTTAGCCGTCTGAACCTCTACATTTTCATTATTGAGCTTGATAACATCTATATTCTAAATATGTTTTCTGGCCAGGTAAGGTGGCTCCCAACACTTTGGGAGACCGAGGTGGGAGGATGGCTTGAGGCCAGGAGTTCAAGACCAGCCTGGGCAACACAGCAAGACCCTATCTCTACAAAAAATTTTTTTAAAAATTAGCCAGGCTGGGCCAGGCACGGTGGCTCATGCCTGTAATCCCAGCACTTTGGGAGGCCGAGGCGGGAGGATCACTTGAGGTCAGGAGATTGAGACCATCCTGGCTAACACAGTGAAACCCTGTCTCTACTAAAAATACAAAAAAATTAGCCGGGCTTGGTGTCAGGCACTTGTAGTCCCAGCTACTCGGGAGGCTGAGGCAAGAGAATGGCATGAACCCGGGAGGCAGAGCTTGCAGTGAGCCAAGATTGCCACTGCACTCCAGCCTGGGCTACAGAGCGAGACTCTGTCTCAAAAAAAAAAAAAATTAGCCAGGCTCGGCATGGTGGTTCATGCCTGTAATCCCAGCACTTTGGGAGGCAGAGGTGGGCATATCACCTGAGGTCAGGAGTTCGAGACCAGCTTGGCCAACATGGCAAAACCCTGTCTCTACTAAACAAATACAAAAATTAGCCAGGCGTGGTGGCAGGCGCCTATAATCCCAGCTACTTGGGAGGCTGAGGCAGGAGAATCGCTTCACCCCAGGAGGCGGAGGTTGCAGTCAGCTGAGATCGCGCCACTGCACTCCAGCCTGGGCAACAGAGTGAGACTCCATCTCAAACATAAAATAAATAAAATAAAATAAAAGCAGTGGAGCCGGGCATGGTGGCTCACACGTGTAATCCTAGCACTTTGGGAGACTGAGGCGGGGATTGTTTGAAGCCAGAAGTTTGAAACCAAACTGGGCATCATAGCAAGGCCCCGCCTCTACAAAAAATAAAAAATTAGCCAGGTGTGGTGGCGCGTGCCTGTAGTCCCAGCTACTCAGGAGGCTGAGGTGGGAGGATCGCTTGAGCCTGGAGGCTGAGGCTACAGTGAACTGTGATTGTGCCACTGCACTCCAGCCTGGGCAACAGAGCTCTCGGCCAACCCCATCTTTATGTTTTAAAAAAATAAAAATAAAAGATAAAATGAGAGCAGAGAAACAGGAGGGGGGGTGGCGGTTGCTGTCAAGTGCAAAGCACAGAGAATTGTTGACCCACCTGGCTCTCTTCATTGTCCAAATAACTTCCCCAGACCTTCTTCCGGTCTCCTTGCTGCCCCACACCCCTAGGTCCTCCTAACATGGCCAAAGTTTAACCGTGTTACACAACAGAGCCAAACTCTGTCTCTGAAAAAAAAAAAAAAAAGAAAAGAAAAAAAGAAAAAGTGGATCCCAGATTAGCTTGGCACTGAGAGAAGCTGGATTGGCTTCCACCATAGATGCTAGAGGGGTGTGGTTGATCCTTAGAGGAGGTGCTCCCACTTTCCCAGAACTCCAAATGTCACAGCGGCCTCTGACACCGTGTCTCATGTGTCTCCAGTATCACACCATGACCTTTGGACAGGATGGTTTATTCCCCTTGAGAGGCGTCCATGAGGGTGCAAGGCAAGTGAGTTTGCAGATTTCCTGGGTTGAGATAACCCTACAGGGTCAGGGATGAGAACATCACCAAAGTGTAGAAGCGCAGAATCTCTCTCTGGAGATCAGGGGACAAATTCCAATTAGACGGAACCAAGTGCATGGCCTTGGCCAAGTATCTTTTTTTTTTTTTCTTTGAGACCGAGTCTCGCTCTGTTGCCCAGGCTGGAGTACAGTGGTGCGACCTTGGCTCACTGCAACCTCTGCCTCCTGGGTTCAAGCGATTCTCCTGCCTGCCTCAGCCTCCAAAGTAGCTAGGATTACAGGTGCGTGCCACCATGCCTGGCTAATTTTTTTGTATTTTTAGTAGAGACGGGGTTTCACGATGTTGGCCAGGCTGGTCTTGAACTCCTGACCTTGTGATCCACCCACCTCGGCCTCCCAAAGTGTTAGGATTACAGGCGTGAGCCACTGTGCTCGGCCAACCCCATCTCTATGTTTAAAAAACAATAATAATAAAAGAAAATTAGAGCATTTAATAATAAAAGAAAATGAGAAACAGGAGGGAGGCGGTTGCTGTCAAGTGCAAAGCCAAGAGGATGGTTGACCCGCCTGGCTCTCTTCATTGTCCAAATAACTCCCCCAGACCTTCTTCCTGCCTCCTTGCTGCCCCAAACCCCTGGGTCTTCCTAACACGGCCAAAGAGGCATTTCAAAGAGGCGGCCCTGAACTGAGAAAGCAAACATGGCCTTTAGCTACAGCAGATCAGGTTTCCGGCTAGCTGTGTGGCCATGGATGGGTCCTGGGCACACGGACCCAGGCAGTTGCGTGAGGATTAAATGAGTTGCTGTGTGTGTGACATGGCCTGGTGCACCCAGCGGTTCTCAGAGCCCAGGATGGCTTCTTTCTCCTTCCTACTGCCCGCATACCCGCCCCAGTTTCACTCCATCCTTTGTTCCCCTCTGTTACGCAATCAAAGTTTCAGCTCTTCTGGGTTTGCATGCGGGAGCCAGAGCAAGCTTCTGGGGAAATGAGAGGGTGTTCGGGTGAGAGGGGGCCTCGGAAGCCACGCCCTTTCTCCCCCTCTTCCTCCCCATTCGCGTTCACATGCCAATGGGCCAGAACCTTTGCCCTGTCTCCCCAGTATGACACAAGCCCCAGGATTCTGTGCTCAAAATTGCTTGGCTGCTGCTGGCTGTTGCCAAAGCAACCAGCACCATTGTGCAAGGGCCGATGAAGAGAAGCCTGCCTGGCTTCCACGAACTGTTCAGACAGTGCTGTGGAGGACACCTGCCTGTGCCTCTGAGCAGTCACTTAGCAGAAATGGAAGTTGATGAGAGCTGATCCCTGGCCTCCAGGGGCTGGGAGTCTCCAGGCTGACTCACATCCCAGCCAGTACTGGTTTAGTTCAGTGATTCTCAAACCAGGAGCAGCAGCCTCACCTGGGAACTTGTTAGAAATGTCAAATTAGGCCAGGCATGGTGGCTCAAGCCCGTAATCCCAGCACTTTGGGAAGCCAAGGCAGGTGGATCACTTGAGGTCAGGAGTTCGAGACCAGCCTGGCCAATATGGTGAAACCCCCCACATCTCTACTAAAAATACAAAAATTGTCTGGCATCGTGGAGCATGCCTGTAGTCCCAGTTAACTCGGGAGGCTCAGGCAGGAGAATCGCTTGAACCCAGGAGGCAGAGGTTGCAGTGAGCTGAGATCATGCCACTGCACTCCAGCCTGGGCAACAGAGCGAGACTCTGTCTCAAAAAAAAAAAAAAAAGAAAAAGAAAAGAAATGTCAAATTAAGGCCTGGTGCAGTGGCTCAAGCCTGTAATCCCAGCACTTTGTGAGGCAGGAGTTTGAGACCAGCCTGGAGAACACAGCGAGACCCCATCTCTATAAAAAATTGGCCAGGCAAGATGGCGTGCGCCTGTGGTCCCAGCTACTCAGGAGCTTGAGATGAAAGGATTGCTTGAGCCTGGAAGGTTGAAGCTGCAGTGAACTATGACTGTGTCACTGTACTCCAGCCTGGGTGACAGAGCAAGACCCTGTCTCAAAAAAAGAAAGAAATAAACAAAAACAGGGGTTGTGGCTCATGCCTATAGTCCCAGCACTTTGGGAGGCCAAGGCGGGTGGATCACGAGGTCAGTAGATTGAGACCATCCTGGCTAACACGGTGAAACCTCATCTCTACTAAAAATACAAAAGAATTAGTTGGGCGTGGTGGCAGGCACCTGTAATCCCAGCTACTTGGGAGGCAGAGGCAGGAGAATCGCTTGAACCTGGGAAGCGGAGGTTGTAGCGAGCGGAGATCACGCCACTGTACTTCAGCCTGGGCGACAGAGAAAGAAAAAAAAAAACGAAAGGAGAGAGGGCGGGAAGGAGAGAGAAAAAGGAATGCCAAATTTCAGGCCACTTCCCAAATTGATTGAATCAGAAACTCTGGGGGTGGGGCCCTGCCATCTGTGGCTGAACAAGCCCTCCAGGTGATGCTGATACAGGCTGAAGATTGAGAACCACAAATCTGTTCTTTTCTTTTCCTTCTTTTTTTTTTTTTTTTTTGAGACGGAGTCTCGCTCTGTTGCCCAGGCTGCGGTGCAGTGGCGTGATCTCCGCTCACTGCAAGCTCTGCCTCCTGGGTTCACGCCATTCTCCTGCCTCAGCCTCCTGAGTAGCTGGGACTACAGGCGCCTGCCACCACGCTCAGCTAATTTATTTTTAGTAGAGACAGGGTTTCACCGTGTTAGCCAGGATGGCCCGATCTCCTGACTTCGTGATCCTCCCGCCTTGGCTTCCCAAAGTGCTGGGATTACAGGCGCAAGCCACCGCGCCCAGCCTCTTTTCCTTCTTTTTTTTTCCCTCCTCAAGACAGGCTCTTGCACTGTCACCCAGGCTGAAGTGCAGTGGTGCAATCATAGCTCACTGCAGCCTCGATCTCCTGGGCTTAAGCAAATCCTCCCACTTCAGCCTCCTGAGTAGCTGGGACTACAGGCTCACATCACCTTGGTCAGCTAATTTTTTTGTAAAGACAGCATCTCACTATGTTGCCCAGGCTGGTCTTGAACTCCTGGGCTCAAGTGATCCTCCTGCCTCAGCCTTACGAGTGGCTGGGACTACAGGTGCACACTACCACACCTGGCTAAGTTTTTTATTTTCTGTAGAGACTAGGTCTTGCTCTGTTGCTGAGGCTGGTATCGAAGTCCGAAGTCTAGGGCTTAAGTGATCCTCCTGTCTCGTCCTCCCAAAGTGCTGTGATTACAGGCATAAGCCACCGTGCCTGGCCTAAATCCTAGTCTTGAGATCTCACTGACACGCCAGGTTAATCTCTTTCCATACTTCCTCCCCCACAGACTCTCAGGGTCCCATCTCTTTTTTTTTTTTTTTTTTTTTTTGAGGAGTCTTGCTCTGTTGCCCAGGCTGGAGTGCAGTGGCGCTGTCTCGGCTCACTGCAAGCTCCACCTCCTGGGTTCACGCCATTCTCCTGCCTCAGCCTCCCGAGTTGCTGGGACTACAGGCGCCCGCCACCACGCCTGGCTAATTTTTTGTATTTTTTAGTAGGGACGGGGTTTCACCGTGTTGGCCAGGATGGTCTCGATCTCCTGACCTCGTGATCCACTTGCCTCGGCCTCCCAAAGTGCTGGGATTACAGGCTTGAGCCACCGCGCCCGGCCCTCAGGGTCCCATCTCATACAACATATGCCTGAACTCCCCACTCCTTCCCACATTTTTTTTTTTTTTTTTGAGACAGAGTTTTGCTCTGTTGCCCAGGCTGGAGTGCAGTGGCGCAATCTCAGATCACGGCAACCTCTGCCTCCCAGGATCAAGTAATTCTCCTGCCTCAGTCTTCTGAGTAGCTGGGATTATAGGCGCATGCCACTGTGCCCGGCTAATTTTTATATTTTTAGTAGAGACGGAGTTTTGCCATGTTAGCCAGGTTGGTCTTGAAATCCTGACCTCAGGTGATCCGCCCACCTCAGCTTCCCAAAGTGCTGGGATTACAGGTGTGAGCCACCGTGCCCAGCCCCTTTCCACAGTTTGGAATCTCCTCTTCAGCAACTAATAACTTCCAGACTGTTTTTGCACATGCCCCGTGACTAGGAGCTGCGGACCTATTCAGGCAGCGCATCAGCTTATGAAATCTCCAACTGGTTTAGGTTTCCCTTTGAGTGAGCTGAAATATATCCTCAGGTAAATCCACATTTTATAACACGTGTCTAATCCCCTGTAACAGAGATTACAGGATTATTTTATTTATTTTTGAGATGGAGTCTCACTCTGTTGCCCAGGCTAGAGTGTAGTGGCGAGATCTCAGCTTGCTGCAACTTCTGCCTCCCAGGTTCAAGTGATTCTCCTGCCTCAGCCTCCTGAGTAGCTACGTTACAGGCGTGTGCCATCATAGCTGGCTAATTTTTATATTTTCAGGAGAGATGGGGTTTCTGCATGTTGGCCAAACCGGTCTCGAACTCCTGACCTCAGGTGATCTGCCCACTTTGGCCTCCCAAAGTGCTGGGATTACAGGAGTGAGCCACAGTGCCTGGCCACAGGATTTTTAAAGTAAGAGAGAAAGGAGGGATATCTATGGATTTTTAAAGTATGAGAGGAAGGAGGAATATCTATGCTATTCATTTCCCCTGAATCTACCACCTCTCCTCTGCAGGTAGACAAAGCAGGTAGGCCAGGTGCAATGGCTGTGCCTGTAATCCTAGCACTTTGGGAGGATGATGAGGGAGGATCGCTTGAGGCCAGGAGTTCGAGACCAGCTTGGGCAACAAGGCAGATTCCCATCTCTACAGATAATTAAAAAAAAAAAAAATTTAAAGGCCAGGCACAGTGGCTCATGCCTGCAATCCCAACACTTTGGGAGGCAGAGGTGGGAGGATCACTTGAGGTCAGGAGTTCAAGACCAGCCTGGGCAACATAGCGAGACCCCGTGTGTACAAAACTTTTTTTTTTTTTTTAATTAGCTGGGCTTGGTGGCACATGCCTGTAGTCCCAGCTATTCAGGAGGCTGAGGTGGGAGGATTGCTTGAGACCAGGAGGTTGAAGCTGCAGTGGGCTATGATAACACCACTGCACTCCAGCCTGGGTGACAGAGCAAGGCCCTATTTCTTAAAAAAAAAAAAAAGATGAATTTTTGGAGTCTGGGTATAGGAGGAAAGGGTAGGTTGATGGACAGTAACTAAGACAAGGGGAGAGAGATGGGCATTCCAGCTTAACACTGCATGTGGACGATCTCCAAAAAAGCCTGCTGGGAGAATCAGTGAGCCCAGCTGGCCAGAGGATTTGCTCTCTATCAAAAGATAATGCAGTGAGCTAGATGTGGTGGTTCACGCCTGTAATCCCAGAACTTTGGGAGGCCAAGGTGGGCAGATCACCTGAGGTCAGGAGTTCGAGACCAGCCTGGCCAATATGGTGAAACCTCATCTCTACCAAAAATACAAAAGATTAGCCGGGCGTGGTGGTGGGTGCCTGTAATCCCAACTACTAAGGAGGCTGAGGCAGGAGAATCGCTTGAACCATGAGGCGGAGGTTATAATGAGCCAAGATCGCACCACTGCACTCCAGCCTGGGCGACAGAGCAAGACTCTGTCTCAAAAAATAAAAAAATTAATAATTAATTTTAAAATGCTATCTACAGTGCATGCTTTTTGCAAGCAGTTGCAGGGTTGCAGTCCCCTGTGCAGCCCACTGCCATTGGACTCTGTTGCCACATGGAAGCCCCCAGTAAAACCCCATGTCTCATCTGCTGGCTCTGGGGCTGTTCTTCAGCCTCTTGAACCTGGTGCCATCCCCACTGGAGCTAATATAGGTTCAGCACAACATAATATGGATTCAGAGAGACTATTTGTTTTTTTTTTTCTGAAATAGAGTCTTGCTCTTTCACCCAGGCTGGAGTGCAGTGGCAGGATCTCAGCTCACTGCAACCTCTGCCCCCACAGTTCAAGCATTTCTCCTGCCTCAGCCTCCCAAGTAGCTGGGATTACAGGTGCCCACCACCACGCCTGGCTAATTTTTTGGGTTTTTTTTCTTTTCTTTTTTTTTTTTTTTAGTAGAGACAGGGTTTCACCATGTTTGCCAGGCTGGCCTCGAACTCCTGACCTCAGGTGATCCACTTGCCTCAGCCTCCCGAGATGTCATCCCGAGATGGCACCCAGCCAGAAGAGACTTTTTATCCCAGAGGCAGCTCTCAAGCTCTTGGGGCCTAAGAGAATCACTTTGCTTTTGCTGTTGGGGGTGTGTAGCTAGTGTCCCACAAAAGAAGAAACCTGATCTGATCAGGGCCCTTATGTAGATCCTTGGGGACAATGACAGGATTATTTTAATTGTTTTGGCAATGTTGGTTCTGTCAAGTGTGGCAAGAGAAAAAGATGATGCCGTAGCTCAGAAAAGAAAAAAACAACCATCCTGGCCTCATTCCCCAGAACATGTTTTTTCAGAGGGATTAGTGTTTTGCATGAGAAGGAAGGAGCCCCAGAAACTACCCATCTTTGCCTTGGGCTTCCAGAGGGCATGTGGCTGTCCGAACCCTCGGTTTGAAGAGGATGTCTCCGTTTTTTGGTGATTGTCTTCTTCCTTCTCCCTTTTTATTTAAATTTTTTGTTTTTATTTTTATTTATATTTTCTGTTTTATTTTATTTGAGACAGAGTCTCGCTCTGTCACCCAGGCCAGAGTGCAGTGGTGCAGTCTCAGCTCACTGCAACCTCCGCCTCCTGGATTCAAGCCATTCTCCTGCCTCAGCCTCTGTAGTACCTGGGGTTACAGGCCGCGTGCCACCATGCCCGGCTAAGTTTTGTATTTTTAGTAGAGACAGCATTTCACCATGTCGGCCAGGCTGGTCTCGAACTCCTGACCTCAGGTGATCCTCTCACCTCAGCCTCCCAAAGTGTTAGGATTACAGGTGTGAGCCACCGCGCCCAGCCTATTTTTAATTTTTTTAGAGACAGGGTCTCCGTCATCCAGGCTGGAGTGCAGTGGCGCGATCATAGATAGCTCACTGCAGCCTCAACCTCCTGGGCTCAAGCGATCCTCCTGCCTCAGCCTCCCAAAGTGCTGGGATTACAGGTGTGAGCCACCCAAAATTTTTTTACAAGCATTTCCACCCTGCAGGCGGTCCTGGAAGCATGGAACTGGAGAAATAATTACAGGTGGTTCCCCAGGGACTCAGTGCCAGTCCCTGCAGCTAGGTGAATATTCCGAGACCCCTCACTGGAATCATGTAGGAAGGACAGGCCTCAATGGGCCAGCTGTGTGCTCCTCCAGCTCTGTGGCCTTGTCCCCTCCATTGCACTTCCTTCAGCTGATAATAGACACCTGGCTGCCTCTCTGTGCTCCACAAGGCCCTGGAAAATCCCCAAAGTCACCAGCCCTTGGCCCAGGGGCTCAGGGCTAGAAATCAGAAATGGCTGCAGGGTGGGATGAGGGTGGGAGCAGGTAGGATGCAAGGTGGACGAGAAAGGGGCGCCAATGTCCATTCCCCCACAGACTTAAAGCAGAGGTGGTCAGCATGGAGGAACCTTCCAGATCATCACACCAGCATCCTCATTTTACAGATGTGAACACTCAGTCCAGAGAGGTTGAAGCGCTTGCTCAAAGTCAACAGGAAAACAACAGCAAGGCTGGGACTGGGGCCCTTGGTTCAGATCCCTATTCAGGGCCTGTCCCTGTGACACCATCCAGGCCTCAGCACAGCTGTGGAGGCAGGACCTGCACCAGCTCCAGCCCCTTCCCCACTTCCAGGCTGGGACAGGAAGGAGGGCATGGCCATGCCTGGTCCATGCCGGGCCCTATCACCAAGGCTCGGAGCTGGTGCCATCTTCCCCCAGCTGCACCTCAGGGCTCGGCTCCAGCTGACCTGTAGGTATACAGCCAGCCTGCTCTCTGCCCTCCTTCCCTGGAGCCATTTGGAGGGACAAGGAGGGTGGGGCAGCAGGACCGCCACTTCCTAGGGCTCCACTTTGGCCCCCATACCCCCATCCTGCTCTGTCCCCATGCTAAGGAGGCACCCACCTGGACAGCTGGGGCTGTGGGTGCCCCAGGCAGGGCTGACCAGCCAGGGCAGGTCCTGTGCTGAGGGCGGTCTTGGCTTCCCTGGGCTTGAGCCTCTTTATGAGCAAGAGAGGCGTGGTGTGAGGGATTAGGGGTGTAGGTCATGATATCTGCACCTGAGAAATGTTCCACCCTCAGTACCCCTGCTAGGCACGGAAAGCAGCAGCTGAGGCCACGTCTGGCTCCGGAACAGCCTCTGCCCTGTCCAAGGCCCTTCCCTCCTCACGAAAACAAAGAGAAGCCATGGGGCTGGGCAGGGCCCCGGGAGTGAGGCTCATTAGGTACCAATGGCCTCTCCAGCTCCCTTTAGTCCTCTCTTTAAGACTTGGGCCCCTACATGAGGAACAGGGACCTCTGCAGCCAGCCAGACCTGACAATTGCCACTTACCCTGAAGCCTCAAACAAGTGAGGCTCCTTGGAGCCTCGGTTTTTTCATCCCTAAAATACAAATAATAAGAATAGGCCTGGTGTGGTGGCTCAGACCTGTAACCCCGGCACTTTGGGAGGTTGAGGCGGGAAGATCGCTTGAGCCCAGGAGTTCGAGACCGGCCTGGGCAACATAGTGAGGCCCTATCTCTTCAAAAAATAAAAAATTAGCTGGGATGGTGGTGCACACCTGTGATCCCAGCTACTTGGGAGATAAAGGTGGGAGGATTGCTTGAGCATGGGAGTCAGAGGCTACAGTGAGCTATGATGACACCTCTGCACTTTGGCCTGGGCTACAGAGTGAGACCCTGTCTCAAAAAAGAATCTATCTATCCATCTATCTAGCTAGCTAGCTATCACTATATATAATTACATATAACTATAAATTTATAACTACATTATATATATACATAGTCATTTTAACTGCTGGGTCTAGGAATAATTTATTATGCAGCAATAGATAAGTAATACAGTTACTTGAACCATCAAGATCTTATTCTCCTCACTGTCCTTTCTAGGATAAGGGAGGTTTATTTATAGCAGCACTGGGAGTAAGCTCACCAGCCATTCAGCCCATCACTCTTTACCGCTTACAGGCCATTTTATTTTATATTTATTTATCCATTCATTTTTGAGACAGAGTCTCACTCTGTCACCCAGGCTGGAGTACAGTGGCAAGATCTTGGCTCACTGCAACCCCTGCCTCCCAGGTTCAAGCAATTCTCCTGTCTCAGCCTCCCCAGCAGCTGGGACTATAGGCACACACCACCACACCCGGCTAATTTTTGTATTTTTAGTAGAGACAAGGTTTCACCATATTGGTCAGGCTGGTCTTGAAATCCTGACCTCAGGCCTCGGCCTCCCAAACTGCTGGGATTATAGGCATGAGCCACCATGCCTGGCCTACTATTTTTGTTATTTATTATTATTATTTTTTTTAGCAGAATCTCACTCTGTCACCCAGGCTGGAGTTCAGGAGCACAATCTTGGCTCACTGCAACCTCTGCCTCCCACGTTCAAGCCACTCTTGTGGCTCAGCCTCCCAAGTAGCTGGGATTACAGGCATGCACCACGATGCCTGGCTAATGTTTCTATTTTTAGTAGAGATGAGGTTTTGCCATGTTGGCCAGGCTGGTCTCGAACTCCTGACCTCAAGTGATCCACTCCCCTCGGCCTCCCAAAGTGCTGGGATTACAGGCATGAGCCACTGCTCCTGGCCTATTATTTTTTTTGAGACAGGGTCTTGCTCTGTCGCCAAGGCTGGAGTGCAGGGGCACAATCTGGGTTCACTTCAGTCTCTACCTCCTGGGCTCAGGCAATCCTCCCATCTCACCCCCCTGAGTAGCTGGGACCACAGGCACACTAATTGGGCATTTTCACATAAGCAAGCTTTTCACTGTTACAACCAACTACAGATGGGGAAACTGAGGCTCAGAGAGGCAGAGTGACTTGCTTAAGACTATGCATTTTGTCCCTGATGGGGCCTGAATCACAACATTGCAACCAGGCTGTGGGTGGACCCCACACAGTGGGCCTTCAACACAACTGGATGTCTGGGGAGCAAAGGTTGGAACTGCTGACAGAGGCCCTGCTGACGGAGCCGCTCTGGCCTCCAAGACAGCTGCCAGCGGAAGCCCCTATGTGGACCTCTCCTGGGGGGGTGGAGGGGAGGCAGCTGTAGGCTGTGACCTTCTGAGGATGACCTTCACTGCCAGGCAGGTTCAGGATGAAAGGTGGCCCTGGCATTTGCAGTGATTTTGACCAGCCTGGGTCAGATAGCACCCGCGTGTCCTACATTCTAGATTTAGTGAACAAAAACACAGGACTCAGCTTTCTCTCCTTCCCTGGGACTCACGTCAAGGCCTAGGAGTCCTTGAGGGCAGAAATCCAGGGCCTGGTCCCATCCTTTGAAAATGTGTGAAATGCAGGGGTGAGGGGAGGGAGCCATGCAGGCAGCCTCCTTAGCTGGTGCTGGAGGAAACTGACCATTCCCTGCTTCCTGGCTTCAAACTCATGTTCATTCACAGAGCACGGGGCTGCGGGCTGCAAAGAAAGAGCCCCACAGAACTTGGAGGACAGCAAGGAAGGCACACAGATACCCGCCAGCTTACTGAGCAGGACAGGTGCTCTGTGGGGTATTGGAGATGCCCTGGGTTAGCGGGGACAGAGTGGAGCAGACACTAACCTGTCATTTCATCCATGCCACAGCTGGTTGGGGGAGGTCTCCATGCTTGTCCCTGCCATGGGACATAAAGGGCCTGGTCTCAGCACTGCCCTGTGCAACATCTGATCTACTGTCCTCAAAGCCTCCGTACATCCCGATGGTCCTCCTGGCACTGGCTTCTGTTCCCAGTGCACAGCGCGGCTTCTCACCAACCTCACTCTTTCTCATTCTGCAGCCAGAAAGCCTGCAAGGCCCCCCAAGTCATCCCAAGCATTGGCCCTGGGAATAGCACCTCCATCTTGATTTTTTTTAATGAGCCAGAGTCTCATCTTCTTGCCCAGGCTGGAGCACAGTGGTGCGATCATAGCTCACTGCAGCCTCAACCTCCTGGGCTCAAGTGATCCTCCTGCCTCAGCCTCCCTAGTAGCTGGAACTACAGGTACGCCACCACACCTGGCTAATTAAAAAATTTTGGGGGCTGGGTGAAGTGGCTTACGCTTGTAATCTCAGCACTTTGGAAGGCCGAGATGAGTGGGATCACGAGGTCAGGAGTTCAAGACCAGCCTGGCCAACATGGTGAAACCCCGTCTCTACTAAAAAAACACAAAAAGTACCTGAGTGTGGTGGCACACACCTGTACCCCCAGCTACTCAGGAGGCTGAGGCAGGAGAATCGCTTGAACCCGGGAGGTGGAGGTTGTAGTGAACTGAGATTGCGCCACTGCACCCCAGCCTGGGTGACAGAGTAAGACTCTGTCTCAAAAAAATAATAATAAAAAAATAAAAATAAATTTTGGCCAGGCACAGTGGCTCACACCTGTAATCCCAGAACTTTGGGAGGCCAAGGTGGGTGGATCACCTGAGGTCAGGAGTTTGAGATCAGCATGGCAAACATTGTGAAACCCCATCTCTACTAAAAACGCAAAAAAAAAAAAAAAAATTAGCCGGGCGTGGTGGTGTGCACCTGTAATTCCAGCTAGTTAGGAGGCTGAGGCAGGAGAATCACTTGAACCCAGAGGTGGAGGTTGAGTAAGTTGATACCATGTCACTGCACTCCAGCCTGGGCGACAGAGCAAGACTACTCAAAAAAAAAAAAAAAAAAAAATTTTTTTTTGGCTGGGCGCGGTGGCTCATGCCTGTAACGCCAACACTTTGGGAGGCCTAGGCGGGAGGATTGCTTGAGCCCAGGAGTTCAAGACCAGCCTGGGTCATATAGAAAGACCCAACCTCTACAAAAATTAGCCAGGTGTGGTGGTGTGCACCTGAAGTTTCAGCAACTTGGGGGGCTCAGGTGAGGTGAGAGGATCGCTTGAGCCTGGGAATTCTGGGCTGTGGGGAGCCATGTTTGTGCCACTGTCATTCCAGCCTGGGTGACAAAGGGAGACCTCCATCTCACATAATTTTTTTTTTTTTTGTAGAGTTGGGGGTCTCACAATGTCGTGCAGGCTGTTCTCAAACTCCTGGTCTCAAGAGATTTTCCCACCTCCACCTCACAAACTGCGGGGATTACAGGCATCGGCCACCGTGCCCAGCCTGTAACAAATTGTTAAACAGACAACTATAATTTCATGACAAGGCTGGGCATGGTGGCTCACTTCTGTAATCCCAGCACTTTGGGAGGCTGAGGTGGGCAGATCGCTTGAGGTCAGGAGTTCAAGACCAACCTGGCCAACATGGTGAAACCCCATCTATACTAAAAATACAAAAATTAGGCCAGGCGCAGTGGCTCACGCTTGTAATCCCAGCACTTTGGGAAGCTGAGGCGGGCAGATCACGAGATCAGGAGTTCAAGACCAGCCTGGTCAATATGGTGAAACTCTGCCTCTACTAAAAATACAAAAATTAGCCGGGCGTGGTGGCGCACGCCTGTAATCCCCGCTACTTTGGAGGCTTGAACTCAGGAGGCAGAGGTTGCAGTGAGCTGAGATCATGCCATTGCACTCCAGCCTGGGCGACAGAGCGAGCCTCCGTCACAAAAAAACAAAAAACAAAAACAAACAAAAAAACAAACAAAATTTAGCCGGCCATGGTGGCAGGTGCCTGTAGTCCCAGCTGCTCAGGATGCTGAGGCAGGAGAGTCGCTTGAACCCAGGAGGTGGAGGTTGCAGTGAGCCGAGATCGTACCACTGCACTCCAGCCTGGGCAACAGAGCGAGACTCTGTCTCGAAATAATAATAATAATAATAATAATAATAATAATAATAATAATAATTTCATGAGAAACCATAAGGCCGAGTTCACATTCCTAGTCCTCAGAGTTCCACGCTTGGGGATGTGGTGTCACTTGTCCCCACTCCCCGGCCCCATGGGCCACTGGCTGCCTTTCTCTTCCCACCGCTGCTCAGTCTGCACCATTTGGGGCCTCCTGCACCCTCCCCCCTTAGATGTCCTGGCCCACACACTCACACTTGGGACACACCCTCTGCCAACAGCAGCCCCTGGGCCTGGGATGGGCACACTGCTGGGGGATTTGTCCTCAGGAGGATGGACTCGGGTTGAGGTCCACAACACCCCTAGAGCCAGGCAGGGGGCCCTAAGAGCAGAGAATTCCAGGATCCCAGGGCGTGCTCCAGAAGCCAGGAGCATGGGTTTCAGGCTAGCATGGCCCTGAGAAGCACAGGAACCAGGCAGGGGCCCCTTTGCTCAGGCCCAAAGACCATAGTGTGCAAAGGCATGCATGCGTATGCACACACATACACACACTCACATACACTTCCCATGTCAAGGTTTGTCTGCAGAGGGAGCTTCACCCACCCATCTTCCTAGCTCATCTTTCCAGCTCTCCCTGTCCTGTCCTGGACCTCTGGGCCTTTCCCCAGGACCTTCTCCCCTACCTTTTGTGTTTGAGAGAGTCTCGCTCTGTCACCCAGGCTGGAGTACAGTGTCACGATCTTGGCTCACTGCAACCTCTGCTTCCCAGGTTCAAGTGATTCTCCCACCTCAGCCTCCCAAGTAGCTGGGACTGTAGGCGCCTGCCACTACACCTGGCTAATTTCTTTTGTATTGTTTGGTAAAGACGGGGTTTCGCCATCTTGGCCAGGTGCAGGTCTCCAACTCCTGATCTCAAGTGACCCACCGAACTGGGCCTCCCAAAGTGCTGGGATAACAGGCGTGAGCCACCACACCTGGCCTAAATTAGCCAGGCATGGTGGCGCATGACTGTAATCCCAGCTACTCGGGTGGCTGAGGCACGAGGATTGCTTGAACCTGGGAGGCGGAGGTTGCAGTGAGAAAGCAAACCTCCTTCTCTTTGCTGGCTTCCTCGAGAGGGCAGAGAGGGGAAGAGTGTGGGGCACTCAGGTCGTGGGACATCTGGGCTCCCTCCTTTCAGTGGGGAGTCTGGCTCTGTCCTCCCCAACCTCTACCGGTAGGTAACCTTTCTGTGCACCTGGAGCCCTGTGAGTGAACAAAATATGGACCACACCTGGGAGCAACAAAGGACTCACAGGAGCCTCAAGGGTTTTAAATTGCCTTTCCTGCCAACCGCAGGAATGCGCCCTGGCCAGGCATAGAGAGGAGGAGTGGGCCTGTCACATGGCACTGAGAAAGTGCAGCTCACCTTTCCGCCGAGATGCCAGCCACGTGAAAGAGCCAGTCCCCCGGGGTGAGGCCTGGGGCTCAGGCACTGGGCTCAGACTCCCTGGCCCCAGTTCTGTGCACAGTAAAATGATCAGAGAAACCTTATCGTGGTCACTACCACCCACAGCGTCAAGTTGAAACCCTCAGGCTGGCCTTCCAAGCCCTTCCCACCCCGGCCTGGGTGGCCTCTCCACGTCCTCTGAGCCAGCCCTGTGTAATCTCCCACACTCCACTTTCTTGTCCTAACAGGCGGGACACAGCTGTTTTTGGTGCACACCGCCCTCTTCCCCTGGAACGTCTTTTTCTTTTCTTTTTCTTTCTTTTTTTTCTGAGACAGTATTTCTCTGTCACCCAGGCTGGACTGCAGTTGCACAATCTCGGCTCACTGTAACCTCTCGTGTTCAAGCAATTATCCTGCCTCAGCCTCCTGAGTAGCTGGGATTACAGGTGTGCACCAGCACACCCAGCTAATTTTTGTATTTTGAGCAGAGATGGGGTTTCGCCATGTTGGCCAGGCTGGTCTGGAACGCCTGACCTCGTGATCCAGCAGCCCTGGCCTCCCAAAGTGCTGGGGTTACAGTCGTGAGCCACCACGCCCAGCCTGGAACATCTTTTTCTACGTTCCATAGGTCTGGCCAGCCCTTGAGGCCAGCAGAGACCTTGCCTGGGTCCTACAGGACTGGCTGCTTCTCCCAGAACTGGTACCTCCTGGCATTACCGTGGGTTTCTGTCTCCCTTAGAGACTGTGCTGGGACCAGGTCTTAGTCACCTCTGTGTCCCCAGCCCCTGGGATAAGGCCAGAATGTAGTACATGCTCAGTAATTATTTGATGAGAGAATGAATGAGTGAGCGAATGAATGAATGCGTGAAAGGGTGAGGGAGGGGGTGACCAGGACTCAGGCTCCTGGGATCTGTGGCCTTTGGCTGTGAGTTCCCCATTAGGCCAGGCAGACAGGTCATCAGGACGCAGAGCACCAAGCAATAAGCATGGGTGGGGCCTCCCAAGCCCACGCTGTCCTTGTGCAGATGTCCAGGGCAACAAACATTTATTGAGCACCTGCTGTTTGCATCACCCGTGCCATGCTCCTGCAGCCACTTTGTCATGTTGGGTGGGCGTGCTTGGCCCATTCCCTCCTGGCTCTCTGTTCTCCCTGTCCACCTGGAAGCTCTTCACCTGCTTCTCTTCTTGGATTCCTTCAGGTCTCAGCAGAAATGTCACCTTCCCAGGGAGGCCATCCTTGACCACTGGATTTACAGTTGCTGCTCTTTTTTTTTTTTTCTGTGACAGAGTCTCACTCTGTTGCCCAGGCTGGAGTGCAGTGGTGCGATCTCAGCTCACTGCAACCTCCACCTCCTGGATTCGAGTGATTCTCCCGCCTCAGCCTCGCGGGTAGCTGGGACTAGAGGCGCCCGCCACCACGCCCGGCTAATTTTTTTTTTTTTTTTTTTTAGTAGAGATGGTTTTTCACTATGTTGACCAGACTGGTCTTGAACTCCTGACCTCAAGTGATCTGCCCGCCTCAGCCTCCCAAAGTGTGGGATTACAGGCGTGAGCCACTGTGCCCGGCATGTTCTTTAAATGAAAGAATGATTCAGTAAACAGATGGGCGTGTGAAGGAATGACATAGCTCAACCCACGGCTCCCACAGCCTTTATCTTGCCTTGTAATTACCTGCAAATCAACTTCCTACACGGTACTCAGTTCCTTAGAGCAGGGGTTCGCAACCTCAGGGACCACCAACTGGCACCAGTCTACCCATCTGTCACTGTCTCCCATCACCCCCAGATGGGACCCTCTAGTTGCAGGAAAACAAGCTCAGGGCTCCCACTGATTCTGCATTATGGTGAGTTGTATAATTATTTCATTGTATATTAACAATGTAATAATAAAGTGCACAATAAATGGAATGCACTTGAATCATCCTGAAACCATCCCCATACCTGTCTGTGGAAAAATTATCTTCCACGAAACCGGTCCCTGGTGCCAAAAAAGTTGGGGACCACTGCCTTAGAGTATAAGGGCAAGCCTTTCTTCTGATGTCCGCGCTGAGGAGCAGAGCCTACCTGAGGTTTGCAGAGCGAGCAGGGCATGAATCTGCTTCTCTGCTGCCCTCCGCCAACCGAGCAGGGAAACTGATAATGTCTGGAAGCTTCTCTGGCCGCTGTGGGTCCTGCCCTGTCTGGGGATGGGAGGGGAGGGGTTTCCAGCATGTTGGGGGTAATGCTTTCACTTATGCTTAATGAGCTGTGCTCTCCATCCTCCTAACAGCCAGAGGACATGGTTAGTACCCTCCCACCCTCCCTCCACAGCCCCCCTCTCTTTCCATGGAAGGGTTGGTCCTCAGGATCCTGCTGATCCCCAGCTTGTCAGGCCATGCTGGGCTGGGGGCCTCCTCTGCGCCCCTGAAGTGCTGCTTCGCCCCATCACAGCTTTGCAGGGCACTGAATGACAAATGTTTTTTTTTGAGAGGGAGTCTTGCTCTGTCACCCAGGCTGGAGTGCAGTGGTGTGACCTCAGTTTGCTGCAACCTCTGCCTCCTGGGTTCAAGCAATTCTCTTGCCTTGGCCTCCCGAGTAGCTGGGACTACAGGCGTGTGCCACCATGCTCAGCTAATTTTTTTTTTTGAGATGGAGTCTCACTCTGTCACTCAGGCTGGAGTGCAGTGGCATGATCTCGGCTCACTGCAACCTCCGCCTCCCTGCCTCAGCCTCCCGGATAGCTGTGATTACAGGCGCCCACCACCACGCCCGGCTAATTTTTGTAAATAGAGACAGGGTTTCACCATCTTAGCCAGGCTGGTCTTGAATTCCTGACCTCGTAATCCACCAGCCTTGGCCTCCCAAAGTGCTAGGATTACAGATGTGAGCCACTGCGCCCGGCCAATTTTTGCATTTTTAGTAGAGATGGGATTTCACCATGTTGGCCAGGCTGGTCTTGAACTCCTGACCTCAAGCGATCCGCCCACCCAGACCTCCCAAAGTGCTGGAATGACAGGCGTGAGTCACTGAGCCCGGCCTGAATGATAATTATTTTCCATTTCTTCTGCTCCAATGAGCTCCCCAAGGGCGGGCATCACCTATTCATCCGTTCATTCCACTCATATTTATTGAGTGCCAGGCCCCATGCTAGGGGCTCCCTGCGCACATGGGGCTCATCATCATTGAGCCTCCGGCTTGGCACAGAATCAGTGAATGGTTTCCGGACATGGGCATATTAGTGGATGATTTGACAGGCAAATGGGAGAAGGGGTTGGGATGGCCTCCAGAGCTTCCAAAATGCACGTGAGGGTGAGAAAGGGTCCCACTGTGAGCTGACTCCAGGCTGTGTTGTGCATTGTGGCCAGACTAAGGAAAAGTCCCAAGGAACAAAGAGATTTAAAAACCAGGGCCACACACAGTGGCACACCCTCTCACCCCAGCGCAGGCCCCTTCTTGCTCATGTCTGAGGCCCCCCCAGGCGTGGGCCCGTCACGGCCCCACCCTCACCAGGCTGGATGGGCTTGGGGTTCTGTCTTATACATGTCCAAAGACCTAAAACCTATCAGAAAGCCAGTCTAGAATGGGCCATCCAGCTCCTGGGATAAATGAAGGCCACGTGTTACTAGGTCCACAAAACACCAGGCAGCTGGCATGCCTTCTCAACACAGCCTGCCGTGAGGAGCCCCAGCTGTCCTCAAGGGCTGGCCAGGTGAGTGACAGCTCAGCCACACTCATCAGTGCCCTGCACTGTCTCATAGAGGCCCCCCGCCCCTCACTCCTGGTTCCTGGTCAACATGGCCAACAGGAGACACTGGTGGTAAAGCCAGCGTCTTCTCCCGTCTTGCTTCAGGGACATCGCCAGCAGTGCCCATGTCCTTCTTGGCACAGCCCTGCCAGCAGCCCTCCTAACTGTAGTCCCAGCTTCTGGGCTCTGGCAACACCCCTCTCTCTCAGGGCAGCAGTGGCTCCTGCTGGTACCCATCTCAGTTGCCTGCTCCCCACGAGACCCCCATTCCTGACCCACTGGGCCCTGGTCACCTGCCTGACCTGGCCCTGGTGCATCTCTCCTCTCTGCCGCCACACCACACATTGCCACTGCCCAGATCTCAGCGCACTCCCTCTTCCCCAGCCAGACCACAAAGGAAGCACACGCCAGCACGGCAGGTCAGAGGCTGTTTCTTTATACAAAGGCAGACAACATGGACACCTCAGCATGCTGCTGCAGTTCATGGGGGCCCATCCCACCGCTTCTGGGGAGAGGAATCGGGGTGGGGGCGCCCGCAGCAGGGGAGAGACACTACACAGGCCTGGGACCGCCAAGCACACCAGCTGCGAGCTCCTGAAGGGCAGACACATGGACACACGGACACTGAAACCACGAGCACGGCACAGCCACAGGGAGGAATGGTGGAGCTGGGGACAGACATCGGCAGCTACTGCCAACTGCTGCCCTCTTCTGCCACGAGTTCCTTGGCGAGGAGCCTTGTCCGTGTTACTAAAGAGCCACGTGACTTTATCTGATGGCAGAACGTCTCGCTTTCTGCATCTGTAAGCTGGGCCAGTACACCGTACTCCACAGGGCTGCCGTGAGTACAGATGAGACTGAAACAGGGGCATTGATCAAAGTACCCAACACAGAGCCTGGCACATAGAGGTGTTCAATAAGTAACTTTTGTCAGGAGACTCTTAGGGAGGACCTTCAGAAGGCCAAGTGAGATGACTTCCCTAGAAATTCTCTCAGGGCATGGGGACCCTGGAGGACTCCTTGGAGCCTGCAGCCCCTGGTGTGCCCAAGGCCCCAGAATACACCGTGCCAGGGCTGTTCACAGGCGTGGGGGGCTGGATGCCCAGGGAGGTGCCCGCAGAAGCTGGGTAGACACTGGAGGAGGTGGGGTTTGGACCAAAGTGGTTCTGCACATAGCACAGGCCGGAGGCAGGCTGGTACGGAGGCAAGGTGGGCATGTGCCCGGGGGTGCAGGAGGGCCAGGAGGCCAGCTTCTGACCACTGGCGTGCTGCGTCTGGGACACAGGGTGGCTTGGGGACAGGTGAGGGTGGCAGCTCTGTGTGGGGTAGGAGCCAGGCACCGGGTTCAGTCTGGAATGGAACAAGAGAGAAAATGGTCCTTCAGCGAGTCTTGGCAAGGTCATGGCATCTTGTGCTTGAGGTTGCCCCCGCTTTCTAGTACAACATGCCTTGGATGTTTTCTGTGACTTGCTCTAAGTACCAAGTGGGAGAAAGGTTAACCTCAACCAATCAGACCACAGATGCCCAGGGAGGGTGGGGCCAGTTGCAGTCCTGCAGCAAGGGAGTTGTATGAAAGGACACTGGACCTGCCACTGAGACCACCGGAGGGGTGACCTGCTCACAGCAGCTTCTAAACCAGATGGAGCGTTGGGACCAGGTCACAGCTGCCAGTGCCTGTGTGGCTGGCTCGACAATTCTGCCCAAAGAGAACGGATTCAGGCTGGGCATGGTGGCTCACACCTGCAATCCCAGCACTTTGGGAGGCCAAGGCGGGTGGATCATCTGAGGTCAGGAGTTCGAGACTAGCCTGGCCAACATGATGAAACCCGGTCTCTACTAAAAATTAAAAAAAAAAAATTAGCCAGGTGTGGTGGCAGGCGCCTGTAGTCCCAGCTACTCAGAAGGCTGAGGCAGGAGAATCGCTTGAACCTGGGAGGCAGAGGTTGCAGTGAGCCAAGATTGTGCCACTGCACTCCAGCCTGGGTGACAGAGCAAGACTCTGTCTCAAAAAAAAAAATTGTTTTTTTTTTTTTTTAATTAGCCAGGTCTGGTGGCATATGCTTCTAGTCCCAGGTACTTAAGAGGCTGAGGTAGGAGGACTGCTTAAACCCAGAAGTTTGAGGCTGCAGTGAGTTATGACTGTGCCACTGCACTCCAGCCTAGGCAACAGAGCAAGACCATGTGTAAAAAAAAAAAAAAAAAAAAAATTATCTATCAACAAGAGCCTCTGAGGAGACAAGCTGTCCAAACGGCCATCTTGCTGACAAAATAAACATGCGTGTCATGACATGGCCCTGGACCCACTGTCAGGCTGCCTGAAACACAATATTCTGAGTGTCTGCAGCAGGCACCAGACCTGAGGGACTGGACTCCATGTCACGTGGGGAACACAGAAGGAACACCATCTTCCTCTTAAACCCTAAGATCTGCCTGTCACAGTGAGGCAGGATCAGACCTGGCACTGGGTGTGGCAGTGTCTGTGAGGCTGATTGCAATTCAGCATGGAAGAACTCTTTTTTTTTTTTTTTGAGACGGAGTCTCGCTCTTTTGCCCAGGCTGGAGTGCAGTGGCGCGATCTCGGCTCACTGCAAGCTCCACCTCCCAGGTTCACACCATTCTCCTGGCTCAGCCTCCCGAGTAGCTGGGACTACAGGTGCCCACCACCGCACATGGCCAATTTTTTGTATTTTTAGTAGAGATGGGGTTTCACCGTGTTAGCCAGGATGGTCTCGATCTCCTGATCTCGTGATCCACCCGCATCAGCCTCCCAAAGTGCTGGGATTACAGGTGTGAGCCACCGCGCCCGGCCCTTCAGCATGGAAGAACTTTCTCATCAGGGCCAGTCTTGGAGAGTGAGCTCTTGTATGTGAGATACAGCTGGAGACCACCATCAGCTATTACAGAGGGGATTCCTTGGTGACAGACAGTTCTCCAGATTCAATGAGAACAACTAAAACCCACAAAACACCTAGTCCTAAATGTACAGTCTCCCCCACATTGAGACCCCAGGAATTACTTGCCTGAAGCAATAATGCGGTGAGTCCGCATTTCTGTTTTCCCAGCAGCCCTCCTGGCCTTTTAGAAAAATAGTCCAAGGGCTCTGAGCTGTTGACAGCTGGGAGCACCTCTTGGAAGAAGCTCTAAGGGCAGCTTCCTATTCAACAAAAACCCCACATCCAGGCCAGCGTGCAGGGGAAAATTTACTCCACAGCTGGTGGCGGGCCAAAAAGGGCCAAGGACCAAGCACCTTGCCTTCTGATACACTTTGGATGTTTCCTCTGCTCCAAATCATGTGCTGAAATGGATCTTTAGCCGGGTATAGTGGCACGCGCCTATAATTCCAAGTACTTGGGAGGCTGAGACAGGAGAATCACTTGAACCCAGGAGGTGGAGGTTGCAGTGAGCTGAGATCACGCCACTGCACTCCAGCCTGGGCCACAGAGTGAGACTCCATTTCAAAAAAAAAGAAACGTGATTCCCAGTGTTCCAGCACTAGAGGTGGAGCTCAGTGGGAGGCGTCTGGGTCACGGGGGCAGACCTTGCGTGAGTGGCTTGGCTTCTTCCCCGTAGTAATGAGTTCTCCCTCTGAGTTTAGGTAAGAGCTGGGTGTTTAAGAGCCCAGCACCTCCCTCCCTCTCTCAATGTGTGGTGCCGCCTCCCCTTGCCCTATGATTGGAAGCTGCCTGAGGCCGGTGCCATGATCCTAGTGTAGCCTACGAAGCCATGAGCCAAATAAACCTCTTTTCTTATAAATGACCCAGGCTCAGGTATTTCTTTATAGCAATACAAAATGGATGAACACGCCTTTCCCAGCGAGCTCCTTTTTTGGGGGGAGGACCACTGAAGGAAAGAAAAAATCCTACACTGTGAGGTCTCAGCATGGACAGAAACCAGCGGAGAACTCAGAGGCAGGAGGCACTGGGAACAGGGGAGAGGGAGGGAGGTGGCCTCCTAAGCAGGGGACGTGCTTCCAGATGGCCCCTCTCCTGACTCTGTTACCTGGAAACAGAGTGGGTGAGAAAGACCCTTGTCTTCTTTGGGCCTCCTCTATAAAATGAAGCAGCCAGGCCACACAAGCTCTGGCGGCTTACCAGCACTTTCCATCTGTGAGTTAATCAGCCAACTGGAAAACAGTAAACCTCACCAGAAAACCTGGGCTGGGCCACCTCCTAAGCAGCCTAGTTGGCTGTGTGGACTGTCTGCACCTTTTTTTTTTTTTTTTTCTTGGGAGACAGTGTCTTGCTCTGTCAACCAGGCTGGAGTGCTGTGGTGTGATCTCGGTGCACTGCAACCTCCACCTCCCAGGTTCGAGTGATTCTCCTGCCTCAGCCTCCTGAGTAGCTGGGATTACAGGCAACCACCACCACGCTTGGATAATTTTTGTATTTTTAGCAGAGATGGGGTTTCATCACGTTGGCCAGGCTCGTCTCAAATTCCTGACCTTATATGATCTGCCCACCTTGGCCTCCCAAAGTGCTGGGATTACAGGCGTGAGCCATCGCACCCAGCCCTATCTGCACTTATCGAGGCTATTGTGTGTCACAGCCCAGGCTGACCTGCAGCAGGTATGTGTCTAATGTCAATTAGATGGGGGCCCTCCTGCCCAGCCTATCTACAAGTCACTCAGGATCACATGTTAAGTGTCCTCAAATGCCTTCCCTTTCCTGCTGTTGCTACTTCAGAAGCAGTTGTGCAGAATCCAGAATGCTCAGAAGACATCTGTGCATTATTTTCCAATCTGCCGCACCTCATTTCTTTATCACTTACGGCAATAAACCAGCCACACCCTCTGCATGCCCTGGAGTTGCTTTAATAATAAGGTTAGGCCAGGCTCAGTGGCTCACACCTGTAATCCCAGTACTTTGAGAAATCAAGGAAGGATGGATTGAGACCAGGAGTTTGAGACCAGCCTTGGTAACACAGTGGAGACCCTGTCCCTACAAAAAATTTAAGTTAGCTAGGCATGATGGTATGTGCCTGTAGTCTCAGTTACTTGGGAGGCTGAGGTGGGAGGATCACTTGAGTCCACGAGTGTGAGGCTGTAGCGGGCTATGATCATACCACTGCAATCCAGCCTGGGCAACAGGGCAAGACCCTGTCCTCAAATAAAAAAAAGAATAAAAAAACAGAATAAGATTTGACAGCATTTGGCCGGGGGCAGTGGCTCACGCCTGTAATCCCAGCACTTTGGGAGGCCGAGGCAGGTAAATCACAAGGTCAGGAGTTCGAGACCAGCCTGGCCAACATGGTGAAACCCCATCTCTACTAAAAATACAAAAAAATTAGCTGGATGTAGTGGTGGGCACCTGTAATCCCAGACACTGAGGAGACTGAGGCAGAAGAATCACTTGAACCTGAAGCAGAGGTTGCAGTGAGCCGAGATTGTGCCACTGCACTACAGCCTGGGTGACAGAGTGAGACTCCGTCTCAAAAAAAAAAAATAATTTTTTTTTTAAAAAAGATTTAACAGCACTTAAGAGTTCTGTCACTTACTTCCGGCTCTGGGCTGCCCTCCTCTCGGCTGAAGACCCTGAGACGTACTTGAACACGGATATCCTCCTCATCAGGCTGAAGGGGAAGGTCTGATCGAGCTTCAGTGCCACTCGCTCTGAGAGGTCGATGGAATAGCAGTAGGTGAGGCCATCTGAGGTTGGCGTGTTAAGTGAAACTGGAGGCAGCAAAGGGAGGAGGGCCGAACACTCCCCGGGGAGAACACAGGTTCCCACTCACTCTACAGAAGCCTTCATGCTTAGCACGCTGCACACTCTGGCTGGAGTTTGCAGCTCAGGGGAAACCCAGAGCCAAAGGTTTGTTTTTTTTTTTGAGATGGAGTCTCACTCTAGCAGCCCAGGCTGGAGTGCAGTGGTGTGATCTTGGCTCACTGCAAGCTCCGCCTCCCAGATCACACCATTCTCCTGCCTCAGCCTCCAGAGTAGCTGGGACTACAGGTGCCCGTCACCACACCCAGCTAATTTTTGTATTTTCAGTAGAGACAGTGTTTCACCATATTGGCTAGGCTGGTCTTAAACTCCTGACCTCGTGATCTGCCTGCCTCAGCCTCCCAAAGTGCTAGTATTACAGGCGTGAGCCACTGCGCCTGACCCCAGAGCCAAAGGTTTCTACTCACTGTGCCTCACCGGGAATGAATGCGCCCAGCAGCAGGGGGTATTAATGCTGTCCCTTCTCCTACACCCATGTGTGCCACCACTTGCACCCTTCTAGCCACTGCAGTCAGTCAGAAGCCAGGACATGCCTCTGCTGGTGTAGCAGGATAAGGCAGGAGGCTGTACCAGTATCATCCTGAGGGACTAACACCTCGTCCTTTTATCTCAAATAGAGGGCACCTGCCTCAGTGCGACCATGTGAGCTTCATGTGGGCCTCTCTGGCTGTGCTTCCTCCATACCCTGTCACCATCCCCAGCAACTTGGTGGTATCCTGGTCGTCTGACCTAAGTCACCCACCACTGATTAGGCAGCCACAAAGATTCAGCCTTTGAATAAAGGCTATGCTAGACTCTCCCGAAAAGAGCTTAGAAACAAACCTCAAGTTTCAAGCCAATCTTCAAGTAAGTTAACCGCCTATCAGAACAAAAGTCAACATTTTTTAAAGGAAAACAACAAAATCTAGAGCCCCTAATACAGCATTCAGTGTCTAGCATAAAATAAAAAATTACCAGATATGAAAAAAAAAGTAAAAAAAAATTATGATCAGATATGACTCGGCCACGGTGGCTCACACCTGTAATCCTAGCACTTTGGGAGGCCACGGTGGGTAGATCACCTGAGACCAGGAGTTCAAGACCAGCCTGGGCAACATGGTGAAACCCTGTGTCTACTAAAAAGAAAATATAAAAATTAGCCGGGTGTAGTGGTGCACACCTGTAGTCCCAGCTACTCAGGGGGCTGAGGCAGGATTGCTTGAGCCCAGGAGGCAGAGGTTGCAGTGAGTTGAGATCCTGCCACTGCACTCCAGCCTGGGTGACAGAGACTCTGTTTCGAAAAAATACAAAGTAAGCCCAATTTTATCTACTTGACACCCCAGACCCTCCAGCCTGGTTCACCCTTTGACATGCGTTGTTCTATAGCTCTCTGCTAGGAAGGATACAGGCCAGCCCGATGGACAGCCCGCAGACATTACTGAGGAAAGAGGTCTGGGGAATGAGCCACGAGGCACCCAGCAGGAGCCACGGAACCAGGACTGAGGGCACAACCATGCCAAACACCAGGGCCCGCCTCATCCGAGAACGGACGGTGGTGACTCCCAGCATGGCAAAGGCCACTGGGGTGAAACCTCTGGCATCCTCCACTTCCCCCAGCTTTGACAGTGATGACACAGCCTCGAATGACAGGAAGATGATAGCGGAGAAGATGGCGAAGATCACGGTGAAGAAGCAGTGGCGGACGGTGCCCACGGTTCTCTCGAAATTGCCAGCAAAGCGCCAGATGATGATAGCGCCGCAGAGCAGGGAGATGGGATTCTCGTAGACAAAGATGTAGGTTACCAGCCTGTAAACTGCAGAGGGAGTCGGGTTAGAGGCCTGGCGGCGGGTTGCTCCCAGGAGGGAAGCCAGGTTATAAGCCGCCTAGGAAAGGCAGAGAGCCCCCCTCCGTGACAGAGAAGTGAGAGCCAGTGAGTCGCAGCAGGAGGCAATACAAGCAGTGCGTTCAACAATGAAGGACCCAGAGCCTCAAAGGAGAGGCATGAATATCTAATCCCTACACTTCCCCAGGCCTGGTGCAACTCTTAGCGGTAACTGACTTCCAGAGGGAAAAAAATAATACTTTTCGGTAGAGGGCAGTCTCTGAATTTGTAAAGTGCTTTATAATCCTTTTTCAGGTTTTCATACTGACCTACCTCACTGGGCAGTTTGAGGGTTAATTAAGTGTAACAGCTTCGGGGTGGATTGAGTGGGTGTCACTTAACACTCTGTGTGCCAGTCTCCTCTGCTGTAATCCTGACCCCTCCTTCCATAGTGGCTGTTCAGAGGAAGAAAAAAGGGACCATGAATTATTTTGCAGCTGTAAGAATTATAACACTATCATTAACAATAAAGATTATAGAAATTATAAGTCTCCTCAGAAAGTGCTTATCCGATCTCACAGGTAAACTGATGCTTTATATGTAATAAGACATCAAAGAATCCTCCTTTTCCTTTTTTTAAATTTTTATTTGTAGAGACAAAGTCTTGCTACGTTGCCCAGGCTAGCCTTGAACTCCTGGCCTCCAGTGATCCTCCTGCCTTGAATTCCCAAAGTGCTGAAACTACACATACGAACCATCATTCCTGGCCTTTTATTTTTCTAAAAGCAGTTATCGCCAGGCATGGTGGCTCACACCTGTAATCCCAGCATTTTGGGAGGCTTAGGTGGAAGGATCACTTGAGCCCAGGAGTTCAAGACCAGCCTAGGTAACATAGTGAGACCCCCGTCTTTAAAAAAAATTTAAAAATTAGTCAGGTGTGATGATGTGTACTTGTAGTCCCAGCTACTTGGGAGGCTGAGGCAGGAGGCTCGCTTGATTCCAGGAGTTGAACGCTGCAGTGAGCTATGATTGCATCTCTGCACTCCAGCCTGGGTAAGACGAAGACCCTATCTCTAAAAAAATTTTAGAAGTGGTTATCTCTTAAGTATTTTTATGTCCCTGCATGCCCAAATACGACTAAACTCAAGGAGAGAGACCAAAGAACTGATGGTAATATTGGACTTGGGAGTCTAAAGACTTGGAGTGGAATCTTGGCTCTATTACATCCAGGCTGGCTGAGTTTAATCATGTCACAGGTCCTCTAGGCGTCAGTTTCCTCACTGTAAAGTAACAAGAGTTAGATTGAGGACTTCAAAGGTCCCTTACGTCTCTAACGCTCACATATCCACGAAACCCACACCCAGGGAAGCAGTGAACCCCAGAAAGTGGGAGGTTAAGGTTAGGTTGGCATTTTGCTTCTGTCTGTGAGGTGGTGCTATGTATACCTAGGGTGGGGGGAACAGTTTTAGATTGGAGTGGGGAAGCAGGCTATGGAACCATATACCTCAGTCTGGCCATCACCAGAGGCTTCATTATCTGAAGAGTACTTCATTATTTGTTGAGTATTTCCAAAACTGAAATTCCAAGTATAAACATGAAAAGATTCTAGAAGCAACTGTACATGATTTGGAGATTATCTACCCGAAGGCTCTAGTTCCAAAACATCACAGAATAAAAAAAAAAATATAGATTCCTATCTCAATTGCATGACGCAACAGCTCTGCGATTCTCTGCATGAAACCTCAATCTTATCTAGATAACGGGCCAATAACAGGTCCTACGTCATGGGATCCTTGTGAGGGTTAAACGAAATTAATACATATCAGTGTGTGTGCTTTGCAAAACAGCAGGAGATATGCAAATTTCCTGTGTTCCTCTCGAGAAAATGAGGAAGACACGGAGACTAGGAATGTCTTTCAGGAATGGATGTTTATACTTAATTGGTCTGCAAAATTTCTCTCCCCTAGAGAAAAACAAACACTTCTCTCCAAAGGCAGAAGACACCCTGGTACCCCCATGAGCTGGGAATGGCAGTCAAGATTAAGATACAGATGAAAAAGCAGAAGAAATTCCAAATCTCAAGAGGGCAGGACGTTTATAGGGCTTATAGGGGTTTGTGGATAAAGTCCAATTGTCGTGATGTAGGTGAGAGAAAAACGTTTTTCAGTGGGGCTTAGGCCTAAAGCAGACGTAGGTGTGTATGTGAAATGGGAGGGGGAGACGAAAAATCTTTACCCTTGGAGAGCGAGCATGGATTTGCTAGCGAATGGATTTGGGGCCTTAACCAGTCTGGTGGCGACAGGGAAGGGAACAAATTCGGGTAGGGAAGGGATTACAGTGATGACGAAGATGGGGTCTGCAGACAAAGGTGTGGAACACGGAGAGCAAGAGACGGTGCTGGAGGTCGGTCCTCCGGGGGGCGGGCATGGTGATGAGGACCGAGACAGGGGGAGACTGGCGGTGAGGCCTGAAGGGGCGAGTCCCGGAGGCTAGAGCCCAGGAACCGGCAAAGTCGGAGGACAAGGACTCGCCCCGCGATCCCGGCCCGCCCCTGCTCACCTTGCCAGTTGCGAAGGGCCTCGGACTTCAGCGTGAGGCCCGAGGGCGCCAGGGGCTGCTGCAGCAGGAACAGGCGAGGCCCGGAAACCAGCAGCGAGAGCAGCGCAGTGAAGAAGGTGGCGGATGGCACCTCGGGACACAAGCACCAGCTGCGACACCCGGGCCCCGAGGCCGCCATGGCCGCCGTCGTTCCCGCGCCCCGCCTCGACGCCGGCTGCCGGTCCTCTGCTCCTTCCGCCTCCTCGCGGCAGTTTCCCTTGGCAACAGCAGAGGAGCCGGCCGGAGGCCACGCCTCCCAGAGGCCCCGCCCCATGCCAAGTTGTCCAATCCGGTAGCGCCGATCAGCCCCCCCCCCCCCCCCCCCCGTGCGTGGGAGGCCGGGACGGGGGGAGGGGGGTCGGGGCCACTTCCGGGTAGGAATGTTCCAGCACCGTGTTTGATTCCATCCTACTCGGGCTGGTACTGAAACTGCTCCTATAAACTTTAGGAAATTAATCAGGGAAGAAGGGAGGGGGAAAAACGAAAATAAACGAAGCTTGCAGCACACTCTGCGTTCATCACTAGGTCACCTTGCTCTCCGACCTGCTTGCTCATAGCTCTGTGTATCAGCTATGATAGGTGCCCATCGTCTGTCCTAGAATCACGTAGACCCTGTCACAAGATTACAATTCCCCTTAACTCCATAGATAACAACTTGAACATTATGAAACGTTTTCCCTTGGAGATATTCTTTCAGGTCCCGCATACCAGCATAATTACTGACACCAGTTGTTCTGAAGGAGCCCACAGAAGCAAGACTCAATGGGGACTGCAGTTTCCATATCCTGAGGATTTCAACCCCCTTACCCTGACCAGTCGATGACCCCAATTTTCCAGCCCCTCACCCTTCACAATGCCCTTTAAAATCCCAGCCCGGAACTCCTTGGGGAAGATGGATTTGTTGGTCTCCCTGCGTCTCCTCCTAGGCACCCTGCCATCTTTAAACCCTTTTTCTGCTGATAACCCTGCTTCCTCAGTGTAACTGGTCTGTTATTGCACAGCGGGCCTAGGCACCTGTTGGTCCTGTAATAATACCTCATGATTATTATGCCTTACAGCTCACAGAACTCTTTCATATCACGATCTTCCCATCTGTATTCATCCCTATTACACCAAAGAGGAAACAGGACTAGGGAGGGCCCTGGGTAATTCAGTTACATGGCAAAGACAGAATTAGAACTCAGTTCCTCCTGCTATGGCCCGGAATTGGCCTCCAGTACAGCCAGGGGCAGCTTTATCTTCATATTGAAGAAAAGGGGCAGGAGGCTGGGCACGGTGGCTCACGCCTGCAATCCCAGCACTTTGGGAGGCCGAGGCGGGCGGATCACGAGGTCAAGAATTAGAGACCAGCCTGGCCAACATGGTGAAACCCCGTCTCTAATAAAACTACAAAAATTAACCCGGCATGGTGGCGCGTGCCTGTAATCCCAGCTACTCCGGAGGCTGAGGCAGGAGAATCGCTTGAACCCAGGAGGCGGAGGTTGCAGCAAGCCGAGATCGCACCACTGCGCTCCAGCCTGGGTGACAGAGCAAGACTGTATCTCGGAAAAAAAAAAAAGGAAAAGGGACAGGAAACGGGAGAGGGATTCAATGGAAGGGACTCAAAAGTTAGGGATGTAATAGAACACTCATAACCGAGATCTATTTCAGCACTTTACAGTTTGAAAAGTGCTTTTGCTGGAGAACAGCTGTTTAAGGTAGACCTTCCTTTTTTTTTGACAAGAGTCTCACTCTGTCACCCAGGCTGGAGTGCAGTGGCGTGATCTCTGCTCACTGCCACCTCTGCCACCCAGATGCAAGTGATTCTTGTGCCTCAGCCTCCCGAGTCCCAAGTAGCTGGGACTACAGGTGTGCATCACCACGCCCAGCTAATTTTTGCATTTTTAGTAGATATGGGATTTCACCACATTGGCCAGGCTGGTCTCGAACTCCTGACCTCAGGTGATAAGCCTGCCTTGACCTCTCAAAGTCCTGGAATTACAGACATGAGCCACTGTGCCCAGCAGTACCTTCAAGGGTACTACCTTTTTCGCTTTCTCCAGTGACCCTGCCCAGTACTCCCTCCCCTCACATGGTAGAAGTATTTGGCTCCTTCCCCACACACCCACCCTAGTGTTATCAGCTCCTTGCCCTTGGCTGCAGGCTTTGGTTTGACTCAGCTGTAACTGCTGCCCCCCATAGCTTAGAAGCTCCTGCTGGCTCTGAAGGAAGGAGGCTAAATTTTGGGGCTTGTGTGTCCTGCTTCAGTAGCACAATCATAGCTCACTGCAGCCTTGACCTCCCGGGCTCATGGTATCCTCCTGCCTCAGCCTCCCAAGTAGCTGGAACCACAGGTGCGTGCTACCGCACCTAGCTAGCTGCTTCTTTTTTGTAGAGATGGGATCTTGCTCTGTTGCCCAGGCTGGTCTTGAACTCCTGGGCTTAGGCAATCGTCCCGCCTTGGCCTCCCAAAGTGCTGGGATGACAGGTGTGAGCCACCATGCCTAGCCTGTTGTGTGCTTTTTATGTAGTTACTCATTACATTTTCACAACCCTTGTGAGGCTGGTTCTGTAATTACGCCCGTTTTACAGATGAAGCAATGGAGATACAGAGAAGTTAAGTAACTTAAAATTAGGCAACAAGTCTTCCAGGAATTTTTTTTTTTTTTTTTTGAGACGAAGTCTTGCTCTGTCACCCAGGCTGGAGTGCAGTGCTGTAATGTCTGTTCACTGTAACCTCCTCCTCCCTGGTTCAAGCAGTTCGCTGCCTCAGCCTCCTGAGGCACTTCCCATATTATACTATCATTGCATATTTGTGCCCGTAATTGTGAGCTTACCAAGGGCAGAAGCCATGTCTGATTTATACCTGTGTCTGTATCCACAGCCCTGGCACCTAGCACACAGTGGGGCCACAGAAAATGTTCAATGCAAAGTTATTAGCCCTGATGCCTTTGGGATGTGACCTACTTCCCTTCCTTGTCTCTTGTCCAGAAGCCGAGGGTTCTCACGTAATTGAGACCCCTGGGGACTGTTATAACAACAGCCACCATCCCGAATGCATTTCACACTGAATTTCTGGCAAGAATTTCAAGATATTTTTTGAAGAGGAGACCTGAGGTACACCAGTCTAGGATGGCATGGCCAGTCAGCCCACCTAGCTCTCTGTAGAAAGAGTTTTCTGCATTTGCTGTGCAGAGGGTTTAGGCTCGGAGAGGGCAGTTGCAGGAGATATTCACGTTTCCCTTAAGGGAAACCTAGGATTGCAGGTGTGAGACACTGCACTTTTTTTTTTTTTTTTTGAGACTGAGTTTCGCTTTTGTTCCCCAGGTTGGAGTGCAATGGTGTGATCTTGGCTCACCGCAACCTCCGCCTCCCCGGTTCAAGCGATTCTCCTGACTCAGCGTCCCGAGTAGCTAGGATTACAGGCATGCGCTAGCATGCCCGGTTAATTTTGCATTTTTAGCAGAAACGGGGTTTCACCATGATGGTCAGGCTGGTCTCGAACTCCCGATCTCAGGTGATCCGCCTGAGATCTCAGCCTCCCAAAATGCTGGGATTACAGGCTTGAGCCACCACGCCCAGCCCACTGGGCCTTTTTGTTGTTGTTGTTTGTACAGACAGAGGTCTCACTATGTTGCCCAGGCTGGTCTCAAACTCTTGGGCTCAAGTGATCCTCGTGCCTGGGCCTCCCAAAGTGTTGGGATTCCAGGCATGAGCCAAGCCAAAAACCAGGAGATAAATACCATGTTATACTGGCCATTTCCTTTAATGTTCCCTTAAAGGAGACATTAATGGCTCCTACATTAGCATTTGAGAAGCAGCCAGTGTGGAGCTGGTGGAGCTCAGGCTGGAAGTCAGGAGGAAGCAGGACCTCACCCTGGCTCTTTCACTCGCTGCCTGAGTGATCTTGGGTAAGGGAGCCTCAGTTTCCTCATCTATAAAATGGGAACTAAGTCTTATCTTGCAGGGTTTTGATGAAGAAAACAGATAAGATTGACCGAGGGACGAATAGGATGTGAGGAGGTCACACTGTGAGTTAGTGGAAGAGCTAGGATTTGAACTTGGGTCATTAGATCTCTAAAGTTGTTCTATTTCTTTTTATTTTTTTGAGACAGAGTCTTACTCTGTCGCCCAGGCTGGAGTGCAGTGGCGTGATCTTGGCTCACTGCAACCTCCACCTCCCAGGTTCAAGTGATTCTCCTGCCTTAGCCTCCCCAGTAGCTGGGATTACAGGCACATGCCACCACGCCCTGCTAATTTTTGTATTTTTAGTAGAGACAGGGTTTCGCCATGTTGGCCAGGCTGCTCTCAAACTCCTGGCCTCAAGTGATCCATCTGCCTTGGCCTCCCAAAGTGCTGGGATTATAGGCGTGCGCCACTGCACCTGGCCAAGTTGTTCTATTTCTTTTTTTTTTTTGAGACGGAGTCTCGCTCTGTCGCCCAGGCTGGAGTGCAGTGGTGCGACCTTGGCTCACTACAAACTCTACCTTCCGAGTTCACGCCATTCTCCTGCCTCAGCCTCCCGAGTAGCTGGGACTACAGGCGCCCGCCACCACGTCTGGCTAATTTTTTTGTATTTTCAGTAAAGACGGGGTTTCACCATGTTAGCCAGGATGGTCTCGATCTCCTGACCTCATGATCCACCTGCCTTGGCCTTCCAAAGTGCTGGGATTACAGGCGTGAGCCCCTGTGCCCAGCCAGGTTGTTCTATTTCTACCACTACACACATCTCTACCATGGCAAGTATAACACGGTATTTACTTCCTGGTTTTTGGCCAGTCACAGCAGCTCACGCCTGTCATCCCAGCACTTTGGGAGGCCCAGGCAGGAGGATCACTTGAGCCCAAGAGTTTGAGACCAGCCTGGGCAACATAGTGAGACCCCTGTCTGTACAAACAAACAAACAAACAAACAAACAAACAAAAAAGAAAGGCTGGGTGCAGTGGCTCACACCTGTCATCCCAGCACTTTGGGAGGCCAAAGCAGGAGGATTGCTTGAGCCCACAAGTTAGAGACTAGCCTTTGGACAACATAGTGAGACCCCCATTTCTATTATATTTAAAAAAATATTTTTAAAAAAATCCTGTTTGTTGTGTCTGTCTCTCTTCCCAGACTGTGAGCTTCTTGAGGGACAGCACCATGTAGAGTCCTGCACAGAGTAGGCCTTCAGGAAATGTCTGGAAGGAAGGGAGGCAGGCAGGCAGGCTCTTTGAATTTTTTGGCTTTTGGCCGAAGTTCTTACTCCTTTTTGTCATATCTGACATATCTGATGAAACCTAGGGACTCCTCATGTAAATGATGCTTTTTTTTTTTTTTTTTTTTTTTTGAGACAGGGTCTCATTCTGTTGCCCAGGCTGGAGTGCACTGGTACAATCATAGCTCACTGCAGCCTCCAACTCCTGGGCTCAGGCGATCCTCCTGCTTCAGCATCCCGAGTACCTAGGACTACAGACACGTGCCACCACACCTGGCTAATTTTTGTATTTTTTTTTTTTTTTTTTGTAGAGACAGGGGCTCACTATGTTGTCTAGTCTGGTCTCCAACTCCTGGCCTCAAGCAATCCTCTTGCCTGGGTCTCTCAAAGTGTTGGAATTAAAGGAGTGAGCCACCACACCTGGCCAAGAATGTTGCTTTTTAAATGGATAAAATAAAATACACTGAATTACCAAGGAAGCCTGTAGTTATCAAAATATTAATAAAAACAAAATCGTGCCTGTAATCCCAGCACTTTGGGAGGCTGAGGCAGGTGGATCACCTGAGGTTGGGAGTTCAAGACCAGTCTGACCAACATGAAGAAACTCCTGTCTCTACTAAAAATACAAAAAAATTAGCTGGGTGTGGTGGTGGGCAACTGTAATCCCAGCTACTTGGGAGGCTGAGGCAGGAGAATCACTTGAACCCAGGAGGTGGAGGTTGCGGTGAGCCAAGATTGCACCATTGCACTCCAGCCTGGGCAACAAGAGCAAACCTCTATCTCAAAAAAAAACAAAAACAAAAACCATACTCTATGTGCTGCTTTATGGATGCATTAAATAACAAGATCTAACAGCAGGCCTGATAGCTACCATAATTTTGAAGCATAAATGATTTTTTTTGAGTTTTCTATAAGTGGAACATGGTATGAACATACCTGTGACTTCTACTGGTGACAAAGTTACTGGTACTGGTAATAAGACTGTGTTTCATTGCCTATATCCATAACTGATAAAATTGCTAAAGTTCAGTTAAAGATTAAGTTAACATCGCTCATGACGCAGCAGTGGGCATGAAAAATAAAGTTTTTTTTTTTTTGGAGACGGAGTCTTCCTCTGTGCCCAGGCTGGAGTGCAATGGCGTGATCTCGGCTCACTGCAACCTCTGCCTCTCGGGTTCAAGTGATTCTCCTGTCTCAGCCTCCCGAGTAGCTGGGGCTACAAGCACGTGCCGCCACGCCTGCCTAATTTTTTGTATTTTTAGTAGAGACGGGGTTTTGCCATGCTGGCCAGGCTGGTCTTGAACTCCTGACCTCAAGTGATCCACCCGCCCCAGCTTCCCAAACTGCTGGGATTATAGGTGTGAGCCACCGAGCCCAGCCAAAAGAATAATTAAGGTTTTACCCAGCAGGAAGCAGAATATGAATCAGGAGTGGGCTAAAAATAGCATCTTGAGAACTTGGGATCCTGAGCTGTTGTCACTGAGGTCTGGGGCTTGGAAAAAGGAAGAGATGGGGTGGTCCCTTCCTCTCTGTGCCTGTCAGGTCACCCTAAGAGTTCCGGTTCTTCTTCTAGACATATACTCTGAAAAAAGATGTAGGCAAATCGGAACTTGTGCAATAAAAAGTGACCAGGACTGGGACAGAGGGGAACCTTCCAAAGATGTCTGATGAGGAACAGTTGCAGGGACCAGGAGGCCTCCCTGGAGAAGCTTCAGGGGTCATGGCCACTGGCTGAACTATCTGAAGGGCTTACTGGGAGGAGAGGAAGATGATTGATTCTGTGTCACTGCAGAGGGGAGAGCTAAGGCAGAAGGCTAGAAATGATGCGGAGACACACTTGACTTAAGAGATAACTTTCTTCCTATTTTTTTTTTTTTGGAGACAGAGTCTTGCACGTCGCCCAGGCTGGAGCGCAGTGGTGTGATCTTGGCTCGCTGCAACCTCCGCCTCCCGGGTTCAAGCGATTCTCCTGCCTCAGCTTTCTGAGTAGCTGGAGTTACAGGCATGCACCACCAGGCTCAGCTAATTTTTGTATTTTTAATAGATATGGGGTGTTCACCATGTTGGCCAGGCGGGTCTCAAGCTCCTGACCTTAAGGGATCTGCTCGCCTCGGCCTCCCAAAGTGCTGGGATTACAGGCGTGAGCTACCACACCTGGCCACTGATTTATTAATTTGGTAAGTATTTATTTAGTGCCTCCTGTGTGCCAGGCCTTGTGCTGAGCACTTTGGGTTTACAAAAGGAGGACAACAGAAGAGTCTTTGTAGAGGACTCTGTAGTTTACAAAGCACTTTCCAAAAGCACCACTTACCACTTTTTTTTTTTTTTTTTTTGAGACAGTTTCACTCTTGTTGCCCAGGCTGTAGTACCGTGGCGAGATCTCGGCTCACTGCAACCTCTGCTTCCCGGGTTCAAGCGATTCACGTGCCTCAGCCTCCCAAGTAGCTGGGATTACAGGCGTGCACCACCATGCTTGGCTAATTTTTTGTATATTTTTTTAATTTTAATTTTTTAAAATTTATTTTATTCTTTTATTATTTTTATTTTTATTTTTATTTTTTTTTTGAGACGGAGTCTTGCTCAGTCGCCCAGGGTGGAGTGCAGTGGCACGATCTCGGCTCACTGCAACCTCCGACTCCCGGGTTCACGCCATTCTCCTGCCTCAGCCTCCTGAGCAGCTAGGACTACAGATGCCCCCTACAACGCCCAGCTAATTTTTTTTTTTGTATTTTTAGTAGAGATGGGGTTTCACCATGTTAGCCAGGATGGTCTCGATCTCCTGACCTCGTGATCTGCCCGCCTCGGCCTCCCAAAGTGCTGGGATTACAGGCGTGAGCCACCGCGCCCGGCCATGTATTTTTAGTAGAGACGGGGTTTCACCAGGTTGGCCAGGCTGGTCTCCAACTCCTGACCTCAGGTGATGCACACACCTCAGCCTCCCAAGGTGCTGGGACCGCAGTCATGTGCCATCACACCCAGCTATTTTTTTTTTTTTTTATTTTTTCCTAGAGAAGCGGTCTCACTATGTTGCCCACGCTGGTCTCAAACTTCTGGGCTCAAGCCATCCTCCCACCTCAGCCTCCCAAACTGCTGGGATTACAGGCATGAGTCACCACGCCTAACCCATGTTTAATTTTTACAACAAATCTGGAAATTGGATATAACAGCTCCATTTTTAGAAGAATCTAAAGGCTCAGAGAGGTAAAGTGACTTGGCAAGCTCACACAGCCATAGAGCAGCAGAATCCACATCAGCTCACCTGACGGTAGGTTCGTGGTTCTTCTTGCTACACCAGGGGCTCCTAAACTTTGTGGATTGATAGGCCCCCCGCAACCTGCCTACGCTATATGTTTTCACTTTGTAACTTGGGGAGGAAGAGGAGGAACTTGGCATTTGCAATTGAGTCACTGCACAAGGGAAAAACTGTGGGTGGGAGGGTGGGGCTGTGATATATCTTTTTTTTTTTTTTAATCGAGAGAGTCTCTCTCTGTCCCCCAGGCTGGAGTGCAGTGGTGCGATCTAGGCTCACTGTAACCTCCGCCTCCCGGGTTCAAGAGATTCTCCTGCCTCAGCCTCCTGAGTAGCTGGAATTACAGGTGAATGCCACGACACCGGCTAATTTTTGTATTTTTAGTAGAGACGGGGTTTTGCCATGTTGGCCAGGCTCGTCTTGAACTCCTGACCTCAAGTGATCCATAGGAGTATAGGCAGTTCATATTTGAATTGTGACATGGCTTCAAGTTTACTTCCTGGAATGTTATAGACTAAAACTATTTTTTTGTTTTGAAACAGGGTCTTACTCTGTTGCCCAGGCTGGAGTGCAGTGGCATGATCATAGCTCACTGCAACCTCCACCTCCTGGGCTCAAGTGTTCCTCTTGCCTCGGCCTCCCAAGTGGCTGGTACTACAAGCACATGTCACCATGCACAGCTAATTTTTTTAATTTTTTTTTTTTGTAGAGATGGGGTTTCGCCAATCTGGTCTCAGACTCCTGGGCTCAAGCCATCCTCTTGCCTCAGCCTCCCAAAGTGTTGTGGTTATAGGTGTGAGTCACCGTACCTGGCTCCAAACCACTTTTGAAGCAAATAGATCTTACTACACATTCTACAGCAGGACAAGCAACCCACCACAAACGAATCAATCATGACGAAGCTAAATGAACAGCAGTCTATAATATAAAAACAAGAGCAGCTCAAGTGTAGAGTATAACCCAGGCGGCAAAGGCATTGGTCCTGTATTTGTGGGCACGTGTGCTGAAATTCCTGCAAGGCAGCCAGCCTTCTTGGAAAGATGTTGAGGAAACATTCTAAATACTAGAAATGTGCTGGTTTCTATTTATTTTATTTTTATTTTTATTTTTGAGATGGAGTCTTACTTTATCCCCCCGGCTGGAGTGCAGTGGCGTGATCTTGGCTCACTGTACCCTCCACCTACAAGGTTCAAGCGATGCTTCTGCCTCAGCCTCCTGAGTAGCTGGGATTATAGGCACCCGTCACCACGCCTGGCTAATGTTTTTGTATTTTTAGTAGAGACAGGGTTTCACCATGTTGGTCAGGCTGATCTCAAACTCCTGACCTCAGGTGATCCACCCGCCTTGGCCTCCCAAAGTGTTGGGATTATAGGTTTGAGTCACCATGCCTGGCCACAGCCAGCCTTCTTGGAAAGGTGTTGAGGAAGCATTCTAAATGCCAGAAATCTGCTGGTTTCAATTTATCAATTTAAACCTATATGACCTTCTATAATCCAGAAATTTATCAATAAGTAGCTCACGTCTGTAATCCCAGTGCTTTAGGAGGCTGAGGCAGGATCGCTTGAGGCCAAGCGTTTGAGACCAATCTGGGCAACATAGTGAGACTCCATCTCTACAAAAAATTTTAAAAATAAGCCTGGCATGGTAGCGCATGCCTGTAGTCCTGGCTACTCGGGAGGCTGGTGGGAGGATTGCTTGAGCCCAAAAGTTGGAGGCTGCAATGAGCTGATATCGCACCACCTCACTCCAGCTTGGGCAATAGACTGAAGAAAAAAAAAAAGGTAACTTTAGCATATAGAGAAATGAAAGTAATGTAAATGGAATTGGTTGTAATTCACCCATAAAGACCAAAGTTCTGTCTCTAAGATCTGAGTGCTATGGGGGATTTAAAGCTGACAAACACCAAGCATCACAGAACAGAGTAATTAATTTCTCCATTCACTCAAAAACATTTATAAAAATGTTATAGGCTGGGCATTGTGGCTCACGCCTGTCATCCCAGCATTTCGGGAGGCCGAGGCAGGTGGATCACGAGGTCAGGACTTCGAGACCAGCCTGGCCAACATGGTGAAACCCCGTCTCTACTAAAGATACAAAAAGTTAGGCGGACGTGGTAGCACGCGCCTGTAATCCCAGCTACTCAGGAGGCTGAGGTAGGAGAATTGCTTGAACCTGGGAGGCAGAGGCTGCAGTGAGCCGAGATCACGCCATTGCACTCCAGCCTGGGCGACACGGCGAGACCCCGTCTCAACCTTGTTCTGACTTTGCTGTAATAAGCATGCATGGTTAAGGCAATGAAAGCAATATATTGTAGAATTAACACTGAGCCTTGATCATCTTTACTTTCCCAAATTATTCCATTCCCCCATTCCCCACCTCATGCAGTATACATGGCAAAGGAAGATATTAAAATTTGAGCCAGTGATGAAAAATATTTATTTTTGACACATCAGCATTTTTTTGGTAAACAGAAGTTCTAGCTATATTGCCCAGGCTGGTCTCGAACTCCTGGCCTCAAGCAATCCTCCTGCCTTGGCCTTCCAAAGCACTGGGATTACAGACATGACTATATTGGCATTAAAAAAAAAAGTTTTATTAAAATTTTATTTACTGAGGCCGGGTGTGGTGGCTCACTCCTGTAATCCCAGCGCTTTGGGAGGCCAAGGCAGGAGGACTGCTTGAGGTCAGGAATTCAAGACCAGCCTGGTCAACATGCCAAAACCTCGTCTCTACTAAAAATACAAAAATTAGCCAGGTGTGGTGGCAGGCACCTGTGGTCCCAGCTACTCGGGAGGCTGAGGCAAGAGAATCGCTTGAACCCAGAAGGTGGAGGTTGCAGTGAGCCAAGATTGTGCCACTGCACTCCAGCCTGGGCAACAGAATGAAACTCCATCTTGAAAAAACCAAAAAGGTTTGATTTACTTACAATAAACTACATATAATTACAGTATAGATTTTGATACATTTTGACATATATATATACACACATATATATACACATATATACATATACATACATATATACACATATATATACATATACATACATATATATATACACACACCCATGAAACTATCACCACAATTTAGATAATGACATACCCACCACCCCCAAAAATTATATCTCACCCCTCTATAATCCCTTCTACTCTATAATCCCTGCCTTCTTTATCCCCAGGCAACCAATGGCTGCTTTGTGTCACTGTAGATTCGTTTAGATTTTCTAAAATGTTATATGAATGGAATCGTATAATATGCACTTGTGGTTTTGGCCTAGTTTCGTTCACTCAGCCAGATGATCTGACATTCATCATGTTGTTGCTTGTATCAATACTTCTTCCCGGCTGGGTGCAGTGGCTCATGCCTGTAATCCCAGCACTTTGGGAGGTTGAGGAGGGAGGATTGTTTGAGCCCAGGAGGTCCAGGCTGCAACAGTGAGCCATGATTGCGTCACTGCACTCCAGCCTGGGTGACAGAGCAAGACCCTGTCTAACATACACACACACACAGAGAGAGAGAGAGAGAGAGAGAGACAGACAGACAGATAGACAGACAGACAGAGAGAGAGTGTGTTGCGTGACTCAGCCTTTAAGCTTAGCTTTCCCTGTGGCATAAGTTTCGGGGGTTCTGAGATTTCACATTTTCCCTTTACAGGTGCATCGTAGGGTTTAGAAGGTGATATCTCACTTTGCACAGCTGAGACAGCTCTGGGACCAGTGCCAGGCATCCCACTTAGCCAGTTCTCGGGTGGTTCCTGGATTGACCCCCAACCTCCACTGCACATCTGCAGACACCTTGGGAAGGCACGGAATGACTGCAGGGATGGAATGGTTGAGGGTTGGGTGGGACCTGGACCTCATCCACCACCTGGGCATCCCAGGGGAGCAGGACATCAGGTCCCTCCAGCCCCCAACCCCGGGTGGTCCCAGCTTCTCAGGCCCGTGCCCCAGGGAGCAGTGCGGCTCCTTGTTCAACAGGAGGCTGTCATCGGTAGAACGCAGGGGTTGGTTGCCAGCTGCGGACTCCGGCTCATTTAACTGCTCTGCAGCCCCCACGCCGGGTCCTCACTGCCCCGTGGTAGATGGACAGCTGGGTTTGGCTTCCTCTGGTCTGATGGAGAAATGGCCTCATCCCAAAGCAGAATACTGTCCTCTGCTGGCTGGCCTGTGACATGGCTCACTTACAGACGATGGCTTTAAACAGGCACCCCAATGCCCCAATTTCCCCAGGTCCATCGTACCTTCGGGCAATCCCCCAAAGTTATGAAACTGCAGCCTGCCTTCCCTAGCATTCATGTGCCATGCTCTCTTTCCCCACATTCATAGGATGGGCACAGTCTGCAGGTCCACTGCCCAAGCACACATCCCCTTGGGAAGAAATGCCAACTCCCTCCCAACCCTGCTGGCTGGCATCCCTTAGATGTGTCCAACACTTGCCTTCAGCAGGGCATGGGAAGCGAGACAGGCAGGAGTCAAATAGTGTAGGCAAGCCCTTGGAGGCCATGGCGAGGAAAGTAGATGCTGTTTCCAAGGACAGTGGGAAGTTGCTTAGAGAGGTTAAGCTGGGAGGGTAATGACTAATGACCCATTTATATTTTCGAAGGAATGGGAAACAAGCACTCAAAAACATTGCTGATGAGATCGAAAATGGGTGCAATTTTTTTTTTTTTTTTTGAGACCGACTCTCGCTCTGTCACCCAGGCTGGAGTGCAGTGGTGCAATCTCGGCTCACTGCAGCTTCCATCTCCCAGGTTCAAGTGATTCTCCTGCCTCAGCCTCCTGAGTAGCTAGGATTATAGGTGCACGCCAGCACGGCTGGCTAATTTTTGTTTGTTTGTTTTTTGAGATGGAGTCTCCCTCTGTCACCCAGGCTGGAGTGCAGTGGCGCGATCTCGGCTCACTGCAACCTCTGCCTCCTGGGTTCAAGCAATTCTCCTGTCTCAGCCGCCCAAGTAGCTGGGACCACAGGCACCCACAACCACACCTGGGTAATATTTGTATTTTTAGTGGAGACGAGCTTTTACCATATTGGTCAGGTTAGTCTCGAACTCCTGACCTCAGGTGATCCACCTGCCTTGGCCTCCCAAAAGGCTGGGATTACAGTCATGAGCCACCGCACCCAGCTGGGTGCAATTTCTATAGAAGGGAATCTGACAATATCTATCAAAATGACAAATGTACATATATTTGATCAATTTCACTTCTAGGATTCTAACTTGTAGATATCCTTGCTTAAGTGCAAAGTGGTTTAAGAAGTTATTCATTGCAGCATTGACTGCCAGAATAAATGATTAGAGATGACCCAGATGTCGATCAATGTGGGAATGATTAATAAATTATGGCGCGTCCTTTTTTTTTTTTTTTTTGAGACATATTGCTGTGGTGGGATCTCAGCTCACTGCAACCTCCGCCTCCCAGATTCAAGCGATTCTCCTGCCTCAGCCTCCCAAATAGCTGGGATTACAGGTGTGTGCCACCATGACCTGCTAATTTTTTGTATTTAGTAGAGACGGGGTTTCACCACGTTGGCCAGGCTGGTCTCAAACTCCTGACCTCAGGTAATCCACCCACCTCAGCCTCCCAAAGTGCTGGGATTACAGGCATGAGCCACCATGCCTGGCCAATAAATTATGGTGTGTCCTTTTGAAGTAATCCTCTGCAGTCATAAAACCAAAAAAAAAAAAAAACCCCAAACTAAGGAAGCTAGTATCCATACAGAATGCTACCTAAAATATTTTATTGAGAGAGGCAAGGTTCCTAACAGTGATTATAGTATGTTACACAAATAACAAAAGGCTTTAAAAGGTATAGGAGAGGCTAGGCACAGTGGCTCATGTCTGTAATCCCAGCACTTTGGGAAGCTGAGGTGGGAGGATCACTTGAGCCTGGGAGTTCGAGGCTACAGTGAGCTATGTTCACAACACTACACTCCAGCCTGGGTGACAGAGAGAGACCCTGTCTCAAATATATATATATTTTGAAACAGGCCAGGCACAGTGGTTCATGCCTGTAATCACATTGCTTTGGGAGGCTGATGCAGGAGGATCTCTTGAGTCCAGGAGTACAAGACCAGCCTTGGCAACATAGTGAGATACTGTCTTTACAAAAATATTTTTTATGTTAGCCATGCATGGTGATGTGTGCCTGTAGTCCCAACTACTTAGGGGGCTGAGGCAGGAGGATCGCTTGAGCCAAGGAGGTCAAGGCTACGGTGAGCTATGATCATGCCACTGCCCTCTAGCCTGAGTGAGACACAGTAGGACCTTGACTCAAAAAAAAAATTAATTAATTTAAAAAGAAACAAAAAAGATTACTCTGGCTGTTGTGTGGAAGGAGGCAAGAGTGAAAATGGTTCATTTCACCATTTTTTTTCTTCCCTTTTTTTTTTTTTGAAACTAGAGTCTTGCTCTGTCACCCTGGCTGGAGTGCAGTGGTGTGATCTTGGCTCACTGCATCCTCTGCCTCCCAGGTTCAAACAATTCTCCTGCCTCAGCCTCCCAGTAGCTGGGACTACAGGTGCCCACCAGCATGCCCGGCGAGTTTTTTGTATTTTTAATAGAGACAGGGTTTCACCATGTTGGCCAGGCTGGTCTCGAACTCCTGACCTCCAGTGATCCACCCACCTCAGCCTCCTAAAGTGCTGGGATTACAGGCATGAGCTACCTGTCTGGCTCATCTCACCATTTTCTGTAGGTGGTGCAGGAATCCTGGAAAGAGATGACCATGGTTGAATGAGGGGAGTAGCAGCTGAGGAGGGGAGAAGCAGGTGGATTTCAAATATACCTGGAAGTGGAGCCTATGAGGTGGCTGATGGAGTGGGTATGGGGGTAAGAGAAAGAGAGAAATCAGGCCGAGTGCGATGGCTCATGCCTGTAATCCCAGCACTTTGGGAGGCCGAAGTGGGTGGATCACTTGAGCTCAGGAGTTTGAGACCAGCCTGGGAAACATAGAAGACCTCATCTCTACAAAAAGTACAAAAATTAGCAGGGCATTGTGGCATGAACCTGTAGTCCCAGCTACTTGGGAGAGTGAGGTGGGAGGATTGCTTGAGCTCGGGAGGTCGAGGCTGCAGTGAGCCCTGATTGTGCCACTGCACTCCAGCCTGGGTGACAGAGTAAGACACTGTCTCAAAAAAAAAAAAAAAAAAGAAAGAAATCAAGGAGCACTCCTACATGAATAGTCGTGCCCTTGAGTTTGGGGGAAGCTAGAGGGAGAAGAAGATTGGCATTGGAGTAGGGGTAGGAAAGGTACCATTGCATTTTGGAGAGGACAGATTGAGGGAAGCTGAGAGGGCAGGGAAGGCATGGGGGCAGAGAAGCAGGATAATTGAGAATTAATCTATTTAGGCCAAGTGTGGTGGCTCACACCTGTAATCCCAGCACTTTGGGAGGCCGAGGCAGGCGGATCACGAGAGGCCAGGAGTTCGAGACCAGCCTGGCCAACATGGTGAAACCCCGTTACTATTAAAAATACAAAAATTAGCTGGGTGAGGTGGTATGCACCTGGATCCCAGCTACTTGGGAGGCTGAGGCAGCAGAATGGCTTGAACCTGGGAGTCAGAGGTTACAGTGAGCTGAGATAGTGCCAATGCACTCCAGCCTGGGTGACAGGGCGAGACTCTGTCTAAAAAAAAAAAAATAAAGAGCAGTGAGTCTATTCAAAGTGATTCAAGGTGACAAAATGGTGCAGAACTGGTGCAAGGACAGAAATGTGGACCAATGGAATAGAAGAAAGAACACAGAAATAAACCCTCATATTTAAAGTCAATTGCTTTTTGACATGAGGACCTAGACCATTCAATGGGGAAAAGGCAACATTTTCAACAAACGGTGCTGAGAAAAGTGGGATATCCATATGCAAAAAAAAAAAAAAAAAAATGCCATTTGACCCTTCCCTCACACCATATACAGAAATTAACTCCAAATGAGTCAAAGACCTAAATATAAGAGGTAAAACTTATAAGACTCTTAGAAGAAAACACATTGGCTTTGGCAATGATTTCTTGGATGTGTCACCAAAAGCCATAAAAAGGCAATAAAAGAAAAAATAGAGAAGTTGAACTTCATCAAAATTTAAAACTTAAAAAAAATTTTTTTTTTTTAAATAGAGACAAGGTCTCACTATTTTGCCCAGGCTGGTCTCAAACTCCTGGGCTCAAGCAGTCCTCCTGCCTTGGCCTCCCAAAGTGCTGGGATTACAGGTGTAAGACACTGTGCCCGACCACCAAATTTTCAACCTTTGTGCATCAAAAGAAACTATCAAGAGAGTAAAAAGACAACCCACAGAAAGGGAGGGAATATTTACAAATCAAATCCAAAATATATAAAGAATTCCTACAACTCAACAACAAACAAACCAACTGAAAACTGGTGCTGGGTACGGTGGCTCACGCCTGTAATCCCAGCACTTAGGGAGGCCAAGGCGGATGGATCGCTTGAGGTCACGAGTTTGAGACCAGCCTGGCCAACGCGGTGAAACCCTGTCTCTACTAAAATACAAAAATAGCCGACCCCGTCTCTACTAAAAATACAAAAATAGCCGGGCGTGGTGGCCCAAGCCTGTAATCCCAGCTACTTGGGAAGCTAAGATAGGAGAATCGCTTGAACCCTAGAGGTGGAGGTTGCAGTAAGCTGAGATCATGCCACTGCACTCCAGCCTGGGCAACAGGAGCGAAACTCCGTCTCAAAAAAAAGAAAGAAAGAAATAAAGAAAGAAAATTGGGCAAAGAACTTGAATAGATATTTCTCCAAAGAAAATAGACAAGTGCCAATAAGCACATAAAAAGATGCTCAACATCACTAATCATTAAGGAGATTCAAACTGAAAAGACAATGAGATACCACTTCACACCTTATTAGGATAGCTATGACATATTTTTAAAAAAACAGAAAATAACAAGCGCCGGCAAGGATGTGGCAAGACTGGAATCCTTTTGCACTGCTGATGGAAACGTAAAATGATGCAGCTGCTACAGAAGACAGTTTGGCAGTTCCTCAAAAAGCTAAGACATAGAATTACCATATGACCTAGTAATTCCACTACTGTGGGTAATTCCACTAGTGTGTGTACTTCCACTTGCAATAATGGATAGGACAGCTAGACAGAAAATCAGCATGGTTATGGAAGACTGGAACAACGCTATCAACCAACTAAACCTGACAGGCACAGATAGAACATTCAACAACAGCAGACTATATAGTCTTCTCCAGTATACGTGGAACATTCTCCAGGATAAACAGAACACACATTAGGCCATAAAGTGAATCTCAATAAATGTAAGAGGATTGAAATGATGTGGCTCGTGCCTATAATCCCAGCACTTTGGGAGGCCAAGATGGGAAGATTGCTTGGGCCCAGGAGTTTGACAGCAGCCTGGGCAACATGGCAAAACCCTGTCTCTGCTAAAAATACAAACAGTTGGCCGGACGCGGTGGCTCATTCCTGTAATCCCAGCACTTTGGAAGGCCGAGGCAGGCGGATCATGAGGTCAGGAGTTGGAGACCAGCCTGGCCAACATAGTGAAACCCCGTCTCTACTAAAAACACAAAAATTAGCCGGGTGTGGTGGTACGTGCCTGTAGTCCCAGCTACTCGGCAGGCTGAGGCAGAAGAATTGCTTGAACCAGGGAGGCGGAGGTTGCAGTGAGCCAAGATCACGCCACTGCACTCCAGCCTGGGCAACAGAGCGAGACTGCGTCTCAAAAAAAAAAGAAAAAAAAAAGCAAACAGTTAGCCAGCTGTGGTGGCACATGGCTGTAGTCCCAGCTACTAGGGAGGCTGAGGTGGGAGAATCTCTTGAGCCTGGGAGGCAGAGGTTGCAGTGAGCCGAGATCCCCACCACTGCACTCCAGCCTGGACGACAAAGTGAGACCTTGCCTCAAAAAGAAAAAGAAAATTGGCCGGGCGCGGAGGTTCATCCCTGTAATCCCAGCACTTTGGGAGGCTGAGGCGGGTGGATCACAAGATCAGGAGATCAAGACCATCCTGGCTAACATGGTGAAACCCTGTCTCTACTAAAAATACAAAAAATTAGCCGGGCTTGGTGGCGGGCACCTGTAGTCCCAGCTACTTGGGAGGCTGGGGCAGGAGAATGGCATGAACCCGGGAGGCAGAGGTTGCAGTGAGCCGAGATGGCGCCACTGCACTCCAGCCTGGGTGACAGAGCGAGACTCCGTCTCAAAAAAAAAAAGAGAAAAAGAAAATCATGCCAAGTATGTTCTCCCTATTACAGTGAAATGAAATTAGAATTCAATAACAGAAAAAAAATGTGGAAATTAAACAACACACTTCTCAATATCCAATGGATCCAAGGAGAAATCACCAAGGGAATTAGAAAATAGAGCTGGGCGCGGTGGCTCACACCTTTTACCAGCACTTTCGGAGGCCAAGGTGGGAGGATTGTTTGAGCCCAGGAGTTTGAGACCAGCCTGGGCAACATAGTGAGACACTGTCTCCACACACACATAAAAAAAGCAATTATAAAATACTTCCAGATGCTTAAAAATATACTAAAATTTGTAAAATGTATTAAAAACAGTGCTCAGAGGCTGGGTGCAGTGGCTCATGCCTGTAATCCCAGCACTTTGGGAGGCTGAGGTGGGTGGATCACTCGAGGTCAGGAGTTCAAGACCAGACTGGACAACATGGTGAAACTCCATCTCTACTAAAAATACAAAAATTAGCTGGGGGTTCTGGCATGCCCCTATAATCCCAGCTACTCAGGAGGCTGAGGCACGAGAATCGCTTGAACCTGGGAGGTAGAGGTTGCAGTGAGCTGAGTTCACGCCGCTGCACTCCAGCCTGGGCCACAGAGTGAGACTCCATCTGAAAAAAAAAAAAAAAAATATTAGAGTGGAAATAAATGAAGTAGAGAATAGGAAATCAAGACACAAGATGAATGAAACCAATATTGGCATATTAGTTTTCTAGGGCGCTGCTGTAAAAAAAAAATTTACTACCAACCAGGCGGCTTAAAACAACAGAAATTTAGGTTTCTCACAGTTATATAGATATCTGTAATCTAGGTGTCAGCTAGGTTGGTTCCTTGGAGAGGTTCAGAGGGAGAAATTGTTCCATGCCCCTCTCCTAGATTTGGCGTTTGCTAACAATTCTTGGCATTCCACGGCTTGTAGACGCATCACTCCGTTCTCTGTTTCCATCTTCACACAGCATTCTCCACTGTGTGTCTGTGTCCACATTTCTTTTTTTGTTGTTGTTGAGACGGAGTCTTGCTCTGTCACCCAGGCTGGAGTACAGTGGCGGGATCTCGGCTCACTGCAAGCTCTACCTCCCAGGTTCACGCCATTCTCCTGCCTAAGACTCCCGAGTAGCTGGGACTACAGGCGCCCGCCACCGTGCCCAGCTAATTTTTTGTATTTTTAGTAGAGATGGGGTTTCGCCATGTTAGCCAGGATGGTCTTGATCTCCTAACGTTGTGATCCGCCCACCTTGGCCTCCCAAAGTGCTGGGATTACAGGTGTGAGCCACTGTGCACGGCCTCTTTCTTCTTATAAGGACATCAGTAACTGGATTAAGGCCCACTCCACTCCACTATGACCTCATCTTCACTTGGTTGTATCTACAAAGACCCTACTTCCAAATAAGATCACATTTGCATATTCTGGGGGCTAGAATTCAAACACATATTTTTGGAGGACACAATTTAACCCATAACATTGATTCTCTGAAAAGATAAACATAATTGACAAACCTTTAGCCAGACCGAAGAGAGAGAGAGAGAGAGGATTCAAATAAGAAAATCAGGAATGAAAGAGGAGATATTACTACGTACCTTACAGAAATAAAAAGTATTGGAAGGGGGTCAGGCACAGTAGCTCATGCCTGTAATCCCAGCACTTTGGGAGGCTGAGGTGGGAGGATCACTTCAGGCCAGAAGTTCAAGACCAGCCTGGGCAACATAGGGAGGCCCTGCCTCTACAAAAATAAAAAAATTAGCCAGGCATGGTGGTGCACACCTGTGGTCCCAGCTGCTTGGGAGGCTGAGATGGAAGGATTGCTTGGGCCTGGGAGGTTGAGCCTGCAGTGAGCTATGATCATGCCACTGCACCCCAGCCTGGGCAACAGAGTAAGATCCTGGAAAAGAAAAGAAAGAAAGAGAAAGAGAGAAAGAAAGAGAAAAAGAAAGAGAAAAAAAAAGAAAGAGAAAAAGAAAGAAAAAGAGAAAGAAAGAAAAAGAAAGAGAAAGAAAATGAAAGAAAAAGAAAGAGAAAAGGAAAGAGAAAAAAGAAAGAGAAAAAGAAAGAGAAAGAAAAATGAAAGAAAGAGAAAGAAAGAAAAAAGAAAGAAAAATGAAAGAAAGAAAGGAACTACCAAAACTAACTCAAGAAGAAATAGAACAGACACATAACCAGCAGAGTTATCAAAAAACCTCCAACAAATAAAGGTCCAGGACCAGATGGTTTTATTGGTGAACTGATTTTGACAACAGTGCTAAGACCATTCTAGGGGAAAGAGTCTTTTCAACAGACGGTGTTGGGACAACTGGATATCTACATGCAAAATAATAAAGTTGAACTCATCTCATGTGCAAAATCCATTCAAAATAGAAGGAAGAGCTAGATATAAGTGCTAAAACTATAAACTCTTTTTTTTTTTTTGAGATGGAGTCTTGCTCTGTTGCCCAGGCTGGAGTGCAGTGGCACGATCTTGGCTCACTGCAATCTCCGCCTCCCAGGTTCAAGCAATTCTCCTGCCTCAGTCTCCTGAGTAGCTGGGATTACAGGGCATGCACCACCACGCCCAGCTAATTTTTGTATTTTTAGTTTCACCATGTTGGCCAGGCTGGTCTTGAACTCCTGACCTCAAGTGATCTTCCCACTTTGGCCTCCCAAAGTGCTGGGATAACAGGCGTAAGCCACCACGCCTGGCCTAAAACTATAAACTCTTAGAAGAAAATTCTCTGTGCCCTTTGATCAGGCAGTGGTTTCTTTCTTTTGACCCCCAAAGCACAAGCAACTAAAGAAAATATTGATAAGTTGGACTTCATGAAAATTAAGAATTTGTGTGTGTCAAAGGACACTATCGAGGCTGGGCGCAGTGGCTCATGCCTGTAATCCCAGCACTTGGGGAGGCCGAGGCGGGTGGATCACTTGAGTTCAGGAGTTCAAGACCAGACTGGCCAACACGGCAAAAACCCATCTCTACTAAAAGTACAAAAATTACCCAGAAGTGTTGGCGTGCACCTGTAATCCCAGGTACTCAGGAGGCTGAGGCACGAGAATCGCTTGAACTTGGGAGGCGGAGGTTGCAGCGAGCCGAGATTATACCACCGCACTCTAGCCTAGACAACAGAGCAAGACTCTGTTTCAAAAAAAAAAAAGAACCCTATCAAGAAAATTAAAAGACAACCCACCAAATGGGAGAAGTGTGTGTAAATCACCTATCTGATAAAGGCTTAGTATCCACAATATAAAGAATGATGCCTACAACTCAACAATAACAAGACAACTCAATTAAAAATTGGTCAAAGTGCTGGGCAGTCTGTCTTACATCTGTTATAATCCCAGCATTTTGGGAGGCTGAGGTAAAAGGATCGCTTGACCCCAGGAGTTCAAGATCAGCCTGGACAACACAGCCAGATCCTATCTCATTAAAAAAAAAAAAGAAGAAGAAAACGAAAACTCAGATAGAATTGTACACCAAAAGGAATAAATTTCCCTGTATGTGGATATTCAAGTAAAATTTAAATATGAAGATATTTCCAGTTTCTTGAGAGTAGACCCTAAACCTGGATCAATTTCATTCCTCTCAGGGAACCTAGTACACTGCCTGATGTTTAGTAGTTTCTTATTAAAGTAAATGATAATTAAATGGACATTATTTTCTATGGGTAAGCATTAGCAGCTTTAGGGCAATTACTTTTTTCATTCCCAGAGCCCATGGGGCTAGGAAGAGGTTCCTATTTCTTAGCAATTTTGACAACCGTTTAATGACAATAGAACATAATGACTTATCGAATCATTTTCTGAAATGTTGCCAGTGGCTGACGTAGGTCAGTGTATCCTACGCTTTTGAGAGAAACCTCAATCGGACTAGACAGTCTTTCCTCTACCCACAACTTCTTCTTCTTCTTTCTTCTTCTTCTTTTTTTTGAGGTGGAGTCTTGCTCTGTTGCCCAGGCTGAAGTGTAGTGGTGCAATTTTGGCTCACTTCAACCTCTGCCTCCTGGGCTCAAGCGATCCTCCCACCTCAGTCTCCTGAGTAGCTGGGACTACAGGCTCACACCACTATGCCCAGCTAATTTTTTATAGAGATGAGGTTTCGCCATGTTGCCCAGGCTAGTCTTGAATGAACTCCTGGACTCAAGTGATCCTCTCTCCTCAGCCTCCCAAAGTGCTAGGATTACAGGCGTAAGCCACCACGCCTGGCAAACCTTTGCTTTTATAAGCTTGCTGAGGTTTGAAGTTGTTATTGTAGCATAATAGTGAACACTGATCTATACAAAAATTGATACCTGAGTACAAAAATCTAGAGGCAGCATTAGCTTTGGGGCCAGGTGGTGACTGTCATTGGAGGTTGGAAAAATGGCAGCCCACGTCATGCGGTGGTACAACCTTTGTCAAAATCCTCACTTGAAATAATACGGAAAGAAGATAACTTAGCAAATGAATGTTTTGGCTTTGGGTAAAGAAATGGGAAAAGGAATTTTGGCAACATGAGTTGGTTTCTACTGGTTACATTTGACAAACTGCAATAAGAAAGAATGGGCCAGTTTGCAAGCAGGTTTTTTTTTTTTTTTTTTTTTTGAGATGGAGTTTTCTCTTGTTGCCCAGGCTGGCGTGCAATGGTGCGATCTCAGCTCACTGCAACCTCCGCCTCCTGGGTTCAAGCGATTCTCATGTCTCAGCCTCCCACGTAGCTGGGATTACAGGTGCCCGCTACCACACCCAGCTAATTTTTGTATTTTTAGTAGAGACGGGGTTTCACCATGTTGGCCAGGCTGGTCTTGAACTCCTGACCTTAAATGATCTGCCCACCTTGGCCTCCCAAAGTGCTGGGATTACAGGGGTGAGCCACCGCACCTGGCTGTAAGCGGAATTTAAAGGCAATATAGAAAGTCCAGAAATTCCAGGGCTTATAAAGTTGAAAGATGATTCTAATTCCCAAAAGGTGAATGATAAAACTGAGAAGTCTTTGTGAGAAAAAGCCTTATTTATAATACTCGGCCTTGTGGTTATGACCAAATCAAGGATAAACAGGTTGAACTCTGTTAAAACTTCTGAATCCATTAATAGGGTACCAAGTAAATACTTTTTTTGTGTGTGTGTGACAGAGTCTCACTCTATCGCCTAGGCTGGAGTGCAGTGGCATGATCTCGGTTCACTGCAACCTCTGCCTCCCGGGTTCAAGTGATTCTCCTGCCTCAGCCTCCCGAGTAGCTGGGATTACAGGTGCCTGCCACCGCACCCGGCTAATTTTTTATTTTTAGTATAGACAGGGTTTCACCATCTTGGCCAGGCTGGTCTTGAACTCCTGACCTCATGATCCACCCGCCTCAGTCTCCCAAAGTGCCAGGATTACAGGTGTGAGCCACAGCGCCCAGCCATAAATACTTTCAACTGGACAACATGGCCAAGGATTATGAGGCCAAGAGCACACCCAGACACTGTGGCTCACATCTGCAATCTCAGCACTTTGGAAGGCCTGGGTGAGTCACTTGAGCCCAGGAGTTTGAGAACAGCCTGGACAACATGGCAAAACTGTCTTTCTACAAAGTACAAAAAATTAGCTGAGCATGGTGGCCCATGCTTGTAGTCCCAGCCACCCAGGAGGCTGAGGTGGGAGGATCACTTGAGCTCAGGAGGTCGAGGCCGTAGTGAGCCGCGATTGCACCACTGCCCTGTAGCCTGGGTGGCAGTGTGAGACCCTGTCTCAAAAAAAAAAAAAAAAAAAAAAAAAAGAGGCCGGGTGCGGTGACTCACGCCTGTAATCCCAGCACTTTGGGAGACTGAGGTGGGTGGATCACGAGGTCAGGAGATCAAGACCATGCTGGCCAACATGGCAAAACCCCATCTCTACTAAAAATACAAAAAATCAGCTGGACATGGTGGCGCACGCCTGTAATCCTAGCTACTCAGGAGGCTGAGGCGGGAGAATCGCTTGAACCCGGGAGGTAGAGTTTGCAGTGAGCCCAGATGGTGCCACTGCACTCCAGCCTGGGCGACAGAGTGAGACTCCATCTCAAAACAAAACAAAACAAAACAAAACAGAGAGAGACAGAGAATGGCCCTCCCAGGAAGACTGGAAGTTCAAGGATCTGCAATGTAGTCTAGAGAGGCATGTCTCAGAAAGCGTTACTACAACTTAGAGCTGGCCAGAACCACATATTTGTGAAACCAACAAAAATTTTTTTTGAGACACGGTCTTCTTGTTCTGTTGCCCAGGCTAGAGTACAGTGGCGCAATCATGGCTCACTGCAGCATGAGCCTCCCAGGCTCAAGTGATACTCCCACCTCAGCCTCCCAAGTAGCTGGGACTATAGGTATGCATCACCACGCCCAGCTAATTTAAAAAAACTTTCTTTTTTTTTTTAGAGATATGGGGTCTTGCTATCTTGCCCAAGCTGGTCTTGCCCTCCTGGGCTCAAGTCATCCTCCCTCCTTGGCCTCCCAACGTGTTGGAATTACAGATGTGAACCACCATACCTATCCCAAAGCCATCTAAATTTTTGGGAAATGTGTATCACCCAAAGAAACATTCATCTGAACTCCAAGAAACAGTGACCATTTCAATACTTAAAATGACTCTTTGACTTGCCAACATTCCGCAGCAGGAAACAAGATGAGAAAGCCACTCAGCTCCCTGGAGAACATACAGGCAATGGTGACCTCAGATACGGCCATTGAGTTTAATGAGCCTCCCAGTGGGTGGACCGGAGAGAGCCATCAAGAACAAGGGACCTGGCCGGGCACGGTGGCTCACGCCTGTAATCCCAGCACTTTGGGAGGCTGAGGGTGGGCAGATCGCTTCAGGTCAAGCCAAGGTAGGAGGATCACTTGAGCCTAGGAGTTCGAGACCAGCCTGACCAACATGGCGAAACCCCATCTCTACTAAAAATACAAAAACTAGCTGGGCGTGGTGGCAGGCACCTGTAGTCCCAGCTACTCGGGAGGCTGAGGCAGGAGAATCGCTTGAACCCGGGAGGCGGAAGTTTCAGTGAGCCGAGATCGTCCTACTGCACTCCAGCCTGGGTAACAGAGCGAGACTCCATCTCAGAAAAAAAAAGAAAAAAAGAAAGAACAAGGGATCAGGGAGCCACTTCCAGGGACAGATCAAGACCTAGTCAATAAATTTTCCCCATTCCCAGGTAAGGAGCTTTGGCAAGGGATGCCCAGGGCATATGCCCTTTTTTTTTTTTTTTTTAAGAGATGGGATCTTGCTATGTTGCCCAGGCTGGTCTCAAACTCCTGGGCTCAAGTGATCCTCCTACCTTGGCTTCCCAAAGTGCTGGGATTGCAGGCATGAGCCACTGTGCCGGGCCAGCATATGCCTTTTAGAACTGCTATGGGCCAGTTGGCTCCTGCATTCCACCCTTCCCGTATACAAGTGGGAGTGACCAGCAGGGCTAACCCTTTCTGCTTCACTATTGTATGTTGGTAAATACTGGAGAGGAGATCAGATAACTTGCCTGTTTAGTTCACTACTCCATGGATCAAGGATAGCCAAAACTGATCTGAAATGGAGACTATCATGAGATCCTAGACTTTGAGCCTCATGCTATGACTGGGTGGGATTTGGGGTATTTTCCCTGAAGAGGGGAATGACTGTATTTTCACGTGTAGGGCGGGAAGCAAAGCACTCACCAAGAGGGTGGACTGTGGTCTGTTGCCTCATCATTCCAAATATTTGCTGCTCTTCCCTATAAAAGGAGCATCAGCCCTGCCCCTTGGTATACTACTATGGTAACCCTTTATGTGGGAGAATCACATGAAGAATTATCTGCCTGGCATGGTGGCTCACGCCTGTAATCCCAGCACTTTGAGAGGCCGAGACGGGAGAATTGCTTGAGCCTAGGAGTTCAAGACCAGCCTGGGCAACATGCTGAAACCCTGTCCCTACAAAAAAAAAAAAAAAAAAAAAAAAAAAAAATTAGCCCGGTATGGTGGTCGCACGCCTGTAGTCCCAGCTACTCAGGAGGCTGAGGCGGGAGGACTGCTTGAGCCCAGAAGCTCAAGGCTTCACTGAGCTGTGATTGCACCACTGCATTCCAGCCTTGGTGACCGAGGGAGATCCTATCTCAAACCTCCCCTATCACCCCCAAAAATATGAACAGATGCCAAGGTTATTGGGGTAGATCCTAAATCTGAATCATCTTTGTACTTCCCAGAGAGCCTGGGACATTATCTATGCACAGTAGTTATTAAAATAAATGATAATCAGAATCAACCTAGGTGCCCATCAACAGTGGACTGGACAAAGAAAATGTGGTCCAGCCAGGCATGGTGGCTCACGCCTGTAATCCCAGCACTTTGGGAGGCCGAGGCGGGAGGATCACCTGGGGTTGGGAGTTCGAGACCAGCCTGACCAACATGGAGAAACCCTGTGTCTACTAAAAATACAAAATTAGCTGGGCATGGTGGTGTGTGCCTGTAATCCCAGCTACTCGGGAGGCTGAGGCAGGAGAATTGCTTCAATCCAGGAGGCGGAGGTGGCGGTGAGCCAGATCGTGGCATTGCACTCCAGCCTGGGCAACAAGAGTAAAACTCCGTCTCAACAAATAAATAAATAAAACAAAAAAAAGAAAATGTGGTCCATATATACCATGGAATACTATGCAGCCATAAAAAAGAATGAAACAATGTCATTTGCAGTCACAAGGATGCATCTGGAGGCCATTAGCCTAAGCAAACTAATGCAGAAACAAAAAATTAAATACCGCATGTTCTTTCTTAGAAAAGGGAGCTAAGCACTGGGTATACATGGACACAAAGATGGGAACGATAGGCCGGGCACAGTGGCTCACGCCTGTAATCCCAGCACTTTGGGAGGTCGAAGTGAGTGGATCACTTGAGGTCAGGAGTTCAAAACCAGCCTGGCCAACATGGTGAAACCCCATATCTACTAAAAATACAATAATTAGCCAGATGTAGTGGTGGGCACCTGTAATCCCAGCTACTCCAGAGGCTGAGGTAGGATAAATTGCTTGAGCTCAGAAGGCAGAGCCGTCAGTGAACCGAGATCACGATGCTGCACTCCAGCCTGAGCAACAAAGCAAGACTCTGTCTCAAAAAAAAAAAAAAAGATGGGAGCAATAGACATTGGGGACTACTGGAGTGGGGAGGGAGGGAGGCAAGGACTGAAGAACGACCTATTGGTCGTTCACTACCTGGGTGATGGGATCATTCATAACCCAAACCTTAGCATCCGGAAGTATACCCATGTAACAAACCTGCCCATGCACCTCTGAATCTAAAATGAAAGTTGAAATAAAAAGTAATTTAAGGGGGGGGGGGAGGGGGTAGGGACAGCATTAGGAGATATACCTAATGTAACTGACGAGTTAACGGGTGCAGCACACCAACATGGCACATGTATACATATGTAACAAACCTGCACATTGTGCACATGTACCCTAGAACTTAAAGTAAAATAATAAAAAAAATTTAAGTTAAATTAACCAAAAAAAAGTAACTTAAGGCCAGGTATGGTGGCTCACGCCTGTCATCCCAGCACTTTAGGACGCTGAGGCAGGTGGATCGCCTGAGGTCAGGAGTTTGAGACCAGCCTGGCCAACATGGAGAAACACTGTCTCTACTAAAAATACAAAAACTAGCTGGGTGTGGTGGTATGAACCTGTAATCCCAGCACTTTAGGACGCTGAGGCAGGTGGATCGCCTGAGGTCAGGAGTTTGAGACCAGCCTGGCCAACATGGAGAAACACTGTCTCTACTAAAAATACAAAAACTAGCTGGGTGTGGTGGTATGCACCTGTAATCCCAGCTACTTGGGGGGCTGAGGCAGGAGAATCGTTTGAACCCGGGAGGCGGAGGTTGCAGTGAGCTGAGATCGCGCCACTATGCTAAAGCCTGGGCGACAGAATGAGACTCTGTCTCAGACAAAAAAAAGAAAAAAAAAGTCATTTAACTTATTTTTTAAAATTTCAAAATAAATACAATAAATGATAACTAAATTAAAAATCATCTTCATTGGGTGAACATTAGCAACTTTAGGGCAAATATTCTTCCATTCCCATGGCCTGGTGCTGACAAGACATGGCTATTTCTCAGCGATTGCAAGCCTTCAATCACAGTGAGCACACGCTGACTTAGGAGAGTTCCACTCTGAGATATTGCTGCCAACCAAGGTCAATGTACGCCATGCCTTCCAGAGAAACAGACCCTCAGCCATAGTCCTGCAACCACAACTTCTTCTATACATTTTGACATAACTTCCTCTGCCTCTTTCCAGCTGCAGCTGAATTGCTAAACACACACACATATACATGCACACACACTCCTACCTCAATCCCTTGAAAACTCCCCAGACCAAAATGTTTTCTTTTCTTTTCTTTTCGAGATGGAGTCTTACTCTGTCACCCAGGCTAGAGTGCAGTGGCGCGATCTCGGCTCACTGCAACCTCCCAGGTTCAAACGACTCTCCTGTCTCAGCCTCCTAAGTGGCTGGGATTACAGGCACATGCCTCCAAGCCTGGCTAATTTTTGCACAAAATGTTCCTTTCTTGCTAGATAGTCCCAAGATCAGCTCTCTGGTAAATCACAAGTCTACTGACAACCCAACTTTTGATTTATCTCTGTCTTAAAAAAAAAAATTTTTTTTTTTTTTTAGAGATGGGGTCTTGCTACGTTGCCCAGGCTGGTCTCCAACTCCTGGCTTTAAGTGATCCTCCTGCCTCAGCCTCCCAAAGTGCTGGGATTACAGGTGTAAGCCATTTCACCTGGCCTCAATTTATCTCTTCCTTATTAAATACTGGCAAATACCTTTTCACAGAGAGTCCCAGAGTCTGGGACTCAGAGTCTGAGTCACAAGTGGAAATACAAGGTGTGCAAAGTTTGCCTACTACAAGGAGTTGCTGGAAGAAAATATCCCAACCCGACACACTTAGCCAACAGTGGGTGGAGTCTTTTCTTTGAAACTGTATGAAATTACAATTGGTCTTTAAACAACACAAGTTTGAACTATATGGGCCAGTTATACACAGTGTTTTTCTTTTAGAGATGGGGTCTTGCTATGTTGCCCGGTCTCGTCTCAAACTCCTGGGCTCAAATAATCTTCCTGCCTCAGCCTCCTAAAGCACCGAGATTATAGAAGTCCCTTTTATAATCAACCAAAGTCCTGAATTGTCTTATGTGGGTTACAGTTAAGCTATAATTACCAAGTAGTCTACTGGGCTTATGGGCTTAGGTTTAGGTGTGTACAAACCTCCCTGTTAAAATTCTTTTTTTTTCTCTTTTTTGAGACAGGGTCTCACTCTGTCAACCAGGCTGGAGTGCAGTGGTGCGATCTCGGCTCACTGCAACCTCTCCCTCCTGGGTTCAAGTGATTCTTCTGCCTCAGCCTCCTGAGTGGCTGGGATTATAGGAGTGCACCACTACGCCTGGCCAATTTTTGTATTTTTGGTTGAGACGGGATTTTGCCATGTTGGCCAGGCTGGTCTCAAACTCCTGACCTCAGGTGATTCACCCGCCTCGGCCTCCCAAAGTGCTGGGATTACAGGCGTGAGCCACTGTGCCTGGCCTCTGTTAAAATTCATCTTACCAGTTTCACACCACTGTTTTCACTGCCAAGATCCATTTGGATCCCACTGTCCTACAAAACTACTCTCCTGGCAGAGTGGGCTTATTTTCAGGCTGGCCAGTGGATCATTCAAAAGTCCATCCAGGCCAGATGCTCATGCCTGTAATCCTGACACTTTGGGAGGCTGAGACGGGAGGATCACTTGAGCCCAGTAGTTTGTGACCAGCCTAGGCAACATCATGATATCCTGTCTCTACAAAAAATTGTAAAAACCTAGCTGGGCATGATGGTGCACACCTGTAGTCCTAGCTACTCAGGAGGCAGAGGTGGGAGGATCTCTTGAGGCTGGGAGTTGGAGGATGCAGTGAGCTATATGATTGCACCACTGCACCCCAGACTGGGTGACAGAGTGAGAACCTGTCTCAAAATAAAATAAATAAAAAATAAAAGAAGGCCGGGTGTGGTGGCTCACACCTGTAATCCCAGTACTTTGGGAGGCCGAGGCACGTGGATCACCTGAGGTCAGGAGTTCGAGACCAGCCCGGACAACGTGGTGAAACCCCATCTCTACTAAAAATACAAAAAATCAGCCGGTCACGGTGGCACGTGCCTGTAGTCCCAGTTACTTGGGAGGCTGAGGAGCAAGAATCACTTGAACCCAGGAGGCAGAGATTGCAATGAGCCAAGATCGTGCCACTGCACTCCAGTCTGGGTGACAGAGCGAGACTCTGTCTCAGAAAAATATAAAGAAAGAAAGAAAGAAAAGAAGAGAATGTGCCACTGCCCTCTTCAGCCTGGATCATAGAGCAAGATCTCTCTCTCTCTCTCAAAAAAAGAAAGCTTAGTACTCAAAGATTTCTTTTTTTTTTTTTTTAAATAGAGATAGGGTCTCTCTATGTTTCCCAGGCTGGTTTCAAAGTCGTGGGCTCCAGGGATCCTCCTGCCTCAGCCTCCCAAAGTGCTGGGATTACAGGTGTGAGCCACCGCACCCGGCCTCAAAGCTGCATCTTAAGGAGAAACGACAATCTAAGCAGAGAGAATGGCACAACACAGGCTTGGAGGCGGCCCCTTTGGGGAAGTAAAAGCAGCCAGTTTAGCCCTCCCTCCATTCCCACCATGGCTCAGGCTCTTCTCTTTATTTCAGCCTCTGCTGCCTTCTGGATTCTTGTCCTTTTTCCATTGCCAGCTCTTGGTGACAACATGCAGCTCACCAGTTTGACCTGTGGTGCTCTCTAAGGCTGTCACTTCTACTTCCCCTCTGGCTCTCTCTAGTCTGAGACAATTCGAGTAACCTCCCTGCCCGCCAGTGTGGCTCCTTGGCACCACAAGCCCAGCCCTCTAACAGAAACAACCAGACAGATGCAAACCGGGACACCTAAGGATGGACAGCAGGGCTCCATCCTCCTGTTCAATGCTGCCACTGGGATCTCAAATGAAGACGGAGAAGCTCTCATTTTCGCCAGACACTGTGGCTCACTCCTGTCATCCCAGCGCTTTGGGAGACTGCGGCAGGAGAATTGCTTGAGGCTGGGAATTGGAGACCAGCCTGGGAAACTTAGCAAGGCCCTGTCTCTACCACACATGAAAAATAGCTGGGGGTGGTGGTGTGTGCCTGTGGTCCCAGCTACTCAGGAGGCTGAGGCAGGAGGATCGCTGGAGCCCAGGAGGTTGAGGCTGCAGTGAGCCATGATCGCACCACTGCACTCCAGCCTGGGTGATGGAGCAAGACCCTGTCTCTAAAAAAAAGGCCTGATTTTCAAGAATGTGTGCCCAAATCTGGGGGTGGGAGAGGAGACATTCAGGATCCTAACAGGCTAGAGAAAAGGTCCAACTCTTAGGAGATGAAATAGCTAAGCCTCTGGTCACAAAGCCATGACCAAATCCCAGAAAGGAGAGGCAAGGCACTGCAGGAAAAGACTCGGGGGTTTAGAAAAGAAGCTGTGAACTGGGTGCGGTGGCTCACGCCTGTAATCCCAGCACTTTGGGAGGCAGAAGTGGGCGGATCAACTGAGGTCAGGAATCCAAGACCAGCCTGGCCAACATGGTGAAACCCCCTCTCTACTAAAAATACAAAAATTAGCCGGGTGCGGTGGTGGCATGTGCCTGTAATCCCAGCTACTCAGGAGGCTGAGGCAGGAGAATCGCTTGAGCCTGGGAGGCTGGAGGTTGCAATGAGCTGAGATTGGCCCACTGCACTCCAGCCTGGATGACAGAGTGGAAAAAAAAAAACAAAACCAGCCTCAGCAACATAGTGAGATCCATTTCTACAAAAAATTTTTTAAAATTAGCCAAGTGTGGTGGTGCATACCTGTAGTCCCAGCTACTAGGGAGGCTGAGGTAGGAGGATCACTTGAGCCTGGGATGTTGAGGCTGCTGTGAGCCAAGATTGCACCACTGCACTCCAGTCTGGGTGACAGAGTGAGACCCTGTTTCCAAAGAAAAAAAAACACCAATAATAAACATTGATTATTTTACATACTTTTTTTGGTCAGGGATTCAGAAATGACTTAGGTACATGGTTTGGATTTAAGGTTTCTCTTAAGGTTGTAGCCAAGATGTTGTCCAGGTCTACAGCCATCTGTCAGCGTTACTCAGCTGGAGGCACGGAGGCATTCCTGCCTGCACTGAGACATTCCTGCCCTTTCACAGTCTTGACACTTTTGAAGACTACTGGACAGTTAGTTTGTAGAATGCCCATCAATTTGGGTTTGTCTGATATTCTCTTGTGGTTAGATTGAGGCTATGCATTTTTCTCAACGAGACTGTAATAGTACAGTTGTGTCCTTTTTATTTATTTTTTGAGACAGGGTCTCACTCTGTCACCCAGCCTGGAGTACAGTGGTGCAATCATAGCTCACTGCAGCCTCGACCTCCTGGGCTTAAGTGATCTTCCCACCTCAGCCTCCCGAGTAGCTGGAATTACAGGCATGCATCATCGTGCCCAGCTAATTTTTATATTTTTGTAAACACAGGGTCTCATTACGTTGCCCAGGCTGATCTCAAACTCCTGAGCTCAAGTGATCCTCCTGCCTCAGCCTCCTAAAGTGCTGGGATTACAGGTGTGAGCTACTGTATTCAGCCTCCAAGCTGTGTCCTTTTTAGTGTATCACATTAGAGGGTTCATGATGGCATTATATCTCATTGCTGGAGATGTTCACCTTGACCATTTGGTTCAAGTGGTGTCTTCTGAGATTTTCCACTGTTATATTACCATTTTTCACTTTGTATTTAATAAAATCATGAAGTCTCCTAAAGCTTTCTCAGGCATCTACATTTGTCAAAGCTCCCTGAGTGATTCCATTGTGCTACCGGGGTTGAAAACCACCAAATAGGTAGATCAAGTTCATGGAGGAGCTAAGATGGGTGAGATGGGGACTTGAAAAGAGGTGACATGAGGAATGGCTGAACGCCTGCAGAATATAAGAGTCAGGGACTGGCTGGGCATGGTGGCTCATGCCTCTAATCCCAGCACTTTGGGAGGCCGAGGTGGGTGGATCACCTGAGATCAGGAGTTCAAGACCAGCCTGGCCAACCCCATCTCTACTAAAAATACAAACAAAATTAGCCCGGCGTGGTGGTGGGTGCCTGTAGTTCCAGCTACTCAGGAGGCTGAGGCAGGAGAATCGCTTGAGCCTGGGAGGCGGAGGTTGTAGTGAGCCAAGATCACGCCACTACACTCTAGCCTGGGCAACAAGAGCAAAACTCTGTCTCAAAAAAACAAACAAACCAAACGAACAAAAAAAACCAAAGTCAGGGACTAACATGTTTGAAAATATCTGAAGAGCTGTCAAGTGTGAATAGTTCCTGTGCAAACCAAAAATAAAATTCTAAGCACCCCCATCAACAGAATGGACTCCTCTTTCAGCCAAGGGCATTCCAAAGTTAACCTGAAACACTAGTACAGGCCATCATGGGAAGGGGTGTTTGGACATGCCTCATTATACCCACCTCCCTTTGAAATTCAGGTATAGCCAACAAGCATGAACATGAAAAGAGAAACCTTAAGATGGACAAAACACACTCTTTAGCAATGAGATACCAGCATGACAGATAGCAGGCCCTGAAAGAAATCAAAGTATTTTACCCACAAATATATTTCTTTGAGATACATACATACATATATATATATATATATAGACACACACATACATATATATACACACACATATATATGTGTGTGTGTATATATACATATATATAAACTTTTGTTTAGGTCAGGCACAGTGGCACATACTTGTAATCCCAGCACTTTGGGAAGCTGAGACGGGTGAATTGCTTGAGCTCAAGACTTTGAGAGCAGCTTGGGCAACATGGTAAAACCCTGTCTACAGTTTTTTTTTTCTGTTTTTTTTTTTTGATACAGAGTCTCACTCTGTCACTGAGGCTGGAGTGCAATGGCATGATCTCGGCTCACTGCGACCTCCACCTTCCGGGTTCAAGTGATTCTCCTGCCTCAGCTTTCTGAGAAGCTGGGATTACAGGTGCACAGCACCATGCCCAGCTAATTTTTGTATTTTCAGTAGAGATGGGGTTTCACCATGTTGGCCAGGCTGGTCTTGAACTTCCGACCTCAGGTGATCCACCTGCCTTAGCCTGCCTCCCAAAGTATTGGGATTACGGGAGTGAGCCACCAAACCCAGCTCCAAATTTTCTTTTTTTAAATTAGCCATGTGTGGTGATAAGCACCTGTAGTCCCCACCACTCAGGAGGCTGAGGTAGGACGATTGCTTGAGACCAGGAGGTCGAGGCTGCAATGAGCTGATTGTGCCACTGCACTCCAGTCTGGCAGTGAGAGTGAGATTGTCTCAAAAAACACAAAACAAACAAACAAACAAAATAAAGACAGGGTCTCCTATGTTGCCCAGGCTGGTCTCGAACTCCTGGGTTCAATCAATCCTCCTGCCTCAGCCTCCCAAAGTGCTGGGGTTGTAGGCGTAAACCATCATGCCAGCCTCTATGGGAGCCATAAAGTGGTCTATGTAATCACACACTTGTCAAACCAATTCTATCCGTGATTCTTGGGGAAATCTGTGAAGTCCCATCTATCTGAAGAGATGTTGTGGAGGCTGAAATAACTCCATCTTGGAAGCTAGGCTTCTGATTAACCCTGGTTCCAAGAATGCCTCTAAGATTTCCAGTTTATCTATCATTCCTTATATAAAAGCGCATACTTACCATTAATCCTGCCCTTATGCCAGAGGCGTTAGAACCAGAGTGACTCCATCTTGAGTGAGGGCTAAGAAAAATGAGGCTGGGGCTTGCTGGGCCGCACTCCCAGAAAGTGAGGTATTCCTAGCCTCCAGATGTTTACAGTTAAGGGAACAGATTGACAATGTTTACTAAACAGACCCAGACTTAGGAGTGTCCTGATATCCCGATATCTTGACAACAGAAGCGTTCCTACGATAATTTCGATTCTTGCGAAATACAGTAAGAAAATTAATCCTTTATCACAAACCCTTGTAGCAGAACACATCTCCCCATAATCTTTTCTTATGCTATATATAAACAAGTATTGTCTCCAGGGTGGACACATTCCTCCTCTTCCTAACCTGTCTGTGGAGTAGCTGTGTCCTTCACCACGTTACTTTCCTAATAAACTTGCTTTTACTTTATGAACTTGCCCTGAATTCTTTCTGGCGCGAGATCCAAGAACCCTCTGTTGGGGTCTGGATCGGGACCCCTTTCTGGTAACACTTGGATCAAATCAACCTTGATGAACTCCTACTTACTGTAAATCCTGCCCTTAAGCAAATTCCTACACATTCCTTCTGGAGCATGTGCATTCTTTCCTTATGGTATATAGTTCCTGAGTCTGGGATGTAACAGCATGGAGATCTACCTGCCTTGTGGCCATCCAAGACGATGCTTCTGTCCATAGTTCCCCCAGTGAAACACCCCGTGATGACAAACTGGATTTGTCTGCCTCATTCTTTGGTTTCTTGGCTCCTTCTATACTTAGGGTTGTTTTGCATATAAGGCCCTATTGTGAAACAGATGTTTAATATGAGTCACTGTTCTGTTTAGAAATATACATTGTTGTTACTGTTGATCTCCACTTCTGCGGGGGTGTTTCCTGTTCTGGAAATCTCTCTGCTGGCCCCTGGGGCACCTCCGTGAATAGTGAAATGCTCACTACTTGGCAGGGAGACTTTCAGCTCTGAGTCCAGCCTGCAAACACCCCAATATCACTCTTCGCACAGAGATACAGGCACTGTGACACTAAGCTGGAGGCAAGGTATGTGGGGAGGCTGGCCTGGGGAAATAAAGCTATTTTTGGATCCAATAAAGCTTCCTAAAGCTGAGGCCACCTAAGAGGTATCCGTCAAATGCTTACCTTGTATAGGATTCTTCTGTGTATTTTGGTCCAGTGGTCAGCAAGAGGCCGGGAGCTACAGAACTACCCATCCAGGGCCCCAGGGAAGGTTAAGGACAGGGTTAAACCAGACTTCAATTCTCATCATCCTGATGCAGCAAGAAGGAAATGTCTGTTATCAGTGTGGGTGGGAGTTGTGTTTCCCCTGAAAGGAGTGGAAATTTCACTGAAAGTCATCCTGGAAAGAGGCCAGTCTTCGGAGACAGAAAAAAAAAAAAAAATGAAAAGGCTGGGCGCGGTGGCTAATACCTATAATCCCAGAACTTTGGGACACCAAGGTCTGCTGATCACTTGAGGTCAGGAGTCCAAGGCCAGCCTGGCCAACATGGCAAAACCCTTTCTCTACTAAAATTACAAAAAAAAATTAGCCGGGTGTGGTGGCACACACCTGTGGTCCCAGCTACTTGGGAGGCTGAGGCACGAGAATCGCTTGAACCCGGGAGGCAGAGGTTGCAGTGAGCCAAGATCGTACTATAGCACTCCAGCCTAGGTGACAGACTGAGACTCAGTGTCAAAAAAAAAAAAAAAAAAAGAAGCTTGGGGAGGTGGGTCTCAAAGACAAAACAAAAGCTTTTTCTCTCCCCAGGGCTGCTAAACCTGGATTTTGAGGCACAGACAAAAGATCTATGTTGTAGCTAATTTTCTGACAATTTGGCTATGCTAAGGTGCCTGTCTAGACATCAGTTTAGATGCTAACACCAGTCTAGGTGCTACTATGAAGGTAATTTTCAGACATGATTAACTTTTTTAATTTTTATTTTAGAGACAGAGTCTTGCTCTGTCGCCCAGGCTGGAGTGCAGTGGTGCGATCATAGCTCACTGCAGCCTCAACCTTCCAGACTCAAGTGATCCTCCCACTTAAGCCTCCCAAGTAGCTGGGACTACAGGCTCACACCACCACGCCTGGCTTTATTTTATTTTTTTTGTAGAGACAGGGTCTCGCTATATTGCCCAGGCTGGTCTCAAACTCCTGAACTCAAAGCGATCCTCCTGCCTCGGCCTCCCAAAGTGCTGGGATTACAAACGTGAGCCACCGTGCCTGGCTGTGATGAACATTTAAATCAGCAGACTTTGAATAAAGACGATGACCCTCCACAAAGCAGGTAGGTCTCATCCAATCACTTGAAGGCTTTAAGGTCAAAGAGTGAGGTTTCCTGAAGAAGAAGGAATTGGGCCTCGATTCCACTGCAACATAGAAACCCTGGCTGGGTTTCCAGCCTGCTTGGCCTGCCTGAAGAATTTAGACACGAGGCTGCAACACCACCTCTTCCCTGGATCTCCAGCCTGCCAGCTTGCCCTACACATTTTGAACTTGCCAGCCTCTGCAATTACAGAAGCCAGTTCTTTTTCTTTTTCTCTTGAGACAGAATCTCACTTTTGTCGCCCAGGCTGGAGTGCAATGGCATGATCTCAGCTCACTGAAACCTCCGCCTCTCAGATTCAAGTGATTCTCCTGCCTCAGTCTCCCAAGTAGCTGGGATTACAGGTGCCCACCACCATGCCTGGCTAATTTTTGTATTTTTAGTAGAGATGGGGTTTCACCATGTTGGGCAGCCTGGTCTTGAACTCCTGACCTCAGGCGATCCGCCTGCCTTGGCCTCCCAAAGTGCTGGCATGAGCCACCACGCCTGGCCTAAACCAATTCTTATTTATTTATTTTTTGAGACGGAATTTCGCTCTTGTTGCCCAGGCTGGAGTGCAATGGCATGATCTCAGCTCACTGCAACCTCCACCTCCCGGGTTCAAGTGATTCTCCTGCCTCAGCCTCCCGACTAGCTGGGACTACAGGCATGCACCACTATACCCAGCTAATTTTTTGTATTTTTAGTAGAGACGGGGTTTCTCCATGTTGACCAGGCTGGTCTTGAACTCCTGACCTCAGGTGATCTGCCTGCCTCGGCTCCCAAAGTGCTGGGATTACAAGCATGAGCCACCGCGCCCAGCCTAAGCCAGTGCTTTAAAATAATGAAAGGATTATTTTTCTCTCTCTGTATGTATATCCTATTCACTCTGTTTGAGAGCCTTGACTAATACAGTTTCACTAGAAATTGACTCCTATTGCAATGACTGAGGATGGGAGTTGGGGAGGAATCATATTGGAAGAGATCCTGTGGGCAGGTTGGTGCCTATGGCCTCTGACTGCAGCCCCTTCCAAGACTCAGCTGGAAGCATCTGGATTAAGGGATTGGAAAACTCTAGCCTGTAGACCAAATCCACTCGTAGGCTACAGTGTACAGCCCACAGTGTTAAGATTGTTTTTGTATTTTTAAAGGATTGTTAAAAACAAATAGACAAGCCGGAGGCAGTGGCTCACACCTTTAATCCCAACACTCTGGGAGGCCAAGGCGGGAGGATTGCTTGAGCTCAGGAGTTTCAAACCAGTCTGGGCAACATAGCAAGACCCCATCTCTATTAAAAATCAATCACAGGTGACTGAGGTGGTGCATGCACCTGTAGTCCCAGGTATTCAGGAAGCTGAGGCAGGAAGATCTTTTGAGGCCAGGAGTTTGAGACCAGCCTGGGCAACATAGCAAGACCCTGCCTCTATAAAAACTGTTTGAAATAGCCAGGTATGGTATTACAGGCCTGTAGTCCCAGCTACTTGGGAGACTGAAGCAGAAGGATCACTTGAGCCTGGGAGTTCAAAGCTGTAGTGAGCTCTGATCGCACCATCACACTGCAGCCTGGACAACAGAGTGAGACTCTGTCTATTTTTTTTTTTTTGAGATGGAGTCTTGTTCTGTTGCCCAGGCTGGAGTGCAGTGGCGCGATCTCGGCTCACTGCAAGCTCCACTTTCCGGGTTCATGCCATTCTCCTGCCTCAGCCTCCTGAGTAGCTGGGACTACAGGCACCCGCCACCACACCCTGCTAATTTTTTTGTATTTTTAGTAGAGACGGGGTTTCACCATGTTAGCCAGGATGGTCTCGATCTCCTGACCTCGTGATCCACCCACCTCAGCCTCCCAAAGTGCTGGGATTACAGGCGTGAGCCACCGCGCCTGGCTACTCTGTGTCTAAAATATAAAAAATCAGAACAAAACAAAAAGGTATACCCCCAGCCATCAACCACCTCCACACTTCAGCCTACTCCAAAACCCTAAAAAACTCCTAACTATGAGTTGTTTGGTATCTCTCGGTATTAGCTAACCCTGGGAGGGTCAGTTTCCTCCTCTAGCACCAGCAAGGCCCCAGATGTCAAAAAATAGAATCAAAATACAGGCCTTCCATGAGCCAGGCATGGTGGCTCATGCCTATAATCCCAGCACTTTGGGAGGCTAAGGCAGGCAGATCACCTGCGGTCAGGAGTTCAAGTTCAAGGAGGTCAAGGAACCTGGCCAACATGGTGAAACCCCATCTCTACTAAAAATACAAAAATTAGCTGAGCATGATGTTGCGTGCCTGTAGTCCCAGCTACAAGAGAGGCTGAGGCATGAGGATAGCCTGAACCCAGGAGGCAGAGGTTGCAGGGAGCCAAGCTCGCACCACTGCACTCCAGCCTGGGCAACACAGCAAGACTCTGTCTCGAAAACAAAACAAAACAAAAAAGAATCAAAATGCAGAAAATAAAGATACATGCTTAATATACTGGGTCATCTAGTGATTCTGGGTTTGTTTGTTTTTTGAGACAGACTCTCGCTCTGTCACCCAGGCTGGAGTGCAGTGGCACGATTTCAGCTCACTGCAACCTCTGCCTCCCAGGTTCAAGCGGTTCTCCTGCCTCAACCTCCCCAGTAACTGGGATTACAGGCATGCACCACCATGCTCAGCTACTTTTTTTTTTTTTTTTTTTTTTGTATTTTTGGTAGACACGGGGTTTCACCATATTGGCCAGGCTGGTCTTGAACGCCTGACCTCAAGTGATCCACCCACCTCAGCCTCTCAAAGTGCTAGGATTACAGGCATGAGCCACCGTGCCCAGCCTAGTGATTCTATGTTTACATTTAGAGGAACTGCTTTTCCACGGTACTGGACCATTTTACATCGCCACCAACAATGTAGAGTACCTGCAGATAGGTCCTTTGTCTGATATTCACGGCAAGTCAATACACAGATACACCAGGTTGCAGTAGAGAAGGAGGTTTCTTCATAAGGCCACCAAACGAGGAGATGGAGGAAACCTCAAATTCATCTCCCCCAGGAATTTGGAGTTAGGGTTTTTCAGAGTTTTGGAGTGGGCTGAAGCGTGGAGGTGGTTGATGGGCGGAAGTGTGCGGGGTGAAGTCACGGGACAGGGAGATGAAGAAGCTGGGTTCTCATGCTCATTCTCTTCCCCTGCGGGGGTCTTCAAACTGGTTGACATCAGCTGTTTTGCTGGAATTCAGGATCTGAAAAATATCTTAAGCAATTCTTTGTTTTTTTTTTTTTGAGACTGAGTTTCGCTCTTGTTGCCCAGGCTGGAGTGCAATGGCACGATCTCAACTCACTGCAACCTCCGCCTCCCCAGTTCAAGCGATTCTCATGCCTCAGCCTCCCCAGTAGCTGGGATTACAGGCACATGCCACCATGCCCAGCAAATTTTTGTTTTTTTTTTTAGTAGAGACGGGGTTTCCCCATGTTGGCCAGGCTAGTCTCGAACTCCTGACCTCAGGTGATCTGCCCACCTCGGCCTCCCAAAGTGCTGGGATTACAGGCGTGAGCCACTGTGCCTGCCCAGCAATTCTTAAGCAAAAGTCTTATGATTCCTTTTTTTTTTTTTTTGAGACAGGATCTTGCTCTGTTGCCCAGGCTAGAGTGAAGTGGCGAGATCATGGCTCACTGCAGCCTCGACCTCCTGGGCTCAAGTGATTCTCCCATCTCAGCCTCCCCAGTAGCTGAGACTACACATGCAGCCACCCTGCCTGGCCCCAATTTTTTTTTTTAATGTTTCATATTGCCTCCTTATTATTTTGAAATAAATTTCAAGTGTCACAAGGCAGAAGGATCACTTGAGGCCAGGAGTTTGAGACAAGTCTGGGCAACATAGTGAGACCTCATTCCTATAAAAAAATAAACAAAATTAGCCAGGCATGGTGGTGCACACCTGTAGTCTCAGCTACTTCTGAGGTTGAGGTGGAAGGATCACTTGAGCCCAGGTGTTGGGGGCTGTAGTGAACTACAGTCACGCCATGGCACTCCAGCCTGGGTAACAGAGAAACAAATTTACCCCTATATTTCTTCCCTATATTTTATAGTTTTGGCTCTTACATTTAGGTATTTGATCCATGCTGAGTTTTTTTTTTTTGAGATGTAGTCTTGCTCTGTTGCCCTGGCTGGACTGCAGTGGCGTGATCTCGGCTCGCTGCAAGCTCCACCTCCTGGGTTCACATCATTCGCCTGCCTCAGCCTCCCCAGTAGCTGGGACTACAGGCACCCGCCACCACGCCTGGCTAATTTTTTGTATTTTTAGTAGAGACAGGGTTTCACCGTGTGAGCCAGGATGGTCTCGATCTCCTGACCTCGTGATCCGTCCGCCTTGGCCTCCCAAAGTGCTGGGATTACAGGCGTGAGCCACCGCGCCCGGCCGAGTTAATTTTTTTTTTTTAATAGATGAAGTCTCGCCATGTTTGCCAGGTTGGTCTTGAACTCTTAGCCTCAAGCAATCCTCCCACCTCGGCCTTCCAAAGTGCTAGGATTACAGACATGAGCCAGCGCGCCCAGCCAAGTTAATTTTTGTATATGGTATGTGGTAGCAGTTGCACTTCTTTCTCTTGCGGGCGGATATTCAATTGTTCTAGCACCACCTGTTGAATATACTTCTTTCTCCATTGAATGGCCTTGGCACTCTTGTCAAAAATCAATTGACTGTAAATGTGAGGGTTTATTTCTAGACTGTCAATTCTATTCCATTGATCTATATGTCCATCCGTATGCCAGGATCAAGCTGTCTTGATTATTGTAGTTTTGTATTAAGTTTTGAAATCTGGGTCCTTTGAATTTCCATATGAATTTTAGAGTCAGCTTGTCAAAGAACTGGTTTCTGCAAAGAAACCACATGAGATTTTGCTAGGGGTTGTGTTAAATCTGTAGGTCATCTGGGGACTATTGTCATCTTAACAGTATTTCAGTCTTTTTTTTTGGGATGGAGTCTCGCTCTGTCGCCCAGGCTGGAGTGCAGTGGCGCGATCTTGGCTCACTGCAAGCTCTGCCTCCCGGGTTCACGCCATTGTCCTGCCTCAGCCTCCCGAGAGTAGCTGGGACTACAGGTGCACGCCACCGTGCCCGGCTAATTTTTTGTACTTTTAGTAGAGACGGGGTTTCACAGTGTTAGCCAGGATGATCTCGATCTCCTGACCTTGTGATCCGCCCGCCTCGGCCTCCCAAAGTGCTGGGATTACAGGCGTGAGCCACTGCGCCCGGCCGGTATTTCAAACTTTCAACACGTGAACGTGGGATTTTTTTTTTCTGTTTCAGAATTTAAAAACAAAGAAAGAAAGAAAAAACATCTTTACACGAGTTTTTAAATCCTACTTTAAAACACAAAAGAAACAAATCCATCATTGGCCACACAGCCCCAGCCACGGCCTCCCCACCATGGAGCGAGAGGAGCCGCCTGGGTCCTGTTGCGCACGCGGATTTGCTGGTCTGCTTAACTGGTGTCCATTCTGGCATTATAGGCGTCCATCTCCTCTGCCGAAAAGCTGCTGCTTTGAATTCCTGCCGGCGCCTCTGCCTCTTCCCCGGTCGCCTCCACGGGTGCCTCCCCGGGTGCCTCCCCGGGTGCCTCCGTTACCACCAAAACCTCCAGCGCCACGGTTTCTAGTCATGCCACCTCTGTTTACGCTCTGTGCAGGTGTCTGTTATGTATCAATCTGTGATGTGACAAGCTGAATGTTCACAGGGCGGCCAGCCAGAGGGGTGCCGTAGTACTGCTTCATGGCCTTCAGGGCGTGTGCCTTCCGCTCAAAGCGCATGTCTGCTGATCCTAAGCTGCGGCCAGAGCCATCGTAGTGCACAGCCGCCTTCTTCAGCGTTCCAAATTCTGCAGAGTTCCCAAATATCAGTGTCTGATACTTCAAAACCTAGATTGGACACCAGCAGTTTCCCACCCGTCTCCACGCCGGCACCACTGCTGGTCCACAGCTGGGGAGGCCCAGAAGACAGGGAGTTCCAGGACAGAAGGGGGCAGGAAGCCCTAACCACCCGCTTTTCCTGTCATGCCCTGAGACTAGGTGTCATCCTTCTGCTTGTAGAAATAACTCCTGAGCAGGGCGCGGTGGGTCAGGCCTGTAATCCCAGCACTTTAGGAGGCCGAGGCAGGCAGATCACCTGAGGTCGAGAGTTTGAGACCAGCCTGACCAACATGGGGAAACCCCGTCTCTACTAAAAATACAAAATTAGCCGGGCATGGTGGCTCAGGCCTGTAATCCCAGCACTTTGAGAGGCCAAGGCGGGTGGATCGCCTGAGGTCAGGAGTTCGAGAACAGCCTGGCCAACATGGGGAAACCCTGTCTCTACTAAAAATACAAAAATTAACGGGGCGTGGTGGCAGGTGCCTGTAATCCCAGCTACATGGGAGGTGGAGGCAGGAGAATCGCTTGAACCCGTGAGGCAGAGGTTGTGGTGAGCCGAGACCGTGCCATTGTGCTCCAGCCTGGGCAACAAAGAGCAAAACTCTGTCTGAAAAAAAAAGCAAAAAACAAAAAACAAAAAAAAATAACCCCTGATTGGCGACCAAGAAAGGACCAGATTCTGCTAATCCGCAAAATCTGGTGGTCAAGAACTTCACTAAAAGAAGAAGTGAAAGGATTTCCTTCCTGAAGGACCTGCACAGCTGGATTGCTTCCCTAAGACCAAAAAACCCTGGAGCCCTGCTTGCAGAGACCCAGCCCCCTCACTGCACTGCCACAGGACACTGACGGCCTGAGGCTGGAGATGGACACACTCTGCCCACTTATTTGACCCCAACGCTCACGGGGTCGGTTGGAATAGCCAGGAAACGTGTACATTCGGGGTCCCAAGAGACAGCGTGTGGGCTGGGCACGGTGGCTCTCACCTGTAATCCCAGCACTTTGGGAGGCCGAGGTGGGTGGATCACTTGAGGTTGGGAGTTCAAGACCAGCCTGGCCATCATGATGAAACCCCATCTCTACTAAAAATACAAAAATTAGCCAGGCTTGGTGGTGCACCTGTAGTCCCGCTACTCAGGAGGCTGAGGCAGGAGAATCACTTGAACCCAGGAGGTGGAGGTTTCAGTGAGCTGAGATCGTGCCACTGCACTCCAGCCTGGGCAACAGAGTGAGACTTTGTCTCAAAAAAAAAAAAAGAGAGAGAGACAGCGAGAGTGCGTGGCAGGAAAGCCCTGTGTGGTAGAGAGCTGCCGGCCACTGGAGCCAGGGCCCTGACTCTACCCTTTAGGAGGATATGAATTTGGACAGCACTTTCTTCCTCCATGCACTGGCACTAATGGTGCTTGCTTGCAACACCTTATTTTACTGTTGGGAAGCTCGAATGAGACAGAGTCACAGGAGCACTTTGATTTTTGAGACAGGATTTCACTCTGTCATGTAATAACAGCTCACTGGCAGCCTCAATCTCTCCGGGCTTAATTGATCCTTCCACCTCAACCTCCTGAGTACCTGGGACTATAGGCACATGCCACCACGCCCAGCTCATTTTTGCTTTTTTTTTTTTGTAGAGATGAGGTTTTACCATGTTGCCCAGGTGGATCTTGAACCCCTGGGCTCAAGCCATCTGCCTGCCTTGGCCTCCCAAGATGCTGGGATTATAGGCGTGAACCACCACACCCGGCTGACACAGGAGCACTTTGCAAACCGCAAAGCATTGCAGAACAGTGAACAGTGAAATGATGGCGATGCCCCAACCCCTCTTGGAATCAGCTTCTGTTCATTAGCTCAGCAGCTCAGGCCACAAAGGAAGTCTTTGGACAAGCTGGATAGTTAGTCACCCAGGGAGTCTGGAAGCTTAGGGAAGGTAGAATCCCCAGGGAGCCCCAGGGGGAGGCAGGACACACCAAGGCAGACAAAGGCACTGAGAGGGGAGATAGGAAGATTCTCAACACCAACCCTGCCGCTGCATCCGGGAAGCATCTCTGCCCCCACAAGGCTTTTAACCTCGCCAGGAAGGCAAGGTGCACAGGACAGCCCACTTTGCTCATCCTCTTCTCCAGAATGTCTGAGAAATGCCTAGTGATTCCTGCCTCCCCTGCCCTCGTCTCTCTCCCTGCTTTCTGCCACTGTGGACCACAGCCCGAAAGAATAACTCCTCTCATCGTATCCTTAGGAACACAGTCCCCCGGAATATGCCAACTCCAATCGGAGGACATCTATGCGACATGAGAAGTTCTGACTATTTTGCGATTCTTTTTGTTGTTGTTGTTGGAGACAGGGTCTTGCTCTGTTGCCCAGGCTGGAATGCAGTGGCATGATCTCAGCTCACTGCAACCTCCCCCTCCCAGCCTCCCAGGTCCAAGCGATTCTCATGCCTCAGCCTCCCGAGTAGCTGGGACTACAGGCATACACCACCACACCCGAATAATTTTTGTATTTTTAGTAGAGACGTTTTTTCGCCGTGTTGGCCAGTCTGGTCTCGAACTCCTGACCTCAAGTGATCTGCTCACCTTGGCCTCCCAAAGTGCTGGGATTACAGGCGTGAGCCACTGCACACAGCCATATTTTGCAGTTCTTGAGAGGTCCACAGCTGAAACATCTGAATGTGAGATTTTAAAAACTTTATTTAGGTCTTCCTTAACTTCTTTCAACAACGTTTTGTAGTTTTTTTGTTGTTGTTGTTGTGTTTGTTTGTTTTTTTGAGACGGAGTCTTGCTCTGTCGTCCAGGCTGGAGTGCAGTGGCGCGATCTCAGCTCATTGCAAGCTCCGCCTCCCGGGTTCACGCTGTTCTCCTGCCTCAGCCTCCTGAGTAGCTGGGACTACAGGTGCCTGCCACCACACCTGACTAATTTTTTTGTATTTTAGTAGAGACGGGGTTTCACCGTGTTATCCGGGATGGTCTCGATCTCCTGACCTCGTGATCCGCCCGTCTTGGCCTCCCAAAGTCCTGGGATTACAGGCGTGAGCCACGGCACCCGGCCAGTTTTCAGTATATAGTTCTTTCACCTCCTTGGTTAAATTTATTCCTAGTTGTTTTATAAGAGATATTGCTATGTATTTTTCTTTTCTTGTGATGTCTTTGTTTTTGGTATCAGAGTAATACTGACCTCATAGAATGAGTTGGAAAATATTCTCTCCTCTTCTACGTTTTGGAAGAGTTGGTGAAGAATTGGTGGTTAATTCTTTTTTCTTTTTCTTTTTCTGGGACCACAGGGGTACTCCACCATGCCTGGCTAATTTTTGCATTTTTGGTAGAGACAGGGTTTCACCATGTTGCCTAGGCTGGTCTCAAACTCCTGAGCTCAAGAAGTCCTCTTTACCTCTGCCTCATGCAGAGGTGCTTTTGCCTCTTTTCTGTTTTAGCTAGTCCTCAATCTGGTCCAGAGTTCGATTCCCTGCCTCTGGAGTTGAGTCCCACATCCTACCTCAGCTGGATCATAAAGGAAAAAGTCATAGTGGCCGGGCACGGTGGCTCACACCTGTAATCCCAGCACTGTGGGAGGCCAAGGGGGGCAGATCGCCTGAGGTCAGGAGTTTGAGACCACCTTGGACAACGTGGTGAAACCCCATCTTTACTAAAAATACAAAAATTAGCCAGGCATGGTGGTACGTGCCTGTAATCCCAGCTACTCAGGAGGCTGAAGCAGGAGAATCAGTTGAACCTGCCAGGCAGAGGTTGCAGTGAGCCAAGATCATGCCATTGCACACCAGCCTGGGCGACAAGAACAAAACTATGTCTCAAGAAAAAAAAAATAGTCATAGGAATCTGGAGGAATCCAAGTGCAGACTTCCTTATGCTCTCTCTCTCCCATAAAGGATCACACAGGCTGGGATTACAGGCATGCACTACCACGCTCGACTAATTTTTGTATTTTTAGTAGAGATGGGGTTTCACCATGTGGTCCAAGTTGGTCTCAAACTCCTGACCTCACGTGATCTCCCCGCCTCAGCCTCCCACAGTGCTGGGATTACAGGCGTGAGCCACCGCACCTGACAAACGTTTTTACTTTTGACTTAAATTGTCATATATATTTTAAACAAATTAAGCGTAAAAAGATTGTCTTTCATATTTACTCACATTTATTGTTTATCATGTCCTTTCTTCTTTCCTGAAGATCTGGGTCTTCTTTTTTTTGAGACAGGGTCTCACTCTGTCACCCAGGCTGGAGTAGGGTGACACAATCATAGCTTACTGCAGCCTTGACCTCCCCAGCTCAAGCCATCCTCCCACCTCAGCCTCCCAAGTAGCTGGGATTACAGGCACACACCACCACACCCAGCTAATTTTTTAAATTTTTTGTAGAGATGGAGTCTGACGATGTTGCCCAGACTGGCTTCAAACTTCTAGGCTCAAGTGATCCTCCTTCCTCAGCCTCCCAAAGTGTTGGGATTATAGGCATGAGCCACCACGCCCAGTCCTCAGCGAAGTTCTTGACATGACAATGCTGTCCAGCCAGAACACAGGGTGGGGATCACTATGCCCATCTTACAGATGGACAAACCAAGGCCTAGAGAGAATTAGCCACTTCCCCTCTCAGCTAGTAAGCAGCAGAACTGGAATCAAAATCTAGGTCTATCAGCTGGGTGTGGTGGCTCCATCCCGTAATCGCAGCACTTTGTGAGGCCGAGGTGGGCAGATTGCTTGAGCTCAGGAGTTCAAGACAAGCCTAGGCAACATGGTGAAACCTGATCTCTACTAAAAATACAAACAATTAGCCAGGTATGGTGGTGTGTGTCTGTATTCCCATGTACTCAGGAGGTTGAGGTGGGAGGATAGCTTGAGCCCAGGAGATTGAGGCTGCAGTGAGCCAAGACAGCACCACTACACTCGAGCCTGGGCGATGGAGGAAGACCTTGTATCAAAAAAAAACAAAAGAAAGAAAGAAAGAAAAAAGAATCTAGGAATCTACATCTATCAACTCTCAGTCCAGCATCTCCCCATGTATCTCAAGAACTACAAAATATGGCTGTGTGCAGTGGCTCACGCCTGTAATCCCAGCACTTTGGGAGGCTGAGGCGAGTGGATCACTTGAGGTCAGGAGTTCGAGACCAGACTGGCCAACAAGGCGAAACCCCATCTCTACTAAAAATACAAAAATTAGCCAGGTATGGTGGTGTGTGCCTGTAGTCCCAGCTACTCGGGAGGCTGAGGCATGAGAATCGTTTGGACCTGGGAGGCTGGGATGGGGAGGTTACAGTGAGCCGAGATCATGCCATTGCACTCCAGCCTGGGCGACACAGCAAGACCCTGTCTCCAAAAAAAAAAAAAAAAAAAAAAAAGAAAGAAAGAAAAGAAAAGAAAGAATTGCAAAATAGTCAGAACTTCTCATGTCGCATGGATGTCCTCCGATTGGAGTTGGCATATTCTGGGGGACTGTGTTCCTAAGGAGACCATTCCTTGAGAGGAGTCATTCTTTAGGGCTGTGGTCCATAGTGGCAGAAAGCAGGGAGAGAGACGAGGGCAGGGGAGGCAGGAATCACTAGGCATTTCTCAGACATTCTGGAGGAGAGGATGAGCAAAGTGGGCTGTCCTGTGCCCCTTGCCTTCCTGGCGAGGTTAAAAGCCTTGTGGGGGCAGAGATGCTTCCCGGATGCAGTGGCAGGGTTGGTGTTGAGAATCTTCCTATTTCCCCTCTCAGTGCCTTTGTCTGCCTTGGTGTGTCCTGCCTCCCCCTGGGGCTCCCTGGGGATTCTACCTTCCCTAAGCTTCCAGACTCCCTGGGTGACTAACTATCCAGCTTGTCCAAAGACTTCCTTTGTGGCCTGAGCTGATGAACAGAAGCTGATTCCCAGGGGGGTTGGGTGGCTGGGGCATCGCCGTCATTTCACTGTTCATTGTTCTGCAATGCTTTGCGGTTTGCAAAGTGCTCCTGTGTCGGCCGGGTGTGGTGGTTCACGCCTATAATCCCAGCATCTTGGGAGGCCAAGGCAGGCAGATGGCTTGAGTCCAAGGGTTCAAGATCCACCTGGGCAACATGGTAAAACCTCATCTCTACAAAAAAAAAAAAAAAAAAAAGCAAAAATGAGCTGGGCGTGGTGGCATGTGCCTATAGTCCCAGCTACTCAGGAGGTTGAGGTGGAAGGATCAATTGAGCCCGGAGAGATTGAGGCTGCCAGTGAGCTGTTATTACACGACAGAGTGAAATCCTGTCTCAAAAAACAAAGTGCTCCTGTGACTCTGTCTCATTCGAGCCTTCCAACAGTAAAATAAGGTGTTGCAAGCAAGCACCATTAGTGCCAGTGCATGGAGGAAGAAAGTGCTGTCCAAATTCATATCCTCCTAAAGGGTAGAGTCAGGGCCCTGGCTCCAGTGGCCGGCAGCTCTCTACCACACAGGGCTTTCCTGCCACGCACTCTCGCTGTCTCTCTCTCTTTTTTTTTTTTTTGAGACAAAGTCTCACTCTGTTGCCCAGGCTGGAGTGCAGTGGCACGATCTCAGCTCACTGAAACCTCCACCTCCTGGGTTCAAGTGATTCTCCTGCCTCAGCCTCCTGAGTAGCGGGACTACAGGTGCACCACCAAGCCTGGCTAATTTTTGTATTTTTAGTAGAGATGGGGTTTCATCATGATGGCCAGGCTGGTCTTGAACTCCCAACCTCAAGTGATCCACCCACCTCGGCCTCCCAAAGTGCTGGGATTACAGGTGAGAGCCACCGTGCCCAGCCCACACGCTGTCTCTTGGGACCCCGAATGTACACGTTTCCTGGCTATTCCAACCGACCCCGTGAGCGTTGGGGTCAAATAAGTGGGCAGAGTGTGTCCATCTCCAGCCTCAGGCCGTCAGTGTCCTGTGGCAGTGCAGTGAGGGGGCTGGGTCTCTGCAAGCAGGGCTCCAGGGTTTTTTGGTCTTAGGGAAGCAATCCAGCTGTGCAGGTCCTTCAGGAAGGAAATCCTTTCACTTCTTCTTTTAGTGAAGTTCTTGACCACCAGATTTTGTGGATTAGCAGAATCTGGTCCTTTCTTGGCCTCCAATCAGGAGCTATTTCTACCTACAAGCAGAAGCATGACACCTAGTCTCAGGGAGTGACAGGAAAACCGGGCGGTTAGGGCTTCTGGCCCCCTTCTGTCCTGGAATTCCCTGCCTTCTGGGCCTCCCCAGCTGTGGACCCTCAGAAAGAATCTTGTGCATAGGCTTGTAGCTCTTCCTTTCTCCTGCACACAACTGTTTTCAGTGAGCCTCTGGTTAGTCAGTATCTTCCAACCTCCTTCTCAACGCCATTCTTTTTTTTTTTTTTTTTGAGAGGGAGTCTCGCTCTGTTGCCCAGGCTGTAGTGCAGTGGTGTGATCTCGGCTTACCGCAACCTCCGCCTCCTGGGTTCCAGCGATTCTCCTGCCTCAGCCCCCGAGTAGCTGGGATTACAGGCACCTGCCAGCCTGCCCAGCTAATTTTTGTATTTTTAGTAGAGACTGGATTTCACCATGTTTGCCAGGCTGGTTTCAAACTCATGACCTCAGGTGAGCCACCCGCCTTGGCCTCCCAAAGTGCTGGGATTACAGGCATGAGCCACCGCGCCTGGCCTCAATGTCATTCTCTTCTCTCCACATGTCTTTCAGGACTTACAGAGCAGGAGCTCCCTAAGACGATGTCCTGGGCCCCACCAGTGGTACATCATAGCCAGCCCACGCCGACCTGGGAGAGCTGACTGTCAGCATCTCTTCCCAACTTCACTTTCAGGGACATCTGGTTGGTAGCTTGAATTCAGCCGTGGTGGGAGGATTTACACCATGGCAATTGACAAACGCTGCTAATCACACTTGTCCCCACAGAGCCAGTTTGTTAAATATTTGCCAACATAACCCTGGCTTCACCTTACCCTGGTCAACCAGACCTGCCCAGGTGTTGGCTAATAATCCTTTGTGTTGGTATCAGTCTCTCCCATGTGGCATTCCTGTGTCCACCTCCCCAGCAGGTCACCCTGGCTCTGGGGGACTGAGCCAGCCAGAAGGTGGCAATTGAGGTCAGACCAGCATCCCTGAATTGGGAAGGACAAGAGGATTTGCATGGAGCATGGATAGCTTCTGTGACAGACATCACATGTGCGTGCACACACACACACACCTGGTTTACTTTATGTTTTAATTATTTTTAAAAAATTGAGACAAGATCTTGCTCTATTGCCCAGGCTGGAGCACAGTGGTGCAAACATGGCTCACTGCAGCCTCAACCTCCTGGGTTCAAACAATCCTCCCGCCTCAGCCTCCCAAGTAGCTGGGACCACAGGCATGTGCCACCATGCCCAGCCAATTTTTTTTTTCTTTGAGATGAAGTCTCGCTCTGTTGCCCAGGCTGGAGTGCAATGGCGCAATCTCAACTCACTGCAATCTCTGCCTCCCAGGTTCAAGCGATTCCCCTGCCTCAGTATCCCAAGAAGCTGGGATTACAGGCATGTGCCACCATGCCCGGCTAATTTTTTTCACATTTTTAGTAGAGACGGGGTTTCACCATGTTGGCCAGGCTGGTCTTGAACTCCTGAACTCAGGTGATCCGCCCGCCTTGGCCTCCCAAAGTGCTGGGATTACAGGCGTGAGCCACCGTGCCTGGCCCCAACCAAATTTTTAATTTTTGGTAGAGATAGGATCTCACTATGTTGCCCAAGCTGATCTCAAACTCCTGGGCTCAAGCGATTCTCCCACCTCAGCCTCCCAAAGTGCTGGGATTATAGCTGTGAGCCACCAGAACTGGCCTGGTTTCCTTTAATACTTGTGGGTTTATTTTAATGGTTATGGGGGAAAACACAGCTAGTGCACTAAATCTGTGATTTTTTATTTATTTATTTTTTTGAGATGACATCTCCCTCTGTCACCCAGGCTGGAGTGCATAGCACAGTCTCGGCTCACTGCAACTTCTGCCTCCTTGTTTCAAGCGATTCCCCTGCCTCGGCCCCCAAGTAGCTGGGACTACATGCGCCTGCCACCATGCCCAGCTAATTTTTGTATTTTTAGTAGAGAGGAAGGTTTCACCATGTTGGCCAGGCTGATCTCGAACTTCTCACCTCAGGTGATCCACCCATCTTGGCCTCCCCAAGTGCTGGGATTACAGGTGTGAGACACCGTGCCTGGCCCTAAATCTGTGATTTTGTGGCTATTTTTGGATGAAGTCCATTTTGACAAAACCGTTAAGTGTACAATAAATTGGGTGGTGGGAAGAAATTGTAAAAAAAAAAATATATATATATATATAATATATATTTTTATTTTTAAATACTTTCCATAGTATTATATATCCATATATATATATACGTATATATGAAGGTTATGAGCGAGTGGATGAAGTTTGGGTGTTGGTGATGGAGCACTGGTGAAAAGTTTTAGGCAGGGGGTGACCAGGCTGGTGTGCATTTTAGGAGGGGCGTTTGTTTTGCAGCTGTGCACAGAACAGATTGGAGAAAGGTGAGTGGGGAGGCAGTGGAACGGGCCAAAAAGGAACAGGTGGATCTGGGAGGTGTTAAATAGGTAAAATCAACAAAATGAGAGGCCTGATTAGGGGTGTGTGTGTGTGTGTGTGTGTGTGTGTGTGTGTGTTGGGGGTGGGGATGGCAGGGAGTTGGGAGGGAAGTGATGGTACCTTCCCTGGAAGATTTTTAAGGAATGATACAACTAGTGCATTTGGAGCAGGAATGTGAGATACCACATGATAGATATTCCTGCCTCCTGTCCCCAGTCTCCCAACCTTACCTCTTCCTTTTTTTATTTTTTATTTTCATTTTTTGAGACAGAGTCTTGCTTTGTTACCCAGGCTGGAGCGCAGTGGCACTATCTCGGCTCACTGCAACCTCCAGCTCCTGGGTTCAAGTGATTCTCCTGCCTCAGCCTCCCCAGTAGCTGGGATTACAGGTGCACACCATCACACCTGGCTAATTTTTTTTATTTTTAGTAGAGACGGGGTTTCACCATGTTGGCCAGGCTGGTCTCGAACTCCTGACCTCAGGTGATCTGCCCACTTCGGCCTCCCAAAGTGCTGGGATTACAGGTGTGAGCCATCATGTCTGGCCTGGTCATGGACTCTTATTGGCCGCCTTCCCTTCCTCTTGTCAGAGCAATTAGGCAGGACAAAGAAATAAAAGGCATCCAAATCAGAAAGGAAGAAGTTAAGGCCAGGCATGGTGGCTCACGCCTGAAATCCCAGTCACCATGCCCGGCCCACCTCTTCCTTTTGCCTTCCAGAAACTCAGCCACATCCCACTGTTCACCTGGCTCTCCTGCCCCTGGTCTTCCCTTGGCCTGGAACCCCCTGCTTCCTTTTCCACCTGGGAACTCCTACCTGTCCTGTTCTGAAGCTTCTCAGATCCCCCACGCAGAGCCCTTTCAACCTGGTAGTTACCTGGCAATAGCAATGATTACCCCTTACTAACTGGTCCTTATCCATATTTACTGTAGGCTGGGAGCTGTGCCTGGACCATGAGGGACAGTCATTCAGTCACTCTTTGTGATACCCAGAGGAGGGACAAGGACTTGTCTCAATTTCCCAATGACAAAGCCAAGGCTGGGGTAGGGCCAGGATCGGAATCCAGGACTAATCGCCTCCAAAACGTATGTCCTCAACGAGTCTGATTCCTAAATCTTATGCTATATTGTAATTATTATTGTTATTCCTTTGAGACAGAGTCTCACTCTGTCTCCCAGGCTGGAGTACAGTGGCGTGATCATAGCTCACTGCAGCCTCGACCTCCTGGGCTTGAGTGATCCTCCCACCTCAGCCTCCTGAGTAGCTGGGACTACAGACATGTGTGCCTGCACCTGGTTATTTTTTATTTTTTTATTTTTATTTTTTAGATGGAGTCTCTTTCTGTCACCCAGGTTGGAGTGCAGTGGTGCGATCCCAGCTCACTGCAACCTCTGCCTCCCGCGTTCAAGCAATTATCCTGCCTCAGCCTCCTGAGTAGCTGAGATTACAGGTGCCCACCACTACACCCGGCTAATTTTTGTATTTTCATTAGAGATGGGGTTTCACCGTGTTGGCCAGGCTGGTCTCGTACTCTGGTTCACACTTGTAATCTCAGCACTTTGGGAGGCCAAGGCGGGCGGATCGCTTGGGGTCAGGAGTGCACCTGGCTAATTTTAAACATTTTTTGTAGAGACGTGGTCTTACCATGTTGCTCAGGCTGGCCTTGAACTTCTGGGCTCAAGTGACCCTCCCAAAGTGCTGAGATTACAGGCATGAACCACTATACTTGGGCTCTAATTATTTCTGTGTTGGTTTTTCCAGTGGACTCTGAGATCTTATAACATGAAGTCTGAAACACGTCCTTCACTGGATCCCAGAATGCCTTGGCCGAATGGAGCTCCCTCATCTGAGACTTCAATTTCCTACCTGGAGATCTGCCACAGGGTGCTTGCTTACCTCCCTTGGTGGGGCTCTCACTGTCATCCAAGGTGATCAGATCTGTCTCTGGACAGCTTTACCTGCTTCCTTCTCCTTAGGCCTTTAACATCTAAGAGGCAGCTGTGACACAGATGTACAAAAAGATCCTCTCAGCTGGGCATGGTGGCTCACACATGTAATCCCAGCACTTTGGGAGGCCAAGGCAGGTGGATCACCTGTGGTCGGGAGTTTTGAGATCACCCTGGCCAACATGGTGAAACCCCATCTCTAGTAAATATGCAAAAAATTAGCTGGGCATGATGGTGGGTGCCTGTAATCCCAGTTACTCAGGAGGCTGAGGCAGGAGAATCGCTTGAACCTGGGAGGCAGAGGTTGCAGTGAGCCGAGATTGCACCACTGCACTCCAGCCTGGGCAACAGAGCAAGACTCTGTCTCCCTTCCCTCTGCACCCACCCCCCACCAGAAAAAAAGAAAAAAAAGATCCTCTTGGCCTCTTTGATCTGCAGCATCCCCGTTTACCATCCATGCTAGGCTGGCTGGTTGGCAGTGCCCTGGGCTTCAGCTGCTATATGTGCCTCCTGTTCCCGTCCCTGTTGAGCTGTTGAAAGCCCTCCCATCTGGAGATGAAAGGGTAAGGCACTCCATAGCTGCCACCTGTTTTCCTCCCCAGCCCCGTCTGGGACCACACCCTTTCCAGGGCAGAAGTCTGTCCGTGTGGACAGAAGTCTGTCTGACAATGGGCTCACTGTGCTCTTCTGATGGGGACCACCACCCACCCTGCACATGGGCCCCCATCAGGGCCTGCCTGTTGCCACAAAGCCAACCTCTCAGAAGTCCTTGTAAACCTTGGACTCCTGAATTTCCCAGCCAAGCCAGGCGAGATGCAGGGGAGGCGCCCTTCCCTCCCCAGGTGCCCCTCCTCTCGTCCCATTCTTCCTGCCATCCCAGATCTGGTGAGTCAGAGGAAATCATTTCTGCTCTGCACTTGGCACCAAGGCTGTCACCCTGTTACCTCCGGGTAAGTGGCTCCCCTGTGCCCAGTATTCTGGGACTTTGTGTGTGTGTGTTTGGTATCGAGGAAGCAGGATATCCCAGGAAGCAGTGACACCCCCAGTCTGCATGCCTGAGTCTAGCCCCTTGCACTCCCCACCACAGTGCCCATTCATCCTGGCACCCCACTGCCCTCTCCCCCCTGCATCACACCCCAGATGTCTACCCGCTTCCTTTAGGAGGCTGGGACAAGAATGCAAGAAAGAATTGATGGAGGCTGTGCAAAGCTGGTGGCCGTGAGAGTCTAAAGTAAGGGGTGGATCGGAGAGCAGCTCGGAAAGTGAACTCGGTGTGGTGGCATTGGTGCCACTCAGCGGAGCATGCTGCCTGGCACCATGACAAGGGCATAGGTTCCTTCCCAGGAAGATGTAGGACGAGTTCTGCCCCATCGTGGCTTAGGAGTCTTGAGCAAGTCATTTAACTCTCTAAACCTCAGTTTTCTTTTCTTTTTTTTCTTTTTGGAGATTGAGTCTTGCTCTGTCACCCAGGCTGAAGTGCAGTGGCACAATCTCGGCTCACTGCAACCTCCGCCTCCTGGATTCAAGCAATTCTCATGCCTCAACCTCCTGAGTAGCTGGGATTACAGGCACCTGCCACCACGCCTGGCTAAATTTTGTATTTTTAGTAGAGATGGGTTTCACCATGTTGGCCAGGCTGGTCTCGAACTGACCCCTGGTGATCCACCGCCTAGGCCACCCAAAGTGCTGGGATCACAGGCGTGAGTCACCATGCCCAGCCTGAACCTCAGTTTCCTTACTGGTGACATGGGGACAATAAGAGGATAAGATGAGTTCAGAGGAGCCATGTAGGGCTTTAGGGGAACAGCTGAAGGGATGCTGGTCTGGTGGCGTTTCATGGAGTCCCTCACTGAAGCTTGAGGCCTACTCCCTCCACCATCCTGGGAGGTGCACAGTCACACACCCATCTTTTAGTAAATGAATTAAGCTTCACAGAGGCTAAACACCTTGCCTGGGCCACCAAGTGAGCATATGGTTGGGACGAGGCTCAAACCCAGGAGTGTCTACCTCTAGGGCCATGCCCTCCCCATGGTACTACACTGTGTCTTGAGCTGGGTGGGGCAGTTGAGGCTGTCTAATCTCCCTGGGCTTCCAGTTCCCAGCCACAAAGTGTCGGGACAGGTGAGACTCCAAAGGTTCTTCTTGTTCTGATTTTTTTTCTTTTTTTTTTGAGATGGAGTCTGGCTCTGTCACCCAGGCTAGAGTGCAATGGTGCGATCTTGGCTCACCGCAATCTCTGCCTCCCGGGTTTAAGCTATTCTCCTGCCTCAGCCTCCGGAGTAGCTGGGATTACAGGCTTGTGCCACCACACCTGGCTAATTTTGTTTTCTTTTTTTTTTTTTTTGAGACGGAGTCTCGCTCTGTCGCCCAGGCTGGAGTGCAGTGGCGGGATCTCGGCTCACTGCAAGCTCCGCCTCCCGGGTTCACGCCATTCTCCTGCCTCAGCCTCCCAAGTAGCTGGGACTACAGGCGCCCGCCACTACGCCCGGCTAATTTTTTGTATTTTTAGTAGAGACGGGGTTTCTCCATGTTGATCAGGCTGGTCTCAAACTCCTGACCTCAGGTGATCCACCCGCCTTGGCCTCCCAAAGTGTTGGGATTACAGCCTTGAGCCCCTCCCTTGTTCTGATAATTTATTGGACATCCAGACCTCTCCCTACCTGCCCTGCCTGCCTCGGGCATCTACCAGAACCCCTGGAAGCCCCACAGCCCCTGCAGACTGTTTTTATCCATGAATGGTCCCCCCAACACATGCACTCAAGTTTGAAACCCAAGTGTTATCCTAGACAATCCTTCCTTTTCCTCAACCATATGGCATCAGAGCTCAGCAAATGGAATCCTGAGTAATCCTCAAATCCATCCTCTTTTTTCCATCCTAACTTCCTCCACCTCTCCATCCTAGATTCCCTACCACAGGCTTCCCACCAGTTCTGCCACATGACTTACTGCAGCCAGAGTGATTTCTTTAAGGCTCCAACCTGGCCAAGTCACCCCTCTGCTTTGACTTCATCTCTGTGGCTTCCAGGGCTTGAAATACCCTTCTCTGCCCAGTTTCCTCCCTGTCAAGCCCAACTCCCCTTGGTCAGCCTAACTCAGCACAAGGGGCACCTCCTTCAGGAAGTTTTCTATGACTTCTGCTCTCCACTGTGGCCTCGGTAGACCTCCTCCATCTGGACACTTATCACCTGTGTCATAATTGCCTCTGTCTCTCAAGGCTAGTGTGAGAGTTCCCCAAGGCAACACCTGTATATAGTTTTTCTTGGTATGCCTGGGATGGGGCACCTGGTATATAGCAGGGTTCGATGAGGGATGGATGGATGGATGGATGGATGGATGGATGGATGGATGAATTGATGGATAGATGGATGGATTAATGAATGGATGGATGGATAGATGAGTGGATGGATAGATAGATGGGTGGAGGGATGGATGGATGGATGGATGGATGGATGGATTAGTGAATGGATGGATGGATAGATGAGTAGATGGGTGGGTGAATGGATGGATGGGTGGAGGGGTGGATGCATGGGTGGGTAGGTGGATGGGTGGATGGGTAGATGGATGAAGGGTGGATGGATGAATAAGTGGATGGATGGATGGATGATGGATAGATGGGTGGATGAGTGGGTAGATGGGTGGGTGGGTGGGTGGATGGATGGATGGATGGATGAGTGAGTAGATGAATTAATGGGTAGGTGGATGGATGGATACCTGAAACACCTCCCTTGGGGCTGAGTTCCTCTAGCTTAAGGGTCTGGTTCCTGCTAGATGGTGAAGACTTGCATGTGCACTGCCAGGCGAGGTGGCTCATGCCTGTTATCCCAGCACTTTGGGAGGCCAAGGCTGGCAGATCACCTGAGGCCAGGAGTTCGAGACCAGTCTGGCCAACATGGTGGAACCCCGCCTCCACTAAAAGTACAAAAAAATTAGCTGGGTGTGGTGGCGTGCGCCTGTAATCCCAGCTACTCGGGAGGCAGAGGCAGGAGAATTGCCTGAACCAGGGAGTTGGAGGTTGCAGTGAGCCGAGATTGTGCTGTTGCCTGGACGACAAAGCAAGATTCCATCTCAAAAAAAGAAGGAGAAGGAGAAGGAGAAGGAGAAGGAGAAGGAGAAGGAGAAGGAGGAGGAGGAGGAGGAGGAGAAGAAGAAGAAGAAGAAGAAGAAGGAAGAAGAAGAAGAAGAGGAAGAAGAAGAAGAAGAAGAAGAAGAAGAAGAAGAAGAAGAAGAAGAAGAAGAAGAAGAAGAAGAAGAAGTAGTTTACTAAAAGCCCTTACATCCGTAACTTTCTAGGATTCTAGAATCACATGAGATCATGGGTAAAAAGTGGCCTCATCCTCCCCGCCCCCACCATTTCATAGATGAGGAAATCAAAGCTTGGGAGGAGTGAGCAAGTTGCCCAGGCTCATACAGCCAGTTTTTAGCAGGTCAGGGACTAAAATATGTCACTACACCATAGCTGCCCATCTTGGGCCTATGGTTTGACCTAAAATTCAGTTCAGACCTTAGTAAGAAGACACAGGATTTTTTTTCTTTCTTTCTTTGTGTGTGTGTGTGGTCTACTTTTACCCTAATTAGGGCCATCAGATCCAGTGCCCCCTTTCTGGGACCCTTCCTCAGGTATTTAAAGTCATTTATCTTCAGAGATGACAGCCCCCTTCTTTTATTTATTTATTGAGAGATGGGGATATGTTATGTTACCCAGGCTAGTCTTGAACTCCTGGGTTCAAGCGATCCTCCTGCTTCAGTCTCCCAAATAGCTGGGACTACAGGCATGCACCCCAGTGTCTGGCTAATTTTTCGTTTATATTTTGTAGAGTTGAGGTTTCACTATGTTGCCTAGGCTGGTCTCGAACACCTGAGCTCAAGCAATCCTCCTGCCTCAGCCTCCCAAAGTACTGGGATTACAGATGTGAGCCACATCGCCCAGCCTATGAATATATATATATATATATATATATATATATATATTTTTTTTTTTTTTTTTTTTTTTTTTTTTTTTTTTTGAGACGGAGTTTCACTCTTGTTGCCCAGTCTGGCGTGCAATGGTGCGATCTCCACTTACCACAACCTCTGCCTCCCAGGTTCAAGAGATTCTTGTGCCTCAGCCTCCCGAGCAGCTGGGATTACAGTCATGTGCCACCACGCCCAGCTGGTTTTGTATTTTTAGTAGAGATGGGGTTTCTCTATGTTGGTCAGGCTGGTCCCAAACTCCCGACCTCAGGTGATCTGCCCACCTTGGCCTCCCAAAGTGCTGGGATTACAAGCGTGAGCCCTGGCCCTCATATTTCTTACCTTAGGGAAATCTTGTATTACTATAATATATATATATATAAAGTTCCTTAAAGTCCCTTATTAAAGAGGGTGACCATAACAAAACATTTAAATAAAATGAGAAATGTTCCTTCTTGTATCATGGCTGGTGGTCCTACACTTGGGGAGAGGCCGCTCTGGCCAACACGCTACTTCTCAGATGGAGAAACCGAGGCCAAGAGAGGGACAGGGTCTGTGCTGGAGCCATCAGGGGTTCTAAGAGCCTCACACTGCTGTGGGTCACCTCCCACCCACCCTCCAGCCTCCTCCACACATGCTGTTTCTGCCCCTGCCAGGTTCCCACTTCTACTGCTTCCCTCTTCCTCTTTCTAATTTTTTTTTTTTTTTTAAAGAGTCCGGGTCTTGCCATGTTGCCCAGGCTGGACTTGAACTCCTGGGCTCAAGCAATCCTCCCACCTCGGCCTCCCAAAGTGCTGGGATTACATGTGTGAGCCATTGCACCTGGCTCTTTCTCTTTTTACCTAACCACTCCCTTTCTTTTTTTTTTTTTTTTTGAGACGGAGTCTCACTCTGTCACCCAGGCTGGAGTGCAGTGGTGCGATCTCGGCTCACTGCAACCTCTGCCTCCCAGGTTCAAGCGATTCTCCTGCTTCAGCCTCCCGAGTAGCTGGGACTACAGGTGCGTGCCACCACGCCCAGCTAATTTTTGTATTTGTAGTAGAGATGGGCTCCCATTTCGGGAGCTAAGTGGCCCTGTGATGGTGTCTGCTCACTTATCCTTGCAAGGCATCAGCTCTTCCCTCGTAAAACAGGGTTGGTAATCCCTGCCTTAACAATTTCCCTGTATAGAGCATAAAGATTAGGAGTTTTGGTTGGGTGAGGTGGCTCATGCTGGTCATCCCAGCACTTTGGGAGGCCGAGGTGGGCGAATCACTTGAGATTAAGAGTTTGAGACTAGCCCAGCCAACATGGTGAAACCCCGCCTCCACTAAAAATATAAAAATTAGCCAGGCATGGTGGTGTGCATCTGTAATCCCAGCTACTCGGGAGGCTGAGGCAGGAGAATTGCTTGAACCTGGGGGGCGGAGGTTGTAGTGAGCCAAGATCATGCCACTGCACTCCAGCCTGGGTGACAAAGAGAGACTGTGTCTGAAAACAAAACAAACAACAACAACAGCAACAAAACATTGGGTGTTTTGGCCCAGTGCGGTGGCTCATGCCTGTAATCCCAGCACTTTGGGAGGCCGAGGTGGGTAAAACACTTGGGGTCAGGAGTTGGTGACCAGCCTGGCTGACATGGTGAAATCCCATCTTTACTAAAAAAACAAAAACTAGCTGGGTGTGGTGATGGGTGCCTATAATCCCAGCTACTCAGGAGGCTGAGGCATGAGAATTGCTTGAACCCGGGAGGTTGAGGCTCCAGTGAGCTGAGATCAGGCCATTCCACTGCAGCCTGGGTGACAAAGTGAAACTCTTCTCAAAAAAAAAAAAAAATTGGATATTTTGTGTTTTTTAAGGCCTTGGAAAAGCCCTTAATGGGTATTACTAATCTGGGGTGAAGCACCCCACCCCACACACTCCCACCCAATGACCTTCTGCTCGCCCACTCCTGTTGCAACATGGGGATGGCAGGCATCCCCGCCCTATTTACCCCAGCCTCACTCTTCTCCTGAGTGCTGCCTCTGTCTGACCATCCTTTCTCCCCCCAACTTCCTCCTCCCCACACACCACACTCCCGGCACCCACTGAGTGAGAAAATGCAGGCAGTCAACCGGCATCCCCTCTGAATCACTGGGGAGCAAAAATTAGAAGAGCTGTCATAAGACATCATGATGAGCTGGGCACAGTGGCTCATGCCTGTAATCCCAGCGCTTTGGGAGGTCGAGGTGGGAGGATTGCTTGAAGCCAGGAGTTGGAAACTAGCCTGGGCAACATAGGGGTACCCCATCTCTACTAAAAATTTAAAAAATTAGCTGGGCATGGTGGCGTGCACCTGTAGTCCCAGCTACTCAGGATGCTGAGGCAGGAGGATCGCCTGAGTCCAGGAGTTGGAAGCTGCAATGAGCTATGATCACACCACTGCACTCCAGCCTGGGCAACAGAGTGAGACCTTGTCTCAAATTTTTTTTTTTTTTTTTTGGCCAGGTGCAGTGGCTCACACCTGTAATCCCAGCACGTTGGGGGGCCGAGGTGGGTGGATTACCTGAGGTCAGGAGTTCAAGACCAGCCTGACCAACCTAGTGAAATCCCGTCTCTACTAAAAATACAACAATTAGCAAGACACGATGGTGGGTGCCTGTAATCTCAGCTACTGGGGAGGCTGAGGCGGGAGAATCGCTTGAACCTCGGAGGTGGAGGTTGCAGTGAGCCAAGATCGCGCCACTGCACTCCAGCCTGGGCGACAGAGAGAGACTCCGTATCAAAAATAATAAATAAATAAATAAATAAAATTTTAAAGAAAAAAACCTCTGCATGTATAAAGGGCCTTCCCATGACTTTTCTCACTTAATCCTCCCTAATTGCTCTGCCAGCAGAGGATAATTACTGTTGGCTGATGGGGAGGTGAAGGCAGACAGGGGCAGGTGCCAGGCTAATGAAGCCCTGAGTTGGGCTCTCAGCATTTTTCACTCTGTAAGCATAGGCAGTGAGATCAGGTGCTACCAGCCTCCCCGACTTCAGTCTTGCCTCCATCAGGGGACCCGCCTTGCTGACTTACCTTGTGTACACGCAGGCTCCAGTTGTGCTCTGTGGGCAAAACCCACACAGGAGTCCCTGGTCCAGAGGAAGTTGTTTCAGAGTTGATCCATCATCTATTCATTCTGCAAATGCTGGCCATGGCACAGGTGATTTGCTCGGCACTTGGCGGGTATATAAATTTATCTCAAGGCGTTCAGGTCAAGCATGAGACTGAGACGCAGACACCCAGCTGGCCACCAAGTGACGAGTACCACTGTGCTCCCACTATGCCACTGTGTGGGTCTTACATCGGTGTGTGCCCTGGAATCCCAGAGCAGGGAGGTTGGAGAAGGCAAATGGAGAGAACCGTAGGGAGGGGTTGGGTATGGGAGTGTTGGAGACAGCACAAATCTTTCTTATGGTTAGGCATAATTGAAGCCTGTCAGTAGCAATATGAACCTGTGATCAATTAAGCAGCTGACCAATTGTTACCTCCTCCTCCTTGTTCTTGTTACCCAATAATTACAAAGGGCTGTAGAGCCTCCGTGGCAGTCAGCCACATGGGAGTGGCAGGTGAAGGGAGTCTCTGATCATGAGGTCCTGACCTGGGATCCTGGAATCGGGGGTGGAGTGAGGTGGGAGCCATGTCCCACTCTGCCTCATAAAGTTGCCTCAGTCCCTTACAACTGAACTGGACGTTATGACTTACAGGCTTCCGCGTAGTTGCCAGTGCCTTCTGTCCTCCAACCTCAGTGCAGCTGTCAGCTATGAGTCCCTCCTGAACTTTCCTCCTGGCACAATTGGCCAGTTTTCCCGTGGTTTTTTTGTTTTCTTTTTATTTTTTTTTTAAAGACGGGGTTTTGCTATGTTGAGCAGGCTGGTCTTGAACTCCTGGGCTCAAATAATCCTCCCACCTTAGCCTCCCAAAGTGCTGGGATGACAGGCATGAGCCACCTCACCCAGCCTTTCTTTTTTTTTTTTTTTAAGAGACAGGATTATGCTCTGTCACCCAGGCTGGAGTTCAGTGGTGCTCACCTAGCTCACTGTAGCCTCAAACTCCTAGGCTCAAGTGATCCTGCCCCCTCAGCCTCCCAAGTAGCTAGGACTACAGGCGCATACCACCGTGCCTGGCTAATTTTTCTATTTCTTTTGGAGACAGGGTCTTGCTATGTTGCCCCTGCTGGTCTCAAACTCCTGGCCTCAGTCAATCCTCCCGCCTCAGCCTCCTAAAGCATTGGGATTACAGGCATGAGCCACCGCTCCCGGCCCCTGGTTTCTCCTATGTTTCCCTTCCTCCCACCCACCACCCCCATACCTTGTCCTGGGTCAGGGTCCCCAAAGCAGACCCTTGGCAGGGATTCATGGGCTTGTGGTTTATTAAGAGATGCTTCCACGAGAGACCATCGGGGGACTGGGAATCTGGTCGGCGCGGGAAGGGGCCAAGCAAAGTCCGGCTGCACAGAGAGTCACAGATTTGACCGAGTTGGAAACTCAGGAAACAGGGTAGGTCATGCTGGATCTGGAGTCGGCATCCCTCTGGCAGACATTGGCCACCTCAGAGGATGTGAATTTCCAGGCATTTCCCACTTCCCTAGAATCTTGGTGACTAAGTGGCTCCGGCAACTTGAGGGTACAGGCGATGGCTGTTGGGACTTCAAGGCCACCGAGAGCTGATGGAAAGCGGTCCTGACAGCATCTGCTTTGCTCTGTCAAGACTTGTCATGGACTGATTGATTGATTGGTTGATTGATTGATTTTAAGACAGGGTGTTGCTCTGTTGCCCAGCCTGGAGAGGCAGTGGTGTGATCACAGCTCACTGCAGCCTTGAACTCCTGGGTTCAAGTCATCCTTCCACCTCAGCCTCCCCAAGAGCTGAGACTACAAGCCTGCACCACCACGCCTGGCTAATTTTTTTATTTTTTATAGAGATAGGGTCTTGCTTTGTTGCCTAGGCTGGTCTCAAAGTCCTGGCCTCAAATGATCCTCCCACTTGAAACTTCCAAAGCACAGGGATTACAAGCATGAGCCCCCGTGCCCAGCTGACCTCTCATTGTCTGTTACACACACTTGATCACAAATCTGTCTCCCCATTAGAGTCCTCCCAGTGCCTGGCACAGACCACATGCCTAATAAATAATTGGGTGAATGAATGAATGAATGAATGGAAGGGAGAAGATAGGGATGACTCTGCCCATTTTCAGCTGAAGTAACTGAGGCTCAGGGAGGTGAGTGACTTATCCAGGATCCCACAGGGAGTGGCCAACACAGCCAGGATCCCATGGGCCTTCTGACAATGCATCCAACACCTTTGAACTTGGCCTAGGTGGGGTGATGTCCCCTCCCCCAGTTCTTTCGTTCGGAGCCCAAGATAACCCTTGACTCAGCTGGGCAACAACGGGACAACAACTTCCTCTTTCCAGACCACAGGCCTCAGGATTTTCAAGGAAGCGTGGAGGGGGCTCGGGGGCGTGTTTCCTTCTAGTTGCCCCATAAAGGGCAGAGGGAGGGAGTTTGGGGTACTCTGCAAGGACCCGAGCTATTTATCCCTAGGTCCTTTCCTCCTGCACGTCAGCTTTGAGCCCCGAGCTGGTGCTTCTGCTCTCTGAGACATGGCAGGCCTGATGACCATAGTAACCAGCCTTCTGTTCCTTGGTGTCTGTGCCCACCACATCATCCCTACGGGTAAGACCTCCGACAGGATGCAGTTCCAAGGGCATGGCTGGGATGGCACAGTGGGGGGTGCAGGACTGACCAGCCTGGGGCTGGAGGGAAGCGCTGGGGAAAGGGTGGCCCAGTGAATGGACTGGCGGTGTTTGGTGCAGGGTTCAAGCTCCAGCTCTGAGGCCCAGAGCCAAGGGGAGGCTGGGAAAAGACGTGGCTCTTCTCTCTCTCCTCTTCTAGGCTCTGTGGTCATCCCCTCTCCCTGCTGCATGTTCTTTGTTTCCAAGAGAATTCCTGAGAACCGAGTGGTCAGCTACCAGCTGTCCAGCAGGAGCACATGCCTCAAGGCAGGAGTGATGTAGGTATCCTTCATGGGCACGTGGCAGGAGAGGGGTGGGGGCAGGTGCAACTCCAGGGTCCCTGAGAAGCAAGGTCAGCCAGCCCCAGCTCTGTGCATCCCTGGAGAAGTCACCTCCCCTCTCTGGTCCTCAACTTCCTTGCCCATAAAACTAGGAGGAGGATATATTTATTTTTTTAATTTCATTTTTCTTTTTAGGAGATAGGGTCTTGCTCTGTCACCCAAGCTGGAGTGCAGTGGCACGATCATAGCTCATTGCATTGCAGCCTCAACCTCCTGGGCTCAAGTGATCCTCCCATCTCAGCCTCCCAAAGTGGTGCTAGGATTACGGCCATGAACCACCACACCCAGCCAGGAGGAGGATTTTTTTTTTTTCCCCTGAGACAGAGTCTCTATCACCCAAGCTGGAGTGCAGTGGTACGATCTTGGCTCACTGCAACCTCCGCCTCCCAGGTTCAAGCAATTCTCATGCCTCAGCCTCCCGAGTAGCTGGGATTACAGGTACGCACCACCATGCCCGGCTAATTTTTGTATTTTTAGGAGAGACAGGGTTTCACCATGTTGACCAGGCTGGTCTCGAACTTCTGACCTGAAGTGATCTGCCCATCTCAGCCTTCCAAAGTGCTGGGATTACAGGCGTGATCCACCAGGAGAAGGATTTAGATTCAATATCTACTGAGCACCAAATATATAACAAGTCACTATTCAGGGGCACAAGACAATATCTTATCTAATTCTCTCAACAATTCTATGGGGTAGCGATGATTGTTCCCATTTTACAGAGGACAGCTGAGGCTCAGGAAGGTAACTTGCTCAAGGTCACGTGGGCTGACATGTGTCTGTCCTCCAAATAGCTTCATAAGTAGTAACTGTGAACTCATTTTGTAAACAGAGGCATGAAATAGAAATACAATAAGAAGGCCACGTGCAGTGGCTTACATCTGCAATCTCAGTGCTTTGGGAGGCTGAGGCAGGAGGGTTGCTTAAGGCCAGGAGTTTAAGACCAGCCTAGGCAACATAGTGAGACTCCGTTTCTGCAAAAAAATAAAAAAAATTAGCTGGGCATGGTGGCATGTTCCTGTAGTCCCAGCTACTCAGGAGGCTAAGGCGGGAGGACAGCTTGAGCCTGGGAATTTGAGGCTGCAGTGAGTTATGATCGCCACTTTATTGCAGCCTGGACAACAGAGTGAGACCCTGTGTCAAAAAATGAAGATGACATCATCTCAGCAACTTGCAAGGAAGCCTTACTGTCTCTGGGCGTCCACATCCCCCCCGCCATGAAGTGGAGTGGCCCAAGGTCCCTGTCGACCTCAGCTGATCCCCTGTCCCTTTCTTCCACAGCTTCACCACCAAGAAGGGCCAGCAGTTCTGTGGCGACCCCAAGCAGGAGTGGGTCCAGAGGTACATGAAGAACCTGGACGCCAAGCAGAAGAAGGCTTCCCCTAGGGCCAGGGCAGTGGCTGTCAAGGGCCCTGTCCAGAGATATCCTGGCAACCAAACCACCTGCTAATCCCCGCCCAGCCCTCCAGCCCTGAGTTTGGGCCTGAGCTGCTTGGCGGGCTACTCGGGGCCTGGAGAAGCCACAGTGATGGGGGGAAGAGCTAATTTTCCTGTTTCTTAGCAACACTCTCCAGGGATGTGTCTCTTCTATGAAAAACCCGAGGGAGCAGGTGATGTGGTTCCCGGGGGCTGAGCAATGGCTCCAAGCATCCAAGGCCCCTTGCCTTTCTGGAGCTGGGTGAGAAGATCCCAGAAGGAGAGCAGTGGCAACTCTTTGCCTTCTCCTCCTGACCTGGTTCTGATGCTTTTTCTTTTTTTTTTTTTTCTGAGACGGAGTCTCGCTCTGTCACCCAGGCTGGAGTGCAGTGGCACAATCTCGGTTCACTGCAACCTCCGCCTCCTGGGTTCAAGTGATTCTCGTGCCTCAGCCTCCCGAGTACCTGGGACTACAGGTGTGTACCACCACACCCAACTAACTTTTGTATTTTTAGTAGAGATGAGGTTTCACCATGTTGGCCAGGCTGGTCTCAAACTCCTGGCCTCAAGTGATCTACCTGCCTCGGCCTCCCAAAGTGCTGGGATTACAGGCATGAGCCACCACACCCAGCCTACTCAAACTTTTATGTTGAAAAAAAAAAATCATAATTTTTTTTTTTTTAAAGGAAATGAACGTGGAGGACTGGGGTGAAGGGCCAGCCTGGGTAGTTTAATCTTTTTGGGAAGACATGACTTTAAGGAGATTCCCTGCTTTGTGACAGGTTGCTCCATGCTGTCTTGGGGACAAGGGCCTGTACTGCCTTCAAATCTGGGCTCACCCCACATTTTGGTGAGGGGAAGATAGGGTGGGGGGATTAGGGGGAGAAAAGACTCTAGCTTTTTTTTTCTATGCATGATATACTGTGTGGGTTTATCAAGAGTGTAGACACAGTTGCTGTTCTCAAATAATAGGCCAAATAAAATGCGATTCTTTTTTTCTTTGAAGGTTGTTGTGTCTTGTGTGTTCTTTTTTTTTTTTTCTTTTCGTTTTGAAATGGAGTCTCGCTCTTGTCGCCCCAGGCTGGAGTGCAATGGGACGATCTCAGCTCACTGCAACCTCTGCCTCCCAGGTTCAAGCAATTCTTCTGCCTCAGCCTCCTGAACAGCTGGGGCTACAGGTATCTGCCATCATGCCCTGCTAATTTTTTTATATTTTTAGTAGACACAGAGTTTCACCGTGTTGGTCAGCCTGGTCTCAAACTCCTGACCTCAGGTGATCCACCCGCCTCAGCCTCCCAAAGTGCCGGGATTCCAGGTGTGAGCCACTGCGCCCGGCATTTTGTGTTTTTGACTCTCCTGGAGGGGGTAGGGTTGGGCTGTGACCAATGGTGTACGTGCCCCAGAAAGCATCCCAGGCTGCCTCTCCAAGGTTGGAGGGGAAGAAGACAGCCGGAGCCCAAAGCATCTGGGAGTGACCTTGCCCTGCCGCTGGGAGTCCTGTTATTGACTTTGAAAAACACACATGCACAGCTAGGTTCAATTAAATAATTTAAAAAATTTTTGAGACAGGGTATCACTCTGTTGCCCAGACTGGAGTACAGTGGTACAATCATAGCTCACTGCAGCCACGAAATTCTGGGCTCAAGCAATCCTCCCACCTCAGCTTCTCTAAGTAGCTGGGACTACAGGTGTGCACCACCACACCCGGCTAATCTTTTCATTTTTTGTAGAGATGAGATCTTGCTTTGTTGTCCAGGCTGGTCTAGAACTCCTGGCCTCAAGCAGTTCTCCCACCTCGGCTTCCCAAAACACCAGAATTAAAGATGTGAGCCATTGCACCAGGCCCCAAACAAAAATTTTTTTTTTTTGAGATGGAGTTTCTTTCTTGTTGCCCAGGCTGGAGTACAATGGCATGATCTCGGCTCACTGCAACTTCCACCTCCCGGATTCAAGCGATTCTACTGTCTTGGCCTCCCAAGTAGCTGGGATTAAGGCACACACCACCACGCCTGGCTAATTTTGTATTTTTAGTAGAGATGGGGTTTCACCATGGTGGTCAGGCTGGTCTCGAACGCCTGACCTCAAGTGATCCACCTGCCTCAGCCTCCCAAAGTGCTGGAATTACAAGGATTACAGGCATGAGCCACTCTGCCTGGCCCCAAATTTTTAAAATATTTCAACAAACATGTTATTGCACAAGGAGTTATTATGGGTATTAGGAGGCTAAAAAAATGATACACGATGATGTCTTGCTTCAAAGAATTAGAATTATAACATGAACACACTCGTGAATCAAGAGCACTATGGGTTCAAAGCCAATTCTGCTTTACAAGTTGCATGACCTTGAAAGAGAAAAACTCTTTTTCTATGCTCGCGACAGTTTTGACACCAAATATGTAAGTTTTCCACACCATGCAGCTTTCCAATTCTCTGGCTGAGTGCAGTGGCCCATGCCTGTAATCTCAGCACTTTAAGAGGCCAAGGTGGGAGGATCTTGTGAGCCCAGCAGTTCAAGACCAGCCTGGGTAACATAGGGAGATCCTTTCTCTACAAAATAATAATAATAATAATAATAATAATAATAAATTTATTTATTTTGAGACGGAGTCTTGCTCTGTCTCCCAGGCTGGAGTGTAGCGGTATGATCTCAGCTCACTGCAACCTCCACCTCCCAGGTTCAACCAATTCTCCTGCCTCAGCCTCCCAAGTAGCAAGGACTACAGGCACATGCCACTGCATCCAGCTAATTTTTGTATTTTTAGTAGAGATGGGTTTCACCATGTTGGCCAGGCTGGTCTCAAACTCCTGACCTCAAGTGATCTGCCCGCCTTGGCCTCCCAAAGTGCTGGGATTACAGGTGTGAGCCGCTGCGCCCAGCCTACAAAAAATTAAAAAGGTAGCTGGATGTGGTGGTGGTGCAAGCTACTTTGGAGGCTGAGATGGGAGGATTGCTTGAGCCCAGGAGGTTGAGGCTGCAGTGAGCTGTGATCACGCCACTGCACTCCAGCCTGGGCAACAGAGCGGGACTTTGTCTCCAAAAAAAAAAAAAGAAAAGAAAAAAAATGGGTGCATGATCAGAGGGGCATGGATGGTGGCTCACGCCTGTAATCCCAGCACTTTGGGAGGCTGAGACAGGCACATTGCTTGAGCCCAGGAGTTTGAGACCAGCCTGGGGAATATGGAAAATCTCATCTCCACAAAAATAAAAATAAAATTAAAAATTAAAAAAAGTGCATGATTTAGCAGAGGACAATCAGAGCTCAAACCACTGGGAAGTGGCATGAGACCCTGTCATGGAGAAAACTCGCAATTGTCTAGAAGAATGTTCTCCCAAGCTGGGAAAGAGCCGAGACCAAAGAACTCAGAGAAGTCCAGCCTGGCGAGTAGGTGAGTGTGTGAGGATTTACATATAGGGACTCCTAGCTAGCAGCAGGACCACTGCAGAGATCCACCCCGCTACCCATCTCTATGCTGCTTTGAAGCTAATTTTCTGGCTCTTTGCCTATTGTATGCAATGAGACTGTCTGCCTTGGCTATGTTCCCGGATATGCTCTGGGACTTTTGGGTTCTCCGCGACACCTGCCCCTTGGCTCAGCACCATGGCCTGGGAGGTGAGGTTTAAGCAGCAGACATATAAGGGGTCCCAATCCAGACCTCAAGAGAGGGTTCTTGGATCTCACACAAGAAGGAATTCAGGGTGAGTCCATAGAGTAAAGTGAAAGCAAGTTTATTAAGAAAGTAAAGGAACAAAAGAATGGCTACTCCATAGACAGAGCAGCCCTGAGGGATGCTGGTTGCCCATTTTTTATGTTTTTTTCTTGATGATATGCTAAGCAAGGGGTGGATTATTCATGCCTACCCTTTTTAGACCATATAAGGTAACTTCCTGATGTTGCCATGGTGTTTGTAAACTGTCCTGGCGCTGGTGGGAGAGTAGCAGTGAGGACGACCAGAGGTCACTCTCATTGCCATCTTGGTTTTGGTTGGTTTTAGCCAGTTTCTTTACCACAACCTGTTTTATCAGCGAGGTCTTTATGACCGGCATATTGCGCCGACCTCCTATCTCATCCTGTGATTTAGAATGCCTTAACCATCTAGGAATGCACCCAGTAGGTCTCAGCCTTGTTTTACCTAGCCCATATTTAAGATGGAGTTGCTCTGGTTCACACGCTTCTGACACATATACTTTTTTTTTTTTTGCACTCCAGACTAGAGCACAGTGGGGCAATCTCGGCTCACTGCAGCCTCCGCCTCCCAGGTTCAAGCTATTCTCTGCCTCAGCCTCCTGTGTAGCTGGGATTAGAGGCATGCGCCACAACACCTGACTAATTTTTGTATTTTTAGTAGAGACAGCGTTTCATTATGTTGGCCAGGCTGGTCTCAAACTCCTAGCCTCAAGTGATCTGCCCACCTCAGCTTCCCAAAGTGCTGGGATTACAGGCATGAGCCACCATGTGTGGCCAACATATACCCTTAAATAACCTGGTGGGGATCCATCAACCTACAGATCCATCCTCCTCGGAAGTACACACCCACTCCATCAGTCTTTGCCAGCTGTGCGTGAGGGGTGGGCTTTCAGCAAGTGGGAGCAGAGTAAGTTCCCATGGTTAAAAAAAAGCCCCCAGGCACAGGGAGCCACATACTGGCAGCCAGGAGTCTGCAGAGCACACAGAGGCCCAGTAGTAGGCACTGCATATACAGTAGCTACTAAAGCTATTGTAAGTCTAATGCAAAGCAGAATAAGTAGCAATGCTAAACAATACACAGCAGGGGACATTCTGATGGGAAGAAGGAGCCTGCAGAACCAGCTTCACAGAGTTGGCACCTGAATGGTGACTTGGGTTCCACCCTGGAGAGAGAGCATGTTCCTAAAGAGGGAGGAGAGCCAGAGCATTCAGGGATGAGACTGAAATACAGACAGTGTCCCAACTGCATGTGACAATAGGACTCTCACCACAGCCTCTGCAGCATTCAGCCTGGAGAGCCGGTGCTTGGTCCATAGTGTAACCATCCAGTGCATTCATTTTGCCCACTGCCCAGATAAAGCCAATTTATCAAGACAGGGGAATTGCAACAGAGAAGGAATTTAATTCATGCAGAGCTGGCTGTACAGGAGACCGGAGCGTTATTGTTACTCAAACCAGCCTTCCCCAAAGTTCAGAGACTAGGGTTTTTCAAGAATAGTTTGGTAGGCAGTGGGCTAGGGAATGGGAGCTGCTGATTGGTTGGGGATGCAATCATACAGGTGTGGAAAATGGTCCTTTTACATTGAGTCTGCTTCTGGGTAGAGCCACAGAGGAGTCACTGGTCTGGGTGGACTCATCCAACAGTCAGAAATGCAAAAGTCTGAAAACACATCTTTTTTTTTTTTTTTTTTTTTTGGACATGTCTTGCTCTGTCCCCGAGGCTGGAGTGCAGTGGCACAATCTTGGCTCACTGCAAGCTCCGCCTCCTGGGTTCACACCATTCTCCTGCCTCAGCCTCCTGAGTAGCTAGGAATACAGGCACCTGCCATCACGCCTGGCTAATTTTTTGTATTTTTTAGTAGAGACGGGTTTTCACTGTGTTAGCCAGGATGATCTCGATCTCCTGACCTCATGATCCACCTGCCTCGGTCTCCCAAAGTGCTGGAATTACAGGTGTGAGCCACCGTGCCCGGCCTGAAAACACATCTTCAAAGGCCTATCATAGGCCAGGGGCAGTGTCTGTCACCTATAATGCCAGCACTTTGGGAGGCTGAGGCGGGCAGATCACTTGAGGTCAGGGGTTCAAGACCAGCCTGGCCAACATGGTGAAACCCAGTCTCTACTAAAAATACAAAAATTAGCCAGGCGTGGCAGCATGCAGCTGTAATCCCAGCTACTCAGGAGGCTGAGACATAAGAATTCATTTGAACCCAGAAGTCAGAGGTTGCAGTGAGCTGAGATCATGCCACTGCACTCCAGCCTAGGTGACAGAGTGAGACCCTGTCTCAAAAAAAAAAAACAAAAACAAACCAAAAAAAGTCTATCACAGGTTCTGCAATAGTGATGTTATCTACATGAGTAATTGGAGAAGTTGCAGATCTTGTGACTTCTGGAACAATGGCTGGTAACTCGCCTAAATCTTGCAGAATTCAGGCCCCTCTCATCCTCCTAACCTTGTGGTCTTTCTTGTGTTTTACAAAGGTGGTTTAATTTGGGGGAAGGGCTATTATCATTTAAACTATAAACTAAATTTCCCCCAAGTTAGCTTGGTCCAAGCCCAGGAATGACCAAGGGCAGTTTGGAGATTAAAGGAAAGATGGGGGTTGGTTGGGTCAGCTCTTTTTCACTGTCATCATTTTCTCACTATTATGGTTTTTGCAAAGACAGTTTCAGTAGCTGCCAGCTTCCCTATTCTCCCCACTTTTCCAACTCAGAACCAGCCATAGAAAGCCAATGATGCCAGGCGCAGTGGCTCACGCCTGTAATCCCAGCACTTTGGGAGGCTGAGGAGGGTGGGTGGGGGGGATCACGAGGTCAGGAGATCGAGACCATCCTGGCTAACATGGTGAAACCCCGTCTCTACTAAAAATACAAAAAAAATTAGCCGGGCCTGGTGGTGGGCGCCTGTAGTCCCAGCTTCTCGGGAGGCTGAGGCAAGAGAATGGTGTGAACCTGGGAGGTGGAGCTTGCAGTGAGCCGAGATAGTGCCACTGCACTCCAGCCTGGGCAACAGAGCGAGACTCCGTCAAAAAAAAAAAAAAAGAAAAGAAAAGAAAGTCAACGATACAGACGTGCATTGCTCAAGGGTTATATGAGAAATGTGTTATTATATGATTTCATCATTGTGCAAACATCAAGTGGACTTACACAAAAGTAGATGGGCTAACCTCCTACACACCTAGGTTAGATGGTCTAGCCTATTGCTTCTGCACCCACCTTTGCAAAAATTAAAACCAAGGAAATTATAAGACCGTGAGAGAAATCTGACATGGCTGACTCCATCTTGCTTCTAGCCTCACAGGTTGGCTGTCTTTGCTCATTCCTGGGCATGGGCCACGCTAACTTTGAGAGAAATTTAGTTTATAGTTTAAACGGTAATAGCCCTTCCCCAAAACTAAACTGTTCTTGTAAAACTAATGAAAGGTGATCAAGTTAGGGCCGGGCACGGTGGCTCATGCCTGTAATCCCAGCACTTTGGGAGGCCGAGGCAGGTGGATCACCTGAGGTCAGGAGTTCAAGACCAGCCTTACCAACATGGTGAAACCCCGTCTCTACTAAAAATGCAAAAAAGATTAGCCAGGCGTGGTGCCGTGTGCCTGTAATCCCAGCTACTCGGGAGGCTGAGGCAGGAGAATCACTTGAACCCAGGAGGCGGAGGTTGCAGTAAGCTGAGATCACGCCACTGCACTCCAGCCTAGGTGACAGAGTGAGACCCTGCCTCAAAAAAACAAACAACAACCAAAAATACCCTCCAATCCCTGAATTCTCAGGGAGACTGATTTGAGTAATAATAAAACTCTGGTCTCCTTTACAGCCAGCTCTGCATGAATTAAACTCTCTCTCTTGCAATTCCCCTATCTTGATAAACTGGCTCTGTCTAGGCAGCAGGCAAGGAGAACCTATCGGGTGGCTACACTCCTAGGCTACAAACCTGCACAAGCATGTGACTACTGAACACTGGAGGCAACTGCAACACAATGATAAGTATTTGTGTATCTGAACATATCTAAACATACAAAAGGTAGAGTATAAATTTAGTATTATATCTTATGGGGTGGGGCCACCGTTGTATATGTGGTCCATCAGGCTGGGTGCAGTGGCTCATGACTGTAATCCCAGCATTTTGGGAGGCTGAAGTGGGTGGATCACGAGGTCAGGAGTTTGAGACCAGCCTGGCCAACATGGTGAAACCTCATCTCAACTAAAAATACAAAAATTAGCCAGGTGTGGTGGTGCACACCTGTAATCCCAGCTACTCAGGAGGCTGAGGCAGGACAATCGCTTGAACCCAGGAGGTGGAGGTTGCATTGAGCTGAGATTGTGCCACTGCACTCCAGCCTGGGTGACAGAGTGAGACTCTGTCTCAAAAATAAAGAAATAAGTAAAACAAAGCACCCCGTGCCTTCCCTCTTTCCTACTGCAAAGTGTTCCCTCTCCCCTGCCTGCCTCTGAGTCTCTTCAATGGATGGAGGCTGACCCTCTTGCTGTAGCAAGCTCAGAGTGAGTAGTGTGTTAGTTTTCATTTGGGTGGTCTTCATTTATTTTCCCAGAGGTTGTATCGTATGGTGTCTATACTCCAGCCAGGGGCCTTGAGAGGATTGAAGCAGGCAATGCAGAAGAAGAGGGTAGCAGGCACTTGGGAGTGTGGGGAAGCTGGCACTCTGTTGCACTACCAGCTAGAGTGTCTACTGGACCAGCCTCTTTGGAGGACAATCTAGTAACATCTGCTAAAACGCTTAACACACATATCTGTTGACCCAGCAACTCCACTTCCAGAAGGGAACCCTATGCAAATGCACAGAGATGCATGGGCAGGGAGGTTTATTGCAGTAATATCGGTAGTTGTGGAAAACTGGCAACAAGCTCATTTGCCCATTCATAGATGACTTGATAAAGATCTTTTTTTTTTTTTTTTTTTTTTTTTTGGGATGGAGTCTTGCTCTGTCATGCAGGCTGGAGTGCAGTGGTGCGATCTTGGCTCACTGCAACCTCCGCCTCCCCGGTTCAAGCGATTCTCCCGCCTCAGCCCCTCCCTGAGTGGCTGGGATTACAGGCACCTGCCACCACGGGCTAATTTTTGAATTTTGTAGAGACGGGCTTTCACCATGTTGGCCAGGCTGGTCTCGAACTCCTGACCTCGTGATCTGCCTGCCTTGGCCTCCCAGAGTGCTGGGATTACAGGCATCAGCCACCACGCCCTTCCAAAGATCTATTTTTAAATGAAAAAAATCAAAGTGCACAAGAGTATATACTGGATGATACTATTTGTGCAACAAAAAAGATATACATATGATTAGTAATTTGCTGGACATACAAACTATCAAGAAACGGGGTCCCGCTCCAGACCTCAGGAGACGGTTCTTGGACCTAGTGCAAGAAATAATTCAGGACAAGTCCATAGAGTAAAGTGAAAGCAAGTTTATTAAGAAAGTAAAGTTATACAGAATGGCTACTCCATAGGCAGAGCAGTGTCATGGGGTGCTCGAATAAGCATACGTACAGTTATTTTTTGATTCTATGCTAAAGAAGGGGTGGGTTATTCATGAGTTTTCAGGGAAAGAGGTAGGCAATTCCTGGAACTGAGGATTCCTCCCCCTTTTTAAGACCATATAGCGTAACTTCCTGACGTTGCCGTGGCATCTATAAACTGTTATGGCAGTGGTGGCAGTGTCTTTTAGCATGCTAATATATTATAATTAGGGTATAATGAGCAATGAGGAGGATCAGAGGTGACTTTCATCGCCATCTTGGTTTCAGTGGGTTTTGGCTGCCTTCTTTACTGCAATCTCTTTTTTTGTGTTTTTTGAGATGGAATCTGACTGTCGCCCAGGCTGGAGTGCAGTGGCATGATCTCGGCTCACTGCAACTTCTGCCTCCCGGGTTCAAGCGATTCTCGTGCCTCAGCCTTCTAAGTAACTGGGACTACAGGCGTACACCACCACACCCGGCTAATTTTTTTTTTTTGTATTTTTAGTAGAGACGGGGTTTCACCATGTTGGTCAGGCTAGTCTTGAACTCCTGACCTCAGGTGATCCTCCCACCTCGGCCTCCCAAAGTGCTGGGATTACAGGCGTGAGCTACCATGCCCAGCCTTGACCAACTTCTTTACTGCAACCTGTTTTATCAGTGAGGTCTTTATGACCTGTATCTTGTGCCGACATCCTGTCTTATCCTGTGACTTAGAATGCCTCACATCCTGGGAATGCAGCCCAGTAGGTCTCAGCCTCATTTTACCCAGCTCCTATTCAAGATGGAGTCACTCTGGTTCACACACCTCTGACAGGATGGCAATTCAGGACTAGGATCTGGGAGAGAGAATTTTTTTTTTCTTTTTTTTTTTTTTTGAGACGAGTTTCGCTCTTATTGCCCAGGCTGGAGTGCAATGGTGAGATTTCAGCTCCCCACAACCTCTGCCTCCCGGGTTCAAGCGATTCTCCTGCCTCAGCCTTCCGAGTAGCTGGGATTACAGGCATGTGCCACCACGTCCAGGTAATTTTGTATTTATTTATTTATTTATTTTTTTAGTAGAGACAGAGTTTCTCCATGTTGGTCAGGCTGGTCTCGAACTCCCAACTTCAGGAGATCCACCCACCTCGGCCTCCCAAAAAGTGTGGGGATTACAGGTGTAAGCCACCATGCCCAGCCGAGATATACTTTTATTAGTGCGTTTTCATGGTGTTTGAGCTTTTTACTATGTGCATTAACCACTTTTATGATAAAAAGTCAGGGAAGCTGATGATGTGATATCCATGCCTCTTTTTATTGGGCTGCCCCAGTTGGTGTGCTCCTGATGTTTTCCCATCGCCAATAGTATCTCCATCTCTGGACTGGGGTGCCTTATACCAAAGGCTACTCTGCTATGACAGACCAGAAATGCCAGGGAATTAAAACCCTCAGGGGGAACCCAGTGCAGTGGCTCACACCTGTAATCCCAGCACTTTGGGAGGCTGATGTGGGTGGATCACTTGAGGTCAGGAGTTCGAGACCAGCCTGGTCAACATGGTGAAACCCCGTCTCCACCAAAAATACGAAAAAAATAGCCAGGTGTGGTGGTGGGTGCCTGTAATCCCAGCTACTCGGGAGACTGAGGCAGGAGAATTGCTTGAACCTGGGAGATGGAGGTTGTAGTGAGCCAAGATTGCATCACTGCACTCCAGCCTGGATGACAAAATGAGACTCTGTCTCAGAAAAAAAAAAAAGAAATATCTATTTCATAGGTGGGCTGTGAGGATAATTTAGGCAATTAATGCATGAGAAGCACTAAGCCCAATGCCTGGCTCATGATAAGTCTCCATAAATGTTAACAGGAGAATATCCAAGCTCTGCTGGGAGGCAGAGGGGCATGTTGGTCCTGCTATACCCGGGGCATCTGGCAGACACTGCTATGGCCATTCCGGCAGGCTCTGGGCCCCCCGCCTCCCCCGTGTCATTTTTCTAGCAGCCACGGATGCCTCTGGATAAAAAAGGCACCAGTTGGGCCGGGAGTGATGACTCACCCCTGTAATCCCAGCACTTTGGGAGGCCGAGGTGGGCTGATCACGAGGTCAGGAGTTCGAGACCAGCCTGGCCAACATGGTGAAACCCCGTCTCTACTAAAAATACAAAAATTAGCCAGGTGCGGTAGTGGGCGCCTGTAGTCCCAGCTACTTGGGAGGCTGAGGCAGGAGAATCACTTGAACCTGGGAAGCGGAGGCTGCAGTGAGCTGAGATTATGCCACTGCACTCCAGCCCGGGCAACAGAGCAAGACTCCGTCTCAAAAAAAAAAAAAAGCCACTGGTTGGAATGACGGCCTTTGGGGCACTTGAACTGTCCACCAGACAGCCTGGCCTGCCCTTGCCTGGCCTTACAACAGAACATGAGCCTTGGATATGCACGGCCAGTCGATGCGTGTGGAGATCATACGCTGACCACCCTGTCGTGCGTCGGGGCAGGCCACCAGCATGATGACCCGTCCACAGAGTCACCACACTCTTTCTTGAGCCACTTTGTGAAGGAGGAATCTAAAGATGGAGGGGGTGTCGGGGGTTGGCTGTGGTCAGGGAGGGTCTGGGCCCCGTCTGTAGCCAAGTTAAGCCAAAACTGGCCCATGTTTGGGGGGAGTCCTCTTTTGTCCCCAGGTAAACTTGTCACATGACTCATGAAAAATGATTTTTTTTTTTTAGGGTCTCCCTGTCACCCAGGCTGGAGTGCAGTGGTGCAACCTTGGCTCACCGCAGCCTCCAATTCCCAGGCTCAAGCGATCCTCCCACCTCAGCCTCCTGAGTAGCTGGGACCACAGGCGTGCACCACGACACCCGGCTAATTTTTGTATTTTTTGTAAAGACAGAGTCTCACTATGTTGCTCAGGCTGGGCTCAAACTCCTGGGCTCTATCGATCTGCCCCCCTCAGCTTTCCAAAGTGCTGGGATTACAGGCATGAGCCACACTGTGCTGGGACAAGAACTGATTTTAGTGTGCTGTAGTAAATACAAGGCTGGTGTATCACCAGGTACCATTGTAACCCGAGGCTAGGAGGGGAAAGAGCAAACATGAGTCCTTGAGCACAGTGGGTGAGAAAAGGAAGGAGAGAGACACACAAAACAGCAGTTCTCAACCCTTCCTGGGCTTCAGAGTCAGCTGTGAAGCTTAAAAAATGCAGATTACTCCGGGCGTGGTGGCTCATGCCTGTAATCCCAGCACTTTGGGAGGCAGAGGCAGGAGGATCACCTGAGACCAGGAGTTCGAGACCAGCCCAACCAACATGGCGAAACCCCATCTCTACTAAAAATACAAAAATTAGCTGGGCATGGTGGCGGGCGCCTGTAATCCCAGTTACTTGGGAGGCTGAGGCAGGAGAATCGCTTGAACCCGGGAGGCAGAGTTTGCAGTGAGCCGAGATCGCACCATTGCACTCCAGCCTGAGCAACAAGAGAGAAACTCCGTTTCAAAAAAAAAAAAAAAAAGTTACCCAGGTGATTGCGATGTCCAAGCAGGGTTGACAGACTTTTCTACACCGGGAGACAACGAACTGTGAACAACCCAGGGACCCAGGGCTTCATGCAGTTGGAAGAGGTCCAGGGAGAAGTGCTGAGCTGGGTTGGGTATCTTGACTCTGAGCCCTTGCCAGGTAAGTGTGGCAGCTGGTGGGCACAGTTCTGGTCTCAGTCACTTCTTCCTCCAGGTGGCAGCTGGAACTGCCAGATAAAGAAAGGTCAGCATAAGGTCTTATCTTGTTCGAAGCCTTTGAACTTTTCAAAGCTTTCAACTCCTCGCTTCCCCTCCTCCTCTCCTCCTCCCTGGCTTTTTGTCCTCTCTCCACCAACCAGCCTTCCTGCAAGGGATGCCAAGCCTCCATCCATCTCTTGATAGAACATGCTTCTAGAGAGCCATGCAGTGTTGGGCTTCCCTACCTAGTAAATCCCAGCTTATAATTTTTTTTTTTTTGAGACAGGGTCTCGCTCTGTCATCCAGGCTAGAGTGCAGTGACATGATCACAGCTCACTGCAGCCTCGACTTCCTGGGCTAAAAAAAAATCCTCCCACCTCAGCCTCCCAAGTAGCTGGGACCACAGACACGTGCCACCACGCCTTGCTAATTTTTGTATTTTTAGCAGAGACGCGGTTTCACTATGTTGCCCAGGCTGGTATCGAACTCCTGGCCTCAAGCCATTCACCCGCCTCAGCCTCTCAAAGTGCTGGGATTACAGGTGTGAACCACCCCACCTGGCTTCCCAGCTCATCAATTCTTTCTGAGACGCAGTCTCTCTCTCTTCTTCCCATCCCCATGTCCTTCTGGGAAGTATACTGCTGGGAGAAGTTGCCAGAATGAATGTTTTTTTTGACCGAGAAAGATGTTTTGCTGTCAGAACTGCTGAAATTCTATCCTGGCTCTAGGTCCCAGCCCTTGCAAAGTTATTGATTCTGAAGAATTCCATGACCTTGTTTCTCTAGGTCAAACCTCTCTATTAAAAGGGTAGTTATACTATCTCACTTCCCAAAATTACAGACCTGTTCATTTCCAGGAAGCCCCTTGAGAACGCATGGGCCTGGGCACAGCAGCTCAAACCTGTATTCCCAGTATTTTGGAAGCCAAAGCAGGAGGATCACTTGAGGCCAGAAGACGAGTCTTACTATGAGCAATATAGTGAGACCTTATCTCTATTTTAAAAAATTAGCCGGGCATGGTGGCACGTACCTGTATTCTCAGCCTCTTAGGAGGCTGAGGCAGGAAGATTGCCTGAGCCCAGGAGTTGGAGGCTGCAGTGAGCCATGACCGTGCCATTGAACTCCAGCCTGGCAACAAAGCAAGACTCTGGCTGGGCATGGTGGCTCTTGACTGTAATCCCAGCACTTTGGGAGGCCGAGGCGGGCGGATCAGTTGAGGCCAGGAGTTTGAGACCAGCCTGGCAAACATGGCAAAACTCTGTCTCTACTAAAAATGCAAAAAATTGCCACATGTGGTGGCATATTCCTGTAGTCCCAGCTACTCGGGAGGCTGAGGCAAGAGAACTGTCTGAACCTTGGAGGCGGAGGTTCCAGTGAGCTGAGATGGTGCCACTGCACTCCAGCCTGGGCGACAGTGTGAGACTCTGTCTCAGAAAAATCAAACAAAAAAAAAGCGAGCCTATCTCTAAGAAAACAAAAGAACTTATGGAAGTTTCCTTCTTCTTTTTTTTTTTTTTTTGAGATGGAGTCTCGCTCTGTCGCCTAGGCTGGAGTGCAGTGGTGGTGAACTCAGCTCACTGCAACCTCTGCCTCCCAGGTTCAAGCGATTCTCCTGCCTCAGCCTCCTGAGTAGCTGGGACTACAGGCGCCCACCACCATGCCTGGCTAATTTTTTTTGTATTTTTAGTAGAGACGGGGTTTCACCGTGTTAGCCAGGATGGTCTCGATCTCCTGACCTTGTGATCTGCCCGCCTTGGCCTCCCAAAGTGCTGGGATTACAGGTGTGAGCCACCGCGCCTGGACTGTTTTGTTTTGTTTTGTTTTTGAGACCAAGTCTCCCTCTGTTGCCCAGACTGGAGCGCAGTGGCACGATCTCGGCTCACTGCAACCTCTGCCTCCTGGGTTCAAGCAATTCCCGTGCCTCAGCCTTCCCAGTAGCTGGGATTACAGGCACATGCCACCATGCCCAGCGGATTTTTTAGTAGAGATGGGTTTTCACCGTGTTGCCCAGGCTGGTCTCAAACTCTTGAGCTTGGGCTATCCACCCAACTGGGCCTCCCAAAGTGCTAGAAATACGGGCGCGCCCGGCCAGAAGTTTCCTTCTTAGAAAGCTGTACGTGGCCCTGTGTGATGGCTCGTGCCTGGTATCCTAGCACTTTGGGAGGACAAGGTGGGAAGATGCTTTGAGCCCAGGAGTTTGAGACCAGCCTGGGCAACACAGGGAGACCCCCATGTCTAGAAAATTAAAAATAAAAAAAAAAATTATCAGGACATAGTGATGTGTGCCTGTGGTCCCAGCTACTTAGGAGGTTGAGGCAGGAGGATCGCTAGAGTTCAGGAGTTGGAGGCTGCAGCGAGCTGTGATTGCATCACTGTACTCCAACCTGGACAACAGATCAAGACCGTGTCTCATCAAAAGAAAGGTGGTCATTTGGGTCTTCCAGTCGCTTATTCTGCCTGAGATACAGGCAAGATTTAGAGGAAATTATTCTGTTACTGACCGTAGCTGAGTAGGGGAGACTAATACTCCCCGAATGCTCAGTGTAAGCAGGCCAGCAAGAGGACCCCAGACCCCTCCTCCCGTGGCTCCTACTAAATCCCACCTTCTGCCTTTTGCCACTAGTTTTTTTTTGAGACGGAGTGTCACTCTGTTGTCCAGGTTGGAGTGCTTTTCAGCCTCTAAAAAGGCATTCCCTGGAAGTCTCTCTCTCCCCAGCCTTCTAACTTCTGAATAATCTCAAGCCCAAAGGAACATTCAGTTCTTGCTATGGGTCATGCCCGGTCACGACCTTGCTTGGGGAAACATCTCTCAAGACTCAGAATGGGGAAGAGCTGCGCTTCTCCCAAGCAACTGGCAGTTCGTTGTTATGTTCTCGAAGCTGGTGGGATGGGCTGCATTTCCCTTTTTTTATTGGCCAATTGAAAGTTTGGAAGGGAATTTGCTGACTTTTGCTAACCCGCAGATGCCTCCCCTTATCTATCTAGCTGCTATTTGCCCTTGGCTCTGATATGGTCCTGTAACTACAGAGTAGTTTTAGCTTCGGGACAAAGCCTGGCGGAAGCCACCCTGAAGGTTCATTCTCAGCGTTAAGGGTTGGGGGGTAGGACTCTGAGACTGTCAGAGGCAGGACAAGGCACAGGCATGACACAGACCCAGCTCTGAGCCTTGGTTCTGCCATCCATGAGTTTTGTGGCCTTGAACAAACCACAGTTTTCTAGGCTGTAAAAGGGGATAAGAAAACCTCCCTAGGCCGGGTGTCATGGCTCATGCCTGTAATCCCAGCACTTTTGGGGGCCGAGGCAGGTGGATCACTTGAGGTCAGGAGTTCGAGACCAGCCTGGGCAATATGGTGAAACCCTGTCTCTACTAAAAGTACAAAACTTAGCCAGGCGTGGTAGTGCATGCCTATAGTCCCAGCTACTTGGGAGGCTGAGGCAGGAGAATCGCTTGAACCGAGGAGCTGGAGGCTGCAGTGAGCCGAGATTGCACCACTGCACTCCAGCCTGGGTGACAGAGGGAGACCCTGTTTCAAAAAAAAAAAAAAGAAAGAGAAAAAAAGAAAGAAGAAGGCAAGAGAGCAAGAAAGAAAGATAGAAAGAAGAAAGCAAGAGATCAAGAAAGAAAGAAAGAAGAAAGCAAGAGATCAAGAAACAAAGATAGAAAAAGAAAGAGAGAAAGAAAGAAAGAAGGAAGGAAGGAAGGAAAGAGAGAGAAAGAAAGAAGGAAAGAAAGAAAGAAAGAGAAATAAAGAAACCACTCTCCTAGAACCGCTTTCAGGGTAAATGGATTAACTGGTAACAAACAAAAAAGTTTGTTTTTCTTCCAACTCCAGGAGATACGGTTTTTTAGTTGTTTGTTTGTTTGAGACAGGGTCTCACTCCGTCACCCAGGCTGGAGTGCAGTGGTGTGATCGTGTCTCACTGCAACTTCAACCTCCTGGCCTCAAGCGATCCTCTCACCTCAGGCTCCCCAAGTAGCTGGGACTACAGACATGTGCCACCATGCCCAGCTGATTTTTAAGATTTTGTAGAGACAGGGTTCCACTATATTGCCCAGGCTAGTGTTGAACTCCTGGGCTCAAGTAATCCTCCTGCCTCAGCCTCCCAAAGTGCTGGGATTACAGGTGTGAGCCACGGCGCCCGGCCGAAACATGTTTTTATTCTCCTGATTCGGCTTGGTCTCTGTTGCACACAAGCCAGGATGCTGCTTCCTCCAGGAAGAGCTTCCCAGGGCTGGGGAACCCCTCCTAACACACTGTGCCTCCTCTGGCTCCCCTCACTAGCTCCCCATGTGTAGGTCTCACTGGGACAGCAGACAAGGGAGTTTCTTTACATCCACTCCTTACTTCTCTCTTTTTTTTTTTCCTTTTTTCTTCTTCTTTTTTTTTTGTTTGAGATAGAGTCTTGCTCTGTTGCCCACGCTGGAGTGCAGTGGTGCGATCTCGGCTCACTGCAACCTCCGCCTCTCAGGTTCAAGCAATTCTCCTGCCTCAGCCTCCCAAGTAGGTGGGATTACAGGCACGTGCCACCACACCTGGCTAATTTTTGTATTTTTAGTACAGACAAGTTTCACCATGTTGGCCAGCCTGGTCTCAAACTCCTGACCTCAAGGGATCCACCCACCTCAGCCTCCCAAAGTGCTGGGATTACAGGTGTGAGCCACTGCACGCGGTCTCTCTTTCTCTTTCTCTCCCTTCCTTCCTTCCTTCCTTCCTTTCTCTTTCTCTCTTATTTCTCTCTCTCTCTCTTTTTCTTTCTTTCTTTTTTTTATTGACAGAGTCTCACTATGTCGCCCAGGCTGGAGTGCAGTGGCACAATCTTGGCTCACTGCATTCTCTGCCTGCTGGGTTCAAGAGATTCTCCTGCCTCAGCCTCCCGAGTAGCTGGGATTACAGGTGGGCACCACCACGCCCAGTTAATTTTTTTATTTTTAGTAGAGACAGGGTTTCACCATATTACCCAGGCTGGGCTCGACTCCTGACTTCAAGTGATCTGCCCACCTAGGCCCTCCAAAATGCTGGGATTACAGGTGTTACCCACCTCACCTGGCCCGCTTTCTTTTCTTTCTTTCTTTTTCTTTATTTCTTTCTGTCTTTCTTTTCTTTTCTTTTCTTTTCTTTCTTTCTTTCTTTCTCTCTCTCTCCCTCCCTCCCTTCCTCCCTTCCTTCCTTTCTTCTTCCTTTCTTCCTTCCCCTTCCTTCCTCCCCTTCCCCTTCCCCTCCCTCTCTCCCTCTCTCTCTCTCTCTCTCTTTCTTTCTCTCTTTGTTCTTTCTCCACTTATGCTCAAATTCTATACTCACCTTTCTTAAGGACAGGGATGGTGTCCTGTCCACCACGGTGTCTCCAGAGCCTTGGACATTGCTGGGGCTGTAAGAATTCAGCAAACATTTGGCTGGATGCAGTGACTTATGCCTGTAATCCCAGCACTGTGGGAGGCTGAGGTGGCCAGCTCACTTGAGGTCAGCAGTTTGACACCAGTCTGGTCAACATGGTGAAACCATATCTCTACTAAAAATACAAAAATTAGCTGGATGTGGTGGTGCGCACCTATAGTCCCAGCTACTCGGGAGGCTGAGGCAGGAGAATTGCTTGAACCCAGGAGGTGGAGGTTGCAGTGAGCCGACCTGCACTCCAACCTGACAGAGCGAGACTCCATCTCAAAAAAAAGAAAAAAAGAACGAGCAAACATTTGCCACATAAATACATTCCAGAACCCTGTGCTGAAGGGTTATGGAGACAAAAGGAGGCTTCATGCTGGGCCTCCACATCCCTCTGTCCCTCTCTAGTATTGTGTCCTTACAGCAGCCAGACTCATCTTTATCAATGAGTCCTCTCATCGTGTGACTCCCCTGCTTAAAACTCCTTACTGTTGGCCGGGCCCGGTGGCCCATGCCTGTAATTCCAGCACTTTGGGAGGCCAAGGCAGGCAGATCACTTGAAGTCAGGAGTTCCAGACCAGCCTGGCCAACATGGTGAAACCCCATCTCTACTAAAAATACAAAAATTAGCCGGGCATGGTGGTGGGCACCTATAGTCCCAGCTACTTGGGAGGCTGAGACAGGAGAATTGCTTAAAGCCGGGAGGCAGAGGTTGCAGTGATCCAAGATCGCACCATTGCACTCTAGCCTGGGTGACAGAGCAAGACTCCATCTAAAAAAAAAAAAAACAAAAAACAAAACAAAACCTCTTTACTCTCTCCCTGTTACACTTATTTATTTATTTATTTATTTATTTATTTATTTATTTATTTATTTATTTGAGATAGGGGTCTTGCTCTGTTGCTCAGGCTGGAGTGCAGTGGTGTGACCACAGCTCACTGCAGCCTTGAACTCCTGGGCTCCAGCAATCCTCCTGCCTCGGCCTCCCAAGTAGCTGGCACTACAGGCATGTGCCACCACGCCCGGCTAATTTTTGTATTTTATGTAGAGATAGGGTCTCACTACATTGCCCAGACTGATTTCAAACTCCTGGGCTCAAGGGAGCCTCCCGCTTGAGCCTCTTGAGTAGCTGGGACTACAGGCGTGCGCCACTATGTCTGGCTAATTTTTATTTTTTATAGAGATGGGATCTCACTATGTTGACCAGGCTGGTCTTGAACTTCTGGGCTGAAGCAATCCTCCCACCTGGGAGTGCTGGGATTACAGGCATGAGTCACCCATGCCTGGTGGCTTCTTTTCTTATAAGGACACCTGTCATATTGGATCAGAGTCCCATCCTTATGACCTCATTAAAACTTACAGCCAGGCATGGCGGCTCACGCCTGTAATCCCAGCACTTTGGGAGGCCGAAGTGGGTGGATCACCTGAGGTCAGGAGTTTGAGACCAGCCTGGCCAACGCGGTGAAACCCCATCTCTGCTAAAAATACAGAAAGTATCTGGGTGTGGTGGCGCATGCCTGTAGTCCCAGCTACTCGGGAGACTGAGGTAAGAGGATTGCTTGAGCCAGAGGAGGCAGAGGCTGCAGTGAGCTGAAATCGTGGGTAACATGCCTGGGTAACACAGCAAGACTCTGTCTCTAAATAAATAAATAAAAATAAAAACAAAGTAGCCAGGTGTGGTGGTGCATGCCTGTGGTCCCAGCTGCTTGGGAGGGTGAGGTGGGAGAATCACTTGAGCTTGGGGAGGTGGAGGCTGCCGTGAGCTGTGATCACACCTCTGCACTCCAGCGTCGGTGACAGAGTGAGACCCTGTCTCAAAACAAAAAAAGGATGGAAAAAAAACCTTACTTACTTGTTGAACTTCTGGGCTGAAGCAATCCTCCCGCCTGGGAGTGCTGGGATTACAGGCATGAGTCACCCAGGCCTGGCTTCTTTTCTTATAAGGACATCTGTCATGTTGGATCAGAGTCCCATCCTTATGACCTCATTAAAACTTACAGCCTGGCACAGCAGCTCACGCCTGTAATCCCAGCACTTTGAGAGGCCGAGAAGTGGGAAGCCCAGATGGCAGCCTAGACCCTGGGAACCACAGCAGATGGGGGCTCCTGGGAGATCCACACAGAGGAATCTGGAGCCCAGGAAGCAACCTGGAGGGTACAGGGAAGGGGCTTCAGCCACAGGGAAGGGCCTGGAGGGAAGAGAGCAGGAGCCAGGGCCGCCAGCTATGGGCTGACATCAAGGGCATACTCAAGGTCCTGACTGAGGGGGCCTCGGACACAAGTACCAAGAGGGAGTTTCAGCCAGGCGTGGTGGCTCACACCTGTAATCCCAGCCCTTTGGGAGCTGAGGCGGGTGGATCACGAGGCCAGGAGTTTGAGACCAGCCTGGCCAACATGACAAAACCTTGTCTCTACTAAAAATACAAAAATTAGCCAGGTGTGGTGGCGGGTGCCTGTAATCCCAGCTACTCGGGAGGCTGAGGCAGGAGAATTGCTTGAACCCGGGAGGCAGAAGTTGCAGTGAGCCGAGATCGTGCCATTGCACTCCAGCCTGCGTGACAAGAGCAAGACTCTGTCTCAAAAAGAAAAAAAGAAAAAAAAAAAAAAAAGGAGGAGTTTCAGCAGAAGCCATTTATAGACAGACATGCCTCTTGGGTGAAGGGACTCAAATTTTTTTTTTTTTGAAATGGAGTCTCTATCGCCCAGGCCGGAGTGCAGTGGCGTAATCTTGGCTCACTGCAAACTCCACCTTCCAAACTCAAGCTATTCTCCTGCCTCAGCCTCCCGAGTAGCTGAGACTACAGGCACTCACTATCACACCTGGCTAATTTTTGTATTTTTAATAGAGACGGGATTTCACCACATTGGCCAGGTTGGTCTTGAACTCCTGACCTCCAGTGATCTGCCTGCCTCGGCCTCCCACAGTGCTGGGATTACTGGTGTGAGCCACCATGTCCAGCCTCAAATGTTTTATAAACAGGGTATAATCACTTACCCATACAGGAGGAAAGCTGATAAATAAAACTATATTAAAATCCATTAGAAGACATCCATAAGAGGCCAGGCACAGCAGCTCCTGCCTGTAATCCTAGCACTTTGGGAGGCTGAGGTGGGAGGATCACTTAAGTCCAGGAGATTGAGGCCAGGAATTCAAGACCAGCCTGGGCAACACAGCAAGACCCCATCTCTACAATTTTTTTTTTAAGTTAGCAGAACATGGTGGTGCATGCCTGTAGTTCCAGCTACTCAGAAGGCTGAGGTGGGAGGACTGCTTGAGCCCAGGATCTTGAGGTTGCAGGGAGCTATGATTGCACCACTGCAAAGAAAAGAAAAAGAAAAGAAAGAGAGAGAAAGAGGTATGGAGGGAGGGAGGGAGGGAGGATGGAAGGAAGGAAGGAAGGAAGAAAGAAAGAAAGAAAGAAAGAAAGAAAGAAAGAAAGAAAGGAAGGAAGGAAGGAAGGAAGGGAGAGAGACAGAAAGAGAGAGAGAGAAAGAAAGAAAGAAAAAGAAAGAGAAAAGGAGGGAGAGAGCTGGGGAAGAAGGAAGAAAAGAAGGGAAAGAAAGAAAGAGAGGTAGGGAGGAATGGAGGGAAGGAAGGAAGGAAGGGAGGGAGGGAGGGAGGGAGAACCGTAAGACGTAGAAAGGCAATCTGTGGGATGGGAGATTATTTCTGCAATACATCTGTACTGGGTTGAATAATATACCCCAAGAATTCATTGTCCACCCAGAACCTCAGAAATGTGAGTTATTTGGGAATGGCTGTTTGTAAATGTCCTTACGTAAGCCAAGAGGAGGTCTTGACTTGGGGTCCCAGGGGTACCGCAGATCCCAGGGACTGGAGCAGCACTAGCAAGCTCTGGAGGATGAGCCAGGAGTCTGGAATTGAGGCTGAGCCAAAGACCCCAGGTAAGGGTCAGGGACTTTGTTTCTGGGAACCTGCCAGGTTGGGGTTTGGAAGGAAGTAATGGGCCTTGTTTGGTGGTGGGGAGGGGGGCAAAGTGTGGGGGTTTCTCATTGCAGAAGAGAATTTTCAGAGGATAGACTCCATTGCCAAAGGCAGGGAAAGGCAGAAGTATGGAAAACAGCTGGGGTCTGACATGCTGTAGGCAGCCAGCACTTTCTCTTGAAATGAGAAACATTCTGGCAAAAAAAAAAAAAAAAGAGAAAAAGAGAAATGGATGTTCCCAGAAGAGTGGCAAAGAGAGAGAGAGAGAGAAATATTCTCATCTCAAGGAAGGAGGGAGAGAACGTAGGGAGGCCATGGCTCCCATATTACATTTCCTTAACTGCAGAATTATTTGTTTTGTTTATTCGCCATATCATTTCATTCCTCTTTACTAATTTATTGAAATATAATATACATATAGAAAAGTACGCAGGCCAGGCACGGTGGCTGGCACCTATAATCCCAGCACTTTGGGAGGCTGAGGCAGGAGGATCACTTGAGGCCAGGAGTTTGAGACCAGCCTGGGCAACACAGAGAGACCCCCCCGCCCGCCACATCTCTACAAAAAAAAAAAAAAAAATCAAAAAATGAACTGGGCACGGTGGTGCGCACCTGTAGTCCTGGCTACTCGGGTGGCTAAGGAGGGAGAATCCCTTGAGCCTTGGAAAGTTGAGGCTGCAGTGAGCTATGACAGCATCACTGCACTCCAGCCTGGGTGACAGAGTGAGATCCTATCTTAAAAAACAAGAAAAAGAGAAAAGAAAGGTATGCAAACTCTAAGAGTACAACTCAAAGAATTTCCACAAGGGTTAAAAGGTGAACCAGCACCCAGATAAAGGAACAGAGCATACCAGCCCCCAGAACGCCCCCTTGAAACCGCTTTAAGTCAGTTGCCCCAAAGGGTGACCACTCTTCTGACTCCCATCTTTTTTTTTCTTCTTTTTTTTTTTTTGGACGGAGTCTTGCTCTGTCGCCCAGACTAGAGTGCAGTGGTGTGATCTTGGCTCACTGCAATCTCCACCTCCCGAGTTCAAGGGATTCTCCTGAGTAGCTGGGATTACAGACGCACACCACCACACCTGGCTAATGTTAGTACTTTTAGTAGAGATGGGTTTCACTCGCGTCCATGTGAAGAGACCACCAAACAGGCTTTGTGTGAGCAATAAAGCTTTTTAGTCACCTGGGTGCAGGCGGGCTGAGTCCAAAAAGAGAGTCAGCCAAGGGAGATAGGGGTGGGGCCGTTTTATAGGATTTGGGTAGGTAATGGAAAATTACAGTCAAAAGGGGTTGTTCTCTGGCGGGCAGGGGTGAGGGACACAAGGTGCTCAGTGGGGGAGCTTTTGAGCCAGGATGAGCCAGGAGAAGGAATTTCACAAGGTAATGTCATCAATTAAGGCAAGAACAGGCCATTTTCACTTCTTTTGTGATTCTTCAGTTACTTCAGGCCATCTGGATGTATACGTGCAGGTCACTGGGGGATACGACGGCTTAGCTTGGGCTCAGAGGCCTGACATTCCTGTCTTCTTATATTAATAAGAAAAATAAAACGAAATAGTGGTAAAGTATTGGGGCGGCGAAAATTTTTGGGGGTGGTATGGAGAGATAATGGGCGATATTTCTCAGGGCTGCTTCGAGAAGGATTAGGGGCGGCATGGGAACCTAGAGTGGGAGAGATTAAGTTGAAGGAAGATTTTTGTGGTAAGGGGCGATATTGTGGGGTTGTTAAAAAGAGCATTTGTCATATAAAACGATTGGTGAAGGCCCGGATGCCGTTCTGTATGAATTGAGAAACTAAACGAAAGACACAAGTTCCGAATAAGAGAAGGAGAAAAACAGGTATTAAAGGACTAAGAATTGGGAGGACCCAGGACATCCAATTAGAGAGTGTCCAAGGGGGTTTAGTGTAATTACTTGTTTGGTTGGTGAGTTTTTGGGCTCTGTTTTTGACAGAGTCCTTTTATTTTTTTTTTTAAGTTGAGAGGCTGAGCTTGGGGGGTGTGTCTTTTTTTTTTTTTTTTTTTTTTTGCTTTTGGAGACGGAGTCTCACTCTGTCGCCCAGGCTGGAGTGCAGTGGTGTGATCCCGGCTCACTGCAAGCTCCACATCCCAGGTTCACACCATCCTCCTGCCTCAGCCTCCCGAGTAGCTGGGACTACAGGTGCCTGCCACCACGCTTGGCTAATTTTTTTGTATTTTTAGTACAGACGGGGTTTCACCATGTTAGCCAGGATGATCTTGATCTTCTGACCTTGTGATCTGCCCGCCTCAGCCTCCCAAAGTTCTGGGATTACAGGCGTGAGCCACTGTGCCCGGCTGGTGAGGTGTGTCTTTAAAAAACCATTAGTCCGTTTTACCTTTCCTGAAGATTGAGGATGGTAAGGGGTACGAAGTTTCCACTGAATACCAAGAGCCTGAGAAACTGCTTGGGTGATTTGACTAATAAAGGCCAGTCCATTATCGGACTGTATAGAGGTGGGAAGGCCAAACCGAGGAATTACGTCTGACAGAAGGGAAGAAATGACTGCAGTGACCTTCTCAGACCCTGTGGGAAAGGCCTCTACCCATCCAGTGAAAGTGTCTACCCAGACCAAGAGGTATTTTAGTTTCCTGACTCAGGGTGAGTAAAGTCAATTTGCCAGTCCTGGGCGGGGGCAAATCCCCCAGCTTGATGTGCAGGAAAGGGATGGGGCCTGAACAATCCCTGAGGAGTAGTAGAATAGCAGATGGAACCCTGATAAATGATTTCCTTGAGGATAGATTTCCATGATGGAAAGGAAATGAGAGTTTCTAAGAGGCGGGCTAGCAGCTTGTAACCTACATGGAAGAGGTTATGAAATGACAGAATAGAATGGGCCTGTGAGGCTGGAAGGAGATATTTTCCTTGGTTTAAGAACCATTTGTCTTGTGTGGGAAAAGATTGATAGGTGGAAGTTTCAGTGGGAGAGTAGGTGGGAGTGACCGATGAGAAGAAGAAAAACTGGCCATTGGAACGTTAGCTGCTTCTTTAAAAGCTACCTTATCAGCATAAGCGTTGCCCTGAGCTACGGGATCTGATGCCTTTTGATGGCCCTGCTTTGACTCCAGCTTTCTTTGGAAGTAAAGCGGCCTTGAGAAGAGTTTTTATTAAAGAGGCATTAATGATGGAGGACCCTTACGAGGGAGGAAACCTTTCAGCCCATAAAACAGTATGGTGGCGCAGGATATGGGGTCAGTATAAATATTGACGCGTAGTCCCTTTGCAAGAGTGAGGGCCCGAGTTAAGGCAATGAGTTTGACTTGCTGAGAGGTAGTGGAGGGAGGCAGAGCGGTAGCCTCAATGATAGATGTGGAAGATACTATAGCATAGCCTGCCTTTTTTGGTGAGTGGCGATCAGGCCTGGTGGAACTGCCATCAATAAACCAAATGTGATCAGGGTGAGGAACAGGAAAGAAGGAAATATGCGGAAATGGGGTGAATGTCAGCTGGATCAGAGAGATACAGTCATGGGAGTCAGGTGTTGTATCTGGAATAATGTGGGAGGCCGGATTGAAGTCTGGGCCAGGAACAATGGTAATTGTGGGAGACTCAACAGAGACTGAGTATAGCTGAAGGAGCCAGGGAGCAGAAAGTATATGTGTCAGGTGTGAGGAAGACAATAGATTTTGGAAGTTATGAGAACTGTAGAGAGTGAGTTGAGCATAGTTTGCGATTTTGAGGGCCTCTAAAAGTATTAGGGTGGCAGCAGCCGCTGCATGGAGACATGATGGCTGGCCTAAAACAGCAAGGTCAAGTTGTTTGGACAAAAAGGCTACAGGGCGCGGTCCCGGTCCTTGTGTAAGAATTCCAACTGCACAGCCCTGCACTTTGGCTGTGTGTAATGAAAAGGGTTGGGATGAGTCAGGGAGAGCTAGAGTGGGGGCAGTCTCTAAAGCTGTCTTCAAGGAACGGAAAGAGGAATGGGGAAAGGATTTAGGATCGATAGGGTCAGCTAGGTTTCCTTTTGTGAGTTTATGTAAAGGTTTTGTTAGGATGGCAAAACCAGGTATCCAAAGGTGAAAGTATCCAACCATGCCCAGGAAGGAAAGGACTTGTTGTTAAGTAGAAGGTGTTGGGGTTTGAGAGATCAGTCAGACATGATCGACAGGGAGAGCACGTGTGTTTTTATGAAGAATTATGCCGAGGTAGGTAATGGATGGAGAAGAAATTGGAGCTTTGTGGGGGATACCTGATATCCTTTGGAGAATAAATGTTGAAGGAGCAGGAGAGTGTCTTGTTGAGAAGATTCAAAGGAGGGGCTACAAAGTAGAAGGTCATCAATATATTGAATAAGGTGAGAAGCAGAGGGGTAGAAAGAAAATAAATCATGGGAAAGAGCTTGGCTGAAGTAATGAGGGCTGTCCCTGAAGCCTTGCGGTAGCACAGCCCTGGTAAGCTGCGGGGACTGATGGGTGTCAGGGTCAGTCCAGGTAAAAGCAAAGAGAGGCTGGGATGAGGGGTGCAGGGGAAGAGTGAAAAAAGCATCTTTAAGATCAAGAACAAAATAGTGAGTTGTGGAGGAAGGTATTGAGGACAAAAGAGTGTATGGGTTGGGCACTACGGGGTGGATAGGCAAAACAATTTGGTTGATAAGGTGCAGATCCTGAACTAACCTGTAAGACTTGTCTGGTTTTTGGACAGGTAAAATGGGGAAATTGTAAGGAGAGCTTTTATGTTTTAGAAGCCCATGCTGTAACAGGCGAGTAATAACAGGCTTTAATCCTTTTAAAGCATGCTGTGAGATGGGATATTGCCGTTGAGCGGTGTAAGGGTGATTAGGTTTTAATGGGATGGTAAGGGGTGCATGATCGGTCACCAAGGGGGGAGTAGAGGTGTCCTATACTTGTGGTTTAAGGTGGGGAGATACAAGGGGAGGATGTGAAGGAGGCTTTGAACTGGGGGAAAAGGTGGCAATGAGGTGTGGCTGTAACCCAGGAATAGTCAGGGAAGCAGATAATTTAGTTAAAATTTCTGAACCTAATAAGGGAGCTGGGCAGGTGGGGATAACTAAAAAGGAGTGCATAAAAGAATGTTGTCCAAGTTGGCACCAGAGTTGGGGAGTTTTAAGAGGTTTAGAAGCCTGGCCATCAATATCCACAACAGTTATGGAGGCAAAGGAAAAAGGCCTTTGAAAAGAAGGTAATGTGGAGTGGGTAGCCTCTGTATTGATTAAGAAGGGGACGACTTACTCTCCACTGTAAGAGTTACCCAAAGCATCTGTGATGGTCCAGGAGGCTTCCGAGGTGTTCAGGCAGTGTCAGTCTTCAGCCGTTAAGCCGAGAAGATCTGGGAAGGAGTCAGTCAGAGAGCCTTGGGCCAGAGTTCCAGGGGCTCTGGGAGTGGCTGCTGGGCGAGTTGGACATTCCGATTTCCAGTGGGGTCCCACACAGATGGGACACAGCTTAGGAGGAATCCTGGGCTGTGGGCATTCCTTGGCCCAGTGGCCAGATTTCTAGCACTTATAGCAAGCTCCTGGGGGAGGAGGTTCTGGAGGAACCCCTGGCAGCTGCGGTTCAGGCGTTTGGAAGCTCTTGTGTGATGGAGATGTGGCTGGGGTTTGTCTCACAGTGGGGGCAAGGAATTACAACTTAGAAATACATTGCTACTTGGCTTCCTCTACTCTATTATTGTACACCTTGAAGGCGAGGTTATTAAGTCCTATTGTGCGGTTTGAGGCTGGAATTTAATTTTTGGAGCTTTATTTAATGTCAGGAGCAGATTGGGTAATAAAATAAAATGTATATTGAGAATAAGACGGACTTCTGACCTTTCAGGGTGTAGGGCTGTAAAGCATCTCAGAGTTGCTGCTAAGTGGGCAATGAACTGGACTGGGTTCTTTACCTTGGGTAGTTTCTTTCTTTTTTTTTTTTTTTTTGAGCTGGAGTCTCGCTCTGTTGCCCAGGCTGGTGTGCAGTGGCACGATCTCAGCTCACTGCAAGCTCCACCTACCGGGTTCACGCCATTCTCCTGCCTCAGCCTCCCGAGTAGCTGGGACTACAGGCGCCTGCCACCACTCCTGGCTAATTTTTTGTATTTTTAGTAGAGATGGGGTTTCACCGTAGTCTCGATCTCCTGACCTCGTGATCCGCCCACCTCGGCCTCCCAAAGTGCTGGGATTACAAGCGTGAGCCACCGTGCCTGGCTGGTAGTTTCTTTAAGTTTGTCATAATTAACAGCTTTGTAAGCTGCCTTTTTAAGCCCTTCAACCTGGCAGGAAACCATGTAATCTCACCTAGCTATACCTGGGGAATCAGCCTGATAGTTCCATTTTGGATCTCCTAGGGGAACTGCTCTAATAACTTCCTGGAGGTCTGGCTCGTGAAGCCGGCGGTTATCAGTGTGAGATTGGGCTAGAGAAAAAACTCTTTCCTGTTCATCTGGGGAGAGGGTAGAAGTTAGGATGACATTTAAGTTACTCCAGGTTAAATTGTAGGACAGAGTTAGATATCGGAATTCCTGTATATATTTAGTGGGGTCTGATGAGAAAGAGCCTAAACACTGGCTGATTTGGGAATGTCTGATAGAGAAAAAGGCACATGTACCCTGACTATGTCTTCAGCTCCAACCACCTCTCTAAGAGGAAATTGTTGGACAGGTCGGGGAGGGCTAGTCACGGAACGAAACTGTAAGCCAGACCGGGTGTGAGGAGGGGAGGTGATAGAAGGATGATAGGGTTGGGGAGCAGAGGCTGAGGAAAATTGGGACCTGGTTTGGCCTGGTGAGGAGCAGCCTGGAGAAAAGGGGAGAGGTCAGATGAGTCCATAGAAAAGAAGGATTCAAAGGACTCAGAGCTTGGGGTGGAGACTGAAGGAACAGACAGGAGAGAAAGAAGAAAGATTTGGGATGAGTCTCATTGGGAGCAGAGACTAGGGAGGGACTAATGTGTAAAAGAATGCCTGGACGTCAGGCACCTCAGGCCATTTGCCCATTTTTCGACAAAAATTATCTAGATCTTGTAGGATAGACAAATGGAAGGTGCCATTCTCTGGCCACTTGGAGCTAGTGTCGAGTTTGTATTGGGCCAAGCGGTATTGCAGAAGAAAATAAGACGCTTAGATTTTAGGTCAGGTGAGAGTTGAAGAGGTTTTAAATTCTTGAGAACACAGGCTAAGGGAGAAAAAGGAAGAATGGAGGGTGGAAAGTTGCCCATAGTGAAGGGGACAAGTTTAAAGAGAAGGGTAGAGACATGGAGAAGGGGGGTGGGGAGCAGCCCTGGGCTGCAATGTGGGTGAGCAGCCAAACCAGGTGTCCCCGCAATTGACTTGCCACCAAGGGAATGTGGGTGAATGACCAAGGCAGGCGTCCACGCAGAGATCAGACACCAATGCAACGTGGGTGAATAATCAGAGAGGCGTCCCCGCAATGATTAAACACCAAGGGAAGGCTGCCTTCCCGAGTCCGTGACTGGCGCCGGAGTTTTGGGTCCACGAATAAAATGTGTCTCCTTTGTCTGTACCAGAAAATGAAAGGAATTGAAATTAAGAGAAGGGAGAGATTGAAGGGTGGCGCCAAGATTGAAAGGAAAAAGAGGTTGAGGGATAGTGAGAGAGGTTGGAGAAGAGAGTAAAAAGAGGCCACTTACCCAATTTTAAATCAGTGAGATATTCCTTGGGCTGGTTGGTCTGAGGACCAGAAGTCATAGGTGGATCACTTCATGGAGTGAGGGTGAGGACAGGGGACTGGTCTCCCGAAGGAGTCCCACTGACCTGGGTCTTCAGCACCAAATGTCTCACGTGTCCATGTGAAGAGACCACCAAACAGGCTTTGTGTGAGCAACAAAGCTGTTTATTTCACCTGGGTGCAGGTGGGCTGAGTCCGAAAAAGGAGTCAGTGAAGGGAGATAGGGGTGGGGCTGTTTTATAGGATTTGGATAGGTAAAGGAAAATTACAGTCAAAGGGGGTTGTTCTCTGGCGGGCAGGGGCGGGGGTCACAAGATGCTCAGTGGGGGAGCTTTTGAGCCAGGATGAGCCAGGAAAAGGAATTTCACAAGGTAATGTCATCAGTTAAGGCAGGAACAGGCCATTTTCACTTCTTTTGTGATTGTTCAGTTACTTCAGGCCATCTGGATGCATACGTGCAGGTCACTGGGGATATGATGGCTTAGCTTGGGCTCAGAGCCCTGACAGTGAGTTAGACAGTCCTATTTTCATTGGGGTCCCACACAGATGGGACAAGGCTTAGGAGGAATCCTGGGCTGCGGGCATTCCTTGGCCCAGTGGCCAGATTTCTGGCACTTGAATCAAGATCCTGGGGTAGGAGGTTCTGGAGGAACCCCTGGCAGCTGCGGTTCAGGAGTTTGGAAGTTCTTGTGTGCTGGAGATGTGGCTGGGGTTTGTCTCACAGTGGAGGCAAGGAATTGCAACTCAGAAATACGTTGCTACTTGGCTGCCTCTACTCTATTATTGTATACCTTGAAGGCAAGGTTAATTAAGTCCTGTCGTGGGGTTTGAGGGCCAGAATTTAATTTTTGGAGTTTTATTTAATGTCGGGAGTGGATTGGGTAATAAAATGTAAATTGAGAATAAGACGGCCTTCTGACCTTTCAGGGCCTAGGGCTGTAAAGCCGCTAAGGGTTGTTGTGAAATGGGCCATGAACTGGGCTGGGTTTTTCATATTTGATGAAAGAGCCTAAATGCTAACTGATTTGGGAGAGTTCAGATAAAGAAAAAGGAGCATTAACCTTGACTATGCCTTTAGCTCCCGCCACCTTTTTAAGAGGAAATTGCTGGGCAGGTGGGGGAGGGCTAGTCATGGAACGAAACTGTAAGCCGGACGGGGTGTGAGGAGGTGAGGTGATAAAAGGATTGTAGGGTGGGGGAGCGGAGGCTGAGGAAAAACTGGGACCTGGCTCGGCCTGGCAACGAGCAGCCTGTGGAGGAGGGGAGAGGTCAGATGGGTCCATAGAAAAGGAAGATTGGAAAGACTCAGAGACGCTTGGGGTTGGGACTGAGGGGACAGGCGGGAGGGAAAGAAGCAAGATTTGGGATGAGTTGCATTGGGAACAGAGACTAGCGAGGGACTGATGTGTAAAAGAATGCCTGGACGTCAGGCACCTCAGACTGTTTGCCTATGTTATGACAAGAATTATCTAGATCTTGAAGGATGGAAAAATCGAAAGTGCCATTTTTCTGGCTATTTGGAACAACTGTCGAGTTTGTATTGGGGTCAAGTGGTGCTGCAGAAGAAAATAAGGCATTTAGGTTTTAGGTCAGGTGTCGGTTGAAGAGGTTTTAAAAGTTTTTGAGAACACAGGCTAAGGGAGAAGAGAGAGGAATGGAGGGTGGAAGGTTGTCCATAGTGAAGGAGGCAAGCCCAGAGAAAAGAGAGGGTAGAGACACAGAGAGAAAAGTTAGTGGGTGCTTGTGCCCCAGGAAAGTGGAGAGAAAAGATAGGGTAGAGACACGGAGAGAAGGGGTGGGGAATGCTTGCCTCCCAGGAAAGTGGAGAAGGGGTGGGAGGTGCTTGCCCCCCAGGAAAGTGGAAAAAGGGGTGGGAAGTGTTTGCCCCCCAGGAAAGTGGAGAAAAGGTAGGAGGTGCTTGCCCCCCAGGAAAGTGGAAAAGGGATGGGAGGTGCTTGCCCCCCAGAAAAGTGGAGAAAAGAGAGGGTAGAGACATGGACAGAAGGGGTGGGGGGTGCTTGCCCCCCAGGAAAGTGGAAAAGGGGTAGGAGGTGCTTGTCCCCTAGGAAAGTGGAGAGAAAAGAGAGGGTAGAGACATGGACAGAAGGGGAGGGGGGTGCTTGCCCCCCAGGAAAGTGGAGAAAGGGTGGGAGGGGCTTGCCCTCCAGGAAAGTGGAAAAGGGATAGAGACACAGAGAGAAGGGGTGGGGAGCAGCCCTGGGCTGCAATGTGGGTGAGCAGCCAAAGCAGGCGTCCCTGCAATTGACTTGCCACCAAGGGAATGTGGGTGAATGACCAAGGCAGGCGTCACTGCGGTGATCAGACAACAATGAAATGTGGGTGAATAATCAGGCACGCGTCCCCGCGTGATTAAACACCAAGGGAAGACTGTCTTCCCGAGTCCATGACTGGAGCCGGAGTTTTGGGTCCACGGATAAAACGCATCTCCTTTGTCTCTACCAGAAAAGGAAAGGAACTGAAATAAAGAGAAGAGAGAGATTGAAGGGTGGTGCCAAGATTGAAAGGAGAAAGAGGTTGAGGGATAGTGAGAGAGATTGGAGAAGAGAGTAAAGAGAGGCCACTTACCCAATTTAAAATTGGTGAGATGTTCCTTGGGCTGGTCGGTCTGAGGACCTGAGGTCATAGGTGGATCTTTCTTACGGAGCAAAGAGCAGGAGGACATGGGATTTATCTCCCAAGGGAGGTCCCCCGATCCGAGTCACAGCACCAAATTCCACTCGCGTCCGTGTGAAGCGACCACCAAACAGGATTTGTGTGAGCAATAAAGCTTTTTAATCACCTGAGTGCAGGCGGGCTGAGTCTGAAAAGAGTCAGCGAAGGGAGATAGGGGTGGGGCTGTTTTATAGGATTTGGGTAGGTAATGGAAAATTACAGTCAAATGGGGTTGTTCTCTGGCGGGCAGGGGTGGGGGACACAAGGTGCTCAGTGGGGGAGCTTTTGAGCCAGGATAAGCCAGGAGAAGGAATTTCACAAGGTAATGTCATCAGTTAAGGCAGGAACAGGCCATTTTCACTTCTTTTGTGATTCTTCAGTTACTTCAGGCCATCTGGATGTATACGTGCAGGTCACTGGGGATATGATGGCTTAGCTTGGGCTCAGAGGCCTGACAATGGGGTTTCACCATGTTGGTCAGGCTGGTCTTGAACTCCTGACCTAGTGATCTGCCCCCCCCACCTTGGCCTCCCAAAGTGCTGGGATTACAGGCATGAGCCACCGTGCCCGGCATGACTCCCATCCTTTAAAGATTAGTTTTATGGGCATGGTGGCTCAGGAGGCTGATGCAGGGGAATAGCTTGAGCCTGGGAAGCAGAGGTTGCAGTGAGCTGAGATTGAGCCACTGCATTCCAGCCTGGGCAACAGAGCAAGACTCTGTCTCAAAAAAAAAAAAAAAAGTGCAAAGAACCCTTAATAGACATTTCTCAAAGACATACGAATGACCACCAGGTACATTAAAAAAAAAAATGCTCAACATCACTAATCATTAGAGAAATGCAAATCAAAACCACAGTGAGATATATCACTTCACACCATTAGAATGGCTATTTATCAAAAAGACAAGTGAAGCCTGGGCAACATGGCAAAACCTCATCTCTACCAAAAAAAAAAAAAAAACCACACCAAAAATACAGAAACTAGCCAGACATGGTGACACACACCTGTAGTCCCAGCTACTCAGGAAGCTGAGGTGGGAGGATCGCTTGAGCCCAGGAGGTCAAGGCTGCAGTGAGCTATGATCGTGCCACTGCCCTCCAGCCTGGGTGACAGAGTGAGACCATGTCTCAATTAGAACAAAACATTTAAAAAGGACAAATGATAAGTGTTGATGAGATGTGGAGACAAGGGAACCCTCGACTCTGTTGGTGGGAATGTAAATTGGTTCAGTCATTATGGAAAACAGCAGGGAGTTTCTTCAGAAAGTTCAAATAGGCAATAGGAGTGCCAGTACATCCCAGCAACCTCACTTCTGGGTACCTATCAAAGGTAATTGAAATAAATATGTCGGCTGGGGTTGGTGCCTCATGCCTGTAATCCCAGCACTTTGGGAGGCCGAGGCGGGTGAATCACCTGAGGCCAGGAGTTCGAGACCAGCCTGGACAAACATGGTGGCAACATGCAGAGGCTGCAATGAGCCAAGATCGTGCCACTGCACTCCAGCCTGGGCAACAGAGTAAGACTCCATCTCAAAAAAAAAAAAAAGATTAGTTTTGCTTGTTTGGTTTGGTACTTTACACAGGTGGAATCCTACAACATTATTCTTTCTTATCTAGCTGCTGCTGCTTTTTTTTTTTTTTTTTTTTTCTGAGACAGGATCTCACTCTGTTGGGTAGTCCTGAGCTTTGAACTCCTGGGCTCCAGCAATCCTCCTACCTCAGCCTCCCAAGCAGCTGGGACCAAAGGCATGTACCACCAAACTCAGATAATTTTGCTTACTTTTTGTAGAGATGGAGTCTTGCTATATTGCCCAGGCTTGTCTCCAACTACTGGGCTCAAGCGATCCTCCTATCTCGGCTTCCTAAAGTGCTGGGATTAGCAGTGTGAGCCACTACACCTGGCTTATATCTGACTTTTTCCCCTCAGCATTAGGTTGTGAGTTGCAAGTAACTGTAGTTCATTCTCACTGCGGAATAGTATTGTATTATGTTATTAAATGACAATTTATTTTCCATTCTACTATTGACAGACATGAGGGTCATTTCCAGTTTGGAGCTATTATAAATAATGCTGCTATGAATATTCTAGTGTGTGTCTTTTGGTGGACATAGGAACACGTTTTTGTTTTTGTTTTTTAAGATGGAGTTTCACTCTTGCTGCGCAGGCTGGAGTGCAGTGGTGCAATCTCGGCTCACTGCAATATCCACCTCCCAGGTTCAAGCGATTCTCCTGTCTCAGCCTCCTGAGTAGCTGAAATTACAGGTGTCCACCACCACACCCGGCTAATTTTTTGTATTTTTAGTAGAGACCGGGTTTCACTATGTTGGCCAGGCTGGTCTCAAACTCCTGACCTCAGGTGATCCACCCACTTCGGCCCCCCAAAGTGCTGGGATTACAGTTGTGAGCCACCGCGCCTGGCCATGAACACGTTTCTGACGGGTACATGCCTAGGAGTGGAATTGCTCGATTATAGAGTGTGCATATGTTTGGCTTTAATAAATACTGCCAATAGTTTTCCACCCCACCCCCAGCAGTATGACTTGCCATGCACCACATCCTCACTAACGTTTGATGTTTTCTGTCTTTTTCCATTGTAGCCATCTGGTGAGTGTGTGCATAGTGGCACACTGCGGTTTAAGTGTGTATTTCTGTGATGACTAATAAAACCAAGTTGCTTTTTATATTCACCATGTGGGTTTCCTTCTCGTAAAGTGTTCACGCCTCAGCCATTATCTTTCTTTTTTTCTTTCCTTCTTCTTTCTTTCTTTCTTGCTTGCTTTCCTTCTTCCTTCCTTCCTTCCTTCCTTCCTTCCTTCCTTCCTTCCTTCCTTCCTTCCTTCCTTCCTTCCTTCCTTTTTGGAGTGCAGTGATGCAATCGTAGCTCACTGCAGCCTCCACCTCCTGGCCTCAAGCGATCCTCCTGCCTCAGCCTCCCAAAGTGCTAGGATTACAGGAGTGAGCCACCATGCCCAGCCCCAGCTAATTAAAAAATTTTTTTGGCTGGGTGTGGTGGCTCACACCTGTAATCCCAGCACTTGGGAGACCGAGGCAGGTGAATCACCTGAGCTCAGGAGTTCAAAACCAGCCTGGCCAACATGGTGAAACCCCATCTCTACCAATAATACAAAAATTAGTCGGGCATGGTGGTGTGCGCCTGTAATCCCAGCTACTTGGGAGGCTGAGACAGGAGAATCGTGTGAACCTGGGAGGCGGAGATTGCAGTGAGCTGAGATTGTGCCACTGCACTCCAGCCTGGGCGACAGAGTGAGACTCTGTCTCAAAAAAAAAAAAAAAAAAAAAGAGTGTGAACTAATTTGAAAATAGGGCCTTTGCAGAAGTAATTAGTGAAGAGGAGGACATACTGGATTACAGTGGGCTCTAAATCCAATATGTCTTTATAAGAAGGCCATGGAGGGTGGTGGCTCACTGCTGTAATCCCAGTACTTTGGGAGGTGGGAGGATGCCTTCAGCCACTGCACTCCAGCCTGGGTGACAGAATGAGACTCAGTCTCAAAGAAAAAAAAAACTAAAAAAAGGAAAGTTCAGTCTAAAGAAGAGAACATCAGGGCAAACATGATCATGGCTTCAGCGGATACTGTCAGGTAACTCCCCGTATCCCTTCAGCAGTCACTTTTGTAAACCAAAGGCCACTTCCTGGGGACTCTTCCTGAGGGCCTTGTTCCTGGTCACAGAGAACCCTCAGTTTGATCATAACACAAGCCAGGAGTGTAGGGTGCAGCCCTCAACCAGTGACAGCAGGGAACTGGGGGGTACCTGACCCACCCGCTAAGCCAGCTCTGAGGTCTGCCCTGCACAGGCTCCCAGAACTCCTTGGCTGCTCACGCCATGCCCTGCTTAATAACTCCCCTTGCGTTGCTGCCTCTGCTTCCTTGCCTCAGTTTCCCCCTCCTCTCCTGGGGCTCCCGTGGAATCACCTCCCAAATAAAGGACTTGCACCAGAATCCTTGTCTCAGGGCCTGCTGGAGGAACTGAAATAAAAACAACGATCTTCAAATCTGCCTAAGCCTCAATTTCCTTTATCTTCCAAAATAAAAGACAAGTTAAGCATTTTTGTAAAGAACAGGGTCAATAGGTAGAAGAAATGGGAATATAGATTTCAGTCAAAAAAGAATTTGTTTTTTTTCCTTCTGAAATGGAGTCTCGCCCTGTTGCCCAGGCTGGAGTGCAGTGGCGTGATCTCAGCTCACTGCAACCTCTGCCTCCCGGTTCAAGCAATACTCCTGCCTCATCCTCCCAAGTAGCTGGGATTACAGACACGCGACACCATGCTCAGCTAATTTTTGTATTTTTGGTAGAGACGGAGTTTCACCATGTTGGCCAGACTCATCTTGAACTCCTGACCTCAAGGTATCCACCCCCATCAGCCTACCAAAGTGCTGGCATTACAGGGGTGAGCCACCGGGCCCGACCAATAATTCTTTTTTTAAAGAGACAGAGTCTTGCTCGGTCACCTAGGCTGGAGTGCAGTGGCATGATCATAGTTCACTGCAGCCTTGAACTCCTGGGCTCAAGTGACCCTCCTGCCTCGGCCTCCTGAGTAGCTGGGCCTACAGGTGCACATGCCACCATACTCAGTTAATTTTTATTTAATTAAAAAAAATAGGCCGGGTGGGGTGGCTCACACCTGCAATTTCAGCACTTTGGGAGGCTGAGGCGGGCAGATCAGTTGAGGTCAGGAATTCGAGACCAGCCTGGGCAACATAGTGAAACCCTGTCTCTACTAAAAATACAAAAATTACCCGGGCATGGTGGTGCATGCCTGTAATCCTAGCTACTCAGAGGCTGAGGCAGAAGAATCATTCGAACCCAGGAGGTGGAGGCTGCAGTGAGCTAAGATTGTGCCACTGTACTCCAGCCTGGATGACAGAGCAAGACTCTGTCTCAAAAAAACAAACAAACAGCTGGGCATGGCGGTTTATGCCTGTAATCCCAGCACTTTGGGAGGCTGAGGCAGGTGGATCACTTGAGGTCAGGAGTTCGAGACAAGACTGACCAACATGGTGAAACACCATCTCTACTAAAAATACAAAATTAGCCGGGCGTGATGGCGCATGCCTGTAATCCCAGCTACTTGGGAGGCTGAGTCACGAGAATTGCTTGAGCCTGGGAGGCAGAGGTTGCAGTGAGCCGAGATTGTGCCATAGCACTCCAGCGTATGCAACAGGAGCAAAACTCCATCTCAATAAAAACAAAAACAAAAACAAACCACCCTCTCATGATCATCCAGACTGTTGTGCCTGGTTTGAGTGACAGGCAACTCACCATCTATCCTCTTCCCACCTACAACAGCTCTGACTATCACAAACTTCTGTTAAGTTCTTTTAAAAATTTGGCTGAAGCCAGGTGTGGTGGCTCTCCCCTATAATCCCAGTGCTTTGGGAGGCTGGAGTAAGCAGATCGCCTTGAAGCCAGGAGTTTGAGACCAGCCTGGCAACCTTTGGGCTCTACAAATTTCTTTTTTTTTGTGACAGAGTTTTGCTCTTTTTTCTTAGGCTGGAGTGCAATGGCACGATCTTGGCTCACTGCAACCTCTGCCCCCCAGGTTCAAGTGACTCTCCTGCCTCAGCCTCCCAAGTTGCTCGGATTACAAGCATGAGCCACCACAAAATTAGCCCGGCTAATTTTTGTATTTTTAGTAGAGACGGGGTTTCACCATGTTCGCCAGGCTGATCTCAACCTCCTGACCTCAGACGATCCCCCTGCCTCTGCCTTCCAAAGTGCTGGGATTACAGGCGTGAGCCACTGTGACTGGCCCCACACACACACACAAAATAATAATAATAATTGACCAGGTATGGCCAGACGTGGTGGCTCACTGTAATCCCAACATTTTTGAAGGCCAAGGTGAGACAGTCACTTGAGCCAAGAGTTTAAGACCAACCTGGGCCACATAGAGAGACCTCATCTCTATTTTTTTTTCTTTTTTGAGACAGTCTTGGTCTGTCGCCCAGGCTGGAGTGCAATGGCGGGATCTCGGCTCACTGTAACCTCTGCCTCCTGCATTCAAGCGATTCTCCTGCCTCAGCCTCCCTAGTAGCTGGGATTACAGGTGCCCGCCACCGTGCCTGGCTAATTTTTTTATTTCTAGTGGGGACGGGGTTTCACCATGTTGACCAGGCCCTCTCTCTCACTATATATATATATTATTTGTTGTTGTTTGTTTGTTTTGTTTTGTTTTAAGCCTCGGGTGATTGTGATGATCTGTCAGGTTTGGGATCTGTTAGATCTCTCAAATGCCCCCAGCCAGCCCTGGCCCTACAGGTGTGGCCCCAAGAAGATGGGCTGGCACCTGCCTGGACCCTGTTTTTAAATATCCATTGTCGAGGTTGGGCTACTCTATGATCACATCTTGAGACCATCCAGAGCTCCACACAGAGATAAGCAATGCTTAGAAAGGAAACAAAACTTTGCCCAAGAGCCAGAAACCTATCTTCAACAACCAATTGTGCTATAAAGTAACTTAGTTCAGTTCACTGGAATATTACTTAATTTCCTCTGCTTTTTCTTTTTAAACAAGAAAGTGTTGACTCAGCCAACAGCACTGGGAACCAGACTCCCTGGGGCCTGCCTGCCCCTGCTCTTCTCCCAAATTCTCTTCTTTTTTTGTCCCTGTTGATGGAATTCAATAAAGGGATCTCTACCATCTGTCACTTGTTTTTTTTTGTTGTTTGTTTGTTTGTTTTTTTTTTTTTTGGCAGAGTCTCACTCTGTCGCCCAGGCTGCAGTGCAGTGGTGCCATCTCAGCTCACTGCAACCTCCACCTCCCAGGTTCAAGTGATTCTCCTGCCTCACCCTCAGGAGTAGCTGGGATTACAGTTGCCTGCCACCATGCCCGGCCAATTTTTGTGTTTTTAGTAGAGACAGGGTTTCTCCATGTTGGCCAGGCTGATCTTGAACTCCTGACCTCAAGGGATCCGCCCACCTCGGTCTCCCAGAGTGCTGTGATCACAGGCATGAGCCACCACGCCCAGTGCCAGATTATCTTTCTTCACTGTCTAATTTCATTCCTATGAGTATTAGTTTACTTTTCCTTTGTTGGGTCAAAAGTGCTGCTTCTGTTCCCAACCACAGAATTCTCTGGAATTGTTTTCAGGGCCGTCTCAGTCTCATAAAAGGGGATCAGGCAGGAGGAGTTTGGGAGAAACCTGAGAAGGGCCTGATTTGCAGCATCATGATGGGCCTCTCCTTGGCCTCTGCTGTGCTCCTGGCCTCCCTCCTGAGTCTCCACCTTGGAACTGCCACACGTACGTAGCTGGCCCATTCCCCTCCTGGGGTTCCTTCCCGGACCGCCTGGGAGTGGATGGAAATGAGTATCTCCAAACCCTTCCTCTCCCTGATTTTTAGGTGGGAGTGACATATCCAAGACCTGCTGCTTCCAATACAGCCACAAGCCCCTTCCCTGGACCTGGGTGCGAAGCTATGAATTCACCAGTAACAGCTGCTCCCAGCGGGCTGTGATGTGAGTATTTCTCGGACGTACTTTCTGGGGCCCCATCAGTCATGCAACAGGATGGGTGCTGGGCAGACCCCCAGGATGAGCCTTGGGATGGGAACCTGGAAACCCCACCTCTGCACACTAACAAGTGTGACTCTGAGCTTCAGGTAGAACCTGACTTTTTTTTTCTCTTTTTGAGACGGAGTTTCTTTCTTGTTGCCCAGGCTAGAGTGCAATGGCACGATCTTGGCTCACTGCAACCTCCCCCTCCCGGGTTCAAGCAATTTTCCTGCCTCAGCCTCCCAAGTAGCTGGAATTACAGGCACATGCCACCATGCTCAGCTAATTTTTGTGTTATTAGTAGAATTTCACCATGGTTGGCCAGGCTGGTCTTAAACTTCTGAGCTCATGTGATTTGCCCGCCTCAGCCTCCCAAAATGCTGGGATTACAAGTGTGAGTCACTGGACCCAGCCAATCCCCACTTTTAATAAACTCACAGTGAAGTAAGAGCTCAGGAATCATCAGCTATGATGAATAACCTTGAAAATGTGGCTAACAATTAAATGACATGTTGAGTGCAGGGTTCCTTTCTGGGGTGATGAAAATATCCTAAAATTGATTGTGGTGATGGTTGCATAATCTATGACTATACTAAAAACCATTGAATTATAATTATAGCCTTTAAATTGGTGGAGTTGTACATGGTGGGGAGGTTTAGACGATCGCTTGAGCCCAGGAGTTCAAGGCTGCAGTGAGGTATGATCGCACCACTGCACTCCAGCCTGGGTAACACAGAGAGACTTCATCCCTAACAAAAGAGAAAAAAAAGAGTGAATTACAGTTATCCCCCAGTAACCACAGGGGATTGGTGCCAGGATTTTGGCATACAATTTCCCCTGAATTTATGCAGCTTTTGCATCACCGAGTTTTGTATTTTCTATCCTCCTTTGGTTGGCAAAAGGCTGCCTATGAGTGGGCCCACAGAGTTCAAATCCGTGTTGTTCAAGAGTCAACTGTATGTGCCGTGTGAATTATATCCCAACAAAGCTGTTCTATTACAATGAAAGAATCAGCCAGGTGAGGTGGCGCAGGCCTGTAAGCCCAGTTACTCCGGAGGCTGAGGCAGGAGAATCGCTTGAACCCGGGAGGCGGAGTTTGCAGGAGTAGAGATCGCGCCACTGCACTCCAGCCTGGGTGACAAGAGAGAAACTGTTTCAAAAAAAATAAAATAGGCCGGGCGTGGTGGCTCACGCCTGTAATCCCAGCACTTTGGGAGGCTGAGGTGGGCAGATCTCCTGAGGTTGGGAGTTCGAGACCAGCCTGACCAACGTGGAGAAACCCTGTCTCTACTAAAAATACAAAATTAGCTGGACGTGGTGGCGCATGCCTGTAATCCCAGCTACTTGGGAGGCTGAGGCGGAAGAATCACTTGAACCTGGGAGGCAGAGGTTGTGGTGAGCCGAGATCGCGCCATTGCACTCCAGCCTGGGCAACAAGAGTGAAACTCCGTCTCAAAAAAAATAAAAAATAAAACAAAATAAAGGCTAGGCGTGGTGGCTCACACCTGTTATCCCAGCACTTTGGGAGGCCAACACAGGCGGATCACCTGAGGTCAGGAGTTCGAGACCACCCTGGCCAACATGGCAAAACCTTGTCTCTATTAAAAACACAGAAATTCGCTGGGTGTGCTGATGCGTGCCTATAATCCCAGCTACTTGGGAGTCTGAGGCAGGAGCATCACTTGAACCTGGGAAATGGAGGTTGCAATGAGCTGAGATCATGCCATTGCACTCCAATGTGGGCAACAGAGTGAGAGTTCGTCTCAAAAAAAAAAAAAAAAAATTAAGTGTCCTGGTGCAGGTTACATGCTGCAGGCTAGAACTGGTGGAAAACGGTAAATGGTACCTGGTAGAGGTGGGTCTGGAGGCATAGTTTCCAGTGGAAATCAAGATAGGAAAGAGGAGGGAGACAAGGCCCAGGAGAAGAGGGGACAGGGACAGAGAGCAACAAGTTTGTGGCAAGGCCAGAAGACTAGTGAGAGAGCTGCCCCTCCTTCCCTTTCTATCCCACCCCAGGAGGCAAAGAGTCTCAATATTGACTTATCCGTGTCTCTTTTTCACAGATTCACTACCAAAAGAGGCAAGAAAGTCTGTACCCATCCAAGGAAAAAATGGGTGCAAAAATACATTTCTTTACTGAAAACTCCGAAACAATTGTGACTCAGCTGAATTTTCATCCGAGGACGCTTGGACCCCGCTCTTGGCTCTGCAGCCCTCTGGGGAGCCTGCGGAATCTTTTCTGAAGGCTACATGGACCCGCTGGGGAGGAGAGGGTGTTTCCTCCCAGAGTTACTTTAATAAAGGTTGTTCATAGAGTTGACTTGTTCATAACATTTTTTGTCCATAAAACCCGAGTTTTCTTTAAGGAAAGAAAATTGATTCAATATGGATGGCTGGTTGCCTGGGAGGTCCCCAACCCCCGGGCAGACCCCGATACGGAATTCTGCCGTGGGTTTTTGTTTGTTTGTGCAAAAAAAAGCAAGGGTAATTTTAATACACTTTGGTAAAATGCTTGGTGAATTTTTTAACATTATTTAGAGAAAAAAGTTTAGTTTATTTGGAAAAGTAAGTTCTGTGCAACACCTCACAGCCTGTCAGTGCCGTGTAAATGTAGTAGCTCCGTGTTTGGCAGCGCTTTCTCTTAAGAAAGCAAGACACTAATTAGTTAATGTGAATATTATCTACCTACCAAACTGCGGGTGCGTTGTCTATATAGCTTAAATAAGCTTTTTACAAAAATAATCAGCCGGGTGCAGTGGTTCACGGCTGTAATCCCAGCACTCTGGGAGGCTGAGGTGGGAGGATCACTTGAGCCCAGGAGTTTGAGATCAGCCTGGGCAACATAGTGGCACCCATCACTACAAAAAAATTTAACAGTTACTCAGACGTGGTGGTGGGTGCCTGTAGTCACAGCTACTTGGGAGGCTGAGGTGGGAGGATTGCTTGAGTCTAGGAGGTCGAGGATACAGTGAGCCATGATCACACCACTGCACTCCAGTCTGAGCAACAGAGCAAGACCCTGTCTCAAATAATAATAATAATAATAATAAAGACTAACCTGGGCACCACAGTGAAACCCTGTCTCTACAAAAACACAAAAAATTAGCCAGGTGGGGTGGCACACACCTGTGGTCCCAGCTACTCAGGAGGCTGAGGCAGGAGGATTACTTGAGGCCAGGAGTTAGAGGTTGCAATGGGCCAAGATCACACCACTGCACTCCAGCCTGGGTGACAGATCAAGCCCCTGTCTCAAAAATATTTTTTTAATAAAAAATAAAAAGTCCGGGCACAGTGGCTCATGCCTGTAATCCAAACACTTTGGGAGGCCGAGGCAGGTGGATCATGAGGTCAGGAGATTGAGACCATCCTGGCTAACACAGTGAAACCCCATCTCTACTAAAAATACAAAAAATTAGCAGGGCGTGGTGGCGGGTGCCTGTAGTCCCAGCTACTCAGGAGGCTGAGGCAGGAGAATGGTGTGAACCTGGGAGGCGGAGCTTGCAGTGAGCAGAGATCGCGCCACTGCACTCCAGCCTGGGCGACAGAGCGAGACTCCATCTCAAAATAAATAAATAAATAAATAAATAAATAAATAAATAAAATAATAATTATTATTATTTTTGCCATTTCTTGCAACTTTTTGTGAATCTATAATTATTGTTTATAGTTATTAATTATTAATATCTATAATTGTTATAGATTTACAAGAAGTTGCAAAAATGGTATGGGGAGGTCAGGTGTATCTTTTTTATTATTGAGACAGAGTCTTGCTCTGTCACCCAGACTGGAGTGCAGTGGCATAATTACAGCTCCCTATAGCCTCTACCTCCCTGAGTTCAGGTGACCCTCCCACCTCAGCCTCCCAAGTAGGTAGGACTACAGGCATGGTCCACCACACCCGGCTAACTTTTGTATTTTGGCAGAGACAGGGTTTCACCATGTTGCCCAGGCTGGTCTCAAATTCTTGGGCTCAAACCATCTGCCCACCTCAGCCTCCCAAAGCACTGGGATTACAGGTGTGAGCCACCGTGCCCAGCCCCCAAATCTATCTTTTATTTAGTTTACCCCAATGGCTACAGCTTACATAATTATAATGCAATATCAAACCCAGGAAATTGACATTGGTATAAAGCGTGTGCATAGTTCTGTCATACTGTCGTTTTATCACGTGTATAGATTTACATTATAGCAACTGAGATCCCGATCTATTCCAACGTCACGGAGATCTCCCTCCATTCACCCCTTGACAATCACACCTCCCATCCACCACCATCTTTAGCTCCTGGCAACCATCATCCTACTCTTTGGTATTATGAATTTGACTTTTTAGATGCTATGTAGGTAGTAAGTGAGATCAGGCAGTATTTGTCTTTCTGCGTCTGGCTTATTTCACTTTGCATAATGTCCTCCAGGTTTATCCATGTTGTTGCAAATGGCAGGATTTCCTTCTTTTTTAAGGCTGAATAATATTTCTTTCTTTTTTTTTTTTTTTTTTTTTTTTTTTTTTTTTTTTTTGAGATGGAGTCTCGCTCTGTCGCCCAGGCTGGAGTGCAGTGGTACGAGCTCGGCTCACTGCAAGCTCCGCCTCCCGGGTTCACGCCATTATCCTGCCTCAGCCTCCTGAGTAGCTGGGACTACAGGTGCCTGCCACCACGCCCGGCTAATTTTTTGTAGTTTTAGTAGAGATGGGGTTTCACCGTGTTAGCCAGGATTGTCACGATCTCCTGACCTCGTGATCCGCCCATCTCGGCCTCCCAAAGTGCTGGGATTACAGGCGTGAGCTACCGCGCCCTGCAAGGCTGAATAATATTTCATTGTCTGTGTGGATCACATCTTCTTTATCCATTCATTCACTGATGGACACTTAGGTTGTTTCCATATATGGGCTATTGTGAATAATGCTTCAATACATATGGAAGTACAGACACCTCATTGACATGTTGATTTTTTTTGTCTTTTTTCTTTTTTTTTTTTTTTGAGACAAGAGTCTCTCTCTCTCACCCAGGCTGGAGTGCAGTGGTGCAATCTCAGCTCACTGCAACCTCCGCCTCCCAGGACCTCTGCCTCCCAGGTTCAAGTGATTCTCCTGCCTCAGCCTCCCAAGTAGCTGGGACTACAGGTGTGCACCACCACACCTGGATAATTTTTTTATTTTTAGTAGAGACAGGGTTTCACCATACTGCCCAGGCTGGTCTTGAACTCCTGGCCTCAGGTGATCTGCCTACCTCGGCCTCCCAAAGTGCTGGGATTACAGGCATGAGCCACCATGGCCGGCGACATGTTTATTTCAATTACCTTGGATAGGTACCCAGAAGTGAGGTTGCTGGGATGTACTGGCAATCCTATTGCCTATTTGAACTTTCTGAAGAAACTCCCTGCTGTTTTCCATAATGACTGAACCAATTTACATTCCCACCAACAGAGTCGAGGGTTCCCTTGTCTCCACATCTCATCAACACTTATCATTTGTCCTTTTTAAATGTGTTGTTCTAATTGAGACATGGTCTCACTCTGTCACCCAGGCTGGAGGGCAGTGGCACGATCATAGCTCACTGCAGCCTTGACCTCCTGGGCTCAAGCGATCCTCCCACCTCAGCTTCCTGAGTAGCTGGGACTACAGGTGTGTGTCACCATGTCTGGCTAGTTTCTGTATTTTTGGTGTTTTTTTTTTTTTTTTTTTTTTGGTAGAGATGAGGTTTTGCCATGTTGCCCAGGCTTCACTTGTCTTTTTGATAAATAGCCATTCTAATGGTGTGAAGTGATATATCTCACTGTGGTTTTGATTTGCATTTCTCTAGTGATTAGTGATATCGAGCATTTTTTTTTTAATGTACCTGGTGGTCATTTGTATGTCTTTGAGAAATGTCTATTAAGGCTTCTTTGTGCTTTTTTTTTTTTTTTTTTTTTTTTTTGAGACAGAGTCTTGCTCTGTTGCCCAGGCTAGAGTGCAGTGGCTCAGTCTCAGCTCACTGCAACCTCTGTCTCCCGGGCTCAAACTATTCCCCTGCCTCAGCCTCCTGAGTAGCTGGGATTACAGGCGCCCGCCACCACACCCAGCTAATTTTTGTATTTTTAGTAGAGACGGGATTTCACCGCGTTGGTCATGCTGGTCTCAAACTCCTGACCTCAGGTGATCCACCCGCCTTGGCCTCCCAAACCAAAGTGCTGAGATTGTAGGCATGAGCCACCGGACCCGGTTTTTTTTTTTTTTTAAGATGTAGTCTCATTCTGTTGCCCAGGCTGGAGTGCAGTGGCACCATCTCAGCTCACTGCAACCTCTGCCTCCTAGGTTCAAGCGATTCTTATTTACATTTACATTGTAAAAATACAAAATCATTCATGACAGCTATTGGCTGTTAGTACTTGGCATTTAGGAAGCACTTACTGCTCAAAGTCCAATCTTCTTAATTTTTTATCTCAGGTCTTGGATGATGTTTTAGATGTTGTTTCCCCAGAAATAAACCTTAAGATAATAATTTGCATGTAATGTTTTGAAGGTGATCTCAGGAGACACCACTAGGGCGTGGGGACGTGAGACAGAAAAGGGAAAGCCTCCAATAAGTGTGTATTATCAAGCGAGGCATCAATGTGGCCTACAGTGCTTAACGGTGTTGAGGAGCTCTGGGCAATGATGTATAACCCACGTCTCAGAGTTAGCCCCACCCACGGGGCCAGGGAGCAAGGGTATTTTTTTTTTTTTTTTTTTTGAGACGGAGTCTCGCTCTGTCGCCCAGGCTGGAGTGCAGTGGCGCGATCTTGGCTCACTGCAAGCTCCGCCTTCCGGGTTCACGCCATTCTCCTGCCTCAGCCTCCCAAGTAGCTGGGACTACAGGCGCCCGCCACCACTCCTGGCTAATTTTTTGTATTTTTAGTAGAGGCGGGGTTTCACTGTGTTAGCCAGGATGGTCTCAATCTCCTGACCTCATGATCCGCCCGCCTCTGCCTCCCAAAGTGCTGGGATTACAGGCGTGAGCCACGGCGCCCGGCCGAGCAAGGGTATTTATACACCAACTCCAGGCAGTCATTGGCTGATGGTTGATGTGGTGGGGCAGGGGTGAGTATTAATTCTCCAGGACTTCCTGCCTGCTGTGTACAAGGACAGAGTGGACCACCAGAGTTCCAGATTCTGCAGGCTGTAGAATATAATTAATTGTAAGGGGCCAGGAGTGGTGGCTCACGCCTGTAATCTCAGCACTTTGGGAGGCCGAGGAGGGCGGATCACTTAAAGTCAGGAGTTCGAGACCAGCCTGGCCAACATGGTGAAACCCCATCTCTACTAAAAATACAAAAAATTAGCCAGGCTTCGTGGCAGGCAACTATAATCCCAGCTACTTGGGAGGCTGAGGCATGAGAATCACTTGAACCCAAGAGGCAGTGGTGGCAGTGAGCCGAGATCGTGCCATTGCACTCCAGACTGGGCAACAAGAATGAAACTCCATCTCAAAAAATAATAATAATAATAAATAAAACAAAATTCTGCTTGCCAAACTAGACATAAAAGGGCAAAATGCCTCTTCCTTTTGATAAGAATGTCAAGGTTATGGCCAGGCACGGTGGCTCATGCCTGTAATCCCAGCACTTTGGGAGGCCAAGGCAGGGGGATCACCTGAGGTCAGGAGTTCGAGACCAGCCTGATGGGGTGAAATCCTGCCTCTACTAAAAATACAAAAATTATCTGGGTATGGTAGCGAGCACCTGTAGTCCCAGCTACTTAGGAGGCTGAGACAGGAGAATTGTTTGAACCTGGGAGGCAGAGGTTGCAGTGAGCCGAGATCGCACCACTGCACTCTAGCCTGGGCAACAGAGAGAGGCTCCATCTCAAAAAAAAAAAAAAAGAAAAAAGAAAAGAATGTCAGGGTCACGTTTTTCAGAAGGCCTCGGTGATTTTTGTCATGTCCCCAAACAGCAGTGGCTGTCTCTGGCCTCTGGCACCTTTTGTTTCCCGTGTACAGCGCTTTTATACAATTGTAATATGGTGATTGATGTTCTTAGCTCTGCTACCAGACTGAAGCCTCCTGCGTTTGGGGATTAATTCATTTTTTTAGTTAAAAAAAATATTATTGGCCGAGCGTGGTGGCTCATGCCTGTAATCCCAGCACTTTGGGAGGCCAAGGTGGGCAGATCACGAGGTCAGGAGTTCGAGACCAGCCTGGCCAATATGGTGAAACCCTGTCTCTACTAAAAATACAAAAATTAGCTGGGCATGGTGGCACGTCCCTGTAATCCCAGCTACTCGGGAGGCTGAGGCAAGAGAATTGCTTGAACCAGGAAGTTGGAGGTTTCAGTGAGCTGAGATTGTACCACTGCACTCCAGCCAGGGTGACAGAATGAGACTCTGTCTCAAATAATAATAATAATAAATTAGTATTATGAAGCCTGGTGCAGTGGATCACACCTGTAATCCTAGCACTTTGGGAGGCTGAAGTGCGAGGATCATCTGAGCCCGGGAAGTTGGAGGGTGCAATCAGCAGAGATTGCACCACTGCACTCCAAGCTGGGTGACAGAGCGAGAGCCTGTTTTTTTTTTTTTTTTTTAAGTATTATTATAATTACAAAAAAAATTTTTGGGGCCGGGCCCAGTGGCTCATCCCTATAATCCCAGCACTTTGGGAGGTGGAAGCTGGCAGATCACTTGAGGCCAGGGGTTCAAGACCATACTGGCCAACATGATGAAACCCGTTTCTACTAAAAATGCAAAAATTAGCCAGGTGTGGTGGCACCTGCCTGTAATCCCAGTTACTCGGGAGGCTGAGGCGGGAGAATCGCTTGAATCTGGGAGGTGGAGGTTGCAGTGAGTTGAGATCACACGGCTGCACTCCAGGCCAGGCGACGGAGTGAGACTGCGTCTCAAAAAAAAAAAAAAAAATTATAGAGACAAGGTCTTATGTTGCCCAGGCTGGTCTCAAACTTCTAGCCTCAAGTGAGCCCCAAAAGTGCTCACTCAGACTCCCAAAGTGCTGGGATAACAGATGTGAGCCACACCACCCAGGCCTCAGGGATTAATTCTATCTTGCACAAATGAAAGACTTGGGAAACATCTGTGTAATATGCCACCAAATACAAATACTGCCAGACACCCTTTGCCCAGGCTCAACTCTGAATCAGAGCAGAGTACCTAGGGGAAGAGATCCAGACATCCAAGCTTGCAAGACAAATTCCTGGTTGAGAGCTCTATAAAGAAGAGGGACTTCTAGCTGTAGTTCTACAAGTTTACCAGCAGATGGGAACAGTCTCCTACCATCTTTTAAAGTTTCCTACCACTGCACTGTTGACAACTGGCAGATTTACAGAAAAGTCTATTCTGTGAGTCTTTACCAAGGATCTACTTGAAATCTAGAGTCATGTGCAATCTCTTTGGGAGGCGGGCAGGGAAGAGACAAAAGTGAAGGAAGACTGAGCTCAATCTTCAGAGGGTACATTTCATTGGAGAGCAATGAAATACACACAAAGCAATTAAGATCCCCTACAAGATAACACACCTGAGAGTTTGACGGGAGACACTATCTCCTTGGGCTTCAGTTTCACGAAATGAGGAGGGAGAAATTGAAGACATTCACAGTGGCTGGCGCGGTGGCTCACGCTTGTAATCCCAGCACTTTGGGAGGCTGAGGCAGGCAGATCACCTGAGGTCAGGAGTTCGAGAGCAGCCTGACCAGTATGGTGACACCTCGTCTTTACTAAATACAAAAAAATTAGCCGGGCATGGTGGCGCATGCCTGTAATCCCAGCTACTTGGGAGGCTGAGGCAAAAGAATTGCTTGAACCCAGGAGGCAGAGGTTGCAGTGAGCTGAGATTGCACCATTGCACACCAGCCTGGATGACAAGAGTGAAACTCCATCTCAAGAAAAAAAAAAAAAAGAGGAAGAAGACATTCATAGTGTCCCAACCTAGGTGCACATCAACAGTGGACTGGATAAAGAAAGTGGGGTACATATACACCAAGGAATACTATGCAGCCATAAAAAGAATGAAATCATGTCCTTTGCAGTAACATGGATGCAGCTGGAGGCCATTATCCTAAGTGAATCAACACAGAACCAGAAAACCAAATATAGCATGCTGTCCCTTACAAGTGGGAACTAAGCACTGAACACACAGGGACATAAAGATGTGAACAATAGCCCAGGTGCAATGGCTCACGCCTGTAATCCCAGCACTTTGGGAGGCCGAGGCAGGAGGATGACTTGAGCTCATGAGTTCAAGAGCAACCTGGGCAACATGGCGAAATGCCGTCTCTACCAAAAATACAAAAAATTAGCTGGGTGTGGTGGTGCACACCTGTGGTTCCAACTGCTTGGGAGGCTGATGTGGGAGATGGCTTGAGCCCAGGAAGTGGAGGTTGCAGTGAGCTGTGATTTTACCACTGCACTCCAGCCTGGGTGACAGAGTGATACCCTATCTCAAACAAACAAACAAACAAAGTTGTTTTTTTTTGTTTGTTTGTTTTGTTTTTTTTTACAGAATCTCGCTCTGTCACCAGGCTGGAGTGCAGTAGCGCGATCTCGGCGATTCTCATGAGTAGCTGGGATTACAGTCATGTGCCACCATGCCGAGCTAATTTTTGTATTTTTAGTAGAGATGGGGTTTTGCCATGTTGGCCAGGATGGTCTCGATCTCTTGACCTCGTGATCTGCCCGCCGTGGCCTCCCAGAGTGCTGGGATTACAGGCATGAGCCATTGTGCCTGGCCAAAAAATTTTTTTATAAAGATGGGAATAGGGCCGGGCACGGTGGCTCATGCCTGTAAACCTAGCACTTTGGGAGGCCGGGGCAGATGGATCACCTGAGGTCAGGAGTTTGAGACCAGCCTGGCCAACATGGTGAAACGTGTCTCTACTAAAAATACAAAAGAAATAGCTGGGTGTGGTGGCAGGTGCCTGTAATTCCAGCTACTCGGGAGGCTGAGGCAGGAGAATCGCTTGAACCTGGGAGGCGGAGGTTGCAGTGAGCCGAGATTGCGCCACTGCACTCCAGCCTGGGTGACAACAACGAAACTCTGTCTCAAAAAAAAAAAAAAGATGGGAATAATAGATATTGGAGACAGTATTTTAAAAAAGTGGGGAGGGAAAGAGAGGGAGGCAAGGGTTGAAAAACTTCCTATTGGGTACAATGTTCACTATGTAGGTGATGGTATCAATAGAAGCCCAAGCTTCAGCATCATGCATATACCCTTGTAACGAACCTTCGCATGTACCCACTTAATCTAAAAACAATTTCTTTTTTGAGACGGAGTCTCGCTCTGTCTACCAGACTGGAGTGCAGTGGCATGATCTTGGCTTACTGCAGCCTCTGCCTCCCGGGTTCAAGCAATTCTCATGCCTCAGCCTCCCAAGAAGTTGAGACTACTTGGTGTCTCACCACCACGCCCGGCTAATTTTTGTATTTTTAGGAGAGACAGGGTTTCACCATGTTGGTCAGGCTGGTCTCAAACTCCTGGCCTCAAGTGATCTGCCTGCCTCGGCCTCTCAAAGTGCTGGGATTACAGGTGAGAGGCACAGCAACTGGCATCTTTCTTTTCTTTTTTCTTTTCTTTTCTTTTTGTTTTTTTTTTTGAGACAGAATCTTGCTCTGTTGCCCAGGCTAGAGTGCAGTGTCATGATACGGCTCACTGCAACCTGGGCCTCCTGGGTTCAAAGAAATTCTCGTGCCTCAGCCTCCCAAGAAGCAGGGACTACAGACATGCACCACCACATCCAGCTAATTTCACACTGTGGTCTCATCGGAGGATTTGCCCAACAAAGGGCAGCATGCAGATGTAGTACCCTTGAGATCCATGTGGTTGGTGTCCCAAGGGAGACTTCTGGAAGGAACTCTTGGGGCCCCTCAACTCTGGACCTTTAAGTCTCAAAATTTCATGTGTTAGTCTAGGTTTGAGCTTAGTCATTTCAACCTTGAAGGCCTTGGTTTCTTTAGCTTGCAGTAATCTCTTGCATATATACAAAATTTTAAATTTTAAAATTAATAAAGTACTTCCACATGGTCTTAGTTCATTTGTGCTGCCACAACAGACTGCCACAGACTAGGTAATATATACAAACCAGAAATGTATTTCTCATAGTTCTAGGGGCTGGGAAGTCCAATATCAAGGTGCTGGCATCTTGCATGGGCCTTCTTGCTGCTTCCTCACATGGCAGAAGGCAGAAGGGCAAAATGAGAGCAAACCCACTTCTGCAAGCCTCTCTATAGCAACCGTAATCCATTTGTGAGAGTGAAGCCTACAAGACCCAAACACCTTCCAGAATGCCCCACGTCCCCACGCTGTTGCACTGGGGACCAAGTTTCCAACACATGAATTTGGGGAGACACATTCAAATCAGAGCACAACCCCTGAGATTTTTTTTTTCATTTCTTACAACTCCATGAGGAAATTTTTTCTTCTAATTTACGAATTTTAAAAAATCGAATGATTATTTAAATCCAATCATTTAAAAAATAGTTCAAGTGACAGAACTCCATTTCAAAAAAATACTTGATTTATTTATTCTGCAAACATTTATTAAGAACTATTGGCTGGGTGTGGTGGCTTATGCTTGTAATCCCGGCACTTTGGGAGGCTGAAGTGGGTGGATCACTTGAGGTCAGGAGTTTGAGACCAGCCTGGCCAATATGGGTGAAACTCCACCTCTACTAAAAATACAAAAATTAGCCGGTCATGGTGGCAGGTACCTGTAATCCCAGCTACTCAGGAGGCTGAGGCAGGAGAATTGCTTGAATCCAGAAGACAGAGGTTACAGTGAACCAAGATCGCACCACTGCACTCCAGCCTGGGCAACAGAGTGAGACTCCATCTCAAAAAAGCAAAAGAAGCATTGGCTGGGTGTGGTGGGTCACACCTGTAATCCTAACACTTTGGGAGGCTGAGCTGGGAGGATCCATTGAGGCCAGGTGTTTGAGATCAGCTTGGTGAACATAGTGAGACCCCATTTCTAGAAACAATTTTAAACATTAGCTGGGCATGGTGGCAGGTATTTGTAGTCCCAGCTACTTGGGAGGCTAAGGCAGAAGGATCACTTTAGCTCAAGAGTTTGAGGCTGCAGTGAGCTATGATTGTACCACTTCACTACAGCCTGGGTAATAGACCCTGTCTAAAACAAAACAAAGCAAAACATGGAATGATTGCATGCTATTTGAGAATATGAATCAGGTCCCTAGCCTTGTGACACTCACATTCTAGCAATACATATAAACAGAGTAACACATTATTATGATGCAATATAAAACTACTACATTAGCGGCAGGCACATTGCCTTATGCCTGTAATCCCAGCACTTTGGGAGGCTAAGGTGGGCAGATCCCTTCAGCCTGGGAGTTTGAGACCAGCCTTGGCAACACGGTGAAATCCCATCTCTACAAAAAATAGAAAAACTAGCTAAGTGTGGTGGCATATGCCTGTGGTCCCAGCTACTTGGGAGGCTGAGGCAGGAGGACTGCTTGAGCCCAGGAGGTGGAGGGTGCACTGAGCTGAGATTGTGCCATTGCACTCCATCCCTGGGTGACAGAGAAGACTCTGTCTCAAAGATGAATAAAATAAAATAATAAAATAGTACTACATTAAAATGTGGGGGAAGGAAGGAGCAGTGATTGAGTGATTTCTACACTCTAGGCCAGGGGTCCCCAACCCCTGGGCCATGGACCAGTACTGGTCCATCTGTGGCCTGTTAGGAACTGGGCCTCACAGCAGGAGGTGAGTGGCAGGTGAGCAAGCGAAGTTTCATGTATATTTATATTTGCTCCCCATCACTCGCACTACTCCCTGAGCTCCGCCCCCTGTCGGATCAGTGGCAGCAATGGATTCTCATAAGAGTGCAAACCCCACTGTGAACTGCGCATGTGCGGGATCTAGATTGCATGCTCCTTATGAGAATCTAATGATAAATGTAATATGCTTGAATCATCCCAAAACCATCCCCCATCACAAGACTGTGAAAAAGTTGTCTTCCACGAAACTGGTCCCTAGTGCCAAAAAGGTTGGGGACTCCTGTTCTGTCTCTCTCTCTCTCTCTTTTTTTGAGACAGTCTTGCTCTGTTACCCAGTCTGGAGTGCAGTGGTGCGATCTCAACTCACTGCAACCTCTGCCCCCAGGGTTCAAGCGATTCTCCTGCCTCAGCCTCCCGAGTAGCTGGGATTACAGGCATGCACCACCACACCCAGCAAATTTTTGTATTTTTAGTAGAGATGGGGTTTCACCATGTTGGCCAGGATGGTCTTGAACTCCTGACCTCAGGAGATCCACCTGCCTCAGCCTGCCAAAGTGCTGGGATTACAGGCATGAGCCACTGTGCCTGGCCAAGGGGACTGCTGTTCTAAGCCCTGCAAAAAGTGCTTTCTCTGCAACTTCCACTGAAATCAGTCAGGATAAGTTAAGTTATGCTGCAGAACAAGAATCCCAGATCTCTGTTTATGTTCCACCCATACTGCACGCTGAACATGGGTAGCCAGAAGTTTTGCTCACATAGTCACTCAGGGAGCCAAGTGAACAGAGGTTCTGTCTCAACCACCCTTTTAGTGGCAGTGGCAGGGTAAAATCAACTCCCAACAAGCAACTATATGTTCTAAGCCATATGTAGCACCAGTCAATTCTCACAACTCATTACAGGTCAAGCTACAAGATCTCATTCAACCACAAGGGGGCCTGAAAGCCCGCTGTCCCCTGAGCCCAGAGACAAGAGGAATAAATATTATTAAGGACTAAGGACAAGTAAATATTTGTACTTCAATAAAAAACTATGCATTGGGCTAGGCATGGTGGCTCATGCATGTAATCCCAGCACTTTGGGAGGCCGAGGCGGACGGATCACTTGAGGTCAGGAGTTCGAGACCAGCCTGGTCAACATGGTGAAACCCCATCTCTACTAAAAATATAAAAATAAGCCAGGTGTGGTGGCGCATGCCTGTAGTCCCAGCTACTTGGGAGGCTGAGGTGGGAGGATCCCTTGAGCCTGGGAGGTCGAGGCTGCAGTGAGCTGTGATGGCACCACTGCACTCCAGCCTGGGCAATAGAGCAAGACCCTGTCTCATAGGAAAAAACGACAGCAACAATAACTCTACACAGTGGCTATCAGTCGGCAACAGGGGAGAGGCAGCCGCATCTTAGAATCGCTAGGAAGCTTTTCCTAAATAAACTTGTCCCTGCCTGTGAGCTAATCCTCTCCAACCTTCAGGCCCAAATTCCAATATGTTCTGGGATAGGACAGAAGCTGGGGGGTGAGGACCCAGGTGAGGTGAGCCTCTGGCAGGCAAGGAACCCAGGCACAAAGATGAACTTTGGCCTCAGAAGACATGGGATACCTGGAGCAGAAACAGAAGTCCTGGTTGGGAATATGAGCCGAGGATCGGCTGGAATGGGGCTGCTTCCATAGAAACCACTCTTTTTATTTTTTTTCCCCGTCCTCTGCCTTCCTGCTGTGTTTGGTAATGACCTTGTCTTCTCCATTAAGAATCCACTGTTTCAGCTGAGGCTGTGACTCTACGGTTCCATTAAAGCTCTCCTGGGGCAGTCAGACATCCACCAAGTTCATAAGAGCTGAGACAGGGCAAGCTGGGAGGCACCAGGCTGGATATCCACCCTCCTGGGAGGAGCAGGGTGACAGCCTAGATGACTTTTCCTCCCTGCTCCCAACCAGTGGCTCCAGTGCTTCATGAAGGGGTCACTGTGACAAAGAGGTCACTGCCCCTTCTTGGACCTCAGAGTCTTAAGCAATGATAACTCCTTCCATGTATAAGCAGTTTTTTTGTTTTGTTTTGTTTTGGGTTTTTTTTTTTTTTTTTTGAGATAGGGTCTTGCTCTGTCACCCAGGCTGGAGTGCAGTGGCACCATCTCGGCTCACTGCAGCCTCGACCTCCCAGGCTCAAGCGATCCTCTCACTTCAGCCTCCTGAGTAGCTGGGACCACAGCATGTACCACCACGCCTGGCTAATTTGTGTGTGTGTGTGTGTGTGTGTGTGTGTGTGTGTGTGTGTGTGTAGTAGAGATGGGGTTTTGCCATGTTGCCCAGGCTGGTCTCGAACCCCTGAGCTCAAGAAATTTGTCCACCTTGGCCTCCCAAAGTGCTGGGATTACAAGCGTAAGCCACCGCGTCCGGCCTCGAGCAGTTTTCTTATAGTGAGCCCTGCTGCACACACACGTGATCTCTATGTTGCAGGTGGTGTTGAGCATGGCTGGGAGCACAAGCTTGGACTCCAGTTGCCTGGGCTTGGTTCCACCATTTATTAGCTGTGTGATCTGAGCTAAGTTCTTGAACCTGAATCCTCCATTAACCCTGGTTTCCTTACTGGTAAAATGGAGATTGTAATGATACTAGGCTCATCAGGTTGCTACAAAGACTTCATGAGATAATGGATAAAAAGCTCAGAGACAGAGCCTGCTATGTAGTAAGTGGTTAACAGAAGTCCATTACAGGCCAGGGGTGGTGGCTCTCACATGTAATCCCAGCACTTTGGGAGGCCGAGGCAGGTGGATCACCTGAGGTCAGAGGTTCGAGACCAGGCTGGCCAACATGACAAAACCCCATCTCTACTAAAAATACAAAAATTAGCCGGGCATCCTGGCGCATGCCTGTAATCCCCGTTACTCGGGAGGCTGAGGCAGGGAGAATCATTTGAACCCGGGAGGCAGAGGTTGCAGAGCACCGAGATCGCACTACTATACTCCAGCCTGGGTGACAGAGTGAGATTCCATCTCAAAAAAAAAAAAAAAAAGTCTGGCCGGGCGCAGTGGCTCACGCCTGTAATCCTAGCAGTTTGGGAGGCCAAAGCAGGTGGATCACCAGGTCAAGAGATAGAGACCATCCTGGCCAACATGGTGAAACCCCATCTCTACTAAAAACGCAAAAATTAGCTGGGTGTGGTGGTGCGCACCTGTAGTCCCAGCTAGTCGGGAGGCTGAGGCAGGAGAATCCCTTGAACCCAGGAGGCGGAGGTTACAGTGAGCCAAGATCGTGCCAATGCACTCCAGCCTGGCAACAGAGCAAGACTCCGTCTCAGAACAAACAAACAAACAAACAAAAAAGAACAAAAAAAAAACAACTCCATTGCCGTGTCAGCTCTTGTTTTTTTCCTTTTTTTCCCTCGATCTGTCACCCAGGCTAGAGTGTAGTGGTGTGATCTCGGTTCACTGCAACCTCCGCCTCCTGGATTCAAGCGATTCTCCCTGCCTCAGCCTCCCTCCCGAGTAGCTGGGATTACAGGCATGCACCACCACGTCCAGCTAATTTTTGTATTTTTAGTAGAGACAGCGTTTCACCATGTTGGGGTGGCTGGTCTCAAACTCCCAACCTCAGGTGATCCGCCTGCCTCAGCCTCCCAATGTGCTGGGATTACAGGCGTGAGCTACCGCACCTGGCATTTTTTTTCCCCGTTTTTTAGAGAGAGGGACTTGCTTTGTCACCCAGGCTGGAGTGCAGTGGCACAATTACAGTTCACACAACCCAGGAGGTGGAGGTTGCAGTAAGCTGAGATTGTGCCACTGTACTCCAGCCTGGGTGACAGTGCAAGACTCCGTCTCTAAAAAAAAAAAAAAAAAAATTAGCCAGGCGTGGTGACATGTACCTATAGTCCTTCCTACTTGGGAGGCTGAAGCAGGAGGATCGATTTGACTCTAGGAGATTGAGTCTGCAGCGAGCTATGATCATGCCATTGCACTCCAGCCTGGGTGACAGAGCGAGACTGTAAAAAAAGAAAAAAAAAAAGGCTGAGCGCGGTGGCTCACGCCTGTAATCCCAGCACTTTGGGAGGCCAAGGCGGGCAGATCACAAGGTCAGGAGAGTGAAACCATCCTGGCCAACATGGTGAAATCCCGTCTCTACTAAAAATACAAAAATTAGCTGGGGGTGTTGGCGCGTGCCTGTAATCCCAGCTACTCGGGAGGCTGAGGCAGGAGAATCGTTTGAACCTGAGAGTTGGAGGTTGCAGTGAGCCGAGATCGTGCCACTGCACTCCAGCCTGGCGACAGACTGAGACTCCATCTCAAAAAAAAAAAAAAAGGAAAAGGTAGGGTGGTGGCAATGAGATGAGTGATTGCCTACTTGTGCCCAGTGAGTCTACATTTTACATAAGATAAGGTGTGCATTTGAAGGTAAAGGGAATAGAGAAGGCAGGTGTCTTGGGGAGAGGTGCAGAAGGGATGAATCTCATCTTGTCTTTGTTCCGTATCTGTGAGGAAGAGCTAGTAAGGGACATTATTGGTAATAATGAAAAACTGAAAGGGCTGGTTTCCGTTTAGCCCCTAGGGAAGAAAGTCTAATGGTAGTTAGTGAGGGAGTGGGGATAATGAGCTGTGTCTGATCTCTCTTCCTGTCACGGCCTGTGAACTCAGCCTCCAAGCTTTCTCTGGGGTTTCCTGGGCCAACAGGGGTTGAGTTTGTTGAGGACTTAGAATTTTATTTTTAGGTCGGGCACTGTGGCTCATGTCTGTAATCCCAGCACTTTGGGAGGCCGAGGTGGGAGGAGGGCTTGAGCCCAGGATTTCAAGACCCCGTCTCTATTTTAAAATAATGATAATAATAATAATAAAGATTTCCCAGGGCTGCTCTGGAAAGTGAGAGTCAGACAAAAGAGGGGAGGTAGGGGAAAGGAAAGGAGAGGAAAGGACGGGAAGTGAAAGAGGCTGGTTTTGTTTGTTGTTATTAGCCTTAGAGAACTATTTGGAATTTTTAAACAAATTTTTGCTCACGCCTGTAATCCCAGCACTTTGGGAGGCCGAGGCGGGCGGATCACCTGAGGTCAGGAGTTCAAGACCAGCCTGGACAACATGGCAAAATCCCATCTTTACTAAAAATACAAAGATTAGGCCGGGCGCGATGGCTCACGCCTGTAATCCCAGGACTTTGGGAGGCCAAGGAGGGCGGATCATGAGGTCAGGAGATCGAGACCATCCTGGCTAACATGGTGAAACCCCGTCTCTACTAAAAATACAAAAATTAGCTGGGCATGGTGGCGGGCACCTGTAGTGCCAGCTATTTGGGAGGCTGAGGCAGGAGAATGGCGTGAACCCAGGAGGCGGAGGTTGCAGTGAGCCAAGATCATGCCACTGCACTCCAGCCTGGGCTACAGAGCAAGACTCCGTCCCCCCACCCTAAAGAAAATACAAAGATTAGCCGGGTGTGGCAGCACATGCCTGTAATCCGAGCTACTCAGGAGGCTGAGGCAGGAGAATCGCTTGAACTCAGGAGGTGGAGGTTGCAGTGAGCCAAGATCGCACCACTGCACTCCAGCCTGGGTGACAGAGCAAGACTGCCTCAAAAAAAAAAAAACCTTTTTTTTTTTTTTAGAGGTAGAGTCTGACTCTGTCGCCCAGGCTGGAGCACAATGGCACAATCATAGCTCACTGCAGCCTCAAATTTCTGCCCTTAAGTGATCCTCCCAACTCAGTCTCCCCAGTAGCTGAGACTACAGGCATGCACCACCATGTCCAGCTAATTTTTTCTTTTATTCTTTGTAGAGATGGGGTCTTGCTATGTTGCCTAGGCGGGTCTCAAACTCCTGGCCTCAAGCAATCCTCCTGCATTGGCCTCCCAAAGTGCTGGGATTACTGATGCAAGCCACAGTGCCTGGCCAGAGACTGCTTTTACTGGTTGTTATTAGCCTTAGATAACTATTTGTTTTAAAAAGATTATTTTGAGATAGCATCCAGCTCTGTTGCCCAAGTTGGAGTGCAGCAGTGTGATCATAGCTCACTGCAGCCTCGGCTTCCCAGACTCAAGTGATCCCCCCACCTCAGCCTTTAGAGTAGCTGGGACTACAGGCATGTGCCAACACACTCTACTAATTTAAAAAAAATTTTCGACTAGGCATGTTGGCTCACACCTGTAATCCCAGCACTTTGGGAGGCCGAGGCAGGTGGATCATTTGAGATCAGGAGTTCGAGACCAGCCTGACCAACATGGTGAAACCCCATCTCTACTAAAATACAAAAAAAGTTAGCTGGGCGTGGTGGTGCATCCCTGTATTCCCAGCTACTCGGGAAGCTGAGGCAGGAGAATCACTTGAACCCGGGAGGCGAAGGTTGCAGTGAGCCGAGATTGCACCATTGCACTTCAGCCTGGATGACAAGAGTGAAACTCCATCTCAAAAAAAAAAATTTGTAGCCACCAGCATCAGCTAATTTTTTTTATGTTTTGTAGACACAGTGATCTCACTATGTTGCCCAGTCTGGTCTCAAACTCCTGGCCTCAAGTGATCCTCCTGTCTCAGCTTCCCAAAGTTCTTTCTTTTTTCTTTTCTTTGAGACGGAGTCTCACTCTGTCGCCAGGCAATCCCAGTTCACTGCAACCTCTACCTCCTGGGTTCAAGTGATTCTCCTGCATCAGCCTCCTGAGTAGCTGGGATTACAAGTGTGAGCCACCACGCCTGGCTAATTTTTGTATTTTCAGTAGAGACGGGGTTTCGCCACGTTGGCCTAGCTGGTCTCGAACTCCTCACCTCAAGAGATCCACCTGCCTCGGCCTCCCAAAGTACTGGGATTACAGGTGTGAGCCACTTCGCCCAGCCTGTAAAGTATATGAAGTATACTAATCTTAAGTGTATAGCCTGAAGAAGCATTACATAGTTATATACCCATGTTACTATCACAGAAGATATGCAACATTGTAGTTCCTTAGAAGATAACTTCATGCCACTTTCCACTCAGTCATGCTTACTGCTTGAGTTCCAGTTTATATCCTGGGAGACATATGATATCCCAGAGATATCCACTTTTTTTTTTCCTATTTTGACTTATATCCCTATCAGTTAGTGTTTATTTGTTTTTAAGATGGAGTCTTGCTCTTGTCGCCCAGGATGGAGTGCAGTGGTGCAATCTCAGCTCACGCAACCTCTGCCTCCCAGATTCAAGCAATTCTCCTGCCTCAGCCTCCCAAGTAGCTGGGATTACAGGTGCCCGCCACCACGCCCAGCTAATTTTTGTATTTTTGGTAGAGACGGGGTTGCGCCATGTTGGCCAGGCTGACCTCAGGTGATCCACCCACCTCAGCCTCCCAAAGTGCTGAGATTACAGGCGTGAGCCACCACACCCAGCCCCCCTTCTCTCTTCTAATCGAGGCCCACTGCTTCATCTGTCATCTCTATGAGGGTGACACTAAGCTGACAGCTCTGACAACCCTTTGGATGGTCCCACTGCCTGATGGCCATCTCTGTGTGGCATTTGAAACTCAGCTTGTCCACAAATGATCTTGTATCTTTCCCTCAAAGGATGCCTCATCTTGGGCCATGGCATTATTTTGCTAGTGTAGGATGAGATCAACTTGTCCTGCGGACACTTGATCCCATCCATCACCTGGGCCAATTCCGAGCTGTCTCCCTACTCCTGGCTTGTGGGCTGCCTGTCTGGCTGGGCTTCCCATTTTGGCTCAGTTCCTGCCTCCCTGGCTCCTGACTTGGTGCAGCTCCTGGCTCCAGTTTCAGATTCTGCCCCAGCTCCTGGTTCAACCCATAGAGGAATGGGGTGCCAGGCTGGTCCGAAGGTAGCTGAGTTACCTCTTATCTCAGTTGATTGTTCATAGTCAGTTACAGATCAAACTCCTTTTTTTTTTTTTTTTTGAGACAGAGTCTTGCTCTGTCACCCAGGCTGGAGTGCAGTGGTGCAGTTTTGGCTCACTGCAACCTCTGCCTCATGAGTTCAAGCAATTCTCCCTGCTTCAGCCTCCCAAGTAGCTGGGATTAACGGCGACCACCGCCATGCCTGGCTAATTTTTGTATTTTTAGCAGAGACAGGGTTTCATCATGTTGGCCAGGCTGGTCTCAGAACTCCTGATTTCAGGTGATCCACCCAACTCGGTATCCCAAAGCACTGGAATTACAGGCATGAGCCACTGCACCCAGCTTTTTTTTTTTTTTTTTTAGACAGAGTCTTACTTCACTCTGTCACCCAGGCTGGAGTGCAGTGGCATGATCTCCACTCACTGTAACCTCCACCTCCTGGGTTCAAGCGATTCTCCTGCCTCAGCCTCCCGAGTAGCTGGGATACAGGGGTGCACCACCACACCCGGCTAATTTTTGTATTTTTAGTAGATACCTGGTTTCATCATGTTGGCCAGACTGGTCTCAAACTCCTGACCTCAAGTGATCCACCTGCCTCCGCCTCCCAAAGTGCTGGGATTATAGGCATAAGCCATTGCGCCTGGCCTTGTTCTACTGTTTAATGCCTTCTCACTACTCCACTTGACTAGTCTAAAAAATAAAAAAATAGGGCCAGGCGCGTTGGCTCATCCCTGTAATCCCAGCACTTTGGAGGCCTAGGCGGGAGGATTGCTTGAGCCCAGGAATTCGAGACCAGTTGGGGTAACATAGCAAAACCTTGTAGCTACATAAAAAAGAAAAAATTACCCGGGGGGATTGTGCATGCCTATGGTCCCAGCTACCCAGGAGGCTGGGGTGGGAGGATCACCTGAGCCCAGGAGGTTGAGGCTGCAGTGAGCTGTGGTCTTGCCACTGCACTCCAGCCAGAGTGACAGAATGAAACACAGTCTCAAAATAAACATACATAAAAATTAAAATAAAAAATAAAAAAATAAAGGTATGGGGCACCCAAGACCACTCCTGGCAGGTCTCTGCTGCCCCGTTACTGAGCACCACCCTTGTCTCCAATCTACCCTGACTCTTTCTATACACACCTGCATGTGCAGACAGACACACACAATTAATACTTTGAGTACTGACATGAACATTTCAAGATCTGGCAAAGACTTGCCGGGCACAGTGGCTTATACCTGTAATCACAGCACTTTGGGAGGTTGAGGAGGGAGGATTGCTTGAGCCCAGGAGTTTGAGAGCAGCCTAGGCAACATGGTGAAACCCTGTCTCTATTTTTTTTTTTTTTAAAGGATCTGGCAAAGACTTTAGATAATACAGCTTTCAGTCTTGGAGTTCCTGATATACACTAGCTAGTAATAAGCTGAGAGTACTTTTCTTTTAGGCACGGGGTCTTGCTATGTTGCCCAAGCTGGCCTTGAACTCCTGGGCTCGAGTGATCCTCCCGCCTCAGCCTCCCAAGTAGTTGAGACTACAGATGTGGGCCATCACGCTCAGCTGTTTCTTTGGGTGTGTTTTTGTTGTTTCTGTGTTTGTTAACTATTTTATCTTTATGTTTTCTGCCTTTATTTTTAAAGTATATATAAAGACAATAACCTCTGTATATAAACCCTCCTTCCATCTTATAACCAAAACTAGCATCTGGGATTATATCCTTCCATGCCTTGTGTGTGTGTGTGTGTGTGTGTGTGTGTGTGTGTGTGTATTCTTTCACATACAAAAGGATATATACAGCTATATGGGATTTTTCTTTTGCTTGTTTTTATCAAAGTAGAATCATTCTATTCACTCTACTCTGCAACTTCCTGCTTTTTCACTTGACAATTTTCAAATTTCATGGACATCCCTACAAGTCAGTATTTTTAGATCTAACGTTATCTTTTTTTTTTTTTTTTTGAGACGGAGTCTCGCTCTGTCGCCCAGGCTGGAGTGCGGTGGTGCGATCTCCACTCACTGCAAGCTCTGCCTCCCGGGTTCACGCCATTCTCCTGTCTCAGCCTTCCCAGTAGCAGGGACTACAGGCGCCTGCCGCCACGGCCGGCTAATTTTTTTGTATTTTTAGTAGAGACGGGGTTTCACCATGTTAGCCAGGATGGTCTCGATCTCCTGACCTTGTGATACGCCCACCTCGGCCTTCCAAAGTCCTGGGATTACAGGTGTGAGCCACCGCGCCCGGCCACTTTATCCTTTTTTCACATTCATACATGCAAATACAGACAGATATCTTTTTTTTTTTTTTTTGAGACAGGGTCTCACTCTGCCACCCAGGCTGGAGTGCGCTGGCACTGTCTCAGCTCACTGCAACCTCTGCCTCCCAGGTTCAAGCAATTCTCGTGCCTCAGTCTTCCAAGTAGCTGGGATTACAGGTGCACGCCACCTGTATTTTTTGGTAGAGATGGGTTTCACTACGTTGGCCAGGCTGGTCTCAAACTCCTGACCTCAGGTGATCCATCCACCTCAGCCTCCCAAAGTGCTAGGATTACAGGTATGAGCCACCGTGTCTGGCCTTGAGAAATATACTTTTGAATAAATGAGATGCTCTTCTTGTTTAATCCCCCAAACATCTGGAGAAACATGGCATTCTCATCATTCTATTTTAGCACTTACTTTTTTTTTTTGAAACAGAGTCTGGCTCTGTCGCCAGGGCTGGAGTGCACTGGCACGATCTTGGCTCACTGCAACCTCCGCCTCCCGTGTTCAAGCAATTCTCTTGCCTCAGCCTCCCAAGTAGCTGGGATTACAGATGTGCGCCACCACGCCCAGCTAATTTTTGTATTTTTAGTAGAGACAGGGTTTCATCATGTTGGCGAGGCTGGTCTTGAACTCCTGACCTCAGGTGATCTGCCTGACTCAGCCTCCCAAAGTGCTGGGATTACAGGTGTGAGCCACTGCACCTGGCCTTTCTGGCACTTACTTTCTTGTGTAGGATGTGCTTTTTGTTTGTTTTTTATTTATCTTATTTTTATTCTTATTTATTTATTTTTAGACTGTGTCTTGCTCTGTCTCCCAGGCTGGAGTGCAATGGCACAATATCGGCTCACTGCAACCTCTGCCTCCCAGGTTCAAGTGATTCTCCTGCCTCAGCCTCCCAAGTAGCTGGGACTACAGGTGTATGCCACCACGCCTGGCTAATTTTTGTATTTTTAGTAGAGAGGGGTTTCACCATGTTGGCCAGGCTGATCTTGAACACCTGACCTCAAGTGATCTGCCCACCTCGGCCTCCCAAAGTGCTGGGATTACAGGCTTGAGCCACTGTGCCTGGCCTGTTTGTTTTTTTAGACAGGGTCTTGCTCTGTCACCCAGGCTGGAGTGCAGTGGGACAATCATAGCTCACTGCAGCCTTGAACTCCTGGGCTTAAGCAATCCTCTTGTCTTAGCTTTCCAAGTAGCTGGGACTACAGGTACCTGCCACCACACCCAGCTATATTTTTGCTTTTTGTAGAGATAGGGTCTCACCATATTGCCCGGGATGGCCTCGAACTCCTGGGCTCAAGTGAGGATGTGCTTTCTAAAAAACACATGTATCCATGACCAAACAGTAAATGTATAATCTTTTTAGTATTGTGCCTCCTCCAGAGTAAGAGCCCAAGGAATGTTTGCTGAATGAATGAAAGCTTGCATTATTACTCTTCCTAATTTACTTTTGGGTAAGTGGCTCAAAGCATTCAGCAACTTGTCCAAGAACCCACAACTGAAATACTCACTTATTAGTTCCAGAAGAAGACAAACAGTCCAATTTAAAAATGGGCAAAAAAGTTTAAGAAGAAACAGCACTGGCTGGGCACGGTGGTTCATGCCTGTAATCCCAGCACTTTGGGAGCCTGAGGCGGGCGGATCACGAGGTCAGGAGTTCGAGACCAGCCTGGCCAGCATGGCGAAACCCCGTCTCTACTAAAAATACAAAAATTAGCCAAGCATGATGATACATGCCTGTAATCCCAGCTACTCAGGAGGCTGAGGCAGGAGAATCGCTTGAACCTGGGAGGCGGAGGTTGCAGTGAGCCGAGATCGTGCCACTGCACTCCAACCTGGGTGCAACAGGGCGAGACTCCAGCACATTTGCACAGCCTAAAATTATCTCCCTGTCAAAGGTAAAGCAACTCCATCTTGGATGCTAACCCGCTATGTTGACTTCTGATTAATCCCTGTTCTAGGAATGCCGGTAAGATGTCCACTTTATCTACAGTTACCATAAATCCTGCCCTTAGGTCAAAACAACTTTGACCATAAGTCCTTCCCTTAGACAGGTTCACATAGCATTCTTGCCTTTCTCTGAGAAGTCAACTTCAATTGCCCTACACATTGCTTCCCTGTGGTATATAAGCCTTGGGTCTGGGTGGTAATGGCGCAGGTGTCCGCCATCTTGTCTCTTAACCACCTACAGTATGGCTTCTCTTCCTAAATCCCTATTAGATATCTTTTTTTGGGCCCGGCACAGTGGCTCACGCCTGTAATCCCATCACTTTGGGAGGCCGAGGCGGGTGGATCACAAGGTCTGGGAGGCCGAGGCAGGTGGATCACGAGGTCAGGAGATCGGGACCACCCTGGCTAACACTGCAAAATCCTGTCTCTACTAAAAATACAAAAAAATTTAGCCGGGAGTGGTGGCGGGCGCCTGTAGTCCCAGCTACTGGGGAGGCTGAGGCAGGAGAATGGCGTGAACCCGGGAGGCAGAGCTTGCAGTGAGCGGAGATGGCGCCACTGCACTCCAGCCTGGGCGACAGAGCGAGACTCCATCTCAAAAAAAAAAAGTCTTTTTTTTTTCTGAGAGACAGTGAGACAGCATGTGTTAGCATCTTTCTAAAGCCTCGCAGCTTCCTCAGCCTTTAGGGGTGGGTTTGCATACAACTACTTCCTGTGGAACACTCTCTCAAATAAGAAAATAATAACTTTACAGTGAAGAAATATGACAGACACCACCTTAACCAAGTGACTGAGGTGAACATCATCAGTAATAACACATATGTATGTGTCCTTGAGAGAATGTGCTAAAAGGACGCATCACTTCTGTGGTATTTTACCAAAAATTAATAGCATCTATCTAATTATGAGAAAAGACAAAGTAAGCCCACATGGAGGGAGATCCTGTAAAATATCTGGTCAGTACTATTCAGAAGTGTCAAAGTTTAGGCCCCGCACAGTGGCTCACGCCTATAATCCCAGCACTTTAGGAGGCCAAGGCCGGCGGATCACTTGAGGTCAGGAGTTTGAGATCAGCCTGGTCAACATGGTGAAACCCCGCCTCTATTAAAAAAAAATACAAAAATTAGCCAGGTGTGGTGGCACATGCCTGTAATTCCAGCTACTCGGGCGACTGAGGCAAGAGAATCACTTGAACCTGGGAGGCGGAGGTTGCAGTGAGCTGAGATCGTGCCATTGCACTCCAGCCTGGGTGACAGAGTGAGACTCTGTCTCAATTTAAAAAAAAAAAAAGTGTACTTGGGCTCCAGAAACCTGATGGGACAATGTGGCCATCTTCATATCAGATGCTAAACCAGATCCAAACCGAGTATGAAATGGGACATATTTCACCTGTTATAAAAGGCAGGTGATAGGACACTTACTCCTCTGGCTTTCTAAGAGATTAGGATTTTATGTCTGGAAACCAGCATCCCTCAAAAGTACAAGAGGGGTGGCACAGTGGCTCATGCCTGTAATCCCAGCAATTTGGGAGGCCAAGGCAGTAGAAATGCTTGAGCTCAGGAGTTTGAGACCAGCCTGGGCAACATAATAAGACCTCTGTCTCAGTAAAAAAAATTAAAACATAAATTAGCTGGACGTGGTGGTACACGCCAGCAGTCCCAGCTACTTGGGAGGCTGAGGCTGGAGGATTGCTTGAGCAACCCTCGGGAGTTGGAGGCTGTAGTAAGCGGTGATTGCGCCACTGCACTACAACCTGGGCGAGAGAGTAAGACCCTGTCCCCTCCCACCCCCTATAAAAAAAAAAGTACAAGAACTGTTTCCTAAATTGCTAGAAGAGAAGGTCAGAGTTGAACGCATCTCACAGAGTCCTGTAGTTTATATCCTGGGAGGAGTTTCCCTCAAATCCTGGCAAAGGGTTTTGCTGCTAAGGCAAGTGTGAGATCCTTAGTTTTGTTTTTGTTGTTGTTGTTTTGTTTGTTTGTTTGAGCTGGAGTCTCACTCTGCCGCCCAGGCTGGAGTGCAGCAGTGCAATCTTGGCTCACTTCAACCTCCGCCTCCTAGGTTCAAGCAATTCTCCTGCCTCAGCTTCCTGAGTATCTGGGACTACAGGACGCCACCATGCCCAGCTAATTTTTGTATTTTTATTAGAGATGGGGTTTCACTATATTGGCCAGGCTGGTCTCAAACTCCTGGCCTCGTGATCTGCCCACCTCGGCCTCCCAAAGTGTTGAGATTACAGGCGTGAGCCACCACGCCCAGCCAAGGTCCTTAGTTTTAACTCTCTCTGAGTTTCACAGAGGAAGGTAACTCGCTTGAGTCCTTTCCACACAGGGTCCCTCCAAACCACAAATTCCTGATTCCTAGTCTGGTTTATTCCTATTAAGAACTAGGCTGAGCCCTTAATCCCTGTTTAAAGGGGCCGTGTTTATTGAAGGCATAAACTCTGGGCAAAGGGTCATAAATCATTCTTTAGCTGGGTCCAGAGAGTGACGAGGGCACAAGACAGAGAATGGGCTCAAAGAAGCAATGTTATTAAGAATATCATCTGCTTGTCTGGTGTTTTTCCTTGGAGGTACACCCCTGAGAATCCTCTGCGCTAAAAATCTCTTTGCCTCTCCAGATCCAGCGCTCCAAACTCTCCAGCTGGCTCTGTGCCTAGAAGAAGGGATGGGAACAGCACTGACCACATCACCCTTGCCCTTGGCTTCCAACTGGGTTTAGACAATGGGAGGCACTAGGAGGAAATCAAAGTAGATGAGAAAGAGAGGGAGAGAGAGAGAGAGAGAGAGAGAGAGAGAGAGAGAGAGAGAGAGAGAGAAATGGCCGGGAGAGAGAGAGAGAGAGAAATGACTGGGCGCGGTGGCTCACGCCTGTAATCCTAGCACTTTGGGAGGCTGAGGTGGGCGGATCACCTGAGGTCAGGAGTTCAAGACCAGCCTGGCCAACATGGTGAAACCCTGTCTCTACTAAAAATACAAAAATTAGCAGGAATTGGTCATGGGCGCCTGTAATCCCAGCTACTCAGGAGGCTGAGTCAGGAGAATCGCTTGAACCTGGGAGGTGGAGGCTACAGTGAGCCGAGATCCCGCTACTGCACTCCAGCCTGAGCAACAGAGCAGGACTCTGTCTCAAATAAATAAATAAATAAATAAATAAATAAATAAATAAATAAATAAATATAAAAATAAATAAAAATATACAAAAGTTAGCCGGGCGTGGTGGTGGACACCTGTAATCCCAGCTACTTGGGAGGCTGAGGCAAGAGAATCACTCGAACACGGGAGGCGGAGGTTTCAGTGAGCCGAGATTGTGCCACTGCACTCCAGCCTGGGCAATAGAATGAGACCCTGTCGTGAAAAAACAAAAAAAGAGAGAGAGAGAGATTGGGGTATTCATCCCCCAGCTGCCTCCCTGCCACGCCACTTTCCACAGTGACTGTGGGTTTTCTACCTAAGGTCACAGCTCTGGGAAAATGCCTACTTTCCCATGACCAGAGCCCCCACCAGGTTACAGCACAGCTCCCTCCCCTTTTCTCTTTAGGTCTAGAGATGGTAACAGCTTCCTGGTGTTCCAGTAATATCTGGTGCTTTACCTGTCCCGGTTGATTCCCTTAACTCAGGTCACACCTTTGTACATAGTTCCTTCTCTTTCTTTTTCCTGAGAGAGGGTCTCGGTCTCTCAGGCTGGCGTGCAGGGGTGCAATCATAGCTCACTGCAGCCTCGACCTCCTGGGCTCAAGGGATCCTCCCGTCTCAGTCTCCTGAGGAGCTGGGATTACAGGTGTGCACCATCACACTTGGCTCACTGCAACCTCCACCTCCAGGGTTCAAGCGATTCTCGTGCCTCAGCCTCCCAAATAGCTGGGATTACAGGCGCGTGCCATCACACCCTGCTAATTTTTGTATTTTTAGTAAAGACGGGGTTTTGCCACGTTGCCCAGGCTGGTCTCGAACTCCTGGCCTCAAGTGAGCTGCCTGCCTTGGCCTCACAAAGTGCTGGGATTACAGGCATGAGCCACTGTGGCACGGCCACAAAAAATTTTTTAAAAATTAGCCAGACATGGATGGGCATGGTGGCTCATGCCTGTAATCCCAGCACTTTGGGAGGCTGAGGCGGGCAGATCACTTGAGGTCAGGAGTTCGAGACCAGCCTGGCCAACATGGTGGAACTCTGTCTGTACTAACAATACAAAAATTGGCCGGGCATGGTGGCATACACCTGTAATCCCAGCTACTTGGGAGGCTGAGGCAGGAGAATAACTTGAACCTGGGAGGCAGAGCCTGCAGTGAGCTGAGATTGCGACACTGCACTCCAGCCTGGGCAACAGAGCGAGAGTCTGTCTCTTAAAAAAAAAAAAGGAAGAAACTATGTACAAAGGTGTGACCTGAGTTAGGGGAATCAACCAGGACGGGTAAATTGGCAAAGCACCAGGATTTGCTGGAACAGCAGGAAGTCACTACACCCTATCTCTAAATAAATAAATGTTTTTTAAAAATTGAGATTTTTGTTTGTTTGTTTTTTGTTTTTTGCTTTTTGGAGATAGAGTTTCACTCTGTCATGCAGGCTGGAGTTCACTGGTGCGATCTCAGCTCACTGCAGCCTTCGCCTCCCAGGCTCAAGTGATTCTCCAGCCTCAGCTTCTCGAGTAGCTGGGATTACAGGCACATGCCACCACACCTGGCTACTTTTTTGTATTTTTTAGTAGAGACAGAATTTCACCATGTTGGCCAGGCTGATTTTGAACTCCTGGCCTCAAGTGATCTGCCCGCCTCGACCTCCCAAAGTGCTGGGATTACAGGTGTGAGCCACGGTGCCCGGCCAAGGTAATTTCCTCTTCCTCTGTCAGCGCCCCTACCGTGCTCCCACGCTCAGTTGTCATCTCCCTCTCCCTAGACATGAAAAATCAGGTGACATCTAATCTCTCCCAAAGCAACACAAGGGAGGGGGCACTCCCAAAGCCTCCCACAGAAACACAATTTAAGTAAAGGTGAAACCAGTCCAGTCCTTCCTATGCAAATGTAGCCTGAATGGCACCGCCATTGCCCATCCCCCAATCCCTGTGTCCAAGCCTTATTTGCGTAACCTCCCACGGGACAGAACTTCCTCCTCTCCCTTCTCTTCTAGGCCCTCATCATCTCTCATCTACGCTAGAGTCTCCCCACTGATTTCCTCCCTTCCATCAGGCCCCCATAATCCATCCCCACAATACAAGCTCCTCAGTGCACACATCTGAGCAAAAGTCTTCAGTGGCTCCTTAGTAACCGCAAATGCCCACCCCTCTTTCACTTCTCTATTGAATGTGTGAATTTTTACCAAACGCTCTTATTAAAAAAAATAAAAACAAAAACAAAAAAAAAACAGGCAGGGCAGGGTGGCTCACACCTGTAATCCCAGTGCTTTGGGAGGCTGAGGTGGTAGGATCATTTGAGCCCAGGAGATCATGACCAGCCTGGGCAATCCAGCAACATACCCCTCACTACAAAGAAATATGTATATATTTTTTTGAGACGGGGTCTCGCTCTGTCTCCCAGGCTGGAGTGCAGTGGCGCGATCTCTGCTCACTGCAACCTCTGCCTCCCTGGCTCAAGTAATCCTCCCGCCTTGTGAGTAGCTGGGACTACAGGCTTGCACCACCACGCCCAGCTAATTTTAAAATTTTTTGTACAGATGGAGTCTTGCTATGTTGCCCAGGCTGGTTTCAAAGTTCAGAGCTCAAACGATCCGCCTGCCTCAGCCTCCCAAAGCGCTGAGATTACAGGTGTAAGCCACCGCACCTGGCCAAATTTACAACACACACACACACACACACACACACACGAATCACCAAATTGTTAGGCCTAAAGGTGCCATTCATTACTCCGAGTTTCAAATAACTTTTAAAAAATACATCTATGCCGGGTGCTGTAGCTCATGTCTGTAATCACAGTACTTTGGGAGGCCAAGGTGGGAGGCTTGCTTGAGGCCACGAGTTCGAGACCAGTCTGGGCAACATAGAAAGACTCCATCTCTGCAAAAAAGATAGCCAGGCTTGGTGGCGTGCATCTGTAGTCCCAGCTACTCGAGAGGCCGAGGCAGGAAAATCGCTAGGACCCAGGAGCTCAAGGTCCCAGTGTGTTACGATCTGCACTCCAGCCTGGGCGACAGAGGGAGACTGACTCCAAATGAAACCAAAAAAAAAAAAAAAAACAAACAAAAACAAAAACAAAAACACACCTAAATTGGAGTTTAACGGAAAACTTTTAACTTTCTCCAGCACTCCTGCTAAGCATCACACTTCTCTCTGCTTGCTGGTACCCTGGCTGACGTCTGAGCAGGATGGGACGCGCGGCTCAGAGCCTAAGATAAACCGAAAGTGTCTACAGGGCTTTCTACCAACAAATAAGCTCTGACGGGTTCCTTTGATGAGGTTTGGGAGGCAGGTCCCGGGAGGTGCCCGCGGACTCAGCCCCGAACTCCGGGACCTGGGCTCTGCGATCCTTGCAGAGGGCATGGGCAGGGGCAGAATGGAGAAGTGCAGGACGGGGAAGCCTGGGAGCTGGGTGGGGGCGGCCACCCATTGAGCCGGATCCGGCCAGGCGCCCACGCTGCGCCCCGCCCGCGGGGCTGCGCTTTCCCGGGCTGCGGCCGCAGGGCTGGTCAGTCCGGCGCTCCCGGGTCCCAGGCCCGGAAGGAGCTAACGGGCTATTCGCAGGCGGGCTGGGATTCCCCCGGGGGAGGCCCCACTGCCCGGCCCGCGTCATCCCCGCCCATCTCCACGGGCCGTCGCGGGATAGCCCCCTGCAGGAGCGGGCAGGGTAGTGGGCGGCGCTTGGCGGAGGGCAGCACGCTCGGGGCGCGCGGGGACTGCGGCCGAGGGGAGGAGAGGGCGGTGCGCGGGCGGGGGCGGGGCGAGCGAGGGCATATCAGGGCAGCCCGCCCAGGCCACGCCCCATCCAGGCCTCGCCCCGTCCGCACCCCGCCCCGGCCCTGCCTAGAACGGCGGGACCACGGTGACTGACAGGACTCCAGACCAGTCACCACGCGCCTCGAGGCCCCGAGAGGCTAGTCGGGGCCGAGCCAGCGGAGGGGCTCCTGAAGGGGCGGGGGCGGGCGGGGAAGCCGTTCGGCGAGGGGCGGGGTCTCTGGAAGACTGGCAGAACTCACAGCCAATGGCAGGCGGGAGCCGTCCCGTTAGCGCCGGATCCCCGCGGGTAGGGCGGGGCGGGCGGCGCCGTGGGGATCCCGGGGCAGCCGAGGGCCCCTGACTCGGCTCCTCGCGGCGACATGGATCGGATGGCCAGCTCCATGAAGCAGGTGCCCAACCCACTGCCCAAGGTGCTGAGCCGGCGCGGGGTCGGCGCTGGGCTGGAGGCGGCGGAGCGCGAGAGCTTCGAGCGGACTCAGGTGAGGACGGGGGACCCCGGGGCATCCCTGGGGCACCCTGAGGGACGCGGTGTCCGGGAGGGGCTTTGAAGGGAGTAGGAGTCTTGCAGGCCCCAGTTGAAGACGGGGCGAGGGTGTAGTGAGCGGGGGCATTGACGTGCAGATCTGGGCGATCCCAGGAAGGTCGGGGACCCCAGGGTACCCCAGCTGGCCTGGGGAGAAGGGCAGAGGCGGGCTCGGAGGAGATGGCAGGATGCGTGGCCAAGAGGAGCCTGATCGGCTGGGTACCGGGCAGGAGTCCCAAGATGAGGTGAGAGGGGAAGGAACTGAAAAGGGGCGGAATGGAAGGGTTGCCCCTAAACAAGGGAAGCGCACGGGAGCCACTTGGAGGCTCAAGTGTGGGGGCGGAGAGTGGGGGCGCCGGGCTGGGAATGTGAAGGGTGAGGGGACCTCTCTTCCCCTCCGATCACTTCTTGGTTGCATTGACATCCCTTCCCACCCCCCACCCCTTAGCATCCCCCTTTCTCGATGCCTCTTGCTTGGCTCTGGCCAGCCCCAGCTGTCAGCTCTGAGGCCGGGCGGAAGGGGTCGGAGCAGGGAAAAGGAATGTAGGAAATGCAAAGTGTGGCCACTTTGTGGGAAAATTACTTTGGGGGCTAAAGTGGAGACCATGGTGCCCCTGAGCCCTGACTTGGGGTCTTGGTTTTATCCCCCAAGATGTGCCTGACAGCTAATAGGCAGACTGCCCTATTTGTCCTGCCTGGCCAGGGCTTGGGGCCAAAATTCCTCAGTGTCATCAACAAAAAGCCACAATCCATTTTTTTCTCCGAGTTTTTAATGCCTGGTGTATTGATTGGGCTGAATTAAGCTGACATGTTGATGGTGTTCATCAATTCATTTGTATGTAAAATCCATTTCAAAGAGTACAACGCTTCTTTTAATCCCAGTGCCAATGCTGGAGGGGCAGATTTCTTCTACACTCTTGTGCTCAGAGTGGAACCTTTGAAGATCCATTTGGGTCCCCCTCTCCAGAGGCTGGTCCCCTGATGTGTTATGCGAGGAATACTTCCCCCAAACACAGTTGGAGGGAAAGGGCTTTGGGATTTTAGTTAGAAAAGACAGTGAGAATCTGACTGAAGGTTCTGTATATGGAATCTTTCAAAGAATAGAGCTTTTGGCCGGGCGCGGTACCTCACACCTGTAATCCCAGCACTTTGGGAGGCCGAGGCGGGTGGATCACCTGACGTCAGGAGTTTGAGACCAGCCTGGCCAACATGGTGAAACCCTGTCTCTACTAAAAATACAAAAAATTAGCTGGGCGTGGTTGCAGACGCTTGTAATCCCAGCTACTTGGGAGGCTGAGGCCAGCAGAATTGCTTGAATCTGGGAGGTGAAGGTTGCAGTGAGCCGAGATGGCGCCACTGCACTCCAGCCTGGGCAACAAGAGCGAAACTCCGTCTCAAAATAATAATAATAAAAAAGAATAAAGCTTTTCACCCCCAGAGGACTTCATCCCCTCTTCTTATTCTGAAAACCTTTGGCCCCCCACCTGGGCAACATAGTGCGACCCTGTCTCTACAAAAAATAAAAAAATTAGGCTGGGTGCATTAGCTCACACCTGTAATCCCCGTACTTTGGGAGGCCAAGGTGGGAGGATCACTTGATCCCAGGAGTTCGATACCTGCCTAGACAACACACTGAGATCCCGCCTCTATTTTGAAAAAATTTTAAAATTATCCTCGTGTGGTGGCATACACCTATAGTCCCAGCTGTTTGAGAGGCTGAGGCATGAGGGTCACTTGAGCCAGGAGGCTGAGGCTGCAGTGGGCTATGATCGTGCCACTGCACTCCAGCCTGGGTGACAGAGTGAGACTCTATCTCTACAAAAAAGTGAAAAAAAGAAAGAAAACCGCGCGCAGGTGTGTCTGGATAGTGTGAAGCAGTGGGACCCTGTCTCTACAAAAAAAAAAAAGAAAAAGAAAAAAAGAAAGTGCCTCCATGCAGGTGTGTCTGGATGGTGTGAAGCAGGGAGTCTTCTCTACCTGGTTATCCTACCCCAGGAGGGAAGTGGGAAATGGTCATTTCACTTCTGCCTCCCAGGATCCAGCTAGGTTTGAGGCTTGTTCTCTGGTTTCATGGACCCGACCCCTGAAAAGAAGGAAGTTTTCCATTGGTCTTGGATGTTAGTGCCTCTGCTAGCTGCCTAGTTACATGAGGCTTCTTGCTCCATGAAACAGTGTGTATATTCCTTTTATTTTTATATTTTCATAGAGATGGGGGTCTCACTGTGTTGCCCGGACTGGTCTCAAACTCCTGGCGTCAAGTGATTCTTCTGCTTCTGCCTCCCAAAGTGCTGGGACTACAGGCATGAGCCATGGCACCCAGCCCTATTTTTTTTTTTAATAAATGAAATAAGAAAATAAATAGATATTATTTTTTAACAACCCGTTCCTTCTAGAGTCTCAAATAAGTAAAAACTAGAGCAATAGAGAAATATGCGTAAGACTTTGACCCATAATAGTGATAGAAATTAGGTTTGTGAAAGTTTCCACCCGTGAGTGGTATGTTTCCCTGCTATCCAGGGACGGCCCAACAGGAGAGTCTAGGTCAGTGTTTTCTGGTGTTTTACATTCTGTGGGACATTTGTGATTGGCCAGATTTGACCTGGGTGGGGTGGGTGGGGGTGAAGTAGAGTGGAGCAGAAAAAGAGAATTTTTCTGATGTTGAAACTCTTATTTTTAACTTTTTTTTTTTTTAAGACGGAGGTCTCACTGTGTTTTCCCAGGCTGGTCTTGAACTAGCCTCAAGCGATCTTCCCACCTCAGCCTCCCAAAGTGCTGGGATTTCAGGTGTGAGCCACTGCACCCAGCCTCTGGTGTTGAAACTCTTTAGGGGTGTAGGAGAGTAAAGAAAAAGAACCAGCCTGGACAACATAGTAAGACCCCATCTCTACAAAAAATAAAATTAGCTGGTTGTGGTATCACGTGCCTGTTGTCCCAGTAACTTTGGAGGTTGAGGTGGGAGGATTGCTTGAGCCCGGGAGGCAGAGGTTGCAGTGAGCAAAGATTGTGCCACTGCATTCCGGCCTGGGCAACAGAGTGAGACCCCATCTCAAATAAAAAAAAAAGAAAAAGAAAAAGAAAAGAAAAGAAAAGAGAACAGCCCTAAACCCAACGTTAGTCAATCTGCAAAAAAATTATTTTGTTTAATGACTACCTATCAAATGTATTATGAGGTTGCAGAGCTTGGTAAGCAAAGGGAAAAAAGGGGAAGAATGTATTATGAGATATAAAAAATGAATTAGAAAAAATTTAATGAGTTAGGAGACCATGAGAATCAGCCAAGGTATAATAATAACTAACTAATTATTGTGTTTGGCAGTATTCTAAGGACATCATTGTATTACCTTTTTAAATCTTGACAAGAACGGATGAGGTGGGTATCAGCCACATTTTACTCTCAGGACGATTGAGGCACAGAGAGGTTAAGTAACTCACCAGAAGTCACACAGCTGGAAACGGTCTCAACCTTTACCCACTGCCTCAGGCAGCCTCTGAGTACTGAGCAGATGCTGGCATTGGAGTTAGAAGGCATTTGAGGCTTACAGCTGGGCATGTACATGGGCCTTGTGGTCTCTGGGAAGTTGTCTAACCTTTCTAAGCCTCGGTTTCCTTATTGTCAAATAAACATAATACTTACCTGGCTGATTTATTGTGGGGATTCAATTAAGCCCAATATGCCTGAAGGCATTTTGTAAACTGTGGAGCACTAGTTCAGTGATTATTGTTATAATCTGACTGGGGAGACGAACCCGAGACAGCAGAAGTGTGAGCAATCAAGCAGGCTGTGATTAACTCTTCCTTAGAGGGATAGATGTGGTACTAGGTAATGGGATAATTACCAAGAGCACGTGGATAAAGCACAGGCTTTGGGGTTGGGAGCCCTCCCCGAGGACTGAAGCACATCTTGTAGCATGAGTTAGTGCTTGCTGGGTGGAGGAGGGGATGGGGCATTCCAGTGACAGAAGAACATAAATAAAGAGACATCTAGACTAGGCAGATAAACTTCCCAGCGGGTGCAGTGGAGACTCATTGGCTGGGGTAGACAGAGAGGCAAAATTGGCCACTCCCTCCTCTGAACTATAGCAGGGCTGGTGACCTCTCCTAGTTCCTGTGACCTTGTGCTGGCATCATTTCTCTCTGTGGCCCCCATTGAACACTGAGCTTATTGAGGGCAGGTCTGTGTCTTGCTCTTGCCTGCATCCTGAAGCTCATGGTTAGTGGTGAATGGGGTCAGCAAGGGAACCCTGGGCCTAGGTGGGTAGTTCAGCCCTGGGCCACAGGATATATTAATAATTACTTTATTTATTTTTATGTAAGAGATGGTCTCGCTCTATTGTCCAGTCTGGAGTGCAGTGGCACCATCATAGCTCAGTTTTGCCTGGGACTCCTGGGCTCAAGTGATCCTCCTGCCTTAGCCTCCTGAGTGCTGGGACTACAGGAGCATGCCACCATGCTTAGCTGATCTTTAAAATTTATTTATTTATTTATTTATTTATTTATTTATTTATTTATTTGAGACAGAGTCTCACTCTGTTGCTCAGGCTGGAGTGCAGTGGCGCCATCTCGGTTCACTACAACCTTCGCCTCCTGGGTTCAAGTGATTCTCCTGCCTCGGCCTCTCGAGTAGCTGGGATTACAGGCGAGCGCCACCACGCCCGGCTAATTTTTTGTATTTTTAGTAGAGACAGGGTCTCACTTGTTGACCAGGCTGGCCTCGAACTCCTGACCTCAGGTGAGCCGCCTGCCTCAGCCTCCCAAAGTGCTGGGATTACAGGTATAAGCCATCGTTCCTGGCCTAGAATTTTTTTTGTAGAGATGGGGTCTTGCTGTGTTGCCCAGGCTGGTCTTGAACTCCTGGGCTCAAGCAGTCCTCCCGCCTTGGCTTCCCAAAGTGTTGGGATTACAGGTGTGAGCCGCCGTGCCCGGCCTATAATTACTTGTTTTCTTATAATGCTCCAGGGTCGCTGTTGGTCTAGCCTTGCCTCCCGCATACCCAGTCTAGAGCCTGGCCACATGCCCATCAAAAGACTCTCACTGCTCTGCCTGCCTTCTTCTGTCCTGGCGTCTATACCCTCAGACCAGCCTTGCATACCTACTCCTGCCAGCCTCCTCCAGGAAGCCTTGCCTCCTCAACTCTCCTGCACCATCCTCACATTTCACCTGGCCACTGTCACTGCCAGAGGAGGCACCACTGACCTGCCTCATGGCCCAGCCACTGCACCCATCTCCAACCAGACCCTTGGTGTGTTCCCCACCCAATCCATCACAAGCCACTTTCAAGCTTTAGGGAAGTGAAAAGTACTGCCTGCCCTCAAAAAAAAAAAAAAAAGAAAAAGAAAAGAAAGGAAAAGAAAAGAAAACCCAGCCGTAATAAGGAGACCTTATCAGGAGTACTTTACAGTTTATAAAGCATGTTTCTAGCCATCATTGGGACCACACGGTGGTCAGTCATTATCATTTTCATTTTATGGATGAGGACATCGTGACTCAAAGAGCTTGGTAACGTGCCCAGGGTCATCCCACGGGTGAGTGGAAGGGCCAGGATTCAAAACCAGGACTCCAGGTTCCAAGTGTCAGGCCCGTTCGACCACACTGTCCTCCCACCAGCCAAGAGGGCAATTCTGGAATCAGCCAGGAGGGCTGTCAATCACAGGACAAATAAAATAGTCTGTTTTTACTTAGCTGGAAAATGGTTTTCTCCATGGTTTGTTTATTTCTTCAACATCCGTTTAGTGAGCACATACCGTGGAGGAGACACAGAGATGAGTAAGATAAAGAGACCGGCTCTGGGGGGCTCGTGAGTCAGCAGGGAGGCAGACTGGCCACTGCGGGGCTCCTGGACAAGCCTTGGGGCTCTGATGTGGTCAGGCCCCGAAACACCAGCATCACCAGGGCCATTAGGATGTTGGGCACCACCCAGAACTACTGAATCAGGACTTGTCGTGTTCACCACAGCCCTGGGTACTCTGTGTACGCTGATGTTTGAGCAACAGTGCTCTGTAGTAGGTGAGTTCTGGGATTAGAGGAAAAGACACAGAGTGGGGAACAAACCTTTAGAGAGTCAAAATCTCTTTGGGTGAGCCGGGCGCAGTGGCTCATGTTTATCATCCCAGCATTTTGGGAGGCTGAGGCGGGAGGATGGCTTGAGCCCAGGAGTTCGAGACCAGCCTGGGCAACATAGCGAGACCCTGTCTCTACAAAAAAATCAAATCAAATCAAATAATTAGCTGGGCATGGTGGTGCTGCCTGTAGTCCCAGCTACTCGGCAGGCAGAGACAGGACGATTGTTTAAGCCCAGGAAGTTGAGGCGGCAGTGAGCCGTGATCACACCACTGCACTCCAGACTGGGTGACAGAGCCAGACCCTGTAAAAGGAAAAACAACACAAAAAAAGCCAGAAACAAACAAAAAAAGTCGGTGGATAGCGCATACGTCAGAGCAAAGGATCTTAATGCATCCTGCGTTGAGAAGAGCCTTAGATCCTAGAGAGAAAGAGATAGAAACAAATATTTATTGAGGGCCTGCTGGGTACCAGGAACATGCTGGGTGATTTATATCTATGATTTCATTTTAATAGCTCAGGCTCAGAGAGGCTAAGTGACTTGTCCAAGGTCACACAGCGAGTGAACCGAGAAGCCAGGACTTCACAACCAAATGGCAAAGTCCTTTTTTTCATGTTTACGTTGCGGGTACTTCTGCCCTCTTGCTCATGATCTTAAGCAGATGCTCAGCCTTAGTTCAGCAGCTAAAAAATTTTAGGGCTGGGCTAGAAGGATCTGCGGTTCTCAACCCTGGCTGGAGAGCTCTTTGAAAAAATAAAATACTGTTTCTCTGGGCCCCCTGCATAAGGATTCTGTCTCATTGGTATGGGGTGATCATTGACATTTTGTAAAGTCCCAGGTGGTTCTCATGTGCAATCAAGATGGTGACCGTGGGTCCTGATGGGTTCCCACACCCCTGGCACCCCACGGACTTTGGGTGGCTCAGTTGGTTCTGGTTATACTCAGAAAACCAAGATGGCCCTAAGCCTGCTTCCTGCAGGTAAGAAGCATCTGTGTCAGGTTTGTTCTTTAGGAATGCAAATGCTCAGAGCCAGGCTGTGTAGCACCCTGAGCCTTGAACCTGGCGCCCCACCCCTTCTGCTTCTGGAGCAGGTGCACAAAGAAGTCACCCCTTGCCTGAAGTCTGAGCAGGTGCCTTCTTGCAAGGAGAGCTGCTCGTGAACCCCATTTTTCCATTTACTTGACAATCAGAGCTGGCGTTTTTTTTTTTTTTTTTTTTTGAGTTGGAGTCTCTGTCACCCAGGCTGGAGTGCAATGGCGCCATCTCGGCTCACTACAATATGTGACTCCTGGGTTCAAGTGGTTCTCTCACCTCAGCTTCAGGAGTAGCTGGGATTATAGGCGTGCGCCACCATGCCCAGCTAATTTTTGTATTTTTAGTAGAGACGGGGTTTCATCATGTTGGCCAGGCTGGTCTCTAACTCCTGACCTCAAGTGATCCGCCCACCTTGGCCTCCCAAAGTGCTGGGATTACAGGCGGGAGCAACTGCGCCTGGCCCAGAACTGGCTTCTTAAACTTCTGTACCCTTCTATCTCCCCAACCTTGCTCCTTTAGTGGGTATTGAAAACTTAAGAAGGAAGTTAAGAGCTTTCTTTTGGTCCCTGGTTTTGTACTGTCCTGAGTTTCTTCCCAGTGATGGTAATGGTAATCGTCAACATTTACTGACCAGGCATGGTGGCTCATGCCTGTAATCCTGGCACTTTGGGAGGCTGAGGCGGGCGGATCACTTGAGGCCAGGAGTTCGAGACCATCCTGGCCAACACGGTGAAACCCATTCTCTACTAAAAATATAAAAATTAGCTGGGCGTGGTGGTGCATGCCTGTAATCCCAGCTACTCGGGAGGCTGAAGCAGGAGGATCGCTTGAACCCGGAAAGTGGGGAGGTTGCATTGAGCCGAGATCACACCACTGCACTCCAGCCTGGGCAACAGAGAAAGACCTTGTCTCAAAAAAAAAAAAAAAATTACTGCCCACATACTGTGTGCAAATGGTAAAGGCCTTACATGAGCCACCCTTTTCGATCCTTGCAACACATGTATGAATTATAATTCCTATTTTAGGCTGGACACGGTGGCTCACACTTGTAATCCCAGCACTTTGGGAGGCCGAGGCGGGTGGATCACCTGAGGTCAGGTGTTCAAGACCAGCCTGACCAACATGGAGAAACCCTGTCTCTGGTAAAAATACAAAATTAGCTGGGCGTGGTGGCGTGCGCCTGTAATCCCAGCTACTTGGGAGGCTGAGGCACGAGAATCACTTGAACTCGGGAGGCAGAGGTTGCAGTGAGCTGAGATCGCGCCATTGCACTCCAGCCTGGGCAACAAGAGCGAAACTCCGTCTCAAAAAAAAAAAAAAATCCTATTTTACAGAGGAGGAAATTGAGGCTTTCAGGGGTTGATAGCTATGCTCTCTGTTTGTCCTTCTGTCACTGCCTGGCACCCTCTGCTCTCTTCCTCCTTATGCTTGGGGTCCCCAAGGCGTTGTCCTCACCCCACTTCTCTTTTACCTCCTGTCCACTTCCTTTGCCCTCACCTCTGTCTGATGGTTTCTGTTCTCACTTCTGTGGCACTGACTCCCCACATCTCCCTCCTGACTTCCCAGCCTGAGTGACCACTTCCCACTGGACAACTGTACCCCCTCGGGCGGCCCCATGGCAGGACAATGGTCCCCACCTTCTCTCTGGTGTCAGTTCTGAGCCCTCCCTCCTTCCTGCCCTCACAGCCGCATTCTGTTGAGTGCCTCTGTGAGACTTGTCTCACCCATTCATCCTGTGAATCTTGCATTTCCTGCTCTTATTACATCTTGCCTGGATTTTTGTCATCTCATCCTGCCTGCCCTCTAAATCACCTGTTCTGGACAGTGTCCCTCAAATCCAACACTGTGATTTTTGTTTGTTTGTTTGTTTTGTTTTGAGACAGAGTATCGTTCTTGTCAACCAGACTGGAGTGCAGTAGCGCGATCTCGGCTCACTGCAACCTCTGCCTCCTGGGTTCAAGCTATTCTCCTGCCTCAGCCTCCTGAGTAGCTGGGATTACAGGCGCCTGCCACCATGCCCAGCTCATTTTTGTACTTTTAGAAGAGACTAGGTTTTGCCATGTTAGCCAGGCTGGTCTCGAACTCCTGACCTCAGGTGATCTGCCCACCTCAGCCTCCCAAAGTACTGGGAATACAGGCGTGAGCCATTGCGCCCGGCCGCTTTTTTGTTTTTTAAGAGATAGAGTCTTGCTGTGTTGCCCAGGCTGGAATGCAGTGATGCGATCATAGCTCACTGCAGCCTCGAATTCCTGGGCTCAAGTGATTCTCCCACCTCAGCCTCCTGAGCAGCTGGGACTACAGGTATGTGCTGCCACACCCAGCTAATTAATTTTTTTTTTTTTTTTTTTTTTTTTTTTGCAGAGACAAGATCTCACTACGTTGCCCAGGCTTGTCTCAAACTCCTGGCCTGAAGCGATCCTCTCGCCTCAGCCTCCCAAATTGTTGGGATTATTGAGTCACTGCACCTGGCCCAACAATGCTTCTTCTTTTTTTTTTTTTCCTGTTCTAGTTTCTTATTTTTATTCACTTGTTAGAATTTTGGTTTTTTTTTTTCTTCTGTTTCCTCTACACTTTTTTTCCTCAACTTTTAAGTTCAGATGGTACATGCGCAGGCTTGTTACATGGGTAAACTGCATGTCACTGAGTTTTGGGGTATGAATGATCCTGTCACCTAGGTAGTGAGCATAGTACCCCATAGGTAGTTTTTCACCCCACTTCCCCCCACCATACTCCCCCTTCACTGACAACTACTTTTATAACTGCCCTTTTTCAAAAACTTTTGCTGCCTTCTCTGAGACCCTGCCTGATATGGCACCATCAGGGTCCCTCGTCCCTGGTCCCTGGTCCCTGTCCTTTTTTTTTTTTTTTTTTTTTTGAGACAGAGTCTCGCTGTGTCTCCCAGGCTGGAGTGCAGAGACCCCATCTCTGAAAAAGAAGATTAAAAAAAATAAAAATAAAGGGTTGGTGCTGCACGTTAAGAAGGATGGGGCGTGTCCCTATGGCCCAGGAGATCAGATTCCCTGCCCCACTTGGGCACTGAAAGGGTTCCCCCTCTGGCACTTCTGCAAGGCACTGATGAAGACTGTTTTCTGCTCCCCATTCATTGGCCCACTTATTCCACTGCCTCAAGGCGAGGTGTGGCGGAGACCTGGGTGTGGCAGCGGGCACAGCCTTGTGCAGTGGGCTGGCAGCCAGCTCTCCTCCTGCATCAAGGAGGGTTGATGACCTGGAGAGATGCCCACCTGGGAAAGAGAACTTGTCAGCCCCACCTCCCGGCAGGGTGGTGGCTGTTTCCTGTTTTCCTGCCTGGGCAGCCAGGGAGGAGCTCTGTTCCCAGTGTGTGGGCAGGACTTGTGAGGGGAGAGGGACCGTGATTTAAGGTGTCTGCTGGCTCAGAGGAAGAGAGAATGGCATCTTTTCTTGGATCAGAAAGGTTGCTGCTGCTGCCTCTGCTAATACTGCCACAAGACAGCTCAGGAAGCCAGTGTGGCCTATGGCTTGTGTTTAACACAAGTAACACTATCGTTTAAAGGCATGTTGACACATTACTCCTTTGAAGCCACAGAGCAAGCATGCAGTAGATGGTTGTGGTCAGTTTTCAAATACAGACACTGAGGCTCAGAGAGATTAAAAGACTTGTTTGAGAGCACTCAGGAAGTGGCAGAACTGAGGTTTGAACCTGGCTTGTCTGGCCCCAAATTTTATACTTTCTTTCTGTATCTCCCTTTAAAGCGGAAGCCGGGTCAGTGGCTTAGATATGTGTGACTTAGAAAAGGTACAGACATTTATTTTGCTAAGTTTTTTTTTTTTTTTTTTTGAGATGGAGTCTCGCTTTGTCACCTAGGCTGGAATCCAGTGGTGTAATCTCAGCTCACTGCAACCTCCTGCTCCTGGATTCAAGCAATTCTCCTGTCTCAGCCTCCTGAATAGCTGGGACTACAGGCACATGCCACCATGCCCGGATAATTTTTCTATTTTTAGTAGAGACGGGGTTTCACCATGTTGCCCAGGCTAGTCTCGAACTCCTGACCTCAGGTGATCCACCCGCCTGGGCTTCCCAAAGTGCTGGTATTATAGGCGTGAGCCACTGCGCCCAGCCTTATTTTTCTAAGTCTTTTCTGGTTGACTTATTTGGACACTGAAAATTCCTCCCAGAAGAAAATATTTGCAACACACATAATTATCAAAGGGCCTATATCCAGAATATGTAAAAAATTTAAGAGAAACAAACAAAAAACTTTAAAAAAAAAAAAAGAAAGAAAGAAAAGGCCAGGCACTGTGGCCCATGCCTGTAATCCTAGCACTTTGGGAGGCTGAGGTGGGCGGATCCCTTGAGCCCAGAAGTTCGAGACCAGCCTAAGCAACATGGTGAAAACCCGCCTGTACAAAAAATACAAAAACTTAGGTGTACATCTATAGTCCCAGCTACTCGGCCTAGGAGACTGATGCCAGGGACCTGGGGAGGTCAAGGCTGCAGTGAGCCATGATCACACCACTACACTCCAGCCTGGGTGACACAGTGAGACCTGTGTCTCAAAAACAAACAAAAAGACAAACTTAATTTAAAAAAAAATAAGCAGGAGATACTTAATGAAAGGGGATAAACAAATGGCCAATAAACTTATGAAATGGTGTGCAGCTTCATTAGCAATCAGGAAAATGCAAATTAACATTTAATAAGGTACTGGCCAGGCACAATGGCTCACACCTGTAATCTCAGCACTTTGGGAGGCTGAGTTGGGCAGATCACCCGAAGTCAGGAGTTCGAGACCAGCCTGGCCAACATGGTGAAACCCCATCTCTACTAAAAATATGAAAATTAGGCAGGCATGGTGGGGCGTGCCTGTAATCCCAGCTATTTGGGAGGCGGAGGTTGCAGTGAACCGAGATGGAGATCGTACACTGCACTCCAGCCTGGTGGACAGAGCGAGACTCTGTCTACCAAAAAAAAAAAAAAAAGAAAAACATTTAATGAGATACCTCTACATGCCCATCAGGATGGCTGAAATTAAAAATATTAAAAAAAGAAAACTTGACAGTGCCAAGCATTGGCAAGGACGTGGGGTGATAAAAATGCCCGGCCAGGCATGGTGGCTCATGCCTGTAATCCCAGCACTTTTTGGAGGCCAAGGTGAGCGGATCGCGAGGTCAAGAGTTCGAGATCAGCCTGGCTAACAAGGTGAAACCTTGTCTCTATTAAGAATACAAAAAATTAGCCAGGTGTGGTGGCATGTGCCTGTAGTCCCAGCTACTCTGGAATCTGAGGCAGGAGAATCGCTTGAACCCGGGAGGCAGAGGTTACAGTGAGCCAAGACCGAACCATTGCACTCCAGTCTGGGAGACAGAGCGAGACTCCGTCTCAAAGAAAAAAAAAAAAATGCCCAGGCACTGCAGGTGGGACTGTAAACTGGGGCAACCACATTGGATAATGTCTAGTGTTATGCTAAAACTAAAGACAGGCATCCTCAGTAATTTAGCCATACCACTGCTAGTTATATATCCAACAGAAATGCAAGCACAGCTGGGCGCGGTGGCTCACGCCTGCAATCCTAGCAGTTTGTGATAACAAGGCAGGCAGATCATTTGAGGTCAGGAGTTCCAGACCAGCCTGGTCAACATGGTAAAACCGCGTCTCAGCTAAACTACAAACAAACAAACGAACAAACAAACAAACAAAAACTGGGCATGGTGGTACATGCCTGTAATCCCAGCTACAGGGAGGCTGAGGCAGGAGAATTGCTTGAATCCGGGAGATGGAGACGCAGTGAGCCGAGATTGTGCCACTGCACTCCAGCCTGGGCAACAGAGTGAGACTCAGTCTCAAAAAAAAAAAAAAAATGCATAGCACATGCACCCACAGACATTTAGAAGAATATTCATAATCATATTTTATAATAGTCCCAACCTGCAAACACACCAAAAGCCCGTGAACAGTAGATGGATGTATACATAATATAGTCTTTCATCAGAATACTATACACCCATGAAAATAAACTTTAGTTACATTCAACAACACGGATGAACGCTGCAAACAGAATGTTGAGTGAAGAAAAAGGCAGACACAAAAGGACATTTTCTGTATACTTCAATTTGCTTGCTTAGATAGTAAAACTGTAAAGAAAAAAGGAAGTGATTCTCATAAAAGACCAGTAAAAGTTATCTTTGGGTGCAGGGGAGGTTGGTGATTGGGAGGGTGGGGAAAGGGAGTTTCTGAGACCCTGCTAGCGTTCTGCTAGCCTCGGTAATGGTTTTTGATAATTCATTAAGCAATACGGTTTTGTGCAGTGTTCTTTATATTTCAAAATACAAACTTAAAAGAAAAAAACAAAAAACTCCTAGCTGGGCATGGTGCCGCATGCCTGTAATCACAGCACTTTGGGTGGCTGAGGCGAGAGGATCACTTGAGGCCAGGAGTTTGAGACCAGCCTGGGCAACATAGTGAGACCCTGTCTCTACAAAAAGATTTTTTTAATTAGCCAGGTGTGGTGGTGCATGCCTGTATTCCCAGCTACTAGGAAGGCTGAGGTGGGAGGATCGCTTGAGCCCAAGTTGGAGGCTGCAGTGAGCTATGATGGCACCACCGTACTCCAGCCTGAGTGACAGAGTGAGACTCTGCCCCTAAAAACAACCAACACAACAGAACTCCCCCCACAGAGTCAGAGTAGGAGACAGTGTCTAAGAACCTGCCCCTTACCCTGTTGATGCATCCTTTGAGGTCTCTCTCAAATTCTGCCTCCCCTCGGAAGCATTCCCAATGCTGCCCTAGAATTGGGGAGCGTTTGATTTATGAACCACGCATCTGCAAGCAGCATCTTCCTAGAGCTGCTGTAACTTGCAGCCAGGAAATTGAGCCCTGTTGTTAGCCAGACTCAGAGTGTTGCTATTCCACATGCCCAAGTTGTGGCTTCCATTCATTCGTGTCTTGTGTCTACCTTCCTTACTGGCACACAGGCCCTAAATTTCTCATTCAACTTTTAGTATATTGCCCCAGCATCTAGCAGAGGGCTTTATCCCAGCTAAGGCTGAGGATGTCTGTTAAATAGAAAATAAATTAGTGGCGATGGCTAGGCATGGTGGCTCACACCTGTAATCCCAGCACTTTGGGCAGTTTTTTAGGCTGGGTGCAGTGGCTCACATCTGTAATCCCAGCACTTTGGGAGGGCAAGGCGGGCAGATCACCTGAGGTCAGAAGTTGGAGACCAGCCTGGCCAACATGGCAAAACTCTGTCTCTACTAAAAATACAAAAATTAGCCAAGCATGGTGCCGGGTGCCTGTAATTGCAGCTACTCAGAAGGCTGAGGCAGGAGAATCGCTTGAACCCGGGAGGCAGAGGTTGCAGTGAGCTGAGATGGCACCGCTGCACTCCAGCCTGGCGACAGAGTGAGACTCAGCCTCAAAAAATAAAAATAGGCTGGGCGCGGTGGCTCACGCCTGTAATCCCAGCACTTTGGGAGGCCAAGGCGGATCACCTGAGGTCAGGAGTTCGAGACCAGCCTGGCCAACATGGTGAAACCCCGTCTCTACTAAAAATATGAAAATTAGCTGGGTGTGGTGGCTCACAACTGTAATCCCAACTACTCAGGAGGCTGAGGTGAGAGAATCGCTTGAGCCCCGGGGGCGGAGGTTGCAGTGAGCTGAGATTGCACCACTGTACTCCAGCATGGGTGACAGAGCGAGACTCTGTCTCTCTTTCTCTCTCTCTCTCTCTCTCTATATATATATAAATGATAATAATAATAAAAAAATTAGCCGGGCGCACTGACACACACCTATAGTCCCCGCTACTTGGGACGCTGAGGTGGGAGGATTGCAGAAGGACCTTCAGAACAGGAGGCCTTCTACATGGCAGAAGGGACTTTGCAAATGTAATTAAGGATCTTAAAGCAGGGAGGGTCTTGGATGATCCAGGTGGGCCCAGTCTAATCACATAGATCCTTAAAAGCAGAGTAACTTCTCTAGCTACAAGCACAAGGGAGTTTCCCAGCATGAGAAGGGTTTCATGCACAGCTGCTAACTCTGAGATGTGGGAGGACCAGAGGGAGGCCTCTAGGAGCTAAGGGTGGCCCCTGGCTGAGACCCAGCAAGGAGACGGGGACCTCGGGCCTGGCACTGCAAGATGTCGGATTCCACCAACAACCTGAATGAACTTGGAAGCAGATTTTCCCAGGCCCTCCAGGACAGAAGACAGGGCTGTTGATGCCCCAATTTTAGCCCAGTGAGACCTGTTGCATTCTCACCTACAGAACTGTAAGATAATAAATGGCTGGGTTTGTTTTTTGTTTTGTTTTCTGAGATGGAGTCTTGCTCTGTCGCCCAGGGTGGAGTGCAATGGCGCGATCTCGGCTCACTGCAACCTCCGCCTCCTGGGTTCAAGGGATTCTCCTGCCTCAGCCTCCTGAGTAATTGGGATTACAGGGACGCACCACCACACCCAGCTAATTTTTTGTATCTTTAGTAGAGATGGGATGGGGTGTCACCATGTCGGCCAGGCTGGTCTCGAACTCCTGACCTCATGATCTGCCCACCTCGGCCTCCCAATAAATGGCTGTTGTTTTAAGCTGCTGAGCCTGCAGTAATTTGTTACAACAGTGATAGAAAATGAATACAGGATAACAGGTAACTCCTGCTTCAGGGCAGGAGGCCTGATGGGTCCCATGTCTCGCTGCATAGACAGACAGGCCACCCTTTCAGACCTACAGGAATACTTGTCGTTTCATTGGTGCTTGTCGTGGCTGCAGATCAAACACTGGATTTACACCCCTGGCACTCATGCACAAAAGTCTTATCCTGGAAAAACAATTCAGCAGCCTGTTCAAAACATTTTTTTTCCTGCTGAGCCATGGAGTTCTTTGTTGCAATTCCAAGTTTGGGGATCACAGATATAATTTACTTAACCTTAAAAAAAATTTTTTTTTATCAAGTGCTATGCTGTCTATTAGAAAAAGGAAAGTGAGAAATCCCAGTGCAACTGTAGGGTCATGATGGCATCTCTGCTGGAAAGAGAGCTTACAGCTAGGAAATGGAACGGGAAGTAAATAGGTGCTTCCCCCAGGGTAGGCCTGCCGCATCCGGATACTTACTCAGGCTCATGGTGGTGGTCTGGAATGTCCCAGCATTCTGGGTTTGGCTGCAGAGGAGCCAAGAGCTCCCAGAGCACTGGATTAGGAATCGGGAAGTCTTACTTCTCCAAGCTGTGGCTGTCTCTGATCTGCCTGGTCCCTGCCCACTATAACTATAGGTCTTCAGTCTGGCTCTGTAATGAGGGGTGTTGGATGAGATTGTCCCAGAGGCTTACAGACTTAGTGATTCTGTGAAAGTGCAGTTATTACTATTTTTTATTTTTATTTTTTTAGAGACAGGGTCTCACTATGTCGTCCAGGCTGGAGTGCAGTGGCATAATTACGGTTCACTGCAGCCTCAAACTCCTGGGCTCCAGCAATCCTCCCACCTCAGCCTCGCAAGTAGCTGGGACTACACATGCACACCACCATGCCTGGCTAATTTTGAACGTTTTTCTTAGAGACGTGGGGGGGTCTCACTATGTTGGCCAGGCTGGTCTTGAACTCCTGGCCTCAAGTGATCCTCCTGCCTCCGCCTCCCAAAGTGCTGGGATTACGGGTGTGAGCCACCACGCCTAGCGTGCAGTTATTGAAGCAGCAGCCTGTCAGTTACACTGTCAGTTACACTAGTGAGGTAGCAGCCCTGTTGGAGCCCACTGCCTTTTGACACCTGGCCCTTGTTAGGCTAGCTTTGCTGTCCTGATTCTTAGCTTGCACATGGGATCCTGTTTGCCTCTTCCCTCTCTATGAGACCCTCTCTCCTGGTTAACAGTGGCTGCACACAGCTTCTGTGGGTAACTTCTGCATTGATCACATGGGCCTTTGCCCCCCCAGAAGAACTGGTTTCCCAAAGTTATTCACCCAGATAACTTACCCAATAAGGAAGACTTTTTGCAATTAGTTACTTCTGCCCACTTACCATCTTCTGTCCTCTGCTTAGGGCTCCCAGGTACAGTTGCACAGGCTGAGCGTTGCACAACTTTGGGAGTGTCTTTGGATCCTGGCCTTCCCAGTAGGCCTAGCTTGTAGCATATAACAAAAATAATTCTCCAGAAAAACTTTTTTTTTTTTTTTGAGACAGGGTCTTGCTGTGTCACCCAGGCTGGAGTGCAGTGGTGTGAACATAGCTCACTGCAGCCTCGAACTTCTGGGCTCAAGCCATCCTCTTAGAGCCTCCTGAGTAGCTGGGACTACAGATGTGTGGCACTATGCCCAGCTAATTTTTTTTTTAGATAGAGTCCTGCTCTGTTGCTCAGGCTGGAGTGCAGTGGTGCAATCTCGGCTCACTGCAACCTGCACCTCCCAGGTTCAAGCAATTCTGCCTCAGCCTCCTGAGGAGCTGGGATTACAGGCACCCACCATCATGCCTGGCTATTTTTTATATTTTTAGTAGAGATGAGTTTTCACCATTTGGGGCAGGCTGCTCTCAAACTCCTGACCTCAAGTGATCCACCCGCTTTGGCCTCCCAAAGTGCTGGGATTACAGGTGTGAGCCACCGTGCATGGCTGTGACCAGCTAATTTTTTGATTTTTTATAGAGATGAGGTCTTTTTTTTTTTTTTTTGAGATGGAGTTTTGCTCTTGTTGCCCAGGCTGGAGTGCAATGGCCCGATCTTGGCTTACCGCAACCTCCGCCTCCCAGATTCAAGCGATTCTCCTGCCTCAGCCTCCCTAGTAGCTGGGATTACAGGCATGTTCCACCACACCCAGCTAATTTTGTATTTTTAGTAGAGATTGGGTTTCTCCATGTTGGTGAGGCTGGTTTTGAACTCCCGACCTCAGGTGATCCGCCCACCTCGGCCTCTCAAAGTGCTGGGATTATAGGCGTGAGCCACCGCACCCGGCTGAGATGAGGTTTTGCTATGTTGCCCAGGCCAGGAGAAAAACCTTTTGACACTAAATCAGAGGCCACATGGAGTGTCTGAATATCATGCCATTGCAGTAAACCTGTGCCCCAAACGACTAAACCTGTTTGACATAGAGAAAGTTAGACCTGGCAGGGACCTGAGAGATTATTTAATAAGTGATTGCAGGCTGGCAGCCACAGATATGTTTCTTTAACTTCTTTTAGAAGTGGGGGTCAGCCTTTAGAGCCAGAGTAGGCTCAGAGAGATTCCCTTTAACTTTTAAGAAGAAACTTGAGGCTGGGCATGGTAACTCACGCCTGTAATCCCAGCACTTTGGGAGGCCAACGCGGGCAGATCACTTGAGGTCAGGAGTTTGAGACCAGCCTTACCAACACGGTGAAACCCCATCTCTACTCAAAATACAAAAATTAGCCAGGCATGATGGCAGGCACCTGTAGTCCCAGCTACTTGGGAGGCTGAGGCACGAGAATCGCTTGAACCCAGGAGGCGGAGGTTGCAGTGAGCCAAGATCACACCACTGCACTCTGGCCTGGGTGACAGAGCGAGACTCTGTTTCAAAAAACAAACAAACAAACAAACAAAAACAAAACAAAACAAAAAACTTGAAACCTGTAGCCAGTGCATAAACACATTGGTTTGCCAGAGTCCCCACCACTCTCTATCGTCTCTATCGTCTTCCACCAGCTTCATGCACTGAGCCTTATTTTCCCAGTTCCTGGAGTTGTCTAATGTGTGGTCTCTGATTTAATCCAGTTTCCTAGAGGAAGCCGAGGATTAGAAAAGGCAAAATAACTCCCCTAGGGTCCATGCCACAAGTAATAGTCCAAACCTGAGGGAGACCCAGCCTTGTGTCTGGGTCTAGGTTGTGTCTAAAGACTGGAGTGGTTCTGAGCCTGGACTTTGGAACCAGACAGTTTACCTGCTATGGGTATCAGGCAGACTGTTTTACAGAGAGGATGGCAGACATGGGTCAATCTGAATCCATTCAGTAGAGATCCATTAAAAGAGCGTGGAGGGCCAGGCGTGGTGGCTCATGCTTTAATCCCAGCACTTTGGGAGGCCAAGGCGAGTGGATCACTTGAGCCCAGGAGTTCGACACCAGCCTGGACAGTATAGGGTCATGGAAAGGATTAAACGATAGAAAGCATGAAAAGTCCTCAACATTGTGCCTGACATGTATGTGAGCATTGAGAAATACCAGCTCCTATTAGTCTTCTTTTTTTTTTTTTTTGAGATGGAGTCTCGCTCTGTCGCCCAGTCTGGAGTGCAGCGGCATGATCTCGGTTCACTACAAACTCCACCTTCCGGGTTCCCGCCATTCTCCTGCCTCAGCCTCCTGAGTAGCTGGGACTATAGGTGCCTGCCACCTTGCCTGGCTAATTTTTTGTATTTTTAGTAGAGACGGGGTTTCACCGTGTTGGCCAGGATGGTTTTGATCTCCTGACCTCATGATCCGCCCGCCTTGGCCTCCCAAAGTGCTGGGATTATAAGCATGAGCCACCACGCCCGGCCTAGTCTTCTCTTACTAGTACTTAGTAACATCTAAGATTCTTTCTCTTTAATTTTTATTAATTTATTAAATAGAGACAGGATCTCTCTATGTTGCCCAGGCTGGCCTTGAACTCCTGGGCTCAAGCGATCCTCCCACCTCGGCCTCCCAAAGTGCTGAGATTCCAGGTGTGAGCCACTGTATGAGGCCAGCTCTAAGTGTTGGGGGCTAGGGTACTCTTTGGCACAGATGTTGGAAAAGTAGATTAATGCATCCTTGTCTCCGGGTTTATCTGCTCCCTGATTAGGCCTGAGTTGAGGGATATCTGGGCAAGGATATATGGTGGGAACTCCCTGAGTTTGCAGCTGTGTAGTTTTGGAGAGTGGCGAGCAGAACCACGGAAAGAATTACTGGGAAATGTCAGGAGGTGCTTACCTGGACTGTGACCCGCCTTTGTTGAGGGCCTTGGGAGAACTGCGTGCTTGGAGCAATCTGTGTGTTTCTGGTTCTGTGACCTCAAGAAAGACATTATGGCACAAAGCCAGCTCAGAAGTGACAACTAAAATGATGAGGGATGCAGACAGAACTATCCAGTCTGGAAAAGCAAAGGCTGGAGAGCAAGGGTAGAGATAGGCCAGGAAGAACGTTGGCTCCAAGTCGGAGGACTGGCGTTTGTGTCTGCCTGTTATCAGTTGCTGATCTTGATTTGTTTGTTTTGCGTTTTATTTTCATTAAAGGTATACATGTACAGAGTTACCAGAACCGAATAGTTATACAGGCTTGTTACCAAAAAACAGCATTCTCTCAGCCTTTTTCTCCTTCTCCAACCATTTTTTGATTCCCAGAAACAACCAGGTAATCAGCTAATCTTTTTTTTCTTTTCTTTTTAGAGACAGAGTCTTCCTCTATTGCCCAGGCTGGAGTGCAGTAGTATGATCATACTTTACTGTAACCTCTAACTCTTGGGCTCAAGCGACCCTCCCACCTCAGCCTCCCACATAGCTGGGACTACAGGAGTGTGCACCACCATGCTAAGCTAATTTATTTTTATTTATTTATTTTTAATTTTATTTTTTTTACCATAAGGCTTCCTTGCAAAACTAATCTAATTTTTAAATAATTTTTTTTAGAAATGGGGTCTCGCTATGTTGTCCAGCCTGATCTTGAACTACTGGCCTCAAGCAGTCCTCCTACATCAGCCTCCCAATGTGCTGGGATTACAGGTGTGAGCCATCATGACTGGCCCCAGCTAATTCTTTTTTTTTTTTTCTTTTTTGAGACAGAGTTTCGCTCTGTCACCCAGGCTGGAATGCAGTGGCGTGATCTCAGCTCACTGCAGCTTCCACCTCTGGGTTTAAGCAATTCTCATGCCTCAGCCTCCTGAGTAGCTGGGACTACAGATGCCTGCCATCATGCCTGGCTACTTTTTGTATTTTTAGTAGAGATAGGATTTCACCATGTTGGTGAGGCTGGTCTCAAATTCCTGACCTCAAGTGATCTGCCCACCTCGGCCTCCCAAAGTGTTGGGAGGACATGTGTGAGCCACCGCGCCTGGTCTTTTTTTTTTTTGTATTTTTAGTAGAGACAGGTTTCACCATGTTGGCCAGGCTGGTCTTGAACTCCGGACCTCGAGTGATCTGCCTGCCTTGGCCTCCTAGAGTGCTAAGATTATGGGTGTAAGCCACCACACCGGGCCCCGGCTAATTCTTTTAACTGCTATAGTTTGTAGCCATTGTTATGAACCTGCCATTATGGAAGATAAAGATCCAACATTCACTTACTCAAATATCCCCTCACTTCCCATGACAAATATTTTCCCCTGTCCCCACAGAGTTTTAACTCTGTGTTCACTGTTGACTTTATCATGACTTTCTAAGTGCTATAGGGGCAGCTGAGTTCCTTGTGTACTTGGAATCCTTTTCCTTTCCTGCACACATTTTTGTTATTCCTGGAGTAACTGTCTTTGTTTGGTTGGGTTTTTGTGTATTTATCACCAATGATCCATCATTCTCCCGTCGGTCTGTAATTGCCACTTAATACCATAGGCATTCCATCAATATCAATTTCATCATGCGTGGGTCAAGTGAGACTGCACATGGGCAAGGGCTTTGTAAGAAGTCAGGAATTGGCCGGGCATGGTGACTCATGCCTGTAATTCCAGCACTTTGGGAGGCAGGGGCGAGAGGATTGCTTGAGCCCAGGAGTTTGAGACCAGCCTGGGCAATATAGTGAGACCCCATCTCTACAAAACAAAATTTAAAAATTAGCTGGGTGTGGTGGCATGCGCCTGTAGTCCCAGCTACTTGGGAGGTTGAGGTGGGAGGGTCGCTTGAGCCTGAGAGATTCGAGGCTCCAGTGAGCTATGGTCACACCACTGCACTCCAGACTGAGTGACAGAGTGAGATCCTTTCCCCCCCCCTAAAAAAAAGCTGGGCGTGGTGGTTTATGCCTGTAATCCCAACACTTTGGGAGGCTGAGACGGCAGATCACAAGGTCAGGAGATTGAGACCATCCTGGCTAACACGGTGAAACCCTGTCTCTACTAAAAATACAAAAAAATTAGCCGGGCATGTTGGTGGGCGCCTATAGTCCCAGCTACTCGGGAGGCTGAGGCAGGAGAATGGTGTGAACCCGGGAGGCGGAGCTTGCAGTGAGCCGAGATTGTACCACTGCACTCCAGCCTGGGTGACAGAGCGAGACTCCATCTCAAAAAAAAAAAAAAAAGTCCAGGCACGGTGGCTCATGCCTGTAATCCTAGCACTTTGGGAGGCTGAGGCGGCGGATTGTCTGAGCTCAGGAGTTCAAGACCAGCCTGGGCAACTTGGTGAAACCCTATCTCTACTAAAGTACAAAAAATTAGCTGGGCATGGTGGTGTGCTAATCCCAGCTACTTGGGAGGCTGAGGTGGGACAATTGCTTGAATCCAGGAGGTGGAGGTTGCTGTGAGCCAAGACTGTACTACTGCACTCCAGCCTGGGCGACAGAGCAAGACTGTCTCCAAAATAAAAAAAAAAGAGAAGTCAGGAATCGTAGATTGGTGATGATTGTTTTTGTCTGGAACTTTCCATACTGGAAAGTAATTATAGGGTGATGTGGTTTGGATATTTGTCTCCACCAAATCTCATGTTGAAATGTGATCCTAGATGTTGGATATGGGACCGAGTGGGAGGTGTTTGGGTCACGGGGGCGGATCCCTCATGAATGGCTTGGTGCCCTCCCCGCAGTCATGAGTGAGTTCTCATTCTGTTAGTTCATGTGAGAGCTGGTTGTTTAAAAGAGCCTGGCTCTCTCTGTTCCCTCTCTCACCATGTGACACGCCTGATTCCCCTTCCCCTTCCCCTTCCCCTTCCGCCTTGAGTGAAAGCTTCTTGAGGCCTCACCTAAAGCTAAGCAGATGTGAGTGTCATGCTTGTATAACCTGCAGAACTGTGAGCCAGATAGACATCTTTTTTTTTTTTTTTTTTTTTTTTTGAGACAGGATCTCACTCTGTTGCCTAGGCTGGAGTGCAGTGGCATGATGACAGCTCACTGCAACCTCCACCTCCTGGATTCAAGTGATTCTCCTGCCTCAGCCTCCTGAGTAGCTGGGATTACAGGTGCCTGCCACCACATCCCACTAATTTTTCTTGTATTTTTAGTAGAGATGAGGTTTCACCATGTTGGCCAGGCTGGTCTCGAACTCCTGACCTCAAGTGATCCTCCCACCTCAGCCTCCCAAAGTGCTGGGATTACAGGTGTGAGCCATCACACCTGGCCTTTCTCTCTCTCTCTCTCTCTCTCTCTCTCTGTGTGTGTCTCTCTCTCCCTTCTTTCCTTCTTTCTGTCTTTCCTTCCTTCCTTCTTTTCACCCTTTTTTTCTCAGGGTCTCATTCTGTCACCCAGGCTGGATTGCACTGGCACAATCATAGCTCACTGCAGCCTTGACCTCCTGGGCTCAGGTGACCCTCCTGCCTCAGCCTCCTGAGTCGCTGGAACTACAGGCACACACTGCCATGCCCAGCGAAGTTTTTAATTTTTTGGCAGAGATAGGGTCTCGCTGTGTTGCCCAGGCTGGTCTCAAACTCCTGAGCTCAAGTGATCCTCCTGCCTTGGCCTCCCAATGTGCTGGGATTACAGGTGTGAGCCTCTGCACCCAGCCAGCTCTGTGGTTTTCTTGCCCGATGTGCATACCCTCAGTCTAATCATGGGAAAACATCAGACAAACCCATATTGAGGGATATTCTATAAAGTACCTGACCAGGACTCTTCCAAAGTGTGAAGGTCATGAAAGAGCAGGAAAGGCTAAGGAACTGTCACAGACGGGAGGAGGCCAAGGAGACATTGCAGTCGGTGCAGCGTGGGATCCTGGATTGGACTCTGGAACAGAAGGAGGAAAACAGTAGTGGAAACACTGGTGAAATCCAAATTCATTGTGTAGTATAGTTAATGGTATTGTACTAGAGTGAATTTCTTAGTTTCAGTGACTCTTCCATGGTTATAGAAGATGTTAGTTAGGTCGGGCACGGTGGCTCACACCTGTAATCCCAGCACTTTGGGAGGCCGAGGCAGGTGGATTACCTAAGGTTAGGAGTTCAAGACCAGCCTGGCCAACATGGTGAAACCCCATCTCTGCTAAAAATACAAAAATTAGCCGGGCATGGTGGCACACCCCTGTAATCCCAGCTACTCGGGAGGCTGAGGCAGGAGAATTGCTTGAGCCCGGGAGGCAGTGGTTGCAGTGAGCCGAGATTGTGCCACTGCACTCCAGCCTGGCTGACAGAGAGAGACTCTGTCTCAAAAAAAAAAAAAAAGAAAAAAAGATGTTAGTTAATACAAGGGGAAACTGGGCAAAGGGTGTCTGGGAACTCTGCACTACTTTTGCAGCTCCTCTGAAAATTTAAAATTATCTCAAACTAAAATGTTAAAAAGGCCAGGCGCGGCGGCTCACGCCTGTCATCCCAGCACTTTGGGAGCCAAGGTGGGAGGATCACCTGAGGCCAGGAGTTCGAAACCAGCCTGGCTGACATGGTGAAACCCCATCTCCACTAAAAATACAAAAATTAGCCGGGCATGATGGCGCACACCTGTAGTCCCACCTACTTGGGAGGCTGAGGCAGGAGAATCACTTAAACCCGGGAGGCAGAGGTTGCAGTGAGCCAAGATGGCGCCACTGCACTCCAGCCTAGATGAAAGAGTGAGACTCCATCTCAAACAAAAAGAAAAAATAAAATAAAATGAAATAAAATAAAATGTTAAAAAAAAAAAGAGGCTGGGCACAGTGGCTCATGCCTGTAATCCCAGCACTTTAGGAGGCTGAGATGGACGGATCACTTGAGGTCAGGAGATTGAGACCAACCTGGCTGACATAGTGAAACCCTGTCTCTACTAAAAATACAAAAAATGCTGGGCATTGTGGTGCACGCCTGTAGTCCCAGCTACTCGGGAGGCTGAGGCAGGAGCATTGCTTGAACCCGGGAGGCAGGCAGAGGTTGCAGTGAGCCAAGATCATGCCACTGCACTCCAGCCTGGGCAACAGAGCGAGACTCCACCTCAAAAAAAAAAAAATGGCATGTCACTCAGCAAACCCTTAGGGCTAAGTGAATGTGCTTTCCCTTGCCCCACCAGGCCTTTCATCCCTGGGGACTCTAGAGACCCACATATGCAGAGGAACAGGACAGGATGGTTTCCAAAGAGGGAAAGCTGGAATAGCCCGCGTTGCATCAGAGGGTGGAGAATGTCCATTGCCTGCTTTGAAGAGGAGCTGCTCTGTTTGCCCTGGGTCTTGGAGGCAGAGATGGAGTAGAACCTTCCTAAGCAGCCTTGCAGAAATTTTGCTGTCTGCCTCCCCCTGTCGCAGTGCAGCTAGCACCGGATACTAGTAAGACTTGGCAGTCAGTCTTAGTTCCAGCTTCAGTTCTGTTCCTTATTACTTTGTGGAGACCCTGGGAACTATGTCATTGCACCCATAATATGGGATCTTGAACTGACACCTAGGCTCATTGTGTGTGTTGAACGAGAGGGTCTAGAGCCAAAGCCAGGGCTGGTGGCTGTTTCTTCTGCCCACAGCTTTCCCTAATGCCTCCAGTGGAAGCGCCCACTGCCGGCCAGGTTCCCCATGGCACTCACTTTGTGCCCTTCCAAGGGCCCTTTTCAGGGATGGCCCTGGTTTGTGTCTTCTCTGCTTTATGACCCAGAGCTCCTGTAGGCCACAGGGCTTTGCACATAAGGGCTACTGAGGAAATGTGTTGAGTGAGTGAATGAATAAGTAAGTGACCAAATGGATAAGTAAATGAGTGAGTGAATGAATGGTTGAATATGTGAGTAATTGAGTAAGTGAATGAATGATTGAATTTGTGAGTAAATGAGTTAGCAAGTCAGTGAATGAGTGAATGAATGAGTGAGTGAATGAAGGAGTATATAAATGAATGGATGAGTGACTGAATGCATGAGTAAATGAGTGAGTGAATGAATGAGTGAGTGAATGAATGAGTAAATGAGAGAGTGAATGAAAGAGTGAATGAGGGATTGAATGAGTGAGTAAATCAGAGATTGACAGAGTGAGTAAATGAGTGAATGAGAGTGAAGGAATGTGAGTGAATAAAGGAGTATGTGTATGAGGGAGTAAATGAGAGAGTGAGTGAATAAGTGAGAGTGAATGAGTGAATGAATGATTGAATGGATTCCCCTCCTGCCTGTGAAAGAGGGATGTGTACAACATATGGGCCCAAAGAGTTGCCCCTCGTCAAGCTGTTCTCCAGGATGACTCTGGAAACGTTCAGACCAAACACACACCCCTTTGTGATTTTTCCCCCTACTATTGGAGTGTGAGCCACCTATCCAGAAAAAGCACTCAGTTAACTTTTTCACATCATTTGGGCATCTCAAGTTTTAAAGCTGTTTGTCAGTGCCTGGAACACTCCTGGCCTCTCTCCTTGTTGCTGAGAACTTTTTGCCACAGGAAATCAGGCTCATTTTGAGGGCCAAATAGTAGCTAAATATAGCTTCCCGGCACAGATATTTAAAGAGCTATGTTGATGATGTTATGTCTGAACAGAGAAGAAAGGGAAGAAAATAACTTTTTTTCCCCCCGTAAAGAAGAGCAAAGTTACACCAGGTTTTCTGTGGGGCTGCAGGGAGCCGAGCGACGGTGAGGTGTCAATGTTTTAATTATAGAATCACCAGATGTTCATGCTACAACTGTCACCAGCTTGGGGCTTGGGATTTAGATTTCTGTTGCCAGGCAGTCATTTCTTTATAATTACTTCTCGTTTCTATTTAAAAATACCTTCTCCTTGGAAAGTAACCCCAGATGAGTGTGCGCTTCTCACCAAGCTCAGAAGAGCTACCAGAGGGAGGCATTATGAGAGCTACGCTGCCCCCTCACCCCAAGACTGGCAGGGGACTGGTGGAGGAGCCCTCTCTCTCCCAAGTGCTGGTTGACAAGCAGCAGGTGATAAGGGATGAGGCCCTGAGATCTTTCCTGGTGAAAAGTCAGCTGCAGATGCAGAGGCCAGGAAAGAGGGCATACCTCAGAGAGAGGTCTGGACTGAAATTCCACTCATGCCTTCCCTGGAGCCAGACGGCTTCCCCTCTATCCTCTCCTCTGGTTTCCATCTTGGGCTCATTGGGTAATCAGGATAATGTCCAAAAAAGTAAAAAACTTTAGGATGGCGTTTTTGATCTCAAATGTCCCTTCCAGACTATAAATAGGACTATCCTAGGAGTTCTGAACTTTCCTTGAGGCTGAACTTGTATCTCTTTTGGGAGAGAAACTACATGGCTCTTTTTGTAAGAAGCTCTCTGCCCAGTGAACTCTCTTAAACTTTGTATGTCTGTAAATGTCTACATTTCACCATCTTTTTTTCCTCCTTTGTTATAGCCAAGATTTTATTGGTCCTTGCTTGGTGATCAGTACACAAGCATCATGAATTATTAATGCTAGTATTAAAAAGCCTAAGCAGTGTAATTGTGATACTTTGCTAAAGAGTTTGCTAAAGAGTTACTCAAGTGATGTTGCAATCTAAGAGTTGGAGATAATTTACCCACAAATTAGGACATTAGAACTCAAAATCTTAGAAGGTTGCTAATTTGTAAGTCTTTCACAGGGAATATCCTGATAACACAGGATGTGCTATATTACACATTATATCCACAACATATTAATACTTTGGGGGAAATTCTGGACTTTTGGGAGCACAATATTGCCACAGATAGTGTGCAGTTCTCATAGGTAGACAAAAGACAGAAGACACAGTGATAATAGTAGGGGAACAAACACACATATGAAAGATGAGTAATTTAAAAGGTTTGCTTATGTCTTGGTCATTTGGGGCATGTGTCACTTTAGAGGGTTTTTTTATAATGTTCTTTATAGTCTATGGAATGGTAAGTTAACATCAAATAAAGCCTCCCTTAATCAAGCCTTCCACTAATTTCTGGTTTTAGTGAAATTAACCAGTACATGATTTTAACTCTTAAAAAGGCATTAATTAAAAAAAATTACAAGATAGAGTCTCACCGTATTGCCCAGGTAGCAGTGCAGTGGCTATTCATAGGCATGATCATAGTGCACTATGGCCTTGAACTCCTGGCCTCAAGTGATCCTCCCACTTAAGCCTCCCAAGTAGCTGGGCCTACAGACATGTGCCACCATGCCTGGCTTTACAAGATCGTTTAGAACTAACACCAGTTCTTCTCAAGCTTTTCCAAAAAATTGAAGAGAAGGGAACACTCCTTAATTCATTTGATGAGGTCAGGATTACCCTGATACCAAAGCTAGACAAAGACACTACAAGAAAACTATTGATCAGTATTCCTTATAAACATTGATGTAAAAATCTTCAATAAAATATTAGTATACCAAATTAAGCAGCATATTAAAAAAAATTATACACCATGACCAAGTAGGGTTTATTGCCAGAATGCAAGGATGGTTTAACTTATGAAAACTGGTCAATGTAATACACCACATTAACAGAATGAAGGAAAAAACCCACATGATCATCTCAATTAATGCAGAAAAAGCATTTGACAAAATCCAGCACCCTTTCCTGATAAAAACACTCAATATGCCAGGCACAGTGGCTCACGCCTGTAATCCCAGCACTTTGGGAGGCCAAGGTCGGAGGATCACGTGAGCCTAGGAGTTCAAGACCAGTCTGGGCAACATGGCAAAACCCCATCTCTACAAAAAATAAAGATAAAAATAAATAAAAAAGAAAAGAAAAATTAGCCGGGCATGGTAGCATGCGCCTGTAGTTCCAGCTACTTGGGAAACTGAGGCAGGAGAATCACTTGAGCCCAGGAGGTTGAGGGTGCAGTGAGCCATGATTGTGCCACTGAACTCTGACAGAATGACACCATGTCTCAAAAACAAAGAAACAAAAAAACACTCAACAAACTAGGAATAGAGGAAACTATCTCAACATAATAGAAGTTATATATTAACAACCCACAGCAGACGTCACATTCAATGGTAAAATACCAAATGCTCTTCCTCTAAGATCCAGGAACATTACAAGGATGCCTAACTTTGCCACTTATATTCAACATAGTACTGGAAGTCCTAAACGGAGCAATTAGGCAAGAAAAAGAAATAAAAGGCATCCAAATTGGAAAGGAAGAGGTAAAATTATCTCTGTAGCTGATGATGTGATCTTATTTTAAATGCTGTGATCCTAAGGATACCACCAAAAAGTCTGTTAAAACCAATAAGCAAATTCAGCAAAGTAGCAAGGTACAAAGTCAATATGCAAAAGTCAGTTGCATTTTTAAACATGAACAATGAACGATCTGAAAAGGAAATTAAGAAAACAATTTCATTTACAATAGCACCAAAAAGAATAAAATACTGGGGCCGGGTGAGGTGGCTCATGCCTGTAATCCCAGCACTTTGGGAGGCCTAGGTGGGAGGATCACCTGAGGTCAGGAGTTTGAGACCAGCCTGACCGACATGGTGAAACCTCGTCTCTACTGAAAATACAAACATCAACCAGGCATGGTGTTGTACACCTGTAATCCCAGCTACTGGGGAGGCTGAGGCAGGGGAATCGCTTGAACCCAGTAGGTGGTGGTTGCAGTGAGCCAAGACCGGGCCATTGCACTCCAGCCTGGGCAACAAAACTCCATCTCAAAAAAAAGTAAAAAAAAAAAAAAAAGAAAAGAAAAAGAAGAAGAAAATACTTAGGAATTAACCAAAGAGTTGAAAGGCTTGTACAATGAAAACTACAAAAAAATTCTGAAAGAAATTAAAGAAGACATAAATAAAAGGAAACACATCCCATGTTCATGGATTGGAAGATTTAATATTGTTAAGATGTGGCAAAACAACAATCTACAGATTTATTGCAATCTCTATCAAAATCCCAATAATGTTTTTGCAGAAACAGAAAAACCCATCTTAAAATTAATATGGAATCTCAAGGGACTCTGAGTAGCCAAAACCATCCAGAAAAAGAAAAACATAGCTGGGGGACTATGTTTTTCCTGATTTCAAAACTTATTATAAAACTATAGTAATTAAAACAGTGTGGTACTGGCATAAAGACAAACATATAGAACAATTAAATACAATAGAGAGCCCAGAAATAAACTCTCCTCAATATATGATTAAATGATTTTTCAACAGAGTGCCAAGGCCATTCAATGAGGAAAAAACTTTTTTTTTTCACCAGATAGTGCTGGGAAAACTGGATATCCACATGCAAGAGAATGAATTTGGACACTTATCTTACACCATATACAAACATTAACTCAAAATTGATCCATGACCTAAATGTAAGACCTAAAATTATAAAACTCTAAGAAGAAAACACGGGGCAAAACTGTCGTGACATTTGATTTGGCATTGATTTCTGAGCTATGACACCAAAAGGCACAGGCAACAACTACAAAACCAGACAAACTGGACTTCATGAAAATTAACACTTTTGGGGCATCAATAGACACTATCAACATTAAAAAAGGCAACCTACAGAATGGAAGAAAATATTTGTATATCATATATCTGATAAAGGATTAATATCCAGATCATATAGAGAACTCCTAAAACTCAGCGATGAAAAACCCAATTCAGAAATGGGCAAAGGACTTGAATAAACATTTCTCTAAAGAAGATATATGGTAGTTTCTTTTGCTGTGCAGAAGCTCTTTAGTTTAATTAGATCCCATTTGTCAATTTTGGCTTTTGTTGCCATTGCTTTTGGTGTTTTGGACATGAAGTCCTTGCCCACGCCTATGTCCTGAATGGTAATGCCTAGGTTTTCTTCTAGGGTTTTTATGGTTTTAGGTCTAACGTATAAATCTTTAATCCATCTTGAATTGATTTTTGTATAAGGTGTAAGGAAGGGATCCAGTTTCAGCTTTCTACATATGGCTAGCCAGTTTTCCCAGCACCATTTATTAAATAGGGAATCCTTTCCCCATTGCTTGTTTTTCTCAGGTTTGTCAAAGATCAGATAGTTGTAGATATGCGGCATTATTTCTGAGGGCTCTGTTCTGTTCCATTGATCTATATCTCTGTTTTGGTACCAGTACCATACTGTTTTGGTTACTGTAGCCTTGTAGTATAGTTTGAAGTCAGGTAGTGTGATGCCTCCAGCTTTGTTCTTTTGGCTTAGGATTGACTTGGCGATGCGGGCTCTTTTTTGGTTCCATATGAACTTTACCATCAGAGTGAACAGGCAACCTACAACATGGGAGAAAATTTTTGCAACCTACTCATCTGACAAAGGGCTAATATCCAGAATCTACAATGAACTCAAACAAATTTACAAGAAAAAAACAAACAACCCCATCAAAAAGTGGGCGAAGGACATGAACAGACACTTCTCAAAAGAAGACATTTATGCAGCCAAAAAACACATGAAGAAATGCTCATCATCACTGGCCATCAGAGAAATGCAAATCAAAACCACTATGAGATATCATCTCACACCAGTTAGAATGGCAATCATTAAAAAGTCAGGAAACAACAGGTGCTGGAGAGGATGTGGAGAAACAGGAACACTTTTACACTGTTGGTGGGACTGTAAACTAGTTCAACCATTGTGGAAGTCAGTGTGGCGATTCCTCAGGGATCTAGAACTAGAAATACCATTTGACCCAGCCATCCCATTACTGGGTATATACCCAAAGGACTATAAATCATGCTGCTATAAAGACACATGCACACGTATGTTTATTGCGGCACTATTCACAATAGCAAAGACTTGGAACCAACCCAAATGTCCAACAATGATAGACTGGATTAAGAAAATGTGGCACATATACACCATGGAATACTATGCAGCCATAAAAAATGATGAGTTCATATCCTTTGTAGGGACATGGATGAAATTGGAAACCATCATTCTCAGTAAACTATCGCAAGAACAAAAAACCAAACACCGCATATTCTCACTCATAGGTGGGAATTGAACAATGAGATCACATGGACACAGGAAGGGGAATATCACACTCTGGGGACTGTGGTGGGGTCGGGGGAGGGGGGAGGGATAGCATTGGGAGATATACCTAATGCTAGATGACACATTAGTGGGTGCAGCGCACCAGCATGGCACATGTATACATATGTAACTAACCTGCACAATGTGCACATGTACCCTAAAACTTAGAGTATAATAAAAAAAAAAAAAAAAAAAAATGACGAGTTGATGGGTGTAGGAAACCAACATGGCACGTGTATACCTATGTATCAAACTTGCACGTTGTGCACATGTACCCTAGAACTTGAAGTATAATAAAATAAATAAATAAATAAAAAATAAAAAAATAAAAAAAAAATAAAAAAAAAGAAGATATATACAAATGGCCAATAAGCACTTGAAAAAATGCTCAAAATCATTAATCATTAGGAAAATGCAAATCAAAACTACAGTGAGATACCACCTCTCACCCATTAGGATGGCTACTATCAAAAACAAACAAACAAACAATAAATAAAACCCCAGAAAATAACAAGTACTGGTGAGGATGTGGAGAAATTGGAACTCTTGTGCAGTGTTGGTGGGAATGTAAGATGGTGCAGCCACTGTAGAAAACAGTCAGGTGGTTCCTCAAAATATTAAAAGTAACCCGGGCATGGTGGCTTACTCCTGTAATCCCAGCACTTTGGGAGGGCGAGGTGAGCGGATCACTTGAGATCAGGAGTTCGAGACCAGCCTGGCCAATATGGTGAAACCCCATCTCTACTAAAAATACAAAAAATTGGCCAGGCACGGTGGCAGGCACCTGTAATCCCAGCTATTTGGGAGGCTGAGGCAGGAGAAAATCACTTGAACCCAGGAGGCCGAGGTTGCAGTGAGCCAAGATCGCGCCACTGCACTCCTGCCTAGGCAACAGAGGAAGATTCCGTCTCAAAAAAATAATAAAATAAATAAAATAAAAATAGAATTACCATATGATTCATCAATTTTGCTTCTGGATAGACACCCAAAAGAATTGAAGGCAGGCTCATGAAGAGATGTTTGTAGACCCATGTTCACAGCAGCATTATTTACACATCAGCTAAAATGTGGAAGCAACCCAGGTGTGCATCAGTGGATGAATGGATAAGCAAAATGTGGTTATTTATACAACGGAATATTATGGAGTCTTAAAAAGGTAGAGATCTGGCCAGGCGTGGTGGCTCACGTCTATAATCCCAGCACTTTGGGAGGCTGAGGCGGGCAGATCATCTGAGGTCAGGAGACCAGCCTGCCCAACATGGCAAAACCTCATCGCTAACAAAAACTCAGCCAGGCACGGTGGTGGGCACCTGTAATCCCAGCTACTCAGGAGGCTGAGGCAGGAGAATCACTTGAACTCGGGAGGCGGAGGTTGCAGTGAGCCGAGATTGCGCCACTGTACTCCAGCCTGGGCGACAAGAGTGAAACTTCGTCTCAAAAAAAAAAGAAAAAAAAAAAAGGTAGAGATCCTGCTGTTACATGCTACAACATGGATGAACCTTGAAGACATTATCTTAGGCAAAATAAGTGAGTCCTAAAAAGACAAATACTGTATGATTCCACTTCTATGAAGTGCCTGGAGTAATCACAAACATAGAGACACAAAGTAGAATGGTGGTTGCCAGGGGCTTGGGGGAAGGGAGATGGGGAGAAATTGTTTAATAGGATAGAGTTTCAGTTTTGCAAGAGGAAGAGTTCTGCCGATGGATAGCGGTGATGGTTGTACAATAGTGTGAATGTTCTCAGTGCCAGTGAACTGTACACTTAAAAATGGTTCAGATGGTAAATTTTATATTACGTGTATTTTACCACAACTTAAAACTTGGAAAAGAAAGTAAAACGCATTTGTACTTATTTAAAGATGTATTAAAACATGGGATAAGGTGGAATTCCAAGCTTTTAAAAAATCTGTTTCTGGAACTGGAGAATTTGCATTATCCACATAGTTGGCCAGGTGCAGTGGCTCATGCCTGTAATCCCAGCACTTTGGGAGGCTGAGGCAGGCAGTTCACCTGAGGTCAGGAGTTCAAGACCAGCCTGGGCAACATGGTGAAAGCCCATCTCTACAGAAATACAAAAATTAGCCGGGCATGATGGCGGGTGCCTGTAATTCCAGCTACTGAGACGGGAGGATCGCTTGAACCTGGGAGGTGGAGGTTGCAGTGAGTCGAGATCAGGCCACTGTACTGCACTCCAGCCTGAGCAACAGAGTGAGACTCCGTCTCAAACAAACAAACAACAACAACAACAAGAAACAGTTGATTAAGCTGTTATGTAGGCTGGGTGCAGTGGCTCATGCCTGTAATCCCAGCACTTTGGGAGGCCAAGGCAGGCGGATCACCTGAGGTCAGGAGTTCGAGACCAGCCTGACCAACATGAAGAAACCCTATCTCTACTAAGAATACAAAATTAGCCAGGCGTGGTGCTGGGCGCCTGTAATCCCAGCTACTCGGGAGGCTGAGGCAGGAGAATCGCTTGAACCGGGAGGCGGAGGTTGCAGTGAACCGTGATCACGCCATTGCACTCCAGCCTGGGCAACAAGAGCGAAACTCTGTCTCAAAAATAAATAAATAAATAAATAAAACAAAATAAAATAAAAGGCTGTTATGTAAGAACTACCACTAGAACTGGTGTAAGACTATTTGTTTTGTCATTGTTGTCTGTGAGATCATCTTTGGTGGAGCTTATATTCTGTGGGGTCCTGCATGTGTCTTGACTTATGGAGGTATTTCTTGGGACAATTTTATGGTTGTCTCTGCTAAGTTCTTACCAGGTTCACTGGTTCCCAGGGCAGGGCTTCCATGCTGCATGAGTCTTGGGGGAACTTGGCACACCTATGCAGCCCAGGCCCGGGGCCCTGGCTTTTCCCTAGACTCTTCACCAAAGGCTTCGGGTCGGCAGCTCTGGCCAGGAGCTCAGTTCCAGACCCCTGAGGCACACACAGTCAGTGGTCTCAACTTTGGTCCTTTAGAGCTGATTTGTTTATCCCATAGCATGTGGCTTTGATTTGCAATTAGGAAGCCACTGGAAGGTTTTTAGTAGGATGTGAAATGATCGATCTACTTTATGTTTTGTTTTATTTTTAAAGACCTCTCCAGCTGCATTGTAGATGAATAGTATGGCCTTCTGGTACTTGGAGGTACTTCCAAGCTCATCTATATATTTGGCTTTTTTGTTTGTTTGTTTTGTGTGTGTTGTTTTGTTTTGTTTTTTTTTTTGAGACGGAGTTTCGCTCTTGTTGTCTCCGCCTCCCAGGTTCAAGCAATTCTCTTGCCTCAGCCTCCTGAGTAGCTGGGATTACAGGCATGTGCCACCACACCCAGCTGATTTTGTATTTTTAGTAGAGATAGGGTTTCTCCATGTTAGTCAGGCTGGTCTCGAACTCCCGACCTCGGGTGATCTGCCTGCCTCGGCTTCCCGAAGTGCTGGGATTACAGGCATGAACCACCGCACCTGGGCTTTTTTTTATTTTTGAGACGGAGTCTTGCTCTGTTGCCCAGGCTGGAGTGCAGTGGCATGATCTCGGCTCACTGCAACCTCCGCCTCCTGGGTTCAGGCTGTCCTCCCACCTCAGCCTCCCAAGTAGCTGGGATTACAAGCATGCACCACCATGTCTGGCTAATTTTTCTATTTTTAGTAGAGATGGGTTTCGCCATGTTGGCCAGGCTGGTCTTGACCCCTGACTTCAAGTGATCTACCTGCCTCGGCCTCCCAGTGTGTTCGGATTACAGGCGTGAGCCACCTCACCCGGCCCTTTATGTTAATAATATTTTTCAATTTTTTTCTCTACCAGAAGTCTTAATTCCCGCTACAGTTTGGATGTTTGACCTCCTTCAAACCTTATGTTGAAATCTGATCACCAGTGTTGGAGATGGGGGCCTAATGGGAGGTATTTTGCATCTTGGGGGCAGATACCTCATGAATAGGTTAATGCCATCCCTGCGGGGTGGGGATGAGTGAGTTGTTGTTCTATAAATTTCCTTGATAGCTGGCTGTTAAAAAGAACCTGGCACCTTCCCTCGCTCTGTTTGCTCCTCTCTCTCTTTTTTTTGTGAGGCAGGATGAGTCTCACTCTGGCGCCCAGGCTGGAGTGCAGTGTCTTTCCTCCTTCTCTGTAACCATGGGATCCATATGAACACCAGGTCCCCTTCCCCTTCAGCCATGAGCGGAAGCAAGCCTGAGATCCTTTCAGAGGCAGATGCAGGCACCATGCTTCTTGTGCAACCTGCAGTGCCATAAGCCAAATAAACCACTTTTCTTTATAAATTACCCAGCCTTGCCAGGCACAGTGGCTCATGCCTGTAATCCCAGCACTTTGGGAGGCCAAGGCAGGTGGATCACTTGAGTTCAGGAGTTCAAGGCCAGCCTGGCCAACGTGGTGAAACCCTGTCTCTACTAAAAATACAAAAATTAGGCCGGGTGCGGTGGCTCACGCCTGTAATCCCAGCAATTTGGGAGGCCGAGGCAGGCAGATCATGGGGTCAGGAGTTCAAGACCAGCCTGGCCAACATGGTGAAACCCCATTTCTACAAAAATACAAAAATTTGCCAGATGTGGTGGTGCGTGTCTGTAATCCCAGCTACTCGGGAGGCTGAGGCAGGAGAATCGCTTGAACTCCGAAGGCAGAGGTTGCAGTGAGCCAAGATCGTGCCATTGCATTCCAGCCTGGGCAATAGAGTGAGACTCCATCTCAAAAAAAAAAAAGAAAGAAAAAAATACAAAAATTAGCTGGGTATGGTGGCAGGCACCTGTAGTCCCAGCTACTTGGGAGGGTGAGACAGGAGAATCGCTTGAACCCGGGAGGCAGAGGTGGCAGTGAGCCAAGATCACACCACTGCACTCCAGCCTGGGCGACAGAGCGAGACTCTGTCCAAAAAATATATAAATAATAAATAAATAAATAATAAAGTGAGGACAGCCATACCTGGCAGAGTTTAGGATTTTCTGTGTCCTGTTGTTATTGTTGTTGCAATAGGGTCTCACTTTGTCACCCAGCCAGGAGTGCAGTGGTGTGATCATAGCTCACTGCAGCCTCAACCTCCTGGGCTCAAACAGTCCTCCCACCTCAACCTCCTGATTAGCTAGGACTACAGGTGTGCACCACCAGGCCAAGCTAATTCTTTAATTATTTTTAGTAGAGACAGAGTCTTGCTCTGTTGCCCAGTCTGATCTCAAACTCCTGGCCTCAAGTGATCCTCCTGTCTTAGCCTCCTGAGTAGCTGGGACTACAGGCATGCTCCACCATGCCCAGCTTAATTTAAAAAACATTTTTTAAAATAGATATGGGTCTCACTATGTTGCCCAGGTCAGTTTTGAACTCCTGGCTTCAAGTGATCCTCCTGCCTCAGCCTCCCAAAGTGCTGGGATTACAGGCCTGAGTCACCAGACTGGCATTTGGTAGTGTTTTTGTTTGTTTGTTTTGTTTTTGAGACAGAGTCTTGCTCTGTTGCCCAGGCTGGAGTGCAGTGGCAGGATCTCAGCTCACTGCAACCTCTGCCTCCGAGGTTCAAGCGATTCTCCTGCCTCAGCCGTTAAGGTGGCTGAGATTAAAGGTGGGCATCACCACACTTGGCTAAATTTTGTATTTTTGGTAGAGACAGGGTTTCATCATGTTGGCCAGGCTGGTCTGGAACTCCTGACCTCAAGTGATCTGCCCAACTCAGCCTTCCAAAGTGCCAGGATTACAGGTAGCATGTGCCACTGTGCCTGACCTTGGTAGCATTTTTATGAGAATGAAATGTGAATATTCTCATCCCATCCGGAGAGGCTACAGCAGTCATTCTTGTTTAGGGGTTAAAAGTTTTCACCGGGTCAGGGGCCGGGTGTGGTGGCTCACGCCTGTAGTCCCAGCACTTTAGGAGGCCGAGACGGGCGGATCACGAGGTCAGGAGATCGAGACCATCCTGGCTAACACGGTGAAACCCCGTCTCTACTAAAAATACAAAAAATTAGCCGGGTGTGGTGGCGGGTGCCTGTAGTCCCAGCTACTCAAGAGGCTGAGGCAGGAGAATGGCGTGAACCCGGGAGGCGGAGTTTGCAGTGAGCCGAGATCGCGCCACTGCACTCCAGCCTGGGCGACAGAGCAAGACTCCGTCTCAAAAAAAAAAAAAAGTGTTCACCTGGTCACTGTAACCCCAGGAGACGTTTCTGTCCCCTTCTCGTTGGTTTTCCTCAGGTGTTGTCTTTTGTCTCTGCCGTGGCTGTGTTTTGAGTGACTGTAGATGGTAAGCTCCATGTCAGTTAACCAGCAAATATGTTTTTCAGGACTCACTGTAAGTACCAGGTGTGAAAAAACAGATCCCACCCTCATGGAGACTCTGCTTGGTCCCTTGAGGACAGGAGACCTGTCATCTTCTTCTGCTTTCTCTGCAAAGGCCCATCAGGGTTCTGGGTGAGCAGGTTAGCTGGAATGTCAGTCTGCCCTCAACAGTGCCCTTCATGCCACAGAAAAGGTTTCCCAAGTGCCTACAGGGCCAGGCGCCACAAGTCAGGGCTGAACCTGGCTTGATTGCTGGGTTCGAGTTGCTCTTGGACCCCAGGAAGAGCTGACGGGCTCATGGTCACCGCAGTCACTTTCATAACCACAGTAGCAGAGGATGTGAAAAGGGTGGGATGAGCCCAGGAAGCCAGCATGAACTGTCTCAAGCTGTTTATTCAAGAACTCGGTGCCGGCCAGGCACGGTGGCTCATGCTTGTAATCCCAACACTTTGAGAGGCCGATGCGGGCGGATCACTTGAGGCCAGGAGTTCGAGACCAGCCTGGCCAGCATGGCAAAACCCTATCTCTACTAAAAATACAAATATTAGCCAGGTGTAGTGGTGCGCACCTGTAATCCCAGCTACTAGGGAAGCTGAGGCAGGAGGATCGCTTGAGCCTGGGAGGTGGAGGTTGCAGTGAGCCGAGATTGTGCCACTGCACTCCAGCCTGGGTGACAGAGAGAGACTCTGTCTCAAAGGAAAAAAAAAAATCAGTGCTGCTCCCGTGGCTGCACAGCTTGTGGTTGGTCATTCCAAACCTGACAACCACGGAAAAGAGAAGAGAAGCTCAGAGGAGCCAGATGAAGGAGGAACCCACCTTCAGGGTCTGGTAGGCCTGGACCCGGATCAGGGGCTTGAAGGACTGGAGGGTGTGGCTGAGGGGAAGAGAGGAGGACGATGTGAGTAAGCAGAGACCACTCTGCAGCAGAGGCCACAGACTGGCGTCTCGAGGGCTGGATTCTTTTGCGGGCCCATTTTGTTTGGCCCGTGCCGTGTTCTTTAAAACTTGGAACTGAATGTCTTTATATGGAGAACTCACTCTTTCCTTCCCCACAGACGTCACCATCCCCGTTTTCTATCCTGATCTGCCGAAACACATTGATGGAACCAGCCTAGAACCTTGTTCTATCCACTGAAAACCCAGGAGATCGATGGAAAAAAGGTCTTAGAATTAATAAACAAGTTCACCATAGAGAATAAGAGTACTGGGAGTGAGCTATATAAAAATCAAGAGTATATTTTCTAGTATATCAGCAACTAGTTTGTAGTAGAAAACATCCTGTTCACCAAAATAGCAAGACCAGAAAATATCTTTGTAAGAATCTTTGAAAGCCGAGCGCCTATAGTCCTAGTTACTTGGGAGGTCGAGGCAGGAGACCACTTGAGTCCAGGAGTTCAGGTTCAGCCTGGGCAATATAGAGAGACCCCATCTCTTAAAAAAAAACCTATGAAATCTTTTGTCATTCACTTAAAACATAGTTACTGCATATCTGCTAATGTATTTCATTTTTTAAATAGGTAATACATTCAAGTGGTTCCAGAAAAAAAAAGTGAAAGGCGTCCCTTCCACTCCTGACCTCCCACTGCCTAGCTCCCACTCAACCCTAAGAGAGAGAGAACCACTAATTGACTGATCTCTTATTGTGTCCATCCAAGTGTTTTATTTTTACCTACAAGTGAATACAAATATATTGGAATATTATCTTCCTCGCTCCTTGCATATAATAGATTTTTTTTTTTTTAAGAGGCAGGGTCTCACTCTGTCATCCAGGCTGGAGTACATGATATGATCATAGCTCACTGCAGCCTTGAACTCCTGGGCTTAAGTATTCCTCCTCCCTCAGCCTACTGAATAGCTGGGATTACAAGTGTGTGCCACTGTGCCTGACTTAAAAAAAAAAATTGTATTTAGAGTTGGGGTCTTGCTATGTTGCCCAGGCTGGCCTCCAACTCTTGGCCTCAAGTGATCCTCCTGCCTTGGCCTCCCAAAGTGCTGGGATTACAGTCACAAGCCACCACACCTGGCTGGAATCCTGGCAGTATTTTTACATCAGCTTTACAATAGACTTCCTCATTTCTTTTTACAGCTGAATAGTAAAAATAGTGATTTTTAGATAAGACCATGGGCTCCAAGAGTAGAACTGCCTGGGTTTGAAACCTGGTTCTACCACTGTGACAATTGGCCTAATCACTTGTCTCTCTGTGCCTCAGTTTCTTCATGTGTAAGTGGACATAGTAGATACCTACTAAACTTGTTGCAAGAATTTAGTGAGATGGTGCTTCTAAGAATGCTTACAACAGTGACTGGCATCTAGTGAGCCCTCTAAATATTATCTACTTTTCTTAGTCTTTTAATAGTAATGAATAGAAAATAGGAAAAAGGATAAAGCGTGACTTGGGAGGATACTTTACATAGAATAGACCTGTTGATAGTTATAAAACTGGGCTGGACATGGTGGCTCATGCCTATAATCCCGGCACCTAGCTGGGAGGATCACTTGAGCCCAGGAGTTTGAGATCAGCTTGAGCAGCATAGTGTGTGAGACCTCAGTCTCTACAAAAAAATTTTTTTAAATTATAAAACTTTACTAAGAAATATGTCAGATGAATTAATGGAGAGACATACTTTGTTTCTGGATGGAAATTATGGAATTTGTTATCTCAGCTCTTCCTAGAATAACTTAGACTTATCTCCTTTATAACCAAAACCCCAATAGGATTCTTTTTGAAACTTTTTTGTTTTTTGTTTTTGAGACGGAGTCTCGCTCTGTCGCCCAGGTTGGAGTGTAGTGGCACAGTCTTGGTTCACTGCAAACTCCGCCTCCTGGGCTCAAACGATTCTTCTGCCTTAGCCTCCCAAATAGCTGGGATTACAGTTGTGCACCATCACACCTGGCTAATTTTTGTATTTTTAGTAGAGATGGGTTTTACTATGTTGGCCAGGCTGATCTCGAACTCCTGACCTCAAGTGATCCGTCTGCCTTGGCCTCCCAACATTTTGGAACTTTTAAATTCTAACATTTATCTGGAAGAATAAATGAGAATGACTTTTAAATTTTGAAGAAGAATACATCCAGGAGAAACTTGTTCTACTGAATATTTTTTTTTACTAAAAAATTATTAATTTTTTTCTTTTCTTTCTTTCTTTTTCTTAGAGAACTGTGTTTTTTTAGAGAACTGTGTTGCCCAGGCTGATCTCAAATTCCTGGCCTCAAGAGATCCTCCCCTCTCAACCTCCCAAAGTGCTGGGGTTGCTGGTGAAAACACATTTTTAATGATTAAAACAGTGACTCAATTAATGGCTTAAAAATGAACAGATCAGTAGATAGAATACATAGCCCAGAAACTTACCTTTATACACATGGATATTAACTGTACGATAAAGACGACCTTGCAGGTCAGCAGGAATAGACACATCATTTGATAAATTAGGCGAGGCTAATTTGGTTAGCTGTTTTTGAGAAGAGAATGTTTTAGATTCTCACCTTAGGCTGCATGCCTGGATAAATTCCAGGTCGACTTAAAAAGTTAAGTTTCAAGAAGAGAAAAATCAAACCATTAAAAAAAAAAAATCCTTGGGAAGGCAGAAGGAAGCATTTTGGGATGGGGGGAGGACCTGTGAGTTGTAAAGCACTCAGAAATATGCAAGTGAGAAAAACACTGGGCCTGGCACAGTGGCTCACGCCTGTAATCCCAGCACTTCGGGAGGCTGAAGTGGGTGGATCACTTCAGGTCAGGAGTTCAAGAGCAGCCTGGTCAACATGGTGAAACCCTATCTCTACTAAAAGTACAAAAATTAGCCAGGTGTGGTGGCAGGCACTTGTAATTCCAGCCACTCGGAGGTTGAGGCACAAGAATCACTTGAACCCAGGAAGTGGAGGCTGCAGTGAGCCAAGATCATACCACTGCACTCTGGCATGGGCAACAGAGTGAGACCCTGTCTCAGAAAAGGGAAGGGGAGCAGAGGGGAGGGAAGGGGAGGGGAGGGGAGGCGAGGGGAAGGGAGGGGAGGGGAAGGGAAGGGAGGGGAGGGGAAGGGAGGGGAGGGGAGGAGAAGGGAAGGGAGAAAGAAGGAAAGGAAAGGAAGGAAAGGAAGGAAGAGAAAGGGCTTTAGCTAAAGTAGCAGAATGGCTACACACCTTCCCAAGATTAGCTGCATGCATAATAGTAAAGAAATAAGAATGAGAAAGACCCACAAGGACAAAGAAAATGAGAGAGGGATCATTATCAAATAGGGTATTTTAACACATTTTGGAAAGAAAAGAAGAAATGATAGGCCAGGCATGGTGGCTCACACCTGTAATCCCAGCACTTTGGGAAGCCGAAGTGGGTGGATAGCTTTAGCCCAGGAGTTCGAGACCAGCCTGGGCAACATAGTGAGAACCCATCCCTACAAAAAATGCAAACATTAGCCGGGCATGGTGGCTCACACCTGTCCCATCTACTCGGGAGGCTGAGTGAGGCAGGAGGATTGCTTGAGCCTGGGAGGTCAACACTGCAGTGAGCCATGATCACACCACTGCACTCCAGCCTGGGTGACACAGCGGAACCGTGTCTAAAAAGAAAAGAAAAGAGATGCTGACAGGAGGAAAGCAAATGCCAAGAGAGACTTGAACTGGGAGACATCATACTGGAGGCACGGGGGCAGAACTGAAGGCAGGTGGAGAGGATGTCTAAGAACCAGTACCAGCCAGGCACGGTGGCTCATGCCTGTAATCCCAGCACTTTGGGAGGCCAAGGCAGGTGGATCCCTTGGGGTCAGGAGTTCGAGACCAGCCTGGCCAACATAGTGAAACCCCGTCTCTACTAAAAATACAAAAATTAGCTGGGTGTGGTGGTGCATGCCTGTAATCTGAGCTACTTGGGAGGCTGAGGCAGGAAAATCGCTTGAATCCAGGAGGCAGAGGTTGCAGTGAGCCAAAATTGTGCCACCGCACTCCAGCCTGGGTGATAGAGTGAGACTCCATCTAAAAAACAGACAACAACAAAAAAAACTGGTACCGCTCCACAACCCCTTCTGAATATCGGCAGGCAAGTATTTATCCTACAACTGCATTGGGTTGGAGCAGTGGAGAGTGGGCTGGAGAAGCTGACCCAGAGCTCCTAATTCAAGAGACTTCATGTGGCAGAGGTTTGGGTATAGCGGATGCTGAAAACAAGGAGAATAACTGAAAGTCTAGAACATTTCCTGTATCCAGATGAGCCAAGTACAAGCCATCTGGCATCCACTTCCCATCCAGGTGATCAGAGGATACGTCTCTGCAGAAACCACCAAGGTCTCAGAAAAAAAAGCCTGCACAATCTGACATTTAGGAGTCCCCAGTGAGAGTGCTGGCTGCCTGCCCACTCTCCCTAAAAATGAGTTTGCCCGCTGATGAGCTCCGCCATGCACACGGAATTTCCAATTAACTTTTTAGAGCCTCACTGCTAATATAAACATCTAACCAAGGATCAGCTGATGTATAAGGAGAATCAAGAAATGATAGGAACAAAAGCACTAAAATAAGTGATGGGGAAAAGGCAATCTTTAGGAAACAAAGACAGTGCTATTTCAGAAGACTGAAGGAACTTTTCCATAGTTTTCTCATAGAGTTCAAGAGGACAGTGCCTCATAAAACAAAAATAGAATGTTGTGGAAAGAACTCACCAGAATGCAGAGAAGATAAAGTCAAGGAACTCTCTCAGAAAGTACCCAAGAAAGCCAAAAGTTGGAAAGTGCAGAGAATAGATAAGAGCGATAGAGAAGCAATCCAGGCCGGGCATGGTGGCTCATGCATGTAATCCCAGCACTTTGGGAGGCTGAGATGAGAGGATCACTTGAGGCCAGGAGTTTGAGACCCACCTGGGCAACATAGTGAGACCCCATTTCTTTAAAAAAAAAAAAAAGTAGCCAGGTGTGGTGGTGGTGCCTGTAGTCTCAGCTACTCAGGAGCCTCAGGTGGGAGGATTGCTGGAACCCAGGAGGTTGAGGCTGCAGTGTGCTGTGATCACACCACTGCACTCCAGCCTGGGAGACAGAGTGAGACCCTGTCCCCCTCCTCAAAAAAAAAAAAAAAAGAAAGAAAGAAAAGAAAAAGAAAAAAAGAAAGAATCAATCTAGAAGGTTCAGTATGAAAGTATTTGGAGTGGCAAAAAGAGAAAACAGACAATAGAGGTAAGGAAATGAAGTTGTGCAAGAACATTAACCAGAAACACATCTGCCGACCACGCATGCCCAGCATAATAAATGACAGAGGATACACCAAGGTGTAGCACTGTGAAATTTTAGAACACCAGGGTTAATGAGGGGATTCCAGAAGCGTCCAAAGAGGAAAAACAGGCATCTAGTAAAGAAATGAGAATTGGGGCCGGGCGCGGTGGCTCACGCCTGTAATCTCAGCACTTTGGGAGGCCGAGGTGGGTGGATCACGAGGTTAGGAATTCAAAACAAGCCTGGCCAACATGGTGAAATCCCGTCTCTACCAAAAATATAAAAATTAGCCGGGTGTGGTGGCACGTGCCTGTAATCCCAGCTACTGGGGAGGCTGAGGCAGGAGAATCACTTGAACCTGGGAGGCGGAGGTTGCAGGGAGCTGAGATTGCACCACTGCACTCCAGCCTGGGTGGCAGAACAAGACTCCATCTCAAAAAAAAAAAAAAAAAAGAAAAGAGAATTGGATAGTTCTGAACTTTTCAAGAGCCACACTGGATGCTAGATATTGCTTGTCATCAGCATTGGTGCAGTGCAGGGAGTGATTTATTTTCTTTCTTTCTCTCTCTCTTTCTCTCCCCCTCCCTCCCTCCCTCCCTTCCCCCGAGTAGCTGGGACTACAGGTGAGCGCCACCATGCCTGGCTAATTTTTGTATTTTTTGTAGAGACGAGGTTTTGCCACGTTGCCCAGGCTGGTCTTGAACTCTTGGGCTCAAGCAATCCTTCCACCTCGGCCTCCCAAAGCGCCAGGATTACACATGTGAGCAACCGCGCTGGCCAGAAAATCATTTTAGTCTGTTATTTCATACCCAGCTAAACAACTAGTAAAGGGTGAAAACAGAGCAAAGTCATTTTCAGAGAATTCAAGGTGCAAAAAAATGTATCTCCATGAATCCTTTTCCCTGGAGGGCACACTTCGGCAAGACAAGAGGAAGAGAAGATGACAGCCAGAAGAAGTGAGTGCGGTACCAAGGGCACTGGCGTGGGGGGTGCCTCCTGGAAACCAGGCGCCCCGCAGAATGCCTTAAACAATGGGATATTTGGGAAAAGAATGTCTGTGGCACAAAGGAAGGTGTACAAATAAAACAACAAAGGAGTTACTCCAAGAAAAACACATTGAACAAGAATGGAAATGTAAGCATAGTCTTTCACTTAGTCCTGTTTCGAATGCCGTTTGCAATTTGCATCATAATTTTTTTTTTTTTTTTGAGACAGGGTTTCGCTCTGTTACCCAGGCTAGAGTGCAGTGGCATGATCTCGGCTCACTGCAACCTCTGCCTCCCTGGTTCAAGTGATTCTCGTGCCTCAGCCTCCTGAGTAGCTGGGATTACAGGCGCGTAGCACCACGCCTGGCTAGTTTTTGTATTTTTGGTAGAGATCAAGCTTCGCCATGTTGGCCAGGCTGGTCTCGAACTCCTGACCTCAAGTGATTTTCCCGCCTCAGCCTCCCAAAGTGCTGGGATTACAGGCATAAGACACCATGCCCGGCTGCATCGTCATAATTTATACACTGATTATTTACTAAAATATTTGTGTAACTCTTGTTCAGAAGATGGGGAAGAGAGATGATAGGATATCCAAGAGAATTATGTCGTATCTGTCATGATAGAAAGTACTTAGGTAATATTTAAAATTAATAAAGTGTCTGGGCGCAGTGGCTCATGCCTGTAATCCCAGCACTTCGGGAGGCCAAGGCGGGCAGATCACATCATGCCAGAAGTTTGAGACCAGCCTGGCCAACATGGTGAAACCTCATCTCTACTAAAAATACAAAAAAAAAAAAAATTGGCCAGGCGTGGTGGTTCATGCCAGTAATCTCAGCTACTCAGGAAGCTAAGGCATGAGAATGGTCTGAACCTGGGGGGCAGAGGCTGCAGTAAGCCAAGATCGCGCCACTGTACTCCAGCCTGGGTGATAGAACAAGAATCTGTCTCAAAAAAAAAAAATTAGCCAGGTATGGCAGTGTGTGCCTGTAGTCCCAGCTGCTTGGGAGACTTGAGGCAGGAGGATTGCTTGAGCCCAGGAGTTGGAAGCTGCAGTAAGCTATGATCAAACCACTCCACTCCAGCCTGGCCAATACAGCAAGACCCTGCCTTAAAAAAAAATCAATAAATAATTAAAGAAAAAGGAATGCAGATATATTAATTGAAAATATCAAGTTTATCATTACTGGCCAGAAGGGAAAAGAGGTTAAAAAGCAAGACTGCCTTTGGGGAGTGGAATTGGGACGGGGGGAGACAACGGAAACTGGAAACTGCTGGCTGCTTATTAGAAGCTGTGCCTAGCAGTTGGTTGGTTGGTTGTAATTGAGGTAAAACTTGCACAACATAAAATTAATCATTAACCATTTTAAAAGGTGCAGTTCACCATTCAGGACTTCCACAGTGTTGTACAGCCCCCACCTCTGTGTAGTTCCAAGATACTTTCACCCCTCCCCACCCCCTGCAAAGAAACCATAGTGCCCATCACACAGTCACTCCCTATTCCTCTGTCCCCTCCTTGCCAGTCCCTGACAACCACTAGTCTTCTTTCTGTCTCTATGGGTTTGCCTATTCTGGAAGTTTTTTTTGTTTGTTTGTTTTTTGAGACGGAGTTTTGCTCTTGTTGCCCAGGCTGGAGTGTAGTGGCACGATCTCAGCTTACTGCAACCTCCTTCTCCCGGGTTCAAGCAATTCTTCTGCCTCAGCCTCCTGAGTAGCTGGGATTACAGGTGCCCGGCTAATTTTTTGTGTTTTTAGTAGAGATGGGGTTTCACCATGCTGGCCAGGCTGGTCTCAAACTCCTGACCTCAAGTAATCCACCCGCCTCAGCCTCCCAAAGTGCTGGGATTACAGGCATGAGCCACCGCGCCCGGCCCTATTCTGGAAGTTTTTTGTTTTTTTGAGACAGAGTCTCACTCTGTCACCCAGGCTGGAGTGCAGTGGCTTGATCTTGGCTCACTGCAACCTCTGCTTCCCAGGTTCAAGCGATTCTCCTGCCTCAGCCTCCCAAGTAGCTGGGATTACAGGCACGTGCCACCATGCCCGGCTAATTTTTTGTATTTTTAGTAGAGACAGGGGTTTCACCATGTTGACCAGACTGGTCTCGAAATCCTGACCTCAAGCGATCCTCCTGCCCGGGCCTCCCAGAGTGCTGGGATTACAGGGATGAGCCACCATGCCCGGCCCTTTTCTGGAAGTTTTATGTAAATGGAATCACACACGTGTGACCTTTTGTGTCCTGCTCCTTTCGTTTAGCATGTTTTCAAGGCTCATCCACACTGGAGCATGTATCAGAACTCCATTCCCGTAATGGCTGCACAACATCCCATTGCATGGATTAGACCACCTTCGTTTATCCATTTCATCTGCCGATCCACATTTGCTGCTTTGGAACTACTGTGAATAGTGCTACTGTGAACATTCCTGTACAAGTATTTACTTGACTACCTGTTTTCACTTGTTCCACATGCATATCTAGGAGTGGAATTGCTGGGTCGTATAGCAATTCTACGTTTAACTTTTTTTTTTGAGATGGAGTTTCACTCTTGTCGCCCAGGCTGGAGTGCAAATGGCGCGATCTCGGCTCACTGCAACCTCTGCCTCCCGGGTTCAAGCAATTCTCCTGCCTCAGCCTTCCGAGTAGCTGGGATTACAGGCATGCACCACCATGCCCGGCTAATTTTGTATTTTTAGTAGAGATGGGGTTTCTCCATGTTGGCCAGGCTGGTCTCCAACTCCTGACCTCAGGTGATCCACCCATCTCAGACTCCCAAAGTGCTGGGATTACAGGCATGAGCCACCACGCCCGGCCCTGTGTTTAACTTTTTGAGGAATAACCAAACTTCTCCACTGTGGTCACACCATTGCACATTTCCACCAGCAGTGTACAAGGGTTCCGGTTTCTTTACATTCTTGCCAACACCTGTTATTTTCTGTTTTTAAAAATTATAGCTATCCTAGTGAGTGTGAAATGGTATCTCATTGTGGTTTTAATTTGCATTTCCCTTATAGCTAATGATGTTAAGCGTCTTTTCGTGTGCTTATTGGCTAGTTGTATGTCTTCTTCAGAGAAATGACTATTCAAGTCCTTTACCTTTTGTGTGTGTGTGTGTGTGTGTGTGACAAAGTCTCACTCTGTCACCTGGAGTGCAGTGGTGCAATCACCACCCCCTGCTGCCTGAGCAGCCTTGTGCTCAGCCGATCTTCCAACCCCAGCCTCCTGAGTAGCTGGAACTACTACAGGCATGTGCCGCCAAGCCCAGCTAATTTTTAAAATTTTTTTGTAAAAATTGGGTTTTGCCATGTTGCCCATGGCTGATCTTGAAGTCCTGGGTTCAAGCGATCCCCCGCCGCCTCAGCCTCCCAAAGTGCTAGGATTACAGGCATGAGCAAGAAAGACCCTCTTTCGGAAAAAAAATAAAATCAAATCATGCCATCAGGGCTGCAGACCGGGAGCCAGGGCTCGCAGATCCCCATGTGTGCCTAGTGACGAATGACGATGACACTATTTACAAGGTTTCCACTTGTAAATTCTGTGCTGAATGCCATTTAGCACACCCCTCACAATCCACTTAGTTGACATCCCTCGTCCCACAGCCAGTCCTGGCTGAGGTTGCTCAGAGAGATACCTAAGGGAGAAGTATCGGAGTACCTCTTTCAACAATAGCCCTCCCCCTGGATTTGTTCTTGTGGTTTCTTTGTGGAGGCACAGCTGCAGTCGAAAACTGTACTCCAAGGAGCGTGTCCTTGAATGCCACGGCACAGCCAACATTTTTATTTATATATGCATATAATGTATATCTATGAACACACATTTATATATATGTGCATGTATGCATGTATAAATAATTTTCTACAGTGAGTTGATATTACCTTTATTTATTTATTTGAGGCGGAGTCTTGCTCTGTTGCCCAGGCTGGAATACAATGGCGCAATCTCAGCTCACTGCAACCTCCCCCTCCCAGTTTCAAGCAATCCTCCTCCTTCAGCCTCCCAAGAAACTGGGATTACAGACGCACTCCCATACCCAGCTAATTTTTGGATTTTTAGTAGAGACGACATTTCACCATGTTGGCCAGGCGGGTCTCGAATTCCTGACCTCAAGTGATCCTCCTGACTCGGCTTCCCAAAGTGCTGGGATTACATGTGTGAGCCACCGTGCCCGGCCTATTTTTAAATATATTTTAAATTTTTTTAATTTTATAATAAAGATAGGGTCTCACTATGTTGCCCAGGCTGGTCTCCAACTCTTGGGTTCAAGTGGTCCTCCCACCTTGGCCTCCCAAAGTGCTGGATTACAGGCATGAGCCACCGCGCCCTACCTTTATTATAAGGCAGAAATCGAGGCCCACCTGTGTCTCTCTTTGGGCGTACACTCTGTTTGTTTGCTTTCACATCATGGTGACTGGCTGCCGGCAGGCTGCCCAGAGGCTCTGCAGTAGACAGGGGTCCTGCGCGTGGCTGCAGGGTGGACCTGAGCCAGGGGACCTCAGAGGACAAAGGGGGCCTTGATGAAAGCCCCGGTCAGCTGGTCAGTAGGAAGCACTGCTGCTCTGCTTGTCACCCAAGTCAGGGACACGCCGGGGCCACGGGGCCACTCTCTGCTGCTGGTTCCTGGGGAGGCTCTGGAATTTGAAGCTGGCTGTTGGGGGGCAGAGCTGGGAGGCCCGTGCAAACAACCTCCCACCTGCTGGTTTGGTGCAGCTGTCCCGGGAGAGGACCAAAGGCCACCGAGGGAGGGAGGAAGGGAGTAGGCAGCTGCTGGTGGTGGGCTCGGGGCCAGACCCGGACGGCGGGTGGAGGGTGTGCGTGGGGGGCCTGACAGGTGGGGCTTTGTGTCCTGGATGCCCAAGCAGATCTCCCCTTAGTGCGGCTTCCTGTCAGCCGGGCTGCACTTGTGCGCTTGGCTGCCTGCCCGTCCCCCACCCGTCGAGGGGCTCCACCGACAGCTCATCCCCCCCACCCCCTGCAGACGCAGCATGATGGACTCCCCTGGGAGCCCGGACCCGGCGCGCCCCCGGCCGTTCTTCCTTGGCTCTCATTGTAGGGCTGAGGGACTTCTGCGTGTGTGGTGAGGAGTCTCCCTTTCCCTCCACCCAACAGCTCTGCAAGCTCCTGCCCTGCCCCAGGGGAGGAACCCCTGGTGGCTTCACAAGGGCGGTCCCACCTCCCGGATTGTGGCCCACGGAGGGGTGTTGGTGGTGTGGGCAGGTGCTGTGTTGCATCCAGGATGAGGGAAGAACCACAGTCTTTGCCCTCAGTTTAGTGGAGGAGAGAGACTCCTAACTAACAAGTAGACTGAGTTTAGTGGCTGAGGTGTGGAGGGGATGGTAAGTGGCCTTCAGGGGGACAGGAGGCCTCTTTCTAGTTGGGGAGGATAAGCTTACAAAAGTGGTACCACATGGGCTAGCCTGGAAGAACTCTTACAGCCCAGGACTCAAGAGAGAAAATCCAGCGCTCCAGAGAGAAAATTCAGCAGTGAAAACATCACATGGAAAGGCCTGGAGGCATGGGAGACAGCCAGGTTCTGGGAACACGGAGGGTTCAGGAGTAGGGGCTGGGAAGAGAGGAAGGCACCATGGAAAGGAGGCTGGGAAGGAAGGTTGGGCCCAGCTTGTGGGTCATAAGAGACTTTAAAGGTGGAGAGACTGGCAAGAGCCAGATGAGTTTTTTGTTTGATTGTTTTGTTTTGTTTTGTTTGAGACGGAGTTCCGCTCTTGTCTCCCAGGCTGGAGTGCAATGGCGCCATCTCGGCTCACTGCAACCTCTGCCTCCTGGGTTCAAGCAATACTCCTGCCTCAGCCTCCCATGTAGCTGGGATTACAGGTGCCCGCCACCAAGCCTGGCTAATTTTGTATTCTTAGTAGAGATGGGGTTTCGCCATGTTGCCAAGGCTGGTCTCGAACTCCTGACCTCAGGTGATCCTCCCGCCTTGGCCTCCCAAAGTGATGAGATTACAGGCATGAGCCACCGTGCCCGGCCCAGATGTGTTTTAGAAAAATAGATATTCACAGCAGGATAAAGAAGAGGTGGCAACAAGAGAGACCAGCAAGGAGATAAACTGGGAAGTTATTGTAAAAAGTTCAGACATGAGAAAGGTACTGGGGGCCAGCCACAGGGATTGGCTCCTGCTTCTGGGAGGTGCCTCTAGACTCCTGGAGGGAAGGCCAGGGGCTGCCTGAGACTTTCGGTAACAGCCTCAGAGTGGTCGAGGATTCGACCCAAGTTCCACTACCTTTCATTAGGGATGTTTTGTAAACTGTCAAGTGCTGTACAAATGTCCATTTGTTTCTCTTTTCTCCTTAATGAACTTCAGAGACCAGAACAGAAAATCCTGCTGCCACAAATACCAGAAATGCTCGATAAAGAAAACAAATTTCCTTTTAGACACATAGCAAAGCTCATCAGGCTGGGAGTAGTGGCTCATGCCTGGAATCCCAGCACTTTGGGAGGCTGAGGGTGGAGGATCATTTGAGTCCAGGAATTTGAAGCCAGCCTGGGCAACATACAAGACCCTGTACCTACAAAAAAAAAAAAAAAAAAAAAAAGAACTAAAATAATACCAGGTGTAGCAGCATGCACCTGCACTGTAGTCCCAGCCACTTGGGAGGCTAAGAGGGGAGGATGGCTTGAGCCCAGGAGGTCAAGGCTGCAGTGAGCCAGGATTGCACCAGTGCACTCCAGCCTGGACAAAAGAGTGAAACTCTGTCTCAAAAACAAACAACAACAAAAAAAAAATGAGAAAAGAGAAGGAAAATAAATGGTCATCAGTTGATAAGAAAATCCCTCTCTCTCCTTCCTTATCTCCTTCCAGCATTTTCCAGGGCCCTTCCCAAATACCAAATAAGCTCCCTGCGCTGACATCCTTGTCTCAGAGTCTGCTTCCATGGGAACCCCAGCTAAGAGGAATTCTTCAATACATGACGCTAGAGCAACTGGTTCTGCACAGGGAGAAATAAAATTAGAATATTACTTTATGCCTTAACTACAAATAAATTCCGAGTGTATTAAAGGCCTAACTGCGAAAACCAAAGCTTTTAAACTTTTCAAAAAAAATACGAGAGAATATCTTTATGATCTTAGTTTCAATAGGGAAAAAAATTCTTAAGACACCAAAAGCATATAAATAAAGGAAGATGTTGATAAAATTGACAACCTTGTCAATAAAAGATGCCATTGTACATAAAAAGGCCACAGGCTGGGGCCGGGTGCAGTGGCTCACGCCTGTAATCCCGGTACTTTGGGAGGCCGAGGCAGGTGGATTACTTGAGGCCAGGAGTTCAAGACCAGCCTGGCCAAAAAACACTCTCTCTACTAAAAATACAAAAATTAGCCAGGTGTGGTGGCACACACCCGTAATCCCAGCTACTAGGGAGGCTGAGGCACAAGAATTGCTTGAGCCTGAGAAGTGGAGGTTGTAGTGAGCCAAGATCACGCCACTGTACTCCAGCCTAGGCGACAGAGACTCCGTCTCAAAACAGAACAACAACAACAAAAAAAGGCCACAGGCAGAATAAGCTATTTGTGGTAGAGAAAACTGACAGGCCGGGCGCAGTGGCTCATGCCTGTAATCCCAGCACTTTGGGAGGCCGAGGTGGGCAGATCACCTGAGGTCAGGAGTTCAAAACCAGCCTGGCCAACATGGGAAAAACCCGTCTCTACTAAAAATACAAAAATTAGCCGGGCGTGGTGGCGGGTGCCTGTAATCCCAGCTACGTGGGAGGCTGAGGCAGGAGAATTGCTTGAACCCAGGAGTTGGAGGCTGCAATGAGCTGAGATTGCACCATTGCACTCCAGCCTGGGCGACAAGAGCGAGACTTCGTCTCACAAAAAAGAAAACTGACAAAGAATTGGGAATCAGAATATATGAAGAACTAGCACAGAGCTATAAGAAGGAAACCGCAACCCAGTGGAAAAGTGGGCAAAGACATCAGTAGGCATTTCACGGAAGAGGAAATGTGAACCGTAGGGAGCACACGCAATACCATTTCACAGTGGAAATTTAAAAGCCCAACAAAACAAGTGTTGGTGAGTAGATGGAGCGGCTGGGGCACCTGTTCCCTGGTGTTGGAATTGTCCATTGTCTTCACTACTATGGAAATCAATTTGGAAATAGAAGTTTGGCTTTTGGGGTTTTTTTTGGTAGAAACGGGGTCTCACTATGTTGTCCAGGCTGGTTTCCAACTCTTGGGCTCAAGCGATCCTCCCACCTCAGCCTCCCACAGTGCCAGGATTACACTCTGCCTAGCCTGGAAATATATTTTTATTTTTATTTTTTATTTTTATTTATTTATTTTTTTTGAGACGGAGTCTCGCTCTGTCACCCAGGCTGGAGTGCAGTGGCACGATCTCAGCTCACTGCAAGCTCCACCTCCTGGGTTCATGCCATTCTCCTGCCTCAGCCTCCCGAGTAGCTGGGACTACAGGTACCCACCACCACGCCTGGCTAATTTTTTGTATTTTTAGTAGAGACGGGGTTTCACCATGTTAGCCAGGATGGTCTCGATCTCCTGACCTTGTTATCCGCCTTTCTCGGCCTCCCAAAGTGCTGGGATTACAGGCGTGAGCCACCATGCCTGGCCAAAACAGATTTTTAAATGTGCATGCTTTGAGCCCCAGTGTTTCCCTTCTAGGGACATGTGAACAAGGATGTATGATCAGGATTATTCACTGAAGCGCAGAATAATTCATTTTTAATTGTAAAAAGTCAAAAGCAACCTAAGTGTTCATCTATGTGAGGGTAGCCAAATACGTTGGTACAGTGGGATACTAATCAGTGGTTTATGTTTAATCAACATGGATTAGCACTGAAAAACTGTGAATACTGGGCCCAAAAAAGCAAGTGGGAGTTCAGCTTCTGCTTAGGATATACGAAAACAAAAGAGAGGGCATAGCTGAAATGGTACTGCTGTTTATGTACTTTTTTTTTTTTTTTTTTTTTTTTGAGACGGAGTCTTGTTCTGTTGCTCAGGCTGGAGTGCAGTGATGCAATCTCGGCTTACTGCAACCTCTGCCTCCCGGGTTCAAACTAGTCTCCTGCCTCAGCCTCCCCTGTAGCTGGGATTATAGTTGCGCGCCACCACACCTGGCTAATTTTTTGTGTTTTTAGTAGAGACACGGTTTCACCATGTTGGCCAGGCTGTTCTCAAACTCCTAAGCTCCGGCGATCCACCTACCTTGGCCTCCCAAAGTGCTGGGATTACAGGTGTGAGTCATCGTGCCCAGCCTTTTTGTGTGGTTTTTTGTTTAATATAGAGATGGAGTCTCACTATGTCGCTCAGGCTGGTCTTGAACTCCTGGCCTCAGGCTGGTCTCGAACTCCTGGTCTCATGCAATCCTCCCGCCTCAGCCTCCCAAAGTGCTGGGATGCGTGAGCCACCATGCCTGGCCAAGAGAAGGAATACACTTCAGAGAACTACTTAGCTTGTTCAAATTCATGTAGCTGGTTGGCTGCAGAGCAAGGATTCCAGAGAACTACTTAGCTTGTTCAAATTCATGTAGCTGGTTGGCTGCAGAGCAAGGATTCGACCCAAGCTCCACTACCTTTCATTAGGGACGTTTTGTAAACTGTCAAGTGCTGTACAGATGTCCATTTGTTTCTCTTTTCTCCTAACTTCAGAGACCAGAACAGACCCTTTAACAAATTGGGAGCAAGTGTCCTTTTTTCTACAATGCCAGGTGGCAAGGATGGGGAGGGATGGGAGGTTCACAGATGTCAGTGACCTCCAGCATCAGGTGGAGGACGTGGTGCTATGGGATGGGGCATGCTGCACCTCCAGAGGCTCCGGGCCTCAGATATCCTCCATGCTGGAAAGGTGGGAGCTCTGAGTGGTCTGTTTTGAGCCAGCTTCCTCCTGCCCCTCCAGCTTCCCCAGGGTGCATCTGCACACACAGGTACACACACACACGTCCACATACATGCACACGCCCTGCTCTCCTGTGCACTCCCAACGAGTCCGAGTAAATGCCTTTGCTTCTCTTGCTTGCTCTTTGGCTCAGGCCAGGAACCCCTTTTGGGGTCACAAGGGACCATTACAGCTCATTTGGTCAAAAAGCCCCCATCCAGTGCCCCCAACCAGCACCTCGAAGACCCTTCATAAATCTCAAGTGAGGCCGGGCACGGTGGCTGACACCTGTAATCCCAGCAGTTTGGGAGGCTGAGGCAGGTGGATCATGAGGTCAGGAGTTCGAGACCAGCCTGACTAACATGGTGAAACCCCCATCTCTACTAAAAATACAAAAATTAGCTGGGCATGGTAGCGCACGCCTGTAGTCCCAGCTGCTCGGGAGGCTGAGCAAGAGAATCGCTTGAACCTGGAAGGCGGAGTTTGCAGTGAGCCGAGATCGCACCACTGCACTCTAGCCTGGGCGACAGAGCGAGACTCCATCTCAAAAAAAAAAAATCTCAAGTGAATGACGAATACCTCTTGCAGGTAATTTAAATCCTCTGGCCTCCCTCCCAAAGTCCTTAGATAGCACGCCCCATCCCATAGCACCATGTCCTTGCTGACCAGCAGAGCGGGGACAGATTAGCACACAGTCCCTCCAGCGCAGCAATGTGGGGACACATTAGCAAGGAGGAGGTGGCAACATGGACAGAATAGCTTGCTCCTGTTTCTGAGTTTTGTAGCAGGTGTGTTTTTGTAGCAGGTGAGTAAGGTATGTATTTTCTCGCTCTATCAGTGCTTTTTTTAAGCATTCCAGGGTTAAAGACCTGCATACGCAACTAAAACTCTTGTCTCCTGGGAAATGGGAGTATTAATTCCCTCTGGGCTGCTGTTTTTTGTTTTGTTTTGTTTTGTTTTGTTTTCTGTCTGTAAAATGAGGATGTTGGCCAGGCACCGTGGCTCAATCCCGTCATCTCAGCACTTTGGGAGGCTGAAGCAGAAGGATGGCTTAAGCCCAGGAGTTCAAAACCAGCCTGGGCAACATAGTGAGATCCCACCTTTAGAAAAAAAAAAAAACTAGCTGGCTATAGTAGCATGTAGCCTCCTGTAGTCACAGCTACTGAGGAGGCTGAGGCGGGAGGATCGCTTGAGCCCAGGAGTTCGAGGCTGCAGTGAGCTATGATCGCACCACTGCACTTCAACCTGGGTGACACAGCAAGACACTGTCTCTTAAAAAAAAATGATGATAGGCTGGTGGGGGTGACTCATGCCTGAAATCCCAGCACTTTGGGAGGCCAGGTGGGTGGATCATGAGGTCAAGAGTTCAAGACCAACCTGGCCAAGACGGTGAAACCCCATCTGTACTAAAAATACAGAAATTAGCTGGGTGTGGTGGTGTGCCCGTAATCCCAGGTACCATTGCACTCCAGCCTGGGTGACAGAGCAAGACTCTGCCTCAAAAAAAAAAAAAAAAAAAAAAAAAAAAGAGGTTGTTGCCTTAGATAAATAGCTTTCATACCATTTAAATTTATTTCTTTAATGGACGTTTATTGACCTCTTTCCATGAGCAGGGAAGGTGCCAGTCCAGGGGAGATGGTGGGTGGACACGACAGGACCAGATGCCACCTTCATGTGTCTGGCGGGTGAACAGATGTTCAAAATGGGATGACAAGCATGATGCAGTCATAAAGAAGAGCAGGTGCTGGCCAGGCACTGTGGCTCATGCCTGTAATCCTAGCACTTTGGGAGGTGGGAGAATCGCTTAAGGCCAGGAGTTCAAGGCCACCCAGGGCAACATAGTGAGACCTTGCCTCTAAAAAAAAATAAAAAATTAGCCATGCGTGGTGGTATGCACCCATAGTCCCAGCTACTCGGGAGGCTGAGGCAGGAGGATCACTTGAGCCTGGGATGTCGAGGCTGCAGTGAGCTGTGGTCGTGCCACTGTACTTTAGCCTGGATGAAAGAGCAAGACCCTGTCTCAAAAAAAAAAAAAAAAAAAAAAAAAAAGCAGGTGCTGTGGTGCTGTGGGGTGGGTAATGGAAGAAACACCCTGGTCTAGGGGCAGCAGGAAGGGAAGTTTTGGCTGAGATCCAAAGGACGAGTGGGAATTAGCTGGTAGAGGAGGTCAAGAAGAGCCTTCTTGGTGGTGGTCCCAGCATGTGCAAAGGCCAGAAGGTAGAGAAGATGCTTCTTATTGCAGGAACAGTGCAGAGCGCCTGCAGGGTTGACAAGAAGGGGATTAGGGGCAGATGCACAGGGCATTGGTGCCCTGCTGAGAAAGTTATATTTTATCACTGGGCGCGGTGGCTCATGCCCGTAATCCCAGCACTTTGAAAGGCCGAGGCGGACGGATCACCTGAGGTCAGGAGGTCAAGACCAGCCTGACCAACATGGTGAAGCCCTGTCTCTACTAAAAATACAAAAATCTGGGCTGGGCACTGTGGCTCATGCCCATAATCCCAGCACTTTGGGAGGCCGAGGTGGGCGGATCAGGAGGTCAGGGGATTGAGACCATTCTGGCTAACACGGTAAAACCCCTTCTCTACTAAAAATACAAAAAAATTAGCCAGGTGTGGTGGTGGGCGCCTGTAGTCCCAGCTACTCGGGAGGCTGAGGCAGAAGAATGGCCTGAACCTGGGAGGCGGAGCTTGCAGTGAGCCGAATTCGTGTCACTGCACTCCAGCCTGGGCGACAGAGCAAGACTCCATCTCAAAAAACAAACAAAAATTTAGCCGGGCGTGGTGGCACATGCCTGTAATTCCAGCTACTTGGGAGGCTGAGGCAGGAGAATCGCTTGAACCCGGGAGGCGGAGGTTGCAGTGAGCAGAGATGGCGCCACTGCACTCCAACCTGGGTAACAGAGTGAGATTCTGTCTTAAAAAAAAAAGAAAAAAAAGTTATATTTTATCCTAAGAACAGTAGCAAACCTTCAAAGGTTTGGAAGCAGATGAATGTTATGATTGCATCTGTATTTAATAAAAAATCTTTCTGGCATATAGTGGCAACCCCAGAAAGATTTGAATGAGGCGAGAGGATGGATGAAAGAGAGGCTTCAGTGTGAAGAATGGGTTGGCAGGGATTGGAGGTGGACAAGGGATCTGTTAGGATGGTGACCACAGAGGCAGAGAGAAATGGGTGGAGATATTTAAAAGCTGGAGTTTCGGCCAGGTGCTGTAACTCACGCCTGTAATCCTAGCACTTTGGGAGGCCGAGGCGGGCAATTGCCTGAGCTCAGGAGTTTAAGACCAGCCTGGGCAACATGGCGAATCCCCGTCTCTACTAAAAACGTAAAAAATTAGCTGGGTGTGGTGGCTGTCGCCTGTAATCCCAGCTATTCAGGAGGCTGAGGCACGAGAATTGCTTGAACCCAGGAGGTAGAGGTTACAGTGAGCTGAGATCGTGCCACTGCACTTCAGCCTGGGTGACACAGTGAGACTCTGTCTCAATGAATGAATGAATGAATCAATCAATCAATAAAAGCTGGCATTTTGAGGACTTGTTCATTGAGGAGATGTGAGAGGGAGGCTAGTCACAGGCTATTTCTAGGATGCTGGCTTTGTCTGCAGCCGAAAGAAGGATGCTGTTGTCAGATCTGCAGAGGTGGTCAGGGGTGGATTTGGGACATCTTGATGCTGAGGTCACTGTGAGATACTGCTAAGCAGATCTGGAGGTCAGAGAGATGGACGTTAGGTTGGTGTATAGGTGGTAGTTAAAGGCATGGGCTGTTGGAGACCACCAAGGGAGAGAGTGCAGAGGACGAAGTGGGGCTGGGTCTACCTTGAGGACGCCAACATTTAACATACAGGTTGAGAAGAAGCCAAACAAGAAAATTAATAGAGAAAGGAGGGAAACCAGGAAAGCCTGGCCCATGGAGGTCAAGGGAAGGGAGTTTCAGGAACAACGGAGTGGCAAGTCCTGGAAAACAAGCTCTAGTTAGATGGGAACTAACCAGAAAAGTAAAAAAGTAAATCTCTGGATTTTGCAAATAGAGATTCATTGTTGGCTGGGCACAGTTGCTCACGCCAGTAATCCCAACACTTTGGGAGGCCAAGGCCTGAGGATCACTTGAGCCCAGGAGTCCTAAGCCAACCTGGGCAACATATTGAAACTCTGTCTCTACAGAAAATACAAAAATGAGCCAGGCGTGCTGGTGCATGCCTGTAGTCCCAGCTACTTAGGAGGCTGAGGTGGAAGGATCACTGGAGCCAGGAGGTCAAGGCTGCAGTGAGCTGTGATCACACAACTGAATTCCAGCCTGAGTGATACGGCGAGACCTCATCTCAAAACAAAACAAAAACAAACAAGATGTATTGTTGATCTAGCAAAAGTGGAATCTGTGAAGCAAAGACAGTCAGTGAAGACAAGTGTTTCAAGAAGTTTAATTGGGAAAGGAAGAAGGGGGGTCATAGCTGGAGGAGAGTGTGAGGTTGAAGATGGTTTGGTTTGGTTTTTAAGTTAGCGACCCCAGTTTAAAAGCAGGTGAGGATAAACGGAGAGAGAGAGGTTGATAGGCCTGGCCTAGTTTTTATAGGAGAACCAAACATCCCATGGTTCTAGCTTCCTTGGCTATCGTTTTAGGCTACTATTACCTTCTTGCTTATCAAGGTACTGACTTACTTCTTAAGGTTAGGTAGATGCCTGGAATTCCTGTTGAAGGAACTTAAAATTTTCCTTTATTTCAATGATGCAGTGGCCTGCAAGCCCCTAGGAGGGGGTCCCTGCTCCATCTCAAAGCAGGAGCTGGAAAAGCACGGGCCTGGCTGCTGCTCCATGCCAACCAGATGGCCCAGCAGATAATCGGCAACGTGCACAAGCTTCAGCTGTGCCTGGTGCCCTGTACCAGGTTCTTAACAATAAAGGAGGCCAGACGCAGTGGCTCACACCTGTAATCCCAGCACTTTGGGAGGCCGAGGCAGGTGGATCACTTGAGGTCAGGAGTTTAAGACCTGCCTGGCCAACATGGCAAAATCCCATCTCTACTAAAAATACAAAAATTAGCCGGGTGTGGTGGCGGGCGCCTGTAATCCCAGCTACTTGGGAGGCTGAGGCCGGGGAATCCCTTGAAGCTGGGAGAGGGAGGTTGCAGTGAGCTGAGATTGTGCCACCGTACTCCAGCCTGGGTGACAGAGTGAGATGCTGTCTCAAAAAAAAAAAAAAAAAAAAAGAATAAAGGAATAAGACTGCTCCTTCATGGCTGCCATCCACATCTTGAGCAAAGTATCTCTTGCTAATTTGCAACAAGGGAAAGAGAATTCTGTGAGGTGTAGTCCACCTCAGCTAAGCTGACAGAACACAAATTCATCATAGGGGCCACTTCATTTTTAAGAAAGTATTTATTAGCAGATCCAGGTACTGGTTGCAGGATCTTGGGCTAAACTAAACAGTTAGAATGAGTCCATCCTCATAGAATGTAGATTCCAGTAGAGAAATCAGACAGTAAGCAAGTGAATCTATGATACGATGCCATATTGTAATAAGCACTATGGAAAAGAAGACAGAGAAAAAATAGTGAGTAAGGGGGTAAGAGTTGGGAAAGAAGGAGGTTACATTAGAGAGGGTGGGTGGTTGGAAAACCATTTGATGAAGTACCATTTGATCAGAGGCCATAATGAAGTGATAGAACCAACCAAGCAGAGATCATAGGAAAGAGGTTTTTTGTTTGTTTGTTTGTTTGTTTTCAGGCAGAGGAAACAGTGTGTGCAAAGGCTCCAAGGCAGGAGAAAAATTGTTCAAGAAATGCAAGAATGCCAGAGCTGCTGGAGCACTGAGTGGGGCCGAGAGGGATAAAGATGAAGCTGGAGAATTAGGCAGCAACAGAGAATAGTCATTCTGTGACCTGTCTAGTGATTCCCTTGAAGACCCTACTTGAAAGGCTTGTCTTTTTTTTTTTTTTTTTTTTTTAGATGGAGTCTTGCACTGTTGCCCAGGCTGGAACACAGTGGCGCGATCTCGGCTCACTGCAAACTCCACCTCCAGGTTCAAGCAATTCTCATGCCTCAACCTCCTGAGTAGCTGGGATTACAGGCACCCGCCACCACGCCCAGCTAATTTTTGTATTTTCAAGCAGAGACGGGGTTTCACCATGTTGGCCAGGTGGTTTCGAACTCCTGACCTCAGGTTATCAACTCGCTTTGGCCTCCCATAGTGCTGGGATTACAGGCGTGAGCCACCACGCCTGGCTGAAAGGCTTGTCTTTTTTGACCTTACTTAAACTCTCCCAGTGCTAAATGCCTCTCTCAAGGGACATTTGTTGCATATTTTATTTTACTTTATTATTTTATTTTTATTTTTATTTTTATTTTTTATTTTGAGATGGAGTTTCATTCTTGTCCCCCAGACTGGAGTGCAATGGCACGATCTCGGCCCACTGCAACCTCCGTCTCCCAGGTTCAAGCGATTCTCCTGCCTCAGCCTCCCAAATAGCTAGGATTACAGGCATGCACCACCACACCTGGCTAATTTTTGTATATTTAGTAGAGATGGGGTTTCACCATGTTGGCCAGGATAGTCTTGAACTCCTGACCTCAGGTGATCCGCCTGCCTTGGCCTCCCAAAGTGCTGGGGTTACAGGTGTGAGCCCCCACACTTGGCCCATTTGTTGCGTATTTTAACATCAGAGCTGCCTAAGGTCATGGATAACAGTTGGGGCAAACAATAGACTAACATAAAGTTTTAAAAGAAAGGCTAAGGAATGAGATGTCCATGGGGGGCTTTTTTTTTTTTTCTTTGAGATGGAGTTTCATTCTTTTTGCCCAGGCTGGAGTGCAATGGCACGATCTCGGCCCACTGCAACCTCCGCCTCCTGGGTTCAAGCGATTCTTCTACCTCAGCCTCCCGTGTAGCTGGGATTACAGGCACACACCACCAGGCCCACCTAATTTTGTGTTTTTAGTAGAGACGGGGTTTCACCATGTTGGCCAGGCTGGTCTCGAACTCCTGACATTAGGTGATCTGCCCGCCTCAGCCTCCCAAAGTGCTGGGATTACAGGCATGAGCCACCGCGCCAGGCCATAGGGGGCTTCTATAAGCTCTGACATCCTCCTGGTGTGCAGATGGCCATGTGCGTGTGTTGGCTGCGTGTGTGCCCAGGAAGGACTTCAGAAGGCAATAATAACCCCCCTTGGACTGACCTTGAGGCTCTGTGCGAGCAGAACGTGAAAGCTGAGGCAGAGTTAGAAACTGCCTGGCTAGGTGTTGAAAGTTTGCATGGATCCAGAGCCTCTCAGCAAAGAGTAGATGTGTTGGTTCCAAGAGGTTAAGGAAATCTGTCTAATCATTAGCTAACCACTAAGTTAACTGCGCAAAGAATTCAGTGGCCACACATGATGTAGAATACAGACTTGGCATAATTATGAGGAAAGTCACTAAACAAACAGCAACCACAATAAACAGCAACAAGAACAAACCCTACAGAGGGGGGAGCAGAATCTGACTTCCAGCATGACCACATTATATTATTTGAAATGTCCGGTTTTGAACAAAAATTGTGAAACATGCAAAGAAAGCAAAAAATATGATCCTTAGGGGGAAAAAGCCATCAATGCCAACAGTCCCTGAGGAAACCCAGAAGTTGGAATTATTCGACAATTTATTTATTTATTTATTAAGTGATCCTCCTTCCTTAGTCTCCCAAGTAGCTAGGATTACAAGCACACACCACCATGCCTGGCTGATTTTTAAAATTTTTTTGTAGCAACAGCATCTCACTATGTTGCCCAGGCTGGTCTTGAACTCCTGGCCTTAAGTTATTCTCCTGCCGTGACCTCCCAATGTCCTGGGATTACAGGTGTGAGTCTAGCCTAGACAAATACTTTAAATTAGTTATTTTAAATATATTCAAAGAACTAAAGAAAACCATGTCTAAAAAATGAATGAAAAGTATGAAAACAGAATTTCAAAGAGAGAGGGAGATGATGAATTAACAGATAGAAATTATAAAAAGGAACAAAAAAGAAAATGACAGAATTGAAAAATACAAAAACTGAAACAAAAAATTTAGTGGAGGCCAGGCACAGTGGCTCATGCCTGGGATCCCAGCACTTTGAGAGGCCAAGGTGAGGCCAAACACCTGAGATCAGGAGTTTGAGACCAGCCTGGCCAACATGGTGAAACCCTATGTCTACTAAAAATACAAAAATTAGCTGGGTGTGGTGGTGTGTGCCCGTAATCCCAGCTACTCTGGAGGCTGAGGCAGGAGGATCACTTGAACCCGGGAAGTGGATGTTGCAGTGAGCTGAGATGGTACCACTGCACTCCAGCCTGGGCAGCAGAGCAAGACTTCATCTCAAAAAGAAAAAAAATCAGTATCAGATTTGAGAAGATGAAAGAGGAATCAGTGAATTTAAAGATAGGCCAATTGAGATTATTCAGTCTAAGGAACAGAGAGAAAAAGAATGAAGATTAATGACCTGCGGGACACTATCAAGCATATCAACATACGTATAATAGGAGTCCCTGTGGAAGAAGAAAGAGCAGAAAGAATATTTGAAGAAATAATGACTTGAAATTATGCTAAATTCGATGAAAAATGAATAGTAGTCCACACATCTGAGAAACTCAATGAACTCCAAGTAGGATAAATTCAGAGATCTACACCAAGACACGTCATAGTCACACTGTCAGAAGACAAAGAGGAAGCAGCGAGAAGTGACTCATCACATACAAGGGATTTTTAATAAGATTAACAGCTGGCTTCTCATTAAAAAAAAAAAGCCGGCCTGGCACGGTGGCTCACGCCTGTAATCCCAGCACTTTGGGAGGCCGAGGCATGTGGATCATGAGGTCAGGAGATCGAGACCATCCTGGCTTACATGGTGAAACCCCATCTGTACTAAAAATACAAAAATTAGTTAGGTGTGGTGGCAGGCATCTGTAGTCCCAGCTACTCGGGAGGCTGAGGCAGGAGAATGGCATGAACCCAGGAGGCGTAGCTTTCAGTGAGCCGAGATTGTGCCACTGCACTACAGCCTAGGCGACAGAGTGAGACTCTGTCTCAAAAAAAAAAACAAAAAGCCGCAGAGTTTAGAAGCCAGTGAGATGATATATTCAAAGTGATGAAAGGAGAAAACTGCCAGCCAAGAATCTTATCTTTCATAAAACTATCCTTCAAAAATGAGTGAGAAATTAACATTCCTCAGCCAAATAAAGGAAATCTACCAAAAACAAAAAAACCCATGGCTAACAACATACTTAATAGTGAATGACTGAAAGCTTTTCTCCTAAGATCAGGAACAAAACAAGGATGTCTGCTCTTACCACTTATATTCAAGATTGACTAGAACTTGTTAGAACTAGAGGTTCTGACAAAGGCAGTTAAGCAAGAAGAAATAAGTAAAAGGCACACATATTGGAAAGTAAGAAGTGAAATTATCTCTATTTTTCAGTGACATTATCTCATATGTATAGAAAACATGACAAAGTTTTCTATTACAACAACAAAAGCTATTAGAGCTAATAAATGAATCAAGAAAAATTGCAGGATACAACATTAATATTTTATTATTTTTTTCTTTTTTGAGACAGGGTCTTTCTTGCTCTGTCATCTGGGCTGGAGTGCAGTGGTACAAGCATGGATCACTCCAGCCTCAACCTCCTGGGCTAAAGTGATTCTCCAACCTCAGCCTCTCGAGTAGCTTGGACCACAAGCATGCATCACCATGCCCAGCTAATTTTTTTTTTTTTTTTGTAGAGATAGGGCTTTGCTATGTTGCCCAGGCTGGTCTCAAACTCCAGGCTCAAGCAATCCACCCACCTTGACCTCCCAAAGTGCTGGAACTACAGACATGAGCCACCGCACCTGGCCCAATATTAATATTTAAAAATTTAGTTGTATTTCTATATGCTAGCTATGAAAAATCCAAAAATGAAATTAAGAAAACCAATAGAAAAGAATAAAATACTTATTTAACCAAAGATGTGCAATACTTGTGTACTGGAACTACGAAATATTGTTGGAAGAAATTAAAGAAGACCTAAATAAATGGAAAGACATTTTATGTTCTTGGGTCAGAAGACTTAATATTGTTAATATGGCAAGACTTTGCTAGTCAATCTATAGATTCAATGCAATCCCTATCAAAATTTCAAATGCCTTTTTGCAGAAATAGACAAGCTGATACCAAAATTCATATGGAAATGCAAGGGATCCCAAATAAGCAAAACAGTCTTGAAAAAGAAGAACAAGGCCGGGCTCAGTGGTTCACCCCTGTAATCCCAGCACTTTGGGAGGCCGAGGCAGGCAGATCACTTGAGGTCAGGAGTTCAAGACCAGCCTGGTCAATATAGTGAAACTCTGTCTCTACTAAAAACAGAAAAAATTAGCCCAGCGTGGTGTTGGGCACCTGTAATCCCAGCTACTGGGGAGGCTGAGGCAGGAGAATCGCTTGAACCCAGGAGACAGAAGTTGCAGTGAGCCGAGATCACACCACTGCACTCTAGCCTGGGTGACAGTGCTAGACTCCATCTCAAAAAAAAAAAAAAAAGTTGGTGGACTCCCCAGTTTCAAAACTTACTACAAAGCTGCAGTAGTCAAAGTGGTGTTACTGGCATAAGGATAGAAACATAGAACAGTGCAATGGAATTGGGGGTCCAGAAATAAGCCCACATATCCGTGGTCAATTGATAGTCAACAAGGATGACAAGACTCTTCACGCTATACACAAAAATTAACTCCAAATGGATCAGAAACCTAAATGTAAGAGCTAAACTTATAAAACTCATAGAGGGAAACATAGGTGTAAATCTTTATGAGCTTGGATTAAGCAATGGCTTCTTAAATGTGACATCAAAAGCTTGAACAACCAAAGAAAAAATAAACTGTTCTTCAACAATATTACAAATGTTTTTGCTTCAAAGGACACTGTCGAGAATGTAAGAAGGACCAAGTATGGTAGCTCACACTTGTAATCCCAGCACTTTGGGAGGCCGAGGGAGGCAGATCACTGGAGCTCCGGAGTTTGAGACCAGCCTGGGGAACTTGGTGAAACCCCATCTCTACAAAAAAATACAGAAATTAACCAGGTGTGCTGATGCATGCCTGTAGTCCCAGCTGCTTAGGAAGCTGCAGTGGGAGGATCACTTGATCCCAGGCAGTGGAGGTTGCAGGGAGCTGAGATGGTACTGCTGCACTCCAGCCTGGACAACAGAGCAAGACTGTCTTTCAAAAGGAAAAAAAAAAAAAGAATGTAAAAAGACATCTCATAGAATGGGAGAAAATACTTAGAAATCATATTATTGGATAAGGAATTGATACCCAGAATATATACAGAATTCCTAAAACTCAATAACAAAAATAAAATTCAGTTCAAAAATAGGCAAATGAATAGACATTTCTTCAAAGAAGATATACAAATGGTCAATAAGCACATGCAAAGGTGCCTATCACTAATCACTAAGGAAATGCAAATCAAAACTACAGTGAGATAACACCTCACATCTGTTAGGATGGCTACTATAGAAAAACATGAAAATTGGCCAGGCACAGTGGCTCACGCCTGTAATCCCAGCACTTTGGGAGGCTGAGGCGGGTGGATCATCTGAGGTCAGGAGTTCAAGACCAGCCTGACCAACACGGTGAAAATCTATCTCTACTGAAAACTCAAAAATTAGCCAGGCATGGTGACGCGTAGCTGTAATCCCAGCTGCTTGGGAGGCTGAGGCAGGAGAATCACTTGAACCTGGGAGGCGGAGGTTGCAGTGAGCTGAGATCACACCACTACACTCCAGCCTGGTAGAGCGAGACTCCATCTCAAAAATTAAAAAAAAGGAAAACATGAAATAAAAATTGCTAGCCAGGTTGTGGAGAAATTGGAATCCTTGTGCATGATTGGAGGGAATATAAAATGGTACGATGCTGTGAAAAACAGTATGGCAGCTCCTCAAAAAATTAAAAATAGAATCACCATATGATCCAGCAATTCCACTTGTGGGTTTATACCCAAAAGAACTGAAAGCAGAGCCTTGAAGAGATATTTGTACATCCACGTTCATAGCAGCATTATTCACAATAGCCAAAACATGGAAGCAAGCCAAGTGTTCATCACCAGCTGAATGAATAAGCAAAATGTGTTATATGATGGAATGTTATTCAGCCTTAAAAGGGAAGGAAATTCTAGCCGAGTGCGGTGGTTCACATCTGTAATCCCAGCACTTTGGGAGGCCAAGGCAGGCAGATCACTTGAGGTCAGGAGTTTGAGACCAGCCTAGCCAACATGGTGATACCCCGTCTCTACTAAAAATACAAAAATTAGCTAGGCATGGTGGCGGGTGCCTGTAATACCAGCTACTCAGGAGGCTGAGGCAGGAGAATCACTCGAACCCGGGAGGGGGAGGTTGCAGTGAACCGAGATTGCTCCATTGCCCTCCAGCCTGGGCAACAAGAGCGAAACTCCATCTAAAAATAACATAAACAATAAAAAGGAAGGAAATTCTGACACATACTACAACATGGGTGAACCTTGAGGACATTATGCTAAGTGCAATAAGCTAGTCACAACAAAGACAAATACTGTATGATAAATACAGCATGACTCCCGTTATATGAGGTACTTAGTCACAATCGTAGAGATAGAAAGTAGACTGGTGAGACCGGGCGCGGTGGCTCACGCCTGTAATCTCAGCACTTTGGGAGGCAGAGGTAGGAGGATCGCTTAAGCCGAAGAGTTTGAGACCAGCCTGGGATACATAGCAAGACCCTATCTCTACCAAAAAAAAAAAAAAAGTTTTAATTAGCTGAGTACAGTGAGCATGCCTGTAGTCCCAGCTACTTTGGAGGCTGAGGTGGGAAGATTGCTTGAGCCCAGGAGGTCAAAGCCGCAGTGAGCTGTGTTTGTGCCACAGCACTCCATCCAGTCTGACTGACAGAACAAGACCCTGTCTCAAAAAATTAGACTGCTGTTTGCTAGGGGCTGGGGAGAGGGGAGAATGGGGAATTATGTTTAATGGGGACCGTTTCAGTTTTACAAAGATGAACGGCCGTGATGGTTGCACAAATTATGGATATATTTAGTACCACTGAATGGTACACTTAAAAACAGTGATAATGAGCCTCATGAGCACAGTGGCCCACTCCTGTAATCCCAGCACTTTATGAGGCTGAGGCAGGCAGATATAGCATGAGCTCAGGAGTTTGAGACCAGCCGGGGCAACATGGTGAAACCCCATCCCTAGAAAAAATACAAAAAATAAAATTAGCCAGGCATGGTGGTGTGCGCCTGTAGTCCCAGCTACCCGGGAGGCTGAGGTGGAAGGATGGCTTGAGCCCAGGAGTTTGGAGCTGCAGTGAACTGTGATTGTACCACCACAGGCCCCCAGCCTAGGCAACAGAGTGAGACCCTGTCTCAAAAAAAGAAAAATAGTGAAGATAATAAATTTTATGTATATTTTATCACAATAAAAAAATTTTAAGGCCGGGCATGGTGGCTCATGCCTGTAATCCCAGCACTTTGGGAGGCTGAGGCAGGTGGATCACCTGAGGTCAGGAGTTCAAGACTAGCCTGGCCAACATGACGAAACCCCGTCTCTACTAAACATACAAAAATTAGCTGGGCATCATGGTGAGCACCTGTAGTCCTAGCTACCAGGAGGCTGAGGCAGGAGACTCACTTGAACCCAGGAGATGGAGGTTGCAGTGAGCCGAGATCGTGCCATTGCACTCCAGCCTGGGTGACAGAGCAAGACTCTGTCTCGTAAATAAATAAATAAAGGAATGAAGTGCTGATTCATGCTACAACATGCTTAAACATTGAAAACATTATGCTAAGTGAAGAAGCCAGACAGAAATGGCCACTTATTTTATTATAACCCCATTATATGAAATGTTCAGAATAGGTAAATCCATGGAGACAGAAAGTAGATTAGCACTTGCCGGGGGTTGGGGGAAGGATGAATACAGAGTGACTACTAACAGGTATGGTGTTTCTTGTTTTGTTTTGTTTTGTTTTTTTGAGACAGAGTCTCACTCTATCACCCAGGCAGGAGTGCAGTGGCACAAGCTTGGCTGACTGCAACCTCTGCCTCCCGGGTTCAAGTGATTCTTGTGCCTTAGCTTCCAAATAACTGAGATTATAGGCACGCACCACCACACCCAGCTAATTTTTTTGTTGTTTTTTTGTTTTGTTTTGTTTTGTTTTTTTGAGATGGAGTCTCGCTCTGTCGCCCAGGCTAGAGTGCAGTGGCATGATCTTGGCTGACTGCCAGCTCCACCTCCCGGGTTCACACCATTCTCCTGCCTCAGCCTCCCGAGTAGCTGGGACTACAGGCGCCCGCCGCCATGCCAGCCTAATTTTTTGTATTTTTTTTTTTTTAGTATAGACAGGGTTTCACCATGTTAGCCAGGATGGTCTCGATCTCCTGACCTCGTGATCCACCCGCCTCGGCCTCCCAAAGTGCTGGGATTACAGGCGTGAGCCACCACACCCGGCCTGTTTTTTTTGTTTGTTTGTTTGTTTTAAGTAGAAACGAGGTTTCGCCGTGTTGGCCAGGCTGGTCTCCAACTCCTGACTTCAAGTGATCTGCCCGCCTCGGCCTCCCAAAGTGCTGGGATTACAGGCGTGAGCCACCGCGCCCAGCCAGGTTTTCTTTTTGGGGTGATGAAAATGTCCTGGAATTGGTGATGATGATTATATAACCTTGAAAATACATTAAAAATCACTGAACTATACCCTTTTTAAAAATGGTGAATTCTATGGTGTCTGAGTTATATCTCAGTTTTAAAAAAATGTATTATTCTGATTGCATATAGAGATAGGCTACAGGTGTCCAAGAGTGAAAACTGGGAGGATGTTGCAGATGCTGCAGTTGGTCCAGCGGTGAGCTGATGGTGCTATCATTGGCCAGGAGGTTGGCCCAAGGGCATGATGGCTTGAAAAGTTGGGAAGTCCCGGCCAGGGGTGGTGGCTCATGCCTGTAATCCCAGCACTTTGGGAGGCCAAGGTGGGTGGATCACCTGAGATCAGGAGTTCGAGACCAGCCTGGCCAACATGGTGAAACCCTGTCTCTACTAACAATACAAAAATTAGCCCGGTGTGCTGGCGGCCACCTGTAAACCCAGCTACTCGGGAGGCTGAAGCAGGAGAATCACTTGAACCTGGGAGGCAGAGGTTGCAGTGAGCTGAGATGGCACCATTGCACTCCAGCCTGGGCGACAAGAGTGAAACTCTGTCTCAAAAACAAAACAATACAAAACAAAAGTTGGGAAGTCCTGAGTGCAGGAATCCTATAGAGAGGCTGTTCTCAACAGGAGGAGGGACACTCCCCGACCCTCGCCACTGAGGCAAGAGGGAATATGAGTTCAGGGGAAGGCATTTTGGAAAACTGATCTGACTTTTGGTTTGGTGCCAAAAAGGGTTTATGAGCCATTATGGGCACAGGCTTGAAAGCTTCAAATAGCTGCGAGTTAGCAAAGGTCATGGCCTTGGCTTCTAGGAAAATCGTGGAGCCCTGGAACAGGAAATCCAGGGATGGTGTCACCTTGAAGTGTACCTGACAATAATTTTTGAGTTGAAATACAGGGGCTTGAGATATTCATCATAATTACATGGCTCAGTAATACAAACCATCTCCTGATTTGGAATTTGCAGATGTCTGTTTTATAAAATCAAAGTCACTGATTAATCTAGAATTGGCATTGCGTCTTACAATCACAGTAGCATTTTGAATTGGGCATATGCCAATGCATTAATAAATAAGTAAAAGGTAGAATTAATAGCATCAAACTGCCGGGTGCAGTGGCTCATGCCTGTAATCCCAGCACTTTGTGAGGCCGAGGTGGGAGGATTCCTTGAGGCCAGGAGTTTGAGACCAATCTGGGCAACATAGTGAGACCTTGTCTCTACACACTCACAAAATTTTTAATTAGCCAGGCGTGATGGCACACGCGTGTAGCCTCAGCTACTTGGGAGGCTGAGATGGGAGGATCACCTGAGCCCAGGAGCTCAAGACTGCAGTGAGCTATGATTGAACCAGTGCCCTCCAGCCTGGGTGACAGAGGGAGACCCTGCCTCCATTTTCAATAAATGAATAAATAATATTAAACTAACACAGTTTGGTTTATAGAATTTTTTCATTTGAAATATCTGTCTTGGTCTCTACAACAACAGCCTTGTGAAACAAGTTTTGCTATTTTCATGCCTATATTTATATAAGGAAATGGAGGCTTAGTGAGTTAACACTTTTCTAAGAAGCCTGAATCCAGGTCTTCTAAATCTCATGTTCTTTCCATTATCACTCCATGAATCAAGTAAAGTACTTTTTATTTATTCAAATTCTCAGGGTATGTTGCCAGGGTACCTTTTCCCAGAAAGTCTATTTTTATAGAATGTCTTTGATTCTTGCCCATCCCAGTGGCTATTTTAAATAACATTTTTTTCCTGTTAATTATGTTAATGTTAATTTTAGAAAGTCTAGAAAAACAGTTTTAAAAATCACCACTCATAACCACTCTTAACATTTGAGCATATTTCTTTCCAGTGTCTGCCTATACATACACCACCTATAAATATATATACACATATATACATATATATATTTATAACCCTTTTCGTAAAACTGTGCTCATACTATATAAATGGTTTCGTGTCCTGCTTTTTTGCTTAGTATGATTTTGTGAAATGGAGCGTCGCATAACGGTGAAGGTTAATTAGGCCCTGGAGCCAGAACAAAACGCTCTGGTAGGTGTGTGTGCCCTTGTAAATTATTTAACCTTTTAGCACCTTAGTTTCTTTCCTCTGGTCCCAGGTGATCTGCGTTCTTGGGGTCGGGAACTGTTCCGTGTCTGAAACACATCCGTACTTTCTCCCATTGGACAAGCAGCGTCCTTGCCTTCCATCCTTCTCGCATCTCCCTTGCCCTGTGACTTCAGTAACACCCGCTCTATCTAACCTTGGGTCCACCATGCCCAGTTTCCTGAATGCTGCTGTAGAAGACCACGCAGTGGAGAATATCGGTGTCGCTATTGACCCACAGCCTTCTTGTCCTTTGTCTTTCTTTGTAATTTTCTTTTATTGATTGTATCTATTTTTTAAATATATAATGCATGGGCCTGGCACGGTGGCTCACGCCTGTAATCCCAGCACTTTGGGAGGCCGAGGTGGGTGGATCATCTGAGGTCAGTAGTTTGAGACCAGCCTGGCCAACATGGCGAAACCCTGTCTCTACTGAATGTACAAAAATTAGCCGGGCATGGTGATGATGCACCTGTAATCCCAGCTACTTGGGAGGCTGAGGCAGGAGAATCGCTTGAACCCAGGAGGAAGAGGTTGCAATGAGCCGAGATCACGCCACTGCACTCCGGCCTGGGCAACAGAGGGAGACTCCATCTCAAAAAAAAATAAAATTAATTAATTAATTAATTAATAAAGCATGATTAAAAAAAAATCTACCATACAAGAGGGTGACCAGTTCATCCCACATCCCCCAGCCTCTGGTCCTTCTCTGCAGAGGCAGCCACCTCTGTGCAACTGCAAGCATATCGTCTGTGTGGGTCTGCAGTGGTATTTCGCTGAGTAACATAGATCTTGGATATTGTTTCAGTCCATACATACAGGCCTGCCCAGTTGTTTTGTTTTGTTGGTTTTTTTCACATTGCCATATAAAAGGAAGGCTTCCTAAAGCATACCACAAACCTACAAGCTATAATGGAAAAGTTGATAAATTTGACTATGGAAAGGCCAGGAGCAGTGGCTCATGCCTGTAATCCCAGCACTTTGGGAGGCCGAAGCAGGCGGATCACTTGAGTCCAGGAGTTCGAGACCAGCCTGGCCAACATAGCAAAACCCCGTCTCTACTGAAAATACAAAAATTAGCCAGGCATGGTGATGGCATGCCTGCAATCCCAGCTACTGGGGAGGCTGAGGCAGGAGAATCACTTGAATCCAGGAGGTGGAGGTTGCAGTAAGCTGAGATCACACCACTGCACTCCAGCCTGAGCGACAGAGCGAGACTGTCTCAAAAAAAAAAAAATGACTACGGAAAAATGAGAAGCTTTAGTATGAGAAAAGATACCATTAGCAAAGCCACAAGACAGGATGGCCTCCACATCCCACTGGACCTTCAACACTGCTCAGTGGCCCTTTTGTGCCCCACGTGGTTCTCTCCACAGATACTACCTCAAACCTTCCTGCCCCTCCAAGCTACAACTCCATCCCTCCTAATTTCACACAGAAAATCAAATTTATCAGATGGAAATGCCCTCTGCTTCCTGCAGCCAGACCTTTATTTTGTTTTAATTGTTCTTATTTTTTTATAGAGATAGGGTCTTGCTCTGTCACCCAGGCTGGAGTGCAGTGGCTTGATCATAGCTCACTGTAGCCTCCAACTCCTGGCCTCAAACAATCCTCCTCCCTCAACCCCCTGACTAGCTGGGACTATATGTGTGCACCTCCATGCCTTTCTAATTTTTAAATTTTTTTTGTAGAAACAGGGTCTCACTATATTCACTATATTTCCCAGGCTGGTTTCGAACACCTTGGCCTCCCAAAGAGCTAGGATTACAGGTGCGAACCACCAAACCCAGCCAACCAGACATCTCAGTGTATTTGAGCCCAAATTAGTCTCTTCTTTCCCTCTGTTGAAATGGAAAGTATCTGGACTGGGCATGATGGCTCACGCCCGTAATCCCAGCACTTTGGGAGGCCAAGGCAGGCAGATCACTTGAGGCCAGGAGTTCAAGACCAGCCTGGCCAATATGGTGAAATCCCAACCCTACTAAAAATACAAAAATTAGTCGGACGTGGTGGTGCATGCTTGTAATCCCAGCTACTCAGGAAGCTGAGGCATGAGAATTGCTTGAACCTGGGAGGCAGAGGTTGCAGTGAGCCGAGATTGTACTACTGCACTCCAGCCTGGGCAATGGAGCAATGGAGCAAGACTTTGTCTGTCCGTCTGCCTGTCTCTCTCTCTCTCTCTCTCTCCCTATACATATATATATGTATGTATACGTATACATACACATACATATATATGTATGTGTATATATGTATGTATACGTATACATACACATACATATATATGTATGTGTATATATGTGTGTATACGTATACACACACACATATGTATGTGTATATATGTATGTATATGTATACACACACATATGTATGTGTATATATGTATGTATACGTATACATACACATATGTATGTGTATATATGTATGTATACGTATACATACACACATATATATGCATGTGTATGTATACATATACATACATATATACATACATATATGTGTGTATATATGTATGTATACATATATGTGTGTATATAGTATGTGTATGTATACACACACAATATATGTATATATACATATGTATATGTGTGTATATATGTATGTACATATATGTATGTAAATATACACACATACATGTATGTATGTACACACATGTGTGTGCATATATGCATACATGTATGTATGCACATATGTGTGTATATGTGTGTGTATATACACATATATGTGTATATACACATATATGTGTATATATATACACATATATGTGTATATATATACACATATATGTGTATATATATACACATATATGTGTATATATATATACACATATATGTGTATATATATATATACACACATACATAAAATAATGGAAGGTAGCTGTTCCCCTGCTAGAGGCTGACACCTCCCTGTGTTCTGATCCCCTGTAATCTTGCCTTAGCAGGACCGTTGCTCTACTGATTAGCTGAGTCAGAAAACTAGAAGTCAAATTATCACTCACTACTCCACTCCCCTCCCACTCCCTTCCATTCCCGTCTCCTGCTGGGTTTTACCTCCTAAATACTCCCTGGCGGCTCTGTTCTCTCATCTCTTTCCTATTTTCACTGCTCATGGTCAGGACTCATCTAGTACACCCAGAACTGGCAGTACCCTCTTCACTGATCCCAGTCTCCACCCTGGCCATCCTCAGAGCTGTCCCTGCACAGAGGTCAGTGATGCATCAAAAACTCAGATCTGCTCCTGTCCCCTGGCAAACACCCTGAATTGACCATCTGCCTCCTACATCAGTCCGCCTCGCCTGCTGTAGGGGTAGGAGCAGTGCCGCCAGGATGACACACTCTGTCACCCAGGCTGGAGTGCAGTGGTGCAATCATAGCTCACTGCAGCCTTGACTGCCTAGGTTCCAGCGATCCTCCCACCTCAGCCTCCTGAGTAGCTGGGACTATAGGTGTACGCCACCCCTCCTGGTCTGGACATTATATTTGTTTAAATGATCTGTCTTTGAGTTTTCCTTCCCACTTACACTACAGACATCTGGAGAGCAAAGACGCTGTCCGGGATCTTCCTACTGGCCTGGCACACACCTGGTGCACAGCTGATTCAAAACAGAACTTGCCAAACCACCCACTGAATGTTTTCTTGGTCGTTGTACCAGAACAGATGATCATAAAGACAGTTTATGAAACGTAATTAGGATAAGTGTAAATTCTTGTAGTTACATCTGAAACTCACAGGCATGCAAATATCAGATGGGCAACTGTGGCTTGCAGCAGTTCATGTAGAAAAAAGGTGGGGATTTTCATTGAGGAAGCCTCAGCATGGGTCGCCGGTGTGGTGACGCTGCAGGAAGCAGCTCGGATCTTAGCCACCTGTGCTGGTGTCCTCTGAGAACTTGCTCTGTCCCTGTCCCCATTCTCTTTCATATCTTCAATAATTATTCCTCCTCTCAGCTTAAAAACAGGCCCTCGTGTCCTCTAACCTTTAAAAACCTCTTTCCAGGCCAGGCACCGTGGCTCACTCCAGGAGGCTGAGGAGGATGGATCATTTGAGGTCAGGAGTTCGAGACAAGACTGACCAACATGGTGAAATCCCGTCTCTACTAAAAATACAGAAATTAGCCAGGCATGGTAGTGTGTGCCTGTAATCCCAGCTTCTAGGGAAGTTGAGGCAGGAGAGTCACTTGAACCTGGGAGAGGGAGGTTGCAGTGAGCTGAGATCACGCAACTGCACTCCAGCCTGGGCGACAGAGCGAGACGCTGTCTCAAAAATAAATTAGTTAATAAAATAAAATAAATAAAAGCCTCTTTCCAGCCAGGCATGGTGGCTCACACTTGTAGTCTGAGCACTGGGGGAGTCCCAGGTAGGAGGATTGCTTGAGACCAGGAGTTTGAGACCAGCTAGGACAACATAGCAAGACCTCATCTTTACCAAATAAAATAGCTGGGCGTGGTGGTGCAGGTCTGTACTCCCAGCTACTCGGGAGGCTGGGGTGGGAGGGTTACTGGAGCCCAGGAGTTCCAGGCTGCCATGTGCTGTGATCGCACCACTGTGGTCCATCCTGGGTGACAGAACAAGAACCTGTCTCAAACAAACAAACAAACAAACAAAAATAGTGGAGACCCTCCAGTGTGAGCCTCCTCATCATCTCTGATTTCATCCCCCATGACATCGCCAGCTACGCCCCCTCCTTCCCCTCCTCCCTCCCCTCCACCTTCACCCCTTGTGGCTCACTCACGCACCCACTCTCCAGTCCACCCCTCCTCAGAGACCCTGTCCACTCATCCATCTCTCTCCCATTGCGCTTCCTCTTCACTCCGTTCCTTCTGCCTCCCACCATATGCAAATCTTCTCCATCCTTAAAAGCCTGATTGCCTCCTCTGGATTTTTCCACACTCTTGGGGAACTTCCTGTGACTCCCTGCCCTTCACCACCAGCCTTTCCCAAAGAGAAATCCCTCTCACCACCTCCCACTGCCCATCCTCCCCCAGTGGCTCCAAGGCACACATTTGGACTTAGGCCTGCGTTACTCTGCTGTAGCTGCCCCCAAGATGACATCAGGACCTAACAGCACTTGTAGCACCTTTTGCTCCCCATTCCCTGCTTCGCATCCTTGGGGATCTCGGCAGGACTGGACCCACTCCCCCTTCTTTCAGGGCCCCTCACTGCCCTTATCTTCTACTTGTTGTCCCTCCCTTTTTTTTTTTTTTTTTTTTTGAGATGGAGTCTCGCTCTGTTGCCCAGGCTGGAGTGCAGCGGCATGATCTCGGCTCACTGCAACCTCCGCCTCCTGGGTTCAAGTGATTCTCCTGCCTCAGCCTCCTCAGTAGCTGGGATTACAGGTGTGCGCCACCACGCCCGGCTAATTTTTGTATTTTTAGTAGAGACGGGGTTTCACCATGTTGGCCAGGCTGGTCTCAAGCTCCTGACCTCAGGTGATCCGACTGCCTTGGCTTCCCGAAGTACTGGGATTACAGACCTGAGCCATTGTACCTGGCCTTTTTTTTTTTTTTTAACAGGGTCTCATTTTGTCACCTAGGCTGGAGTGCAGTGATGCAAAGATGGCTCACTGCAGCCTTGACCTCCCAGGCTCAAGTGATCCTCCCTTCTCAACCTCCTGAGTAGCTGGGACTATAGGAGGGCATCCCCACACCACCTAATTTTTGCATTTTTGGTAGAGACGGGATTTTGCCATGTTGCCCGGGCTAGTCTTGAACTCCTGGGCTCAAGTGATCCTCCCGCCTCGGCCTTCCAAAGTGTTAGCATTACAGGCGTGAGCCACCACGCCGGCTACTTGGTGTCTCTTGATTTTTTTTGCTGCCTGCAGTGACTGCTCTTCCCACCCTAAATGCAGGCCTTCCCCGATGCTATGTCTTTGGTCCTCTTCCCTCTTTATGCTTTCCCCATTATCTATAATAATAAACAAAGAGATGGAGAGAGGGTGCTGAGGGCTTTGAGGATGAAGGGGGTTCTTTGTTGCTTTGGCGGTATTGTTGGTTTTTTGTCATTGTTTGCTTTTTTCTTTTTTTGTAATGGCAAGAGGGATTCCTCAGGGCACGATGGAAAGAGCTGGAAGGAGGCCAACAAACCACGTGCCTTTACTATTTTCATATGCCCCAAACATTATTCGTCTTGATAGTATTTTGCTGATCCTGTCTACCGGTTGCATTCCCTCCCTGCTCTTAACCTCTGTAGCATTCTGGTAATGCTTCTCTTACCAATCAAGTAATCATGCTGCCTTTTTTGTGTGTGTTTTCGTTTTTGAGACAGAGTCTCAATCTGTTGCCCAGGCTGGAGTGCAGTGGTGCAATCTCGGTTCACTGCAACCTCTGCCTCGTGGGTTCAAGCAATTCTCCTGCCTCAGCCTCCCAAGTAGCTGGGACCACTGGTGCACACCACCATGCCCAGCTAATTTTTGTATTGTTAGTAGAAACGGGCTTTTGCCATGTTGGCCAGGCTGGTCTCAAACTCCTGACCTCAAGTGATCCACCCACCTCAGCCTCCCAAAGTGCTGGGATTACAGGCATGAACCACTGCTCCAGGCCCATGCTGCCATTTTTTTTTTTTTTTTTTACCACGTATCGTATCTTAAATACTTCGGCAGTAGACTTAGGCTGTCTTGACACCAGAACCTGAGTTTTTTTGTGTGTTTTGTTTTGTTTTTTGAGACGGAGTCTTGCTCTGTTGCCAGGCTGGAGTACAATGGCACTATCTCGGCTCAGTGCAACCTCCGCTTCTCCGGTTCACGCGATTCTTCCGCCTCAGCCTCCCGAGTAGCTGGGACTACAGGTGCGCACCACCATGCCCAGCTAATTTTTGTATTTTTAGTAGAGACCGGGTTTCACCATGTTGGCCAGGATGGTCTCGATCTCTTGACCTCGTGATCCACCCACCTCGGCCTCTCAAAGTGCTGGGATTACAGGTGTGAGCCACCACCCCCAGGCCAGAACCTGAGTTATTTTACATCCCTTGGAGCACTTAAAAGTGCTCGCATATGGTGGGTACCCAATAAAATGCTTTCTTAGCAGCATCTGCTAAGAGGAAGACCGTGAGTTTTTGAGGCAAGTAACCCCAGGTCTGATCCTGTTTCTAGTCTTGTTCTTGCCTACCTTTCTTTTTTTCTGTCTTTTTTTTTCTCTTTGAAATGGAGTCTCGCTCTGTCACCCAGGCTGGAGTCCAGTGGCGCAATCTTGGCTCTCTGCAACCTCTGCCTCCCAGGCTCAAGCGATTCTCCTGCCTCAGCCTCCCGAGTAGCTGGGATTACAGGCGTGCGCCACCATACCTGGCTAATTTTTGTATTTTTTGTAGAGACGGGGTTTTGCCAGGTTGGCCAGGCTGATCTCGATCAAGTGATCTACACACCTTGGCCTCCCGAAGTGCTGGGATTACAGGTGTAAGCCACCATGGCCGGCCCTGCTTATGTTTCTAATAACAGTAGTTGCCACAAAGCATTGTGAATATTAAAGATAAGGATGCATGTCTGGCAATGGGCATTCCCTCCCCTTACTGAGCTGGGAAGGAGCTAGAAGAAGGGGAGTCTTATAGGCACCAGCGTGGGGGATGCTAGGACACCTAGTGAGCCCAAGGCCAAACATTTTTGCAGGCTTCAGGATTTGGGGGAAAGCCATTTGCAAGATTGCTCTGGTTTGCCATAAAGCTTTCAACCCTGGGACTGGCCAGAAGTAGGACGAGACAAAATGACCCAAAGCAGTGTGTGAGGACACGTCAATGTCACTTGATGTGTTTCCACCTGGTGAATGACTGGCGAGTCATTGGAATTTCACTGTACTTGGTAGGCCCTGGCCCTTTTCACATTCACATAGTCCTGCCTTAGTTTGCTTTCTTCCTGTTTTTTCTTTGTTTGTTTGTTTTTGTGTGTATGTGTGTGGTTTTTTTGAGATGGCGTCTCACTCTGTCACCCACACTGGAATGCAGTGGCACAATCATAGCTCACTGCAGCCTCCCCAGGCTCAGATGATCCTCCCACCTCAGCCTCCTGAATAGCTAGGATTACAGGTGATTTTTTTTTTAATCTTTTCTAGAGACAGGGTTTTGCCGCGTTGCCAGGCTGGTCTGGAACTCCTAGGCTCAAGTGATCCTGCTACCTCGGCCTCCCAAAGTGTTGGGATTACAGGCATGAGCCACGGCGCCTGGCCTCCTGCTGTTTTAACAGCCTTTTTCCTGCCTCTTTTTCTCCCTTGGCCGCCACTGCACACATGCCAATACCCAAACCCAGCGACCTCTGTGCCTCCTTTCCTGCCCGCAAAATTCAGCTGCTGGGAGGACATTCCAATCCTTTTCTCAATTCTGGCAGCTCTTCAGATGACCTCCACAAACTAGTCCTGAAGCTGGGCAGATTTGTTCTCCACCCTCCAGAATTCCTTCAAAAAATGAAGAAGAGGCCGGATACAGTGGCTCACGCCTGTAATCCCAACACTTTGGGAGGCCAAGGTTGGGGGGTATCACCTGAGGTCAGGAATTTGAGACCAGCCTGGCCAACATGGTGAAACCCCATCTCTACTAAAAATACAAAAACTAGCTGGGTGTGATGGCAGATGCGTGTAATCCCAGCTACTGGGGAGGCAGGAGAATCGCTTGAAGTCGGGAGGTGAAGGCTGCAGTGAGACGAGATCACAACACTGCACTCCAGCCTGGGCGACAGAGCAAGATTCTGTCTAAAAAAAATATGAGGAAGAGATTGGTAAGCCAGCAAGTAAATCCTTTTGGAGTGTCCCAGGGTGTAGAGTTTGTTTTTGAAATTTTTGAAATTTTTCTCTGTTGGTATTTTTAGATCAACCACATTCTTTTTAACTACTGCATAGTATTTCTTAGTACAAAAGCATCCTAATTTTATTTTTCTTCATTTAAATGTGTATGTGCGTGTGTGTGTGTGTATTTAAATTCTAGATTCAGGGGGTACATGTGCAGGTTTGTCGCATGGATATATTGTGTGATGCTAAGGTTTGGGCTTCAAATGATCCCATCGCCCATATAATACCCAATATTAATAGGTAGTTTTTCAGCCTTTCTCCCCCTCCTTCCCTCCTGCCTTTTGGAGTCCCCAGGGTCTATTCTTCCCAGCATTATGTCTGTGCACTGAGTGTTTAGCACCCGCTTATGAGTGAGAATGTGCAATATTTGGTTTTCTGTTTCTTTTCTGTTTAATGCACTTAGGAAAATAACCTCCAGCTGCATCCATGTGGCTGCAAAGGACATGATATTGTTCTTTTTTTTAAATTTAATTGCTTTTTTTTTTTTTTTTTGAGACAAAGTCTCTTGTCCCTCAGGCTGGAGTGCAATGGCGGGATCTCGGCTCACTGCAATCTCCACCTCCCGGGTTCAAGCGATTCTCCTGCCTCAGCCTCCCGAGTAGCTGGGATTACAGGTGCCTGCCACCATGCCTGGCTAATTTTTGTATTTTTAGTAGAGACAGGGTTTCACATGTTGGCCAGGCTGGTCTCGAACTCCTGACCTCAGGTGATCTGCCCGCCTCGGCCTCCCAAAGTGCTGGGATTACAGGCGTGAGCCACCATGCCCAGCTGATATTGTTCTTTTTATGGCTACGTAGTATTCTATGGTGTATATGTACTGCATTTTCTTTCTCCAGTCTACCATGGATGGGCACCTGGGTTAATTCCATGTCTTTGCCATTGTAAATGGTGCTGCAATAAACATACATGTGCATATGTCTTTTCGGTAGAACGATTTATTTTCCTTTGGGTAGATACCCAGTAATGGGATTGCCGGGTCAACTTTCTACTATTGCTGGAACATTCAAGTTGTTTTTGCCTTTCCCTTGGGAATAGTGCTTCAGGGAATGTCCTTGAACGTGGCTCATTGTGAACTTGTGGGAACATTCCTCTAGGATAGATTCCCAGGGGGTCAGACTATGTGTATATTTGAAATTTATTAGACCCTGCCAGATTGTCCTGTTCAGAGACTTGTACCACTGCAGGACAAATATTTTTCTTTACGGTTTAGTCATTCTATATCTTGCTTAACAAAGTCTTCTCAGCCAGGCGCAGTGGCTCACGCCTGTAATCCCAGCACTTTGGGAGGCTGAGGCAGGCGGATCACCTGAGGTCGGGAGTTCGAGACCAGCCTGACCAACATGGAGAAACCCCGTCTCTACCAAAAATATAAAATTAGCCAGGTGTGGTGGCACACGCCTGTAGTCCCAGCTACTCCAGAGGCTGAGGCAGGAGAATCGCTTGAACCCAGGAGGCAGAGGTTGCGGTGAGCCGAGATCATGCCATTGCACTCCAGCCTGGGCAACAAGAATGAAACTCCATCTCAAAAATCAAAAAGATCTTCTCAATACTAAAGTTGGAAACATATTTTCTTTTTTTTTTTTTTCTAAGTTTATAGTTTTGCTTTGTGCCTTTGGCTCCTTACGCAAGCTAGGATGTTTCTCCCCCAGAGTGAGAACTTCTTCTCACTGTTTGGTACCATCTGAATAGCCTGCCCTTTCCCTACTAATTTGAAATGCCACCTTTATTATAAACTAAATTCTGATAAATATATAGATTTGGTCTATTTCACTAACCCATGGTCTATGCCTACCATGTGTTTTGGTGTGTGTGTGTTTGTGCTTTTAAAAAAAAATGGGGTAAAATACATATAACATAAAGTTTGCCATTGTCACCATTTTATTTTTATTTTTTTTCTTTTTGAGACGGGGTCTTGCCTGTCACCCAGGCTGGAGTGCAGTGGCGCGACCATGGCTCACTGCAGCCTTGACTTCCCAGGCTCAAGCGATCCTCCTGCCTCAGCTTCCCGAGTAGTTGGGACCACAGGCACGCACCACCACACCTGGCTAATTTTTGTATTTTTGGTAGAGACATGGGTGGTTTCACCAAGTTGGCCAGGCTCAAACTCCTGACCTCAAGTGATCCACTCACCTTGTCCTCCCAGAGTGCTGGGATTACAGGTGTGAGCCACTGCACCCAACCTGTAACCATTTTTTAAGTATACAATTCAGTGGCATTAATTACATCTATAATGCTGTACAACAATCACTGCTATTTCCATAATATTTCATCACCCCGAACAGAAACTCTTACTCACTAATAATCTACTTTGTGTTGACATGACTTTGCTTATTCTAGATCCTCATATAAGTGGACTCATACAATATTTATCCCTTTGTGTCTGGCTTATTTCTTTGCTTTGCTTGTCTTTTTCTTTTCTTTTCTTTTCTTTTTTTTTTGAGACAGAGCTCACTCTGTCACCCAGGCTGGAGTGCAGTGGTGCGATCTCGGCTCACTACAACCTCCGCTTCCTGGATTTCAGCGACTCTCCTGCCTCAGCCTCCCAAGTAGTTGGGATTACAGGTGTGCGCCACAACACCTGGCTAATTTTTTTTGTATTTTTATTAGAGACAGGATTTTACCATGTTGGCCAGGCTGGACTCGAACTCCTGACCTCAAGTGATCCACCCACCTGGGGCTCCCAAAGTGCTGGGATTACAGGCGTGAGCCACCGTGCCCGGCCTGTGTCTGGCTTATTTCACTTAGCAGAATGTTTTCAAAATTCAGCCGCAGTGCATTATGTATCAGAACCTCATTCCTTTCTATGGCTGAATAATATTTCATGGTGTGGATAGACCACATTTTGTCAATGCATTCGTCTGTTGATGGACACCTGGGCTGTCCCCACCTTTTGGCTGTTGTGAATAATGCTGCTGTGAACATGGGTGTGCAAGTATTTGTTTAAGTCCCTGCTTTCAGTTCTTTTGGGCAGATGCCCAGGAGTGGCATTGCTGGGTCATGTGGTAATTCGGTTTAACTTTTGTCATCATTGTTGTAGAGATGGGGCCTTGGTATGTTATCCAGGCTGTCTTGAACTCCTGGCCTCAAGAGATCCTCCTGCCTAAGCCTCCAGAGTAGCTGGGACCACAAGCATGTGCCACCATGCCCGGCTAATTTCTTTATTTTTTGTAGAGATGGGCTCTTGCTATGTTGCCCAGGCTAGAACTCCTGGGTTCAAACAATCCTCCCACCTCGGCCTCCGAAAGCGCTGGGATTACAGGCGTGAGCCACTGTGGCCAGCCCCTGTTTAATTTTTGAAGCGCCCTCAAACTGTTTTCCACAGCAGCTGCAGAGGAGATACTCGGAGGAGGAGGAAAGAGAAGTCACGGAGCCCTGTTCTTAACCGAGTTTTGCAGTCACCTCCCCGTATTCCTCTCTCACTCTGAAGCCGAGCACAGAACCCAGCCTCTGGTGGTACCGAGTGAAGGTTGGCCTGGTTGGTTGGATGGATGGCCAAATGAACTCCAGACCACTGGATTGTATAACAGGACAGCAAGAGGCAGCACAGAGCCGTGGAAAGAACCTGTAGCCATAACATTTGATGAATGAATCAGACATGTGACATTAGTTCTGTTTCTTCTTTTTTTTTGAGATGGACACTCTGTCACTCAGTCTGGAGTGCAGTGGCGCGAACTCAGCTCACTGCAACCTCCGCCTCCCGGGTTCAAGTGATTCTCCTGCCTCAGCCTCCTGAGTGGCTGGGACTACAGGCGTGCGCCACCATGCCCAGCTAATTTTTGTATTTTTAGTAGAGATGGGGTTTCATCATGTTGACCAGGCTGGTCTTAAACTCCTGACCTCAGGTGATCCGCCCGCCTTGGCCTCCCACAGTGCTGGGATTACAGGTGTGAGCCCCTGCGCCCGGCCATGTTCTGTTTCTTAGAGGAAACCTTGGCTTCCCTGTGTGTCATTAGTGCTCTGTAAGTGCCCCTGCTGCAGAGCGTACTGAGGCATGTGACCTGGCTGTAAGTGCCTTTGCTAAAGCCAGAGGTGCCCACTAGTTTTCGAGACTGCAGAGACCTTGTGTGCCCAGCACTCAAAATAGGGCCTGGCATGGTGAAGTCATTTCTTGCATGCATTCACTCACACATTCAGCAAGTACTAACTGAGTGTCTGCTCCATGCCAGGCACAGCTCGGGAGGCAGGGATTCAGCCACGAACAAGAAAGACAAAGGCCTTGGCCCCAGCGATCACTCAGTGGTCCAAGAACAGGTCCCTCAGCCTCCCAAGTAGCTGGGATTACAGGCACCCACCGCAACGCCTGGCTAATTTTTGTATTTTTTAGTAGAGATAGTGTTTTACCATGTTGGCCAGGCTAGTCTCAAACTCCTGAGCTCAGGTGATCCACCTGCCTCAGCCTCCCGAAGTGCTGGGATTACAAGCATAAGGCCTCAACCTCCTGTGCTCAAATGATCCTCCTGCCTCAGCCTCCTGATTAGCTGGTACTACAGGCATGCACTACCACAGCCCGCTAATTTTTCTATTTTTTGTAGAGATGGGGGTCTCACTATGTTGCCCAGGCTGGTCTCGAACTCCTGGCCTTAAGCAATCCTCCCGCCTCAGCCTCCCAAAGTGCTGGGATTACAGGTATAAGCCACCATGCCTAGTCTATACCTATTTTATTAATAGACACACTGAGGTCCACAGAGAGTAAGATGCCTCAGATTACAGAACTAGTGTGTGCCTAAGGCTTGACGTGTGTGATATCTGACAGTCGTGGACACATCTCATCAAGTGCTTCATTGCCAATGAGATTCCCAGAGCAGACCCCCAGCCTGGGGAGGAATAGGAATTCCTCTGCTTAATGAGATCAAATTTGTTTTTTTTTTTCTCCCAGACCTTTATTACCCAAATCACATATCCTAATGAATGCAGCCAACATATATGTTATTTACCAGAGTTTTCAGAGACACCCTCACTGACACACCCACATATATTGTTTAGCCAAATATCTGGGCACCCTGTGGCCCAATCATGTTGACACATGGAATTAACTGTCACACTCAGCTGACCTCAGGAGCACCTCCTGTGAGCTTTGCTGGGAGCTTCTGTTTGCATTAACCCTTTATGACCCTCAAGAGTGGGTATTGCCCTGTTCACAGGGGGAGAAGTAAGTTTTAGCTTTCTCATCTAAAAAGATATAAAGCCTCTTCCACACTCATCACTGGTAGGAGTTCGATTGTGAATATGACTTTCTATTTTACCTCTTCACCACTTCAGACTTTCTGTGGCTCTGATCTTCACATTCTATCCATACTCTAATATAGCATTATAAACGAGTTTTTTTTTTTCACTAACAGTAATAATTAACATGTGGCTGGGCATGGTGGCTCATGCCTGTAGTCCCAGCACTTCGGGAGGCCAAGGCAGGAGGATTGCTTGAGCCCAGGAGTTCAAGACCAGCCCAGGCAACAAAAACGAGACACCATTTCTACAAAAAATTTAAAAATTAGCTAGGAGCAGTGGCACGCACCTGTAGTCCTAGCTACTCAGGAGGCTGAGGTGAGAGGATTGTTTGAGCCCAGGAGTTGGAGGCTGCAGTGAGTTATAATCGCACCACTGCACTCCAGATGACAGAGCAACACCCCATCTCTTAAAAAATGAAAATGTAAACTTAAAACAATGAAAAAATTAACATACATATAGTGGTTTTTTTTTTTTTTTTGAGACAGTCTCGCTCTGTCACCCAGGCTGGAGTGCAGTGGTGCAATCTCAGCTCACTGCAACCTCCACCAACTGGGTTCAAGTGATTCTCCTGCCTCAGCCTCCCGAGTAGCTGGGATTACAGGTACACGCCACCATGCCCAGCTAATTTTTGTTATTTTTCATAGAGATGGGGTTTCACCATGTTGGCCAGGCTGGTCTCAAACTCCTGACCTCAGGTGATCCACCTGCCTTGGCCTCCCAAATTGCTAGGATTCCAGGTGTGAGCCACCATACCAGGCTCATATAGTGCTTTTTTTTTTTCTTTGAGACAGAGTCTCGCTCTGTCGCCCAGGCTGCAGTGCAGTGGCGCAATCTCAGCTCACTGCAACCTCCGCCTCACGGGTTCAAGCGATTCTCCTGCCTCAGCCTCCCGAGTAGCTGGGACTACAGGTGCCCACCACCATGCCCAGTGCTTTAATAAAAACAATCACTAACCTTTATATAACAGTAGGTATGCAGGCAATTTTCTAAATACTTTCCATAATATTAACTTAGCGTCAAAACAACCCCAAGAGGTAGCTATGATTAGCCTTGTTTTATAGACAGAGAAACTGAGGCACAGAGAAGTTGAGTGACTTGCCCAAGGCCACACGTAGAATAAGTGTTGCAGCCAGGGTTGCCGCCCAGGGCCTCCTCTGAATTTGACAGTGACCCACCCAAGGCTACACAGATAGGAAGGCAGGACTTGAACTTGGGGTTCTGATGTAAGAACCACTCTGCATTCAGCATCCCTACTTTGGCTTTAGAATCTTGGGATGTTTTTACAGTGTGGAGAATCCTTCTTTTTTTTTTTTTTTTTTTTTTTTTTTTTTTGAGATATGGAGTCTCACTCTGTAACCCAGGCTGGAATGCAGTGGCACAATCTTGGCTCACTGCAACCTCCACCTCCCGGGTTCAAGCGATTCTTCTGCCTCAGCCTCCCGAGTAGCTGGGACTATAGGTGCCCACTACCATGCCTGGCTAATTTTTGTATTTTTAGTAGAGACGGTGGTTTCACCATATTGACCAGGCTGGTCTCGAACTCCTGACCTCGTGATCGGCCTGCCTCTGCCTCCCAAAGTGCTGGGATTACAGGTGTGAGCCACTGTGCCTCAGGTCTTTGAAGACCCTCTCACCCTCCCCCGTTTTCATGCGGACTGAGTCCCCCCATGCCCCTCCCTCCTCCTGTGTGGGCAGCTGTCTCTTGCTAAATGGCTTTGGTTGCAGAGCTCATGTCGTGGCTCTCAAAAAGAAATGTGCGGGATGAATAAGCACCTAACAATAACCCAGAATCAGTTTTTTTGTGTGGTGGGGAGAGGGCTGTGTTTTCCTTTCTCTTCCCTCTTCTCCCTCACTCTGCCCCCAAGGCCAGTAAATTGCTGCTGGCTCACAGCCGGGCCAAGCTGGCTTCCTGTAAGCCGTGATAACATGGAATTAGCTTGGCTGCCACCCTCCCCAGGGCGGGGACACCAGCTCTGAGCCACTACAGGCGACTCTGAGCTGGTACTTCCTGCCCTCAGCCTGGTCCATGCTTCTGGGACACTGCTTTGGAGATAACTGGGCAGAGCCGGGTATGGTGGCTCACGCCTGTAATCCCAGCACCTTGGGAGGCCGAGGAGTTTGAAACCAGTCTGGCCAACATGGCGAAACCCCGTCTCTACTAAAAATACACAAATTAGATGGGCGTGGTGGTGTGCACCTGTAATTCCAGCAACTTGGGAGGCTAAAACAGGAAAATCCCTTGAACCCAGGAGGTAGAGGTTTCAATGAGCCAAGATCGCACCATTGCACTCCAGCCTGGGTGACAGAGGGAGACTCTGTCTCAAAAAAAAAAAAAAAAAGATAACTGGGCAGAGACACATCCCTGGACTTGTCCTCCAGCGGAGAAGCAGTGGAAAAACCTCTCCCCAGTACAAGGCTGGCAGCTCCTGAACTGGGCCATTAAGGGTGCTCCAAATTACCACTTACAGGGAGGAGCTGGCGGGCAGGGGCAGAGAGCTCTGGCAGCCTGGGGCACCCTTGAGGCGAGGTTTCCAGGCTGTTTGCTGACTCAGGGACTTGGCTGAGTGGCTCCCGTCTGTCCTGGTGCCTCTAAAAGGCCCTCTGACCCCTGCTGGCCTCCCGCAGCCTGCCTGGAGAGGCTTTAGAAATTCGGCAGATCTTTGCTTCCCAGAACCCGCCAGCTAATCATGAGATCCTAAGACCAAGCCAGGTGTTTTTCTTAGGGGGTCTATCTTGCAGAATGGTTAGGCTCTGGGGGTGCACCTGGCATCTCCATATAGCTCAGCCACGCTTGAAGTCACCCTTTCCCCTGTGATGTCAAATCTGTGGAAAGGGACCATGGACACCTGTGTTTAATATGGGGGGAACAGCAGTGTCAGGAGGAAAAACAGGTCTATTAATATCAGAGGCAAAGCGTTCAGAGGTCTCCGCCTATGCTGAACTTTTGGCCAAGGGATGGAAAATTCCAGGTGGGAGCTTGGAAATTCCCCGTGTAGGAGAAGCAGTAAGGGAAGTGCCACACTTCCTTGCTTCCTGCAGCCCTCAGCTTCAGCCAAGACCAGGCCGGGGGTTCCTGAGTCCTGGCTGTGGTTGTTCAGTTGTTCATAGTCTTGGCTACACATCACAGCCTCCTGGGGGAGGTTTAAAGTTCTGATGCCCAGGCTGATCCCAGACCCATTACATCAGAATCCCTGGGGCGGGGCCCAGGCTTCCCAGGTAATTGGAGTGTGCAGCTGGGGTGAAGAACCGCAGCTGGCAATAACAACCTCTGTTTTCCTCCACCCTCTGTCTGGCTCCTTTATTTTTGCCCTCTCAGATTCAGAGGTAGGTATGGCTGTGCATAGTGGGTGCTTGGAAAATAGTGTTCAGGGTCATTGCTGCTACTACTGCTAATAGTAATTTAGGTTCACTCAAAGGGCGAGGAGCATTGGAAAAGTGCTTTGCTATGATTTCATTTAAAAATGTTCCAGACCAGCTGCAGTGGCTCACGCCTGTAATCCCAGCACTTTGGGAGGCCAAGGCAGGCTGATCATCTGAGGTCGGGAGTTTGAGACTAGCCTGACCAACATGGAGAAACCCCGTCTCTACTAAAAATACAAAATTAGCTGGGTGTGGTGGCATATGCCTATAATCCCAGCTACTCGGGAGGATGAGGCAGGAGAATTGCTTGAACCCGGGAGGCGGAGTTTGCGGTGAGCCGGAATCATGCCATTGCACTCCAGCCTGGGTAACAAGAGCAAAACTCTGTCTTAAAAAAAAAAAAGTTCCTAGCCTGGACAACTCAGTGAGACCCCATCTCTAAGAAAAAAATAAAAAATAGCCAGTCATGGTGGCATGCACCTGTAGTCCCAGTGAGACCAGGTCTCACTATGTTGCCCAGACTGGCCTCAAACTCCTGAGCTCAAGCGATCCTCCCATCTTGGCCTCCTAAAGTGCTGGGATTACAGGCCTGAGTCACTGAACCTGACCCTGATTCCTCTTAATGTCCCCACTGCCTCCCATTCCCAGGGTCTGCTCTCTGGGCAGGGTGTCTCTGTGCCGCCTTCCTTCCCACAGCACGTCTCATGTCTCTCCTTGCCCCCTTCTTGAAGCCATGGCCCCAATTCAGGCTTCTGTCTTCCTGGCTCACCTCTGCAGCCCCTGACTTCCGGCAGCTTAGGGGGTCTATCATGCAGAATGGAAAGGTTCTGGGGGTGCACCTGGCATCCGCATATGGCTCAGCCGTGCTTGAAATCACCCTTTCCCCTGCGACGTCAAATCTGTGGAAAGGGACCATGGACACCTGTGTTTAATATCGGGGCAACAGCAGTGTCAGGAGGAAAAACAGATCTAGTAATATCAGGGGCAGAGTGTTCAGGGAGAACACTGAATCTACAGGGGCTTTGAGGCTTGATGCTCCTCCATGACCCTGCCCAGTGACTCCAACCAGACCCAGCTACTCCAACCAGCCTCATCTACTCCAACCAGCCCCAGCTACTCCAATCAGCCCCAACTACTCCGACGAGCCCCAGCTACTCCAACCAGCCCCAACTACTCCAACCAGCTTCAGCTACTCCAACTAGTCCCAGCTACTTCAACCACTCTCAGCTACTCCATCCAGCCCTCAGCTACTCCAACCAGCCTCAGCTACTCCAACCAGCCCCAGCTACCCCAGCCAGCCTCAGCTGGAGCTCCGAAAGCCAAGAAGTGCCCAGTGCTTTGCACCTGAGTCTGTCTTTGCCTGGCTGGCTAGCATACCCCTCCCTGCATAGCAGCCTGTGCTGTCTTTCTGTGGCCTACACAGGAGGGCCTAAGGGGTCTAGCTGGAACTCCCTGCCCAGCTGGAACTCCCTCACCCTCCCTGTGTATCTGCTCAGTGAGATGGCTCTGCTTCCAGCATAGAACTCACCTGGTTCACACCACGCCTCACACTTGGTCACACTGCCACTCGTGTTCAGTCCCACTGCCCCACCTCTTCAAGCACACTGCACCCATGATCTTCCCTTTCACAGCTCCGTCCACATGTGCAAGTGCATGGTGCCTCCCTAAATGGGGACAGAACTGGCTGGTCTGTCCAGGTCCCTGCAGACCAACCAGCTGCTGCCAGGGCCAGCAGGGCCTTGGAGCAGCCATGCACACCCTGACCCAGAGCATCATGGTGAATTGCCTGAGAGCTCCGGGAGAACTTTGGTTTCTCTTTATTTGAAACTATTGTCTGTCCACTCATTCCGCCTTTCATGTGTCCCTTCCTCTGAAGGGAAGCACACTTCTGAGATGGCTTAGCAGCAGCGAAAGTCCCAAAAGCAGCCACTGGTAAACAGGACTAGAACCAGACTCCTAGATTCACAGAGGATAAAACTGAGGCTGAGGCACATGGTTTGTGCACAGTTTTTTGTTTTGTTTCGTTTTGTTTTTTGAGATGGAGTCTCTCTCTGTCACCCAGGCTGGAGTGCAGTGGCACGATCTCTGCTCACTGCAACTTTTGCTTCCTGGGTTCAAGCGATTCTCCTGCCTCAGTCTCCCGTGTAGCTGGGATTACAGGCGCATGCCACCATGTCTGGCTAATTTTTTTTTTTTTTTTTTTTTTTTTTTTTTTTTTTTTGTATTTTTAGTAGAGATGGGGTTTCGCCATATTGGCCAGGCTGGTCTCAAACTCCTGACCTCAGGTGATCTGCTCGCCTCAGCCTCCCAAAGTGCTGGGATTACAGGCAAGAGCCACCACATCTGGCCATGTCCACGCACAGTTTTGTTGGTACCAGAGTGAGAGGGGTACTCGGAGCCTCTAAGCCCTCCCTCTTAGGAGGCCCTGGCCCTTTCCTAACCAGGAGGGTCCACTTCCAGGCACCTTATGTAGTGGGCTATGCTCCTGGGCCCTGTGGGATCTGCCGCCCTCTCCAGTCTGACATTGGTCCTGGAGGGGGCCTGATGATTGCAGAGCACTTGACCTTTCCTGGCTCTAAGTGGCACTGCAGGCCTCACCTCATCACTCATTTATGCTACAGCTCTCAGGGTTCCCCAGGGGCAGCTCCAACATCCCCAGCTGGTGTCCAGAGAGTGCCATGGGGCAGACATATCCCAGCAGATGGCCTCGCTCCTAAAAGGCTGCCAAATTGTCAACCAAAAGTGATCTCAGCCCTTGCTGTGCCAAGTGGACCCCTGGGGAAAGGGGGCCACGGATATGGGAGGAAGCAAGGAACAGGCAGGCGGATGACCGGTCGTGGTTACTCCCTGCAAGACCCCGGGCAAGCCACTAATGTCTCTCTATCTCAGTGTCCACATTGGTGAAGCTCGCTGGGAGCATCAGAGAGGACAGCACAGGCAGAATATCTGGCCATGCCCCCTGGCACGCTGCAGGTGAGTGCCTTGCACTTGTAGACCCTGTGGTCAGCAAAGCACTGCACAGCTGCTCATTAGATTTAATGACTGTGGCCAGGCGAGGTGGCTCACGCTCGTAATCCCAGCACTTTGGGAGGCCGAGATGAGTGGATCACCTGAGGTCAGGAGTTCGACGCCAGCCTGGTCAACATGGTGAAACCCCGTCTCTACTAAAAATACACACACACAAAATTAGCCGGGCGTGGTGGCGGGTGCCTGTAATCCCAGCTACTTGGGAGACTGAGGTGGGAGAATCGTTTGAACCCGGGAGGTGGAGGTTGCAGTGAGCTGAGATTGCACCACTGCACTCCAGCCTGGGTAACAGAGCGAGACTCTATCTCAAAAAAAAAAATTCATTTTAGATTCAGGGGGTACATGTGCAGGTTTGTTACATGGGTATATTGTGTGATGCTAAGGTTTGGGATTCTAATGATCCATCATCCGGATAGTGAGCACAGTACCCAATAGGTAGTTTTTCAACACTTGTCCCCTCCTCCCTTTTGGAGTCCCCAGTGTCTGTTGTTCCCATCTTTATGTCCACTTGCACCCAATGTTGAGCTCCCACTTATGAGGGAGAACATGCAGTATTTGGTTTTCTGTTTCTGTGTTAATTCACTTAGGATAATGGCCTTCAGCTGCATCCATGTTGCTGCAAAGGACACGATTTCATTCTTTTTTATGGCTGCATAATATTCCTTGTTGGATATGTACCACCTTTTCCTTATCTAACCCACTGTTGATGGGCACCTGGGTTGATGCCATGTCTTTACTATTGTGAATAGTGCTTTGATGAACATACGAGTGCAGGTGTCTTTTTGGCAGAATGATCTATTTTCCTTTGGGTAGCTACCCAGTAATGGAATTGCCAGGTCAAATGGTAGTTCTGTTTTTAGTTCTAAAAGAAACAATCCAGGCCGGGTGCAGTGGCTCACATCTGTAATTACAGCACTTTGGGAGGCCGAGGCAGGCAGATCACCTGAGGTCAGGAGTTTGAGACCAGCCTGGCCCACATGGTGAAACCCCGTCTCTACTAAAAATACACAAATTAGCTGGGTGTGGTGGTGCATGCCTATAATCCCAGCTACTCGGGAGGCTGAGGCAGGAGAATCGCTTGAACCCGGGAGTTGGAGGTTGCAGTGAGCCAAGATTGCACCATTGCACTCCAGCCTGGGGAACAAGAGTGAAACTTCGTCTCAAAAAATAATAATAAAATAAATTAAAAATAAAAAATAAAAGAAAATAAACAATCCTTGTAAAGTGCTTGTCATAGTGCCTGGTACTATGCTAAGAACGTGATCAATGTTATCTGTTATTATGATTCATAGCATGACACAGTGCCCCCTCTCCCACCAGCAACACCCACCTTCCTAGTTCCTGAGTGACGCTGCACCTTTCAGGTGTCCTGAACTAAGCCCTAGGTCTAGGAATTTGTGTGTTTCCTGAGGGTGTAATCATGCCCCCAGAAAGAGAGGCAGCAAAAGGCTTTTCTCATTTGAGTCAAAGTGAAGGTTCCTGGATTTGTTGAAAAAGTCCATCTCCTGTCCAAGGCAAGCCCGGTGAGAATGCTCTGTGCCAGAGCCACCAGGATCACAGCCTGGCTGGGATCTCCCTCACCCTGGCTAAGGCTTTGCTTGCAGGCGTTCCCATGGGGAGATGAGGAATCACTCAGCTAGTGTTGGTTGATGAATATCCTCCACAGCTCAGCTGGGCATGGTCAGTGACTCTAGCTCCTCCCCCGCACCATAAAACCTACGTATTTGCTGTCATTTTAATGACAATGACTACTGTTATCCTGGCTTTTTATTCTTTTTTTTCTTACGTTTAATCTTTTAAAAAATTATCTTAGCCAGGGCCAGTGTCTCACACCTGTAATCCCAGCACTTTGGGAGGCTGAGGCAGGCGGATCACCTGAGGTCAGGTGTTCAAGACCAGCCTGGCCAACATGGTGAAGCCCCATCTCTACTAAAAATACAAAAGTTTGCCGAGCGTGGTGGTGCATACCTGTAATCCGAGCTACTTGGGAAGCTGAGGCAGGAGAATCGCTTGAACCTGGGAGGCGGAGGTTGCAGTGAGCTGAGACTGTGCCATTGCACTCCAGCCTGGGCAACAAGAGTGAAATTCCATCTCAAAAACAAAACAAAACAAAATTATCCAGAAGCTTCCAAGAGCTAGCCACCAAGTAAGCTGAGAGACAGGTGTGTGGAGCCAAGAGCCAGCCACCCACTGTGCTGGGTGCTTTAATTCTTACATTGACCCTGGGAGGAATAATGTTTATTAGCCTGTTTTTCAGGTAAGGAAACTGAAATTCAGAGAGGTTAAGGAACTTGCTCATATCTAGAAAGAAATGGAGCCAGAATTCAACTTGAGATCTGTCTACCTCCAGGGCCTACCCATACTTTCTTATTTCTGTTTTGGTTTTGTTTGTTTGTTTGTTTGTTTGAGACAGAGTCTTACTTTGTTACCCAGGCTGGAGTGCAGCAGCGGGATCTTGGCTCACTGCAACCTCCGCCTCCCAGGGCCAAGTGATTCTCCTGTCTCAACCTCTCGAGTAGCTGAGATTACAGGTGCCTGCCACCATGCCCAGCTAATTTTTGTATTTTTAGTAGAGACAGGGTTTCACCATGCTGGCCAGGCTAGTTTTGAACTCCTGACCTCAAGTGGTCCACCCACCTGGGCCTCCCAAAGTTCTGGGATTATAGGTGTGAGCCACCGCGCCCAGCCATACCCTATTATTTCTTTTAATAGCCATCTCTATTATGCAGGTAATAACATTTCATTACATTCTCCTTATAAAAATTAAAACACTGTAGGCAAAGTTACAGAACCTTTGGACTAACCCTTCCCATCCCACTGCCCTTCCCAGGTCTCATCCATGCACTCTTCCACAATACCTGCAAAATACGCATTGTAATAATAATACCCATTCTACGCCTTTCCTGACTTAAAAAAATTCTTTTAATTTAAATGGAAATAGAGATGGGGTCTCACTATGTTGCCTAGGCTGGTCTCGAACTCCTGGGCTCAAGCAGTCCTCCTGCCTTGGCCTCCTAAAGTGCTGGGATTACAGGCATGAGCCACCACAACTGGCCCCTTTCCTGACTTTTTAAGGGTGAAATGAAATAATGAGTAAAAATACCTTTTGTAAACGTTACAGCCCTCTGTAGACGCCTACTGCTAGCATTAGCATAGTAACATATGTTACTTAAGGCCCTTTCATAAGCAATATTTTTTATCTTAAATATCATTACTGGGAATTAATGGACTTCTATGCCTCTAAAGGAGGCTATAAAGCCTTGCCAGAGTCTGGCAGTGAAAACCTCAGTGTGGTCTTTAGGGCTAGGCTGCAGAATCTCGACTCACCAGTAGGTGTCAGCCTCTACCAAGACACGCCCACCTCACCTTCTGTACGAATTACGTCAAGGAACTGAGAGCCTTCTAGGCCTGTTGTGTGCTTTTCAGTGGATGTTAAACGTGGAGTGCTGTGGGGTTGGAATTCCGGCTGGAAGTAAGGGCCAGGGCACTCAAGATGCAAAGACCAGTGAGGCCAACTTTGGCCTGAGTTTGCTCACAGGTGAGCCAGGTAGTCCTGGGCTCAGACCCTCCCATCCTAGGGAAATGCAGGCTGTGCTCAAGGCTGTCCATTGTGGGAAGGGACTCCCAAGGGACTGGCTGTGTCCGATGGGTCAGGGAAGGTAACATTTGAGGTCAGTCCTGAAGGATGAGAAAGACACTTCTAAGCTCAGGAAGAGGGAAGGACCTTCCAGGAGCATCCTGGGCACAGATGAGCAGTTTGATGGATGGGCAGGGTGGGAGGATGAGAGAGGATAGACAAGAATGGGGGCAGATATGTCTATAGCATTGAGAACCAAATAAACCATAGAAGGGTTTTGTTTTGTTTTGTTTTGAGACAGAGTCTCACTCTGTGGCCCAAGCTGGAGTGCAGTGGTGCGATCTCAGCTCACTGCAACCTCTGTCTCTCGTGTTCAAGTGATTCTCCTGCCTCAACCTCCTGACTAGATGGGATTACAGGCATGCGCCACCACTCCCAGATATTTTTGTATTTTTAGTAGAGACGGTTTCACCATGTTGGCCAAGCTGGTCTTGAACTCCTGACCTCAGGTGATCCTCCCGCCTCAGCCTCCCAAAGTGCTGGGATTACAGGTGTGAACCGTCGTACCCAACCAGAAGGGTTTTTTGTTTTGTTTTGAAGACAGGGTCTCACTCTGTTACCCAGGCTGGTCTAGAATCCTGGCCTCAAGCAATCCTCCCACCTCAGCCTCCCAAAGTGCTGAGATTACAGGCATGAGCCACTGCACCCGGCCTGTTGTTTTTTTCTTTTTTTCTATTTGGGATGGGCTGGCCAGTAGGGAGTCACAATTAGATGTGTATAGGATGAATTGGACAGGAAGAGACTGAAGGCAGAGGCTGTTGTCGAAAGTCTTATCCAGGGAAGGAATAGTCAATAAGACATAGATTGGAAGCTACTTGCAAGAAAGAATCGCAGGGATGTGGGACCTGATTAGATGGAGTGGGAGCGGGGATTGTTGCTGGAGGAATTAAGGCTGCCTTTGAAGTTTCCAGCTTAACCAGCTCAGTGGAGGTAGAACCATTAGTTGAGCCAGAAAACAGGAGGAAGAACAGATTGTGAATGTAGAAAAACAGTCAGGCACAGTGGCTCACGCCTGTAATCCCAGCACTTTGGGAGGCTGAGGTCGGGAGTTCGAGATCAGCCTGACCAACATGGAGAAACCCCGTCTCTACTATAAATACAAAATTAGCCGGGGCTGGGCATGGTGGCACATGCCTGTAATCCCAACTACTCAGGAGGCTGAGGCAGGCGAATTTCTTGAACCCAGGAGGCAGAGGTTGTGGTGAGCTGAGATTGCACCATTGCACTCCAGCCTGGGCAACAAGTGTGAGACTTTGTCTCAAAGAAAAAAAAAAAGCAAACAAGGAGCAAATAAAAAAGAAAGAAAAAGAAAACCAAAAAAGAAAAAACAAATAAAATAGAGGGAAGACTGAGCATGGTGGCTCACACCTGTAATCCCAGCACTTTGGGAGGCTGAGACAGGTGGATTGCTTGAGTCCAGGAGTTCTCAAACTCCTGAAGGGACCAGCCTGTACAACATAGCAAGACCCTAGTCTCACTCTGCCACCCAGGCTGGAGTGCAGTGGTGTGATCTTGGCCCTCTGCAACCTCTGCCTCCCATGCTCAAGCGATTCTCCTGCCTCACCCTATCGAGTGGCTGGGATTGCAGGTGTGCGCCATCATGACCAGCTAATTTTTGTATTTTTAGTAGAGACGGGGTTTCGCCATGTTGCCCAGCTGGTCTCAAACTCCTGGCCTCAAGTGATCCACCTGCCTCAGCCTCCCAAAGTGCTGGGATTAGAGGCGTGAACCACCAAGCCCAAGATATTATTTCTTATATCTTGATGTTCTCACATACCCCTAGGAGGCAGGCAGATAGAGTCCCAATTTCATCGATAAGAACTCAGCTTTGACAGGAAGGGGCTGTGATAGGGCAAGCCCAGCAGGTCCTGGGGCCATGATAGGAGATGCCTTCTCCTCAGGGCCCCTTCATGTGGGTCCCTTCATGTGGGTGCAGAGGTCGGCCTCGCAGCTGTTCTGGATCCCATCACCTGTTCATTATTTATTATTATTATTATTATTATTATTATTATTATTGAGATGGAGTCTCCTTCTGTCATCCAGGCTGGAGCACAGTGGTGTGATCTTGGCTCATTGCAACCTCTGCCTCCCAGGTTCAAGCGATTCTCCTGCCTCAGCCTCCCGAGTAGCTGGGATTATAGGCGCACACCACCCCACCCGGCTAATTTTTGTATTTTTAGTAGAGACGGGAGTTTCGTCATTTTGGCCAGGCTGGTCTTGAACTCCTGGCCTCAAGCAATCTGCCTGCCTCAGCCTCCCAAAGTGCTGGGATTACAGGCCTAAAGTGCTGGGATTACAGGCGTGAGCCCGCCGGGAGCCAGGCCCACCTGTTCATTATTTTAAAAGCCCTAACTTCATGGTTGCCCCGTGGCAGCATGGGAAGCCCTTCTGGGCTTGGGCTGGATGGTCCTTACTGAAGTCTGCCCTGCTCCCCAGTCCCTGCCGGGTGTGTGACCTGGGGCACCTCCCTCTCCCTCTCTGGATCTCAGTTTCCTCTCCGTATAAAGTGGGGTTGATCTAGGTGGACTCTCAGGTCCCTGCTGCATCCAAAACTTTACTGCCATCTGATTTTGGGGGGACAGACTGTGTTGAAACTATAGGCTTGAATGGCCAGGCTTTTTCCGGAGAACTTGCCCCAAAGGAGCATTTGCCAGGAGACCTTTTGAGGCCACCAGCTGTGTCTACTGCAGAGGGGAATGTCTGCCTTGCATTTCGGCATCGAATAAGGAAAGGGACATCGGGATTCTGGCTTGAGAGAAAGGAGCTCCCAGCTCAGGGCAGACATCATTTAGGAACCACGGAGCCAATTTCCCTCACTCCAGGAAGGGCTGGCTGTGGCTCACGTGGGAGGGGGACGCTCAGAGCCTTCCTGGGGATACCTGTTCCACTTCCTCCCAATTGCCCATCTGTTTGGAGACCCCAGTCTCATTCGGGAGGCCCCTCCAGATTAGCCGCAGGAGGCAAACAACTGGCCGTGAATTCCCCCTTTGTCCAGGGAAGCCAAGTGGGGAGGGGCCGAGCGGACCCCCTGCCCCCACTGGAATGTCGGCCTCCTGCGCCCCCCATCTGTCCCTCCTTTTTCACCACCTCCCCTGCTCACTTCCTGAGTCCCACTGATCCCACCACCAAAACACACGCATGCATGCACACGCACGCCTGCACACACACGCGGGCGCACACACACACACACACACACACACACACACGCTTCCTGGCGGGCCGGCGGCCTCTCGCTCCGGGATCGGCGATCCCCGCCACCGGGAACTCTGGGGAGAAGCCACCTTTTGTTATTCAAATCACATCCTCGCCGTGCGAGCCCGGGGGCCGCGGGATCTGGCCCGGGAACCCGCCTCCCGGTCTCCCCTCGCGCCCCCGCCAGCTGATTCCGGGATTTCCCGGTCCCCGGGGGCTCGGGCGCGCCGGTCTCTGCCGGCGGGGCCGCGCCTCCCCCGCCCCCGGCGCGCGCTGCGGCTCCGCGCCCGCCCCCCTCCCCCTCCCCCTCGCCGCCTCCCCTCCCCCTCCCCTTCCTTTCTCCGGTCCAGCCTTGGTGCCGCCGCCGCCGCCGCCGCCTGCCCCGGTCCGCGGGGGCCCTGCCGGCCGCCCTCCCCGCAGCATGGCACCCTCGGGGCGCGATTAGCCGGGAGCAGCTTTGGGGGAAGCGGGATCTCCAGGGGTGGGGGGGTGCCCCGCAGCCTCGGTCATGGATGTGAGCAAGATGGTAAGTGTGAGCAGGGGCTTTGCCCCGAGCCCCCTCCCCACACCCCCAGCCCTGGCGCCCTCCCTTCTCCCCCTCCTAGCCGGCGCGATCCATTGAAAGTTTCTGGATTGTTGATCCTGCCTGTTGGCCCCAACTCCAGGCGTGCCGGAGGAGGGAGCCGGGCCAGGATTCTGGAGGCGGCTGGCCGGCCGGGATGGGCTCTGGCTTTCCCGCCGCGCCGCCGCCGGGCTGCCCGGGAGATCGCGCTGGACTCCAGGGACTGGGCTGCGGGGCTCGCCGCCCACCTCGGGAGACCTGCCGGACGGGAGGGAGGGCAGCGCCGCCGGAAGGGGCTTGTACCGTGCCCTCCGGAGCCCCCTGCCCGCACACCTACAGGAGATCGATGGAAGATGTGTGGGGCTGAGCCCGTGGGCAGGGAGGCACAGGTGGCGCTGGGAGGACAGTGAGAAGCCAGGTTTCAACCATCCTAGGAGGTGAGGGGGCAGGAATGGAGCCCTTGGCAGAGACGGGGAAGGTTCTAGGTTGGCCACTTGGGAACCCCAGCTTCAGTGGGCCTGAGGTGCAGCCAACACCTTCGCCTCCTAAGCATGACTCCGCCTTTCCTTTAGAAATGGGCTCCTCTGGAGGGGTCTGTGCCCTCCCCCAGAGAAGCCCTCCACCCCCACCTCCACCGCGAATACAGTAGGATCTTGAAGAAATCATTGCTTATTGATTGAGACCAAGGAGCAGCCTTCAGCCGGTACCAGGATGTGATTTGGGGGATTCTGATGGGAGGGGGGTTCGCAGGGAGCACCTGGAGGCCCGGAAACTGCAGGTTTTCCCAGGGGTCTTGATTGGCTGTCACTCTGAATGGAGATTTAAGGGTGCCCTTGCCATCTCAATCACCCTGACCCCGAGTTTAGACCAGGGTACTGTCCCTACCGTCCAGCCTTGCAACCCTCAAGGGCCTGTGTGTCAGGCGGGTCTTGGGAGGGGGGAGGCAATCAGGGCTTTCGAGGAAAGGAGCTGTCGTGGGCTGTGTGTGTGTGTGTGTGTGTGTGTGTGTATGTGTGTGTGTGGGGGGGGGGGGGGGGTCTGGGTCTGCCCTTGCCATAGAGATGAGGAGGTACTAGAATTTGAGTTTATCTTGTTCAGAATTATATTACTTTTCCCCAGAGGGTGCCCTTTCGAGGCAACCAAGGGAGGTTGGTTCTCTGCCCGGCCCTGGCCTTTGGCACTCTGTCTTGGCTAGGAGACAATGGGATGGGGGCTGATGACAGGGGAGAGTCCTATTCTATGGCCTGCATCAGTCTCAGACTGACTGAGCATTGCCCCTGGGGTTGGGGGCTGCTTGAGGGGCTTCATGTCTTTATTTGGGTTCCTATCTTTATTTGGAGAGAAATACCTGTTCATGGTTGGGCAGTGAGTGCCCAGAGGTTGGACCAGCATTCCTTGTCTGTCTGCCATGAAATCTCGCTTTCTTTGGGCATGTATTAGAACTCCCTCTCAAAAAAAAAAAAAAAAAAAAAAAAAAATCCTCTCTGCAGCTATGGGGGTGGAGATGTAGAAAACTAAGCAGTAGTTCTTTCCTAGAGGTGTCTGAGCAAGACCAGAAGACTCATCTGTCTGGGCTATGATTAGGAGGTTGAGGGATCTGAAGCTTCGAAACTCTACTTTAGTCCAATGGCCACTAAACCGAATCACCCTTGAGCATCCTCCCAGCCCTGCACCCAGGTTCCCTGCAAAGCTTGGCCTGCAAGGACAAGCTTATAGGACTCAGGGACCTCTGTCCATCCATCCCTCATTAATCAACAGCATTTATTTAATTCTCATAATTTCTATAGCAAGTGCTGGGTAAAGAACACAAAGAAACATCATCGAAGGCCTCCCTCCCTGCTTCTCAAGGCCCTTAGCATGAAAGTGAAGGATCCAGAGAGATACAGGCCGACTCAACAGTTAGCTATCAATACAGGCCTGGATCAGAAGGCCAAAGCTTTGAGGACCATGGGGGTCTGAGAAGGGACTGGAGTGCAGAGTTCAGAAGGAAGACCAAGACCTCAGTTGGCCCTTGGAGGTTGGGTGGGGTAGGCATTGCCTGTTGGGAGAATCGCAGGAAGAGGATGGGCAGAGTCCATTGGGTGAGGCTGAAGACATTTGGCTGGTACAGAGGTTTGAAATCAGGAAACATCGAGATGGTTGTTTGGGGCCAGACCAGCAAGTCCCTGAATGCCAACCAAGGCATTCTGACCCTGGCCCGTAAGCACTGGGAAACCTCTGGAGAATTCTGAGCCCTGGGGAGGTGCATCTATTGCCTCTTTCCTCTTTTAGCTTGGGGTCCAAACAAAAGTGATATTAGATTCTCATTAATCATTGAGCAGCCAAGCGCCCAATCCAGAAACAATCGTCTGCAGCTCTTTGTAAAGAGCACAGACCTGTGCCTGTGTAGCAAGGAGAACCTTACCCACCCTGGGGAATTGGTGTCTGCTTTTCATTCCTGCAAGAGGCCAAAAGTACTTTCTGTTCTGGCCATTAAATTCCCATCTCTGGTTTGAAGTCCTCGCTCTGGGGGCCTTTGGCTGCAGGCTTGACCTCAAACGCAGCCTTTCAGGAACATCCTTGACAGAGTCCAATGTCAGCCTTGGAGGTTTCTCCTGCTTACGCAGAGTGAGGAAAAGCAGATTATAGTTTACCTGATTCTGCGTGATTTTTTTTTTTTTTTTTGAGACAGAGTCTCGCTGTGTCACTCAGGCTGGAGTGCAGTGGTGCAGTCTCGGCTCACTGCACCCTCTGCCTCGCGGGTTCAGGCGATTCTCGTGCCTCAGCTTCCCTAGTAGCTGGGACTACAGGCGCGCGCCCCCAGCACTACCATGCCCAGCTAATTTTTGTATTTTTAGTAGAGACAGAGTTTCACCATGTTGGCCAGGCTGGTCTCAAACTCCTGGGCCCAAGCAATCCACCCACCTCAGCCTCCCAAAGTGCTAGAATTACAGGCGTGAGCCACCACACCTGGCCTCTGCATGATTTTTTTTTTTTTTTTTTTTTTTTTTGAGACAGGGTCTTGTTCTGTTGCCCAGGCTGGAGTGCAGTGGCGCATTCTCAGCTCATTTGCAACGTCCGCCTTCCAGGTTCAAGTGATCCTCCCTACCTCAGCCTCCTGGGTAGCTGGGATTACAGGCGCACACCACTACACCCAGCTAATTTTTGTATTTTTTGCAGAGACGGAGTTTTGCCATGTTGCCCAGGCTGGTGTCGAACTCCTGGGCTCAAGCAATCTACCCACCTAAGCCTCCCAAACTGCTGGGATTATAGGTGTGAGCCACTGTACATTGCGTCCCTGCATGATTTTTAGCAAGTTTCTTCTGTAACCTCTTACCCTCATCTGTATCATGAACATAATAATAGAGAAGGTTGGAAATAATCCTTTTAAGGCATAGAAGCTGGAGTAGTAAATCTTCCACACACTAGTGGCTGTTCTTTTTTTTTTTTTTTTTTTTGAGATGGAGTCTCTCTCTGTCACCCAGGCTGGAGTGCAGTGGCACGATCTCGGCTCACCACCGCCTCCGCCTCCTGGGTTCAAGCGATTCTCCTGCCTTAGCCTCCCGAGTAGCTGGGATTACAGGCGCCCGCCACCATGCCCGACTAATTTGGCTGTTCTGATAATGATCTCTCGTCTCATCTGGGCCTAAGGTGACTCTTGATTTCCCTCTCATGCTTTACTTTTTTGATTGGCCTGCAGAGCTGAGCACAGGCTGTATTTCAGTTGACAGCTCTTGGGGCTAATTCTCCCAGGCCTGGTGATTTTTGTGAATGAGGGTACACACGACTGGAGACAGTGGATTTACCAGCTGCTGCGACCCATGAATTTTTGATGACATCAGATATCTGCCCAAGGGAGAGCTGGTTTAACCCTGCACTCAGGGATAAAGTGCAGATACCTTTTAGGGGTTGATGATGGAGGGTGTGCCTTTCACTAAACACACAGAGTACACAGTACTGTAATTTGGGAAATAGAGTCAACGCTATCAATTATTACCAAAGAACATAATGTTTACATAACAATTTATATTTGTGTGGTGCTTTACAGTATACAAGGCATTTTGTTTCCTTTTTTTTTTTTTTTTTTTTTTTTTCAGAGATAGTGTCTCACTCTGTCACCTAGCCTGGAGTGCAGTGGCACAATTGTAGCTGACTCTAGCCTCGAACTCCTGGGCTGAAGCTATTGTCTCGCCTCTGCCTCCTGAGTAGCTAGGACCACAGACATGAGCCACCAAGCGAGGCTAATTTTTATTTTATTTATTTATTTACTTTTGTAGAGACGGGGGTCTTCTATGTTGCCCAGGCTGGTTTTGAACTCCTGGCCTCAAGTGATCCTCCTGCCTCAGCATCCCAAAGTGCTGAGATTACAGGCATGAGCCACCACACCTGGCCTATATAAAAGCATTTTCACACTTGTTCTCACTGCAACCCCATGAGGAAGGCAGGGCAGAAGTGATTAGCCACGTTTTACAGAAAATTAGTTCAGAAAAGTGACATCTGATATTCCATACCGGGGTTAGAACCAGGTCTTGTATCCAGTTCTCTGACAGTCAAAGTATGCGCTATAGCGATATAATAAATAAAAGGTAATGAAAAAGATTTAGTGACTAGATTCTAGAATGGACACAAGTTAATTTCAAAAGATGAGCTGGGGGTCGTGGCCTTTGGCCTCTGGGTTCCTAGGGGAGAAGACTTAGGAAAGAAGGATGAGTGTCTATATGTGGACTCTGAGCCTCGTAAATCCCCTCTATCTGTTTTTGTTGGTTTTTTTTTTTAGAGACAAGGTCTCACTCTGTTGTCAAGGCTGGGGTGCAGTGGTGCGATCACAGCTCACTGCAGCCTCGAACTCCTAGGCTCAAGCAATCCTCCCATCTCGGCCTCCCAAGTAGCTGGGACAACAGGCAGGCACCACCACCATGTTTGACTGCCTTTTTTTATTTTTGGTAGAGACGAGGTTTTGATATGTTGCCCAGTATGGTCTAGAACTCCTGGGCTCAAGCGATTCTCCCACCTCAGCCTCCCAAATTGCTGGGATTACAGGTGTGAGCCACTGTGCCCTGCTCCCTATAGCCCTATAGCTGTTTTTAAAATTCAGGAGTTTCTTCCTGAATCTCACTGCTTCCTCAAATTTGAGACACCTGACTTACCCAGCAGGCCGATGAGAGGGGTGGAAAGAAGGTATTTCAGATGTTCTGAGTAAATGATATTGATGGCAGAGCGGAAAAGACTTCTGGTCAACCTGTTGTTGCTGCTGGTATCACATGTATTTGCTGGGTTGGAGGAGGGATGTGGTAGAAGTTAAATGCCCAACTGGAGAGATCGCTGTGCAAAATGATGCCAAGGACTGATGGGTGACCTGCCCAGCAAACAGAGCAGCGTTTTCAGCCCTGGGCCACAAAATCCATTTAGTGGGTTTCAGCCAGCATATGAAAGAGTGAAATAGGCCAGGTGCGCGGTGGCTCACGCTTGTAATCCCAGCACTTTGAGAGGCCAAGGCGGGAGGATCAACTAAGGTCAGGAGTTAGAGACCAGTCTGGCTAACATGGTGAAACCCATCTCTACTAAAAATACAAAAATTAGCCAGGTGAGGCAGCACACGCCTGTAATCCCAGCTGCTCGGGAGGCTGAGGCAGGAGAATTGCTTGAACCCGGGAAGCAGAGGTTGCAGTAAGCTGAGATCGCACCACTGCACTCCAGCCTGGGCAACAGAGCAAGAGACCATCTCAAAAAAATAAAAACACGAGTGAAATAGATGAGAAAACATCCAGGTATATTCCATGTGAGAGGGTAAGCATTAGATCATGAAACTGATTTTGGTTGTATCTTATGCATGCACATGAGTAAGTACTGGGTGGCCCTGTAAAATGTATTTTTTTTTTCTTCAACTTTTAAGTTCAGGGGTACATGTGCAGGTCTGTGACATAGGTAAACACGTGCCATGCTGGTTTGCTGCACAGATCAACCCATCACCTACGTGTTAAGCCCAACATCCATTAGATATTCCTCCTGATGCTCTCCCTCCCCACCCTCTGACAGACCCCAGTGTGCATTATTCCCTGCCACGTGTCCATGTGTTCTCATCACTCAGGTCCTACTTATAAGTGAGAACATGCGGTGTTTCGTTTTCTGTTCCTGTGTCATTTTGCTGAGGATAACAGCTTCCAGCTCCATCCATGTCCCTGCAAAGGACATAATCTTGTTCCTTTTTATGGCTGCAGAGTATTCCATGGTGTATGTGTACCACAGTAAAATGTGTTTTTTACTACGGTCAGTTGCATAGTCCATTTGCGCTGCTTTAACAATATCTGAGACCTGGTAATTTGTAAAGAATGGAAATTGGCCAGGCACAGTGGCTCACACCTGTAATCCCAGCACTTTGGGAGGTTGAGGCAGGAGGATCGCTTGAGCCTAAGAGTTTGAGACCAGCCTGGGCAACATAGTGAGACCCTGTCTCTACAAAAAAAAAAAAAAAAAGAAAAAATTAGCCAGGCATGGTGGTGTGCGCCTGTAATCTCAGCTACTCGGGAGGCTGAGCCCAAAAGGTCAGGGCTGCCGTGAGCTATGATAACACCACTGCACTCCAGCCTGGGTGGCAGAGTGAGACCTTTTCTCTAAAAAAAATTGCTTAGGAGAAAAGAATTTTTGGTTTACCATTTGTGGATTACTATCTTTCATCGTCACTGATCACTAAGATTTTATCTCACCAAGATGAGGTTCCATTCAATTCACTCACATACTGAATACCCCCTTTTTACGTAGGCCCCTGGGTGAGGACGTTAAGATATGAAAGGATCCAGGGCTGAGGATGGCTGAGTCCTTGTCTGTCGAAAAGGCTTACAGAGTTGAAAGAGAGATTTCCTTGAAATGCACCAAGGGCGACCACGCATCAATAGACATTTGCAATTGACAGAACAATCTCACCTGGATTATTTTCTTCCTCACAGCGGCCTTGTGAAGCAGGATTTAGTGTCCTACGAGCACCTGTCTTCGGAGGCCCCTCCGAGTTGCACTTCTGGTCAGGGGCTAAGTCCAGATGCAAACATGGGTTTTAAGACAGCCCCTCCCACAGTGCTTTTCTGCCCCCATCACACTATCTCTCCCTCCCACTTCCCCATTTCCTGCCGTCTTTCCCCTACTCCAATCTCCCCCACAACACACGCGCAGCTGGGTGAGTTTCTTGAAGCTCAAGTCCAAGTGCTGTTTCCCCTCCACCTTTGTCTCCCTTCTTGCCCAGAGAGGTCCCAGTTCAAACCCAGGACAGGCACGTAGTCTCACACCTGCCCCTGAGCCAAAGGTTTCCATAATCGGAGAAGATTCCCCCTGCTCCGGAGCCCCAAATAAATTAATCCATGGGTCATTCAAGAAAAAATAAATAAATTCCCCATGTGTCCTTTAGATTCCCTAAAGTCCTAATGCATCTTTAATTTGGAGGAGGTTCCTGTGGGCAGGTAGAGAGGGGTCAGGGTGGGAGGCATATTTGTAAATGGGAATGGTTGAGTGAGTGGGATCCCAGCCAGACTCCACAGCCCTGTCCCCTGTGCACAGAGGATTAAGGGAGGCTCGTCTGCATCCTGAGGCTGCTCCAGATGCTGAGCCTGGGCTTTGGAATCACAGAGGCTAAGGTCCCGTTGCTACCACTTGCCGACTCTCAGATCGTAGACAAGTTAGTTGATCTCCTCATACTGTTTCCTCGCTTCTAAGGCAGGTTGGTGTCTGCAGACTTGCAGCACTGTCAAGATGCTCACTTAAAGTACTTGACACAAGCCAGGCATGGTGGCTTATGCCTGTAATCCCAGTGCTTTGGGAGGCTAAGGCGGGAGGATCACTTGAGCCCAGGAGTTCAAGACCAGCCTGGGAAAAATAGCAAGATCCTATCTCTACTAAAAAAAAAAAAATTTAAAAAACAAATTATCTGGGTTTGGTCGCATGAGCCTGTGGTCTCAGCTACTAGGGATCCTCCCAGCTGAGGCAGGTGGATCACTTGAGCCCAAGAGTTCAAGGCTGCAGTGAGATGTGATTGCACCACTGCACTCCAGCCTGGGTGACAGAGCAGGACCCTGTCTAAAAAAATAAGATAAAATACAAAATACAGTACTTGGCACATAGGAGGGGCTTAGTAAACCATGGCTATCATTAGAAATATGTTTGCTCTTTCATTTAGGCTACAAATAAAATCTGAAAACTTCAGGGAAAGAGGGGAGCATTGCTTCTTGCAGAATGATCACTGCTGGGTGAGCTCAGTCTGCCGGGGCAATCAGACCTGTTAGTAGTTGCAATACATGTGGTGCAATGCACAAAGGATGGGGCATGTGTCAGCCTGGAGAAGGTGGGGTTAACCAGCCGGCAACTTAAGGAAGGGTATCATTAAGAAAACTGGGGACAGAGGGGAAGAAGATCCCCTGGAAGGAGGAAAATAAGGGTATTTCAGGCACGCTAAAAGGGTAAGGTCATGAAACCACAGGATTTGTTCAGAAACTACCTCTGGTCGATGCTTGAAAAGTAGGCACACTCCCTATCTCTGTGGGCTAACAAAGTTTCCAGGATACAGAACACAAATCTTTTTTTTTTTTTTTTTTTGAGGTGGATCTCGGTCTATCCTCCATGCTGGAGTGCAGTGGTGTAGTCACAGCTCACTGCAGCCTCAAACCTCTCAGGCTCAAGTGATTCTCCCACCTCAGCCTCCCGAGTAGTTGGGACTACAGGTGCACACCACCATACCTGGCTGATTTTTGTATGTTTTGTAGAGACGGAGTTTCACCTTGTTGCCTAGGCTTGTCTTGAATCCCTGAGCTCAAGAGATATGCCCGCCTTGGTCTCCCAAAGTGCTGAGATTATAGGCATGAGCCACTGTGCTGGCTTTTTTTCCTTTTCAGAGAGAAGGTCTCACTCTATCCCTGAGGCTGGAATGCAGTGGTGCAATTCCAGTTCCAGTTCACTGCAGCCTCAACCTCCCAGGCTCAGGTGATCCTCCCACCTCAGCCTCCCAAGTAGCTGGGACTACAGGTGCATGCCACCATGCCCAGCAATTTTTAACTTTTTTGCAGAGACAGGATTTTGCTATGTTTCCCTGGCTGGTTTTGAACTGCTGGCCTCAAGCAATACTCCTGCCTCGGCCTCCCAACTTGGCCTCCCAAAGCTGAATCTTTTTACACCTCAGTGATACCTGGAAGAGCTGTGCTTTAAGAAGGGGAGCAGGCCGGGCGCAGTGGCTCACACCTATAATTCCAGCAATTTGGGAGGCCGAGGCGGGAGGATCACCTGAGGTCGGGAGTTTGAGACCATCCTGACCAACATGGAGAAAACCCGTCTCTACTAAAAATACAAAATTAGCTGGGCGTGGTGGCTCACGCCTGTAATCCCAGCTATTCAGGAGGCTGAGGCACGAGAATCGCCTGAACCTGGGAGGCGGAGGTTGCAGTGAGCCAAGATTGCAGCACTGCACTGCAGCCTGGGCGACAGAGCAAGACTCCATCTCAAAAAAAAAAAAAAGAAAAGCGGGGGAGCCGCAATTGAAGGAAATACAGGATGCACAATGGGTGCTGAATGCATGAATGATTAAAAGACAAAAGAAGACATTCCAGTTGAGAGAGAGGTGCTGCACACAGGCTGAACATACAACCCTGGGGAATGAATGTTGAGTAGGTTTGTTAGGAGCGGGGCCAGAGGAATGGAGAGGAGGAGTGGGCACAGGTGTGAGGGCCTGTGTTAAAAATAACCAGCAAGTCTCTAGTAGAGCCAGTAAGCGGGGCTGCCTCCACTTGACAATCAGACGTGGATATGCTATTCTGGCCAACGGGTTTACGCTGCCTACTGCTACCCGGGCCTGGAGATGGCTCTCACTGGTACCAGGATAAGTGTGGGAGTTGCAAACCGTGGGTTGGGCAAAGTTTTTTTGAAATGAACATTTCATTAACTTTCTATCTTAACCTCTCTTTGGAGGACTCAGTTCAGCCTCGTATTCTGGGACCTAAAATAACTTTTTCTTGCTGGATTTTTCTCAGGCTAGGAAGAAGTCTTACAAAATCACTGCCTCCCTACTCCCCCTAGCTCAAGATCATGTCACCAGCCCCAGTGCTGGGTAGGGATGTTTCTAATGGTTACAACCAGGGTCCTGGCTATTGTCTTTTTTGCCCTGTATATGTGAAGATTGTCCCCTGAGTCAGCAGACACTGAGGACCCACCCAGACCTCATGCCAGGTGTAGATAATGTAAGAGAGAAAGTGATCCTTTGATGGCTTCTTCCTTAAAAGAGGTACAGGCCGCATGCAGTGGCTCATACCTGCAATCCCGGCCCTTTGGGAGGCCAAGGCAGGTGGATCACTTGAGGTCAGGAATTTGAAACCAGCTCAGCCAACATGGTGAAACCCCGTCTCTACTAAAAATACAAAAATTAGCCGGGTGCGGCAGCACGTGCCTGTAATCCCAGCTACTTGGAAGGCTGAGGCACGAGAATCACTTGAACCCGGGAGGCAGAGGTTGGAGTGAGCCGAGATTGTGCCACTACAGTCTGGCCTGGGTGACAGAGCAAGACTCTGTCTCAAAAAAAAAAAAAAAAAAAAAGAGGTACAGGAGATAAAATTATAATATTAGATTAATGTTAATAATCACAATAGTGTGATTGGTACAATATGAGAGATTTAAGGAAAGTTCTATAGACATTCAGAGGCAAGATGACTAATTCTGCCAAATGGTACAGGAAGTGGGGTGGGGAAGGTGACATTTCATTTATTCATTTATTCAGAAAAGATTTATAGAGTGTCTTCCATATGCCAGGTGCTGTTCCAAGCACTTGGGATACTTCACTGAACCAAACAAAGATTCCTGCCTTGTGGAGCTGAGCTCCTGCAGGGACTGAGGGGATGAGTCATAGATAATAGCAATAAATGTAAATGAGAAAATTTTGTAGGCTGTTGGAAGGTGGTAAATGATCCAGGAAATGGGGTTAGATGCAGAAATGGCTGCACTGTTCTAAATATGCTTGGATAAGAATTGTGAAAGAGGAGTGAGCACATTCATTCCTAGCAGGGGATTTTCCTTGGCTGCCAGGGAACTCTGGAACCCCTGTTCATGGTGTGTACTTGGCTTACAGTCTGGCTGAAATCCTGGACTCCAGATTTAGCTCATGGCTCATTGCTGAGAGTTGTCTGAGTCTAAACCTCAGGGCCCTTTCCCTGTGCCCAGCTCCCCTTGACCATCATCCTGAGGTCTACTCAACTGTGGATCCAGCCGTCAGCCAGAGGGTCTACAGAGCACTGAACACTCATCCACTTCTGCCAGATTTTCTAGTAGTTGGAGGGAAGATGCTGCCTCTTATATCCAACAAATCTCCAGTAAGGGAGGCAAGGTCAAATGGGCAGTTCTCTGGCCATGGCCCTGGGTGTGGACTTGATGCTACCCACAATAAACAAGGCCCTCTCAGCCCTACCCAAGTAACATCAACTGGAACAAGGCTGGAGGTGACAGAGCACCGTGTCTCATGCAATTCTCAGAAAAGTGTGATTCCTATTTTCATGTTCAAGCTGGAGAAACTGAGGCTCAGAGAAGTCAAATCTCAAAGGGCCCCTCACTTTGATCTAGGAACAGTATTTCAGAGTGGTCAAGGCCTTGGGTCCTGGGGTTCAAAATCTGTCTCTACCACTTACCTGGGCAGGTTACTGGGTTCTTTATTCTATAGAGATTTAAGGAAACTCCTATAGAAACTAAGTAGGAATGATTGATTCTGCCAAGTGGTGTAGGAAGTGGGGTGGAGAAAGTGACCATTCATTCATTTATTTGGAAAAGGTTTATAGAGTGCCCTTGATATGCCATGTGCTGTTCTAAGCACTTGCTTCATTGAAGTACACACTTTGGCTTCTCTGTCCCCGAGGAGAGATAGCCTTGAGTGCACTGGACCCTGATGCTGTAGTTTGCCGGGCTGGGGCTCCTGCACACTGAGTACATTTTAATACCACATAGCTGAGGTCATCAGCACCAGCAGTAAGGAAACAGGTAATCCACAGAAATGTTAAACTTCTGCCACTTTTCAGAAAATATGAAAAGGTATAAAGAAAATAAAGATCAAATATTTTTCCACCATCTAAAACTACTGTTAACAATTTAGTGTAGGTTCTTACAGACTTTTCTGTGTGTGTGTGTGTGTGTGTGTGTGTTTGTGTGCATGCACTAGGTTGAACCTTATGAAATTGCCTTTTATATAAGTCAAAAACAGCCAAATTTTCATTTGATTCAATCAAACACAAGCATGTACACACAGACAAATACACACATATTTAAACAAAATGGGGCCATACCATAATACGGTTTTGTAGACTTTAATTTTTGTTTTCACCATGCTGGAGATCTAGAAATAATATATCACAGTGGTCCAGGCCATCCATGGGTTCTGGGTTCATGGGTTCAAAACCAGTTTCCACTGTGTGCTTACCTGGGTGGGCTACTGAGGTCTCCCTTTGCCAGGCTTTCCCTCTTGTACAGTGGGGATAGGCATATTACCTTCCATACCGGGTTGTGGTGAGGGCAGATGAATTACCACATATAAAGTGTTTAGACCAATGCCTTGACATGTATCATTCAGTCAATGTTAGTATCACTATAATTCCAGATGACCAGGGGGCGATGTATCATTTCATTGTGATCTGTCCTCTATTAATAACATTTTCCACTATTGGGGTGAAATCCTTGTGCATTCACCTAAGTATATGTATCCATTGGCTTACTTACTCTTTAAGGACTTAGGCTTTGAGGTTTTAGCTTTCAAGAATTCTTTTTGCTAATGTGTTTCAAGCTGGGTAGTAAGTACAGGGGAAGTTTCCTTGGGCGGCTGCCCTATGGCTCTATAAATTAGGCTTCCAGGTCATGGCCCTGGTCTTAGTCCATTCTTGCTGCTATAACAAAATACCATAGACTGGGTCTATAAACAATAGAAGCTTATTTCTCACAGTTCTGGGGGCTGGGAAGTCCAACATCACAGCGCCACCAGATTCAGTGACTGGCAAGAACCTGTTCCATAGATGGCATTTTCTCGCCGCATCCTCACATGGCAAAAAAAAAGGTAGAAGAGATGACTGGTGTGCCTTCGCATGCAGAAGAGGTAGAAAGGGCAAGCAGCTCTCCAAAGCCTCTTTTTTTTAAGAGACAGGGATTCACCATGTTACCCAGGCTGGCCTCAAACTCCTGGGCTCAAACGATCCACCTGCCTCAGCCTCTCAAAGTGCTGGGATTACAGGCATAAGCCACCACGCCCGGCCTCCAAAGCCTCTTTTATAAGGGCATTTGTCCTTATAAAAGACTTAATCATTTCCGAAAAGTCCCTACCTCTTCATACCATCACAATGGAGATTAAGTTTCAACATGAATTTTGGAGGGGACACACATATTTAAACTATAGCGCCCCATCTCTGCTTTTCTACTCACTAGAAACAGTGACTGTTCACCAGTCCCCAACTCTGGGCCTTGCTCACTTCTGTGGCTCAGTCATGCTGTCATCTCTACCTGAATGCCCTGGCAGGCCCCCTTTCCACACCAGCTTCTCAGCTGGTTAGGTTGGTTCTTCCTTCAGGCAGCCATCACCAATCCTTAAGCCTCAGATAGATGCCCACACCCCAGGCCTCCATACAGTCCATACCCACCAATCTCTCTCCTCTCACAAGGTGGACACAATGCCATCACTTTCTCCCCATCTAGACCTCACTCTGAAACCAGGACTAAGTCTTAGTGATCTGTGAGTTGACTTAATGCAACACTTGACCGGGTGCTCAATACACCTACCCAGGAGTTTGAGACCAGCCTGAGCAACAGAGTGAGACCCCATCTCTATAAAAACTTAAACAATGGTGGCTTATATTTATAATCCCAGCACTTTGGGAGGCCAAGGTGGGTGGATCACCTGAGGTCAGGAGTTCGAGACCAGCCTGGCCAACATAATGAAACCCCATCTCTACTAATTGTAAAAATACAAAAATTAGCTGGCCGTGGTGGCAGGTGCCAGTAATTCCCAGCTACTCAGGAGGCAGGCTGAGGCACTGCAGTGAGCCAAGATCACACCACTGCACTCCAGCCTGGGCGACAGAGCAAGACATCTCAAAAAAAAAAAAAAAAAATTAAACAAAAATACACCTATGTACAGACACAGAGGGATGAATATAGATTTGATGGATGAATTCAATGAATGAATAAAATCATAACTATCTGAATGAATGATGGAACTTAAATAAATGGAGATGGTTTTGGCAGGGTAGTTAATCTTGGTTAGAGAGGTGGCATGAAGAGAAGGCATGAGGGTCAAATTAGACAGGACGTATTTGGGAAAGGGAAGGACAGGAATGAATTCTAAGACTGGAAAGGCAAGTGGGGGCCGGATCTCCAGGCCTTGAGTGCCAGGCCAGGGAGTGGAGCAGTTTCCTCGTAAGCCCTGGATGTTTCTGACATGATTGGAGCTGTGCTTTAGAAAGGGGGCTTCCAGTGACGTTGTGGCCACCAGGAGACCAGTAGGCTGTCAGGCCTGGAGGCTTCGGTGGGGCTTACCCTGCCTGGGGCCTGTTGGATGACTCCCCCACGGCCAACACCCCTATACTTCTGAATCTCATAGCTCTTTTTCCCCCCACTCCCCTAAGGAAGGGCTCTTCTTCACCCCAAAGACAGAAGAAGTAGAAGGGAGAGTTTCTGGCAGCTTTGCTTTCTGAGGAAGTCACGTCACAGCCGTGCAGCCGATGATGAAATCCACCTCCGGAATTAGCAACAACCTCTCTTTCCACTTTAGAAAACTGATTAGCAAATCCTCCCCAGCTTGTTCTCACTCCCTGGGTCCAGAGCAGGGAGTATCCATCAGCGCCTCTGCCTGCCTGATTCCGTGGCCTCCAGAGTGTAACCACAGCCTCACCGCTCACTCCATCTCTTTTCTTTGGTTCTGACCTGAGATCAGCGAGGTCTGTGCTTTGGAGGTGTGCGTGTGTTTCTTTTACAAGGTCCAGCTCTGTCTCCCAGGCCGGAGTGCAGTGGCACGATCATAGCTCACTGCAGCGTTGACCTTCAGAGCTCGAGTGATCCTCCTGCCCTCAAGCGATCCTCCTGCCTCAGCCTCCTATGTAGCTATGACTATAGGCATGAGCCACCACACCCTAATTTTCTGATGTTTTGTAGACATAGGGTCTCACTACTCCCCAGGCTGGTCTGAAACTCCTAGGCTGAAGCAGTCCTCCCGCCTCGGCCTCCCAAAGTGCTGGGATTACAAGCGTGAGCCACTGTGCCCAGCCTCAAACACTTTACAAGCCAGAAAGGCAATGAGGAGGAGGAGAAGAGTTGGTTTGAGGACAAGGGAGAGGCTCTGGGGAGAACTGGGCTGGAGAAGAGGAGGCGGAGGCTGGCTTAGTTCCTTTCTCCAAGTGCCACTTGCCTGGTCCTTGAGTGCAGCTCCAGGCATCCTGTGCATTCCTCAAATCCTGAGCTCTCAGCCCTGACCTCGCTTCCTGTTTCACTGTGAAGAGAGACGATCTGTGAAAACTGGCACTGCCCTCACCCACATGTCTGCCTCCGTCTGTGTCTGTACTGTGGGATCTGGCCCAGCCTGCCCTCCTGCTGGGCACCAGGCCCCATTCCCATCCCTGCCACTCTCCCGTCCTCTCCTCATGCGCATGCAAATGCATTATTATGTCTCCCACTGGAAACAAGAAAACCTTGAGCCCACCTCCTCCCAGCGGCTGCCCTCTCTCTCTGTCCCTCTTCACAGCAGAAACCCTGTAGAGCACTCATTGCCTCCAGCTCCCAGCCTCCCCTTTCTCTCCTCGACCTACCATCAGAGGGGGAGAGCCTTTTTTTTTTTTTTTTTTTGCTTTTTTTTTTTGAGATGGAGTCCCGCTCTGTTGCCCAGGCTGGAGTGCAGAGGCACAATCTCAGCTCATTGCAACTTCCGTCTCCCAGGTTCCAGCGATTCTCCTGCCTCAGCCTCCCGAGTAGCTGGGATTACAGGCACGCACCACCACGCCTGGCTAAATTTTTTATTTTTATTAGAGACAGGCTTTCACCATGTTGGTCAGGCTGGTCTCAAACTCCTGACCTCAGGTGATCTGCCCGCCTTAGCTTCCCAAAGTGCTAGGATTACAGGCGTGAGCCACCACACCCAGCCAATTTCCTTTAAAAAATATATAGATAGATAGATAGATAGATAGATAGATAGATAGATAGATAGATAATTATTTATTTGACAATCTTGCTCTGTTGCCCAGGCTGGAGTGCAGTAACGCAGTCATAGCTCACTACAGCCTCCAACTCCTGGGCTCAAAGTGTCCTCTTGCCTCAGCCTCCCAAAGCATTGGGATTACAGGCACCAGCCACCATGCCCGGTCAAAATGCATTTCTTCATATGGCTTCCAGGGTGCCACAGTCTCCTGGCTTCCCCCAACCTCACAGGCTGTTTCTTTTCTATCTCCATCACTGATTCCCTCCTATCCTTATTTATTTATTTAGAGACCAGGTTTTAAGACTTGCAATGTTTGTATTTTTGGTAGAGACGGGGTTTCACTGTGTTGCCCAGGCTGGTCTCGAACTCCTGGGCTCAAGCAATCCTCCTTCCTTGGACTCCCAAAGTGCTGGGATTACAGGCATGAGCCACTGCCCGTACCTGGCCTCCTGTCTCTCCTGAACGTCGGGGTGTCCTCAGGCTGTCCCCAGACATCTCATCTGCACTCACTCCTTGGTGCTCTTATCCACTCTTACATTCCGTCCAAATTTATAAATGTAGCTCAGACCTGTTCTTTTTTTTTTTGAGACAGAGTCTCACTCTATCACCCAGGCTAGAGTGCAGTGGCATGATCTCAGCTCACTGCAGCCTTCACCTCCTGAGTTCAAGCAATTCTTCTGCCTTAGCCTCCCGAGTCAGCTGGGTGGCGTGCACCACCACATCTGGCTAATTTTTGTATTTTTAGTAGAGACAGGGTTTCATCATGTTGGCCAGGCTGGTCTCGAACTGGCCTCAAGAGGTCTGCCCACCTCGGCCTCCCAAAGTGCTGGGATTACAGGTGTGAGCCACCACACCTGGCCTAGCTTAGACCTTTTCTGAACTCCAGATGCGGCACAGCCCACTGCTCACCCACAGCTCCACTGGGATACCTGGTGGGTGTGTCATGTCTAACCTAGCCCCAAACCAACTCTCCCATGGGTCCCCCCAGCTTGTTAATGGCAGCTCAGTCCCTCTAGTTGCTCAGGCAAATCATCACGATGTTCTCCTTGACTCCTTCCTTCCTCACACCCCAGATCCAGAACATCAGATAATCCCATCAGCTCTAGCTTCAAAATAAATTCAGAGACCGACCACGTCTCGACACCTCCTCTGCCTCCACCATCAATTCTGTCCTGATTGAAGGCAGCAGAGTCTTCACTGTGGTCCCTGCAGCCACACTGGTCCCTGCAGTCTGTTCTCAGCACAGCAGCCAGAGGGATCCTATTGAATCAGATCGTTTTACCGCTTTGCTCAAAACCTTCCAGGGAGGCCAGGCACACTGGCTCACCTGTTAATCTCAGCAATTTAGGAGGCCAAGGCAGGAGGATCGCTTGGGGCCAGGAGTTCAAGACCAACCTGGGCAACATGGCAAGACCCCGTCTTTACCAAAAACCGCAAAAAACAAAACCACTTCCAGTGGCCCCAGTCTTATGTGGAACAAAGGTCAGTCCTCACCATGAGCCACGAGGCCTCTAGGGATTTGGCCCCTCCTGCCCCTGACTTCCGGCTCTAGCCATACTTCCTCGCGCCTGCCAGCTGGGCTTCTGCTCGTGTGCCTAGAACTCTTCCCCCAGGTGTGTACCAGGCTCACTTCCTCTTCATGTTATTTATTTTTTGAGACAGGGTCTCACTCTGCTGCCCAGGCTAGAGTGCAGTGGCCCTATCGTAGCTCACTGCAGCCTCAAACTCCTGGGCTCAAGCCATCCTCCCACCTCTGCCACCAAGCCAGGCTAATTTTTTCATTTTAAATTTTTTTGTAGAGACAGGATCTTGCTATGTCACCCTGACTGTTCTCAAGCTCCTGGTCTCAAGCAGTCCTGCCTCCTCGGCCTCCCAAAGTGCTGAGATTTTAGGTGTGAGCCACCACGCCAGCCTCTCGTCACTTTAAAGTCTGTATCCCTCTGTCACCTCAGTACAGCCTTTCTCAGTGACCCTTTGGGAGGTTATAATGCTGCCTAGAACACTCCAGCCCTATCCTTGCCCTTATCTTTCTTCCATAGCACCTCTCGCCATCCGATTTGTTTACTGCTTGTCTCCCCTGCTAAAATATAAGCTCCGTGAGGACAGAGATCGTCATCTCTGTTCCTTGCTGTTTTATTTTGGTTTTGTTTATTTATTTGTTTGTTTGTTTGTTTTTGAGACAGAGCCTCACTCTTTCACCCAGGCTGGAGTGCAATGGTGCTATCTCAGCTCGCTGCAACCTCTGCCTCCCAGGCTCAAGCAATTCTTGTTCCTCAGCTTCCCGAGTAGCTGGGACTACAGGCATGCACCACCACCCCTGGCTAATTTTTGTATTTTCAGTAGAGACTGGTTTCACCATGTTGGCCAGGCTGGTCTCGAACTTCTGACCTCAAGTGACCCACCCACCTTGGCCTCCCAAAGTGATGGGATTACAGGCATGAGCCATTGTGCCTGGCCTTTTTTTTTTTTTTTTTTAAAGACATGGTCTTGCTCTGTTGCCCAGGCTGGTGTACAGTGGCGCAATATTGGCTCACTGCAACTTCTGCCTCCTGAGCTCAGGTGATCCTCCCACCTCAGCCTCCCAAGTAGCTGGAACTATAAGCATGCACCACCACGCCTGGATAATTTCTTGTATTTTTGTAGAGACAGGGTTTCACCATGTTGCCCCCAGCTGGTCTTGAACTCCTGGGCTCAAACAATCCACCCACCTTGGCCTCCCAAAGCGCTGGGATTACAGGCATGAGCCACCGCACCCTCACTGTATTTCTAGAGTAGTGCCAGGCATATGATAGGCCTTCCAGAAATATATGTCGAATGAATGAGTGAATATGAAAACAATTCAGAGCAGTTGTTCCCTGAGTTTAGGGAAGACCAGAGAGAGATCTGGGTGGCCCCTAAGAATCTGTTACCCGTGATCACGGTGAAACAGAAATAGATGACAGAGAGCAGGGGTGGTATCTTTTAGAAGAAAATAGGTGACCATCTATACTGGGCCAGTTCTATAGTTAGCAAGATGACATGGGAGGAGAGCTATTTTTCTGAGCTTTATGTAACAGATGTGGTTTTGTATAAATCACACTTCTGTAAACTGAATCCTCTCTTAAATGTACTAACGGAGATTGCTATTTAAGGGTATCGAATGCCAATGTCTTCTGTGAAATGAATAATAATCTCCTAATTTGGCCTTAGTGGCAATTCACATTTTCCAGAAAAAAATTTACTTACATCAAGGTATACTTGTCTGAGCTGAGAAACTGACTTCATTCTTCACATTTCCACCATCTTTATTCTTTGCTCTCATTCTTCCTTTTTGTTACTGTTTTTCTTCTCTTTTTTTTTTTTTTTTGAGACAAAGTCTTGCTCTGTCGCCCAGGCTGGAGTGATCTCGGCTCACTGCAACCTCTGCCTTCTGGGTTTAAGCAATCCTCCTGCCTCAGACTCCCGAGTAGCTGGGATTACAGCAGGCACACGCCACCACACCTGGCTAATTTTTGTATTTTTAGTAGAGATGGGGTTTCACCATGTTGGCCAGGCTGGTCTCAAACTCTTGACCTCAAGTGATCCGCCCACCTGGGCTTCCCAAAGTGCTGGGATTACAGGCATGAGCCACTGTGCCCGGCCACTGTTTTTACTTTTAGCTGAATTTTTTCTTAGACTCTGACATACAATGTTCTTCTGTAACATCACCTGAATTAACAGTGCCATGGGCCCTTCCGAGCCCAAATGAGTCCAATTTGGGGGTGGAGCAAAGGAATCTAGGGGTGTGTGTACAAACTCGGGGTACAGGATTCTCAGATGATATCCCGGCCTAGCCAAGTCTGGGAACCACTGACCAAAGGCTTTCTTTCTACACACAGCGATTCCTGCAGAAATAGAACAAAAGGTGGGATGTCAAGGATGTTGGGTGGGAGGCCAAGGTGGGAGGCTCACTGGAGCCCAGGAGGTTGAGACCAGCCTGGGCAGCATAGTGAAACCCCATCTCTACAAAAAAACTTGGAAGAAAAAAAAAAGGATGTGCTCAAGGGAGAGGCATCAGGTTTTCTAGTGCTGGGATGTGGCTGGGGCTTGGCTCATTCACTTGACAGAAAGGTCACTTCTAGAAATTGGACACTGCAAGAGACCCAGAGCTGGATAAGGGATGGTTCCCGTGCTGGGGGATCTCCTGTAAGTCAGGCATCACCCACCTTGAGTCTTCAGATCATTGGAGATAAGTAGCAGTATATTAATAAAAGAGAAGAGACAAAACTAACCTCACTGTTAGAAAGCTGGGGAAACAGCTGGGTGCGGTGGCTCATGCCTGTAATCCCGGCACTTTGGGAGACTGAGGAGGGCAGGTCACCTGGGGTCAGGAGTTCAAGACCAGCCTGGCCAACATGGTGAAACCCCCATCTCTACTGAAAATACAAAAATTAGCCACGTGTGGTAGCTCACACCTGTAATCCCAGCACTTTGGGAGGCTGAGGCAGATGAAACACTTGAGGTCAGGAGTTTGAGACCAGCTTGACCAACATGGTGAAACCCTGTTTCTACTAAAAATATAAAATTAGCCAGAGTTGGTGGCACGTGCCTGTAATCCCAGCCACTCGGGAGGCTAAGGTGTGAGAATCGCTTGAACCCAGGAGGTGGAGGTAGGTAGCAGTGAGCCGAGATCACACTACTGCACTCCAGCCTGGGTGACAGTGAAACTGTGTCTCAAGAAAAAAAATGAAAGAAAGAAAGCTGGGGCAACGAGAGGGTGGTAGAGGGCATGAAGAGAGGAAGTTGGGCAATGCTGGTGGTTTGTGGGGAGGGCGCAGCCCAGGGTTTCCCACTCTTGCTGACAAGCTGCCTATCCGGAAGGCTTCCCCCGGGAGCTCTGGCCAGGGCCATTACGAAAGGCCACTCCAGTCTGGCTCTGTGAATAGTGAAAGATCAGGATATGTCTGGTGGATTTACCCAAGGCTGCGCTTTCTAGGGAGGGTGACTTGCCCAACCAGTGACTATGATGAATGGGGAATGAGCCCTCTGGGTGCAATACCTGCCAGCGTGACTTTGCAGTTTGGGGTGCTAGGGAAGCAGAACCAAGGTTTCCTCCATGACGACAGGAGCAGCAGCCTTACAAGGGAGGAGCCCCTTTCGAAGCCACAGCTCCCTGTGGGTGAGAGGAGGGCATATGGGCCCGCTTCTCCTTTTCCCCAAGGCCTGGTGTCCGAGTCTCTTACCCTGTGCCCTACATTCCAGGCCCCTTTGAAAGCCTAAGTGGGCACCCCGAAGGTCATCACAGATGTTCTCTTATGGAGGGAGGCAGCTGGCATACGGGGAAAAGGAGACCAAGAAACCAAGACTCACGCAAGGAACCAGGCTGAGGCTGGGCGCGGTGGGTCACGCCTGTAATCCCAGCACTTTGGGAGGCCGCTGCAGGAGGATGGCTTGAGGCCAGGAGTTCGAGACCAGCCTGGGCAACACAGGGAGATCCTCACCTCTACAAATAATAAAAAATTAGTGGCTGGGTGCGGTGGCTCACGCTTGTAATCCCAGCACTTTGGGAAGCCGAGGCAGGAGGATCACCTGAGGTCAGGAGTTCAAGACCAGCCTGGTCAACATGGTGAAACCCCGTCTCTACTAAAAACTACAAAACAAATTAGCCGGGAGTGATGGTGGGTGCCTGTAATCGCAGCGACTTGGCAGGCTGAGACAAGGGAATCGCTTGAGCCGGGGAGGCGGAGGTTGCAGTGAGCTGAGATCACGCCATTGCACTCCAGCCAGGTGACAGAGCAAAACTCCATCTCAAAAAAAAAAAAAAAAAAAATTAGCTGGGTGTGGTGGCATGCACCTGTGCTCCCAACTATTTTGGGAGGCTGAGGTGGGAGGATTGCTTGAGCCCAGGAGGTCGAGGCTGCAATGAGCCATGATTGCACCACTGCACTCCAACCTGGGCAACAGAGCAAGACCTTGTCCAAACAAAAAAAAATAGTCATCTAAATGTAGTTACTGTTGTTCCCAGCATCAGTTAGATCAATCACTGTGCCTGACATATACCTCCCTGGTAAACATGAGGAGGAGGACACAGGCTCAGGCACCAGCATGCCTTACCCCAAAGTGATGGCCAGTAATCAGCCTCTGTATGTGTGGACATCCACCCTCATAGGCTGCCCTGCCTAGTCCAGGGGCCAGCAAACATTTTCTGCAAAGGGCCAGATGGTAAATGTTTTTGGCTTTGTGGCTTCCTGCTGCTACTATTTCTTCCTCCTCCTCGTCCTCCTCCTCTTCCTCCTCCTCCTCCTCCTCCTCCTCCTCCCCACCCTTAAAAAGCCAGGCATGGTGGCTAGCGCCGGTAATTCCAGCACTTTGGGAGGCTAAGGTGGGAGGATCGCTAGAAGCCAGGAGCTCAAGACCAGCCTGGGCAACAAAGTGAGACCCGGTCTCTACAAAAAAAAATTTTTTAATTAGCCTGGCGTGGTGGTGCGCACCTGTAGGCCCACCTACTTGGGAGGTGGAGGTGGGACGATTGCATGAACCCAGGAGTTCAAGGCTGTAGTGAGCTATGATCGTACCACTACACTGCAGCCTGGGCAACAGAGCAAGACTCTGTCCCTAAACAAGAACACAAAAACCAGTCCTAGCTCACAGGCCATGCACAAGCAGGCTGAGGCCAGGTTTGGCTGGTGGGCGGTGGTTTGGACCCCTAGCAGCCTGTCCTTTCTCATTCTTGTCTAGGACGATGTTACGAGATACTTTGTTTTTGTTTTTGTTTTCTTTTCTTTTCTTATCTTTTCTTTTTTTTTTTTTTTTTTTTTGAGACAGAGTCTTACTCTGTCGCCCAGGCTGGAGTGCAGTGGTGTGATCTCAGCTCACTGCAACCTCCACATCCCAGGTTCAAGCGATTCTCCTGCCTCAGCCTGCTGAGTAGCTGGGACTACAGGTGCGCACCATCACACCCAGCTAATTTTTGTATTTTTAGTAGAGACGAGGTTTCATCATATTGACCATGCTGGTCTCAAATTCCTGACCTCAGGTGATCCGCCTGCCTCAGCCTCCCAAAGTGCTGGGACTACAGGCATGAGCCACCGCGCCTGGCCATTTTTTGTTTGTTTTTGTTTTTGTTTTTTGAGACAGAGTCTCGCTGTGTCACCCAGGCTGGAGTGTAGTGGCACAATCTCGGCTCAACTGCAACCTCCACCTCCTGGGCTCAATCGATCCTCCACCTCAATCTCCTAAAGTGTTGGGATTACAGGCATAAGCACAGTCAGAGGAGAAGGAAGGAAAGGACAGGAAGGAGTAGTACAGTCTTTGTCCCTTTGAGGACAAGATCCACCTTTTTTAAGGGTGGGGAGTCAGGGTCTCCATCTGTCATTCATGATAGAGTGCAGTGGCACAGTCATAGCTCACTGCAGCCTCCAACTCCTGGGCTCAAGCAATCCTCCTGCCTCAGCCTCCCAAGTAGCCACCACTACAGATATACCACCATCCCCAGCTAAATTTTCATTTTTTGTAGAGATGGGGTCTTACCATGTTGCCCAGGCTGGTCTTGAACTCCAGGCCTCAAGTGATCCTCCTGCCTCGGCCTCTCAAAGTGCTGGGATTCCAGGCATGAGCTGCCACACCTGGCCACAGGGTCCACTTCCTATCATCTGTGTGCTCTCTCACAGCCCCTGGTGTGGTGCCCTGGATCCTGGCAGCCATGTGCAGGTGCATGGCTGTCCACAACTGTCTGTGAAAGGCCCTCTTGTGGTTGTATGGCAAAGAGCCTTACTATCTGTGTGGCAGCCTTGCCCTGCGTGTAGTAGGTATTCAGTAAAATCAGTTTCTCAGGCCAGCGTGGTGGCTCATGCCTGTAATCCCAGCACTTTGGGAGGCCGAGGCAGGTGGATCACTTGAGGTCAGGAGTTCGAGACAAGACAGGCCAACATGGTGAAACCCCGTCTCCACTAAAAATACAAAAATTAGCCAGGCGGGGTGGTGGGTGCCTGTAATCCCAGCTATCAGGAGGCTGAGGCAGGAGAATCACTTGAACCCGGGAGGCAGAGGTTGCAATGCGCCGAGATCGCGCCACTGCACTCCAGCCTGGGTGACAGAGTGAGACTCCGTCTCAGAAAAAGAAAAAAAAATCAGTTTCTCAGTGTTTTTTATCTTTTTTTTTCCTGTGACAAAATACATATAACATGAAATTCGCTATTGTAACAAATTCAAGTGTATAATTAAGCAACATCTGGCACATTCGCTATGTCGTGCAACCGACATGACTGTTTAATTTCAGAACATTTTCACTATCCGTAAAGGAAACCCTGTTCCCATTAAGCAATCACTCCCCACCCCTCTCCTACCAGGCCCCAGTGGCCACCAGTCAGCTCTCTGTCTCTATGGATCTGCCCATTCTGAGCACTTCATACAAATAGAATCACACATTGTGTCCCATTTCATGTCTGGTTTCTTTCATGTAGCATGTTTTGGAGGCTTATCTACCTTGTAACTGTGTGTGTGTGTGTGTGTCTATGTGTGTGTGTGGTGGTAAAATATACATACCATAAAATTCACCATTTTAGGGCCCAGCGCATGGCTCATGCCTGTAGTCCCAGCACTTTGGGAGGCTGGGACAGCCAAAGCGCTTGAGCCCAGGAGTTTCAGACCAGCCTGAGCAACATAGTAAGACCCCGTCTCTACAAAAATTAGCTGGGTGTGGTGGCATGTGCCTATAATCCCAGCTACTCAGGAGGCTGAGGCAGGAGGATCACTTGAGGCCAGAAGTTTGAGACCTGCCTAGGCAACACAGTGAACCCCATTTCTACAAAGGAATTTAAAAATTAGCCAGGTGTGGTGGCATACACCTGTCGTCTCAGCTATCTGGGAGGCTGAGATGGGAGGATTGCTTGAACCCAGGAGGTTAAGGTTGTAGTGAGCCATGTTTGCACCATTGTACTCCAGCCTGGGCAACAGAGGGAGACCCTGCCTAGGCAACATAGCAAACCCCATCTCTACAAAAGAATTTAAAAATTAGCCAGGTGTGGTGGCATGCACCTGTCGTCTCAGCTGCCTGGGAGGCTGAGATGGGAGATTGCTCGAATCCAGGAGGTTGAGGCTGTAGTGAGCCACGTTTGCACCACTGTACTCCAGCCTGGGCAACAGAAGGTGAGGCAGACAGTAGGGTGGAGGACGTTGGTTGGCAACAGGTTTGTGTTGGACCCTGGCAGTTACAGAAGGCAGCACGGTGTGGGAGAGGAGGCGCTCTCAGATGGACCTGGGTTTGAATTCTGGCTCCACTTCTTGCTGGCTGTACTACTTGCAAGTAGCTTGTCTTGGAAAATAGGGGCCCAGATTTCTTGCCCTCTAGGGACCAAAGGCGGATGAGAAGTAAATTACCAGTGCAGTGCCTGGGAGGAGGAAGAGGCCCAAGTGAGGGTCAGTGGCTCCTGCTACTACCACTAATCTGGTGACAATGGCTCTATGATGATTATTATTATTTTTGATCAAGAGAAGAATTAAAAAGACCCTGATGTTGGGCAGCAAATTCCAAGTGTTGTAGCTAGGACCAGAGCAGTCTCACGGAGCACAGAAGGCTCCCCACGGTGGGGACGCTCTGTTTGGCTTTCATGCCTCACCTGTCCCTCTACTCTCCCAGGCTCACCTGATCTCCATTTGGTTCTGTACTCTCCCTGTCATCCTCACTCAGGTGGTAGGTCCCAGCTGTTAACCTGAGCTATTGCCACCTGTACTGCAACCTGCCATGGCCAATTTTCTTTTCTTTCTTTCTAGTTTTCTTTTCTTTCTTTTGTGTGCATGTGTGTGTGTGTGTGTGTGTGACCCAAGTTGGAGTGGTGCAGTGGTATGATCATAGCTCACTGCAACCTTGAACTTCTGGGCTCAAGCCATCCTCCCACCTCAGTCTCCTGAGTAGCTGGGATTACAGGCACCTGCCACCATGCCCAGCTAATTTTTGTATTTTTAGTAGAGACGGAGTTTCACCATGTTGGCCAGGCTTGTCTTGAACTCCTGGCCTCAAGTGATCTGCCTGCCTCGGCCTCTCAAAGTACTGGGATTACAGCCTCTTTTTAAAAAAATTATTATTATTATTATTTGAGATGGAGTTTCACTCTTGTTGCCCAGGCTGGAGTGCAATGGCACGATCTCAGCTCACTGCAACCTCCATCTCCTGGGTTCAAGCGATTCTCCTGCCTCAGCCTCCTGAGTAGCTGGAATTACAGGCGCCCACCACCAGGCCTGGCTAATTTTTGTATTTTTAGTAGAGATAGGGTTTCACCATGTTGGTCAGGCTGGTCTTGAACTCCTGACCTCAGGTGATCCACCCGCCTCGGCCTCCCAAAGTTCAGGGATTACGGGCATGAGCCACCGCGCCCAGCCTTTATTTTATTTTTTTTGTGAGACAGAGTTTCTCTCGTCACCCAGGCTGGAGTGCAGTGGCGCGAATTCGGCTCACTGCAACCTCCACCTCGTGGGTTCAAGTGATTCTCCTGCCTCAGCCTCCTGAGTAGCTGGGACTACAGGTACGCGCCACCACCCCTGGCTAATTTTGTATTTTTAGTAGAGATGGGATTTCACCATGTCGGCCAGGCTGGTCTGGAGCTCCTGACTTTGGGTGATCCGCCCACCTCCGCCTCCCAAAGTGCTGGGATTACAGGTGGAGCCACCGTGCCCGGCCTCCTCTGCCTTTGTTTTGCCCTTCTCCTTTCCCATCTGTGCTGCCTGTTCTCAGGTTTTCCTTCTCTGGCCCCTTGCCTGGGGACCTGCCACCCCCACCCGGGGCACATCCCCGTGCCTGCTCCTGCCGTGGGACCTTTGTGAGCCAGCCTGGCCTTGGCAGCCCGAGGGCTGGGCTTCTGCCAAGAGCTGTGTGTATGTGACCTGACAGTGTCCAACTGGGCCCACAGGCCAGGCCCAGGCCCAGCTCCCCACACAAGCAAGGCCAGAGGGTTTCCCATTGGCCACTGCCTGGCTGGGCTGTCCCAGGCGAGCGGAGGATGGGGAGTGCTGGGGAGGGAGGAAGAGAGGCTGGGAGAAAGGCGCCCTTCCTGCGGTGCCTGCTGGTAATTGGCTCTCCGGAACCAGCCGGGGACACGAGGGCCTGCTGGGTCAGGAAGTGGTGGACAATGCCACCCTTTCAGGGGAGACACGGCTTGGTCTTAGGTCCTGTGTGACTCCAGGGAAGTCCAGAGAACAGCCTGTTCTCAGATGATGTTCCCTAACCCAGAGCCCCCTCCAGAGGTGAGACACCCAGCCCCGCACTGCCCGCCCTTGGTGCTGGGAGGGGCCCCCAGGCATTGGCCTGTGGCGGGGCGGGAACAGTTCAGAACCAAATGATGTCCTTCAGAGAGCCTGGGGCCGGGAGGGGAAGGGAGTAGATTTTCTCAAGAGACTGTGAATCACATACCTGGGACTTTTTTTTTTCTTTTTTTTTTTTTTTGAGACAGAGTCTCACTCTGTCACCCAGGCTGGAGTGCAGTGGCACCATCTCAGCTCACTGCAGCCTCCGCCTCCCCAGTTCAAGTGATTCTCCTGCCTCAGCCTCCCAAGTGGCTGGGACTACAGGCACGCACCACCATGTCTGGCTACTTTTTGTATTTTTGGTAGAGACAAGGTTTTGCCATTTTGGCCAGGCTGGTCTTGAACTCCGAACCTCAAGTAATCCGCCCATCTCAGCCTCCCAAAGTGCTGAGATTACAGGTATGAGCCACCGCACCTGGCGTACCTGGGACTCTTTCTAAAAAAATTTTATAGAACAGGCGCAGTTCAAGACCAGCCTAGCCAACATGGTAAAACCCTGTCTCTACTAAAAAAAAAAATACAAAATACAAAAATTAGCTGGACATGGTGGCGGGCACCTGTAATCCCAGCTACTGGGGAAGCTGAGGTAGGAGAATCACTTGAACCTGAGAGGCAGAGGTTGCAGTGAGCCAAGCTCACACCACTGCACTCCAGCTTGGGAGACAAATGGAGTGAAACTCCCATCTCAAAAAAAAAAGTATATATATATTTTATATAAATAATATATAAAATTTTAATATATATAAATATATATATATATTTTTTAATAGTGATGGGATCTTACCATGTTGCCCAGGCTGGTCTTGAACTCCTGGTCTCAAGAGATCCTCCTGCCTCGGCCTCTCAAAGTGCTGGGATTACAGGCATGAGCCACCATGCCTGGCCTCTACCTGGTACACTTTAGAGGCGAGAGTGCTGGGAAGCAGCCAGTCCTGATGACTTATGGACTTATGACCTGCCTTCGCGACTGTGGGCCTACAGGAAAGGAGAAGGCAGGGTCCTTGTGCTTGGGATTCTAGTCTGGGTAGGGAGGGAAGGTAATACTCAGTGTCAAACGTATTAAGAGAAATAGGAATTCAAAAAAAGAGAAAAAAAAGGCCAGGTGCGGTGGCTCACAACTGTTATCTCAGTACTTTGGGAGGCTGTTGGGGGAGGGTCACTTGAGCCTGAGTTCAAGACCAGCCTGGGCAACACAGGGAGACCCCATCTCTACAAAAAATACAAAAAAATTAGCTGGGTGTGGTGGCACATGCCTGGAAGTCCCAGCTTCCCGGGAGGCTAAGGCTGGAGGATCACTTGAGCACAGGCGTTCAAGGCTGCAGTGAGCTATAATCACATCACTGCACACCAGCCTGGGTGACAGAACAGGACCCTGTTTCTTATAAAAAAAAAAAAAAAAAAAGGGCTGGATGAGGTGGCTCATGCCTGTAATCCCAGCACTTTGGGAAACTGAGACAGGTGGATTACCTGAGGTCAGGAGTTCAAGACCAGCCTGGCCAACATGGCGAAACCCTGTCTCTACTAAAAATACAAAAATTAGCCAGGTGTGGTGGTGTGGGCCTATAATCCCAGCTACTCCGGAGGCTGAGGCAGGAGAATCACTTGAATTCAGGAAGCAGAGGTTGCAATGAATCAAAATTGTGCCACTGCACTCTAACCTGGGCAACAGAGCAAGACTTTGTCTCAAAAAAAAAAAAAAAAAGAAAAGAAGAGAAAAGAAAGAAGGAAGAGAGAAAAATACATTGTTGGCCTGAGTAGCTTGGTTAAGTCTTAAAAAAATAAAGGTACCTTGGGAGGCCGAGGCGGAAGATCATGAGGTCAAGAGATCGAGACCATCCTGGCCAATATGGTGAAACCCCGTCTCTTCTAAAAATATAAAAATTAGCTGGGCATGGTGGCGCACACCTGTAGTCCCAGCTACTCAGGAGACTGAGGCAGAAGAATCACTTGAACCAGGGAGGAGGAGGTTGCACTGAGCCGAGATTGCGCCACTGCACTGCAGCCTGGCGACAGGGCAAGACTCTGTTCTCAAAAAAAAAAAGAAAAAAAAAGAAAACGGTACCGTTGAGTATGAGCTTGAAGGAGGTCAGGGTTTGGAAAGTAGAAAGAAGAGGGAGCGTGTATGGTGGAGGGTGGGGTGGAGAGGTGGTATCCCAGGTACACAGTGTTAGTGAGCCATGGGAAACTGGTCCTCGCAGGGAACTTCTGCCCTGGAAACCCCTCAGTATCTGACATTCCCTGGCCCCCTGGGGGACCTACAGGTTGCCTTAGAACCCAGAATGAGCCCCCAAGAAGCCTTGCCACAGACTCGGCAATGGGCCCCAAACCATAGAGTGGGCTCTGCCTCATGGGTACAGCCACTATGATGAAGTGTTGCTTGGGGAACTGGGGCACGATGATGACAGTGCCTGAGAGCTCTTGTGAGCCCCCCCAGAGCTGCAGGAGAAGGGTCTGGGACAGTCCTGGCAAGCTCAGGCAGAGCTTACAGGTGCCTTGTAGCCGCTGGTTTAGGAAGAAACTTCTTTCCACAAGCCAGTGCTTAGGCCAGGTCCTTGTCAGTTGCACTGGATTCATACTGGGAGGCGGTGACTCCCACGGTGTTCCCCACTTTCCTTAGCACACTGGAGAAGTAACTCATTCAGGAGAACAGAGGGTCATTTGTGTCATGTTCCTCCCCTGCTCAAGAGCCTTCTGTGGATCCCCAGTACCCATCAGATCACAGTTTTCCTCGACCTGATATCCAGAGCCCTCCGTCATCTGATCAGCCGTTTCAGAGTCTAAAAATGGGAAGAGACCTAGAAGTCATCTAATGTAATCTGAACCTGTCCATCTTTTTCACAATAACCCAGAGAGGTTGCCTCTCTTCTGCATGTGTGTTTCTAATAATGAGGAGTTCTCTTTCATGAGACAGCTTTAAGTTCATCCAGAAACTGCCTCTCTGGACTTCTGCCCATTGGTCTAGGTTCAAGCCTCTGGAGTTTTTCCTGCTTCCAGATGGTCACGCTTCAGAATACTGATATTTCTCTAAATTTTCTTCAGATCTTAAGTCCATTTCAATCCAGGTCACTCTTTTTTGGAAATGGTCCAGCTTGTTAGTTTCCTTCATAATGTATAAAGCCTGAAACTGAATAGTGTTTCACGCATGGCCTTATCTGTGTAGAGAACTGGAACCATACGTTCCCTCCTTTTAATGCATCCAGAGAGATCAGACTTGCATGTTCATCAACCGTATCAAAATCTTGCTATTATTAAGTTAGCAGCCAAATAAAACACCTTAATTCTTTTTTTTGTTTTCTTTTGAGACGGAGTTTCTCTCTGTCACCCAGGCTGGAGTGCAGTGGCGTGATCTCGGCTCACAGCGTTCTCCGCCTCCCGGGTTTAAGCAATTTTCTGCCTCAGCCTTCCGAGCAGCTGGGATTACAGGTGCCCACCACCACGCCCGGCTAATTTTTTGTGTGTTTTTAGTAGAGACGAGGTTTCACCATCTTGGCCAGGCCGAACTTGAACTCCTGACCTCGTGATCCACCTACCTCAGCCTCCCAAAGTGCTAGGATTACAGGCGTGAGCCATGTGCCCAGCCAAAACACCTTCATTCTTTTCACAAGTGCTGCTTTGAGTCACGGCTCCCTTGTGCCAGTGAGTTTAGGCCTAAGTATAGAAAATTTCCTTTGTACCTACTGGATTTCATCTTGTGAATTTTAATGCATTTTTCCAGTCTGTGGATTCTGATCGTGTCTCTGTGGTGTAGAGGGCCTTGTCTAGTGCCGAGGTTGTGATCCTGAGCCTGAGCTTGGTCACACTGCAAAGACTGAATCCCCGCCCTACACTTGCTGATGTTACGGGCCTGGGCAGTTTACTTAGCAGTTCTTTTTTTATTTTTATTTATTTATTTTAGAGATAGGGTGTCACTCTGGTCCCCAGGCTGGAGTGCAGTGGCGTGATCATGGCTCACAGCAGCTTCAAACTCCTGGGCTCAAGTGATCCTCCTGTGATCCTCCTATCTCAGCCTCCCAAGTACCTGGGACTACAGGCACGGCCACCGCACTTGACAAATTTTTTTTTTTTTTTTTTTTTTTAGGCTGGGCATGGTGGCTCATGTCTGTAATCCCAGCACTTTGAGAGGCCAAGATGGGCGGATCACCTGAGGTCAGGAATTCAAGACCAGCCTGACCAACATGGTGAAATCCCATCTCTACTAAAAATACAAAAATTAGCCGGGCTTGGTGGTGTGCACCTGCAATCCCAGCTACTGGGAAGCTGAGACAGGAGAATCGCTTGAACCCAGAAGGCAGAGGTTGCAGTGAGCTGAGATCACACCACTGCACTCCAGCCTGGGCAACAGAGCAAGACTCTGTCTCAAAAAAAAAAAAAACAAAACAAAAAACAACTCTTTTTTTTTTGTAGAGATGGTGCCTTACTGTGTTGCTCAGGCTGTTCTGAAACTCCTGGCCTCAAGTAATCCTCCCACCTAAGCCTCCCAAAGTACTGGGATTACAGGTGTGCACCACCACACCTGGCTATTTAAAAAAAAATTTTTTTTTAGAGATGGGGTCTCGCTCTATTGCCCAGGCTGGTCTCAAACTCCTGTTCTCAAGCAATCCTCCAGCCTCAACCTCCCAAAGTGCTGGGATTACAGACATGAGCCACCCCACCCAGGTTTACTTAGCCTTTCTAAGCCTAAGAGATCTCAGGTACCTTGGTTTCTTCATCTGCAGAATGGAGCTGATTAATACTATTAAGTGTCTACTGGTAGGTTGTAGAGTTGTAAGACTTTATATAAGATAATTCATACAAAGGGGCCTGGTCTAAGCACTCATTAGTGCCATCAGCTTGATAATTATCACCACCGTTACCGCTAGTTCACTTCCTCATTCTTTTAAAAATGGCTATTTCTTACCCAAGAGCCGCCTGGCCTCATTGTTCATTGTTCCTTCGGGTCCTTTTCTTACAGTGTCTCCCCAGCTTGTGGCCCTTGCTGCTATCCTCCCCTCATCTAGGTCCAGAGCCTCTGCATCATCTTTTTTTTTTTTGAGACGGAGTCTCACTCTGTCGCCCAGGCAGGAGTACAATGGCGGGATCTCGGCTCACTGCAACCTGCACCTCCCGTGTTCAAGCAATTCTGCCTCAGCCTCCCAAGTAGCTGGGATTATAGGCATGAGCCACCACACTCAGCTAATTTTTGTATTTTAGTAGAGATGGGGTTTCACCATGTTGGCTAGGCTGGTCTTGAACTCCTGGTCTCAGGTGATCTGCCCCCCTCGGCCTCCTAAAGTCTCTGCATCATCTTGGAGGCACCATGGATGCATCCTTCTGCTGTCTCCCTGTAACCCGGAGCTCCTATCTGCCAGTCCTACTGAAGCTCGTTTTACAGCTCACATTATATTGGGTCATTTCCATTCTCACATCTTTCATTTTGATTCCATTTTTCCTGTACTTTTATGCTATTAAATAGCTTCTGGCTGGGCATGGTGTCTCACACCTATAAGCCCAGCACTTTAGGAGGTTGAAGCAATAGGATTGCTTGAGGCCAGGAGTTCAAGACCAGCCTGGGCAACATAATGAGACCCCGTCTCTATTTAAAAAAACCAACTAGCCAGGCATAGTGGTATGTGCCTGTGGTCCCAGCTACTCAGGAAGCTGAGGTGGGAGGATTGCCTGAACCCAGGAGGTTGAGGCTATAGTAAGCTATGATTGCACCACTGCACTCCAGCCTGGGTGACAGAGCAAGACCCTGTCTCCAAAAAATAATAATAATTGATTAAATAAAAATACAGCCAGGCGCGGTAGCTCACGCCTCTAATCCCAACACTGGGAGGCCAAGGCAGGGGGATCACCTCAGGACAGGAGTTTGAGAACAGCCTGGCCAACATGGCAAAACCCTGTCTCTACTAAAAATACAAAAATTAGCCAGGCGTGGTAATGTGCAACTATTATAATCCCAGCTACTTCGGAGGCTGAGACAGGAGAATCACTCGAACCCAGGAGGTGGAGGTTGCAGTGAGCCAAGATTGCGCCATTGCACTTCAGCCTGGGCGACAGGGCAAGACTCCGTCTCAAAACAACAACAACAACAAAAATAGCTTCCTCCCTGAATTCTCACCTCCAGGCTCCATCCAGCTCTACCCCAGCTGCCGCCACTGCTGGCCCATTCCCCTCCACCTGCTGTCATCTCTTCTTGCCACTCAGAAGCCCACTGGCCTCCCACACGCAGCCTCACCTGCCTCCTGGCTTCTCCTCCATCCCCCCCGGCCCTCAGGCTGCATGCTCCATGCCCTTCCACTTTGGTGCCTTTACTTGTGGCACTTCCTCTGCCCAGAAGGCCTGTCATCTGTGTCCAGAACCCCAGACCCAGTCCCCTGCAGGCCCGAACCCCTCCACAGTACAGAGCGGGTGCTGGTTCAGGGCTTGGAACCAAAGAGCATGACCTTGGGTGAGTTTCTCCACCTTTCTGAACAACAGCCCTCCAGACCCCAGAGTTCCTATGAGGCATATATGACAGAAGTGGGTAATGGCTGGGACAGTAGCTGGGCCGAGTTATCCCTCCTTTCCCTTTAAGAAGTCTTCCTTGAGCAGTGTCTCAGTTTAAAAGGTTTCTCTCTCCTTTCAACACTACAGCACAGAACTTTCCTGATTCTCAGCTATACACACACACTCAGTGGATCCATAGTCACAAACTCACGGTATATTATTTTACGTGGCTTATGGGAATTTTAAAGATTTTAAAAATTTGTTACTATAAGATTTTTGCGTGTGTGTGTGAGCAAGGTTCATAATGACCACAAGTTTGAGCAATTGGTCAAGCAGTAGGAACAGTTATTTTTAGGGTAAATCTAAATCTCACCCATCATGGGTCCTCCCTAGAGGCCCTGAAGCAGTTTCTACCATTTTTCTTCCCTCCCTCCCTCCCTTCCTTCCTTCCTTCCTTCTTCCTTCTTTTCTAAGACAAGGTCTTGCTCTGTCATTCAGACGAGCATAGTGATGCAATCTCAGCTCACTGCAGCCTCCAATGCCTGGATCGCTCAAGTAATCCTCCCACCTCAGTCTCCAGAGTAGCTGGGAATACAGGCGCATGCCACCATACCCAGCTAATATTTTGTAGGGATGAGGTCTCACTATGTTGCCCAGGCTGGTCTTGAACTCCTGTCCTGAAGTGATCTTCCCACCTGAGTCTCCTAAGGTACTGGGATTACAGGCATGAGCCACCACATCCAGCCCCATTTCTAGCATTTCCAACTACCTGGTGTGGTCCTCTTCCTCACGGCCCATATTCCTTACAGGCCTTCCCAAACCCCCTGGAACTTAACCATGTCCAGGTCAGCATCTTACAGATTTGGGTTTCTTGTCCTTCTATGTGTTTATATGCCTTGTAAGTCCTTTCTGACTGCAGACAACCTTGATGGGCTCCGGAAGTATGGAGACTTTGCCCAGGGGTCTGTCTGCAGCCAGAATTTTGCCATTGTCATGGTGCCCCAGCCTATGTCATGGTGCCCCTGGCCTATGGTGCCAGGGGAAGAACATAGTTTAAACGGCTGTAATGCACTTGAGGAAATGTACAGGGAAGACAGTGCTTGGGACAGTTCTGTCACTGAGGACTAAGGTCCAGGGAAGGACGTGCTAAGAGGAAGCTGTAAGCACTGCGTCTCCATAGGAGAGAAGTACTGCTTCATGGAGAGGTTTAGGGGAATGAACTTTTCACTTCTTACTTGCATCTTTTTTTTTTTCCTTTTTTTTGAGACAGGGTTTTTGCTCTGTTGCCCAGGCTGGAATGCAGTGGGGGCGATCACGGCTCACTGCAACCTCTGCCTGCTGGGCTTAAGCGATCCTCCCACCTCAACCTCCCTAGTAGCTGGGACTACAGTTGTGCACCACCACACCTGGCTAATTTTTGTATTTTTTGTAGAGACAGGGTTTCACCATGTTGTCCGGGCTGATCTCAAAATCCTGGCCTTAAGCGATCCTCCCACCTCAGCTTCCCAAAGTGCTGGCCAGAGATTCCTTCCTGACTGCTCTTACGCTCACCCTGCAGAGCCAACGACTGTGCTCAGGAGAGCCCCAAATCATGTGCTGTAGGGGAAGCATCGCATGTCATTCTTGTCCTCCCAGAGGACCCCATCTGATGGGGAAAGGACCCTGTAATTAGTTTCCTGGGGCTGTCAACAAATTCCCACTAATTGGGTGGCTGCATTCTCTCACCGTCTTGCAAGGTAGGGCAATACTGTCTCTGAAAGCTCTAGGAAAGGCTCCATTTTTTTTTTTTTTTTTGAGAGTCTCGCTCTGTCACCCAGGCTGGAGTGCAGTGGCGTGATTACTGCTTACTGCACTCTCAACCTCCTGGGCTTAAGCAATCCACCTGCCTCAACCTCCCTAATAGCTAGGACTACAGGCACACACCACCACACCCAGCTAATTTTTGTATTTTTTAGTAGAGACACGGTTTCGCTGTGTTGGCCAGGCTGGTCTTGAACTCCTGACCTCAGGTGATCCTCCCGCCTCTGCCTCTCAAAGTGCTGGGATGACAGGTGTGAGTCACTGCGCCCGGCCGGGAAGGATTCTTTCTAGCTTCTCGTGGCCGCTGGCTGTCCTTGGCATTCCTTGGCTTGTAGACTCATCACTCATCTCTGTCTCATTTCATGCAGCATCCTCCCTGTGTGTCTCTGGATCCCTACATCTTCTTCGAGGATCACCAGTCATATTACATTCCATAATATGACCCTACTCCAGTGTGACCTCATCTTAACTAATTACATCTGCAAATGCCCTATTTGTAAATAAGATCATATTCATAGGTACGGGGTGGGGGGGGTTGGGCGTGATTATATATTTTTGTGGGGCGGGGGTATACAATTCAACTTACAACAGAGGTTATACTGTTTAAAAATCAAGTCTGGTCAGGAGAAGAAAATATATAAGGAGATATGAATTTAAGAACATATTCATTAGCTGGGCGTGGTGGCAGGCGCCTGTAGTCCCAGCTACTCGGGAGGCTGAGGTGAGAGAATCGCTTGAACTCAGGAGGCAGAGGTTGCAGTGAGCCGAGGTCACGCCACTGCACTCCAGCCTGGTGACAGAGCGAGACTCCGTCTCAAAAAAAAAAAAAAAAAAAAAAAAAAAGAGCATATCTGAGAATTTAGAAAAACAGCAGCTGGATGTGGCAGTGTGCAGCTATAGTCCCAGCTACTTGAGAGGCTGAGGTAGGAGGATCACTGGAATCCAAGTGTTCAAGTCCCGCCAGCCTGGGCAACATAGCAAGACAGCGAAACCCTATCTCTTTTGAAAAAAAAAAAAAAAAAAAAAAAAAAAAAGCTGGCCAGGTGCTGTGGCTCACGCCTGTAATCCCAGCACTTTGTGAGGCCGAGGCGGGTGGATCACTTGAGGTCAGGAGTTCGAGACCAGGATGGTCAACATAGCGAAACCCTGTCTCTACTAAAAATATAAAAATTAGCCAGGCATGGTGGCATGCGCCTGTAGTCCCAGCTACTTGGGAGGCTGAGGCAGGAGAATCGCTTGAACCCAGGAGGCGGAGTTTGCAGTGAGCTGAGATCATGCCACTGCACTCCAGCCTGGGCAACAGAGTGAGACTCTGTCTAAACAGAAAAAAAAAAAAAAAGTTTTTATTTCCAAAGGATAGATTCCTAGGAGTGAGATTACTGGGTCAAAGTTTTTTTTTTTAACCTTTCATTATAGAAAAGTTCAAACGTATACAAATATGAAGACTAGTCCAAGAAGCCCTGGTATAGCCCCAGCATCAACAAGGAACTTGTGGCCAAACATATATCCTATGGACAAGGGGTCAGCATTTTCTGCAAAGAGCCAGTTAGTAAATATTTTAGGCTTTGCAGGCCGCATGGTCTCCATCGCAACCATTCAACTCTGCCTTTGTAATGCAGAAGCAGCCTCAGCTGATATTAAATGAATACGTAAATGCATGAGAGTGGGTGAATTCTAATAAGATTTCTTTTCTTTCTTTCTTTCTTTTTCTTTTTTTTTTTGTTGTTGTTGTTGAGAGTTTTGTTGTCGCTGAGAGCTCTCTCAGCCAGGCTGGAGTGCAATTGTGGAATCTCGGCTCACTGCAACCTCTGCCTCCCAGGTTCAAGCAATTCTCCTGCCTCAGCCTCCCGAGTAGCAAGTAGCTGGGATTACAGGCGCCCGTCACCACGCCCAGCTAATTTTTGTATTTTTAGTAGAGATGGGGTTTCACCATGTTGGCCAGGCTGGTCTCAAACTCCTGACCTCAGGTGATCCACCCACCTTGGCCTCCCAAAGTGCTGGGATTACAGGCATGAGCCACTGTGCCCGGCCATAAGCTTTATTTTCAAAACCAGGTGTTAGTCTGGTCTGGTTGTGGCTTGTAACTGTAGTTTGCTGATCCGTGGGTCTATACCATCAACCACCAGACTTTTTATTCTCCAGATTATTTGAAGTAAATCTTAGACATTGTATCATCTTGCCAGTAAATATTTCAGAATGAACCTGTTTAAAAAAAAAACAAACTCTTTAAAAATTAACCACAACATATTTATCACACCTAAAAGTTTAAAGGTAATTCCTGGCTGGGGACAGTGGCTCATGCCTGTAATCCCAGTGTTTTGGGAGGCTGAGGTGGGAGGATCACTTGAAGCCAGGAGTTTGAGACCAGCCTGGGCAACATAGTGAGACCCCGTCTCTACCAAAAATGAAAATAACTGAGCATGGTGTCATTCGCCAGTAATCCCAGCTACTCAGGAGGCTGAGGCAGGAGAATCGCTAGAGCCCAGGAGTTGGAGGCTGTGGTGAGCCATGATTGTGCCACTGCACATCAGCTTAGGGGACAGAAAAAGACCCTGTCTCAGGACGAAAAATAATAATAATAATAATAAAAACTAGAGTTTTTTCAGCCCCTTTGCAGAATTTTCCGGGAGATACATTCAAGAAAACCAAGATGTAGAGAAGTCTATATATGACAATCTAATTTTTGTAGAACAATGGCAAAATTAACCTCTTCAGTATGTAGGTATTTATGTGTATGTGTGGGTGTATGTATGTGATACATAACAGGTTTTTAACATGGGTTATAGGGATAGAATGACATCAAAACAGAAAAAGGAGAAAATCTGTACCTAAGAAAACAGCCTACATGATATAATCCCTTTTCTGTGTTTGTGCAAATGGTACTCCTATGTATATGCACTTTGCAAAATTAAAAAGAGTTATGATTTGGCCGGGCACAGTGGCTCACGCCTGTAATCTCAGCACTTTGGGAGGCAGAGGTGGGAGGATCATTTGAGGTCAGAAGTTCGAGACCAGCCTGGCCAACATGGCGAAACCCCGTCTGTACTAAAAATACAAAAATTAGTTGGGCATGGTAGTGCACACCTGTAATCCCAGCTACTCGGGAGGCTGAGGCAGGAGAATTGCTTTAACACAGGAGGCAGGGGTTGCAGTGAGCCACGATCACACCACTGCACTCTAGCCTGGGCGACAGAGTAAGACTCCGCTCAAAAGAGAAAAAAACAAGGCCTGTAATCCCAGAACTTTGGGGTTCGCAAATCACCTGAGGTCAGGATCTCGAGACCAGCCTGGCCAACCAACATGGTGAAACCACGTCTCTACTAAAAATACAAAAATTAGCCGGGTTTGATGGCGGGTGCCTGTAGGCCCAGCTACTCGGGAGGCTGAGGCGGGAGAATCGCTTGAACCCGGGAGGCAGAGGTTGCAGTGAGCCAAGATCGGGCCACTGCACTCCAGCCTGGGTGACAGAGCGAGACTCCTCAAAAAAAAAAAAAAAAAAGTTAACGATTTTAAAAACGATTGAGAGGGAATGTTTAATGTCCCTTGATGTCATTAAGGAAGTACAAGGGAATTTGCTTAGAAGTTGGAAAATGCCCAAGAGTGTGGGAAAACAAAGACTTAGTGACCACCGCCGGTGCTGGCCAGCCGGAGAAGGCTCTGTGGAAGGTTTGGAGGGGAGAGAGGGGCAGCTGGATGCTCTTGGGCCACGGTCGCTCCCTGATCTCTGCGCCTCTTCCTCCTGCTCCGGGAGAAATAATGTTTCCCTGGGGGATGAAAAGCATCTCTTTGTGCGGGCTTTAATTGCCATGTTGTTGTGCCAAGGGAGTGAGTGGCAGGCGGGAGCAGCAGCTGGGCACAGCCAATGCCAGGCAGTGGTGCCCACTCCCTCAGGACGGCCCAGCCAGCTGGCTCCTGGGAGCGCTGCCCACCTCTGCCCCCAGCTGGGCGCCTGCAGAGGAACCGACCACCCGTGGGGCTGGGGGAGGTTGGCTGGAGGAGGAGAAAGGGGCGGGCATCTGGGAGGGTCTCAGCCACTCTCAGAGGCTTATTCATCTCATCCTCCTTTCCCTCCCCCCTTCTTGTTTTTCAGACTGTCAGCATCAATAAGGCCATTAATACGCAGGAAGTGGCTGTAAAGGAAAAACACGCCAGAAATATCCTTTTGGATGTTGCTTGGAAGACCGACCCTGAGGGAGGTCAGCTCATGGGGACTGAGGTCAGGGCCAGGCTGCCTTGCTCAGCTCCAGGAAGGGGCAACCCTGCACAGGCCAGGTCCCTGCAGCTTCTGATGACGGCAGCTTCTCAGAGAGGGCTGGCTGCAGAGACCACAGACCTTCAGGGTGGCAGACACCAAAAAGGCTGTGGAGCCCAGGCCTTTCAACTTGCCAAAGATCCTGCTCCTTTCCTTAAGGACTTAAGCACTCCTTTTTTTCTTTTTCCAAAAGGGGTCTTGCCGTGTTGCCCAGGCTGGAGTGCAATGGCGTGATCATAGCTCACTGCAGCCTCAAACTCCTGGGTTCACGCAATCCTCTCGTCTCAGCCTCCCGAGTAGCTGGGACTACAGGTGTGCACCACTATGCCTGGCTAATTTATTTTATGATTTTTAGAGATGGGGTATTGCTCATTGCCCAAGCTGGCCTCAAGCAATCCTCCCTCCTCTGTAACCCCAAAGTGCTGGAATTACAGGGGAGAGCCACTGCACCTGGCCGACTCAAGCTTTGTAGAACCTCATAGTCACTTGAAAGTTACTTTCCTTTGAGAGACCTCCTGGGGGTCAGGAGGGATCTTCACCTATATTCAAAGCCCTCCAGGTCCTTTCTTTGCCTTTACAGGAACACAGGGACCACTCCCCTGGGGGTTGCATAATCAATAGTTATCTCCTTTTCTGAGCATGAAAGCAAAAAAAAAAGAAAAAGAGAGTTTTTTTTTTTTTTCTTTTTTGAGACAGAGTCCCACTCTGTTGCCCAGGCTGGAGGGCAGTGGCATGTTCTCGGCTCACTGTAACCTCTGCCTCCTGGATTCAAGCGATTCTTGTGCCTCAGCTTCCCAAGTAGCTGGGATGACAGGCGTGTGCCACCACACCCGGCTAATTTTTGTAATTTTAGTAGGACCGGGGTTTTGCCATGTTGGCCAGGCTGGCCTTGAACGCCTGGCCTCAGCCTCCTAAAGTGCTGAGATCACAGGCATGAGCCACCATGCCTGGCCGAAAAAAAGAAAGTCTTAGCTTCAGAGGTTGGTTGGCCTTAAACTGAGGCAGGGGCTCTCTACCTTCGTGAACAGGTTCAACCTATGCCAGGGGGAAGAAGACAAGAGCCTTGAAGTGGATTAGGGAATGGGTGACTTGAAAGCCCTCTGTAAGCCCACCACACCCAGGAGCAGCCTGTGGCTTTGTAGAGAGGTGCAGGACCATGCTGGCTGATGAATCCCTAGGAATCTGCCTTTGAGTTGCAGAATCCAGGAACTGGAGCGCTTAATCCCCAAAGGCTGAAGGAGAGAGTCTGCCAGGGGGGTGGCTAAGCTTTTAACTCTCTGTGTGCTGGGCCAGAGCAAGGTGGAGTTCCGGGCAAGCAGAGTTGGGACTTTTTTTTTTTTTTTTTTGAGACAGAGTCTTGCTCTGTCGCCTAGGCTGGAGTGCAGTGGCATGATCTCAGCTCACCGCAACCTCCGCCTTCCAGGCTCAAGAGATCCACCTGCCTCAACCTCCCAAGTAGCTGGGACCACAGGTGTGTATCACTACCCCTAGCTAATTTTTGTATTTTTAGTAGAGACGGGGTTTTGCCATGTTGCTCAGGCTGGTTTCAAACTCCTGAGCTCAAGCAATCCTCCTGCCTTGGCCTCCCAAAGTGCTGGAATTACAGGCATGAGCCACCGCGCCCAACTTCGGAGGCCGCACCCAGCCTCAGAGGCTGGACTTCTGTCTGCAGTGGGAAGCTTCTCCTCACCTGGGCTCTTGGTTACTGTGTCACAGCCAGGCAAGCCAGAGCAGCTTGTCCCGAAGCCTTCTAGCCTCAACCCCTAGAGGCGACCCTCCAGGTTAGATAGCCAGAGAAGCCCAGCATTGCTTAGTGTGATATATGAACTGCTGTTTGCTAGAGGGAAAGCAGCTTGCCTTTAGTGGGAAGATGCTTTGGCTGGAATTAGGATGGCGGCTGCAGAACCTCTCTGGGGTAACCCAGAAGTCCAGCCCTGTGCGAGCCTAGCTAGATCTTGCTCTTTTTTTCCCCAGAAAGACACAGGCCCCTTGGTTTCCTGCATCACGTTTGGTACCCTTGCGATGATTCAAAGCAAACCAAGAAAAGCCTTTATTTTAAACGGCCCAGTGGATTTTCTCAGAGGAAATGACTCAGCCCTGACCCTTACCTACGAATAATTTGTGATCAATCTGATAAAAGATATGAGTAAGGGAGAGACAGTTATCATCAGGCAGTGTGCTGTTCAGGACAAGACATGGGTGCAGAGAGGCCAGGCCTGCAGCGGCAGGGTCAGGTCACATGCTGCCGGGAGGCTCCCTGGGAGGAGGGAAGGGGCCCTGCAAGGAGATTCTGACATTCTGCCACTGGAACTCTCGGGCTCACTCTGGGACCTTGAGTGGGGCCTCCATGAGTCTTAGGTCACTTTCTGTTCAATCAAAGGTTGGACAAAGAAGATTTCAGGCCAGGTGTGGTGGCTCATGCCTATAATCCCAGCACTTTGGAAGGTGGAGGCGGATGGATGACCTGAGGTCAGGAGTTCGAGACCAGCCTGGCCAACATGGTAAAACCCCGTCCTACTGAAAAAACAAAAATTAGCCAGGTGTGGTGGCAGGTACCTGTAATCCCAGCTACTTGGGAGGCTGTGGCAGGAGAATCACTTGAACCTGGGAGGCAGAGGTTGCAGTGAGCCGAGATCGTACCACTGTACTCCAGCCTGGGCAACAAGAGCAAAACTCTGTTTCAAAAAGAAAAAGATTTCAAAGATTTAACAGTCCAGCCCTAACATTCTATGAGTCTCTGATTCATAATTTCTAAATGGTGAATAAATGTTGAAAAATCAACTCCATACAGTAGGGTTTGAAATGCCTAATTAAAGATATCCCAAAGCTTTTTTTTTTTTTTTTTTTTTTGAGGCAGGGTCATGCACTGTCACCCAGGCTGGAGTGCAGTGACACAATCAGTTGGAGGCTCACTGCAGCCTCCAACTTTTAGGCTCAAGTGATCCTCCCACCTCAGCCTCCTGAGTAGCTGGGACTATAGGCACATGCCATCATGCCTGGCTAATTTTTTATAGAGATGGGGTCTCACTGTGGCCCAGGCTGGTCTTGAACTCCTAGCTAGGCTCAAGCAGTCCTCCCGCTGGGCCTCCCAAAGTGCTGCAATTACAGGCGTGAGCCACCATGCCCAGCGCATTTATCTATTATCAGGTCTTTTATCAGCTGCCTTAGATACAAACTGAATAAGCATTAGGAAGTCTGACTTCAGAAATGCTGCTTACACATTTATCACAGATGCCTAAATGGTGAACAGGTTGGCCCGCCACCTTGGTATTCACTCCTGGAGGGCTGGGGACTGAGTCTTATTTTTCTTATTTTCTTTTTTTTCTCCCTGAATGGATTTTACAGGCTTTGACACATACTTGGGGCATAAAAATGCTTATATGTGAAAGAATGCCAGAAAGGCATTATTTCTGAATTATTTCAGAAATCGCTCCTACACCAAGGCCAGGCACAGTGGCTCACACCTGTAATCCCAGAACTTTGGGAGGCCAAGGTGGGTGGATCTCTTGAGGCCAGGAGTTCGAGACCAGCCTGAGCATCATGGTGAAACCCCGTCTCTACTAAAAAAAACAAAAATTAGCCGGGCATGGTGGCGGGTGCCTGTGATCCCAGCTACTTGGGAGGCTGAGGCACGAGAATCACTTGAACCTGGGAGGTGGAGGTTGCAGTGAGCCAAGATTGTGCCACTGCACTCCAGCCTGGGCAACAGAGCGAGACCCTGTCTAAAAAAAAAATAGAAAGAAAGAACGAACGAGAGAGAGAGGGAGGGAAGGAAGGAAGGGAGAGAGAGAAAGAAAGAAAGGAAGGAAGGAAGGAAGGAAGGAAGGAAGGAAGAAAGAAAGAAAGAAAGAAAGAAAGAAAGAAAGAAAGAAAGAAAGAAAGAAAGAAAGAAAGAAAGGACTCCTACACCAAAAGCTGATTTTAGCTTCCAGACCCAAACATCTGTTTAAGCCCACCCCTCTCTAAATGAAGATGTCATCGAGGAAAGGAGCTTTATGGTATCTTCCAGTTCAGAAGCAAAATAACATGTGCTCTGGGTGAGTCATTTAGTTTCCTACCTGAGATGAGTCCTTCTGCCCTAAATGACAGTGCACTTGCGACCTAGCCTTGCTGAGTAAAGCCTAAAGTTCCGGGCACAGAGTTGTCCTAACAACTGACAGTGCCCAGTTACTGGGTCTGTGAATCTTGTTGAAGCACACAATTACAAAAGTGGAAATTCTCTCCTCACTCCAAAAAGAGCTCACTAATGACAGAGATCTGGAATAGCCGAACTTAAAATCATGTGAGGCCAGAGGGACATTTGTTTATTTTTGAGATGGAGTCTCGCTCTGTCGCCCAGGCTGGAGTGCAGTGGTGCAATCTTGGCTCACTGCAACCTCCATCTCCCAGGTTCAAGTGATTCTCCTGCCTCAGCCTCCCGAGTAGGTGGGATTACAGGCATGCACCACCATGCCCGGCTAATTTTTGTACTTTTAGTAGAGACGGGGTTTCACCATGTTGGCCAGGCTGGTCTTGATCTCCTGACCTCGTGATCTGCCCACCTCGGCCTCCCAGAGTCCTGTGATTACAGCCGTGAGCCACCACGCCCAACCCTGATGGACATTTATTACATGCAAACTGACAACTATCTGCAGAGGGTGGGTGTGTTTGGAATCAGGCCTGGGGAGAAGTGGTTCCAGGATCCCATATATGGGGAATTCAAGGTGTGGAGAGATTGAAGGTGACCCTGAACAGGGCCAGGCAGGTTTATGGAAGAAGTCGGGTGTTCAGGTTTATGGAAAGGGCTTTTGTTGTTGCTGTTGTTGTTGAGGCAGAGTTTTGCTCGTTGCCCAGGCTGGAGTGCAATGGCATGATCTCGGCTCACTGCAATCTCTGCCTCCCGGGTTCAAGCAATTCTCCTGCCTCAGCCTCCTGAGTAGCTGGGATTACAGGCATGCGCCACCACACTGGGCTAATTTTGTATTTTTAGTAGAGACGGGGTTTCACCACATTGGTCAGGCTGATCTCAAACTCTGACCTCAGGTGATCCGCCCGCCTCAGCCTCCCAAAGTGCTGGGATTGGAGGTGTGAGCCACCGCGCTCCACCCTGATGGACATTTATTACATGCAAACTGACGACTATCTGCAGGGAGTGGGTGTGTTTGGAATTAGGCCTGGGGAGAAGCGGTTCCAGGATTCCATATATGGGGAATTTAAGGTGTGGAGAGATTGAAGGTGCCCCTGAACAGGGCCAGGTGGGTTTACGGAAGAAGTGGGGTGTTGAGGTTTACAGAAAGGGCATTTTAAACAAAGATTGCTGCTGTCAAGGCAAGCAAAAGGCTGGCTAAATGGAAAGGGGCTGGGAGATGCTGCCTGGAGGAGGAGCCAAGGGGTCAAGGTGCAGGACTCCCTGCAGGGACCAAGGTCCTTGATGAGGAGCAGAAGCACACTCTCACTTTTTTTTTTTTTTTTTTTTTGAGATGGAGTCTTGCTCTGTCACCCAGGCTGGAGTGCAGTGGCGTGATCCTGGCTCACTGCAACCTCCACCTCCCGGATTCAAGCAATTCTCTTGCCTCAGCCTCCTGAGAAGCTGGGATTACAGGCGCCCACCGCCACGCCCAGCTAATTTTGTATTTTTAGTAGAGATGGAGTTTCGCCGTGTTGGTCAGGCTGATCTTAAACTCCTGAGCTCAGGTGATCCACCCACCTTGGCCCCCCAAAGTGCTGGGATTATAGGCGTGAGTCTCTGCACCTGGCTTGCACACCCTTACTTTTAATAATGCATAAGAAAGAACCTGAGGAAGCCCTCAAATGTTGTTTAAAAGTTAGGTGTCATAAGGCCAGACACAGTGGTTCATGCCTGTAACCCCAGCACTTTGCGAGGCCAAGAGGGGAGGACCACTTGAGGCCAGGAGCTTGAGACCAGCCTGGGCAACATAGCAAGATCTCATCTCTACCAAAAATTTAAAAATTAGCCAGGCACAGTGGTGCATGCCTATAGCCCCAGCTACTTGGGAGGCTGAGGTAGGAGGATTGCCTGAGCCCAGGAGTTTGAGGTTACAGTGAGCTATGATCACACCACTGCACTCCAGTCTGGGTGACAGAGTAAGACCCTATCTTAACCACCACAACAAATAGCTGTAGTTATTCCCGAAGGACACATCATCAACTCAGCATTCTCGTAGAAAGGACAACCCAATACCACCGTGGCCTACAGGGTATTTGTGCAAATTAGAAAAAGACACACCTCTCTCTCAAGACGCTTACATCTCGGGAAATTGTCTACTCAAGTGGATTTTATTAAAATAAGTATTCCCATCTGCCCTAAAACTCCCAGAAGGAATGTACAGTTCTGTGGTGTCTTAGCTCTGAGCGGCGCTCCCTCCAAGGCACTGCCAACCACGACTTGCACTACTGCTCGGTCCCCTGCAGTGGCTGTGTGCAGGCTTGGTCCCCTGCAGTGGCTGGGTGCAGCCTCTATCCCCTGTGATGGCTGGGTGCAGGCTCAGTCCCCTGCAGTGGCTGGGTGCAGGCTCAGTCCCCTGCAGTGACTGGCAGAGCCCATCCGTTGTTTTCCATAACCCCCCCTCACCGTGCATACTGGGCACCCACCATGAGAAAGGGGCACAGACCTTCTGGTCTGTTGTCAACCGCCTGCCTCTGTCTAGCAACGCAGTGCTCTGCTGGAAGTTCTGCCATGTGTTCCACAAACTCCTCCGAGATGGACACCCGAACGTGAGTTCCTGGGGCTATGGGGTGGCAGGGAGCCAGGGATCCTTGTGGGGAAAGTGACTGCCTGGGCCACAGAGGCTGCTGTCCTCTCCCACACTGCCCCCTTCTCCTGGCCTTTGGGTTCCCCATTAGAGTTGGGTGAGTCTCCCTCCCATCAGCCTGTCCCCCTGCCCTAGGTTCACCTCCGCCTCTCTCCATCCTCCTTCCCTTTGTCTTTCTTTCCTTCTCCATTCTCTCACAGGCTGTTCTTTTGCCCCTGCAGGTCCTGAAGGACTCTCTGAGATACAGAAATGAATTGAGTGACATGAGCAGGATGTGGGTGAGTTTGGAGATGTACTCAGGAGCCACCTGCTTCTCCTTTCCTTCCTCAGAGGCCACAGAGCAAGGACTGGAGGGTGAAATAAATTCATCTCCTTCAGCTTGTTGAGGATTTCTCCCATGGGTGCCAGAGACGGACTAAGGATGCCCCCAAAGAGTACCATGATATCCATAGTCTTGCCTGGGGTCTCTGGACGCTTCAGGAAAGTTCCAGGGCCTGGGAGCTTCTCCTGCCAATGAAAACTCATAAACTCATGTCACAAAGCTGCCCAAGGTTGGGATCCCTCAGCAGTAGCTACATGGCCATGTTTCCTGCTTTTTTTTTTTTTTTTTTGGTAGAGACGGGGTCTTGCTATGCTGCCCAGGCTGGTCTTGAACTCCTGGCCTCAAGTGATCCTCCCACCTCAGCCTCCCAAAGTGCTGGGATCACACACATGAGCCACTGTGCCCAGCCCACAGTTCCTACTTCTCTTCTCCTTCCACTGGTCCCGTTGGAGTCATAGTGCATTGAGAATTAGAATTAGCATACCCAATTCTTAATGCCAGAGCTTTTTCTTTCCTGTTTAGAGATTATCAGTGCTTTAGGATGAGGGGGGAGGTAGGTGGCAATATCACAGTCAATGGAAAAGAGCATTTCTGTACACACACCACAATCACCCCAGATTCTGATGTCCGTGGGTGTGTATATGGAGAGGGGTAATCTGCATTTTGAAGAATCTCTCTTGGCCAGGCGCAGTGGCTCACGCCTGTAATCCTAGCACTTTAGGAGGCCGAGGCAAGCAGATCACCTGAGGCCAGGAGTTTGAGACTAACCTGGCCAACATGGTGAAACCCGGGCTCTATTAAAAATACAAAAATTAGCTGGGTGTGGTGGCGTGTGCCTGTAATCCCAGCTACTCGGGAGGCTGAGGCAGGAGAATCGCTTGAACCTAGGAGGCGAAGGTTGTGGTGAGCCAAGATTGGGCCACTGCACTCCAGCCTGGGTGACAGAGTGAGACTCTGTCTCAAAAAAAAAAAAAAAATCTCCCTGGTTGATTCTGATATGTTCTTTTGCCTCTACCAGTTGAGAACTACTACTTTAGCCTTTTTGCACAGTCTTACCTGTATCTGTCTGCACCTATAAAATGTTGGCAACTATGTAGTCCTATCTACCTATCATAGGTGAGGAAACACAGGCCCAGAAAGGGAAGCAGCTTGTCCTAAAGTCACAAAATTAGGTACCAGAACAAAGTTGAGAGTTGTCCCCAGATTTCCCAACTGTGTGCTAGAAAACGTTCCCTGTAACATGTAAAGTTTAGGTCTTTTTCCTTTTTGTTAGAATTTGCCTGGTATATATTTCTCCATCTTTTTACTTTAAGCATTCCTATATTTTTATGTTTTAGAAATAACACTTATAAATAACATTTGGTTGGATTTTGTGTGGTTTGTGGTTGTTGTTTTTTTATCCAGGATGGTAGTCTTTGTCTTTTAACTGGGCATTTAGTCTATTTACATTTATTATGCTACGTGGTATGTTTAGATTTATGTCTCCCATTTTATTCTATGTTTTCTATTTGTCCCATCTGTTCTACTTCTATTTCTCTCATTCCTTGCCTTCTTTTGGATTGGCTGGGTGTTTTTTTCTCATTCTGTTTTTTCCTCATTACTATTTGGGAGGTTAAAAAATAAATCTACTTTTTTTGTTTTTGGCATGTTCTCTAATAATTACAAAATGCTTGCTTGTTTTATCTAGGTCTACCTTTCGTATCTTTGTTTCCTGTATAACACAAAGACTTTAGAATATTTTAGTTCCATTCAGTCCCTCAATTTATCTGTTAGCATAACCATGTATTTTGGTTTTGGTTATGTTTATCTTTAAATTCTGTAAGTTATTGTTTTATTTTCCTTGTTTTATTCTGTGCTCTCCATAGACCTTTCATCTGAGATCACTTTCTTTCTGCCTGAATTATTTCCTTTCTAACTTCCATAATTGAGAGCCTACTGGTGGCTGACACTGTGTTTGCTTGTTTAAGAATGTCGTTTTTGGCCAGGCGCAGTGGCTCATGCCTGTAATCCCAGCACTTTGGGAGGCCGAGGCGGGCGGATCACGAGGTCAGGAGATTGAGACCATCCTGGCTAACACGGTGAAACCCCCGTCTCTACTAAAAAAATACAGAAAATTAGCCGGGCGTGGTGGTGGGTGCCTGTAGTCCCAGCTACTCAGGAGGCTGAGGCAGGAGAAAGGCGTGAACCCGGGAGGCGGAGTTCACAGTGAGCCGAGATCGCACCACTGCACTCCAGCCTAGGTGACAGAGAGAGACTTCGTCTCAAAAAAAAACAAAAAAAACCCAAAAAAAAAGTCTTTTTTTTTTTTTTTTTTTTTTTTTTTTTTTTGGAGACAGAGTCTTGCTCTGTTGCCTGGGCCAGAGTACACTGGCATAATCTCAGCTCACTGCACCCTTCGCCACCCAGGTTGAAGCGATTCTCCTGCCTCAGCCTCCCGAGTAGCTAGAATTACAGTGCCTACCACCACACCCAGCTAATTTTTATATTTTAGTGGAGACACGGTTTTGCCATGTTGGCCAGGCTGGTCTCGAACTCCTGACCTCAAGTGATCTTCCCTCCTCGGCCTCCCAAAGTGTTGGGATTACAGGCATCAGCCATCGCGCCCAGCCCCTTTTCAGATTTTGGCTAGACCTGTGTCAGACTTTCTCATCCTACCCCTCATGTCTCTAAACCACTCTTTCAGTTTTTTCTACCTATTTGTCTTTGCTGTATTCTGGATAATTTTTATCAACTCTAGCCTTCAGTTTGCCTCCTCTCCAGTTGGGTCTAATGTGTTATTAAGCTTCTCCATAAGGTTTTCAATTTCATTTAGTACAGTTTTCTTTTCTTTTCTTCTTCTTCTTCTTCTTTTTTTTTTTTTTAAGACAGAGTTTTGCTCTTGTTGCCCAGGCTGGAGGGCAATGGCACGATCTCTGCTCACTGCAACCTCCACCTCCCAGGTTCAAGTGATTCTCCTGTCTCAGCCTCCCAAGTAGCTGGGATTACAGGCATGTGCCACCACGCCCAGCTAATTTTGTATGTTTAATAGAGATGGGGTTTCACCATGTTGGCTAGGCTGGTTTCGAACTCCTAACCTCAGGTGATCCAATGCCTCAGCCTCTCAAATTGCTAGGATTACAGGCATGAGCCACCACACCTGGCCCAATTAGTACAGTTTTCATTTCTTGAAGTTCTATTTATTTATTTTTTTTCAAATCTGCTTGTTTTTTGCGGGGGAAGGTGGTTGTTGTTGCTGTTTGAGACAGGGTCTCACTCTGTCACCCAGGCTGGAGTGCAGTGGCGCGATCATGGCTTATTGCAGCCTCAACCTCCTGAGCTCAGGTGATTCTTCCACCTCAGCCTTCCAAGTAGCTGGGAAAACAGGTGTGCACCACCAAACCCAGCTAATTTTTGTAGACGCAGGTTTTCGCCATGTTGCCAAGGGTGGTCTCGAACTCCTGGGCTTAAGCGATCTGCCACCTCAGCCTCCCAAAGCACTGGGATTACAGGCAGGAGGAGCCACTGTGTCTGGCCCTGCTTCTCCTCCTTTACAATTTATTATGCCCTGCATATATTTTGAAACAGTCTCTTATTTCTTTAGATATATGAACCAAAGTCATCTCATATATGTTTTGTAATTCTATTATCTAAAGTCTTTAGAGATTTGTTTCTGTCCTCCGTCCCTTTTGGTGCATTTTGCCCATGCTGTGTAGTTTTCTTTATGTTCGGTTACTTTCTACCCTAAGCTGCTCATCTTCCTTGGAATTTTATCTGTGGAGAATTCTTTGAAGTCTGTAATGAAGGCAGGTTCCTCCAGAGAGAATTGGCATTTGCTTCGATTGAGATCACTCGAAATTAAATTCTCAGCTTAAGGTTTTGTGAGTTTAGGGCAGATTTTCCTTCCCCAATCACAGCGGTGATTTGAGGCGGTAGAATTCTTCATAGTCCTTAGGGAGGACTTCCTCAGTGCAGGAGTACAAGCGTTTGTTACTTTATTATTTATCTTTACTTCCCCTATACCAAGGAGGCAGTCTTTTGTGTGTGTGTTGGTGGTGGTGGTGGTGTTTTGAGACAGTTTCTTGCTCTGTCACCAAGGCTGGAGGAATGGTGACATGATCACAGCTCACTGCAGCCTCAACTTCCTGGGCTCAAGTGATCCTCCCACTTCAGCCTCCTGAATAGCTGAGACCACAGGTGCACACCACCATGCCCAGCTAATTTTTTAATTTTTTGTAGAGATGGGGTTTCGCCATGTTGGCCAGGCTGGTCTCAAATTCCTGAGCTCAAGCAATCCTCCCTCCTCGGCCTCCCAAAGTGCTGGGATTACAGGCATGAGCCACTGCACCTGGCCAGACTCAACATTCTTAAGTAGGAAGCTTTGTCCAGAATTTATCAAAGGCAGTCCTTATGTTTGTACAAAAGATTGTGCTATAAGGAATGTTCATTGAAATGGTTTATGATAGCAAAAATTTCAACTGGTTTGAATTGGCTTCAGCTCATTTGAATTTATTGAGTCAGTTCAATAAATTACAATAATACTGGTCAGTCACTAAAAATAATGAAAGAAAGTTTAAGAAGTTGAATAAAATTGCAGCATATTAAGCAAGAAAAATAGATTGATTCTATTTTACATTTAAGAATAAAGGTAGATGGCTGGGTGCGGTGGCTCACGCCTGTAATCCCAGCACTTTGGGAGGCAGAGGCGGGCAGATCACCTGAGATCAGAAGTTCGAGACTAGTCTGGCCAATATGGTGAAACCCCATCTCTACTAAAAGCTACAAAAATTAGCTGGGCGTGGTGGCTCACACCTGTAGTGTAATCCTAGCCTTTTGGGAGGCCAAAGCAGGTGGATCACTCAAGGCCAGGAGTTTGAGACCAGCCTGGGTAACATGGTGAAACCATATCTCTAGCAAAAATACAAAAATTGACCAGGCGTGGTGGTGCGTGCCTGTAATCCCAGCTACTCGGGAGGCTGAGGCAGGAGAATCACTTGAACCCAGGAGGTGGAGGCTGCAGTGAGCCGAGATCATGCCACTGCACTCCAGCCTGGGCAACAGAGCTAGACCCCATCTCTAAATAAATAAAATAAAGGGGAGAAAACAAAGAAGATAGATTCTTTACCAGAGAATTCCTGGCTGCAGATCTCTTGACTGTTATGTTCTTGTTGTTGACTCTGTTTCCCCTCCTCTTCCTAAAAGGGCCACCTGAGCGAGGGGTATGGCCAGCTGTGCAGCATCTACCTGAAACTGCTAAGAACCAAGATGGAGTACCACACCAAAGTGAGTCTCTGCGGACAGTTCTGCCGCCACCGCCGCCTCCCCTGCTCCATCCCTTCAGCCCCTCCCTGGGCTCATTTGTCAGCTCTTTCAGGTAATAGACAGCCCAGGCTTCTGAGGAAGTGTGCACATCATGTACCCAAGCTGTGAGAGAGGAAAGCCACCGCCAGGCCCACGGGGTGTGACGAAGGCTGGGATTTTGGCCCGTGTCTTCTGCACCCTTTGTTCCCCATTTTGCAGCTAGAAAGAAACCTGGCCAGGCACGGTGGCTCACACCTATAATCCTAGCTCTTTCGGAGGCCCAGGCGGATGGATCACCCGAGGTCAGGGGTTCAAGACTGGCCTGGACAACATGGCAAAACCCCGTCTCTACTAAAATTACAAAAATTACCCATGGTGGTGATGCATGCCTGTAGTCCCAGCTACTCGGGAGGCTGAGGCAGGAGAATCGCTTGAACCTGAGACCAGGAGGCAGAGGTTGCAGTGAGCCAAAACCATGCCACTGCACTCCAGCCTGGGAGACAAAATGAGACTCTGTCTCAAAAAAAAAAACAAAAAAAAGAAAGAGTAACCCTAGGCACTATATTGCCTTATGAAAATGTTACAGAAGCATTGATTTTACTGTTAATAAAAACAATTCCTGGCTGGGCACAGTGGCTCATGCCTGTAATCTGAGCATTATGGGAGGTCGAGGCTGGAGGATCGCTTAAGACCAGGAGTTTGAGACCAGCCTGGGCCATAGCAAGATCCTGTCTCTACAAAAAAATTTAAAAATTAGCCGGGCGTGGTAGTGTGCAACTGTAGTCCCAGCTACTCGGGAGGCTGAGGTGGGAGGATACCTTGAGCCTGGGAAGTCAAGGATGCAGTGAGCTATGATCGCATCACTGCCCTCCCGCCTGGGCAACAGAGTGAGGCCCTGTTTCACAGAAAAAAGAGAGAAGAAGGTGACACAATGGATAGTGTGAGGTGGGGGAGGCGAGCAGCTGCGGGGTGTACAGGGGTCTGGCAACTGTGGGAGACAACGGGGATCAGGCAGAGGGGTGGGCACATAGGAGGCAACGTAAACCAGAACTGAGGCTGGGCCAGGCCAGGGTGTCAGAGGCTGAGGCGGGGAGTCGGGCTGCCCTTGGGCTGGATTGCAAGGCGAAGAAGCAGGAGGGAGAGGCTGAGAGTGTGGAGGGGAGGGGGCTTGTAGCGTGTGATTGGAGGGAGGACCGGGCTCTGGTAAAGGTGTCATGAGGAGGCGGGGAAAGGTGAGAACTGGATTTAAGATGTTTTGGGGTTGGGCGCAGTGGCTCACGCCTGTCATCCCAGCATTTCAGGAGGCCAAGGCGGGCGGATCGTCTGAGGTCTGGAGTTCAAGACCAGCCTGGCCAACATGGCAAAACTCCGTCTCTACTAAAAATACAAAAAGAAATTAGCTCACGTCTGTAGTCCCAGCTACTCGGGAGGCTGAGGCAGGAGAATCGCTTGAACCTGGGAGGCGGAGGTTGCAGCGAGCCGAGATGCTGCCTCTGCACTCCAGACTGGGCGACAGAGCAAGACTCAATCTCAAAAAAAAAAAAAAAAAGACGTTTTGGGAGTAGAGATTGAAAGTGTTAAATTGAGCTGGATGTGGTGGCTCACACCTCTAATCTCCACACAATGGAAGGCCAAGGCAGGAGGATCACTTGAGGCCAGGAGTTGGAGACCAGCCTGACCAACATAGTGAAACCCCCATCTCTACTAAAAACACAAAAATTAGCTGGGCGTGGTGACACGCACCTGTAATCCCAGCTACTCAGGAGGCTGAGGCTTGAGAATGGCTTGAACCCAGGAGGCGGAGGTTGCAGTGAGCCGAGATGGCGCCACTGCACTCCAGCCTGGGTGACAGAGCAAGACTCTGTCTCAAAAAAAAAAAAAAAAGTGTTAAATGGAAAGTGGGAGGAGGAAGGGCCTAGGGTAGGATTTTAGGTGGAAAAGGAAAGAAAGGAGGGTGTAGAGAAAGCAAGACTGGGAAGAAGGTTAAGGAGGAAGAGGACTGGGATGGGAGCTGGGGCAGTGGGGCTGCGGGGCTGATAGAGGCCAAAGGGGTCCCTTTGCCTTGTATATAGGAAGACAGCAGAGTTCAGTGGCATCAGAAGCAGCTGGTGCCAATAGCCAGTCCCCTAGCTTTTAATAGCATGGAAGGGCAGAAGGGAATGGTCACGTGGGCTTGGAGAACTGGGGTCGAAGAGGATGCAGCTGGCTTTGCTTCCAGAGGCTCTCGAGCTCACTGCTGTCTTGTTTTTCCTGGTTTTAGAAAGCAGAGAAAAAGGGGAAGCTGGTATTGTCCAAGTGTGGAGGAGCAAAGGACTTTTCCAGTTTTTAGCAATTAGCGATACAAGAGTGGGGAAGGAGGCTGGGCAGAGTGGCTCACACCTGCAATCCCAGCATTTGGGGAGGCCAAGGCTTGAGGTGAGACCAGCCTGGGCAACACAGTGAGACCCTGTCTCTTAAAAAAAATTTTTTTTGGCCAGGCGCGGTGGCTCACGCTTGTAATCCCAGCACTCTGGGAGGCCGAGGCGGGTGGATCACCTGAGGTCAGGAGTTCAAGACCAGCCTGGGCAACATGGTGAAACCCCATCTCCACTAAAAATACAAAAAAATTAGCCGGGCATGGTGGTGCGTGCCTGTTAATCCCAGCTACTCAGGAGGCTGAGGCAGGAGAATCGCTTGAACCCAAGGGGCTGAGGTTGCAGTGAGCTGAGATCATGCCATTGCACTCCAGCCTGGGCAACAGAGTGAGACTCCGTCTCGAAAACAACAACAAAAATATCCCGCACACATTAAAGAAAAATTCATTCTCTGGCTGGGCGTGGTGGCTCACACCTGTAATCCCAGCACTTCGGGAGGCCAAGGCGGGCGGATCACCTGAGGTCAGGAGTTCAAGACCAGCCTGGCCAATGTGGCGAAACCCCATCTCTACTAAACACACACACACACACACACACACACACACACACACACACACACACACAAATTAGCCCGCATGGTGGTGTATGCCTGTAGTACCAGCTACTGAGGAGGCTGAGGTGGAGGATCACTTGAGCCCAGGAATTCGAGGCTGCAGTGAGTGATGATCATGCCACTGCACTCCAGCGTGGGCAACAGTGAGGCCATGTCTCTAAAAAATAAAAAAAGAGAGAGAAACAAGAGAGAGCTGGTTTCCCCCTCCTCTGCCATGTAAGCAACGTAATCAGGATGAAGCGCCTCACCAGGCACCGAATCTGTCAACACCCTGACTTTGAACTCCCTGGCCTCGAGAACTGAAAGACACTCTCTATGGGTTAAGCCACCCAGTGCATGGTATCTTGTTATAACTGCCCGAGCTGACTGAGACGGACGTTCAGGACAGAGAGCGTGAATGCATAGTGACACCAGCTGTGAGTCTTTCTCCAGGGACAGTCGGCAGCCGGCCCTAGGTGCAGAGCCGATGACAAGGACCCAGGCTCTCAGCAGGTCTTCCAAGCAGTGTGGTAGAAAGGCAGGCAGGGTGTGGGGAAGTGGAGCCAGGCCACCAGTCATGATGTCAAGACTGAGCCAGGAAGCAAAGGCAGGCAGAGAGATGGGGAGGAGAGGGAGCAGGAGGGGACTGGCCATCTCTGAGACAGAAGCGTGAGTAGTGGGTGGACTTGAGGGCAGGAGAGGACTGAAAGGGCAGAGGCCTGGGCGATGCAGCCAGAGAGGGAGATGCTGGTGTGGGGAGGTCTGGGCAGGGATGTTTTAGGTGATGGCAGAGTCTGGAGTGGGGATGGAGTAGAGGTGAAGGTGCTGAAATTGAGGTCAGAGGTTGTAATCTCAGCGTGTATGACTTGGGGCAAAGGAAAACTGTGTCCCAGGTGCCAGGTCAAGCCTCAGAGGCCTTGGCACCATGGAGCCCAGGAGCAAAGTCTGCAATGGGGATTTTTTTTTCTTTTTTTTGCGGTGGGGGAGACGGAGTCTCACTCTTGCCCAGGCTGGAGTGCAGTGGTGCGATCTCAGCTCACTGCAACCTCCGCCTCCCAGCGTCAAGCAATTCTGCCTCAACCTCCCAAGGAGCTGGGACTACAGGCGTGCACCACCACACCCGGCTAATTTTTGTATTTTTAGTTGAGACAGGGTTTTGCCATGTTGGCCAGCCTCGTCTCTAATTCCTGACCCCAAGTGATCCATCTGCCTTGGCCCCCAAAGTGCTGGGATTACAGGTGTGAGCCACCGCACCTGGCCTAGAGCCTAAAGTATCCACTTGTACATGTAGATGCCCCACGATGGAATGGCCACCCATCTCTGTGGCCTTTTCCCTTTGCCACAGGGACAAACCACACAGATGACAGGATCATGCTGGCTGTAGATACTCAGCAATGATTGATGATACCAGCGATTTTTCTTTTTTTCTTTTTTGTTTGTTTTGAGGTAGGGTCTCACTCTGTAACCAAGCTGGAGTGCAGTGGCCTTGAACTGTAAACTTGAACTCCCGGGCTCAAGCAATCCTCCCACCTCGGCCTCCCAAGTAGCTGGGACCACAGGCGTGTGCCACCACGCCCGGCTGAGAGAGGGCTCTTCATGTCTTCTGCCCTGACTCCCTTCCTCTGCCTCCCTTCCAGAATCCCAGGTTCCCAGGCAACCTGCAGATGAGTGACCGCCAGCTGGACGAGGCTGGAGAAAGTGACGTGAACAACTTGTAAGTGGCTCCTGCCCTGAGCCCAGGGAGGGAGAAAGCTTTTGTGAATGCTGACACTTCTCATAAGGGTCATGGAGGGCCTGATGGGGGGAGGCCGTGGCTGGGATGGGGACCAAAGCCCCTGGGTGACTTGGCCTTGGGGCTACTTATTTATTGGTGGTGCCTCATCCAGAACCCCTGCCTGGCTATTTCACACCCCAAAGCTTTCCTGTCTGTCTCGCTTTCTGCCCTCTGACTCCAACACTGGTACCTATCCTCTCCCTCTGTCACTGTCACTGTTTTTGTTTTTGTTTTTTGAGAGGCAGTCTTGCCCTGTTACCCAGGCTGGAGTGCAGTGACTTGATCTCGGCTTACTGCAGCCTCCACCTCCCAGGTTCAAGTGATTCTCCTGCCTCAGCCTCCCGAGTAGCTGGGATTACAGGCATGCGCCATCACACCCAGCTAATTTTTATATTTTTAGTAGAGATGGGGTTTCGCCGCGTTGGCCAGGCTGGTCTTGAACTCCTGACCTCAGGTGATCCGCCCACCTCGGCCTCCCAAAGTGCTGGGATTACAGGCGTGAGCCACCGCCCCCGACCTGTCGCTGTCACTGTTGACTTCACCAGGCTGCATGGCCATAATACCCACAAGGCTAAGACTTGGAGCTGGAGTTGTGTGTGTGTTTGCGCATGCACATGAGCATTGGAGACTGGAGTAGCGTAGAGCGTGGGGGAGGGGACAGGTAACAGACCGGCCTCAGGCTGTGGAGTGTAAGCTCTCTTTCCTCTTGGGTCCAGTTTCCAGTTAACAGTGGAGATGTTTGACTACCTGGAGTGTGAACTCAACCTCTTCCAAACAGGTGAGTCTCTTCCCTCCCGTCTAACCCAGGCTCTCATGGGAACTACCTAATTCCTAGTCCTCCTCTCCCTGCAAAGTGTGCAGCACAAGGGGTAGGAAAATGGAGACATTCACACCCCATCTCTGGTCTCTCCAACCCTCGTGCAGGGAGGGACTGAACCTCTTCAGTATTTTTCTTTTTAAGAGACAAGGTCTCGGCCGGGTGCAGTGGCTCGCACCTGTAATCCTAGCACTTTGGGAGGCTAAGGTGGGCCCATCACTTGAGGCCAGAAGTTCAAGACCAGCCTGGCCAACATGGTGAAACCCTGTCTCTACTAAAAATATAAAAATTAGCCGGGCATGGTGGCACATGCCTGTAATCCCAGTTACTTGGGAGGCTGAGGCAGGAGAATTGCTTGAACCCAGGAGGTCGAGGTTGCAGTGAGCCAAGATCATGCCATTGCACTCCAGCCTGAGTGATACAGCAAGACTTCATCTCAAAAGAAAAAAGAGAGAGAGAGAGAGAAGGTCTCACTCTGTCGCCCAGGCTGGATTGCAGTGGCATGTTACGGCTCACTGCAACCTCAAACTACTAGGCTCAAATGATCCTCCCACCTCAGCCTCCCAAGTAGCTGGGACTACAGGCACGCACCACCACATCTGGCTGATTTTTTATATTTTTTGCAGAGATAGGGGTCTCACTGTGTTGCCCAGGCTGTTCTTGAACTACCAGCCTCAAGGTGTCTTCCCAACTCAGCCTCCCAAAGTTCTGGGATTACAGGCGTGAGCTACCACACCTGGCCTCCTAGATATTTTCCAAGCGGGTGGTTTCACGTCTGAGCAGAAAGACCACACACTGCCCCTTCCTACTGGCCTCTCTCCTGAAGCGCAGGCCTCCAAAAGCCCAAAGACAGGTCTTACCTCTTTGCCAGCCACTGGACTGTAGCCATGGCCCTGGCCAGTCCTTGGTCCAGTCTTGTCTGCTACTCGGAACTGGGCTGGCTCATGGGCACGATTTCTACTGAGGAGGAAGGGCTCATGTCTGTTGTTGAGTTGGCAGCCATGGGAAACAAGCTGGTCAGGATTGGTTGTCACCCAGGACTGGTTGTCACCCAAGTCCACATGAGAAGCTCACACAGTCCTGTTCCACTAGCAGGGGGAGTGGCCACACTTCCAGGCTCCTGCCTGCCAAGAACTGTGGTGCCTCCAGACCATCAGCCCCTAATGCTTCCCTGACAAGCCTCAGCTGGTCCCCTTCTCTCCAGCGCGTCTCCTCCCCACATCTCCCAGCAGGCTCCCCTCCTTTCCCTGGGGGATGTAAGCACCAGCGTTCTGAGACTCAGGGCGTTCCATGACAAGCATCCAACTCTGAAAGACAACGTTCCACATTGCAGGTCTCCATACGCAAGCTTGGTGGTCTCATGCCCAAGCCTCGTGGCCTTCTCTGCATGTGGACAGGCAGGACCCACTCTTGGGGCTTGGACTCTCTGACCCCGAATTTCCTTCAGCTTCCTTCAGCTTGTTCATCTGTGCAGAAATGCCTACTACTGGCCTCTTTTCCAGAATATTCTGTTTTGTGTTGTACGATGGCTGGGACAGGGCAACAAATTCTGTAATACATTGACCAGTCTTCAGCACAGGATGTGGTCAGAAAAACACCAGAAACAGGCCAGGCACAGTGGCTCATGCCTGTAATCCTAGCACTTTGGAAGGCCAAGGGGGGCGGATCACCTGAAGTCAGGAGTTCAAGACCAGCCTGGGCAACATGGTGAAACCCTGTCTCTACTAAAAATACAAAAATTAGCCAGGTGTGGTGGTGAGCACCTGTAATCCCAACTACTCAGGAGGCTGAGGCAGGAGAATGGCTTGAACTCAGGAGGCGGAGTTTGCAGTGAGCCGAGATGCAGTGAGCAAGATTCTGTCTCAGAAAAAAGAAAGACCAACACCAGAAACAGCTGGAAACTGCGGTTTGTGCGAGAAAGGGACATTCAGCCGACTAGGAAGCTATTTGAGCAGGGTGTTATACAAAAGTCAGTAGAGAAATAAAAATAAAACGCAGAATCTAGTCTATGCCCTAAGCTATTCCCAGTCAGACTGAAAGCAGTGGTGTAGATGCATTTATTTTTTAAAAAATGCATTGGGGCCGGGCGCAGTGGCTCATGCCTGTAATTTCAGCACGTTGGGAGGCGAAGGCAGGTGGATCATGAGGTCAGGAGTTCAAGACCAGCCTGGCCAACATGGTGAAACGCCATCTCTATTGAAAATACAAAAATTAGCCAGGCGTGATTGATGGTGTGTGCCTGTAATCCCAGCTACTCAGATGGCTGAGGCAGGAGAATTGCTTGAACCCGGGAGGCAGAGGTTGCAGTGAGCCAACATCACACCACTGCACTCCAGCCCGGGTGACAGAGCAAGACTCCTTGAAAAAAAAAATGCTTTGGAAATGTTTGCATAAAAGTATATAAACAAGTATACATTGTTGTGGCTAACTTTTCATCATTTGGATTTTGGTGGGAACAACGTATGTGGATAATTCAGAATTCATTCGCATTTAGCTTTCACTTTTTTGTTGTTGTTTCTTTTGAGATAGTCTGGTTGTGTCACCCAAGCTGGAATGCAGTGGTGCGATTCCGGCTCACTGCAACCTCCGCTTCTGGGGCTCAAGCCATCCTCCTACCTCAGCCTCCCAAGTAGCTGGGACTACGGGCACGCACCACCATGCCCAGCTAATTTTTGTGTACTTTTTTTAGAGACAAGGCTTCATTATGTTGCCCAGGCTGGTCTCAAACTCCTGAGCTCAAGTGATGTGCCTGCCTTTTCCTCCCAAAGTGCTGGGATTATTGGCATGAGCCACCACGCCCAGCCTGCATTTAGCTTTGGAATGTGCTAGATCTGAATGCAGGCGTGAGTGAGATTCTTAGAATTGTCATCCTTGGGAAAGTGCAGCCTAGAAGTTGCAGTTCGGCTGACACAAGCTCTCTCCCCATGGCTCTCACCTCTTCTTGGAGCCGGCTGCCTGCCTGCCTCCCGCTGCTGTGGTGTTTAGGGATAAGCAAGACAAATGTTTCAACCTTTGGGTCATCCTTCCAGTTCCTGACAGACCGTGGACCATGAGTAAGCGGAGATGGTGATGAGGTCCAAAAGGACTTGGTTAGCTGAGAGAATGAGTAAGGGGTAGAGGTGGTGAGCTCAGCCATCTTTTTTGTGCCACATCTCATGACCCCTAGCTCTGGTTTTTTGTGTGTTTGTTTGTTTTGTTTTGAGAGAGTCTCGCTCTGTTGCCCAGACTGGAGTGCAGTGGCACCATCTCAGCTCGCTGCAACCTCCGCCTCCCAGGCTCAAGCAATTCTCCTGTCTCAGCCTCCTGAGTAGCTGGGATTACAGGTGTGTGCCACCACGCCCGGCTAATTTTTGTACTTTTAGTAGAGACAGGGTTTCACCATGTTGGCCAGGCTAGTCTCGAACTCCTGGCCTCAAGTGATCGGCCTGCCTTGGCCTCCCAAGGTGCTTGGATTATAGGCATGAGCCACCGTGCCCAGCCTGCTCTGGTTTTATATGCATTGTTCATTAATATTGTTACCACGAGATGCTGACCTACTCATCTCTAAATTCCCTCTGTTCTAGTCCAGTGCCTGGTGAATAGCAGGCCCTCAACCATAAAAGAATGCTTGCTTTTTGAAAAACAGCAGGCTACCAGGTGCAGTGGCTCATGCCTATAAACCCAGCACTTTAGGAAGCCAAGGTGGGAAGATTGCTTGAATCCAGGAGTTATAGTCGGGTAGCTCTGGTCCAGAAGACTCTAAGTAATTCACCCTAGAGTTTCCCAGAGCATGTAGCTGAAAGTTAACACTATGTAATGAATTCTATTCACCTATTTCATCATCACTGCTGTTTTTCTTTTCTCTCTCTCTCGTTTTTTTTTTTTTGGAGATGGGATCTCACTCTGTCGCCGAGGCTGGAGTACTGTGGCACAATCATAGCTCACTGCAGCCTTGACCTCCCTGGTCTCAAGGGATCCTCCCACCTCAGCCTCCTGAGTAGCTGGGACCAGGGATGTGTGCCATCACACCCAGCTAATTTTTTAATTTTTTGTAGAGATGGGGTCTTGCTATATGACCAGGCTGGTCTCGAACTCCTGAGCTCAAGTGATCCTTCCACCTCAGCCTCCCAAAGTGTTGGGATTATAGGCATGAGCCACCAACCCCAGCCTCCTGTGCTTTAAGAAGCACCCGCAGTGTGCACTGTCCAATAGGGCACTCACTAGCCCCATGTGATCATTGAACTTGATTACAATTAAATAACATTTAAAAGTCAGGTCCTCAGCTGCACTAGTCCTATTTCAGGCATATTTCAGAAAGCCACATATGGCTAATATATTAAAAAGTTTATATGAACATTTTCATCATTGTAGAATTCTATTGGATAGCACTATTGTGGGTGATTCTGATGTGTGCTAAAACTTGACAACCACTGAGCTTGGACATACAGTTTTCAACCCTGGATGCAGATTAGAATCTACCTGGGGCGTTTTTTTTGTTTTTGTTTTCTCTGAAACGGAGCCTTGCTCTGTCGTTCAGGCTGGAGTGCAGTGGTGGGATCTTGGCTCACTGCAGCCTCCAAGCAATTCTTGTGCCTCAGCCTCCTGAGTAGCTGGGACTACAGGTGCCCGCTACCACACCTGGCCAATTTTTGTATTTTTAGTAGAGATGGGGTTTCCCCATGTTGGCCAGGCTGGCCTCGAACTCTTGACCTCAAGCAGTCCTCCCACCTCAGCCTCCCAAAGTGCTGGGATTACAGGCATGAGCCACAGCACCTGGCCTAACGGGGGACAGCAGGGGAAGACTTTTGACACCCACTGACATCCCAACATACAGCAGACCAATTGAAACAGATGGTGGGGCGGTTCTGGGGGTTGCAGGAAGACTTTAGTGTTTCAGTTTCCCCAGGTGATCCTAACCAGTCTCAAAGCCAAAGTCAAGAACCACTGCACAATTCCATGCACTTTTCCCAGCATTCTCATTGAAGTCCTCTGAGACCCTTACGAGGTATGCACTGTTATAGCCACATGTGCTCAACAGAAGAGCATCAGGAGGCACAGAGTGACTGAGCAACTTGTCCGTGATGACACTGCTCTAGATGTTTCTGGATGCCAAAGGGCATTCCTGGAAGGTATCAGGAATCGGGGCCAGGCAGGGAAATGGAACAGCCCGTGGTTCCTGCCAGTTGGAGCCTGAGGAAGCCGGTAGACTTGGGGATGGCTGCCTTGCAGTGACAGCTGCTTTTAATTTGTGTCAAGAAGAAAAGCTGCCTTTTAATTAGAACAGTTCGGGATTTTTTTTTTTTTCAGCTGCCAGACTAACCCAGTTACCAGGGATTAGTGCAGTCGGGAAGCGGAATACAGGCAGTGCTAGGCTTCCCTCTGGGCCAGTTCCACTCACAGAGGGACCGCGGGGAGAGTCATTTCATTGCCCGCCGCGTGCAGAGTCTGCAGAGGCAGTGGGTGGCCAGTGCAAGAAAGAAAATCAGCCTGGCCAGTGGTGTGAGCTGAGTGTCTGCAGCCAGACGGCCAGTTGCTTGGTCTAGGATGGGGGGCAGGAGGTTAGTGTGGAGGGAGCCCCAGCGTGAGAAATTGAGGGAGCAACTTTGTCTCTGAAACTCAAGAGGGTGGAGGCAAGACTTCTATTTTTGTTGACAGGTGCCCCAAGTTTCAGCCCTGAACCCTGACATATCTTCCTTCTCCCAAGTCCTTTTTCTTATTTTTCTTGTTTTGTATTGTTTTGTTTTGGTTTGGTTTCTTTTGAGATGGAGTCTCACTCTGTCACCCAGGCTGGAGTGCAGTGGCACCGTCTCAGCTCACTGCAACCTCCACCTTCCAGGCTCAAGCGATTCTCCTGCCTCAGCCTCCCAAGTAGCTGGGTTTACAGGCACACGCCACCACACCCAGCTAATTTTTGTATTTTAGTAGAGACAGGGTTTTGCCATGTTGGCCAGGCTGGTCTCGAACTACTGACCTCAGGCGATCCACCCGCCTCGGCCTCCCAAAGTGCTGGGATTACAGGCATGAGCCACTGTGCCTGGCTTGTTTTGTTTTATTTATTTATGAAACAGAGTCTCACTCTGTCGCCCAGGCTGGAGTGCAGTGGTGGGATCTTGGCTCACTGCAGCCTCCACCTCCTGGGTTCAAGCGATTCTCCTGCCTCAGCTTCCCAAGTAGCTGGGATTACAGGCGTGAGCCATCACGCCTGGCTAATTTTTGTATTTTCAGTAGAGATAAGGTTTTGCCATGTTGCTCAGGCTGGTCTCAAACTCAGGCTCAGGCAGTCCCCCCACCTCGGCCTCACAAAGTGCTGGGATTACAGGCGTGAGCCACTGCACCTGGCTGAGACCCAGTCTCGTAAAGAGGAAAAAAATGAAGATGAGGCTCCTCCTCCATGTCCGCCATGGTAGGAGCTCTCCCAGGTTATGAGCAAATCTCTTCTTCCCTGAGCTATCAGGGGTCTCTGCACAGAGTAGCGCTTAGTTCACCCAGTCATGATGCACTGAATATTCTGACTCTCAAGAGCAAAGGCTCCTGGTCTAACCATCATTGGCCCCATCAGCTCTTGGGCTCTCCAACAAGTCTGTTAACTCACCACCTCTCAACAAAACCACTTTTTTTTTTTTTTTTTTGAGATGGTGTCTTACTCTTGTCACCCAGGCTGGAGTGCAGTGGTGCAATCTCGGCTCACTGCAACCTCTGCCTCCTGGGTTCAAGTGATTCTCCTGCCTCAGCCTCCCGAGTAGCTGGGATTACAGGCATGTGCCACCATGCCCAGCTAATTTTTGTATTTTTAGTAGAGACAGGGTTTTCCCATGTTGGAGAGGCTGGTCTCGAACTCCTGACCTCAGGCGATCCACCCGCCTCAGCCTCCTAAAGTGCTGGGATTACAGGCGTGAGCCACCACACCCTGCCAAAACCACTTTTTTTTTTTCGAGACTGAGTTTTGCTCTGTTGCTGGAGTGCAATAGCATGATCTTGGCTCACTGCAACCTCTGCCTCTCGGGTTCAAGCGATTCTCCTGCCTCAGCCTCCTGAGTAGCTGGGATTACAGGCATGCGCCACCATGCTCGGCTAACAAAACCACTTCCTGACTTTGTGAGAGCCTTCAAGTTACTAACCTTCTGTTTCTTCACCTGTTTAATGGGGATACGTTTACCTATCTCATGGGAGTGTTGTGAAGGTTAAATGAATTAGATGAGGTAAAGCACGCACAGAATCGGTCCTTGGTGTATGTTGGACCCCTGCCTCTGCCCCTCTGAAGAGGCTGCCTGTAATCCCCTGGCTCTACCACCTTTCTCCCTCACTTTTATTTCCTAGTATTCAACTCCCTGGACATGTCCCGCTCTGTGTCCGTGACGGCAGCAGGGCAGTGCCGCCTCGCCCCGCTGATCCAGGTCATCTTGGACTGCAGCCACCTTTATGACTACACTGTCAAGCTTCTCTTCAAACTCCACTCCTGTGAGTACCGCGGGCCAGATCTTCTTACATGAGATTCAGGCCAGAGGGAGGATCCCAGCCTGAGGATGTCCCCAGAGAAACGCAGTCCTTCTCAGTGCCTTTGGCTGTCTGCTTCTGTTCCAAAAGGCCCCGGAGCTTCTGACCATTGTGAGGATAAAAGAGCAGGGCCCAGGCTTTGGTGACCCCAGTAAAGCCCCTGGCTTGCCACTCTTGCGTCCCAGTGTTACAGGATCTTTGGGGTGTCCGTTTTCTGGCTGGAAACCTCTGGGGCCAGTGGTGCCTTTGCCCGAGTTCTTGTTCGGCATCCAGGAAGAATGAGGTATGCAGACAAGTGGAGGGTGGACAAGATGAAGAGGAGCTTTATTGAGTATTAGAACAGCTCAGAGGAGACTGCAGTGGGTACCGCTCTCTGTCTGTAGGCAGGTTGTCCTGTCGAGTGTTCAGCTCTCAGCAGAAAAGAGGCCATGGAGTGGGTAGCTCCTCTCTGCAGCTGATTATCCTAGCATCTCTGCAGGTCTCTGAAGCCTCAGCAGAGAGGGTAGCTCCTCTCTGTAGCTGGTCGTCCCATCTCTGCTCAGCTCTGGCTGAGCTCAGGCCTTTTATGGGCCTCAGAGGGGAGGAAATGCACCACGATTGGTCCATGGGCAGGCCCAGAAAGGGCACCCCAAGTTCCCACTCCGGTCTGTGGGATTGGCAGCCCGGCCCCCACCGGGGACCCGCCCTTTCACCCAGGAATCTGTCTGCCTCCCGCTGCCATGCATGGCAACAGGGCTCAGCCCCAACTTTGCTCTAAGATCAGAGTGGGTGCCGACAGCAGGGAGAAGCCAGGCAGCGGGAACAGGTTCAGAAGAGGGGAGGGAGAGCCTTCTCAGGCCCTGAAGAGTACAGGGATGCCTGAGTCTGCAGCTGGGGCTGGGGGCGGGTGCGGGGCAGCAGGGCTGCCACCCACTCCATGGAGTGGGAGGCCCAAGTCTGCAGCTGTGTTTTGGGTGGCTGCAGCTGCACCTGGGAAGGTAGGGTTCCTGCCTGCTCCGGACCCTCAAGAGCACAGGGAGGCTCAGATCTGCAGTCACAACTTGGGCGGCTACAGCCCCATCCAGCAGGGTGAGGCTTCTGCCTGTTCCATGGAGTGTGCAGCCCTGGCCATGCCTCCCTGCTGCAGCTGGCATGATGGCAGTGGCAGGCCATCTGGACTGGCAGCTGCCATCACCAGGATGGTCCTCTCTGTCTGCCTCTAGCTTGAGCACGTCACCATTCAACAAGTATGTCGTGCATCCTACGAACAGCACAAATATCAGCAGACCTGGCCTAGACCTACATGAGCTAACATAATGATTTCCAGACCATTTATCTACACAATCCCTTTGTGCAAATGGAATTTTATGGAGAAATATAAATTATAAAACACAGCTGCTCATTAAATGGAGACCTATCCCTTACCTAGCTTCAGTTCCCTGGGGTGCCCTTAGCAGAATATATATAGTTTGGAAGTTCTGGTCTTACAGAAGTTCTTACACTTTTTTTTTTTTTTTTTTCTGAGACAGAGTCTCACTCTCTCACCCAGGCTAGAGTGCAATGGCATGATCTCGGCTCACTGCAACCTCTGCCTACCAGGTTCAAGCAATTCTTGTGCCTTAGCCTCCCAAGTAGCTGGGACCACAGGTCTGTGCTGGCACACCCAGCTAATTTTTTGTTGTTGTTGTTTGAATTTTTAGTAGAGATGGGGTTTCCCCATGTTGGCCAGGCTGGTCTCGAACTCCTGGCCTCAAGTGATCCGCCCACCTCAGCCTCCTAAAGTGCTAGGATTACAGGTATGACCCACCACACCCGCCAGTTCTTATACTTTTGTGTCCTTCTGGTTTAAAATGATGTGTCTGGGGTGGGCACAGTGGTTCACGCATGGAATCCCATCACTTTGGGAGGCTGATGCAGGCAGATCGCTTGAGCTCAGGGGTTGGAGACCAGCCTGAGCAACATAGTGAAATCCCTGTCTGTACAAAAAATACAAAAATTAGCCAGGCATGGTGACATGCGCCTGTAGTCCCAGCTACCTGGGAGGCTAAGGCGAGAGGATCGCTTGAGCCCAGAAGGTCAAGGCTACAGTGAGCTGTGTTTGTGCCACTGCACTCCAGCCTGGGCAACAGAACGAGACCGTGCCTAAAAAAAATAAAATAAATAAAATAAAGTAGTATAAGACAGTATACTCTGTAACTGCGGTTATTGACAAGTAATGAATCTCTTTATTTAGACAGTACAAGGGAAGGGTGTAGCATCGCCTAGATGCTAACCTAGGATGGTTTTGTGGAAGGGAGATTGGAATTAGCTGCCCAGGGATTAGAAGGGCTTTGCGGCAAGTAGGCCTGCCTGAAGGGAGCTGAGAGGGTGGAGTGGGCCCCCAAGAGAAGGGACCAGCTGCTTAGAGTGCTGAATACAGATGAACTTTTCATTGTTTCCCCTGGAAACTTTTCATTGTTTCCAAGTATTCTGTTGCTCAGTAGAACATCACCACTGCCTTTTTGTAAAATGGGGAGTTAAGCTGGGCATGGTGGTGCACACCTGCAGTCCCAGTTACTCTGGAGGCTGAGGGAGTTATGAGAAGAGACAGGTATAAGTGTTTGGGTTTAAAGGCCTTCTTTGAAGGCAGGGCAATACCCAAGACCCACACTGCCTCTGGGCTGAGGAAGGGGTAGGAGGGATACTCTTTACAATACATAGTTTTTTAATTTACTTTATTTATTTATTTATTTTTCTGAAACAGGGTCTCGCTCTGTTGCCCAGGCTGGAGTGCAGTGGCACAATCTCATCCCACTGCAACCTCCATCTCCCAGGTTCAAGCAATTCTCCTACCTCAGCCTCCCAAGTAGCTGAGATTATAGGTGCCCGCCACCATGCCTGGCTAATTTTTGTATTGTTTTTAGTAGAGACAGGGTTTCATCCTGTTGGCCAGGCTTGTCTCGAACTCCTGAGCTCAAGTGATCCTCCTGCCTCGGCCTCCCAAAGTGCTGGGATTGCAATTGTGAGCCACTGCAGCTGGCCCTCTTTTCTAAAAATAAACATTTATTTTTGTTTTAGATCTACAGAAAAGTTATAAAAATAGTACCGAGAGTTCTCGTATACCCAGTTCCATTTTCCCTTTGTTCGTATATTAGTATGAAACATTTGCCACAACTGGCCGGGCACGGTGGCTCACGCCTGTAATCCCAGCACTTTGGGAGGCCGAGGTGGGCGGATCATGAGGTCAGGAGATCGAGACCATCCTGGCCAACATGGTGAAACCCTGTCTCTACTAAAAATACAAAAAATTAGCCGGGCGTGGTGGCGGGCGCCTGTAGTCCCAGCTGCTCAGGAGGCTGAGGCAGCAGAATGGTGTGAGCCCTGGAGGTGGAGCTTGCAGTGAGCCGAGATCGTGCCACTGCACTCCAGCCTGGGTGACAGAGCGAGACATCGTCTCGAAAAAAAAAAAAAAGAAACGTGTCACAACTAATTAACCAGTGTTGATACCTTATTATTAATTAAAGTTCGTACTTAAGGCAGGGCACGGTGACTCACACCTGTAATCCCAGCACTTTGGGAGGTCAAGGCAGGCGGATCACGAGGTCAAGAGATTGAAACCATCCTGGCCAACACGGCGAAACCCTGTATCTGCTAAAAATACAAAAATTAGCGGGGTGTGGTGGCGCGCGCCTGTAGTCCCAGCTGCTTGGGAGCTGAGGCAGGAGAATTGCTTGAACCCGGGAGGCGGAGGTTGTGGTGAGCTGAGATTGTGCCACTGCCCTCCAGCCTGGCAACAGAGTGAGATTCTGTCTCAAAAAAAAAAAAAAGTTCGTACTTTATTCAGATTGTCACAGTTTTTACCGAATGTCCTTTTCTGCCCCAGAATCTCACCCGGTACATGCATGTGACATTTAGTTGTGATGTCTCCTTAGGTTCCTCTTGGCTATGACGTTTCACTTCTCAAACTTCCCTTATTTTTGATGACTTTGACAGTTCTGAGTTTTTTGTAGAATGTTCCTGAATTCTGTTTGCCTGATGTTTTTCTCCTGATTTAACTGGGGTTAAGGGTTCTTGGGAGAAAGATCATTTAGGTCAAGTGCCATATTCATTCACTGTCCACTTCTGCCATTTTTGTTTTGTTTTGTTTTGTTTTGTTTCAAGACAGGGTCTCGCTCTGTCACCCAGGCTGGAGTGCAGTGGTGCGATTGTAGCTCACTGCAGCCTCAAACTCCTGGGCTTAAAAGATCCTCCCACCTCAACCTCTTGAGTAGCTAAGACTACAGTGCACATCACCACACCTGGCTAATTTTTATTTCTTAATTTTTGTAGAGATGGGGGTCTCACTATGTTGCCCAGGCTGGTCTCAAACTCCTGGGTACAAGCGATGCTCCCCACTCAGCCTCCCAAAGTGCTGGGATTACACATGGGAGCCACTGCGCCCAGCCATCTTTTGCCATTTCAATAATCATGTTTTATACATGTGTTCCCTGATTTTATCCAGTGAATGTATGACCCATTTCCAAATAACAAATTTAAATTTAAACAAATAAAGCAAACACTAAAAGGATTGCTGAGCTGTGATCTACAGCTGCAATATGCAGGTTCGCACATCTGAGAGGTTACAGAACCTCAGAGAACTGGCTCTGTAGGGGAGGAGGCTGTCCTAAGAGGTTACTGGTGTGTGCAGTGTCATAGAGTTAGCTACCAACCAAGCCGGGACTGGAACTCAGATCCCAAGCCTCAATCCCTTGTTCTTTTTTTTGACAGAGTCTCACTGTCGCCCAGGCTGGAGTGCAGTGGTGCAATCTCAGCTCACTGCAACTTCCGCCTGCTGGGTTCAAGCAATTCTCCTGCCTCAGCCTCCCAAGTAGCTGGGATTACAGGCGCATGCCACCGCGCCCGGCTAATTTCTGTATTTTTAGTAGAGACATGGTTTCACCATATTGGTCAGGCTGGTCTCGAACTCCTGACCTCAAGTGATTCTCCTGCCTCAGCCTCCCAAAGTGCTGGGATTACATGCGTGAGCCACTGCACCTGGCCTTCAATCCCTTGTTCTTTGCCTTCTGACAGCCATCCTCTTGGGCAGGTTCTGCGGATCTCTTCCAGACTAATATCAGCCCTGAGCCTCAACCTAAAACAAATGCAGGCAATAGCTGAGAAAGAACTGCTCCCTCCTGGGCCTGCCATGGTCCAGCCTGCTACTGGGTCAGGTCACCATTTCTTCTCTAGTCCAGGACACAATTTCCACCCTATTGTGCCCGGCATGGCTTGTCCTTCAGGAACTAATTGAAGTGAAAGGATTTGGAGGATAAGCGTCTCCACACTCCTGCTGGTTCCTGCTGGGCTCCCTTGGTTACCAGACCTCGGGACAGCTCTAGGCCAGTCGTGGCCCCTGGCAGTGCTGGCCACATGCCCCAGGGTAGCTGGGCCCCTCCCCCTCGAGAGCCCCGCTGTGGCTTCCCTGCCCTCTGGTCCCCCTCCCCTCTCACACTCTTTCCAATTTCTTCCAGGCCTCCCAGCTGACACCCTGCAAGGCCACCGGGACCGCTTCATGGAGCAGTTTACAAAGTAAGTGGTTCAAGTAACAGGAATGGAGGTGAATTCAAGAGCGCTATAAAATCATTAAGCCATGCAAGTGCACTGTGAGAGGTGGCTGGACACAGTGGTTCATGCCTGTAACCCCAACTCTTTGGGAGGCTGAGGCGGGAGGATCACTTGAGGCCAAGAGTTTGACACCAGGCTGGGCAACATAGCGAGACCCCATCTCTACAGAAAAAAAATGTAAAACAAATTAGCTGGGCACGGTGGTATGCACCTGTGATCCCAGCCACTTGAGAGGCTGAGGCAGGAGGATGGCCTGAGCCTAGGAGTCCGAGGCTGCAGTGAGCTAGATTGTGCCACTGGACTTCAGTCTATGTGACAAAGTGAGACCCTGTCTCTAAAAAAAAATTTTTTTTAAATACTTGTGGGCGTGAGGTTATCTTCGGGCTGGAGTGCAATGGCAATGGCACGATCTCGGCTCACTGCAACCTCCGCCTCCTGGGTTCAAGTGATTCTCCTGCATCAGCCTCTCGAGTAGCTGAGACTACAGGCACACACCACCATGCCCAGCTAATTTTTGTATTTTTAGTAGAGATAGGGTTTCACCATGTTGGCCAGGATGGTCTCGATCTCTTGACCTTGTGATCTGCCCACCTCAGCCTCCCAAAGTGTTGGGATTACAGGCGTGAGCCACTGCACCCGACCTGAGGTTATCTTCATTCTAAGGTGATAAAGTGACAGAAAATAGCTCAGACAGAGGCAAATCTACCTATAGCTAGGGTAACTATTGGTTATCTAATAAATCCCATAGAAGCATATAGAAGAAAGAGATTTCATCCATTCATTAGTTGCCTGCTTATGCCCCAGACTTCATCCTCTTCTCTTTTCTGTCTCCCTAAGTTCTGGTCTTATAGCATTTATAGACTGATAACCCCTAAATATGCATCTCTAGCCAGACCTTACTTCTGAATGCCAGCCTCTTGTCCCCAATTTGACATCTGTATAGCATACTTAAATCTCAAACTGTACTTTAGGTTTTCTCAAAAAAAAAAAACAAAAAAAAACCTTTCTCTCTCCATTCTGTTTTTGTTTGTTTGTTTTTGTTTTTGTTTTTGAGACAGAGTCTCGCTCTGTCACCCAGGCTTGAGTGCGGTGGTGTGATCTTGGCTTACTGCAACCTCAGCCTCCCCATCTCCAGTGATTCTCCTGCCTCAGCCTCTTCAGTAGCTAGGATTACAGGCGCCCACCACCATGCCCGACTAATTTTTGTATTTTTAGTAGAGACAGGATTTCACCATGTTGGCCGGGCTGGTCTGGAACTCCTGACCTCAAGTGATCTGCCTCCCAAAGTGATGGGATTACCGGCGCGAGTCACTGTGCCCAGCCCCTCCCCATTCTTTTCTATCTCAACAAATACTGCCATCATCCATTTAGGCCAGAGATCTGGAAGTCACCATTTTCCTCATCCCCCATGTCCAATCCACTAGCAGGTTTGGTTGATACCCTACAAATATGACCTGCTTCTGAGGTGGGATGGGAGACTGGACTCTGGAGGCAGGGCTTGGGCATCGGACCAAATTAAGGACAAGTAAAACAGGGAAAGGGCGGAAGCACCTCTGCATAAGACACACCTACCAGTGTGCAGTGACAGTTTACCATTGCTATGGCAACATCCGGAAGTTAGCGCCCCTTTCCATGGCAATAACCTGACAATCTGGAATTTACCACTTTTTTTCTAGAAATTTCTGCATAATCTGCCCCTTAATTTACATATAATTAAAAGTGGGTATAAATGTAACAGCTGCTATTCTGGGCTCACTGCGTATGGAGTAGCCCTGCGCTGCAAGGAACAGGACCTCCGCTGCTGGCTGTGCACTGCCGCCTCAATAAAAGTTGCTAACACCAGCCGGGTGCAGTGGCTCATGCCTGTAATCCCAGCACTTTGGGAGGCCGAGGTGGGCAGATCACTTGAGGTCAGGAGTTCAAGACCAGCCTGGCCAACATGGTGAAACCCCGTCTCTACTAAAAAATTAGCAGGGCATGGTGGTGCACACCTGTAATCCCAGCTACTCGGGAGGCTGAGGCAGAAGAATCGCTTGAACCCAGGAGGTGGAGGTTGCAGTGAGCCAAGATCACATCACTGCACTCAGGCCTGGGCGTCAGAATGAGATTCCATCTCAAAACAAAAACAAAAACAAAAGATCTTTACTTAGGCTGGGTGCAGTGGCTCACACCTGTAATCCCAGCACTTTGGGAGGCCGAAGCAAGTGGATCGCTTGAGGTCAGGAGTTTGAGAGCAGCCTGGCTAACATGATGAAACCCTGTCTCTACTGTAAATACAAAAATTAGCCCTGTAATCCCAGCTACTCAGGAGGCTGAGGCAGGAGAATTGCTTGAACTCAGGTGGCAGAGGTTGCAATGAGCTGAGATCATGCCACTGCACTACAGCTTGGGCAACAGAGCAAGACTCCATCCAAAAAAAAAAAAAGGAAAGGAGGGGAGGGGAGGCGAAACCAGGCAAAAGGGAAGGATAATAGAGTGAGAGTTGGGAGGACAGAGGGGGCTGAGAAGGGCCTCCTGACTTAGCTGTGTAAAAGTGCACTCTCTTGTTTTTCCTGTTAATTTCCTCACCCTTGACCATAACTCCCAAATGCCAAGTTTCAGCTTCTCTGCCTGGTTCCCCAGGAGCAAGCGAAGGACAAGTGTGTGGTTGTACCCACCTCCTGGTACCCCTGTTCCATTTGAGAAGCCGAGTACATATTCTGTGATAAATGGCTTCTTTAGTCCAAGGAGACAGGCCCTGAGGCTGATTTCCTGGAATGTCAAATTCCGGTAGCTTGTGAAAGCAGTTGAGCCTGTTACTGTTGGCTCCAAACCAGCAAGATGGGGATGTGTGGTCAGGTGATTTCATTTCCTTTCATTTGCTTCTAGCTTAGAAAAACATCTCCCCTGAGTAGCCACTTTGCTGTTCCACACAGACACGGCTGCTGTCTGAGACCTCACTGTCCTTGAATTCAGGGGAAGCAGCAGTGATGTCACAGAGACAGAGACAGGCCTAAGTCTTGGGATCTGACAGGCTGTAACGAGACCCTGGGGGTTTCGTTTATTGGACTAAGCTGGAGAAAGTTCATTGTTGCAGGCCAAAGGATTTAAGGCCCATGTACCCCTTTCATCTCAGAATAGATGTAGTTAACTCCAGCTACTCAGGAGGCTGAGGTGGGAGGATCGCTTGAGCCCAGGAGGTTGAGATTGCAGCAAGCCTTGATCGTTCCACTGCACTTCAGCCTGGGTGACACAGCAAGACCTTGTCTCTAAAAAAATTAAAACAGGCCAAGCATGGTGGCTCTCACCTATAATCCCAGCACTTTGGAAGGCCAAGGTGGGTAGATGGCTTGAGCCCAGGAGTTTGAGACCAGCCTGGACAACATAGAGAGACCCCATCTTTATCAAAAACACACAAAAAATTAGCCAGGTGTGGTGGCACACACCTGTACTCCCAGCTACTTGGAGGCTGAGGTGAGAGGATCCCTTGGGCCCAGGGAGGTCAAGGCTGCAGTGAGCTATGATTTTGCCACTATACTCCAGCCTGGGCGACAGACTAAGACCCAATCTCAAAAAAATATTTACAAATAGGCAGGGCACATTGGCTCACGCCTATAACCCCAACATTTTGGGAGGCCGAGACGGGCGGATCACCTGAGGTCGGGAGTTCGAAACCAGCCTGACCAACATGGAGAAACCCCATCTCTACTAAAGATACAAAATTACCCAGGCATGATGGCACATGCTTGTAATCCCAGCAACTCAGCAGGCTGAGGCAGGAGAATCCCTTGAACCTGGAAGGTGGAGCTTGCAGTGAGCCGAGATCGCGCCATTGCACTCCAGCCTGGGCAATAAGAGCGACACTCCATCTCAAAAAATAAACAAACAAAATAAAAATGAAGAATATATAAGTCTGGATTCTCTTAGGTTTCTTGGTCTTCAGTGTTTAGATTCAAAATAGAGATTTGAGAATGAGAAAAAGATGTTGATTTTGCCAGATGTGGTGGCTCATGCCTGTAATCCCAGCACTTTGGGAGGCCAAGGCAGTAGGATTGCTTGAAGCCAGGAGTTTGAGACCAGCCTGGGCAACACAGCAAGAGCCTGTTTCTACCAAAAAATTAAAAATTAGCCAGGCATGGTGGTGCATCCCTGTAATTCTAGCTACTCAGGAGGCTGAGGCAGAAGACTGCTTGAGCCCAGGAATTCAAGGCTGCAATGAGCTCTGATTGCACCACTGCACTCTAGCCTGGGTGACAGAGCAAGACCCTGCCTCTACAAAAAGAGAGAGAGAGAGAAAAAAAATATTGGTTTCTTCATGTGCATATCCACCCAAGATTAGGACATAGTACCAAACGATTGTAATTCTCCAAGTGTTTATTGAACGGCTGCCCTGTCCCTGGCATTATGGGAAACAGCTCAGCGGAGCTCAGTCCCCACTTCCCAGGAACTTATAGTCTTAATTGTGGAGAGAACAAATAGTCCAAAAACAAAGAGAAGTAATGAAAGAAGAGAGCTACCTTTGTAGTAAAATTCCCTTCCCTTTTCCTATGGTTAGATGGCTTATCCTCAGAGAAAGTCAATTTCTTTTAATGTTACTCTAAACCAAACACTCCTCGGAAGTTAAATCTGCAAAATAACAACATGTGTTCTACAGCAATGAAGAAATTAGCTTTTTGATTATCTACTCTTCCAAAGGATTTGTAGCATGAATTACTCTTTCCTCACCAGCAGGTCACTGAGGACCAGCTTTAAATAATCCTCTGCAGCATCATAATTGAATCCCAGCACCATGGAGTTTATCTCCTTGACAGCCTGTGCCTTTGGGCTGGGGAGGGGGCAGGAAAGCCAGGTGGCTGCTCTGTCCCCTACATGGGGCTGATGAAGACACCCAGCACCCCTCAGGTCCTTCTCCACCCCTAGGTTGAAAGATCTGTTCTACCGCTCCAGCAACCTGCAGTACTTCAAGCGGCTCATTCAGATCCCCCAGCTGCCTGAGGTAAGCATGCCCAACCACACACCCTCGGCACTGCAGAGGCCCCAGGTACTCTCTTAAGGGCCGGCGGGGCCTGGCAAGCAAGCACTATTTGAGGATGTGTCTCCGTCTTCAGAACCCACCCAACTTCCTGCGAGCCTCAGCCCTGTCAGAACATATCAGCCCTGTGGTGGTGATCCCTGCAGAGGCCTCATCCCCCGACAGCGAGCCAGTCCTAGAGAAGGATGACCTCATGGACATGGATGCCTCTCAGCAGGTGAGGACCACTTGGGAGAGAAACTTGGCCTTTCCTCTCACCTGCAAGTACAGGGGAGAGGCTGGGGGAGACCCTGGCCAAAGCCCATTGACTCTAACCAGGTTCAGGCTTCTCTTCATTCACCTAGCACCAACCTAGGCTGAGCATCCTGCTCTGTGGCTCCCAGAAGGGTCATAAATGGGTGCAGTGGCTCACAGCTGTAATCCCAACACTTTGCAAGGCCAAGGTGGGAAGACTGCTTGAGGCCAGTTCAAGACCAGCCTGGGCAACATAGTAAGGCCCCATCTTTACAAAATTAGCCAGATGTGGTGGCACATACCTGTGGTCCCAGCTATGTGGGAAGCTGAGATGGGAGGATCACTTGAGCCTGGGAGGCCAAGGCTACAGTGAGCTGTTATCATGCCACTGCACTCCAGCCTAGGCAAGAGAACAAGAACCAGGCCCTAAAAATATAAATACATAAAATTAAAATAAAAAAATTATCCAGGTATGGTGGCACACACCTATACTTCCAGCTACTCAGGAGGCTGAAACAGGAGGATCACTTGAGCCAGGAGTTGGAGGCTGCAGTGAGCTATGATTGCACCACTGTACTCTAGCCTGGGCAGTAGAGCGAGAACCTGTCTCAAAAAAATTAAAAAAATTAAACAGGTCTGAACCGTTTAATTCGAGAAAGGGGGCATTCTCCCATATCACTCAACTGACCCACACACAGAATTCTCTGGCTCTCTGACTTATTCTCACTCCTTTTTGGTCAACCACAGAATTTATTTGACAACAAGTTTGATGACATCTTTGGCAGTTCATTCAGCAGTGATCCCTTCAATTTCAACAGTCAAAATGGTGTGAACAAGGATGAGAAGTGAGTCCAAGCTGGGTTCAAGCAGATGGTTCAGGAGCTAAGTTAAGCCATGGTCTGCCTCAAAACACTAACCAAAGAGGAATTCTTAATGATACTGGGGCTTCTTAGATACAGAACATCTTGAAGGGTTGGGGGCAATGGCTTATGCCTGTAATCCCAACATGTGGGGAGGATGAGGTAGGAGGATTTTTTAAGGCCAGGAGTTTAAGACCAAGCTTGGGCAACATAGCAAGATCCCATCTTTATTAAATAAAAGTAAAAAAATTAGCTGGGCAGGTGGTACACACCTGTAGTCCCAGTAACTCAGGAGGCTGAAGTGGGAAGATCATTTGAGCCTGGGATATCAAGGCTGCAGTGAGCTATGATCGTGCCACTACACTTCAGCCTGGGCGACAAAGCCAGACTGTCTCTAAAACAAAACCGAAAACACACACAAAAAAGGAATGTCTTGACCCTCAAATATTGGCCCCTTTAATCTCAGAAGAAAATCAATAACCATGGATTTATGAGTATTAGATTAGTATCTGGTAACATTTAGAGTATAATTTATGGCATTTCAAAGAATTGTCCCCAAATTAATACCAGCTTTTAATTTCCTCCCCTGAGCTCACAATTAAAAACAGAGGGATAGAAGCACTATGAAAGCAAACTCATTCCCCTTCTCTTCCCAGGGACCACTTAATTGAGCGACTATACAGAGAGATCAGTGGATTGAAGGCACAGCTAGAAAACATGAAGACTGAGGTATAACTTGGATCTGCTCTGCCTTTGCGCTTCACCAAAACACGGTAGATTTGAATGTTAAATTTGCATCACACTAGCCAGGCACAGTGGCTCACACCTGTAATCCTAGCACTTTGGGAGGCCAAGGCAGGAGGATTACCTGAGGTCGGGAGTTCGAGACCAGCCTGGGCAACAGGGTGAAACCCCCGTCTTCAATAAAAATGCAATAATTAGCCGGGTGTGTTGGCAGGCACCTGTAATCCCAGCTACTCGGGAAGCTGAGGCATGAGAATTGCTTGAACTTGGGAGGCAGAGGTTGCAGTGAACTGAGATCGTGTCACTGCACTCCAGCCTGGGCGATAGAACAAGACTCTGTCTCAAAAAAAAAAAAAAAAATTGCATCACCTAGACAGTTTTTGGACCACATCCTTAGGGTAGGTTAATTAGTAGAAACAAGCCAGGCGTGGTGGTGTGCACCTGTGATCCCAGCTACTCAGGAGGCTGAGGTAGGAGGATCACTCAAGCCCAGGAGTTTTGAATCCAGCCTGGGCAACATAGCGAGACCTGTGTCTCTAAAACCAAATAAAAACTGGTAGAAATGCTAAATCCAAAAGAACCAGGTCTTCCCGTGTTCTCTGTCATAATGCATTTCCATTTTACATGCCATGAGGACAGCATTTAGGCCAGGCACAGTATCCATGTGATTGATACCCAGAGATGACCTTGGTCCCCACGAGGCTGAGAAGCTGTGGAGAACAAGACCAGACCTTCTCACATGGCGATAAGGAGAGATTGGTTTGCCGGGCACAGTGGCTCACGCCTGTAACCCCAGCACTTTGGAAGGCTCAGGCAGAAGGATCACTTGAGCCCAGCAGTTCAAGACTAGCTTGGGCAACATAGCAAGACCCCATCTCTACAAAAAACTTTTTAAAAATTAGCTGGGCATGGTGGTGCATACCTGTAATGCCAGCTACTTGGGAGGCTGAAGCTAGAGGATCTCTTGAGCCTAGGAGGTTGAGGCTGCAGTGAGCCATAATCACCTCACTGCACTCCAGTCTAGGTGATAGTGATACCCTGTCCCTCCCCTCCCCCAACCGCCAAAAAAAAAAGAGAAGAGACAGCTGTGAGCAATGTTGGTGCTATATTAACAACCGCCCCTCACAGTGGCTGGTCAGGTGACTTCACCCACAGGGACAGCCACTGCTACCCCCAGCCACTCTAAAGAGGACCACAATTCCCCGGCCATCATCCCCTGTTATTGTTGTTGATTGAGGGGCTCCTAATGACCAGATGGTCCAACCCTCCTGGGACGTGGAGAGTTGACTTAGGGGAATCAGGTATTTACTTGGAAGCATGGTAGGACCCGCTTCTCCGGCCCATGCCCGTGACCCGTGGCAGTGGGCGGTTGGCCTCATGACCGGAGTCCCCCCACAGAGCCAGCGGGTTGTGCTGCAGCTGAAGGGCCACGTCAGCGAGCTGGAAGCAGATCTGGCCGAGCAGCAGCACCTGCGGCAGCAGGCGGCCGACGACTGTGAATTCCTGCGGGCAGAACTGGACGAGCTCAGGAGGCAGCGGGAGGACACCGAGAAGGCTCAGCGGAGCCTGTCTGAGATAGAAAGTGAGCGGTGGGTGGGGGCGGGGGCGGGCCCCGGGGGCAGGCGCGGGCAGCAGAGCCCAGCTGGACTCAGGATGCGGCACAGAGGCTGGGTGGGGGAGACCCAGACTGTCTTTCTAGAAACAGCTAGGAATGCCAGCTCTTAGCCTCAGTCCAGAGGGCGGGTTTGAGTCCTGCAGGCACAAAGCTGTGTGCGAGGCACCGCTGAGCACAGAGATGGGAAATACAGAAGACAGCACTGAAGTGCTTGCCCTGGGCAGTGGATACTAAGGGAGAAGGAGAGAGGATTGAGGTCCTAACAAAGAAATTGACATAAAAGCTGAGGGCACAGTGGCACATGCCTGTAATCCTAGCACTCTGGGAGGCCAGGATGGAAGGACTGCTTGAGGCCAGGAGTTCAAGACCAACCCGGGCAACATAGCAAGACCCCATCTCTAGAAAAAATAAAAAAGACTAGCCGGGCATGGTGGCACGTGCCTGTAGTCCCAGCTACTCTTGAGGCTGAGACAGGAGGATCGCTTGAGCCCAGGAATTCAAGGCTGCAGTGAGCTGATTGCACCACTGCACTCCGGCCTCTGCAACAGAGAGCCTTGTCTCTAAAAAATTTCAAATAAATTTGTTAAAAAGCTGAAAGCCCCCATAGAATAAATGCCATGTATGTAAGTGCTGAAGAGGCATGAATCCCTGGCTTGATTATTTATTTGTTTTATTTTTTTGAGGTGGAGTCTCACTCTGTCGCCCAGGCTGGAATGCAGTGGTGTGATCTGGGCTCACTGCAACCTCTACCTCCCAGGTTTAAGGGATTGTCCTGCCTCAGCCTCCCGAGTAGCTGGGATTACAGGCACACACCACCATGTCCAGCTGATTTTTGTATTTATAGTAGAGATGGGGTTTCACCATGTTGGTCAGGCTGGTCTTGAACTCCTGACCTCAGGTGATCCACCCACCTTGGCCTCCCAAAGTGCTGGGATTATAGGCATGAGCCACCTCGCTTGGCCCCTGGCTTGATTTTTAACTAGTTGAATTCTTTTTAAAGATGACTTCCTGGAGAAGTTTCTGTAAGTAGGACTTTCAAGGGAGAAAAGCATATATGCATTCCTAAATCAAAGGAAGATCTTTGGCCGGGCACAGTGGCTCATGCCTATAATCCCACTGAGATGGGAGGATCACCTGAGCCCAGGAGTTTGAAACCAGCCTGGAAAACATAGTGAGACCCTGTCTCTACAAAAATTAGCCGGGTGTGGTGGCGTGTGCCCATGAACCCAGCTACTCAGGAGACTGGGGTGGGAGGATGACTTGAGCCCAAGGAGGTCAAGGCTGCAGTGAACAGTGATTGTGCCACTGCACCCCAGCCTGGGTGACAGAGCAAGACTGTCTCAAAACAAAACAAGGAGGACCTTCTAGGGACCCTGGCTCATTGCAAGGAAGGCAAGGGTCCCTGCTAGGTTAGACTCCTCACCTTGGTCCTTTACAATACAGGGAAAGCTCAAGCCAATGAACAGCGATATAGCAAGCTAAAGGAGAAGTACAGCGAGCTGGTTCAGAACCACGCTGACCTGCTGCGGAAGGTAAGACCCTCAGCCCCTGTCACCATCCTGCAGGCCCTGCACCTCTAGGGAGAGAGCGGCTCAGGCCTGTGGCTTCCCCGGGGCCAGCAACCCCTACATTGATCTCTAAGGCATTGCCGTCATCTCGGGAACCACACCTTTTCAGGCTTCCTTGCCTCTGTGTCTTGGGCTGTGTCCTGGGTGCCAATCCCATGTAGGTCACCCACCTTCTTTATTATTTTGTAAATATTTGAGCATCAAGCATCTGAAGGTGATGGCTCTGTTCCGGCTGTGGGTAGGAAAGTGATTCCTGTGTCTGACTCTAGGGCACGCACAGCCTGAGTATGATTGTCCTAGAAGGAGGATGTCCTCTAAGCCTGGGATCTCCTGGTTCAAGACACTGTTCTTCTTTTGCAGAATGCAGAGGTGACCAAACAGGTGTCCATGGCCAGACAAGCCCAGGTAGATTTGGAACGAGAGAAAAAAGAGCTGGAGGATTCGTTGGAGCGCATCAGTGACCAGGGCCAGCGGAAGGTGAGTGGGACGAGGAGCACTCGGGAAATGAGGGAGGGGGCTGTTGAGTTGGTGGCGGGGGCTTTGTGGCCTTCTGCTCCATGGGCAGTTCTGTGGGTCGGTTGGCATCACACAGCAGGGAGCACACCATGGTGGCCACACAGAACAGCAAAACACCGTCACCAGTGCATACACGAAGTAATGGAAGGACCCAAGTTGCCTGGGGTTAATCAACAAAGGCTTTCCAAGGATGAGGCTGGTGGAGAGTTTGAGGAAAGGAAAACACATGGGTGGCAGAGAGAGAGGGATGAGCGTTTTTTTTTGTTTGTTTGTTTTGTTTGTTTGTTTTTTGAGACGGCAGTAATCCCAGGACTTTGGGAGGCTGAGGGGGGTGTGGATCACCAAGTCAGGAGTTCGAGACCAGCCTGGCCAATATGGTGAAACCCCATCTCTACTAAAAATACAAAAGTTAGCCAGGTGTGATGGCGTGTGCCCGTAGTCCCAGCTGCTTGGGAGGCTGAGGCACAAGAATCTCTTGAACCTTGGAGGTGGAGGTTGCAGTGAGCTGAGACTGCACCACTGCACTCCAGCCTGGGCAACAACAGCGAGACTCCGTCTCAAAAATAAATAAATAAATAAATAAATAAATAAATAATAAAAAATCCTTCCTTGACATTCCACATTTTCAGTACACTCTGGGGTCTTGCCTCCTCCTCCCACACCCTGCACTTTTTTGGGGGGGTGTAACTTACATACAGTAGAGTTTACAGATCTCTTGTTGATCGCTTGGGACGTTTTTACATTTTTATATTCTTTGTCACTGTCACCCAGATCAGAGTCCCTCTGTTTTTCTTCTCTTTCAGACTCAAGAACAGCTGGAAGTTCTAGAGAGCTTGAAGCAGGAACTTGCCACAAGCCAACGGGAGCTTCAGGTTCTGCAAGGCAGCCTGGAAACTTCTGCCCAGGTAAATACCTCCTTTTTTTTTTTGGAGATAGAGTCTTCTTCTGTCACTCAGGTTGGAATGCAGTGGTGCGATCGCAGCTCACTGCAGCCTCCACCTCCCTGGGCTCAGGTGATCCTCCCCACTTAGCCCCCCGAGTAACTGGGACTACAGGCACACACCCCTACACCTGGCTAGTTTTTGTATTTTCTTTGGTAGAGACGGGGTTTCACTATGTTGCCCAGGCTGGTCTCGAACTCCAGGGCTCAAGTGATCCTCCCACCTCAGCCTCCTAAAGTGCTGGGATTACAGACATGAGCCTTCATGCCCGGCCTCCTTTCTTGCCCCACCCCTGGCTTTGGCGTTGCTGTCATCCACCATCCTTGGCCTGGCCAAGTCAGCCCCCACTGCAATCAGTGTGTCCCCGGGAGGGAATCAGAGTGGCAGGTTAAAGAGCCATCACCTTCCCAGTCCTTGCAACCCGGTGGTGGGTTGGACCTCTGGGAAGTAGGGACTGTTTAACTCAACCAGCGTCTCCCTCTTTCCTTGTGGTCACCTTTGCAGTCAGAAGCAAACTGGGCAGCCGAGTTCGCCGAGCTAGAGAAGGAGCGGGACAGCCTGGTGAGTGGCGCAGCTCATAGGGAGGAGGAATTATCTGCTCTTCGGAAAGAACTGCAGGACACTCAGCTCAAACTGGCCAGCACAGAGGCAAGTCACGGACATGGACACGAGCGAGCACCTGTGAATTCCCACCGAGGGCCTCTGCGCATGCACGGAGGCTGGGAGGACCCCGGGGCTGCTGAGAAGGGGTTTGGGGCCTTGGCCTGATTGTGCAGACATTCTGTAGGTGTAATGCCAGCAGGCCCTGCATTGCCTGCAGAGTCCATGAGGGAAAGCAAACTGCTGTCTTTTTTGTATGAGAAGAGAAGTTTGGCATCTCCTCCCAGCCATGAGAAGCGGGCGCAGTGATCCATCCCCACAGCCTCTGTGGGCAGCCGCACATCGTGGGCAGCCGCACATCCTGTGCACACAGTTAAAGCGCCTTTCTCTGTCTCAGGCTTACTGGCTTGGACCTCATTGGCCATGACTTGAGCTAAGATGCTAAGAGCCCCAGCCAGGTCATCCTGCTCAGGTTCATTATGGAGTCTAGGGCAGACTCTCACCTCCCTGGACCATTTTTAGGAATCTATGTGCCAGCTTGCCAAAGACCAACGAAAAATGCTTCTGGTGGGGTCCAGGAAGGCTGCGGAGCAGGTGATACAAGACGCCCTGAACCAGCTTGAAGAACCTCCTCTCATCAGCTGCGCTGGGTCTGCAGGTACACTTGCAATTGCCCAGCTGGCAGGGGCCAGGTCCTTACAGCCTGAGACTCTGTTGATGTTGAATCTCATGTGAGACTTAGCTCAGGGGCTCTCAGCCCAGCAGCATGTCAGCATTACCTTAGGGGCGCCCAGGCCCCATCCTAGATCAGTTACATGTGGAAACTCTGTGCATTAGTGCCTATACACTAGTATTTTAGTATTTTCTTCCCCCCCCCCGCCCCCCCGCTTTTTGAGATAGGGTCTTACTCTGTTGCTCAGGCTAGAGTGCAGTGCCGTGGCTCACTGCAACCTCCGCTTCCTGGGCTCACACAATCCTCCCCACTCATTCTCCCAAGTAGCTGGGACTACAGGCACGCAACACCACGCCCAGCTAATTTTTGGTTTCGGTTTGTTGCTCAGACTGGTCTTGAAGACCTGGGCTCAGGCTATCCACCCACCTTGGCCTCCCAAAGTGCTGGGATTACAGGCATGAGCCACCATGCCTGGCCTTGGCTAATTTTTTAATTTTTGGTAGAGACGAGGTCTCACTCTATTGCCCAGGATGGTCCCAAACTTCTGAACTCCCACCTTGGCCTCTCAAAGTGCTGGAATTACAGGCATGAGACACCACGCCAGGCCCAGCAGTAGTATTTTCTAAAGCCCCCAGGTGTGATAGCTACTGCTTTAGACAGTGGGTCACACTGATAAAACACCCACCAGGAGCAGACAATTCTGTTTCTCTAAGGAAAAAACTATGGTCTGAATCAAGAGGTGATTACTCATGAACTTCACGTCTAGGCAGGAAGCTTACCCACTAGGTAAGCTCCTCCATTCAGTGCTTAATTAACGAGGATGAAGCCAGCTATGAGAACTTGCTCTGACCTTGCCCTGTGTTCCCTCTCACAGATCACCTCCTCTCCACGGTCACATCCATTTCCAGCTGCATCGAGCAACTGGAGAAAAGCTGGAGCCAGTATCTGGCCTGCCCAGAAGGTAAGAATGGCCAAGGACAGTCTCTGTCGGCTAGTGATGGCCAGACAGGGTTCAGAAGCACCTGAATGCGGGGATAGTGACAGGTCCCTCTGCATCAAGAAAGGCATGTAGGCAACTCATACAAGAAAGGCATGTAGGCAACTCATAAAACGGGAGGAGAGGGTATGAAAGTGTCACCATCAACCAGACCTGAGAAACTTCTCTTTCCAATCCTGGCAGACATCAGTGGACTTCTCCATTCCATAACCCTGCTGGCCCACTTGACCAGCGACGCCATTGCTCATGGTGCCACCACCTGCCTCAGAGCCCCACCTGAGCCTGCCGACTGTGAGTACCGGGGCATGAGGGGCTGTTCATGGACCAGGGGAGCAGGGGGCCTTTAAAAGTCTCTGTTGGGCCGGGCGCAGTGGCTCATGCCTGTAACTCCAGCACTTTGGGAGGCTGAGGCGGGCAGATCACTTGAGGTCGGGAGTTCAAGAACAGCCTGGCCAACATGGCAAAACCCCATCTCTACTAAAGATACAAAAACGATGGGCCAGATGCAATGGTTCACGCCTGTAATCGCCGTAACACTTTGGGAGGACGAGGTGGGCAGATCACCTGAGGTCAGGAGTTCGAGACCAGCCTGGCCAACATGGCGAAACCCCGTCTCTACTAAAAATACAAAAATTAGCCGGGCATGGTGGCGCACCCGTAATCCCAGCTACTTGGGAGGCCGAGGCAGGAGAATCGCTTGAACTCAGGAGGCGGAGTTTGCAGTGAGCCGAGATGGCGCCACTGCACTCCAGCCTGGGCAACAAGAGCGAGACTCCATCTCAAAAAAAAAGTGTCTATTGCCTTGTATCTCCAGCACTGACCGAGGCCTGTAAGCAGTATGGCAGGGAAACCCTCGCCTACCTGGCCTCCCTGGAGGAAGAGGGAAGCCTTGAGAATGCCGACAGCACAGCCATGAGGAACTGCCTGAGCAAGATCAAGGCCATCGGCGAGGTACTTGGAGTAGTATCATTGAGGAGCATTGTTATTCTTCTGGGTGTGCGTGCTGGTGAATGGCCAGGGAATCGGTGATGTTCTGAGCTAGTTCTTTCTGCACTTAGAACTTGATTCTAGAAAGAGATTGTTAAAATTGGAAAATCTGGCCGGGTGCAGTGATTTATGCGTGTAATCCCAGCACTTTGGGAGGCCGAGTCAGGAGGATCACTTGAGGCTAGACGGGATGGCTCACGCCTGTAATCCCAGCACTTTGGGAGGCTGAGGTGGGCAGATCACTTGAGGTCAAGAGCTAGAGACCAGCCTGGCCAACAGGGTGAAACCCTGTCTCTACTAAAAATACAAAAATCAACCCAGCATAGTGGTGCATGCCTATAATCCCAGGTACTGGGAGGTGGAGTCAAGAGAATTGCTTGAACCCAGGAGGTGGAGGTTGCAGTGCACCGAGATCATGCCATTGCACTCCAGCCTGGGCATAAGAGTGAGATCTATCTCGAAAAAAAAAAGGATCACTTGATCCCAGAAGTTTGAGACAGGCCTAGGCAACAAAATGAGACCCTGTCTCTTTAAAAATTAAAAAAAAAAAAATTTAAAAAGGAAAAACCTCCTGAAGGACTTTCCAGCTATATTTAATTCACTGGCTGTTAGCTGAGAATCTACTATGTTGTCATCATTACACTAGGCAATATCAAAGAAGTATAGGCAGCTCCCCTGTCTCTGAGGATTTTTATCTAGGTGGGCAGGTAATACCCAAAATGGAAATAACACTGTGTTCATTCATTTACTAAAGATGTAGTGCCGAGCATGGTGGCTCACACCTGTAATCCCTGCACTTTGGGAGGCCGAGGCAGGAGGATCACTTGAGGCCAGGAGTTCAATATCAGCCTAGGCAACATAGTGAGACCCTGTCTCTACAAAATAAAATTTTTTTTTTAATTAGACAGGTGTGATGTCACGCACCTGTAGTCCCAGCTACTCGGGAGGCTGAGGCAGGAGGATCGCTTGAGCCCAGGATTTGGAGGCCACAGTGAGCTATGATTGTGCCACTGCACTCCAGCCTAGGCAACAGAGTGAGACCCTGCCTCTGCTATAAATAAATATGTCCTGTATACCAGAAATTGGGTTAAGTATATATAGGGACAGAGAAGACATGGACTCTATGGAAAAGAAAAATAAGAAAACCATTTCTATGCAGTACAGTTTTTTTTCATTTTTTCCCCAGTGTTATGAATTGGAATATATTGGTTAAGATACAAGGATAGGGCCAGGCACGGTGGCTCACGCCTGTAATCCCAACATTTTGGGAGGCCGAGGCAGGTGGATCACCTGAGGTCAGGAGTTCTAGACCAGCCTGGCCAACATGGCAAAACCCCATCTCTACTAAAAGTACAAAAAATTAGCCAGGCGTGATGGTAGGCGCCTGTAATCCCAGCTACTTAGGAGGCTGAGGCAGGAGAATCACTTGAACCTGGGAGGCTGAGGTTGCAGTGAGCTAAGATCGTGCCTTTGCACTCCAACCTGGGCAACAGGAGCGAAACTCCACTCAAAAAATAAATAAAAAATAAAAGCCATGAGGATAGACTGTCTAATTGGAGTTCCAGAAGAAGATAATAAAAAGACCACATCCAGCCAAGGTGGGTGGATCAATTGAGGCCAGGAATTTGAGACCAGCCTGGGCAACTTAGTGGCGCCCTGTCTCTACAACAAATTTAAAAATTGGCCGGGTGTGATGGTGAGCACTTTTGGTCCCAGCTACTCAGGAGGCTGAGGCAGGAGGATCACCTAAGCCTGGGAGCTCAAGACTGCAGTGAACCGTGTACTCTGCAGTGAATTGCAGAGTGTACTCTGCAGAGTGGTTCACCTGCAGTGAACCACTGTACTCCAGCCTGGGTGAGAGAGTAAGACCCTGTCTCTAAAAAGAAAAAATAAAAAGATCAGGGCCAGGTGTGGTGGCTCACGCCTGTAATCCCAGCACTTTGGGAGGCTGAGGTGGGTGGATCACTTGAGGCCAGGAGTTTGAGACCAGCCTGGCCAATATAGTGAAACTCCATCTCTATTAAAAATACAAAATTAGCCAGTTGTGGTGGCTAATTTTGTAATCCCAGCACATACCTGTAATCCCAGCTACTTGAGAGGCTGAGGCAGGATAATCCTTTGAGCCTGGGAGGCGGAGGCTGCAGTGAGCCGAGATTGCACCACTGCACTCCAGCCTGGGCGACAGAGTGAGACACTGCCTCAAAAAAAAAAAAAAAAAAAAAAAAAATTATCATCTACATCTTTGCCTCCCTAAATAATAGAGTTAGTTTCACATGATATAGACTACAGGTAAATGGAGTCCTACTGTATATATTCTTCTACAACTGGCTTTTTCACTCCACATTCTGTGAGATTAATCCAAGAAGATAAATTCATTTTCACTGCTCTCTCATTATCTATTGTGTGAATATCGCTTAATTCATCCGTCTGTTCTCTTGGTGATGGACACTTGGGTTATTTCCAGTTTGGGTTGTTATTAATTTGCCCCTATGATCATATATGCACACATGTCAGTTTCTCTAGAGTATATACATAGAATCAGAATTACTAGGTATTAGGATGAATCTCACACATAGAATGTTGAGTGAAAAATCAAGTCATGGAAAAATATATACAGTAGGATTCCTTTTATATAAAGACTCAAACATTCAAACTTAATAGGGATGCATCTATGTGGAATTAAAAAATAATAATAATAAGACAGGCCAGGCATAGTGGCACATGTCTGAAAATCCCAGCACTTTGGGAGGCCGAAGCGGGAGGATCACTTGAGGCCAGGAGTTTGATACAGCCTGGGCTACAAAGCAAGACTCTGACTCTACAAAAAAGTTTAAAAGTTAGCAGAGCCTAGTGGTGTGTGCCCGTTGTCCCAGCTACTCAGGAGGCTGAGGCAGGGAGGATCACTTGAGCCCAGGAGTGGGAGGCTGCAGTGAGCTATGATCGCACCACTGCACTCTAGCCTGGGCAACAGGCTTTTATGTTTTGTCTTTAAAAAATAAAAATAAAATAAGACACAACAACCACGCTCTTGAATTCTGTGTCTCTTGGGGTAGAAGGCAGGGAGTAAGGGAGATAGAATCAGGGCACATACAAGTTCAAATAGGATTCCAAAGGTATTGATGTTTCTTACAGCATTCCTTAAGTTTTAAGTTGGGTGGTGGATAACATGCGTCTTTATTCTTATCCTTTGAACCATTCATATATATTTTATACCTTAGTATGTATAACACATCATGTTTTAAAAATCATAGGCTTTGCTGTTTGTCAGACCTTAGTTCAAATCCCTGCCCTGCCATTTGTTACCATAACTGTGGTCAAGACGTTCTACCTCTGATCCCTGGCTTCCTATCTGCACAGTAGGAATAATACCCGCCTCATATGATCACTGTGGAAGCAAAGTTAAGTCAGGGTCAAAGTGGAAGATATCATCTGTATTTGAAAAAGTTGTAGGCCAGGTATAGTAATTCAATCCCAGCACATTGGGAAGCCAAGACAGGAGGATCACTTGAGCCCAGGAATTCAAGACCAGCCTGGGCAACATAGTGAGACCCCATCTCTATTAAAAAAAAAAAAAAAACAATTATCCGGGCTTGGTGGTGCACCTCTGTACTCCCAGATACTCTGGTGGTAGAGGTGGGAGAATTGCTTGAGCATGGAAGGTCGAGGCTGCAGTGAGCTATGATCATGCCACTGCACTCCATCTCTGGTGACAGGGCAAGACTGTGTCTCAAAAAAATAAAAAATTAGGGCCAGGTGTGGTGGCTTACACCTGTAATCCCAGCACTTTGGGAGGCTGAGGCAGGAGGATTACCTGAGGTCAGGAGTTTGAGACCAGCCTGGGCAAAATAGTGAAACCCATCTCTACTAAAAATATAAAAATTAGCTGGGCATGGTGGTGCAAACCTGCAATCCCAGCTACTTGGGAGGCTGAGGCAGGATAATCCCTTGAGCCCGGGAGGCGGAGGCTGCAGTGAGCCGAGATTGTGCCACTGTACTCCAGCCTGGGCAACAGATTGAGACTCTGTCTCAAAAAAAAAAAAAAAAGAAAAGAAAAGAAAGAAAGCAAAAGAAAAAGAAAAATTGTAAAAAAATACCTCCTGTGTAGCTAGTACAATTGACACTGCACAACTAAGGGACTGGGGTCTTAGTGGTGGCGGAATGGCCTTGCAGGGGGAGGCAGCGATGGCATTCTGGAAGGAGGTGGATCCTGAGTGAGGAGGAGCATGAGGTTCCAGAGTTTGTGTCACAGAGAGGACAAGATGGGGTCTGCAAAAGACCCCCCCACAACCCCTGTGGCTTGCAGAAGGTGTTTGCTGGGTGGCCTCCTGCCTTGCCATCTTGTAAGGGTTACAGATGGCAGAGGAGAAGAGACAGGAGGCCCCAAGGTCAGTTCAGCCTTTGTGATGTGTTCACAGGAGCTCCTGCCCAGGGGACTGGACATCAAGCAGGAGGAGCTGGGGGACCTGGTGGACAAGGAGATGGCGGCCACTTCAGCTGCTATTGAAACTGCCACGGCCAGAATAGAGGTAGGAGGTTCCTGCAGGATCTCCTGAAACGATGCCTTTGCAGCTGCCCTTCTGCAACACTGCTCATTAAACATGTCACAGTCGTTCATTAAGGCCATGGCAACCCCCTAAGACAGAAACCAGAATTTGCCAGGCACAGTGGCTCATGCCTGTAACCCCAGCACCTTGGGAGGATCACTTGAGTCCAGGAGTTTGAGACCAGCCTGGACATCATAGCAAGACCCCATCTCTACAAAAGATAAAATAATTAGCTGGGCATGGTGGTGCATGCTTATAGTCCCAGCTACTCCAGAGGCTGCAGGAGGATCACTTGAGCCCAGGAATTGGAGGCTACAGTGAGCCATGATTGCACCACTGCACTCTAGCCTGGGTGAGAGAGTGAGACCCTGTCTGTAAAAATGTTTTTAAATTATAAAAAAAAAAAAGAGAGACCAAAATCTGAACTCGCTAGTTTTTCTGAGTGATAGAAAATGAGAAGGTCCTCATGAGAGAAGGTCCTCATGAGAGAAGGTGATTAGTTTCCTCAAGAATCAGATACTTTGGTGTCAGAACATCCTGGGTTCTGGCCAGGCGTGGTGGCTCACGCCTGTATTCCCAGCACTTTGGGAGGCCGAGGCAGGCAGATCATGAGGTCAGGAGTTTGAGACCAGCCTGGACAACATGGTGAAACCTGGTCTCTACTAAACATACAAAAATTAGCTGGGCGTGGTGGCGCGTGCCTGTAATCCCAGCCACTCAGAAGGCTGAGGCAGAAGAATCACTTGAACCCAGGAGGCGGAGGTTGCAGTGAGCCGAGATCGTACCGCTCACTCCAGCCTGGGTGACAGAGTGAGACTCCATCTCAAAACAAAACAAAATGACACGGATCACAGAGCCAGCCCACTGCAGCTGCACTCCCCCTGAATAGGTTAGAGTCTGGATTCTTTTCTGACTCTCTCAAGAATGTGGGCAGGGACTTGGGGACTTCCAGATTCAGGTTTCCCAGCTACCACACGATGTTGGACTGAAAGTATAGTAAGACATTAGTGGATCCTTAATATTCAAGGCACATTTAGAAACCATGCTTCTTTTTCACAGGAGATGCTCAGCAAATCCCGAGCAGGAGACACAGGAGTCAAATTGGAGGTGAATGAAAGGTCGGTCTGAGCGGCATGGTGGGACCTAGGGGAGCAGGATCTGTCTTCCTGACATTGGTCTATACTTTGCATACTTATTAGGGAATTAGAGGAGAGCAGTAGCAGCCACGGGGAAGGGCTGAGTTGATGTAATCATCAATAACAGTATTAATGATGACAGCAATATTGCTGTTTCACTATAGAAAAGAAACCCGCGCGGTAGCTCCCGCCTGTAATCCCAGCACTTTGGGAGGCTGAGGAGGGAGGATCACCTGAGGTCGGGAGTTCGAGACCAGCCTGCCCAATGTGGTGAAAAGTCATCTTTACTAAAAATACAAAAATTAGCCAGGCGTGGTGGTGCATGCATGTAATCCCAGCTACTTTGGAGGCTGAGGCAGGAGAATCACTTGAACCTGGGAGGTGGAGGTTGCAGTGAGCCAAGATCGTGCCTCTGCACTCTAGCCTGGGCGACAGAGCAAGACTCTGTCTCAAAAAAGAAGAAAAGAAGTCCTAGGAATCACAATTTCACTATTCCTTACGATGGAGACCCACAATTAGATCTCTCTCACTCCCCAGCCTCTCCTTCGGTGCCTCCCCGCAGAATGTTCCAGCAACCTCAGCACCCTTCTTACCTCCCTTTCCCATTCCAAGCTTGCCTTTGGCTAGGAGTGGGGAAGAGAACCGTCGTGTTCATTGATCTTGGATCTTGATCTCAGTGTATCCTCGACTTGTTTGTTTGGCAGGATCCTTGGTTGCTGTACCAGCCTCATGCAAGCTATTCAGGTGCTCATCGTGGCCTCTAAGGACCTCCAGAGAGAGATTGTGGAGAGCGGCAGGGTGAGCGTGGGTGTGGGCCCTGGGCAGGAAGAGGAGGCATTGGTGACAGACTCCCGCTCCAACGGACTCTGTGATGCTGCCGTCTTACTCTGTGTGTCCACCTGAGTACAGAGCAGCCACTCCTGTAGATATCAGCAGAGGCCCTGGGGAGAAGTCAGAGCTCCAGGACCTCCCCAGAGGGTGGCCAGGCATGTGTCCCAACTCCAGCTCCCTTCGCACAGGCAGACATTGTTGGAACTTGCTGTGGGAGCCCTTTTTACATTGCAAACCTGGGTACTCTGAGGGGGACATGAGGACTTTTGCAAAAGAAGCAGATCCTGAATGCCAGCTTGAGACTGGCTTTTCACAGGGAGTTCGGCCTAATCTGTTTCTAACAGCAGAGTCAACTCACCCTTACAAATAGACTCTGCTGTCAGCCTCTTATCAACGCACCACTTCGTGGTCTCACACCTTTGCTGGGATTATCATCATCTTGTTTTTTTCCCATTTCCCCATATGCCGCCGCAGCTCGGGAGGCGTAAGTCCAGGGGAGGGGTTAATGAGCCTGAGAACGGTGCCATAAAGCAAGCAGCCAGGCCTGCTTTGCTGGTGCCTTTTATCTTCCTGAGAGCTGATGTTTTCTGTTTCTAAAATAGAAAGATGGACTGGACAAGGATTATCTGCAGATTCTCAGACTATCAGACACTTCCAAAGCATAAAAACATTTTTCAAATCCAAGTAGAAATATTTTTTTTTAATGTATTCACTGTGTAGTCTCCTTTTTTTGGCAAATCGCAGAGAGTGGCTAGACTCTTTTCAGATCATAACTTATTCATATGAGAATATTTATTCTTATATATACAATACAGAAATGTCATGGTATGGTAGAAATGCTACAGGCTTTGGAGTCAGAAAAGCCCAAGATTTACTTCCATTTATTTCCTGCATGACCTTGGGAAAAGTCTTTTTGTTTGTTGTTTTGTTGTTTTGGGTTTTTTGTTTGCTTGTTTGTTTGTTTTTGAGACTGAGTCTCGCTCTGTCGCCAGGCTAGAATGCAGTGGTGCAATCTCGGCTCACTGCAACCTCTGCCTCCTGGGTTCAAGCGATTCTCCTGCCTCAGCCTCCCGAGTAGCTGGGATTCCAGGCACACACCACGCCCAGCTAATTTTTGTATTTTTAGTAGAGACGGAGTTTCACCATGTTAGACAGGATGGTCTCAATCTCTTGACCTCGTGATCTGCCCGCCTTGGCCTCGCAAAGTGCTGGGATTACAGGCGTGAACCACCGCGCCTAGCCAGGGTTTTGTTTTGTTTTGTTTGAGACAGAATCTCGCTCTGTTGCTCAGGCTAGAGTGCAGTGACGCGATCTCGGCTCACTGCAACCTCCGCCTCCTAGGTTCAAGTGATTGTCCTGCCTCAGCCTCCTGAGTAGCTGGGATCACAGGCACCCACCACCACACCTAGCTAATTTTTGTATTTTTAATAGAGACAGGGTTTCACCATGTTGCCCAAGCTGGTCTTGAACTCCTGACCTCAAGTGATCCACCTGCCTCAGCCTCCCAAAGTGCTGGGATTACAGGCGAGCGCCACTGCACCCAGCTGGAAAAGCCATTTTGGTCTCTGAATCTTCTTCTTTTTTGTAAAATGGGAATACTAATGCTTATGTCTCAGAGTTACTATGAGGATGATTTGGGATAATATATGTATAAAAGCACCTGCCATATAGTACATGCTCAATAAAAGGTGGCTATTACTATTTTTTATTTCCCTAGGGTACAGCATCCCCTAAAGAGTTTTATGCCAAGAACTCTCGATGGACAGAAGGACTTATCTCAGCCTCCAAGGCTGTGGGCTGGGGAGCCACTGTCATGGTGTAAGTATCTATTGGTACCAAGGGTCCTCCCATGACCCCTCTTCCATTGATCCACTCCAAACAATAGCTAAGGAGGGAAAAAAAAATCTGTCCCTTAGAAATAAACTATTGATCAGGAAGTCAATAGGACCGAGTTTACAAGGGAGCCTGGCTCTCCCAGGGGACACAGGGCAGGCAGCCTCCCCTCCCTGTTTAGCCAAGGGCGATGGGGTGGTCTGGAGGTGGGATTGTGGAGGAGTTGCAGCTCATTTGCCCGTAACCTAGTCCCTCTTGTCGTTTTCCATCAGGGATGCAGCTGATCTGGTGGTACAAGGCAGAGGGAAATTTGAGGAGCTAATGGTGTGTTCTCATGAAATTGCTGCTAGCACAGCCCAGCTTGTGGCTGCATCCAAGGTAGGACCTGGCTGGACCTCCTAGGACGCTGGAAGGCCTGGTTAGAGAGTACTAGGCTAGGTTAAAGAGTACTTGGCTGCGTTAGGCAGTACTTGGCTGAGTTAGAGAGTACTTGGCCAGGTTAGATGGCACTTGGCTAGGTTAGACTGTACTTGGCTAGGTTAAAGAGTACTAAGGGGTTAGAGAGTACTTGGCTAGGTTAGATGGTACTTGGCTGGGTTAGAGAATACTAAAGGATTAGAGAATACTTGGCTACGTTAGATAGTACTTGGCTAGGTTAGAGAGTACTTGGCTAGGTTAGATGGTACTTGGTTAGGTTAGATGGTACTTGGCTAGGTTAGAGACTACTTAGGAGTTAGAGAGTACTTGGCTAGGTTAGATAGTACTTGGATGATGGGATGGAACTGGCCTTGAGAACAAATGATCTATCCAGGGCTCAGGTGGATTCGATTCCAAATAAAAATTCACCCTGTTAAGGGTCCCATACTATCCTCTTACAGAGGCTTTTTTTTTTTTTTTTTTGGAGACAGAGCCTTGCTCTGTCACCCAGGCTGGAGTGCAGTGGCGTGATCTCAGCTCACTGCAACCTCTGCCTCCCGGGTTCAAGTGATTCTCCTGACTCAGCCTCCCGAGTAGCTGGGACTACAGACACGTGCCACCACGCCCAGCTAATTTTTTGTATTTTTAGTGGAGACGGGGTTTCACCGCGTTAGCCAGGATGGCCTCGATCTCCTGACCTTGTGATCCACCCACCTCAGCCTCCCAAAGTGCTGGGATTACAGGCGTGAGCCACCACACCTGGCCTTAGAGGCCTTTCATGTGACAGCAAGGAACGTCTGTACCCAGTCTGTACCCAGGTGTGCCACACATGTCCCTCGTGGCTTTCCTCACATCTGTTACAAGTGGCCTTAGAGAGTCCCAGCAATGCCAACTTCCGATTAGCAGTCCTGGCATTCAAGAAACACTCGAATAAGGAATAGGTTGGCATCATGAACAGGTTACCTGGCTTGGCTGTGAGATTCTACAACCCCTCTTTATTAGTGTTCAAATTTGAATCAGGCCGGGCACGATGGCTCGCTCCTGTAATCCCAGCACTTTTAGGAGGCCTGAGGTCGGGAGTTCAAGACCAGCCTGGCCAACATGGTGAAATCCAGTTTCTACTAAAAATACAAAAAATTAGCCGGGTGTGGTGGCGGGCACTTGTAATCCCAGCTGCTTGGGAGGCTGAGGCAGGAGAATTGCTTGAACCTGGGAGGTGGAGGTTGCAGTGAGCTAAGATCATGCCATTGCACTCCAGCCTGAGCAACAAGAGCAAACTCTGTCTAAAAAAAAATTATTTTTTGAATCAATATCATCAATGCCCCCAACTGATTCTCATGTAAAGTGTGCCCCAAATCCTTTTTAAGAGTTTCACAGTATCCCAGAGTGTTCTTTATTTGTCCTTATTTCTTGTCATCCCAAATTGGTTTCCACAACTGGGCACATTGTCCAAATAAGTGATAATGCTTAGAGTTTGGGATCCACCAAGCAAAGAAGCCAGGAATAACTTTTTATATGATAGATATGTCAGGAGCTGACTATAGTCAGCAGATTTTGAGAAGCTGATTGGTGATTGCCGTTTGGCCCACATATGTTTGCTAAGAACCATCAGAGCAATTATCTGATTCAGTCCTTGTTGCTCTAGGTGTTGTATGAACCTAAATCTGCTTTGTCCTGGTAGGTGAAAGCTGATAAGGACAGCCCCAACCTAGCCCAGCTGCAGCAGGCCTCTCGGGGAGTGAACCAGGCCACTGCCGGCGTTGTGGCCTCAACCATTTCCGGCAAATCACAGATCGAAGAGACAGGTAGCCTTTCCAAAGGGACCCTTTTCTTACCCACCCTGTTGAGCTCTTCTCTGCATCCTTCCCTGTGATCCCAACCAAATCCCACAGGACTGTGTCTAAATTCTTTCATATTTTTCATCTTTTTATTTTATTTTTTCTTTATTTCTGTTTTTGAGACAGGGTCTCACTCTGTCGCCCAGGCTGGAGTGCAGTGGTACCATCTCTGCTCACTGCAACCTCCACCTCCCTGGTTCACACGATTCTCCTGCCTCAGCTTCCCGAGTAGCTAGGATTACAGGCGCCCGCCACCATGCCTGGCTAATTTTTGTATTTTTAGTAGAGACGGGGTTTCACTATGTTAGCCAAGCTGGTCTCGAACTCCTCACCTCAGGTGATCTGCCCACCTTGGCCTCCCAAAGTTTGCTGGGATTATAGGTGTGAGCCACCGCGCCCTGCCATTTTTTTTTCTTTTTTTTAGATGGAGTCTTTCTCTTGTTGCCCAGGCTGGAGTGCAATGGCGCAATCTTGGCTCACTGCAACCTCCGCCTCCAGGGTTCAAGTGATTCTCTTGCCTTAGCCTCCCAAGTAGCTGGAATTACAGGCGCCCACCACTGCACCCAGCTAATTTTTGTATTTTTAGTAAAGACGGGGTTTCACCATGTTGGCCAGGCTGGTCTCAAACTCCTGACCTCATGATCCACCCACCTCAGCCTCCCAAAGAGCTAGGATTACAGGAGTGAGCCACCGTTGTCTGGCCCCCTCACTTACTTTCATGCAGTGTTGACAAATGGCAAGCCAGGCGTTTCCACAGAGCATTGGCATTGGCTGCCTCTCAGGTGCCAGTCAGCCAGGGTAGAATTTGATGAGACCTTCTTGTTTCCATCCTTGCAGACAACATGGACTTCTCAAGCATGACGCTGACACAGATCAAACGCCAAGAGATGGATTCTCAGGTGAGAGCTCCATCTGTAAGTCTAGATAGCCTCTATTGCCTAGACATGGACTCTGAATATTATTCCCATGGAGAAAAGCCAGAGGGAAATGAACACAGGTGCACCTACTAACCCAAGACTGAATGTAAATCTTGCCGGAAGAAACAGTGGAGGTAGAGAAGGTGATTAGTGAATCACCTTGTTTTTTTTTTTTGTTTGTCTTGTTTTGTTTTTTTTCTTTTTTGAGACGGAGTCTCGTCCTGTCGCCCAGACTGGAGTGCAGTGGCGTGATCTTGGCTCACCGCACTCTCCACCTCCCAGGTTCAAGCAATTCTTCTACTTCAACCTCCCAAGTAGCTGGGATTACAGACGTGCGTCACCACACCTAGCTAATTTTTTTTTTTTTTTTGAGACGGAGTCTTGCTCTGTCGCCCAGGCTGGAGTGCAGTGGTGTGATCTCGGCTCACTGCAAGCTCCCTCTCTCAGGTTCACGCCATTCTCCTGCCTCAGCCTCTCTGAGTAGCTGGAACTACAGGCGCCCACCACCATGCCTGGCTAATTTTTTGTATTTTTAGTAGAGACAGGGTTTCACCGTGTTAGCCAGGATGGTCTCGATCTCCTGACCTCGTGATCTGCCTGCCTTGGCCTCCCAAACTGCTGGGATTACAAGCGTGAGCCACCGTGCCCAGCCTTAATTTTTTATTTTTAATAGAGATAAGGTTTCACCATGCTGGCCAGGCTGGTCTCAAACTCCTGACCTTGTGATCTGCCCACCTGGGCCTTCCAAAGTGCTGGGATTACAGGCGTGAGCCACCGGCCCTTTTTTTTTTTTAAATAAGATAGAGACGGGGTCTTACTATGTTGCCCAGGCTGGTCTCAACTCCTGGCCTCACACAACCCTCCTGCCTCAGCCTCCCAAAGGGCTGGGATTACAGGTGTGAGCCACCACACCCAGCCAAGATCAGACTCTTAACTCTTGCCCACTATTCTTGGACTAACGTTCCTTTACATGTTATCCAGGATCTCTTAGTATCCACAAACTTAATAGTCTTACTATAAACACTGTTTTAGACTTCTGGTATGAATTATTTGCGTATGACTTTTAGTTTTAAAAGAGAAAATCCTTTTAACTCATCAAAGGCAATGCCATTATTTCTCTCTGTTGTTCTATAAAGTCATATTATGTAAAATAGGTATCAGCGAGATCCTTTAAAAAAAAATTGACATAGTTTTTCTAGAATAACTGGTCATCAGTCTTGGGGTGAATTTCAAATTGGAATTGTTAAAGTACTCCAAGATGTGTCACTCAGCATTTTTTTTTCTTTTTTTGAGTCAGGGCCTTGCTCTGTTCCCCAGGCTGGAGTGCATTGGTGTGATCACAGCTCACTGCAGCCTCAAACTCCTGGGCTCAGGCGGATCCTCCCACCTCAGCCTCCTGAGTAGCTGGGACTACAGATACACACCACCATGCCCAGCTAATTTTTCCTTCTTTTTTTTTTTTTTTTTTGAGACCGAGTCTTGCTCTGTTGCCTAGGCTGGAGTGAGTACAATGGCACGATCTTGGTTCACTGCAACCTCCGCCTTCCAGGTTCAAGCGATTCTCCTACCTCAGCCTCCAAAGTAGCTGGGATTACAGACATGCACCACCACACCTGGCTAATTTTGTATATTTTTAGTAGAGACGGGGTTTCATCATGTTTGTCAGGCTAGTCTCTAACTCCTGACCCCAGGTGATCCACCCACGTTGGCCTCCCAAAGTGCTGGGATTACGGGCATAAGCCACCATGCCCGGCCAGCAAATATTCCTTGAATTAAGAAATAAAATAAATTACATTAATGAGAAGTAGAGCTAGACAAGATCACCCTTTCCTTTATAGTAAGATTTTCCAGGCTTTTTCCTGTAGCAGTAATAAGTGTAAGTTGCACAAATACCTGAAAGATATCAGAACCATCATATTTGCTTCCTACCTGGGTTTCTAGGGAACTGGGATTGAAGAAGGGTTACAACTAGATTGGTACTCACCATACAGTTAGGCTAAACATTAGAGTTGTTTTTAGATAGTGATTTCTCAGAGGAACAGAAGATAAGCCCACCTACCATTTAGGCATTTGTAAAGCATCATTCACTTCCAGTAGAAGATCACAGTGAGTAAAGCATAAGAGCTACTGGGATAGATAAATGAATGGGAGAATGGAAAAATTAGAGCAAAGAAGAGAATTGAAATTGAGGGCCAGATAAAGTATGGAAACGGTGAATAATATGGAAGAAGAGGAATTCACAATGCAGCAGAAAGGGAGTAATCAAAATAAGATAGATGTAGGCTGGGCATGGTGTTTCATGCCTGTAATCTCAGCACTTTGGGAGGCCAAGACAGGAGGATCTCTTGAGGCCAGGAGTTCACTACCAGCCTGGGCAGCAGAACAAGACCCCATCTCTATAAAAAAATAAATAAAAATTAAATCTCTGAGAGATGATTAAGAGAAAATCCCACTTAATTTCCCTTACAGGTTAGGGTGCTAGAGCTAGAAAATGAATTGCAGAAGGAGCGTCAAAAACTGGGAGAGCTTCGGAAAAAGCACTACGAGCTTGCTGGTGTTGCTGAGGGCTGGGAAGAAGGTAAGCTGACTCCAAGGATGGGCACTAACCCGCAGCAGGGAGGGGAAGCTGTGTGGCCAGGGCCTTCCCCTAGAATGGAACAGAACAAGGAACCCACCAGATCGGTGGCTTCTTCCTTCTCTTCTCTCCTCATGGAACCTGTTTTCTCTTCCGTTGTAAATAACCTTTAAGCCTAACTTTGGGTGAAGTTATGGTGATTTGAAAGCTTTTGTTGTCACCTTTTAAGACCTAAACATTGATCATAACTCACTCACTGCCATTCCCTCCCAGGCCCAGCTAGCCTTGCCAACTCCCTGGGAATTTAGTTTCTGGCCAGCAGAGAGTTGAAAAATGAATAAATAGTGGTCAGTCGAGATCTGGCAGACAGGGACAAGTGAATTACAAGGTTCTGTCTATCTAGAGCCAGTGAAGGGCAACAATTGCCAAAAGACAGAAGGGATCAGGTGCTAGGCCGGGCGTGGTGGCTCACGCCTATAATCCCAGCACTTTGGGAGGCCGAGGCGGGCGGATCACGAGGTCAGGAGATCGAGACCATCCTGGCTAACACGGTGAAACCCCGTCTCTACTAAAAATACAAAAAATTAGCCTGGCGTGGTGGTGGGCGCCTGTAGTCCCAGCTACTCAGGAGGCTGAGGCAGGAGAATGGCGTGAACCCGGGAGGCGGAGCTTGCAGTGAGCCGAGATCGCGCCACTGCACTCCAGCCTGGGCAACAGAGCGAGACTCCATCTCAAAAAAAAAAAAAAAAAAAAAAGAAGGGATCAGGTGCTGAGAAATGGAGTGGCATGGAGTCACATTCAGGCTGCCAGCCCAGAGACTTGCCATCCATCACCTCGAGTCTATATGTTGTTGTCTGCATGTCGAAAGCAGTCAACTTGATCACAGCCAAGACTGTTCACTCTTAGTGGACTTGACTGACTCTGGGCACCAACCATAGACAGATCCTAGTCATTCCTAGACACGAAACTTGGGGACTATGTGATTACACCATGGTTATAATTATAATGTATTTTTGAGCCCCCATGGTGGCAGGTTTTGTTGGTTAAGTGAATGAATGCATTCATGAGTGCTTTGCAACATAAATTATCATTGTCTTTTAGGAACAGAGGCATCTCCACCTACACTGCAAGAAGTGGTAACCGAAAAAGAATAGAGCCAAACCAACACCCCATATGTCAGTGTAAATCCTTGTTACCTATCTCGTGTGTGTTATTTCCCCAGCCACAGGCCAAATCCTTGGAGTCCCAGGGGCAGCCACACCACTGCCATTACCCAGTGCCGAGGACATGCATGACACTTCCAAAGACTCCCTCCATAGCGACACCCTTTCTGTTTGGACCCATGGTCATCTCTGTTCTTTTCCCGCCTCCCTAGTTAGCATCCAGGCTGGCCAGTGCTGCCCATGAGCAAGCCTAGGTACGAAGAGGGGTGGTGGGGGGCAGGGCCACTCAACAGAGAGGACCAACATCCAGTCCTGCTGACTATTTGACCCCCACAACAATGGGTATCCTTAATAGAGGAGCTGCTTGTTGTTTGTTGACAGCTTGGAAAGGGAAGATCTTATGCCTTTTCTTTTCTGTTTTCTTCTCAGTCTTTTCAGTTTCATCATTTGCACAAACTTGTGAGCATCAGAGGGCTGATGGATTCCAAACCAGGACACTACCCTGAGATCTGCACAGTCAGAAGGACGGCAGGAGTGTCCTGGCTGTGAATGCCAAAGCCATTCTCCCCCTCTTTGGGCAGTGCCATGGATTTCCACTGCTTCTTATGGTGGTTGGTTGGGTTTTTTGGTTTTGTTTTTTTTTTTAAGTTTCACTCACATAGCCAACTCTCCCAAAGGGCACACCCCTGGGGCTGAGTCTCCAGGGCCCCCCAACTGTGGTAGCTCCAGCGATGGTGCTGCCCAGGCCTCTCGGTGCTCCATCTCCGCCTCCACACTGACCAAGTGCTGGCCCACCCAGTCCATGCTCCAGGGTCAGGCGGAGCTGCTGAGTGACAGCTTTCCTCAAAAAGCAGAAGGAGAGTGAGTGCCTTTCCCTCCTAAAGCTGAATCCCGGCGGAAAGCCTCTGTCCGCCTTTACAAGGGAGAAGACAACAGAAAGAGGGACAAGAGGGTTCACACAGCCCAGTTCCCGTGACGAGGCTCAAAAACTTGATCACATGCTTGAATGGAGCTGGTGAGATCAACAACACTACTTCCCTGCCGGAATGAACTGTCCGTGAATGGTCTCTGTCAAGCGGGCCGTCTCCCTTGGCCCAGAGACGGAGTGTGGGAGTGATTCCCAACTCCTTTCTGCAGACGTCTGCCTTGGCATCCTCTTGAATAGGAAGATCGTTCCACCTTCTACGCAATTGACAAACCCGGAAGATCAGATGCAATTGCTCCCATCAGGGAAGAACCCTATACTTGGTTTGCTACCCTTAGTATTTATTACTAACCTCCCTTAAGCAGCAACAGCCTACAAAGAGATGCTTGGAGCAATCAGAACTTCAGGTGTGACTCTAGCAAGGCTCATCTTTCTGCCCGGCTACATCAGCCTTCAAGAATCAGAAGAAAGGCCAAGGTGCTGGACTGTTACTGACTTGGATCCCAAAGCAAGGAGATCATTTGGAGCTCTTGGGTCAGAGAAAATGAGAAAGGACAGAGCCAGCGGCTCCAACTCCTTTCAGCCACATGCCCCAGGCTCTCGCTGCCCTGTGGACAGGATGAGGACAGAGGGCACATGAACAGCTTGCCAGGGATGGGCAGCCCAACAGCACTTTTCCTCTTCTAGATGGACCCCAGCATTTAAGTGACCTTCTGATCTTGGAAAAACAGCGTCTTCCTTCTTTATCTATAGCAACTCATTGGTGGTAGCCATCAAGCACTTCCCAGGATCTGCTCCAACAGAATATTGCTAGGTTTTGCTACATGACGGGTTGTGAGACTTCTGTTTGATCACTGTGAACCAACCCCCATCTCCCTAGCCCACCCCCCTCCCCAACTCCCTCTCTGTGCATTTTCTAAGTGGGACATTCAAAAAACTCTCTCCCAGGACCTCGGATGACCATACTCAGACGTGTGACCTCCATACTGGGCTAAGGAAGTATCAGCACTAGAAATTGGGCAGTCTTAATGTTGAATGCTGCTTTCTGCTTAGTATTTTTTTGATTCAAGGCTCAGAAGGAATGGTGCGTGGCTTCCCTGTCCCAGTTGTGGCAACTAAACCAATCGGTGTGTTCTTGATGCGGGTCAACATTTCCAAAAGTGGCTAGTCCTCACTTCTAGATCTCAGCCATTCTAACTCATATGTTCCCAATTACCAAGGGGTGGCCGGGCACAGTGGCTCACGCCTGTAATCCCAGCACTTTGAGAGGCTGAGGTGGTAGGATCACCTGAGGTCAGGAGTTCAAGACCAGCCTGTCCAACATGGTGAAACCCCCATCTCTACTAAAAATACCAAAAATTAGCCGAGCGTAGTGACGGGTGCCCGTAATCCCAGCTACTCAGGAGGCTGAGACAGGAGAATCACCTGAACCCCAGAGGCAGAGGTTGCAGTGAGCTGAGATCACGCCATTGTACTCCAGCCTGGGCAACAAGAGCAAAACTCCGTCTCAAAAAAAAAAAAAAATTACAAATGGGGCAAACAGTCTAGTGTAATGGATCAAATTAAGATTCTCTGCCCAGCCGGGCACAGTGGCGCATGCCTGTAATCCCAGAACTTTGGGAGGCCAAGACGGGATGATTGCTTGAGCTCAGGAGTTTGAGACCAGGCTGGGCATCATAGCAAGACCTCATCTCTACTAAAATTCAAAAACAAAATTAGCCGGGCATGATGGTGCATGCCTGTAGTCTCAGCTAGTTGGGGAGCTAAGGTGGGAGAATTGCTTGAGCTTGGGAAGTCGAGGCTGCAGTCAGCCCTGATTGTGCCAGTGCACTCCGGCCTGGGTGACAGAGTGAGACCCTGTCTCAAAAAAAAAAAGATTCTGTGTCAGAGCCCAGCCCAGGAGTTTGAGGCTGCAATGAGCCATGATTTCCCACTGCACTCCAGCCTGAGTGACAGAGCGAGACTCCATCTCTTTAAAAACAAACAAAAAATTATCTGAATGATCCTGTCTCTAAAAAGAAGCCACAGAAATGTTTAAAAACTTCATCGACTTAGCCTGAGTCATAACGGTTAAGAAAGCACTTAAACAGAAGCAGAGGCTAATTCAGTGTCACATGAGGAAGTAGCTGTCAGATGTCACATAATTACTTTCGTAATAGCTCAGATTAGAATGGCTACCCCATTCTCTAGACAAAATCAAATTGTCCTATTGTGACTCTTCTAAAAATGAAGATGAAGAGCTATTTAATGACACACCTTGGATTAAAACGGGAATCACATCTTAAAGCTAAAAATGAACCTGCAAGCCTTCTAAATGAGTCACTGAGCATCACTAGTGACAAGTCTCGGGTGAGCGTAAATGGGTCATGACAAGATGGGACAGCAACAAAATCATGGCTTAGGATCGACAAGAAGTTAAAAAACAGCTGCATCTGTTACTTAAGTTTGTAAGACAGTGCCCTGAGACCTCTAGAGAAAAGATGTTTGTTTACATAAGAGAAAGAGGCCAGACATGGTGTCTCACACGTTTAATCCCAGCACTTTGGGAGGCAGGGGCGGGTGGATCACCTGAGGTCAGGAGTTCAAGACTAGCCTGGCCAACATGGTGAAACCCCGTCTCTACTAAAAATACAAAAATTAGCCGGGCATGGTGGCAGGCGCCTATAATCCCAGCTACTGGGGAGGCTGAGGCAGGAGAATCACTTGAACCCGGGGGACAGAGGTTGTAGTGAGCCAAGATCGCACCACTGCACTCCAGCCTGGGTCACAGAGTGAGACTCCATCTCAAAAAAAAAAAAGAGAGAGAGAGAGAAAGAAATAGAAGAGAAGAGCCATCTTGGCAGGGTTATTTTATATCTGAGCAAGGAGTTTAAATGAGACTAGTTTAGATTGTCTGCTGATGCAGCCGTCCATAGCAGTACCCCTAAAATCCCACCAGAATACGGGTCCCTCTAACCCAGTGGCTGGAAGAACCACTGTCTAGAGCAACTTTTCTTGGAACTGTCCCAGCTACCAAGTCAGACACCAAGGTTTATGCCACCAGGTAACACGGGAATCACAGGTACATGTCGCTCCGGTCAGATTAGTTGGCTTTGGCCCCTCGACCCTGTGCAGGAGCTAGTTCTCAGCTTGCAGCTGGAAGTTCCCTCTTAGCTCCTTAGTCTAGAGGGGTCTCCTGGCTCCATTTGACCCTGGTCTTTAATAACCGGTCAGCATCTTGCTACCTTCTACCACCTTTCCAAATCTCTGGAAATCCTGCCAGGGAAAGCCTCCAGTTCCAACATTGGCTTTCCAAGCAAACTGGCTTTGCCCTCTCTCTGCCATCCTTGTCCTCCAGAGACTGCACCACCTGTAGCATAGAAAACCACCACCACGGACCTGCCAGCCATCGGCGCAGCAAACCAGCCAGCTGTTTGCTGCCAAATTCCTTCCTCTCCCAGGTCCAGACCAAATACAAGATCAGCACCACACCGTGGTGTTGTCAGGAGCCAAAGCAACAGGAAACAATTCAATGCTGTTGGGTTCGATTCTGAGAGTAGATTTTTCCAGACATGTCTTTCAGGTGACCCTCAACTACCTCAGGTTTGAAGGCCCTAAATGAAACTGATTACCACTCATAGGGACAAACCGAGGGGGTTCGGTTACATCTTGGTGATAATGCAGTTGTCTCAAACTTATAACAGACTCTTTCACATTTCAGTTTGCAGGGATAGGGTTGGGTTTGTTTTTCTTCTGTTTTTAACCTTTCCCCTGGGTTTCCATTAGGGTAGTTCCTTGAAATGAATTTCATTTTTCACTGAGTGCCTACCTTCCCAGGGCAGGTGGCCACTGGCTTCTGTTTCCCTCCAACAATACTTTTATTATGGTATTAAGACCTTTCTTTGTATAATACATTGCATCTGTGTTTTCAATTTTTCAAATAAATATTTCCGCCTGGCAATGGAGCGTGGTGGTGATTGACCAGCCAGCGTGGCTCTGAGGTATAGGCTCCAGTGAGAAGCCTGCATTTGTATCCTGGGGTTCATGGAATCCACTTAGCCCCACACCTCTGGGAATATATCTTAGAAATATTAGTTTTGAGCCGGGTGTGGTGGCTCACACCAGTAATCCCAGCTCTTAGGGAGGCAGAGGCAGGAGGATAGCTTGAGCCCAGGAGTTAAGAGACCTGCCTGGAAAATATAGTGAGAAGCTGTTCTCCACAAAAAGGAAAAAAAAAAAAGAAATATTAGTTTGATATTGGGCATGGTGGCTCATGCCTGTAATCCCAGCAATTTGGGAGGCTGCAGTGGGAGGATCACTTGAGTGCAGGAGTTTGAGAGCAACCTGGGCAACACAGCAAGACCCCGTCTACAACAAAATTAACTGGGAATGGTAGCATATGCCTGTAGTCCCAGCTACTTGGGAGGCTGAGTCAGGAGGCTCAGTTCAGCCCAGGAGGTTGAGGCTGCAGTGATCACGCCATTGCACTCCACCCTGGGCAACAGAGCAAGACCCTGTCTCTTGAAAAAAAAAAAAAGACATTTGTTTGCACTTCTTAAACATGTTCCATCCTCCCTGTACGCTCTCCTGTCCATGGGAATGATCAAATAGAAAGTCCCGAAGTGGGCCAAGGACTGTGGCTCACACCTGTAATCCCAGCAGTTTGGGAGACCGATGCGGGCAGATCACCTGAGGTCGGGAGTTCAAGACCAGCCTAACCAACATGGAGAAACCCCCATCTCTACTAAAAATACAAAATTAGCCAAGTGTGGTGACATATGTCTGTAGTCCCAGCTACTCGGGAGGCTGAGGCAGGAGAATCACTTGAACCCAGGAGGCGGAGGTTGTGGTAAGCCGAGATCACGCCACTGCATTCCAGTCTGGGCAACAAGAGCAAAACTCGGTCTCAAAAAAAAAAAAAAAAAAAAGTCCCGAAGTGGTTAACACTGCCATTTAGGCTGGGCATGGTGATTCATGCCTGTAATCCCAGCACTTTGGGAGGCCAAGGCATTTGAGACCAGCCCGGGCAACATGGCAAAACCCTGTCTCTATAAAAAATACAAAAAAAAAAAAAAATAGCTGGGCATGGTGGTGTGCACCTGTACCCCCAGCTTCTAGGGAGGGCGAGATGGGAGAATCATGTGAGCCCCTGGAGAGGTCGAGGCTGCGGTAAGCCATGACTGCGCTACTGCACTCCAACCTGGATGACAGAGACCCTGTCTAAAAAAACATAATATTTAAAAAAAAAAAAAAACTTATCATATAGATCAGGTGTCATAAAATCTGGGGGTTCAGGCTGTGGCTCCTCCCTCTGCACCCTTGCGATGCAAATTAACCTATTACCTTAAAATGAGATGTGACCAATTCTGCTCAGAGACAGAAGCTACTGGTCAAAGGGATTCAGAGCAAACCAGTCACAGCTACCAGAGGATTTACAGAGGGAGCTAACAGAGCCGGGCTGGGCTGCAGAGCGACCTTTCCACAGCACGCTGCAACCTAATACAGTGTGTTAAGCCAGGGGACCTACAGGGGAGACACAGATTGGGAAAGGCTGGGCTTGGTAAGCAGGAGAATTGGCCCAAATGACTCATCACATAAGGAGAGAATGAGGCAGGTAATCAGAAGCTAGCATCTCTAACTAAGGAGATCAAAGAACCAGTGGGATCACCTTGCTCAGTGGGAAGGTGATCTGGATAAATACCAAAGACGGGGACACTTGCCTGCAGCTGGGCTTTTCTGCTCCCAGTGACAGAATGCCAAAGTGAGCCTGCTCCATTTAAAGCATAGGCCGGGCGCAATGACTCATGCCTGTAATCCCAGCACTTTAGGAGGCCCAAGCAGGTGGATCACTTGAGTCCAAGAATTCAAGACCAGCCTGGGCAACATGAAGAAACCCTATCTCTACAAAAAATACAAAAAACTAGCTGGGTGTGGTGGCACATGCCTGTAGTCACAGCTACTTGGGAGACTGAGGCAGGAGGATTGCTTGAGCCCGGGAGGCAGAGGTTGCAGTGAGCTATGATGGTGCCACTGCACACTCCAGCCTGGGCGACAGAGTCAGACATTGTCTCAAAAAAAAAAAAAAAACCATCTTGAACTGTCCTTTAAAAGCTCTACTAGGCTGGGCACAGTGGCTCATGCCTGTAATCCCAGCACTTTGGGAGGCCAAGGCGGAGGATCACTCGAGGTCAGGAGTTCGAGACCGGCCTGGCCAACGTGGTGAAACCCCATCTCTACTAAAAATACAAAAATTAGCTGGGTGTGGCGACATGCGCCTGTAATCCCAGCTACTCGGGAAGCTGAGGCACGAGAATCGCTTGAACCTGGGAGGCAGAGGTTGCAGCGAGCCAAGATCACGCCACTGCACTCCAACCTGGGCAACAGAGCAAGCCTCCCTCTCAAAAAAATAAAAAATAAAAGGTCTATTCAATTGTGCAGACAAGGGAAAGCGGTTGATTGGCTTTAGGCAAAGGGGTGACATGATGAGATTTGCATTCTGAAAAGACCATTCTGGTTGCAGTATGGAGGACAGAGTGGCGTGGAGCTGGAGTAGACAGGGGAAACCGACAAGGAAGTTATTGTCATAGTCCAGGCAAAGGGTGATGGCATGTGAGACAGGATAGTAGCAGGAGAGACAGGAGAAATGGCAGGCCAGAGAGACACATGGCAGGTAAAATGGACATGGACAGACAGGAGTTGGGTTACATAGAAGGGGGCTAGGGAAGGAGCTTTTAGGGAGGGGTCCTGGGTTTCTGGATTGTGAAATTAGTGGTGCCATCTACCTGGAAGAAGGCCAGGCTCAGCATAGATATTATGATACTATGTTTTGAGCTGAATTGCTTTTTTTTTTTTTTTTTTGAGACAGAATCTACACTCTGTTGCCCAGGCTGGAGTACAGTGGCACAATCTCAGCTCACTGCAACCTCCACCTCCAGGGTTCAAGCAATTCTCCTGCCTCAGCCTCCCAAGGAGCTGGGATTACAAGCGCCCGACACCACACCCGGCTAACTTTTTGTATTTTTAGTAGAGACCAGGTTTCACCATGTTGGCCAGGCTGGTTTCGAATTCCTGACCTCAAGTGATCGTCCCACCTCAGCCTCCCAAAGTGCTGGGATCACAGGCGTGAGCCACGGCATCCGGTCTGAATTGCCTTTTTTTTTTTAAAAAAAAAAAGTCCGGGACAGGAGATTTTGCGCTGTCACACAGGCCGGAGTGCAGTGGCCCAGTCATAACTCACTGCAGCCTCCAGATCCTGGCCTCAAGCAATCATCCTGCCTCTGCCTCCCAAAGTGCTGGAATTATAGGTGTGAGCTACCACACCTGGCCTCAGCTGAGTTGCCTTTGAAACATTCCCATGAAGATGCAAAGTTTAACTCAGAGAAGTCAGAGGTCATGGGAATTGAATCGTACCTAAAGCCATAACAGAAGGAAAGAGTACAAGAAAAGAAAAGGGTCCATAATGGAGCCTTGAGGATTTTCTCTATTTAAAATAACTGAGGCCAGGCACGGTGGCTCACGCCTGTAATCCCAGCACTTCGGAAGGCCGAGGCAGGTGGATCACCTGAGGTCAGGAGTTCAAGACCAGCCTAACATGGAGAAACCACCCCACCCCCCCACTAAAAATACAAAATTAGCCGGGCGTGGTGGCGCATGCCTGTAATACCAGCTACTCGGAAGGCTGAGGCAGGAGAATTGCTTGAACCCGGGAGGCAGAGGTTGCTATGAGCCAAGAACGCGCCATTGCACTCCAACCTGGGCAACAAGAACGAAACTCTGTCTCAAAATAAATAAATAAATAAATAAATAAATAAATAAAATAACCAACTTTAGGATGGGTGCAGTGGCTCACGCCTGTAATCTCAGCACTTTGGGAGGCCGAGGTGGGCGGATCACCTGAGGTCAGGAGTTCAAGACCAGCCTGGCCAACATGGCGAAACCCCGTCTCTACTAAAAATACAAAAATTAGCTGGGCGTGGTGGTGGGCGCCTGTAAACCCAGCTACTCGGGAGGCTGAGACAGAAGAAGAACTGCTTCAACCCAGGCGGTGGAGGTTGCAGTGAACTGAGATCGCGCCACTGCACTCCAGCCTGGGTGAGAGAGTGAGACTCCATATCAAAAAAATGATAATAATAAAAATAAATAAATAAAAAATAAAATAACCAAGTTTAATGTATTTTTACTACAGTCAGTTTCTTAGTTCATTTGTACTGCTTTAACAGTACCTGAGACCTGGTAATTTAAAAAGAACAGTAGTTGGCCGGGCACAGTGGCTCACACCTATAATCTCAGCACTTTGGGAGGCTCAGGTGAGTGGATCACTTGAGTCCAGGAGTTCAAGACCACTCTGGGCAACATAGGGAGACCCCATCTCTACAAAAAATAATAATAATAAATAGCCAGGTGTGGTGGTGCACACCTGTAGTCCCAGCAACATGGGAGGCTGAGGTGAGTGGATCCAGGTACAGCACTTAAACACTCCTGACAATGAGTGCTGACAAAGAAAAACTGAGCAAAAGTGGAATTCGAGAGAACTCGAATTTAGCCCAGCTAAATTTTGTATTTTTAGTAGAGACAGGGTTTCATCATGTTGGCCAGGATGGTCTCTATCTCTTGACCTCGCAATCCGCCCGCCTCGGCCTCCCAAAGTGCTGGGATTACAGGCGTGAGCCACCGCGCCCGGCTACAAGTTCTTTTTTCTTTTTGTTCCTTGGAAAGCATCGCTGGGCATTTATCCTGTCCTAGTATTTGAGTGAAACTTCTCTTAGCATTTCAGCGCAGTGACCAAGAGACACCCTTTCCTTTCCTTCTCCTTATGGGAAACTCGGTTCTAACCCAGAGGACTTGGGCTCCAGGACCCAGTAAGGCAGCCCTGGACTAAAAGGGAGTAAAGACAAACGTGAAGTTCAGTCCGGTGTTCAGGGCTGCCAAAGCTCATAGCCTGGAGTTTCTTATCCTCTAGGCGGGGTAGAGACATTTAAAACCGCCCCTAAACTTGTGAGGCGCATAGGCTCATGGGAAATAGAGTCCAGTACTTGTCCGGAGACCAGCAGTGGGCCCTGGGAGGCGGACTTCCGGTGCACTCCTGCGCGTGTGCACCTCTCCCGGCGTGCGTGTTCGGGCATGCGCGCTGCCGCCGCACTGCCCTCGCTTCCTGTGAGTCTTCAGGTCGCCGCTTGCTCTCGTTCCTAGGGTTTGGCCTGCAGTGGACGAGCATCGCATAGCCTGCGGGGCTGGATGCTGACCGCCCGGGCCAGCACCTAGGCGGACGCGGAGCTGTGCAGACCAGGGTTCGCGCGGGCCGGGTGGAGGCTCAAGCGGGGACCCCGGAGCGTGAGCCCCGGAGTCGGCGGCGCTGGGGCCAGAGGGGCCGGGAGGGAGTCGGCTGAGGTGGCGGCGGAGGCGAAGTGGCGGCGGAGGCGAAGGGGCGGCGGGACCCGGGCCTGGCCCGTATGTGTCCTTGGCGGCCTAGACTAGGCCGTCGCTGTATGGTGAGCCCCAGGGAGGCGGATCTGGGCCCCCAGAAGGACACCCGCCTGGATTTGCCCCGTAGGCCCGGCCCGGGCCCCTCGGGAGCAGAACAGCCTTGGTGAGGTGGACAGGAGGGGACCTCGCGAGCAGACGCGCGCGCCAGCGACAGCAGCCCCGCCCCGGCCTCTCGGGAGCCGGGGGGCAGAGGCTGCGGAGCCCCAGGAGGGTAAGTCTGGGATTTTCGGGCCCAGAGCGAGAAGGGCCTGGGTGAAGTCACCGTGTGTTGGGGACCTTTGAGTGTGGGGCAGGGGGAGGGTCCCGATCGCTTGCAGGAGAGACGTGTGTTTGGGTTCGAGGGCAGGGTCCGGCTGCACGGAACAGGCGCTGCATGGGAAGATCTGGGAGGACGAGGCTTACGGGGGCGTGGAGGGTGTCACCACCCTCAGCTGCGGACGTCGTCTCCACTCCCCGCTAACCCCTAACAGCCCTTCCTCCTCCTCTCCGTGCTCCAGATTTCGACCGCCTCTAAACGTCCCTCAGCACCTCTGTTCTCTCATTTAAGTGTCTGCTGATTCGCCCCTTAGATCTGCCCTGGGAGAATCGTAGTAATGCAGGAACAGCCTGCAGGGATTCTCTCCTGCTGCCTCAGTTGCTAGGGGAAGAGACTGGGCCTTAGCAGGTGGGTGACTTGACCAGGTCACTGGCTTTGTGGATGGAATTACTCATAGTAGAACTCAGGAGTCTTATCTCCCAGGCCAGTGCTCTTTCTCCCGTATCCTAGTTTTCTTAATAGAAGATTATTAGGTGCAGCAATAACCAAGTTCAGTTAGATAATTTAGAAACAAAACCATATTTTATACACATTCATTTCATTTCTGAGAGCTCACATATTCAATTCCTATGGCTTCTTTGATTTTAAGCAGTTTAGAGAGACAATAAGAAAACGCGGGCCGGATGCAGTGGCTCATACCTGTAATCCCAGCACTTTGCGGGCCTAGAGCAGGAGTATCCCTTGAGACCAGGAGTTAGAGACCAGCCTAGGCAACATAGGGAGACCCTGACTCTACAAAAAATACAAAAGCAGCCAGGCATGCTGGGATGCACCTGTGGTCCTAACTACTCAGGAGGCTGAAGTGGGAGGATGGATGGAGCCCAGGAGGTCGAGGCTGCAGAGAGCCGTGAATGCACCACTGCACTCCAGCCTGGGTGGCAGATTGAGACCCTGTCTCAGCAAACAAACCACAAAAATCATGAGCTGTATAATGGGAAATTTTTTTCTTTTTGCACGTTGTACTTGATGGCAGACCATGTTACCCATGAGAGTCTTAACTCACCTAATTACTATCTGATTATCTTAGAGTTACAAAGTTACAAGTGCATGCTTCCCCTATCACTTTTTTTTTTTTTTTTTTTTTTTTTTGAGACAGTATCTCTCACCCAGTCTGGAGTGCAACAGCGTGGTCTCCGCTCACTGCAACCTCCACCTCCCAGATTCAAATGATTCTTGTGCCTCAGCCTCCTGAGTAGCTGGGACTACAGGCATGTGACACTATGCCTGGCTAATTTTTTTGCTATTTTTAAGTAGAGACGGGGTTTTGCCATGTTGGCCCGAGGCAGGTGGATCACTTGAGGCCAGAATTCGAGACCAGCCTGGCCAATGTGGTGAAACCCTGTATCACTCTTTTAGGCCCTTCTGAGTGTTTGCAGCTGAGTGTTCACAGGGTGTTAACCTATTTGAGCTTTCTTTTGTGGTTCGTAATGCAGGAGATTTCTGCCTTTGCAGGCCGGAGCCCTCATGACTTCAGTGACCTGCTTCTGCCCCTCTAGGTCTATCAGCCACAGTCTCTGCATGTTTCCAAGAGCAACAGGAAATGAACACATTGCAGGTGAGTTTTCCTGCTTGTATATATGTTCCTCAACTTTATTTTATGATGCATTTTAAGAGGCTTGTAAGGATTCATACTTTTTTTTTTTTTCTTGAGATGCAGTCTTGCTCTATTGCCCAGCCTGCAGTGCAGTGGCATGATCTTGCTTCACTGCCACCTCCACCTCCTGGGTTCAAGCGATTCTCCGGTCTCAGCCTCCAGAGTAGCTGGGATTACAGGCATGCGCCACCATGCCCAGCTAATTTTTTTTTTTTTTTGAGACGGAGTCTCACTCTGTTGCCCAGGCTGGAGTGCAGTGGCGTGATCTCGGCTCACTGCAAGCTCCGCCTCCTGGGTTCACGCCATTCTCCTGCCTCAGCCTCCTGAGCAGCTGGGACTATAGGTGCCCGCCACTGCGCCTGGCTAATTTTTTTTTTTTTTGTATTTTTAGTAGAGACGGGGTTTCATCGTGGTCTTGATCTGCTGACCTTGTGATCCACCCGCCTCGGCCTCCCAAAGTGCTGGGATTACAGGCGTGAGCCACCGTGCGCAGCCAATTTTTTGTATTTTTAGAAGAGACGGGGTTTCACCGTGTTGGCCAGGCTGGTCTCAAACTCCTGACCTCAGGTGATCCTCCCACCTCAGCCTCCCAAAGTTCTGGGATTACAGGCATGAGCCACCACGCCCAGCCAGGATTCATACTTTAAAATGGGAATGTGGAAATAGACATTATCCTGTAAAATATAGTTAGTGTGGCAGATCAGCACCAAAAATGATTTGTGAAGCTTGTATGTATGGGTAGTATATTTTAAGGCTGTTGAAATTGAGCCGCACCCAGGACTGACATTCTTGGCAGTCATCACAAAAGGAAAATGCCATCTGTATTAGTCCATTCTCACACTGCTATAGAGAAATAACCAAGACTGGGTAATTTATAAAGAAAAGAGGTTTAATTGGCTCACACCTGCAGGCTCTATCATGGGAAGCATGGCTGGGGAGGCCTCAGGAAACTTACAGTCATGGTGGAAGGCGAAGGAAAAGCGGGTACATCTTCATCACCAGAGGAGAAGGAAGAAGGAGGGGGAGGCGCTACACACTTTTAAACAACCACATCTTGTGATAACTCACTCAGTATCAGCACCAAAAGGGAAATTGTCCCCATGATCCAATCACCTCCCACCAGGTCCCACCTCCAACATTGGGGATTACAATTGAATATGAGATTTGGGAGGCGACACAAACTGAAACCATATCACCATCCATGACATGATTTGCATTGATTATAAGGAGAAACCAATTTTGTTACTTGTGGATTTAAAAGATTTTCTAGGACTTGGAAAAATTTCTTCATTCAAGTTGATATAATTGTGGATAGCTTTCCTAACAACAACCATTAAATTACTGACTTATGGCTTATTCTTGGTGCTTATGTAAGCAGAGGGCCTGCTGCCCAAGGAGAACTTGGTGCATATAATTTTTCCAGGGACGGAAATATCGTGATCCAAGTAAACAGAATTCTGTTTTTACTGTTGAGTCCTAGATCATGGGGGGAATGAATGACATGATCATCCTTCAGATATTTGTTCGTCTTTTTGTTTGGGTTGCACAGCAAACAATACAAACAGTTACTCTCTTGTGAAGATTTCCTCATTTCTGTTTCTCATTTCAGTTCTCAGTGTTTTCGTTTTGTCCTTTTCACTTTGCTGAGTCAGTCAGTAAAGATGACCAGTGATTTAATTGCAGTCAAATCCAGCGGGCAATTCCTAGCCCCTTCCTCACAGGACCCTTTGTCTGCCTTTGACATCCGTTACTTCGAAACTGATATTTTCTCCATGGAGTCTCTCTTTTCTTGGCTCTTAAAAAGATTCATCTGTAAGTATTTCTGTTTGTCTTTAAATGGTGAAGTCTTTTGTTTTGTTTCTTTTTTTCTTTTTTTGAGATAGGGTCTTGCTGTGTCATCCAGGCTGGAGTGTAGATGTGATCAAAACTCACTGCAGCCTCAATCTCCTGGGCTCATGCGATCCTCCTGCCTCAGCCTCCCACGTAGCTGGGACTACAGATGCACGCTGCCACACCTGGCTAATTTTTTTTGTATTTTAGTAGAGACTGGCTTTCACTGTGTCACACAGGCTGGTGTCGAACTCCTGAGCTCAGGCAGTCTGCCTGCCTCGGCCTCCCAAAGTGCTAGGATTACAGGCGTGAGCCACTGCTCCTGGCCTAGAGATGTATTCTCACTGTATTGCTCAGGCTGGTCTCAAACTCCTGGCCTCAAGTTATCCTTTCACTTTGGCCTCCCAAAGTGCTAGGATTACAGGTGTAAGCCACCACACGTGGCCAATAAAGAATTTTTTTAAAGGGGCTAGGAATAACCCATAATACTCTCTTAATACATGTGGCAGTTGCGTTAAATCTTTTAATAGTTCCCATAGTATGTCTCTTGCGTGCTCATTGTTTTGAAGAAACTGTGTTGGTTATCCTCAGTTTGGATTGTGTTACCCTTGTTTCACCTTTAGCAAATTTTTAAAAAATATCTCATATGCCTTGTAAAATTGGTAGTTTGATCTAGAAGTCTAATCAAGTTTATGTTCAGTTCTTTTCACACAACTATACCATATGTGGCATTTGTCTACTTCTGGAGGCACGTGTTACCTTCTTTGTTTTTGTGAAGTTAAGAACTATTGACTGTTGATTATTGCTGTGATTTACTAGTTCATTAGGGGAGGCAAAATGGTGATCTGCTAATTCTACCATTTATTCTTTATTTACTAGCCAAAATACGTTTCTTTTCTTTTCTCTTTTTGGAGACAGAGTCTCACTCTGTCGCCCAGGCTGGCGCATTTATGGCTCACTGCAGCCTCAAACTCCTGTGCTCAAGTGATCCTCCCACTTCAGCCTCCCAAGTAGCTGGGAGTATAGTCATATGCCACAATGCCCAGCTGATTTTTTAATTTTTAGTAGAGACAGGTTTCTCTTTGTTGCCCAGGCTGGTCTTGAACTGGGCTCAAGTGATCCTCTTCTTTGACCTCCCAGTGTTGGGATAATAGGCATGAGCCACCACAGCTGGCCTAGAATACTTTTCTAAAGATAAATTTCTATTCTTTATTTGTTTATGTAATTCATGCAGGAAAGACAGTTTCTATAATATTGAGTAGGCTTCTAAGCAGGAAGGTTTTTTTGTTTTGTTACCATCATGAGCTCATGGGTTTAAACAGATAGTAAATATTTCAGTACATAGAAGTTGTGATTCTTTTTGAAAATTAAGTGGTTCCATCTTTGGCCAGACGGAATCCCTTTAAGTTGGTTTCTGAGTCCTTTTGAAATATATTTGATATATTTGATAGCAAATGTATACATATAATATATATTTGATAGCATTATTTTCTATTTAGCATTTTATTTTGAAATCATTTCAAATTTTCAGAAAAATTGCAAGGATTTTACAAAGAAATCCCAGACACTTCCTTTTGTTCAGACACTTCATTCTTAACATTTTCCCACATTAATCATTTATATGCATATATACATATGTGTCTATATATATTTTCTGAACTATTTGAGAGTGGGTATGTCATGCCTCTTTACCCTATAAAGTTTTAGATTATATCTCATAAAATCAAGAACATTCTGTTAAATATCCATAGCACAGTAATTGAATTCAGGAAATTTATCATTGATTTAATACTTTTATCTGTAGTTCATTTTCCAGTTTGGCCAATTTCCCAATAATTTCCCTTATAGCAATTTTTAATTTTTGGTAGAAGATTCAGTCTAGGACTGTTAATTGCCTTTAGTTTTCATGCTTTTTAAGTCTGTTTAATATGGATTTGTTCCTCAGTGCCATTATAATATTTGAAGAATACAGGCCAGTGATTTTATAGAAGTCTTTAAATTTAGGTTTCCCTGATCTTTCTTCATGATTAGATTTAGACTGAATTTTTGTCTGGAATACTACATGGAACCTCTTAAATTTATGGCTCATAATAGGATCTGTCTTGGGAAAATTCTGTGCATGCCTGAGAAGATGGCTTGTTCTGCTCTGGTTGGGTGGAGTGTTTGATAAATGTTAATGAGATCAAGTTGGTTGGTTGTGTTGTTCAGGTGTACTATATCCTTGTTGATTGTGTGCCCACTTGTATCAATTGTGGGGGAGAGGGGATTGAAATCTGCTGCAGTTGTGGTTCTGTTTCTCTTTGCAATTTTACCACTTTTTGCTTTATGTGTTATATTAGATACATAAATGTTCAAGGTTATTACGTCCTGTTGATTAATTAACCACTTTGTAAAATGGCCTTCCTTATCCCTGCTAATATTCCAGGCTGTGAAATGTACTTTGTTATTTATGAAGCATTCTTTTGAGTAATGCATGCATGCTATATCTTATTCCATCCTTTTACTTTTAACCTATTTGCATCTTTATATCTAAAGTATTATTTCTTGTAGGCAGCAAGATTTGGATCTTGCTTGTTTTCATCAGTCTGTTTCTGTCTCATAATTGGGGATGTATAAACCGTTTACATGTAATGTGATTATTGATAAAACGAGTTAGGTTATAGTCCACTGTCTTTGCTTTCTTTTAGTCTCATCTTCTTTGTTTCTTTTTAAAATGTCTCTGTTTGTCTTCCTTCCTTTTGATTAGTTGAGAATTTTTTATGATTCTACTTTATATCTTTTGTTGGGTTTTTGGCTATCACACTGTTATTATTTTAGTGAGTTAGAATTTATAGTATGCAGCCTTAATTATCATAGTTTATTCTTAAGTAATATACCATTTTTCTTAGAGTAAGAGAAGCTTACAATAGGACACTTCCATTTCTCTCCTCTTGGTCTTTACACCGTTGTTCATTTCATTTTTACAGGTGGTATCAGTGCCACACACTATCTATTACGTTGTTGTTAATTAAACAGTTATCTTTTATTTGTTTATTTATTTATTTATTTATTTAGAGACAGAGTCTCACTCTGTCCCCCAGGCTGGAGTGCAGGGGTGCGATCTCGGCTCACTGCAACCTCTACCTCCTGGGTTCAAGTGATTCTCCTGCCTCAGCCTCCCTCAGCTGGGATTACAGACACCTACCACCACGCCCGGCTAATTTTTGTATTTTTAGTAGAGATGAGGTTTCGCCATGTTGGCCAGGCTGGTTTCGAACTCCTGACCTCAGGTGACCTGTCTGCCTCAGCCTCCCAAAGTGCTGGGATTACAGGTGTGAGCCACCACACTTGGCCCAGGTATCTTTTAAAGAGATTTAAGTAATGAGAGAAAATACACAGTTACCATTTCTGGTACTCTTCATTCCTTTATGTAAATCTAAATTTTTATTTTCTGTCATTTTACTTCTGCCTGAAGGACTTTCTTTAACATTTCTTCTAGTTGATGATGAATTCTTGTAGGTCTGCAAATGTCTTCATTGTGTCTTTGCTTTTAAAGGTGTTTTTGCTGGATTTTTCTCCACAGTGCTTTAAATATGTTTCTCTGTTGTCTTCCTGCTTACATTTTTTTCTAAGAGAAATCTGATCTCATACTCATGTTTGTTCCCCTATATATAACATGTCTTTTTTTCTTCCCCCCTTATTGTTTTAAACTTTTTATCACTAGTTTTGGACAATTTGATTGCAATATGTCATGGTATCTTTTTTTCATGTTTCTGTTTTGGGGATCATTGAACTTCTTGGATCTTGGGTTTATGGTGTCATCACTTGGGGAACATTTTTATCATTATTTCTTCAAGTACCCACCACCTCCCCTCCATTGATTCTTGTTGCCTGTATATTAGGCCACTTGAAATTTTCCCACAACATACTGTTGCTCTTTATTTGCTTTTAATTCTTCTTTCTCTGTTTCATTTTATGTAACTTCTGTTGCTGTCTTTATATTCACTAATCTCTTTTTTCCACGATGCTGTTCATCTTGTCCAGTATAATTTTCATCTCAGATATTGTAGTTTCTATCTGTAGAAGGTTAGCATGGGTCTTTTTCACATCTTGCCTGTCTCAATTTTTTTGAACATTTGGAATAGAATGATGAACTCTCTCAGTGCTCTGTGCCAGTTGTAAACTCTGTGTCAATTCTGGGCCAGTTTTGATGGACTGATTGTTTTCCTTATGGGTTGTAGTTTCCTGCCCATTTTCCCGACTCGCAGCTCTTTCTCCTCACATCTGCCTCTGTTCTTCTTCCCTGCTCCGTGGCCTGGAGTCACTCAAGGCAGAAGTTGATTGGTTCACCTTGTTTATTTCCCATCACTCATAGATAACTCTACTGCCTGATAATCAGTGCCTTGAAAGCCATTGCTTCAGCCCAGGCGTGGTGGCTCATACCTGTAATCACAGCACTTTGGGAGGCCAAGGCAGGCGGATCATGAGGTCAGGAGTTCAAGACCAGCCTGGCCAACATGGTGAAACCCCGTCTCTACTAAAAATACAAAAATTAGCCGGGCGTGCTGGTGCATGCTTGTAATCCCAGCTACTTGGGAGGCTGAGGCAGGTGAATCGCTGGAACTCGGGAGACGGAGGTTGCAGTGAGCCAAGATTGTGCCATCGCACTCCAGCCTGGAAGACAAGAGTGAGACTTTGTCTCATAAAAAACAAAAACAAAAACAAACAAACCATTGCTTCATATATGTTCTCCATTTTATTTTTCTTTCTGTTTTTGATTTTGTTGTTGTTCTTTGGTGTGTGCTGTTTCAGGTTGGAGGGTATATGCAGTACCTGTTAGTTTATCACACCTGAGGGCAGAAGTCCTCATGTCTCTCTCTCTCTATTTTTTCTAATATATATATTTTTTTCTTTGTAGAGACAGGGTCTTGCTATGTTGCCAAGGCTGGTCTCAAGCTCCTGGCCTCAAGCAGTCCTTCTGGCTCAGCTTTCCAGAGTGCTGGGATTACAGGCATGAGCCACCACACCTGGCCTGGGTCCAGTTTTATCCATGTCCAAATATTTTTTTTCCCTGAGCTGTTTTTGATTTTCTTCCACCTCATATGAACTGTAGTGTCGGCTTATCTAGTTCCAGGAAAAAGCTTTTTGGTATTTTTATTGGGATTGTATATTTATAAAGTAATTTAGGGTAACTGATATCTTTGTATTATTACGTTGACCTTAATAATACAACTAATTTTTTTTTTTTGGATTTTTAGTAGAGATGGGGTTTCACCATGTTGACCAGGCTGGTCTTAAACTCCTGACCTCAGGTGATCTGCCCGCCTCAGCCTCCCAAAGTGTTGGGATTACAGGCGTGAGCCACCGTGCCCGAGCACTTTTTTTTTTTTTTTTGAGATGGCGTCTCACTTGTCGCCCAGGCTGGAGTGCAGTGGCACAATCTCAGCTTACTGCAAACTCCGCCTCCTGGGTTCACGTCATTCTCCTGCCTCAGCTTCCCGAGTAGCTGGGACCACAGGCACCCGCCGCCATGCCCGGCTAATGTTTTGTATTTTTAGTAGAGACGGGGTTTCACCATGTTAGCCAGGATGGTCTCGATCTCCTGACCTTGTGATCCGCCCGCCTTGGCCTCCCAAAGTGCTGGGATTACAGGCGTGAGCCACCGCGCCTGGCCGCCCGAGCACTTTTACTTTTCCTTAGTTATATTCCTCTAATTGTTTTCTCTTCTCTAGTTGTAGATAATGAGCATTTTATTAATACCTTGTTCTTGATCTTAGTGGGAAGGTATGTAGTTTTTCCCTGTTAAGTAAAATCCTGACTTTTGGACCAAGAAGACTGAGGCATAAGAGTTTATGTGTGTCCGTGTGTGTGCACGTACATGTGTCTGTGTGTGTATACACACAAACTATATATATGCTTGTGTGTAATTGAAATACATATGTCACATATATATCATATGTACTACTGCATATTAGGGTGTAATATTTATATTTGTATATATACATAATATTGATGTTAATGAAGCATCCATCAGTTTCTGTTTTCTTTAGTTTTTTTAAATCAGGTTTTTCTGTCAAGCTTTTTCAAGTATCTTCATGGATACAAGATTTTTCTTCTTTGCTGTGTTATAGTGGCCTATCATATTAATAGATTTCCAAATACTAAACTAGTCTATATTATTGGAATAAGTCCTATTTGTCTGTTGTATATTATGTTTTTAATCTGGTACTGGATTTTGTTTGGTTATGTTTCATTTTGGGTATTTGTATTGATATAAGTGGTATTGTAGTGGCATGTAATTTTATGTTATTTATTGGCTGATCCATCTTCTAACCCCTCCACCTCCTTGCCTTTTGGACTAACTTAACCTAGAAGGTTATTACTCTCTCTCGGTGATTTTATCAGCTCCTTTGGCCTGCCTGTGGATAAGCTTGGATGTTCTGCTTTAGTTTCTCAGCCCACCAGCCTAGCGGCTCTGACTCTGCTATCTCTTGGGATCTACATGGTCCTAGCTATATCACTGGGTTTGAACCCCTTGTTGATATCTTCTTTATAAATAACAGGATAATGTAACTTGCTTACTGGGCACTTCCTTTTTCTAAACTACAAGTTTGGGCGGGGTATGCTGGCCCAAGACTGTAATCCCAACACTTTGGGAGGCCAAAGCAGGTGGATTGCTGGAGCCCAGGAGTTTTGCATTTTTCTTTTCTTTTTCTTGAGACAAGGTCTCGCTCTGTTGCCTAGGCTGGAGTGCAGTGTTGCATTCACAGCTCACTGCAGCCTTGACCTCCCAGGCTCAAGCCATCCTCCTGCCTTAGCCTCCCAGGTAGCTGGAACTACAGGCATGTGCCATGATGCCCAGCCAATTTTTTAAAAAATTTTTATTTTTAGTAGAGATGAGGTTCTTACTATGTTGCCCAACCTGGTCTCGAACTCCTGAGCTCAAATGATCCTCCCATCTCGGCCTCCCAAAGTGCTAGGACTATAGGCATGAGCCACCATGCCCAGCCCCAACCTCTTAAAAATTGAAGCTGCTTCATGTTTGCCATTGGTACTTTTTACACCTCATCATATTCTTCTTCCCCTTCATCCCATAGAATACACAATTCATCTTTAAGGACTTCAAGTTAACTGAGTCTGTGAAGCCTAACTGATGGCATAAAGTTAAAATAATTTGATCCTCTTTTGTTAAATCATTCTGCACCTTGTCTGCATTACTCTAATAACAGCTTTGGGCATTCATTCATTTAACGAATATTTATTGCTGTGAGATTGAGATGTTTGAGATAAAACTCAGCCATGCAGATAGCCAGAGGCCACTGACTATGAGAATAAAAAAGACAAAAGAACAAGGAGCTGAAACTAGGTGAGAGCCCCAGAGCAGTGAGTTAGGAAGAAGAAGACCAGGAACTGAGTGGTGGGCACTCCAACATGAAGAGGTCCAGGAGAAGGGGAGGGCCTGGCAGCAAAGAAGTGACAAGGAGTAAAATGCTTGTGTTTGTTTACATGTTTATCTCCTTATTAGGTTGTCTGCTTTCTGAGAGCAGGCATGGTGTTTCACTCATCTCATATCCCCAAAACTCAGTTCAGTTGCAAAATAGGAGTTCAGTTGTGTTTTGGGTTTTTATTTTTGTGGGGTAATATATATTTTATATATATATATCCCCAAAGGATATATGTTTCCTCTATGATTTCCAATATGATTTCCCTTCCATAATCTGTAACATAAAATAAGGTATACAATGTTCATGGTTAACTTTACGAGTGAACTTTGTAAAATGATATCCCCCTATCCCTTTTCCATATCTCCCAATTCTGATCATGTTGCCATTACAGGGGCCAGTGTCATTCAAAGATGTGGCTGTGGATTTCACCCAGGAGGAGTGGCGGCAACTGGACCCTGATGAGAAGATAGCATACGGGGATGTGATGTTGGAGAACTACAGCCATCTAGTTTCTGTGGGTGAGGATGGCTTGCTTTCTGAATGCTCTCAGTTGAATGGGGTTTTATCCTTGAGTTTGAAGAAATAAGTGATGACACCATTTAATTCCTTGTGGGCACTAGCTGGAGTGTTTATATTATTCTTCATTGAAAGGTTCTAACTTTGATAAGGTAAAAAAAAATGGAGCACTTCTGTTATGCAGCTAATGAGGTGGCAACATCTTGTACTTTGGAGATTCTGAAGCCAAGCAGCTTGCCCAAGTCCTTCTTCTTTTCCCATTAACAGGGTATGATTATCACCAAGCCAAACATCATCATGGAGTGGAGGTGAAGGAAGTGGAGCAGGGAGAGGAGCCGTGGATAATGGAAGGTGAATTTCCATGTCAACATAGTCCAGGTAAGTTAGTAGATTATCACATGTTAAAAAACACTCATCCCAGACCTTTGGGAGTGACTAAAGAGTTGTTTATATGTACTCGGTACCCTCAGTAACACCTCCCAACCCCCAAATATCACTTTCCTTCCCACACACATACCACATACATGAACTCTTTTGTTGATTTTACATTTGATTTACATTGGTAGGGATTTTTTCATTCTAACCTGTACTGGGGACCCAGTCACTTCCTCTTTCTCCAGCATTATCGGTCACTTACTTACTCCCTCGCCATTAGAGAATTGTTGTGAGTTTTTTGTTTGTTTGTTTGTTTGTTTGTTTTTTGGAGACAGAGTCTTGTTCTATCACCCAGGCTGGTGTGCACTGGTATGCTCTCGCTCACTGCAACCACTATCTCTCAGGTTCAAGCGATTCTCCTTCCTCAGCCTCCTGAGTAGCTGGGTTTATAGGCGCCCACCATGATGCCTGCCTAATTTTTTGTATTTTTAGTAGAGACAGGGTTTCACCATGTTGGCCAGGATGGTCTCCAACTCCTGACCTCAAGTGATCCGCCTGCCTCTGCCTCCCAAAGTGCTGGGATTACAGGCATGAGCCACCCCACCAGGCCATGCTTTCAGTTTTCAAGAAAGAAGACACCATTGTTGCCAAAGATTTTGGTAATTTGAGAGATACAATGTAGTTTTCTCCATGTGGATCCTAGATAGTAAGGATCTGTTGAATTTGAAGTATCTATCCAGAAGTATTTTGGGTACATGTTTAAGGATTGTAAAACAGTGTTTCTATTTCTGGATATAATAAATGTATTTGTTAATATAATAACTGAACAGATTAGACCCATAAACTATTTACAGTGTTGAGTCATTTCCCACAGTTAAAATCAGGATGAAAATATATAGCTGAATACTTGCTTTGTTTCTTGTAACATTTCTTTAGTACAGAACCTGCTAAGGCCATCAAACCTATTGATCGGAAGTCAGTCCATCAGATTTGCTCTGGGCCAGTGGTACTGAGTCTAAGCACTGCAGTGAAGGAGTTAGTAGAAAACAGTCTGGATGCTGGTGCCACTAATATTGGTAAGTTTGGGAGAGTTTTAAGCCACAAGAAATGATTAGTGTGTGTTGTTGTAGTCAAGAAACATTTGTTATTGAAATAAGACTATCAAGTGTTGATGTAGTAATAAATTATTATTTTTAAGTTAAAGTTAGCACCTATTATGTGCCTAGTACTTAGCTAGGTAGTAATAATAATAACGACAGCTTTTCTTGTGTTCTTATGGTGTGCCAGGCAGGTGTTATGCTAAGAATTGCACAGAAATATCTCATTTAATTTGCAGAATAGCTGGGCGTGGTGTTTCACGCCTGTAATCCTAGCCCTTTGAGAGGCCAAGGTGGGGGGATTGCTTGAGGCCAGAGTTCAAGACCAACCTGGCCAACATGGTGAGACCTCATCTCTATTAAAAAAATAAAGCAGGCCGGGTGTGGTGGCTCACACCTGTAATCCCAGCACTTTGGGAGGCCAAGGTGGGTGGATACCTGAGGTCAGCAGTTTGAGACCAGCCTGTCCAAAATGGTGAAACTCTGTCTCTACTAAAAATATAAAAATTAGCCAGACTTGGTGGCAGAAGCCTGTAATCCCAGCTACTTGGGAGGCTGAGGCATGAGAATGGCTTGAACCCGGGAGGCAGAGGTTGCAGTGAGCCGAGATCGTGCCACTGCACACCAGCCTGGGACAGAGCAAGACTCTGTCTCAATAAAAATAAAATAGGCATGGAGTAGTGGCTCACATCTATAATCCCAGCACTTTGGGAGGCAGAGCAGGGCTGATCATTTGAGGTCAGGAGTTCAAGACCAGCCTAACCAACATGGTAAAACCCTGTCTCTACTAAAAATACAAAAATTAGCCAGATGTGATGGTGCATGGCTGTAATCTCAGCTCCTCGGGAGGCTGAGGGAGGAGAATTGCTTGAACCTCGGAGGTGGAGGTTGCAGTGAGCCAAGATCAGATCATGCCACTGCATTCCAGCCTCGGTGACAAGAGCAAAACTCCATCTCAAAAAAAAACAAGAAAAAAAAAAATAACAAAATAAAATAAACCTGAAAAATTATTAATCAGCTGAGTAACTTTATGAGATAGAACTTATTATCTTCATTTTACAGATGAGGAAATTAAGGAACAGGAAATTTCCTTTTTTTGAGATTATAAAGCTAATAAAATAGGATCCAGGAAGTCTGATTCCAGAAGCAGTTGCCTTTTTTTTTTTTTTTGAGATGGAGTTTCACTCTTGTTGCCCAGGGTATAGTGCAACGGCACGATCTCGGCTCACCGCAACCTCCGCCTCCCGGGTTCAAGCAATTCTGCCTCAGCCTTATGAGCAGCTGGGATTACAGGCATGCACCACCACACCTGGCTAATTTTGTATTTTTAGTAGAGACAGGGTTTCTCCACGTTGGTCAGGCTAGTCTGGAACTCCTGACCTCAGGTGATCTGCTCACTTTGGCCTCCCAAAGTGCTGGGATTACAGGCATGAACAACCGCGCCTGCCCCCCTTTCTCCTTACTGGGTATGTTAAAATTATTTCTTTCAAAAGAAAAGGCTGGTCAAAGTGCAACGGTGTTAACCACTAATTGATCACAACCAGTTACAGATTTTTTTGTACCTTCTCCACTCCAACTGCTTCATTTGACTAGCCTATGGACAAAAAAAAAAAAAAAAGAGGAAAGAAAAAGCTAAACTATTTAATCTGGGCTAGTAAATGGCCAGAAAGGGCTTTATAAAAATGAAATATACAAAATGATACTCGTACTTTTAACTAAAGGTATAGTTATGACTCTTCAATTTGCACATGTTATAAATAATATCAATATAAAAGCTTATAGCATGGGTCCATTTTTTTTTTTTTTCTTTTTGAGACGGAGTCTCACTGTCTCCCAGGCTGGAGTGCAGTGGCGCGATCTCGGCTCACTGCAAGCTCCGCCCCCCGGGTTCATGCCATTCTAGCATGGGTCCATTTTTAATAAATACATAAATATTTAAACTTTCTAGATCTAAAGCTTAAGGACTATGGAGTGGATCTCATTGAAGTTTCAGACAATGGATGTGGGGTAGAAGAAGAAAACTTTGAAGGCTTAAGTAAGTTGACTTTTTCTAATCCTATTATAAAATAATTGGGCCACATGTCTCAGAATTTTGAGTAACACTGTCTTGGGAAACGCAAAAACAGTTTTTTAAGCCAGTTACTAGATATCATGTATATCCGTTGTTTTGGCACTTGAGGTATCTTAGTCCTTACTTTACAGTCTCTTTCAGCTCTGAAACATCACACATGTAAGATTCAAGAGTTTGCCGACCTAACTGAAGTTGAAACTTTCGGTTTTCAGGGGGAAGCTCTGAGCTCACTGTGTGCACTGAGGTGATACAATGTTTTTATCCATTCACTTGACCCCTTAGAAAAACCTCTCAGAAAGTTAATTGGAATCGTTATTTACAATTTTCTATCTCGGTATCTCAGCTTCTAGCTTCTGAATTCTGTTTTGTCTCACTGCCAATCTAAGTCCTAGTACTTCTGAAATGTGGGAAATAAATGAATGAAATGAAGCAAATAGTATTGTTAAAAAAAAATGGTTACCCTTATTAGAACAGTAACTTCTCAATTTTAACATAACATATAGGTAATAAATGATAGTTACCACTGCTTTTCATCATCAAATTTTAGGGAAACATTTCACCAAAGCACTATTTAATTATAGAACAGATACTAAATTTTTATAATTATATTTAAATATATATATACATATATATGTGTGTATATATATACATATATATGTGTGTATATATATATACACATATATGTGTGTGTGTATATATGTATGTGTATATATATAATTTTTGTTTGTTTGTTTGTTTTTTTAGACAGAGTCTCACTCTGTCACCCAGGCTGGAGTGCAGTGGCACAGTCTCAGCTCACTGCAATCTCTGCCTCCCAGGTTCAAGTGATTCTCATGCCTCAGCCTCCTGAAGAGCTGGGACTATAGCGTGCACCACCACTCCTGGCTAATTTTTGTATTTTTAGTAGAGATGGGGTTTTGCCATGTTGCCCAGGCTGGTCTGGAACTCCAGGCCTCAAGTGATCTGCGCTCCTCGGCCTCCCAAAGTGCTGGAATTACAGGCATGAGCCACCGTACCCTGCCCTACATATACATTTTAATTATAATATCTCTTGGATTCTTTAAAAATTTAAAAAAATTTTTTAATTCTTTAAAAAATTCTTTAAAACAATTTTATTTGAAGAGTAATAACAAAACAAATCTCTATTTGTGAATAAATAAACCTTGAGATCATTTATGGTTTTGCAATTCAACCTGAAAAATGAAATCAAAGCTTTTATCAAAACAAAGCATGTTTAGTGCTCTCTGTCTCACTGTCTTTTAGATGCCAAACCTTAGATTTTATAATGACTCCTCAACCGTTTAGATCTTGGTTATCTCAGAGGGATCATCAGCTTTTTAAGAAAGTTTTGAGAGAAAAGCAAGTGAAGAAAAGCATAGTCAATGCTCAACATCACGGGTCTCTCACTGAACACACCACGCCTGGTATTCTCTCACAGCGATGTCACCATTTCTACCTGCCACGCGTCGGTGAAGGTTGGGACTCGACTGGTGTTTGATCACGATGGGAAAATCATCCAGGAAACCCCCTACCCCCACCCCAGAGGGACCACAGTCAGCGTGAAGCAGTTATTTTCTACGCTACCTGTGCGCCATAAGGAATTTCAAAGGAATATTAAGAAGGTACAGTAAATTAATCTTGGTTTTCAAGAGTATTGGTTAATGCACATGAGCAAAAGATTTACTAAAGATGTTTATTCTTCAGTTGATTCTCTTGCCATAATCTATTGAGAAATGCTTTATTTGCATTTCTCGTTAAAGACTTAACATTAAAGACTTAACTTTAGGGTGATTTACTTTTTTCTTTTCATCACATAGTGTTTATTAGGACTGGGCAACATAGTGAGACTCTGTTTCTATGAAAAATTAAAAAAAAAATTGACTGGGCATGGTGGCATCCACCTGTAGTTCCAGCTACTTGGGAAGCTGAAGTGGGAGATTCACTTGAGCCCAGAAACTTGAGGCTGCAGTGAGCTATGATTGTGCCACTGTATTTCAGACTGGGAGACAGAGTAAGACTCTGTCTGGAAAAATATATATACATATATATATTTTATTTTTATTTTTTATTTTTATCTTTTTTTGAGATGGAGTCTCACTTTGGCGCCCTGGCTGGAGTGCAGTGGCACGATCTCGATTCACTGCAACCTCCACCTCCCGAGTTTAAGCGATTCACCTGCCTCAGCCTTCTGAATAGCTGGGATTACAGGCGCGCACCACCACACCTGGCTCATTTTTGTATTTTTAGCAGAGACGGGGTTTCACCACGTTGTCCAGGCTGGCCAGGCTGGTCTCAAATTCCTGACCTCAGGTGATCCGCCCACCTCGGCCTCTCAAAGTGCTGGGATTATAGGCGTGAGCCACCATGCCTGCCTTATGTACTTATATTTTAATGAGACTATTTCTCTTGGTTTTCTGATAAATGAGTTACTGGAACCCTTATGAATCTGAATGCAAAAGAAACAGCTAAATGTTATGTAATTGTTGTGTTTAAAAACCAGATTATAAAACTATCTGTATTATATGATTACGGTTTTATAAAAACAAAACAACGGCCTAAATGTGTATAGTATAAAGGCTGGAAGAGTCAGCACTTTCATGTTCTCAGCGGTTATCCTTGGATGTGAGATCTCATGCACTTTTTGCTCTCTTCTTTGTGCCTTTCCATTTTGTATGTGTATTTTTTACAATCTAAAAAGTTACTTAAACATATGCAGCTACAAACTTTTTTTACTTGTAAAGCGTTTGGTGCTAATTTTAACTTTTTTTTTTAGACGGAGTCTTCTCACTCTGTCGCCCAGGCTGGAGTGCAGTGGTGTGATCTTGGCTCACTGCAACCTCCGCCTCCTGGGTTCAAGTGATTCTCCTACCTCAGCCTCCCAAGTAGCTGGGATTATAGGTGTGTGTCACCACACCCAGCTAATTTTTGTATTTTTAGTAGAGATGGGGTTTCACCATGTTGGCCAGGCTGGTCTTGCACCCCTGACCTCAAGTGATCTGCCCACCTCAGCCTCCCAAAGTGCTGGGATTACAGGCGTGAGCCACCACGCCTGGCTTTTTTTTTTAAAGCTTTTTTGAAAGTCAGCTAGCAAGAACACAGGAAGAAATACTCAAATCTCCCTTACCCAGCTGGGGGCTATGTCAGGTTTTATAAGCATAGGGTAATGAGTTGTGATTTGATTGGATCTTGCAATAAAGTAATGCTGGGAGGTGTGATCTGACTGGATCCTGCCATGGGGTGACAGCAAAACTCAATCTGATTGGATCCTGGCTCCTGCCATGGAGTGTCCAGTTCTTAAATCAGTCTCAGCTCTTCAGGCCGAGCTTTTAGTTTCCACTCCGTGGTTGCATGCTTGGTTAACCTGGGCATGCACAGGGTACATGCCCTTCAACCTGTGGGTCCATGGCAATTGAAAAACAACTGACAACCTCATTACATAAAAGTTGAACTGAGCCGGGTGCAGTGACTCACGCCTGTAATCCCAGCACTTTGGGAGGCCAAGGCAGGTGGAGGTCAGGACTTCAAGACCAGCCTGGCCAAAATGGTAAAACCCCGTCTCTACTAAAAATATAAATATTAGCCAGGTGTGGTGGTGCACCCTTATAATCCCAGCTATCTGGAGGCTGAGGCAGCAGAATCACTTGAACCTAGGAGGTGGAGGTTGCAGTGAGCTGAGTTCATACCATTGCACTCCAGCCTGGGTGACAAGAGTGAAACTCCGTCAAAAAAAAAAAAAAAAGTTGAACCAGATTTGGTCTGATGCAGTTACAGATCTACAAACCTCACCCCCACCCTCCTGCCAACACCTTCCACTCCTCATTCTTGAGGGATTAGGGATGGAGGTCATGCTTCTGCTTCGACTTCATGCTGAGCAGGGCACTGAGTCCCCTAAAGTGAAAGGAATGAAACTCTTGGGCTTCTGAGTTCAGATGAGTTCTGGGGTCACCCAGAGTAGCTTGAAAGGCTGGTATTGTTGTAATACAAGCTGAAGGTGGAAGTGTTGGAGCCTGGAGGACAAACAGCTCACCATCCATTTAAATAAATAGGACCAAAAAGTAACAGAACAGTGGCCACGAGGGGCCCCAACAGAGGAAGAAACCAGGTGAGGTGCGGTATAGTGGACTCGACTGCCTTCTAAATCTCAGTGGTTGTCCGGGTGCGGTGGCTCACGCCTGTAATTCCAGCAAAAGAAGAGCCGAGGCAGGGTGATCACGAGGTCAGGAGTTCAAGACCAGCCGGGCAAACATGGTGAAACCCCGTCTCTACTGAAAATACAAAAATTAGCCAGGTGTGGTGGCGTGTGCTGTAGTCCCAGCTACTAGGGAGGCTGAGGCAGGAGAATTGCTTGAACCTGGGAGGCGGAGGTTGCAGTGAGCCGAGATTGTGCCACTGCACTCCAGCCTAGGTAACAGAGCAGGACTCCATCTCAGTCAATCAATCAATCAATCTCAGCGGTTGAACTACCCTTGACATGGTTCAGCTCTGTATCCACACCCAAATCTCATGTCAAATTGTAATTCCCAGTGTTGTGGGAGGGACCTGGTGGGAGGTGATTGGCTCATGGGGGCCGACTTCCCCCTTGCTGTTCTCGTGATATTGAGTGAGCGCTTGTGGGATCTGGTTGTTTAAAAGCGTGCAGCCCTCCCACTTCACTCTCTCTGTCTCTCCTGCTCCAACATGGCCAGACGTGCCTGCTTCCCCTTCGCCTTCTGCCGTGATTGTCAGTTTCCTGAGGCCTCCCCAGCCATGCTTCCTGTACAGCCTGCAGAACTGTGAGTCAATTAAACCTCTTTTCTTCATAAATTACCCAGTTTCTCATAGTTCTTTATAGCAGTGTGAAAACAGACTAATGGCCCTTCTGGTTGAAGGAATGCAGCCATTCTGCTTGTTTGACTATGTCCTTTCTATTCATCTCTATTTCCTGGGAGGTGTTTATCCAAGTGCAATAGGAGGTATTGGTGACCGCACAGTCCCCTCAGTGTTCTGCTAGTAAATAGTTGAAGGTTGATCATTGATCTCCTGCGTTTTCAGTCTGGCATGGAAAAGCCCCCGTGCAACTGGTAAAGATATCAATAAGCACCAGGAGGTATCTAAATCCACCAGGAGCCATAGGCATCACATTGACGTCCATTTACCAGTCTTCCCTGGCAAGATTCTTCTGAATTGTGCTGCCTTGACCAAAAGAGGTATGGGAGGGGCTGGGCGCAGTGGCTTGTGCCTGTAATCCCAACATTTTGGGAAACCAATTCAGGTGGATCATTAGAGGTCAGGGGTTCAAGACCATCCTGGCCAACATGGTGACATCCCATCTCTACTAAAAATACAATAAGTTAGCTGGGTTTGGTGTTGGGTGCCTGTAATCCCAGCTACTCGAGAGGCTGAGGCAGGATAATCGCTTGAACCTGGGAGGAGGAGGTGGCAGTGAGCTGAGATCGTGCCATTGCACTCCAGCGTGGGCAACAAGAGTGAAACGTCGTCTCAAAAAATAAAACAAAAGTCCGGGCGTGATGGCTCACACCTGTAATCCCAGCACTTTGGGAGGCCAAGACGGGTGGATCACGAGGTCAGGAGTTCAAGACCAGCCTGGCCTAGATGGTGAAACCCTGTCTCTACTAAAAATGCAAATATTAGCTGGGCATGGTGGCATGCACCTGTAATCTCAGCTACTCAGAAGTCTGATGCAGGAGAATTGCTAAAACCCAGGAGGGAGAGGTTACATTGAGCCGAGATTGCGCCACTGCACTCTAGCCTGGGCGACAGAGCAAGACTCCGTCTCGAAAGAAAGAAAGAGAAAGGAAATTCCCCAGGGAAGTACCTCGGCTTATTTCATAAACAGGTACTGAAGGAAGCAGAGGCATGTGGAGGACTTCCCCACCTCGTGCAGCTATTTGGGCCGTGGCATCTGAAATTTCTTATTTCAGAGTCACCCCTTTGATGACCTTGGCAGTGAACTGCAGTCATCTGTTTAGGCCTTTCCATGGCCCACGTCAATGCCGGTATTTCTGTTTGTTGCACATTTGATTTCCTTGTTGTTGGCATTTAGAAGGCCCCCCGTTTCCCAGATCACACCACGGGCATGGACCGCAGAGATTGCATCTTGTGAGTCTGTAGAAACAGTCAAGGCCTTGTCCTCTCTTAGGTCCAGAGCTCAGGTTAATGCAGATTTTCCCGGCCATCTGTGCTGAAGTCCCTTTGGGGAGGCTCCTGGCTGGTTTCCTGTAGGTAGACAGCTACACGTCCTGCCCTTCATTGGCTTCTTTTCATGAAGCTCCTGCCATCTACAAAACATGTCTCCCTTCTTGAATCACATCTCTGTTATTGAAACTCTAGAAGTCGACCGGGCATGGTGGCTATGCCTATAATCCCAGCATTTTGGGATGCCAAGGCGGGTGGATCACCTGAGGTCAGGAGTTCAAGACCAGCCTGGCCAACATGGCGAAACCCCGTCTCTAATACAAATACAAAAATTAGCCAAGCATGGTGGCCACTGTACTCCAGCCTTGGCGACAGAGCAAGACTCCGTCTCAAAAAAAAAAAAATAAAATAAAAGAGAAAGAAAGTATCATGCTTTTCTGCATTCTGTGAATTGTTTTAGTGAGTTATCGAACTTGAGGGCATGGTGGGAACCTCCAAATTTGCAGCCAGTTGGTGAGAAGTATATGTGGTCTGAAGACACCCAAACCTGCAGGTGTGTCTAAAGCGAGGGCAGCCTAGTGGGGGCTGGTGGCCTTAACCTGTGGCATTTGAGGTAACATCAGGGAGTTGACATCAGAATTGCATCACATAGGCTGGGCGCGGTGGCTCACGCCTGTAATCCTAGCACTTTGGGAGGCCAAGGCGGGCAGATCACGAGGTCAGGAGATCGAGACCATCCTGGCTAACACAGTGAAACCCCGTCTCTACTAAAAATACAAAAAATTAGCCAGGCATGGTGGCGGGCGCCTGTAGTCCCAGCTACTCGGGAGGCTGAGGCAGGAGAATGGCATGAACCCAGGAGGCGGAGCTTGCATTGAGCCAAGATCACGCCACCGCACTCCAGCCTGGGTGACAGAGCGAGACTCCATCCCCCCCCCACAAAAAAAAAGATAAAAAACAGAATTGTGTCACAGGCCAGATGCAGTGGCTCATGCTTATAATCCCAGCAATTTGAAAGGCAAGGTAACAGGATCGCTTGAGCTTGAGTCTGAGGCCGCAGTGAGCTATGACCACACCACTGCACCCCAGTCTGGGTGACAGTGCAAGACCCCAACTCCAAAAAGAAAAGAGAAAAATCACAAAGAATTGCATGGCAGAGTGCCTGTCTTTCACAGCTTTAACTGCTGCAGGAACTTTCTTTTTTTTTTTTTTTTTTTGAGAGGGGGCGAGGAGACACAATCTCTGCTAGTGATTCTCCTGCCTCAGCCTCCCAAATAGCTGGGATTATAGGCGTGCACCACCACGCCTGCCTAATTTTTGTATTTTTAGTAGAGACAGGGTTTCACCATGTTGGCCAGGCTGGTCTCAAACTCCTGCTGGGATCATGGGTGTGAGCCACCACGCCCGGCCACCTTTAGAGTTTTCTTACCACCTGGTTTTCCTCTCTCAATATTTTTCTCTCATTTCCTGCCTTAAAACTCTAGCTTGGCATCTGGGCGCAGTAGCTCATGCCTGTAATCCCAGCACTTTGGGAGGCCGAGGTGGGTGGATCACTTGAAGTCAGGAGTTCGAGACCAGCCTGGCCAACATGGTGAAACCTTGTCTCTACTATTTTTACAAAAGTTAGTCGGACGTACAGACGGGTGCCTGTAGTCCCAGCTACTTGGGAGGCTGAGGCAGGAGAATTTGTTTGAACCCAGAGGTGAAAGTTGCAGGGAGCCGAGGTTGTGCCACTGCACTCCAGCCTGGGAGACAGAGCAAGACTCTGTCTCCAAAACAAACAAACAAACAAAAAAACCCTGTAGCTTGGGATCAGCCTTCTCTTCTATTGTTTTTCTTTAAAAAATAAAAATTAAAAATAGATGTAGATGCTATGTTGCTGAGGCTGGCCTCAAACTCCTGGCCTCAGGTGATCCTCCTGCCATGACCTCCAAAACTGCAGGGATTGTAGGTGTGAGCACTGCACCCAGCCTTATGTTTTTTTCTACATAAAAAACAGCACAGGATTATCTTCCAGAGCTAATAAATATGTTCAAATAACCACAACCCCATTAAGGAAAAATATCACTGGGCAGCAAATAATCAATCCAGACCAATATGATCACAATTGCTGTGAAGGTGAGAAAAGTTCATTTTTATTATGTTTCCCCAAGAGACGCACTCTATTGTTCTCTTGAAAACACACAGCTCATGTCCTCCTTTAGAACACACATCCTCTTTAAAGTAACATACAAACATGCCAAAACAAGGTAAAAAATTACACCTGAATTCTCACATTTCAAACATATATGAAATATCAAATAAAAATTTATTTTTACAAGAATTTAGGGGAACTACTACATAGCTATAAATGTAATATATATGTTAACTAAGTATCACAGATAAAAACCATGCTCCCTTCAGCAACACGTGTAATAATAGATACAAAGATTGAAAGGTAAAAGATTTAGGATGAAAAGAATCCTCTCTTAAAAAGGAAAGCAAAATTATACGTATGTGTATATAACAGTTATAACACCCATCACACAGCTTTATAGAAACAGCATCTATTCAAAAATAGCAGTATTTCAAAAATATTTAAAATAATATTTCAAGTAATAATATTTAAATAAATATATTTAATAAATATTTCAATAAATAAAATAATATTTAAATAATTCTATACCCATGTTTTTCAAAATAAACCAATAAAATAGATAGTATATATTAGACGTGTTAGTATATATATCTGAGACATGTTAAAAATCACAACTGAATTCTCACAATTCAGTCACAAACCTAAACAGCAAATAAAAATTTCTATCACCAGAATTATGTTTTTTTTGTGGTGGGGAACTACCAATAGCTATAAATAGAAGAGATTATTATGGAAGTATCATAGATAAAAAGAGTGCTCGCTTCAGGAGCACATATAATAATACAGAAAGAAATTTAAAGATAATAAAATATTTAGGATAAAAAGAATTGTCTCTTAAAAATGAAAAGAAAATTATCTTTATGTATATATAACAACTATAACTCTCATCAAAAAACTACAGGAACAGCATGTTTTCAAAAGTACAACAATTTCCAAACTATTTGAAATAAATCTATGAATAATTCAATGGCCAACATTTTCCAAACAAACCAATAAAATGCAGAGTGTGCATGAAGCTATCTGTTACAATCTGTGGCACTGATATTTCACAGAAGAAATCTGTGCCAATCTGAGCCCCTGCATTGTGCCTTCAAATGCTTCTGGACTGTGGTAACCAAGTCCATAAGAAACAGGACCTCCAGGTTCCGCCCCAGGGAGGTTGGAATTCAGCAATATAGAAAGGGTGGTGGTGCTGCAGGAAAGGGTGGAACTGGAAACACTCCTGGTTTCTTACTTTTCTCCAAGGACTCCTAGAAGGACCCCACCCCCCTCCCCCCACCCCTGCTCCTAGGAGGACAACGTGATCACTGTATTCAGCTCCATCAAGAATGGTCCAGGTTCTTCTAGATGATCTGCACAAATGGTTCCTCTCCTCCTTCCTGGTGTCTGCCATTAGCATTGGAATAAAGTTCCTGCTGAAAATCCACATCTCCCCTGGGTCCGGTGTTCTGGAAGTGAGAGAGACAATGTCACACTTCAAGGAGGCAGCTCTCTAGACAGGAAGGTTATTCACGTCCCATGTCAAGTCTAGAGTTCAGAGCAATTGAGAAATGCAATTTTATCTGCTGCCTTTCATTCTATACCCTGCTTCTGAACCTTGGTGTTCAACTGTGAAACTCACACTTTGGTGACGACTCCAAAACTCACTTAATACACCCAAGGTCAGCCCCAGTGATCTGCTTCATAGCAAGGACTTTGGGTGGGTCTGCCCAGGGAGTAGGGCACCCTCAGAGAATGTGGCTTTGGACTTCATCACAGCTGGGGCCTTTTGTGTCTCTTAAGATCCAGACTTGTAACCATGCTAGATGTGTTTCTAATGTGACAACATCACGAACCACGAGTCCAGAAGCCTAATCCTTAATCCTACCTCCTCATGATGAAGTCTTATGCTCTGTGCTCACCGTGGTTAGCTGCACAAGATGTAAACCAAAGCTTCACTGAACCCTCGACCCAAATCGGTAACTCAAGTGCATCAATCATAATGAACCTCCCCCAACTCAGTATTTATGATTATTTTTGAGGCAGGGTCTCACTCTGTCGCCCGGGCTGGAGTGCAGTGGCAGGATCAGGGCTCCGTGCAGCCCCGACCTTCCAGGCTCCAGCGATCCTCCCGCCTCAGCCTCCTGAGTAGTTGGGAGTAGAGATGCCTCCCACATCGCCTGGCTAATTTTTGTATTTTTGTGGAGAGGGGATCTCGCCACGTTGCCCAGGCTTGAAGCCGGATCAAGCAATTGGGTTCTTCGGATTTCCGAAATAGACCCCAATATTCTGCCTTTACCCCGGAGGATGCAGATGTACCTTCTCTCAGGCCGATGACCTCAGGCCTCCACGGTCCCTGGAGCTCTAGGAAAGGTGAGCGCGATCTCGCGCCCACACCCAGTGCTCTGGGTCATAAGCCTGGATCTGGAAAAACAAACGCCCTTTGAGAAGACGGGGACTCGCCAGGATACCCCTCTCTCCCCTCATCCAGCCTCCAGCCCACCCGATTCCTCCCCACCTCCTCCACCTCCCCAGGCCCCACCTACCTCCTCCAACTCCTCCGGGGAAACCCAAGCCCTGCCGCTCATGGAACAGAAGAACTGGAACCGACGTTTCTGGAACAGGACTATCTGAGAGCGGTTCTTCCTGGCCCTCAGGTTCATGGAACGGCCTAACTGGAACCGACGCTTACGGAGCAAGGGTATGCGAGAGCGGTTCTTCCTGGCCCTCGGGTTCATGGAACGGCCTAACTGGAACCGACGCTTACGGAGCAAGGGTATGCGAGAGCGCTTCTTCCTGGCCCTCGGGTTCATGGAACGGCCTAACTGGAACCAACGCTTACGGAGCAAGGGTATGCGAGAGCGGTTCTTCCCATACAGGAAGTGGAAGATGTTTTGTTTGGAGTCCTCGTCGTCCTCCTCCATGTCATTGGCCAGGTAGCTGAGGACAGAAATCAGGTTGCTGCTCAGGGGCACCACCAAGAGAGGCCTCCGGCTGAGGTCAGCTTCCCAGAGAGGAAGGTAAGGGACCGTCCCTAGCTCAGGACTGGCACCCACCCTGCAGAGAGCCACGCCTTCCTCAGGAGGGCTCTGCTGGACAGAGACCTGATCAAGGGCGTCTCCCACTCCTTCAGGATGGAGACAAAAACCCAACTGGTGGCCGAGAGTGGTGGCTTATGCCTGGAATCCCAGCACACTGGGAGGCCAAAGCAGGAGGATCACTTGAGGCCAGGAGTTTGAGACGGGCCTGGGCAACATAGCAAGACCCTCGTCTCTATTAAAAATATAAGAAATATGCCAGACGCGGTGGCTCATGCCTGTAATCCCAGCACTTTAGAAGAATGAAGCAGGTGGATCGCTTGAGACCAGGAGTTGGAGACCAGCCTGGTCAACACGGAGAAACCCCATCTCTACTAAAAATACAAAAATCAGCCTGGTGCGGTGGCACACCCGTTAGGCCTAGCTACTCAGGAGGCTGAAGCATAAGAATTGTGTGAACCCAGGAGGCGGAGGTTGCAGTGAGTTGAGATTGGGCCACTCCATTCCAGCCTGAGAGGCAGAGCAAGACTCTATCTCAATAATCAAACAAACAAACAAACAAACAGTCCAGGTGTGGTGGCACAGCCCTGTAGTCGGAGCTAATAAAGAAGCTGAGGTGGGAGGATCGCTTGAGCCCAGGATATGGAGGCTGCGATGAGCTATGATCTCACCACTGCACTCCAGCTTGGGGGACAGGGGAAGTCTGTCTCAAAAAAATAAAAGAAATTGAATACATTGATATTTTGCCAGGACCCTGCCTTCTACAGGCATCTAGTCTAATGGGACTGGGAGTAATCAAGGCAGATGACCTAATCCCAGTGTCCAGGATGTAACTAGAGAGCTACGGGCATGCAGAAGTTGGAAGATGAGGGAAGGCATCACAGAGGCTGTGGGGTGAACTGACTTCAAGGAATGGGTCCTTCCCTTCAGAGCCACATGTGTGCGGGACACCCAGACAGAAAACACAAACACAAAGTCGAGTGGAGGGCATTTGGAAGAAGCAGTGAAGCCGAGCCAGGAAATACCAAGATGGCGAGCCAGTGTGCTTGTAGAGATTGTAGAATTGACACTGTGGACCCTGGCCTCGATAGAGAAAGGCATCAGCTAAGGAAGTTGTTCAGGTGGGCAGTGAGGTTGTCGTGCTTTGGAAAGATGTTCAGGCTGCACTAGGAAGCCCCCTGGCTTGGGGAGAGACTCCAGGAGACCCCAGCAGGGAGCATTTGACAGTGGATTCGAGTGATGCGAGGGGGACCTGAACTGTGGCCTCTGTCATGGGAACCCAGAGGAGGTCGATGGCGTTTGTGGTTGATGTGGGAAGGAGAGAGAGAGAAGAACCAGAAACGTCTGCTTGCTGGAGGAAGCGGCATGTCCGCTCCTCCACTCCTTTTCTTTTCCCCTTAGGAGCGGTTTATGGTTCCTTTTGTTTTATTCTTTTATTTGTACACTGGCATTGGAGTTTGTTTTTTTGGCTTTTTTTTTTTTTTTTTTTTTTTTTTTGAGAAAAAGTCTCACTCTGTCACCCAGGCTGGAGTGCGGTGGCTCGACCTTAGCTTACTGCAACCTCCACCTCCTGGGTTCAAAGGGTTCTCTTGCCTCAGCCTCTCGAGTAGCTGGGATTACAGATGCACACCACCACGCCCAGCTAATTTTTCTATTTTTCGTAGAGACGGGGTTTGGCCATGTTGGCCAGGCTGGTCTCGAACTGCTGACCTCAGGTGATCCGCCTGCCTCGGCCTCCCAAAGTGCTGGGATTACAGGCGTATGCCACTGTGCCCAGCCTGAGTTTCTGTTTAGAAACAACAGTCTATGATAGTATAATCCTCTCTTTTTTGTACACAGAGTAAAGAGGACAAATAGGTGAAAGAATAAATGAAAGGCTGGAATCCCACTTCCCCCGCTGTCCCAGGGCATTGGATATTGATGGATAGGAGGCAGCAAACCACTCACAGAGCCAGGAAGAAATGAATGCGTTGGTATTGCCAGGAGGGGAAGCCGGCCCGGCTGAAATACGCTATGACCATAGCCAGGAGATACTGATGGAGAGAAAGGAACACAGAGAGGGAGAGGTCACATCTTGGAAGAGGAAGATTGTGGAGAGGGGGAATGAGGGTCTGGGGAGGGGCTGCCCATCAGAGAAGGGACCTCAGTGTTGGGGTGACTGTACTCATTTGGAAATTGCGGGATGGAGGGGTATTCGAAGGTCGGATGCAAATCCGAGAAGCCAGAGGAAGGGTTTTGGGTGATGCTCCCAGGATGGTGGGCTCCGATGGGATCTTTGGAGGGGGTGTGTCTAGGTCGGCTGGTGTAAGGAGGGTCTTTTGTGTGCCAGGCAGAGAACTGTCCTGAAGAGCTGAGAGTAGAGGGGCCAGGAGCTTCAGGGCTGCGGCCAGACTGTGGCCCAGAGCTCAGATCCCAAAGGACCCATAGGAGAGGCAGGGGCCACTCATTCACTCTGCAAGAGACCAGCAGAATCCTGAGGGAGATGCTGACAAATCATAAAAAGACCAAGAATAGCCGGGAGTGGCGGCTCAAGCCTGTGATCCCAGTACTTTTTGAGAGGTGGAGACAGGAGGATCATGTGAGCCCAACAGTTCTAGAACAACCTGGGCAACATAGTGAGACCCTGTTTCTACAAACATTTCAAAAATTAGTTGAGCATGGTGGCATGTGCCTAGTCCCAGCTCCTCAGGAGGCTGAGGAAAGAAGATTGCTTGAGCCCAGGAATTAGAGGCTGCAATGAGCTATGATCATGCCACTGCACTCCATCCTGGGGAGCAGAGCTAGACTCTGTCTCACAAAAAAAAAATTTGTGGGTGCCAAGACTCAAGACCATGGGAGCTGGTCGGGCACAGTGGCTGACGTCTATAATCTCAGCACTTTGGGAGGCCAAGGCAGGTGGATCGCCTGAGGTCAGGTGTTCAGGACCAACCTGGCCAACATGGCAAAACCCCGTTTCTACTAAAAACACAAAAATTAGCCAGGCGTGGTGGTTCATGTCTGTAATCCCAGCTGCTTGGAGGCTGAGGCAGAAGAATCGCTTGAACCCGGGAGGCATCGGCTGCAGTGAGTCAAGATTGAGACACTGCCCTCCAGCATGGGCAACAGAGCAAGATTCTGTCTCACAAAAAAAAAAAAAAAAAAAAAAAAAAAAAAGACTGTAGGAGCATCTGGTGGGAGGTGGTGGAGGGAGAACTGTGGGTTTGGAAGCTGCGCCCTCCCCCGAGCCATGCGTTGGAACAGGAACAGTTACATGGAGAACAACCTTACCTTGTCCGACACCCTCAGATCTTTGTCCCAGGCCAGGAATCTTTTAATGACAGGATCCTCTGTGATTAGAGAGCAGATGTCAGTGTGAGAAGCAGGACAGGGTTTCCGTGGGAGCAGCAGGGCAGCGAGGAGAAGTGTGCCTCCCGGGGGGAAGTCTCAGGATTGTGGCCGCGGGTGAGGTGGATGGGAGAGGGGAGAATGACTTTCACTGGGCAAGGGAGAGAGGCTCCTGCTCTGAGACTCCCCTGAGAAGAGGCCGAAGGAGGCCCTGGGTGTGAGAATCTACAGGATGTAGAGCTGGGAATCAACCAGGACCCCCTCCAGCAGACACGGAGGGACCACTGCAGAGTCATAAAGGAATTCCCATCATTTCCTCATGAGACAGTCACATCAGGGTGTGACCATGGCCTTGGTATCCCTCACTATGGATGGAAACACTTAGGTTTAGAAAAGTCAGTAAGAGACATTAAGTTTCAGAGGGCACAGCTGAAACCACTTTCTTTGTTTATTGATTTTGTTTTTCTTTATTTGATTTTTATTTTTATTTATTTATTAATTTATTTTGAGACAGAGTCTTGCTCTGTGGGCCAGGCTGGAATGCAGTGGCCTGATCTTGGCTCGCTGCAACCTCTGCCTCCCGGGTTTAAGCGATTCTCCTGTCTCAGCCTCCCGAGTAGCTGGGATTACATGCATGAGCTACTGTGCCCAGCCTTGGTTTTTCTTTTGAGACAGTGTTTTGCTCTGTCACCCAGGCTGGAGTGCAGTGGTGTAGTCATAGCTCACTGCAGCCTCAAAGTCCTGAGTTCAAGCAATCCTCTTGCCTCAGCCTCCCAACATGCTGGGATCTCAGGCAGGAGCCACTGCACCTGGCCCGAAACCAAGCTTTCTTATCCCAAGCGCTGACCTTTATCAAGTTGACCTAATCCTTTATCATCTCCTAAGTGTCCCTCATGAGTGATCACTTCACATTCCTCCCACATGGAGAGCTCACCCACTGGGGCATATTTTTCCCATTGGAAAAGTGTGGTTATTGGAAGTTTCCTGTTTTTGGAAAGAACAGGATTGGAGGTGCTCTCTGGGGTGTCCTCCTACCAAGCAGCCTGTTGAAGGCCTCGTGGTGCTCAGGGAGCACGAGCGACACTCGCCGTCGCTTCAGCTTCATCTTGAGGCCACACAGCATCTCCGCCACCCAGATCTCCTCAGGCTCAGGGGCGAGCACCTTCCGTGGCTCCTCCTCCAACGACTCCTCAGATTCGTCCCACCACTCCATCTTCCTTTTCCAGCAAAAGGACCTATGCGGGGGGCTGGGATCTACCCCAGGGGCTGAGTAAAGAAACCAGGCCATGGTGTAATGCTTCTGCAGTTGATCACACTAGAGCCCAACCCAAAACCCCAAACCACTCTCCATCCTCCCCAGCCTCGCAGACTGCTGGCTTCTCCAAGCCATCTTTCCTTCTGTCTGTCTCCTCTGCTGAGCTCCATGTGCTGCTCCTTCTCCTCCCCATTCTCCCGTTTCTCTGTCCTCAGAACACTTCCTCATATCCTTCCCTGGTCCCTGGCTCTCTGAGTCCCTTTTTTTTTTTTTTTTTTTTGTTGTTGTTGTTGTTGTTGAGAAACAGTCTTGCTTTGTGGCCTAGGCTGGAGTGTAGTGGTGCGATCTTGGCTCACTGCAACCTCCGCCTCCTGGGTTCCAGTGATTCTCCTGCCTAAGCCTCCCAAGTAGCTGGGATTACAGGTGCCCACCAGAACGCCCAGCTCATTTTTGTGCTTCTAGAAGAGACAGGGTTTCACCATGTTGGCCAGGCTGGTCTCCAACTCCTGGCCTCAAGTGATCTGCCTGCCTGGCCTCCCAAAGTGCTGGGATTACAGGTGTGAGCCAGTGCACCCTGCCTCAGTACCTCCATTCTTCCCACACACCCTCCTCACGTGCTCCTTCCTGACTTCTGGGCCCTTCCTTCCTTCTTTTTTTTTTTTTTTTTTTGACACAGCGTCTCAAAAAAATGCAGTGGCGCTATCTTGGCTCAAAGCAACCTCTTCCACCTGGGTTCAAGCAATTATCCTGTCTCAGCCTCCCGAGTAGCTGGGATAACAGGCATGCCTGGCTAATTTTTGTATTGTTAGTATAAATGAGGTTTCGCTATATTGGTCTGGTTGGTCTCGAACAACTGACCTCAAGTGATCCACCCATCTTAGCCTCCCAAAGTAATGGGATTACAGGCATGAGCTACCACACCCGGCCTTCGTTTTTCTTTTGACACAGGGTTTTGCTGTGTCACCCAGGCTGGAGTGCAGTGGTGCAGTCATAGCTCACTGCAGCCTCAAAGTCCTGAGTTCAAGCAATCCTCTTGCCTCAGCCTCCCAACGTGCTAGGATCTCAGGCGTGAGCCACTGCACCTGGCCCGAAACCAAGCTTTCTCATCCCAAGCGCCAACCTTTATCAAGTCTAGCCTAGTCCTCTATCGTCTCCTAAGTGTCCCTCATGAGTGATCACTTCTGAGTCCTCCTGCGTGGAGAGCTCACCCACGGGGGGCGTATCTTTCCCATTGGAAAAGTGTGGTTATTGGAAGTTTCCTCTTTTTAGAAAGAACAGGATTGGAGGTGCTCTCTGGGGTGTCCTCCTACCAAGCTGACTGTTGAAGCCCTTGTGGTGCTCAGGGAGGATGGGTGACACTCGCTGTTGCTTCAGCTTCATCTTGAGCCCACACAGCATCTCCACTACCCAGGTCTCCTCAGGTTCAGGGGCGAGCTCCTTCTCCGGCTCCTCCGCAGATTCATCTGACCACTCCCTCTTCCTTTTCCAGCCAAGGGACCTACATGGGGGGCTGGGATCTACCCCAGGGGCTGAGTAAAGAAACCAGGCCACCGTGTAATGCTTCTGCATCTGATCACCTTAGACCCCGACCCAAAACCCCAAACCACTCTCCATCCTCCCCAGACTCGCAGACTGCTGGCTTCTCTAAGCCATCTTTCTGATTTTCTCCTCTGCTCAACCCCATGTGCCGCTCCTTCCCCTCCCCATTCTTCTCTCTCTCTGTCCTCCGAACACTGCTTCATGTCCTTCCCTGGTCTCTGGCTCTCTGAGTCCCTCCTTTTTTGTTTTGTTTTGTTTTGACACAGAATCTTGCTTTGTCACCCAGGCTGGAGTGTAGTGGTGCAATCTCAGCTCACTGCAACATCCATCTCCTGGATTCCATTTATTCTTCTGCCTCAGCCTCTCAGGTAGCTGGGATTACAGGTGCCTGCCATAATGCCCAGCTCCATTTTGTACTTTTAGTAGAGACAGGGTTTCACCATGTTGGCCAGGCTGGTCTCAAACTCCTGGCCTCAAGTGATCCGCCTGCCTTGGCCTCCCAAAGTTCTGGGGTTACAGGTGTAAGCCACCACACCCAGCCTGAATTTCTCCATTCTTCCCACACACCCTCCTCAGGTTCTCCTTCCTGACCGCTGACCCTTCTTTTCTTTTCTTTTTTTTTTTTTTTTGGAGTGCAGTAGCGTGATCTCAGCTCACTGCAACCTCTTCCTCCCAGTCTCAAGTGATTCGCCTGTCTCAGCCTCCTGAGTAGCTGGGATTACAGGTGTGCACCACTACCACTTGGCTAATTTTTATACTTTTAGTAGAGATAGGGTTTCACCATATTGGCCAGGCTGGCCTTGAACTCCTGACCTCAGGTGATCCGCCCGCCTCGGCCTCCCAAAGTGCTGGGGTTACAGGCGTGAGCCACCGCACCTGGCCCCCTTCCTTCGTCTTAGTCAATCCTATCCCACCTCTTCTTCCACCAGTCCCCTCACCTGATGGTCCCAACACTTCATCATCCACCACCTCCTGGAGGGGGTACCCCGAGGTGCTCCGCTGGGGACTCTGCTCATTCTGGGGTTGCGGTTGACGGCTGGTCGTGATCTTTTCCGTAATCTGTCCCCTCTTACGGAACCTAGTCTCCGTTCTGTCCATGGCCTTCTTCTGATCACTGCTAGGATCCAGAAGAGTATGTTATCAATTCTCAAGCCTAGGAGAAGTCAGGAGTGGAGAACAGCTCTGAGAAGATACTGTTGTCCAACTGATCTCCAGGCACCACGGAGTCCGGTCCCTCCAATCAGGATGGTCGGAATCTCTGATGTCATCGCTCATGCCAACCTGGCAACCAGTTTGAAAAAAAACACATGTAACTGCCAGGCTGATCTCTTGTCCTGGAGATCCTGGGTGAATGGTATCTCCTGCCACTGTCCCAACCTCAGACCATTGTCCAAAAGCATCTTCAGGGACTCCACATCCCTCTGTTCCCTGTCCCAGCAGAGGCTGTGTCCTCTCCACTCAAAGCCTGAAGCATGTTGGGGTCTCTTTGTCTCTGTACATGCCCATTTCAGAGTCCAGTCTGGTGGGAGAGGGAACAGAGTGGGAAAGAAAACTAGGGTAAGCAGAAACGATGAAACCTTATAAGAGTGAGATTATCATGTACAAGAGTGAGATTATCATGTACAAGAGTGAGATTATCATGTACAAGAGATCCCAGGAATACTGACTTGATGAAAAAGTCACATCAGAGCACTCAGTTTGGCAGAGCTTTTCTGCCGAATGTTTACTCACATTCACTGTCCGAGATTCTATACTGGGGGTACACACGTCCTCTGCCCTAAGGCAATTTTGAGTCCAAGAGACATTTTGAGGCCTAAAAATCATAGGAAACTGCCCCTGAGCTCACACATATTTCCAATGGTGTCCCCAATTTCAGGGAATCCATGGATTACCTAAGCCAGCCCCTCCAGTTCGGCTAAGAAACTCTAGTCTATATATCAAGTTTTGTATCATATGTATTGCTCTGAACTCAGAAATTTCCCTTCCATTTATGGATTCTATGAATAAAATATCACATGTACAAAAAGACTAAGTCGAAAATTTCAGCTGTGCACAGTGGCTCATGCTTGTAATCCCAGCACTTTGGGTGGCCAAGGGAGGAAGATTGCCTGAGGCCAGCAGTTCAAGACCAGTATAGGCAACATAGTAAGAGCCCATCTCTAAAAAAACAAAACCAAACCAAATTAGCCAGGTGTGGTGGCTGGCACCTGTGTTCCAACTACTTGGGAGACTCGTGACAGGAAGATCACTTGAGCCCAGGAGTTAGAAGCTGCAGTGAGCCATGATCTTGCCACTGCACTCCCGTCTGGGCAACACAGCAAGATATTGTGTCAAAAAAATTTTTTTTGATAAAAAATAAAAGAGTTACATGACATTCAGAGACCATCCAAAAAACCTGTGGGTTCCCGGCTGGGCTCAGTGGCTCATGCCTGTAATCCCAGCACTTTGGGAGGCCAAAGTGGGTGGATCACTTGACGTCAGGAGTTTGAGACCAGCTTGGACAACATGGTGAAACCCCATCTCTACTAAAAATACAAAAAATTAGCCAGGCATGGTGGTGGATGCCTGTAATCGCAGCTACTCAGGAGAGGGAGCTGGAGAATCACTTGAACTCATGGTGCGCAGGTTGCAGGGAGCCAAGATCGCACCATTGTGCTCCAGTCTGGGCAACGAGCAAAACTCCATCTCAAAAAAAATAAAGAACCTGCGAGTGAGTTCCCACACGTTTTCCTAATGGGCTGCTGCTTTCCTAGGAGTCTCTCGCTCATAGAAAAGGCACACACTGAAAGAGGAAGCAGATCCCATTGCTGTGGAAGTCCCATTGTTAGGAAGCTCTGCTTTTCTGGAGTTCAAATTCGCATTCATGATGCTTTAAACCGTCAGAGCTGGGTGGGTCCTTCTACAACAAAATCGTTTGCTCTCTCTCTCCTAGTTAACAGGCTTTCAAATATTAGAAGATCAATGTTCTGACCCCATTAAAATTTCTCTTTTGTGGAATGAAAATCTCTGATTTAACCCATCTTCAAGCCTGGTTTGCATATTCCTCTCTCTTCCGGCCACCTTGTCTAGACACACTACACTGAGGCCATGCCCATCGTAAATGATGTTGATATGTTGTCAAAAAATTGGCAAACCAGGCGCGGTGGCTCATGCCTGTAATCCTACCACTTTAAGAAGCAGAGGCAGACAGATCACCAGAGGTCAGAAGTTCGAGACCAGCCTGTCCAACATGTTTAAATCCGTCTCTACTAAAAATACAGAAAAAATGAGCTGGGCGTGGGGGTGCACATCTGTAATCCCAGCTACTTAGGAGGCCGAGGCAGGAGAATCGCTTGAACCTGGAAGGCAGAGGTTGCAGTGAGCCGAGATTGCATCACTGCACTCCAGCCTGGGTGACAGAGCGAGACACCATCGCAAAAAAAAAAAAAAAAAAAAAAAAAAAATGGCTAAACAGCCCAGGTTTGGTCTGATATGTTCAGAAAAAAGCAAAACAGTCACCTCTCACCTTTTTTTTCTCCGCAGTGATGCAGTTGAATACAACAATGGCTGTAGGTATGCTGCAGAAATATCATTCAAGTGAAACAGAAGGGCTTTCCTGGCCAGACACAGTGGCCACTCCTGCAATCCCAACACTTTGGTTGGCTAAGGTGGGAGGATTTCTTGCGGCCAGGGGTTCAAGGCTGCAGTGAGCTGTGATCCACCACTGCATTCCAGGCTGGGCATCAGAGTGAGGCCTCTCTCTAAAAAAAAAACCACTCCCCAAAAAAAGGGATTTGCAAATACCAGCCTTTCAGCATGAGGATCACATGGAGGAACATTAAGATACAGTTGCTGGGACCCAGCCCTATTGATTGTAATTCAAAAACTGAGGTGGGGCCTGATTTAGCTCCATCATTGGAATCCATTCCGATTTGAAACTCTCTGGGTTGGACAGTTCAAGAGAGATCCTAAAGAAAGCAAAATCACTGTGGACTGAAATGAGTAGACAAGGTTTTCTGAGCATGGTGAAATATGATCTGGGCCTCGCTTGGGAGGGCTGTGGCCAGGCCTTGAGTCCTTGGCTCAGTGGGACCTTCTGAAACAGCCTCCAAGCTGCACCCCTGCTTCCTTTGCTTTTGGATGACCCCCTCCAGCAGCTTTGGTGCTGATGGGAATAAGTCGACCTGCAGCGGAAGTTCAGCCCAAGTCTCAGCCCAGCAGCCTCCCCAAACCTGGCCAGGGTCTGGTCATGCTGCCGTCTCTGCGGTTCTCTGTGGAGTTGTGGTTTCTGTACCTTGAAGAGAACTTCCCCTTCTGGGACCCAGAAACCCAGTGAACCCTCAGGAAAAAAGGGAATGAAATTACTGAAGACAACTCTGTGGCAGGGAGAGGGAAAAGAGGCTCTTTGTTTTTGTTTTTTATTTTTTATTTTTTTATTTTTTGAGACAGAGCTTCACTCTTGTTGCCCAGACTGGATTGTAATGGCTCAATCTCGGCTCACTGCAACCTCTGCCTCCCATGTTCAAGCACTTCTCGTGCCTCCGCCTCCAGAGTAGCTGGGACAATAGGCACACACCACCACACCCAGCTAATTTTCGTATTTGTGGTAGAGATGGGGTTTCGCCATGTTGCCCAGGCTGGTCTCGAACTCCTGGCCTCAAATCCACCTGCCTTGGCCTCCCAAAGTGCTGGGACTACAGATGTGGGCCACCGTGCCCAGCCCTCACTGTATGGATTTTCTAAAAAAAAAAAAAAAAAGATTACATTTGTCTTACTTGCCAAAAGGGAAATTAACCTTATCTCCTCTCCTTTTTAAAGAGTATTTCCTTGATAAACCTTGTAATATAAATAACTTCTTTTGTGCCTTTGATATGTACCTAAATCTTTTAAAAAGGTAAATGAACTTCTTGCCGACATTACAACCCAGGAATTTTTTTTTTTTTTTTTTTTTGGAGACAGAATCTCGCTGTCACCCAGGCTGGAGTGCAGGGGTATAATCTCGGCTCACTGCAACCTCCACTTCCCGGGTTCAAGCAATTCTCCCATCTCAACCTCCTGAGTAGCTGAGACTACAGGCGTCTGCCACCACGCCTGGCTAATTTTTGTATTTTTAGTAGAGACAGGGTTTCACCTTGTTGGTCTGGCTGGTCTTGAACTCCTGACCTCAGGTGATCCACCAGCCACGGCCTCCCAATGTGTGGGATTATGGGCGTGAGCCACCGTGCCTGGTCACAATCCAGGAATTTTTTTCTTAAGAGCCTAAGAGTCTTGTCTTTGAAATGTAAACCTGGAGGAAAATAGTGTCCCTATCTTCCTGTTGCCTAGGGAGTTTAGCCTAGGCAACTTGAGCTGTTACTACCTGCTTGTCAAGGAGATGTGAGAAGTTTTATTTTTTCATTGAATACAGGTAATTAACTAGCATGGATGGCCACGTTGATTTCCAGGTGAATTTAGGATGAGTGTTTAAGAATGTATAGCAGGCCAGGCGCGGTGGCTCACACCTGTAATCCCAGCACTCTGGGGGAGGCCGAGACGGGCGGATCACTTGAAGCCACACAGAAATCGAAAGAAGGAGTTTGAGTCCAGCCTGGCCAGTATGGCGAAACTCTGTCTCTACTAAAATACAAATATTAGCTGGGCATGATGGCACATGTCTGTAATTCCAGCTACTTGGGAGGCTTAGGCACGAGAATCACTTGAACCCAGGAGGTGGAGGTTACAGTGAGCCAAGAAGATCACACCACTACACTCCAGCCTGGATGACAGAATGAGACCCTGTCTCAAAAAAAACAAAACAAAAAAAACTGCATAGCAAGTCCTTTTGCATGAGGATGAGTTACTATTTATCTTGAGAGCGTGTATGCAATGGATTGTATCTGCCAGGCTATATAAAAAGGACGCTTTGGCCGGGCGCCATAGCTCACGCCTATAATCCCAGCACTTTGGGAGGCCTAGGCGGGCGAATTACGAGGTCAGGATTTCGAGACCATCCTAGCTAACATAACGAAACCCCATCTCTACTAAAAATACAAAAAATTAGCCAGGTGTGGTGGCTCGCGCCTGTAGTCTCAGTTACTTGGGAGGCTGAGGCAGGAGAATCCCTTAAACTGGGGAGGCAGAGGTTGCAGTGAGTCGAGATCGCACCACTGCACTCCAGCCTGGGCGACAGAACAAGATTTTGTCTCAAAAAAAAAAAAAAAAAAAAAAAAGGAGGGTTTATTTCTCTTTGCATCTCATTAATGGATCACCTGTGATGGGCATCACAGTCTGGTTTAATGCTTATTCAATAATAAAATTGTTTTCTTTATTTTCTGAATTTGTGGAGAGAATATTCTAGGTTAACAGAATAATCTATTTATTTACTTATTTATCTTGAGATGGAGTCTTGCTCTGTCTCCCAGGCTGGAGTGCAGTGGCCTGATCTCGGCTCACTGCAATCTCTGCCTCCCAGGTTCAAGTGATTCCCCTGCCTCAGCCTCCCAAGTATCTGGGACTACAGGCACGCACCACCGCACCCGGCTAATTTTTTGTGTTTTAGTAGAGACGGGGTTTCACCATGTTGGCCAGGATGGTCTTGATTTCCTGACCTCATGATCCGCCGGCCTCGGCCTCCCAAAGTGCTGGGATTACAGGCGTGAGCCACTGCACCTGGCTTCAGAAGAATTTATTTTTAGTCTTTTCCTTACCAGTTTTTATGAAACAACTGGGCAAGAACACTGTTAGATTTCACCAAAAAATTGTGATGAATCATTGTCTTTATGATCCCATTTTTGAAAATTGACATTTTAATTGTAAACCAAAAATAAAATTCTAAGCCCCCACAACTGACTCAGTGGACTCCCCTGTTGGCCAACAGGATCCAAAATAAACATGGAAAACTAATTTAGGTCATGATGGGAAGGAGGGGGTTGGATATGCCTTGTCATAATTCTCCTCCCGTCAGAGTTTAGGCACAGCTGACCAACATTATGATCTCTATTAGAATAGACATCATAGGACTGACAAAACAGGCTCTTTTTATCAGTAAGATACCCATCTCCAACCAGACTCTGATATAGCATCACATGACAGATAGCAGTCCCTGAAGTAAATCACAGTATTTTACCCCATAACATATTTTCTTTGACAAACTTTAAAATAGTCCTGCAAAGCCATCTCTTTGGGGGAAATTTGCATTCTGTAGAGAATCTCTTTGCCTTACAGAAAAGACTCCAGGTCTTTTCTGGAGAGTCTGACACCTTTTAAGATCCAATAAGAGATATTTATCATCTATTCTCTCTGAAGCCTGTTCTGAGGCTTCACCTACATAACAAGAACCTTGGTTTCCACAATCCCCCTTATCTTAACTCAAACTTTTCCTTCTTTTTTTTCCCTCCCTCTTTTTCCTTCCTTCCTCTCTCTCTTTTTCTCTCTCTCTCTTTCTTTTCTTCTCTGTTGCCCAAGCTGGAATGCAGTGGTGCCATCATGGCTCACTGTAGCCTCAACTTCCCAGGCTCAAGCGATCCTCCCATCTCAGCCTCCTGAGTAGCTGAGTCTACAGGCATGCACCACCACACCTGGATAATTATTTTTTTTTTTGTAGAAGTGGGGGTCTCGCTGTGTTGCCCAGGCTGTCCTTGAACTCCTGGCCTCAAGGGATCCTCCCAGCTCACCCTCCCAAAATGCTGGGAATACAGGCATGAGCCACCGCAATGGCCCATTTCTTTATGTAGTCTTCCAGCTGTTCAGCCAACACTTAACTCTGAACCAACTGCCAGTCTTTCAATCTACTAGTGACCTGAAAGCCTTTCCTGGCTGACCCAACATATACTTCCCATGTATTGATTTATGTCTTTGCCTGTAACTACTGTCTCCCTAAGATGCATAAAACCAAGCTGTAACCCAACTACTTTGGGCTCACGTTCTCAGGACCCCCTGAGGCTGTGTCACCAGCCATGGTCACTCAAATAGGAGGCCCAGAATAAAACTCTTTATAGACTTTGACTCTTTTTGGTCAACATAACCTAACCCTAAACATAATCCTCCTGGGGAAGGTAGGATCACAGGTATCTCTTCCTCGTTCAGTTTGTGTGTGTATGTCCTTATTTCTCTACGGTTTTTAGGCATTCGCTGTGTGATCTAGAAAAGCTATGGAGTCTCGCTTTGTCGCCAGGATGGAGTGCAGTGGCGTGATCTCGGCTCACTGCAACCTCCACCTCCCAGGTTCAAGTGATTCTCCTGCCTTAGCCTCCCGAGTAGCTGGGATTACAGGCACGCGCCACCACGCCCAGCTAATTTTTGTATTTTTAGTAGAGACAGGGTTTCATCATGTTGGCCAGGATGATCTCTATCTCTTGACCTCGCGATCTGCCCGCCTCGGCCTCCCAAAGTGCTGGGATTACAGGCTTGAGCCACTGCGCCCAGCTACAAATTCTATTTTCTTTTTGTTCCTTGGAAAGCATCGCTGGGCATTTATCCTGTCCCAGTATTTGAGTGAAACTTCTCAGCATTTCAGAGCAGTGACCATGATACACCCTTTCCTTTCCTTCTCCTTATGGGAAACTCCGTTCTAACCCAGAGGACTTGGGCTCCAGGACCCAGTAACGGAGCCCTGGATTTGACCCTAAAAGGGAGTAAAGACAAAGGTGAAGTTCAGTCCGGGGTTCAGGGCTGCCAAAGCTCATAGCCTGGAGCTTCTTAACCTTTAGGCAGGGTAGAGACATTTAAGACGGCCCCAAAACTGGGGGAGCGCGTAGGCTCCTGGGAAATAGAGTCCGTTACTTGTCCTGGGACCCGCGGTGGGTGTCCCGGGAGGCGGACTTCCGGTGCACTCCTGCGCTTGTGCACCTCTCCCTGCGTGCGTGTTCGCACATGCGCGCCACCTCCGCACTGCCCTCGCTTCCTGTGCCTCTTCAGGTCATCGCTTGCTCTCGTTCCCAGGCTTTGGCTTCTAGTGGACGAGAATCACCGAGTCTGCGGGGCTGGATGCTGACCGCCCGGACCAGCACCTAGGCGGGCGGGAGCTGTGCGGCCCAGGGTTCGCGCGGGCCGGGTAGAGGCTCGAGCTGGGACCCCCGAGCGTGAACCCCGGAGCCGGCGGCGCTGGGGCCAGAGGGGCCGGGAGCCCCAGGGAGGCGGATCTGGGCCCCGAGAAGGACACCCGCCTGGATTTGCCCCGTAGGCCCGGCCCGGGCCCCTCGGGAGCAGAACAGCCTTGGTGAGGTGGACAGGAGGGGACCTCGCGAGCAGACGCGCGCGCCAGCGACAGCAGCCCGCCCCGGCCTCTCGGGAGCCGTGGGGCAGAGGCTGCGGAGCCCCAGGAGGGTAAGTCTTGGGTTTTTGGGCCCGGAGCGAGAAGGGCCTGGGTGAAGTCACCTTGTGTTGGGGACCTTTGAGTGTGGGGCAGAGGGAGGGTCCCGATTGCTTGCCGGAGAGACATGTGTTGGGTTTGAGGGCAGGGTCCGGCTGCACCGAACAGGTGCTGCATGGGAAGATCTGGGAGGACGAGGCTTACGGAGGCGTGGAGGGTGTCACCACCCTCAGCTGCGGACGTCGTCTCCACTCCCCGCTAACCCCTAACAGTCCTTCCTCCTCCTCTCCGTGCTCCAGATTTCGACCGCCTCTAAACGTCCGTCAGCACTTCTATTCTCTCACTTAAGTGTCTGCTGATCCCCCCCCTTAGACCTGCCCTGGGAGAATCGTAGTAATGCAGGAACAGTCTGCAGGGATTCTCTGCTGCTGCCTCAGTTGCTAGGGGAAGAGACTGGGCCTTAGGTGGGTGACTTGACCAGGTCACCGGCTTTGTGGGTAGAGCTGCTCATAGTAGAACCCAGGAGACTTATCTCCCAGGCCAGTGTTCTTTCTCCCGTATCCTAGTTTTCTTAATAGAAGATTATTAGGTGCAGCAATAACCAAGTTCAGTTAGATAATTTAGAAACAAAACCATATTTTATACACATTCATTTCATTTCTGAGAGCTCACATACTCAATTCCTATGGCTTATTTTATTTTAAGCAGTTTAAAGAGACAATAAGAAAATGCGGGCGGGATGCAGTGGCTCACACCTGTAATCCGAGCATTTTGCGGGGCTAGGGCAAGAGTATCCCTTGAGACCAGGAGTTAGAGACCAGCCTAGACAACATGGGGACACCCTGACTACAAAAAATACAAAAGTCGCCAGGCATGCTGGGATGCATCTGTGGTCCCAGCTACTCAGGAGGCTGAAGTGGGAGGATGGATGGAGCCCAGGAGGTCGAGGCTGCAGAGAGCCGTGAATGCACCACTGCACTCCAGCCTGGGTGGCAGATTGAGACCCTGTCTCAACCAACAAACCACAAAAAACATGAGCCGTATAATGGGAATTTTTTTTCTTTTTGCGCCTTGTATTTGATGATGATGGCAGACTATTTGTAAAAGGAGTCATGTTACCCATGAGAGTCTAACTCATCTAATTACTACCTGATTATCTTAGAGTTACAGGCGCATGCTTCCCCTATCACTCTTTTTTTTTTTTTTTTTTTTTTTGAGACAGTGTCTCTCACCCAGTCTGGAATGCAACAGCGTGGTCTCGGCTCACTGCAACTTCCACCTCCCAGGTTCAAAGGATTCTCGTGCCTCAGCCTCCTGAGTAGCTGGGACTACAGGCATGTGACTCTATGCCTGGCTAATTTTTTTTGTTATTTTTAAGTAGAGACGGGGTTTTGCCATGTTGGCCCAGGCAGGCGGATCACTTGAGGCCAGAATTTGAGACCAGCCTGGCCAACATGGTGAAACCCTGTATCACTCTTTTAGACCCTTCTGAGTGTTTGCAGGTTGAGTGTTCACAGGGTGTTAGCCTATTGAGCTTTCTTTTGCGGTTCTTATGCAGGTGATTTCTGCCTTTGCAGGCCGGAGCCCTCATGACTTCAGTGACCTGCTTCTGCCCCTCTAGGTCTATCAGCCACAGTCTCTGCATGTTTCCAAGAGCAGCAGAAAATGAACACATTGCAGGTGAGTTTTCCTGCTTGTGTATATGTTCCTCAACTTTATTTTATGATGCATTTTAAGAGGTTTGTAAGGATTCATACTTTTTTTTTTCTTTTTTTTGAGATGGAGTCTTGCTCTGTTGCCCAGGCTGCAGTGCAGTGGCATGATCTCGCTTCACTGCAACCTCCACCTCCTGGGTTCAAGTGATTCTCCTGCCTCAGCCTCCTGAGTAGCAGGGATTACAGGCGTGGGCCACCATGCCCAGCTAATTTTTTGTATTTTTAGAAGAGATGGGGTTTCACTATGTTGGCCAGGTTGGTCTCAAACTCCTGACCTCAGGTGATCCTCCCGCCTCAGCCTCCCAAAGTGCTGGGATTACAGGCATGAGCCACCGAGCCCAGCCAGGATTCATACTTTAAAATGGGAATGTGGAAATAGACATTATCCTGTAAAATATAGTTAGTGTGGCAGATCAGCACCAAAAATGATTTGTGAAGCTTGTATGTATGGGTAGTATATTTTAAGGCTGTTGAAATTGAGCCGCACCTAGGACTGATACTCTTGGCAGTCATCACAAAAGGAAAATGCCATCTGTATTAGTCCATTCTCACACTGCTATAGAGAAATAACCAAGACTGGGTAATTTATAAAGAAAAGAGGTTTAATTGGCTCACGTCTGCAGGCTCTATCATAGGAAGCGTGGCTGAGGAGTCCTCAGGAAACTTACAGTCAAGTGAAAGGTGAAGGGAAAGTGGGTGCATCTTCCATCACCAGAGCAGGAGGAAGAGGGAACATTGGGGATTACAATTGAACATGAGATTTGGGAGGCGACACACACCGAAACCATATCACCATCCATGACATCGTTTGCATTGATTATAAGGAGAAACCAGTTTTGTTACTTGTGGACTTAAAAGATTTTCTGGGACTTGGAAAAATTTCTTCATTCAAGTTGATATAATTGTGGATAGCTTTCCTAACAACAACCATTAAATTACTGTAACTTATGGCTTATTCTTGGTGCTTATGTAAGCAGAGGGCCTGCTGCCCAAGGAGAACTTGGTGCATATAATTTTTCCAGGGACGGAAATATCGTGATCCAAGTAAACAATTCTGTTTTTACTGTTGAGTCCTAGATCATGGGGGGAATGAATGACGTGATCATCCGTCAAATATTTGTTCGTCTTTTTGTTCGGGTTGCACAGCAAACAATACAAACAGTTACTCTCTTGTGAAGATTTCCTCATTTCTGTTTCTCATTTCACTTCTCCGTGTTTTCGTTTTGTCCTTTTCACTTTGCTAAGTCAGTCAGTAAAGGTGACCAGTGATTTAATTGCAGTCAAATCCAGTGGGCATTTCCTAGCCCCTTCCTCACAGTACCCTTTGTCTGCCTTTGACATCCGTTACTTCCAAACTGATATTTTCTCCATGGAGTCTCTCTTTTCTTGGCTTTTAAAAAGATTCATCTGTAAGTATTTGTTTGTCTTTAAATGGTGAAGTCTGTTTTGTTTTGTTTCTTTTTTTCTTTTTTTGAGATAGGGTCTTGCTCTGTCACCCAGGTTGGAGTGTAGAGACGTGATCACAACTCACTGCAACCTCAATCTCCCGGGCCCACACGATCCTCTTGCCTCAGCCTCCCGCCTAGCTGGGACTACAGGTGCACGCTGCCACACCTCGCTAATTTTTTTTGTATTTTAGTAGAGACTGGCTTTCACCGTGTCATGCATGTCGAACTCCTGAGCTCAGGCAGTCTGCCCGCCTCGGTGTCCCAAAGTGCTAGGATTATAGGCGTGAGCCACTGCTCCCGGCCTAGAAATGTATTCTCACTGTATTGCTCAGGCTGGTCTCAAACTCCTGGCCTCAAGCAGTCCTTTCACTTTAGCCTCCCAAAGTGGTAGGATTACAGGTGTAAGCCACCACACCTGACCAATAAGGAATCTTTTTAAAAGGGGCTAGGAATAACCCATAATACTGTCTTTCTTAATACATGTGGCAGTTGGGTTAAATCTTTTAATAGTTCCCATAGTATGTCTCCTGCGTGCTCATTGTTTTGAAGAAACTGGGTTGGTTATCCTCAGTTTGGATTATGTTACCCTTGTTTCACCTTTAGCACATTTTTTAAAAATATCTTGTATGCCTTGGTAAAATTGGTAGTTTGATCTGGAAGTCTAATCAGGTTTATGTTCAGTTCTTTTCACACAACTATACCATACGTGGCATTTGTCTACTTCTGGAGGCACGTGTTACCTTCTTTGTTTTTGTGAAGTTAAGAACTATTGACTTGATTATTGCTGTGATTTACTATTGCTGTGATTTGCCTTCATTAGGGGAGGCAAAATGGTGATCTGCTAATTCTACCATTTCTTCTTTATTTACTAGCCAAAATACTTTTCTTTTCTTTTTTTGGAGACAGAGTCTCACTCTGTCGCCTAGGCTGGCACGTTTATGGCTCACTGCAGCCTCAAACTCCTGTGCTCAAGTGATCCTCCCACTTCAGCCTCCCAAGTAGCTGGGAGTATAGTCATATGCCACAATGCCCAGCTGATTTTTTAATTTTTAGTAGAGACAGGTTTCTCTATGTTGCCCAGGCTGGTCTTGAACTGGGCTCAAGTGATCCTCTTCTTTAACCTCCCAGTGTTGGGATTATAGGCATGAGCCACCACGGCTGGCCTAGAATACTTTTCTAAAGATAAATTTCTATTCTCTATTTGTTTATGTAATTCATGCAGGAAAGACAGTTTCTAAAATATTGAGTAGGCTTTTAAGCAGGAGGGTATTTTGTTTTGTTACCATCATGAGCTCATGGGTTTAAACAGATAGTAAATATTTCAGTACATAGAAGTTGTGATTCTTTTTGAAAATTAAGTGGTTCCATCTTTGGCCAGACGGAATCCCTTTAAGTTGGTTTCTGAGTCCTTTTGAAATATATTTGATATATATGATAGCAAATATATACATATAATATATGTTTGATAGCAAATATATACATATATATTTGATAGCATTATTTTCTATTTAGCATTTTATTTTGAAATCATTTCAGATTTTCAGAAAAATTGCAAGGATTTTACAAAGAAATCCCAGATACTTCCTTTTGTTCAGATACTTCATTCTTAACATTTTCCCACATTAATCATTTATATGCCTATATACGTATGTGTATATATATATATTTATATATATATATATATTTTTTGAACTATTTGAGAGTGGGTATAACGTGTCATGCCTCTTTACCCTATAAAGTTTTAGATTACAGCTCATAAAATCAAGAATATTATATTAAATATCCATAGCACAGTAATTGAATTCAGGAAATTTATCATTGATTTAATACTTTTATCTAAACTATAGTTCATTTTCCAGTTTTGCCAATTTCCCAATAATTTCCTTTATAGCAATTTTTAATTTTTGGTAGAAGATTCAGTCTAGGACTGTTAATTGCCTTTAGTTTTCATGCTTTTTAAGTCTGTTTAATACGGATTTGTTCCACAGTGCCATTATAACATTTGAAGAATACAGGCCAATGATTTTATAGAAGTCTTTAAATTTAGGTTTCCCTGATCTTTCTTCATGATTAGATTTAGACTGTGAATTTTTGTCTGGAATGCTACATGGAACCTCTTAAATTTATGGCTCAGAACAGGATCTGTCTTGGGAAAATTCTGTGCATGCCTGAGAAGATGGCTTGTTCTGCTCTGGTTGGGTGGAGTGATTGATAAATGTTAATGAGATCAAGTTGGTTGGTTGTGTTGTTCAGGTGTACTATATCCTTGTTGATTGTGTGCCCACTTGTATCAATTGTGGGGGAGAGGGGATTGAAATCTGCTGCAGTTGTGGTTCTGTTTCTCTTTGCAATTTTACCACTTTTTGCTTTATGTGTTATATTAGATACATAAATGTTCAAGGTTATTACGTCCTGTTGATTAATTAACCACTTTGTAAAATGGCCTTCCTTATCCCTGCTAATATTCCAGGCTGTGAAATGTACTTTGTTATTTATGTAGCATTCTTTTGAGTAATACATGCATGGTATATCTTATTCCATCCTTTTACTTTTAACCTATTTGCATCTTTATATCTAAAGTATTATTTCTTACAGGCAGCAAAATTTGGATCTTGCTTGTTTTCATCAGTCTATTTCTGTCTCATAATTGGGGATGTATAAACCGTTTACATGTAATGTGATTATTGATAAAACGAGTTAGGTTATAGTCCGTTGTCTTTGCTTTCTTTTAGTCTCATCTTCTTTGTTTCTTTTTAAAATGTCTCTGTTTGTCTTCCTTCCTTTTGATTAGTTGAGAATTTTTTATGATTCTACTTTATGTCTTTTGTTGGGTTTTTAGCTATCACACTGTTTTGTTATTTTAGTGAGTTAGAATTTATAGTATGCAACTTTAATTGTCATAGTTTATTCTTAAGTAATATCCATTTTTCCTAGAATAAGAGAAGCTTACAATAGGACACTTCCATTTCTCTCCTCTTGGTCTTTACACCGTTGTTCATTTTATTTTTACAGGTGGTATCAGTGCCACACACTATCTATTACGTTGTTGTTAATTAAACTGTATTTATTTATTTATTTATTTATTTATTTATTTATTTAGAGACAGAGTCTCACTCTGTCCCCCAGGCTGGAGTGCAGGGGTGCTATCTTGGCCCACTGCAACCTCTGCCTCCTGGGTTCAAGTGATTCTCCTGCCTCAGCCTCCTGGGTAGCTGGGATTACAGACACCCACCATCACGCCCGGCTAATTTTTGTATTTTTAGTAGAGACGAGGTTTCGCCATGTTGGCCAGGCTGGTCTCGAACTCCTGACCTCAGGTCACCCATCTGCCTCAGCCGCCCAAAGTGCTGGGATTACAGGTGTGAGCCACCACACTTGGCCCAGGTATCTTTTAAAGAGATTTAAGTAATGAGAGAAAATACACAGTTACCATTTCTGGTACTCTTCATTCCTTTGTGTAAATCTAAATTTTTATTTGCTGTCATTTTACTTCTGCCTGAAGGACTTTCTGTAACATTTCTTCTAGTTGATGATGAATTATTATATGTCTGCAAATGTCTTCATTGTGTCTTTGCTTTTAAAGGTGTTTTTGCTGGATTTTTCTCCACAGTGCTTTAAATATGTTTCTCTGTTGTCTTCCTGCTTACATTTTTTTCTAAGAGAAATCTGATCTCATACTCATGTTTGTTCCCCTATATATAACATGTCTTTTTTTCTTCCCCCCTTATTGTTTTAAACTTTTTATCACTAGTTTTGGACAATTTGATTGCAATATGTCATGGTATCATTTTTTTCATGTTTCTGTTTTGGGGATCATTGAACTTCTTGGATCTTGGGTTTATGGTGTCATCACTTGGGGAACATTTTTATCATTATCTCTTCAAGTACCCGCCACCTCCCCTCCATTGATTCTTGTTGCCTGTATATTAGGCCACTTGAAATTTTCCCACAACACACTGTTGCTCTTTATTTGCTTTTAATTCTTCTTTCTCTGTTTCATTTTATGTAACTTCTGTTGCTGTCTTTATATTCACTAATCTCTTTTTTCCATGATGCTGTTCATCTTTTCCAGTATAATTTTCATCTCAGATATTGTACTATCTGTAGAAGGTTAGCGTGGGTCTTTTTTACATCTTGCCTGTCTTGATTTTTTTGAACATTTGGAATAGAACGATGAACTCTCTCAGTGCTCTGTGCCGGTTGTGAACTCTGTGTCAATTCTGGGCCAGTTTTGATGGACTGATTCTTTTCTTCCTTATGGGTTGTAATTTCCTGCCCATTTTCCCATCCCACAACTCTTTCTCCTCACATCTGCCTCGGTTCTTCTTCCCTGCTCCATGGCCTGGAAACGCTCAAGGCAGAAGTTGATTGGTTCACCTTGTTTATTTCCCATCACTCATAGATAACTCTACTGCCTGATAATCAGTGCCTTGAAAACCACTGCTTCAGCCCAGGCGTGGTGGCTCATACCTGTAATCACAGCAACAACAACAAGGCTAAGGTGGGCGGATCACGAGGTCAGGAGTTCAAGACCAGCCTGGCCAACATGGTGAAACCCCATCTCTACTAAAAATATAAAAATTAGCCGGGCATGCTGGTGCACGCCTGTAATCCCAGCTACTCGGGAGGCTGAGGCAGAAGAATTGCTGGAACCCGGGAGACAGAGGTTGCAGTGAGCCAAGATTGTGCCATTGCACCCCAGCCTGGAAGACAAGAGCGAGACTTCATCTCAAAAAACAAAAAACAAAAACAAAAACAAAAAAACAAATCATTGCTTTCGTATATGTTCTTGTTTTATTTTTCTTTCTGTTTTTGATTTTGTTGTTCTTTGGTGTGTGCTGTTTCAGGTTGGAGGGTATATCCAGTACTTGTTAATTTATCACACCTGAGGGCAGAAGTCCTCATGTCTCTGTCTATATGTTTTTTCTAATATATATATTATTTTCTTTGTAGAGACAGGGTCTTGCTATGTTGCCAAGGCTGGTCTCAAGCTCCTGGCCTCAAGCAATCCTTCTGCCTCAGCTTTCCAGAGTGCTGGGATTACAGGCATGAGCCACCACACCTGGCCTGGGTCCAGTTTTATCCATGTCCAAATTTTTTTTTCCCTGAGCTATTTTTGATTTTCTTCCACCTCATATGAACTGTAGTGTCAGCTTATCTAGTTCCAGGAAAAAGCTTTTTGGTATTTTTATTGGGATTGCATATTTATAAAGTAATTTAGGGAAACTGGTATCTCTGTATTATTAAGTTGACCTTAATACTACAACTAATTTTGTTGTTGTTTTTGGATTTTTAGTAGAGATAGGGTTTCACCATGTTGACCAGGCTGGTCTTGAACTCCTGACCTCAGGTGATCTGCCCGCCTCGGCCTTCTAAAGTGTTGGGATTACAGGCGTGAGCCACCGTGCCCAAGCACTTTTACTTTTTCTTAGTTATATTCCTCTAATTGTTTTCTCTTCTCTAATTGTAGATAATGAGCATTTTATTAATACCTTGTTCTTGATCTTAGTGGGAAGATATGTAGTTTTTCCCTGTTAAGTAAAATCCTGACTTTCGGACCGAGAAGACTGAGGCATAAGAGTGTGTGTGTGTGTGTGTGTGTGTATACACGCAAACTGTATATATGTGCTTGTGTGTAATTGAAATACATATGTCACATATCATACGTACTATGGCATATTAGGGTGTAATATTTATATTTGTGTATATAATATTGATGTTAATGAAGTATCCATCAGTTTCTATTTTCTTTAGTTTGTTTTTTTAAATCAGCTTTTTCTGTCAAGCTTTTTCAAGTATCTTCATGGATACAAGATTTTTCTTCTTTGCTGTGTTATAGTGGCTTATCATATTAATAGATTTCCAAATATTAAACTAGTCTATATTGTTGGAATAAGTCCTATTTGTCTGTTGTATATTATGTTTTTAATCTGGTACTGGATTTTGTTTGGTTATGTTTCATTTTGGGTATTTGTATTGATGTAAGTGGTATTGACATGTAATTTTATGTTATTTATTGGTCGATCAGTCTTCTAACCCCCACCACCTCCTTGCCTTCTGGACTAAGTTAACCCAGAAAGTTATTACTCTCTCTCGGTGATTTTATCAGCTCCTTTGGCCTGCCTGTGGATAAGCTTGGATGTTCTGCTTTAGTTTCTCAGCCCACCAGCCTAGCAGCTCTGCCTCTGCTATCTCTTGGGATCTACATGGTCCTAGCTGTATCACTGGGTTTGAACCCCTTGTTGATATGTTCTTTATAAATAACAGGATAATGCAACATGCTTACTGGGCACTTCCTTTTTCTAAACTGCAAGTTTGGGCAGGGCATGCTGGCTCAAGCCTGTAATCCCAATACTTTGGGAGGCCAAGGCAGGTGGATTGCTGGAGCCCAGGAGCTTTGCATTTTTCTTTTTTTTTTTTTTTTGAGACAAGGTCTCGCTCTGTTGCCTAGGCTGGAGTGCAGTGTTGCATTCACAGCTCACTGTAGCCTTGACCTCCCAGGCTCAAGCCATCCTCCTGCCTTAGCCTCCCAAGTAGCTGGAACTACAGGCATGTGCCATGATGCCCAGCCAATTTTTTAAAAAAATTTTATTTTTAGCAGAGATAAGGTTCTTACTATGTTGCCCAACCTGGTCTCGAACTCCTGAGCTCAAACGATCTTCCCATCTCGTCCTCCCAAAGTGCTAGGATTATAGGCATGAGCCACCATGCCCAGCCCCAACCTCTTAAAAATTGAAGCTGCTTCATGTTTGCCATTGGTACTTTTACACCTCATCATATTCTTCCTCCCCTTCATCCCATAGAATACACAATTCATCTTTAAGGACTTCAAGTTAACTGAGTCTGTGAAGCCTAATCTGATGGCATAAAGTTAAAATAATTTGATCCTCTTTTGTTAAATCATTCTGCACCTTGTCTGCATTACTCTAATAACAGCTTTGGGCATTCATTCATTTAACGAATATTTATTGCTGTGAGATTGAGATGTTTGAGATAAAATCAGTCATGCAGATAGCCAGAGGCCACTGGCTATGAGAATAAAAGAGCCAAAAGAACAAGGAGCTGAAACTAGGTGAGAGCCCCAGAGCAGTGAGTTAGGAAGAAGAAGACCAGGAACTGAGTGGTGGGCACTCCAACATGAAGAGGTCCCGGAGAAGGGGAGGGCCTGGCAGCAAAGAAGACTAAAAGAAGTGACAAGAAGTAAAATGCTTGTGTTTGTTTACATGTTTATCTCCTTATTAGGTTGTCTGCTTTCTGAGAGCAGGCATGGTGTTTCACTCATCTCATATCCCCAAAACTCAGTTCAGTTGCAAAATAGGAGCTCAGTTGTGTTTTGGCTTTTTATTTTTGTATATATATAAAGGACCCCAAAGGATATGTGTTTCCAATATGATTTCCCTTCCATAATCTGTAACATAAAATAAGGTATACAATGTTCATGGTTAACTTCACCAGTGAGCTTTGTAAAATGTTATCCCCCTATCCCTTTTCCATATCTCCCAATTCTGATCATGTTGCCATTACAGGGGCCAGTGTCATTCAAAGATGTGGCTGTGGATTTCACCCAGGAGGAGTGGCGGCAACTGGACCCTGATGAGAAGATAACATACGGGGATGTGATGTTGGAGAACTACAGCCATCTAGTTTCCTTGGGTGAGGATAGCTTGCTTTCTGAATGCTCTCAGTTGAATGGGGTTTTATGCTTGAGTTTGAAGAAATAAGTGGCAACACCATTTAATTCCTTGTGGGCACTAGCTGCAGTGTTTATATTATTCTTCATTGAAAGGTTCTAACTTTGATAAGGTAAAAAATGGAGCATTTCTGTTATGCAGCTTATGAGGTGGCAACATCTTGTACTTCGGAGATTCTGAAGCCGAGCAACTTGCCCAAGTCCTTCTTCTTTTCCCATTAACAAGATATGATATCACCAAGCCAAACGTCATCATTAAGTTGGAGCAGGGAGAGGAGCTGTGGATAACGGGAGGTGAATTTCCATGTCAACATAGTCCTGGTAAGTTAGTAGAGTATCAAATGTTAAAAAATGCTCATCCCAGACCTTTGGGAGTGACTAAAGAGTTGTTTATATGTATTCGGTACCCTCAGTAACACCTCCCAACCCCCAAATATCACTTTCCTTCCCGCACACATACATGAACTCTTTTGTTTATTTTATATTTGATTTACATTGGTAGGGATTTTTTCATTCTAACCTATACTGGGGACCCATTCACTTCCTCTTCCTCCAGCATTATCGGTCACTTATTTACTCCCTCGCCATTAGAGAATTGTTGTGGGCTGTTTGTTTTTTTGTTTGGTTTTTGGAGACGGAGTCTTGTTCTGTCACCCAGGCTGATGTGCACTGGTATGATCTCAGCTCACTGCAACCATCACCTCCCAGGTTCAAGCGATTCTCCTTCCTCAGCCTCCTGAGTAGCTGGGATTTCAGGCACATGCCACCAAGCCTGGCTAATTTTTGTATTTTTAGTAGAGACAGGGTTTCACCATGTTGGCCATGCTGGTCTTGAACTCCTGGCCTCAAGTGATCCACCCACCTCAGCCTCCCCAAGTGCTGAGATTACAGTCCTGAGCCACTGCTCCCGGCCTTACAGAATTGTTTCATTTTGGGGCATTCAGAAGTCTGACATAAAAATTAACTTGAGACTTTTATGTTCATTCTTTTTATCTTCCATTTTCTTTCCTTCCTTGCTTTAAAAATACCTTGGACTTGGCCGGGCGCGGTGGCTAACGCCTGTAATCCCAGCACTTTAGGAGGCCGAGGCGGGCGGATCACAAGGTCAGGAGATCGAGACCATCCCGGCTAAAACGGTGAAACCCCGTCTCTACTAAAAATACAAAAAATTAGCCGGACGTAGTGGCGGGCGCCTGTAGTCCCAGCTACTTGGGAGGCTGAGGCAGGAGAATGGCGTGAACACGGGAGGCGGAGCTTGCAGTGAGCCGAGATCCCGCCACTGCACTCCAGCCTGGGCGACAGAGCGAGACTCCGTCTCAAAAAAAACAAAAAAACAAACAAACAAACAAACAAAAAAAAACCTTGGACTTATTTTCTGCCCTCGATTTTATTTATTTCTTTAGGCATTCAGATACCAAAACCTCGTCCTCCACCTGTGCTTGTGAATTGAGTCACAGCTTGTGGTGTACCTTATTTCCCCAAGTCCATGCTCAGTTGATGTGATGATGTAGCGCTCCCTCAGCTTTCCCCTCTTTCCCCAATGCTCATTTGTGACCTGTCTGTGTGTTCATTTCCCCTTCCCCATAACTGGAATCATGCTCTGTCCATAGTAGACATTCAGGAAGTGTGAATTTCATAAGTGAATGTTGGTTCCTTTTCTTGCCTTTTCAGGAGTGTCCTCTTAGAACCCATTTTCCACTTTTTTGGTTTTCTTTGTATCCCGTAAAAGAGTTTATCTAATCTCAACTTCTAAGACCTTTTTTCCTGTGTATTTTTGCAGCTTGCCTCCAAATTGATATGTCTGACACTTTTAACCTAGTTGAATATTTTACTTGACAATATAGCAGTACCAGTGAGATAGTTCACTTCCTTCTTTCTCAGAATGTCTGATGATAAACTGTGCAGATTCCAAAATCATGAATTCTGTCTACCTTCCTCACCTCCCACTATTTGATTGTGCTAGTCTTCTCTCCATGGTTTGTGTTCTTTGTCTTCTGTGAAATGCCTTGCAGATCGTCAGCACATTCTGTTTCTTTTGACATTCGTGTTCAGTATTCTCCCATACCTGGATTACAGTGGATCCATCTTCCATTCAAATGATCATTGTCCTTTTCCTTCATCTGCATTTTACTTGCTGAGATAATACATATTTTCCCTTCCTTTCTTCCTCTCTTCCCTCCCTCCCTTCCTCCCTCCCTCCCTTCCTTCCTTCCATTTTGAGATAGTGTCTCGCTCTTGTCACCCAGGCTGGAGTGCAATGGCATGATCTCGGCTCACTGCAGCCTCTGTCTCCCAGGTTCAAGCGATTCTCCTGCCTCAGCCTCCCAAAGTAGCTGGGATTACAGGTGCACACCACCATGCCTGGCTAATTTTTATATTTTTAGTAGAGACGGGGTTTCACCATATTGGTCAGGCTGGTCTCTAACTCCTGACCTTGTGATCCACCTGCCTCAGCCTCTCAAAGTGCTAGGATTACAGGCCTGAGCCACTGTGCCCAGCCTACTTATTTATTGAGACAGAGTCTCACTCTGTCACTGAGGCTGGAGTGCAGTGGCACAATCTTGGCTCACGATAACCTCTGCCTCCCAGATTCAAGTGATTCTTGTGCCTCAGCCTCCCGAGTAGCTGAGATTACAGGCATGCACCATCACGCCCGGCCTATTTTTGTATTTTTAGTAGAGACGGGGTTTCAGTCTGTTGGCCAGGAGTTCTCTGTTGAACTCTTGGCCTTGTGATCTGCCCACCTCAGCTTCCCAAAGTGCTGGGATTACAGGCGTGAGCCACTGCACCCAGCCCCCTTCATTTAATTTTAAATTGTGGTTAAAAAAACACGTAACATGGCCAGGCACGGTGGCTCATGCCTGTAATCCCAGCACTTTGGGAGGCCGAGGTGGGCGGATCACGAGGTCAGGAGATCGAGACCATCCTGGCAAACACGGTGAAACCCCGTCTCTACTAAAAATACAAAAAAATTAGCCGGGCGTGGTGGTGGGCGCCTGCAGTCCCAGCTACTTGGGAGGCTGAGGCAAGAGAATGGCCTGAACCCGGGAGGCAGAGCTTGCAGTGAGCGGAGATCACACCGCTGCACTCCAGCCTGGGCGACAGAGCCAGACTCCATCTCAAAAAACAAAAACGTAACATACAATTTACCATCTTAACCATTTTTAAGTGTACGGTAATGTTAACTGTATTTGCATTGTTGAGCAATAAACTTTAGCGTTGTGCGTTGTGTGTCGGGTTTTGTCAAGCACGTGACAGCGCGTAGTAGGTGTGGAGTGTGGCTCGTCAGCAAGCGCTCTGGCAGGTCGTGCTTTCGCCATCTTCATCCCTACTTACTGTGCTCCCACTCCCTTGGGTCCCAGGATCCCACTCCTTCGATGAAAGTCAGTCTTCCATCTCTGCCTGGTGCTTCTGCCCTGGTTTCTGCTCAACTCGGCGCCGTGTCTCTGTTCCCCAAAGTTCTGTTTCTGTTCTGTGCTGCCCCCTCCCCCTGCCCCCGTTTTGTGTTTTTTAAGAGTCAAGGTCTCGGCCGGGCATGGTGGCTCACACCTGTAATCCCAGCACTGTGGGAGGTGGAGGCAGGTGGATTACCTGAGGTCAGGAGTTCGAGACCACCCTGGCCAACCCGTCTCTACTAAATATAGAAAAATTAGCCAGGCGTGGTGGTGCACGCCTGTAATCCCAGCTACTCCAGAGGCTGAGGCAGGAGAATCACTTGAACCCAGGAGGCAGAGGCTGCAGTGAGCTGAGATCGCGCCACTATACTCCAGCCTGGGTGACAGAGCAAGACTGTCTCAAAATGAATAAATCAATCAATCTATCATTTACCTGCTCAAAAACTTTCAGTGGCTCCCAACTGTGGTCGGTTTAGATGCTTAGCTCATTAGAATGCCATCCAAGCTCTAGATCTGTGGCTTTCAAGCTGGGCTTTGAGACGCATCATGAGTTCAAAGGGGAGAGTGAGGGGAAGAAGCTGAATTGGGGATTTCTGGTTTTCTAGCCCGTTGTCAATCTTTGGGTTTTATTCCTTTTTCAGATTGTGCTTCCATTTAAAAAAATGAGTTCCAGTTTAAAAATATATATATATGCTGGACTGGGCATGGTGGCTTATGCCTGTAATCCCAGCACTTTGAGTGGTCGAGGTGGGCAGATCACTTGAGCCCAGGGGTTCGAGGTCAGCCTGGGCAACATAGGGAGACCCCATTTCTATAAAAAAATTTAAAAATTAGCCAGAAGTGGTGGCATGCACTTGTAGTCCCAGCTATTCAGGAGGCTGAGGTGGGAGGATTGCTTGAGCCCAGGAGGTCAAGGCTGCAGTGGGCTGTGATAGTGCCACTGCACTCCAGCCTGGGTGACAGGGTGAGACCCTTTCTCAAAAAAAAGAAAAAAAGTTAAATTAGCTGGGCATGGTGGCACGCACCTGTAGTCCCAGCTACTTGGGAATGTTGAGGTAAAAGAGGATTGCTTGAGCTCAGAGTTCTCAGGTTGCAGTGAGCTATGATTGTACCACTGCACTCCAGCCTGGGCAAGAGTGATACCCTGATTCTGTAAAAAAAGAAAGAAAGAAAAGTGCTTGAAAACCATTGCAGTAAATGATCCATTCTAAACTATTTTTGGCCATGACTCCCACTGTTTACCCATCCCACGAAGTGTTCATTTCCTACTTCTATTAGAACATGTCACATTCATTCACAAAATATGTACTGATCATTAACTATTTGCCTGCCACTGTTAAGCACTGGGAATAAGATAGTGAACTGAACACGTTACCCTAATAATTTAACACTTTATTGCAGGAAAAGATGGACACTAAAATATATGTGTCAAGGCCGGGCGTGGTGGCTCATGCCTGTAACCCTAGCACTTTGGGAGGCCGAGTTCAGGAGTTCGAGACCAGCCTGGGTAACATGGCGAAACCCCGTCTCTACTAAAAATACAAAAATTAGCCAGAAATAGCTTGAACCTGGGAGGCTAAGGTTGCAGTGAGCCGAGATTGTGCCACTGTACTCCATCCTGGGCAACAGAGCAAGACACTGTCTCAAAAAGTAACAATAATAAACCAAATAAAATATATGTGTCAAATGGTGACAATTACTGTGAGGGGAAAAAAGTTCCTTGGGAGTGGGAAGTGATTACTTTTTATAAGGTGGTTGAGAAAGGACTCACTGATAAGATACTTAGAGAGCTGAAGGAGGTGGAGAGACAGCCATGCTTACCTCCAAAGGAACAGCATTCCAGAGAGGAGTATGCATGGCATGTTTAGAACAGCAGAAAAAGCCAATGAGGCTGGAGCGAAGTTCAGCAAAGGCAAAGGTGGAGAGAGTTGAGATCCAAGAGGGAGTAGGGAGTCATGTCATGCCTTGGTGAGGATCATAAGGATTGTCTTTTACTCTGAATAAAATGGGAATCTTTGCAGGTTGAACAGAGGACTAATGAGATTCAACTTAGTGTTTTTAAAAAGATCTCTCTGGCCTCTCTGTTGAGAACAGTTCATAGGAGAACTCTGGTCAAAACAGGGGTCCTGGTTATAAGGCAGCACTCCAGGCAAAACAAGCCAGAGGTATGGATGAGAGAGGCAGCTGCAGATAGAAGTGGTCACATGCAGGATGTATTTTGAAAGTAGACCTGGCCAGGTGTGGTGGCTCAGGCCTGTAATCTGAGCACTTTGGGAGGCCAAGGCAGGAGGATCACTTGAGCCCAGGAGATCAAGGCTAGCCTGGGAAACATAGCAAGACCCTGTCTCTAAAAAAATAAAAAATTAGCTGGGTTTGGTAGTGCATGCCTGTAGTCCCAGGGACTTGGGAGGCTGAGGTGAGAGAATCGCTTTAGCCTGGGAAGTCATGGCTGCAGTGAGCTGTGATCACGCCACTGCACTCCAGCCTGGGCAACAGAGCAAGACCCTGTCTAGGAAAAAAAAAAAAAAGAAAGTAGACCCAAAAGATTTGCAGATGCTTTGCATGCAGTGTGTAAGAGAAAGAGAGGAGTCAAGGATGACTCCAGGATTTTTGTTACGTGAACTTTAAGAATGGAGTTGTTATTTATTGAGTTGGCAAAGACTGCGGGAGAAACCAGTTTGGTGGGAGAGTGCGAAATTGGGAATTTGGTCTTGCACGTGTTAGGTTTATTTTTTTCTTTGAAAACAATTTTTAATGTTTTAAAAATAAATAGACAGATGGGGTCTCACTAAGTTGCCCAGGCTGGTCTCAAACTCCTGGGCTCAAGCGATCCTCCCGTCTTGACCTCCCAAAGTGTTGGGATTATAGGCATGACCCACTGCACCTGGCTTTGCACATGTTAAGTTTGAGGTGTTAGTTAGATATCCAAATGGAAACATCAAGTAGGCAGTTGCATATGTTGGTTTTGAGTTTAGGGATGAGATTGAGATGAAGATAAAAATGCTGGAGTCAGTCAGGCGTGTTGGCTCACGCCTGTAATCCCAACACTTTGGGAGGCCAAGGTGGGTGGATCACCTGAGGTTGGGAGTGTGAGCCCAGCCTGGCCAACATGGCGAAATCCTGTCTCTACTAAAAATACAAAAAATTAGCCAGGTGTGGTGGTGGGCGCATGTAATCCCAGGTACTCAGGAGGCTGAGGCAGGAGAATCACTTGAACCTGGGAGGTAGAGGTTGCAGTGAGCCGAGATTGCACCACTGCACTCCAGCCTGGGCGACAGAGTGAGACTGTCTCAAAAAAAAAAAAAAAAAAAAAAAAGCTGGAGTCTTCAATGTGGAAACAGAATTTGGACTTAAGAAACGGGATGAGATACCTGGGAAGGCGTTGTATAGTTTGTCTCCGACTGGAGCGGGTGAGTTCTTTGAGAGGAGAGGCTCAGTTTTATTTTGTGTTTCTGCGTTTCTTTTTCTTTTCTTTTCTTTTTTTTTTTTTTTTTTTTTTTTTTAGACAGAGTCTCTGTTGCCCAGGTTGGGGTGCAGTTGTGCCATCTCAGCTCACTGCAACTTCTGCCTCCTCAGTTCAAGCAATTCTCCGGCCTCAGCCCCTGAGTAGCTGGGGATTATAGGCACCCACCACTACACCTGGCTAATTTTTTTGTATTTTTAGTAGTGATGGGGTTTCATCATGTTGGTCAGGCTGGTCTCAAACTCCTGACCCCAGGTGATCTGCCCACCTTGGCCTCCCAAAGTGCTGGGATTACAGGCATGAGCCACAGTGCCCGGCCTATTTTGTGTGTTTCTGATACCCCCTAGCACAGTTCCTCACACATAGGTAGGTGCTCAATGAGTGCTTATTACACTGAGCAGGGACTTTGTGATGCAAATGACTGTATCCCCAATACCTAGCACAGAGTGGTACCCAGCAAATATTTGACAAATAAATGTGTATTTGAATAAAGTGGAAAAATGTTAACTGCCATGGGAAATGTCAGAGACGGGTATTCCAGATTATGATTTCTCTCAAGAGCATTCACCCGGTCACCATCACAGGATTTATTCCGCCTGCTTTATATTACATTTTTTTTTTTTTTTTTTTTTTTTGAGACAGAATCTCGCTCTGTCGCCCAGGCTGGAGTGCAGTGGCGCATTCTCGGCTCACTGCAAGCTCCGCCTCCAGGGTTCACACCATTCTCCTGCCTCAGCCTCCCAAGTAGCTGGGACTACAGGCATGTGCCACCACACCCGGCTAATTTTTTTGTATTTTTAGTAGTGATGGGGTTTCACTGTGTTAGCCAGGATGGTCTCAATCTCCTGACCTCGTGATCCACCCACCTCAGCCTCCCAAAGTGCTGGGATTACAGGCGTGAGCCACCACGCCCGGTGCTTTACATTAAATTTAAACATACTTGAGCACCAGATTTTTTGATTTTCTCTACAGTCGTCATATGAGTGAAGGTGGTAATATGGGACACTGCATTTTCTAAAACTGGCCAAGCAAGAGAACCATCTGTTGAGCTTTTGGCATTTTCAGAATATTAGGCATCACTCCAAAACCTACTGAATCAGAATCTCAGGGGTTGTGCCCTGGAGAATTATTTTTTAAAAGCTCACTAGGTGCTTCTGATTTAGCTCGTTCTCTGATGGCATTTGGATAATCAGTCCTAAGGCCCCAGGCCCTGCTCTGTCATTGACTGTCATTTTGAGTGAGTCATTTGATCTCTGGGTCTTTTTCCCACTTATAAAAAATGAGGGTGAGAGCTGGGTGCCTAGATTTGTTTGTAATATTTAATCTCATTTTGATGCATGCAGGGTCTGTGCTAATAGCCTCCCTTTTATTCCTGATGCTGGTCATTTGCATCCTCTCTCTTTGCTTTTTTTTTTTCTTTGATTAGTCTGGCTAGGGATTTCTTATTTTTAATTGATCTTTTCGAAGAGCCAACATTTGGTTTAATTGATTTTTTAAATGTTTCTATTTTAACTTCACTGATTTCTACTCTTACATTTTTTTTTTTTTAATTTTTATTTTTTGAGATGGAGTCTTGCTCTGTCACCCAGGCTGGAGTGCAGTGGCACAATCTTGGCTCACTGCAACCTCCACCTCCTGGGTTCAAGCGATTCTCCTACCTCAGCTTGGGAGTAACTAGGATTATAGGCACATGCAATCACGCCTGGCTAATTTTTGTATTTTTAGTAGAGATGGAGGTTTACCATGTTGGCCAGGCTGGTGTTGAACTCCTGGCCTTAAGAGATCTGCCCACCTCAGCCTCCCAAAGTGTTGGGACTAGAGGTGTGAGCCACCCCTCCCAGCCTGCTCTTATATTAATTCTATTTCCTTCTTTCTGCTTGTTTTGTGGTTATTTTGCTCTTCTTTTTCTAGTTTCTTAAAATGGAAGCTCAGATTCTTAAGATTTTTTTTTTTTTATTGCTTCTTCTCTAAGCATTTAGGGCTATGAATTTACCTAAAGTTTACTTTGGCTGCATCTCACAGGATTTGACGTTTTTTTTTTAAGAGATGGCATCTCCCTTTGTTGCCCAGGTCAGACTGCAGTGGTGCAATCACAGCTCATTGAAGCCTCAAACTCCTGGGCTCCAGGAATCCTCCCACCACAGTCTCTCAAATACTTGGGACTACAGGTATGCACCACCATGCCCAGCTGACAGGTTTTTATATGTTTTATTTTTTTTAATTGAGGCGAAAGTCACACACCTTTTTTTTTTTTTTTTTTTTTTTTTTTTTGAGACAGGGTGTCACTCTGTTGCCTGTGCTGGAGTGCAGTGGTGTGAGTATAGCTCTCTGCAGCCTTGAATTCCTGGGCTCAAGCAATCCTCCCACCTCATCCTGAGTAGCTAGGACTCAGGCTAATTTTTTTTTTTTTTTTTGAGATGGAGTCTTGCTCTGTGGCCCAGGCTGGAGTGCAGTGGCACAATCTTGGCTCACTGCAACCTCCACCTCCCAGGTACAAGCGACTCTCCTGCCTCAGCCTCCAGAGTAGCTGGGATTACAAGTGCCTGCCACCATGCCCGGCTAATTTTTGTCTTTTCAGTAGAGACGGGGTTTCACCATCTTGGCCAGGCTGGTCTCGAACTCCTGACCGCATGATCCACCCGCCTCAGCCTCCCAAAGTGCTGGGATTACAGGTGTGAGCCACTGTGCCAGGCCGGACTCAGGCTACTTTTTTATTTTTTTTTTTGTAGAGATGGGATCTCACTGTGTTGCCAGACTGGTCTTGAACTCCAGGTCTCAAGCGATCCTCCTACCTCAGCCTCCCAAGGTGCTGGGATTATAGGCATGAGCCACCACACCCAGTCCACATACCATTTTAAAGTGTTACAATTCAGGCTGGGCACGGTGGCTCACGCTTATAATCCCAGCACTTTGGGAGGCCAAGGCGAGCAGATCACCTGAGGTCAGGAGTTCAAGACCAGTCTGGCCAACATGGTGAAACCCCAATCTCTACTAAAAATACAAAAATAGCCGGGCATGGTGGCGCATGCCTGTAATCCCAGCTACTTGGGAGGCTGAGGCAGGAGAATTGCTTGAACCCGGTAGGCAGAGGTTTCAATGAGCTGAGATCACGCCATTGCACCCCAGCTTAGACAACAAGAGTGAAACTCCATCCAAAAAAAAAAAAAAGAACTGTAGACAGGATAGTTTCATCTACCTGTCTTCATGTGTTCAATGACTCTCTCTTCCATCTGCTCTAATGAATTCGAAATAGTCTGGTGAATTTTTCATTTCCATTTCTATACTTTTTTTTTTTTTTTTTTTTTTTTTTGAGATGGAGTTTCGTTCTTGTCACCCAGACTGGAGTGCAATGGTGCGATCTTGGCTCACTGCAACCTCTGTCTCCTGGGTTCAAGCAATTCTCCTGTCTCAGCCTCTCGAGTAGCTGGGATTACAGGTGCCCGCCACCATGCCTGGCTAATTTTTGTATACTTTTCAGCTTCAGACTTTGATTCCTTTCAATAATTTCTATTTTTTTCCTTTCTTTTTTTCTCTAAGCTTTAGTTTGTCTATAATAAATTCTTTTATTGAGACAGGGTCTCACTCTGTCACCCAGGCTGGAGTGCAGTGGTGCAATCTTGGCTCACTGCAGCCTTGACTTCTCATGCTCAGGCAATTCTCCCACCTCAGCCTCCCAAGTGGCTGGGACTACAGGCGCATGCCACCACACTTGGCTGATTGTTTGCATTTTTTGTAGAGAGGGGGTTTCGCCATGTTGCTGAGGCTGGTCTTCAAATCCTGGCCCCAGGTGATCTGCCCGCCTCAGCCTCCCAAAGTGCTGGAATTACAGGCATGAGCCACTGCCCCTCACCTGTCTATAATATTTTCTATTTCTTTATTGATGTTCTGCATTTGTTGAGACATTGTTCTCCTTGTATCCTTTAACTCTTTATTCATCGTTTCTTTTAGCTTTTTGAGCAGATTTCAGACAGCTGATTTAAAGTCTTTGTCTAGTACTTTCAATGTCTGTGCTTCCTTAAAGACAATTTGTTTCTTTTGTGAATGGGCTGTACTCTCTTAATGTCACTGCATGGTTTGTAATTTTTTTTTGAAAATTGGAGTCAGGCACAGTGACTCACACCTCTAATCCCTTTTCCCCAAAAAAAGAAAAAGTAAAATTAAAAAGAAAAAAAGAGTCCAGGCGTGGTGCCTCACGCCTGTAATCCCAGCACTTTTGGGAGGCCGAGGTGGGCAGATTGCCTGAGGTCAGAAGTTCAGGACCAGTCTGGCCAACATGGTGAAATCCCATCTCTACTAAAAATCCAAAAACAGTCAGACATGGTAGCATGCCCCTATAATCCCAGCTACTCAGGAGGTTGAGGCAGGGGAATTGCTTGAACCAGGGAGGTGGAGGTTGCAGTGAGCCGAGATCGCACCACTGCCCTCCAGTCTGGATGACAGAGCTAAGACTCCGTCTCAAAAAAGGAAATCAGACATTTTGAGTATTATAATGGGGTAACTGGAAATTATTTTATCCTCCCCACCACCCCTGGGTTTGCTTTTGCTGTGGGCTGTAGCTGTTTGTTCAGTGACTTTCTAAACATTTTTGCAAAGTGTGTCTTCTTTTACATGTGCGGTCTCTGAAAGTCTCTCTGCCGTTAGCTTGTGTTCAACTAGTGTTTTAACAGAGATTTCCTTGAATGCCAGATGCCAAAGGTAAAAAAAAAAAAAAAAAAAAGAAAAACCCAGCTCTTTCCATCTTTGTGGATTGCCACTGTGCTGGGGCACTGGAGCAGTCCTTCAGGGCTTAGCCAGTCTGTGTACAACTTTTTATTTATTTTTTTGAGGTGGAGTCTTGCCCTGTCGCCTAGGCTGAAGTACAATGGCACGATCTTGGCTCACTGCAGCCTCTGCCTCCCAGGTTCAAGTGATTCTCTGCCTGAGCATCCTGAGTAGCAGGGATTACAGGCTTGTGTCACCACACCTGGCTAATTTTCCACCACACCCGGCTTACTTTTGTATTTTTTAGTAGAGACGGGGTTTCACTATGTTGGCCAGGCTGGTCTCAAACTCCTGGCCTCAAGTGATCTACCCGCCTCAGCCTCCCAAAGTGCTGGGATTACAGGCGTGAGCCACCGCACCCGGCCCAGTCTGTGTACAGCTTTGCCCTAGGCTTTACTCCCTGCCTGCAGGGAGGATGGAGAGGAGCCACAGATGAAAGCTCAGCATCCTTTCTCAGGTCTATTCTGAGAATGTGCTCTGCACTCAGCATGTGCATGGCTACTGAAATTCCATAGTACACAAGGGCAGGTCTGAATTTCAGTACCCAAATTTCCCATAGAAACTCTCCACAGCTTCTTCTCCCATGCTGTCAGCACACCTATAGTTTGCCTCAACTGTAATCTTTTGCCTAGGCATCAGCAGGGTATGCATTTGATTTACAGTGTTTTCAAGGAATACCCTCTGTGTAGCCACTTTTCTGCCCTGTGTGAGTTCTGGGTTAGGTGAAACAAAGGCAGCTGCCCTGTATCAGTTCTTTTGGCAGCCCTCAGGCAGCTGAGAACGGGAAAACAAAATGCTTTGAGAATAAGGTCTGCTCTGCTGCCTTCAATACCAGAAACCACACTGGGAATGTGGGCTGCCATCTTCAAGGTTCCCACTGAACCATGGAAGGTTGTGGGGCAAGGGCAAGTAAAATAACCCAGTTTTCCTACCATTTTGAAGTTGCTTTTTTCTTGATTCAGTGTTCATTTGGAGTATTAGTCAGTTTTCACACTGCTGGAAAGAACTGCCTGAGCCTGGGTAATTTATAAAGAAAGGAGGTTTAATTGACTCACAGTTCCACTTGGCTGGGGAGGCCTCAGGAGACTTACAATCATGGTGGAAAGCTAACAAGAAGCAAGTACCCTCTTCACTGGCTGGCAGGAGAGAGGGGAGAGTGCAGGGGAAACTGCCACTTAAAAACCATCAGATCTCGTGAGAACTCCCTCACTATCACGAGAACAGCATAGGGCAAACCGCGCCCGTGATCCAGTCACCTTCCACCAGGTCCCTCCTTGACCCCTGGGGATTACAATTCAGGATGAGATGTGCTTGGGGACAAAGAGCCACATCAGATGATCTGGTTATTGTAAACCTTTGATTATTTTTCTACAGTTCTCATGAAGTTGATTCAGACAGTTTTGCTTGGTTTATCAATGTTTCTGTGGGGGGATGGGGACTTGGAGATACCTACTCTGCCATTTTTGCTGATACCAGTCAACATGTTATATTTTCACTTTTACATAATTCAATATGTTTTCCAGTTTCCCTTGCGACTCACTCTTTGACCCATGAATTATTTAGAAGTGTATTTAATTTCCATGTGTTTAGAGATTTTCTGGTTTCTTTTTAAAATTGATTTAGTTTAATTATTTTACAGTCACAGAACGTATTTTGTATGATTTCAGTTATTTTACATTTCTTAAGATTTGTTTTGGCCGGGCATGGTGGCTCACACCTGTAATCCCATCACTTTGGGAGGCCGAGGCAGGTAGATCACCTGAGGTCAGGAGTTTGAGACCAGCCTGGCCAACATGGCAAAACCCTGTCTGAAAAACACAAAAATTAGCCAGGCGTGGTGGTGCATGCCTGTAATCCCAGCTACTTGGAAGCTGAGGCAGGAAAATTGCTTGAACCCAGGAGGCGGAGGTTGCAGTAAGCCGATTGCACCTCTGCACTCCAGCCTGGGCGACAGAAAGAGACTCCATCTCAGAAAAACATTTGTTTTATGACCCAGGTTCTGGTAAATCTTGCTGAATCTTCCATGGGCAAAGAATGTGTACCCTGCTGTTAGTGTGTGAAGTCTCCTGTAAATGTCAGTTAGGTTCCATTGGTCGATGATGGTGTTCAGTTATTGTATTGTTTGCTGATTTTCTTTGCTGTTTTTTTCCTGTGAATGGTCTAAGCTTCCTATTTCCTGTTTCTTTGTATATTTTGTGGTTTTTTGTTGAGAACGTTGCATTTTAAGTGTTACAATGTAATGACCCTCAAAATGTGATTCTCTCAGTCACCTGGGATTGCTGGGTTTTGCTTGTTGAGGTCTGAAGCTCCCCTTTTGTTACTTTTCCAAACTATTTTTGCAAAGTGTTTCTTCCTTGTGCTTGTGTGGTCACTGAAATTTGTTTCATTATCTCTGCAGTCAGCCAGCCACCTAACATGGATTTCCTTAAATAGATGGCTTTAAATGGGGTGGGGCAGAGGAGGATTTTGTCTCTTTGATAAAATCTTCTGAAGGATGTCCCTGGGGAAGCCACTGTTGCTGAGAGGGCCAAATAAACCAAGGCAAGCATCCGGGCTGGTCCTCAGAGACCCATTGGACCCACCAAGGTGCAGAACCCATGGTTTTGGAGGACAGAGTTCCGCTGCTCGCCCTGGCATCAGCCAGCTGCTTCGGGAACTCAGGCTCAGGAATGGGGGAGTGTTGGCTGGTTGGCACATGCCACTCACTCGTGAAGATCAGCAGCCTCTCTCTTCATTGTTTAAGTATGTCTCTGGTTGTTAGGAGTTCCTGGTCATGTTTCAGAATTCCAAAAGAGCTGATTCCAATCACTCTTTCTAGCTCAGTGGTTGCTTTAGTGAAGGGACTGATCTCTACACTACAGCTTCCTACTCTGCCATCTTATGTGACTATTGATATTTATTTATTTATTGAGACAGAGTCTTACTCTGTTGGCTGGAGTGCAGTGGTGCAGTCACGGCCCACTGCAGCCTTGACCTCCTGGGCTTGAGTGATTCTCTCACCTCAGCCTCCCGAGTAGCTGGGACTATAGGTATGTGCCACCATGCCTGGCTAATCTTTTTTTTTCTTATTCTTTTTGTGGAGATGGGGTCTCGCTATCATGCCCAGGCTGGTCTCAAACTCCTGAGCTCAAGTGATTCCCTCCGCCTCGGCCCCCTAATGTGCTGGGATTATAGGCATAAGCTACCACACTTGGCCATGAGTCATTTTTAAAAAAACAGATTCCAACAACCTTTTTGATTGCTGTGTTTAGAAGATTTATATTTAATTTTGGACGGGTTTTTATTATCTATTTTCTACTTGTTCCCTCTGGGTTTTTTTATACCTGTTTCCCTTTTCTTGCCTTTTTATGGGGTACTTAGACATTTCTTAGTATGCCATTTAACTTCATATGCCATGCTAAATCAATTCAGTATGCCATTTAGTATATATTTTTGTATAGGATTTTATAGGTGGCTGTAGAGATTATATTATACATACTTATGATCATTGGCTAGTATCAACCTTTTGCCAATTCAAGTGGAATGTAGAAACTCTACTGCTTTCTAGGCCCCTCTGCCCTTCTTTATGGTATTGTTGTCTTGAATATCACCTCTACATTCATTGAGAACCACTGAGATAATGTTATGGTTTTGCTTTTGCCCATCAAATATAATTTTTAAACTCGAGATTATATTCACCCAGATATTTACCCTCTTACTGCTTTTTTAAATTTCTCTTTTTTAATTTAATTTTTATACTTTTTCTTCTGAAAAAAAATCTCTCTGGATTTTTCTTCATTTCTTTCTTTTTTTTTTTTTTTTTTTTTGAGACAGAGTCTCACTCCATCGCCCAGGCTGGAGTGCACTGGTGTGATCTCAGCTCACTGCAACCTCCACCTCCCTGGTTCAAGTGATTCTCCTGCCTCAGCCTCCCGAGTAGCTGGGATTGCAGGCATGCACCACCATGCCTGGCTAATTTTTATATTTTTAGTAGAGATGGGGTTTCACCATGTTGACCAGGCTGGTCTTGAGCTCCTGACCTCAAGTGATCCTCCTGCCTCAGCTTCCCAAAGTGCTGGGATTACAGGCATGAGCCACCGCGCCCGGCCTCTTCAGATGTTTTTTGGGCACTGCACTCTTTTTCCTCTCCTTCTGGGAATTCAGTGACATGAATGTTAGAGCTTTTGCTGTTGTCTCATTGTTCAGTTTTTTTTTCTATTTGTTTTCTCTCTGTTGGTCAAATGGGATTATTTCTACGTAATTTTTTTTCTTATGGCAAGATTGTCACGATACAGATTGAATCATTTCTGCTGCTCTATCATCAAGGTCACTAATTTTTTTCTCTGTTGTATCTCCATTCTGCTATTGAGTTCACCCATTGAGTTTTTTACTTAGTTATTGTAATTTCTAGTTCTAAAATTACAATGTAGTTCTTCCGTATATCTTCAATGAGACGTTATATTTTTCAGTGTGTTTCGAGAGTGTTCATAATTACTTCTTGGGCCATTTATAAGATAGCTCATCTAAAATCCCTATGCAATAATTCCAATATCTTTGTCATCTTAGTGTTAATTGTCTTTCCTCATTCAGATTTTTTCTGGTTTTTAGTATGAGGAGTAATTTTTCTGGGTTCGGATTTTTCTGGTTCTTAGTATGAGGAGTAAGTTTTAATTTTATCCTGGACACTTTGAGTGTTATGTTATGAGACTGTAGTTCCTGTTTAAATATTCTGTATTAGCAGGCACTCAACCTGTTTAGATTCAGGATGCACTTTCTGTGGCCAGCAGGGCTCTGGTTCTAAGATCAATTTAGTTTTCAAAGCTTTTGCAGAGCTCCTCTGGCCTCCCCCACCTTTGTGCAACCCAGAGGCCAATTTGTTTTTGTTTTTGTTGTTGTTTGGAGACAGGGTCTTGCTCTGTTGCCCTGGCTGGAGTGCAATGGCCCAGTCATAGCTCACTGCAGCTGTAATCTCCCAGACTCAATCACTCCTCCTCCTCAGCCTCTTGAGTAGCTGGGACCAGAGGTACACACTACCACGCCCAGCTGATTTTTTATATTTAGTAGAGACAAGGTCTCACTCTGTTGCCCAGGCTGATCTTGAACTCCTGGGCTCAAGTGTTCCTCCCATCTCGGCCTCCCACAGTGTTGGGATTACAGGCATGAGCCACCGCACCCAGCCCTGGAGGCCAGTTTGAAACCTCAGAGTATTCCACATTGCCGTTGAGCTCTCAGAGCTTTTGCTGTGTTGATCCTGGTTGTTTTCACACATGGGCACTTGGAGGGCATGGCCCAGGACTTCCTACACATATTTAACCCGTTTCCCATTTGGGAAAAAAAAAGTGCAGCTTGCTGCTAGTGCTCATTTAATTTTACATAAACACACTTTTGAGGCTGAAGTAAATCTGACTGATTTTCAATGCGAAAATAAAATATGAAAACTGGGTTTGGCCTTCTTCCAAGTGTACTTTCCTTCCCTTCCTTCCTTTCTTTACTGCTTTAAAGCTTTTTAATAAACTTTCACTCCTGTTCTAAAAGAAAAAATATATATATCAACTGTTCTTGGAGTTATTATTAAACAGAACTTGTCTTTAATCCGAATGTAACAGAAATGTACACGACGTTATATTAGGATTAGAGAGGAGTATTCTGCGGTGGGTGGGACGGGGAACGGGAAATGGGTTGGAGAGTCCTTGCTTCTAGCTCCTCACTGTCTTTGAGAGAGGATGGGGTGCCACCTTGTTACTGTGGTTCAGTCTTGTGCAGGTTGTGGATGGTCAGCAGGGCCCTTCCACACAGTCTTGCCAGTGCTTGGTGGAGAGGGGAGAGATGCCACCTCTGCTTGTGTTGGCCCAAGGTGGGGAGGGTCAACAGGTCTTTGTTCCACAGTGTCTACAGTATCTGGGGCAGGGGAAGGTGCAGCTTTTTTCAGGCTGTTTTCCTAGAGTAGGGTGTGTGTAGTCAAAAGGGCACTGTCCCGCAGGGCCGCCCTCTTCGCTGTCATTTGGCTCGAAAGATGAGGCTCCTTTTGTGGGGGTTGGGGGATGAAGGGGGCACTGGGATTTCCTGGTTGTAGACTCCGCTCTAACAGATAAGACAGGGTATATAGGAGGCCAAAGAACAAACCATCAAACCACCCTGGGAACTCACCACTGGGTCAGCCCTTCTCTTCTCTACCTTTCCAGAATTTGTTGGTTTGATTGATTGGATCGTTGCTTCATGTATTTATTTATTTATTTATTTATTTATTTATTTATTTATTTATTTATTTATTTATTTTTAATTGAAATAGTCTGGCTCTGTTGCCCAGGCTGGAGTGCAGTGGTGCAATCTTAGCTCAATACAGTCTCCACCTCCTGGGTTCAAGCAGTTCTCCTGCCTCAGCCTCCTGAGTAGCTGGGATTACAGGCGCCTGCCACCATGCCCAGCTCATGTTTGTATTAGCAGTAGAGGTCGGGTTTCACCATGTTGGCCAGGCTGGTCTCAAACTCCTGACCTCAGGTGATTCACCTGCCTCGGCCTCCCAGAGTGCTGGGATTACAGGCATGAGCCACTGTGCCCAGCTGCTTCATGTATTTTGAACAGGGGTTTTAGTTGTAATTAGAAGAGAAATGTAATGGGTGTGCTTATTCCATCTCCTATGGAACTGGAAACAACATTTGGCATTGAAAATTGTTGTCTTGATAACTTTTAGGGTGTTACTTCTCATTTTAGCGGCAATACATTTTGCTTCCGTGTGATGAAACATCCTACCCATTTGCATGTTGATTGTGTCTCATGTCCCATCTCGCAACAGGCAGTAAAACCCCATTTCCAGCCCAAAGCACCTTGCTAAAGAGCCTGCACCGCAGCCACTGTGCCTTTGCGCTCTGGCTCGTGCGACCTCTCCAGATCTTCTTCCTCATTTCGTCTGTTCACTGGGGCCCTCTTCTCCCTGTGACTCGCCTCAGCCTTTTCACTCCTTGCTGGACATGGAGTAGGACTATTGGGAGGATGAAATAGACGAATGTGTGGCAAGCATGTAGGAGAGCCTGTGGCACAGAAGCAGCACTCGGTACATGGTGCTTGTTGTTATATCCCTAGTTTTGACATAGCCTCAGCCTCAAGTAAAAGATAACCCAAACTCCCACCAAAGTACAAGAGTCAGATTCCTGTTCACTTCTGTTTATAAATGAACTTTCTATTTTTTTAAGAGCAGGGTTGTACTCTGTCACCCAGGCTGGAGTGCAGTGGAGCGATCATACCTCACTGCAGCGTTGACTTCCTGGGTTCAAGGGATCCTCCTGCCTCAGCCTCCTGAGTAGCTGGGACTACAGGTTCACGCCACCATGCCCAGCTAGTTGTTGTTGTTGTTTTGGTACAGACGAGATCTCTGCTATGTTGCCCAGGCTAATCTTGAACTCTTGGGCTCAAGCTGTCCTCCCTCTTTGGCCTCCCAAAGTGCTGGGAGTACAGGCATGAGCCACTGCGCCTGGCCTGGATGAAGTTTTTCCTCATGCAGTACTCTGCACACCTTTAGTGAGTGCTCGCCATGCACCATATCCTATGTGAGGGATCAAAAGATAGGCGAGATACAGCCCATGTCTTCAAAGAGCCCACAGGCCAGAGTGGGAGAAATAGACACACAGCACAGTGCAGTAAACTGATAGGAATGCAATGAAAATAGACACGGTAGATACGCAGCACAGTGCAGTAAACTGATAGGAATGTAATGAAAATAGACACGGGCGAGCGGGGACCCCAAAGGGAGGGTGGCCATATGTTTGGGGCTGAGGACAGGTTCCCAGAGGTGGTGACAGTTGGGCTGAATCTTAAAAGATAAGTGGGTTTTCTGGCCCGGTGCGGTGGCTCGCACCTGTAATCCCAGCACTTTGGGAGGCCAAAGCGGGCGGATCATGAAGTCAGGAGATCGAGACCATCCTGGCCAACATGGTGAAACCCCATCTCCACTAAAATACACACACAAAATTAGCCGGGCATGGTGGTGCATGCCTGTAGTCCCAGCTACTTGGGAGACTGAGGCAGGGGAATCGCTTGAACCTGGGAGGCAGAAGTTGCAGTGAGCCGAGATCGCGCCACTGTACTCCAGCCTGGCGACAGAGCGAGACTCCATCTCAAAAAAAGATCTAAGTGAGTTTTCCCAAGGTGCGTCAAGGCATTTCCCGCAGAAGCAGAATGAGCAAAACTTGAGAGCCACAGACCAGCACGGCGGGTAATTCAGTGTCCGTGTCATCAGTGGTACATGCCTACAGCCGTGTTGAAATTGTGTCTGGAGAAGCACATGAACCAGACTCTCCCTGATTTACAAGGCTCTTCGTCATCGGGTCCCTACTTAACTCTAATTTCATCTCTTGTCTTATCTATAATTTAGTCTGATATCATACATTAATTATATACACTGTACATTGATACACAGCATTTATTTGAAAGACAGACCTCTTGGATGTGACTATGGAGACAAGACCAGCAGCTCGAGACCATTCAATCCAAGGTATAAAATGGAGGAAAATCAGCTCCATCATGGTCTGAATTGAGGATGAGGCAGAAGAGCAGAGAATAGCTGATGCCCAGGTGGCAGCAACTTCACTCTTTCCCTGTGGAGTTGCAGGGTCTCCCCACCTCCACTGCGTCGGGACATGCCGTGTGCCATCTCTTTATCCATAGCTGCCTCCGGCATCAGCAGAGAAAGTCATGGGCAGATGGAGCTTTGGATTAGTTCTTTTTTCCAGTCTTCCTTTACTTTATCTGGATAAGATTGGGCAGATTGAATTTGATCTTCTATACTGGGGCCAGGGAGCAGAGTGGATCTAGACCATGCAGCTTTTCCCTACTGTCACCAGATTGGGAGCAGGGATTGGCTGCCATTGTCCTCTCCAGCCTCTGTGTTCCTGGGACACCGCTGACTGGAGGCTGCTCCTCTTCTAAGGGGGTCCGGCACAGAGCGCCACCCAGAGCACATGGCACCTTCTCTCTCCTCCTGCACCAGTCTCCTTGCCCTCTGTATTGTCATCATACTGAAGCAAACCATCCAACTCACCAGCCTCTCTCTGGAATCCAGTCTCATTGATTCCTCTCCCTGAGACTCTTCCTCAGTCTCCTTTTAGCCCCTCACATCCTCAGCCGAAGATCTCACTTCGTCCCAGAGGCCTTTGCTGACTGACCCCTCAGGTAGGCTAAATCCCCATCCTGCGCTTCCATGACAGCCTGTGGCAGATGCTATTTTCTGCAGGTGGCCACAGCCCTATCTCCCATCCCACACACTCCTCTCATAACATGACCTTGTCACTTCTTCCATCGCGTGGTCGGGGGTATGTCTCTTTTCCTTGAGCCTGTGCACATCTTTGTGATTGCCCTGACCAATAAATAAAGTAGGACAGAAGCGACGCTATGAGATAGCCAGGCTGCACTGTAAAAATGTCATGCCTTTCTGCTGTGTTGTCATGGAATGCTTGCCCTTAGAAGTAAGCTGCCGGACTGTGATGAAGCCCAAACCAGCCCAAATGGGGAGACTGCGAGGGGCCACATGGACAGGTTCCAGCCCACAGGTCAGTTGAAGTCCTGGCTGACAGCCAGTATCAGCTCCTGGTTTTGTGAATGAAGATGCCTCTAAATGATTCCAGCCCCCTCCCATTGATCACACTTAAGACTCCATGTCTTCCCAGCTGAGGCCCCACATGTCGTGTGGACCAGAGACAAGCCAGGCCTGTTGGAATCACAGAATCCCTGATGATAATGATTGTTTTTTGCCACTATGTTTTAGATTGGTTTCTTATGCAATTAGTAACTGAAACACTTTACTTCTTTATACTCATTAAGGAATGAGACTGTGTCTTTTTTTTTTTTTTTTGAGTCCGAGTTTTGCTCTTGTTGCCCAGGCTGGAGTGCGATGGCATGATCTCGGCTCACCACAACCTCTGCCTCCCAGGTTCAAGCGATTCTCCTGCCTCAGCCTCCCAAGCAGCTGAGATTACAGGCATGCGCCACTATGCCCAGCTAATTTTGTATTTTTAGCAGAGTTGGGGTTTCTCCATGTTGGTTAGGCTGGTCTCAAACTCCGGACCTCAGGTGATCCGCCTGCCTCAGCCTCCCAAAGTGCTGAGATTATAGGCGTGAACCACCACGCCTGGCCTGTATCTTTTTTTTTTTTTTTTTTTAACTTTTTGTAGAGATAGGGTCTCTCTGTATTGCTGAGGATGGTCTTGAACTTCTGGCCTCAAGCGATCCTCCTACCTCAGCCTCCCAAAGTGCTGGGAGCACAGGTGTGAGCCACCATGCCTGGCCTGACACTGTCTCCAGTGTTTATTGGTGTTTCCTGTGTTGCACAAAGCAGGTGGTGGTGCACCGTCAATAGTGAGTTTGTGAGTAGAAGGTGTGGGTGTCATACAGTTGGTGTCTGTGCGCCTGGAAGCACACACCTGTTTCTGCTTCCAGAGTTGTCTCTGGCCTGCAGTTCTGTGCTTCCTAGCTTGATCCGTTCCTCTCCAGGAATCTCCTCTCCCTCCCCACCCTGACCCACCTGTTGGTGAGAGATGCAACTGACTGTTTCTGCCACACTTTTTACTTACAGGTGGTACCTGTATTATTCCCTCCACCTCTTCAGGGAAGAGGGTGAAGAGATGAGAGGCTAGGGGTTCCAAACACAAACTTGACCCATTTTACCATTTTGTTAGCAACAGTCTTGAGAGAATCAATACAAACTTTAGGTAGCTTGGTACTTTGCCCTTCAGGACAGTTCTTCCCTGGTAATGTTAGATTGTTGGGGTTAACCATTACTGTGCCATTACAGATGAGCTTCGGCTGCCCTCTAGTGGCAGCAGCAACCTGGATCTCGAACAAAGATCATTCTAGCATTGGGACCAGCTTTGTGTCATGAATACGTCATCAGTGCCTACCATATTAACTGACATCTATTCGGAGCTAATAACTAACTAATATTGATTAACAAACTAGCCAACATGCACTGTTTTTTTGTTTGTTTTTGAGATGAGTCTCACTCGCCTAGGCAAGTGGCGCGATCTCGGCTCCTCCTCTGCCTCCCACCTCCCAGGTTCAAGTGATTCTTCTGCCTCATCCTCCCTAGTAGCTGGGATTACAGGTGTGCACCACTACACCCAGCTAAATTTTTTGTATTTTTAGTAGAGATGGGATTTCCCCATGTTGGCCAGGCTGGTCTTGAACTCCTGACCTCAGGTGATCCGCCTGCCTTGGCCTCCCAAAGCACTGGGATTACAGGTGTGAGCCACTGCACCCAGCCTTTTTGTTTTTTGAGGCGGAGTCTCACTCTGTCACCCAGGCTGGAATGCAGCAGCGCGATCTCGGCCTACTACAACCTCCTCCTCCTGGGTTCAAGAGATTCTCCTGCCTCAGCCTCCCAAGTAGCTGAGATTATAGGTGCCCACCACCATGCCAGGCTAATTTTTATATTTTTAGTAGAGTAATTCAGTAATTTTTGTATTTTTAGTCTTGAACTCCTGAGCTCAGGTGATCCACCTGCCTTGGCCTCCCAAAGTGCTGTGATTACAGACGTGAGCCATCGTGCCTGGCGCTTTGCCCACTTTTTGATGGGGTTAATTGGTTTTTTCTGGTAAATTTGTTTAAGTTCCTTGTCGTTTCTGGATCTACAAGAATATACAAGATTCTGGATCTGACCTTTGTCAGATGGGTAGATTGCAAAAATTTTCTCTCGTTCTGTAGGCTGCCTGTTCACTTGGATGCTAGTTTCTTTTGCTATGCAGAAGCTCTTTAGTTTAATTAGATCCCATTTGTCAATTTTGGCTTTTGTTGCAATTGCTTTTGGTGTTCTAGTCATGAAGACTTTGCCCATGCCTATGTCCTGAATGGTATTGCGTAGGTTTTCTTCTAGGATTTTTATGGTTTTGGATTTTACATTTAAGTCTTTAATCCATCTTGAGTTAATTTTTTATAAGGTGTTAAGGAAGGGGTCCAGTTTCAGTTTTCTGTATATGGCTAGCCAGTCTTCCCAGCACCATTAAATAGAGAATCCTTTCCCCATTGCTTGTTTTTGTCAGGTTTGTCGAAGATCAGATGGTTGTAGATGTGTGGTGTTATTTCTGAGGTCTCTGTTCTGTTCCATTGCTATATATCTGTTTTGGTACCAGTACCATGCTGTTTTGGTTACAGTAGCCTTGTAGTGTAGTTTGAAGTCAGGTAGCGTTATGCCTCCACCTTTGTTCTTTTTGCTTAGTATCGTCTTGGCTATATGGGCTCGTTTTTGGTTTCATATGAAATTTAAGGTAGTTTTTTCTAATTCTGTGAAGACAGTCAGTAGCTTGTTGGGAATAGCATTGAATCTGTAAATTACTTTGGGTAGTATAGCCATTTTCACAATACTGATTCTTCCTATCCATGAGCATGGAATGTGTTTCCATTTGTTTGTGTACTCTCTTATTTCCTTGAGCAGTGGTTTGTAGTTCTCCTTGAAGAGGTCCTTCACGATTTATAGAGTTTTTAAAAAGTCTTTGTCTGCTAAGTCCAATATCTGGGCTTCCTAAGGGCTGATTTCCATCAATTTATTTTGTTACTTTGAATACGTTCCCTTGTCTTTGCATGATTTGTGATTGTCATTGAAACACGGACATTTGAATATTGCAAGGTAGTAACTCTGGCATTTAGATGATTCTTCTCATTTTATTTGCTATGTATTTGTGAGTGTGTCTGTTTTTAATCATTGAAGGCTGTAGTAGTACATACGTTTAGTGACTTCCAAACTATTTGTGCAAAGATTTATCATTTTCATGTGTGGTCACTGAAGTCTCTGATTCTTTTAGCATGTGTTCAGCTCACATTTTGATAAGAGATTTCCTTGAATACTAGGAGCTAAAAATGGAAGAAAGTACCTCTCCCAGTCTTTGAAGTTTGCCTTTGCACCACAGCTTTCCTTCAGCACTTAGCTAGGCCTGCACTGACCCTCGTGATCAGGCCAAGGTGAAAACTTAGGTCTTTGTCAGGTGTTTCTGAGCAAGCATCCTGCCCTGGGCAAAGCCCGTGTAACAACTGAGTGCTTGTGACTGCCCTGCTTTCCTAGAGGAATTCTCCCCAGCTTTCCTGCTTTCTCAGAGGAATTCTCCCCAGCTTTCCTGCTTTCTCAGAGGAATTCTCCCCAGCTTTCCTGCTTTCTCAGAGGAATTCTCCCCAGCTTTCCTTCTCGGATTTAGGAAGTCTCTATTAGTTTGCTCGGGCTACCATAGCAAAATGCCACAGACCATGGCTTCAACAGCTGGAAGTTATTTTCTCACAGTTCTAGAAGCCAGAAGTCAAAGATCAAGGTGCCAGCAGGGCTGACTTCTTCAGAGTGTTCTCTCATTGGCTTGCAGATAGCTGCCTTCTTGCTGTGTCTTCATGTGACCTTTTCTCTGCACGTCTCTGGCATTTCTGCTTGTTTCTTTTGTGTTTTTTTGAGATGGAGTCATGCTCTGTCTCCAGGCTAGAGTGCAGTGGCACGATCTCGGCTCACTCAACCTCCACCTCCTGGGTTCAAGCGATTCTCCTGCCTCAGCCTTCCTAATAGCTGGGATTACAGGCACCTGCCACCACGCCTGGCTAATTTTTGTATTTTTAGTAGAGACGGGCCTGGCCATGTTGGCCAGGCTGGTCTCGAACTCCTAACTTCAGGCGATCTGCCTGCCTCAGCCTCCCAAAGTGCTGGGATTATAGGCATGAGCCACCGTGCCTGGCCATCCCTGGCATTTCTTCCTGTTCTTTAAGGACACCAGAGAATGGAACTCAGCTCTTTCCCCTACTGTTGCCGGGCATGGTAGCTCACACCTGTAATCCCAGCACTTTGGGAGGCTGCGGGTGGGTGGAACACGAGGTCAGGAGATCGAGACCATCCTGGCTAACACGGTGAAACCCTGTCTCTATTAAAAAATACAAAAAAATTAGCCAGGCGTGGCAGCGGGCGCCTATAGTCTCAGCTACTCGGGAGGCTGAGGCAGGAGAATGGCATGAACCCGGGAGGTGGAGCTTGCAGTGAGCCGAGATTGTGCCACTGCACTCCAGCCTGGGTGACAGAGTGAGACTCAGTCTCAAAAAAAAAAAAAAAAGAGAGAGAACAGTGGAGTGTTGTGAGTCTCAACTGTCAGGTTTTGCCCCAGTCCTGTGTAGATTGTTTGCCTTGCAATGTTTTTGAGCAATGCTCACCACTTTTCCAGCCTCAGTGAGTTTCCAGCAAATAGACAGGCGTCTACATCATTCCCTCAGTAGCCCTCAGACGTGCGATAGCAGATTTACCAGTAATTTGAAGGTAAGGTCCGCCCCGTCCCTGTGGAATGCCAAGAGGCCCCACACTGCGAATGCAGCCTTCTGTCTTCAAGACTCCCGTAGAAGCCAGGTGCGGTGGCTCACGCCTGCAGTCCCAGCTGCTTGGAAGGCTGAGGTGAGAGAATCACTTGAGCCCAGGAGTTCAAGGGTAGAGTGAGCCACAATCACACCACTGCATTCCAGCCTGGGCAACAGAGCAAGATCCTGTCTCTTAAAAAACATTGCCACAAAGGTTTTCTACCTTTCCTTTTTAAGTTGCCTTTTTCTTGATTCAGCATTCATTTGGTTGTTGTAAGGCTTTGGCTGTTTTTCAGAGTTGTTTCTAATAATTATTTGGTTTTTTTTTTTTGAGACAGAGTTTCACTCTTGTTGCCCAGGCTGGAGTGCAGTGGCGCCATCTCGGCTCACTGCAACCTCCGCCTCCCCGTTCAAGCGATTCTCCTGCCTCACCCTCCCGAGTAGCTGGGATTACAGGCATGTGCCACCACACTTGGCTAATTTTGTATTTTTAGTAGAGATGGGGTTTCACCATGTTGGTCAGTCTGGTCTCAAACTCCTGACCTCAGGTGATCCACCTGCCTCGGCCTCCCAAAGTGCTGGGATTATAGGTGTGAACCACTGCGCCTGGCCTTTTTTTTTTTTTTTTTCTGTTTCTGTTGGGTGATGGGAGCTTGGAGCTGTCTACTCTGCCCTTTTGCTGATATCAGTCCTCAATTATATTTTAAAGAGATTTAAATAATAAGGAAAAACAGGCACATATAAATATATGTAGTTACCATTTTCAATGCCTTTCATTCCTTTGTGTAGATCCAGATTTCCATTTGGTATTTTTCTTCTGCCTGAAGGACATCCGTTAACATTTCTTACTGTGTTTGTTGGTGATGAATTCTTTCAGCTTTTTATTTATTTGTTTGAGACAGAGTCTCGCTCTGTTACCCAGGCTGGAATGCAGTGGCACAATTATGGCTCACTGGAGCCTCGACCTCCCAGGCTCAAGGAAACCCCCAGGCTCAAGTGAACCTCCCAGCTCAGCCTCCCAAGTAACTGAGACTCCAGGCATGTGCCACTACGCTTAGCTAATTTTTGTGTTTTGTTTGTTTGTTTGGTTGGTTTTTTTTTTTTTTTTGAGACGGAGTCTAGCTCTGTCGCCCAGGCTGGAGTGCAGTGGCGCGATCTCGGCTCACTGCAAGCTCCACCTCCTGGGTTCACACCATTCTCCTGCCTCAGCCTCCCGAGCAGCTGGGACTACAGGCGCCTGCCACCACGCCTGGTTAATTTTTTTGTATTTTTAGTAGAGACGGGGTTTCACCGTGTTAGCCAGGATGGTCTCGATCTCCTGACCTCGTGATCCGCCTGCCTCGGCCTCCCAAAGTGCTGGGATTACAGGCGTGAGCCACTGCTCCTGGCCTAATTTTTGTTTTTTTTTTTAGAGACAGGGTCTCACTATGTTGCCCAGGCTGTTCTCGAACTCTGGGGCTCAAGCAATCTGCCCAGCTCAGCCTCTCAAAGTGTCTCCCAGCTTTTATGTGTCTGAAAATATGTTTATTTAACTTTCTTAAAATATATTTTCATTGGGCATAAAATTCTAGGTTTGCAGTTTTTGCCTTCAGCACTTTAAAGATCAAGTTGCACTGCTGTTGTCTCTCACTTGCACTATTTCTGGCAAGAAATTTGGTATCATTCTTATCTTTGTTCCTGTGTAAAATAACATGTACTATTTTCCCAGCTGCCTTCAGGATTTGATCTATATCATTGGTTTTGAGCAATTTGATTATGTGATTTGTTACAGTTTTCTTTGTATTTCTTGTACTTGACATTGAGCTTCAGGTCTGTGGGTTTATATTTTTCATTACATTTGGAAAATTTTTGGCCATTATTTCTTCTAATATTTTTCCATATCTCAACTTTGTAAACATATGGGATATAGTTAAAATTAATGTTAATGTCTTTCTCTGTTCATTTTAATATGTGTCAGTTTGGGGTTGGTTTGGATCAAAATAAGGATTGATTGGTTGTTATTATGGGCTGTGTTTTCTTGCTTATTTATATGCCTAGTAATAGGATGCCAGGATGCCAGACATTGGAGATTTTACCTTGTTGAGTAATGGTCATTTTTTTTTTTTTTTTTTTTTTTTTTTTTTTGAGACGGAGTCTCGCTCTGTTGCCCAGGCTGGAGTGCAGTGGCGCCATATCGGCTAACTGCAAGCTCCGCCTCCCGGGTTCACGCCATTCTCTTGCCTCAGCCTCCCGAGTAGCTGGGACTACAGGCGCCCGCCACCATGCCTGGCTAATTTTTTGTATTTTAATAGAGATGGCGTTTCACCGTGGTAGCCAGGATGGTCTCGATCTCCTGACCTCATGATCCACCCACCTCGGCCCCCCAAAGTGCTGGGATTACAGGCGTGAGCCACCGCGCCCAGCCAATTTTTTATTCCTATATACATTTTCTTGAGCTTTGTTTTGGGATGTATTTAAGATCATTGGAAAGTTGGATCCTTTCAGGTCTTGTTTTGATGATTCATTAGGTGGGTCCAAAGCAATGCTCAATCTAAGACTGATTCTTTCCCATTCCTGGGGTGCTTGAGTACTCCACACAGAGCCCTATAAATTGTGAGTTTTTCCAGTCTGATTTGTGGCGACCCCCATCTCTACAAAAAAATAAAGAGGCTGGGCACAGTGGCTCATGCCTATAATCCCAGTACTTTGAGAGGCTGAGGCAGGCAGATCACCTGAGGTCAGCAGTTTGAGACCAGCCTGTCCAACATGGTGAAACCCAGTCTCTACTAAAAATACAAAAATGTAGCCAGGTGTGGTGGTGGGTGCCTATAATCCCAGCTACTCCACTGAGGCTGAGGCAGGAGAATCGCTTGAACCTGGGAGGCAGAGGTTGCAGTGAGCTGAGATCGCACCACTACACTCCAACCTGGGCGACAAGAGCAACACGCCATCTCAAAAAATAAAAATAAGTAAATAAATAAAAGACCATCTCATCCAGAAATGCCTTTATAGATACACCCATAAATAAATGTTTAACCAAGTATCTGTGCACCCCATGGTCCCTTCAAGTTGACACATGAAATTACCCATCACTCCAGCCTTCAGCCGTGGGTTTGCGTCATGCATAGATTTCTAGAACTCCCTCTTTGCATAGTGCCCTCCTTTCTTTTTTCTGCCCCATTTCTCTGCCATTTCAGCTGTCTCAGCCTGATCTCTGCCTCCTCATCTCTGCCTCTTCAGCCCAGCGGGATCTCCCTACTGTGCTCAGACTCCAGCTCTCTGCACTGCAGTTGGGAAACGATCCCCAGGTAGAGGAACTAGGTGACTTTGGGGCTCATCTCACAAGTTTCCTTACACTTAGGGATCAGTCTTTTGCTTCCTGTTGTCCTCTGCCTGAAAGTAGTTGCCAAGTTGTACTGTTTTATATATCCACCACAGCATGAGTTAAACCAAAGTCTGGATCAGCAGACTGCCAGATTTTTTTTTAACAAATTTATTAATCAATACATTTTGTCCATGTCTACAGTTGTTTATGGTGGGAGGACTAACCTGCAGCTGGAAGGATTAATTTTCAGCTGCTTTATAGTATTTTATTATATGAATTATACCAGTTTGCCCATCCTTGTGTTGATAGACATTACCCATGAAGTGTGTTCACATTGTCTGTGATACAAATAATGCTTCAGTGACTATCTACCCAGAATGGGATTGCGGGTTTATAGGATACATACTTCTTCACCCTTATTTTTTACTAGTTATTGCCAAATTGCTTTCCAAATTGTACTGTTTCATATATCCACAACGGCATGAGTTCTGTTTGTTTCACATCCATGCTAAGACTTGATCTTGTTAAATTAATTTTTCTAGTGTATAAATGAGTGCAAAATATTGTTAGTCTTTCCTAGATTACTAGTGAGGTTAAATGTATATGTGTATGTACGTATATGCACATATGTATATATTATTAGGTATTTGTGTTTCCCATTCGATAGCTTTTTTATATCAATTGTCCTTTTTAAAAATTGGGTCATCTTTTTGTTATTGATTCTTTGGAGTTCTTTATAAATTCTACTTATGAATCCTCTTTTGGTTATATGTGTTACGTTGTTTTTCCCAGTCTTGGCTTGTCTTTTAGATGTGTATCTTGTCTTTTCCCATACAGAAGTGTTAACTTTTTGTGTGTGTGTGATCTCACTCTGTTGCCCAGGCTGGAGTGCAGTGGTGCGATCTCAGCTCAGTGCAACCTCTGCCTTCTGGGTTCAAGCGATTCTCCAGCCTCAGCCTCCTGAGTAGTACTACAGGCACATGCCACCACACCAGGCAAATTTTTGTGTTTTTTTTTAGTAGAGACTGGGTTTTACCATGTTGCCTAGGCTGGTCTCGAACTCCTGAGCTCAAAGCAATCCACCAGCCTCGTCTCCAAATGTGCTAGATTATGTGTAAGCCATCACTCCCGGCCCAGAAGTACTAACTTTTAATGTAGTCATATTTATCTATATTTCCTACATGACTTGTGCCCTTTGTGTATTCATCTCTTTACCTCTAAACACAGGAGTGCCCCGAGGGCTCAGGCTATGGACCTCTCTATTTACATTAATTCTCAGTCATCTTGCTTGGTTTCAGGAGATCTGTACCCTGACGGCTTTTATGTGTAGCTCCTCCACTTAACTCCAGCCACACACAATAGTTCAAAGAGCCCCTACTGACCTAGACACTATGTTTCTTCTTCCCCTGTTACCCAGGTTTCTTGAGTAGGGAGTCTGCAGTCACTGCCTCCATTTCTTCACCTTCCAGTCACTGTTCAACCCAGGGCAGCCTGGCTTTTGTCCCACTAGTCTACTGATACTGAGATTTTTTTCTTAAGCAACACAGTCCCCCCTCCGCCCCCCCCCCCCTTTTTTTTTCAAATTAAGTCTTATGTGAAGTCACAGTATATTAAATAGAAGAATTACTTTGGCACTGGGTTGGGGAGGATCTGGAACCCAAACTGCACCTTCTTCTCATCTCTCTGAGTTGCCCCAGAGGCATCTATACCTTTCCAACTTTTCTATCCCCAAAACACCCTAATCTCCAGCGATACTGAACAATTCCATCTCTGGACTTCTGCACAGTGCTCCTTCATCTTCCTTGAACCTGCCAGACCTCTCAGCTCCAGGAGCACTTCCCTGCCTTCCTTCCCCTTTATCACAACTTTTTTTTTTTTTTTTTTTTTTTGAGATGGACTCGCTCTGTCGTCCAGGCTGGAGTGTGCAGTGGCATGATCTCGGCTCACTGCAACCTCCACCTCCCGGACTCAAGCAATTCTCCTGTCTCAGCCTCCCGAGTAGCTGGGACTACAGGCACGCGCCACCATGCCCAGCTAATTTTTGTATTTTTAGTAGAGACGGGGTTTCACCATATTGGTCAGGCCGGTCTTGAACTCCTGACCTCAGGTGATCCGCCCGCCTCCGCCTTCGAAGTGCTGGGAATACAGGCATGAGCCACTGCGTCTGGCCTCTTTTTTTGTTCCCGTTATCACACTGATAACATTGAATTGCAATCTTTTACTTACACATCTTCCTTACTAAACAGAGCTTATAAAGATCAGAGATCCTCTATTTTCCCCCTTAATCTCTTTAATGTATATAAACAATGGAATGAATAAATCAATGAATGAATGTCTGAGGAAACTTAACTACACCAAAGTGTATTGGCAGACTACCAGACTTTTTAAACAGCTTTATTAAGATATAATTCACAAACCATACAGTTCATAGGGTGGTGCAACCGCCAACACAATCTAATTTTAAACTATGTTTATGCTGCTACGAGAAAGCCTATACCCATAAGCAGTCATTTTCTATTCCCCACCCCCAAACCCACTCCTTAGCCCTAGGCAACCACTAATCTACTTTCTCAGACCGATAACTTTAGCATAGGTATAAATCGATCACAGAGCCTCAAAATCCACCCGATATCTGGGCCATGATGTGAAATTTGGTAGGTAATCGTCCCACGTTATCAACTTGTAAAGTAGAAATGGAAGTGGGGGGGAAAACTCAGCCGCCAGTGGCGTTTGTGAAAAGCACCTGGTAACAGGCTGTGCTGGAGGGGAGTTCAGCCCCTAGAAAAGATCACGGATTAGGAATTACATAAGCATAGGTCTCGGGTCCTTTTATTTTGGACGCGATCCTTTCACGGGATCGCCTCCGGATGGGAGCCGGATGGGATCCCGGACGGGATCGTCTCGCTGGGAGCCATGCAGGAAACCGCAAGAGTCAGAAACAGGCGTTGAAGGCAGGCAGCATTTTCCAAAACAGCTGTGTCTCGGGAGCTGCCGGGCTGTAGCGTCTCCCCGAGTCGCGCGCGCATGACGTGGCGGGCGCGCGATGACGCGACGCGTGGCGCGGTGCACGCTGGGATATTTAAGTCTCCTCCGCGGCGCGGAGCCGCGATGTCTCCGGCGGCTGCGGCGGCTGGAGCAGGCGAGCGGCGGCGGCCGATAGCGAGTGTCAGGGACGGCCGGGGCCGGGGCTGCGGCGGGCCGGCCGGGGCGGCGCTTCTCGGCCTGTCGCTGGTCGGCCTCCTACTGTACCTCGTGCCTGCTGCGGCTGCGCTGGCCTGGCTGGCCGTGGGGACTACCGCGGCCTGGTGGGGACTGAGCCGCGAGCCCCGAGGTTCGCGCCCCTTGTCCTCCTTCGTTCAGAAGGCGCGACATCGGCGAACACTGTTCGCTTCGCCTCCGGCCAAGTCGACAGCCAACGGAAACCTCCTAGAGCCGCGGACCCTGCTCGAAGGACCTGACCCTGCCGAACTGCTCCTCATGGGCAGTTACCTGGGCAAGCCCGGGCCGCCGCAGCCCGCCCCCGCTCCGGAGGGCCAGGACCTGCGGAATAGGCCTGGCCGCCGCCCACCCGCCCGCCCGGCGCCGCGCTCCACACCGCCCTCCCAGCCGACCCATCGCGTTCACCACTTTTACCCCTCTCTCCCCACTCCTCTTCTCCGACCCTCCGGGAGGCCTTCCCCACGGTGAGATGCGCTGATTTTCCCAGATCATCCTCTGGCTCGGCTGGCTTGAAATCGAGGACTTGACTTTTAAATCCGATTTGCATTTTCATCAAATCCGAAGGGAATTGTGTGTGGTTTTGCCCTCCTTAACACCTTGGTGTGTGCCAGCCGTCTCCTGGCCTCTGACTCTTGCTTGGTGTGAGATGTGTTGCCAAAACGATTCCCTTCTTTCCAGTTCTAAAAACTCCCCGAATTTTAGTGCAGTCTAGATTTAGTCTAGATTTAGATTTTCCCTCTCAAATTGTTGCAATCCATTGTTGAGACAGCTGTTAAGCAGCTGTCACTCTCTGCTCTTAGATGGAATAGGGGAAAGTTGCCATAAAAACAACGTGTTCTGTGTTGCGTAGAAAGAGATTTAAGTTCTTTGGAAAATGTCTTAACTGGTGGGTTTTTAACCGTCTAAAATTTTGACATTCTTTTATACTTTGTTTCCATGATTTGTCTCGCATTCTCTGCAGGGATCGTGGGACTTTACCAGATCGGTTTGTAATAACACCTCGAAGACGCTATCCGATCCATCAGACCCAGTATTCCTGTCCGGGGGTACTTCCCACAGTGTGCTGGAATGGTTATCACAAGAAGGCTGTGCTGTCCCCTCGCAACTCCAGGATGGTGTGTAGCCCAGTGACTGTGAGGATCGCCCCTCCTGACAGAAGATTTTCACGTTCTGCGATGTGAGTATTATCGTTGGAAGAATACTCTCCCTTTTCGTGTCCACTTTATTCTTCTCCAGTTGTTCCTGTGACAACATGACTACAACGCAAAAAAGAAAGGACGAATCTGCTTGTTTGAATGAGAAATACCAAATTCTAGTAAAACCGTTTGTTTTTCACTTTTTGCCGTTAACGAAAAAGTAGCTTTACTTGCTAAGGGGAACTGTTGTGAGTGTATAAATTATACTTTGGCCTGTTGGTTAGCTTCTGATTTCCGTTTCTGATGTGGCATGGGAATTAAAATATCTTACGGCTAGAATCTTGTCTTTCATTATAGACCAGAGCAGATAATCAGCTCAACACTGTCGTCACCATCAAGTAATGCCCCAGACCCATGTGCAAAGGAGACTGTACTGAGTGCCCTCAAAGAGAAGAAGAAGAAAAGGACAGTGGAGGAAGAAGACCAAATATTCCTTGATGGCCAGGAAAATAAAAGAAGGTAACAGGCTCAGGAGAGTACTAAGCCAGTTTCCCGCTTGGACCCCTATGGGATGAGATGTAGACATTCCCGTAAAGATACAGAGGCCACGTCCAGTTTGTGAGCCTTCATAGGCCTCCTTCTTTGGCTTTCATGAGAGAACCTAATAACAAGGGTTTTAATGCTGTTCATTTCAAGGCACAGGTTAGATCGATGTCATAATTTACCTTTTCTGTGAGTAGCAGAGATAAGCTGACAGCTATTAGCCATGTTAGCCTCATGCTTCTGTAGAAACGTGTTAAAAGTTTATTTTCAAGAAAGAAGGCTCTAAGTCTTCCGGTCGGAATTTTGTGGTGTTCAGTTATTTGGGTAACCACCAGTTCTAGTGTCTTTTTTTTTTTTTTTTTGAGTTGGAGTCTGTCTCTGTCCCCCAGGCTGGAGTGCAGTGGCCCGATCTCAGCTCACTGCAAGCTCAGCCTCCCAGGTTCATGCCATTCTCCTGCCTCAGCCCCCCGAGTAGCTGGGACTACAGGCGCCCGCCACCATGCCCAGCTAATTTTTTTGTATTTTTAGTAGAGACAGGGTCTCACCATATTGGCCAGGATGGTCTCAAACTCCTGACCTCGTGATCCGCCCACCTTGGCCTCCCAAAGTGCTGGGATTACAGGCTTGAGCCATGGCGCCCGGCCCACCAGTTCTAGTGTCTTAATTGTGCTGAAGGAAATGCTTGGGAAAGAAAAATGAAAACTAGAGTTTGGTAGTTTTATCAATAATGAGATTAAAACCAATTTCCTGGCAGGGCAAGGTGGCTCACGCCTATAATCCCAGCACCTTGAGAGGCCGAGGCGGGTGGATCACCTGAGGTCAGGAGTTCGAGACCAGCCTGGCCAACATGGTGAAACCCCGTCTCTACTAAAAATACAAAAATTAGCTGGATGTGGTGGTGGGTGCCTGTAGTCCCAGCTACTCCAGAGGCTGAGACAGGAGAACTGCTTGAACCCAGGAGGCGGAGGTTGCAGCGAGCCGAGACCATGCCAGTGCACTCTAGCCTGGGTGACAGAGCGAGACTGTCTCAAAAAAAAAAAAAAAAATTCCTTATGTGGTTTGTAAAATAACCTAATGAAAATGGAATAGTTTTCTAATTACAGAAAGAAAAGAAGTTGAAGTGGGTGAGCATTTACTGAGCACCCACTGTGTATGAGACCCTACTGCAAGTACTGTGGATAGAGCAGTGGACAAGACAAAATCTCTGCTCTCATGGGACTCTTGAGGGAAACACCATTTTATAAGGCTGGGTATGGTGGTGCATGCCTGTACTCCTAACACTTTGACAGGCCAAGGTGGGAGGATCGCTGGAACCCAGGAGCTCAAGACCAGCCTGGGCAACATAGGGAGCCCTCGCCTGTACAAAAAATTAAGAAATTAGCCAGGTGTGGTGGTGCATACTTGTAGTCCCAGCTGCGCTGGAGGCTGAGGCAGGAGAATTGGTTGAACCCGGGAGGCAGAGGTTTGTTGCAGTGAGCCAAGATTGTGCTATTGCACTCCAGCCTGGGCAACAAGAGTGAAACTCTGTCTGAAAAAAAAAAATTTACCTTTCAGAAACTTAGGGATTTTAAACAACCATTTTCTGGTCTAGCATGGAATCTGTGCTCCATAGAGATAGTATAAGGTCCCAGAAATGTGAGAATACACTTTAAAGGGACAAACAAAGTCATGTCATTTCATTTGAGACTTTTTTGATTTGTCGCAGGCGCCATGATAGCAGTGGCAGTGGACATTCAGCATTTGAGCCCCTGGTGGCCAGTGGAGTCCCCGCTTCTTTTGTGCCTAAGTAAGTGCGAGTCCATCCAGATGAAATACCAACTGTTTGGAAAAAGGCCTGATCAGAGCTGTTGCCCTATAGATTTTCCTCTTTGTTTTTTGCATTGCTTAATTAGTTCAGGTTCATGTCTTTGAAATTAGGAATATTCTGAGTAACTTGTCACAATTAACTGCCTTCTGTCTAATTCCTTTTAATGTTCTTGCATTAATATGGATGAAATATGCTGAGACTAGAGGTTTTATAAATATATTTAATAACCAAGCACATACACAGAAGGATTGCAAAGTTTGTGCAGCGGATAAGACAGTATGAAACTTAAATGTTTAATTTCTACATGTCAGTTTAAAAACAAATTGGAGGAAGAATTGGGTGGAAAGGAAAGTGGCTCAAAAGTCTGTGTGGAAAGACTTAGGATAACTTAGATACCTCATCTGAGTCAGCAGTGTGATGTGGCCACCAGGAAAGCTAAAGTGCTCCTGGTCTGTGCTGTTAGAAGAAAGACTAGAATGAGGCAGGTATTCCTGCCTTCCGTAGTTCTGCTCACTGTCCGTGGAGCACTGTGGTCAGATCAGCGTACTGCACTGCGAGGGAGGATGTACACAAACGGAAATTCATTCCCAGTGAAGCAACGAAGATGTTAAGGAGATTTGCAACAGCCCAGAGGGGTGGTGGTGGATGATGGGGTTTTGGAGGTATGGAAGTATTAACCCAGAGGAGAAAAATCTCAGGAGGAATAAAGAAATAAGTGAGGGAAGGACAATGGTCTCCAAAAAACCAAAGGACTGTCCCTTGAAAGAAGCGAAATAACTTGCTCTGTTTGACTTCAAATAGGATCCGTGGGTGAAAGTTAGAGGAAATACATTGTAATCCACTGTGAGAATAAACTGGTTCATGGTTGACGTGGGTCACTCTAGGAGAGCGTTGTCTATATTGTAACAGGTTGGATGACTGTCCTACAGGAAAGATGCATAGGAGATTTCTGTTTCCATTGGAGGTTTAGAAAAATGATGGGTTCCTCTTAACTCTGATTTTTTTTTAACAGCTTTGTTGAGGTATAATTGACATAACTGTACTTGTTTAAAGCATGTGACATTTTGACACGCATACACCTGTGGAACCATCCCACCACTAAGATAATGAACATCCATGACCTCCAAAAGTTCCCACATGCCTGTAATCCCTCTCTTTAGTTCCACCCGTGTCCCCAGGCATCCACTGATCTGTCTTCTGTCACTGTAGATAGGTATGCATTTTCCAGAATATTCTATAAATCATACATTTAAGTTTTAAATATTTGGCTTTTCTTACTGACTTTGTCAGATAGATTTGGCCAGATTGTTAGCAGTAAAAATTAAAAGCATTATTCTCTTCCCTTCATGTTATTAAGAAAGATGTCATGACCGTGGATGAAATCGTAAAAGAATGTTGCCTTCAATAAAGCATCTAACTGTCTTCTCTTTTATTAGGCCTGGGTCTCTGAAGAGAGGCCTCAATTCTCAGAGCTCAGATGACCACTTGAATAAGAGATCCCGAAGCTCTTCCATGAGCTCCTTGACAGGCGCTTACACAAGTGGCATCCCTAGCTCCAGCCGCAATGCCATTACCAGTTCCTACAGCTCCACTCGAGGCATCTCACAGGTACAAGTACAGCTCTTGTAATGTGGGGGGCATGAATTCCCAGCGTTCATTCATTGATTAGGGCCAGACATGGTAGCTTAGCCATGTAATCCCAGCACTTTGGAAGGCCAAAGCGGGAGGATTGCTTGAGCCCAGGAGTTCAAAACCAGCCTGGGCAATATAGTGAGACCTTGTCTGTACAAAAGAATCTTTAAAGAAATTTTTTTAAATAAAGTAATTGGTTAGCAAAAGTTTACTAATCACCTTCTATCTGTTGGACATTAGGATTGTCTCTAACTAATAGAAAATACAGATCATTGAGTGATCAATATAGGCCAGCAGAACGGAGTAGAAAGCCCGGAATGTAAAGCAGTGCATGTGTGCGAGCTGATTCGAGACAGAGCTGTGATGTAGATAAACGGACAGAGGGTGATTCGAAAGGTAGACTGAGTCCAGCTTGTATTGGGTCATAAAAGAGATTTATAGGCATTTAGAATTGAGCGCAGGGTTTTTAAACAAGTGGTCATGATTTTTTGGAAAGGGGATTATTGCATAGTATAAGGAACAGAGCAGGCTTTGCTGCTGGACAGACTTAGATTCAAATCTTGGCTCTGAGGCTGGGCGGGATGGCTCATGCCTGTAATCCCATCACTTTGGGAGATCAAGGTGGGAGAACCTCTTGAGCCCAGGAGTTCAAGACTAGCCTGTGCAACAGAGCGAGACTGTGTCTCAAAGAAAAGGAAAAAAATGCTTGGCTCTGACATCTAGTAGCTATAAGGTCTTGGGCAGACAATCACATAACATCTCTTTTTCTTATCTCTGAAGTGCTGTTGCAATGATTGAGGGTAATATTTAAAAAGCACCTATTACAGTGGCTGTCAGTAAGTGGGTATCCAGTATACAGCAGCCAGACAAAAAGATGTAAAGCATGTAAGGAGAAACGTTTTTGAGACAAGGAAAATTTTGAGATGAGTTCATCAGCCCAGAAGGCTCTGAGTCATATAAATGAACATTAATAACCATAATACCATTACCCCTCTTAAATTATTAACCTTAATATTATTTAATATCTAGTTATTATTTTTGATAAGCAAACTTTTCCAGCTTTGGACTATGGGAGCCAAACTGGCTCCTGTATCCTTTATTTTGATCCCAGCAGTCTTCGACAGATAGCTTCATTGCTTTTTGCCCACCTTCCCAAAGTCCATTTTTAGCCTATACTGAAGTTGGTTGTTTCTTCAAAAAGCTTTGGTTTCTTCCAGTTAGAACTGTAGAGACTACAGTCTAAGTTTTAGGAGAGATAAGATAGACAGATCCTCTAGAAAGAGGAATGTAAAGAATTAATTCATAATATTCCAAATTCAAATTTATGGTGGCAGGATTTTTTATGTAATCTATTTGATTTTATATTTTTATGTATTACACCAAAAATGTTGGTTTATAATTACTTTGATCCTAGTACATGCAATTTCTTTTTTTTTTTTTGAGACGGAGTCTTACTCTGTTCCCCACGCTGGAGCGCAGTGGTGCGACCTTGGCTCACTGCAATCTCTGCTTCCTGAATTCAAGCGATTCTCCTGCCTCAGCCTCCCAAGTAGCTGGGATTACAGGCTCTGGCCACCACGCCCAGCTAATTTTTGTATTTTTAGTTTGACACAAGGTTTCAACATGTTGGCCAGGCTGGCCTGGAACTCATGACCTCAGGTGATCCACCCACCTTGGCCTCCCAAAGTGCTGGGATTACAGGTGTGAGCCACCATGCCTGGCCATGCAATTTCAAAATAGCAATATCAGTGTCATTATTAACACTGTCATTATTAAGACTGCTGAAGTCAGTTTAAGAATTGTGATTCATTTGGTCTTTATATCCCTCTGTGAATCCTAGGGACATGTAATCAATATATCATGTTTTAAAGTAATGTTAATTGTCCTTTGGGTACACCAACTTTATATACAGTGAGGTTCGTTTGTTCAGTATGTTTGAAAGTTACAGGGATTTCTATGTTTTCCTTTTTGAAATAGTTCTATTTTAAATTACATAAAATACTTGTTGTTTGAAAAAAATACGCTAAAACAAGATACACTCAAAAATTCAATTTCCATCCCTTTCCACTCTACATTTTTCCTTCCTCTCCATTTTTATTATTTTTTGATTATCCTTTGTTGTTCTTTTTTAAACGGTATGCGTATCAGTGTATCTGAAAACTGCCACCTTCTAACATTTAAGGTAGTAGACAGTATATATAGATTTGAACCTTGCTTTTTCACATAATAGACAGTTGACGTCATTCCATAGCAGTACACAGAAACTCATCTTTGGTCTTACAACTGCATAGGTACTCTAGTCCTCTATTGACAAACGTTGGGTTGTTTCAGTCTTCTGCTATCACAAATAATGCTGCAAAGAATACATTTGTTCATATGTCCTTTCACCCTTGGCAGTTTTGCCTCTGGAAAAATTTCTAGAAGTCAGATTCCGGTCAAGGGTTAAATGCGCATGTGATTTTGCTGGGTATTGTTAAATCCCCCTACAGGGCATGTACCACTCAGCATTCCCCTCAGTATTGAATGAAAGGGACCATTTCTCCCTGGCCTCACCAGCAGATTTGGTTATTGTAGCTCTGGGCTTTTACCAATTTGACAGGTAAAAAATAGTATCTAGGATGGGCATGGAGGCTCACGCCTGTAATCCCAGCACTTTGAGAGTCCGAGGCAGGCAGATCACCTGAGTTCGAGACCATCCTGGCCAACATGGTGAAATCCTGTCTCTACTAAAAATATAAAAATTAGCTGGGCATGGTGGTGCACGCCTGTAATCCCAGCTACTCGGGACGCTGAGGCAGGAGAATCTCAGGAACCCAGGAGGCACAGGCTGCAGTGAGCAGAGATAGCGCCACTGCACTCCAGCCTGGGCAACATAGTGAGACTCTGTCTCAAAAAAAAAAAAAAAAAAGCTAGCTGAGCGCCACCGTGGCTCACTCTTGTAATCCCAGCACTTTGGGAAGCCAAGGCAGGTGGATCACCTGCGATCAGGAGTTTGAGACCAGCCTGACCAACATGGCAAAACCCCATCTCTACTAAAAATACAAAAAATTTAACCAGGTGTGGTGGCGTGTGCCTATAATCCCAGCTACTTAGGAGGCTGAGGCAGGAGAACTGCTCGACCCTGGAAGGCGGAGGTCAAGTGAGCCGACCTCATGCCACTGCCCTCCAGCCTGGACAACAGAGTGAGACTCCATCTTAAAAAAAAAAAAAATAGTATTTAATTTTTGTCTCTTATGAGTAGTTTGATCATCTGTTCACATGTTGAATGATTATTTTCAGTTCTGTTTCCGTGAGTCTTAGTTCATATCCTTTACCCATTTTTCTGAAGGGCTACCAGCCAAATCTCACGTTCAAGAGTTTTTCCTATAGTAGAGAAACCTATTCCAAATGAAGCAAAGTTTTGAATGTAAAATAGAAGTGCAGTGTTACAAGAAACAGTCTCCTCACACGTTGCTAGTGGGAGTGTCAGTTGGTACAGCTCTCTAGAGGGCTGCGTGGCAGGAATTGTCTACATAAGAGATACACGCACCCTTTGATCAAGCAGCTTTACCTTTAGGAAGTTATCCTACACACATACTGGGAAATGGATACAAGGATTTAATGTAACATTGTTTTAATAACAGCAGCTTGGAAACAATCTACATGTTATCTTTTCAGGGAGCTGGTTGAATAACTTACAGTATTGGTGTAAGTTGAAATATACTATGTAACTATGAAAAAGAATAAGGCAACTGAAGACGTACTCATGAGAATGATCTCAAAGGAATTATATAAAAAACAAGGGTCAGAATTGTATAGTATCCTCTATTATTTGGGCTTTTAAAAATCTTTTGGCCAGGCACAGTGGCTCACGCCTGTAATCCCAGCACTTTGGGAGACTGAGGTGGGCAGATCACCAGGTCAGGTGATTAAGACTATCCTGGCTAACATGGTGAAACCCCGCCTCTATTAGGAATATTTTTTAAAAATTAGCTGGGCGTGGTGGCGGGCACCTGTAGTCCCAGCTACTAGGGAGGCTGAGGCAGGAGAATGGCGTGAACCCGGGAGGCGGAGCTTGCAGTAAGCAGAGACCGCGCCACTACACTCCAGCCTGGGCGACAGAGCGAGACTCCATCTCAAAAATAGATAAATAAATAAATATATTTTAATATGCATAAAATAATTCTTACAGGATATATTAGAAACTGGTAATTGTTATTGAGATAAAAAGGAAATTTTTACTGTACATTCTTTTTTTTTTTTTTTTTTTTTTTTTTGAGACAGAGTCTCACACTGTCGCTGGGGCTAGAGTGCAGCGGTGCGATCTCAGCTCACTGCAATCTCCGCCTCCTGGGTTCAAGCGATTCTCTTGCCTCAGCCTCCCAAGTAGTTGGGATTACAGGCTCTGGCCACCACGCCCAGCTAATTTTTTGTATTTTTAGTAGAGACAGGGTTTCATCATGTTGGCCATGCTGGTCTTGAACTCTTCACCTCGTGATTCCACCCGCCCTGGCCTCCCAAAGTGCTGGGATTACAGCTGTGAGCCACCGTGCCCAGTCTACTGTACATTCTTATTGTTAGAATCGGTAACGTGCAAATATTACCTTTCCTGGTTTTGGCTTTTTTAAGTAAAAAAGTAAAATTCCTCTGTCCCAGCGATCCGAGTCTCCATCCAGTAGGTACCCATTGTTAACATTTTTACTGTGTGCAAACACAGATAATACCCAGAATTTTTTGACTGTTCTACATAGCAGGGTCACAGCATATTTGCTTTTTAAAAAGCATCTTCTTTTCTCTTTTATCCATTACATCTTGCATAGCATTTTGTATCGTGTAATTTGCCTCATTCTTTAGATGGCCTTTTTTACTAGAGTATAATACACAGAAAAACAAATTGTAACCACCACTCAGGTCAAGTAATAAAACATTTTCATCACCAGAAACCTCCCTCCTGCCCACTCCCCATCATGCTTCTCCTTTCCTTCTTATTAGCACCTTTTATAGTGTACCCTGTTTTTCAATTTTATATAGATGGAAATAGAGTATGCATTCTTTGGTGTTTGACTTAACATTTTACTTGTGAGATGTGTCCACATTCATGCACATAGCAGTAGGTAATTCATTGTCATTGATGTATATACTGTTCCGCACTGGGAATATAACCACAGTTAATTTATCCATTCTGCCATTGGACATTTGGGTTTCCAGTTTGGAGCTATTATACATAATATTGCTATAGATAATTGTCTAAGTCTTTCGGTATACATAAAGTATTTGTACGTTCACTTTTAGTAGATATTGCTAACCTTTTTTTTTTTTTTTTTTTTGAGACAGATTCTCGCTCTGTCACCCAGGCTGGAGTGTAGTGGCGCGATCTCGGCTCACTGCAACCTCCACCTCCTGGGTTCAGCTATTCTGCTGCCTCAGCCTCCCTAGTAGCTGGGACTATAGGTGCAGGCGCATGCCACTGTGCCCAACAAATTTTTGTATTTTTAGTAGAGACAAGGTTTCACTATATTGGTCAGTCTGGTCTCGAACTCCTAACCTCAGGTGAGGCCTCTGCCTCCCAAAGTGCTGGGATTACAGCTACAGTGCAGTGGCACCGTATTGGCACTCACTGCAACCTCTGCCTCCTGGGTTCAAGTGATTCTCATGCCTCAGCCTCCCAAATAGCTGAGATTACAGGCATGCACCACCACACTGAGCTACATTTTAAAACTTTTAATAGAGATGGAGTTTTACCATGTTGGCCAGGCTGGTCTCAAACTCCTGACCTTAAGTAACCTGCCCACTTTAGCCTTCCAAAATGCTGGGATTACAGGCATGAGCCACTGCGCCCAGCTGCTAAGCAATGTATTAAAGGGAGTGTTTCAGTTTATATTCTTTTTTTTTTTTTTTTTTTTTTTTTGAGACGGAGTTTCACTCTTGTTGCCCAGGCTGGAATGCAATGGCACAATCTTGGCTCATGGCAACCTCCACCTCCTGGGTTCAAGTGATTCTTCTGCCTCAGCCTCCCGAGTAGCTGGGACCACACGCATGCACCACCACGCCCAGCAAATTTTGTATTTTTAGTGGAGATGGGGTTTCTGCATGTTGGTCAGGCTGGTCTCAAACTCCCAACCTCAGGTGATCCAACTGCCTTGGCCTCCCAAAGTGCTGGGATTACAGGCGTGAGCCACTGCACCCAGCCCGGTTTATATTCTTACCAGCAGTATATGAGATTTTTATTTATGTTGTTCCATATCCTCACCAACACTTGGTATTGCCAGTCTCTTTAGCCATTCTGCTAAGTGTGAAGTAATATTTCATTGTGGTTTTAATTTGCATTTCCCTGATTACTGAAATACCAACTGTTTATTGGCTATTTGTATAGCCTCTTTTGTGAGATGCCTGTTCAAATTTCTTGGCTCTTTTTTTTTTTTTTTTTTTTTTTTTTTGAGACAGAGTCTCGCTCTGTCACCAGGCTGGAGTGCAGTGATGCGATCTGGGCTCACTGCAAGCTCCGCCTCCCGGGTTCACGCCATTCTCCTGCCTCAGCCTCCCGAGTAGCTGGGACTGCGGGCACCTGCCACCACACCCAGCTAATTTTTTGTATTTTTAGTAAAGACAGGGTTTCACCATGTTAGCCAGGATGGTCTCAATCTCCTGACCTCATGATCTGCCCACCTCAGTCTCCCAAAGTTCTGGGATTACAGGCATGAGCCACCGCGCCTGGCCTCTTGGCTCTTTTCTACTAAGTTGTCTTTTTCTCAGAGATTTGAATATGCTTTTTATATATTCTAGATACAAGCTCTCTGTCATGTATGTGTTACAACAAAAGTGTCCTGCTCTTGCCATTCTACTTCCTTGTAGTTAGCATAGTTTGTGTAGTATTTAGGAAATCTTTGCCTGTCCAACCTAAGGTCATGATAATTTTCTTCTATGCTACCTTCTAGAAGCTTTATTATTTTATTAATATTTTCATATGTAAATCCATAATCCACCTGAAATTGATTTTTGTGTGTGGTGTGAGGTTGGGATCAAAATTAGTTTTTTTTGTTTGTTTGTTTGTTTTTTACTATAGAAATACCCATTTCTCTCAGCAACATTTATTGAAAGGACCATCCTTATTTCTCTGCAGCACTGCCTTTGTCTAATTTAAGTGTCCGTATATATGTGGGTCCATTTCTAGACTTTCTTTTGTTCCATTGGACTATTTTTCTTACTACCCTTGTACCAGTCTTTGTTTTACCCCTACCCTTATACTTTAAGTCTTGATAGAGTCAGTCGTCCCCCTTTCTCATTTCTTTTCAGGACTGTCTTGTTTCTTGGCCTTTTGCATTTTCATATAATTTTTAGATCAACTTGTCAATTTCCACACACACAAAAAAAAGTTTTGAGATACTGATTGGGATTGCCTTTCATCTACTGATTACTTTGGATGGAGTTAACATTGTTATAATATTGACCTTGTTTACTTCTAATCTATGAACATGGAATGTCATTCATTTCTTTATTTAACTTTTGAGACAAGGGGTCTTGCTCTGTGGCCCAGGCTGGAGTGCAGTGGCATGATCATAGCTCACTACTGCCTTGAAATCCCAGGCTCAAGCAATCCTCCTGCCTCAGCCTTTTGAGTACAGGCATGCATCACCACACCTAGCTAATTTTAAAAAACTTATAGTAGAGACAAGGTCTCACTGTGTTGCCTAGGCTGGTCTCAAACTTTTGAGCTCAAGCAGTCTTCCCACCTTGGCCTCTCTGAGTGCTGGAATTATAGGCATGAACCACCATGTCCCACCTCTTTCATTTATTTACATTATCTCTAATTCATCTCTGTAGAAGTTTTACTTCTCTTGTATTAGATTTATTTCTAGGTATCTGGTTTTTGTTTTGTTTTGTGAGATGGAGTCTCGCTCTGTCGCCCAGGCTGGAGTGCAGTGGCACAATCTCGGCTCACTGCACCCTCCACCTCCCGGGTTCAAGTGATTCTCCTGCCTCAGCGTTCCAAGTAGCCGAGATTACAGGCATGCGCCACCACACCTGGCTAATTTTGGAGTTTTAGTAGAGACAGGATTTCACCTTGTTGGCCAGGCTGGTCTCAAACTCCTGACCTCAAGTGATCCACCTGCCTCTGCTTCCCAGAGTGCTGGGATTATAGGCATGAGCCACAGTGCCTGGCCCTAGGTATATGGTTTTGATGCTATTATAAATAGTGTCTTCAAAATGTGATTGGCTGTGCTGGTGTCTAGAAATACAACTGATTTTGTATTCAGAAAGTTTGCTAAATCTGTATGTTCTTTAGGATTTTAGTACATACACTCATGTCTATGATAATGAGTTTTTCCTTCCCTCTGCAGTCTTATTCTGTTTATGTCTTACTGCACTTGGCTAGGACTTTGAGTTGAATAGACATAATAATAAACATCCTTGTCTTGTTATATCTGAAATGAGTGTGTACGTACAGTCAATGAAGTAGAGGAGTAATAACTTTTTTCCCCTAATTGTTAAACCAGTTGACCAGTTGTCTTCCAGTCCTAGCTAATCATTACAGTCACCTTTGGCTTTTTTTTTTTTTTTTCCTTGAAGAGACCTCACTATATTGCCTAGGCTGGTCTCAAAACTCTTGGGCTCAAGTGATCCTCCCACCTTGGCCTCCCAAAGTGTTGGGATTACAGGCATGCACCACCACACCTGGCTAATTTTTGTATTTCTAGTAGAGATGAGGTTTCACCATGTTGGCCACACTGTTCTCGAACTCCTGACCTCAGGTGATCCTCCTGCCTCAGCCTCCTGAAGTGCTGGGATTACAGGCATGAGCCACCTCATCCGGCCCCTTTGGCATTTCTGACCCTTGCTTGCTCAGTGATGTGTATCCCTCAGTGTCTGGAGCACATTGTGAACAAAAATGCAAGGTTTATGGTTTTGTTTTAATTTTATTACTTTAACTACAGATAGGGTCTTTCTGTGTTGCCCAGGCTGGTCTGAAACTCCTGGGCTCAAGCAGTTCTCCTGCCTCAGTCTCCCAAAGTGCTAGGATTACAGGCATGAGCCACTGCACTTGGCCATCTATGTGCTTTTAAAGTTCCACAGGTGGCTAAGCGTGGTGGCTCACACCTGTAATCCTAGTGCTTTGGGAGGCCAAGGCGGGCAGATCACGAGGTCAAGAGATCAAGACCATCCTGGCCAACATGGTGAAACCCCATCTCTACTAAAGATACAAAAATTAGCCGGCTGTGGTGGCATGCTCCTGTAGTCCCAGCTACTCAGGAGGCTGAGGCAGGAGAATCGCTTGAACCAGGGAGGCGGAGGTTGCAGTGAGGTGAGATCGTGCCACTGCACTCCAGCCTGGTGACAGAGCAAGGCTCCGTCTCAAAAAAAAAAAAAGTTCCACAGGTGACTGATGAGCCGTCGTGTGAGAACCAGCGAGGTAGTGTCAGGGATCTGAAGTGATTGAAAATGCCGCTTATATATTCAATCCTTGGATCCCTTTGATGAGTTTTTGTATTCTGCTCTTTTATATGCCTGTAATCCCATGTTTTTTAAACCATTGTGCTCTGGCCTTTCTTGCTGTTTGAGCGTAACTTCAACTGTTATTGCCGTGAGCAGTCTTCTCAAGCTCCTCCTGGGCCCGGCTTCCTGATGATGGCCTCACTGAACTGTTCTGCTGCTTACCACTTGTCTGAAGCTTCCTCTTTTCCCTTTTTGAACTCTTATTAAGCTTGGCTTCCTGTTTGTACTTATTAAGCTTGTTGGCTTCCTGTTTGTACTTATATGATGTAGCTGGTACTGGGTAAGAAATCACTAGCAGCTTTTCAAGTAGGAAAGACGGTCTGAGGTGACAGTTTAGTGGCTTTGTAATTAGGCTCAGCACTTACGAGACTATTTGCAGTGTCCGCTCTGTGCCATCTACTTTGCTGCTGGTCTGTGGAGGAAGCAGAGATGAAAACACCATCTTTGCTGTCAAGAACTCACCTGGTGGAAGAGGCAGATGTATGGATAATCATCACATGATGATAAATGCCATCGTTGTTGCAAAAGTCATAAATATTATGACAGTGCTTTTTTTGTTTTTGTTTTTGTTTTTTGTTTCTTTTTGAGACAGAGTCTCACTCTGTCACCCAGGCTGGAGTGCAGTGGCACGATCTTGGCTCACTTCAAGCTCCGCCCCCCAGGTTTACGCCATTCTCCTGCCTCAGCCTCCCGAGTAGCTGGGACTACAAGCACCCGCCACCACGCCCAGCTAATTTTTTGTATTTTTTTGTATTTTTAGTAGAGATGGGATTTCACTGTGTTAGCCAAGATGGTCTCCATCTCCTGACCTCGTGATCCACCCCCCTTGGCCTCCCAAAGTGCTGGGATTACAGGCGTGAGCCACCACGCCTGGCCATGACAGCGTATTTTTAAAATGAAGTTACTAAATGAAAAATCGAAAATTTAATGGAAGCAAGACTAAATTAGTTTACTGGGTTGTCTTCTTTAATTTACTTGTATCCTTTCCGTAGACAGTCTGGCACAGGTTTGAATGTGTCCTGGCTCTTCATTACTGAGGCTAATATATGCAAAAGTGTGTCCATCCCTTCTACCTTTATTCACATTCCATTACTTTTATAGACTTTTCTTTTTTTGCTTTCATAATTAATACTGGCAGTTGACTTTCTTTTCAGGGGTCTTTCTTCACAAACAAATTTTTTTCATTTTCATTTTCTATTTTTTTTTTTTTTTTTTTTTTTTTGAGACAGGGTCTCACTCTGTCACCCAGGCTGGAGTGCAGTGGGGCAATCTCAGCTCACTGCAGCCTCCTGAGTAGTTGGGACCACAGATGCAAACCACCACACCCAACTGATTTTTCAATTTTTTGTAGAGACGGGGGTCTCGCTATGTTACCCAGGCTGGTCTCAAACTCCTGGGCTCAAGCAATCCTCCCACCTTGGCCTCCCAGCATGCTGGGATTACAGGCATGACTAACCATTTAACCATAAAAAATATTTTTTTAGTCACTTAAAAAGAGACTTTGTCATGTTGAGGGTCAGATGCTAAGTTATCAGCAGGCTCAGTCATGTCCCTCTTGATTTTTAGCTGTGGAAGAGAAATGGCCCCAGTTCATCACCCTTCTCTAGCCCAGCCTCATCCCGCTCCCAGACACCGGAGAGGCCAGCAAAGAAAATAAGGTATTCGGCATTCTCCTGCAGTTTTCATTTGCTACGTGGACAGAAGGGGGTGAGGAAAGGTGGGAAACGAACCTGGCTCTTAGGCTTTGTGCTGCTGTGACTTGGAGAATCAAAGAAACTAAGTCCCTGAGAGGGACAATGCAGCACCCACCTGAACAACTATCATCCCTACAGTCTTGGATACTGACTCCAGTGGCCTCTGGCTGTCGCCTCCCACTCCAGCATGAGGGATCGGGTGCAAGCACAGAGGCCATGCAGAGTGGAGAGCAGAGAGAGTCAAGTCAGCGGGCAGTCGCCTTCAGGTTCTTGACTCGAGCTGATCCCCTAGGTGCTTGCAGTTGGCTGGAATGCCACTCCCTCAGGGATCACATCTGTGTCTAGAACTCCCAGGGACTTGGTAGGTTGTAAGTAAGGTTTGAAGATTATTGTTTTGTGCTTGTTTTAAGACAAAAACTGTCTTCATGGCCTCTGTGAACAGCCTCCCTTCATTCTGTTGGAATTTCCTGTTGACTTTTTTTATCCTGGCATACTGAGATCTTAAATGATGGTTGTTTTAGATGTTGGCCACTTGGTAGTTAGGAGGGTGTGAGAAATTATTTAATACTTCAGCCAAGAAGTCTTTCTAGACTAAATTGTTCCTTTTTTCCCAACAGAGAAGAAGAGCTGTGTCATCATTCCAGTTCTTCAACTCCATTGGCAGCAGACAAGGAGTCCCAGGGAGAAAAGGGTAGGTTGCTGAGCCAGGAGGAGGGGCTGCTGTTGGTGGTGGAGGTATTTGTGGAGGATGTAGAGATTAATACCTATTGAAAAAAGGTCTTGAGCATTGCTATGTCTAAGGCATGTTAGATACAAAGAGAGAGATTTCCTCTCCTTCAGAAGTTTATAGTCTGATGAGGGAGAAAGGCTACAGATGGGGGCTAACGATTGGATAGAGGTAAGCTCAGTTTGAGTCACCTGTGGGTGATCCCAGTAATTACTGCACAGTAAGCGGTTTGTGTGCGCGCCTTAATCTTACAAACACCATCCAAGCAACCAAACCATAGAAGATTGAATCTTTTCAGAGATACCATCATTGAAAACTCAGTGTGAAATGCGAAGTGGGTAGACACAACCATCCATTTCTGGAAGAGGGAAGGAAGCAAACGAGTCTTGATTTCTTTCTTTAGCTGCAGATACAACCCCAAGGAAGAAACAAAACTCGAATTCTCAGTCTACACCTGGCAGCTCTGGGCAGCGTAAGCGGAAAGTTCAGCTGCTGCCTTCTCGGCGAGGGGAACAGCTGACCTTGGTATGGTCTTGTCCATCTACTCCTGCCCTCCCCGGCTTAGCTCTCCTAAGTCTTAGGAACGCTAAGGACAAGTTTCTTCTGTTTTTTTTTCTAACTTATTTTTGTTTTTGTTTTTTGAGACAACATCCCTCTGTCACCCAGGCTGGAGTTCAGTGGCTCGATTTTGGCTAACCGTAACCTCTGCCTCCTGAGTTCAAGCAATTCTCCTGCCTCAGCCTCCCAAGTAGCTGGGATTACAGGCGCTTGCTACCACGCCTGACTAATTTTTTGTATTTTTAGTAGAGATGGGGTTTCACCATGTTGGCCAGGCCAGCCTCAAACTCCTGACCTCAAGTGATCCAGCTGGCTTGGCCTCCCAGAGTGCTGAGATTACCGGCGTTAGCCACCACGCCCAGCCTTCCCGTTTTTTCTGATTGGCCTGACTTCTTCTTTTTCTCTTTGGTAGCCTCCACCTCCCCAGCTTGGCTATTCGATCACTGCCGAGGACCTAGACTTAGAGAAGAAGGCTTCATTACAGTGGTTCAACCAGGCCTTGGAGGACAAGAGTGGTAAGGAGCACAGATCGTTGCACTCTCGAGAGGTTTCAGGTGTCTGTTTTCTTTGGTTTTATTTTGGTGTTTGGAAAAATGGGTTTCTCTGGGAAAATCCGAAGTAGAGTTCCATGTTTTCTTGTGGTCTTTCTCACCTGAGATATCCGTGTTGGTCTTCACGGGAACTGGACAGCAGGGACTACTGCAATTTAGGGCAGACATTCCTCCATGAGCTGTGCTGAGAGCCTGCTCTCCGACAGGCATGTGGAAAGAAGTCCCAGACAAGCCAGGACTGCTTCACCTTTCTTTCTTTCTTAGATGCTGCCTCGAACTCTGTCACTGAGACCCCACCTACCACTCAGCCTTCATTTACCTTTACCCTGCCTGCTGCTGCAACTGCCTCCCCACCCACCTCCCTCCTGGCCCCAAGCACCAACCCACTGTTAGAGAGCTTGAAGAAGATGCAGACTCCCCCGAGCCTGCCACCCTGCCCAGGTGAGCTGGAGTGGGGCCGTGGATCCAGCCTTCTGAGCAGCATCCCCGGCTTGGGTTGGAATAAGGGCGTCGTGCCTGTCAGTCGCTGGAGATTGCTCTGCAGGCCGAACGCACCCTGGCTCAGCACACCGGAGCGGGCCTACGTTTAACAGCGCCGGAGCCCACATCAGGAAGTGTTAGAGAAGGGGTGCTGCGACGCTCAGGATCTGAAGCCTGGCTTAGCTGCCCTGAGCCTCGCCTTCCTCATTTGTCAGATGAGAATGATCTTCCCGGTGCAGCACCTCTGAAGTGTGAATGTGGTGGCGTGGTCAGGATATCCTTGCCTGTCAGAACTACTGGTCCAGAACAACACTGCTTCCTTTCCCTCCAGCACTTTGAGGGCTGCTGGTGTTCCCGGCCCAGGCCTTCACGGCACTGCGCGCGCACACCTCTTTATCAGACGGTAACCTGGGGTTCGTACGCACCCTCCCTGCTCAAGGGCAGAGACTTCCCCATTCATAGTTGTGTGCTCTTAGCGCCTGGCAGGTGAGCTTAGTAGGCAAATAAAGTATATCTAGATTCATACGTGAACTTCAGAGTTCAGACAATTGGACTGTCTTAGTCTCTACACATTAGGCCCCCATTTAGGCCCCATTTTATCCCCTTCTGTCTGATGATCTGTGAGGTGGAAATAATGAACACTTCCTTGATTTACTGTACAGGCCTGTAGTGTAGACTTAGCTGAGTTTATTGACTGACTCTTGGATCCCAGGCTCTGTGGTAGGCGTGGGGAGGACGCTGAAATACTGAATACCATCATCTTTGAAGTGTTTATTCCAATTTCACATTTTCTATTCTTCTTCCAGAATCTGCTGGAGCAGCAACCACTGAGGCCCTCTCACCTCCAAAGACACCCAGCCTCCTACCCCCGCTGGGTTTATCACAGTCAGGGCCGCCAGGGCTGCTCCCCAGCCCCTCCTTTGACTCCAAACCCCCGACCACTTTGCTGGGGCTGATCCCTGCTCCATCCATGGTACCAGCCACTGACACCAAGGCACCTCCAACCCTTCAGGCAGAGACGGCTACCAAACCCCAAGCCACATCTGCCCCGTCCCCCGCCCCCAAGCAAAGCTTCCTGTTTGGAACACAGAACACCTCACCTTCCAGCCCTGCCGCCCCTGCTGCATCTTCAGCATCTCCCATGTTCAAGCCCATTTTCACGGCTCCACCCAAGAGTGAGAAGGAAGGCCTCACACCGCCTGGCCCTTCAGTCTCAGCCACAGCGCCCTCCAGCTCCTCCCTCCCCACGACCACCAGCACCACAGCCCCGACCTTCCAGCCTGTCTTTAGCAGCATGGGGCCACCTGCATCTGTGCCCTTGCCTGCTCCCTTCTTCAAGCAGACAACTACTCCCGCCACTGCTCCCACCACAACTGCCCCGCTCTTCACTGGCCTGGCCAGCGCCACCTCTGCTGTGGCTCCCATCACCTCTGCCAGTCCATCCACAGACTCTGCTTCGAAGCCTGCGTTTGGCTTTGGCATAAACAGTGTGAGCAGCAGCAGTGTGAGTACCACGACCAGCACCGCCACTGCCGCCTCACAGCCTTTCCTCTTCGGGGCGCCCCAGGCCTCTGCTGCCAGCTTCACCCCGGCCATGGGCTCCATATTCCAGTTTGGCAAACCTCCTGCCTTGCCCACAACCACCACAGTCACCACCTTCAGCCAGTCCCTGCCCACTGCCGTGCCAACGGCCACCAGCAGCAGCGCTGCCGACTTTAGTGGTTTTGGCAGCACCCTCGCCACCTCCGCCCCGGCCACCAGCAGCCAGCCCACTCTGACGTTCAGTAACACGAGCACCCCCACGTTCAACATTCCCTTTGGCTCAAGCGCCAAGTCCCCGCTCCCATCATATCCGGGAGCCAACCCCCAGCCCGCATTTGGGGCCGCTGAGGGGCAGCCACCGGGGGCCGCCAAGCCAGCCCTTACCCCCAGCTTTGGCAGCTCTTTCACTTTTGGAAACTCTGCAGCCCCGGCCCCGGCTACTGCACCCACACCTGCACCTGCGTCCACGATCAAGATCGTGCCTGCGCACGTGCCTACGCCCATCCAGCCTACCTTTGGCGGTGCCACGCACTCGGCGTTTGGATTGAAAGCCACGGCTTCCGCCTTCGGCGCTCCCGCCAGCTCACAGCCCGCCTTTGGCGGCTCCACTGCTGTCTTCTCCTTCGGTGCAGCCACCAGCTCCGGCTTTGGAGCCACCACCCAGACCGCCAGCAGCGGGAGCAGCAGCTCGGTGTTTGGCAGCACAACACCATCACCCTTCACGTTTGGGGGTTCGGCAGCCCCCGCTGGCAGTGGGAGCTTTGGGATCAACGTGGCCACCCCAGGCTCCAGCGCCACCACCGGAGCTTTCAGCTTTGGAGCAGGACAGAGTGGGAGCACAGCCACCTCCACCCCCTTCACAGGGGGCTTAGGTCAGAACGCCCTGGGCACCACCGGCCAGAGCACACCGTTTGCCTTCAACGTGGGCAGCACAACTGAGAGCAAACCTGTGTTTGGAGGTAAGGAGGGGCGTGGACTTGGGCTACCGGGCCGGACACTGAAAAGCTGTGCCTGTGAAGCCTGTGGTCTCGGGGAGCTTATGCTGTGGCAGTGAAGAGACAGGCACTGAATATAGAACTCAGTGAGATGCCAGGGCATGATACATGTTTTGCTAACGTAGTAATGACTGGAGGAGCCATTGTGGATTTAACTGGTCAAAGGCCTTCTGAGTACTTAACAATTGTAAGCTGAAGGTTGGGCGCAGTGGCTCATGCTTGTAATCCCAATATTTTGGGAGGCCAAGGAGGGTGGATCACTTGAGGACAGGAGTTCAAGACCAGCCTGGGCAACTTGGCGAAACCCTGTCTCTACTAAAAATACCAAAAAATTAGCCGGGCATGGTGGTACCCACCTGTAATCCCAGCTGCTCGGGAGGCTGAGGCAGAAGAATGTTTCAACCCAGGAGGTGGAGGTGGCAGTGAGCGAAGATCATGCCACACTGTACTCTGGCCTAGGTGACAGAGCAAGACTGTCTCAAGCGTAAGCTGAATATGGGGGTGGGGTGGGGGTGGGCACAGCACAAGTGGACATGCCTTTCAGGCCCAGGATGGCGCATGCAAAGGCCCAGAGGCAGAAACATGTTTGGTATGTTGAAGAGCAGAACAAAGACAAGCATGGCAGGAGGGCAGGAGCTAAAGCAGTGGTGTGGAAGGAGGCCAAGAGGCGAGGATTGTTTGTGGCCAGGGTTGGGTGTTTGGGTCTTAAGTGTTCAGGAAAACCATTGCAGAATCAGGCAGAAGGATGCAGTGATGGTTCCTCCCGTGTGGAAGATGAATGTAGATCCCATGGCTTCTGTTTGCTTCGTGAAGTAGGAGAGAAAATCTGGGAGAGGGAAGGTCGGGATAAAGTGTATAAAAAAGGGGTCTTTTGAAATAGTCATTTTGGACAGTGGGGGAAAGGAACATCATATTAAAAAGTGTGATCAGTTTCCAGGCAGTTTGTGGGCTGGAAAATTGTGATTGTGAAGTTAAAGTGAGGCCAGTTAGCATGGCGTGTGTTTCCCAGCGACACTGGGTATAGATCTAAGGTCAGCGGACAGCTGGTGCCACCCGGCTGTGGAGACCCCAGCAAGCACAGCAGGAGGGGCAGCGGGTCAGTGCCCCGATGCAGCTCAGGGGGTGCAGGAGTGGAGAGCGGGTGAAGTCAGCTGCAGGAGGGGTGGTGCCTGCAGGAGATTCGGGAGCCGGAGCAGTTGTGGTGACAGTGTGGCTGCAGGAGTGGTGGCAGGGGTCGGGGAGAGGAGGTCATGGGGGTGGCAGGGCCGAGGGGCTGAGAGGACCATCAGTCAGCCCCACAGGGCGAAGTCACCGTGAGTGGTGATGGGGAGGAAGCCAGTGAGCCAAGGGTCCTCTGTGAATCAGGGAGTGACCTGGCAGTTGACAGGTGACATGAGGACATGGCAGATTAAAGTGATTTGAACCTGAGTTACGGTATTTAGGGAAGGAAGAGAAACTGTGTGGAAGCAGCGTGGGAGCACAGGGAGCTTCCCCTTGTCCGGGCCGGAGGCCAAGCCCTGAGAGCAGCCATCCCTGCAGAGGGGCTGCCAGAGAGGGCATCGGGCAGGCAGCCAGAGCCAGTCAGGGCAAGGCCGGGGAAGGGAGGGGACCACGGGGCATCACAAAAGACACAGGACGGACAAACCAGGCTTCAGAGGGGAGGGGACGGTGGCTAGGGGGAAAAGGCCTGAACAGAGGAGGTAGCCAACCCAGGTACGCTAGGAGGCGGGGGCCCCAGAGTACTCCCCTCTGCAGCGATGGTCAGGAGGCCCACGAGGTGGCTGCGGGGCAGGGGGGCTTTTTCTCTGCCCTGGCGTGGCCATTAGCGGGTGGGAGAAGCAGGCTGAGCTGGGGCACCAGGCATGAAGACTCGGTTGTCTGGCTCAGCTGCTGATGGAGGAGTGCCCCAGAAGCAGAAGTGGGGCTGAGGGTCCCGTGGGAAGTGCCCTGCAGAGCACAGGCTCCTGCCCGGCTCCTCGCCTGCCTCCGCCCTCTGCTCACTGGCTAGCTCTCTGTTCTCTTCATTCCAGGCACCGCCACCCCCACCTTTGGTCAGAACACCCCTGCGCCTGGAGTGGGCACATCGGGCAGCAGCCTCTCCTTTGGGGCATCTTCAGCACCCGCCCAAGGCTTTGTTGGTGTTGGACCGTTCGGTAAGCAGCAAGCCACCCTGTGGCCCTGCTCGTCTGTCTGAGGAGAGGTTGGGTGGGGTGGCAGGCTCCTGGCCCTCTGAGGCCCCGTGAAGATCAGGTTCAGCACAGGAAAGACATTTCGGGTTAGGAGTACAGCACAGCCCAGGGATGGGAGTTGGATGGCAGAGATCAGAGAGGAGCTGTCCGGGGTGGAAGTTTGCCTCCCATGGGAAGCCAGGTAAAAATGGATTCGTGGGCCTCGCTCTGAGACTCTGGGAGTTTGCATTTCAGGAGGCTCCTCCCGTACAGTGTTTCTGACGCAGCGGGGAAAGCCCTATTGAGGCACCCTGTGTTTTATTACTGGCCTGGCCTTCCAGAGATTTGGGCACCCAGAGCCAGAGTCTCAGGTAGCAGCTGCCCTGATGAGGTCTTGTTGAATCTTTCCAGGATCGGCGGCCCCTTCATTTTCCATTGGTGCGGGATCCAAGACCCCAGGGGCTCGACAGCGACTGCAGGCCCGAAGGCAGCACACCCGCAAAAAGTAGCCTTTGTCCCCTGTCCCTGTTCCCCCCACCCCTTCCCTAAATCTGGACCTTGGCACGTGCTAGAAAGAGCCTTGGACCCTTCCAGCTGCGTAAAGCAAACCTACCCCGGATCTCTGGCTTCAGCCGCCAGGGGGCAGTGGCAGCCCTGGGGCCCTTTCCCTTCTGGAGGAAGCACAAGCCTCAGGGAAGGGGAAGCAGGATGCGGAGGGCCAAAGCCCGGGACCTCTACTTGAACAGTTCCACTGGGGAGGCTGGAGAACTAAGGACCTGTACATAGTGTCCGCTGCCCTGACTCCCGCTTAGCGCACCCTTAGGCAGGCGCCCCTTCCACCTTTCCCCGAGAGCCGTCGTCGCTGGAGGGGGCAGGGTCCAGCCCGCCTGGATCGGTGGTGTGCACCTGATGGGATTTGGGAAATGGGTTATCCCTAAAGCTTTATCTTGCTTGGCTTAGCTGTGAGAAGTGGTTCTCTTCCTCTGGTCCCTTCTGGGGACTCTGTTTCCCCATTTCTTGCTGCTGTGTCCCTCACCGGTTCCTTGCAGGATTCCCTCCTTTTTAAATGCCCTTGAATCTAGCTTTGCCTTGGAGACCCCAGTGGGTGCTGCTCCTGCCGTTTTCTTCCTGCCAAGCCTGAATCAATGTTTCATCTCCAACCCTCTGCCAGTTTGGCCCCTCAGAGCTTGGTGGCTCAAGACTGTTAGCCTGGCAGAGCCAGGGGTGAAGGGAGAAGCTCTTGGAGCAGGCAGGATGCCCACTGCTGCTTCAGCTGCCTCCTCGCCCAGCTACCCTTTGGCCCCATTGGGCCCTCGTCTGCCTCTCCAGGATTGTATGTTTCAAGCCTTGTCCTGTGTTCCTTTGTCTGACGCTCTGTGTATTGCTCTTTGAATCGAGTTTGGAGGAAGAGTTGAGTTGTATGAGTGGCGGCATGTTGGTAGTGCCGGACTTCCTGTTTCAAGTTTTCTGGGGCCTCGCTAATTGAATGTGGAAAGTAGCACCACTTGACGGCTACAAGTGCCGACTCCTGAATTTTCCCATGGTGTTCTGACTTCAAGGGCTGGCAGCCAGGGAGAATGGGCCCAGGGGAAGCAAAGACCTCTTCCCTCTGCGGTTTCTGTCCCACTTAACTGACCTCACTGGAGGCTACGTCACCCAAAGTAGATGTTAGAAAACCTAAATTAATGAACCATATTTTTAAAATCCTATTTTTCCCAAACAGGGCCCTCTGCAGCCCATCCTTTCCTTCCGTCCTTCTGAAACCACATACCCCAGGCCCAAGCGCCTTGCTGTCACGCCCAACCTCTTTGGGAGAAGTATGAATGCGTGTGTCTAAATTAAAAGAAAAAAATATTTAAACGTTTTTTAACAAAAATTTATTTTTGTATTTAAGCTAAATTGCCTTTTAAATTCCTTCAAGCTTGGTTCATTGAGGTGGTTAAGTATAAATGCTATTAACTAGGAATTAGCTGTATAGTTAAGTTATGCCTGTGCAAAGAAGAGGCTCAAATGCTGTCCCCGGCAGCTTTCCTGGGGGACTAGAGCTCCTTCTGGCCATGTTATATGAAATGTAATTCTTATTTTATAAATAATGTGATGTAGATGTAACCGGTGCCCCCTCCCCGTTGTGACTGAGGGCGAGTGTTATACCTGGCTGCGTGTGCAGCTGAGGAGGGAGTGAACCTCAAGCCTAAATACCTGTTAGGATTGGAGGGTCTGGGTGGGCCTGGGCCTAGCAATCAAGCTTCTACCTGTACCTTATGTAAGGTAGACCCTCCTAGTGTCAGTACCTGAGCTTGTTTACCTCAGTTCCGCAGGCAGGACAGCCGGTCCGGGAACCCTGAGTGAGAGTGAGTGTGGATGTGTACAGTACACACACTGGACGGCAGCGGGAGGCTGGGACTTTCCATTACAAATAGAGACTTCATTCCTGTTGAGTCTAGTTGGAATTTTTAGTATGAATGTGAGATTTTTCTCCTGCTTGTGACATTAAGAATAAAAAACTGTGATCTATCGTAGAGTACGTTCTGCATTTTATTTCTGCAGGCAACACTTTTGCTCACCAGCAAGAACACAGCCCGAGGAAGGGACCCAATAACCTTTCAAAATGCAAACTGCTGCCTGCGGTGAGGGCCCAGGGTCCTCCACGGAGAGGACAGGCATCTTCCTTTCCCACCAGGAAGGAGTCAGCCTGGAGCCTCTGCTATGTGCAAGGCGGTGTGCAAGCACCGGCTGCGGCTCTTTGCTGTCTCTTCTTTCTCTTTGGGGCTGGGCTGGGTGTGCGTTCTGGTGCTGATGCTTTGGCCTGTGAGGCTGAGCTAGAGAAGTGTAGATGTTAGATGTGCCAGTACCATCCTGCGCCTCCCAAGCATGCCCCCACTCACTCACATCGGCATCTCGACCCGTTCAATTACAGCAACGAAGAAGCCACCGCTAAGCGTGGTCTTGGGGGAAGCCCGGAGGCAGTGCTCGGCACCCGGGAACGTGCTCAGGCCTCGGTGGGGCCGGGCAGGCAGGGCGGGAGCTAGCCTGCAAGAGAAACAGCCCCAATGCTGGGTAAGAGAGCAGTTCACCCCATCCCCCCCTCCACGACCCTGGCGCCCGCCCTGTACCTGAAGGCGCCCGGGTTCTGCTGCAGCGCATCTGGTACCATGTCTTCATTCTCCTCCTGGCAGAGGGAGCACATGGAGTAGACGAGCCGCTGCAGGGAAGGGAAAGTGAGCGCGTGGCACAGGGCTCGCTGCTGGAACCCTGCCAGGGCATGCAGACGCACCGGGCTAGGTGTCCCTGCCCCGGGATCCTCCAGCTGTCTGCTCGGCATACCTAAGGAAAAGCGTGTCTCGGTTACACAGCTTCACAGGCTGCCTCAGTCCTGAAATCCTCGCTCCTGAAATCCTTGCCTCACAGAGGAGAACTTTTGCTCCAGGGTCCCAAGCCCATTAAAGTGTCAGAACTAAGACCAAAACAGATGACTCCAGGTCTAAGCTGCTGTGGACCTCCGAGTCCCTCAGCCACGCCTTCTCACCATCTCACCCGAGCCACTGCAGGAAGGATCCAGCAGGACATAGTGGACCTCACGATAGCGCGGATCTAAGGGGGAGACCGCCAGGAAGTCCTCCTCAGCCAGCTCACAGCAGGAGACGCCAACCCAGGCCAGCAGCGTGGCCATGGATGCCAGCCGCTTGGCATCCAGGTCAAAGGCAAAGATCTTCCTAGGGCAGAGGGCAGAGCAGGGGTGAGCTGAGCATGCATGGAGCAGCTAAGGGCCTGTCACAGCTGACACAGACAACCAGAACATGCAGGTTAAGCCAGGACACACAATATTGAAACGGCCTATATTTAAAGGGCCCAGGGTCAGAGGTAACTGGCCTGGGGTCTCTGCCCCAAGGGCTAAGGGATCCACATCTCACACCTGCAGTGGGGAAAGCTTAGCTTGGGGCAAATACCGTGAACTACTTTGGTACAGCAGGAAAGAGTTAAGCGAAAGTCATCCTTTCAGCCTTTATTACCCACTGAAAGGCACAAAATCAAACCCCATGTCCTCCTCCTCCTCCTCCTGTGGCACTCACCCTTGGTTCTTCAGAAGAGCAGCCAAGTGACTGGTCTTATTGCCTGGGGCGGCACAGGCATCGATGACATGGGAGCCTGGCAGGGGTCCAGCAGCATGGCTGGGAGACAGCTGGCCTGGCAGGCAGAACACAGGGGCCGGGTAAACAGAGACCCCAGGCTAGGCCCTTCCCGTGCCTACACATTCTTCCCTTTTCTATTCCTCTTGCCTACCCTGTCCTGCAGAATGAGGTGTCCGGCCCGGTACAGTGGGTGTTCATGCAGATCTGTCTGGGCGGGAAACACCAGCAGCTCCGGCATCAAGGAGTCCAGGAGAAAATGCTTCCCCTTGAGGGCTTGTAAGTCATCAAGGCTGCCAGGGAAGAACCATTCATTCATTTCCTGAATTTCTCCCTGCCAGGCCCTATTTCAACGGTCCATTCATGCAACAAATGTTACCACAGCTATGGAGAAATCAACAGGGTGATAAGGGAATCCGGGATCCGCAGTTGAGGGAATGGGTTGTCAAGCCAGACTGATGGGTCAGGAGCCCCCTCTACTGTTTACCAGCAGTGGGAGCCTGGGCAAGTGATTCAATCTCAAGCCCCACTGGCATCTCTGTAAAATAGTAGGTGTGAGGATTCAATGAGCCAATATATCCAAGATACTTACGTGCCACAATTTAATAAATGTTAGCTATTCCTGTTGAAGCATAACCTTGGAGAAAGGTTACTTTACAGGGGGGTGAGGAGTGGGGAAGTGAGAGCTGAGCTCATTCTTGATGGATGAGGAGTTAGTCATGTGAGGCGCTTAGGTTAAAACTACATTCACTATAACTCAGTAAAGCAGTCCCGCCCACTCTCCGACCCATGCAGAAATAGGCCTAGAGAGTCACATGTCTCAGTTCAGAAATCTATCGAAGTGGCAGAGCTGGAATTCAAACACAAGCAGCCGTTCTCTGCTATTCCACCCTGGTGTCCAAGCAACATGGTAGGGCAGAAGGAAGAGGATCTTACAAAGAGTAAGGGAAAGGGAGAGGGGCAGAGGCTGCTTCTCAGAGCCACCAAAGGACAAAATAAGACAGGTGTGAGCCCAGTGGAGGAGGCACGGGGCAGAGACCAGCCACTGTTGCTGGCACGCTGGTGCACGTAGCACTGTGGCAGATGGACCTGGAGAGGAAGCAGGAGGGACAGCACAATGGAGCCAAGAAAGGACTTAGCATGGCCGGGCGCGGTGGTTCATGCCTGTAATCCCAGCATTTTGGGAGGCCAAGGTGGGCAGATCACCTGAGGTCAGGAGTTTGAGACCAGCCTGGCCAACATGGAGAAATCCCGTCTCTACTAAAAATACAAAATTAGCCAGGCATGGTGCTGCATGCCTGCAATCCTGTAGGGAAAAGAAAGAGAGATCAGACTGTTACTGTGTCTGTGTAGAAAGGGAAGACATAAGAAATTCCATTTTGACCTGTACCTTGAACAATTGGTTGGCTGAGATGCTGTTAATTTGTGACTTTGCCCCAAATTTGAGCTCACAAAAACATGTGTTGTATGGAATCAAGGTTTAAAGGATCTAGGGCTGTGCAGGACATGCCTTGTTAATAAAACGTTTACAAGCAGTATGCTTGGTAAAAGTCTTCGCCGTTCTCTAGTCTCAATAAACCAGAGGCACAATGTACTGTGAAAAGCTGCAGGGACCTCTGCCCTGGAAAGCCAGGTATTGTCCAAGGTTCTCCCCATGTGATAGTCTGAAATATAGCCTCATGGGATGAGAGGCTGTGCCCCAGCCCGACACCCGTAAAGGGTCTGTGCTGAGGTGGATTAGTAAAAGAGGAAAGCCTTGCAGTTGAGATAGAGGAAGGGCACTGTCTCCTGCCTGCCCCTGGGAACTGAATGTCTCGGTATAAAACCCGATTGTACATTTGTTCAATTCTGAGATAGGAGAAAAACCACCCTATGGCGGGAGGCGAGACATGTTGGCAGCAATGCTGCCTTGTTATGCTTTACTCCACAGATGTTTGGGCGGAGGGAAACATAAATCTGGCCTACGTGCACATCCAGGCATAGTACCTCCCTTTGAACTTAATTATGACACAGATTCCTTTGCTCACATGTTTTTTTGCTGACCTTCTCCTTATTATCACCCTGCTCTCCTACCGCATTCCTTGTGCTGAGATAATGAAAATAATAATCAATAAAAACTGAGGGAACTCGGAGACCAGTGCTGGTGCAGGTCCTTGGTATGCTAAGTGCCAGTCTCCTGGGCCCACTGTTGTTTCTCTATACTTTGTCTCTGTGTCTTATTTCTTTTCTCAGTCTCTTGTCCCACCTGATGAGATATCCCACAGATGTGGAGGGGCAGGCCACCCCTTCATAATCCCAGCTACTCAGAAGGCTGAAGCAGGAGAATCGCTTGAACCCAGGAGGCAGAGGTTGCGGTGAGCCGAGATCGCGCCAGGGCACTCCATCCAGCCTGGGAAACAAGAGCAAAACTCTCTCAAAAAAAAAAAAAAAAAAAAAAGGCTTAGCAGAGGAGTAATGCATCAGATCTGCCTTTAGAGCTTCCTACAGTCAACCTCAAGGAAAATGCAGTGAGACAGTCTGGAAGCAGAGAGACCAGTCTGGGAAGTTCTTGTGGTCATCCCAATAAGAAATGAGTGCTTAACCTAGGCAGTGTCCGGGGGAATTAAGAGAAAGGAGTGGAGGCCGGGCACTGTGGCTCACGCCTGTAATCCCAGCACTGTGGGAGGCCAAGATGGGCAGATCACCTGACGTCAGGAGTTTGAGACCAGCCTGGTCAACATGGTGAAACCTCATCTCTACTAAAAATACAATAATTAGCTGGACATGGTGGTGGGAGCCTCTAATCCCAGCTACGCAGGAGGCTGAGGAAGGAGCATTGCATGAACCTTGGAGGTAGTGAACCAAGATCATGCCACTGCACTCCAGCCTCGGTGAGAGTGACAGAGCGAGACTCAGTCCTAAAAAAAAAAAAAAAAAAGGAGTGGAGCTGAGAAAGATGCTCAAGGTGGAGGAGTAAATGATTGGAGGGAGGGGAAGGAAGCACCTAGGATGACTCGGTTTCTGGCTTGACCAAATGGGTGGAAAACGGTGACATCTGTTAGATTAAACTGGGGATGTACTAAGTGTAAAGTCTGAGAGGAAAGATGAATGCAGCGACTGTGGCATCTGTGGTGCATTCATGTGAACCTAAGGAGGGAAGAATGCAAAAGGGAAGTCTACACTGGGCGGTGAGAATCACCAGGTGGGAGGCAGGAGCTAAAGTTAGAGAAAAAACGGAGAGCTCCGGAAGAATGTAGGATGGGGCTCCTAGGAGTTCGATGTTTAAGGGATGCGAGGAAAACAAACCTTGGAGATGGAGAAACTGCTGGAAAGGTAGGAACAAAGCCCAGAGAGCAAAGTCACAACTATCCAACCACTTCTCTTCCCAGTACCCCAGACACCTCCCTAGATGAGGACAGCCAGGGCTCTAAGCTCTCACCTGGAAGCCCGACCCTGATAGGAGAAACCTTGTCTCTTGAAATAACTACATAAACGGAGCAGGTCTTGAGAGTGTTCACACGCACAAATCGAGGCAGCTGGGAGGCTAGGTAGGACGCAATGAGCAGTGAGTAGGCAGGAGCAAAGTTCCCCACCTCCCCCGCCCCTCAACTCCTTCCAGCTCACCTGGACCAGGCCTGGATCCCACTTCCAACAGGTCCTCATGCCAGCTCACACCCCGAAGAACCTTGAGCCGAGCCAACTCAACACCTCGCCTGGTGCCGTCCCAACAGAGCCTTCCATTGGCCCCCACCCCCTCGAAAGCCCTTTCCCAACAACTCATACACTAGCACCTGGGGATGAGGGATCAAAGACAGAAACGCCCTAAGCAAGAAGTATGAATGCCTTAGAACTAACTCTAATAGAGCCCGGGCACTGGAATGGCTAAAGAGATCACCTGACTAGATGGTTACAGATAAAGGTGGGGTACCTTACTCAAGACCACACCAGAAATTAACTACACAACAGGATCGGAACCTGGCGTCTCGCTTCCCAGCCTTAGACCCTTTCCCCACAGATGTTCACCAGTAGACCTCTGCACCCAGCTTCTTGCCAACATTACCCTTTCGTGGGTGTGGGTTTGGGGTTTTTGTTTTTTTTTAGAATGGGGTCTAGATCTGTCGCCCAGGCTGAAGTGCAGTGGCCACATCACAGCTCACTGCAGCTTCGAACTCCTGGGCTCAAGTGATCCTCCCCCCTCAGCCTTCCGAGTAGCTGGGACCACAGGTGCGCGCCGCCACGCCCGACTTCCTTACTGTCTCCGCTACTACTACTTTGTACTTCGGTTATTTAATCCTTCAAAACACTCGAAGTTAAAGCATTTTCATCCCATCTCAATTCGTAACCCAGGGAAGGTCTGCTCATACTCATTTCAGGTGAGCGACTTGCTCCAGTCCCGCCGTGCACGGCAGCGGGGCTGAAACCAGATGACAAAGCGCTGACCGTCGGGGTTCACTTCCCCGCCCCGCCCCTACCCTTGGCCAGGTGCGGCTGCAGCTTCTTCGCACTGAGGAGGCCGGCGCTGGAGATCACGGCATCCAGCACGGCGGAGTAGCGCTGCGTTTCGCACACCAGCGCGTACAGCTGCTTCACGTTCTGTGTGGCCGAGGGAGACAAGCTGGGTCGGGGGCTCCCCCGGCCCTCCTCGCCGGGCCCCACCTCCCGACCCCATCCGGGCCCGTCCCACCCCACCCCGGGTTCCTCACCCCCCACCCCTACTTGTGGCGCCCGGGCCCGCTACCTGGAAGTTGCTGGAGTACACCAGCCCCTTGATAGAGCCCTGGCGGCTCTCCACGCCGGCCAGCACGCCTGCCACCGCAGCGTACAGCCCCATGTTCCCGCGCGCCTTTACGGCTCTGTCGCAAAGCGCACCCGGCTCTGCCCCCGCCCGGACTTCCGGGGTCCAAGGGCATGCCCTTCCGGGACCGGAAGTGCCGGTCGAAGTCCCCCTGCAGGGTGTGTGTGTGATCGCGCACCTGCCGGGCTAGGGAGTGCGACGCTGCGGGCGCACCTGCTGGGGTAGGGAATGCGACGCTGCGAGCCCGTTTCGCCACTTCTTCTCCAGTTCTTCAGTCTTTGTCAATCTGATGGATAAATAATGGGATTTTACTGCTGTTTAACCGCAGTTATTGCGTTGAATATGTTCACATGTGTATTGGTCATTTCATATATATATGTGTGTGTATATATATATGTGTGTATGTGTGTGTATATATATATATATATTTTTTTTTTTCAGACAAAAAGACTCACTCTGTCGCGCAGTGTCGCGATCTTGGCTCACTGCAACCTCCGCCTCCCAGGTTCAAGCAATTCTCCTGCCTCACCCTCTGGAGTAGCTAGGACTACAGGCCCGTGCCACCACGCCCGGCTAATTTTTGTATTTTTAGTAGAGACGGGGTTTCACCATGTTGGCCAGGCTGGCCTCGAACTCCTGACCTTAGGTGATCTGCCCACCTCGGCCTCCCAAAGTTTTGGGATTACAGGCGTGAGCCCCCACGCTGGCCATAATTATGTGTCTCTGTTTATTGTCTTATCTTCCTCTGCCATGTGTCCTCCAATGGCTGTGTTCTCAGGGAGGATTTTTCTGTGTAATGGCAGAAAAGGTCCTAGCAACTCCAGGTCCACAATGTGGTTCATGATACCTGCCACTCACCCTGCACCAGTAACCACATTAGTCCCAGAGCCAAGCAAGAAAGCACGTGGGGTATTTGGGTACCTGAAATGGGCCGGTTTGGCCAAATTAAATGATGTAGTTATGATCCAGGCCTCAAAGCCACAATAACGGTTTTGTTTTTGCTTTTGATGAGGTCCCACTCCGTCACCCAGGCTGGAGTGCAGTGGCACCGTCATAGCTCACTGCAGCCTCGAACTCCAGGGCTCAAGTGATCCTCCCACTTCACCCTCCAAGTAGCTGGGACTACAGACGTGCACCACCACACCCAGCTAATTTTATCTTTTGTAGAAATGCGGTCTCACCATGTTGCCCATGGATGGTCTCGAACTCCTGGCCTAAAGTGATCTTCCCACCTCGGCTTCCCAAAGCAGTGATTACAGGCATGAACCACTGTGCCCAGCGAGGATTTTGTTCTTTTATCTTGAGATAAATGGTAGTCCTCTTAAGGGTTTTAAGTCATGGAGTGCTGTGTTCATGTATACTTCTTTAAAGATCAGTCTGGCCAGGTGCGGTGGCTCACACCTGTAATCCTAGCACTTTGGGAGGCCAAGGCAGGTGGATCACTTGAGGTCAGGAGTTTGAGACCAGCCTGGCCAACATGACAAAACCCGTCTCTACTAAAAATACAAAGATTAGCCAGGCATTGTGGCAGACACCTGTAATCTCAGCTACTTGGGAGGCTGAGGCAGAATCGTTTGAACCTGGGAGGCGGAGGTTGCAGTAAGCTGAGATTGTGCCACCGCACTCCAGCCTGGGGGATAGAGCAAGCTTCTTTCCCCAAAAAATAAATAAATAAATAAATAATCAGTCTGGTTACAGTGTGGGGATATAGGATGGAGGGGACAGAGTTGAGGCAGGGAGAGACCAATGGGGGTCATGGCAGTCACCTAAACAAGAACTGGTGGCCTGGACTGAGTTGGTGGCAGTGGAGTTCGGTTGAAGTTGGCAGTGTGACCGCTAAGTTAAATCCACAGAACTTGCTCAGGAAAAAGGTCAGGTCGAGAATAACTCATAGGTTTTCAGTTTGGGCAGTTGACACAATGCTGCTGTGTCTTTTGGTAGGATGGGGAAACCTGGGGTGGTGGAGTGAACAACGGCCACCCAGAGAGAGCAGGTCCTAATTCCTAGAGCCTGGAAATGTCACCTTCTATGGAAGAGATCTGTAGGAGTGATCAGGGGAAGGATTTGGAGAGAAGGTTATCCTGGATTATCTGGGCAGGTCCTGCATGGCATCACAAGTATCCCTATAAGAGAGAGGCAGAGGAAGGCCTCTCTTATAGGGAGAAGCGCAGTGGGTCACACCTGTAATCCCAGCACTTTGGGAGACTGAGGCTGGTGGATCCCTTGAGCCCAGGAGTTCACAACCAGCCTAGCCAACATGGTGAAACCACGTCTCTACTAAAAACACAAAAATTTGCTGAGTGCACGCCTGTAATCCCAGCTACTCAGGGGGCTAAGTTAAGGGAATTGCTTGAACCTGGGAAGTGGCGGTTGCAGTGAGCCGAGATCACACCACTGCACTCCAGCCTGGGCAACAGAGTGAGACTCTGTCTCAAAAAACAAAAAATAAGAGAGAAGCAGAGGAAGATTAGACCGGCACATACAGAAAAGGCCACGTGAAGATGGAGGCAGAGATTGGAATGATGCGGTCACAGGCCAGGAAACACCAGGGCATGGCAGCCACCACCTGAAGCTGAAGAGGAAAGGGGCAGGTTTTCCCCGACAGTCTCCAGAGGGAGCGCGGCCTTGCCGTCATCGTGATCTTGGACATCTGGCCTTCAGAACCATGAGAGATTAAATTTGTTTGAAGCCACCAAGTTTGTGGTCATTTGTTACAGTAGCCACAGGACACCACAGCCACAGGATAAATCTCAGGGATGGGGGAGTAGGAAGATCATGAGCGCGGTTTTGGACATGCCCTTGACGTCCAGGCGGAGCTGCTGAATGGCTGGAGCGCTACTGGATGTGGCCTGTAAGGGACGGGTCTCCCGGAGAGGGAACTTCTGAGTCATCCCTGTGGAAGTGATGACTGGAGCTATGGGTGTGGAGGGGTAGACAGCCAGAAGAGGAGCCTGGAGGCCCTCAGACCATAAGTGGTGAGGACGAGAGGCTGAATCCTCAAAGGAGACCGAGGAGAGGCAGGAGGAGAGGCAGGGCTGTGGGGAGGCTGAGGGTTGCTGTTCACCCCTGCTAGGCTCCCTCATGCCCTCTCACTGGTCTGTGCACCCAGTTTGACTTCCAGTGGCCAGAGCCAGCATCTTGGTTAGAAGGCTACCCCGGAGCTTCCAGGACCCACTTAGCCTATGAGTATCGTGAATCAAAGGGTTATGGGAGGCTAAGCACAGTGGCTCACACCTATAATCCCAACACTTTGGGAGGCCAAGGTGGGAGGATTGCTTGAGGCCCAGACCAGCCTGGGTAACATAGCAAGATCCCATCTCTACTAAAAATTTAAATATTAGCTGGGTATGGTAGCAGACACTTGTCGTCCCAGCTACTCAGGAGGCTGAGGCAGGAGGATCACTTGAGCCTGGGAGGTCAAGGCTGCAGTGAGCTACAGTTGCACCACTGCGCTCCAGCCTGGGTGACAGAGCAAGATCCTGTCTCTAAAAATAAAGACTCAAGGCTGGGCACGGTGGCTCACGCCTGTAATCCCAGCACTTTGGGAGGCCGAGGCAGGCGAATCATTTGAGGTCAGGAGTTCGAGACCAGCATGGTCAACATGGCAAAACCCCATCTATATTAAAAATAAAAAAATTAGCTGAGCATGGGGTGCACACCTGTAATCCCAGCTACTCGGGAGGCTGAGGCAGGAGATCACTTGAACCTGAGAGGTGTAGGTTGCAGTGAGCTGAGATCGTGCCACTGCACTCCAGCCTGGGTGACAGAGCGAGACTCCATCTCAAAAAAAAAAAAAAAAAAAGCAGACTTGAGCATAAAGTGCTGGGATTATAGGCATGAGCCACCATGCCCGGACTTTTTTTTTTCTTGTTTTCTTTTCTTTTTTTTTTGAGATGGAGTCTTGCTCTGTCACCCAGGCTGGAGTGCAGTGGAGCAATCTCAGCTCACTGCAACCTCCACCTCCCAGGTTCAAGAGATTCTCGTGCCTCAGCCTCCCGAGTAGCTGGGATTACAGGTATGTGCCACCACACCCAGCTAATTTTTGTATTTTTCATAGAGACAGGGTTTCACCATGTTGGCCAGGCTGGTCTTGATCTCCTGACCTCAAGTCATCCTTCTGCCTTGGCCTTCCAAAGTGCTGGGATTACAGGTGTAAGCTGCTGTGCCCAGGCTCTGTGCCTTCATTTAAACCCATGTCTCCTGACCAAATTGTCTCTAAGACTAAAAGAAATGTGAGAAACAAGGAGTCTCCCATAAACAGGGAGTGAGGAAGGCTTGGGAACTGCACGTGTTCGTTTGTTGGGTCTAGAACATGGATCCGCTCTCTTCCCACAATCTGCAGAGCAAGTTTCAGGCAGGGCTGATACTGCCTGCTGCGCAAGGGTGAGGACGGTAAGCAAGGGATGCCTGGTGCTCCTGGATGTTGCTTCTGGCCATTTCCCACCTCTCCCAGCTCCCACTCCTCCTGATATCCTGCCTTACATCCAGCCACCCTGAACTTCTCATAACCAGAGTCCGCACGCCACTCCCCCTTTTACAGGACTGTTCCCTCGGCTTGCCTGGCAAACTCGGGTCCTGGGCCCTTCTCAGCCATCAGGCGTGTGCCCCTCTGCCAGGCCTCCCAGACACCTGCTCCTCCTCTAGTGTTTTGTTTTCTGAGACAGGGTCTCGCTCTGTCACCCAGGCTGGATCATGCAGTAGCATGATCATGACTCACTGCAGCATCAAACTTTGGGCTCAAGCAATCCTCCCATCTCAGCCTTATGAGTAGCAGGGACTATAGGCGCATGCCACCATGCCCAACTAATTTTTTTATTTTTGTATTTTTTGTAGAGACGGGGGTGTTACTACATTGGCCAGGCTGGTCTCGAACTCCCGGCCTCCAGCAATACTCCTGCCTTGGCCTCCCAAAGTACTGGGATTGCAGGCATGAGCTACCCTCCTCTAGTATTTCTGTAGCTTGAGTGAACTTCTGCTGTTCTAGGTACCCACAGTTCACCATCTGCCTCCCCACCTGTCTGCGAGACCCTTGAAGGCAGGGACGTGACTTTCCTCTATCTTCCCCAGGCTCAGTTATAGAGCCAGCTATAGGCAGCTGCTTGGGAGGCGCTGGTTAAGCTGAATGGAGGAACCAGTGGAGCTGAGATGCCCGTGCCCGCAGCCACCAGACCCTGGCTGAGCTCTCTCCAAGGTTATTACCTGGAGGCCATGGAGTGGAACTTCTGGAAGGCAAGAGAGAGGGAGGTTAAGGCTAGAAGGTGGGAAGCCAGGGCACTGTTGGGAAGGGGAAGGCCCTGGCGGGTATGGGGATGGGACGCCTCCCTGTCCACTCACCCAGATGAACTCATGGTGGTCCTCATTGCCGAACTGTTCCAGCACACACTCGGCTTGGGCCAGCCGCTCCCGGGTTCCCTGGGCCTGCTCCAGCTGCATGTCCAGGGAGGCCACCAGGCCACGGGTGTGACCCCCTATCCCCTCCAGGCAGCGGGCCTTCTCCTCGTCCACCGGGTGGCGCAGCTCCTGGAACTCGCGGCGGATCACCCAGCTGAAGACATCCGACTCATTCTGGGACAGGGAGGGCTGCTCACTGCAGAGTCACAGCCGAGCTGCCAGGCTCTGTCTGGCTGGCCTCGGTGTCCCCAGGGCCTTCCTGACCGGGTTGGTCCTGGGACCTGAGTCTCAGGGGAGGCTGCATGGCCTGGCGCCGGGCAGGGAGTTCACCCCATGCATGGGGAGCCCTGGCGGTGGCCGTGGGGAGGGTGGCCCCAGCTCCCATTTCAAATGGAGAGGCTCTGCTTTGGCCTGTTTTAATTTTTAATTTTTTTTTTAACAGACAGGGTCTCACTCTGTTGCCCAGGCTGGAGCGCAGTGGCACGATCATAGCTCACTGTAGCCTTGACCTCCCAGCCTCAAGCAATCCTCCCGCCTCAGCCTCCCGAGTTGCTGGGATTACAGATGCACGCCACCACACCCCACTTTGCCTATTTCAGCTATTAAATGTGCATATCCCAGAGTTCCACAACTGAAGGAAAGCAGGAAGGCCCTGGGCGAGCGGGCTTTGCTGTGAGGGAGCCAGAACTCCCTGCAGAACCCTGAGCTCCGCCTCCACCAGGCAGGGCTGATACCGCCTGCCGCGCAAGGGTGAGGAGGGTAAATGAGGGAGGCCAAGTGCTTCTGGATCTTGCTCGGCTCCTGTTTCTGTTTCACAGCCACCTCCAGGGCCGGGGCACTATGCGTCCCAGCCCCATGTGCCTCTCAGTTCAGGAGATCAGCCAGGGCCCAGGGCTGCCAGCCTCTCCACGCCTGCGCACCCAGGTACTGGGAGGGCACCATGACAGGCTGGCAAGGTCAAGCAGACACAGGTGGCACAGGGGCGGAGGAGTCACGCCCATGCTTTCAGCTGTTTACCCCCGAGACTCAAGTCCTGGGTTATCTCAGTCTCAAGGACACAGAGGGCAAAAGCCAACTTGGAGCCAGTCCTAACGACAACTGGGTTGAATTCCCCTGAGAGGATTTGCGCTTTCCCCACCCCGCCCCGGAATGCTTTGAGTTCTGGCTTTATATGGAAGGCATGGTTTTCTGTAAAGGACCAATGAGAACTGAGCTCTACAGGAAAGTGAAGGTGGCCGGTCCCAGGCAGGGGCAGAGGGAAGGGGCACTCACGACGATTCGGGTCCGGTTTTTCACCAGTTTGGCGATGAGCTCATCCACCTTCTTCTGCTCCTGCTTCAGCTCAGAGAAGAGGGCTGCGAGCTCCTCCTGGAGGCAACAGGCCATGGCCCCATGAGCAGCTGATCCCTCCCCTTCTCAGCTCCTTGGATCACCTTCTTGGGAGTATCCCAATGGCCACAAGCACTCCCAGGGAAACCAGGGCGGGAACCAGAGCCACCCAGGTACCCTTGAGTCCAAAACAGGTTAAATTGTTCAAGAATAGTCTGGGCGCAGTAGCTCACGCCTGTAATTCCAGCACTTTGGGAGACTGAGGTGGGACTTCACTTGAGGTCAGGAGTTTGAGACTAGCCTGGCCAACATGGTGAAACCCCATTTCTATTGAAAATACAAAAATTAGCCAGGTGTGGTGGCACACACCTGTAGTCCCAGCTACTTGGGAGGCTGAGGCACGAGAATCGCTTGAACCTGGGAGATTGATGTTGCAGTGAGCTGAGATCATGCCATTGCACTCCAGCCTGGGTGTCACAGTGAGACTCTGTCTCAAAAAATAAAAATAAAAAATAAGATAATTCAAGAATATTCTAAGGGCCGGGCGCGGTGGCTCACGCCTGTAATCCCAGCACTTTGGGAGGCCGAGGCTGGCTGATCACGAGGTCAGGAGATCGAGACCATCCTGGCTAACACAGTGAAACCCTGTCTCTACTAAAAATACAAAAAAAATTAGCCGGGCATGGTGGCGGGCACCTGTAGTCCCAGCTACTCCGGAGGCTGAGTCAGGAGAATGGCATGAACTTGGGAGGAGGAGGTTGCAGTGAGCCGAGATTGCGCCACAGCACTCCAGCCTGGGCAACAGAGCAAGACTCCATCTCAAGAAAAAAAAAAAAGAATATTCTAGGCTGGGCACAGTGGCTCATGCCTGTAATCCCAGCACTTTAGGAGGCCAAGATGGGAGGATCACTTGAGGCTAGGAATTTGAGACCAGACTGGGCAACACAGTGAAATCCCATCTCTAATGTTTTTTTTTTCTTCAAAGAATATTCTGGGCCGGGCGCGGTGGCTCACGCCTGTAATCCCAACACTCTGGGAGGCTGAGGCGGGCGGATCACGAGGTCAGGAGATCGAAACCATCCTGGCTAACACAGTGAAACCCTGTCTCTACTAAAAATACAAAAAATTAGCCGGGCGTGGTAGCGGGCGCCTGTAGTCCCAGCTACTCGGGAGGCTGAGGCAGGAGAATGGCGTGAACCTGGGAGGCGGAGCTTGCAGTGAGCCGAGATCGCCCACTGCACTCCAGCCTGGGCGACAGAGCGAGACTCCGTCTCAAAAAAAAAAAAAAAAAGAGAATATTCTGCATTGACAGCAGGAACTTCCCAGGCATAAGAGGGTCTCGATGTCACCCCTGTGCATGACATGGAGACAGTCACTAAATGTTACAGCTACCAGAAGTCACCATGTGATGCTGGCACTTCCTGGATTGAATGCTGCCTGTAGGGGACCCATCAGGTGAACTCTGTGGTCACCAGCAGATCCAGAATTAGTGGGTATTTAATCAGGAGCCATCACAAAAAGGCCGGCGCCAGGTGAGGCTAATTCTAGGGCCAGTGGTGCTCACACGGGCCTGGGTTTAACCTGGTGAATCCCCACACCTATAAACACCTGAATCCATTCCTGGTGGGCTTGGACACAGCACGGATTTGCGACCTCCCCAAGCTGACATAAATGCACTTCTCCTGGACTGCCCGGGCCCCAAATCTGACCTAGCCTTGGGGGTGCCAACCAGGACTCCTGGACCACCATCTACTCCATGACTTGACCAGAGCCCCCGTCGGTTTATACCCATGCAATGTACAGAATTTTTGGCTTGGATCGTGCCCAAGCACCAGAGAGCTGTAAGGGGCTTTCAGGAAGGGAGTTGGGTAAAGAATCAAGCACTTGCTGGCATAAACGGACAGAGTCCTTGCTCTGGAGAATGAGGCATCAGAACATCTCACAGAGGCCTAAGAACAGCATTCCAATGTCACCCTCCCCAGGCAGACAGACGGGACTCATTCCTTCCCCGTGAGAAGAACTAAGTTATGCAAATCAATGCACCCATCAATCGAGCATCTCAAGATCTCAATAAACAGGAGGCAACGGGAACACCTTAAAGAGGGCAATAAAGGAGTGCAATTTAGTTGTATTCTGTGTTGCAACAGAGAAGAGCCTCGGGATCATCAAAACCCAAATCTGGCCGGGAACAGTGGCTCATGCCTGGAATCCCAGCACTTTGGGAGGCCGAGACGGGAGGATCACTTGAGGCCAGGAGTTTGAGTCCAGCCTGGACAAAATAGTGAGACCCTGTCTCTACCAAAAAAAAAAAAAATTAAGCCCAAATCTAAAACAGGGACCCAAGCTGAGCTGCTGGATCCTAACTACAAAGGACAGACAATCTCCCAGCCTGTTCCCTCCCTCCTTCCCATCAACTAATAAAACATAAACTCGGCTTCCTCACCTGCAGTTGGCTTCCACCTTCCATACTCCCCTAAACCTGCTCTTGCCAAGATAATCAGTTCTTACTGCTACATTTAACACTTTTCAGTCCTCAGAGACATTTCACACACGTGATCTCCTCCTTCAGTCTGTCTCTCTGATTTCCGGGAGGCCACACTCAGCCGGTGTTCCTGCTCTGAGGATTCTTTCTATTCCTTTTTCAGGGCTCTCTCTCTCTCAATCCAGATTTTAAGCCTGGTACCCCTTGGGGTCATCATCAGTGTCTTCCCTTATCACTATGTAGACTCTCCTGGGTTGGTCTTCTCCACCAAAGGGGACTTCAGTGACCACCAAGAGGAAGGACCCTCCACACCTCTTGCCCTGAGCCCCACCGCTGTCCTGGTCTGCACACCCCTCAACCCGACTGCACATCCCCAGGCACCTCCCGCTCCACCTGCCCACGCCGGATCCTCCCCTGCGATCACTTCCTCTGTGCAAGGGGGAATTACAGAGCTGGAGTCAACCTCCCCATCCCTCACCCTCCTTGCCACACACAGTTGTCAGGGTTTTTTTCTGTTTGAAATTTGTCTTTGGTCTGCCCCAGGCCTTTGTCCCAGTTCCCACCAACTTAGGTCCTGGCACCTTCATCTCTCACTGTCCTTTTGCCTCACCCTCAAAGCTCCCCTCTGCCAGAGAGATCTGAGCATGTCATCACTGGCTTAAAACACTCCAGCCCCCGCCTTTCTCCCTCATCCTGTGAATAAACTCCAAATCCATTCCCGGGTCACACTGGCCTCTCCATGCCCCAGCCGCAGCTTACCTCGCTGGCCCTATCTCGCCCCCACCCATGCTCCCTCCAGCTTTATGCTGGGATTACAGGAGTGGCCACTGCGCCTGGCCAACCAGGCTAATTTTGAAACTTTTGTAGAGGCAGGGTCTCACTATGTTGCCCAGGCTGGTCTCAAACTCCTGGACTCAAGTGATCCACCCACCTCGGCCTCCCAAAGTGCTGTTATTATAGGCATAAGCCACCCAGTCACGTGTTTTATAACAGGTGTTTTATATATATAACACCCAGTCAGGTATTATTATTACTCATCTTAAAGAATGATCTGCTAGGTTTGGTGATGGCCTATAAAGGCAGGAATTCACTGATTCAGCATTTTGGACATTTACAATGTGCCAGGCATGGCTCCAGGCACTGAAATACACCAGGGGACAAAATGAAGTCCCCACTCTCATGCACCAGAGAGTGCAAACAGGGGAGTGTCCAGACACAAACAAGGGGCGTAGGGCAGTGGTGCATGCCTATAATTCCAGCACTTTGGGAGGCCCAGGCAGGAAGATCGTTGGAGGCCAAGGAATTCAACACCAGCCTGGGCAACATAACCAGACCCCATTTCTACAAAATATAAAAAATGAGCTGGGCATGGTGGTGTGCACCTGTAGTCCCAGCTGCTCGGGAGGCTGAGGTGGGTGGATTGCTTGAGCCTAGGAGTTGGAGGCTGCAGTGAGCCATGATCACACCACTGCACTCCAGCCTGGGCAACAGAGTGAGACGCTGTCTCCAAAAAGAAAGAAGAAAAAGAAAGGGGGGGCGGGCGAGGGAGGGGGAGAGAGAGAGAGAGGAAGGGAAGGGGGCGGGAGAGAGAGAAAGAAAAAAAGAAAAAGAAACAAACCAGAACTGCAAACAAAAAACAGGAAGGGGTGAGCACGTGACACCAGGGAGCTCCCATCCTGTGCGTGTAGCTTCAATCCCCAGCACCTGGGTTTAGCTGCCGCTCAAACACTAAGGAATGAATGCGCCAGGGCAGGGCTGCAGGGAAATCGAGGATAGCTGGATCCGTTTTGGTGCCAGTTGATAGCGCCAGAGAGCACAGGATCCAGTCCCCGCGGGCCCCGCCGCCCCGCCTGCACCCTCACTCCCCACCTTCATGCGGCTGCAGACGGTGGAGACGGGCGTGACCGGGTGGTGTTGGTGGGAGCCCAGCAGACCGCAGAGGCCACAGATGAGCTCCTGGTCCTTCTCGCAGAAAAGGCTGAGCGGGTTCCGGTGGTGCACGCAGACCTTGGGCTCCGGGTCCCCAGGGAGCCTCAGGGCTTCGATCACCCAGGCCAGGGAGACGTTGGGCAAGGAGCTGCTGCCGTCCACCACCTGCCAGCACATGGGGCAGCGCACCTTGGTGTCCAGGTGGTAGGACAGGGAAACCAGGCAGCCCTTGCAGTAGGAGTGGCCGCACTGTAGCATTAGGGACTCCTTGAAGACCTCCAGGCAGATGGGACACTGAAGCCGGTCCTCCAGCTCCAGCAGGCTCACCTGCCAAGCCATCCACACTCACTGCCCGGGCTGAAACACAGGCATCCGACCTCAGTCCTGTCCACTCCCCTCCCCCTGTCCAGCACTCACCCACCACCCTCAACCCTAAGGAGCACCAGAATTTTATAAGAAACACTTTGAGTCCTGGATCCCAGTCCTAACCCACATGACCTTGGGCCTCAGTTTCCACAGCTGTAAAACAAAAGACTGCAGTGAAAAAACTGGTCCCTTGAAGATACGTGTGTGTGTGTGTGTGTGTGTGTGTGTGTGTCTACATTTTTTACTCAAATTTGGAGACAAGCATGAAAGGGGCCATCTGCAGGGTCATTTGCAGTGACACTAATAATGCAAGGTCCAGCCCCAGCATGCATCCGGACCTAGAACTGAACAGCAAAACCTAGGCAAGCTCCCCACCTTCTAGATCAGTTCCCAAACTTTCAGGAAACTGTTGAAAGCATAGGTGTAATAGAGATTCTAGAGGCCCACCTTCAAAGGATCTGCTTCAGGGGGTCTCCAGTGAGACCCAGAACTCTACACTTATAGGTGACACTCCCAGGTAATTCTAGAGAGCCTGGAACCTACAAGGCCTCTACCCTGATCTCCCACCTGCTCCCCTATGAAAGCTTGTCAGTGAGACAGAAGAAGCACCAGAAGCCCCCAGCGAGAGCCCGACATTGGAATACCTAGCTTCTCAGGATCCACTGGGCCTCCCACTATGGCCTCAAGCCAGCATCACTGGCTTTTCTTCTTCCCAGCAGGGAACAGCAGGCACAGAGTCAGAAGTGGGAAGTGCAGCTGGACGCCTGCACCACTGCCTGGTCTCTGCCCCTTCTCTCCTCCCCTTCCCCAGCAACACCCCTGTGTCCCCAAGGTCACCAGAATCAGGTGGAAACTGGGTTACATCACAGGACTGGGGAGGCAGCCTTTGTTGGGCCTGCTCTGATAACATTCAAGTGCTGGCCTTGGCCACTGTGGAGGAGGGGCAGAAACAGAGGGACTGGGTACACCGTCCACACCTCATGACCCCAACAGGAGCAGATAGGTGCTGGGAAACAGTTCTTTCTGAATCTCAATCTCTTGCTCTTATATCCTTTTTTGGGGGGGGTGGGGGGCTGGGGGGCAGGGGAAGACAGTGTCTTGCTCTGTTGCCCAGGCTGGAGTGCAGTGGCGTGGTCACAGCTCACTGCAGCCTCCAACTCCTAGGCTCAAGCCATCCTCCTACCTTAGCTGCCTGAGTAGCTGGGACTACAGGCACATGCCACCATGCCAAGCTAATTTTTAAAATTTTTTTTGTAGATACCGGGTCTTGCTTTGTTGCCCAGGCTGGTCTTCAACTTCTGGGCTCAAGCAATCCTCCCACCTTGGCCTCCCAAAGTGCTGGGATTACAGGCATGAGCCTTATTGCACGCAGTCTTCCTTCTCTCTCTCTTTTTTTCTAATACAAACTGGCAGATGATGGTTCGATCTCTCGAATTTTTTTTTTTATTTTATTGTTTTATTTACTTTAGTAGAGACAGGGGTCTCACTTTGTTGCCTGGGCTGGTTTTGAACTCCTGGCCTCAAGCAATCCTCCTACCTCAGCCTCCCAAAGTGCTGGGATTACAGGTGTGAGCCGCCGAACCTGGCCTCTTTTTTTTTTTTTTTTTAAAGATTTGAAGGTATCTTTATTTACTTATTTAGATTTTTTAAATCGAGGTATAACATATACAAGTGTGCAAATCTTAACCACACAGCTTGATAAACACTTGATGTATATACGTGCACTCTCAAGAGCAAGATGTACAGTGTTTCCAGAAAGCTCCCTCCTGCCTCCTTCCAGTCATAACTCCTAACAAGGACAGCCACTGTCCTTATTACCATGTTGTCATGTGGCCTGTTTTTGAATGTCACATAAACAGCATCATATAGAATGTACCCTTTTGTGTCTGGTTTCTTTCACTCAATAATATTAAATTGTGAGTTTTTTTTTAATGTGAAGTCTTTCAACGTTTAGAAATTCAATGACACTCTGTTATACAGGTTTTGTTTGTTTGTTTGTTTATTGAGACAGAGTTTTGCTCTTGTTGCCCAGGCTGGAGTGCAGTGGTGCAATCAGGCTCACTGCCACCTCCACCTCCCGGATTCAAGTGATTCTCCTGCCTCAGCCTCCCAAGTAGCTGAGGTTACAGGCGCCTGCCACCACACCGGCTAATTTTTTGTATTTTTAGTAGAGAGGCGGTTTCATCATGTGGGCCAGGCTGGTCTCAAACTCCTGACCTCGAGTGATCTACCCACTCTGGTCTCCCAAAGTGCTGGGATTACAGGTGTGAGCCACCGCGCCCAGCCTGTTACACAGTTAATGAATATTATGGTCATAATATACTGCTGTGGTTTGAATGTATCCTCCTAATTTCATGTGTTGGAAACGTAACCCCCAATGGGGCAGTATTGAAAGTTGGCTGTAGCCTACGCCTATAATCCCAGCACTTTGGGAGGTCAAGACTGGAGGATCGCTTGAAGCCAGGAGTTCAAGACCAGCCTAGGCAACAAAGCTACAAACCATCTTACCAGCAAATTAAAAACTAAAAAATAAATTAGCTGGGCCTGGTGGTGCACGTCTGTAATCCCAGCTACTTGGGAGGCCGAGGCAGGAGGATCTCTTGAGCCCAGGAGGTGGCGGCTGCAGTGAGCTGAGATCCATCACTGAACTCCAGCCTGGGCTCAGAGCGAGCCTCTGTCAATCAATCAATCAATCAATCAATCAGTGTCTTGTCTGGGCCTAAATTCTCTAGAATACAATGGAAGAGGGAAAGTGAAAGAAGGTGGAAGTAACCCACAGCTGGGAGCCCTGAACCCTGCTGGTGGCAGGTGGCTCTCGTGTCCTCACCAGGTTGCCCTGCAATCACATGCTGCATCCTTTTTCCTGAACCTGCCCCACGTGCCCCACCACGCAGCCACTCCGAGGGCTCCTTCAAGGGCGGCAGCCCTGTCACTCACGTGTTCCAAAAGTGCTTCCCCTGTGCCCTGACGGCCTCGCCATGTGTCCCATCACGCCCCACGCGCTCCCACTGTGCGCCCCACCTCGCACCCGTGCCCCATCATGCTCTGCGTGCTCGTTAGGTGCCCCATCATTTCCCGCTCGCTCTCATTACGTACCCAGCCTCCGGCCCCTGTAAGTGCCCCATCGTGCTCTCTGTCGCTCCAGTTAGATGCCCCATCCTGCCCCGCGAGCTCCAATTACGTGCCCCACCTAACCCCCCATGTCCGTGCCCCATCATGCCCCGCACGCTCTGGTTACATGCCCCGCCTGGCGCTCCCGCACATGCCCCATCATGCTCAGCGCGCTCCCATTACGTGCCGCCACCTCGCGCCCCTGCAAGTGCCCAATGTGCCCTGTGTGGTCCCGTTACGTGTCCCATCATGTTTTGTGCGCTCCGATTACGGGCCACACCTGGCAACTCACCGTGCGACCTCTGTAGTTCCAGAGCTCGCGAGGGCCAGGGCCGTTGGCGGCGGTTGGAACGAAACGATGAGTGCCTCCTCGTGGCCCCAGAATGTAATGCCGCCGTCGGTAGGGGTCTGCCGGGCATAAAGGGGCCTTCGGAACCCCACCAGAGTCACAGCCAGGAAGGGCAGCGGGGCGCACCAGGCCGAAGGCTCACGCCACAGGGAGGGCAGCTAGGACATGGGGGGAAGCGCGTTAAACCAGGGAGTCCTGGAAGGGGACGACGCCCCCGGCCAGGTGAGGGCCCAGACGTTTCGGGGGCGTAGACGCTGAGGGGTGGCCGGGTGGGTCTGCGGCTCTGAGGCCTGGCTTTCATTCTCCATCAGTCCCTGTACGAGCGGTTAAGTCAGAGGATGCTGGACATCTCGGGGGACCGGGGCGTGCTGAAGGACGTCATCCGAGAAGGAGCTGGAGACCTAGTGGCGCCTGATGCTTCGGTGCTAGGTACGCCCTGGGGCGGTTTGTCCGCAGGATCCATGTCATCGCACTCTGTTGGGAAGAGAGAGGCCTCATTTTCAAAAAGCATTTAATGGGGTTGGAAATGCTTTGTTTGAAGTGGATTTTTGTTTTTGAAACGGGGTCTCGCTCAGTTCCCCAGGCTGGAGTGCAGTGGTGCGAACATAGCTCACTGCAGCCTCTGCTTCCTGGGCTCAAGTGATTCTCCAGCCTCAGCCTCCCAAATAAGAGATTTACAGGCGCAATCCACCATGCCCGGCTAATTTTTAATATTTTTGTAGAGATGGGGCACTTTCTATGTTGCCCAGGCTGGTCTCAGACTCCTGGTCCCAAGTGATCCTCCCACCTCAGCCTCCCCAGTAGCTGGGATTACAAGCGTGAGCCGCTGCTTCTGCCATGAATTAGTTTTTTTAAGAGGAAAGCTAAGGAACCCTATGTCCCCTTTGCGTGATGCTTCCATGAAGCTCTTGAACCTCTGAGCCGAAGGGTAGGCTCCTAAAATGCAGAGAGATTTATTCCTGTACCTCGTGGTGTCGGGCAGCTTAAGCTCATCTGATCGCATTGTTTCTGTGTGATCATGAGAGACTCGATATTATGGTGGCGTGGGTGTTTTGGGTCCATTTTCCTTACATTCTTTCCTCTATTCTAGTGAAATACTATGGATACCTGGAACACTTGGACAGACCCTTCGATTCTAATTACTTTAGGAAAACTCCTCGGCTAATGAAACTTGGAGAGGGTAAATTCAGAGTAGGAGCTGGAGAAGAAGGGATTGTTTAGGAGCGAGATGAGGCACCATGCCTCAGGCTGGGAAGACTGCTCAGAGCGCAGGTTCTTTGAATTGACTTTGCTGAGGCTGGGTTTTGGTAAAACAGCCATGTTCTCTCCCCTTGAGACCTAGGCATTTGGGAGATGGCTTAATGGGCAAGGTATAATCTTTGCACTCTGACTTAACTCACCACTGGGAATGTTTCTTTGTTCATTTATTAAGTAAAAATCGACGAATGCTTACTTCCCACAATACATGGTGAAAAGAGAGGTTGTACTCAGAAGATTAGAACATCTCCACCCTTAAGGACCTCACAATGTAGTAGAGGAGACTGACCTGCACTCAGCTCACTTGGTAGAATCGGATGAGTGCCTGGGAGGTGAAAGCAGTGTTGTGGGTGTGCTTAATGAAGGCATGATTAATTCTAGCTGGGAAGTTCAGGGAAGGCTTCCTGGAAGAGGGGGCATTTGAACTGAGCCCGGAAGTTTGAATAAAATTTCTATCACTAGAAGCTGGGCACAGGCTCAGGAGGAAGACATTGCAGGAAGAGGGAACTGTGTGAGGGAGACATGGAGGCCAGAGTACTGCTGACTTAGAGGGGGAAGAAACTGATAGCATTAAGCAGGATACTGAGCAAGCTTCACCCACCTTCTTTGTCCCTTCTTACAGATATTACATTGTGGGGCATGGAGCTGGGCCTTCTGAGCATGCAGAGAGGAGAGCTGGCCAGGTTTCTGTTCAAACCGAACTACGCCTATGGAACGCTGGGCTCCCCTCCCTTGATCCCCCCAAACACCACTGTCCTGTTCAAGATTGAGCTGCTTGACTTCCTAGACTGTGCTGAGTCAGACAAGTTTTGTGCTCTCTCAGCTGTACGTTGCAGAGCACAAATGTCAGCACTTTATAGAGAGACAAATGGGTTGGTGTTTTTGGTAATTCTTCTAGATGGCCTGCCCTGAGGCTGATCGTCCGCCACTGCACTCCAGCATGGGCAACAGAGCAAGACTCCATCTCAAAAAAAAAAAAAAAGCCAGCTGGGATTTTTTTTTTGAGACATGACCTTGCACTGTTGCCCAGGCCGGAGAGCAGTGATGTGATCATAGCCCACTGCAGCCTCAAACTCCTGGACTCAAGCGATCCTCCTTCCTCAGCCTCCTGGGTAGCTGGGACTACAGGCTGGCACCACAACGCCTGGCTAATTTCTATATTTTTTGTAGAGATCATGTTGCCAGGCTGGTCTCAAATTTCTCGGCTCAAACAATCCTCCCACCTTGGCTCTTGAAGTGCCAGGATTACAGAAGTGAGCCGCCACACCCAGCCACAGCTGGGATTTTGATAGGGATTGTGTTGAATCTGTAGATCACTTCTGAAGTAATGAAATTTTAATAATATTAAGTCTTTTAATCCATGAACATGATTTCCTTCCATTTATTTAGGTCTTCTTTAGTTTCTTTCAATGATGTTTATAGTTTCTTTTTCTTTTGGAGATGGAGTCTTGCTCTGTCACCCAGGCTGGAGTGCAGTGGCATGATCTCGGCTCACTGTAACCTCTGCCTCTCGGGTTCAAGTGATCCTTGTGCCTCAGCCTCCCGAGTAGCTGGGATTACAGGTGCACTGTACCCGGCTAATATTTGTATTTTTAGTAGAGAAGGGGTTTCACCATATTGACCAGGCTGGTCTCGAACTCCTGACCACAGATGATCCGCCCACCTCGGCCTCCCAAAGCGCTTGGTTTACAGGCGTGAGCCACTGCGCCCAGCCTTATCTTTTCTTCCACACAGATGCTTCGTCTTGGGTAAACTCCTCGACTCCCAAGGCCCCAGCCTCCATCTTTACCTCAGAGCCTCCTGAACCTCCTCCTCCAGCCTCACCTTCCTCCAGCCTCACCACTCCTCCCTGGACCTGCAGCTCCGCACCCCCGGGGGCCTCAGAACTACCCCTTCCAGGGCCTCAGAACTACCCCTACGGTTTCTCCTGCGTAACCTTCTGCCTACCTTCCTGAGAGTGGTTGGTGACAGCAGCCGGGGCTAGAAACCTCGAGGCGACTGTGCTTGAGTCCTCTCTTGCTCTTTACATCCCAAATCCCATCAATTGTCACGCCTTGTGCCTTCCGCCTCTCAAATATTCAGAAAGCAGATGTATGCTGGGCACGGTGGTGACTCAAGCCTATAATCCCAGCACTTCGGAAGGCGGAGGCAGGAGGATCGCTTGAGGCCAGGAATTTTAGACCAGCCGGGGCAACATAGTGAAACCCCATCTCTACAAAATAAAAATAAAAATTAGCTGGGCGTGGTGGCGTGTGCCTGTAGTTTCAGCTACTGGAGAGGCTGAAGCGGGAGGATCACTTGAGCCCGGAGTTCAAGGCTGCAGTGGGCTATAGTCGTGCCACTTCACTCCAGTCTGGGCAACAGAGCAAGATCCTGTTTAAAAAAAAAAAAAAAGCAGATCTAAAGAGGGGCCTGGCGTGGTGGCTCACGCCTGTAATTCCAGCACTTTGGGAGGACAAGGCGGGCGAATCACCTGAGGTCAGGAGTTCAAGACCAACCTGGCCAACATGGTGAAACCCCATCTCTACTAAAAAATACAAAAATTAGCCAGGCGTGGTGGTGGATTCCTGTAACCCCAGCTACTCGGGAGGCTGAGGCAGGGAGAATCGCTTGAACCCAGGAGGCAGAGGTTGCAGTGAGCCAAGATCGTGCCACTGCATTCCAGCCTGGGCAACAGATTTGAGACTCCGTCTCAAAAAATAATAATAATTGGCCAGGCGCAGTGGCTCATGCCTGTAATCCCAGCACTTTGGGAGGCCAAGGCGGGCAGATCACCTGAGGTCAGGAGTTGGAGAGCAGCCTGACCAACATGGAGAAACCCCGTCTCTATTAAAAATACAAAATTAGCCAGGCGTGGTGGCACATGCCTGTAATCCAAGTTACTCGGGAGGCTGAGGCAGGACAATCGCTTGAACCTGGGAGGCAGAGGTTGCGGTGAGCCGAGATCGTGCCATTGCACTCCAGCCTGAGCAACAAGAACAAAACTCCGTCTCAAATAATAATAATAATTTAAAAATTTTAAAAATAGGTATAGAGCAGGCTCGTGCCTCCAGCACCCAATTCTGCACACTGGGTAACAAGATGGGTGGCAGCCACCCAGCCCTAAGCATCGGGAGCTCAGGTGTCAACACCTGAGGCAGGTGCAGGACCAGGGCAGGAGAAGGGGCTTCTACAGAAAGCGCCTAGGGGAGGTGGCACACACTGAGCTGGTCTGAATCAGCAGAGGAGAGAAGGAAGCATTTGAGTCACACTGCACGGTGAAGATGCCCAAGTGCAGAGGTCAGGAACAGTCAGTCCTCGGGGGAAGAGGGAGAGCAGGGGAGTGAAGGTGAGAGTGGGGGGTGGAGTCAGATGAGGGGCTCAAGTTCATTCTCATCCCCCACTGCCTGCGTGACGTGGGGTACAGTACTTCCTACTGAAGCCTCGGTTTCCTTATCCGAAACCTGGGGTGTGGTGGGGTCACCTCCATTCATGCTTGTGAAAGTCCTTTGTAAATGAAATGTACAGGACAAGCTTAAGGGGGGCCCAAGGAGGGGAACGCATCTTACACCTTGCAAAGGCCACCAATACCAAGCCCAAGTGCCCAGGCTTTATTTTTCAGATGGGGTGACCTTCACTGCATGAAGGTATTCGGTGGGACTTCTTTTTTTTTTTTTTTTTTTTAGACAGGGTCTTGCTCTGTCACCCAGGCTGGAGTACAGTGGTGCCATCATAGGTCACTGCAGCCTCCACTTCCTGGGCTCAAGCAATCCTCCCACCTCAGCCTCCCCAGTAGCTGGGACCACAGGCACGCACCACCACACCTAGCTAGTTTTTTTTCTTTTCGTAAAGACAGCGTCTTGATAGGTTGCCCAGGCTGCTCTGGGACTCTTGGCCTCAAGCAATCTTCCTACCTCCACCTCCCCAGTTGTTGCGCCATGGTGCCTAGCCAAGATGGGACTCTCATTCAAACAGTCAAAAACCCGACTTAAAGTAGCTCAGACACGCATAGAATGGATTGGCTGCTGTTGTGGACTCTCCGAGGGTGGCTCCATCTGCAGGCACTGTTGGAACCAGTACCCAAGGATGATGTCCCAGCATCTGTCTCTCCGGGATCTCACCTTTGTACCCTGCCCTCACTGGCTGCGTCTCATTTCTGCTTCCCTCTGTGTGGCTTCCTGTTGGTGGCAGGGTGAGGCCCCCAGGACAGCAGGCAGCCTCAGCCTCACCCTTTCCCAGTACTGAGACCCAGAATCTCACTGCGGACTCCTTGAGACAATCCCAGGGAAGGCTTTGATTGGCTTAGCTTGAGGCATCACTGCTCATCCCTGGACCATTCAGAACCTCGGTGGTGCTCCCTGATTGACCACCTGGTTTAGTGCCGCTTCTGTGCTGGAGGTAGGAGCCATGTGAGGAAGTCCTGGAATTGGGCAAGCACGGTCTTGGGAGGCCAGGCTGGGACCTCCTTCCCTAGGGAGTCCTGGGGATTCTGAACAGAGTGATGAATCCTCTGTGAGGGGCAGGGAGCCACAGATGGAGAGGGATGATGGGGGTGGATCTGGGCTGTGCCCGGAGAGGGGACCCTGCCAGGAGTGAGTGTCTTATGGAGGCAGAACGGGCTCCTGCAGTTCCCAAGGTGCCCTTAGGCCCCAACAAGCCCCTGTCCCCAGCCTTACACAGAGTCCTGAGACTTCGGGGAAATGACTTCACTGTGCCCGTTTCACCGGTGAGGTTCAACGACTTTCCCAACATGATGGGAGTCAGAGGCCCCAGGTCGCAAATCACTAGAGCACCCAGCCGCCACTCAGTCCAGGGGGACTTCCACGGGAAACCAGCACTGGGTGTCCAGGGCCAGTGGCAGAACCATGGGCCCTTCCTTCATCGAACCAATACGTTTGGGTGGGGGCGAGCTCCTCTCGCCCTAGTTGGTGGCGGGACTGCAGGAGAGGCACAGACCTTGCGGGGGTGGGGGAATTGGGGCCAACAGGGGCCGCGAGGAAGGCCCAGGGGTATTGCCTGTGGGAGTCCATCGGAACCTGGGCAGGCTTCCCAGAGGAGGCGGCCTCCGAGCCCCTGGGCACCCGTGATCCGCCAGGGCCTGGAAGAAAACGGACGGAGCAGGAGCAGAGGGAGGGGAGACGGGCAGTGGTGCGGCCCCCACCCGGGGGCTCGGGGCGCACAGGGGTCCCCGCCGCCCACCCGGCCGCCCCGCGATTCCTGCACGTCAGCAGAGTGGAAACGCGGAGCAGCGCCAGCCGGGGCGGGCTGGATGGGGCCTGGCAGCGCGGCCGGCGCTCCGCGGGTTCGGTTCCGCCCGCGTTTGTGTTGGCAGCGGCCCGCGGCTCGCGGCCGGGCGCATGAAAGGGGCCTCTGTCTGCGCCCCAGCCGCCCCGCTTGCCTTTCACTCTTAATATAATCTTCATTTTTAACCCAGCGGAGGTTCTCTTGGAATTTTTCCCCTTCTTCCAAAAATACATGTGCGTGCGTGTGTGTTTGCAAAAGGCCTTGACGGTGAAGGTCGGGATTGTCCCCGGGAAGGGAAGGGAAGGGCGAAACCTGAGGCGGGGAGGGAGACAGAAATATCTTTCTTTCTTCCTGTGCCCAGGCCTCCTCGGGGTCGCCACCGCTGCTAAGGGTCCCCCATCCTGCGCCCCCCCGGGGACTGGGGGTGCAGGACAGGATGGGGGGGTCCTCCTCCGACCACCCCCACACCCCCAACCCCGGGATGAATGAATGGGCTTTTTGGAAATTGGGGTCAGCAGGGAGGGGTGGGCGCCTCCTCCAGGGGTCCCTCCCTGGAGCTGGTCAGAGAATGGTGTCACCAGGTGTGGCCAGCGGGGGCTGTCCTCCCAGAGCGGGTAGGAAGGGAGACAGGACATCAGTCCTGCTAGGAAAGACCCTACTCTTTTTTATTTTTATTTTTTTTCTCTGAGACAGGGTCTTGGTCTGTCACCCACGCTGGAGTGCAGTGGTGCAATCATAGCTCACTGCAGCCTCTACCTCCTAGGCTCAGATGATCCTCCTGCCTCAGCCTCCCAAGTAACTAGGACTCCAGGCAGTGCCACCATGCCCAGCTAATTTTTTTTTTTTTTTTTTTTTAGAGATGGGGTCTCACTATGTTGCCCAGGCTGGTCTTGAACTCCCAGCCTTAAGCAATCCTCCTGCCTTGGCCTCCCAAATTGCTGGGATTACAGGCATGAGCCACTGTGCCCAGCCCTAGACCCTACTCTGTGTTGATGCTTGCTTGCAGGCTTAAATAGCCTGCGACAGTGTCCAGAAACTGTCACCAGTCAGCCCTTTGTTCACTTGCTGGGCAGAGGAGCGTTACACCTGAGGGAATTTTCCAGATTATGCCCACAGTGGCTGTTTGGAGAGTTCTCACTTCAAACATCTCAGGGCTCATCACAGAGCTTTCCATGCATGTTCCCAGGCAAGTCTCTTGTGGTCAGGGAAGTCAAGTAAGATTATCCCCGCAGAAGGGAAAAAGAAGGCTCAGAGAAAACAACTAACTTGTCCCCAAGTTGTGGAGCATGAGGGAGCTAGGGTGGGAATGAAAAAGCGGGTGATGGGAAGCCCAGGTTCTCCCTGCTGGATGCCTGGTTTTCAAACTGTTTTCTGCAGAGCTTCTGTTCATATTGGGGGTCTTGGAAATGTATGATTCTAATTATTTAAATATATATATTTAGGCCAGACACAGTGGCTCATGCTGGTAATCCCAGCACTTTGGGAGGTCCAGGTGGGAGGACTGCTCGAGCCCAGGAGTTTGAGACCAGCCTGGCAACATAGTGAGACCCCATCTACAAAAGTAACCTTCTGCCGAGTGCAGTGGCTCACACCTGTAATGCCAGCACTTTGGGAGACTCAGGCAGCCAGATCACCTGAGGTCAGGAGTTTGAGACCAGCCTGGCCAACATGGTGAAACCCCATCTCTACTAAAAATACAAAAATTAGCCTGGCGTGGTGGCACACCTGTAATCACAACTACTCAGGAGTGTGAGGCAGGAGAATCACTTGAACCTGGGAAGAGGAGGTTGCAGTAGCTGAGATCGGCACAGCAGTCTGGGTAACAGAGTGAGACTTGGTCTCAGAAAAAAAAAAAAAAAAAGACTTATTTAAAAAAAAAAAAATAGCTGGGCATGGCCATGGTGGCACATGCTTGTAGTCCCAGCTACTCGGGAGACTGAGGCAAGAGGATCCCTTGAGCCCAGAAATTGGAGGAGGCAGTGAGCTATGATTGTGCCACTGCACTCCATCCTGGGTGACAAAGCAAGACTCCATCTCAAAAAAATATATCTAATTTGTGTGTATATTTGGACTTCTGGTGTGAGCAATATAGTAGTAAATTTGATAGCCTGAAAACCATCCTACTCTAAACGTCTTGGTTACAAAACACCAACCACATCCTGTTTTTTGTTTTAATTCCAGAGTCGGGGTCTTGGTCTGTTACCCAGGCTGGTCTCCAACCTTTTTTTTTTTTTTTGAGACGAAGTCTCGCTCTGTCGCCCAGGCTGGAATGCAGTGGCGCGAACTCGGCTCACTGCAAGCTCTGCCTCCCGGGTTCACGCCATTCTCCTGCCTCAGCCTCCCGAGTAGCTGGGATTACAGGCGCCTGCCACCACGCCCGGCTAATTTTTGTATTTTTAGTAGAGATGGGGTTTCACCATGTTGGCCAGGCTGGTCTCGAACTCCTGACCTCAGGTGATCGCCCACCTCCGCCTCCCAAAGTGCTAGGATTACAGGCGTGAGCCACCGCACCCGGCCTGTTATTGTTTGTTGACACAGAGTCTTGCTCTGTTGCCCAGGCTGGAGTGCAGTGGAGCCATCTCAGCTCACTGCAGCCTCCGTCTCCCCAGCTCGTGATCCTCCCACCTCAGCCTCCTGAGTAGCTGGGACTACAGCCTCCACCACCACACCCAGCTTATTTATTTATTTATTTATTTATTTATTTAGTATTTTTAGTAGAGATGGGGTTTCACCATGTTAGCCAGGCTGGTCTCAAACTCCTGACTTCAGGTAATCCACCCACCTCAGGCTCCTAAAGTGCTGGGATTACAGGCATGAGCCACCTCACCCAGCAGTCAGGTGGTTGGTAACTGTCTCTCTTAAAATAATAATTGGTTGCAATCAACACCAGGGAAAGGCCGTTTCCCAATAGATAGAAAGCACCTGGAACTGGTGATCAGCAGCTTCCCGATAAGATCTCAGGAGCTGGGCGAGTGGGCTCAAGCATGTGCACTAAGAGGCAACATGGTGGAGTTTAACTGGCATATGACCTGGGAGCATTTGACTGGTAAAGGAAGAATGCCTCAAGTGAGCATGCGCACTTCAGTAAACACGCTGCGCATGAGGCCCCTCCGGAGCGCTGGCAGGCCACTGCGCATGCGGACAGACCACCCCAAGGGAAGAACCAGGGGAAAGTTAACGCAAGCCCCGGAAGGATGCCAACCTATCAAACCCCAAGTCCAAGATCAAACAGTGCACTTGACTCTCTCAAGTCACCTGCTTGACCCTCTTCCAAGTGTACTTTACCTCCTTTCCTTACTGCCCTAAAACTTTTTCTTTGTTTGGTTGGTTTTGTTTTTGTTTTGAGATGGAGTCTTGCTCTGTTGCCCAGGTTGGAGTGCAGTGTTGTGATCTCGGCTGACTGCAACCTCCACCTCCCGGGTTCAAGCAATTCTCCCACCTCAGCCTCCCCAGTAGCTGGGATTATAGGCATGTGCCACTATGTCTGGCTAATTTTTGTATTTTTAGTAGAGACAGGGTTTGGCCATGTTGGCCAGGCTGGTCTCAAACTCCTGACCTCAACTGATCCAACCACCTCGGCCTCCCAAAGTGCTGGGATTACAGGCGTGAGCTACCGTGCCCAGCACCTGCCCCAAAACATTTTAATAAACTTTCACTCCTGCTCTAAAACTTGCCTCGGTCCCTCACTCTGCCTCATGCCCCTTGGTGGAATTCTTTCTTCTGAGGAGGCAAGGACTGAGGTGAATCCATATGGATTCACCACCACTAACACTTCCCCCATATATCTCCCCACTGCTGGGCCCTGCTCACCTCAGTCCCCAAGGCCTCAGTGTGAGTGAGTTTATCAGATGCATTCACGAGTGGCAGGTGTCTGGGAGCCGATTCTGATGAGGGAAGAGAAAGAGAGGGGCTTTGAATTTGAGGTTCACACTTTCTTCAAGGAACAGGTTTAGCTGGACATAATGGTATACCTGTAATCCCAGTACTTTGGGAGGCCGAGGCAGGAGGATCACTTGAGGCCAGGAGTTTGAGACCAGCCTGGGCAACATAGAGAGACCCCCATCTCTACCAAAAAAAAAAAGAAAAATAAGCCAGGCACAGTGGTGTGTTCCTGTAGTCCCAGCTACTCTGGAGGCTGAGGCGGGAGGATCACTTGAGCCCAGGAGTTTGAGGCTGCAGTGAGCTATGATAGCACCACGGCACTCCAGCCTGGGCCACAGGGTGAGACCCTGGCTCTAAAATAAATAAATAAATAAATAAATAGATAAATAAATAAATAAAGTATCCCATGTGGGTTGATGTGGGTGAAATTCAGGCCAGGCTGGACAGACAAGGGCGATTTTCAGGGCAGGCAGCCACTGTCAAACATCACCCTCTCCTCTGAGGATCCCTGGTCCCTCCTCCATGAAGTGGGGGGCACAAGCAGCTGGAAACAGGTCCCCACCACTGCTCTGCCCCAGAAGGAAGGCTGGGCTGCTTCCCTTTGAGCTCCCCGGGCACTCAGTTCCTTTGCTCAATTCAATGCAGCATCCAGTCCAGAGAAGTGGGTCTTCCAATTTGGCTGAAAGGCCGGGAAAGGTCCCTCATAGACACTCGAAGCTTCCAGGGGCCTCAGGGTTCATCTGATTGTACCCGTCAGCCACTGCCCCAGTGAGGCTGCCTAACACACCACCCCAAAACCCAGAAGCTTAAAACAAGCATTTATCACTGGGCGAATTGGCTCATGCCTGTACTTTGGGAGGCCGAGCCGGGTGGATCACTTGAGGTCAGCAGTTTGAGACCAGCCTGGCCAACGTGGTGAAACCTCATCTCTACTAAAAATACAAAAATTACCTGGTCGTGGTGGTTCGCACCTGTAGTCCCAGCTACTTGGGAGGCTGAAGCAGGAGAATAGCTTGAACCTGGGAGGTGGAGGTTGCAATGAGCTGAGATTGTGCCACACTGCACTCCAGCCTGGGCGATAGAGCGAGACTTAGTCTCAAACAAAAAGACCAAGCATTTATCTCTCGCTCAAGCTTCCAGGCTTGCTCCCAGCCACGGCTGGGTCCAGGACTGTGCCACATGCCTCTCATTCTCCCCAGGGCCAGAGGGCTAAGGAGGGGCTGGGGAGTGTGCTTCCCCTGGCTAAAGGCAGGAGCCCCGGAGGACCAGCACCAAGCACAAGCCCACTGCAAATCTCTGCTCACCTTGTCAGTTACATTCTGTTGGCCAAAGCGATTCACCTGGCCAAGCCTAACAGGAATGGGTGGGGAGGTACATTCCTCCTAGAGAGGGGAGTTTGTGGGAAAGGAGTGGTTACTGCTGAGCAATAATCTAGTCTTCTAATAATCGAACTAACTGATTTTTCCTTTTTTCTTTCTTTTTGTGTTTTGTTTTGTTTTGTTTTTTGAGACAGTTTCACTCTTGTTGCGCAGGCTGGAGTGCAATGCTGCAGTCTCGGCTCACTGCAAGCTCCACCTCCCAGGTTCACGCCATTCTCCTGCCTCAGCCTCCAGAGTAGCTGGGATTACAGGTGCCCATCACCACGCCCGGCTAATTTTTTGTATTTTTAGTAGAGACGGGGTTTCACTGTGCTGGCCAGGCTGGTCTCCAACTCCTGGCCTCAGGTGATCTGCCCGCCTCAGCCTCCCAAAGTGCTGGGATTACAGACATGAGCCACTGCACCCAGCTGAACTAACTGATTTTTCAATTGCTCCCTGCACAATGGCAGAAATTCCTGGAGATTCTCTGAAAGGGGAGGGAGAAGGGGCAGGGAGGGCTTGATGTCTCCATTGAGAGCCAGAGCGCTTTTGGTTTTAAGGTGGGGAGTGAGTTGGGTGCAATGGCTTACGCCTGTAATCCCAGCACTTTGGGAGGCCAAAGCGGTGGATCACTTGAGGTCAGGAGTTCGAGACCAGCCTGGCCAACATGGCAAAACCCCATCTCTACTAAAAATAAATAAATAAATAAGAAAATTAGCCAGGTGTGGTGGCGGGGACCTGTAATCCCAGCTACTCAGGAGGCTACGGCAGGAGAATCGCTTGAACCCAGGAGGCAGAGGTTGCAGTGAGCCAAGATCGCACCACTGTACTCCAGCCTGGGCAACAGAGCGAGACTCAGTCTCAAAAAAAAAAAAAAAAAAAAGTGGGGAGCGAAGGGAAGACGCCTAATGATTCATGATTCATGATGTTTCATGATGACTCTTTTGCACTTCGAAGCCATGCCCTTCGCCTTGTCAGCCTGGAGAAGACTGCGATTTGCTACAGAGGGAACACAAAGAAAAAGAGACAATTGTGGATTTCTGACATTCAAATGTACAATTTCGCCTCCTTGATAAAGAATGGACTTAACACCAATACCTCCCACTTTCTTTCTTTTCCTTTTTAAATTCTTTCATAAAGACAGGGTCTCGCTATGTTGCCCAGGCTGGTCTCAGACTCCTGGCCTCAAGCGATCCTCCTGCCTCAGCCTCCCAAAGTGCTAGGCTTACAGGCATGAGCCACTGTGCCTGGGCCAGTATCTCACACTTTGACTCAGGTCCAGGCTTCATGAACTGGAGTAGACCATAGGGTTTTCCAGAGTTTATTTATTTATTTATTTATTTGTTTATTTAGTCAGTTTGTCACCCAGGCTAGAGTGCAGTGGCGTGATCTTGGCTCACTGCAGCCTCAACCTTCCAGGCTCAGGCCAGGCGCGGTGGCTTATGCCTGTAATCCCAGCACTTTGAGAGGCCAAGGTGGCAGGATCACCTGAGGTCAGGAGATCGAGACCAGCCTGACCAACATGGAGAAACCCTGTCTCTACTAAAAATACAAAATTAGCTGGGCATGGTGGCACATGCCTGTAATCCCAGCTACTCGGGGGGCTGAAGCGGGAGAATCGCCTGAACCCGGGAGGAGGAGGTTGTGGTGAGCTGAGATCTCACCATTGCACTCCAGCCTGGGCAACAAGAGCAAAACTCCGTTTAAAAAAACAGACAAACAAAAAAACACCAAAAAAAAAAAAACCTTCCAGGCTCAAGAGATCCTCCTACCTCAGCCTCCCAAGTAGCTGGGACTACAGGTTGTACCTCCATGCCTGGCTAATTTTTGCTTCTTTTTTTTTTTTTTTTTGGTAGAGATGGGATTTCACCATATTGCCCAGGCTGGTCTCGAACTCCTGGGCTCGAGTGATCCGCCCACCTTGGCCTCCTACAGCACTGGGACTAGAGGCATGAGCCACTGTGACCTGCCTATTTATTTAATTTGTGTTTGGCTCGTCCAGTGAAGCAGTGGGAGTGGAGAAGGAACAAAAAAATCTGTAAGTCGTTGTGATCAATTAACTGTAACCACCACTGCACTCGGGCCAGCTCCATCGAGTTCATTATGAGGAAGGAGAGAAGAGGGGAGAACCTTCTACTTTCTAGACCCTGGGGTTTGTGGGGAGAGGAAGGCCGAGGGAGGAGAGGAAGAGATTGGATCCGGCGCCCTGCTATGGGTGTCTCCATCTGGGCTGCTGCTAGAAGGGGCAGTTGTTCTCTTTTTTTTCTTTTTTAGACGGAGTTTTTTTGCTCTGTCACCCAGGCTGGAGTGCAGTGGCATGATCTCAACTCACTGCAACCTCCGCCTCCCAGGTTCAAGCGATTCTCCTGCCTCAGCCTCCTGAGTAGCTGGGACTACAGGTGCCCACCACCAAGCCCAGCTAATGTTTGTATTTTTAATAGAGATGGGGTTTCACCATGTTGACCAGGCTGGTCTCGAACTCCTGACCTTAAGTGATCCGCCCGCCTTGGCCTCCCAAAATGCTGGAATTACAGGCGTGAGCCACTGCGCCTAGCCAGTTGTTCTCTTAAGAGGGGCAGGATTCTCTGGCCCTGCTGCCCTGGGGACCCATGGAGGAGACCCTTGCAGGCTGCTGCACCATCCTGGGCTGAGAAGCATCAAAGCAGATGTGGGGCCAGCATGCTTACAGCGGGGACACCACTTCCCAACAGCCTGAAAAACTCCCATTTCACCTTAAAAACTCATCAGACCTGGCTGGGTGTGGTGGCTCACGCCTGTAATCCCAGCACTTTGGGAGGCTGAGTCAGGCGGATCACGAGGTCAGGAGTTCAAGACCAGCCTGGCCAACATGGTGAAACCCCGTTTCTACTAAAAATACAAAAATTAGCCAGGTGTGGTGGCAGGCGCCTGTAATCCCAGCTACTTGGGAGGCTGAGGCAGGAGAATTGCTTGAAACTGGAAGGCCGAGGTTGCTGTGAGCAGAGATCCAGCCACTGCACTCCAGCCTGGGCGAAAGAGTGAAACTCTGTCTCAAAACAAAAATAATAAAAAAAAACTCTTCAGACATCTTTTCTGCAAGGCCCCGCTCCCCAAACTCTCATAGACAGAGCTAGCTGCTCCCCATTGTGGGTCCCCTACTCCACTGTCAGAGTCATTGAAAGGCCTGTCCCTCCAGCCAAGCAAACGCAGGGCAGGCAAGGGGGTCACACCCTAGGCTGTGCCACATGGTGTGGGGCTGTGAGAGCCCCAGGCGGAGACTCCGCGGTCTCCTTAGGGAGCCTCTGGGAAGAGGTTCTGGACAGAGAAGACGAAGGGGCTGTGGTGGTGTCAGGGCTGGGGAGGAGAGGGAAGGGCTGCACCAGGGAAGTGCCAACTCCTCTCCCTAGAACCTTCCACCACCCACCCCTGGGCAGACACAGTCCAGGCATCATTGCTGCAGCTGTAGGAAGGACCTGCTAGGTAAGCTCATCTCTCTGAGCACTGACTGGCAAGGGAGCCCCGTTCGTAGCTAGTGTTCCTCTGAAACAGCGATGCTATCAGAGGGCTGGCTTCAAGTCCCTGGGGCCTCACCCTTCCTGGGCACTTGCTGTTTCCCCGCCTCCTCTTTCTCTGTGTGTCCAGAGAGGAGGAACCCCTGCCTTGAGGACTGGCCCCTTGCACTGCAGGGAGAGGAGTAGGGCCCTGACACCAATGGCGGGCACCTGGTGTCTGGCCTCAGGGATCCACATGTTTTGAGAACAGATATGGTCCCAACTTCAGACTGAGCCCTGCTGTTCTAAGCATATCCACATGTGGCTGGGTTGAAGTCAATATTCCAGAGAAAAAATCCATCTGTCCCTAAAATTTCGGTTTGTTTGTTGGTTTGTTTGTTTGTTTGTTTTTGAAATGGAGTCTTGCTCTGTTGCCCAGGCTGGAGCGCAGTGGCACGATCTCGGCTCACTGCAACCTCCACCTCCCGGGTTCAGGCGATTCTCCTGCCTCAGCCTCCCTGAGTAGCTGAGATTACAGGCATGCACCACCACGCCCAGCTAATTTTTGTTTTTTGGTGTTTTTTTTTTTGGAGACGAAGTTTCACTTTTGTTGCCCAGGCTGGAGTGCAATGGCGCAATCTCCAGTCACCGCAACCTCTGCCTCCCGGGTTCAAGCAATTCTCCTGCTTCAGCCTCCCAAGTAGCTGGGATGACAGGTATGCGCCACCATGCCTGACTAATTTTGTATTTTTAGTAGAGACAGGGTTTCACCATGTTGGTCAGGCTGGTTGCGAACTCCCAACCTCTGGCGATCTGCCCGCCTCGGCCTCCCAACGTGCTGGGATTACAGGTGTGAGCCACTGCACCTGGCCACCTTTTTCCTTTTCTTTTTTTTTTTTTTTGAGACAGAGTCTTGCTCTGTCACCAGGCTGGAGTACAGTGGCACGATCTCGGCTCACTGCAACCTCCACCTCCCAGGTTCAAGCAATTCTCCTGCCTCAGCCTCCCAAGTAGCTGGGACTAAAGGCATGCGCCACCATGCTCAGCTAATTTTTGTACTTTTAGTAGAGACGGGGTTTCACCATGTTGGCCAGAATGGTCTTGATCTCTTGACCTCGTGATCCACCCACCTTGGTCTCCCAAAGTACTCAGATTACGGGCCTGAGCCACCGTGCCCGGCCAATCTCTTTTATCTTGTTTCCAAACCAAATCATACCTGAAGACAACTTCATTCTCTTGGACAAAAGAGCACCGATCTCCAGCTGATCCTAACTCACACCTCCCACCTTCTCCATGGCTCCTGCTTAGACACCAGGACACTCAAAGCTGTGGATGCCTCGGGCCCTCCCCCATCTGCCTTTCCTGAGACTTTCAGAACCCCCAGGTCAAATTGACACCCTTACCCCCACCCCAACATAGCCCACTGGCATCAGACATGCTTTGCTGTAGTGTACACTTCTTTTTTCTTTTTCTTTTTTTTTTTTTTGAGACAGAGCCTGGCTCTGTCCCCCAGGCTTGAGTGCAGTGGCACAATCTCATCTCACTGCCACCTCTGCCACCCAGGTTCAAGTGGTTCTCCTGCCTCAGCCTCCCGAGTAGCAGGAGGGATTACAGGCGTCCACCACCACGCTCGGCTAACTTTTTGTATTTTTAGTAGAGATGGGGTTTCACCATGTTGGTCAGGCTGGTCTCAAACTCCTGACCTCAAATGATCCACCTGCCTTGGCCTCCCAAAGTGCTGGGATTACAGGAGTGAGCCACTGTGCCCAGCTATACACTTCTTTTAAAGAAATAAAAATGATCAGAAACCATAAATAGGCCTGGCTTGGTGGCTCATGCTTGTAATCCCAGCACTTTGGGAGGCTGACGAGGGAGAATCCCTTGAGGCCAAGAGTCTGAGACCAGCCTGGGCAACATAGTGAGACCCTGTCTCTACAAAAAATAATAACGATAAACTAGCTAGGCATGATGGCACATGCCTGTAGTCCCAGCTACTCAGGCATGGAAGGAGGATCGCTTGAGCCCAGAAGTTCGGGCTGCAGTGAGCTATGACTAAACTGCTGCACTCTAGACTGGGCAACAGAGTGAGACCTCATCTCAAAAAAAAAAAAAAATTAAAGCCTTAGTTTACAGGCATATATTATCATTGCAAAGGATGACTGCAAAAGAGAGTTCTCACTGTGACCAGTCATGGGATCTTTAAAAGTTGTCATTGATAAAAGATGACAGAGTGGGAGGAAAGAAAAAGGAAAGGAGGCTGGGCGCAGTGGCTCACGCCTGTAACCCCAGCACTTTTGGAGGCCGAGGTGGGCGGATCACTTGAGGTCAGGAATTGGAGACCAGCCTGACCAACATGGTGAAACCCCCTCTCTACTAAAAATACAAAAATTAGCTGGGCGTGGTGGCTGGTACCTGTAATCCCAGCTACCTCGGAGGCTGAGGCAGAAGAATCACTTGAACCTGGGAGGCAGATGTTGCAGTGAGCCGAGATTATGCCACTGCACTCCAGCCTGGCGACAGAGCGAGACTCTGTATCAAAAAAAAAAAAAAAAAAAATATATATATATATATATACACACACACATATACACACACATATGTATATATATACACATATATACATATATATATATATAATGAAAGAAAAGAAAAAGGAGCAGCGGGGTAGGCAGTGGGGGGGTTGGCGGGGGGTTCACCATGTTAGCCAGGCTGGTCTCGAACTCCTGACCTCAGGAGATCCACCTGCCTCGGCCTCTCAAAGTGCTGGGATTACAGGCATGAGCCACCGCGCCTGGCTGAACAAGTTATTGTTGAAATAAAAATGAAAATTTCAAATCCTCAAGGAATTTGAAGATCTCTCCAAATGCATTTTCACGTCCCTGTTTTGAGAGCCATCCCTGGGAAATCACCCCCGCCCACACACAGCAAGACCCCAGGGTCCAGGGCCACCTCATTGTATAACGTCCAGGACAGAGCAAGCACTTGGTAAATGCTAACAGGTGATTAAGTGAAGGAAGGAAAGATCTGGAGTGCAAGCAGGGGATGAAGACACATGCAAAACGTTGGTTCAGAAGGTGCCCCTTCCCACAGTGGAGTGGAGGAATCTCCAAGGCAGGGGTCCATGGTCCCCAGCTGGTCCGTGACTTGTTAGGAATCAGGTTGTGCAGCAGGAGGTGAGTGGCAGGTGAGGGAGCATTACCGCCGGAGCTCCGTCTCTTGTCAGATCAGCGGTGGCATCAGATTCTCATGGGAGCGTGAACTCTATTGTGAACTGCGCACGTAAGGGATCTAGGTTGCATGTTCCTAATGAGAATCTAATGCCTGATGATCTGACATGGAACAGTTTCATCCCCAGACCATCTGGCTAACTCCTACCCCCAACCCCACCCCCATTCGTTGAAAAATTGTCTTTTTTGAAACTGATCCCTGGTGTCAAAAAGGTTGGGGGTGCTGGGCACAGTGGCTCACACCTGTAATCCCAGCACTTTGGGAGGCTGAGGTGGGTAGATCACTTGAGGTCAGGAGTTCAAGATTAGCCTGGCAAATATGGCAAAACCCTGTCTCTACTAAAAATACAAAAATTGGCCGGGCATGGTGGCTCACGCTTGTAATCCCAGCACTTTGGGAGGCCGAGGCAGGCGGATCACGAGGTCAGGAGATCGAGACCATCCTGGCTAACACGGTGAAGCCCTGTCTCTACTAAAAATACAAAAAATTAGCCAGGCGTGGCAGCGGGTGCCTGTAGTCCCAGCTACTCGGGAGGCTGAGGCAGGAGAATGGCGTGAACCTGGGAGGCGGAGCTTGCAGTGAGCCGAGATCTCGCCACTGCACTCCAGCCTGGGAGACAGCAAGACTCCATCTCAAAATAAAAAAAAATAATAATAATAATAATAAAATTAGCTGGGCGTGGTGGCACATGCCTGTAATTCCGGCTACTCAGGAGGCTGAGGCAGGAGAATCACTTGAACCTCAGAGGCAGAGGCTGCAGTTAGTTGAGACTGCGCCACTGCACTCCAGCCTAGGCAAGACAGCACGACTCCATCTAAAAAAAAAAAAAAAGAAAAAAAAAAATGGGGACCACTGTTCTACGGGATAGAGGACAGGGAGGTGGAAGAAAGAAAGGGAGAAGTGTGAGGGGCGTTTTGTCTGCCCTGAGCTCTCTCATACCCACAGCCCAGGGCAGGCAGGGCTGGGCTTGGAGGGTGGAATGGTCTGGGCAGAGGTCAGTCCGAAACTTCAGCCCTGGAGGGAGCTGGAGCTGGGGCTTTATCTTGCTCTCTTTCCTTATTTTAACTTAATCTTGTCTTTATTAGTTTTATAGAGATAGGGTCTCACTATGTTGCCCAGGCTGGTCTTGAACTCCTGGGCTCAGGAAATCCTTTCACCTCAGCCTCACAAAGTGCTGTGATTACAGGTATGAGCCACTGCACCCAGCTCTTTCCTCCTTTTAAAAACAAGAAACCTGGCCAGGCACGGTGGCTCATGCCTATAATCTCAATACCTTGGGAAGCTGAGGCAGGCTGATCACTTGAGGCCAGGAGTTCGAGACCAGCCTGGCCAACATGGTGAAACCCTGTCTCTACTAAAAATTCAAAAATTAGCTGGGCATAGTGGCACATGCCTGTAATCACAGCTACTCAGGAGGCTGAGGCAGAAGAATCGCTTGAATCCAGGAGGTGGAGATTGCAGTGAGTCAGGGTCATGCCACTGCACTCCAGCCTGGGTGACAGAGTGAGACCCTGTCTCAAAAAAAAAAAAAAAAAAGAAAGAAAGAAAGAAAGCCTGAGTCACAGGGAGAGGCTTCTCCCCAGCCCCTGGGAAGCCGAAGAAGCCCTGGCCAGGCCGGCTCCCAAACTCAGGGGTCCTGCTAGGCACCTGCTGTCACTCTCACTACCGACCTGGGAGAAGGCAATGGCCCATTTATGACACTGGAGGCGAGGGCCATGCACCCCCTAAGCAGGCAGCACCTCTGGAGCCATTCTGCAGCTGGAGGTTCATTTCCTTCCTGATGTCATAGTGCTCCAAGGTGGCACAGCCAGGACGGGAGCCTAGGGAATTGTCATCCACCCTGGAGCCCTTTCTGTCTCTCAGCGGCTGTCCCAGCCCTGCACTCAGGCAATTCCTGCAGGAATCGGTGGCCCCTGGGCGTCCTGGATGGGGAACCACAGCCCCTGAGGCAGAGCGGCACAAACCCTCCAGTGGATCCTGTTCTCTTCTCCCAGGGATCAATGAAGCCCAGGGTGTGGGAGCTCAGCCTTGGTGTCCCGGTCCCTGTGGTCACACAGCAGCTATTGCTATGGGGTTGGGATGCAGGGAGGAAAAGCCCAGCATCCCCCTTTCCACCCCAGGCCCCAACTTCTCTGTATTTGTTTATTTACCTTGGAAAAGGCCCCACGGCCCAGGCAGGAAATGGGCCAATTCCAGGAGGCCAAGGCGGGGAACAAGGAGCTACACTGTGCTCGGGCGGTGGCTCCCCACCCGGGCCTACTGGGAGCCCAGAAGGTGGGGGGGTCTGCATGGGGACCGGGCGGGAAGGAGGCGTGGGGCTGAGGGGCTGCCAGTGCTCCCAGCCAGCCGGCCGGCCTGTCAAAAGGCTTCTGTGCAGGGGGTGGGATGGGGGCTGTGGCTCCCTGTCCCACCTGGGAATGAACAGAGGCTGGGCAGTGGGGGAGGCAGACGCTGGGCTGGGGCTGGCCCCCAGTGGTGACCCAGGGCCCACCTGGCACCCATCTGCCTGCCCAAGGCAGACCCTGGCCTGGGAACCCCATCTCCTTGGGCTGAGATCCCACCCTGGGGCTGGGGAATGTTCCTGCCCTCCACCTTCCTTCTGGGGTCTCAACTCCTGCCAGGCAGCTGGCCTGACCTCAGATTTCCCCTAGCCCAAGGCTATGTCATCATGGGGGCGGCCTGAGGAGGGCTGAGCTCTCCCTGACCCTAGACTCTTCTTTACTGACAGGCTAGTGTCCATATGGATGGATCATTCATTCACTCATTCATTTATTTAATACACTCCCTGTCTGTTCGATGCACACTCCCCTTCTCTCCACTTCTGGCCCCGTTTCCTCTAATCCTTCATTCCTTGGTTCCCAGAGGGTTAAATGTAGATCGATATGTCACCTCTGGCTCCAAAGGTCTCTGAAGGGCCAGGTGCGGTGGCTCAAGCCTATAATCCTAGCACTTTGGGAGGCCGAGGTGGGTGGATCACCTGAGGTAAGGAGTTCGAGACCAGCCTGGCCAACAAGGTGAAACCCCATCTCTACTAAAAACACAAAAATTAGCCGGACTTGGTGGTGGGCGCCTGTAATCCCAGCTACTCAGGAGGCTGAGGCAGGAGAATCACTTGAACCTGGGAGGCAGAGGTTGCAGTGAGCCAAGATCACACCACTGCACTCCAGCCTGGGCAACAAGAGGGAAACAAAAAAACAAAAAACAAAACAAACAAAAATAAATAATTTAAAAATAAGGGTCTCTGAAGACTTCCTGCTACTTTCTGGGTCCATGCCCCTCCTCTCCGTCCTCCACTTCCCACCGGGCTCTTCAGGCTCCAGCCTAGATAACACCAGGTTAAATTTTGATCTCCCGGGGACTGGGTGTCGGGAGGGAAAGGCGGGGGGAGTGTCAGAGAGGGGATGGATTTCTCCCACCACACTTGGGGAGGCCTCCGGATGGATATGTCCTTCCAGCTGATGGACCTCAGGATTGGGAGAAAGATCGGGGACAAGAGACGGGCACAACAGTCACCTGGTTTCTTTTTCTTCCTTTATTTTTTGAGACTGAGTCTCGCTTTATCACCTAGGCTAGAGTGCAGTGACACGATCTTGGCTCACTGCAACCTCCACTTCCCAGGTTCAAATGATTCTCCTGCCTCAGCCTTCCGAGTATCTGGGATTACAGGCGTGCACTGCCATACCCGACTAATTTTTGGATTTTAGTAGAGATGGGGTTTTGCCATGTTGGCCAGGCTGGTCTTGAACTCCTGACCTCAAGTGATCTGCCCACCTTGGCCTCCCAACGTGTTGGGATTACAGGTGTGAGCCACCGTGCCCAGCCACATGGTGTCTTCCATGACAGCTCCCTCTCTGCTGAAATAGCATTTCCCACCCCCACCCATGGCATCACTCTTCTGCTGCCATTTTCATCAAAGACTGATGTCACTTGGCATGTTTTTAGGTTTTTTTCTGGTGGCTTTTATTTTTTTAATTTTAGAGATGAGGTCTCACTATGTTGCCCAGCCTAGTCTCAAATTCCTAAGCTCAAGGGATCCACCTGCCTCTATCTCCCAAAGTGCTGGGGTTACAGGCATGCACCACCACGCCTGGACCACATTGCATGCATTTTATTTAAATTTTTTTTTTTTTTTTTTTAAGACGGAGTCTCATTCTGTCACCCAGGCTGAAGTGTAGTGGTGCGATCTTGGCTCACTGCAATCCCGGGTTCAAGCAATTCTCCTGCCTCAGCCTCCCGAGTAGCTGGGATTACAGGCGTGAGCCACTGTGCCCGGCCTTTATTTAAGATTTGCCTCCTTAACCATTACACCTGTAATCCCAGCCCTTTGGGAGGCTGAGGTGGGCAGATCACCTGAGTTCAGGTGTTCAAGACCAGCCAGGCCAAGATGGTGAAACCACATCTCTACTAAAAATTCCAAAATTAGCCAGGCGTGGTGGCAGGCACCTGTAGTCCCAGCTAATCAGAAGGCTGAGGCAGGGGAATTGCTTGAACCTGGGAGGTGGAGGTTGCAGTGAGCCAAGATTGCACCACTGCACTCCAGCCTGGGCAGCAGAGTGAGACTGTCTCACAAAAAAAAAAAAAAAAGAAGTGTCAGGTGCTGGCAGAGACACTGCTTTTCCCTAATTGACCCGTTTGGTCCTCACATTAACCATATTTTACAGCTACTCTCATTTACAGATAAGGAAACTGGGCCAATGAGGAGGTGAGAAATCGCTCAAGGCTGCCAGGTACAGTGGCTCATCCCTGTAATCCCAGCACTTTGGGAGGCCAAGGGAGGAGGATTAATTGAGGCCAGGAGTTTGAGACCAGCCTAGGCAACATAATGAGACTCTGTCTCTACAAAAAATTTAAAAATTAGTGGGGTGTGGTGATGCATGTGTAGTCCCAGCTACTCCGGAGGCTGAGGTGGGAGGATCGCTTGATCCCAGGTGTCTGAGACAGTAGTGAGCTACGACTGCACCACTGCACTACAACCTCGGTGATGCAATGAGATGCTGTCTCAAAAAAAAAACACACACACACACAAAACAACAAAAAAACAAATTGTTCAAGGCGAGCCTGGTGTGCCAAGCCCTTGTTCTGGGCACTTGGCTTATATTATCTCCCTTAATCCTTCCCACCACCCCAAGTGCTAGATACTGGGATTAATTTAGTTGAGCTGTAATACATCAATACTGTGTGAAATGCTATGCAACATCTAAAAGGAAGACAGGTGGAGCTTTTATTTATTTTTTATTTTATTTATTTTTTGAGACGCAGTCTCGCTGCATTACCCAACCTGGAGTGCAGTGGCACAATCACAGCTCACTGTAGCCTCAACCTCCTGGGTTCAAACAATCCTCCCACCTCAGCCTCTCAAGTAGCTGGGACTACAGGCTTACACCACCAAGCTTGGCTAATTTTTTTTTTTTTTTAAGAGATGGTGTTTTGCTAAGTTGCCCACACTGATCTCAAAATCCTTTTGTTTTTGCTTTGGAATGGTCTGGAACTCCTGAGCTCAAGTGATCCTCCCACCTTGGCCTCCCAAAGGCCTGGGATTACACGTATGAGCCACCGCACCAAGCCCAGGTTGAGCTTTTAAGGTATTAAAGATCCACTAGGTGAAAAAAAAGAGTGAAAGATACATATGCCATTTAAGGGAAGCACAGGAAAACTCCTATTTTGTTTATATGTGAATAGAGGCGCATAGATGCCTAGAAAAGTGTCTGGGAGGGAATGAAACCAGATTGGCCACAAAAATCACCTCTGGAAAAAGGAAAAGAATGGGGACTTTCACTTTTTGCTTCATATGTTTCATGCACCTTTTTTTTTTTTTTTTTTTGAGATGGAGTTTCACTCTTATTGCCCAGGCTGGGGTGCAGTGGTGCAATCTCAGCTCACTGCAACCTCTGCCTCCTAGGTTCAAGCGATTCTCCTGCCTCAGCCTCCCGAGTAGCTGGGATTACAGGCATGCGCCACCACGCCCAGCTAATTTTTTGTGTTTTTAGTAGAGACGAGGTTTCTCCATGTTGGTCAGGCTGGTCTCGAACTCCTGACATCAGGTGATCCGCCCACCTTGGCCTCCCAAAGTGCTGGGATTACAGGCGTGAGCCACCGCGCCCAGCCGCTTTTTCTTTTTAAAAAGTAAAATATAACAGAGAAAACTGCACAAAACAGAAGTGTTCAAATTAAATTTTTTTTTTTTGAGACAGGGTCTTGCCCTGTTGCCCAGGCTGGAGTGCAGTGGCTCATTCATAGCTCACTGCAGCCTCAAACTCCTGGGTTCAAGCGATCCTCCCACCCCAGCCTCCTGAGTGGCTGGAAGGCCAAGGGAGGATCGCTTGAGCCCAGGAGTTTGAGGCTGTGCCACCACACGCAGCTGGGTTTTTTTTTTTTTTTTTAATTTTTTGTAGAGACAGGGTCTCACTATGTCACCCACGCTGGTCTCAAACTCACGGGCTCAAGCAATCCTCCCATCTTTGGCCTCCCAAAGTACTGAGACTACAAACATGAGCCATCTTGCCCAGCCCCTAGAACGTGTTATCAAATAAACACCGATGCAACCCTCACTCAGCCGAGAAGTAAAACATTGCCAGCCAATCCCTAAATGCTTCTGCTTGCCGCTTCCCAATCCTAACCAATGCCTTCTCCTGACAATTATGATGGTCATGTCTTTGCATTTCTCTAATGTTTCCCATCACGATCAAACTAGTTTTGTTTTGCCTGTGTCCAAACTTTGCATAAATGAGCAGCATGTGTCTGGTGGACCTGGCTTCTTCCACTCAACATTATGATAAGAAGATTGACCATTTGGTGCCCATAGCTATTGCTCTTGCATTTTCATTGCTCTATAGATTCTTACTCAACATACCTTAAAATTTTTTTTATTCTGAAATAAGAGCGGGATGCTATTAAAAAAAGAAAAAAGAAGAGAACAAAAAAGTCCTCCAGTAAATTTAAAATATGGTAGTCAAGGCCGGGCACGGTGGCTCACACCTGTAATCCCAGCACTTTGGGAGGCTGAGGTGGGTGGATCACCCGAGGTCAGGAGTTCGAGACCAGCCCGGCCAACATGGCAAAACCCTGTCTCTACGAAAAAAATACATAAATCAGCCAGGTGTGGTGGTGTGCACCCGTAATCCCAGCTACTTGGGAGGCTGAGACATGAGAATTGCTTGAGCCCGGGAGGCAGAGGTTTCGGTGAGCTGAGAACTGCCACTGCACTCCAGCCTGGGTGACAGAATGAGACTATAAAAGAAAGAAAGAGAGAAAGAGAGAGAGAAAGGAAGGAGAGAAGGGAAGGGAGGGGAGGAGAGGGGAAGGGAGGGGAGGGGAGGGGAGAGAAGGGGAAGGGAAGGGAAGGAGAAGGGAAAGGGAAGGGAAGAAAATTAGAGATTAATTCAGGAGATTCAACATCCGCCTAATAGAAATTCTAGAAAGAGGAAGTAGAGAATAGAGAGGCCAGGTGCAGTGGCTCACACCTATAATCTCAGCACTTTGGGAGGCTGAAGTAGGAGGATTGCTTAAGGCCAGGAGTTTGAGGCTGCAGTGAGCTATGATTGAGCCACTGTACTCCAGCCTGGAAAACAAAGCAAGACCTCGTCTCTAAAAGTAATAATACACCGGGACGGTGGCTCCCCACACTTTGGGAGCCTAAGGTGGGCGGATCACTTGAGGTCAGGCTTTCGAGATCAGCCTGGCCAACATGATGAAACCCAATCTCCACTAAAAATAAAAAAATTAGCCAGGTGTGGTGCTGCACACCTGTAACCCCAGCTACCTGGAGGAGACAGGAGAATTGCTTGAACCCGGGAGATGGAGGTTGCATGAGGCGAGATCGCCTCATTGCACTCCAGCCTGGGTGATAGAATGAGACTCTGTCTCAAAATAATAATAATAATAATAAAGTTAAATATAAATAAATAAAAGCAAATGAATATAATGAGTTTTATTCATTTGTTTTGCTGTTGTTATTGTTTTGGAGACAGAGTTTTGTTCTTGTCGCCCAGGCTGGAGTACAATGATGCGATCTGGTCTCACTGCAACCTTCGCTTCCTGGGTTCAAGCGATTCTTCTGCCTTAGTCTCCTGAGTAGCTGGGATTAGAGGCGTGTGACACCACGCCCGGGTAATTTTTGTATTTTTAGTAGAGATGGGGTTTCACCATGTTGGCCAGGCTGGTCTCGAACTCCTGACCTCAGGTGATCCACCAACCTGGGCCTCCCAAAGTGCTGGGATTACAGGTATGAGCTATCATGCCTGGCCCCATTTCTTTTAAAATCAGAAGGAAAAAATATATATAACTTTTAGGCCAAAAATGTCTTCACGTATATTAATAGATTGATCTTTTCCCAATGCAACCATAAATATCATTTTTTAAAATTATTATTATTTTAGAAACAGGGTCTCACTCTGACGCCCAGGCTGAAGTGCAGTGGTATGATCTTAGCTCACTGCAGCCTCCAATTCCTGGGCTCAAGCGATCCTCCCACATCAGCTTCTTGAATGTGACCTCAGGCAGACGTCACCGTGCCCAGCTAATTTTTAATGTAATTTTATTTTTTTGGTAAAGATGGGTTCTCATTATGTTGCCCAGGCCAGTCTTGAACTCCTGGCCTCAAGTGATCCTCCTGCCTTGGCCTCCTAAGGTGCTGGTATTATAGGATTGAGCCACCAAGCCCGGCCCGAATATAATTTTTAATTTTTTTTTTTAAGACAGAGTTTCACTCTTGTTGCCTAGGCTGGAGTGCAGTGGCATGATCTCGGCTGACCGCAACCTCCACCTCCCGGGTTCAAGCGATTCTCCTGCCTCAGCCTCCTGAGTAGCTGGGATTACAGGCATGCACCACCACACCCAAATAATTTTCTATTTTTAGTAGGGACAGGGTTTCTCCACATTGGTCAGGCTGGTCTTGAACTCCCGACCTCAGGTGATCCTCCCACCTCGGCCTCATAAAGTGCTGGGATTACAGGCATGTGCCACCACGCCCGGCCTAATTTTCTAATTTTTTTTTTTAACTGAAGAAGGACCCCAGGAAGTCAAAAGTGCCTATAACCCATGAAAGTCTAAATGAGGACAACGGAGGCTGGGCATGGTGGCTCACTCCTGTAATCCCAGCACTTTGGGAGGCCAAGGTGGGCGGATCACCTGAGGTCAGGAGTTTGAGACCAGCCTGGCCAACATAGTGAAACCCTGTCTCTACTAAAAAACACAAAAATTAGTCGGGTGTGGTGGCGGGCACCTATGATCACAGCTACTCAGGAGGGTGAGGCAGGAGAATCGCTTGAACCTAGGAGGCGGAGGCTGCAGTGGGCTGAGATCGCACCACTGCACTCCAGCCTGGGGGACAGAGCGAGACCCCGTCTCAAACAAACAAAACAAAACAAAATGAGGACAATGGGGCTTCCAATGGCAACTCGAGACGTTAGTTTACTCCAGAGTCATGGAGACAGTGAATGGAGTGTGTGTGTGTGTGTGTGTGTGCGTGTGCGTGAGTGAGAGAGAGAGAGAGGAAGAAGGGAGGGAGGGAGGGTTACAGGAGTGTGGGAAAGTCAACAGGAAAAGGAGGGAAGGTTCGCTGTGAACTGACAGTAACTGTGACATCACAGGCATGTGCGGAGTCCCCGCCCCCCCAGGCACTGTGCCAAGGCCAGTACCTTCATGTCATGAGACCCTCTCAGCAACTCTGTAACCTTGTCCCCACCAAAATATTCCTTTCACAGCTGAGAAAACAACAGCACAGAGAGGATGAATTAAAAATTGTCTAACATGCTGGGCGCAGTGGCTCACGCCTGTAATCCCAGCACTTTGGGATGATGAGGCAGGTGGATCACAAGGTCAAGAGATCAAGACCATCCTGGCTAACACGGTGAAAACCCGTCTCTACTAAAAATACAAAAAAGTTAGCCAGGCGTGGTGGCGGGCGCCTGTAGTCCCAGCTGCTCGGGAGGCTGAGGCAGGAGTTGCTGGGCACTGGACACAAGGATTTCTATCAGTGTGCTCTCCTGCACATCACCCAGGTCTGGAGTGCCAGGAGGATCAAAAACATAGAATCAAAGATTAGCCACCTTCCAACTCCAAGTTTCCCCCACCCCATGCCACCGTTCCTGCCTTGTACAAGTGAAGCAAGCAATCTCTCCTGGTTTCACCCTAGGAGGTGGAAGGTCCCTGGCCCTGGCTCCATGTGGCACGTGCTCTGGTCCTTCTCCAGCAGCAGGCTTGTCAGACCCTCCCAGTCCTTCAGCTGAGTCCCTGCACAGTCCCACAGGTTGTCTACTAAGTAAGCAGCGTGGTCGTGGAGCTGGGGAAGGAGGTGCATGGGGATTTAGTGATGGCATGTTAAAATACCCTAGGAAGTGGTTACTGATTAAATATCGCTCTCCTTCCTACAGTGTACACCCCCATCCTTCTCCATCTGTCTTTTTTTTTTTTTTTTTTTTTTGGTAGAGACAGGGTCTCACTATGTTGCCCAAGCTGGTCTCAAACTCCTGGGCTCAAAGGATCCTCCCACCTCAGCCTCCCAAAGTGTTGGGCTTACAGGCGTGAACCACCAACCCCAGCCCACTTGTAGGTCCTATGCACAACAGCCAGAGTTATCTCTGTGTATGTCACCTTGCTCTCCACAAAGAAGGACAGCAGAAGCTGGAAGAAAGTCCTCTGGGCACCTGGGCTCTGGCGTTGCTCTCTTCCACCCATCGTTCTTATCTCGCACTCAGGGTAGAAAAGTCTGGTGGAATGGACACAAGGAAAGGGCTCAGCACAGGAGGAAACAAGGAGGTGTAATGATGACCACAGAGGGAGGAGATGGCCCAAGGAGATGATAAAGGAAAAGGAGGTGCAGAGCTAAGGAAAGCCCCAAGGAGCTGAGAGAGGAAAAGAGACAGCAGAGAGACTTCCACGGAGATGGGGAGGCCTTAAGTAGGGCAGCAGCACATGTGGGAGAGAAACCGAGAGGGTGGTGTTAAAGAAACGTAAAAGGAGCCCCACTCACTTCCAGTACAGAAATTCACCCACAGCAGAGGCCAGGCCTCAATTAGAGGCCTACACAATGGGGTAGACGCTCTCACAGTCCACGTCCATCAGCACCCCTTCCATGTTCCTGCCCACAGAAAAGCAGAAAGAGTGTGTGAATAGGGACATTGTCTTCTGGCACAATCAAGGCTAGAAAGAAAAAGAGGCAAAAGCAACAAGGACATAACTCACAAAAAACTCCTAAATGGAGAGTGGAAGACAAGGGAGTATGGGGAGTTAGAGAAGACAGAAATATTACCCTCTCAACATACTGCAACTCAGGAATGACCTCAGTCAACCTGCACAGATGGAAGAGTCAGCTGTGACAGGTGGAGGGAGATGACCCTGGAAGGGCAAAGGTCTGAGACACTGGCCTCCCCTCTTCCCAGGACTCACTTAAGGATAAGTATCAGTAATCTGACGGCCTCCACTGCCACACTGTACTCTCTGTCCATGATCATGGAAACCATCCAGTCCTGCAGAAAGGAGAAAGTCACTCAATATCTCATTACGCCCATTCCAAATATTCTGTTCTCTTAGAATCAGAGCCTCCTAAAGAGAGTGCCTACGTAGAGGCAGATGCTGGGATAGCCAAGACATCTTAGAGCATGAAGGGTAGAAAGATACAAGGTGGGGAAACGGGAACCACGACAAAGAGCCAAGCCAAGGAGCACCACCCGTCTCACCTTGAAGCGGCCAGTGAAGAGCTCCAGGCGTGCGGTCAGGTCCCGGTTACCGTACAGCCCTTTCAGAGCCTTCACGCACTTCACGCGGACTTCTCGGTGCTGGTGAGGAGGGAAAACCAAGAGAATGGAAATAAGACCAACCACACTCTACTCGCCCCTACTGAGCGTCCAGACTCCCCTCTCCGATCCCTCATTCTAGCTTGGGTGTCCCCTCTACTGAGGACTCTGAGATGTCAGAAACAATGAACAGCTGTCTTCATACTTAAAAAAAAAAAAGGATCACAGCAGTACTCATGATGAGAAGGATCCTTTGGCTGCCCCTTAGCACCTGCATTACCATCCATCAATAACTGTCTTCCATTGTAAAGTCTCTCTCCCCGTACCTCATGTTTTGAGTCATTTCATCTCCTGGGTATGTCTCTCTCTACCTTATCCTACCCTCCCCAGTGCTAGCGGAGTTTCAAGGTTCAGCGCCTTGATGGGTTAATCATTGGTCACTAGGTAAAATATCTCAGTGGCAGGCCCAGGAAAAGGTGAAGTGTCCTAGGACAGGAAAAAGATGAAGGAAACGGAAAGGGAAACTGACTCGAATCCCACCTTATCATGCAGAGTCCAACCAATATATTTTAAATAGCTGTCGGTGAGGAAAGACGTGCTGTAGCTTTGCATCCAACACCCAATTTCCTCAATGCAGATAGCACGGATCTCAGGAAGGACATCCCTAGACACAGACAGATAAGTTGACTCTTAGAGCCACCCTCTCTCCAAACTCACTTTCCATCCTACCAGTTAACTCCCTCTCATGGAAGAATTTATTTTCTTGAAATGCCATGTACCCCATGCCTTTCATTTCTTCCTCCCGATGTAAATACTATATATATAGTAAAATACATGTAAATATTTTTTCTCTTTTTTTTAAGGGATGGGGTCTCTTGCTGTGTTGCCCAAGCTGGCCTTGAACTCCTGGGTTCAAGTCATCTTCCCACTTTGGCCTCTCAAGTAGCTAGGACTACAAAAATGTGCCATACCCAGTTAGTAAATATTTTCTTTCTGTTACCAAACCATAAAATAGTTAAACACCAGCCTTGTACAGCCTAATTCTCCACTCCACCTGTTGCCCAGGCTGGAGTGCAGCGGCACAATCTCAGCTCACTGCAACCTCTACCTCTCGGGTTCAAGTGATTCTCCTGCTTCAGCCTCCTGAGTAGCTGGGATTACAGGTGCACCACCACGCCCAGCTACCTTTTTGTATTTTTAGTAGAGATGGGGTTTCACCATGTTGGCCAGGCTGGTCTCGAACTTCTGACCTCAAGTGATCTGCCCGTCTTGGCCTCCCAAAGTGCTGGAGTTACAGGTGTGAGCCACTGCACCCGGCCTCCATACCTCTTTTAAAAACCAATTTTGAAAGTTCATTCAGGCTGGGCATGGTGGCCAAAAATTAGCCAAGCATGGTGGCGGGTGCCTGTAGTCCCAGCTACTTGGCAGGCTGAGGCAGGAGAATCGCCTGAACCCGGGAGGCGGAGGTGCAGTGAGCCAAGATCGCGTCACTGCACTCCAGCCTGGTGACAGAGCAAGACTCCGTTTCAAATAAAAAACTAACACACTGTACAACTGCATGTAAGGTGGAAAAGACAACTGGAATTAAAATGTGCTCAGGTCCTTGTAGAAGATAAGAAATCCAGAGGAAAGCAAGCAAAGGGGGAAAAAGAAACAGAAAAGATAAAATGATTGTACCAACTCAATACTAGGCCATAAGGCTAAGTCTCCATAAATGTCTTTTTTTTTTTTTTTTTTTTTTTGAGACAGAGTATCACTCTGTCACCCAGGCTGGAGTGCCGTGGCACAATCTCAGCTCACTGCAACCTCCACCTCCTGGGTTCAAGCAATTCTCATGCCTCAGCCTCCCAAGTGGCTGGGATTACAGACAAATGCCACCACATGCAGCTAATTTGTGTATTTTTAATAGAGATGGGGTTTCGCCATGTTGGCCAGGCTGGTCTCGAACTCCTGGCCTCAAGTGATCTGCCTGCCTCAGCCTCCCCAAGTGCTGGGATCACAGATGTGAGCCACTGTGCCCAGCCCCTACATAAATTTCAAACACCACATTCCCTGACTACAACACAATAAAGTTAGAAATCAAATAACGAAAATATAACTAGCAAAATTCTGTATGTTTGAAAATTTTAAATATTTTCCCAGAAACTATAAAACTACATGTTAATGTGGATAAATCTCAAACAATCTTAACTGAAATAATTAAATCACAGAAGCCTGAATAATGGATTCATTTACATAATTAAAGAACACATTCATAGTGGTAACACTATAATGAAAGATGAGAAAGATTAACACAAAGTTCACCCTAGTGTTTACCTATGGGTAATAAGGGGACTGTGAGGTAGGGTAGAAAGAAGGTACACAAAGGATCTCTACAGCACTATTAATGTTTCATTTCTTGAGCTGGGGCTAGAGATCTGGGTGATATCTCATTTTTATTTTTTAAACTACATATACGCTTTGTACACTTTCAGATATTAGAACTTCAATAAAATTATAAAAAAAGAAACAGAGAGGGAAAAAATAATTAAGTATAATTGTCAAGATGGAGCTAAAAAATAACACGGGTGAACAAGGTGCCACCCACATCTAAGCTTCCTTCCCATGTCATGCAATGCCTCTCCTCATCTGCTCCATCAATCAATAAAGGCATAATCACTCCTGTGATACCTTTAAGAAAAGAACACGCTTTAAGAAAAGAAACGCTCTCTCGAAGCCGAGTGCGGTGGCTCACACCTGTAATCCCAGCACTTTGGGAGGCCGAGGCAGGCGGATCACCTGAGGTCAGGAGTTGGAGACCAGCCTGGCCGACATGGCGAAACCCCATCTCTACTAAAAATACAAAAATTAGCTAGGCATGGTGGCACATGCCTGTAAGCCCAGCTACTTGGGAGGCCTCAGCCTCCCAAGACCATGAGAATCGCTTGAACCCAGGAGGCAGAGGCTGCAGTGAGCTGAGACTGTGCCACTGCACTCCAGCCTGGGCAACAGAAAGAGACTGTCTCAAAAAAAAAAAAAAAAAAAAAAGAACATGCTCTCTTATTCAAGGTTACCCTTCTATCACTCCAAGGATTCACCCCATAATCTTATCTTTCTTGATATGTTACACTCACTAAAATGTTCACATCAAATCAAGTTTGTAGACACTTGTCCTTACCACCTTACAAAAAGTGAGATGGTATCAACAGAGGTAAGACACTGCTTTTACCTGCATGTCACTTTTGGCAGCTTTCGCAGCATTGAAAAGATCATTGGCTGGTGGCTCTGACTGTTTCCGGCTATGACGATGTACCGCTTGGGACCCTTTCTTTGGATATTTTGCCACCTGATACACATAAAAAGATCAGAAATATGAAAAAAAGGTAACAGTGACATTAACACTTGGTTTCATCATTATCACACAAGTAGGCTTACGCTGCCAATTCCACAGCAGTCTGAGTTAGACTCAGTCCTGAAATAATTGATTTTTATATTATGAAGTTTATTAACTTTTTTCCCTTTAAAAAAAAAATTCCTTGAGTCTCCTTCCCGTATCTCTATAACCAAACATCCTTTTCTTTTCTTTTCTCTTCGAAATTTCTCTTCTTCCTATTTCCGTCCCTTAATACTTTGTAAATCTTGTCCTTTTTTGAACCATATCACCTGAACCTCTTAGGTTTTCTCTTTTTTTTGAGACGGAGTCTCGCTCTGTCGCCCAGGCTGGCGTGCAGTGGCGTGATCTCGGCTCACTGCCAGCTCTGCCCCCGGGGTTCGTGCCATTCTCCTGCCTCAGCCTCCCGAATAGCTGGGCTGCTTCCCCCACAAGATTCAAAAACAAAAGAAAACTGGCTGACTCACCGGCGTTGTTTTCAGTGGTCGTTTTGCTGCTTTCTTCTTCACACCGCGATTGAAGCTGTCCTCAAATCATTTTCTTGTCTTCTTGTCTATTTGTATGAATTACTGAGTTACATTCTCATTGCTACTTATTTAAGCAAAGTATTCTTAGTTTGTTAAGAACAAAGAACTACAAATTGTGTTCATTTTCTGTCCTTTCCTGTTCTTAGACTAAATTACCTGAAATACATCAAAATATATGCTGTATGCTTACCTATATCAAAACTATGTTGTTTAGGTGCCGGGCACAGTGGCTCACACCTGTAATCCAGCACTTTGGGAGTTCAAGGCGGGCGGATCGCCTGAGGTCAGGAGTTCAAGACCAGCCTGGTCAACATGGCAAAACCCCGTCTCTACTAAAAATACAAAAATTAGCCAGGTGCAGTGGACAGTGCCTGTAATCTCAGCTACTCATGAGGCTGAGGCCTGAGAATTGCTTGAACCCAGGAGGCCAAGGTGGCAGTGAGCTGAGATCATGCCACTGCACTCCAGCCTGGGTGACAGAGTGAAACTCCGTCTGAAAAAAACAAAACAAACAAACAAACAAAAAACCAGACCACATTGTTTAGGGATACTTAGCTGACAAAATAATAGAGACAAGCATGACATAATTACCATAAAAATCAGGCCCTGGGGTGCTGGTGGGGAAGGTTTAAGTGGAAAGAATGGAGCGGTGACAATGTGTGTCAACCTGGGAGGTGGTGACCCTGGGGTTCGCTTTGTAATTCCTCAAAATGAGCATTTATGTGCTATTCACTTTTCAGAGGATAGAATTCTGAACTAAAATGTTTAAGCAGCCATACGCAAAAAAAAAAGAAAAAATATGGATAGATTTTTATTTTAATTAAAACATTTAAAAAATAGAGACAAGGCAGCTGGGCGTGGTGGCTCACGCCTGTAATCCCAGCAATTTGGGAGGCCGAGGCAGGCGAATCACGAGGTCAAGAGATCGAGACCATCCTGGCTAACACGGTGAAACCATGTCTCTACTAAAAATACAAAATAAAGTTAGCCAGGCGTGGTGGCGGGCGCCTGTAGTCCCAGCTACTGGGGAGGCTGAGGCAGGAGAATGGCGTGAACCCGGGAGGTGGAGCTTGCAGTGAGTCGAGATCAGGCCACTGCATTCCAGCCTGGGCAACAGAGCAAGACTCCAACTCAAAAAAAAAAAAAAACATAGAGACAAGGGTCTTGCTATGTTGCTCAGGGTGGTCTCAAACTCTCCGGGCTCAAGCAATCCTCCCGCTTCGGTCTCCCAAAGCGCTGAGATTCCAGGCGTGAACCACCGCGCTCGACCAGGAAAAAAATATATATATATATAATATACAATATATTTTATAATATATTATGTCATATATTACACATAATATACAATATGTATAATACGCATAATAAAGGTATATTTAATATATATAAAGATATATATGTATATAATAATTTTTTTTTTTGAGACGGAGTTTCACTCTTGCTGCCCAGGCTCGAGTGCAATGGCTCGATCTCAGCTCACTGCAAGCTCCGCCTCCAGGGTTCAAACCATTCTCCTGCCTCAGCCTCCCGAGTAGCTGCGATTACAGGCGCCCGACACACGCCCGGCTAATTTTTGCATTTTTAGTAGACACGGGGTTTCACCATGTTGGCCAGACTGGTCTCGAACTCCTGATCTCAGGTGATCCGCCCGCCTCGGCCTCCCAAAGTGCCGGGATTACAGGCGTGAGCCACGGCGCCCGGCCTGAATAAATCTTTTAAAACATAAAAATCTGGGTAAGCCCCTGGCCGGCCGGCACAGATGCCGGGGTGGGGCCGCGAATCGGTTGGGACGCACTCTATCCGGCCTAGGGGCACCCGGGCCAGCACCCGGCCGCCGCGCGTGCGCAGTGGGCGGGGGGCCCCGCGCTCCTACCTGCAAGTGGCCAGTGCCAAGTGCTGGGCCGCCGCTCCTGCCGTGCATGTTGGGGAGCCAGTACATGCAGGTGGGCTCCACACGGAGAGGGGCGCAGACCCGGTGATAGGGCTTTACCTGGTACATCGGCATGGCGCAACCAAAGCAAGAGAGGGTGGCGCGTGCCAGACACCAACGGTCGGAAACCGCCAGACACCAACGGTCGGAAACCGCCAGACACCAACGCTTGGAAACCGCCAGACACCAAGGCTCGGAATACACGCCAGACCACGACGGAGGGCGACCACCTCCCTTCTGACCCTGCTGCGGGCGTTCGGAAAAAAAAAAAAAAAAACGCAGTCCGGTGTGCTCTGATTGGTCCAGGCTCTTTGACGTCACGGACTCGACCTTTGACAGAGCCACTAGGCGAAAAGGAGAGACGGGAAGTATTTTTTCCGCCCCGCCCGGAAAGGGTGGAGCACAACGTCGAAAGCAGCCAATGGGAGCCCAGGAGGCGGGGCGCCTGTGGGAGCCGTTGAGGGCACTTTCCCAGTCCCCGAGGCGGATCCGGTGTTGCATCCTTGGAGAGAGCTGAGAGCTCGAGGTGAGCTGGGCTCGCGGTCGCCCCTCTCGCGCGCCCTCTTTGAGAACCACGGCTTCCAACCTCCCTGGAAATGGGGGGAACATGGCCGAGGCGCGTGGGAGGCCGCCTCGTGGAGGCCCCGGAGCGGCATCCTCAGCGCCCCAGCGATCCGGTGCCCATTAGGTGCGCCTTGAAGCCGAGGCAAGCTCCTTCGGGGTGCTGGGCTGCGGGCAAAGAATTCGGCCCTGTGAAGAGTTGGGTTCGGCCTGTCTCAGGCCCTGCCCACATCCCATCACAGGGCCGTGGACTTGAAGCCGGAACGTGAAATCCCCATAGACTGAATGCATTTCCTTTCTACCTGTTCTCTCTCCCCTTTTATTTTTATTTTTATATTATTTTATTTTTAATTTTTATTTTATTTTTTTGTAGAGACGGGGATTTCGCTATGTTGCCCAAGCTGGTCTGGAACTCCGGAGCTCAAGCAGTCCGCCCGCCTTGGCCCCCCAAAGCGCTGGAATTACAGGCGTAATGCACTGTGCCTGGCCTTTTAAAAAAAAATTGAGGTTATTTTGGGGACAGTAGAGCGTCCAGACACATCCTAATTTGCGTAGCTGCTCAGTTTTAAAAAATGCAATGCATTTTTACCTGTTAGGGTATGTGATTTCTGGCTGGTAAGCTACACCGAATCTTGGCTAGCACAGTTGAATTCCATGTCAGATTTGTAAACGCAAATTTGCTCTCTGCATTTAAATATATTAGATATATTTAGGTAACTACATTTAAATGTATTGAGACATTTAAATAAATTTGCCGTCTGTATCTAAATATCTGAAGTGGACCAGGTGCGGTGGCTCACACCTATAATCCCATCACTTTGGGAGGCCAAGGCAAGTGGATCATGAGGTCAGGAGTTCACGACCAGCCTGGCCAACATGGTGAAATCCCATTTCTACTAAAAATACAAAAATTAGCTGGGCGTGGTGGCAGGCGCCTGTAATCCTAGCTACTTGGGAGGCTGAGGCAGGAGAATCGCTGGAACCCAGGAGACAGAGGTTGCAGTGAGCTGAGATTGCACCACTGCAGTCTAGCCTGGGTGACACAGCAAGACTCCATCTCAAAAAAAAAAAGAAAAAAAATCAGAAGTGAACCTGTAGCCTGTAGTGTGTTGCCAAATAAACTTATTTTTAGAGATACTTCTTTCCATTTTCTGTGAGGTCATCTGCAGTTTCACATGGTAGACAGACTTAGGTGAGATTCTTAGCAACATAGAATGAAGAGTAAAGAGGTTTGTTTATTTCACAAGGGTTTATTGAAGGCCTACGATGTGTTAAATGCTGTAGGAAATACCCACTGATTTCTCTTTTCATGGAGGTTTCCCGCCTTCTCTTAACGAGTGATCAATTAAACTGTTTACTGGGAACTTGCTAAGTTAATGAACACACGGGATACATTCTTTGGATGAGCAGACATTGGTTGGGCAGAGGGGCAAGAGGAGAGCAGTTTAGACAGAGACCTGCTTATACACTGTAGTGTCTAAGAGAGCTTGTGATGTTCAGGAAACAGTTGTTCACTGTGCTGCAATATAGGGGACGGCCAGTTGCGGTGGCTCACACCTGTAATCCTAGTGCTTTGGAAGGCCAAGGCGGGCAGATCACCTGAGGTCAGGAGTTAGAAACCAGCCTGGCCAACATGGTGAAACCCCATCTCTACTAAAAACACAAAAATTAGCTGAGTGTAATGGTGGATGCCTATAATCCCAGCAACTTGGGAGGCTGAGACAGGAGAATCACTTGAACTTGGGAGGTGGAGGTTGCAGTGAGCCGAGATCATGCCATTGCACTCTAGCCCAGGTGACAGGGTGAGACTCTGTCTCAAATAATAATAATAATAATAATAATAATAATGTAGGGGACTTGATGAAGGGAAAGGATCAGAGAGATTCTGAAAAGAAGGTAGTTTGGGGCCCAGTGATGACTAGATTTTAAGTTTCATATAGTAGGAAGTGGGGCACTAGTAATTTTTCAAGCAGAAAAATTATTTGACCAGATTCGTGATTTCAAAAATAGCTCTGGTGATAGAGTGGAGGATGGGTTGGAGCAGGGAATAAGGGGAAATGAAACCGTTATAAAACTCTTAAAGTGGGCTGGGCATGGTGGCTCACGCCTGTAATCCCAGCACTTTGGGAGGCTGAGGCGGGCGGATCACGAAGTCAGGAGATCGAGACCATCCTGGCTAAAACGGTGGAACCCTGTCTCTACTAAAAATACAAAAAATTAGCTGGGCATGGTGGTGGGCGCCTGTAGTCCCAGCCACTCAGGAGGCTGAGGCAGGAGAATGGTGTGAACCCGGGAGGCAGAGCTTGCAGCGAGCTAAGATCGTGCCACTGCACTCCAGCCTGGGCGACAGGGCGACAGAGCAAGAATCCGTCTCAAAAAAAAAAAAAAAAAAAAAAAAAACCTCTTAAAACAAGTACAGCAAGAACTTTGAGGGTCTTTGCTAAGACAGCAGCTGGCAGCTTCAATTTGGAGTAGGGTATCAAAGGCAACTGTGTATAAGGAATAGTTATATAACTGGTATCCAATTTCTGAGATGATTTTGACTTAAACATTGTGTATTTCCCAGCATACTGTTGGTTTTTCTAATTATGTGGGAAATTATGTTGCTTTTACTTTTTTTTTTGCTCATTGCCCAGCCTAGGGTGCAATGCTGCAATCTCAGCTCACTGCAACCTCCGCCTCCCAGGTTTAAGTGATTCTTCTGCCTCAGCCTCCCAAGTAGCTGGGATTACAGGCGCCCACCACCATGCCTGGCTAATTTTTTGTATTTTTGGTAGAGACAGGGTTTCACGACGTTGGCCAGGCTGGTCTCAAACTCCTGATCTCAAGTGATCCACCTGCCTCTGTGTCCCAAATTGCTGGGATTACAGGCATGAGCCACCGCACCGGCCATGCTTTCAGTTTTCAAGAAAGAAGACACCATTATTGCTAAAGATTTTGGTAATTTGAGAGATACAATGTATGTTTTCTCCATGTGGATACTAGATAGTAAGGATGTGTTGAATTTGAAGTGTCTATCCAGAAGTATTTTGGGTACTTGTTTAAGGATTGTAAAACAATGTTTCCATTTCTGGATATAATAAATGTATTTGTTAATATAATAAATGAATAGATTAGACCCATAAACTATTTGCAGTGTTGAGTCATTTCCCACAGTTAAAATCAGGATGAAAATATATAGCTGAATACTTGCTTTGTTTCTTGTAACTGATTTCTTTAGTACAGAACCTGCTAAGGCCATCAAACCTATTGATCGGAAGTCAGTCCATCAGATTTGCTCTGGGCCGGTGGTACTGAGTCTAAGCACTGCGGTGAAGAAGATAGTAGAAAACAGTCTGGATGCTGGTGCCGCTAATATTGGTAAGTTTGGGAGAGTTTTAAGCCACAAGAAATGATCAGTGAATGTTGTTGTAGTCAAGAAACATTTGTTATTGAAATAAGACTATCAAGTGTTGATGTAGTAATAAACTATTATTTTTAAGTTAAAGTTAGCACCTATTATGTGCCTAGTACTTAGCTAGGTAGTAATAATAATAACGACAGCTTTTCTTGTGTTCTTATGGTGTGCCAGGCAGGTGTTATGCTAAGAATTGCACAGAAATATCTCATTTAATTTGCAGAATAGCTGGGCGTGGTGTCTGACGCCTGTAATCCTAGCCCTTTGAGAGGCTGAGGTGGGGGGATTGCTTGAAGCCAAGAGTTCAAGACCAACCTGGCCAACATGGGGAGACCTCGTCTCTATTAAAAAATAAAGCAGGCCGGGTGTGGTGGCTCACGCCTGTAATCCCAGCACTTTGGGAGGCCAAGGCGGGTGGATACCTGAGGTCAGGAATTCGAGACCAGCCTGTCCAAAATGGTGAAACTCTGTCTCTACTAAAAATACAAAAATTAGCCAGACCTGGTGGCAGAAGCCTGTAATCCCAGCTACTGGGGAGGCTCAGGAATGAGAATTGTTTAAATTTGGGAGGTGGAGGTTGCAGTGAACCGAGATTGTGCCACTGCACGCCAGCCTGGGGACAGAGCAAGACTCTGTCTCAAAAAAATAAAATAAAATAAAATAAAATAAATCCTGGAGTAGTGGCTCACATCTGTAATCCCAGCACTTTGGGAGGCTGAGGGGGGCTGATGCTTTGAGGTCAGGAGTTCAAGACCAGCCTAACCAACGTGGTAAAACCCTGTCTCTACTAAAAATACAAAAATTAGCCAGATGTGATGGTGCATGGCTGTAATCTCAGCTCCTCAGAAGGCTGAGGGAGGAGAATTGCTTAAACCTGGGAGGTGGAGGTTGCAGTGAGCCAAGATCGATTGTGCCACTGCATTCCAGCCTGGGTGACAAGAGCAAAAGTCCATCTCAAAAAATTAAAAAAAAAAAAAAAAAAAGGAAAGAAAAAAAAGAAAATGACAAAATTAAAAAAAAATTATTAATCTGCCAAATAACTTTATGAGATAGAACTTATTACCTCCATTTTACAGTTGAGGAAATTAAGGGACAGTAAATTTCCTTTTTTTGAGATTATAAAGCTAATAAAATAGAATCTAGGAAGTCTGATTCCAGAACCAGTTCTGTTTTTTTTTTCTTTTTTTTTTTTTTTGAGATAGAGTTTTGCTCTTGTTGCCGAGGCTGCGGTGCAATGGCACGATCTCAACTCACTGCAACCTCCACCTCCCAGGTTCAAGCGATTCTCCTGCCTCAGCCTCACAAGTAGCTGGGATTACAGGCATGCACCACCACGCCTGGCTAATTTTGTATTTTTAGTAGAGATAGAGTTTCTCTACGTTGGTCAGGCTGGTCTCGAACTACTGACCTCAGGTGATCCGCTCGCTTTGGTCTCCCAAAGTGCTGGGATTACAGGCATGAACCACTGCGCCCGGCCCCCGTTCTCCTTACTGGGTATGTTAAAATTATTTCTTTCAAAGGAAAAGGCTGGTCAAAGTGCAACGGTCTTTACAACTAATTGATCACAACCAGTTACAGATTTTTTTGTTCCTTCTCCACTCCAACTGCTTCACTTGACTAGTGTAAGGAAAAAAAAAAAAAAAAGAGGAAAGAAAGAAAATGCTAAACTATTTAATCTGGGCTAGTAAATGGCCAGAAAGAACTTTATAAAAATGAAATATACAAAATGACACTAGTATGTTTAACTAAAGGTATAGTTACGACACTTAAATTTGCACGTTATAAATAATATCAATATAAAAACTGATAGCGTGGGTCCATTTTTAATAAATATATAAATATTTTAAACTTTCTAGATCTAAAGCTTAAGGACTATGGAATGGATCTCATTGAAGTTTCAGGCAATGGATGTGGGGTAGAAGAAGAAAACTTCGAAGGCTTAAGTAAGTTAACTTTCTAATCCTATTACAAAATAATTGGGCCACATGTCTTAGAATTTTGAGTAACACTGTCTTGGGAAACACAAAAACAGTTTTCTAAAGCCAGTTACTAGATATCATGTATATTTGTTGTTATAGCACTTGAGATATCTTAGTCCTTACTTTACAGTCTCTTTCAGCTCTGAAACATCACACATCTAAGATTCAAGAGTTTGCCGACCTAACTCGGGTTGAAACTTTTGGCTTTCGGGGGAAAGCTCTGAGCTCACTTTGTGCACTGAGGTGATAAAATATTTTTATCCATTCACTTGACCCCTTAGAAAAACCTCTCTGAAAATTAATTGGAATCATTATTATTTACAATTTTCTATCTCAATATCTCAGCTTCTAGCTTCTGAATTCTGTTTTGTCTCACTGCCAATCTAAGTCCTAGTACTTCTGAAATGTGAGCAATAAATGAATGAAATGAAGCAAATAGTATTGTTTAAAAAATTGGTTACCCTTATTAAAACAGTAACTTCTCAATTTGAACATAACATATAGATAATAAATGATAGTTACCATTGGTTTTCATTATCAATTTTTAGGGAAACATTTCACCAAAGCACTATTTAATTACAGCACAGATACTAAATTTTTATAAATAATTACATGCACACACACATATATATACATATATATACATATATACATATATATATACATATATACATATATACATATATATATACATATATATACATATATACATATATATACATATATACATATATACATATATATACATATATATATACATATATATACATATATATATATATATATATATATATATTTTTTTTTTTTTTTAGACAGAGTCGCACTCTGTCACCCAGGCTGGAGTGCAGTGGCACAGTCTCAGCTCACTGCAGTCTCTGCCTCCCAGGTTCAAGTGACTTTCGTGACTCAGCCTCCTGAAGAGCTGGGACTATAGCGTGCACCACCACTCCTGGCTAATTTTTGTATTTTTAGTAGAGATGGGGTTTTGCCATGTTACCCAGGCTGGTCTGGAACTCCAGGCCTCAAGTGATCTGCCCTCCTTGGCCTCCCAAAGTGCTGGAATTACAGGCATGAGCCACCGTACCCTGCCCTACATATACATTTTAATTATAATATCTTTTGGATTCTTTAAAAAAAATTTTAAAAATTTTAAAAAATTCTTTAAAAAAATTCTTTTAAAAAATTTTGTTTGAAGAGTAATAACAAAACAAATCTCTATTTGAGAATCAATAAATCTTGAGATCATTTATGGTTTTGCAATTCAACCTGAAAAATGAAGTCAAAGCTTTTATCAAAACAAAGCATGTTTAGTGCTCTCTGTCTCACTGTCTTTTAGATGCCAGACCTTAGATTTTGTGATGACTCCTCAACCGTTTAGATCTCGGTTATCTCAGAGGGATCATCAGCTTTTTAAGAAAATTTTGAGAGAAAAGCAAGTGAAGAAAAGAGTAGTCAGTGCCCAACATCATGGATCTCTCACTGAACACACCATGCCTGGTATTCTCTCACAGTGATGTCACCATTTCTACCTGCCACGTATCGGCGAAGGTTGGGACTCGACTGGTGTTTTTGATCACGATGGGAAAATCATCCAGAAAACCCCCTACCCCCACCCCAGAGGGACCACAGTCAGCGTGAAGCAGTTATTTTCTACGCTACCTGTGCGCCATAAGGAATTTCAAAGGAATATTAAGAAGGTACAGTAAATTAATCCTGGTTTTCAAGAGTATTGGTTAATGCACATGAGCAAAAGATTTACTAAAGATGTTTATTCTTCAGTTGATTCTCTTCCCATAATTTATTGAGAAATGCTTTATTTGCATTTCTCATTAAAGACTTAACTTCAGGATGATTTACTTTTTTCTTTTTATCACATAATGTTTATTAGGACTGGGAAACATAGTGAGAGTCTGTCTCTATGAAAAATTAAAAAAAAAATTGACTGGGCATGGTGGCATGCACCTGTAGTTCCAGCTACTTGGGAGGCTGAAGTGGGAGGATCACCTGAGCCCAGGAACTTGAGACTGCAGTGAGCTACGATTGCGTCACTACACTTCAGACTGTGAGACAGAGTAAGACCCTGTCTGGAAAAATATATATACATATATATACATTTTTTTTATTTTTTATTTTTATCTTTTTTTGAGATGGAGTCTCACTTTGGCGCCCTGGCTGCAGTGCAGTGGCGCGATCTCAGTTCACTGCAACCTCCACCTGCCAAGTTCAAGCGATTCTCCTGCTTCAGCCTTCTGAGTAGCTACCATTACAGGCGCGCGCCACCACGCCCGGCTAATTTTTGTATTTTCAGTGGAGACGGGGTTCCACCATGTTGTCCAGGCTGGCCAGGCTGGTCTCGAATTCCTGCCCTCAGGTGATCCGCCCACCTCGGCCTCTCAAAGTGCTGGGATTACAGGCGTGAGCCACCATGCCTGACCTTATGTACTTATATTTTTATGAGAATATTTCTCTTGGTTTTCTGATAAATGAGTTACTGGAACCCTTATGAATTTGAATGCAAATGAAACAGCTAAATGTTATATAATTGTTGTGTTTAAAAAGCAGATTATAAAACTGTCTGTATTATATGATTACAGTTTTATAAAAACAAAACAGGCCTAAATGTGTATAGTATAAAGACTGAAGAGTCAGCACTTCCATGTTCTCAGCGGTTATCCTTGGATGTGAGATCTCATGCACTTTTTGCTCTCTTCTTTGTGCCTTTCCATTTTGCATGCGTATTTCTTATAATCTAAAAAGTTACTTAAACATATGCAGCTAAAAACTTTTTTTACTTGTAAAGCGTTTGGTGCTAATTTTAACTTTTTTTTTTAGACGGAGTCTTCTCACTCTGTCGCCCAGGCTGGAGTGCAGTGGTGTGATCTTGGCTCACTGCAACCTCCGCCTCCTGGGTTCAAGTGATTCTCCTACCTCAGCCTCCCAAGTAGCTGGGATTATAGGTGTGTGTCACCACACCCAGCTAATTTTTGTATTTTTAGTAGAGATGGGGTTTCACCATGTTGGCCAGGCTGGTCTTGCACCCCTGACCTCAAGTGATCTGCCCACCTCAGCCTCCCAAAGTGCTGGGATTACAGGCGTGAGCCACCACGCCTGGCTTTTTTTTTTAAAGCTTTTTTGTAAGTCAGCCAGCAAGAACACAGGAGGAAGTACTCAAATCTCCCTTACACAGCTGGGGGCTGTGTCAGGTTTTATAAGCATAGGGTAATGAGGTGTGATTTGATTGGATCTTGCAATAAAGTAATGCTGGGAGGTGTGATCTGACTGGATCCTGCCATGGGGTGACACCAAAACTCAATCTGATTGGATCCTGGCTCCTGCCTGGGGGTGTCTGGTTCTTAAATCGGTCCGGGCTCTTCAGGCTGAGCTCTTAGGTTCCACTCCACGGTGGCACGCGTGGTTAACCTGGGCATGCACAGGGTACATGACCTTCAACCTGCAGGTCGATGGCAATTGGAAAACAACTGACAACTTCATTACATAAAAGTTGAACTGATTCGGGTGCGGTGACTCACGCCTGTAATCCCAGCACTTTGGGAGGCCAAGGCAGGTGGATCACCTGAGGTCGAGGAGTTCAAGACCAGCCTGGCCAAAATGGTGAAACCCCGTCTCTACTAAAAATATAAATATTAGCCAGGCGTGGTGGCGCACCCTTGTAATCCCAGCTACCCCAGAGGCTGAGGCAGCAGAATGCTTGAACCTAGGACGTGGAGGTTGCAGTGAGCTGAGATCGTGCCATTGCACTCCAGCCTGGGTGACAAGAGTGAAACTCCATCAAAAAAAAAAAAAGTTGAACTAGATTTGGTCTGATGCAGTTACAGATTTACAAACCGCGTCCCACCCTCCTGCCAACACCTTCCACTCCTCATTCTTGAGGGATTAGGGATGGAGGTCATGCTTCTGTATCGACTTCATGCTGACCAGGGGCACTTAGTCCCCTAAAGTGAGAGGAATGAAACTCTTGGGCTTCTGAGTTCAGATGAGTTCTGGGGTCACCCGGAGTAGCTTGAAAGGCTGGTATTGTTGTAATACAAGCTGAAGGTGGAAGTGTTGGATCCTGGAGGACAAACAGCTCACCATCCATTTAAATAAATAGGACCAAAAAGTAACAGAACAGTGGCCACGAGGGGCCCCAACAGAGGAAGAAACCAGGTGAGGTGTGGTATAGTGGACTCGACTGCCTTCTAAATCTCAGTGGTTGTCCGGGTGCGGTGGCTCACGCCTGTAATTCCAGCAAAAGAAGAGCCGAGGCAGGGTGATCACGAGGTCAGGAGTTCAAGACCAGCCGGGCAAACATGGTGAAACCCCGTCTCTACTGAAAATACAAAAATTAGCCAGGTGTGGTGGCGTGTGCTGTAGTCCCAGCTACTAGGGAGGCTGAGGCAGGAGAATTGCTTGAACCTGGGAGGCGGAGGTTGCAGTGAGCCGAGATTGTGCCACTGCACTCCAGCCTAGGTAACAGAGCAGGACCCCATCTCAGTCAATCAATCAATCTCAGTGGTTGAACTACCCTTGATATGGTTCAGCTCTGTATCCCCAACCAAATCTCATGTCCAATTGCAATTCCCAGTGTTGAGGGAGGGACCTGGTGGGAGATGATTGGCTCATGGCGGCTGACGTCCCCCTTGCTGGTCTCGTGATAGTGAGTGAGCGCTCATGGGATCTGGTTGTTTAGAAGCATGCAGCACCTCCTGCTTCACTCTCTCTGTCTCTCCTGCTCCACCATGGCCAGAAACGTGCCTGCTTCCCCTTCGCCTTCTGCCGTGATTGTCAGTTTCTTGAGGGCTCCCCAGCCATGCTTCCTGTACAGCCTGCAAAACTGTGAGTCAATTAAACCTCTTTTCTTCATAAATTCCCCAGTTTCCAGTAGTTCTTTATAGCAGTGTGAAAACAGACTAATGGACCCTTCTGGTTGAAGGAATGTAGCCATTCTGCTTGTTTAAGTATTTCCTTTCTATTCATCTCTATTTCCCGGGAGGTGTTTATCCAAGTGCAATAGGAGATATTGGTGACTGCAGAGTCCCCTCAGTGTTCTGCTAGTAAATAGTTGAAGGTTGATCAGTGATCTCCAGCATTTTCAGTCTGGCATGGAAAAGCCCCCATGTAACTGGTAAAGGTATCAGTAAGCACCAGGAGGTATCTAAATCCACCAGGAGCCATAGGCATCATGTTGATGTCCATTTACCAGTCTTCCCTGGCAAGATTCTCTGAATTGTACTGCCTTGGCCAAAAGAGGTATGGGAGGGGCTGGGCACAGTGGCTCACGCCTGTAATCCCAGCATTTTGGGAGACCAATTCGGGTAGATCATTAGAGGTCAGGGGTTCAAGACCATCCTGGCCAACATGGTGACATTCCATCTCTACTAAAAATACAAAAAGTCAGCGGGGTTTGGTGTTGGGTGCCTGTAATCCCAGCTACTCGGGAGGCTGAGGCAGGATAATCACTTGAACCTGGGAGGAGGAGGAGGTGGCAGTGAGCTGAGATCTCGCCATTGCACTCCAGCCTGGGCAACAAGAGCGAAACTTCATCTCAAAAAATAAAAAAAGAAGTCTGGGTGTGGTGGCTCGTGCCTGTAATCCCAGGACTTTGGGAGGCCAAGATGGGTGGATCATGAGGTCAGGAGTTCAAGACCAGCCTGGCCTAGATGGTGAAACCCTGTCTCGAGTAAAAATACAAATATTAGCTGGGCATGGTGGCACACACCTGTAATCTCAGCTACTCAGAAGTCTGAGACAGAAGAATTGCCAAAACCCGGGAGGGAGAGGTTGCAGTGAGCCGAGATCGCGCCACTGCACTCTAGCCTGGGCGACAGAGCAAGACTCCGTCTCGAAAGAAAGAAAGAGAAAGGAAATTCCCCAGGGAAGTACCTCGGCTTATTTCATGAAGAGGTACTGAAGGAAGCAGAGGCATGTGGAGGACTTCCCCACCTCGTGCAGCTATTTGGGCCGTGGCGTCTGAAATTTCTTATTTCAGAGTCACCCCTTTGATGACCTTGGCAGTGGACTGCAGTCATCTGTTTAGGCCTCTCCATGGCCCGTGTCAATGCCGATATTTCTGTCTGTTGCACATTTGATTTCCTTGTTGTTGGCATTTAGAAGGCCCCCTGTTTCCCAGATCACACCACGGGCATGGACCGCAGAGATTGCATCTTGTGAGTCTGTAGAAACAGTCAAGGCCTTGTCCTCTCTTAGGTCCAGAGCTCAGGTGAATGCAGATTTTCCCGGCCATCTGTGCTGAAGTCCCTGTGGGGAGGCTCCTGGCTGGTTTCCTGTAGGTAGACAGCTACACATCCTGCCCTTCATTGGCTTCTTTTCATGAAGCTCCTGCTGTCTACAAAACATGTCTCCCTTTTCTTCTTGAACCACATCTCTGTTATTGAAACTCTAGAAGTCAGCCAGGCACAGTGGCTATGCCTGTAATCCCAGCACTTTGGGAGGCCAAGGTGGGTGGATCACCTGAGGTCAGGAGTTCAAGACCAGCCTGGCCCACATGGCGAAACCCTGTCTCTAATACAAATACTAAAATTAGCCAAGCATGGTGGCCACTGCACTCCAGCCTGGGTGACAGAGCAAGACTCTGTCTCAAATAAAGAAAGAGAAAGTATCATGCTTTTCAGAGTTCTGTGGGTTGTTATGGTGAATTATCAAACCTGAGGACGTGGTGGGAACCTCCAAATTTGCAGCCAGTTGGTGAGAAGTACATGCGGTCTGTGGACACCCAAGCTTGCAGCTGCATCTGAAGCGAGGGCAGCCTAGCGGGGGCTGGTGGCCTTAACCTGTGGCATTTGATGTAACATCAGGGAGTTGACATCAGAATTACGTCACACAGGCCAGGTGCAGTGGCTCATGCTTATAATCCCAGCAATTAGAAAGGCAAGATAAGAAGATTGCTTGAGCTTGAGTCTGAGCCCACAGTGAGCTATGACCGCACCACTGCACCCCAGTCTGGGTGACAGCACAAGACCCCGACTCCAAAAATAAAAAAGAAAAATCACAAAGAATTGCATGGCAGAGTGCCTGTCTTTCACAGCTTGAACTGTTGCAGGAACTTTCTTTTTTTTTTTTTCTTTTGTGATGGAGTCTCGCGCTTTCACCCAGGCTGGAGTGCAGTGGCGCGATCTCTGCTCACTGCAGGCTCCGCCTCCTGGGTTCACACCATTCTCCTGCCTCAGCCTCCGGAGTAGCTGGGACTACAGGCGCCTGCCACCGCGCCCAGCTAATTTTTTGTATTTTTAGCAGAGATGGGGTTTCACCGTATTAGCCAGGATGGTCTTGATCTCCTGACCTCATGATCCACCCACCTCAGCCTCCCAAAGTGCTGGGATTACAGTCCTGAGCCACCGCGCCTGGACTTTTTTTTTTTTTTTGAGAGGGGTTGGGGAGACATATTCTCTGCTAGTGATTCTCCTGCCTGGTCTCGAACTCCTGCTGGGATCACAGGCGTGAGCCACCACGCCCAGCCACCTTTAGAGTTTTCTTACCACCTGGTTTTCCTCTCTCAATATCTTTCTCTCATTTCCTGCTTTAAAACTCTAGCTTGGGGTCTGGGCACAGTAGCTCATGCCTATAATCCCAGCACTTTGGGAGACTGAGGCGGGTGGATCACTTGAGGTCAGGAGTTTGAGACCAGCCTGGCCAACATGGTGAAACCTTGTCTCTACTATTTTTACAAAAGTTAGTCAGACGTACAGGCGGATGCCTGTAGTCCCAGCTACTTGGGAGGCTGAGGCAGGAGAATTTGCTTGAACGCGGAGGTGAAAGTTGCAGGGAGCCGAGGTTGTGCCACTGCACTCCAGCCTGGGAGACAGAGCGAGACTGTCTCCAAAACAAACAAACAAACAAACAAACAAAAAAACCCTGTAGCTTGGGATCAGCCTTCTCTTCTGTTGTTTTTCTTTAAAAAATAAAAATTAAAAATAGGCTTCAAGTGATCCTCCCGCCATGACCTCCAAAACTGCTGGGATTGTAGGTGTGAGCACTGCACCCAGCCGTATGTTTTTTTCTACATAAAAAACAGCACAGGATTATCTTCCAAAGCTAATAAATATGTTCAAATAACCACAACCCCATTAAGGAAAAATGTCACTTGACAGCAAATAATCAATCCAGACCACAATATGATCACACTCACTGTGAAGGTGAGAAAAGTTCATCTTTATTATGTTTCCCCAAGAGATGCACTGCACTGTTCTCTTGAAAACACACAGCTCATGTCCTCCTTTAGAACACACATCCTCTTTAAAGTAACATACAAACATGCCAAAACAAGATAAAAAATTCCATCTGAATTCTCACATTTCAAACATACACTAAATATCAAATAAAAATTTATTTTTACAAGAATTTAGGGGAACTACCACATAGCTATAAATGTAATATATATGTTAACTAAGTATCATAGATAAAAACCATGCTCCCTTCAGCAGCACGTGTAATAATAGATACAAAGATTGAAAGGTAAAAGATTTAGGATGAAAAGAATCCTCTCTTAAAAAGGAAAACAAAATTATATGTATGTGTATACAACAGTTATAATACCCATCACACAGCTTTATAGAAACAGCATCTATTCAAAAATACCAGTATTTCCAAAATATTTAAAATAATATTTAAAGTAATAATAATATTTAAATAAATAAATATATTTAATAAATATTTCAGTAAATAAAATAATATTTAAATAATTCTATACCCATGTTTTTCAAAATAAACCAATAAAATAGATAGTATATATTAGACGTGTTAGTATATATATCTGAGACATGTTAAAAATCACAACTGAATTCTCACAAGTCAGTCACAAACCTAAACAGCAAATAAAAATTTCTATCACCAGAATTATGTTTTTTTCTGGTGGGGAACTACCAATAGCTATAAATAGAAGAGATTATTATGGAAGTATCATAGATAAAAAGAGTGCTCGCTTCAGGAGCACATATAATAATACAGAAAAAAAATTAAAGATAATAAAAGATTTAGGATAAAAAGAATTCTCACTTAAAAATGAAAAGAAAATTATCTTTAGGTATATATAACAACTATAACTCTCATCAAAAAACTCTACAGGAACAGCATGTTTTCAAAAGTACAACAATTTCCAAACTATTTGAAATAAACCTATTAATAATTCAATGGCCAACATTTTCCAAACAAACCAATAAAATGCATAGTGTGCATGAAGCTATCTGTTACAGTCTGTGGCACTCATATTTCACAAAGAATTCTGTGCCAATCTGAGCCCCTGCACTGTGCCTTCAAATGCTCCTGGACTGTGGCAACCAAGTCCATAAGAAACAGGACCTCCAGGTTCCGCCCCAGGGAGGTTGGCATTCAGCAATATAAAAAGGGAGGTGGTGCCGCAGGAAAGGGTGGAACTGGAAACACTCCTGGTTTCTTACTTTTCTCCAAGGACTCCTAGAAGTACCCCACCCCACCCCTGCTCCTTGGAGGACAACGTGATCACTGTATTCAGCTCTGTCAAGAATGGTCCAGGTTCTTCTAGATGATCTGCACAAATGGTTCCTCTCCTCCTTCCTGATGTCTGCCATTAGCATTGGAATAAAGTTCCTGCTGAAAATCCACATCTCCCCTGGGTCCGGTGTTCTGGAAGTGAGAGAGACAATGTCACACTTGAAGGAGGCAGCTCTCTAGACAGGAAGGTTATTCACGTCCCATGTCAAGTCTAGCTAGAGTTCAGAGCAATTGAGAAGTGCAATTTTATCTCCTGCCTTTCATTCTATACCCTGCTTCTGAACCATCGTGTTCAACTGTGAAACTCACACTTTGGTGACCCTGACTCCAAAACTTAATACACCCAAGGTCAGCCCCAGTGATCTGCTTCATAGCCAGGACTTTGGGTGGGTCTTCCCAGGGAGTAGGGCACCCTCAGAGAATGTGGCTTTGGACTTCATCACAGCTGGGGCCTTTTGTGTCACTTCAGATCTAAACTTGTAACCGTGCTAGATCTGTTTCTAACGTGACAACATCACGAACCACGAGTCCAGAAGCCTAATCCATAATCCTCCCTCCTCATGACGAAGTCTCATGCTCTGTGCTCAACATGGTTAGCTGCACAAGATGTAAACCAAAGCTTCACTGAACCCTCGACCCAAATCGGTAACTCAAGTGCATCAATCATAATGAACCTCCCCGAACTCAGTATTTATGATTATTTTTGAGGCAGGGTCTCACTCTGTCGCCCGGGCTGGAGTGCAGTGGCAGGATCAGGGCTCCCTGCAGCCCCGACCTCCCAGGCTCCAGCGATCCTCCCGCCTCAGCCTCCTGAGTAGTTGGGAGTAGAGATGCCTCCCACATCGCCTGGCTAATTTTTGTATTTTTGTGGAGAGGGGATCTCGCCACGTTGCCCAGGCTTGAAGCCAGATCAAGCAATTGGGTTCCTTGGATTTCCGAAATAGACCCCAATATTCTGCCTTTACCCCGGAGGATGCAGATGTACCTTCTCTCAGGCCGATGACCTCAGGCCTCCACGGTCCCTGGAGCTCTAGGAAAGGTGGGCGCGATCTCGCGCCCACACCCAGTGCTCTGGGTCATAAGCCTGGATCTGGAAAAACAAACGCGCTTTGAGAAGACGGGGACTCCCCAGGATACCCCTCTCTCCCCTCGTCCAGCCTCCAGCCCACCCGATTCCTCCCCACATCCTCCACGTCCCCAGGCCCCACCCACCTCTTCCAACTCCTCCAGGGAAACCCAAGCCCTGCAGCGCATGGAACAAAAGAAGTGGAACCGATACTTCCGGAACAAGGCTATCTGAGAGCAGTTCTTCCTGGCCCTCGGGTTCATGTAACGGCATAACTGGAACCAAAGCTCACTGAGCAAGGGTATATGAGAGCGGGTCTCCTCGTACAGGAAGTAGAAGATGTTTTGTTTGGGGGCCTCGTCGTCCTCCTCCATGTCATTGGCCAGATAGCTGAGGACAGAAATCAGGTTGCTGCTCAGGGGCACCACCAGGAGAGACCTCCGGCTGAGGTCAGCTTCTCAGAGAGGAAGGTAAGGGACCGTCCCTAGCTCAGGACTGGCACCCACCCTGCAGAGAGCCACGCCTTCCTCAGGAGGGCTCTGCTGGACAGAGACCTGATCAAGGGCGTCTCCCACTCCTTCAGGATGGAGACAAAAACCCAACTGGTGACCAAGAGTGGTGGCTTATGCCTGGAATCCCAGCACACTGGGAGGCCGAAGCAGGAGGATCACTTGAGGCCAGGAGTTTGAGACAGGCCTGGGCAACATAGCAAGACCCTCGTCTCTATTAAAAATATAAAAAATACGCCAGACGTGGTGGCTCATGCCTGTAATCCCAGCGCTTTGGAAGGCTGAAGCAGGTGGATTGCTTGAGACCAGGAGTTTGAGACCAGCCTGGTCAACACAGAGAAACCCCATCTATACTAAAAATACAAAAATCAGCCTGGTGCGGTGGCACACCCATTAGTCCTAGCTACTCAGGAGGCTGAAGCATAAGAATTGTGTGAACCCAGGAGGCGGAGGTTGCAGTGAGCCAAGATTGGGCCCCTCCATTCCAGCCTGAGAGACACAGCAACACTCTTGTCTTGATAAATAAATAAATAAATAAATAACTGTCCAGGTGTGGTGGTACAGCCCTGTAGTCGGAGCTAATCAAGAGGCTGAGGTGGGAGGATCGCTTGAGCCCAGGATATGGAGGCTGCGGTGAGCTATGATCTCACCACTGCACTCCAGCTTAGGGGACAGGGCAAGTCTGTCTCAAAAAAAAAAAAAAGCAATTGAATACACTGATATTTTGCCAGGACCCTGCCTTCTACAGGCATCTAGTCTAATGGGACTGGGAGTAATCAGGGGAGATGACCTAATCCCAATGTCACATTATAATAGGATGTAACTGGAGAGCTACGGGCATGCAGAAGTTGGAAGACGAGGGAAGGCATCACAGAGGCTGTGGGGTGAACCGACTTCAAGGAATGGGTCCTTCCCTTCAGAACCACATGTGTGCGGGACACCCAGACAGAAAACACAAATGCAAAGTCAAGTGGAGGGCATTTGGAAGGAGCAGTGAAGCCAAGCCAGGAAACACCAAGATGGCGAGCCAGTGTGGTTGTAGAGATTGTAGAGAGGGTGGAATTGGCACTGTGGACCCTGGCCTCGATAGAGAAAGACATCAGCTAAGGAAGTTGTTCAGGTGGGCAGTGAGGTTGTCGTGCTTTGGAAAGATGTTCAGGCTGCACTAGGAAGCCCCCTGGCTTGGGGAGAGACTCCAGGAAACCCCAGCAGGGAGCATTTGACAGTGGATTCGAGTGATGCAAGGGGGACCTGGACTGTGACCTCTGTCACGGGAACCCGGAGGAGGCTGATGGCTTTTGCGGTTGATGTGGGAAGGAGAGAGAACAACCGGAAACGTCTGCTTGCTGGGGGAAGTGTCATGTCCGCTCCTCCGCTCCTTTTCTTCTCCCCTTAGGAGCGGTTCATGGTTCCTTTTGTTTTTTGTTCTTTTTTTTTTTTTTTTTTTGAGACTATAATCCTGTCTTTTTTGTACACAGAGTAAAGAGGACAAATAGGTGAAAGAATAAATGAAAGGCTGGAATCCCACTTCCCCCGCTGTCCCAGGGCATTGGATATTGACGGATAGGAGGCAGCAAACCACTCACAGAGCCAGGAAGAAATGAATGCGTTGGTATTGCCAGGAGGGGAGGCCGGCCCGGCTGAAATACGCTATGACCATAGCCAGGAGATACTGATGGAGAGAAAGGAACACAGAGAGGGAGAGGTCACATCTTGGGAGAGGAAGATTGTGGATATAGTGGAATGGGGGTCTGGGGAGGGGTTGCCCATCAGAGAAGGGACCTCAGTGTTGGGGTGACTGTGCTCATGTGGAAATTGCGGGGTGGAGGGGTATTCGAAGGTCGGATGCAAATCCGAGAAGCCGGAGGAAGGGTTTTTGGTGATGCTCCCAGGATGGTGGGCTCCGATGGGATCTTTGGAGGGGGTGTGTCTAGGTCGGCTGGTGTCAGGAGGGTCTTTTGTGTGCCAGGCAGAGAACTGTCCCAAGGAGCTGAGAGTAGAGGGCCCAGGAGCTTCAGGGCTGCAGCCAGACTGTGGCCCAGGGCTCAGATCCCAAAGGACCCATAGGAGAGGCAGGGGCCACTCATTCACTCTGCAAGAGACCAGCAGAATCCTGACGGAGATGCTGACAAATCATAAAAAGACAAAGAATAGCCGGGAGTGGCAGCTCAAGCCTGTGATCCCAGTACTTTTTGAGAGGTGGAGACAGGAGGATCATGTGAGCCCAACAGTTGGAGAACAACCTGGGCAACACAGCGAGACCCTGTTTCTAAGAAGATTTCAAAAATTAGTTGAGCATGGTAGCATGTGCCTAGTCCCAGCTCCTCAGGAGGCTAAGGAAAGAGGATTGCTTGAGCCCAGGAATTAGAGTGAGCTATGATCATGCCACTGTACTCCATCCTGGGGAGCAGAGCTGGATTCTGTCTCAGAAAAAAAAATGTGTGGGTGCCAAGACTCAAGACCATGGGAGCTGGTCAGACACAGTGCTGACGTCTGTAATCTCAGCACTTTGGGAGGCCAAGGCGGGTGGATCACCTGAGGTCAGGTGTTCGGGACCAATCTGGCCAACATGGCAAAACCCCGTCTCTACTAAAAACACAAAAATTAGCCAGGCGTGGTGGTTCATGTTTGTAATCCCAGCTGCTTGGAGGCTGAGGTGGGAGAATCGCTTGAACCCAGGAGGCATCAGCTGCAGTGAGTCAAGATCGAGACACTGCCCTCCAGCCTGGGCAGCAGAGCAAGACTGTGTCTCACAAAAAAAAACAAAAACAAAAACAAAAAAAAACTGTAGGAGCATCTGGTGGGAGGTGGTGGACGGAGAACTGTGGGTTTGGAAGCTGCGCCCTCCCCCTGGCCGTGCGTTAGAACAGGAACACAGTTACATAGAGAACAACCTTACCTTGTCCGACACCCTCAGATCTTTGTCCCAGGCCAGGAGTCTTTTAATGACAGGATCCTCTGTGATTAGAGAGCAGATGTCAGTGTGAGAAGCAGGACAGGGTTTCCGTGAGAGCAGCAGGGCAGCGAGGAGAAGTGTGCCTCCCGGGGGAAAGTCTCAGGATTGTGGCCGCGGGTGAGGTGGATGAGAGAGGGGAGAATGACTTTCACTGGGCAAGGGAGAGAGGCTCCTGCTCTGAGACTCCCCTGAGAAGAGGCCGAAGGAGGCCCTGGGTGTGAGAATCTACAGGATGTAGAGCTGGGAATCAGCCAGGACCCCCTCCAGCAGACACGGAGGGACCACTGCAGAGTCATAAAGGAATTCCCATCATTTCCTCATGAGACAGTCACACATCAGGGTGTGACCATGGCCTTGGTATCCCTCACTATGGATGGAAACACTTAGGTTTAGAAAAGTCAGTAAGAAACATTAAGTTTCAGAGGGCACAGCTGAAACCACTTTTTTGATTTTTGATTTTGTTTTTCTTTATTTGATTTTTATTTTTATTTATTTATTAATTTATTTTGAGACAGAGTCTTGCTCTGTGGGCCAGGCTGGAATGCATTGGCCTGATCTTGGCTCACTGCAACCTCTGCCTCCTGGGTTTAAGCAGTTCTCCTGTCTCAGCCTCCCGAGTAGCTGGAACTACAGGGATGAGCTACTGTGCCCAGCCTTGGTTTTTCTTTTGACGCAGAGTTTTGCTCTGTCACCCAGGCTGGAGTGCAGTGGTGCAGTCATAGCTCACTGCAGCCTCAAAGTCCTGAGTTCAAGCAATCCTCTTGCCTCAGCCTCCCAACGTGCTGGGATCTCAGGCGGGAGCCACAGCGCCTGGCCCAAAACCAAGCTTTCTTATCCCAAGCACCGACCTTTATCAAGTCTACCTAATCCTCTGTTGTCTCCTAAGTGTCCCTCATGAGTGATCACTTCAGAGTCCTCCCGCATGGAGAGCTCACCCACTGGGGCATATTTTTCCCATTGGAAAAGTGTGGTTATTGGAAGTTTCCTCTTTAGAAAGAACAGGATTGGAGGTGCTCTCTGGGGTGTCCTCCTACCAAGCAGCCTGTTGAAGGCCTCGTAGTACTCAGGGAGCACGAGCGACACTCGCCGTCGCTTCGCCTTCATCTTGAGGCCACACAGCGTCTCCGCCACCCAGGTCTCCTCAGGCTCAGGGGCGAGCTCCTTCTCTGGCTCATCATCAGATTCATCCAAACATTCCCTCTTCCTTTTCCAGCCAAGGGACCTACGTGGGGGGCTGGGATCTACCCCAGGGGCTGAGTAAAGAAACCAGGCCACCGTGTAATGCTTCTGCAACTGATCACGTTAGACCCCGACCCCAAACCCCAAACCACTCTCCATCCTCCCCAGCCTCGCAGACTGCTGGCTTCTCCAAGCCACCTTTCTGACTTTCTCCTCTGCTCAACCCCATGTGCCACTCCTTCCCCTCCCCATTCTTCCCTCTCTCTGTCCTCAGAACACTGCCTCATATCCTTCCCTGGTCCCTGGCTCTCTGAGTCCCTCTTTTTTTTTTTTTTTTTTTGTTTCGAGACAGAATCTTGCTTTGTCACCCAGGCTGGAGTGTAGTGGTGCAATCTCAGCTCACTGCAACATGCATCTCCCGGATTCCAGTTATTCTCCTGCCTCAGCCTCTCAGGTAGCTGGGATTACAGGTGCCTGCCATAATGCCCAGCTCCATTTTGTACTTTTAATAGAGACAGGGTTTCACCATGTTGGCCAGGCTGGTCTCAAACTCCTGGCCTCAAGTGATCCGCCTGCCTTGGCTTCCCAAAGTGCTGGGATTACAAGTGTGAGCCACTGCACCCAGCCTGAATTTCTCCATTCTTCCCACACACCCTCCCCAGGTTCTCCTTCCTGACCTCTGACCCTTCTTTTTTTTCTTCTTTTTTTTTTTTTCTTCTTTTTTTTTTTTGAGATAGCATCTCACTCTGTCACCCAGACTGGAGTGCAGTAGCACGATCTCGGCTCACTGCAACCTCTTCCTCCCAGGCTCAAGTGATTCTCCTGTCTTAGCCTCCCAAGTAGCTGGGATTATAGGCACACACCACTACCGCCTGGCTAATTTTTGTACTTTTAGTAGAGATGGGGTTTCACCATGTTGGCCAGGCTGGTCTTGAACTCCTGACCTCAGGTGATCTGCCCGCCTCAGCCTCCCAAAGTGTTGGGGTTACAGGGGTGAGCCACCACGCCTGGCCCCCTTCCTTCATCTTAGTCAATCCTATGCCACCTCTTCTTTCTCCAGTCCCCTCACCTGATGGTCCCAACACTTCATCATCCACCACCTCCTGGAGGGGGTACCCTGAGGTGCTCCGCTGGGGGCTCCGCTCTTCCTGGGGCTGCGGTTGATGGCTCATCATGATCTTTCCCAAAATCTGTCCCATCTCACCAAACCTAGTCTCTGTTCTGTCCTTGGTCTTCTTCTGGACACTGCTGGGATCCAGAAGAGTGTGTTATCAATTCTCGAGGCTGGGAGAAGTCAGGAGTGGAGAACAGCTCTGAGAAGTTACTGTTGTCCAACTGAACTCCCAGGTGCCGACAGAGTCCGGTCCCTCCAATCAGGAAGGTCGGAATCTCTGATGTCATCGCTCATGCCAACCTGGCAACCAGTTTGAAAAAAAACACATGTAACTGCCAGGCTGATCTCTTGTCCTGGAGATCCTGGGTGAATGGTATCTCCTGCCACTGTCCCAACCTCAGACCACTGTCCAAAAGCATCTTCAGGGTCTCCGCATCCCTCTGTTCCCTGTCCCAGCAGAGGCTGTGTCCTCTCCACTCAAAGCTTGAAGCGTGTTGGGGTCTCCTCTTCTCTGTACATGCCCGTTTCAGAGTCCAGTCTGGTGGGAGAGGGATCAGGATGGGAAAGAAAAGTAGGGTAAGCAGAAACGATGAAACCTTACAAGAGTGAGATTATCATGTACAAGAGATCCCAGGAACATTGACTTGATGAAAAAGTCACATCAGAGCACTCAATTTGGCAGAGGTTTTCTGCCGAATGTCTACTGACATTCACTGTCCGAGATTCTGTACTGGGGGTACACGCGTCCTCTGCCCTAAGGCATCTTTGAGTCCAAGAGATACTTTGAGGACTGGAAATCATAGGAAACTGCCCATGAGTTCACACATATTTCCAATGGTGTCCCCAATTTCAGGGAGTCCACGGATCACCTAAAGCCAGCCCCTCCAGTTTGGCTAAGAAACTCTATATATCAAGTTTTGTATCATATGTATTGCTCTTAACTCAGAAAATTCCACCATTTATAGCAGTGGTTTATTTATTTATACCATTGAAGGAAATGGTTTATTTATGAATCTATATTACGGATATTCTATAAGATACTGGGTGTACAAAAAGACTAAGTCGAAAAATCTCAGCTGTGCACAGTGGCTCATGCTTGTAATCCCATCTCTTTGGGTGGCCAAGGGAGGAAGACTGCCTGAGGCCAGCAGTTCAAGACCAGTATAGGCAACATAGCAAGAGCCCATCTCTAAAACAAAACAAAACAAAACAAAACAAAATTAGCCAGGTGTCGTGGCTGGCACCTGTGTTCCAACAACTTGAGAGACTGAGGTGGCAGGAGGATTGCTTGAGCCTAGGAGTTAGGGGCTGCAGTGAGCTGTGATCGTGACACCGCACTCCAGTCTGGGCAACACAGCAAGACCTTGTGTCAAAAAAAATTTTTTAATTAAATATAAAAGAGTTTCATGACATTCAGAGACCATCCAAAGAACCTGTGGGTTCCGGCCAGGCACAGTGGCTCACGCCTGTAATCCCAGCGCTTTGGGAGGCCATAGCAGGTGGATCGCTTGAGGTCAGGAGTTTAAGAGCAGCCTGGCCAACATGGTGAAACCCCATCTCTTCTAAAAATACAAAAAATTAGTCAGGCATGGTGGTGGGTGCCTGTAATCCCAGCCACTCAGGAGGCGGGGACAGCAGAATGGCTTAAACTTGGGAGGCGGAGGTTGCAGTGAGCCAAGGTCACACCATTGCACTCCAGCCTGGGCAACAAGAGCAAAACTACATCTCAAAAAAAACAAACAAACAAACAAAAAGAACCTGTGGATGAGTTCCCACATGGCTTCCTAACGGGCTGCGGCTCTCCTAGGAGTCTCTCGCTCATGGGAAAGGCACAAACTGAATGCGGAAGGAAATCCCATTGCTGTGGAAGTCCCATTGTTAGGAAGCTCTGCTTTTCTGGAGTTCAAATTTGCATTCATGACGCTTTAAACCGTCAGAGCTGGGTGTGTCCTCCTACAACAAATCACTTTACTCTCTCTCCTAGTTAACAGGCTTTCAAATATTAGAACATCCATGTTCTGACCTCATTAAAATTGCTCTTTTGTGGAATGAAAAGCTCTGATTTAACCCGTCTTTAAGCCTGGTATGCATATTCCTCTCTGTTCCGGCCACCTTGTCTAGACACACTACACTGAGGCAGTGCCCATCTTAGATGATGTTGATACATTGTCAAAAAATGGGCAAACCAGGTGCGGCGGCTCACACTTGTAATCCCAGCACTTTTGGAAGCTGATGCCGACAGATAACCAGAGGTGAGGAGGTTGAGATCAGCCTGGCCAACATGGTGAAACCTGTCTGTTTTTCTGTAAAAATACAGAAACAATGAGCTGGGCGTGGGAGTGCACTTCTGTAATCCCAGCTACTTGTGGGGCTGAGGCAGGAGAATCACTTGAACCGGGAAGGTGGAGGTTCCAGTGAGCCGAGATCACGACACTACACTCCAGCCTGGGCGACAGAGTGAGACTCCGACTCAAAAAAAAAAAAAAAAAAAAAAGTGCCAGACAGCCCAGGTTTGGTCTGATATGTTCAGAAAAAAGCAAAACAGTCACCTCTCACCTTTTCTTTTCCTGCAATGATGCCGTTTAATACAACAATGGCTGTAGGTCTGCGGCAGAAATATCATTCAAGTGAAACAGAAGGGCTTTCCTGGCTGGACACAGTGGTCACTCCTGCAATCCCAACACTTTGGTTGGCTAAGGTGGGAGGATTTCTTGCGGCCAGGAGTTCGAGGCTGCAGTGAGCTGTGATCCACCACTGCATTCCAGGCTGGGCATCAGAGTGAGGCCTGTCTCTAAAAAAACCCTTCACTCCCCAAAAAAAGGGATTTTCAAATACCAGCCTTTCAGCATGAGGATCACATGGAGGAACATTAAGACACAGATGCTGGGACCCAGCCCTATTGATTGTAATTAAAAAACTGAGGTGAGGCCTGATTTAGCTCCATCATTGGAATCCATTCAGATTTGAAATTCTCTGAGTTGGGCAGTGCAAGAGAGATCCTAAAGAAAGCAAAGTCACTGTGGACTGAAATGAGCTGGCAAGGTTTTCTGAGCGTGGTGAAATATGATCTGGGCCTCGCTTGGGAGGGCTGTGGCCAGGCCTTGAGTCCGTGGCTCAGTGGGACCTTCTGAAACAGCCTCCAATCCGTGCCCCCACTTCATTTGCTAGTGGATGACCCCCTCCAGCGGCTTTGGTGCTGATGGGAATAAGTCAACCTGCAGCGGAAGTTCAGCCCAAGTTTCAGCCCAGCAGCTTCTACACACCTGTCCGTGGTCTGGTCATGCTGCCATCTCTGCGGTTCTCTGCGGTTCTCTGCGGAGTCGTGGTTTCTGTACCTTGAAGAGAACTTCCCCTCTGGGACCCAGAAACCCAGTGAATCCTCAGGAAAAAAGGGAATGAAATTACTGAAGACAACTCTGTGGCGGGGAGATGGAAAAGAGGCTCTCTCTCTTTTTTTTTCCTAATATTTTGAGACAGAGTTTCGCTCTTGTCACCCAGGCTGCAGTGCAGTGGCTCCATCTCGGCTCACTGCAACCTCTGCCTCCCAGGTTCAAGCGATTCTCCTGCCTCAGCCTCCCGAGTAGCTGAGATTACAGGCACCCACCACCACTCCCGGCTAATTTTTGTATTTTAGGGTTTCGTCATGTTTGCCAGGCTGGTCTTGAACACCTGACTTCAAATGATCCACCCGCCTCTGCCTCTCAAAGTGCTGGGAATACAGGCATAAGACACTGCACCCGGCCTGTTTTTGTTTTTTAGAGACAAGGTCTCTGTTGCCTTGGCTGGGGTGCAGTGGTACAATCAGCTCTCTGTTGCCTCCTGGGCTCAAGCAATCCTCTTCTCTCAGCCTCCCAAGTAGCTGAGACTACAGGTGCATGCCTGTAGTAGATATAGCATCTTGCTCTGTTGCCCAGACTGGTCTTGAACTCTTGGTCACAAGCGATCCTCTTGCCTTGGCCTCTCAAAGTGCTGGAATTACACGCGTGAGCCATTGAGCCCAACCAGATAAGATGATCTTTAAGGGCCCTTCCCATGGCACCATAATCCAAGTCAGCGAGACTGTGGCTATAGCAAGTTTAACATAACCAGATACGCTAGTATTATGGGCTGCATGGTGTGCCCCCCACCCCTAATTCATGTATTGAAGCCATGACCCTCCAGACCTTAGAGGTGACCTTATTGGAACCAGAGTCTTTACAGAGGTGATCAAGTTAAAATGAGGTCACTAGAGGCCAGGCACGGTGGCTCACACCTGTAATGCCAGCACTTCGGGAGGCCGAGGCAGGCAGATAATGAGCCCAAGAGACCGAGACCATGATGTCCAACATGGTGAAACCCTGTCTCTACTAAAAATACAAAAATTAGCCAGGCGTGGTGGTGTGGGCCTGTAGTCCCAGCTACTCAGGAGGCTGAGGCAAGAGAATCGCTTGAACCCGGAAGGCAGAGATTGCAGTCAGCCAAGATCATGCCACTACACTCCAGCCTGGGTGACAGAGTGAGACTCTATCTCAAAAAAATAAAAATTAAAAAACTAAAAACCTACAGTACCGCCTTTTACATAATGCAATGGTTTGGTAAGCACATGCACCCCAGGGAGGTAGTGGCAGATTCAGTCAACCTTCCCAGCAGCGTGGAGACGCAGTCAGGCATAGCAGGTGTTGATGTGGTTTGAACCCACAGCTTGGCTCAAATCCACACTCCCCTACTTAATACCGAGTGAAGCCACTTACCCTCTAAGTGCCTTACTTTTCTTTTCTTTTTTCTTTTTTCGAGACAGAGTCTCGCTCTGTCACCCAGGCTGGAGTGCAGTGGCATGATCTTGGCTCACTGCAAACTTCGCCTTCCAGGTTCAAGCAATTCTCCTGCCTCAGCCTCCCAAGTAGCTGGGATTACAGGCGCCCACCACCATGCCGGGCTAATATTTGTATTTTTGATAGAGATGGGGTTTCACCATATTGCCCAGGCTGGTCTCGAACTCCTGACCTCAAGTGATCTGTCTGCCTCGGCCTCCCAAAGTACTAGGATTAGAGGCATGAGCCACCACACCTGGCCACTTTTCTTATCTATATTTGTTATGTGGATGACTTGTGTTAACGCAAATAAGATGCTGCTCGTCATCTTTAAAGAAAATAGGTGGCAACCTGTTATAGCAAGTCCTGTTTTTATTTGTACTTATGAGGCTTTAGTTAAACGCTAAGAATTAAAATGCACATAATAATAGACTTTACCTCACAAACTGGCTTCAATTATTCGATGAGACTTATATGTATTACTTAAATGAGGTTAAATTTAACCTTTAAAAAATGATTTATTGTGGCTGGGCACAGTGGCTCACACCTGTAATCCCAGCACTTTGGGAGGCCAAGGCAGACGGATCACTTGAGGCCAGGAGTTGAAGACCAGCCTGACCAACACGGCGAAACCCCATCTCCGCTAAAAATACAAAAATTAGCCAGGCATGGTGGTGCACACCTGTAATCCTAGCTACTCAGGAGGCTGAGACACAAGAATCGCTTGAACCCGGGAGGCAGAGGTTGCAAGGAGGTGAGATCACACCACTGCACTCCAGCCTGGGCAATAGAGTGAGGCTCTGCCTTAAAACAAAGAAAAATGATTTTGGGGGATGATGGGGTGTCACTATGTTGACCAGGCTTGTCTCAAACTCCTTGCCTCAAGCAATCCACCCACCTCAGCCTCCCAAGTAGCTGGAACTACAGGCGCATGCCACCACGCCTGGCTAATTGTGTGTGTGTGTGTGTGTGTGTGTGTGTGTGTGTGTGTAGAAACAAGGTCTTACTGTGTTGTTTAAGCTGCTCTCAAACTCCTGGGCTCAAGTGATCCTCCCACCTCGGCCTCCCAAAGCATTGGAATTACAGGTGTGAGCCACCTCACTGAGCCCTCCACCTTTCAGCTGAACGCAGAAAAGTACAATCTTTTAACCCAAAGCGTTCCTCACACTTAGGGTCAGGAAGAGCCCTTCATGCCCTGGAGGCAACTACTAACCCTCTGCTAAACACTCTGACTCTGGGTGTGAGAAACACACCTACTGTGCCCCACATATTTTTCCAAATACAACTTAATTTAGCCTTCACGACAACCCTGGAGTGAAGGATCATTAACTTTATTTCATAGATGTGGAAACTGAGACTCAGAGGCAGGAAATGACCTCCTTCTGGAGGCTGCAAATTCTTTGATGCTCCTTTGATCAACAGGTGGGAGCTGGCCAGAGGTGGTGGCTCACACCTATAATCCCAGCACTTTGGGAGGCCAAGGTGGGAGGATTGACTGAGGCCAGGAGTTTGAAACTAGCCTGGGCAACATAGCAAGACCTCATCTCTACAAAAAATACACAAATTAGCAGGGTGTGCTGGTGCACACCTGTAGTCGCAGCCACTCGGGAGGCTGAAGTGGTAGCATTGCTTGAGCCCAGGAGGTTGAGGCTGGAGTGAGCCATGATCAAGCCACTGCACTCCAGCCGAGGAGATGGAGATAGACCCTGTCTCAAACAACAACAAAAAAATAGGTGAGGATCAGCCAGGCATGGTGGCTCACGCCTGTAATCCTAGAACTTTGGGAGGCCAAGGTGGGAGGATTGCTTGAGGCCAGGACTTCAAGACCAGCCTGGGCAGCCTAGCAAGATCCCATCCCTTAAAAAAAAGTTTTTAGGCTGGGCATGGTCACTCATGCCTGTAATCCTAGCACTTTGGGAGGCCAAGGCAGGCGGGTTGCCTGAGCTGAGGAGTTTGAGACCAGCCTGGGCAACATGGTGAAATCCTGTCTCTACTAAAATACAAAAAATTAGCCAGGTGTGGTGTTGGGCACCTGTAATCCCAGGTACTCAGGAGGCTGAGGCAGGAGAATTGCTTGAACCCAGGAGGCAGAGGTTGCAGTGAGCCGAGAGCGCACCACTCCACTCCAGCCTGGACAACAGAGCGAGACTCCGTCTCAACAAAAAAAATGTTTTTAATTAGCCAGCTGTGATGATGCATGCCCATGTCCCAGCTACTTGGGAGGCTGAAGCAGGAGGATTGCTTGAGCCTGGGAGGTCAAGGCTGCAGTGAGCTATGATTGCGCCCCTGCACTCCAGCCTGGACAGCGGAGGGAGACCCTGTCTGAAAATAAAAAAAGAGGTGGGGGCCTATGACCCCCCCTTTAATTTTGGCCCAACCTTAGTAACAGGATAGTCATTGAGTAGGGCAAAAGTGATGTTATGATGTTTTTCAGCCTCCAATTTACAGTCTAAAACATGTCTTGGGTAAACACAGCAAGACTCCATCTCAAAAAAAAAAAAGAAAAAAAATCAGAAGTGAACCTGTAGCCTGTAGTGTGTTGCCAAATAAACTTATTTTTAGAGATACTTCTTTCCATTTTCTGTGAGGTCATCTGCAGTTTCACATGGTAGACAGACTTAGGTGAGATTCTTAGCAACATAGAATGAAGAGTAAAGAGGTTTGTTTATTTCACAAGGGTTTATTGAAGGCCTACGATGTGTTAAATGCTGTAGGAAATACCCACTGATTTCTCTTTTCATGGAGGTTTCCCGCCTTCTCTTAACGAGTGATCAATTAAACTGTTTACTGGGAACTTGCTAAGTTAATGAACACACGGGATACATTCTTTGGATGAGCAGACATTGGTTGGGCAGAGGGGCAAGAGGAGAGCAGTTTAGACAGAGACCTGCTTATACACTGTAGTGTCTAAGAGAGCTTGTGATGTTCAGGAAACAGTTGTTCACTGTGCTGCAATATAGGGGACGGCCAGTTGCGGTGGCTCACACCTGTAATCCTAGTGCTTTGGAAGGCCAAGGCGGGCAGATCACCTGAGGTCAGGAGTTAGAAACCAGCCTGGCCAACATGGTGAAACCCCATCTCTACTAAAAACACAAAAATTAGCTGAGTGTAATGGTGGATGCCTATAATCCCAGCAACTTGGGAGGCTGAGACAGGAGAATCACTTGAACTTGGGAGGTGGAGGTTGCAGTGAGCCGAGATCATGCCATTGCACTCTAGCCCAGGTGACAGGGTGAGACTCTGTCTCAAATAATAATAATAATAATAATAATAATAATAATAATAATAATAATAATAATGTAGGGGACTTGATGAAGGGAAAGGATCAGAGAGATTCTGAAAAGAAGGTAGTTTGGGGCCCAGTGATGACTAGATTTTAAGTTTCATATAGTAGGAAGTGGGGCACTAGTAATTTTTCAAGCAGAAAAATTATTTGACCAGATTCGTGATTTCAAAAATAGCTCTGGTGATAGAGTGGAGGATGGGTTGGAGCAGGGAATAAGGGGAAATGAAACCGTTATAAAACTCTTAAAGTGGGCTGGGCATGGTGGCTCACGCCTGTAATCCCAGCACTTTGGGAGGCTGAGGCGGGCGGATCACGAAGTCAGGAGATCGAGACCATCCTGGCTAAAACGGTGGAACCCTGTCTCTACTAAAAATACAAAAAATTAGCTGGGCATGGTGGTGGGCGCCTGTAGTCCCAGCCACTCAGGAGGCTGAGGCAGGAGAATGGTGTGAACCCGGGAGGCAGAGCTTGCAGTGAGCTAAGATCGTGCCACTGCACTCCAGCCTGGGCGACAGGGCGACAGAGCAAGAATCCGTCTCAAAAAAAAAAAAAAAAAAAAAAACCTCTTAAAACAAGTACAGCAAGAACTTTGAGGGTCTTTGCTAAGACAGCAGCTGGCAGCTTCAATTTGGAGTAGGGTATCAAAGGCAACTGTGTATAAGGAATAGTTATATAACTGGTATCCAATTTCTGAGATGATTTTGACTTAAACATTGTGTATTTCCCAGCATACTGTTGGTTTTTCTAATTATGTGGGAAATTATGTTGCTTTTACTTTTTTTTTTTGCTCATTGCCCAGCCTAGGGTGCAATGCTGCAATCTCAGCTCACTGCAACCTCCGCCTCCCAGGTTTAAGTGATTCTTCTGCCTCAGCCTCCCAAGTAGCTGGGATTACAGGCGCCCACCACCATGCCTGGCTAATTTTTTGTATTTTTGGTAGAGACAGGGTTTCACGACGTTGGCCAGGCTGGTCTCAAACTCCTGATCTCAAGTGATCCACCTGCCTCTGTGTCCCAAATTGCTGGGATTACAGGCATGAGCCACCGCACCGGCCATGCTTTCAGTTTTCAAGAAAGAAGACACCATTATTGCCAAAGATTTTGGTAATTTGAGAGATACAATGTATGTTTTCTCCATGTGGATACTAGATAGTAAGGATGTGTTGAATTTGAAGTGTCTATCCAGAAGTATTTTGGGTACTTGTTTAAGGATTGTAAAACAATGTTTCCATTTCTGGATATAATAAATGTATTTGTTAATATAATAAATGAATAGATTAGACCCATAAACTATTTGCAGTGTTGAGTCATTTCCCACAGTTAAAATCAGGATGAAAATATATAGCTGAATACTTGCTTTGTTTCTTGTAACTGATTTCTTTAGTACAGAACCTGCTAAGGCCATCAAACCTATTGATCGGAAGTCAGTCCATCAGATTTGCTCTGGGCCGGTGGTACTGAGTCTAAGCACTGCGGTGAAGAAGATAGTAGGAAACAGTCTGGATGCTGGTGCCACTAATATTGGTAAGTTTGGGAGAGTTTTAAGCCACAAGAAATGATCAGTGAATGTTGTTGTAGTCAAGAAACATTTGTTATTGAAATAAGACTATCAAGTGTTGATGTAGTAATAAACTATTATTTTTAAGTTAAAGTTAGCACCTATTATGTGCCTAGTACTTAGCTAGGTAGTAATAATAATAACGACAGCTTTTCTTGTGTTCTTATGGTGTGCCAGGCAGGTGTTATGCTAAGAATTGCACAGAAATATCTCATTTAATTTGCAGAATAGCTGGGCGTGGTGTCTGACGCCTGTAATCCTAGCCCTTTGAGAGGCTGAGGTGGGGGGATTGCTTGAAGCCAAGAGTTCAAGACCAACCTGGCCAACATGGGGAGACCTCGTCTCTATTAAAAAATAAAGCAGGCCGGGTGTGGTGGCTCACGCCTGTAATCCCAGCACTTTGGGAGGCCAAGGCGGGTGGATACCTGAGGTCAGGAATTCGAGACCAGCCTGTCCAAAATGGTGAAACTCTGTCTCTACTAAAAATACAAAAATTAGCCAGACCTGGTGGCAGAAGCCTGTAATCCCAGCTACTGGGGAGGCTCAGGAATGAGAATTGTTTAAATTTGGGAGGTGGAGGTTGCAGTGAACCGAGATTGTGCCACTGCACGCCAGCCTGGGGACAGAGCAAGACTCTGTCTCAAAAAAATAAAATAAAATAAAATAAAATAAATCCTGGAGTAGTGGCTCACATCTGTAATCCCAGCACTTTGGGAGGCTGAGGGGGGCTGATGCTTTGAGGTCAGGAGTTCAAGACCAGCCTAACCAACGTGGTAAAACCCTGTCTCTACTAAAAATACAAAAATTAGCCAGATGTGATGGTGCATGGCTGTAATCTCAGCTCCTCAGAAGGCTGAGGGAGGAGAATTGCTTAAACCTGGGAGGTGGAGGTTGCAGTGAGCCAAGATCGATTGTGCCACTGCATTCCAGCCTGGGTGACAAGAGCAAAAGTCCATCTCAAAAAATTAAAAAAAAAAAAAAAAAAAGGAAAGAAAAAAAAGAAAATGACAAAATTAAAAAAAAATTATTAATCTGCCAAATAACTTTATGAGATAGAACTTATTACCTCCATTTTACAGTTGAGGAAATTAAGGGACAGTAAATTTCCTTTTTTTGAGATTATAAAGCTAATAAAATAGAATCTAGGAAGTCTGATTCCAGAACCAGTTCTGTTTTTTTTTTCTTTTTTTTTTTTTTTGAGATAGAGTTTTGCTCTTGTTGCCGAGGCTGCGGTGCAATGGCACGATCATCAACTCACTGCAACCTCCACCTCCCAGGTTCAAGCGATTCTCCTGCCTCAGCCTCACAAGTAGCTGGGATTACAGGCATGCACCACCACGCCTGGCTAATTTTGTATTTTTAGTAGAGATAGAGTTTCTCTACGTTGGTCAGGCTGGTCTCGAACTACTGACCTCAGGTGATCCGCTCGCTTTGGTCTCCCAAAGTGCTGGGATTACAGGCATGAACCACTGCGCCCGGCCCCCGTTCTCCTTACTGGGTATGTTAAAATTATTTCTTTCAAAGGAAAAGGCTGGTCAAAGTGCAACGGTCTTTACAACTAATTGATCACAACCAGTTACAGATTTTTTTGTTCCTTCTCCACTCCAACTGCTTCACTTGACTAGTGTAAGGAAAAAAAAAAAAAAAAGAGGAAAGAAAGAAAATGCTAAACTATTTAATCTGGGCTAGTAAATGGCCAGAAAGAACTTTATAAAAATGAAATATACAAAATGACACTAGTATGTTTAACTAAAGGTATAGTTACGACACTTAAATTTGCACGTTATAAATAATATCAATATAAAAACTGATAGCGTGGGTCCATTTTTAATAAATATATAAATATTTTAAACTTTCTAGATCTAAAGCTTAAGGACTATGGAATGGATCTCATTGAAGTTTCAGGCAATGGATGTGGGGTAGAAGAAGAAAACTTCGAAGGCTTAAGTAAGTTAACTTTCTAATCCTATTACAAAATAATTGGGCCACATGTCTTAGAATTTTGAGTAACACTGTCTTGGGAAACACAAAAACAGTTTTTTAAAGCCAGTTACTAGATATCATGTATATTTGTTGTTATAGCACTTGAGATATCTTAGTCCTTACTTTACAGTCTCTTTCAGCTCTGAAACATCACACATCTAAGATTCAAGAGTTTGCCGACCTAACTCGGGTTGAAACTTTTGGCTTTCGGGGGAAAGCTCTGAGCTCACTTTGTGCACTGAGGTGAGAAAATATTTTTATCCATTCACTTGACCCCTTAGAAAAACCTCTCTGAAAATTAATTGGAATCATTATTATTTACAATTTTCTATCTCAATATCTCAGCTTCTAGCTTCTGAATTCTGTTTTGTCTCACTGCCAATCTAAGTCCTAGTACTTCTGAAATGTGAGCAATAAATGAATGAAATGAAGCAAATAGTATTGTTTAAAAAATTGGTTACCCTTATTAAAACAGTAACTTCTCAATTTGAACATAACATATAGATAATAAATGATAGTTACCATTGGTTTTCATTATCAATTTTTAGGGAAACATTTCACCAAAGCACTATTTAATTACAGCACAGATACTAAATTTTTATAAATAATTACATGCACACACACATATATATACATATATATACATATATACATATATATACATATATATACATATATACATATATATATACATATATATACATATATACATATATATACATATATACATATATACATATATACATATATACATATATACATATATACATATATACATATATATACACATATATACATATATATACATATATATATATATATATGTATATATATATATTTTTTTTTTTTTTAGACAGAGTCGCACTCTGTCACCCAGGCTGGAGTGCAGTGGCACAGTCTCAGCTCACTGCAGTCTCTGCCTCCCAGGTTCAAGTGACTTTCGTGACTCAGCCTCCTGAAGAGCTGGGACTATAGCGTGCACCACCACTCCTGGCTAATTTTTGTATTTTTAGTAGAGATGGGGTTTTGCCATGTTGCCCAGGCTGGTCTGGAACTCCAGGCCTCAAGTGATCTGCCCTCCTTGGCCTCCCAAAGTGCTGGAATTACAGGCACGAGCCACCGTACCCTGCCCTACATATACATTTTAATTATAATATCTTTTGGATTCTTTAAAAAAAATTTTAAAAATTTTAAAAAATTCTTTAAAAAAATTCTTTTAAAAAATTTTGTTTGAAGAGTAATAACAAAACAAATCTCTATTTGAGAATCAATAAATCTTGAGATCATTTATGGTTTTGCAATTCAACCTGAAAAATGAAGTCAAAGCTTTTATCAAAACAAAGCATGTTTAGTGCTCTCTGTCTCACTGTCTTTTAGATGCCAGACCTTAGATTTTGTGATGACTCCTCAACCGTTTAGATCTCGGTTATCTCAGAGGGATCATCAGCTTTTTAAGAAAATTTTGAGAGAAAAGCAAGTGAAGAAAAGAGTAGTCAGTGCCCAACATCATGGATCTCTCACTGAACACACCATGCCTGGTATTCTCTCACAGTGATGTCACCATTTCTACCTGCCACGTATCGGCGAAGGTTGGGACTCGACTGGTGTTTTTGATCACGATGGGAAAATCATCCAGAAAACCCCCTACCCCCACCCCAGAGGGACCACAGTCAGCGTGAAGCAGTTATTTTCTACGCTACCTGTGCGCCATAAGGAATTTCAAAGGAATATTAAGAAGGTACAGTAAATTAATCCTGGTTTTCAAGAGTATTGGTTAATGCACATGAGCAAAAGATTTACTAAAGATGTTTATTCTTCAGTTGATTCTCTTCCCATAATTTATTGAGAAATGCTTTATTTGCATTTCTCATTAAAGACTTAACTTCAGGATGATTTACTTTTTTCTTTTTATCACATAATGTTTATTAGGACTGGGAAACATAGTGAGAGTCTGTCTCTATGAAAAATTAAAAAAAAAATTGACTGGGCATGGTGGCATGCACCTGTAGTTCCAGCTACTTGGGAGGCTGAAGTGGGAGGATCACCTGAGCCCAGGAACTTGAGACTGCAGTGAGCTATGATTGCGTCACTACACTTCAGACTGTGAGACAGAGTAAGACCCTGTCTGGAAAAATATATATACATATATATACATTTTTTTTATTTTTTATTTTTATCTTTTTTTGAGATGGAGTCTCACTTTGGCGCCCTGGCTGCAGTGCAGTGGCGCGATCTCAGTTCACTGCAACCTCCACCTGCCAAGTTCAAGCGATTCTCCTGCTTCAGCCTTCTGAGTAGCTACCATTACAGGCGCGCGCCACCACGCCCGGCTAATTTTTGTATTTTCAGTGGAGACGGGGTTCCACCATGTTGTCCAGGCTGGCCAGGCTGGTCTCGAATTCCTGCCCTCAGGTGATCCGCCCACCTCGGCCTCTCAAAGTGCTGGGATTACAGGCGTGAGCCACCATGCCTGACCTTATGTACTTATATTTTTATGAGAATATTTCTCTTGGTTTTCTGATAAATGAGTTACTGGAACCCTTATGAATTTGAATGCAAATGAAACAGCTAAATGTTATATAATTGTTGTGTTTAAAAAGCAGATTATAAAACTGTCTGTATTATATGATTACAGTTTTATAAAAACAAAACAGGCCTAAATGTGTATAGTATAAAGACTGAAGAGTCAGCACTTCCATGTTCTCAGCGGTTATCCTTGGATGTGAGATCTCATGCACTTTTTGCTCTCTTCTTTGTGCCTTTCCATTTTGCATGCGTATTTCTTATAATCTAAAAAGTTACTTAAACATATGCAGCTAAAAACTTTTTTTACTTGTAAAGCGTTTGGTGCTAATTTTAACTTTTTTTTTTAGACGGAGTCTTCTCACTCTGTCGCCCAGGCTGGAGTGCAGTGGTGTGATCTTGGCTCACTGCAACCTCCGCCTCCTGGGTTCAAGTGATTCTCCTACCTCAGCCTCCCAAGTAGCTGGGATTATAGGTGTGTGTCACCACACCCAGCTAATTTTTGTATTTTTAGTAGAGATGGGGTTTCACCATGTTGGCCAGGCTGGTCTTGCACCCCTGACCTCAAGTGATCTGCCCACCTCAGCCTCCCAAAGTGCTGGGATTACAGGCGTGAGCCACCACGCCTGGCTTTTTTTTTTAAAGCTTTTTTGTAAGTCAGCCAGCAAGAACACAGGAGGAAGTACTCAAATCTCCCTTACACAGCTGGGGGCTGTGTCAGGTTTTATAAGCATAGGGTAATGAGGTGTGATTTGATTGGATCTTGCAATAAAGTAATGCTGGGAGGTGTGATCTGACTGGATCCTGCCATGGGGTGACACCAAAACTCAATCTGATTGGATCCTGGCTCCTGCCTGGGGGTGTCTGGTTCTTAAATCGGTCCGGGCTCTTCAGGCTGAGCTCTTAGGTTCCACTCCACGGTGGCACGCGTGGTTAACCTGGGCATGCACAGGGTACATGACCTTCAACCTGCAGGTCGATGGCAATTGGAAAACAACTGACAACTTCATTACATAAAAGTTGAACTGATTCGGGTGCGGTGACTCACGCCTGTAATCCCAGCACTTTGGGAGGCCAAGGCAGGTGGATCACCTGAGGTCGAGGAGTTCAAGACCAGCCTGGCCAAAATGGTGAAACCCCGTCTCTACTAAAAATATAAATATTAGCCAGGCGTGGTGGCGCACCCTTGTAATCCCAGCTACCCCAGAGGCTGAGGCAGCAGAATGCTTGAACCTAGGACGTGGAGGTTGCAGTGAGCTGAGATCGTGCCATTGCACTCCAGCCTGGGTGACAAGAGTGAAACTCCATCAAAAAAAAAAAAAGTTGAACTAGATTTGGTCTGATGCAGTTACAGATTTACAAACCGCGTCCCACCCTCCTGCCAACACCTTCCACTCCTCATTCTTGAGGGATTAGGGATGGAGGTCATGCTTCTGTATCGACTTCATGCTGACCAGGGGCACTTAGTCCCCTAAAGTGAGAGGAATGAAACTCTTGGGCTTCTGAGTTCAGATGAGTTCTGGGGTCACCCGGAGTAGCTTGAAAGGCTGGTATTGTTGTAATACAAGCTGAAGGTGGAAGTGTTGGATCCTGGAGGACAAACAGCTCACCATCCATTTAAATAAATAGGACCAAAAAGTAACAGAACAGTGGCCACGAGGGGCCCCAACAGAGGAAGAAACCAGGTGAGGTGTGGTATAGTGGACTCGACTGCCTTCTAAATCTCAGTGGTTGTCCGGGTGCGGTGGCTCACGCCTGTAATTCCAGCAAAAGAAGAGCCGAGGCAGGGTGATCACGAGGTCAGGAGTTCAAGACCAGCCGGGCAAACATGGTGAAACCCCGTCTCTACTGAAAATACAAAAATTAGCCAGGTGTGGTGGCGTGTGCTGTAGTCCCAGCTACTAGGGAGGCTGAGGCAGGAGAATTGCTTGAACCTGGGAGGCGGAGGTTGCAGTGAGCCGAGATTGTGCCACTGCACTCCAGCCTAGGTAACAGAGCAGGACCCCATCTCAGTCAATCAATCAATCTCAGTGGTTGAACTACCCTTGATATGGTTCAGCTCTGTATCCCCAACCAAATCTCATGTCCAATTGCAATTCCCAGTGTTGAGGGAGGGACCTGGTGGGAGATGATTGGCTCATGGCGGCTGACGTCCCCCTTGCTGGTCTCGTGATAGTGAGTGAGCGCTCATGGGATCTGGTTGTTTAGAAGCATGCAGCACCTCCTGCTTCACTCTCTCTGTCTCTCCTGCTCCACCATGGCCAGAAACGTGCCTGCTTCCCCTTCGCCTTCTGCCGTGATTGTCAGTTTCTTGAGGGCTCCCCAGCCATGCTTCCTGTACAGCCTGCAAAACTGTGAGTCAATTAAACCTCTTTTCTTCATAAATTCCCCAGTTTCCAGTAGTTCTTTATAGCAGTGTGAAAACAGACTAATGGACCCTTCTGGTTGAAGGAATGTAGCCATTCTGCTTGTTTAAGTATTTCCTTTCTATTCATCTCTATTTCCCGGGAGGTGTTTATCCAAGTGCAATAGGAGATATTGGTGACTGCAGAGTCCCCTCAGTGTTCTGCTAGTAAATAGTTGAAGGTTGATCAGTGATCTCCAGCATTTTCAGTCTGGCATGGAAAAGCCCCCATGTAACTGGTAAAGGTATCAGTAAGCACCAGGAGGTATCTAAATCCACCAGGAGCCATAGGCATCATGTTGATGTCCATTTACCAGTCTTCCCTGGCAAGATTCTCTGAATTGTACTGCCTTGGCCAAAAGAGGTATGGGAGGGGCTGGGCACAGTGGCTCACGCCTGTAATCCCAGCATTTTGGGAGACCAATTCGGGTAGATCATTAGAGGTCAGGGGTTCAAGACCATCCTGGCCAACATGGTGACATTCCATCTCTACTAAAAATACAAAAAGTCAGCGGGGTTTGGTGTTGGGTGCCTGTAATCCCAGCTACTCGGGAGGCTGAGGCAGGATAATCACTTGAACCTGGGAGGAGGAGGAGGTGGCAGTGAGCTGAGATCTCGCCATTGCACTCCAGCCTGGGCAACAAGAGCGAAACTTCATCTCAAAAAATAAAAAAAGAAGTCTGGGTGTGGTGGCTCGTGCCTGTAATCCCAGGACTTTGGGAGGCCAAGATGGGTGGATCATGAGGTCAGGAGTTCAAGACCAGCCTGGCCTAGATGGTGAAACCCTGTCTCGAGTAAAAATACAAATATTAGCTGGGCATGGTGGCACACACCTGTAATCTCAGCTACTCAGAAGTCTGAGACAGAAGAATTGCCAAAACCCGGGAGGGAGAGGTTGCAGTGAGCCGAGATCGCGCCACTGCACTCTAGCCTGGGCGACAGAGCAAGACTCCGTCTCGAAAGAAAGAAAGAGAAAGGAAATTCCCCAGGGAAGTACCTCGGCTTATTTCATGAAGAGGTACTGAAGGAAGCAGAGGCATGTGGAGGACTTCCCCACCTCGTGCAGCTATTTGGGCCGTGGCGTCTGAAATTTCTTATTTCAGAGTCACCCCTTTGATGACCTTGGCAGTGGACTGCAGTCATCTGTTTAGGCCTCTCCATGGCCCGTGTCAATGCCGATATTTCTGTCTGTTGCACATTTGATTTCCTTGTTGTTGGCATTTAGAAGGCCCCCTGTTTCCCAGATCACACCACGGGCATGGACCGCAGAGATTGCATCTTGTGAGTCTGTAGAAACAGTCAAGGCCTTGTCCTCTCTTAGGTCCAGAGCTCAGGTGAATGCAGATTTTCCCGGCCATCTGTGCTGAAGTCCCTGTGGGGAGGCTCCTGGCTGGTTTCCTGTAGGTAGACAGCTACACATCCTGCCCTTCATTGGCTTCTTTTCATGAAGCTCCTGCTGTCTACAAAACATGTCTCCCTTTTCTTCTTGAACCACATCTCTGTTATTGAAACTCTAGAAGTCAGCCAGGCACAGTGGCTATGCCTGTAATCCCAGCACTTTGGGAGGCCAAGGTGGGTGGATCACCTGAGGTCAGGAGTTCAAGACCAGCCTGGCCCACATGGCGAAACCCTGTCTCTAATACAAATACTAAAATTAGCCAAGCATGGTGGCCACTGCACTCCAGCCTGGGTGACAGAGCAAGACTCTGTCTCAAATAAAGAAAGAGAAAGTATCATGCTTTTCAGAGTTCTGTGGGTTGTTATGGTGAATTATCAAACCTGAGGACGTGGTGGGAACCTCCAAATTTGCAGCCAGTTGGTGAGAAGTACATGCGGTCTGTGGACACCCAAGCTTGCAGCTGCATCTGAAGCGAGGGCAGCCTAGCGGGGGCTGGTGGCCTTAACCTGTGGCATTTGATGTAACATCAGGGAGTTGACATCAGAATTACGTCACACAGGCCAGGTGCAGTGGCTCATGCTTATAATCCCAGCAATTAGAAAGGCAAGATAAGAAGATTGCTTGAGCTTGAGTCTGAGCCCACAGTGAGCTATGACCGCACCACTGCACCCCAGTCTGGGTGACAGCACAAGACCCCGACTCCAAAAATAAAAAAGAAAAATCACAAAGAATTGCATGGCAGAGTGCCTGTCTTTCACAGCTTGAACTGTTGCAGGAACTTTCTTTTTTTTTTTTTCTTTTGTGATGGAGTCTCGCGCTTTCACCCAGGCTGGAGTGCAGTGGCGCGATCTCTGCTCACTGCAGGCTCCGCCTCCTGGGTTCACACCATTCTCCTGCCTCAGCCTCCGGAGTAGCTGGGACTACAGGCGCCTGCCACCGCGCCCAGCTAATTTTTTGTATTTTTAGCAGAGATGGGGTTTCACCGTATTAGCCAGGATGGTCTTGATCTCCTGACCTCATGATCCACCCACCTCAGCCTCCCAAAGTGCTGGGATTACAGTCCTGAGCCACCGCGCCTGGACTTTTTTTTTTTTTTTGAGAGGGGTTGGGGAGACATATTCTCTGCTAGTGATTCTCCTGCCTGGTCTCGAACTCCTGCTGGGATCACAGGCGTGAGCCACCACGCCCAGCCACCTTTAGAGTTTTCTTACCACCTGGTTTTCCTCTCTCAATATCTTTCTCTCATTTCCTGCTTTAAAACTCTAGCTTGGGGTCTGGGCACAGTAGCTCATGCCTATAATCCCAGCACTTTGGGAGACTGAGGCGGGTGGATCACTTGAGGTCAGGAGTTTGAGACCAGCCTGGCCAACATGGTGAAACCTTGTCTCTACTATTTTTACAAAAGTTAGTCAGACGTACAGGCGGATGCCTGTAGTCCCAGCTACTTGGGAGGCTGAGGCAGGAGAATTTGCTTGAACGCGGAGGTGAAAGTTGCAGGGAGCCGAGGTTGTGCCACTGCACTCCAGCCTGGGAGACAGAGCGAGACTGTCTCCAAAACAAACAAACAAACAAACAAACAAAAAAACCCTGTAGCTTGGGATCAGCCTTCTCTTCTGTTGTTTTTCTTTAAAAAATAAAAATTAAAAATAGGCTTCAAGTGATCCTCCCGCCATGACCTCCAAAACTGCTGGGATTGTAGGTGTGAGCACTGCACCCAGCCGTATGTTTTTTTCTACATAAAAAACAGCACAGGATTATCTTCCAAAGCTAATAAATATGTTCAAATAACCACAACCCCATTAAGGAAAAATGTCACTTGACAGCAAATAATCAATCCAGACCACAATATGATCACACTCACTGTGAAGGTGAGAAAAGTTCATCTTTATTATGTTTCCCCAAGAGATGCACTGCACTGTTCTCTTGAAAACACACAGCTCATGTCCTCCTTTAGAACACACATCCTCTTTAAAGTAACATACAAACATGCCAAAACAAGATAAAAAATTCCATCTGAATTCTCACATTTCAAACATACACTAAATATCAAATAAAAATTTATTTTTACAAGAATTTAGGGGAACTACCACATAGCTATAAATGTAATATATATGTTAACTAAGTATCATAGATAAAAACCATGCTCCCTTCAGCAGCACGTGTAATAATAGATACAAAGATTGAAAGGTAAAAGATTTAGGATGAAAAGAATCCTCTCTTAAAAAGGAAAACAAAATTATATGTATGTGTATACAACAGTTATAATACCCATCACACAGCTTTATAGAAACAGCATCTATTCAAAAATACCAGTATTTCCAAAATATTTAAAATAATATTTAAAGTAATAATAATATTTAAATAAATAAATATATTTAATAAATATTTCAGTAAATAAAATAATATTTAAATAATTCTATACCCATGTTTTTCAAAATAAACCAATAAAATAGATAGTATATATTAGACGTGTTAGTATATATATCTGAGACATGTTAAAAATCACAACTGAATTCTCACAAGTCAGTCACAAACCTAAACAGCAAATAAAAATTTCTATCACCAGAATTATGTTTTTTTCTGGTGGGGAACTACCAATAGCTATAAATAGAAGAGATTATTATGGAAGTATCATAGATAAAAAGAGTGCTCGCTTCAGGAGCACATATAATAATACAGAAAAAAAATTAAAGATAATAAAAGATTTAGGATAAAAAGAATTCTCACTTAAAAATGAAAAGAAAATTATCTTTAGGTATATATAACAACTATAACTCTCATCAAAAAACTCTACAGGAACAGCATGTTTTCAAAAGTACAACAATTTCCAAACTATTTGAAATAAACCTATTAATAATTCAATGGCCAACATTTTCCAAACAAACCAATAAAATGCATAGTGTGCATGAAGCTATCTGTTACAGTCTGTGGCACTCATATTTCACAAAGAATTCTGTGCCAATCTGAGCCCCTGCACTGTGCCTTCAAATGCTCCTGGACTGTGGCAACCAAGTCCATAAGAAACAGGACCTCCAGGTTCCGCCCCAGGGAGGTTGGCATTCAGCAATATAAAAAGGGAGGTGGTGCCGCAGGAAAGGGTGGAACTGGAAACACTCCTGGTTTCTTACTTTTCTCCAAGGACTCCTAGAAGTACCCCACCCCACCCCTGCTCCTTGGAGGACAACGTGATCACTGTATTCAGCTCTGTCAAGAATGGTCCAGGTTCTTCTAGATGATCTGCACAAATGGTTCCTCTCCTCCTTCCTGATGTCTGCCATTAGCATTGGAATAAAGTTCCTGCTGAAAATCCACATCTCCCCTGGGTCCGGTGTTCTGGAAGTGAGAGAGACAATGTCACACTTGAAGGAGGCAGCTCTCTAGACAGGAAGGTTATTCACGTCCCATGTCAAGTCTAGCTAGAGTTCAGAGCAATTGAGAAGTGCAATTTTATCTCCTGCCTTTCATTCTATACCCTGCTTCTGAACCATCGTGTTCAACTGTGAAACTCACACTTTGGTGACCCTGACTCCAAAACTTAATACACCCAAGGTCAGCCCCAGTGATCTGCTTCATAGCCAGGACTTTGGGTGGGTCTTCCCAGGGAGTAGGGCACCCTCAGAGAATGTGGCTTTGGACTTCATCACAGCTGGGGCCTTTTGTGTCACTTCAGATCTAAACTTGTAACCGTGCTAGATCTGTTTCTAACGTGACAACATCACGAACCACGAGTCCAGAAGCCTAATCCATAATCCTCCCTCCTCATGACGAAGTCTCATGCTCTGTGCTCAACATGGTTAGCTGCACAAGATGTAAACCAAAGCTTCACTGAACCCTCGACCCAAATCGGTAACTCAAGTGCATCAATCATAATGAACCTCCCCGAACTCAGTATTTATGATTATTTTTGAGGCAGGGTCTCACTCTGTCGCCCGGGCTGGAGTGCAGTGGCAGGATCAGGGCTCCCTGCAGCCCCGACCTCCCAGGCTCCAGCGATCCTCCCGCCTCAGCCTCCTGAGTAGTTGGGAGTAGAGATGCCTCCCACATCGCCTGGCTAATTTTTGTATTTTTGTGGAGAGGGGATCTCGCCACGTTGCCCAGGCTTGAAGCCAGATCAAGCAATTGGGTTCCTTGGATTTCCGAAATAGACCCCAATATTCTGCCTTTACCCCGGAGGATGCAGATGTACCTTCTCTCAGGCCGATGACCTCAGGCCTCCACGGTCCCTGGAGCTCTAGGAAAGGTGGGCGCGATCTCGCGCCCACACCCAGTGCTCTGGGTCATAAGCCTGGATCTGGAAAAACAAACGCGCTTTGAGAAGACGGGGACTCCCCAGGATACCCCTCTCTCCCCTCGTCCAGCCTCCAGCCCACCCGATTCCTCCCCACATCCTCCACGTCCCCAGGCCCCACCCACCTCTTCCAACTCCTCCAGGGAAACCCAAGCCCTGCAGCGCATGGAACAAAAGAAGTGGAACCGATACTTCCGGAACAAGGCTATCTGAGAGCAGTTCTTCCTGGCCCTCGGGTTCATGTAACGGCATAACTGGAACCAAAGCTCACTGAGCAAGGGTATATGAGAGCGGGTCTCCTCGTACAGGAAGTAGAAGATGTTTTGTTTGGGGGCCTCGTCGTCCTCCTCCATGTCATTGGCCAGATAGCTGAGGACAGAAATCAGGTTGCTGCTCAGGGGCACCACCAGGAGAGACCTCCGGCTGAGGTCAGCTTCTCAGAGAGGAAGGTAAGGGACCGTCCCTAGCTCAGGACTGGCACCCACCCTGCAGAGAGCCACGCCTTCCTCAGGAGGGCTCTGCTGGACAGAGACCTGATCAAGGGCGTCTCCCACTCCTTCAGGATGGAGACAAAAACCCAACTGGTGACCAAGAGTGGTGGCTTATGCCTGGAATCCCAGCACACTGGGAGGCCGAAGCAGGAGGATCACTTGAGGCCAGGAGTTTGAGACAGGCCTGGGCAACATAGCAAGACCCTCGTCTCTATTAAAAATATAAAAAATACGCCAGACGTGGTGGCTCATGCCTGTAATCCCAGCGCTTTGGAAGGCTGAAGCAGGTGGATTGCTTGAGACCAGGAGTTTGAGACCAGCCTGGTCAACACAGAGAAACCCCATCTATACTAAAAATACAAAAATCAGCCTGGTGCGGTGGCACACCCATTAGTCCTAGCTACTCAGGAGGCTGAAGCATAAGAATTGTGTGAACCCAGGAGGCGGAGGTTGCAGTGAGCCAAGATTGGGCCCCTCCATTCCAGCCTGAGAGACACAGCAACACTCTTGTCTTGATAAATAAATAAATAAATAAATAACTGTCCAGGTGTGGTGGTACAGCCCTGTAGTCGGAGCTAATCAAGAGGCTGAGGTGGGAGGATCGCTTGAGCCCAGGATATGGAGGCTGCGGTGAGCTATGATCTCACCACTGCACTCCAGCTTAGGGGACAGGGCAAGTCTGTCTCAAAAAAAAAAAAAAGCAATTGAATACACTGATATTTTGCCAGGACCCTGCCTTCTACAGGCATCTAGTCTAATGGGACTGGGAGTAATCAGGGGAGATGACCTAATCCCAATGTCACATTATAATAGGATGTAACTGGAGAGCTACGGGCATGCAGAAGTTGGAAGACGAGGGAAGGCATCACAGAGGCTGTGGGGTGAACCGACTTCAAGGAATGGGTCCTTCCCTTCAGAACCACATGTGTGCGGGACACCCAGACAGAAAACACAAATGCAAAGTCAAGTGGAGGGCATTTGGAAGGAGCAGTGAAGCCAAGCCAGGAAACACCAAGATGGCGAGCCAGTGTGGTTGTAGAGATTGTAGAGAGGGTGGAATTGGCACTGTGGACCCTGGCCTCGATAGAGAAAGACATCAGCTAAGGAAGTTGTTCAGGTGGGCAGTGAGGTTGTCGTGCTTTGGAAAGATGTTCAGGCTGCACTAGGAAGCCCCCTGGCTTGGGGAGAGACTCCAGGAAACCCCAGCAGGGAGCATTTGACAGTGGATTCGAGTGATGCAAGGGGGACCTGGACTGTGACCTCTGTCACGGGAACCCGGAGGAGGCTGATGGCTTTTGCGGTTGATGTGGGAAGGAGAGAGAACAACCGGAAACGTCTGCTTGCTGGGGGAAGTGTCATGTCCGCTCCTCCGCTCCTTTTCTTCTCCCCTTAGGAGCGGTTCATGGTTCCTTTTGTTTTTTGTTCTTTTTTTTTTTTTTTTTTTGAGACTATAATCCTGTCTTTTTTGTACACAGAGTAAAGAGGACAAATAGGTGAAAGAATAAATGAAAGGCTGGAATCCCACTTCCCCCGCTGTCCCAGGGCATTGGATATTGACGGATAGGAGGCAGCAAACCACTCACAGAGCCAGGAAGAAATGAATGCGTTGGTATTGCCAGGAGGGGAGGCCGGCCCGGCTGAAATACGCTATGACCATAGCCAGGAGATACTGATGGAGAGAAAGGAACACAGAGAGGGAGAGGTCACATCTTGGGAGAGGAAGATTGTGGATATAGTGGAATGGGGGTCTGGGGAGGGGTTGCCCATCAGAGAAGGGACCTCAGTGTTGGGGTGACTGTGCTCATGTGGAAATTGCGGGGTGGAGGGGTATTCGAAGGTCGGATGCAAATCCGAGAAGCCGGAGGAAGGGTTTTTGGTGATGCTCCCAGGATGGTGGGCTCCGATGGGATCTTTGGAGGGGGTGTGTCTAGGTCGGCTGGTGTCAGGAGGGTCTTTTGTGTGCCAGGCAGAGAACTGTCCCAAGGAGCTGAGAGTAGAGGGCCCAGGAGCTTCAGGGCTGCAGCCAGACTGTGGCCCAGGGCTCAGATCCCAAAGGACCCATAGGAGAGGCAGGGGCCACTCATTCACTCTGCAAGAGACCAGCAGAATCCTGACGGAGATGCTGACAAATCATAAAAAGACAAAGAATAGCCGGGAGTGGCAGCTCAAGCCTGTGATCCCAGTACTTTTTGAGAGGTGGAGACAGGAGGATCATGTGAGCCCAACAGTTGGAGAACAACCTGGGCAACACAGCGAGACCCTGTTTCTAAGAAGATTTCAAAAATTAGTTGAGCATGGTAGCATGTGCCTAGTCCCAGCTCCTCAGGAGGCTAAGGAAAGAGGATTGCTTGAGCCCAGGAATTAGAGTGAGCTATGATCATGCCACTGTACTCCATCCTGGGGAGCAGAGCTGGATTCTGTCTCAGAAAAAAAAATGTGTGGGTGCCAAGACTCAAGACCATGGGAGCTGGTCAGACACAGTGCTGACGTCTGTAATCTCAGCACTTTGGGAGGCCAAGGCGGGTGGATCACCTGAGGTCAGGTGTTCGGGACCAATCTGGCCAACATGGCAAAACCCCGTCTCTACTAAAAACACAAAAATTAGCCAGGCGTGGTGGTTCATGTTTGTAATCCCAGCTGCTTGGAGGCTGAGGTGGGAGAATCGCTTGAACCCAGGAGGCATCAGCTGCAGTGAGTCAAGATCGAGACACTGCCCTCCAGCCTGGGCAGCAGAGCAAGACTGTGTCTCACAAAAAAAAACAAAAACAAAAACAAAAAAAAACTGTAGGAGCATCTGGTGGGAGGTGGTGGACGGAGAACTGTGGGTTTGGAAGCTGCGCCCTCCCCCTGGCCGTGCGTTAGAACAGGAACACAGTTACATAGAGAACAACCTTACCTTGTCCGACACCCTCAGATCTTTGTCCCAGGCCAGGAGTCTTTTAATGACAGGATCCTCTGTGATTAGAGAGCAGATGTCAGTGTGAGAAGCAGGACAGGGTTTCCGTGAGAGCAGCAGGGCAGCGAGGAGAAGTGTGCCTCCCGGGGGAAAGTCTCAGGATTGTGGCCGCGGGTGAGGTGGATGAGAGAGGGGAGAATGACTTTCACTGGGCAAGGGAGAGAGGCTCCTGCTCTGAGACTCCCCTGAGAAGAGGCCGAAGGAGGCCCTGGGTGTGAGAATCTACAGGATGTAGAGCTGGGAATCAGCCAGGACCCCCTCCAGCAGACACGGAGGGACCACTGCAGAGTCATAAAGGAATTCCCATCATTTCCTCATGAGACAGTCACACATCAGGGTGTGACCATGGCCTTGGTATCCCTCACTATGGATGGAAACACTTAGGTTTAGAAAAGTCAGTAAGAAACATTAAGTTTCAGAGGGCACAGCTGAAACCACTTTTTTGATTTTTGATTTTGTTTTTCTTTATTTGATTTTTATTTTTATTTATTTATTAATTTATTTTGAGACAGAGTCTTGCTCTGTGGGCCAGGCTGGAATGCATTGGCCTGATCTTGGCTCACTGCAACCTCTGCCTCCTGGGTTTAAGCAGTTCTCCTGTCTCAGCCTCCCGAGTAGCTGGAACTACAGGGATGAGCTACTGTGCCCAGCCTTGGTTTTTCTTTTGACGCAGAGTTTTGCTCTGTCACCCAGGCTGGAGTGCAGTGGTGCAGTCATAGCTCACTGCAGCCTCAAAGTCCTGAGTTCAAGCAATCCTCTTGCCTCAGCCTCCCAACGTGCTGGGATCTCAGGCGGGAGCCACAGCGCCTGGCCCAAAACCAAGCTTTCTTATCCCAAGCACCGACCTTTATCAAGTCTACCTAATCCTCTGTTGTCTCCTAAGTGTCCCTCATGAGTGATCACTTCAGAGTCCTCCCGCATGGAGAGCTCACCCACTGGGGCATATTTTTCCCATTGGAAAAGTGTGGTTATTGGAAGTTTCCTCTTTAGAAAGAACAGGATTGGAGGTGCTCTCTGGGGTGTCCTCCTACCAAGCAGCCTGTTGAAGGCCTCGTAGTACTCAGGGAGCACGAGCGACACTCGCCGTCGCTTCGCCTTCATCTTGAGGCCACACAGCGTCTCCGCCACCCAGGTCTCCTCAGGCTCAGGGGCGAGCTCCTTCTCTGGCTCATCATCAGATTCATCCAAACATTCCCTCTTCCTTTTCCAGCCAAGGGACCTACGTGGGGGGCTGGGATCTACCCCAGGGGCTGAGTAAAGAAACCAGGCCACCGTGTAATGCTTCTGCAACTGATCACGTTAGACCCCGACCCCAAACCCCAAACCACTCTCCATCCTCCCCAGCCTCGCAGACTGCTGGCTTCTCCAAGCCACCTTTCTGACTTTCTCCTCTGCTCAACCCCATGTGCCACTCCTTCCCCTCCCCATTCTTCCCTCTCTCTGTCCTCAGAACACTGCCTCATATCCTTCCCTGGTCCCTGGCTCTCTGAGTCCCTCTTTTTTTTTTTTTTTTTTTGTTTCGAGACAGAATCTTGCTTTGTCACCCAGGCTGGAGTGTAGTGGTGCAATCTCAGCTCACTGCAACATGCATCTCCCGGATTCCAGTTATTCTCCTGCCTCAGCCTCTCAGGTAGCTGGGATTACAGGTGCCTGCCATAATGCCCAGCTCCATTTTGTACTTTTAATAGAGACAGGGTTTCACCATGTTGGCCAGGCTGGTCTCAAACTCCTGGCCTCAAGTGATCCGCCTGCCTTGGCTTCCCAAAGTGCTGGGATTACAAGTGTGAGCCACTGCACCCAGCCTGAATTTCTCCATTCTTCCCACACACCCTCCCCAGGTTCTCCTTCCTGACCTCTGACCCTTCTTTTTTTTCTTCTTTTTTTTTTTTTCTTCTTTTTTTTTTTTGAGATAGCATCTCACTCTGTCACCCAGACTGGAGTGCAGTAGCACGATCTCGGCTCACTGCAACCTCTTCCTCCCAGGCTCAAGTGATTCTCCTGTCTTAGCCTCCCAAGTAGCTGGGATTATAGGCACACACCACTACCGCCTGGCTAATTTTTGTACTTTTAGTAGAGATGGGGTTTCACCATGTTGGCCAGGCTGGTCTTGAACTCCTGACCTCAGGTGATCTGCCCGCCTCAGCCTCCCAAAGTGTTGGGGTTACAGGGGTGAGCCACCACGCCTGGCCCCCTTCCTTCATCTTAGTCAATCCTATGCCACCTCTTCTTTCTCCAGTCCCCTCACCTGATGGTCCCAACACTTCATCATCCACCACCTCCTGGAGGGGGTACCCTGAGGTGCTCCGCTGGGGGCTCCGCTCTTCCTGGGGCTGCGGTTGATGGCTCATCATGATCTTTCCCAAAATCTGTCCCATCTCACCAAACCTAGTCTCTGTTCTGTCCTTGGTCTTCTTCTGGACACTGCTGGGATCCAGAAGAGTGTGTTATCAATTCTCGAGGCTGGGAGAAGTCAGGAGTGGAGAACAGCTCTGAGAAGTTACTGTTGTCCAACTGAACTCCCAGGTGCCGACAGAGTCCGGTCCCTCCAATCAGGAAGGTCGGAATCTCTGATGTCATCGCTCATGCCAACCTGGCAACCAGTTTGAAAAAAAACACATGTAACTGCCAGGCTGATCTCTTGTCCTGGAGATCCTGGGTGAATGGTATCTCCTGCCACTGTCCCAACCTCAGACCACTGTCCAAAAGCATCTTCAGGGTCTCCGCATCCCTCTGTTCCCTGTCCCAGCAGAGGCTGTGTCCTCTCCACTCAAAGCTTGAAGCGTGTTGGGGTCTCCTCTTCTCTGTACATGCCCGTTTCAGAGTCCAGTCTGGTGGGAGAGGGATCAGGATGGGAAAGAAAAGTAGGGTAAGCAGAAACGATGAAACCTTACAAGAGTGAGATTATCATGTACAAGAGATCCCAGGAACATTGACTTGATGAAAAAGTCACATCAGAGCACTCAATTTGGCAGAGGTTTTCTGCCGAATGTCTACTGACATTCACTGTCCGAGATTCTGTACTGGGGGTACACGCGTCCTCTGCCCTAAGGCATCTTTGAGTCCAAGAGATACTTTGAGGACTGGAAATCATAGGAAACTGCCCATGAGTTCACACATATTTCCAATGGTGTCCCCAATTTCAGGGAGTCCACGGATCACCTAAAGCCAGCCCCTCCAGTTTGGCTAAGAAACTCTATATATCAAGTTTTGTATCATATGTATTGCTCTTAACTCAGAAAATTCCACCATTTATAGCAGTGGTTTATTTATTTATACCATTGAAGGAAATGGTTTATTTATGAATCTATATTACGGATATTCTATAAGATACTGGGTGTACAAAAAGACTAAGTCGAAAAATCTCAGCTGTGCACAGTGGCTCATGCTTGTAATCCCATCTCTTTGGGTGGCCAAGGGAGGAAGACTGCCTGAGGCCAGCAGTTCAAGACCAGTATAGGCAACATAGCAAGAGCCCATCTCTAAAACAAAACAAAACAAAACAAAACAAAATTAGCCAGGTGTCGTGGCTGGCACCTGTGTTCCAACAACTTGAGAGACTGAGGTGGCAGGAGGATTGCTTGAGCCTAGGAGTTAGGGGCTGCAGTGAGCTGTGATCGTGACACCGCACTCCAGTCTGGGCAACACAGCAAGACCTTGTGTCAAAAAAAATTTTTTAATTAAATATAAAAGAGTTTCATGACATTCAGAGACCATCCAAAGAACCTGTGGGTTCCGGCCAGGCACAGTGGCTCACGCCTGTAATCCCAGCGCTTTGGGAGGCCATAGCAGGTGGATCGCTTGAGGTCAGGAGTTTAAGAGCAGCCTGGCCAACATGGTGAAACCCCATCTCTTCTAAAAATACAAAAAATTAGTCAGGCATGGTGGTGGGTGCCTGTAATCCCAGCCACTCAGGAGGCGGGGACAGCAGAATGGCTTAAACTTGGGAGGCGGAGGTTGCAGTGAGCCAAGGTCACACCATTGCACTCCAGCCTGGGCAACAAGAGCAAAACTACATCTCAAAAAAAACAAACAAACAAACAAAAAGAACCTGTGGATGAGTTCCCACATGGCTTCCTAACGGGCTGCGGCTCTCCTAGGAGTCTCTCGCTCATGGGAAAGGCACAAACTGAATGCGGAAGGAAATCCCATTGCTGTGGAAGTCCCATTGTTAGGAAGCTCTGCTTTTCTGGAGTTCAAATTTGCATTCATGACGCTTTAAACCGTCAGAGCTGGGTGTGTCCTCCTACAACAAATCACTTTACTCTCTCTCCTAGTTAACAGGCTTTCAAATATTAGAACATCCATGTTCTGACCTCATTAAAATTGCTCTTTTGTGGAATGAAAAGCTCTGATTTAACCCGTCTTTAAGCCTGGTATGCATATTCCTCTCTGTTCCGGCCACCTTGTCTAGACACACTACACTGAGGCAGTGCCCATCTTAGATGATGTTGATACATTGTCAAAAAATGGGCAAACCAGGTGCGGCGGCTCACACTTGTAATCCCAGCACTTTTGGAAGCTGATGCCGACAGATAACCAGAGGTGAGGAGGTTGAGATCAGCCTGGCCAACATGGTGAAACCTGTCTGTTTTTCTGTAAAAATACAGAAACAATGAGCTGGGCGTGGGAGTGCACTTCTGTAATCCCAGCTACTTGTGGGGCTGAGGCAGGAGAATCACTTGAACCGGGAAGGTGGAGGTTCCAGTGAGCCGAGATCACGACACTACACTCCAGCCTGGGCGACAGAGTGAGACTCCGACTCAAAAAAAAAAAAAAAAAAAAAGTGCCAGACAGCCCAGGTTTGGTCTGATATGTTCAGAAAAAAGCAAAACAGTCACCTCTCACCTTTTCTTTTCCTGCAATGATGCCGTTTAATACAACAATGGCTGTAGGTCTGCGGCAGAAATATCATTCAAGTGAAACAGAAGGGCTTTCCTGGCTGGACACAGTGGTCACTCCTGCAATCCCAACACTTTGGTTGGCTAAGGTGGGAGGATTTCTTGCGGCCAGGAGTTCGAGGCTGCAGTGAGCTGTGATCCACCACTGCATTCCAGGCTGGGCATCAGAGTGAGGCCTGTCTCTAAAAAAACCCTTCACTCCCCAAAAAAAGGGATTTTCAAATACCAGCCTTTCAGCATGAGGATCACATGGAGGAACATTAAGACACAGATGCTGGGACCCAGCCCTATTGATTGTAATTAAAAAACTGAGGTGAGGCCTGATTTAGCTCCATCATTGGAATCCATTCAGATTTGAAATTCTCTGAGTTGGGCAGTGCAAGAGAGATCCTAAAGAAAGCAAAGTCACTGTGGACTGAAATGAGCTGGCAAGGTTTTCTGAGCGTGGTGAAATATGATCTGGGCCTCGCTTGGGAGGGCTGTGGCCAGGCCTTGAGTCCGTGGCTCAGTGGGACCTTCTGAAACAGCCTCCAATCCGTGCCCCCACTTCATTTGCTAGTGGATGACCCCCTCCAGCGGCTTTGGTGCTGATGGGAATAAGTCAACCTGCAGCGGAAGTTCAGCCCAAGTTTCAGCCCAGCAGCTTCTACACACCTGTCCGTGGTCTGGTCATGCTGCCATCTCTGCGGTTCTCTGCGGTTCTCTGCGGAGTCGTGGTTTCTGTACCTTGAAGAGAACTTCCCCTCTGGGACCCAGAAACCCAGTGAATCCTCAGGAAAAAAGGGAATGAAATTACTGAAGACAACTCTGTGGCGGGGAGATGGAAAAGAGGCTCTCTCTCTTTTTTTTTCCTAATATTTTGAGACAGAGTTTCGCTCTTGTCACCCAGGCTGCAGTGCAGTGGCTCCATCTCGGCTCACTGCAACCTCTGCCTCCCAGGTTCAAGCGATTCTCCTGCCTCAGCCTCCCGAGTAGCTGAGATTACAGGCACCCACCACCACTCCCGGCTAATTTTTGTATTTTAGGGTTTCGTCATGTTTGCCAGGCTGGTCTTGAACACCTGACTTCAAATGATCCACCCGCCTCTGCCTCTCAAAGTGCTGGGAATACAGGCATAAGACACTGCACCCGGCCTGTTTTTGTTTTTTAGAGACAAGGTCTCTGTTGCCTTGGCTGGGGTGCAGTGGTACAATCAGCTCTCTGTTGCCTCCTGGGCTCAAGCAATCCTCTTCTCTCAGCCTCCCAAGTAGCTGAGACTACAGGTGCATGCCTGTAGTAGATATAGCATCTTGCTCTGTTGCCCAGACTGGTCTTGAACTCTTGGTCACAAGCGATCCTCTTGCCTTGGCCTCTCAAAGTGCTGGAATTACACGCGTGAGCCATTGAGCCCAACCAGATAAGATGATCTTTAAGGGCCCTTCCCATGGCACCATAATCCAAGTCAGCGAGACTGTGGCTATAGCAAGTTTAACATAACCAGATACGCTAGTATTATGGGCTGCATGGTGTGCCCCCCACCCCTAATTCATGTATTGAAGCCATGACCCTCCAGACCTTAGAGGTGACCTTATTGGAACCAGAGTCTTTACAGAGGTGATCAAGTTAAAATGAGGTCACTAGAGGCCAGGCACGGTGGCTCACACCTGTAATCCCAGCACTTCGGGAGGCCGAGGCAGGCAGATAATGAGCCCAAGAGACCGAGACCATGATGTCCAACATGGTGAAACCCTGTCTCTACTAAAAATACAAAAATTAGCCAGGCGTGGTGGTGTGGGCCTGTAGTCCCAGCTACTCAGGAGGCTGAGGCAAGAGAATCGCTTGAACCCGGAAGGCAGAGATTGCAGTCAGCCAAGATCATGCCACTACACTCCAGCCTGGGTGACAGAGTGAGACTCTATCTCAAAAAAATAAAAATTAAAAAACTAAAAACCTACAGTACCGCCTTTTACATAATGCAATGGTTTGGTAAGCACATGCACCCCAGGGAGGTAGTGGCAGATTCAGTCAACCTTCCCAGCAGCGTGGAGACGCAGTCAGGCATAGCAGGTGTTGATGTGGTTTGAACCCACAGCTTGGCTCAAATCCACACTCCCCTACTTAGTACCGAGTGAAGCCACTTACCCTCTAAGTGCCTTACTTTTCTTTTCTTTTCTTTTTTCTTTTTTCGAGACAGAGTCTCGCTCTGTCACCCAGGCTGGAGTGCAGTGGCATGATCTTGGCTCACTGCAAACTTCGCCTTCCAGGTTCAAGCAATTCTCCTGCCTCAGCCTCCCAAGTAGCTGGGATTACAGGCGCCCACCACCATGCCGGGCTAATATTTGTATTTTTGATAGAGATGGGGTTTCACCATATTGCCCAGGCTGGTCTCGAACTCCTGACCTCAAGTGATCTGTCTGCCTCGGCCTCCCAAAGTACTAGGATTAGAGGCATGAGCCACCACACCTGGCCACTTTTCTTATCTATATTTGTTATGTGGATGACTTGTGTTAACGCAAATAAGATGCTGCTCGTCATCTTTAAAGAAAATAGGTGGCAACCTGTTATAGCAAGTCCTGTTTTTATTTGTACTTATGAGGCTTTAGTTAAACGCTAAGAATTAAAATGCACATAATAATAGACTTTACCTCACAAACTGGCTTCAATTATTCGATGAGACTTATATGTATTACTTAAATGAGGTTAAATTTAACCTTTAAAAAATGATTTATTGTGGCTGGGCACAGTGGCTCACACCTGTAATCCCAGCACTTTGGGAGGCCAAGGCAGACGGATCACTTGAGGCCAGGAGTTGAAGACCAGCCTGACCAACACGGCGAAACCCCATCTCCGCTAAAAATACAAAAATTATCCAGGCATGGTGGTGCACACCTGTAATCCTAGCTACTCAGGAGGCTGAGACACAAGAATCGCTTGAACCCGGGAGGCAGAGGTTGCAAGGAGGTGAGATCACACCACTGCACTCCAGCCTGGGCAATAGAGTGAGGCTCTGCCTTAAAACAAAGAAAAATGATTTTGGGGGATGATGGGGTGTCACTATGTTGACCAGGCTTGTCTCAAACTCCTTGCCTCAAGCAATCCACCCACCTCAGCCTCCCAAGTAGCTGGAACTACAGGCGCATGCCACCACGCCTGGCTAATTGTGTGTGTGTGTGTGTGTGTGTGTGTGTGTGTGTGTGTGTAGAAACAAGGTCTTACTGTGTTGTTTAAGCTGCTCTCAAACTCCTGGGCTCAAGTGATCCTCCCACCTTGGCCTCCCAAAGCATTGGAATTACAGGTGTGAGCCACCTCACTGAGCCCTCCACCTTTCAGCTGAACGCAGAAAAGTACAATCTTTTAACCCAAAGCGTTCCTCACACTTAGGGTCAGGAAGAGCCCTTCATGCCCTGGAGGCAACTACTAACCCTCTGCTAAACACTCTGACTCTGGGTGTGAGAAACACACCTACTGTGCCCCACATATTTTTCCAAATACAACTTAATTTAGCCTTCACGACAACCCTGGAGTGAAGGATCATTAACTTTATTTCATAGATGTGGAAACTGAGACTCAGAGGCAGGAAATGACCTCCTTCTGGAGGCTGCAAATTCTTTGATGCTCCTTTGATCAACAGGTGGGAGCTGGCCAGAGGTGGTGGCTCACACCTATAATCCCAGCACTTTGGGAGGCCAAGGTGGGAGGATTGACTGAGGCCAGGAGTTTGAAACTAGCCTGGGCAACATAGCAAGACCTCATCTCTACAAAAAATACACAAATTAGCAGGGTGTGGTGGTGCACACCTGTAGTCGCAGCCACTCGGGAGGCTGAAGTGGTAGCATTGCTTGAGCCCAGGAGGTTGAGGCTGGAGTGAGCCATGATCAAGCCACTGCACTCCAGCCGAGGAGATGGAGATAGACCCTGTCTCAAACAACAACAAAAAAATAGGTGAGGATCAGCCAGGCATGGTGGCTCACGCCTGTAATCCTAGAACTTTGGGAGGCCAAGGTGGGAGGATTGCTTGAGGCCAGGACTTCAAGACCAGCCTGGGCAGCCTAGCAAGATCCCATCCCTTAAAAAAAAGTTTTTAGGCTGGGCATGGTCACTCATGCCTGTAATCCTAGCACTTTGGGAGGCCAAGGCAGGCGGGTTGCCTGAGCTGAGGAGTTTGAGACCAGCCTGGGCAACATGGTGAAATCCTGTCTCTACTAAAATACAAAAAATTAGCCAGGTGTGGTGTTGGGCACCTGTAATCCCAGGTACTCAGGAGGCTGAGGCAGGAGAATTGCTTGAACCCAGGAGGCAGAGGTTGCAGTGAGCCGAGAGCGCACCACTCCACTCCAGCCTGGACAACAGAGCGAGACTCCGTCTCAACAAAAAAAATGTTTTTAATTAGCCAGCTGTGATGATGCATGCCCATGTCCCAGCTACTTGGGAGGCTGAAGCAGGAGGATTGCTTGAGCCTGGGAGGTCAAGGCTGCAGTGAGCTATGATTGCGCCCCTGCACTCCAGCCTGGACAGCGGAGGGAGACCCTGTCTGAAAATAAAAAAAGAGGTGGGGGCCTATGACCCCCCCTTTAATTTTGGCCCAACCTTAGTAACAGGATAGTCATTGAGTAGGGCAAAAGTGATGTTATGATGTTTTTCAGCCTCCAATTTACAGTCTAAAACATGTCTTGGGTAAACACAGCAAGACTCCATCTCAAAAAAAAAAAGAAAAAAAATCAGAAGTGAACCTGTAGCCTGTAGTGTGTTGCCAAATAAACTTATTTTTAGAGATACTTCTTTCCATTTTCTGTGAGGTCATCTGCAGTTTCACATGGTAGACAGACTTAGGTGAGATTCTTAGCAACATAGAATGAAGAGTAAAGAGGTTTGTTTATTTCACAAGGGTTTATTGAAGGCCTACGATGTGTTAAATGCTGTAGGAAATACCCACTGATTTCTCTTTTCATGGAGGTTTCCCGCCTTCTCTTAACGAGTGATCAATTAAACTGTTTACTGGGAACTTGCTAAGTTAATGAACACACGGGATACATTCTTTGGATGAGCAGACATTGGTTGGGCAGAGGGGCAAGAGGAGAGCAGTTTAGACAGAGACCTGCTTATACACTGTAGTGTCTAAGAGAGCTTGTGATGTTCAGGAAACAGTTGTTCACTGTGCTGCAATATAGGGGACGGCCAGTTGCGGTGGCTCACACCTGTAATCCTAGTGCTTTGGAAGGCCAAGGCGGGCAGATCACCTGAGGTCAGGAGTTAGAAACCAGCCTGGCCAACATGGTGAAACCCCATCTCTACTAAAAACACAAAAATTAGCTGAGTGTAATGGTGGATGCCTATAATCCCAGCAACTTGGGAGGCTGAGACAGGAGAATCACTTGAACTTGGGAGGTGGAGGTTGCAGTGAGCCGAGATCATGCCATTGCACTCTAGCCCAGGTGACAGGGTGAGACTCTGTCTCAAATAATAATAATAATAATAATAATAATAATAATAATAATAATAATAATAATGTAGGGGACTTGATGAAGGGAAAGGATCAGAGAGATTCTGAAAAGAAGGTAGTTTGGGGCCCAGTGATGACTAGATTTTAAGTTTCATATAGTAGGAAGTGGGGCACTAGTAATTTTTCAAGCAGAAAAATTATTTGACCAGATTCGTGATTTCAAAAATAGCTCTGGTGATAGAGTGGAGGATGGGTTGGAGCAGGGAATAAGGGGAAATGAAACCGTTATAAAACTCTTAAAGTGGGCTGGGCATGGTGGCTCACGCCTGTAATCCCAGCACTTTGGGAGGCTGAGGCGGGCGGATCACGAAGTCAGGAGATCGAGACCATCCTGGCTAAAACGGTGGAACCCTGTCTCTACTAAAAATACAAAAAATTAGCTGGGCATGGTGGTGGGCGCCTGTAGTCCCAGCCACTCAGGAGGCTGAGGCAGGAGAATGGTGTGAACCCGGGAGGCAGAGCTTGCAGTGAGCTAAGATCGTGCCACTGCACTCCAGCCTGGGCGACAGGGCGACAGAGCAAGAATCCGTCTCAAAAAAAAAAAAAAAAAAAAACCTCTTAAAACAAGTACAGCAAGAACTTTGAGGGTCTTTGCTAAGACAGCAGCTGGCAGCTTCAATTTGGAGTAGGGTATCAAAGGCAACTGTGTATAAGGAATAGTTATATAACTGGTATCCAATTTCTGAGATGATTTTGACTTAAACATTGTGTATTTCCCAGCATACTGTTGGTTTTTCTAATTATGTGGGAAATTATGTTGCTTTTACTTTTTTTTTTTGCTCATTGCCCAGCCTAGGGTGCAATGCTGCAATCTCAGCTCACTGCAACCTCCGCCTCCCAGGTTTAAGTGATTCTTCTGCCTCAGCCTCCCAAGTAGCTGGGATTACAGGCGCCCACCACCATGCCTGGCTAATTTTTTGTATTTTTGGTAGAGACAGGGTTTCACGACGTTGGCCAGGCTGGTCTCAAACTCCTGATCTCAAGTGATCCACCTGCCTCTGTGTCCCAAATTGCTGGGATTACAGGCATGAGCCACCGCACCGGCCATGCTTTCAGTTTTCAAGAAAGAAGACACCATTATTGCCAAAGATTTTGGTAATTTGAGAGATACAATGTATGTTTTCTCCATGTGGATACTAGATAGTAAGGATGTGTTGAATTTGAAGTGTCTATCCAGAAGTATTTTGGGTACTTGTTTAAGGATTGTAAAACAATGTTTCCATTTCTGGATATAATAAATGTATTTGTTAATATAATAAATGAATAGATTAGACCCATAAACTATTTGCAGTGTTGAGTCATTTCCCACAGTTAAAATCAGGATGAAAATATATAGCTGAATACTTGCTTTGTTTCTTGTAACTGATTTCTTTAGTACAGAACCTGCTAAGGCCATCAAACCTATTGATCGGAAGTCAGTCCATCAGATTTGCTCTGGGCCGGTGGTACTGAGTCTAAGCACTGCGGTGAAGAAGATAGTAGGAAACAGTCTGGATGCTGGTGCCACTAATATTGGTAAGTTTGGGAGAGTTTTAAGCCACAAGAAATGATCAGTGAATGTTGTTGTAGTCAAGAAACATTTGTTATTGAAATAAGACTATCAAGTGTTGATGTAGTAATAAACTATTATTTTTAAGTTAAAGTTAGCACCTATTATGTGCCTAGTACTTAGCTAGGTAGTAATAATAATAACGACAGCTTTTCTTGTGTTCTTATGGTGTGCCAGGCAGGTGTTATGCTAAGAATTGCACAGAAATATCTCATTTAATTTGCAGAATAGCTGGGCGTGGTGTCTGACGCCTGTAATCCTAGCCCTTTGAGAGGCTGAGGTGGGGGGATTGCTTGAAGCCAAGAGTTCAAGACCAACCTGGCCAACATGGGGAGACCTCGTCTCTATTAAAAAATAAAGCAGGCCGGGTGTGGTGGCTCACGCCTGTAATCCCAGCACTTTGGGAGGCCAAGGCGGGTGGATACCTGAGGTCAGGAATTCGAGACCAGCCTGTCCAAAATGGTGAAACTCTGTCTCTACTAAAAATACAAAAATTAGCCAGACCTGGTGGCAGAAGCCTGTAATCCCAGCTACTGGGGAGGCTCAGGAATGAGAATTGTTTAAATTTGGGAGGTGGAGGTTGCAGTGAACCGAGATTGTGCCACTGCACGCCAGCCTGGGGACAGAGCAAGACTCTGTCTCAAAAAAATAAAATAAAATAAAATAAAATAAATCCTGGAGTAGTGGCTCACATCTGTAATCCCAGCACTTTGGGAGGCTGAGGGGGGCTGATGCTTTGAGGTCAGGAGTTCAAGACCAGCCTAACCAACGTGGTAAAACCCTGTCTCTACTAAAAATACAAAAATTAGCCAGATGTGATGGTGCATGGCTGTAATCTCAGCTCCTCAGAAGGCTGAGGGAGGAGAATTGCTTAAACCTGGGAGGTGGAGGTTGCAGTGAGCCAAGATCGATTGTGCCACTGCATTCCAGCCTGGGTGACAAGAGCAAAAGTCCATCTCAAAAAATTAAAAAAAAAAAAAAAAAAAGGAAAGAAAAAAAAGAAAATGACAAAATTAAAAAAAAATTATTAATCTGCCAAATAACTTTATGAGATAGAACTTATTACCTCCATTTTACAGTTGAGGAAATTAAGGGACAGTAAATTTCCTTTTTTTGAGATTATAAAGCTAATAAAATAGAATCTAGGAAGTCTGATTCCAGAACCAGTTCTGTTTTTTTTTTCTTTTTTTTTTTTTTTGAGATAGAGTTTTGCTCTTGTTGCCGAGGCTGCGGTGCAATGGCACGATCTCAACTCACTGCAACCTCCACCTCCCAGGTTCAAGCGATTCTCCTGCCTCAGCCTCACAAGTAGCTGGGATTACAGGCATGCACCACCACGCCTGGCTAATTTTGTATTTTTAGTAGAGATAGAGTTTCTCTACGTTGGTCAGGCTGGTCTCGAACTACTGACCTCAGGTGATCCGCTCGCTTTGGTCTCCCAAAGTGCTGGGATTACAGGCATGAACCACTGCGCCCGGCCCCCGTTCTCCTTACTGGGTATGTTAAAATTATTTCTTTCAAAGGAAAAGGCTGGTCAAAGTGCAACGGTCTTTACAACTAATTGATCACAACCAGTTACAGATTTTTTTGTTCCTTCTCCACTCCAACTGCTTCACTTGACTAGTGTAAGGAAAAAAAAAAAAAAAAGAGGAAAGAAAGAAAATGCTAAACTATTTAATCTGGGCTAGTAAATGGCCAGAAAGAACTTTATAAAAATGAAATATACAAAATGACACTAGTATGTTTAACTAAAGGTATAGTTACGACACTTAAATTTGCACGTTATAAATAATATCAATATAAAAACTGATAGCGTGGGTCCATTTTTAATAAATATATAAATATTTTAAACTTTCTAGATCTAAAGCTTAAGGACTATGGAATGGATCTCATTGAAGTTTCAGGCAATGGATGTGGGGTAGAAGAAGAAAACTTCGAAGGCTTAAGTAAGTTAACTTTCTAATCCTATTACAAAATAATTGGGCCACATGTCTTAGAATTTTGAGTAACACTGTCTTGGGAAACACAAAAACAGTTTTTTAAAGCCAGTTACTAGATATCATGTATATTTGTTGTTATAGCACTTGAGATATCTTAGTCCTTACTTTACAGTCTCTTTCAGCTCTGAAACATCACACATCTAAGATTCAAGAGTTTGCCGACCTAACTCGGGTTGAAACTTTTGGCTTTCGGGGGAAAGCTCTGAGCTCACTTTGTGCACTGAGGTGATAAAATATTTTTATCCATTCACTTGACCCCTTAGAAAAACCTCTCTGAAAATTAATTGGAATCATTATTATTTACAATTTTCTATCTCAATATCTCAGCTTCTAGCTTCTGAATTCTGTTTTGTCTCACTGCCAATCTAAGTCCTAGTACTTCTGAAATGTGAGCAATAAATGAATGAAATGAAGCAAATAGTATTGTTTAAAAAATTGGTTACCCTTATTAAAACAGTAACTTCTCAATTTGAACATAACATATAGATAATAAATGATAGTTACCATTGGTTTTCATTATCAATTTTTAGGGAAACATTTCACCAAAGCACTATTTAATTACAGCACAGATACTAAATTTTTATAAATAATTACATGCACACACACATATATATACATATATATACATATATACATATATATATACATATATACATATATACATATATATATACATATATATACATATATACATATATATACATATATACATATATACATATATATACATATATATATACATATATATACATATATATATATATATATATATATATATTTTTTTTTTTTTTTAGACAGAGTCGCACTCTGTCACCCAGGCTGGAGTGCAGTGGCACAGTCTCAGCTCACTGCAGTCTCTGCCTCCCAGGTTCAAGTGACTTTCGTGACTCAGCCTCCTGAAGAGCTGGGACTATAGCGTGCACCACCACTCCTGGCTAATTTTTGTATTTTTAGTAGAGATGGGGTTTTGCCATGTTACCCAGGCTGGTCTGGAACTCCAGGCCTCAAGTGATCTGCCCTCCTTGGCCTCCCAAAGTGCTGGAATTACAGGCATGAGCCACCGTACCCTGCCCTACATATACATTTTAATTATAATATCTTTTGGATTCTTTAAAAAAAATTTTAAAAATTTTAAAAAATTCTTTAAAAAAATTCTTTTAAAAAATTTTGTTTGAAGAGTAATAACAAAACAAATCTCTATTTGAGAATCAATAAATCTTGAGATCATTTATGGTTTTGCAATTCAACCTGAAAAATGAAGTCAAAGCTTTTATCAAAACAAAGCATGTTTAGTGCTCTCTGTCTCACTGTCTTTTAGATGCCAGACCTTAGATTTTGTGATGACTCCTCAACCGTTTAGATCTCGGTTATCTCAGAGGGATCATCAGCTTTTTAAGAAAATTTTGAGAGAAAAGCAAGTGAAGAAAAGAGTAGTCAGTGCCCAACATCATGGATCTCTCACTGAACACACCATGCCTGGTATTCTCTCACAGTGATGTCACCATTTCTACCTGCCACGTATCGGCGAAGGTTGGGACTCGACTGGTGTTTTTGATCACGATGGGAAAATCATCCAGAAAACCCCCTACCCCCACCCCAGAGGGACCACAGTCAGCGTGAAGCAGTTATTTTCTACGCTACCTGTGCGCCATAAGGAATTTCAAAGGAATATTAAGAAGGTACAGTAAATTAATCCTGGTTTTCAAGAGTATTGGTTAATGCACATGAGCAAAAGATTTACTAAAGATGTTTATTCTTCAGTTGATTCTCTTCCCATAATTTATTGAGAAATGCTTTATTTGCATTTCTCATTAAAGACTTAACTTCAGGATGATTTACTTTTTTCTTTTTATCACATAATGTTTATTAGGACTGGGAAACATAGTGAGAGTCTGTCTCTATGAAAAATTAAAAAAAAAATTGACTGGGCATGGTGGCATGCACCTGTAGTTCCAGCTACTTGGGAGGCTGAAGTGGGAGGATCACCTGAGCCCAGGAACTTGAGACTGCAGTGAGCTACGATTGCGTCACTACACTTCAGACTGTGAGACAGAGTAAGACCCTGTCTGGAAAAATATATATACATATATATACATTTTTTTTATTTTTTATTTTTATCTTTTTTTGAGATGGAGTCTCACTTTGGCGCCCTGGCTGCAGTGCAGTGGCGCGATCTCAGTTCACTGCAACCTCCACCTGCCAAGTTCAAGCGATTCTCCTGCTTCAGCCTTCTGAGTAGCTACCATTACAGGCGCGCGCCACCACGCCCGGCTAATTTTTGTATTTTCAGTGGAGACGGGGTTCCACCATGTTGTCCAGGCTGGCCAGGCTGGTCTCGAATTCCTGCCCTCAGGTGATCCGCCCACCTCGGCCTCTCAAAGTGCTGGGATTACAGGCGTGAGCCACCATGCCTGACCTTATGTACTTATATTTTTATGAGAATATTTCTCTTGGTTTTCTGATAAATGAGTTACTGGAACCCTTATGAATTTGAATGCAAATGAAACAGCTAAATGTTATATAATTGTTGTGTTTAAAAAGCAGATTATAAAACTGTCTGTATTATATGATTACAGTTTTATAAAAACAAAACAGGCCTAAATGTGTATAGTATAAAGACTGAAGAGTCAGCACTTCCATGTTCTCAGCGGTTATCCTTGGATGTGAGATCTCATGCACTTTTTGCTCTCTTCTTTGTGCCTTTCCATTTTGCATGCGTATTTCTTATAATCTAAAAAGTTACTTAAACATATGCAGCTAAAAACTTTTTTTACTTGTAAAGCGTTTGGTGCTAATTTTAACTTTTTTTTTTAGACGGAGTCTTCTCACTCTGTCGCCCAGGCTGGAGTGCAGTGGTGTGATCTTGGCTCACTGCAACCTCCGCCTCCTGGGTTCAAGTGATTCTCCTACCTCAGCCTCCCAAGTAGCTGGGATTATAGGTGTGTGTCACCACACCCAGCTAATTTTTGTATTTTTAGTAGAGATGGGGTTTCACCATGTTGGCCAGGCTGGTCTTGCACCCCTGACCTCAAGTGATCTGCCCACCTCAGCCTCCCAAAGTGCTGGGATTACAGGCGTGAGCCACCACGCCTGGCTTTTTTTTTTAAAGCTTTTTTGTAAGTCAGCCAGCAAGAACACAGGAGGAAGTACTCAAATCTCCCTTACACAGCTGGGGGCTGTGTCAGGTTTTATAAGCATAGGGTAATGAGGTGTGATTTGATTGGATCTTGCAATAAAGTAATGCTGGGAGGTGTGATCTGACTGGATCCTGCCATGGGGTGACACCAAAACTCAATCTGATTGGATCCTGGCTCCTGCCTGGGGGTGTCTGGTTCTTAAATCGGTCCGGGCTCTTCAGGCTGAGCTCTTAGGTTCCACTCCACGGTGGCACGCGTGGTTAACCTGGGCATGCACAGGGTACATGACCTTCAACCTGCAGGTCGATGGCAATTGGAAAACAACTGACAACTTCATTACATAAAAGTTGAACTGATTCGGGTGCGGTGACTCACGCCTGTAATCCCAGCACTTTGGGAGGCCAAGGCAGGTGGATCACCTGAGGTCGAGGAGTTCAAGACCAGCCTGGCCAAAATGGTGAAACCCCGTCTCTACTAAAAATATAAATATTAGCCAGGCGTGGTGGCGCACCCTTGTAATCCCAGCTACCCCAGAGGCTGAGGCAGCAGAATGCTTGAACCTAGGACGTGGAGGTTGCAGTGAGCTGAGATCGTGCCATTGCACTCCAGCCTGGGTGACAAGAGTGAAACTCCATCAAAAAAAAAAAAAGTTGAACTAGATTTGGTCTGATGCAGTTACAGATTTACAAACCGCGTCCCACCCTCCTGCCAACACCTTCCACTCCTCATTCTTGAGGGATTAGGGATGGAGGTCATGCTTCTGTATCGACTTCATGCTGACCAGGGGCACTTAGTCCCCTAAAGTGAGAGGAATGAAACTCTTGGGCTTCTGAGTTCAGATGAGTTCTGGGGTCACCCGGAGTAGCTTGAAAGGCTGGTATTGTTGTAATACAAGCTGAAGGTGGAAGTGTTGGATCCTGGAGGACAAACAGCTCACCATCCATTTAAATAAATAGGACCAAAAAGTAACAGAACAGTGGCCACGAGGGGCCCCAACAGAGGAAGAAACCAGGTGAGGTGTGGTATAGTGGACTCGACTGCCTTCTAAATCTCAGTGGTTGTCCGGGTGCGGTGGCTCACGCCTGTAATTCCAGCAAAAGAAGAGCCGAGGCAGGGTGATCACGAGGTCAGGAGTTCAAGACCAGCCGGGCAAACATGGTGAAACCCCGTCTCTACTGAAAATACAAAAATTAGCCAGGTGTGGTGGCGTGTGCTGTAGTCCCAGCTACTAGGGAGGCTGAGGCAGGAGAATTGCTTGAACCTGGGAGGCGGAGGTTGCAGTGAGCCGAGATTGTGCCACTGCACTCCAGCCTAGGTAACAGAGCAGGACCCCATCTCAGTCAATCAATCAATCTCAGTGGTTGAACTACCCTTGATATGGTTCAGCTCTGTATCCCCAACCAAATCTCATGTCCAATTGCAATTCCCAGTGTTGAGGGAGGGACCTGGTGGGAGATGATTGGCTCATGGCGGCTGACGTCCCCCTTGCTGGTCTCGTGATAGTGAGTGAGCGCTCATGGGATCTGGTTGTTTAGAAGCATGCAGCACCTCCTGCTTCACTCTCTCTGTCTCTCCTGCTCCACCATGGCCAGAAACGTGCCTGCTTCCCCTTCGCCTTCTGCCGTGATTGTCAGTTTCTTGAGGGCTCCCCAGCCATGCTTCCTGTACAGCCTGCAAAACTGTGAGTCAATTAAACCTCTTTTCTTCATAAATTCCCCAGTTTCCAGTAGTTCTTTATAGCAGTGTGAAAACAGACTAATGGACCCTTCTGGTTGAAGGAATGTAGCCATTCTGCTTGTTTAAGTATTTCCTTTCTATTCATCTCTATTTCCCGGGAGGTGTTTATCCAAGTGCAATAGGAGATATTGGTGACTGCAGAGTCCCCTCAGTGTTCTGCTAGTAAATAGTTGAAGGTTGATCAGTGATCTCCAGCATTTTCAGTCTGGCATGGAAAAGCCCCCATGTAACTGGTAAAGGTATCAGTAAGCACCAGGAGGTATCTAAATCCACCAGGAGCCATAGGCATCATGTTGATGTCCATTTACCAGTCTTCCCTGGCAAGATTCTCTGAATTGTACTGCCTTGGCCAAAAGAGGTATGGGAGGGGCTGGGCACAGTGGCTCACGCCTGTAATCCCAGCATTTTGGGAGACCAATTCGGGTAGATCATTAGAGGTCAGGGGTTCAAGACCATCCTGGCCAACATGGTGACATTCCATCTCTACTAAAAATACAAAAAGTCAGCGGGGTTTGGTGTTGGGTGCCTGTAATCCCAGCTACTCGGGAGGCTGAGGCAGGATAATCACTTGAACCTGGGAGGAGGAGGAGGTGGCAGTGAGCTGAGATCTCGCCATTGCACTCCAGCCTGGGCAACAAGAGCGAAACTTCATCTCAAAAAATAAAAAAAGAAGTCTGGGTGTGGTGGCTCGTGCCTGTAATCCCAGGACTTTGGGAGGCCAAGATGGGTGGATCATGAGGTCAGGAGTTCAAGACCAGCCTGGCCTAGATGGTGAAACCCTGTCTCGAGTAAAAATACAAATATTAGCTGGGCATGGTGGCACACACCTGTAATCTCAGCTACTCAGAAGTCTGAGACAGAAGAATTGCCAAAACCCGGGAGGGAGAGGTTGCAGTGAGCCGAGATCGCGCCACTGCACTCTAGCCTGGGCGACAGAGCAAGACTCCGTCTCGAAAGAAAGAAAGAGAAAGGAAATTCCCCAGGGAAGTACCTCGGCTTATTTCATGAAGAGGTACTGAAGGAAGCAGAGGCATGTGGAGGACTTCCCCACCTCGTGCAGCTATTTGGGCCGTGGCGTCTGAAATTTCTTATTTCAGAGTCACCCCTTTGATGACCTTGGCAGTGGACTGCAGTCATCTGTTTAGGCCTCTCCATGGCCCGTGTCAATGCCGATATTTCTGTCTGTTGCACATTTGATTTCCTTGTTGTTGGCATTTAGAAGGCCCCCTGTTTCCCAGATCACACCACGGGCATGGACCGCAGAGATTGCATCTTGTGAGTCTGTAGAAACAGTCAAGGCCTTGTCCTCTCTTAGGTCCAGAGCTCAGGTGAATGCAGATTTTCCCGGCCATCTGTGCTGAAGTCCCTGTGGGGAGGCTCCTGGCTGGTTTCCTGTAGGTAGACAGCTACACATCCTGCCCTTCATTGGCTTCTTTTCATGAAGCTCCTGCTGTCTACAAAACATGTCTCCCTTTTCTTCTTGAACCACATCTCTGTTATTGAAACTCTAGAAGTCAGCCAGGCACAGTGGCTATGCCTGTAATCCCAGCACTTTGGGAGGCCAAGGTGGGTGGATCACCTGAGGTCAGGAGTTCAAGACCAGCCTGGCCCACATGGCGAAACCCTGTCTCTAATACAAATACTAAAATTAGCCAAGCATGGTGGCCACTGCACTCCAGCCTGGGTGACAGAGCAAGACTCTGTCTCAAATAAAGAAAGAGAAAGTATCATGCTTTTCAGAGTTCTGTGGGTTGTTATGGTGAATTATCAAACCTGAGGACGTGGTGGGAACCTCCAAATTTGCAGCCAGTTGGTGAGAAGTACATGCGGTCTGTGGACACCCAAGCTTGCAGCTGCATCTGAAGCGAGGGCAGCCTAGCGGGGGCTGGTGGCCTTAACCTGTGGCATTTGATGTAACATCAGGGAGTTGACATCAGAATTACGTCACACAGGCCAGGTGCAGTGGCTCATGCTTATAATCCCAGCAATTAGAAAGGCAAGATAAGAAGATTGCTTGAGCTTGAGTCTGAGCCCACAGTGAGCTATGACCGCACCACTGCACCCCAGTCTGGGTGACAGCACAAGACCCCGACTCCAAAAATAAAAAAGAAAAATCACAAAGAATTGCATGGCAGAGTGCCTGTCTTTCACAGCTTGAACTGTTGCAGGAACTTTCTTTTTTTTTTTTTCTTTTGTGATGGAGTCTCGCGCTTTCACCCAGGCTGGAGTGCAGTGGCGCGATCTCTGCTCACTGCAGGCTCCGCCTCCTGGGTTCACACCATTCTCCTGCCTCAGCCTCCGGAGTAGCTGGGACTACAGGCGCCTGCCACCGCGCCCAGCTAATTTTTTGTATTTTTAGCAGAGATGGGGTTTCACCGTATTAGCCAGGATGGTCTTGATCTCCTGACCTCATGATCCACCCACCTCAGCCTCCCAAAGTGCTGGGATTACAGTCCTGAGCCACCGCGCCTGGACTTTTTTTTTTTTTTTGAGAGGGGTTGGGGAGACATATTCTCTGCTAGTGATTCTCCTGCCTGGTCTCGAACTCCTGCTGGGATCACAGGCGTGAGCCACCACGCCCAGCCACCTTTAGAGTTTTCTTACCACCTGGTTTTCCTCTCTCAATATCTTTCTCTCATTTCCTGCTTTAAAACTCTAGCTTGGGGTCTGGGCACAGTAGCTCATGCCTATAATCCCAGCACTTTGGGAGACTGAGGCGGGTGGATCACTTGAGGTCAGGAGTTTGAGACCAGCCTGGCCAACATGGTGAAACCTTGTCTCTACTATTTTTACAAAAGTTAGTCAGACGTACAGGCGGATGCCTGTAGTCCCAGCTACTTGGGAGGCTGAGGCAGGAGAATTTGCTTGAACGCGGAGGTGAAAGTTGCAGGGAGCCGAGGTTGTGCCACTGCACTCCAGCCTGGGAGACAGAGCGAGACTGTCTCCAAAACAAACAAACAAACAAACAAACAAAAAAACCCTGTAGCTTGGGATCAGCCTTCTCTTCTGTTGTTTTTCTTTAAAAAATAAAAATTAAAAATAGGCTTCAAGTGATCCTCCCGCCATGACCTCCAAAACTGCTGGGATTGTAGGTGTGAGCACTGCACCCAGCCGTATGTTTTTTTCTACATAAAAAACAGCACAGGATTATCTTCCAAAGCTAATAAATATGTTCAAATAACCACAACCCCATTAAGGAAAAATGTCACTTGACAGCAAATAATCAATCCAGACCACAATATGATCACACTCACTGTGAAGGTGAGAAAAGTTCATCTTTATTATGTTTCCCCAAGAGATGCACTGCACTGTTCTCTTGAAAACACACAGCTCATGTCCTCCTTTAGAACACACATCCTCTTTAAAGTAACATACAAACATGCCAAAACAAGATAAAAAATTCCATCTGAATTCTCACATTTCAAACATACACTAAATATCAAATAAAAATTTATTTTTACAAGAATTTAGGGGAACTACCACATAGCTATAAATGTAATATATATGTTAACTAAGTATCATAGATAAAAACCATGCTCCCTTCAGCAGCACGTGTAATAATAGATACAAAGATTGAAAGGTAAAAGATTTAGGATGAAAAGAATCCTCTCTTAAAAAGGAAAACAAAATTATATGTATGTGTATACAACAGTTATAATACCCATCACACAGCTTTATAGAAACAGCATCTATTCAAAAATACCAGTATTTCCAAAATATTTAAAATAATATTTAAAGTAATAATAATATTTAAATAAATAAATATATTTAATAAATATTTCAGTAAATAAAATAATATTTAAATAATTCTATACCCATGTTTTTCAAAATAAACCAATAAAATAGATAGTATATATTAGACGTGTTAGTATATATATCTGAGACATGTTAAAAATCACAACTGAATTCTCACAAGTCAGTCACAAACCTAAACAGCAAATAAAAATTTCTATCACCAGAATTATGTTTTTTTCTGGTGGGGAACTACCAATAGCTATAAATAGAAGAGATTATTATGGAAGTATCATAGATAAAAAGAGTGCTCGCTTCAGGAGCACATATAATAATACAGAAAAAAAATTAAAGATAATAAAAGATTTAGGATAAAAAGAATTCTCACTTAAAAATGAAAAGAAAATTATCTTTAGGTATATATAACAACTATAACTCTCATCAAAAAACTCTACAGGAACAGCATGTTTTCAAAAGTACAACAATTTCCAAACTATTTGAAATAAACCTATTAATAATTCAATGGCCAACATTTTCCAAACAAACCAATAAAATGCATAGTGTGCATGAAGCTATCTGTTACAGTCTGTGGCACTCATATTTCACAAAGAATTCTGTGCCAATCTGAGCCCCTGCACTGTGCCTTCAAATGCTCCTGGACTGTGGCAACCAAGTCCATAAGAAACAGGACCTCCAGGTTCCGCCCCAGGGAGGTTGGCATTCAGCAATATAAAAAGGGAGGTGGTGCCGCAGGAAAGGGTGGAACTGGAAACACTCCTGGTTTCTTACTTTTCTCCAAGGACTCCTAGAAGTACCCCACCCCACCCCTGCTCCTTGGAGGACAACGTGATCACTGTATTCAGCTCTGTCAAGAATGGTCCAGGTTCTTCTAGATGATCTGCACAAATGGTTCCTCTCCTCCTTCCTGATGTCTGCCATTAGCATTGGAATAAAGTTCCTGCTGAAAATCCACATCTCCCCTGGGTCCGGTGTTCTGGAAGTGAGAGAGACAATGTCACACTTGAAGGAGGCAGCTCTCTAGACAGGAAGGTTATTCACGTCCCATGTCAAGTCTAGCTAGAGTTCAGAGCAATTGAGAAGTGCAATTTTATCTCCTGCCTTTCATTCTATACCCTGCTTCTGAACCATCGTGTTCAACTGTGAAACTCACACTTTGGTGACCCTGACTCCAAAACTTAATACACCCAAGGTCAGCCCCAGTGATCTGCTTCATAGCCAGGACTTTGGGTGGGTCTTCCCAGGGAGTAGGGCACCCTCAGAGAATGTGGCTTTGGACTTCATCACAGCTGGGGCCTTTTGTGTCACTTCAGATCTAAACTTGTAACCGTGCTAGATCTGTTTCTAACGTGACAACATCACGAACCACGAGTCCAGAAGCCTAATCCATAATCCTCCCTCCTCATGACGAAGTCTCATGCTCTGTGCTCAACATGGTTAGCTGCACAAGATGTAAACCAAAGCTTCACTGAACCCTCGACCCAAATCGGTAACTCAAGTGCATCAATCATAATGAACCTCCCCGAACTCAGTATTTATGATTATTTTTGAGGCAGGGTCTCACTCTGTCGCCCGGGCTGGAGTGCAGTGGCAGGATCAGGGCTCCCTGCAGCCCCGACCTCCCAGGCTCCAGCGATCCTCCCGCCTCAGCCTCCTGAGTAGTTGGGAGTAGAGATGCCTCCCACATCGCCTGGCTAATTTTTGTATTTTTGTGGAGAGGGGATCTCGCCACGTTGCCCAGGCTTGAAGCCAGATCAAGCAATTGGGTTCCTTGGATTTCCGAAATAGACCCCAATATTCTGCCTTTACCCCGGAGGATGCAGATGTACCTTCTCTCAGGCCGATGACCTCAGGCCTCCACGGTCCCTGGAGCTCTAGGAAAGGTGGGCGCGATCTCGCGCCCACACCCAGTGCTCTGGGTCATAAGCCTGGATCTGGAAAAACAAACGCGCTTTGAGAAGACGGGGACTCCCCAGGATACCCCTCTCTCCCCTCGTCCAGCCTCCAGCCCACCCGATTCCTCTCCACATCCTCCACGTCCCCAGGCCCCACCCACCTCTTCCAACTCCTCCAGGGAAACCCAAGCCCTGCAGCGCATGGAACAAAAGAAGTGGAACCGATACTTCCGGAACAAGGCTATCTGAGAGCAGTTCTTCCTGGCCCTCGGGTTCATGTAACGGCATAACTGGAACCAAAGCTCACTGAGCAAGGGTATATGAGAGCGGGTCTCCTCGTACAGGAAGTAGAAGATGTTTTGTTTGGGGGCCTCGTCGTCCTCCTCCATGTCATTGGCCAGATAGCTGAGGACAGAAATCAGGTTGCTGCTCAGGGGCACCACCAGGAGAGACCTCCGGCTGAGGTCAGCTTCTCAGAGAGGAAGGTAAGGGACCGTCCCTAGCTCAGGACTGGCACCCACCCTGCAGAGAGCCACGCCTTCCTCAGGAGGGCTCTGCTGGACAGAGACCTGATCAAGGGCGTCTCCCACTCCTTCAGGATGGAGACAAAAACCCAACTGGTGACCAAGAGTGGTGGCTTATGCCTGGAATCCCAGCACACTGGGAGGCCGAAGCAGGAGGATCACTTGAGGCCAGGAGTTTGAGACAGGCCTGGGCAACATAGCAAGACCCTCGTCTCTATTAAAAATATAAAAAATACGCCAGACGTGGTGGCTCATGCCTGTAATCCCAGCGCTTTGGAAGGCTGAAGCAGGTGGATTGCTTGAGACCAGGAGTTTGAGACCAGCCTGGTCAACACAGAGAAACCCCATCTATACTAAAAATACAAAAATCAGCCTGGTGCGGTGGCACACCCATTAGTCCTAGCTACTCAGGAGGCTGAAGCATAAGAATTGTGTGAACCCAGGAGGCGGAGGTTGCAGTGAGCCAAGATTGGGCCCCTCCATTCCAGCCTGAGAGACACAGCAACACTCTTGTCTTGATAAATAAATAAATAAATAAATAACTGTCCAGGTGTGGTGGTACAGCCCTGTAGTCGGAGCTAATCAAGAGGCTGAGGTGGGAGGATCGCTTGAGCCCAGGATATGGAGGCTGCGGTGAGCTATGATCTCACCACTGCACTCCAGCTTAGGGGACAGGGCAAGTCTGTCTCAAAAAAAAAAAAAAGCAATTGAATACACTGATATTTTGCCAGGACCCTGCCTTCTACAGGCATCTAGTCTAATGGGACTGGGAGTAATCAGGGGAGATGACCTAATCCCAATGTCACATTATAATAGGATGTAACTGGAGAGCTACGGGCATGCAGAAGTTGGAAGACGAGGGAAGGCATCACAGAGGCTGTGGGGTGAACCGACTTCAAGGAATGGGTCCTTCCCTTCAGAACCACATGTGTGCGGGACACCCAGACAGAAAACACAAATGCAAAGTCAAGTGGAGGGCATTTGGAAGGAGCAGTGAAGCCAAGCCAGGAAACACCAAGATGGCGAGCCAGTGTGGTTGTAGAGATTGTAGAGAGGGTGGAATTGGCACTGTGGACCCTGGCCTCGATAGAGAAAGACATCAGCTAAGGAAGTTGTTCAGGTGGGCAGTGAGGTTGTCGTGCTTTGGAAAGATGTTCAGGCTGCACTAGGAAGCCCCCTGGCTTGGGGAGAGACTCCAGGAAACCCCAGCAGGGAGCATTTGACAGTGGATTCGAGTGATGCAAGGGGGACCTGGACTGTGACCTCTGTCACGGGAACCCGGAGGAGGCTGATGGCTTTTGCGGTTGATGTGGGAAGGAGAGAGAACAACCGGAAACGTCTGCTTGCTGGGGGAAGTGTCATGTCCGCTCCTCCGCTCCTTTTCTTCTCCCCTTAGGAGCGGTTCATGGTTCCTTTTGTTTTTTGTTCTTTTTTTTTTTTTTTTTTTGAGACTATAATCCTGTCTTTTTTGTACACAGAGTAAAGAGGACAAATAGGTGAAAGAATAAATGAAAGGCTGGAATCCCACTTCCCCCGCTGTCCCAGGGCATTGGATATTGACGGATAGGAGGCAGCAAACCACTCACAGAGCCAGGAAGAAATGAATGCGTTGGTATTGCCAGGAGGGGAGGCCGGCCCGGCTGAAATACGCTATGACCATAGCCAGGAGATACTGATGGAGAGAAAGGAACACAGAGAGGGAGAGGTCACATCTTGGGAGAGGAAGATTGTGGATATAGTGGAATGGGGGTCTGGGGAGGGGTTGCCCATCAGAGAAGGGACCTCAGTGTTGGGGTGACTGTGCTCATGTGGAAATTGCGGGGTGGAGGGGTATTCGAAGGTCGGATGCAAATCCGAGAAGCCGGAGGAAGGGTTTTTGGTGATGCTCCCAGGATGGTGGGCTCCGATGGGATCTTTGGAGGGGGTGTGTCTAGGTCGGCTGGTGTCAGGAGGGTCTTTTGTGTGCCAGGCAGAGAACTGTCCCAAGGAGCTGAGAGTAGAGGGCCCAGGAGCTTCAGGGCTGCAGCCAGACTGTGGCCCAGGGCTCAGATCCCAAAGGACCCATAGGAGAGGCAGGGGCCACTCATTCACTCTGCAAGAGACCAGCAGAATCCTGACGGAGATGCTGACAAATCATAAAAAGACAAAGAATAGCCGGGAGTGGCAGCTCAAGCCTGTGATCCCAGTACTTTTTGAGAGGTGGAGACAGGAGGATCATGTGAGCCCAACAGTTGGAGAACAACCTGGGCAACACAGCGAGACCCTGTTTCTAAGAAGATTTCAAAAATTAGTTGAGCATGGTAGCATGTGCCTAGTCCCAGCTCCTCAGGAGGCTAAGGAAAGAGGATTGCTTGAGCCCAGGAATTAGAGTGAGCTATGATCATGCCACTGTACTCCATCCTGGGGAGCAGAGCTGGATTCTGTCTCAGAAAAAAAAATGTGTGGGTGCCAAGACTCAAGACCATGGGAGCTGGTCAGACACAGTGCTGACGTCTGTAATCTCAGCACTTTGGGAGGCCAAGGCGGGTGGATCACCTGAGGTCAGGTGTTCGGGACCAATCTGGCCAACATGGCAAAACCCCGTCTCTACTAAAAACACAAAAATTAGCCAGGCGTGGTGGTTCATGTTTGTAATCCCAGCTGCTTGGAGGCTGAGGTGGGAGAATCGCTTGAACCCAGGAGGCATCAGCTGCAGTGAGTCAAGATCGAGACACTGCCCTCCAGCCTGGGCAGCAGAGCAAGACTGTGTCTCACAAAAAAAAACAAAAACAAAAACAAAAAAAAACTGTAGGAGCATCTGGTGGGAGGTGGTGGACGGAGAACTGTGGGTTTGGAAGCTGCGCCCTCCCCCTGGCCGTGCGTTAGAACAGGAACACAGTTACATAGAGAACAACCTTACCTTGTCCGACACCCTCAGATCTTTGTCCCAGGCCAGGAGTCTTTTAATGACAGGATCCTCTGTGATTAGAGAGCAGATGTCAGTGTGAGAAGCAGGACAGGGTTTCCGTGAGAGCAGCAGGGCAGCGAGGAGAAGTGTGCCTCCCGGGGGAAAGTCTCAGGATTGTGGCCGCGGGTGAGGTGGATGAGAGAGGGGAGAATGACTTTCACTGGGCAAGGGAGAGAGGCTCCTGCTCTGAGACTCCCCTGAGAAGAGGCCGAAGGAGGCCCTGGGTGTGAGAATCTACAGGATGTAGAGCTGGGAATCAGCCAGGACCCCCTCCAGCAGACACGGAGGGACCACTGCAGAGTCATAAAGGAATTCCCATCATTTCCTCATGAGACAGTCACACATCAGGGTGTGACCATGGCCTTGGTATCCCTCACTATGGATGGAAACACTTAGGTTTAGAAAAGTCAGTAAGAAACATTAAGTTTCAGAGGGCACAGCTGAAACCACTTTTTTGATTTTTGATTTTGTTTTTCTTTATTTGATTTTTATTTTTATTTATTTATTAATTTATTTTGAGACAGAGTCTTGCTCTGTGGGCCAGGCTGGAATGCATTGGCCTGATCTTGGCTCACTGCAACCTCTGCCTCCTGGGTTTAAGCAGTTCTCCTGTCTCAGCCTCCCGAGTAGCTGGAACTACAGGGATGAGCTACTGTGCCCAGCCTTGGTTTTTCTTTTGACGCAGAGTTTTGCTCTGTCACCCAGGCTGGAGTGCAGTGGTGCAGTCATAGCTCACTGCAGCCTCAAAGTCCTGAGTTCAAGCAATCCTCTTGCCTCAGCCTCCCAACGTGCTGGGATCTCAGGCGGGAGCCACAGCGCCTGGCCCAAAACCAAGCTTTCTTATCCCAAGCACCGACCTTTATCAAGTCTACCTAATCCTCTGTTGTCTCCTAAGTGTCCCTCATGAGTGATCACTTCAGAGTCCTCCCGCATGGAGAGCTCACCCACTGGGGCATATTTTTCCCATTGGAAAAGTGTGGTTATTGGAAGTTTCCTCTTTAGAAAGAACAGGATTGGAGGTGCTCTCTGGGGTGTCCTCCTACCAAGCAGCCTGTTGAAGGCCTCGTAGTACTCAGGGAGCACGAGCGACACTCGCCGTCGCTTCGCCTTCATCTTGAGGCCACACAGCGTCTCCGCCACCCAGGTCTCCTCAGGCTCAGGGGCGAGCTCCTTCTCTGGCTCATCATCAGATTCATCCAAACATTCCCTCTTCCTTTTCCAGCCAAGGGACCTACGTGGGGGGCTGGGATCTACCCCAGGGGCTGAGTAAAGAAACCAGGCCACCGTGTAATGCTTCTGCAACTGATCACGTTAGACCCCGACCCCAAACCCCAAACCACTCTCCATCCTCCCCAGCCTCGCAGACTGCTGGCTTCTCCAAGCCACCTTTCTGACTTTCTCCTCTGCTCAACCCCATGTGCCACTCCTTCCCCTCCCCATTCTTCCCTCTCTCTGTCCTCAGAACACTGCCTCATATCCTTCCCTGGTCCCTGGCTCTCTGAGTCCCTCTTTTTTTTTTTTTTTTTTTGTTTCGAGACAGAATCTTGCTTTGTCACCCAGGCTGGAGTGTAGTGGTGCAATCTCAGCTCACTGCAACATGCATCTCCCGGATTCCAGTTATTCTCCTGCCTCAGCCTCTCAGGTAGCTGGGATTACAGGTGCCTGCCATAATGCCCAGCTCCATTTTGTACTTTTAATAGAGACAGGGTTTCACCATGTTGGCCAGGCTGGTCTCAAACTCCTGGCCTCAAGTGATCCGCCTGCCTTGGCTTCCCAAAGTGCTGGGATTACAAGTGTGAGCCACTGCACCCAGCCTGAATTTCTCCATTCTTCCCACACACCCTCCCCAGGTTCTCCTTCCTGACCTCTGACCCTTCTTTTTTTTCTTCTTTTTTTTTTTTTCTTCTTTTTTTTTTTTGAGATAGCATCTCACTCTGTCACCCAGACTGGAGTGCAGTAGCACGATCTCGGCTCACTGCAACCTCTTCCTCCCAGGCTCAAGTGATTCTCCTGTCTTAGCCTCCCAAGTAGCTGGGATTATAGGCACACACCACTACCGCCTGGCTAATTTTTGTACTTTTAGTAGAGATGGGGTTTCACCATGTTGGCCAGGCTGGTCTTGAACTCCTGACCTCAGGTGATCTGCCCGCCTCAGCCTCCCAAAGTGTTGGGGTTACAGGGGTGAGCCACCACGCCTGGCCCCCTTCCTTCATCTTAGTCAATCCTATGCCACCTCTTCTTTCTCCAGTCCCCTCACCTGATGGTCCCAACACTTCATCATCCACCACCTCCTGGAGGGGGTACCCTGAGGTGCTCCGCTGGGGGCTCCGCTCTTCCTGGGGCTGCGGTTGATGGCTCATCATGATCTTTCCCAAAATCTGTCCCATCTCACCAAACCTAGTCTCTGTTCTGTCCTTGGTCTTCTTCTGGACACTGCTGGGATCCAGAAGAGTGTGTTATCAATTCTCGAGGCTGGGAGAAGTCAGGAGTGGAGAACAGCTCTGAGAAGTTACTGTTGTCCAACTGAACTCCCAGATGCCGACAGAGTCCGGTCCCTCCAATCAGGAAGGTCGGAATCTCTGATGTCATCGCTCATGCCAACCTGGCAACCAGTTTGAAAAAAAACACATGTAACTGCCAGGCTGATCTCTTGTCCTGGAGATCCTGGGTGAATGGTATCTCCTGCCACTGTCCCAACCTCAGACCACTGTCCAAAAGCATCTTCAGGGTCTCCGCATCCCTCTGTTCCCTGTCCCAGCAGAGGCTGTGTCCTCTCCACTCAAAGCTTGAAGCGTGTTGGGGTCTCCTCTTCTCTGTACATGCCCGTTTCAGAGTCCAGTCTGGTGGGAGAGGGATCAGGATGGGAAAGAAAAGTAGGGTAAGCAGAAACGATGAAACCTTACAAGAGTGAGATTATCATGTACAAGAGATCCCAGGAACATTGACTTGATGAAAAAGTCACATCAGAGCACTCAATTTGGCAGAGGTTTTCTGCCGAATGTCTACTGACATTCACTGTCCGAGATTCTGTACTGGGGGTACACGCGTCCTCTGCCCTAAGGCATCTTTGAGTCCAAGAGATACTTTGAGGACTGGAAATCATAGGAAACTGCCCATGAGTTCACACATATTTCCAATGGTGTCCCCAATTTCAGGGAGTCCACGGATCACCTAAAGCCAGCCCCTCCAGTTTGGCTAAGAAACTCTATATATCAAGTTTTGTATCATATGTATTGCTCTTAACTCAGAAAATTCCACCATTTATAGCAGTGGTTTATTTATTTATACCATTGAAGGAAATGGTTTATTTATGAATCTATATTACGGATATTCTATAAGATACTGGGTGTACAAAAAGACTAAGTCGAAAAATCTCAGCTGTGCACAGTGGCTCATGCTTGTAATCCCATCTCTTTGGGTGGCCAAGGGAGGAAGACTGCCTGAGGCCAGCAGTTCAAGACCAGTATAGGCAACATAGCAAGAGCCCATCTCTAAAACAAAACAAAACAAAACAAAACAAAATTAGCCAGGTGTCGTGGCTGGCACCTGTGTTCCAACAACTTGAGAGACTGAGGTGGCAGGAGGATTGCTTGAGCCTAGGAGTTAGGGGCTGCAGTGAGCTGTGATCGTGACACCGCACTCCAGTCTGGGCAACACAGCAAGACCTTGTGTCAAAAAAAATTTTTTAATTAAATATAAAAGAGTTTCATGACATTCAGAGACCATCCAAAGAACCTGTGGGTTCCGGCCAGGCACAGTGGCTCACGCCTGTAATCCCAGCGCTTTGGGAGGCCATAGCAGGTGGATCGCTTGAGGTCAGGAGTTTAAGAGCAGCCTGGCCAACATGGTGAAACCCCATCTCTAGTAAAAATACAAAAAATTAGACGGGGCCAGGTGCCATGGCTCATGCCTGTAATCCCAGCACTTTGGGAGGCCAAGGAGGGTGGATCACGAGATCAGGAGATCGAGACCATCCTGGCTAACACCCCATCTCTGCTAAAAATACAAAAAGTAGCCAGGCATGGTTGCGGGCACCTGTATTCCCAGCTACTCAGGAGGCTGAGGCAGGAGAATGGCGTGAATCCAGGAGGCGGCACTTGCAGTGAGCCAAGATCATACCATTTGCACTGTAGCCTGGGCTACAAGAGTGAGACTCCGTCTCAAAAAAAAAAAAAAATAGCTGGGTGTGGTGGCACGCACCTGTAGTCTCAGCTACTCGGGAGGCTGAGGTGAGAGAATCGCTTGAATCCAGGAGGCGGAGGTTGCAGTGAGCCGAGATCGCGCCATCGCACTCCAGCCTGGGTGACAGAGTGAGACTCTGTCTCAAAAGAAAGAAAAAGAAAAAAAAAGAATATGCCGCAGTGCATTTGTTCATTTCTCCTGCTGGTGGACACTTGGGTCCTTCCAGCACCACTGTGAACATTGTGATGAACGTTCCTGCACACACACCTCTCTAGAACAGTCACCAGGAGCGGAGCTGCTGGGTCATGGGGTGTGGCTGAGTCCATTGCTGGTGCTGGGGTTTCCTTGGTGTTTGTACACCTTGCATTCCCACCAGCACATATGAGAGAATACTTTGTTTCAAATCTCTGCCAACACTGAGTATTCATGACACTGATCTTTTTGCAAGTGTAAATCAGATCATGTCACTCTCCCGATTTAAGCCCTATTTTTTTTTTTTTTTTTTGGAAACAGAGTCTCACTCTGTCACCCAGGCTAGAGTACAGTGGCATGATCTCGGCTCACTGCAACCTCCGCCTCCCGGGTTCGAGCGATTCTCTGATCTCAGCCTCCCAAGTATCTGGGACTATTGGCGCACGCCACCACGGGTGTCTAATTTTTTGTATTTTTGGTAGAGACGATGTTTCACCCTGTCGTCCAGGATGGTCTTGAACTCCCAAGCTCAAACAGTCTGCCCACCTCGGCCTCCCAAAGTGCTGGGGTTACAGGTTGGAGCCACCCAGCCCAGCCTAGATTTTTAGCTTGATGAAAATCCTGGTTTGGGAACAGAGTCAGCTCCACAGCGGGTCATCTGATTTTTTTTTTTTTTTTTTTTTTTGAGACGGAGTCTCGCTCTGTCATCCAGGCTGGAGTGCACTGGGCTCACTGCAACCTCCGCCTCCCAGGTTCAAGCGATTCCCCCACCTCAGCCTCCCGAGTAGCTGGGATTACAGGCACCCACCACCACGTATGACTAATTTCTGTATTTTTGTAGAGATGGGGTTTCACCATGTTGACCAAGCTGGTCTTGAACTCCTGACCTCAGATGAACCACCCGCCTCAGCCTCCTAAAGTGCTGGGATTACAGGTGTGAGCCACCACACCTGGACTGTTCTTTTCTCTTACGTTTGGTCACCTGGTACCTCTGAACTCCCTCTTCCACTCTCTCTACATCCTGATGCACAATTTATTTGAAAAGGAGGAAACATTTTCCGTCCCAAGTCCCTTTTTACTCCTTTCTTTCCCAACAAAACCTGTACAGAATCCTCACGCTACTGTGTTCTATAGAGGAGCGGAGAGGGAGACCAGTTCTCCACTCCCCTGGCCCTGCTGACACCTGGAGGGTGCCAGGCATGTTCATGGAAACAGCAGCATTGCAGCCTTCCTTCCTTCCCCACAGCTGTATCCGTGTGAGTCTGGACAACAAGGACTTGTCAACACGAATCTCTCTCTTCTCCTGGTGTAAGACAGAACAAAAACAAAAGACGTTGGAGTAGAGATCAGAAAAGGGTGGGTTTGCGATGTTTGGGAGGGTTGAGTGGGCATTTTGACAACTTAGCTTCTCCTTGGGTGGTATTTAGCAGATGCCCTTGTGGTTTAAACTGTAGCTTTAGATATAAAATCCACTCCTGGTCAGGTGCGGTGGCTGACGCCTGTAATCCCAGCACTCTGGGAGGCTGAGGTAGGCAGATCACGAGATCAAGATCAGCAGATCGAGACCATCCTGGCTAACACGGTGAAACCCCATCTCTACTAAAATAATAATTAAAAAAAATTAGCCAGGCATAGTGGTGGGCACCTGAAGTCCCCGCTACTGGGGAGGCTGAGGCAGAAGAATGGCATGAACCCAGGAGGCGGAGCTTGCAGTGAGCCAAGGTCATGCCACTGCACTTCAGCCTGGGCGACAGAGCGAGACTCTGTCTCAAAAAAAAAAAAAGAAAAAAGAAAGAAAATCCACTTCTAATGCTACCTGGGGCCCTGCTGCTTGATGGAGAAACTGAAGAACGTAAAGGATCTTGTTTGAGGGTTTGTGTTGTTGTGTTGTTGTTGTATATTTGTTTGTTTTGAGGCAGGGTTTTGCCCTTTCACCCAGGCTGGAGTGTGGTGGCACAATCACAGCTCACTGCAGCCTCGAACTCCTGGGCTCAGATGATCCTCCTGCCTCAGCCTCCCAAGTAGCTGGGATCATAGGTGTGCACTGCCATGCCTGGCTAAATTTTGTTATTTTTTTTAGGGACGAGTTTTGCCATGTTGCCCAGGCTAGTCTTAAACTCCTAGGCTCAATCTAGCCTCCCACCTCAGCCTCCCAAAGTGCTGGAATTATAGGCATGACCCACTACACACTACACCTAGTTTTTGTTATTTATTTATTTCTTAGAGACAGAGTCTCCTCTGTTGCTCAGCCAGGCTGGAGTTGAGTGGTGCCATCATAGCTCACTGCAGCCTTAAACTCCTGGGCTCAAATGATCCTCCAGTCTCAGCCTCCCAAGTAGCTGGAACCATAGGTGCACATCACCATGCCAGGCTAAATTTTAAAATTTTTTTGTAGAGATGGGGTCTCTGATACTGCCCAGGCTGGTTTCAAGCTTCTGGGCTCACATGATCCTCCTGCTTCAGCCTTCCAAGTAGCTGGGACCACAGGCATGTACCACCACGCCTGGCTTCTATATTTTTGTAGAGTTGGGGGATCTTGCTACGTTGCCCAGGCTGATCTCAAGCTCCTGGGCTCAAGCATTCCTCCCGCTTCAGCCTCCCAAAGTGCTGCAATTACAGGCATGAGCCACTGCACCCAGCCTCAGCCTAACAGATTTGTTTTTTTTTTTTTTTTTTTGAGACAGAGTCTCGCTGTGTTGCCCAGGCTGGAGTGCAGTGGTGCAATCTCGTCTCACTATAACCTCCACCTCCCAGGTTCAAGTGATTCTTGTGCCTCAGCCTCCCAAGTAGCTGAGAGTACAGGGCATGCCACCATTCTCGACTAATTTTTGGGTTTTTTTTTTTGTTGTTGTTGTTTTTTAAGATTGAGTCTTGCTCTGTCGCCCAGGCTGGAGTGCAGTGGCACGATCTCAGCTCACTGCAAGCTCCGCCTCCCGGGTTCATGCCATTCTCCTGCCTCAGCCTCCCGAGTAGCTGGGACTACAGGCGCCCGCCACCACGCCCGGCTAATTTTTTGTATTTTTAGTAGAGACGGGGTTTCACCATGTTAGCCAGGATGGTCTCAATCTCCTGACCTCTTGATCCACCCGCCTCGGCCTCCCAAAGTGCTGGGATTACAGGTGTGAGCCACTGCGCCCGGCCTAATTTTTGTATTTTTAATAGAGACAGGGTTTCACCATGTTGGCCAGGCTGGTCTTGAACTCCTGACCTCATGTGATCTGCCCCTGCTTAGCCTCCCAAAGTGCTGGGATTACAGGCATGAGCCACCATGCCTGGCCAGATCTTATTTGGAAATGGTATTCTGCATTGTAATTTTTGTTCTGTTTTATTTTTACATTTTCTTTTTATGACATATCTAGGATTTGCTTTAAAACATCCCAGCCAAGAAAAAGAGGGGAAGGGGAGGACAGTTTGGAGCACATTGGCAAAATCCTGATTGCTATTTAAGCTGGGCAGTGGGTCCATGGGGGTTCACTGTACTCTTCTGTCTACTTTTTTTTTTTTTTTTTTTTTTTTAATTTATTTTTTTATTGATAATTCTTGGGTGTTTCTCACAGAGGGGGATTTGGCAGGGTCATGGGACAATAGTGGAGGGAAGGTCAGCAGATAAACAAGTGAACAAAGGTCTCTGGTTTTCCTAGGCAGAGGACCCTGCGGCCTTCCGCAGTGTTTGTGTCCCTGGGTACTTGAGATTAGGGAGTGGTGATGACTCTTAACGAGCATGCTGCCTTCAAGCATCTGTTTAACAAAGCACATCTTGCACCGCCCTTAATCCATTTAACCCTGAGTGGACACAGCACATGTTTCAGGGAGCACAGGGTTGGGGGTAAGGTCACAGATCAACAGGATTCCCAAGGCAGAGGAATTTTTCTTAGTGCAGAACAAAATGAAAAGTCTCCCATGTCTACTTCTTTCTACACAGACACGGCAACCATCCGATTTCTCAATCTTTTCCCCACCTTTCCCGCCTTTCTATTCCACAAAGCCGCCATTGTCATCCTGGCCCGTTCTCAATGAGCTGTTGGGCACACCTCCCAGACGGGGTGGTGGCCAGGCAGAGGGGCTCCTCACTTCCCAGTAGGGGCGGCCGGGCAGAGGCGCCCCTCACCTCCCGGACGGGGCGGCTGGCCGGGCAGGGGGGCTGACCCCCCCACCTCCCTCCCGGAGGGGGCGGCTGGCCGGGCGGGGGGCTGACCCCCCCACCTCCCTCCCGGACGGGGCGGCTGGCTGGGCAGAGGGGCTCCTCACTTCCCAGTAGGGGCGGCCGGGCAGAGGCGCCCCTCACCTCCCGGACGGGGTCTTCTGTCTACTTTTGTAAATGTTTAAAAATGTTTGTTGTAAAAAGTTCCTTGGTTTTCCTTATGTTTCTCCAGAGAGGAAAAAAGATGTTCAGTTTTATATCTTAAAATGTACAAGCTACCTTGTTAGAATAAAACTAAATGTGTATGCTGCTGGGCACCAGGGCTCATGCCTGTAATACCAGCACTTTGGGAGGCCAAGACAGGTGGATCACCTGAGGTCAGGAGTTCGAGACCAACCTGGCCAGCATGGTGAAACCCCTGTCTGTACTGAAAATACAAAAATTAGTCGGGAGTGGTGGTGCACTCCTGTAATCCCAGCTGCTCAGGAGGCTGAGGCAGGAAGATCACTTTAACCCGGGAGGAGAAGGTTGCAGTGAGCTGAAATCGCACCACTGCACTCCAGCCTGGGCGACACAGCAAGACTCTCTGTCAAAAAAAAAAAAAAAAAAAAAAAAGCCAGGACTAGTTCATCAAGAAGCAAAATAATATGACAAACCCTACTTAAATGATTTCATCTGGTTTCAACCACTGCCAGCTGGTTTGATCCAGTTTCAGCTGGTTTCAAATGACTTCATCCAGTTTCAGCCAGGTTAATTCAGCTTCAGCTGGTTGTGAACAGTTTGTGGCTCCTTTCAACCAGTTTCAGGTGGTTTCAGCCAAAGTCATCCAATGTTGGCTGGCTCCAACTGGTTTAACTCCTGTTTCAACTGGATTCAGCTGATTTCCACTCTCCTTAAGGCTGTGCTGTCCAATTCAGTAGCTCCTAGCTACATGCAGCTCTTTACATTTAAATTGATTAAAATTAAAGGAAGGCCAAGTTCGCTGGCTCACCCTGTAATCCCAGCACTTTGGGAGGCCGAGGTGGGAGGATCACTTGAGGTCAGGAGTTCGAGACCAGCCTGGCCAACATGGTGAAACCTTGTCTCTACTAAAAATACAAAAAACATTAGCCAGGCATGGTGGTGGGTGCCCATAGTCCCAACTATTCAGGAGGCTGAGTCAGGAGAATCATTTGAACCTGGGAGGTGGAGGTTGCAGTGAGCCGAGATCACGCCACTGCACTGCAGCCTGGGCAACAGAGCAAGACTCTGTCTCAAACAAATAGATAAAATGAAATCAAAATTTCTTTTCTAGTGTTACAGGCAGAATGTTTGTGGACTCTCCAAAATTCATATGTCAAACTCCTAACTCCCAATGTGTTGGTATTTGGAGGCAAGAAGTTTGGGAGGTGATCACGTTGAGATGAGGTTATAAGGGTGGAATTCACTTGATGGGATTAGCAGCCTTTCGAGAAGAGTCATCAGAGAGCTTGCTTCCTCTCTCCCTGTCTTGGTCCATTCTGGCACTGCTATAAAGAAAAACCTGAGACTGGGTAATTTATAAAGAAAAGAGGGGTGTTTTGTTTTGTTTTGTTTTTGGAGATGGAGTTTCGCTGTCATCACCCAGGCAAGAGTGCAATGGCACGATCTTGGCTCACTGCCACCTCCATCTCCTGGGTTCAAGCCATTCTCCTGCCTCAGCCTCCTGAGTAGCTGGATTACAGGCGTCTGCCACCACGCCCAGCAAATTTTTGTATTTTTAGTGGAGACGGGGTTTCACCATGTTGCCCAGGCTGGTCTCGAACTCATGACCTCAGGTTATCCACCCACCTTGGCCTCCCAAAGTGCTGGGATTACAGGTGCGAGCCACCACACCCAGCCAAGAAAAGAGTTTTAATTGGCTTACATTCCATGGGCTGTACAGGACGCATGATTCTGACATCTGCTCAGCTTCTGGGGAGGTCTTAGGAAACTTACAATCATGGCAGAAGGTGAAGGGGAAGCACGCACATCTCACATGGTCAGAGCAAGAGGATGAGAGAGAGGTGGGGAGGTGCTACTCACTTTTAAACAAGCAGAGCTCATGATAACCTTCTACCATGAAAACAGCACGGAGGGGATGGTGCCAGCCCATTCATGAGAAATCCGCCCCGTGATTTAATCACCTCCTACCAGGCCCCACCTCCAACACTGGGGATTACAATTTGACATGAAACCTCTTTTTTTTTCTTTTTTTGTTTTTTTTTTTTTGAGACACAGTTTCACTCTGTCGCCCAGGCTGGAGTGCAGTGGTGCCATCTGGGCTCACTGCAACTTCTGCCTCCCAGGTTCAAATGATTCTCCTGCTTCAGCCTCCCGAGTAACTGGGATTACAGGCGCCCACCACCACACCCAGCTAATTTTGTATTTTTAGTGGAGACAGGGTTTCACCATGTGGTCCAGGCTAATCTTGAACTCCTGGCCTCAGGTGATCCGCCCGCCTTGGCCTCTCAAAGTGCTGGGATTACAGGTGTGAGCCACTGTGCCTGGTCTCGGCATGAGATTTAAGCAGGGGACACAGAGCCAAACTATATCACTCCCCATCATGTGAGGATACAGGGAGAAGACAGCCATCCACAAACCAGGAAGTGGGCCCTCACCAGACACCAATCTGCTGGTTCCTCAATCTTGGAATTGTGAGAGAGAAATGTATGTTGTTTAAGCCACCCAGCCTATGGTTTTCTGTAACGGAAGCCCAAGTAGACTAAGATACTCAGTCACGCTGCTCACAATTCCAGTGCCTACAAGGGCCAGGACCACATGTGTTCAAGTGGCCAGCATATTGGATGGTGCATTCATAGAACATTTCCATCACCACAGATGGTCCTTCTGGGCAGCTCTGCTCTCGGGAGGAGTTCAGATGTAGAGATCATGGCAGCAAAAGTCTCTCAGAGTCAGGTGAGAGGCAAAAAGGTAAGTCTGTTATTGGCTGGGTGCGGTGGTTCACACCTATAATCCCAGCACTCTGGGAGGCCGAGGCGGGCAGATCACAAGGTCAGGAGATCGAGACCATCCTGGCTAACATGGTGAAACCCTGTCTCTACTAAAAATACAAAAAATTAGCTGGACGTGGTGGCAGGCACCTGTAGTCCCAGCTATTCAGGAGGCTGAGGCAGGAGAATGGCGTGAACCCAGGAGGCGGAGCTTGCAGTGAGCCAAGATCGTGTCTCTGCACTCCAGCCTGGGCAACAGAGGGAGATTCTGTCTCAAAAAAAAAAAAAAAAAAAAAAAAAAAAGGAAGTCTGTTATTAACACCAGGAATGATCATTGTCACTTTTTTTTGAGACAGAGTTTCACTGTTGTTGCCCAGGCTGGAGTGCAATGGCCCACTGCAACCTCCACCTCCTGGGTTCAAGTTGTTCTCCTGCCTCAGCTTCCTGTGTAGCTACAGGTGCCCACAACCACACCCAGCTAATTTTTGTATTTTTAGTAGAGACGGGGTTTCACCATGTTGGCCAGGCTGGTCTCGAACTCCTGACCTCAGGTGATCCACCCGCCTCAGCCTCCCAAAGTGCTGGGATTACAGGCGTGAGTCACGGTGTCCAGCCCATTGTCACTTTTTACTGAGCACCTGCTATCTACCAGGGAGTGTCAAATGTGTAAAAATGCTATCAGTATGCCTTCCAACAACTCTATAGGGTGGGCATTATCACCCATATTAACAGAGAAGGAAAATGAGGGTTTTTTCCTTTTTTGTTTGGTTGGTTGGTTTTGGTTTTGGTTACTGAGACAGGGTCATACTCTGTCTCCCAGGCTGGAGTACAGTGGCAAGCCTCATAGCTCACTGCAGCCTCAACCTCCCAGGCTCAAGTAATCCCCCAAAGTAGCTGGGACTACAGGCATGCACCACCATGCCTGGCTTTTTTTTTTTTTTTTTTTTTTTAGAGGTGGAGTCTCACTATGTTGCCCAGGCTGGTCTCAAACTCCTGTTCTCAAGCGATCCTCCTGCCTCAGCCTCCCAAAGTGCTGAGGTTACAGGCGTGAGCCACTGCACCTGGCTAGGAAACTGAGTTTTTTCAGTGGTAGAGGCTCCTAGCCAGTGGCCAAGGGAAAGAGAGAGTTCTGGGTTCAGGGGCTGGCAGGAAGTTAGCAAGACACCAGGGACTCAGCTACACTGGCTGGATCTCAGAGAAGAGCAACTGCCACAGTGGGGACCTGGAGCACAAGGGGAAACTGGGGCAGCAGCTGCACCACAGGGTTGGCGGTACCTGATAAGGGAAGAGGATGACTTCCATAAGTAGGCCCACAGGTGCCCAGGGCTCCCCATACCCACTGGGTGCCAGGTCTAAAACCATGAGACCAGTACCAGCACCAACCACTCAAGGAGCTGAGACGGCTGACCCACTCTCTGCCCTGGCTAGGACTGGCCCCAGCACCCCCAGTGGGGAGGCCTCAATGATCCCAGCTGCCAGGGGCCCAGGAACACTAGCAACAGAAGAATGGCCAAAGTGACAGGGAACCCTTGAGACCCTAGAGCAGCAATGCCTGGGCCGGGCCTGATCCTTCCCACCAGCCCCCAGCCATTCCTGGCCTTCTGCCATGCTTCCTGGTTGGTCTGCAAAGTGCCTGGGGCAAATACCTTCTGGGAGAAGAGTAGAGAGGGTATCCAGGCTCCATGGGCCTCAGGATTCCTGAAGTAGGAGGCTCTGATGGGGCCACCCTGCTCTGGACAGAAATTCCCTAGCCTCAGGGACATGTTGAATCTTGTCACCCAGAGGAACCAAGTGGCTGGGTGGTAGCCCAGTGCAGTGGCTCATGCCTGTAACCTCAACACTTTGGGAGGCCAAGACAGGCAGATCACGAGGTCAAGAGATTGAGACCATCCTGGCTAATATGGTGAAACCCCGTCTCTACTAAAAATACAAAAATTAGCTGGGTGCGGTGGTGGCAGGCACCTGTAATCCCAGCTACTCGGGAGGCTGAGGCAGGAGAATCGCTTGAACCTGGGAGGCACAGGTTGCAGTGAGCTGAGATAGCGCCACTGCACTCCAGCCCGGGCAACAGAGTGAGACTCCATCTGAAAAAAAAGAAAAAGAAAAAAAAAAGAAAGAGGCTGGACAGCAAAATAAAATGGTTCCCCAGTTCAGCCTTTGGAGGTACCAACCGTCTGTTAGCAGAGCTCTAAGACCAAATGGGCTCCCACTCCAGGAACGTCCCCCTTCCCACAGGGGCTGGGGAGATGGAGTCCGGGGCTGTGCTGCCCTCTGGAGCAGCAGGTGGAGGCCAAGGCAGCCTCACTGTTCTCCGGGGCCCTGGGAAGCCATGCAGAGAGGCAGAGGTCCTTTATGTGCCAGATGAGGCTGCTGTCAAGGGACTGCAAATCTGCTTGAGGTGTGACATATCTGTTTTTAGAACAAGAACATCACATCAGGAGGAGCCGGTGGCCAGAGCTTGGGGGAAGGGGGTATCCAGGTCCAATTCCCATGTATCTAGGGCACATGTGCACAGCACTGAGGGCCACTCCAGCCCCTCCCCAGCTCTCAGAGGACCCTGCTCCCACCTGCCTTTTGCTCTGCTATCGGGCAGATGGCATTGTCTCTGCTTTGCAACTGATGAAATAGGAACTCTGGCTTCTGGGCTAGGCTGAGAGGGTGCTTGCTGCTGCCATTCCGGGCCCAGGTGAGACATTCGGTCATGAGCATCTGTAGCTCTTGCCTGAGCCTCTGAGCCTGCCAGGGCAGAGCAGAAGCAAATGCATGAAGGCCCCTCCCCCAGGGGCTGCTCTTAGCCAGTGACTGATGAAAATGGGTGTGTAAACAGCTTAGCCACATGACCCCACACAGGTGGGACAACCATGGGTTTCCACATTCTGTACTGCCTCCCAGAGGTCCCCACCAGGTTTAAGCTCAATTGCCCACACTGGTAACTGGTAACTTCCTTGATACCACTCATTTCTTTTTTCATTCTTTTGGTGTTTTTTTAGATGGAGTTTTGCTCTTGTCGCCCAAGCTGGAGTGCAGTGGTGCGATCTCAGCTCACTGCAACCTCCGCCTCCCAGATTCAAGCAATTCTCCTGCCTCACCCTCCTGGGATTACAGGCATGTGCCACCACACCTGGCTAATTTTATGTTTTTAGTAGAGAGGGAGTTTCCCCATGTTGGCCAGGCTGGTTTTGAACTCCTGACCTCAAGTGATCTGCCCACCTCAGCTTCCCAAAGTGCTGGGATTACAGGCATAAGCCACTGCGCCTGGCCATTTCCTTTCTCTCTCTCTCTCTCTCTCTCTCTCTCTCTCTCTCTCTCTCTCTCTCTGGCTGGAGTGCAATGGTGCGATCTGGGCTTACTACAACCTCTGCCTCAAGAGTCCCTCTGCTGGGACTACAGGTGCACACCACCACGTCCAGCTAATTTTTGTGGGGTTTTTTTGTTTTTTTGTTTTTTTGTAGAGATAGGGTTTCGCCGTGTTGCCCAGGCTGGTCTCAAGCAGTCCTCCTAGGTTCAAGCAATCTTCCGGCCTCAGCCTCCCAAAGTTCTGGGCTTACAGACCTGAGCCATTGTGCCTAACACCCCTTTCTTGGCAGCCTTCCTGTCCATATCTGGCCTCTCTACTCCCCTACCTGGGTTTCTGGGATGACTTGCACTTAAGTCCTTGGAGGGAACTTTAAGCAGAAGGATAGAGGAGAAAACTCAGAAATGGTGTGGGACCAGCAGCTTCCCCATTGTCTGGTCTGGAGTGGAGGTGGTCCAGGGATCCGGGGAGCCTGGCTCAAGCAGGATAGAAGTGACATCCAGGCTGGCCATCAGGGGGTGCAGTTCAGCAGCAGAGTCTCCAGGCCTGCTCACACTTGGACTGGTGCAGGATTCTCTTCTGGATAGCCTGTTTAGATTGCAGTAGGACCTGAAGACTTGAAATTGGTGTTCAGCCCTGGGAGAGGGGTCTGGCCAGGCTTGCACAGCTGGGTCCAGGCTCAGGACTGAGGTAGAAGCATAGTGTTCATCACAGCTGGAGCAAAAGTCCAGAAGAATGGACTTAACACTCCCAGTGGGTCAGAGGAGAGGCTAGCACGGGGTACAGACAAGATTCTGCAGACAGAGGCCAGAAGATTTTGTAGGCTACAAGATTCCGTAGACAGAGGCTCATGCCTATAATCCCAGCACTTTAGGAGGCCAAGGCAGGTGGATCACTTGAGGCCAGGAGTTCAAGACCAGCCTGGCCAACATGGTGAAACCCTGTCTCTACTAAAAATACAAAAATTAACCAGATGTGGTGGCGCATGCCTGTAATCCCAGCTACTCAGGAGGCTGAATCAGGAGGATCGCTTGAACCCAGGAGGCGGAGGTTGCAGTGAGCCGAGATCACACCACTGCACTGCAGCCTGGGTAACAGAGCAAGACTCTGTCTAAATAAATAAATAAATAAATAAATAAAATCATGCAGACCTCATCCCCAGGAGGCAGTCTGAAATGGCTCAGGAAAAAAAAAACAGCAGGTGAAATTTGTGCAGGGGGATCTCACCTGAACAAGGATCAGAAAGACAAGGGGTTGTCCCCAAACCTACCCACCCTCCTAGTGGCAGCTGGACCCTGGACCCCCTCACCACCACCAGCCTACCCCATGCTATCCATCACCGGCCAGCTCATGTCCTAAACATCTCTGCATCCCTCCTCTCTCTCCATCCACGCTGCTGCCTCACTGGTCCTGGCCACCACGGCTCTCTCAGCTAGGCTGCAGTCACTTCCAGGCTGGATTCCCCACCCCTGCCCTTGACCTCCTGTCCTCTACTCCACAAGGCAGCCAGAAGAATCTGCCAATGTATCCAGTCTTCTCTTGGGCTAGAGCCTTCTGGTGGCTTCCAATCTGCACCCATCCAAGCCCTTTGTGTCAGGCACCATCTCATCTTCATAAATCCTGTTTCTATTGCCTGGAGGACTCCCCCAGCCCTAACTTCCCCTGTTCCTAAATGACATTTCACCACCCTTCAGATCTCAATGTCACTTTTGACAGAAACCTTAGCCAGGCATGGTAGCACACACCTGTGGTCCCAGCTACTCTGAAGACTGAGGAGAAATGATCTCTTGAAGTCAGGAGTTGGGGGTTGCAGTGAGCTAGGATTGCACCACTGCACTCCAACCTGGACAACAGAGCAAGACCCTGTCTCTAGGCCAGGTGCAGTGGCTCACACCTGTAATCCCAGCACTTTGGGAGGCTAAGGCAGACAGATCACCTGAGGTCAGAAGTTCGAGACCAGCCTGGCCAACATTGTGAAACTCCATCTTTACTAAAAATACAAAAATTAGCCGGGTGTGGTGGCATGCACCTGTAATCCCAGCTACTTGGGAGGCTGAGGCGGGAGAATTGCTTGAACCTGGGAGGCAGAGGTTGCAGTGAGCCAAGATTGCACCACTGCACTCCAGCATAGACAATGAAGCAAGAAAAAAAAGAAAAGACCTTGTCTCTAAAAAGAGAGAGAGAGAAACCCTGCATGGACCTCCATTCATATGGCCGTTCTGTTACTAGAAGGGTCCAGACCAACACAAGAGCACTAGGAGCCAAAGATGAAATTCACAAAAGAGCAATTATGAGAAATGGGAGAAAGATGGAGGGACTGCAACATAGGGCTAATGGAAGTTTTAGAAAAACAGCAGAAAATCACAGAGAAGCAATATATGATGGACAATCAATGAGAATTTTCAAAAACTAGGCTGGGCGTTTTGGCTCATGCCTATAAACCCAGCACTTTGGGAGGCTGAAGCAAGTGGATCAACTGAGGTCAGGAGTTCCAGACCAGCCTGGCCAATATGGTGAAACCTCGTCTCTACTAAAAATACAAAAATTAGCCTGGCGTGGTGGCGTGCACCTGTAGTCCCACCTACTCAGGAGGCTAAGGCAGGAGAATCACTTGAACCCGGGAGGCAGAGGTTACAGTGAGCCAATATTGTGCCACTGCACTCCAGACTGGATGACAGAGCAAGACTCCATCTCAAAAAAAAAAAAAAAAAAAAAAAAAGGAAAAGAAAGAAAAAAGAACTAAAGAGTCATACAAGTCCTCAAATCAAAAACATACTCTAAGAACAAACAGCATAAATTAATATGTCTATATAGGGTTCTATCATTATTAAACCACTTAAAATCAAGGATAAAGAGGAATTTTTTTTCTTTTTTTTTCTTTTTTTGAGATAGGGTCTCACTCTGTCACCCAGGCTGGAGTGCAGTGGTGCAATCATAGCTCACTGTAGCCTCAAACTCCTGGGCTCAAGCAATTCTCCCAAGTAACTGGGACTACAAGCCTGCAAGCAGGCACCACCATGCCTAGCTAATATTTGTATGTTTTTAGAGATGGGATCTTGCTATGTTGCCCAGGATGGAAATCTTTATTGTTGTTGGTGGTTTTTTTTTTTTTTTTTTTTTTTTTGGAGATGGAGTTTCACTCTTGTTGCCCAGGCTGGAGTGCAATGGCGCCATCTCAGCTCACTACAACCTCCACCTCCCGGGTTCAAGTAGTTCTCCTGCCTCAGCCTCCCGAGTAGTTGGGATTACAGGCATGCACCACCACGCCTGGCTTTTTTTTTTTTTTTTTTTTTTTTTTTTTTTGTATTTTTTTAGTAGAGACAGGGTTTCTCCATGTTGGTCAGGCTGGTCTCAAACTCCCGAAGTGAAGTGATCAGCCTGCCTCGGCCTCCTGGAGTGCTGGGACTACAGGCCTGAGCTACTGCGCCCAACCTCAGGATGGAAATCTTAAAAGTTACTAGGCCAGGTGTGGTGGCTCATGCCTATAATCCCAGCACTTTGGGAGGCCGATGTGGGCAGATCAGCAGAGGTCAGGAGTTTGAGATTATCCTGACCAACATCATGAAACCCTGCCTCTACTAAAAATGAAAAAAAAAAAAAAATTAGCCAGGCATGGTGGTGTGCGCTTGTAATCCCAGCTGCTTGGGAGGCTGAGGCAGGATAATCACTTGAACCTTGGAGGCCAAGGTTGCAGTGAGCCAAGATCACGCCACTGCTCACCAGCCTGGGCAACAATCTGTGAAGAAGGAAAAAAGAGAAGAGAAGGGAAGGGGAGGGGAGGGGAAGGGGGAGAGGAAGGGGAAGGGGAAGGGAATGGAAGGGAAGACAATTAAAAAAAAAAAAAAAACAGGCAAAGAATATGAACAGGCAATTCACAGAAGGAAAACCCAAATGACCCACAAACATGAATAGATGTTCAACCACAATGACAATCAGAGAAATTGTAAAAATAAAGCAGCAACAATATATCATTTTACATTTATCAGCTAAGCAAAAGCTAAAGTCTGATAATCCCAATTATTGATGGGTGTGTAGAAAAAGGAGATTCTGACACATGCTGGTAGAGTGTCAGTTGGTATAAGCCCTTGGAGAGCAAAACAGAGATATTCACCACCCTCTTATCCCAACCATTCCACATACTATTCTACGTAAATATCTTGCAGAGAGATTCCAGCACTAGTGCTATAGAATACATTTACAGGAATGTTTATTGCAACATTGTTTAAAACAAGAGAAAAAAACAGAAACAAAGTAAATGTTCACCAACAGGAGACTGGATAAACAAAGTATAATGTATAATGGAATATGTTGTAGCAGTTAAAATAAAGAAAAGCTACATATATCATTATAGTCTACGTAGTATCAACTTGGATAAACCTCAAAAGTCATTAGTAGTGAGCAAAAAAAGCAGGTTGCAGAAGGATACATACAATATGATACCAGTTATATACAATGTTTATGGTTCAACTTTTCCAGTCTGGTTTATTGAGCTACAATTTGCATACAGTGAAATTGACTAGTCTTTGTGTACAGTTTTGTGAGTCTGGCAGAATGCATACCTTTAGGTAGACATCATCACAATCAAGATATAAAAGGGTTCCATCATTCCCCAAAATTGCACACTGCCCTATTGTAGTCAAGTCTTACCCCCACCTCACATCTCCTGTAATCATGGAGCACATAGCATTTTGAGTCTGTCTTCTTCCACTTAGCATAATGCCTTTGAGATTCATTCATGTTGTTGAGTATCTCAACGGCTTTTTTTTTAACTGCTGAATAGTAGTCTACTGTATGGATGTACCAATTTATCCATTCTATAGTTGAAGTGCATTTGACTTGTTTGTACTTTGGGGCAATTATAAATAAACTGACCATAAATATTTGTGAACCGACTTTTGTTTGAATACAAATTTTCATTTCTCCTGGTTAAACACCTAAAAATGGGATTGCTGGGTCATGTGGTAAGTGTATGTTACATTTATTTATTTATTTATTTATTGAGACCAAGTCTCACTCTGTCGCCCAGGCTGGAGTGCAGTGGCACCTTCTCGGCTCACTATAGCTTCTGCCTCCCAGGTTCAAGTGATTCTTCTGCCTCAGCCTCCCAAGTAGGTGGGATTACAGACACCAGCCACCATGCCGGGCTAATTTTTGTATTTTTAGTAGAGATGGGGTTTCACCATGTTGGCCAGGCTGGTCTCAAACTCCTGACCTCAGGTGATCCACCTGCCTAAGCCACCCAAAGTGCTGGGATTACAGGCGTGGGCCACCATGCCCGGCTGTATGTTCACTTTAAATTTTTTTCTTCTTCTTTTTAATTTAAAATTATTTTTATTTATTTATTTTTTGCTGAGGCTAGAGTGCAGTGGCACAATCACAGTTTGCTGCAGCCTCAACCTCACAGGCTCAAGTGATCCTCCTACTTCAGCCTCCTGAGTAGCTGGGACCACAGGAACACACCACCATACCCAGCTATATATATTTTGTAGAGACAAGGTCTTACTGTGTTGCCCGGGCTGGTCTTGAACTTCTGGACTCACGCGATCCTCCTGCTTTGGCCTCCCAAAGTGCTGGGATTACAGCCATAAGCCACTGTGTTGGACTTTTTGGTCATTTTAAATTTAGTTATTTTCTTACTACTGACTTTTGAGGATTCTTTACATTCTCAATAAAAGTCCTTTATCATTTATGTGCCTTGCAAACATTTTTTCCCGGTTTGTGGTTTGTTTTTCCATTTTCATAAGAGTGTCTTTTGAAAATCAGATGTTTTTAATTTTTATGAAATCTAGTTTAGCATATGTTTTTGTTTATGCTTCATGGATATAGAAGCTATATCTAAGAAACTTTTTTCCTAATCTAAGCTCACAAAGATTTTCTGCTATGTTTCCTTCGGGAAGTATTTTAATTTTGAGGTTGGATTTAGGTCTATGATCCATTTTGAAATAACTTTTGTTAAGTTGTAAGGTAGAGGTGGTCAAGGTTCTCTCTTTTTTAAAAAAACATATGCACGACTAGTTATTCCAATATCATTTGTTGTTTGTTTGTTTGTTGTTGAGACAGAGTCTTCCTCCGTCAACCAGGCTGAATAGAGTGCAGTGGTACAATCACAGGTCACTGCAGCCTCAAACTCAAGCAATCCTCCCACCTCAGGCTCCCAAGTAGCTGGGACTACAGGCACATAGCACCACACACAGCTGCTGCTTCTTTTTTTTTAGTGACAGGGTCTTGCTATGTTGTCCAGGCTGGTCATGAACTCCTGGCCTCAAGCCATCCTCCTGCCTCAGCCTCCCAAAGTGTTGGGATTACAGGCGTGAGCAGCCATGCCCAGCTGCAACACCATTTGTTGACATGACTACCATTTATCCATTTGATTGTCTTTGCCATTTTGTAAAAACCAGCTGACCCTGAGGTGGGCAGATTGCTTGAGCCCAAGAGTTCAAGACCAGCCTGGGCAACATGTTGAAACCCTATCTCTATTATTAAAAAAAAAAAAAAAAATCAACTAACCATGTATGTGTTGGTTTATGGAGTTTCAAAACATGGTTAACAGGATAGAGCTTTTTGTGTTAGGGAGAAGGAAAGGGGAATTTAGATAGATAAAATTCTTTAATTTTTTCAAGATTTTGTTTGTTTTATTTATTTAGTTAGTTTAGTTTAGTTTTTGAGATGGAGTCTCACTCTGCTGCTCAGGGTGGAATGCAGTGGCACAATCTTGGCTCATTGCAACCTCCATCTCCTGAGTTCAGGCAGTTCTGCCTCAGCCTCCTGAGTAGCTGGGATTACAGGCATGTGCCACCACACCTGGATAATTTTTGTATTTTTAGTAGAGACAAGGTTTCACTACATTGGCCAGTCTGGTCTCAAACTCCTGACCTCAAGTGATCTGCCTGCCTCAGCCTTCCAAAGTGCTGGGATTACAGGCATAAGCCACTGCACCCAGCCTGTTTTGTTTCAATTGCAAATAAGAATTGCACATATTTATGGGGTACCTAGGGATGTTTTGATACATATGCACAGGTTGTATGTGCAACCTCACAGATGACGTTCCCCATGAAACGCTCTGAGATGGATTGAGCAAGCAGGATATTTATTAAGCAGTGCCCTTGAAGGCCAGGCACAGTGGTTTATGGCTGTAATCCCAGCACTTTGGGAAGCTGAGGATTGCTTGAGCCCAGGAATTGGAATTCAAGACCAGCCTGGGCAACATAGCAAGACCCCCACCTCCACAAAAAATAAAAAAGCTGGGCATGATGGTGCATACCTGTAGTCCTAGCTACTCAGGAGGATGAGGCAGGAGGATCACTTGAACCCAGGAGTTAAGAGGCTGCAGTGAGCCATGATTGCACCACCGCACCTCCAACCTGGGTGACAGAGCAAGACACTGTCTCTTTAAAAAAAAAAAAAAAAAAAAAAAAGGTGTTCTTGAGAGCAAGAGGCCAGAAGGAAGCAGGAGCAAGCAATGGAGAAATGGTGAGAAGGTAAGCTTCCACTGAGCCCAGGAGAACAGGAGCTGAAACAGCCATTCACACTTGTCCAGGCTTGGCCAAGGTGGTTGGACCTCCACCCTTCCACAGCCATGGGATATTGGGAGAAGGAGTTCCCTGTAGTTGAGACAGTTCCTGTGGACAGCATTCACAGAGGGGCCACAAACCCTTCATGGAAGGTGGTGTGAACCATGTGCCTCTGCACTCTGCCACAGTAGGGCTGTACTTTGTGCTTTCTTTTTATTTTTCTTTTTCCTTTTTGAGACAGAATCTCACTCGTCACCCAGGCTGGAGTGCAATGGTGCGATCTCGGCTCACTGCAACCTCCACCTCCCAGGTTCAAGTGATTCTCCTGCCTCAGCCTCCCCAGTAGCTGGGACTACAGGTGTGCACCACCACATCTAGCTAATTTTTGTATTTTTAGTAGAGACGAGGTTTCATCATGTTGGTCAGGCTGGTCTCAAACTCCTGACCTCAAGTGATCCCCCCACCTCAGCTTCCCAAAGTGCTGGGATTACAGTCACGAGCCACCACACCTAGCCTTACGCTTTGTGTTTTCATCTGCATCTGCCATGAATGAGGAAGAATGCCTTTTCATATTCTTGGAGGGAAGTTCTAGAGAGGGTGACCAAGTGGCTCCAGGCCTTCGTGAGACAAAAGGGAACCCCTCTGGAGCAGCCTCTAGAGTAGTGGAAGGCCAGGCAGACCTGGATCTAATTTTAATCTTTTGTGACCTAACTCTGCACTCCGAAGGGAGTGACTCAACTCCTCTGAGCCTCAGTTTCCCTCTCATAAAATGACAGAGATTGTGATTGTAGTGGAGGATAAAAAAGGAAGGGAAGGAGATGTCCTCACTTTAATCTAAACTCTGATCCTGTCCACAGAATTTAAGGACATTTAGTCAAATTCAGAGGCCCAGCAAAGTTGTTCCCATGGGTCAGTTTGCAAGAGGGACCCAAGAGCTAGGAAGAGGCTGGGCACAGTGGCTCACACCTGCAATCCCAGCACTTTGAGAGGCCAGGGTGGGTGGATTGCTTAAGATCAGGAATTCAAGATTAGCCTGGGCAACATAGCAAGACTCCATCTCTAAAGAAAATGAAAAAAACTAGCCAGGCATGGTGGTATGTGCCTGTAGTCCCAGCTACTCGGGAGGCTGAGGCAGCAGGGTCCCTTGAATCCAGGATTTTGAGGCTGCAGTGAACTATGATCACATCACTGCACTCTAGCCTGGGTGACAGGGCAAGACCCTGTCTCAAAAAAAAAAAAAAAAAAATAGATCTGAGGACCATTGACAACATGCTGGGTTCAGTGTGGCCTCCTGAGCCTGGTTCCAGCCTTCTATCTCCTTAGGCCTGGGGTGCGGATGACGCCTTACCCACTCACTCTGTTTGGGAGTTGAACAGTAAATTAAAGTGCTTCGTTATCTCATTTGAGAGTGGCGTAAAACACTGGAAAGGCTGGAGCATTCACAGCAATCAAGCTCTGAAAGGTTCTCAGTTGCTGGAAGGAATATCCTCTGATAGATTGCTCTTTTCTCTGAAACGTGGCTTACATCTCATGAGCAATTCCAGCAGTGTCCACTGCAGATGTTTTTGGCATCTTCACAAAGGAGTTAAAGAGATCAGACTCGTTCCCAAGAGAGAAAAATCATCTTTGCAATGTCCAAAAAGATTCCCTGGGCACAGCTCCCTCTGCTGTGACCTGCCAAGAAATTTTGGGGCTGCTTAGGACATGGGGTCATTCTCTAGCTCCAGTATACTCACCAGTGGTCAGTCACCACCTATGCATCGTGAGTCACTCCACAAACCTTAAATGAACATCATGTTGGGGAAGGCCATGCTTCGTCTCAGCCCTGCCCTCCCTGGGCTTACCATCCAAACTTGGCCCTGTGTAAATTCTACAGGATTCACCCCTGGTTTTCCTGTCCACTGACTCAAATGACCAACATCTCAACACCTTCCTGGGGGTCAGACATGCAGAGACTTGCATTTTCGTGATCATAAAATTGAGGTACAATGTATCCAAAATAAACCTTCAGAATCTCAGACTCCAGTCCTCTCCAGAATTAGTTTCCAGATTTTTAAACATTTAATTTTATTTTTAGAGAAGGGGTCTCACTATGTTGCCCAGGCTGTTCTTGAACTGCTGGGCTCAAGCAATCCTCCCATCTCAGCCTTCCAAAGTGCTGAGATTACAAGCATGAGCCACCATGCCTGGCCACTTAAAAATAATAATAATAATAATTTCTTGCTCTGTCACCCAGGCTGGAGTGCAGTGGTGCCATCATAGCTCACAGCAGCCTCAAACTTCCAGGCTCAGGTGATCCTCCCACTTCAGCCTCCCAAGCCACTGGGGGACGACAGGTGCTCACCACTGTGCCTGGCTACTTTTTTATTTTTTCATAGGGAGAAGGTCTTGCTAGGTTGCCCAGGCTGGTCTCAAACTCCTGGGCTGAAGTGAGCCTCCCACCTTGGCCTCCCAAAATGCTGGGGTTATAGGTATGAGCCACTGTGCCATCCCAGTTTCCAGAATATTAAAGAGCTTCTGTTGGGTTAGGCTTAGGAACAGGCAAAATAATAACAACAACAATTTTCCTCTGTTGGGCACTTCCCATTGGCCAGAACTGTACTCAGAACCAACACACATCACCCAGAATCCTTATAACAACCCCAATTTATAGATGGAAAAGTCGAAGCATGGAGGTATGAGTAGCAGGGGTGTGGAGGGCCTGCAACCTCTATCTTCCACCAGGTCAACCTTTTGGTTCTTAGAAACTGTGCAGGCAGGCACGTATGTTTATTGCGGCACTATTCACAATAGCAAAGACTTGGAACCAACCCAAATGTCCATCAATAATAGACTGGATTAAGAAATCCATTTATGGATTATGCAGCCATAAAAAAGGATGAGTTCATGTCCTTTGTAGGGACATGGATGAAGCTGGAAACCATCATTCTGAGCAAACTATCGCAAGGACAGAAAACCAAACACCGCATGTTCTCACTCATAGGTGGGAATTGAACAATGAAAACACTTGGACACAGGGTGGGGAACATCACACACCAGGGCCTGTTGTGCGGTGGAGGGAGTGGGGAGGGATAGCATTAGGAGATATACCCAATGTAAATGATGAGTTAATGGGTGTAGCACACCAGCATGGCACATGTATACATATGTAACAAATCTTCACATTGTGCACATGTACCCTACAACTTAAAGTATAATAAAAAAGAAAGAAAGAAAGAAACTGTGCAGGCAGGACAGGCATAATGGCTCATACCTGTAATCCCAGAATTTTGGGAGGCTGAGGCGGGCAGCTCACTTGAGGTCAGGAGTTCAAGACCAGCCTGGCTGACATGGCGAAACCCCGTCTCTACTAAAAATACAAGAATTACCCAGGCTTGGTGGCATGCACCTGTATTTCCAGCTAGTTGAGAGGCTGAGGCAGGAGAATTGCTTGAACCCAGGAGGCGGAGGTTGCAGGGAGCCAGGATCATGCCACTGCACTGCAGCCTGGGCAACAGAAACCGCACAGGCAAGTCCTCAGCCATGGATTAAGACCAAAAAGAAAGAAAAAAAAATGCTGAAAGGGCACAAGCTGAGGAGTGGGGAGGAGAGGAGAAGAGGCAGATGGAAGTGAGCCCAGGTGCAGAGAGAGATAGGAGGGAAAGACTGAGTGGCCTCTTGTCCTGCTGCAGCCTTTCCTATGGACAGCCTGGAGCTGTCATCCTCACCATGGTGCCTAGTGTTCCCTCACTGATCTGACTCATAGGTGTTCCTTCACCACCTCTGCCTGCTCAGCCCTGGGGCAGCCCTGGGGAGACCCAAGGAAAGCTGGGTCCACGTGCACCTTTCCTCCTAACCTCCTCTAGCCTCAGTCTCCCCATCTGTAGAAAGGGCACATGAATCCCTACCTCTCCAGAGGATCAGACGCAACAATGTACCCACGGGCACCAAGGAGAAGCCCTGGACACACACCCGTTTCCTTCCTTTCCTCCTTCATAAGTCAGGAAAGAGTACAGAATACAAGCCACAAAGGGAGCCTGCCCTTAAGCAAGACTGCCAAAGAATTGCTTTGTCCATGCATTCATTCATTCATTCATTCATTCATTCATTCAACAGATACTTCCTGAGCATCTACTGTGTGCCAGGAAGAGCATTGAGGCTTTCCTTTCCTAAAGGCATTCTCTTTTCTTTCTTTTCTTTTTTTTTTTTTTGAGACAGAATCCCACTCTGTTGGCCAGACTGGAGTGCAGCGGTGCAATCTTGACTCACTGCAACCTCCGCTTCCTGGGTTCAAGAGATTCTTGTGCCCCACCACTCGAGTAGCTAGGATTACAGGCATGCATTGCCATGCTTGGCTAATTTTTGTAGCTGGGACTACAGGCACCTGCCACCATGCCGGGCTAATTTTTTGTATTTTTAGTAGAGACGGGTTTTCACCAAATTAGCAAGCATGGACTCAATCTCCTGACTTCGTGATCCCCCCACCTCGGCCTCCCAAAGTGCTGAGATTACAGGCATGAGCCACCACCGCACCCGGTCTTTTTTTTTTTTTTTTTTTTTCTTTGAGATAGAGTTTTGTTCTTGTTGCCCAGGCTGGAATGCAATGGCGTGATCTCGGCTCACTTCAACCTCCACCTCCCGGGTTCAAGCAATTCTGACTCAGCCTCCCAAGTAGCTGGGATTATAGGCATGCGCCACCACACCCAGCTAATTTTTGTATTTTTAGTAGAGATGGGGTTTTACCATGTTGGCCAGGCTGGTCTTGAACTCCTGACCTCATGTGATCCACCTGTCTTGGCCTCCCAAAGTGCTAGGATTACAGGAGTGAGCCACTGTGCCTGGCCTATGTCTTTCTTTCTTTCTTTCTGTTTTTAATTTATATTTGTTTGAGCCCCTCCTTTGACATCTGTTTGTTTTTGTTGTATTGGTTTTTTTTTTTAGAGATAGGGTCTCATTCTGTCACCCAGGGTGGAGTGCAGTGGTGTGATCACAGCTCACTGCAACCTCCAATTCCTGGCCTCAAGTGATCCTCCTGCCTTAGCCTCCTGAGTAGCTGGGATGCAGGTGTGTGCTGCCACACCCAACTAATTTTTTTTAAATTTTAATATTTTCTTTTAGAGATAGAGTCTGGCTGTTTCACTCACGCTCCAGTGCAGTGGCAGGAGCATAGCTCGCTGCAACCTCAAATTCCTATGCTTAAGCAATCCTCCTGCCTCAGCCTCTTGAGTTGTTGAGGCACCTGTCATCACAACCAGCTGATTTCTTTTTTTATTATTACATTTTGTAGAGATGGGGTCTTGCTTTGTTGCCCAGGCTGGTCCTGAACTACTGGTTTCAAGTGATCCTCCCACCTCGGCCTCCCAAAGTGCTGGGATTACAGGCATGAGCCACTGCACCCGGCCTATTCAATAAACATGTATTCAGTCTGTACCTACTGTTCTAGGGACTGTGGACAGAGCACTGAGCAAGATAGGAAAAAACCAGCATGCACTCTGGGTGAGTGTCAGCAGAGCCGGTCTCAGGGGGCATGAGCCATGCAATTACACACTCGGTTTCATGCTGTACGGTGGCCATTTTGAAATCCTTAATAATTTTTCAACAAGAGCCCTCAAGTTTCATTTTGGAACGGGCCCTGCAAATTATGTAGCCGGTCCTGTGTGTCAGGCCAAACTAGCAGATAAGGAAATGAGGCACAGAGAGGGAAATAACTCCACCAAGGTTCACACAGGATGCAAGCCACACAGCTGGGATTGAAACCCAGGTTAGACTGGGTGCACTGGCTCATGCCTGTAATCCCAGTACTTTGGGAGGCCAAGGTGGATGGATCATCTAAAGTCAGGAGTTCAAGACCAGCCTGACCAACACGGTAAAACTCCATCTCTACTAAAAATACAAAAATTAGCTGGGTGTGGTGTCTCACGCCTGTAATCCCAGCATTTTGGGAGGCCGAGGCGGGTGGATCACGAGGTCAGGAGATTGAGACCATCCTGGCTAACACGGTGAAACCCCGTCTCTACTAAAAATACAAAAAATTAGCCGGGCGAGGTGGCAGGCGCCTGTAGTCCAAGCTCCAAGCTACTTGGGAGGCTGAGGCAGGAGAATCGCTTGAACCTGGAAGGCAGAGGTTGCAGTAAGCCAAGATCGTGCTGCTGCACTCCAGCCTGGGCAACAGAGTGAGACTCCAAAAAAAAAAGGAAAGAAAGAGAGAGAGAAAGAAAGAGAAAGAAAGAAGAGATGAAAGAAAGAAAGAAAGAAAGAAAGAGAAAGAAAGAAGAGATGAAAGAAAGAAAGAAAGAAAGGAGAAAGAAAGAAAAGAGAAAGAAAGAAAGAGGAGGGGAGGGGAGGGAGAGGGGAAGGGAAAGGGAGGGGGAGGGGAAGGGGGAGGGGAGGGAGAGGGGAAGGGGGAGTGGAGGGCGAGGGAAAGGGGAGGGGAAGGAGAGGGGAAGGGGAGGGGAAGGAGAGGGGAAGGGGAGGGGAAGGAGAGGAGAAGGGGAGGGGAAGGAGAGGAGAAGGGGAGGGGAAGGAGAGGAGAAGGGGAGGGGAAGGAGAGGAGAAGGGGAGGGGAAGGAGAGGGGAAGGGGAGGGGAAGGAGAGGAGAAGGGGAGGGGAAGGAGAGGAGAAGGGGAGGGGAAGGAGAGGGGAAGGGGAGGGGAAGGAGAGGGGAAGGGGAGGGGAAGGGGAGGGGAAGGGGAGGGGAAGGGAAGGGGAAGGGAAGGGGAAGGGAAGGGACCCAGGCTAACAGACTCCAGATACCAGCAGCAGCCCTTGAGCCATGTTGCCTAATTGTCCCCAAGGAGAAAACTTCCCAGGTCTTCGGAGGCAGCAAAAGCTTTCCTGGCACAGAGCTAGAAAAGAAGATTCTCATGGTGTCTCATGTGGCAGGAACTACAGGAGCTGGGGTGGGTAATCCATTTAGGCCACTTGACAAACACCTATTTTTAGGTCAACTCTGAGAATAGAAAGATGAAAAAGGAGTGGCCTCTGCCATCCTGGAGCTAAGCAACTGGTATAAGGGAAGTGACAGCCCCCATGGAATCGGACCATTTCAACTTCATGCGATGAATGACAGGTCAGGGCTTCTGGGCATGACCATAGGAATGACCACAGCTAACATTGACCATGGGCCTAATTTGTGTGCTGTTTGCTTTTTTTTTTTTGAGACAGAGTCTCACTCAAGTCACCAGGCTGGATGGAGTGCAGTGGTGCAATCTCAGCTCACTGCAACCTCCGCCTCCCAGGTTCAAGCGATTCTCCTGCCTCAGCCTCCCGAGTAGCTGGGATTACAGGCGCGCACCACCACGCCCAGCTAATTTTTGTATTTTTAGTAGAGACGGGGTTTCACCATGTTGGCCAGGATGGTCTCAATCTCTTGACCTCGTGATCCACCCACCTCACCCTCCCAAAGTGCTGAGATTACAGGCCTGAGCCACTGCGCCCAGCCATGCTGTGTGCTTTTTAGCATTTTCTTCAGTTTTTGTTGCAACCTATGAGTCAGGAACTCTTATTATGCTATTTTACCTAGGAGGAAAAGAGCATTCACAGAGATTAAACAGTGTGTTCAGGCCGGGTGTGGTGGTAATCACATCCATGACCGTAATCCCAGCACTTTGGGAGGCCAAAGCGGGAGGATTGCTTGAGTCCAGGAATTCAAGACCAGCCTGGGCAACTTAGTAAAACCTCCATCTCTTTTGTAAAAAAATAAATAATAAAATACTTTAGGAGGCCAAGGCAGGCAGATCACTTGAGGTCAGGAGTTCAAGATCAGCCTGGCCAACATGGTGAAACCCCGTCTCTACTATAAATACAAAAATTAGCTGGGTGTGGTGGCATGCGCCTGTAGTCCCAGCTACTCAGGAGGCTGAGGCAGGAGAATTGCTTGAACCTGGGAGGCAGAGGTTGCAGTGAGCTGAGATCACGCCACTGCACTCCAGCCTGGGTGACAGAGCGAGACTCTGTCAAAAAATAATAATAAAAATAATCATAAAATAAGATAAAAATATAAATAAAAAATAAACAACATGCCTAAAACCACGCAGCTAGAAGAAGGCAGTGTCAGAACTCAGCTATGTCTGACATCAGAGACCACGATTTTTTTTTTTTTTTTGAAATGGAGTCTTGCTCTTGTCACCCAGGCTGGAGTGTAATGGGACGATCTCAGCTCACTGCAACCTGCGCCTCCCAGGTTCAAGCAATTCTCCTGCCTCAGCCTCCCAAGTAGCTGGGATTACAGGCGCCCGCCACCACACCTGGCTAATTTTTGTATTTTTAGTAGAGACAAGGTTTCACCATGTTGGCCAGGCTGGTCTCGAACTCCTGACCTCATGATCTGTCCACCTCAGCCTCCCAAAGTGCTGAGATTACAGGCATGAGCCACCACGCCCCCCGGCCTTTTTTTGTTTTTGTTTGTTTGTTTGTTTTTTGTGGTTTTTTTTTTCTTTTGAGGTGGAGTCTCCCTCTGTTGCCCAGGCTGGAGTGCAGTGGCGCGATCTCGGCTCACTGCAAGCTCCATCTCCTGGGTTCACGCCATTCTCCTGCCTCAGCCTCCAGAGTAGCTGGAACTACAGGCACCCACCACCATGCCCAGCTAATTTTTTGTATTTTTTAGTAGAGACGGGGTTTCACCGTGTTAGCCAGGATGGTCTCGATCTCCTGACCTTGTGATCTGCTCGCCTAGGCCTCCCAAAGTGCTGGGATTACAGGCGTGAGCTACAGCGCCCGGCCTTTTTTTTTTTTGAGACAGTCTCTGTCGCCCAGGCTGTAGTGTAGTGGTACAATCTCCACTCACTGCAACCTCCGCCACCTAGGTTCAAGTGATCAAGTGATTTTCCTGCCTCAGCCTCCCAAGTAGCTGGGATTACAAGCATACACCACCACACCCAGCTAATTTTTGTATTTTTAGTAGAGGGGTTTTGCCATATTGGCCAGTCTGGTCTTGAACTCCTGGCTTCAAAGTGATCCGCCAGCTTGGCCTCCCAAAGTGCTGAGATTACAGGCATGAGCCACCATACCTGGCCAGAGACCATGATCTTAACGAGCATATGGCCCTGCCCCAAAGAACTGTGGACATACAGATGAGAGGCAGGTACCCCACACTGCTGGGAAAAATCACAGAAAGCTTCCCGGAGGAGGTGATGACAGAGGTGAAATAAATATGGATCTGTCAGCCTGTACAAGGGTCAGAGGCCATGAGAGAGTATGGAAGAGGGAGAGAGATCTTTCACTGGAGGGTAAAGTACTAGGCTGGGAATGGTGGCAGATGGGACCAGAGATATAAGCAAAGACCACACCACAGTGAGCCTTGAATGCCAAGTACATCAGTTATGGGTCTTAGCTGCAAGCAACAGAATCCATTCTGGTCAGTCTACATAGCAAAGAAATGAATGAATGAATTTATTTATTTATTGAGATGAATTCTTGCTCTATCGCCCAGGCTGGAGTGCAGTGGCACGATCTTGGCTCACCGCAACCTCTGCCTCCAGGGTACAAGCCATTCTCCCGCCTCAGCCTCCCGAGTAGCTGAAATTACAGGCATGTGCCACCATATCCAGCTAATTTTTGTATTTTTAGTAGAGATGGGGTTTCACCATATTGGCCAGGCTGGTCTCGAACTCCTGACCTCAAGTGATCCACCCCCCCTTGGCCTCCCAAAGTGCTGGGATTACAGGTGTGAGCCACCTCACCTGGCCAGAAATTTATTTTTAATATGTCAAGTAAACTGACCAGGTGTGGTGGCTCACAACCGTCATCCCAGCTCTTTGGGAAGCCAAGGCAGGAGGATCACTTGAGGCCAGGAGTTTGAGACCAGCCTGGGCAACATAGCAAGACTCCATTTCTACCACACACACACACACACACACACACACACACAGACAAAATTAGCCGGCGTGAGGCTTGAATGCCAACTGCATCAGTTATGGGTCTTAGTTGCAATCAACAGAATCCATTCTGGTCAGTTTACATAGCAGAGAATTTATTTTTAAAACATCAAGTAAACTGGCCAAGTGTGATGGCTCCTACCAGTAATCCCAGCACTTTGGGAGTCTGAGGCGGGCAGATCACCTGAGGTCAGATCACCTGCGGTCAGGAGTTCAAGACCAGCCTAGCCAACATGGTGAAACCCTGTCTGTATTAAAAATATGGGAGGCTGAGGAGGGAGGATCACTTGAGCCCAGGAGATTGAGGCTGCAGTGAGCTATGATCACACCACTACTCTCCAGCCTGAGTGACAGAGTGAGACTGTCTCAAAGAAAATTAATTTTTTTTTGTACACTATCACAGCCAAGAAGAGCCCAAGAAGACATTACTACTAACTGTCACATGGTGTCACGGATGGGATCTTCAGACAGAAAAAGGAAATTGGGCCAGGCGCGGTGGCTCACGCCTATAATCCCATCACTTTGGGAGGCTGAGGTGGGTGGATCACCTGAGGTCGGGAGTTCAAGACCAGCCTGACCAACATGGAGAAAACCCCGTCTCTACTAAAAATACAAAATTGGCCAGGGTGGTGGCGCATGCCTGTAATCCCAGCTGCTCGGGAGGCTGAGGCAGGAGAATCACTTGAACCCGGGAGACGGAAGTTGCGGTGAGCCAAGATCGCGCCATTGCACTCCAGCCTGGGCAACAAGAGTGAAACTCCGTCTCAAAAAAAAAAAAGAAAGAAAGAAAAAAAAAAGAAAAGAAAAAGGAAATTGGTAAAAATTAAGGAGATCTAACTAAAGTATGGACTTAAGTTAATTACAATGTATTAATTTCAGTTCATTAACGGTAACAAATATACTATACCAGTGCAAGATGTTAATAAAAGGGGGAAATGGTACAGGATATATGCGAATCCTACTGTCTTAACAATTTTTCTGTAAATTTAAAACCATTGTAAGATGAAGAGTCTATTTTTAGAGTACTGAGTAAATTGTATGGAACTAAACACACACGCACAATTACATGTAAAACTGGTAGAACCTGGATAAGTTCAGTGGATGGTATCAAAGGCAATTTCCTGGTTGTGAGATTGTACTACAGTTTTGCAAGCTGTTACCATTGGGGGAAATTGCATGAAGGGCACGAGGGCTCTCTGGGTATTAATGTCTTACAATTGCAAGTGAATCTACAATTATCTTAAGATAACAAGCCTAATTTTATTTATTTATTTTATAGAGACAGGCTTTCACTGTATTGGCCAAACTTGTCTCAAACTCCTGGCCTCGAGCGATCCTCCCACCTTGGCCTCCCAAAGTGCGGAGATTACAGACATGAGCTATATAGTACCCGGCCAAAAAGCTTAATTTTAAAACATTGAACAGAGAACAGGATCTTTTGGAAAGCTGCAGAAATAAAGTCTAGGCTTAAAGTTATAGGACCCTTACCCAGCACCATGGGGCAGAACTGTCCTGATAAGAAAATGAAGCTGTGGGCCAGGCACAGTGGCTGATGCCTGTAATCCCAGCACTTTGGGAGGCTGAGGTGGGTGGATCACTTAAGGTCAGGAGTTCGAGACCAGCCTAGCCAACATGGTGAACCCCCATCTCCGCTATACAAAAATTAGCCGGGTGTGGTGGTGGGCGCCTGTAGTCCCAGCTACTTGGGAGTCTAAGGCATGAAAATCACTTGAATCTAGGAGGCGGAGATTGCAGTGAGCTGAGATCACACCACTGAACTCCAGCCTGGGCAACAGAGCAAGACTCTGTCTCAAAAAAAAAGAGAGAGAGGGAGGGAGGGAAGGAGAGAGGGAGGGAGGGAGGGAGGAAGGAAGGAAGGAAGGAAGGAAGGAAGGAAGGAAGGAAGGAAGGAAGGAAGGAAGGAAAGAAGGAAGGAAGAAAATGAAGCTGTGGCAGCTTCCACAGCCACACCTTCTCCAGGACTTCACCTTTCTAAATGTCAAGTTGTATTTTCCCAAAATGGCTACAAAAGTAACTTCATCCAACATGCTCTTCTGCAAAGTAACTTTGTCCTCCTCCATCAAGAAGCAGGGTCTATGACCCTGTCTTAGTCTGTTTTTGTTGCTATAAAGGAATACCTGAGGCTGGGTGATTTATAAAGGAAAGAGGTGTATTTGGCTCGTGGTTCTGCAGGCTGTACAAGAAGCATGGTGCCAGCATCTGCTGCTAGTGAGGACCGCAGGAAGCTTCCTATCATAGTGGAAGATGAAGGGGGGCCGACAAGATCACGTGGTGAGCAACAGACATGCCAGGTTCTTTCAAAGATCCAGCTCTTTGAAAGAATGAGTGAATAGAGCAAGAATTCACTCATTACCACAGGGAGGGCACCAAGCCATTCATGAGGCATCTGCCCCCATGACCCAAACACCTCCCACTTGGCCTCATCTCCAATACTGGGGATCACATTTCAACACGAGATTTAGAGGGGACAAATATTCAGACTATATCAGCCCCCTCCCCTAACTCAAGCTGGGGTTGTACCTGTTTCAACCCAGAGAATACCATGCAGGTGACATCCCTATGATTTCTTTTTTTGTGTGTTGTTTTGAGATGGAGTCTTGCTCCGTTGCCCAGGCTGGAGTGCAGGGGCGCAACCTCGGCTCACTGCAACCTCTGCCTCCTGGGTTCAAGCAATTCTCATGCTTCAGCTCCCGAGTAGCTGAGACTGTAGACATGCACCACCACGCCTGGCTAATTTTTGTATTTTCAGTAGAGACAGAGTTTCACCATCTTGACCAGGCTGGTGTCAAACTCCTGGCCTCAAGTGATCTGCCCACCTCAGCCTCGCAAAGTGCTGGGATTATAGGCACGCACCACCACACCCAGCTAATTTTTGTATTTTTAGTAGAGACGGAGTTTCACCATGTTGGCCAGGCTGGTGTCAAACTCCTGGTCTCAAATGATCCACCCACCTCAGCCTCTCAAAGTGGTGGGATTACAGGCTTGAGCCACCGCGTCCAGCAGCCACCGCACCCAGCTTGATTTCTGAGGTTAGGTCATAAAAGGCCATGTGGCTTCCAGCTGACTTTCTTGGCACATTTGCTCTCCAGACTCTCCCTGCGATATCCTCTCTGGGAATCCAGCTGCCAAGCTGTGAGAAGCCCTAGCCCCATGGAGAGAGGCACCCGTCAACCAGGCTTCAGACACAGAGTAAAGAAGCTTCCAGGCGACCCCAGCCCCCAGGCATCCAAATCACCGCCAGCATTCAGGTCTTTCCAAGTAAAGGCCAGATACCACAGAGCAAAGACAAACTGTTCTCACAGGCCCTGTCTGAATTAGCAACCTATAGAATTTGTGAGTTCAGGCCAGGCACGGTGGCCCACACCTGTAATTCTAACACTTTGGGAGGCAGACGTGGGAGAATCACTTGAGATCAGGAGTTTGAGACCAGTCTGGGCAACATGATGAAACTCCATCTCTACCAAAAAATACAAATATTAGCCAGGTGTGGTGGTGTGTGCCTGTAGACCCAGCTACTTGTGAGGCTGAGGTGGGAGGATCGTTTGAGGCTGCAGGGAACCGTGATGACGCCACTGCACTCCAGCCTGGGTAAGAGTGAGACCCTGTCTCAAAAAAAAAAAAGAATTCTCCCAGCACTTTGGGAGGCCGAGGCGGGAGGATCACCTGAGATCAGGACTTCCAGACCAGCCTGGCCAACATGGTGAAACCCCGTCTCTACTAAAAATACAAAAAAAAAATTAACTGGGCATTGTGGTGTGCACCTGTAATCCCAGCTACTCGGGAGGCTGAGGCATGAGAATTGCTTGAGGCAGAGGTTGCAGTGACTGAGATTGTGCTACGGCACTCCAGCCTGGGTGATGGAGTGAGGCTTCGTCTCAAAAAAAAAAAAAAAAAGAAGAATTAATGAGTTAATATAATGTCATGTCCTATTTTCCTTCCTTCCTGCTTTTTCTTTCTTCTTTCTTTCTTTCTTTCCTCTTTCTTTCTTTCTTTCTTTCTTTTCTTTCTTTCTTTCTCTTTTTCTTTCTTTCTTTCTTTCTCTTTCTCTCTCTCTTTCATCTTTTCTTTCTTTCGTCTTTCTTTTCTTTCTTTGGCCTTTCATTTCTTTCTTTTGTCTTTCTTTTCTTTCATTCTTTCTTTTTGACAGGGTCTTGCCTGGCTGCCCAGACAACAGTGCAGTGGTGCAATCACAGCTCACTGCAGCCTTGAACTCCTCAGTTCCAGTGATTCTCCTGCCTCGGCCTCCCAAGTAGTTGGGACAACAGACGTGTGCCACCATCCCCAGCTATTTTTTTTAAAAAATGTTTTAAGACAGGATCTTGCTAGTCTCAAACTCCTGGTCTCAAGCAATCCTCCCATCTCAGCCTCCCAAGTTGTTGGGATTACAGGCATGAGCCACCGTGCTTAGAGGCATAAGCCACTGCACCGGGCTATTTTGTCATTTTTCTCCACTAAGTGTGAGCTATGTAGTATACAGTAATTGTTACCAGACAAATCCCTGCTGCCTTCTCTGAAATCCCATCCATGAACCTTGTGCTCACTTCTGAACCTGAGCCATACACAGGTCTGATGTGCCTGCATCTTAGCCACAGGGAGGCTGCAGAAGCTCACCTTGTGAAGACAAGGCTTGTGACATGGGAAATCATCAAAATCTATGCCGGGCGGCCGCCATGCACAGAAGGCCACTAGGTCAGACCAAGTGTGGACTAACGGTAGCCTGTAACAGAAGAGACCTCCCCTCATCGCACCCAGCCCCATCATGATTTGAACCTCTCTAGAACCTGCCATGTTGAATTGGGTGCTGACTTCACTCTGCTATTTTTTTTTTTTTTTTTTTTTTTGAGACAGAGTCTCACTCTGTCGCCCAGGCTGGAGTGCAGTGGCATGATCTCGGCTCACTGCAACCTCTGCCTCCCAGGTTTCAGCAATTCTCCTGGCTCAGCCTCCTGAGTAGCTGGGATTATAGGCGCCCGCCACAACACCAAGTTAATTTTTTTGTATTTTTAGTGGAGATGGGGTTTGGTTTCACCATGTTGGCCAGGCTGGTCTCAAACTCCTGAACTCAAGTGATCCGCCTGCCTCGACCTCCCAAAGTGCTGCCAAAATATTAGCATTTTGACCAGGCACAGTGGTTCACATCTGTAATCCCAGCACTTTGTGAGGCTGAGGCAGGCAGATCACCTGAGGTCAGGAGTTCGAGACAAGCCTGGTCAACATGGTGAAACCCCGTCTCTACCAAAAATACAAAAATTAGCTGGGCATGATGACGCGCGCCTGTAGCTCCAGCTACTCAGGAGCCTGAGGCAGGAGAATCGCTTGAACCCGGGAGGCAGAGGTTGCAATGAGCCAAGATGGTGCTGCTGCACTCCAGCCTGGGCGAGGGAGCAAGACTCCATCTCAAAAAAAAAAAAAAAAAAAGTTGGTGCGGGGGCTCACGCCTGTAATCCCAGCACTTTGGAGGCCGAGGCGGGCAGATCACTTGAGGTCAGGGGTTCCAGACTAGCCTGGCCAACACAGTGAAACCCTGTCTCTGCTGTAAAAAAAAATTAGCTGGGCGTGGTAGTGCATGCCTGTAATCTCAGCTACTCAGGAGGCTGAGGCAGGAGAATCACTTGAACACAGGAGGCAGAGGTGGCAGTGAGCCAAGATTGCACCACTGTACTCCAGCCTGGGTGACAGAGTGAGACTCCATCTCAGAAAAAAAAAAAAAAGTGTTTCAACATATAATCAATATTTTTAAATTATTAATAAAATACTTTGAAGTTTTTTCATAATAATCTTTGCAATCCAGGGTTCATTTTACACATGATAGCACATCTCAGTTTGGATGCTTAATTTTCATTCACAATACTCGATCTGTATTTAGAGTTCATAGATTTACATAAGTAAATTGTTTCAAAGTCCTGTGACCAATTTGTCTTCCTGGAGAATGTCCTGGTTTCAAAAATGAAAGTCTTACATCTTGAAATTCTCCTTGGTCCCAGGAAAATCAGGGCAGTTGGTCAACCTCTTCCAAACATACTTGGAGATTTTTCTTTTTTTTTTTTTTTTTTTCTTTGAGACATAGTCTCACTCACTCTGTCACCCAGGCTGGAGTGCAGTGGCGCCATCTTGGCTCACTGCAACCGCCATCTCTCAGGTTGAGGTGATTCTCCTGCCTCAGCCTCCCTAGTAGCTGGGATTACAGGCACATGCGACCATTCCCAGCTAATTTTTTTGTAATTTTAGTAGAGACGGGATCTCACCATATTGACCAGGTTAGTCTCGAACTCTTGACCTCAAGTGATCTGCCCAACTCAAGCCCCTCAACATGCTGGGATGACAGGCGTGAGCCACTGCACCCAGCTGGGTTTTGTTTTTTGGTTTGTACTGTGTTTGTTTTGTTTTTTTGAGATGGAATCTCACTCTATTGCCCAGGCTGGAGTCAGTGGTGCAATCTCAGCTCACTGTAACCTCCGCCTCCCAGGTTCAAGCGATTCTCCTGCCTCAGCCTCCCGAGTAGCTGAGATTACAGTCACTCACCACCATGCCCTGCTAACTTTTGTATTTTTAGTAGAGGCAGGGTTTCACCACATGGACCAGGCTGGTCTCAAATTTCTGACATCAGGCGATCCACCTGCCTCAGCCTCCCGAAGTGCTGGGATTACAGGCATAAGCCACCATACCTGGCCTGTTTTTTGTTTGTTTGTTTGTTTGTTTTTTGAGACAGAGTCTAGTTGCCCAGGCTGGAGTGCAATGGCGTGATCTTGGCTCACTGCCACCTCCGCTTCCCCGGTTCAAGCGATTCTCCTGCCTCAGCCCCTCAAGTAGCTGGGATTACAGGTGCATGCCACCATACCCAACTAATTTTTTTTTTGTATTTTTAGTAGAGATGGGGTTTTCACCATGTTGGCCTAGCTGGTCTCAAACTCCTGACCTCAAGTGATCTGCCTGTCTTGGCCTCCCAAAGTGCTGGGATTACAGGCATGAGCCATCATGCCTGGCCAGCAAGCAAGACATAGGGTTTATTGAGGGGACTTACAGGGTAGTCCAGACATGGCAGGTGGAACAGGAGAACCACACCTGCTTATAAAAAGCATGCAGTTGGGCCCAGCACGGTGGCTCATGCCTGTAATCCCAGCACTCTGGGAGGCCAAGGCGGGTGGATCACAAGGTCAGGAGATCGAGATCATCCCGGCTAACACAGTGAAACCCCGTCTCTACTAAAAATACAAAAAATTAGCTGGGCGTGGTGGCGGGCACCTGTAGTCCCAGCTACTCAGGAGGCTGAGGCAGGAGAATGGCATGAACCTGGGAGGCGGAGCTTGCAGTGAGCCGAGATGGCGCCACTGCACTCCAGCCTGGGTGACAAAGCAAGACTCCATCTCACACACAAAAAAAAAGCATGCAGTTTATAGAGCATTTCCACTTAGCACCCTCCCCCTAGCACCCTCCCTCTGGCAACCTTCATTTAACCCCAAACAAAGGCCACCATCCCCTAGATGGTCCAGGGGTTCAGATGTTCCTCATAGATAAGAAATGAATCTCCGGGTTGGCCACTCCTGGATTCCTTAGCTTAGAACTTTCAACACATACTCTTCTTAGACCATGGGGTCATTTTCAAGGTATGCTGATGTTACTGTTGCCAGATGTGTTTGCCATGCATCATAGCTAACCACTAGGAAGTTCTATAAGTGAGGGAGGGCCTTAAGAACATACTCTGAGCTGGAAGTGTCAAGTTGGAGGCCCTTGACATTAGAAGCCAGAGACTGGGTACACCCACATAGTGAGAGAAGGTGAGGGCTGCGGGGATGTGTCAGCTATATCCATTGCTACCCAACAAACCATTCCAAGTCTTAATGACGAAAAATAACTTTTTTTTTTTTTTTGTCAGAGGCAGGTTCTCACTCTGTCACCCAGGCTGGAATGCAATGGTGCAAACACGGCTCACTGCAGTCTCAACCTCCTGGGCTCAAGTGATCCTCCCACGTCAGCCTCCGAAGTAGCTGGAACTACAGGCGTGCGTCACCATGCCCAGGTAATTTTTGTATTTTTTTGTAGAGAAGGGGTTTTGCCATGTTGCCCCGCCTGGTCTTGAAGTCCTGACCTCAAGGGCTCCACCCGCCTTGGCCTCCCAAAGTGCTGGGATTACAGGTGTGAGCCACTGTGCCCAGACAACAGCTATTTTTTTTGGGGGGGCGGGGGACAGAGTCTCGCTCTGTCACCCAGGCTGGAGTGCAGTGGCGCAATCTCAGCTCACTGCAAGCTCCACCTCCTGGGTTCATGCCATTCTCCTGCCTCAGCCTCCCAAGTAGCTGGGACTACAGGTGCCCGTCACCATGCCCGGCTAATTTTTTGTATTTTCAGTAGAGACGGGGTTTCACCATGTTAGCCAGGATGGTCTCAATCTCCTAACCTTGTGATTCACCTGCCTTGGCCTCCCAAAGTGCTGGGATTACAGGCGTGAGCCATTGTGCCCAGCCAACAGCTATTTTTTATTCATCGTGTTTCTATTGGTTGGCTGGATAGTTCTGGTTTCACCTGGGCTCATGTGTGTGGCTGCACTCAGTTAGACAGTCAGATGCAAAGTCCAAGATGGTCTCGTTCACATCTTAGCATGCTCTAGTAGTTGGTGCTAGCTGTTGGCAGAGGCCTGACACAGCTGGAACACCTGGACCTCTTCATGTGATCTTTCTTGCAAGCTTCTTTACAGCGTGATGGTCTCAGGGCAGCATTCTTTCCGAGAGGGCAAGTCCCAATGCACAGGACTTAGGGAGCAGATTTGCCAATACCCCATTGGCCAAAGCCGTGAAAATCACATAGCCAGACCTAGAGTCAATCAGTGAAAGACCAGAAAAGGGCAGTGCTAAGGAACCCAAAGAGGAGGGAATTCTACCAGGACGGTGCCCATCCAACACTTGTGTTACCTTGGGAGCCAGTACCTCCTTAAATTCAGGGCCCAAAGTGCCTCAACTTGCTTCACCCCAATTCCAGCCTGAATCCTCAGGACTTGGCAACTCAGAGGTCAATTTCCTTAACACCCCAACATGAATTTCGGAAGTTAGTTTCACAGAAATCTTAAGCACCAAATACAACTGAGCGAAAGCAATTCTGCAAGTCAAAAACAAGGTGGTCTAAATTTGCAAACTTTATGGCAGTCTGGCTTGATGAAATATAAAGCCCACAATGCTTTTAAACAGTTTTGGCCAGGCACAGTGGCTCACGCCTGTAATCCCAGCATTTTGGGAGGCTGAGGCGGGCAGATCACCTGAGGCCAGGAGTTTGAGACCAGCCTTGCCAACATGGTAAAACCCCGTCTCTACTAAAAATACAAAAATTGGCTGGGCGTGGTGGCTCACACCTGTAATCCCAGCACTTTGAGAGGCCAAGGTGGGTGGATCACGAGGTCAAGAGATCAAGACCATCCTGGCCAACATGGTGAAACCTTGCCTCTACTAAAAATACAAAAATCAGCTGGCATGGTGGCACATGCCTCTAGTCCCAACTCCTCGGGAGGCTGAGGCAGAAGAATCACTTGACCCTGGTAGGAGGAGGTTGCAGTGAGCTGAGATCATGATGCTGCACTCCAGTCTGGCTACAGAGTGAGACTCTGTCTCAAAAACAAACAAAAAAATACAAAAATTAGCCGTGGGTGGTGGCGCGCGCCTGTAATCCCAGCTACTCGAGAGGCTGAGGCAGGAGAATTGCTTAAACCCAAGAGGCAGAAGTTGCAGTGAGCTGAGATCATGCCATTGCACTCTACCCTGGGTGACAGAGCAAGACCCTGTCTCAAAAAAAAAAAAAAAAATATATATATATATATTTTTTTTTTTTACCAAGACCCACAGTAAAACATACCTTTATATCAAGTTCTAGTGCACATAGGCAGACACACACAGGCACGCACCCCTTACACACATGGACAAGATTAAAGTGCCCTGGGGTATAGAAAAGATGATAGTAACCTACCCATTTTATATGCAACACTGTGTCATTTTCTAGTCTATTTAAAATTTTTTTTGTGTTTTTTTTTGCCGGGAATTTTTCCATTTTGTTGAAGAGACGATGTCACTCTGTTACTCAGGCTAGAGTCCAGTGGTACAATAATAGTTCACAGCGGCCGGGCACAGTGGTTCACGCCTATAATCCCAGCACTTTGGGAGGCCGAGGCAGGTGGATCAAGAGGTCAGGCGTTCAAGACCAGCCTGGCCAACATAGTGAAACCCCGTCTCTACTAAAATAAAAATAAAAATAATTAGCTGGGCATGGTGGCAGGCACCTGTAATCCCACCTACTTGGGAGGCTGAGGCAGGAGAAATGCTTGAACCTGGGAGGCAGAGGTTGCAGTGAGCCGAGATTGTGCCACTGCACTCCAGCCCGGGGAACAGCGTGAGACTCCATCTCAAAAAAAAAAAAAAAAAAAAGAAAGAAAGAAAAAAAAAAACAATAATAGTTCACTGCAGCTCCGAACTCCTGGGCCCAAGGGATCCTCCCACCTCAGCCTCCTGAGTAACTAGGACTACAGGTGCACGCCACCACATCTAGCTAGTTTCTTATATTTTTATTTTTGTAGAGATGAGCAGTCTTGCTATGTTGCCCAGGCTGGTCTCAAACTCCCGGCCTCAAGAGATCCTCTTGCCTTGGCCTCCCAAAATGCTGAGATTACAGGCATCAGCCACTGTACCCAGCCTGTTTAATTATTTTTTTAAATAATTGCCATGCCCTGCTAAATTGATTTCACCATCCACTACATGGGTCATACACAGTCTGCAGATTGAAAAATGCTACCTTAGGCCATCCAGAGCAGAAGTCAGAAAACTAGCCAAATCTTGCCTTTAGCCTTGTTTTGTTTCACCTGCTTTTTTTTTTTTATTGTTGTTGTTTTGTTTTTTGTGTTTTTTTTTTTTTGAGGCAGAATCTCATTCTGTCGCCCAGGCTGGAGTGCAGTAGTGCAATCTTGGCTCACTGCAACCTCTGCCTCCCAGGTTCAAGTGATTCTCCTACCTCAGCCTCCCAGGTAGCTGGGATTACAGATGCACACCACCATGCCTGGCTAATTTTTGTATTTTCAGTGGAGACGGGGTTTCACCATGCTGGCCAGGCTGGTCTTGAACTCCTGTCCTTGTGATCTGCCTGCTTTGGCTTCCCAAAATGCTGGGATTATAGTTGTGAGCCACTGCACCCTGCCAGTTGTTTTTTTTTTTCTTAAGAAACTGAATTTTATGCCTTCAGGCAGACTTCCCTTCACCTGTACCATTTCCAACATTTTTTTTTTTTTGAGATGGAGGCTCACTCTATCACCCAGGCTGGAGTGCAGTGGCGCGATCTCAGCTTACTGCAGCCTCCACCTCCTGGGTTCAAGCGATTCTCCTGCCTCAGGAGAAGGCACCACCATGCCCAGCTAATTTTTTTGTGTTTTTAGTAGAGACGAGGTTTCACCATGTTTGTCAGGCTGGTCTCAAACTCCTGACCTCAAATGATCTACCCTCCTTGGCCTCCCAAAGTGCTGGGATTACAGGCGTGAGTCACCGCGCCCAGCCACATTTCCAACTATCTGATAGCCAACTGCTTCACACATCTGTGTAATCTGTCTGGCCCCTGAATGCATTTCTGTTTGGGATTTCTGGATCTCTAGATTCTAAAGGCATAGATAGGTGCATTGATGCATTCCACAAATATTGAATGAGTGTCTCTCATAGGCCAGTCACTATTGCTGACAATGGGAACACAGCGGAGAACAGACAAAAATCACTGCCTTTGTGGAGTTGAGATTGTGTAGGGGAGAGACAGATAAGCTTTAAAAAAAAAATGCTGAGGCTGGAGGATCACTTGAGGCTGGGAGTTCGAGACTAGCCTGAACAACATAGTGAGACACCCCTCTCTACAAAAAGTAAAAAAAAAGGCCGGGTGTGGTGGCTCACGCCTGTAATCCCAGCAATTTGGGAGGCCGAGGCGGGCGGATCATGAGGTCAGGAGATCGAGACCATCCTGGCTAACACAGTGAAACCCTGTCTCTATTAAAAATACAAAAAAATTAGCCGGGTGTGGTGGCGGGCACCTGTAGTCCCAGCTACTCGAGAGGCTGAGGCAGGAGAATGGCGTGAACCTCGGAGGGGGAGGTTGCAGTGAGCCGAGATCGTGCCACTGCACTTCAGCCTGGGTGATGGAGCAAGATTCCGACTCAAAAAAAAAAAAAAAAAAAAAAAGGCCAGGCATGGTGGCTTATGCCTGTAATCCCAGCAGTTTGGGAGGCCGAAGTGGGTGGATCACCTGAGGTCAGGAGTTCAAGACCAGCCTAGGCAACATTGCGAAAAATACAAATATTAGCCAGCCGTGGTGGCCAGCACCTGTAATCCCAGCTAGCTGGGAGGCCAAGGCACGAGAATCGCTGAACCAAGGGGGAGGAGGTTGCAGTAAGCCAAGATCGCGCCATGGCACTCTAGCCTGGGCGACAGAGCAAGACTCCATCTCGGGGGGGAAAAAAGAAAGTTAAAAAAAAAAAAAAATTAGCCAGGCATAACTGTAGTCCCAACTGCTGGGGAAGCTGGGGTGGGAGGATCTTTTAAGCCCAGGAGTTCGAGGCTGTAGTGAGCTATGATTGCGCCCCTGCACTCCATCCTGGCCAACAGAGCAAGACCCTGTCTCTAAAAAATAAATAAATAAAAGAAAAAGAGTAAAAGAAAATAAAGTGGGAGGGGGATATGCATGCTCTAAGATCTATCTACCACAGATTACAGGCTTTTCACCCTTTTGTGGAAATGACAAAACCTAGTATGTTCCTACCTAACAGAGGAGGGCTGAGGGAAGGTGAGGGAGCACAACTGCAATTTTCCCCTGAAAGAGAGTTCTCAGCCTGCCCTGGCAGATAGATCTCACCCATCGCGTCCCCAGATTACTCTGCCAAAGGTGGAAGCACCAATCACTTTAACCCAGAACATTTCAAAACCAGACAGCCATGAAGGAGGAACCTCTGTGGTCCGGGCGCGTGGGCCCTGGGGTTGGAAGTGCCTCAGACGCACTTTACATTTTCCCCGAATTCACCCTTCGCAGTCCCCATCACCCCCTCTCCAGTGGGATAAATGGCCACCTCATTAGCTCTGCACACATGACCCTCCCGACCTGACTCCTGGTGACTATGCCTGCCTTATCTCTTTTCTCTCCTCCCTCACATTTTCCGCTGCAACAAAGCCAAACACAGCACCGTGGGGGCTTTCACGCTTCTGTGCCCTAGGACACGCTGTTCCTGCAGCTTGGAAGGCCTCTGTCCTCCATCCGCGCGCCCTCACTCTCTTGCTACGAACTCCCATTCATCCTTCAAAACCCAGCCTGAGTGTCCCCTCCCCCGGGTCACCCCCTTTGACCTGTCAATCCCCTCCCTCCGGGTCCCCAGCAAGCTTTTCGGTTTGGCTTCTCCGCACTCTCATGACCGATTGCCCTACATCTTGGCGCTCCCAGACTCGGGCCTTCTCCAGCACCGGAGTCGTCTGGTTTGCTCGCTTTACACTCCAAGCACCTAGTACCGAGCCTGACTGGGTGCCAGAGGGCGCGCCTAGGCTCAGGCTGGCTCCACCCGCCCCGTGCCTCCCCTCGGCCTTCCCCTTAGTCCTGAGGGTGCCCGCGCTCCTGCATTTCCCGTGCACCGGGCTGCCGGTAGCTCCGGCCGCCCAGCCCCCGCGGCAGCAACAGCAGCAACAGCAGCAGCAGCACCGGGGGAGCCCCCCCAGGCGGACTACAAGTCCCGGCAGGCCGCGCGCGGGCCGCGCATGCGCAGCGGGGACCGGCGTTTGAGTGGCAAGTTGTTTGTTACAGCGAACACCAGCTGCTCCCCGCGCCGGGCGCCGCGCGCCGCTGCTCCGCCGCTCGGCCCCTCGGCTGCTGCTCCGCCGGCGCTGCCTCCCTCGCCCCGCGGCTCCCCCTTGCAACTTGGCGGGCCTCCTCCCTTTTGTCCGGCCCGGCCCGGCCGCCGCCGCCCCCCGCGCCCGGCGCCGAGCTCCCGGGTCTCCGGGCCGGCTGTCGGTGCCGGCAGGGCGCGGAGGGGGCGGGGGCCGCGGCTCGTCCCCCCGCGGATGAGCCGCCGCGGACGGGGCGCGGGCGGACGATGGAACTCCACATCCTGGAGCACCGGCTGCAAGTTGCCAGCGTCGCCAAGGAGAGTATCCCGCTGTTCACCTACGGCCTGATCAAACTTGCCTTCCTGTCCTCCAAGACCAGGTAAGCGCGCGGGGACGCGGCGCCGGCCGGGGACAGACAAAGGGGGCGCACCCCGGGCCGCTGTCCTCGCCGCCGCGCCTCGGAAAACAACTTCGGGCCCCGGGAGCGCCCCCGCCCCGCCCCCGCCGCCGCTTCGCTCGCGTCTGACAAAGCCGGAGCCGCAGGGTCCTGGCTCCCGGACCCCTCGCAACCTTCCACCCCCCGGTGCGCCACCCCCCACCTCTGTCGTCCCCCCCATCTCCCACCCCCTCCCCCATCGCAGCCCCCTCCCCGAAATCCGGGGGGCTGGGGCGGCTGCAGTGACGGATCCGTGAATGGATGAAGGAACGAACGAATGAATGAATGAAAAACAGGTGTGGGGACGAGGCCGTGGAAAAAACAAACGCCCCCATCCCCCCATCCCTCGGTTGGGCCGGCCCCGTCGCCACGGCGGGGGGAGGGATTCCGCTGAGCGCGGTTACCCAGAGCAGAAAATCATAAAATCATTAGTGGGTGTTTATCTCAAGGTGCCTACGAGGCTTGCTGCGGACGGCCTGGAATTGCGGGGGGGAAACGGGGGGTGGGCGAGGGCCAGGGAGGGGCTGCAGAGGACGTGATTCTTTCTCCTTGGGGTCCTGGAAAGGGGGTGGGGGGGTGTTTTGCCCAACCGTAGAAGGGGAGGAGCAGGCATGTTTATGCATCTGCCTTGAGGCTGGGCTTGGATGCTGCAGGGGGAAAAATAGTTGAAGGCCTTGGAAGGTAAAAGAGGGAATCACACACACACACACACACACACACACACACACACACTCTCTCTCTCTCTCTCTCTCTCTCTCTCTCTCTCTCTCTCACTTGGATTTTCCCTATGCCAGGTAAGGGTTTGACATTGTGAGCCCCGGTGGGTGCTTGCATTAGGGTTTTGTTGTTGTTGTTTAAGGAGCCTGAGCCGAGGGGAGTGTGAGTGCCAGCTAGCTGCTGTAACTTAAGTCTCATTTGCCCACCATTGTGACTGTTAAAAAGGAATGATAAAGTTGTTACTGGTTGGTTTTTCGCGGTTTGGGGCGGTGGTGGCTCTCCCTCACTGCAAAATGAATGAATACTTTTCGGGTCAAGGTTAGCGTGAAAATGACAGCCCCCTTAGGCTGCCCCCTTTGGCACTGAGCTCTAGGGACACAGGGAAATAATTCCAGCCTGTTATCTGCCTGTGAAAAGTTCTTGCTTGGAAATCTCACTTTGATGTGTGTGTCTGAGCCGGGTGCTCAGTCCGGCTATTGTTTGCGAGATGGAGCCAGACCTGCCGGTGGCATCTTGTTTACTTTCTTCTCCGGCTGCTCAGTAGGGGATGGAGATTTGAAATAGTCGCCAAGCCTCTGCCACGGAGCCTGTGCTCCCCGTTGATTGCAAAGGGTAATGATTAAACAGGTCATTTGAAAACAAAAGCCAACAGCTCGGATTCTGAACCGCGCCCCCACCCCTCACACAAAGCCCCCTCTGGCTGTTGACACCTTCAGATCCTGCTTCTGCCTGCCCTCTGCCCCCCACTCCCTAGCCGGGCTTGACGTTCCAAAGCTTGGAGGTAACAGAACAGCCTTGTTTTTCCTAGCCTTGGCCCTCAGCCCTGGGCAGCCCCCTGGCTGATTTCTCGGCCACCATTCAAATGAGAATGATGACTCAGGCTGCGGCTGTGCACAGGGCCTGGGTGCTGGAAGCGGGGGGCATTTGGGGGCTTCTTAGAAAGGCAGCAAAGGGCAGGGTCCCTCAGCCCCTTTCCCTTGGTGGAGAGACTGGCCTTCTTCCAGCCCCCAACTCAGGATCCCCTTTGGGTACTCATGGATAGGCGTGTCTCTGGGGTCAAGCCCCCCTGCTGGCCTCTGGGAACACAAGAAGACCTGTCCCTCAGTGGGTCCCCCTTCCTCCCTCCTGCAGAAAGCAGCCTGTCCTGTCCCAGGCCCAGGTGACCCAGCTGACTAGTCCAGTTTCAAGATGACTCAGAGGCCAAAGGCCATCGCTGTGTTTCCATGGTCCGGCCTCAGAAGGTGCGGAACATTCGTCAAATGCCTGAGGACCTGCCACCCCATGCACTCTGAGCCCAGATCATGGCTTCAGGTCATGTGTGACCACAGCCCCCTGCCTGCCTGGCTGAGGCGAAGTCTGTCTCCTCTGGCTCACACTTCGTCCGTCTGTAAAATAGAGATAGCACTATTTGGCCCCCTCATGGACACAGAACTGCTGTGTGGATGGTGTGGGACGATTGTGGGAAATGGCTTTTTAGCAAGTGTTAATGGGTCGCAGCCTGCCGACATAGCATTTAAACTGTTTTCAATAATCAGCCATCCAGGTAGAACCCCTTAGATTGTTCCTGCAATACCTGCCCCTAGGTGGTGACCCATAGCTCTGTCACCTCCCTCTCCAAAACCTAAGTTTAGCCCAGACTAGCACAGCATGCCCTGAGGGTCCCTGTGCCACCTGTTTACTTTTTTTTTTTTTTTTTTTTTTGAGACTGAGTTTTGCTCTTGTCCGGGCTGGAGTGCAATGGCGCCATCTCGGCTCACTGCAGCCTCCACCTCCTGGGTTCAAGTGATTCTCCTGCCTCAGCCTCCCGAGTAGCTGGGATTACAGGCATGCGCCACCACACCTGGCTAATTTGGTGTGGAGACGGGGCTTCTCCATGTTGGTCAGGCTGGTCTTGAACTCCCGACCTCAGGTGATCCACTGGCCTCGACCTCCCAAAGTGCTGGGATTACAGGCGTGAGCCACCGCGCCCGGCCCGTTTACAGTTTTGTCAGTCACTCTATAGCATCAAATCATTGACATGGCATTCGAGGCCCTTTGGGATCTAGATCCTGAATCCTCATCTTTATTTTTTTTATTTTTTATTTTTCTCTTTTAGAGACAGAGTCTTGCTCTGTCGTACAGGCTGGAGTACAGTGGCGCCATCATAGATCAATACAGCCTCCAACTCCTGGGCTCAAGCAATCCTCCCACCTCGACCTCCCAAAGTCCTGGGATTACTGCTCCTGGCCTTGAATCCTCATCTTTAGCCCTCCCCCAGCAAATACACAATTTCCCTTATTGTTCCCTACATACCTCTGTGCCTTTGTATCTACCTCTCTTCCATTTGCCTGGAATATTCTCCCCCACCCACCCCTAGTAAATTCCTATTCAGTCCTCAAGAGCTAATGATAGCGCTAATGATAGCATGCTGAAACCTTCCTGAACTTTTCCCTCCGCTCCTTAGCAGGCTTAAGTCACTTCTCTCTCGTGGAGTGGAGTTGTGGAAAGGGAATGGCATTAGGAAACATTCACTCTGTGTTGGGGTGTGGCTGGGTCCAAGGGATGCAGAGATACCTTGCCCCTTCCTCTGCCAAGCCCTAGAGCCTGGTGGAAGAGAAAGAAAGAGGCCATCATTCTACAGCAGGGTGGAGTCAGGGAAGGGCTGGTCTAGCAGGGTACCTAGAACGCCGGGTGCCTACCTGTAGGAGGTGGCACTAGATCTTAGAGCTTTTTTTTGTTTGTTTTTAAGAGATGGGGTCTCTGTTGCCCAGGCTGAAGTACAGTGGCACCATCATAGCTCACTGCAGCCTCGAACTCCTAGGCTCAAGCAATCCTCTCACCTCGGCCTCCCAAGCACCTGGGACTGCGGGTGCGCACCACCACACTCAGCTAATTTTTAAATTTCTTGTAGCGATGGGGGTCTCACTGTGTTGCCCGGGCTGGCCTTGAACTCCTGGCCTCACATGATCCTCCCACCTCAGCCTGTCAGAGGTGCGTGCGGACATAACATTTAAACTGTTACAGGCATGAGCTTACAGGCATGAGCCATTGGCCCTTAGGGCTTTTGAAGTAGGAAAGCCAGTGGCTCACATTTGGAGTTAACTAGTTGGAAGAGAGGATCTAGACCCCAGGACCCCCAGGTACGTTCTGTGTATTAGGTATTAAACCTGCTTTGCAAACCAGGAAGCTGGGGTTCAAAGATTAAGTGACTTGCTCAAGGTCAGGCAAGAAGTGATAGATCCGGGATTTAAATGTGCCAATCTGCACCTTTCTGGCACAAGCTCTGAGATTTTGCTATTGCAGGTTGCAAGAGATGCCCCCATTGAATGGTTATGTCCAGCCCTTCTGTCTACAGCACAGTGTTCTGAAAGGCTTAGGAGCACAGAACTGAAATGCTGGCCTTTCTGTATTCCTGCCTATTTGGCTTTGGTGGGCCTTTTCTTTTTTTTTTTTTTTTTTTGGAGATAGGGTCTTCTTCTGTCACCCAGGCCGGAGTGCAGTGGCGTGATCACGGCTCACTGCAGCCTACACCTCCCGGGCTTGAGTGATCTGCTACCAGAGCTGTTTTCTTCTCCCAGGGATACTTGGTCCTTATCACTCCCATCTAGACGGTTACTTCCTTTTTTTTTTGAAACGGAGTCTTGCTCTGTCACCCAGGCTGGAGTGCAGTGGTGTGTTCTCAGCTCCCTGCAACCTCCACCCCAAGAAGCTGGGATCACAGGCGTGCGCCACCACGCCCGGTAAATTTTTGTATGTTTAGTAAAGACTGGGTTTCGCCATGTTTGCCAGGCTGGTGTCGAACTCCTGACCTCAAGTGATCCACCCACCTCGGCCTCCCAAAATGCTGGGATTACAGGCGAGAGCCACCGCGACCTGCTTAGACATTCTACTTCGTTAGAGCCTTAGAGCCTATCTCAGATACTTTCTTCCGGGCACCTTGCGTATTTCTCAACTTTTGCCGATAACAACATGTTATTGGCTTGTCTTTTTCTCTTACCTAGATTATCAACCTTCAAGTTTTTTGTGCATGATTTGATCCACCCCTTCCCACCACATCACCACAGTACCTACCAGTGGTGATGAGAGCTACCGTTGACTTTGCCATATTTTGCAGAGCGGTGAAGACACTAGCTTTGGAGAAGTACAATGGCAAGGTCGCACAGCTGGAAAGAAACAGAATTGGGATTTGAACTAGGTCCCGTCTCCGCTGCGTGTAGCACCCTGCTTTGTAGGCACTTAGTAAACGTCTGTTTGATGGATTTCTGACCATCAGAGTGACCCAGATTTCAACCCAAGTATTTGCCAGAGTCTCATAGGAGTGCCCTGGGGCTGGAAGATATGTCGTTGTAGAAGGCAGGATCACACCTGCTAGAAGCAGAGCCCAGCGACCCTGTCCCGGGTCTGCTGAACCAGGCCTCTGCCCAGGACCTTTGGAGGAGCATCTGGGTGTGGCTGGACTAGGCGAGGAATGTGCTTACTTATTCTCAGCATAAAGCCAGAAGGCAAGACCCTGGGTAGGTCTGTCCGATGAGCTTCCCTTGTCCTCTGTGGTAACCCTGAGGCTCTGTGACCTAGCTGAGGGCCCTCTGTGGCCCACCTCACCTTGTCTCTCCAGCCTCACCTCGAAGCTTCCAGCCACACCCTAGCGTGCCTCCAGCCTTCAGGCCTTTGTTCTTTCTGCCCAGAGTATTACTTCTTGCCTTACCCCTTTCTTCCCCGTGCATCCTTCTAGATTCCATTTCAGCTTCCCTGAGGGCACGTTGGGCTCACTCTTCTTCTGGTAGGACGGGCTTAACTCAAAACGATAAGGCCAGACCCAGTGGCTCCTGCCTATAATCCCAGCATTTTGGGAGGCTGAGGTTGGAGGATCCCTTGAAGCTAGGAGGTTGAGACCAGCCTGGGCAACAAAGCAAGACCCCATCTCCACAAAAAAAAATTTTTTAAAATAACTTTTTAAAAAATAGCCAGGCATGGCGGTGCACACCTGTCTCAGGAGGTTTGGGTGGGAGGATCACTTGAGCCCGGGAATTTGAGGCTGCAGTGAGCTATGATGGTGCCACTGCACTCCAGCCTGAGCGACAGAGACCCTGTCTCTGAAAAATAATAAAAAAAGAAGAAGAAATGTAACCAGGGGCTATCAACAAGGATGCTTTGTGGTTTTTGTTTGTTTGTTTGAGATGGAGTCTCACTTGGTCGCCCAGGCTGGAGTATAGTGGTACAATCTCGGCTCACTGCAACCTCCGCCTCCCTGGTTCAAGCAATTCTCCTGCCTCAGCCTCTGGAGTAGCTAGGATTACAGGCACCCACCACCATGCCCGGCTAATTTTGTATTTTTAGTAGAGACGGGGTTTAGCCGTGTTACTCAGGCTGGTCTCGAACTCCTGACCTCAGGTAATCCTCCCTCCTTGGCCTCCGAGAGTGCTGAGATAACAGGCGTGAACCACTGCGCCCAGCCAGCAAGGATGCTTTGAGCTACAAACAACAGAAAGCCAGGACATAACCAATAAGAAGTTTGAACTTTGTGTGATCAGAGTTTATGGGTTGGGCTGCCCCAGGCTTGGATAACTTAAAGGCTTGATGAGGTCATCAATTTATGCTTGGCTACCCATGGCACAGAAGCATAGCCCCACTGTGATGGCTGGGGTGGCTCCGGGCATCCTGGGCAGTCAGGAGGAAACTCCATGAAGGAAGGAGCTAACCTTTCTGGGGGTACCCCTATCCCAGCACAGACTTCCTCATCTCATTGGTCAGAACTGGGTCACATGAACATGCCTCAGCCTATCACAGGCACAGGGAATGAGACCATCATGGACCAATCAGGATTCACCACTCAAGGTGGGGCCTGCCATCCGGATGGATGCTCTCCGCCACAGGGAGGTGGGGGACCCAGAAGCTGTGGGCAATGGCCATGTGCACAGTAGGACTGAGGCACTCAGTCCCGTAGCTGACCTACCTGGGACAGGCCTGGAGGCTGACTTAGGTGTGAGGGGCAGAGAGATTACTGTGCACAGACCGCTGTGTGACCCCAGATCTAGGTGGGATCCCGGTGTGCCCCATCTGCCTGGCTTACCCCAACCCCTCTGGAACCTGAACCTACTCCCAGAGTCCCCTCTGTTTTTTTATTAATATTATTATGGAGACATCTCTTTATTTATTTATTTTGGAGACAAGCTCTATTGCCCAGGCTGGAGTGCAGTGGCACCATCATAGCTCACTGCAGCCTCAAATTCCTGGGCTCAAGGTATCCTCCTGCCTCAGCCGCCCGAATAGCTGGGACTACAGGCATGCAGCACCACACCTGGTTAATTTATTTTACTCTGTTTTTAGTAGAGACAAGGTCTCACTGTGTTGTCCAGACTGGTCTTGAACTCCTGGCCTCAAGCAATCCTCTCACCTCGGCCTCCCAAAGTGCTAGGATTACAGGTGTGAGCTACCATGCCTGGCTAATTTTTGTATTTTTAGTAGAGATGGGGTTTCAACATGTTGGCCAGGCTGGTCTCGAACTCCTGACCTCAGACGCTCCACCTGCCTTGGCCTCCCCAAAGTGCTGAGATTACAGGTGTGAGCCACCATGCTCAGCCAAGCAGCACTCTCCTTTTTGCCCATGAAATGCTGTTATCTTTAAATTCCATTCTAGAAAGTCCATTGGATTGGCAAAAACTACACAGGCAAGTATGCAGTAAGCATGGGCCCATGGAAACTTCCTGCTGCCTTCCTGGGCCGGATCTGCTGAATGCAGGTCTCTGGTTTGTTTTGGCCTGCACTGGGTCATTCGTGTTCCTACATGCAGGAAATCTTGCAAACGAGCCATGGTGAACACTAAAGTCTTTTGTTTTTTTTTTTTTGTTTGTTTGTTTTTGAGACAGAGTCTTGCTCTGTCGCCCAGCCTGGAGTGCAATGGCGCAATCTCGGCTCACTGCAACCTTCCCCTCCCAGGTTCAAGCAATTCTCCTGCCTCAGCCTTCCGAGTAGCTGGGATTACAGGCGCATGCCACCACACCCAGCTAATTTTTGTATTTTTAGTAGAGACGGGGTTTCACCATGTTGGTCAGGCTGGTCTCGAACTCCTGACCTTGTGATCTGCCCGTCTGGGCCTCCCAAAGTGCTGGGAGGCGTGAGCCACCATGCCCGGCCAGTGAACACTAACGTCTTACGAGGTATTTATGAGAGAAAAGCTTAAAATTGCAAAAAGTCCATGCAGAGCCCTCATTCCTCGCAACACATTGGGCTGAGGCCACTGTCTAATTGCAGTTTAGGGAAAGACAGGCTATCCCAAGGGAGTTAGAGCCCTGGGACACCTGGGCTGGAATCCCAGCACTGCTCATCCTGGCTGTGTGACCTTGGGCAAGTTGCTTGACCTCTCTGTGCTATGTTTCTTACCTGTAAAACAGAGATGATGATCATGCCTGTAACGTAAGTGGTTGTGAGGGCTTGATGAGATAAACCACGTCAAGCACTCTCAAGAGTATCTGGTCCACTAGAAGCTCCAGTAAGCTTTTTTTTTTTTTTTTTTTTTTGAGACAGAGTCTTGCTCTGTTGCCCCGGCTGGAGTGCAGTGGCATGATCTCAGCTCACTGCAACCTCTGTCTCCCAGGTTCAAGCGATTCTCCTGCTTTAGTCTCCCAAGTAGCTGGGATTACAGGTCTCTACCACCATGCCTGGCTAATTTTTGTATTTTTAATAAAGACACCTGGAACTCCAAAAGTGCTGGATTACAAGTGTGAGCCACTGTACCCAGCCATTAAGCATTAACTGGGAAGGCCCTGGGTCCACTGGCCAGCACCAGTTTGTGAGGGCAGAGCCAGAAAAGCCCAGGCTTAGAAGACTACACACACACATAATCGCATCCTGATTCTGGAAAGTGGAGATGCTGTCACTGCTCTCGCAGAATTAAGCCAAGGACCTCACCTGTCATTTAGGTGTCAGGCCTCTGGCAGGGGCAGCCAAAATGCTCTAGGACCACAGAGCTGCAAGCCAGTAAGGCTTCCTAGAGGAGGCAGCACCATCTGAGCCAAGAATGGGGTGATGGCTGGCATGAGAAAATGTCAGGAGGTGCTGGGGTTAAAGCAAGATGAGCAAGCAGGGAACAGGAGTGGGTGGCTACAGATGGATCAGGGGAGGGGTATAGGTGAAGAGGGTACGGGGTGAGCCCCAGAGCCTTGCGTGTGCCCACTCAGGACAGCCATAGTCTGCTGCTGCCCAGAGAAAGGGGCTGGCTCAACCCTAGCTCCCAAATCTTTTTCCTATGCCTTTTTCCTTTTTCCTCATCTCTTTCCTGAACTATCCAGATATCTTCCTGCCTCCTGCCTCCTGCTTCTAGGGCGGCTCAAATGCTCATTGCTGCCCCATCCCTCTGGGCTGGAGGAGCAAACGCCTGGAGGCTGAAAGAGTAAGTTGTCTGCAGGGAACAAGCCACTGTCCTGTGGCGGGTGCAAATTGGTATGCTCTGTTCACTGAGAAACCCCGCAGTGTATACCTGCGGTAGGCAGGGCCTGATAGGAAGCGCGAAAGGAGTTTCTGTCCCATGGGAGGAAAAGACGTGAGTCCTGTATGTTCTCCAGCAAAGGTAGAGGGTGAGAGGACCAGAGGCCCACACAGGGGGCATGGCTGGGAGTGCAGGGGCAGGGGGTAGTCTGGGAGGATGGAGGGACACAACTGGAGTGGGTGCTGGGTGGACTTCATGCATTCCTTCAGAAGCCCTGGCCACATCTCTGCCTTGTTGGTTTTGTTTGTTTTTTGAGACAGGGTCTCACTCTGTCACCCAAGCGGGAATGCAATGGCGTGATCTCAGCTCACTGCAACCTCTGCTTCCTGGGTTCAAGTGACTCTTGTGCCTCAGCCTCCTGAGTAGCTGGGATTACAGGCGTGCACCACCATGCCTGGCTAATTTTGTGTATTTTAATAGAGACGGGGTTTTGCCTTGTTGGCCAGGGTGGTCTCGAACTCCTGACCTCAGGTGATCCACCCACCTTGGCCTTCCAAAGTGCTGGGATTACAGGCGTGAGCCACCACTCCCGGCCTGAATCTTTCTTGATCAGATGTCTTCTGTCTATCCACTCTGGCTCTGTCTACTCCCTTCCCAACACATGCCCTGTTTTAGGTAACCATGGTAGTTTTGTTTTGTTTTGTTTTGCTTTTGTTTTTGGAGATGGAGTTACACTCTGTTGCCCAGGATGGAGTGCAGTGGCACGATCTCGGCTCACTGCAACCTCTGCCTCCTGGGTTGAAGTGATGCTCCTGCCTCAGCCTCCTGAGTAGCTGGGGTTACAGGTACCACCACCATGCTCAGCTAATTTTTTGTATTTTTAATTTAGATGGGTTTTCCCAGGTTGGACAGGCTGGTCTTGAACTCCTGACCTCAAGTGATCTGCGCGCCTTGGCCTCCCAACGTGCTGGGATTACAGGCATGAGCACTGCGCCTGGCCAACCGTGGTAGTTTTTAGATTTTTTGTACAGAGGGGGTCTCACTCTGTTGTCCATGCCGGTCTCAAACTCCTGACCTTAAGTGATCCTCCCGTCTTGGTTTCCCAAAGTGCTGGGATTACAGGCATGAGCCACTGCTCCCAGCTGCTGGTGGTTTTAAAAGCTAGGATTGGCTGGGCGCAGTGGCTCACGCCTGTAATCCCAGCACTTTGGGAGACCGAGGCGGGCGGATCACAAGGTCAGGAGATCGAGACCATCCTGGCTAACACGGTGAAACCCCGTCTCTACTAAAAATAGAAAAATTAGCCAGGCGTGGTGGCGGGCGCCTGTATTCCCAGCTACTCAGGAGGCTGAGGCAGGAGAATGGCGTGAAGCCGAGATCGCGCCACTGCATTCCAGCCTGGGCGACAGAGCCAGACTCCATGTCAAAAAAAAAAAAAAAAAACCTGGGATCCCTCCACCCCCGTCTCCTTTAAATGTCTGTCTTGGCTACTTTCTTCTAAGTCACTAGGAGATGGTAAAAGCAATACCATGAGACTTCCGAGGCTAGGGCACGAAAGGATGGCTTCTGCGTGGTGCTCCCTCTCTCCCAGATCCCTTGCTCTGTAGGAAACCAACCCCCAAGGCCTGAAGACACCCAAGCAGCCCCATGGAGAGGCCCATATGGAGAGGAACTGAGGCATCCCACCCCCAACCGGCAGCTCGGGGCTTTGAAAACAGATCCTTCCGCCCCAGGCAAGCCTTCCAATGGATTGCAGCCCCAGCCAATGCCTTGAACTGCCAAGTTCAGCCACACCTAAATTCCTAACCCATAGGAACTGTGAGAGATAATAAAAGTTTGTTGTTGTTTCAAGCCACTAAGATCTGGGGTAATTTGTTATGTAGCAACAGATAAGGAATGAAATGACCCTGCCATTTATCATTGAGATGGGAATAAACTTTTTTTAGAATAGCAGGAAGTACTTTAAATAATTACTAGATTGGCCAAGCACAGTGGCTCACGCCTGTAATCCCAGCACGCCTGTAATCCCAGCACTTCAGGCTGATCGCTTGAGCTCAGGAATTGGAGACCAGCGGAGGCAACATGGTGGGACCCCGACTCTGCAAAAAATACAGAAAAATTAGCTAGGCATGATGGCGCCTGCCTGTGATCCCAACTACTCAGGAGGCTGAGGTGGGAGGATTGCTTGAGCCTAGGAGGTAGAGGTTGCAGTGAGCCGAGATTGCACCACTGTACTCCAGCCTGGACAACATAATGAGACCCTGTCTCCTCCTCCTCCTCCTCCTCCTCCTCCTCCTCCTCATCACCATCATCACAATAATAACAACAACAACCTGCAGACAATAGGGCAAACCTGACCATGTGATCACCCTACCTTTAGTCCAGCCAGAGAAGTCTTGTGAGTCCTTAAACCTAACACAGACACTTCTTGAGGTCGGCTTCAGCATCCTCTCCTCCAGGAAGCCACCCTGGTGCCTGGTGAGTGGCTTCCTGGGATCACCCATGCCTCAGTGTGCAGGATGAGAGGGCTGGTCCTGATCCCCTTCTGTCCTCACCCCCAGGTCCATGTCCAGGGCTTAGGACTGGTCGTCCCTTGGTGTTGACTCATCTCCCAGGGATCAAAAAAGTCAGTTGTAGCTGGGCGCAGTGGCTCACGCCTGTAATCCCAGCACCTGTGGGAGGGCCAAGCGGGTACATCGCCTGAGGTCAGTAGTTCGAGACCAGCCCGGCCAACAAGGTGAAGCCCTGACTCTACCAAAAATACAAAAATTAGCCGATGTGGTGGTGGGCGCCTGTAATCCCAGCTACTGGGGAGGCTGAGGCAGGAGAATCGCTTGAACCTGGAAGGCAGAGGTTGCAGTGAGCCGAAATCGTGCCACTACACTCCAGCCTGGGTGACAAGAGTGAAACTCCATCTCAAAAAAAAAAACAAAAAAACACCTTGTAAAAGGTTTAATTGGTCTCTCTTCTGAGCCTGCACACGGCTGGAAAGGTTTTCTCTTATAACAGATCTGCAGTATGAAAAACCAGCCCAGTTGCATCCGTTCTGGGCCAGTGGGATTCTGGGTGTCCAAGGTCCCTGTGGGCCATCTACGGTGCTAAATTGAAACTTTTTGAAAAGCATTTTTTTTTTGAGATGGAGTCTGGCTCTGTCACCCAGGCTGGAGTGGAGTGGTGAGATCTTGGCTCACTGCAAACTCTGCCTCCCGGGTTCACGCCATTCTCCTGCCTCAGCCTCCCGAGTAGCTGGGACTACAGGCACCTGCCACCACGCCTGGCTAATTTTTTTGTATTTTTAGTAGAGACAGAGTTTCACTGTGTGAGCCAGGATGGTCTCGATCTCCTGACCTTGTGATCTACCCGCCTCAGCTTCCCGAAGTGCTAGGATTACAGGCATGAGCCACCGCACCTGGCCTGAAAAAAATTCTTGAGACAGGGTCTCACTGTGTCACCCAAGCTGGAGTGCAGTGATGCAATCTCAGCTCACTCCAGCCTCGATTTCTCAGGCTCCAGCAATCCTCCCTGCCTCAGCCCCACTGAGTAGCTGGGACTGCAAGCACTCGCCACTACACCCAGATAATTTTTGTTTTTTTTGTAGAGATGGGGTCTCGCTATGTTGCCCAGGCTGGTCTCGAACTCCCGGGCCCAAGTAATCCTCCTGCCTCAGCCTTCCAAAGTGCTGGGATTACAGGTGTGAGCTACAGCGCCTGGCCTAAATGGAAAACTGGTGTCTAGGTGCCATATTCTCAGGCTTGCCCTCACCATAACACATTGAACATACTCCAACCTCTGAGCTAGATCTCTGCATCTCTGCTTAAAAGCCTGAGGTTTTGCTTGCACACCCCAATTTTTTTTTTTTTTTTGGAGACAGGGTCTTGCTGTCACCCAGGCTGGAGTGCAATGGTGCGATCTTGGCTCATTGCAACTTCCATCTCCTGGGTTCAAGCAATTCTGGTCCCTCAGCCTCCCGAGTAGCTGGGATTACAGGTGCACGCCACCACGCCTGGCTAATTTTTGCATTTTTAGTAGAGACGGGGTTTCATCATGTTGCCCAGGCTGGTCTTGAACTCCTGACCTCAAGTGATCCACCAGCCTCGGCCTCCCAGAGTGCTGGGATAACAGGCATGAGCCACCGCGCCTGGCCATGCACCCACATTTACAGCAACCTTATTCACTAAGGCCTAAAGATGGAAGTGACCCAGGTGTCTACTGATGGATGAACAGATCAACAAAGTGGGATGTATTCACACAAAGGAATATTATTCAGGGGGGAAAAGGAAGGAAATTCTGACACATGCTACAACATGAATGAACCTTGAAGACATCATGCTGAGTGAAATAAACTAGTCACAAAAGAACAAATACTGCATGAGATCCCACTTGTATGAAATACCTGGTGTAGCCGGAGTCATAGAGACAGAAAGAATGGTGGTTGCCAAGAGCTGGGGAGTTGGTGTTTAGTGGGTATGGAGTTCCTGTTGGGTAAGATGAAGAGTTCTAGAGATGGATGGTGGCAATTGCTGTCCGTATTGAAAATGTGCTTAACACGATTGAATTGCACACTTAAAGATAGTTAAGATGGTAGGTTTTGTTGTGTGTATTTTACCACAATTAATAAAATTTGAGGCCAGGTGTGGTGGCTCATGCCTGTAATCCCAGCACTTTGGGAGGCTGAGGTGAGTAGATTGGTTGAGCTCACAAGTCGGAGACCAGCCTGGGCAACATGGTGAAACCTCATCTCTACAAAATATACAAAATGTAGCTGGGCTTAGTGGCGTGCACCTGTGGTCTTAGCTACTCAGGAGGCTGAGGTGGAAGGATCGCTTGACCCCGGGAGGTAGAGGCTGCAGTGAGCCGAGATTGTGCCACTGTACTCCAGCCAGGCAGTAGAGCCAGACCTTGTCTCAAAAAAATAAAAATAAAAATTAATGTTTAAGATTTTATTTTATTTTAGATTTAAGAGGTACATGTGGATGTTTGTTACATGGATATATGGCATACTGGTAGGGACTGGGCCTCTAGTACGCCCATTACCCAAATAGTGAACATTGTACCCGATAAGTAATTTTTTTAACCTTCCTCCCCTTCCCAACCTCCCCTCTATTGGAATCCCCAGTGTCTGATGTTCCCATATTTTTTTTTTTTTTGAGACGGAGTCTTACTCTATTGCCCAGGCTGGAGTGCAGTGCAATCTCGGCTCAGTACAGCCTCTGCCACCTGGGTTCAAGTGATCCTCCTGCCTCAGCCTCCCGAGTAGCTGGGACTACAGGCATGTGCCACCACACCCAGCTAATTTTTGTATTTTTTAGTAGAGATGGGGTTTCACCATGTAGGCCAGGCTGGTCTCAAACTCCTGACCTCAGGTGATTCGCCTGCCTCGGCCTCCCAAAGGGCTGAGATCATACGCGTGAGCCGCTGCTCCCGGCCATGGCAGATCCTTCTTGAACACCCACTATGCATGAGGCCTCCGCTGGGAGTTCCCATCATTCACCCTCATAGCAGCTCTACAGGAAGGAGCTGTCTGCCCCCAAGTCACACAGTGGACAACAGCAGTTTGGGGGTCAGCCTTGGCCCCCCCACTCCGAACTCCTCGCCGCCTATGCCCTCCACTCCTTTCCACTGTTAACCCAAGATGGAAAAGCTTATGCCAAGGGTCATTTCTCAGGATATGCACATAACAGGAAAATGTGTTTTTATCCAAATTCCCACAACCCACCAGCCATGTGATCTTGGGCAACTTAGAACCTCCAAGGAGGGGCTGGCTCTGTTATCTATGCTAGAGTGCAGTGGCATGAGCATAGCTCACTGCAGCCTCAACCTTCCAGGCATAAGCAATCCTCCTGCCTCAGCCTTCCAAGTAGCTGGGACTACAGGTGTGCACCGTCATGCCCAGCTAATTTTTAAAAAAGATTTTTAGTAGCAACAGGGTCTTACTATGTTGCCCAGGCCAGTCTCAAACTCTTGAGCTCAGACAATTCTCCTGCCTTGACCTTCCAACGTGGTAGAATTATAGGCGTAAGCCACCACACCGTGGCCTGGTTTCATCTTTAAAATAGGGATAAGGTGAAGCATGGTGGCTCACACTTGTAATCCCATCACTTTGGCAGGTCGAAGCGGGAGGATTGCCTGAGCTCAGGAGTTTGAGATCAGCCTGGACAGCATAGTGAGACCCCATCTCTACCAAAAAATAACTGGAGATAACACTATCAACATCTTGGGTGGTTGTGAGAATTAAATGGGGAATTTTATGTTAGGGACTTAGTGAGGTGTTGATTACATAGTGAACCTATTATTCACAGAAATTCAATGGATGTTTTGAGGTGCCCTCTACTTGATGCAAGCCTCGGCGAGGTGGCAGTGGTGGCCTCTGTCCCCATGGCACGGATGGTCTGTTCTGCTTTGGAAGCACTGGAAGGGCACATCTGACAATTGCAGGATGGCTGGTTTTTATTGGAGGAAGGGAAGCTGTTTATTTGTTTCAGATTGGCTGAGCTGTGGGGATGCGGGAGGCTGGCAGGAGGGGAGGGGTCTATAGTAAGGAGACTGGAGAAACTCTGGGGGCCAGGCAGGCAGCCCCCTGGTAAGAGCTGCTTCTTGGAACACAAAGAGCCGTTGCGTCCTCCAGCCGGCCTTGAGGAAGGTGTGACTTCTCTGCTCCCAGCAATGTCTTGGGCACCCTTCTCTGCCCTGCACACCAGCTCTGCCTGCAGGGTGCCTGGACACTCTGGGTGTCTACTGTGTCCCCATATGGTGCTTGCAAGTCTTCCTCCCAGACTGCCCCCTGCTTCTGTGTCCCCTCCCTGGTGCACAGCACCACATCCAGCCCCCCTCCCACCCAGCCCACCCAGGTCCTGCCCACGTGACCCCCAGTCTTTCTCCAGTCGCACCTCCTCTGCACGCTGACCGCCATGTCTTGTCCTCTTTTTCTTTTTTTTTGAGACAGAGTCTTGCTCTGTCATCCCGGCTGCTGGAGTGCAATGGCGCAATCTTGGCTCACTGCAACCTCCGCCTCCCGTGTTCAAGTGATTCTCCTGCCTCAGTCCTCCCTGGGACTACAGGGGTACACCACCATGCCTGGCTAATTTTTATATTTTCAGTAGAGTCAGGGTTTCACCATGTTGGCCAGGCTGGTCTCGAACTCCTAACCTCAGGTGATCCACCCGCCTCGGCCTCCCAAAGTGCTGGGATTACAGGCGTGAGCCACCGTGCCCAGGCTGTGTGCTTCTATTCTAGCTCCCCGACTCCTGATCCCCTGACCCTGAGGCCTCAGGACGAAGGTCTCATCCCCTCCAGGCAGGCCCTCCTTGGCAGGGCAGCTTCAATTTGTATAGGAATCAAATCCATCCTGTTGGGGTTTTACCATGTTCCCCAGGCTGGTCTTGAACTCCTGGGCTCAGACAATTCTCCTACCTTGGCCTCCTAAGGTGCTGGGATTACAAGTATGAGCTACCATGCCGGGCCTATTTTTTTTTTAATAATTTTTTTTTTAATGTGGGAGAGTTCAAATGTGAAATCAAGGCCCGGTGCGGTGGCTCACGCCTATAATCCCAGCACTTTGGGAGGTGGAGGCAAGAGGATCGCTTGAGGCCAGGAATTCAAGACCATTTGGGGCAACATAGCCAGACCCCGTCTCTACAAGAAATTTTAAAAATTAGCCAGACGTGGTAGTGCACACCTGTAGCCCCAGCTACTCTGGAGGCTGAGACAGGAGGATCACTGGAGCCCAGGAGTTGGAGGCTGCAGTGAGCTATGCTCACACCATTGCACTCCAGCCTGGTTGACAAAGTGAGACCCAGTCTCAAGAAAAAAAAAAAAAAGTGGGAAGAAGCATACCCCACCACACTTCTTCTTTGGGGTTAGAATTTTGGGCCTGCACTGGAATGTGGAACGCTGATAGGGGATGGGGACAGGTGGAGGTGTCAGGGGCGCCCTCAGACTCTACCCTCCTTCATTGCCTTAGAGGTGAGGCTGGGGAACGACCCTGGGGTAAGGGGTTGCCCGTGCCCACTCCCCTGCATGCAGGAGCTGGATCTCTGCTTCACTCTTCCCCTTTCCTGATGGGAACTTGCTCCTGCATTTGGCCCCTGGGCCTCTGGGTAACCTGCCCCAGCCACCGAGGGCTTGGCCCCAGGCGAGTGCATCTGTAAGGGCAGATCCCGCGGCGAATTTCCTGGGTGACTCCTTTGCACACACCCAGGCTGGACTCCCTCCACCCCCTCCCAACTGAGCAATGCTTTGGGGCTGTTTCGTCCACTAGAGCAGCACAGTCAAGAATGAGGGGGTGTATGGGCTGGGCGTGGTGGCTCACGCCTGTAATCCCAGCACTTTGGGAGGCTGAGGCAGGCGGATCACAAAGTCAGGAGTTCAAGACCAGCCTGGCTAATATGGTAAAACCCTGTCTCTACTAAAAATACAAAATTAGCCGGGTGTGGTGGTGCATGCCTGTAGTCCCAGCTACTCGGGAGGCTGAGGCAGGAGAATTGCTTGAACCCGGGAAGCGGAGGTTGCAGTGAGCAGAGATCACACCACTGCACTCCAGCCTGGGCAACAGAGTGAGACTCTGTCTCAAAAAAAAAAAGAATAAGGGGGTGACACCTCAGAGAACAAGCTGCAGGCCTGGTGTCACCTGCAGATGACAAGGCTACCGTATCCATTCCTCAAGCCAGGCCTCTGAGGAGCCCTGGTGGGTAGGGTGCTGGAGGGAGAACTCGAGCTTGCAGGCAGTAAAATGCATTTTTTTTTTTTTTTTTTGGTGGCGGGGACAGAGTCTCACCCTGCCGCCCAGGCTGGAGTGCAGTGGCGCAATCTCAGCTCACTGCAAACTCTTGACTCCTGGGTTTGAGCGATTCTCCTGCCTCAGCCTCCCGAGTAGCTGGGATTACAGGTGTGCACCACCACACTCAGCTAATTTTGGCGTTTTTAGTAGAGACAGGGTTTCGCCATGTTGGCCAGGCTGGTCTCAAACTCCTGACCTTGGGTGATCAACCTGCCTCAGCCTCCCAAAGTGCTGGGATTACAGGCGTGAGCCACTATGCCCGGCCACATTTCTTTCTTTCTTCTTTTTTTTTTTTTAATCTGTGCTTTTCTCCACCCTCTTCAGACTTTGTTCTAGTCTACAATTTCCCTCCTGCAGCTTCTCTCTGATGACGTCCCCACCCAGCCCGTCAGTCCAAATTAGCCTGGTTTAACTGCGTTTGTCAGTTTCTGTAGAAGAATGAAGAAGGTGATAGCACCCACGTTATAGGGCTGTTCACGGGAGGTTGAAGTGAGATCTTACAGAGAAAGTGCTTAGCAGGTGCCCCAGGTCCAGAGTGTGGGGTTGGCTGTGAGTCGTGTGCATTTCCTGCCCTGACCCCCTCTGCAAGCTTGGTTCCTGAGTGCTTGAGTGAGGCACACTTGACCTGCTTATGTGATTCCCATGGCACCATGGTGTGGGGAATGTCTCCCAACAAGACACCTTATCAAGCGCTCTCTCTCCACTCTGCTGTTCCTACCACATATTCCCAGGCAGGTCACCCTACCTTTCTTGTTTTCTTTTGAAGACAGGGTCTCGCTCGGTCACCCAGGCCAGAGTTCAGTGGCAAAATCATAGCTCACTGCAGCTCCTGGACTCAAGGGATCCTCCCGCCTCAGCCTCCTGAATAGCTGGGGCCGCAGGTGTGTGCCACCACACCTGGCTAATTTTTACAATATTTTGTAGAGACAGGGTTTCACTTTGTTGCCCAGGCTGGCCTCAAACTCCTGGCCTCAAACGATCCTCCTGCCTCGGCCTCCAAAAGTGCTGTGATTTCAGACGTGAGCCACCTCACCTGGCCTGACCCGGCCTTTCTGAGCCTTCAGCCCTCATCTTTGTCTGGGGGCATTCTAAAAACCAAGGAATAGAATACCAGGGTCAGACTCAGACTTTGCGTTCAGTAGGCCATGAATACTTGGGTTTTCGCTCAGTTTCTGGGGCATTGAGACTGATAGAAGCAACTGACCCCCTTAGCTAAGGCAGGCAGGCAGGTATTGTCACCAAGAGACCCTGGAGATCAGGAGAGGTTATTTGGGGTTGGGGATCTCCAAGGAGGGGCAGGGAAGTTAGTACCATCGTCGGGCTGGAAATGGGAAGCGTTTGGCTCGTTGGAAGTGGTGAGGCTGGGGTGTGGGACCCTCGCCATGTGACCTACGTGGGGTGATCTCAGTAGAAATTGGGACCTGCCAACCATGGTTGCCTGGGAGAGTTGCCTGGGCACCTGCCTGTGATCCCAACTACTCAGGAGGCTGAGGTGGGAGGATTGCTTGAGCCTAGGAGGTAGAGGTTGCAGTGAGCCAAGATTGCATCACTGAACTCCAGCCTGGGCAACAGAACAATTCTCTGTCTCAAAAACAAAAACAAAAACAAAAAAACAAAAAAAAACTATTTACCCAATTTCCCTTGCTTATGCATGCTTAAATTTTGTATAAGCTTAAATATCTTTTCCATCTAAGCTGTACTCTATCCCCTTTTATAACTTTAGGTGGCTGTCTTTATTAAAAGTTTTTTCTTGAAAGTCTTAAAACAATATAGTTCTTGGCAATTTGAAAGTTATTTGAGAAGGGGAAATTTATAATGACAATTCAAATGAAGCAAACTAAAAAATAATGAAGAAAGACAGAGGAAAAAGCAGTATTCACTTGAACACATCCCAAACAAATAAAATTTCAAATGTAACAAGGAAAAAGCCTGCTAAAGCTCACAATACAGAAATAACTATTGATACTCAAAATAGCTTTAAAGCCCTGCTCACCTTTTGAATGTTGGGAATTGACCAGGAGGTGACTGTAACTGTAAGATGGTTCTTCCAGTAATGACCATTTTCTTTTTCAAGATGATGATTATTCTCCACCGTCTAAGAGACCAAAGGCCAATGAGCTACCGCAGCCACCAGTCCCGGAACCCGCCAATGCTGGGAAGCGGAAAGTGAGGGAGTTCAACTTCGGTAAGTTCTCAGCGAACGACGTGACCTTTTCCTTCATCTTCTGGATTCTCAGTGTGACTGATAAATGTTGCAACATGCTCTGCAGGGGGAAAATGCTTTAGCGTCTATTACTGCATCATAATCTCATCTTTGGAAAGCCAGGAGCATTTTGAAAATTACATTACAGACATTGTTTAAACATAGTTTGGATTTACCAAAGCATAGGACATTGTCTTGTCTGATGTTAATTAGTCAGCTCAAGATTAGTGCTAAAGACTTAGTAATTTAGTTATTTCTCTTAGCTTTAAAATCTTTATTTCAGAACTATTTCACCTCTTGGTTTTCTTTTTTTTTTTTTTTGCTCTGTGTTACTGCAGCTGCTAATCTGTGAGCTCTCAATGGATGATGTATCCTAGCAAGGGACTGAATGAGATATTAGCGGCAAATTATGTTGATGATTCATATTTTGAATAAATGGAATATTGAGCTTGTATACATCTTGAAAATAGTACTTTAATATTCTACTGTGTCATAGTCACAATGATTGGATATGAATTGAATTTTTGTACTTTTTAAATATGTTTTTGTTCTTTATTTTTAATTTTTATTATTATTTTTTTGAGACAGAGTCTTGCTCTGTCACCCAGGTTGGAGTGCAGAGGCACGATCTCAGCTCACAGCAACCTCCGCCTCCCGGGTTCAAGTGATTCTTCTGCCTCAGCCTCCTGAGTAGCTGGGATTACAGGCGCCCACCACCATGCCCAGCTAATTGTTGTATTTTTAGTAGAGATGGGATTTCACCATGTTGGCCAGGCTGGAATCGAACTCCTGACCTCAGGTGATCCGCATGCCTCAGCCTCCCAAAGTGCTGGGATTACAGGCATGAGCCACTGCACTTGGCCTGTTCTTTAGCATTTTAAGTTGCAACTATATATCCGTAAAGTCTTATTTCCACACAACTAACACATGTTTTAGGAAGTTTGCTAAAAGACCCCTGGAGACCTTTATCGTGGTCTCCCTTTTGTCGTGTTTCATTTGCTTGATCTTTTCTGCCCTCCTGCTTTTCAGAAATTAAAAGGCTAAAAAGAGGTGCTAAATGTTAAAACTTCTCGTGTAGTCTCCCATGAGACTATTAAAAGTAATGGCAAAAGCCACAGTTACTTTTGCACCAACCTACTAATTCTAAGAACCACCAAAAAGGGGAAAGTTCTTGGAAAGCAGTAAAATGATATGGACAGTTGGGATGTAAAAATGTAGAAAATATGTCATTGTATGTTCAGTCATCCCAAGACCCTAGTGCTGCCCCGATGGTAGGGACTTCTTAATGAGAATTAACTTTTGCTCAATTTTCAGAGAAATGGAATGCTCGCATCACTGATCTACGTAAACAAGTTGAAGAATTGTTTGAAAGGAAATATGGTATGTCTAAATAGGAAAATTCCTGTAATACTTTGTTCATGAGCATTTACACAATGGCGTTACTGTTCATCATGGGGGTGATGTGGACAAGCCCAGCCCAGGGCTGCCAGTGAACCGTGCCACACTTTCTTACACGTCTCTCATTGTAAGGTCCTTAGTAGTGTCTGTCTAAATATTAGAAACAGTCTTTGTTTCTAGATTACAGTAAAGCTAAGGAAAAGTTGTATTTCTGTAGTTATCAGCTAACATTTCTTTTAAACTTCCAGCATGGATATTTGGGAATTTATTTACATATTTATTACAAAGCTCTGGATCTTGGGGGTTTCATTAAAAATTATTTTTTTAACTGATAGTTTCTGTTAATCTACTTTGTTAAATCCAGTATTTGCTGAGATCCCCCTATTGTCTCTACTTTTATCTTTTTTTTTTTTTGAGACGGAGTCTCTGCATTGCAGTAGTACGATCTCGGCTCATTGCAACCTCCGCCTCCCGGGTTCAAGCAATTCTCCTGGCTCAGTCTCCCAAGCAGCTGGGACTACAGGTGCCCGCCACCATGCCCTGCTAATTTTTGTATTTTTAGTAGAGACAGGGTTTCACCATGTTGGCCAGGCTTGTCTCAAACTCCTGACCTCAAGTGATCCTCCCGCCTTGGCCTCCCAAAGTGCTGGCATTACAGGCGTGAGCCACCCTTCCCGGCCACTGCTTTTATCTTGATGTATAACTGAGTTGATGCTAGATTTCAATTCCTTCTTTGTCCTTTTACTATTCTGTCCTATAGCCACCTTTATATAATGATCAAAGAAATTCACAATTTATCATTTTTATTTTTTATAAAATATTTAAAATGATTTAAAATAAAAATCATTTTATTTTTATCATATTTATTATCATCTGTTATCATTTTTATTTGGATGACTATTTACTTTGCCATTAACTAGCAAGCGGTAAAATTGTATGATATGCAGTTTTAACTGAATTGCTATAAGTGAAAATTTAAATGCAATAAACCATATTGATGGTATTTGTGTTAACAAACTTAAAATGAGCATTTTTTCTTCATCATGAGTAATATAACCTACCCCTCAATGAAAATCTACAATTAGAGTAAATTTGCTAGTGAATTCAGTAACTTTTCCATATTTTTAGTGGTTTACTTAAGGTTCTCTTAGTGTTTCTCCCAGTTTTTAATAGCTTACACCTTTTTTGCCCGTGGTTTTTTGTTTTTTGTTTTTTGTTTTTTTTTTTTTTTTTTTTTTGAGATAGAGTTTTGCTCTTGTTGCCTAGTCTGGAGTGGCACGATCTCGGCTCACTGCAACCTCTGCCTCCCAGGTTCAAGCAATTCTCCTGTCTGAGCCTCCTGAGTAGTTAAGATTACAGGTGCCCGCCACCATGCCCAGCTAATTTTTGTATTTTTAGTAGAGACAAGGTTTCACCATGTTGGCCAGGCTGGTCTTGAACTCCTAACCTCAGGTGATCCACCCACCTCGGCCTCCCAGAGTGCTGGGATTACAGGCGTGAGCCGCTGCGCCCGGCCTCATGTTTTCTATTGGTTCATTATGAAGCAAAAACTTCATAGCATGTGCTACCTGGAAGCACTGTGACCTAGTGGTAAGATCATAGGCTCTGGGGACACAGTGCCTTGCCACGTCTCTTCTCCTGTCTGAGTCTTAGTATCCTCTTTTGTGGTCATGAGAACTGAAGATCTATCCTGGAGATTGATAAGATAGTAAAGTGCTTCACGTAATACCTGGCATACATGTAATAAATGCTTCCTGTGTGTATATATATACACACATATACATATATATGTATATGTACATATACACATATACATATATATATATATACATAAACACATATACATATATATATAACACAGTGAAACCCCCGTCTCTACTAAAAATACAAAGAATTAGCTGGGCGTGGTGGCGGGCACCTGTAGTCCCAGCTACTCGGGAGGCTGAGGCAGGAGAATGGCGTGAGCCCGGGAGGCAGAGCTTGCAGTGAACCGAGATCACGCCACTGCACTGCAGCCTGGGAGACACAGCAAGACTCCATCTCAAAAAAATAAAAAAAAAGTTAAAGAGCACTACAGATTCAATGATTTATTATTCTTTTCTACAAATTGTGTTTAAATGATATCTCTTTCTCTTTTTGTCCTTATAGCTCAAGCCATAAAAGCCAAAGGTCCGGTGACGATCCCGTACCCTCTTTTCTAGTCTCATGTTGAAGATCTTTATGTAGAAGGACTTCCTGAAGGAATTCCTTTTAGAAGGCCATCTACTTACGGAATTCCTCGCCTGGAGAGGATATTACTTGCAAAGGAAAGGATTCGTTTTGTGATTAAGAAGTAAGACTCTTGGATTCCTGTTGAACTCTTGTCTCTTTTCTGAGTAATACGTCTTTTTTATTGTTGACCAATATTCATTCACCACTAGGGTTCTATGTGATGAAGTTTGAGTTATTTTATGTATTTTTATCTTGCACTTTTTAATTTATCTGGGTCCAGCATTGCATCAGTCATGCAGTGTTGGCATTCGAAGCATGAACAGTGCCCGCACTGGATTGGCATGCAACTCACATTTTCTTTCACAATTTTCTGCTACTTTTGCTAAAGAACATAGAATCCACGCCTTGTTTTTAGGCCTGATATATATATATATATATTTTTTCGAGATGGAGTCTCACACTGGAACCCAGGCTTGAGTGCAGTGTCGCAATCTCAGCTCACTGCAACCTCTGCCTTCCAGGTTCAAGCGATTCTCATGCCTCAGACTCCCGAGTAGCTGAGATTACAGGCGTGCGCCACCATGCCTGGCTAATTTTTGTATTTTTAGTAGAGACGGTGATTCACCATGTTGGCCAGGCTGGTCTTGAACTCCTGACCTCAGATGATCTGCCAACCTCGCCCTCATAGGCCTGAGATTTTTAAAGCATGCGTGGGAATATATGATTGTTTTTATAGATGTGCAGAGGAAGATAGTCTTGAATGCAATATGACATTAAAGGATCCCATTTAAGATTTTTGTAATATGCTTCAAAGACCTGTGGGTTGCAAAGTTACCTCTTTACTTGTGAGGATACATGCTCCATGAAGCACCTTATGAGACAACTTGCAATTATTAGTTTGCTTTTTACTCTGTAGAAACCTCAAATTAAGATTTAGTTGTGGGCTGGGTGTAGTGGCTCACACCTGTAATCCCAGCACTTTGGGAGGCCAAGGCGGCTGGATCACCCGAGGTCAGGAGTTCGAGACAAGCCAGGCCAACAATGGTGAAACACTGTCTCTACTAAAAATACAAAAATTGACCAGGTGTGGTGGTGGGCGCCTGGAATCCCAGCTACTTGGGAGGCTGAGGCAGGAGGATTGCTTGAACCCGGGAGGTGGAGGTTGCAGTGAGTCGAGACTGCGCCATTGCACTCCAGCCTGGGAACAAGAGCAAAACTCCGTCTCAGGAAAAAAAAAAAAAAAAAAAAAGATTTAGTTGTGCTCAAGCATCCAGATTATCTTTTCTTTTCAAAACCAGCCTTACTGACTAAATGTTAAATATGTACTAGTCGTTATTAGTTTGCTGAATATTACCTAGTGATTATTGAGTATTTATTCTCACCTTTCAGACATGAGCTTCTGAGTTCAACACGTGAAGATTTACAGCTTGATAAGCCAGCTTCAGGAGGTAGGTCTTCAATCTCGAGGCAGATCAGAAGATTATGTGCAATAATTATTTCACGCTTAACATTGATTTCTTCTTTATGTTACCTTCCACATGAAATAATATGTCTCTAACTATTAATTATGTGCCATTACAGGAGAATTCATGTTGTCAAAATTCTAATAATTTCTAGAAGAATAAACGCATCTTCTTTTTATTAACCCATTGTAAATACTTATAAATATTGCATTTATGGGTAGACAGAAGTAAAAGAACAATATTTGTTCTACTTTTGATGCAAGATTTATCTGGCATAATGCATTGAACAGTTTATTATTGAAGTCTACACGAGTCAATGGAACAAGCATTCATTGAATGTCCATGATATGCAGGACATAAGAAGGTTTCCTTTTAGAGCATGGAGCCATTTATATCATCTCTTAATTGTTAGATGTATTTTGTTTTGTTTTGTTTTGTTTTTTGAGAGGGAGTCTTGCTCTGTTGCCCAGGCTGGAGTGCAGTGGTGCGATCTCCGCTCACTGCAACCTCCCGCCTCCTGGGTTCAAGCAATTCTCCTGCCTCAGCCTCCCTGTAGCTGGGATTACAGGTGCCTGCCACCATGCCCAGCTAATTTTTGTATTTTTCGTAGAGACAGGGTTTCACTATGTTGGCCAGGCTGATCTCAAACTGCTGACCTCAGGTGATCTGCCCACCTCGGCCTCCCAGAGTGCTAGGATTACAGGCATGAGCCACCGCGCCCAGCCTGTTAGATGTGTTTTAAAATAAATAGAAATATAATTGATTTTCTTGCTTGCTTTTGCTCTGGAGTGGAGTGGAGTGAGGATAAAACAGAATGGAATCACCCTGTTGATATTTACTAAGATAGAAGGACTGCAGCAAGATCATAGCCCTAATCTTCCTGTAGCAAGTGTTACCTGCTAGCTGTTCCTGAATACACTGAGTTTTGCTTTTTCCTAGCTCTAATGAATGTTTCGTTCTTCCTCTTTTTGTACAGTGTCAGCATTGTTTTAGAAATAAATACATTCTAGAATCTTAGGAATAATTTTATTATTGTCTTTTTTTTTTTTTGAGACGGAATCTCATTCTGTTGCCCAGGCTGGAGTGCAATGGCGCAATCTCAGCTCACTGCAACCGCTGCCTCCTGGGTTCAAGCGATTCTCCTGCCTCAGCCTCATGAGTAGCTGGGACTACAGGCGTGCGCCATCACGCCTGGCTAATTTTTGTATTTTTAGTAGAGATGGGGTTTCACCATGTTGGCCAGGCTGGTCTCAAACTCCTGACCTCAAGTGACCCGCCTGCCTCGGCTTCCCAAAGTGTTGGGATTACAGGTGTGAGCCATTGCACCTGGCCACGAATCTTAGAAATAATTTTGGCCATAGGAAAAGGAAAAGTTATACCTCTTATTTTATAGTAATAATGTTTAATAATCAAGTTATTAAACCCATTAAATTGAGAACACTTGTATTACTGTTATTTTGACAGTAAAGGAAGAATGGTATGCCAGAATCACTAAATTAAGAAAGATGGTGGATCAGCTTTTCTGCAAAAAATTTGGTAAGTCTGTTTTTTTTAATTACCCCTTCAACTAAAATGTATTACTGAGTAACATTTTTTTAAATGTTGTTTTATTTTAGGAAAGTAAATACAGTGAATAGGACTCAGCTTTAGTTTTCCCTGGTTTTTTTTTTGGGTTTTTTTTTTTTTTTCTTGAGAAGGAGTCTTGCTCTGTTGCCCAGGCTGGAGTGCAGTGGTACGATCTCAGCTCACTGCAACCTCCTCCTCCCGGGTTCAAGCAATTCTCCTGCCTCAGCGTCCCAAGTAGCTGGGATTACAGGTGCCCGCCACCACGCCTGGCTAACTTTTGTATTTTTAGTAGAGATGGGGTTTCGCCATGTTGGCCAGGCTGGTCTCAAACTCCTGAATTCAGGTGATCCACCCGCCTCAGCCTCCTAAAGTGCTGGGATTATAGGCGTGAGCCACCGCGCCCGGCCCCCATTCTATGAATTATCTGTGGAAAGTTATTTCCTTTAAAATGGCATGCTCGTGAGGTTGAAGGGGTAAAGAACATTGATCTGGTTGCCACGCAGATGAAAGTGTAGTCGGAAATGTGTTACCAGTTTGCCATAGCCGATGGAGGAGGGTAATTACGGTCCTGAACAGTTAGTAGCAAAAGGCTGCTTCCAGATAGTATTTAGGTTGTGTCCTCTATTGTCCATGATGATTTTCTTTCTCTCTTTTCTTCCTAAGGATATTGAAAAACAAACTTTAATCTTTTAAAGATCTCAGAGCTATTAAGATTGTCTTAGGACCAGGACACTTAAATCTGCCCAAATCTGGCTGTTGATGATCGGTCATCTCTACTTGTCTTTGCTGTATTAAGTCTATTCAATAGTTAATAAATATGTTTCTAGAAAGAGTTTTTTTCAAGTAAAACAAAATTGACCTGTGCCTTTCTTTGGATTGTACTAAAATCTGATTTCAATACAAATGTAGTCTCCCGAATTGCTTTGATTTTTGTCCAGCGGAAGCCTTGGGGAGCACTGAAGCCAAGGCTGTACCGTACCAAAAATTTGAGGCACACCCGAATGATCTGTACGTGGAAGGACTGCCAGAAAACATTCCTTTCCGAAGTCCCTCATGGTATGGAATCCCAAGGCTGGAAAAAATCATTCAAGTGGGCAATCGAATTAAATTTGTTATTAAAAGGTAAGATGATAATCTGTAGAAATAGTTTCAGTGTCTTCCCTGAGAAGAGGTTAATTTGATGAAGAAGGGCCTTTTGTTTACCTTATGACTTATTTCTATTGACAATGAAGGCATTAATATTTAGATTCACTTAGTGAACAAATATTAGTATAAGCATCAGATGTGCAAAATTGGGTCTAACAAGAACACTGTCCTTGGGGCCTTCATACAAAGAAAAATGCACTGAAGGCCGGGCGCGGCAGCTCACGCCTGTAATCGCAGCACTTTGGGAGGCCAAGGCAGGTGGATCACTTGAGGTCAGGAGTTCAAGACTAGCCTGGCCAACATGATGAAGCCCCATCTCTAGTAAAAATACAAAAATTAGCTGGAAGCGGTGGTGCGAGCCTGTAGTCCCAGCTACTCGGGAGGCTGAGGTTGGAGAATCACTTGAACCCTAGAGGCGGAGGTTGCAGTGAGCCGAGATCGTGCCACTGCACTCCAGCCTGGGCAACAGAGCGAGACTCCATCTCAAAATAATTAAAAAAAAAAAAAATAGAAAAATGCAACGAAGTGTTATTGAGCGTTTTTAAGGGAGAAGGCAAGGATGGCACACCTAGCTCGGTCACTTGTGCATCCAGAAGAGATGGAAGGTGTTTCAAGTGAAGGAAATCATATGAGTAGGGGGAGGAGGTGGCAAATATGCCTGCGTATCCACAGAACTCACCCACCGTGTGTGGAGTGAGGACTGCCACGTGGGCGTGGTGGGGTTGCATGGATCGACTTGGGTGGGCAAGTGGAGGAAGGCCTGAGATCCTACGAACACAGGCAGTCACGAAGTGGTCTCGAGGCAGATGCCTCTGAAAATAATGTGGATCCGCCCTTTAGAAAGGTAATTCTGGCTTGATTTTGAAGGATAACACAATGGTTAGTTTGGGTGCGGGGTTAGGAACAGAAGGCCTCTCTCCACTCATTGACGGGATGTGGAAGGGTAAACCTTCCTTACTGATTGGGGTCATGCCTCTGTGTGTTTGTTGGGACTGAGTTATAAGGGATAGGAAACGTTTAAGATGCTACAGCGAGCTGCTTCTGGCTGTGCTGTGGGACAGTTCATCTAAGATTCAGAAACAGAATTGAGCTGGTTTGGGGGAAAAGTGACTTTCGCCTGTTTATCTTAAATATAGGATGATTTTGAAGGTCTCACCCGAATATCTGAAAATTGCCATTTTCAAAATAAACTCGTCACCAAAATGATTTTTTTTTCACTATAAAATGAAGGCAGGATGAACCATATTTATAACTAATTGGCAATGAACAGCTGTGTGAGAAAGGCCTGTGAGTTGCTTCTAAATGCTTTATTACTAATATCAACTCTGTTTCTACAGACCAGAACTTCTGACTCACAGTACCACTGAAGTTACTCAGCCAAGAACGAATACACCAGGTAAACTAGTTGTGAAATCCTTTTTTAAAAACACAGATCAGCCAGGCTCGGTGGCTCACACCTGTAATCCCAGCACTTTAGGAGGCTGAGGCGGGCAGATCACAAGGTCAGGAGATCAAGACCATCCTGGCTAACATGGTGAAACCCCATGTCTACTAAAATACAAAAAAATTAGCCGGGCCTGGTGGCGGGCACCTGTAGTCCCAGCTACTCGGGAGGCTGAGGCAGGAGAATGGCATGAACCCAGGAGGCGGAGCTTGCAGTGAGCCGAGATCACGCCATTGTACTCCAGCCTGGGCAGCAGAGCAAGACTCTCTCAGAAAAAAAAAAAAAAAAAAGCACAGATCAATACTTTTTAAGCTTTTAAAAGTTAATCTTTTAAAATTATGGAAGTCCCCCTTCCCCTGCCTCCCCAAAAAATCATTTGCAGAAGCTCAATCCAGCCACTCCTTGATTTATCAATGTGAACACCTGCAGTGCACAGATAACTCAAGCTTTGACCGTAGACCACTGCTATCCATGAGAAAGGCAGTGTGCCCCACAAATGCAAGCCACATGTGTAATCGTCCACGTTCTAGTTCAGCCTGTAATCATTATAAAGAAATACACAGGGAAGTATTTCACGGTCTTTATCCCATGTTCTTTATTTGACAGTTGGCGCGTCTTTCATACTCACAGCATATTTCAGTTCCAAGTAGCCACATTTCAAACATTTCAACTGCTCGGGGATAGTACCTGCTATATGCATTTAGACCTTAATGTTTATTCATATGTATCGTGTTCCTAAAATGGCAGACTGTAACTCTGACCTGCACACAAATATCACAGCCTAATAGGGAAGATCTAAGAAGTCTCTGTTCAATGAATGATGTTATTTTCTTTATTAGAGCTCTAAGTGTGCCTTTATTTCTTTCCTATCTTTTTTTTTTTTTTTTTTTGAGACGGAGCCTCACTCTGTCATCCAGGCTGGAGTGCAGTGGTGCAATCTCGGCTCACTGGGGCCTCCGCCTCCCGGGTTCAAGCAGCTCTCCCGCCTCAGCCTCCCGAGTAGATGGGACTACAGCTGCACGCCACCACACCTGGGCTAATTTTTGTATTTTTAGTAGAGATGGGGTTTCACCATGTCAGTCTGGCTGGTCTTGAACTCCTGACCTCAGGTGATCCACCTGCCCTGGCCTCCCAAAGTGTTGGGATTATAGGCATGAGCCACTGCACCTGACCTCTTTCTTTTTGTTTGCCGTTGTGTAATGTCAGAGGAAGTGACCACACTCTGTAGATCATCAGCCACCTTAGGAACTTCTGTTGCCAAGAACCAATAAATGCCCATACCCTGTAGTGTGTAAATGCCCATACCCTGTAGTGTGAAGTTTTCTGTTGTTAGAAATAAGTGTTAGGAATCAAGTATGAAATTTGTGTGTGTACTAGGTGTATACAGATTGGTGCAGTTAATCATGCTCACGACTACTAAGGTGAACAAATGTTTCAAGTTGGGTTCCTGGGTGTGCCCTAAAATACTTCTCCTTCAGCTCTCACAGCACCTTGTGGACATGAGTGAAGGTCAGTCAGTGTGCCAAATAGATTTTGTGTGGATTATGGCATGGAAAGTGGCTGAGAAATTCTGTAGCAGGGTAACAAAATTATCTTGGTCCAGGAGTCCTGTAGTGGAGAAGATAAAAGTCAATGCTTAACTCATAGGTTAACCTCAGCATGCTTTTGATTTGGTCAAGCAATCAAAGTACTGGTGAAGAATTGAAGATTGGAAGTGACACATTTTTTGCTCAGGGAAGTAATGGAGAAAGAAAAATCTTCCTGGAGGTAGATCTTCAGTTTGGATTAGTCTGAACATGATGAAACCTGTAGAAACCTTCATTTCTCAAGACAAAGCTCAAATTCAAGGTTGTGAGGAATGCAGTCACCACTTTTGTTAGGGGCAGTTGTGACAGTGAGTGACTGCAAAAACTGAGAATGCGAAGCCTCTATTGTAAAAAGAATGTGCAAGTGCCATAGAAGTCACTGCAAGGATTGGGTGCTGGAGCAGTGCCGGACCTGCCATCGTCACCAGAGTGCAGCAGATTCACCAGAAGGAGAATCTCCACTCTTGTCGTCACTAACAGCACTTGACTTTGTCCCATTCATAAAAGATCTTGGAAGGAATTAAAGGTGCTTGGTGGTTCCTCATTCCAACAACACCTTACTTGGCCTGCCCGTGGAACATGCGTTAGTCTTTGGACAGGACAACTCGAGTCACAGACCACAAGAGAAAAGAATTTTGTGGCCATCAGAATTGTCTGCTTAAACACACCACGGGTGCACAGTGTCCTCAGCTTGGTGAAAGGGAGATGTCACACGCGAGAAGGCAGCGGAGCCAGGCATGTGATGGAGTGGGAGGTGGCACCTGGCTCTGTGAGGAGGCTGTGAAGTCCTGCATGGGAGGAGCAAGGTGGGGGAGGAGGGGGTGGGGGTGGGGCAGAAGAGGAGGCTGAGCAGTTAATAGAGGCGCTCGACCTTAGAGGAGGAGAGTCCGAGGTCTTTATTGGTAGTATTCAAATGTGGTTCATCCAGAGTTATTTTCTGTGGCTGAATGGCCTACTCTGAAATCCACAGGGAAAAAACAACTCACATTCAACCCTTGAGATGCTAAGTTTTCTTTTAAAGTAAAGGAAATGTTATAAGATTTTCTGAAACCACCAACCTTTAGCGATATTGTCAGACCTTCTCCAACATTTTCCACTGCATTTGTCAGCAATCAGAGATGACCTCCACACCGAGGCGAACCCTCCACCCCCCGACCCGTTTCCTCTTTCTCTCTTTCCCTCCTTTGCTCATCCAGAAACACTTCAGTCATCCTGCATTGTCTCCAAGTTGACCTCCATCCTCATCCGCACCTCGTCCACACCTGAATACTCTGTCCACATCAGTGATATTCTACATGTCTTTATAATAGCTTTTTTGTTTGTTTGTTTGTTTGTTTTTTAAATTTTGATGCTTAAAAGGCAATGGTTGTCTTAGGGATAGGAAAACACACCCCACTGTCACTGTGAGTGAAGCTGAATAACGTCTCTAGGTCTTTTACCATTGCTTTCTTTTTTTTCTGAAGTGATTTTTCCTTTTATGTCCATTGCTTTAAGCCATTCGTGAAATTGCACAGTGATTTCTGGAGTGGGGACAGAAGGAAGGCGGTAGTAAAAGTCATTGGTGCTGTGGCCCAGTTGGCTGGAGGAGGTGCAGGGCAGGGCGGCCTGCGCTGGGGCAGCTGGAGGAGCACAGATGTCCCCACGGGCAGGTGGATGAGTTCTGAGAGCTGGAGGGCCGGTACAGTGTCCTCCATGGTTCCAGCTTGTGGGCTTGATCAGGCCGTCACCTGCGGTGGCCACTGAGCTGGCGATGAACTCCGTGGCCTTGGAGTCGCCCTCGGCAGAGATGATGGCCGCCGTCTTCTGCTGCTCAGCCCTTGCCACCACAGATCTGGCCCTCTCTTCTTCCTGCTGAGCCACCTCTTTGGTTCCACTGCTTCTGCAAATTCCTTCCCGAAGGTCAGATCCAAGGTCACAGCATCCAGGAGGAGCCCAAAGGTTGCTGCTTGCTCCGAAGTTAATTGCTCACCTGTCTGGAGCCCAGCTCTCCCTGCGTGATCAGTTCTCCAGCGTCAGCCTGAGCCGCCCCCAGCTTGAGGAGCTCCGCAGTGATGGATGGCAGCACATTCTTCATTGGCTTCTCCAGTAATTGGAAGATGCAAGGACCTGGCCAGCAACAAGGTGGGAAGAGGACGCCCAGTGTGATGGTGACAATCTTTGCTCACAGTGATGATTGGTGCATAATGTGGTCAAGAGCAGCAGTCAAAAATAATTGGTTTCTTTTCCCATGGGATGAGAAAGTGCGTTCCTTCCCCTATCACAGTGTCCTGAATGCCATGGAATTGGTCGAAGATGACAGACAGCTCTCTGTGCAGCATCACATTGTAGAAGGCAGAGTTCCCCACACCTCCTGCAGAAGCTAAGGACAGGGCAGACTTGGCAGCTGTGTTTCCATCTGCTGGACCCACTCACGCCTGCGTCCACTCCAACCCCCCACATGAATTCCGTCCCTTTATCATTGATTTCTGATGCGAAAAGTCACTTTGATTAGTGAAGTGTTGCTTTATGTAGATTTTTAGGCACACATCTGTTAGATAAAACGAGGATTGCCTGTAGAGAAAGCAAATAAAAGCAAAGTCCCTCTTGTTGAAACTGGTGTGGGAGCCCTTGAACCTCATGCAGCTGGCCTCCCTGCTCTGACCGAGTTCCCTGAGGGACTTCTCCAAGGAGGAATGTGTGAGAAGCACTGATTTTGAGCACTCTTTCATGTGGACAAATTTCACTTTATTTACAATGTAAACTTAAATTTAAATTCTGTCTTTCTAGGCTGGGCACGGTGGCTCACGCCTGTAATCCCAACACTTTGGGAGGCCGAGGCGGGCAGATCACTTGAGGTCAGGCATTCAAGACCAGCTTGGCCAACATGGTGAAACCCTGTCTCTACTAAAAATATAAAAATTAGCCGGGCGTGGTGGCGGCTACCTGTAATCCCAGCTACTCGGGAGGCTGAGGCAGGAGAATCGCTTGAACCCAGGAGGCGGAGGTTGCTGTGAGCTGAGATCACGCCACTGCACTCCAGCCTGGGCGTCATAGCAAGACTCTTTCTCTAAATAAATAAATTAATTCTGTCTTTCTGCAGTTTTTCTGATATTTGGCAAGTACTGGAAATTATTATTTTCCTTAAGACCCCAAATTTTCACACCAACATGGCACATGTATACATATGTAACAAACCTGCACGTTGTGCACATGTACCCTAGAACTTAAAGTATGATAAAAAATAAATAAATTAATTAATTTAAAAAAAAAGACCCCAAATGTTTGCTTTTAACAAAACTGAATTAAGAGAATCACTGCAGGCCGGGCGTGGTGGCTCACGCCTGTAATCCCAGCACTTTGGGAGGCCGAGGCGGGCAGATCACGAGGTCAGGAGATCAAGACCTTCCTGGCTAACACCGTGAAACCCCATCTCTACTAAAAATACAAAAAGAAATTAGCTGGGCATGGTGGCGGGTGCCTGTAGTCCCAGCTACTCAGGAGGCTGAGGCAGGAGAATGGCGTGAACCTGGGAGGCGAAGCTTGCAGTGAGCCGAGATCGCGCCACTGCGCTCCAGCCTGGGCGACAGAGCAAGACTCTGTCTCAAAAAAATAAAACAAAACAAACAAAAAAGAATCACTGCAAACAAGAGTACTTTCTAGCAAAATCCATTCTGATTTGCAACAGCACTGATAAATAACATGGTTATTGGGTTTCTTTTTGTTTTCCAGTCAAAGAAGATTGGAATGTCAGAATTACCAAGCTACGGAAGCAAGTGGAAGAGATTTTTAATTTGAAATTTGGTAAGTAAAAGCCAGTATTTATGTCTTTAATAACATATCAACAAAGGGCCATGTCTGAATGAAGTATAGAAGTTCGGGACCAGCCGGGTGCAGTGGCTCACGCCTGTAATCGCAGCACTTTGGGAGGCCAAGGCGGGCGGATCGGGAGGTCAGGAGATCGAGACCATCCTGGCGAACACGATGAAACCCCGTCTCTACTAAAAATACAGGAAAATTAGCCGGGCGTGGTGGCGGGCGCCTGTAGTCCCAGCTACTCGGGAGGCTGAGGCAGGGGAATGGCTTGAACCCCAGAGGCGGAGCTTGCAGTGAGCCAAAATCGCACCACTGCACTCCAGCCTGGGCGACAGAGTGAGACTCTGTCTCAAAAAAAAAAAAAAAAGAAGGAAAAAAAGTTCAGGACCTAAAGAAGGAAGGTCCCAGAAACTGGGTTTCTGTTTCTTTCTACCACTACACTTGCTACTGAAACCAAGCAGATGACTTCATTTCTCTTGGATTCCACTTTCTCACGTGTCAGAATGGGAGAGGAAGGGAGGTGTTGGGATAAGTTTCAGTTCCACTGTTTGTACTTCTCGTCTGGCTAACACCCATGTGGCAAATAGGTTTCATCATTTGTTTCAGCTTAGATTTGTTGACAGCGGTTTCCTGGAGTGCTGTCTTGAGAACGATTCTGAGGAGGCTCAGCAAGAAAGAGTGTTTCAGTTGATTGGGTGTGTCTGTCATGGAGAAGGAAGTAAGGAGTGGGCAGTGCTAGCAAAATTCCCGGGGCACTTCTGTCCATTATCTCAATACCTGGGGTTGACATTTCCTGTCTCAGATCAGGAGTCCTGACTACCCTGCCTCTGACCACTCGAACTGAGTGCTGCTTAGCTGTATCGTAGACACCGCCTGTTTGTGAACAGACACCCTGCTTCTTGATGATAACACAAAGGCCAGCAGGGTCCACTGCTGTGTGGAATGGCCTTCGGTCATTTCTGCCCAGAGCATAGAGGTCATTTTCACTAATAACATAACTCTCCTTTTGATTGAAAGTGTTAAAATGTTCCTCCTAAAAGCACTTATTTTTTAGGCTCGTTCTTCAGATTTGCCCCATATCCTAAGCAAAATGCCTTCAATATGAAGTGGATATTGCTTGACCGTAGGGAGCTTGTCCATACTGTACTCGAGAATGTAGACACAAAGAAAGAATGTCTGTGTCAAATGTTATCCTCCGCAACTTAACGTTCTCTTGCACTTTCAGCTCAAGCTCTTGGACTCACCGAGGCAGTAAAAGTACCATATCCTGTGTTTGAATCAAACCCGGAGTTCTTGTATGTGGAAGGCTTGCCAGAGGGGATTCCCTTCCGAAGCCCTACCTGGTTTGGAATTCCACGACTTGAAAGGATCGTCCGCGGGAGTAATAAAATCAAGTTCGTTGTTAAAAAGTAAGTTCTTTTTGCCACTGTAGTCGTTTCTGGAATCAAAACAATAAAATGACATTTCTGTTAAGATGTTTTTCAAGCTAGAGGTGACAGGCGTGGCTGTAAGTCCTTGATGGCAAAGCCTGGCTGTGAGCTGCAGTCCGGGTACTGTCCATTGCCCCTGCCCATACTCAATCATCTTCATCCGTGCAAGGAAAATAGTGACAATCGCCTCCGCGGAGTCACCGTGAGGCCCCGTGGTGACTCGCAGTATGCCTGAGTACTTGAATGGAAGTTTAATTTGCTGGTTTTTATCTGCTCTGTTATTCCTGGTCAATCTTGAGAGCGACTAAATATTGATGATTGAGTTTCTTTCTTTTTTTTGAGACGGACTCTTGCTCTGTCGCCCAGGCTTGAGTGCGGTGGCGCAATCTGAGCTCACTGCAACCTCCGCCTCCTGGGTTCGAGCAATTCTCGTGCCTCAGCCTCCCGAGTAGCTGGGATTACAGACTTGCACCGCCACGCCTGGCTAATTTTTGTATTTTTAGAATAGATGGAGCTTCACCGTGTTGGCTAGGCTGGTCTGGAATTCCTGACCTCAGGTGATCCACCCGCCTCAGCCTCCCAGAATGCTGGGATTACAGGCATGAGCCACCGTGCACGGCCTAATGATTGATTTTCTTATCTACATTTCTGCAGAATTTTAGTGGCTAAAGAAAGTACACTAGTGTTTTTTTTTTCTTTTTTAATGAAAATAGTCACTTATTTACTCTTCATAAAATGGCTTACCAGTCATGGGAAGGAAAAGTCAGGGTCTTTTGTCCACAACACTAGGAATTATTGTGTTACAGGATGATTCTGTGAATGCCTTTAGAAAAAAAACCCTGATCACATCACGACCGTTTTACTAGCTGTGAGGCCACCACTGTACTGGCTACTGTAACACTTCTTGGTTTTCTTTCTAGACCTGAACTAGTTATTTCCTACTTGCCTCCTGGGATGGCTAGTAAAATAAACACTAAAGGTAAGAGACGACGTGTACTCCGTATCCTATTTGAGCGCATTAAGACACTCTTTATCCGCATTCCTTAAATCATACGGAATCGGCCAATATCTCTGTGGGGCTTGGAGTTGTTTACTTTGCTTTCTAAGGTATTTTATTTAATGGAACTATTTTTCTTTTTTTTTTTTAAAAAAACAAAACATTTCATTGGAAATGTCACATTTGCAATCCCAGTTCATTCATGTTTTCACAGCTTTGTTGAGCCCCTGTGGAGGATTACACTACAAGTTTAATTCTGCAGGTTTCTTTGAAAAGAACCAAACTGTATGAATTTTAATACTCTGCTCTTATAAAGCATCTCCTTCTGTATTTTTTTTTCCCTACAATATACAAAAGGAACTCTGCTTATTTTACAGCTTTGCAGTCCCCCAAAAGACCACGAAGTCCTGGGAGTAATTCAAAGGTTCCTGAAATTGAGGTCACCGTGGAAGGTAAGGGCCAGTCCTCGGTATGTTTCTGTTCATTCTCTAGTTTACTAATTATGTCAGTTCACTAGCTATGTGTTTATACAGGTTTATACAGATGACGTTAACCAAACTAGCTTTTAACTGTGAACAGCTGCCTGTGATAAAGCTAAATTTCTGAATGCTTCTAATTGAAAATTTTTAAATCCTTAATAGAAAACAGATAACATGGATCACATCATAAACTTCCCCCAAGAAAAGTCCTAAAATGCTTTTCCTTTATCATAACAAATAAGGGTGCAGAGTCATGTGGAATGTTTTATCTTTTTTTTCCTCTTCATTTTTTTCTATTCTTTTAAGGAAAGAAAGTTTAGGGTGGTTTAAACAGCAGTGCCTTGAATTATTTTCTTTTTCTTTTTTGAGACAGAGTCTGGCTCTCTTGCCCAGGGTGGAGTGCAGTGGCACAATCTCGGCTCACTGCAGCCTCCGCCTCCCGGGTCAAGTGATTCTCCTGCCTCAGCCTCCCAGGTAGCTGGGATTACAGGCGTCCACCACCAACTCCAGCTAATTTTTATATCTTTAGTAGAGACGGGGTTTTACCACGTTGGCCAGGCTGGTCTCGAACCCCTGACCTCAAGTGAGCCACCACGCCCAGCTGGTTCTTGTCTTTTCAGGCTCACAGTGTTAAAATACTGCATACAATACTAAAGACAATCTCCAACCAACTGTCAAGTATGGATATTTCTTCCATCTCTTCATAAATGCAGAAGGAAATCACTGCATTAGGATCATTCTCTACATCCCAGGTGTCAAGTTTTTAAATAAGAGTTTGCCGTACTGGTGTTGAGTGGCGCAGAAGTCCCTATTTAGTCATGTGGCACACTTTCAGAGAGCCTGCTTTCTCATAAGATAGCCAACAGGCATCCATGGACAACTTACACCTGATTAATTATTTCTGTTCAAAAATGCCAAGAATTAAAAATATATTGAACCCTTGACTTTCCTCCTTCCGGAAGAGATCAGAGGAAGATCTCTCTTATATACAAGATGCCAGCCTTTCCTAAAGGGCAGAGCCAAGTTCACGGGGCCTGGGAGGCCTGCTTTAAGAATACAAAATTAGGGCCAGGCGTGGAGGCTCACGCCTGTAATCCCAGCACTTTGGGAGGCCGAGGCAGGCGGATCACCTGAGGTTGGGAGATCGAGACCAGCCTGACCAACATGGAGAAACCCCATCTCTACTGAAAATACAAAATTATCTGGGCCTGGTGGCGCATGCCTGTAATCCCAGCTACTCAGGAGGCTGAGGCAAGACAATCGCTTGAAACCAGGAGGCAGAGGTTGTGGTGAGCCGAGATTGCGCCATTGCACTCCAGCCTGGGCAACAAGAGCGAAACTTTGTCTCAAAAAAAAAAAAAAAAGAAGAAGAAGAAGAAGAAGAAGAGAAGAAAAATGGGTTTCTGTAGAAATAGAAAAATGGTTTCTGTGGAACTCGCCGGAATGACAAGAATACCCATTTCAATTTGAACCTAGCTTTGTTTTCTGGCACAGGCTGGACTTGAAGATTGTAACCTAGAGACACTTACGTCATTAAATGTGTGTTGATTATCATTATTTTTTCTGTCTTTTAGGCCCTAATAACAACAATCCTCAAACCTCAGCTGTTCGAACCCCGACCCAGACTAACGGTTCTAACGTTCCCTTCAAGCCACGAGGGAGAGAGTTTTCCTTTGGTAAGTAAGCGTTTTATTTTTCTTTCTTTCATAGTTTTAAATAGAATACGTTCATTATGTTTCATTTTACCAGGTGAATTGTTCCTATTGGTGAGTCAGTATATATCAAAGGTTAAAGGAATAGCCCGTAGAGCCAGGCTGCCTGAGTTCAGATCTGAGTTCAAATCCGATGCCACTTGGGCAGGCGAATACACCCTGCCTCAGTTTCCCTTTGTGCAAAATGGTAATAACATTACTTTCTTTCTCATGAGGTTATGGTGAGGATTATAAATACTGTCATTTAAAGTACTTAGAACCATACCTCGCATGTAGTAGAGACTATAATTTGTGGGGGCATTTTGGGGGTTTTCATTTGTTTTTTCTTTATTTTAGCATTTGTTCACTTATTTGTAGTCAACATAAAAACAATGTACTAAAACAGTTTGCTTATGTATCAGGATGGGAGTAGTTGTCAAGTCATATCATGGTAAAAGATTATGCATTTTTTATTTCTTCTTAAAGATGCACAAATAAGGCCAGGCGCAGTGGCTCACGCCTGTAATCCCAACACTTTGGGAGGCCGAGGTGGGCGGATCACCTGAGGTTGGGAGTTCGAGACCAGCCTGACCAACATGGAGAAACCCCGTGTCTACCAAAAATACAAAATTAGCCAGGCATGGTGGCACATGCCTGTAATCCCAGCTACTCAGGAGGCTGAGGCAGGAGAACTGCTTGAACTCAGGAGGTGGAGGTTGCAGTGAGCAGAGATCGCACCATTGCCCTCCAGCCTGGGTAACAAGAGCGAAACTCTGTCTCAACAAAAAAAAAATAAGATGCACAAATAAGATGAAACACTCCTGCCTGTGAATGTGTATTGATAAGTACTGTGATAAGTATTGCAATTTAACTCTCTTATGTTTTATATGCAGAGGCCTGGAATGCCAAAATCACGGACCTAAAACAGAAAGTTGAAAATCTCTTCAATGAGAAATGTGGTAAGTCTATTTTGAAACTTTCTTACTGCCACGCAGGGTGCCTTCATGGGAGTAGGAGGGAGCAGAGTGGGATACTGAGCGTTGGAGTATCCCTGTCATTGGCAACGTGTGGGTTTTTCGGGATTGAATGGCGTCATTTCGCCCATGTTCTGTTTCGTGTACGCGGCTGTTTTGCAGGGGAAGCTCTTGGCCTTAAACAAGCTGTGAAGGTGCCGTTCGCGTTATTTGAGTCTTTCCCGGAAGACTTTTATGTGGAAGGCTTACCTGAGGGTGTGCCATTCCGAAGACCATCGACTTTTGGCATTCCGAGGCTGGAGAAGATACTCAGAAACAAAGCCAAAATTAAGTTCATCATTAAAAAGTAAGGAAACTGGATGAAGTGGGATTAGCATGAGTTGATTGTGTTTGACACTGGGAGATGGGTATGTGGGTTTGTGTTTGTGGCAGGGCTGAATTAGCTCTGGAGTCAGAAAAACTGCTTTTTAAGCTGCACTCTTGTATATGTTTAAAACTTCTGGCCAGGTGCGATGGCTCACACCTGTAATCCCAGCACTTTGGGAGGCCAAAGCAGGTGGATTACCTGAGGTCAGAAGTTCAGGACCAACCTGGCCAACATGATGAAACCCATCTCTACTAAAAGTACAAAAATTAGCTGGGCGTGGTGGCACGTGCCTGTAATCCCAGCTACTTGGGAGACTGAGGCAGGAGAATCACTTGAACCCAGCAGGCAGAGGTTGCAATGAGCCAAGATCGTGCCACTGCACTCCAGCCTGGGCAGCAAGAGCAAAACTCCATCTCAAAAACAAAAAAAAAAAAAAAAGAAGAAGAAATTTTCCTTATGCTGCTGGTAGAAGGGAAGGAGGACTCCACCATACTAGAGAGATAACGACTTTTGGTTGCTAAATCTACACAGCTATGTTGTTACTATTTGATGCTGCTGGAATCTGAGCAGCTGTTTAGTTTTTCAAGTCCTTTTATTTCTCCAACTTAATAGAATATTTTCAATTTCTCCTGTTTGCTTGAACATCTGTGGATTAGGCTAACATAATTGAAATAGATAGGAATGGGCCGGGTGCGGCCATAAATCCCAGCACTGTGGGAGGCTAAGGCAGGCAGATCACTTGAGGTCAGGAGTTCGAGACCAGCCTGGCCAACATGGTGAAGCCCCATCTCTACTTAAAATACAAAAAAAAAAAAAAAAAAATAGCCAGGGGTGGTAGCTGGCACCTATAATCTCAGCTACTCAGGGAGGCTGAGACAGGAGAATCACTTGAACCCAGGAGGCGGAGGAGATCGTGCCATTGCACTCCAGCCTGGATGACAGAGTAAGACTCTGTCTCAAAAAAAATTAAAAAAAGAAATAAGAATAATTGGAATTTTATAGTACATGCTAATGCACATGAATTATTTGAAATCAATTGAAATGAATTTTAGGTTTCATTTGCTTGGTGTCAGGCTTAATTTTGAGTCACCCAGGGATGCTCTCAAGCAAAGCTGGCCACTTTTTTTTTTTTTTTTTTTTGTGAGACAGAATCTCGCTCTGTACCCAAGACTGGAGTGCAGTGGTGTGTGATATCGGCTTACTGCAAATTCCGCCTCCTGGGTTCAAGCGATTCTCCTGCCTCAGCCTCCAAAGTAGCTGGGATTACAGGCATGTGCCACCATGCCCAGCTAATTTTTGTATTTTTAGTAGAGAAGGGGTTTCACCATGTTGGTCAGGCTAGTCTCAAACCCCTGACCTCATGATCCGCCTGCCTCGGCCTCCCAAAGTGCTGGGATTACAGGCGTGAGCCACCGCGCCCGGCCAATGGCCACCTTTTATGCTTTTGGCCAGGTCTGCAGAGGTTTGGCAGCCTCTAAGCCCTCTGCTTCTGCTTCCGGAGTGAGAGCCTCAAGTGCTCCTGTTTTCACAGCCCATCTTGTGTTTCCATGCTGCGTTTGTGGGGCGTTTTCTCTTTGCATCCTCAATTCTGGCGCTGATTCTTTTCAGGATACATTCTAACCTTGGAAAGAAGATGCCAATAAAACCAGTGTAGGGGAAGGGCAGCCAATGAGAGGCAGCAATGGATGTTAAATTTACAATTGTGGTTTGTCTTTTTGGCTGTGGTTCTTTAGATAAGCATGTGATTTCTGTTCTTCATGACTAAGAATTGAATTTAGACTTTACAGAGTTACTGGTTTGTAAATCTTTGAGTTGTTTAAATTTTAATGTTAGAGTTTTACTGTTTGATCAGCACATTTTTTTTCTCTTTTGTCTATAGGCCCGAAATGTTTGAGACGGCGATTAAGGAGAGCACCTCCTCTAAGAGCCCTCCCAGTGAGTGTATTTTCTGTATTTTCATTGCTATAGAACACACGCTCTTAGGCATGCATTGTGCAGCTGTGGTTTACAAACATTGTTTAAAGAATAGCCATTGAGGCCAGGCATGGTGGTTCACGCCTGTAATCCCAGCACTTTGGGAGGCTGAGGTGGGTGGATCACCTGAGGTCAGGAGTTTGAGACCAGCCTGGCCAACACGGCAAAACCCTGTCTCTACTAAAAATATAAAAAATTAGCCAGGCGTGGTGGCAGGCGCCTATAATCCCAGCTACTCAGGAGGCTGAGACAGCAGAATCACTTGAACCCGGGAGGCGGAAGTTGCAGTGAGCCGAGATCGCACCACTGCACTCCAGCCTGGACAACAGAGCAAGACTCATCTCAAAAAGAAAAAAGAAAACCCATTCAAAGTTGTAGTTCAGGCTATTTCACAATTTTTAGTTATTTAATAATTGGGTGGCTCTGTGAGTGTGTGATGATCTCCTAAGTACCCCCAGGAAGAGAAAAACAGTGAAAGGCAGCCCTTCAGGGGGCATCATGTCTTCTTGAAATGATCTACCATGGAAAGAAAGAACCTTGAACAGGACTGAGATAAAACAGTCTCAGACAGCATGATTATTAGAGATGTTGACCGTGTTTTCTACAAATTCTGATTTTAAATGTATATTTTCAGGAAAAATAAATTCATCACCCAATGTTAATACTACTGCATCAGGTGTTGAAGACCTTAACATCATTCAGGTGACAATTCCAGGTATGATTTCTCTGCTTCCATCAGAGTTTTTGGGGGTCTCTTCAGGGCCTCTTGGACTTTCCCAACTAGAGAGGTTTGCTCAGCTCATCCGGGGACTCGGATACATTACACGTTGCCTGGTGCTCCTCCCAGACTCCTATAGCAGTTGCCTTCCAAATACAGTTGCTCTCCAAACAGCAACGGCAAGTTTTGGCACTTGGCATGAGCTAAATCCTGTTAACCACCCAAATGTCTAGTCTGTTCCTTAAAAAAAGTCTATATGAGACCGGGCACGGTGGCTCACGCCTGTAATCCCAGCACTTTGGGAGGCTGAGGCAGGAGGATCGCTTGAGGTCAGGAATTCAAAACCAGCCTAGCCAACGTGGTGAAACCCTGACTCTACTAAACATACAAGAAAAATTAGCCAGGCCTGGTTGTGTGTGGCTGTAATCCCAGCTACTTGGGAGGCTGAGGCAGGAGAAGTGCTTGAACCCGGGAGGTGGAGGTCGCAGTGAGCCGAGATGGGGCCAGTGCACTCCAGCCTTGGTGACAGAGCCATACTCCATCTGGGAAAAAAAAAAAATCTATATAAAACAGCAGGTAAAGGTCTTTATAACAAGAATAAATTTGTAGCATTTTTAGTTAGGCATTATTTTAAACAATTTCAAATTTAATTAGCTCAAAGTGCTCAAATACTTAAATCATTAAAAAATGGAAAATGCTTGAAAACATTACACAGAGCTCCTAAAAATTGGGATTAAAAGTGCATCATTGAGCAGCGGCTTGTACCTGTAGTCTCGGCTACTTGGGAGGCTTAGGCAGGAGGATCGCTTGAGCCCAAGAGTTCAAGGCCAGTCTGGGCAACATCGTGAGATACCATCTCTTTACCATAAAAAAAAAAAAAGCAGTATTTAAGTTTTGGGTTTTCTCTGAACTGTTTCAGATGATGATAATGAAAGACTCTCGAAAGTTGAAAAAGCTGTCGCTAAGAGAACAAGTGAATGACCTCTTTAGTCGGAAATTTGGTAAGTTTTGCATTTGCAAAGTACAGTTGCTATAAGCAAAGAGATTTGTTTTAATAAGATCTTTTCAGCAGATGATGGTTAGATGGTTGTAATCCTATATAAAAGGAGTTAAAATTTAAAAGTGAGTTGTTTGTGCTAAATTTATTTAATAAGATACCATTAGTGTTACACTATTGATTGTCAGTATGAAAGTTAATGAATTTAAGGTTCACCATCTGGCAGTGTGGCTCACACTTGTAATCCCAGCATTTTGGGAGCCCGAGGCAGGTGGATCAGTTGAGGCCAGGAGTTCGAGACCAGCCTGGCCAACATAGTGAAACCCTGTCTCTACTAAAAAATTCAAAAAATTAGCCGGGTATGGTGGTGCACACCTGTAATCCCAGCTACTCAGGAGGCTGTGGCACGAGAATTGCTTGAACCTGGGAGGCAGAGATTGCAGTGAGCTGAGATCAAGCCACCACACTCCAACCTGGGTGACAGAGCAAGACTCTGTCTCAAAAAAAAAAAAAATTTAAGGTTCATATTTAAATTTGTTTGAAGTGTACAAAGACCTTAGTTAACAGCAGAGACAGTCTTTAAAATAAATGTTGATCTTGTGCTTTTGACAGGCTGTTTAAGGCGGTGGGTTAATCTGTGCTGTTGTGCTGTTTGTCTCACTGTCCCTGTAGGTGAAGCTATTGGTATGGGTTTTCCTGTGAAAGTTCCCTACAGGAAAATCACAATTAACCCTGGCTGTGTGGTGGTTGATGGCATGCCCCCGGGGGTGTCCTTCAAAGCCCCCAGCTACCTGGAAATCAGCTCCATGAGAAGGATCTTAGACTCTGCCGAGTTTATCAAATTCACGGTCATTAGGTAAGTGAGAGTTTCCTGCTTAGTCACAGGAGCGAATCTGGAGCTCATGAGGCTGACTCTTCTAAAATGCAGCCACAGGTAGTCATCGAATCCGGCTTCCTATGCTGTGCAATCAACAAATCAAAATAACTTGTGTCATCATTAGAATGTCAGATGTGCTTCTACGAACTAAGCTGACTCTTTTAATTCTTTGGCAAAGGGTTGGCAAACTAGGACTGTTTGCCAAATTCAGCCTGCCTCCTATTTTTAGAGTCTTCCTGAAACACAGCTACACCCGTATTATCCATGGCTGCTTTCCTGTCACAGTGAGTAAGTAGCTGGGACTGAGAAGGCATGGCCTCCAAAGTCTAAAATATTTACTCTCTAGCACTTTGTAGAAAAACCTTAGCTAGGCACAGTGGCTAACGCCTGTAATCCCAGCATTTTGGGAGGCCAAGGCAGGCAGATCACCTGAGGTCAGGAGTTCCAGACCAGCCTGGCCAACATGGTGAAATCCCATCTCTACAAAAATAAAACAGTTAGCTGGGCATGATGGCGGGTGCCTGTAATCCCAGCTACTCGGGAGGCTGAGGCAGGATAGTCGCTTGAACCCAGGAGGTGGAGGTTGCAATGAGCCAAGATCATGCCACTGCACTCCAGCCTGGACGACAGAGTGAGACTCCATCACAAGAAAAAAAGAACTTTGTCAACCTCTGTCTTAGGGCGCCTTGTCACAGGCTTCGGGTCAGACGGATTCAACCTTGCATCAGCCATTTGTTAGCCAGGTCACTCTGTTCTTTGTCTGTAAATGAGATTGATCGTTGTTCCCACTGAGAGTGTCAGCTCCTTCCCGTAGAGCAGGCATGATGATTGTACTCACCTCTGACACCATTGTGAGTGCCACATTCCTTCCCACGTCCTTGTCACTGTAAGAGATGCCCACCTGAGCACCAACCCCAGGTTATCTTCCCCTTTGTCTTCCAGCCCCCCAGAAACAGCTACGACTCAACCTACCCAATCATTTCATCATCAGATTGCCACTGTCTCTAGTTCAGGTCTCTTGGGACTGGCACTCAGAAATCTCATAATAAATCCTCTTGAGGCTTCTCATACACTCGTCTTCTTCCAATCTTCTTTCCCTCAAAATCTCATATTTTGGTTCCACTTCACCCACCGTCATTCTCCATATCACTCCCAGGAGTTAGGCAAAAAGCCCCTTCCGTTCTTCCGTATGTTAAACTTAGAATCACTCTGTTCCCTGCTCTGCGTTTCTATTTTTTGTTTTTCCTCCATTTACTAGTAGCTTAACACTTTCTAACAGTGTTCTTATTATTGATACGTATCTATCTCTTCCATAAGCTTATAAGGTCACGGATAATACTTCTCATTGTAGTACGTAAATGACGTGGGCTAGATATGAGTTGAATAAACAGTTATACCTGTAAATTCTTACAGAGTGAAAATAAATTGTTATACTTTACAATTTGTTTCTCTCTTTAGACCATTTCCAGGACTTGTGATTAATAACCGTGAGTATTTTGTGAAGTGTTTTGTTTTTGTTTTTTCCTGGGGTCTGACGTGTGTGCGTGTGAGTGTGTATACATGCTTAACGTATATCACGTTACTTCACCTATGTCAGTAACCAGGCCAAATACTTGTTTTAGCCCTCAGTAAAAACACCAGGCACTTCCTAGTTGTAAAATTATTCAAGCTTCTTAACTTCCTATCCTCGATGCACTTAATCATAAAATGGTAATAATAGCACCGATTTTGGGGGAGTCGTTCCAGTAGATGGAAAGCATCTGGAACAGGTGTCAGCAAGCTCCTGCCGACGTGTATGCATAAAGTTTTATTGAAACCACCATCGTGTCCATTTGTTTATGGCAGAACTGAGAGATGGCAGCAGCAAGTGTGTGCCTGCAAAACCTAAAATATTTACTAATTGGCTCTGCAAGAAAAGAGTTTGCATCCCCCTAACCTAGAACAGTGTCTAGCCTCTAGTATGTGTTTAGCCTACAGTATGTGCTCAGCGAATACAATCTATATTTATTACTGCTTTTATGACTGTTATAATTACTGTGCTTGGATTTCGTTACAAAGTAAGTCACAATGTGCCTGCTTCTGTTAGTATTTCAGCACAGTGCCTGGCACACATGGGGCTCTCAAATATTGCTGAGCGAGTGAACAAATGTCCTTTCAATTCCTTAACGTTGATGTCATTTTCAATAGTATTTTGAGCCAAACTTAATTTTGCGAGTGTGTTTTGTTTTCTTAACTTTATTATTAAAAATGTATAAAAGTGAGGCCAGGCGTGGTGGCTCACGCCTGTAATCCCAGCAGTTTGGGAGGCTGAGGCAGGCGGATCAGTTGAGGTTGGGAGTTGGAGACCAGCCCGTCCAACATGGTGAAAGCCTGTCTCTACTAAAAATACAAAAATCAGCTGGGTGTGGTGGCGCGTGCCTGTAATCCCAGCTACTCAGGAGGCTGAGGCAGGAGAGTTGCTTGAATCCTAGAGGTGGAGGTTGCAGTGAGCTGAGATCGTGCCATTGCACTCCAGCCTGGGCAACAAGAGCAAAACTCTGTCCCAATAAATAAATAAATAAAATGTTCTCTTTTGTTCCTGTTCTTGTGCGGTAGTGTGGTATAGAGTTTTATGGTAATTACTGTGAATTAGTGATTCTGAGGGACATATCAGAACTCTGAGGTTTGTTTCCTTCTCATCTTGAGGGAAACAGCAAATGTATGTTAAAATGCTTTTCCAAGGGAACAACACATCCTTACATTATTTAAACCAATCTGCTTCATTTTCAGAGCTGGTTGATCAGAGTGAGTCAGAAGGCCCCGTGATACAAGGTGAGCGAGGCAGGGGAGGGCCCGGAGCTACTCCTGCCTGCACAGTGGCACACATGGCGTGCCTGCGTGTGGCTTCGGCTCTCAGTCACCTGCCCTGAGGGGACTCAGTTACACAGCACACACATGCTTCTCTGTGGTTTTCACTCCTGGGTTTGACAGCTGATCAAAACATAAATTCAAGCTGTGGGTCCTGATTGAGAACTGGGGGCTGCAGACCATTTGCACCCCCTATCCCAGCTCAGGCCTAACATCAGGAACCCCAGGATTAATGGGTAGGATGAAATGGCAGAGCAAGAGGGCCGTCACTTTAACCTGACTCTGCCATCCATTTCTAATGTCTGCCATAAGTCAGTGAGCAAAATGTTCTTCAGTAGAAATGTACAGATTGTGCTCTTAAAAAATTCCTTAAAAAACAAGTGGAATGGCCTGGTGCTGTGTGAGTCATTGAAAGTAATGAGACTGGGCGCGGTGGCTCACGCCTGTTATCCCAGCACTTTGGAAGGCTGAGAAGGGTAGATCACTTGAGATCAGGAGTTCGAGACCAGCCTGGCCAACATGGTGCAACCCCGTCTCTACTAAGAATACAAAAACTAGCCAGACGTGGTGGCGTGTGCCGGCTACTCAGGAGGCTGAGGCAGGAGAACCGCTTGAGCCTGGGAGGCGGAGGTCGCAGTGAGCCAAGATCGTGCCACTGCACTCCAGCCTGGGCAACAGAAAGGAGATTCTGTCTCAAAAAAACAAACATACGAAGAAAAACAAAAAAAGTAATGAAAAGCTTTTATTAAAGGGAGTAAACAGAAGGATAAGGGAGAAAGCATAACTAAGGAGCTTGTTTTCATGGTAGAGCTATGTTAAGACTCTGCTCTTTCAAACTTCAGTTGTATATGTGAACTTAGGACCACATTTGAAAAACAGAAATTTGAAAGTACACTTGGATAATCGTGTGCTCCATCTCAAGACCGTGAGCATTGTTTCATCATGCACCTGTGTTTGTACAGAGTCTAGAGGGCTTTTCTCCTCTTCCTCCTCCTGGGTTCTTTACATAGTATAAAGCAGCTGTTGAACAATGTGGAAATCAGTCTCTGTGTTTCTCTTTAGAATCAGCTGAACCAAGCCAGTTGGAAGTTCCAGCCACAGAAGGTAAAAGGGTGGGGTGGTCCTGCAAGTCCTTAAGACTTCTTCTTTCTTCTTCTTCTTTTTTTTTTTTTTAAAGACAGAGACTTGCTCTGTCACCCAGGGTGGAGTGAGGTTGTGCGATCTCTGCAACCTCCGCCTCCCGGGCTCAAGCAGTTCTCCTGCCTCAGCCTCCCGAGTAGCTGGGATTACAGGCCTGCACCACCATGCTTGGCTAATTTTTGTATTTTTAGTAGAAACGGGGTTTCACCATGTTGGCCAGGCTAGTCTCAGACTTCTGACCTCAAGTGATCCGCCAGCCTTGGCCTCCAAAGTGCTCGGATTACAGGCGCGAGCCACCTTGCCCAGCCAAGACTTTTTTATCAGGACAAAGGATTGTGCATTTAAACTATTTCACTAGAACTGGGTGGTGGTTTTGCTCTCTTTCTTCTGGGTGAATTGGATTTGCAGGTTATGCTGTTGAGTGATGACGCATAGCTGCTTTTGCTCCATTTCCCCCAGATGACTTGGTAAATTCTCCGTGAATGACTCTGCTACATAACCTAGATAACCTAACGTGTGTCCTTTAAATGCATGTAAGCCAGAAGATGTATGTTACTTTGAAAACATAAGTAACAAAATTTTGAATGTATTGCTAAAGAGATGTCTCTCTGAAGCTCTTTTGATGTTTGGTGTCTTGTCCTTCTTATTAAACCATATCTTAGTAAATAGTTTGGTACGAATGGATTTATCACTGAGCAGGTCTGCAAAATAATTAATCGGTACCGTTTTGTTTCTGTTGATAGAAATAAAAGAGACTGATGGAAGCTCTCAGATCAAGCAAGAACCAGACCCCACGTGGTAGACCTCTTCCCTCCTAGGGTAAATCAGCTTCTGTGTCAGGGATGCTGTGTGGCGTCCATCTGAACCCCCTGCATACGCGTAGCTAATGTGATCTCCCCACTTTCACATAAGATGGTGGCCCTGCCTTCAGGGAATGTGGGAGCCAGGTGGGAGCCTTCCCGGATATTTAAGCTAGAAGATTCTACAGGGAGATTCTCCTTGGATCAATATATGTCTCTCAGTCAAAGATGTAAAAGCACTTTTGCCTTAAAAAGAATGTTCTGTTTCTAAATAGAGTCAACGTTGTCCTCCTCATTGGAATTCACTATGAGTCAGAATCATTAGACTGACTTTTTTTTTTCCATAGTAATAGTATTTTGCAGAGTCTCACAGAGCTGCAGATCTTTTGTTCATCTTGCAGAGTTAACAAGTCTGATCCTGTTAGTCCAGATTTCTTAAATTTGGCCAAGTTATAATAGGAGCAGTAGCTTGAGACCCGAAGTCAGGAAACTTTGACAATGGATTTTTTTTTTTAATCCAGAGACTTGTACTGGAATTTGCCTTACCCTGTCAGCTCATGGACTTAAGGTTTCATCCCGCTTTATGAGTGCTTCTGAATCCAAGTCATTGTTACCTGAATTTGCAAATTAAGTTGTGATATTCGTGACTGTTAAATTCCTGTAATTAGATTAACCTCTTTGCTTGCTTGTTTGTTTTCTCTCCTATTTTAGCTTAAAGTATCAGTGGTTGAGAAGAGCTTTTCGGACCTGTTACTACCCCAAGCTGTGTAATATACTTGTATAACAGAAATACCTTCTATACAAACCTTTTTTTCTACTTTTAGATAGAAATGTCTACTTTTTCAGCAGTTCTGTGAATTAAAGAGCAGAGTGACTGTGGGTCTGGAATGGCTGGTGTACTTGGGAATGTACTATCAGGATTTTACAGCAATGCTGGGAAATGACAGGGAAAATGACAGGAATGAATCTCACCAGATTTTTTATGTACTCAGCAGAGCCTTGAGTTACGGTGTTTATTTTCCAATCAAGTGAAGATATCTCCTACTTCTCCTACTGGAACATCTCAGCTTCTGCAGTGAAGAAAAATTCCTGTGATAGTTCAGTTCTTTAGTTTTTCTATTTGAAAAAAAAAAATCATTTAAATGATCCTTTGTTCACGGCTCTCCTTAATGACTGAGTGAACAGTTCCTATCTGTATATTTGACTAAACCTTTTCCTAAGCTATCTCTCATGGTTCCTATGTTTTTTTATCATAATTAAAAGCAAAACCATCTGGATCACCTAACAGTCAGAGGTCAGTATCTCAGCGTGTGAATTATAGAGGAAATACAGAGAGAACCTCTTCCACTTTTACTTTTCGTCCAAATAAAATGCATGGTGTACCAGAAGTTGAAGATCGGGTTGAGGATTGGGGCTAGCTCGATGACACTAAGGCCCCAACATCGCGGGACCTGCTGTGGCGCGGATTCTTAGGAACGCTGTTCTAGCCGGCCCCCTCTCCAGGGGTCGCCGTGGCCGGCATTATTTCCTAGTTCTTCTTGTAACCCTGAGGTGCCAGCGCGGGGAGTGAGGAGGGGTCAGGGGGCTAAGGATGCAACCTCTGACGTTCTGCGCCTTCCTAGGAGAGTCTTACATGTGTTGAGATTTCACAAGCAATGCGAGTTGTAAAATACCAGCTCTACAAGAAGCTAGGCTCTGTGACGGCATAGTTTTCAGTAGCTTTATCACAATATTCACAATGGAGAATTATATGACATGGTAGCAGAAATAGGCCCTTTTATGTGTTGCTTCTATTTTACCTCAAATTGTAGATATAGGGTAATCAATAAAATCCATCCATGCCTTTCACACACTAAGTCATTGCTCTCTCGGCTGTTTTCATGGTCCTGTCTGGGGAAGCTTGGGGGTGGCTCGGCGTAGGTGGGACGCAGACCAAGGCCGAGGCTGGCGCTGGGCAGAGCCCGCCGGGCCTCCCGGGGACAGCGCCACTTGCGGTGTTTCTCAGACCGCTGCTGCCCATCTCCTCTGAGCGGGCCAGGGCCCCCACCCTTCCATCTGGGCCATGCCAGCTGTGTATGGAGAGCCGCTCACATACGACATTGGGTGCCAAAAGCCCCTGCCATCGAGAGCTCATGCAGCAGTCCCTCCTGCCTGAGCCCACACACTGACTCTGAGGCTCTTCTGTTCTCAGCGTGGTCCCTGCCTCTGCCGTGCCCTATCCGCGTGTGCCAGAAAGGGAAACTGATCTCACGATTCACCTGCCTGCTAACCTGGGAGGAGACTGCTTCTCTGATAGCATCTCACAGTTCTTTTAACATGTTCTTAAAATGTGTCCTGCCGCGCCACCCTCAGCCACACCTCCCAGCACCCATCCTGGAGAATCAGGGCCATGGCAAGGCTGCCGTTGGCAAAAGCCCAGCTCTGCCATGAATCTCCGTTCAGTTACTGGTTTCACACTCATTTGTGAGGTCACAGACTTGCCAAGGATATTCATGATTCAATCCATTACAACAATTCTGTGTGTACATAACACATTTTTTCCTTTCTTTTTTTTTTTTTTTTTCCTGAGACAGTCTTGCTCTGTTGCCCAGGCTAGAGCACAGTGGTGCAGTCTCAGCTCACTGCATCCTCCACCTCACAGGTTCAAGCAATTCTCCTGCCTCAGCCTCCCGAGTAGCTGGGATTGCAGGCACCCACCAACACACCTGACTAATTTTTGTATTTTTAGTAGAGACGGGGTTTCAGCATGTTGGCCAGGCTGGTCTCAAAATCCTGGCCTCAGGTATATACACATATTTTTACACACACACACACACACACACACACACACACACATAAAGGATTTAAGCCAGGTGCTGTGGTGTACAACTGTAGTCCCAGCTACTAGGGAGGCTGAGGTGGGAGGATCACTTGAGCCACTGCAGTGATTACACCACTGCACTCCAGACTGGGTGACAGTGAGACCCTGTCTCTTAAAAGAAAAAAGAAGAGGCCTTAGCTGCCTGCATTAATTAATGAACAGGCAGTGTATTTCTGTTCTTTTTTTTTTTTTTTTTTTGAAGACGGAGTCTCACTCTGTTGCCCAGGCTGGAGTGCAGTGGTGCAATCTTGGCTCACTGTAACCTCCGCCTCCTGAGTTCGAGATTCTCCTGTCTCAGCCACCCCAGTAACTGTGATTATGGCCACCTGCCACCATGCCCGGCTAATTTTTGTATTTTTAGTAGAGACGGGGTTTCCCCATGTCGGCCAAGCTGGTCTCAAACTCCCAACCTCAAGTGATCCACCTGCCTCGGCCTCCCAAAGTGCTGGGATGACAGGTGTGAGCCACCAAACCCAGCCTCAGGCAGTGCATTTCTAAAAGGCAGATAGTGTGATTGTTCAGAGGGTGAAGGGGAAGTTAAACTTGTCCAGTAAAATCTTCGTTAGCCCGGTATTCTGGATTGAAAAAGCAAAATATAGTTCAAGTAGGTCTCTTCAGTGTATCTAATAAGCTCTTGTTTCTGAAACAACTGATTCCTTGGCCGGGCGCGGTGGCTCACGCCTGTAATTCCAGCACTTTGGGAGGCCAAGGAGGGCAGATCACTTGAGGTCGGGAGCTCAAGACCAGCCTGGTCAACATGGTGAAACCTCGTCTCTAGTGAAAATACAAAAATTAGCCGACTGTGGTAGTGCACACCTGTAATCCCAGCTACTCGGGAGGCTGAGGTAGGAGAGAATTGCTTGAACCTGGGAGGCGGAGGCTGCAGTGAGCCAAGATCACACCACTGCACTACAGCCTGCGTGACAGAGTGAAACTCTGTCTCAAAAAAACAAAAACCTCCTGATTTTTTTTTTTTTTTTTTTTTTTTTTTTTTTTTTTGAGATGGAGTCTGGCTCTGTCGCCCAGGCTGGAGCGCAATGGTGCGATCTCGGCTCACTGCAACCTCTGCCTTCTGGATTCAAACGATTCTCCTGCCTCAGCCTCCAGAGTATCTGGAACTACAGGTGCCTGCCACCACGCCCAGCTAATTTTTTGTATTTTTAGTAGAGATGGGGTTTCACCATGTTAGCCTGGATGGTCTCGATCTCCTGACCTCGTGATTTGCCCACCTCGGCCTCCGAAAGTGTTGGGATTACAGGCATGAGCCGCCACACCCGGCCGCCTCCTGATTTCATAATAATTCAAGGGACAAACATAATTACTTCCCAGGTAAGGCAGTAGAGTGACTAAGAACAAATCCACTTCTGGACAGCCATTATATAGGGGACATTTTTATCAGAAAAACAGTAAAAGCAAGGAAATGTCTCCCTCCCAGGACTGTATGAATTAAACCCTGCCTGCTGATTGCCAAGTGACAACTCCCATTCCAAGCCCCTGGTCCTCAGTGGGGAGGAAACCAAAGCTTTGTCCCTGGAGGGAGGTCCTGCGGGAATGGCCAGGGACGCATCCGCTCTCAAATGCTAGAGCTGGCAGTTGTCATCTGCTCGTGAGAAGGTTTCGCCTTTGCCTGTCCCCACCCCCGTCCCTCCCAGGCCATCAGCGCACATCAGAGTTAGCACATTACATGATGCCTTAATCTTCTAATTGGTTTAAGTCAGCTGACATGTAAAGTGAGGTCTGGGAGACTGTTCTGGAACTGTATAGATGAGGACGTTGTTGCCCCAGTCTTATTCAGAAGCTTGAGGATGCAACTTGGACCTGGGTCTGTGGTCCCCTAGGACCTGAAACTCATATAGAGCCAGCCGCCAGTTCCATTTTGAAGTAGGTTGGTCTCTCTCTCTCTTTTTATTTTTTGAGACAGAGTTTCGCTCTTGTTGCCCAGGCTGGAGTGCAATGGCACGATCTCAGCTCACCGCAACCTCCACCTCCCAGTTCAAGCGATTCTCCTGCTTCAGCCTCCCGAGTAGCTGGGATTACAGGCATGTGCCACCACACCTGGCTAGTTTTGTATTTTTAGTAGAGATGGGGTTTCTCCATGTTGGTCAGGCTGGTCTGGAACTCCTGACCTCAAGCAATCCGCCCGCCCCAGCCTCCCAAAGTGCTGGGATAACAGGCATGAGCCCCTGTGCCTGGCTGTAGTTTGGTTTTTCTGAGCCTCCTCCTGGTTCCCATTTCTGTTTTTTTGTTTTTGTTTTTGTTTTTTCTCCAAAGACCAAAAGTTCCACCAGAGAGGAAGATCGAGGGACCAGGCCTTTCTAGTTTCCACATTACACTCTAAGTGCTGGTCTTAGTAAATTCAAGGCACCTGGTGGGCTTGACCATTCGGGGGCAGATAATTGTTACACACCAAAGGGGCATCTTTTGGAAAGTCACTGCCCAGTAACCACTTCCATCTTCTGGAAGGTCGCTGCTCATCTTCCTAAATGGAAGCCCCAGTTTCTGGACTTGGATGTGTTTTGAGGATCTGATGTTCTCCCAAAGTGCCTCAGTTTCCCTATGATGGGGAAAGAGGAAGGGGACGGATTTTAGGAATGGAGGTGACCTGGAGGCCGCTGTCCCTGTCCTTAGACCTGCGAGTCCAGGGGGATGACCGCAAACAGGGCTGTGGGGCCTTTCTTTACTCTCAAAAGCATCACTTCCCCTGCCTGGAGTTCAGATCCTGCCTGGATCCACGGTGGGAAGGGAGCTCTGGCTCTCTGTACTTCACCCACGGCTGCCCACTCACCTGGCTCACAGGGCAGACTGGATGCAGCTTTCAGCCAGTTGTAGAAATCACAGGTCCCTGGCCGGGAACGGTGACTCAGGCCTGTAATCCCAGCACTTTGGGAGGCCGAGGCGGGCGGATCATGAGGTCAGGAGATCGAGACCATCCTGGCTAGCACGGTGAAACCCCGTCTCTACTAAAAATACAAAAAATTAGCCGGGCATGGTGCTGGGCGCCTATAGTCCCAGCTACTCGGGAGGCTGAGGCAGAATGGCGTGAACCTGGGAGGCCAAGCTGGCAGTGAGCCGAGATCGCACCACTGCACTCTAGCCTGGGTGACAGAGCGAGACTCCGTCTCAAAAAAAAAGAAATCACAGGTCCCTAGGGGCCTAGTGGCCCATCGGTGACAAAGGGCAGGTGGACCTGGTGTGGCTGCACCAGAGGGGCCTTCTCATCCTGGGAACTGGGCTAAAAACCAAGCCCAGACTGAGGCCCATGCTTTTGTCCCCCCAGCCGCCTCGAGGTCCCTCCTTACCTGCCCCCTGCACCCCTACCCCATCTTAACTCTTTTTTTTTTTTTCCAAGATGGAGTCTCGCTCTGTGGCCCAGGCTGGAGTGCAGTGGTGCAATCTCTGTCCCCTGCAACCTCTGCCTACCAGGTTCAAGCTATTCTCCTGCCTCAGCCTCCCGAGTAGCTGGGATTACAGGTGTCCACCACCACACCCAGCTAATTTTTGTATTTTTAGTAGAGACGGGTTTCCCCATGTTGGCCAGGTTGGTCTCGAACTCCTGACCTCAAGTGATCCGCCTGCCTTGGCCTCCCAGAGTTCTGGGATTACAGGCGTGCGTGAGCCACTGCGCCTGGCACCGCACCTTAATTTTGAGGAAGTGTTGGGAAAGCTGGCTCTGACATCTCTTGTGAGGCAAGCCCAGCTGGGGAAGGTGTTTCCTGCCTGACTTCCTCCCCAGAAGCAATAGCAGGGCTTGCTGTGGCATCCGCTTCCTGCGGGGGCTCAAGGTTGCTCGTTCCTCAGGCTACATAAAGCAGTAAGGACCCACCCAGGAGGACCCCTCCAGAGGTGTGAGGGCGATTTGGTGGACACAGGTAGGGCCAGCGACAGAGCAGAGGGCACACCTCCCAGAGCCCCAAATGCCACAGGCTGAGAAGGTCTAGCTCTAGCTGCATCCAAAGGACCTGTTGAACTCCTGTCCCGATTGACACTAAAACTGTCCCCTCCTGTATGGTGCCCACACCCTTCAGGGGAAACCCCTGGATAAACAGCAGTCACTGCAGGTCTCCAAAAAGACAAGGCCGGAACAGGGAACCTGGGGTGCATGTTCAGGAAGCTGTGGCAAGTGTTGACACCACAGCCCCAAGTTTCTTTTTCTGGCCCGCCGAAGATGAGCTTCAGTCCCATGGAGGTGACAAGGTTGTCCTCCTGCATGATGGGGCTCTGCGGTGCCTCTGCGCCTGGGTAACCCCTCACCGAGAAAGCCACGTCTACAGGTCCCACCTGTCTGCAGGTGTGCCGCCCCCAACTCCAGGCCTGTGTGACTTAGCGACTGTCCCAGATCTCTCCTGGGAAGTGGCGCAGGGGCCTGGCCCTCAGTGAGTCCCAGAGGGACCGCACCACCATTGACTTCACTGTGCTGCTTGGAGCTGGGGAGATGTGGAAACGGCCACTCCAGACCCAGTGACTGGCTGGTGCTTAGGATGTGATTTCCTCATTACTGAAATTTGTTTCAAGTGTACAGAAATCACCATCGGCCACGTGCAGTGGCTCACGCCTATAATCCCAGCACTTTGGGAGGCCGAGGCGGGCGGATCACCTGAGGTCAGGAGTTCGAGACCAGCCTGGCCAATATGGAGAAATCCTGTCTGTACTAAAAATACAAAAATTAGCCGGGTGTGGTAGCGGAAACCTGTAATCCCAGCTACTCAGGAGGCTGAGGCAGGAGAATTGCTTGAACCCAGGAGGTTGGAGGTTGCAGTGAGCCGAGACTGCGCCATTGCACTGCAGCCTGGGCAACGGAGTGAGACTTTGCCTCAAAAAAAAAAAAAAAAAATTTCACCAAAGCCCCTGGGGGTGGTGGTGCACTGCGGAGTTTATAGCCTTCCTGGGTGGCAGAGGGCAACTGGGCCCCTGAGCACAGAAGTGGGGCTCCCGCGGGGGTGGGGCTGGCTTGGAAGGTCCCCATTCCTGTGGTGCATATTTGATGAGGGCCCATGTCGTGCCTGGAGCTGGGCCAGAAGCCACAGTGCAGTGCAGTGGGGACAGACCCAGCCTGTCCATGGGCTTGGTTACTGTCAGCCTGGCCGTGTCAGGGAAGGCTTCCAGGCCACCCACACAGCTGCACCACACCCAGACAAGCTCTCCAAGGGACATCATGAGACTGCTCCACTGTCAGAGCCCCGGGCCGGTGGTCCCAGCAACTTGGGGTGCCTGCTGTCCTTCATGTGACATTTTCTTCATTCAAAGCTCAATTTAAACAGCAAGAAGCCTCCCTGCCTCCTACCTGGCAATTTCCCTGCCCCGCACCTTGGAGGCAGCCCCTGCGCAGTTTGCATCTGGTGATGGCCAACGTTTGCCACCCTAGTACTTGACCCTATTTAATCCTCACGGCAGCCCATGAAGTGGGTACAGTGGTCAGTGCCATTTCACAGATGAAAAGACAGAGGCTCAGGGAGCTTCAGCCACGTGCACAGCTCAGCCGTCAGCCTGCACGTCTCCCCACGGGGCCTGGGTCTCCGTCTGACTCCCCTGAGTTGAATGCCTGGGGCCTGGAGCCCATTCTCTTGTGTCCCTAGGCCAAGGGCTGGAGATCAGGTCTAGGGGAGAAGGGAATTCCCAGGGGTGTGGTTCAGGTGTGTCCTGGGACAGTCTCCCAAGGGCAGGTCCCTGATTCCCCTCTGCCGAGGCCTCAGGGTCCACCCCTGCCAAGCAGAGCCCAGCGCAGGTGATTTGGCTGATAAAGGAAGATGGGTCTCTGGGGAGGCAGCGAGTGGCCCACTTTCTTCTTTGCTTTTTTTTTTTGAGATGGAGTCTCACTCACTCTGTCTCCCAGGCTGGAATGCAGTGGCACGATCTCGGGTCACTGCAACCTCCGCCTCCCGGGTTCAAGAGAGTCTCCTGCCTCGGCCTCCTGAGTAGCTGGGATTACAAGCACCTGCCACCATGCCCAGCTAATTTTTGTATTTTTTGTAGAGATGGGGTTCACCATGTTGGCCAAGGCTGGAGTGGCCAGCGTTTCTGCCTATTGACACCTGCCTGCCAATACAGGGTCGGTCACACAGAGCCAGCGTCATAGGTACCTTGGGGCCCATCCTGCTGCCCTAGGCAGGAGGGAGAGCTGGTCCTGTGGGCTGGCCCAGGAGACGGTCACCCAGGGCTGTCCAAGGGGATGGATCCTGGCTGTCACTCGCTCAAGAAGAGGCAGCAGGAGAGGCTTAGGTTAGATCTGGGAAAGAACTGTCCCACCCAAAGGCTGATTTGCTCCAGTCCTGGGAACTGCTAGATTCCCTCTCCTGATAAAATGTCCCAGAGGGCACTGCGTGGGTCCCATGCCCTGACGCCAAGTCGCCTTTCTCCTGATATGGTACCCACTGGCCTGGCCTTGGGGATTTCCTGGTTAAAGAAATAGCGAGCTCAGCCCATCTGGGGAAAGCCAAGTGGCCTGAGGGCGGAGACGGTGACATTTGGAAAAAGGCCAGGACTGGCAGCTCAGACCTGGAAGCCCCCACTCCCTGCCAGCCTGGCTTGAGGTGAGAGCCTTCCTCATGAGCCCCCTACCCCCACTCATTCATTCATTCATTCATTCACATTGTTCAAGGGCAAGGCATGAGAGTGCAACAGTTAAATCATGGGCCTGGGTCCAGACTGCCCAAGTTCAATCGCGGTTCTAGCCTGGCGCGATGGCTCATGCCTGTAATCCCAGCACTTTGGGAGGCCGAGGCAGGCAGATCACTTGAGGTCAGGAGTTCGAGACCAGCCTGGGCAACATGGTGAAACCCCATCTCTACAAAAAATACAAAAATTAGCCGGGCGTGGTGGCACGAGCCTGTAATCCCAGCTACTCGGGAGGCTGGCACAGAATTTCTTGAACCAGGGAGGCGGAGGTTACAGTGAGGCAGGATTGCGCCACTGCACTCCAGCCTGGGTGACACAGCAAGACTCTGTCTCAAAACAAAAACAAAACAAATCCCAGTTCTGCATATACCAGCTGTGGCAATCTGTTTTCCTCTCTGTTTTCCCATCTGTGAAGTGGGGAAAATTGTACCCACTCCCTGACAGCCTCCTTGTGAGGAGAAGATACGGTCATAAATAGAAAGCACCTAGAATAGTGCCTGACGTAGGGCAGGGCGGCGGGGTGCGGGGGGCCCTTCCTATTAGCACTCGGGACGTGGGGGAATTCTTGGGGCCCTGGTATTGTTCTAACACCCAGTGATGGTTCACCAGCTGTCTCCTTTATAATAATTAGGTAAGAGATGTGGTTTTCTACATATTTCACAATACAAACATTTTTAGAAATTCTATTTCCTTCCCCTGAAAAAACTCTCTTATCTCTTTATTACTTCCTTCCTTAACTTTATTTTATTTTATTTTATTTATTTATTTTTTGAAACCAAGTCTACTCTGTTACCCAGCCTGGAGTGCAGTGGTGTGATCTCGGCTCACTGCAACCTCTGCCTCCCAGGTTCAAGCGATTCTTCTGCCTCAGCCTCCCAAGTAGCTGGGATTATAGGCTTGCAATGCCATGCCTGGCTAATTTTTTTATTTTTAGTAGAGACCCGGTTTCACCGTGTTGGCCAAGCTGGTCCCGAACTCCTGACCTCAGATGACCCACCCACCTTGGCCTCCCAAAGTGCTGGAATTACAGGCATGAGCCACTGCACCTATCTTTTTTTTTTTAATTAAAAAAATTATTTGGTACCTTGTTTCATCCATGCATTAAATTAAATCCTGGCCAGACACAGTGGCTTATGCCTGTAATCCCAGCATTTTGGGAGGCTGAGGTGGGAGGACCACTTGATACTGGAGCTTGAGACCAGGCCGAGCAGCATCTCGAGACCCCGTCTCTACAAAAAAAAAAATAATAATAATAATAATAATAAATAAAAAGTGGAAAAAATCCTATGTCATCCTGAAAAAAGGCTGTAAGCCTGCTTACAGAGGTCATTACAAGGTCAAACTCAAGTTCGGAGCGCTTCCTGCCTCTGCTCATCCAACAAACTTGCTGGATACCTCCTGTCTGCAGAGCACTTTGAGGGAACATAACAGGGTCTTGGGAGGCCACAGGAGGAGAGTTGAAAGATCACAGCCAGGGGCTCAGGGTGTCCACAGGACAAGTACCCTTGGCCAGGCAGTTACGCAAGTGTGGAAAGACCGCTAGAGGAAGGGAAGGAAGTGCCGAGAGCCCACAAAATTCTCTGCTTACAACCAGCCCCACTAGAACCTTCCTCTGCCCTGCCTCGACATGCCCAGGAGAGCATCGCTGCAGGTCTGGCCTCTGTGCTGAGCCTTTTTTTTTTTTTTTTCCTGAGACAGAATCTCACTCTGCTTCCCAGGCTGGAGTGCAGTGGCAGGATCTCGGCTCACTGCAACCTCCACCTCCCTGGTTCAAGTGATTCTCCTGTCTTACCCTCCGGAGTAGCTGGGATTACAGGTGTGTGCCACCATGCCCAGCTAATTTTTGTATTTTTAGTGGAGACTGGGTTTCACCATGTTGGGCCAGCTGGTCTTGAACTCCTGACCTCAGGTGATCCGCCCACCGTAGCCTCCCAAAGTTCTGGGATTAGAGCTATGAGCCACCATGCCTGGCTACCATGCTGGGCCTTTCGAGGAGGCATTTGACAGGGAAGATGAGAGACAAATTGAGTGTCAGGGAAGGGGTGTTGATAGAAAAATTACAGGAGAGCACACAACTTTCAGCGGGTGAGCCCAGTGCCTGAGCTGCGGGACCACCCTACCAATGACCTTGAACTTATCTGACTGCAGCCTTGAACTCCTGAGCTCAAGGAGTCCTTCTGCCTCAGCCTCCTCCCAAGTAGCTGGGACTACTGGCACATGCCACCATGCCCAGCTAATTATTTTTTTTATTTTATTTTATTTTATTTTATTTTATTTTATTTTATTTTATTTTATTTTATTTATTTTATTTTATTTTATTTTATTTTATTTTATTTTATTTTATTTTATTTTATTTTGAGATGGAGTTTTGTCCTTGTTGCCCAGGCTGGAGTGCAATGGTGCAATCTCAGCTCGCCGCAACTTCTGCCTCCCAGGTTCAAGCGAATTCTCCTGCCTCAGCCTCCTGAGTAGCTGGGATTACAGGCATGTGCCACCACGCCTGGCTAATTTTGTATTTTTAGTAGAGACGGGGTTTCACCATGTTGGCCACGCTGGTCTCGAACCCCTGACCTCAGGTGATCCACCTGCCTCGGCCTCCCAAAGTACTGAGATTACAGGCATGAGCCACCGCACCTGGCCCCACTTGTGGAACTAGCATCTATCTGGAGAGGAGGCAAACATCGCCCACCACCTCCCGCTCTCTCCTGTCACCACTGTCCCCACCATCATTCCAGAGGTCACCCTGGCTTCCAACACCACAGCCTGGCTTGGGCAGTTTTCAAGCCTCGTATAAATGACATCCTCCAGAACATGTGCTCTGTGCCTGCCTTCCTTCCGTCAGTGATGTATCTGGAAGATTCCACTGTGTCGCCCTGTGGGACAGGTCCTTGTCATTGCTGAGTAGATCCTGTTGCAAATGCCTATCTCTCTTCATGGAAAGATCCAAGATATACAGATGGAAATCATCATAGGAAGGGCTGGCAAGGCCGTTCACACCCAGGGCTGGGGACCTCAGGGTGGAGGTGGGGGACAGTAAGGACCAGAAGGAGCAGGTGCCGGCGGGTGATGTGAGCTTTCTTCTCTATAGAGAAGTGAAGGCCGGGTGCAGTGGCTCACTCCTGTAATCCCAGCGCTTTGGGAGGTCGAGGCGGGCAGATCACTTGAGGTCAGGAGTTCGAGACCAGCCTGGGCAATTTGGTGAAACCCCATCACTATAAAAATACAAAAAATTAGCCGGACGTGGTGGTGCACGCCTGTAATCCCAGCTATTTGGGAGGCTGAGGCAGGAGAATTGCTTGTACCCGGAAGGTGAAGGTTGCAGTGAGCCGAGATCATGCCACTGCATACCAGCCTGGGGGACAGAAAGAGACTCTGTCTCAAAAAAAAAAAAAAGAAAAAAAGAAGTGAAGCACTTGCCAAGCAAATCTTTCAGAGCAGGTGGAGTGGACCCTACACCTCTTGGATAATAAATGCACTGGATAATAAAAGCAGGAACAGGCCAGGTGTGGTGGCATGTGCCTGTAGTCCCAACCTACTGGGGAGGCCAAGGCAGGAGGACTGCTTGAGCCCAGGAGTTGGAGGCTGCAGTGAGTTATGACCAGGCAACTGCACTCCAGCCTGGGTGACAGATAGAGACCCTGTCTTTAAAAAAAAAAAAAAAAAAAAAAAAGGGCCAGGCACAGTGGCTCATGCCTGTAATCCCAACACTTTGGGAGGCTGAGGCGGGTGGATCTCCTGAGCTCAGGAGTTCAAGACCAGCCTGGCCAACAGGGTGATACCCCTTCTCTACTAAAAATACAAAATTAGCCAGGCGTGGTGGCGCACACCTGTAATCCCAGCTACTTGGGAAGCTGAGGCAGGAGAATCGCTTGAACCTGGAAGGCAGAGGTTGCAGTGAGCCGAGATTGTGCCACTGCACTCCAGCCTGGGCAACAAGAGCGAAACTTCGCTTCAAACAAATAAATTAACGCCCAGCATGTCTTGGCTTTCATCTGCCAGACCTCAACCCTCACCCCCAGGAGATCAGGTCCGGACCACGAGCTGACCCTGGACTCAGGCAAGGGTGAGTTGGTGCAGCCCTGGCCTGCTGGGAGGCACAGGCTGCAGCAGGCTGCCTGGGGCTGAGGCCCACCACTCATGAACTCATGACCTTGAATGAGCTCCAAAAGCTCTGGGCCTCCCAGGCTCTAGGGGGAGTGGGAGAGAGAGGCCTCAGCCTGTCCCTGGGCATGCTGCCCCCTCCTCACCTCTTTGTCCCAAATCCCCTTCCTGGCAAAGCTGACAGTCTTAATATCACTCTGGAGAAAACTGAGTCAGCCCTAAGGAACAATTCAATGAACCATTTGCTTACTTGAGGATTGGAACTCAAGTCTCACTCAAAGTCTGTGCCATTTTCGTCCCAGCTGTCACTGGCCCTCATCCACACACACCCAAGGATGAGCATCTAACGCTTGCATGCACACTCCCATGCCCGCGTTCATTCACTCATTCATTCATTCATTCACTCATTCATTGACTCATTCATTCATTCACTCACTCATTCATTCACTCAGTGAATGTTGCAGTCACGATCCAAATATTTATGGCCTCTGTGTGCCAGGCACTAGATGGAGGGGCTGGGGCTAGAGCCCCTGATAACCCGGTCATGCCCTAGCTTTCCTGGGACACACATTGTGGTAAGGGGAGACTAAAAAAATTAAGTCAGGCCAGGCACGGTGGCTCATGCCTGAATCCCAGCACTTTGGGAGGCCGAGGCGAGTGAATTACCTGAGGTCAGGAGTTCAAGACCAGCCTGGCCAACATGGAGAAACCCAGTCTCTAATTAAAAAAAAAAAAAAATTAGCCAGGTGTGGTGGCACATGCCTGTAATCCCAGCTACTCAGGAGACTAACGCAAGAGAATTGCTTGAACCCAGGAGGCAGAGGTTGCGGTGAGCCGAGATCGCGCCATTGCACTCCAGCCTGGGAAACAAGAGCGAGACTCCATCTCAAAAAAAAAAAAAGTGGGAGGCAGAGGCAGGAGGATCACTAGAGGCCAGTAGTTTGAGACCATCCTGGGCAACATAGCAGGACCCTGTCTGTACAAAAAAATTAAAAAAAATTTAACCGGGCATGGTGGCACACACCCGTAGTCCCAGCTACTCCAGAGGCTGAGGCAGGAGGATCGCTGGAGCCCAGGAGTTGGAGGCTGCAGTGAACTGTGATCCCACCACTGCGCTTAAGCCTGGATAACAAAGCAAGACCCTGTCTCAAATAACAATAGCAATAATAATAAAGAAAAATTAAATGCAATTTGCGATGCATCAGTGATAAGTGCTCTGCAGAAAAAGGAGGCAGGAAGAGGCTGAGAAAGGTATGAGGTTTGCTATGCAATGTGAAGTTATCAAGGAAGGCTTCTCGGAAGAGGTGACATTTGAGCAGAGAAATGGAGGAGAGTTATGGAGGGAAGATGGTGAATGGGGGGAACATGGTCAAGACCAGGAATATGGTCAAGGGGGGAAAGATGGTCAAGGGGACGCAGCAAATGCAAAGGCCCTGAGGCAGGAGCAGCTTGATTCACCCCCAAAACCCGTGGGGCCCGTGCAGGCGACGGGAAGGACAAGTGTAAACCCTTTTCCTTGTCCCTGCAGGTGTGTGTGAACATGAGTCTGCCCATGTTTACACCCTGCAAGCCTGAAGAGTCCCCAGAAACTGAAAGAAGAAGCAAAGCCCTTTCTGTACCCTCCCTGCCCCCTGTCCCGACCGCGACAAAAGCGACTTCCTCTTTCCAGTGCATTTAAGGCGCAGCCTGGAAGTGCCAGGGAGCACTGGAGGCCACCCAGTCATGGGGGACACCTTCATCCGTCACATCGCCCTGCTGGGCTTTGAGAAGCGCTTCGTACCCAGCCAGCACTATGTGAGTAGCTGGTGGAGGGCATCCCGTGGGGGGAATACGGGAGGGACAGCACGGCCACCCTTGCAGTCCCAGGGCCAACCAGCTCCAGTGAGGACTAACGGGGCAGGGTCTTGGGCACCTGGTCCCTGGTCTTTGAGCCTGGATCTACCCCTCTGATCCCTGGGAAGACAGTTCCCTTGGACCCGCCCTGGGCCCCAGCCCTTTACTGTCCCCGCCTGTGTCCCCAGCCAGGCCCTCAGCCTTAGCCAGGAGTCCTCTTTCTGCTCCCCTGCCATGGCCAGGCAGCCCAGCGCTCTCTCAGGTCCGAGGCCCACTCCTCCAGGAAGCCTTCCCTGACTAGCCCAGCTATCAGAGAGTGGCCCTCCCAAGAGGGAGGCCTGGAAACTAAAGCTCTCTCTCTCCCCAGCTGCCTGTAGTGTCAGTTAGAGTCTTATCCTCTCCAGTAGGGTGACACCATGACAGGGGCCAATAGAGTCCTCCCATCTGTCCCCAAGGAGGCTGGACAAATGCCTGCTCAGACACACAAGTCCACTGGGTCCCCTAATCCCATAGGAAGGCCAGGGAGGAACTACATTTAGGAAATTGAAGCTTGTATGGAACATTTAGTCCTATGTGCCAAGACCTTTCTCTTTTTTGTTATTTTTTTGTTTTTTGAGACAGAGTCTTGATCTGTTGCCCAGGCCAGAGTGCAGTGGCACGATCTCAGCTCACTGCAACCTCCGCCTTCCAGGTTCAACTGGTTCTCCTGCCTCAGCCTCCAGAGTAGTTGGGATTACAGGTGCCCACCACCACGCCTGGCTAATTTTTGTATTTTTAGTAGAGACAGGGTTTCACCATGTTGGCCAGACTGGTCTCAAACTCCTGACCTCAAGTGATCCACCCACCTGGGCCTCCCAAAGTGCTGGGATTACAGGCATGAGCCACCGTGCCTGGCCTGTTTTTTTGAAATGAGGTCTGGAGTGCAGTGGTGCGATCATAGTTCACTGCAGCCTCAACCTCCCAGGCCCAAGTGATCCTCCTGCCTCAGCCCCTTGAGTAGCTGGGGCTACAGGCGCACACCACCATGCCTGGCTAGTTTTTAAAATTTTTGTGGAGATGAGGTTTCACTATGTTGTCCAGGCTAATCTTGAACTCCTCGGCTTAAGCAACCCTCTGGTCTCAGCCTCCCACAGTGCTAGGATTACAAGCGTGAGCTACCGTGCCTAGTCACTTTTCTCCTTTTCTTTGTAACTTTCAGTTTTGAAATTTCAAATTTACAGAAAGGCTACTGGGTGTCAAAACGGTACCAGTCACTCCAATAGTCTTTCACTCACCTTCATCCACACCTCTCTTTCTGGGGATATTTTCTGAATTATTTGAGAGTGAGTTGAAGACGTGTTTCTTTACCTCTAAATACTAGTTGTTGGGCATTTCTTAAAATCAAGGCATTCTCTTACATAATCACAACACACGTGTCAAAATCAGGAAATTAACATGGACAAAACACCATTATCCACCCACAGACTTTACTGAGGTTTCCCCGATTATCCTGCTTGTCCTCTGCAGTGAAAACTTTTTTCAGGTCTAGGATCCAGTCAAGGATCAATGTCATAGCCTTTAACCTTCTTTAATCTGGATCAGTCTTTTTTCTTTTTCTTTTTCTTTTTTTGGACACGGAATCTCACTCTGTCGCCAGACTGGAGTGCAGTGGTGCAATCTCGGCTCATTGCAACCTCTGCCTCCTGGGTTCAAGAGATTCTCCTGCCTCAGCCTCCTGAGTAGCTGGGAATACAGGTGCGCGCCACCACGCCCAGCTCGTTTTTGGTAGAGACAGGGTTTTGCCATATTGATTCTGGATCAGTCTTTTTTTTTTTTTTTATGAGATGGAGTCTTACTCTGTCACCCAGGCTGGAGTGCAATGGCACAATCTCCACTCACTGCATCCTCCGCCTCCCAGGTTCAAGCAATTCTCGTGCCTCAGCCTCCCGAGTAGCTGGGATTACAGGCATGCGCCACCATGCCCGGCTACTTTTTGTATTTTTAGTAGAGACAGGGTTTCACCATGTTAGCCAGGCTGATCTCGAACTCCTGACGTCAGGTGATCTGCCCGCCTCGACCTCCCAAAGTGCTGGGATTACAGGCGTGAGCCACCGTGCCAGCGGATTCTGGATCGGTCTTAATCAGTCTTTGTCTTTTGCAACTTTGATGTTTTGCAGAGAGCAGACCAGTTACCTTGTAGAATGTCCCTTAGTTTGGGTTTATCTTCATTAGATTCAGTTTGTGTATCCAGGGCAGTGGATCTTAGATGCAATTCTGTCTTCTTTTTAATTTTTTTGAGAGGGAGTCTCGCTCTGTCACCCAGGCTGGAGTGCAGTGGCACAACCTCAGCTCACTGCAGCCTCCGCCTCCCGGGTTCAAGCAATTCTCCTGTCCCAGCCTCCCAAGTAGCTGGGATCACAGGTGCCCATCACCACTACCGGGTAATTTTTGTGTTTTTAGTAGAGACAGGGTTTCACCATATTGGTCAGGCTGGTCTTGAACGCCTGACCTCAGGTGATCCACCTGCCTTGGCCTCCCAAAGTGCTGGGATTACAGACGGGAGCCAACATGCCCAGCCTTCCTGCCCCTCCCGTCCCCTCCCCTCTCCTCCTGTCCCCTCCCTTCCCCTCCCCTCCCCACCCAAGCTGGAGTGCAGTGGTGCAATCATAGCTCACTAAAGCCTTGACCTCCAAGTCTCAAGCAATTCTCCTGCCTCACCTGGGGCCACAGGTGTGCGGCACCACACCCGGACAATTTTTGTGTTTTTAGTAGATATGGGGGTCTCGCTATGTTGCCCAGGCTGGTCTCAAACTCTTGGACTCAAGCGATCTTCCCACCTCGGTACTAAAAAGTGCTGGGATTCCAGGTGTGAGCCACCGTGCCCAGCCTAGGTCCTACTTTTATCTCCAATTTACAGATGAGTCCATTTGAGAGAAGCTGACCCTCTTGCCCTGGGTCTCAAGGCTGGGGCGTGGCAGCACTTGGGTCCACGTTTGTGCCCTTTCTGCAATCCAGGACAACTGCAAAGATGGTCCTCACCCCAATCCTCTGGGCTTCCTCCAGTGGGTAGTGGGATCCTGGGTGCACACAGCAAAGCCTCTTTGGAGGCTGAATGGGGTCCCCCGACTCTGGCTTTCCCCCAGGTACATGTTCCTGGTGAAATGGCAGGACCTGTCGGAGAAGGTGGTCTACCGGCGCTTCACCGAGATCTACGAGTTCCATGTGAGTGTGGGGACGGAGGAGGGACAGGGACCCACCGTTCCAGCTCCACCCTTTGGGAAGGACCTTAGCCCAGGTGATGGGGAAACTGCAGAACCCAGAATCCCCTCCCAGACCACAGTTAAAGGGGATTTATTTATTTATATAAATTTTTGTGACAGGGTCTTGCTCTGTCACCCAGGGTCTTGCTCTGTCACCACTCTGAACACCTCATGTTCTCTGATTACAGGCATGAGCCCCCACGGTCGGCCTTTTAGGTGGTTTTGAGAGGTATTTAGGTTTGCAGTGCAGGGGCGCAATCATAGCTCACTGCAGCCTCAACCTCTGGGGCTCAAGCGATCCTCCTGCCTCAGCCTCCTGAGTAGCTGGGACTATAGGTGCGCATCACCATGTGTGGCTAATTTTTGTATTTTTTATAAAGATGGGGATCTCACTATGTTGCCCAGGCTGGTCTTGAACTCCAGACCTCAAGTGATCCTCCTGCCTTGGCCTCCCAAAGCTAAGGGGGCATTAAAAGAAAAAAACATTTTTCCCCCTGAAACATTTAAGTAGTCTTACTGAAAACAATAAAACACAGAAACACCAGATTCTCATTTTAAAGTAAAACAGACAGGATCTCCCAGAACCTTCCTAGAATGGAACCATTCTTGTCGCTTTTGAAAAACAAAGCCAAGTTCTAGATCCCAAATAAATGCACCTGCTGGTGAACATTCTCCTTGTGGTTCTCGTCCCTATGTTAGTTATTTTCCTAAATTTTACATTTGTACCTTTTTAAGAATGAGTTATCAGTTTTTTTATATTTGCTTTTCTTTTGAGATGGGGTCTTGCTCTGTCACCCAGGCTGGGGTGCAGTGGTGCAATCACGGCTCACTGCAGCCTCAACCTCCAGGGCTGAAGCGATTCTCCCATCTCAGCCTCCCATGTTGAGATCACAGGTGTGCACCACCACACCTGGCTCCTTTTCCTGATTTGTTTTTTGTAGAGATGGGATTTCGCTATGTTGCCCAGGCTGGTCTCTAACTCCTGGACTCAAGTGATCCTCCCGCCTCAGCTTCCCAAATTGCTAGGATTACAGGTTTGAGCCCCTGCACCTGGTCAACCTGAGTTTTAAGAGGATCCCTTTGGCGACTGGATTGAGGACAGACAAGAGTGGACGGGGGACACAAGGAGGCCATTTTCGTTATCCAGGCCTGGTAGTGGCTAGGGCCAGGAGGGTGGGGTTGGTGGGAAGCAGTCAGATCCCAAAGAGATTTGGGGATTGGAAGCAAAAAGATTTGCTGGTGACTTGCACATGGGAGGGAGAGAGGTCAGTGCCTCTGTTAATCAAGGAATCCAGATTGCCACCGAAATTTCTAGGCCCGAGATATTTAGGTAGTGTCTCACTCTGTCACCCAGGATGGAGTGCAGTGGCGCCATCTCGGCTCACTGTAACCTCCGCCTCCCAGGTTTAAACGATTCTCCCACCTCAGCCTCCTGAGTAGCTGGGATTACAGGCATGTGCCACCACTCCCGGCTAATTTTTGTATTTTTAGTAGAGACGGGGTTTCACCACGTTGGCCAGGCTGGTCTTGAACTCCTGACCTCAAGTGATCCACCCACGACAGCCTCCCAAAGTGCTGGGATTACAGGCGTGAGCCACCATGCTCGGCCTTTTAGGTGGTTTTGAGAGGTATTTAGGTCACTTCCAATCTCGTGCTTTTCCAAGTGTTGTAAACTACAAATATTCCTTCACGTCTTCTTGTCTTTTTAATGTTTAGAAAACCTTAAAAGAAATGTTCCCTATTGAGGCAGGGGCGATCAATCCAGAGAACAGGATCATCCCCCACCTCCCAGGTGAGCACGGGGCTGAGCCGCCTGTCAGGGGGTCATTGGTGGGGGCTCACCTGCCCTCCCAGCCCCTCTCGGGCTTGACCTCATGTTCTCTGGTGCCAGCTCCCAAGTGGTTTGACGGGCAGCGGGCCGCCGAGAACCACCAGGGCACACTTACCGAGTACTGCAGCACGCTCATGAGCCTGCCCACCAAGATCTCCCGCTGTCCCCACCTCCTCGACTTCTTCAAGGTGCGCCCTGATGACCTCAAGCTCCCCACGGACAACCAGTGAGTGAACTTTTCACCCTGCCAGGTGGGAGAGGGAAGGAGGGGTGGGACTTTCTGTGTTTTGCAGATGAGGAAACCAAGGCTCAGAGAGGGAAAGCCACCTTCCCAGAGCCACACAGCCAGAAAGAGGAGGCAAATTCCACCTCCGGCCCCTGTGACCCCGCCAAGCCTCCACCTTAATCTTTCACACCTCAGGGCACTGGGGGAAGCACTCGGGGCTGGAGGTTCAAAGTCCTGGGTCCTCATCCTGACATTATGGCCACCTGGCCATGGGACCTGGAGCCAGTCACCACTGCTCTCTGAATGCAGGTTCTCCATTTCTATAATGGGCAGTGAGGATCAGATGAAGCATTGGGTGTCTTGCGGAGCCCCCCAGAAGGATGTGGGGTTGATGCCTCTGCTAAGTGCTGAGCATGTCTGGGGTCTCCTGTACCCAGGACCCTGTGTGGAAGGCACCTGAGAGGCTGAGGGAGCTCCAGGCAGGCTGGGGAAGTCCCCTTCTCCACTCCTCTCTGGTCACTGAAGCTCGAAGTGGGGAGCATGAGGACAGGACGTTACCCCTTGTCAAGGCACCCAGGCTGCCAAGACAGAGACAAGCAGCATTGCTCCGGCCAGCACTTATTGACGCTTGAAGGTGTCCCCTGGCCCAAGGAAGGGCAGTTATCATCAGCCCGGGAGGCGGGGGAAGGATGGACTCTGCAGTGGGGTCCGCTCCTCATTGCCTGCTCTCTCAGGGCTCCAGAAGGAGGAAGAGGCCGGGCACAGTGGCTCACACCTATAATCCCAGCACTTTGGAAGGTCGAGGTGGGCAGATCACCTGAGGTTGGGAGTTTGAGACCAGCCTGGCCAACATGGTGAAACCCCATCTCTACCAAAAATATAAAAATTTAGTCAGGCATGGTGGTGTGCGCTTGTAATCCCAGCTACTTGGGAGGCCGAGGCAGGAGAATCGCTTGAACCCGGGAGGCAGAGGTTGCAGTGAGCTGAGACTGCGCCACTGCACTCCAGCCTGGGTGACAGAGCGAGACTCTGTCTAAGAAAAAAAAAAGAAAAGAAGAAAGAAGATGGCCTGGGAGCCCGCAAGAGCATTTTCCAGGCTTAGGGCATCCTTTGGGTCTGCAGAAGGCTATGCAGTGTCCTCCTCATGTCCCTCCCTTGGGCTGCCCGAGCAGATCCGCCCGCCCCCATCACTTCCTGAAGCCCTTCCTCAGCCAGTCCAGTTGCTGTCTTCTCTCCGCAGTGCCCCTTCCCTTTCCCGGGTCCCTCTTCTCTTGGGAAGTTCTTCTGCAGGTCTACCCAGTGCCTCTTCTTCCTCCATGGGAAGCCAAGGGTCTCACCCAGACTGTTCTCTCCTCAGGACAAAAAAGCCAGAGACATACTTGATGCCCAAAGATGGCAAGAGTACCGCGACAGGTGAGAGGACGGGGGGCAGCCGGCGGGGGGGGACACCCTGAGGAGACCCAGAGTGTTCAGGGAATGGAGCAGGGGCTGGGAGCAGGCTGGGAGGGCTCACAGCTACCCTGCTGAAGAATTGGGTCTTTGGGCCGGGTGCGGTTGCTCATGCCTGTAATCCCAGCAGTTTGGGAGGCCGAGGCAGGTGGATCACTTGAGGTCAGGAGTTTGAGACCAGCCTGGCCAACATGGAGAAACCCTGTCTCTACTAAAAATCCAAATTAGCCAGGCGTGGTGACAGGTGCCTGTAGTCCCAGCCACTTGGGAGGCTGAGGCAGGAGAATTGCTTGAACCCGGAAGACGGAGTTTGCAGTGAGCCGAGATCGTGCCACTGCACTCCAGCCTGGGCAGCAGAGCCAGACTCCATCTCAAAAAAAAAAAAAAAAAGAAGAATTGGGTCTTTGGAAGGTCCCTGGAGACTGAAAGGAGCCCTTTGCAGGTGGCAGTGCAGAGACCAGCGCAGACCCTTGCTACTGGCAGCCGGGGGAGTGTTTGCGGCTGAATGAATGAACAGGTTTTGGAGGGCAGCGTGGCCTTCAGAGGCGATGCAGGGCTGTGGCAGTTTCTAATACTTATTGCACAGTCGCTGCTAATAACAATAATAATAATAATACCTAACATTAATGGAGTGCTTACTCTGTGCCAGCCACTATTTTGTTTTTGTTGTTTTCAGTGACAGGGTCTCGCTCTGTTGCCCAGGCCAGAGTGAAGTGGTGTGATCATAGCTCACTACAGCCTCGACCTCCTGGGCTGAAGCGATCCTCCCACCTCAGCCTTCCAAGTAGCTGGGATTACAGGTGTGTGCCACCATGTCCAGCTAATTTTTAATTTTCTGATAGAGATGGGGTCTCACTACATTGCCCAGGCTGGTCTTAAGCTCTTGGCCTCAAGCAACCCTCCTGCCTCAGCCTCCCAAAGTGCTGAGATTATAGACATGAGCCACTGTGCCCGGCTTTTTCTTCTTCTTATAAGGACACGAGGCCTGTTGGGTTAGGGCCCACTCTACTGACCTCATTTTAACTTAATTACCTCTTGAAACGTACTTAAGAGTACCTTTCTCTTAATATACCCACGCTGTAAGGTACTGGGTGGTTAGGACTTCAACATATGAATTTTGAGAAGGCAGATGTCAGCCAATACCAAACAGCATCAGCACCTCCACGGTTGGATGAAGGGCTGGTCAGAAATGCACACTCAGGTCCCACAGTGGACCTACTGAACAGGATAGGCATTTTAGCAAAATCCCAGGTATTCGGGTGCACCTTAAAGTTAGGAAAAGGTCAGGCACTGTGGCTCATGCCTGTAATCCCAGCACTTTGGGAGGCCGAGGCGGTTGAATCACCTGAGGTCAGGAGTTCGAGACCAGCCTGACCAATATCGTGAAACTCCATCTCTACTAAAAATACAAAAATTAGCCAGGTGTGGTGGCGGGTGCTTGTAGTCCCAGCTACTTGGGAGGCTGAGGCAGGTGAATTACTTGAACCTGGGAGGTGGAGGTTGCAATGAGCCAAGATTGCACCACTGCACTCCAGTGACAGAGCGAGACTCCATCTCAAAAAAAAAAAAAAAAAAAAAAAGTTGGGAAAAGGCCAGGTGCAGTGGCTCCACACCTGTAATCCCAACACTTTAAGAGGCTGAGGTGGGAGAATCCTTTGAGCCCAGGAGTTCGAGACCAGCCTGGGCATTGTCCCAAGACCTTGTCTTTACAAAAAATTAGCCGGGTGTGGTGGCATACGTCTGTGGTCCCAGCTATTCGGGAGGCTGAGGCAGGGAGATTGCTTGAGCCTAGGAGTCTAGGGCTGTAGTGAGCTGTGATCACATCACTGTACTCTAGCCTGGGCAACAGAGCAAGACTCTGTCTCCAAAAAAGAAAATAAAGTTGGGAAAGGCTCACTAACTTCATCAGATGAGAACAAGGACATGTTTGAAGTGTGAGGCCGAAGCCTGGAGAACGCTATGCGCCCAGGAAATGCAGGGCAGCAGAGACTCAAGATGCCAGCGCCTGTTCTGGAGGCCCAGATGGGCCCTGCAATGCCCACTCACCCTGCCCTCCCTCTTGCCCCAGACATCACCGGCCCCATCATCCTGCAGACGTACCGCGCCATTGCCGACTACGAGAAGACCTCGGGCTCCGAGATGGCTCTGTCCACGGGGGACGTGGTGGAGGTCGTGGAGAAGAGCGAGAGCGGTCAGACCTCCCACCTTACGGGGCTCCTTCCCCTGGTGCTCAGGAACCCACAGCCACAAGCCCCCTGCCAAGGCTCAGGCAGCCTGGCCCCTGGGAGGACTCCAGCTCTGTTAGGGGCCCTAAATGTCCTCCCCACACTGTGGGTCGCCTTCTCTCTTAGTGTGCACCCTGTGGTGGCTGTGGGCATCTGTGCATGGCAGGCCGGGGCGGGGCATGTCTGCGTGTTCTGTCTGGATGGGTATGGGACCGTCTGTTCATTATGAAGTGGGCTCAGAGCTGTGATTCTGTGAGCATGTGTGCATGCATGCATGTGACCTCATTGTCCAGTGTGGTGAAGGTGACATTTCCAAATCTGAGCATTGGACATCAGTGTGTCTGTGTCCCTGTGTCCTCACCATCCCTGATGGCTGCAGGGAGCCGCTGGGCCCTGCCCCTCAGTCACATTCCCGCACCTCTGGCACAGGTTGGTGGTTCTGTCAGATGAAAGCAAAGCGAGGCTGGATCCCAGCATCCTTCCTCGAGCCCCTGGACAGTCCTGACGAGACGGAAGACCCTGAGCCCAACTATGCAGGTGCCCCCTGCCCTCCGAGGCTGTAGGGGTGTGGGAGAAAGGGGCAGGCAGGGCTCAGGGATATTGAGTGACTGCTTTGGAGTCTGGGCTGGTTGCTGGCTTGGCAGAAAAGTCAGGGCTAAGATCTCATCGGCTCTGGCTTGGGGGCCCTGGCAGGTTGTGATGCCCTTGGTCTGGACAGGGAACCAGGAGGAGGAGCAGACGACTCGGGAGAGTGGGAGGCCAGTGGTGTCTGTGGATATGTGGCCAGGTTCAGTGGGAAGCTGAAGGATGAGCAGACCTTAGGCTCAGGAAGGAGGGCTGCCTGGAAGTGGGGGCATCATCACTGACCAGAAAGGGAAAACTGGCAGTGCCAGGGCTGGATGGGGCCTGCATTGAGCTTGAAAAAAACTATAATAGAATTGGTTACCATTTTATTTTATTATTTATTTATTTATTTTACTTTTTTGAGATAGAGTCTCACTCCCTTGCTAAGGCTGGAGTGCGGTGGTGCTATCTCAGCTCACTGCAACCTCTGCCTCCCAGGATCAAGTGATTCTCCAGCCTCAGCCTCCCCAGGTAGCTGGGATTACAAGCATGCACCACCATGCCTGGATAATTTTTGTATTTTTAGTTGAGACGGGGTTTCACCAGGTTGGCCAGACTGGTCTCGAACTTCTGACCTCAGGTGATCTGCCTGCCTTGGCCTCCCAAAGTGCTGGAATTACAGATGTGAGCCACTGTCCCTGGCCTGGTTACCCACATTTTAAAATGGAGTGATTTCACCCTTTTATGTGGATTTACAGCTTTTTTTTTTTTTTTTGAGACAAAGTCTGGCTCTGTCACCCAGGCTGGAGTGCAGTAATGCAATCTCAGCTCACTGCAACCTTAGCCTCCTGGGTTCAAGCAATTCTCCTGCCTCAGCCACCTGAGTAGCTGGGATTACAGGCATGCACCACCACGCCAGGCTAATTTTTTGTATTTTTAGTAGAGATGGGGTTTCGCCATGTTGGCCAGGCTGGTCTCGAACTCCTGACCTCAGGTGATCCGCCCGCCTTGGCCTCCCAAAGTGCTAGGATTACAGGTGGGAACCACCTTGCCCAGCCTGTGGCTATCGTTTAAACACTGGGAAGGCCTGCAGCCCCCAGGCCGACAGTTAGCTGCAGCTGAGCAGTTCCCAGTGCCAGGTAGACGGATGCTCCACCCACCTACTCATGGCTGATCTCTTGTCATAGTGAAGTGTCTGGACAGACCTTCATCGTTATGGGATCTCTGGTCCCCAGAGTGGGTGGCAATGAATGGGAGTGGACAAGCTCACCTGGGTGTAGGGGGCAGAGGGCCGAAGTCCAGAGTGTACCCCCAGAGTGGGTGCCAGCAGGAGCTTGCCGAGGGATCTGGGATGGAGCAGGAGGGTGGAGGGAGGAGACCCAGAAGAGGGGGAACTGTGGGCCCTGGGTGGGTCTGGAGTGCCTGGAGGAAGCCCAGGCGCAGAGAGGAGAAGATGGGATGGGTGGCGAGCCCCAGGCTGGGCCGACCTCACACTGTGCTCTGTGCCCCTGCCGTGGACCAGGTGAGCCATACGTCGCCATCAAGGCCTACACTGCTGTGGAGGGGGACGAGGTGTCCCTGCTCGAGGGTGAAGCTGTTGAGGTCATTCACAAGCTCCTGGACGGCTGGTGGGTCATCAGGTAGGAGGGCCCCTCTCCATCCAGAGCACCCATCTGAGTCAGCCCCAGCCAGGACGGGGTGTTTAGGGATCTGGGGTGACTTGTCCCTGGGACTCTGGGTAAGCCACTGCCCCTCTCTGGGCTTAGTTTCCATCTCAGTAGCAGGGAGGGATGAGCCCACCCTTGCCTGTCTTGTGGGGATCCAATGTCCTTGTCCAAGTGGGTGCATTTCTCCTTTGTGATTTAGGGTCTCTTCCCAACCATCTATTATTATTCCTTCTCTGGCAACATGGTGAACTGTTGTATAAATAATTACATTCCTAGCTAGGCGCAATGGCCCAGGCCTGTAATCCCAGCACTTTGGGAGCCCAGGACAGGACGATCACGTGAGGTCAGGAGTTCGAGACCACCCTGGCCAACATGGCAAAACCCTATCTCTACTAAAAACACAAACATGAGCCGGGTGTTGTGGTGGGAGCCTGTAATCCCAGCTACTCGGGAGTCTGAGACAAGAGAATCGCTTCAACCCGGGAGGCGGAGGTTACAGTGAGCCAAGATCGCGCCATTGCACTCCAGCCTGGGCAACGAGAGCGAAACTCCGTCTCAAAAAAAAAAAAAAAAAAAAAAGATTACTTTCTTTTTATCATTCCTTTATCTTTTAAAGCTTTCTTGCAGTCAGGTGCAGTGTCTCATGCCTGTAATCCCAACACTTTGGGAAGCTGAGGTGGGAGGATCACTCAAGGCTACAAGTTCAAGACCAACCTGGGCAATGTAGGGAGACCTCTGTCTCTACAAAAAAAATTTAAAAATAGCTGGATGTGGTAGCACACACCTGTAGCCCCAGCTACTCAGGAGGCTGAGGTGAAAGGATCACTTGACCCCAGGAGTTGGAGGCTGCAGTGAGCTATGACTGCACCACTGCACCCCAGCCTGGGTAATGGAGCAAGACCCTGTCTCAAAAAAAAAAAAAAAAAAAAAAAAGCTTCCATTGCAATTCCCATCTGTTTATCCTCCAAATGAATGCAGAAATACTAATTATCTTTTTTCTGGTTCTGGGGAACACAGAATTCTAGCGGCTTGTGGAGCCATTTCCCTGGAGCCATGGGGCCTCCCAGGTCCTTTCCTGTGTCTTCATTTTTTACGAATTTTTTCATTTTTTGAGACAGGATCTTGCTCTGACTCCCAGGCTGGAGCACAATCATCGCTCACTCAAGCGATCCTCCCACCTCAGGCTCCCACGTAGCTGGGACTACAGGTGAGCACCACCACATCTGGCTAATGTTTTTTAATTTTTTTGTAGGGGTGGGGTCTCACTATGGTGCCAAGACTAGTCTTAAACTCCTGGCCTCAAGAGTTCCTCCTGCCTTGGCCTCCCAAAGCACTGGGATTACAGGAATGAGCCTCCATGCTGGGCCTTTGCTGGCGTCTTCAGAGCCCTAGGTCACAGGGCCAGCCTGGCGCCCTGCCGCAAGCTTATCTTAAAGCTGGGACCACAACATGCATACCTGCAGCCGGGCCCGGGGCCAGAGGGCTTTGAGGCAGCATTTCTCAGCCTTTTAGACACACACTCTGTTAACCCCCATCCTGTGTCTCTGATAATCTTCTTGTGATCCTCCCACCAGCCAAGAATTGGGTTTTATGTGAACCTTGTATTATGCAAAGTTTTCTTTTGTTTTTTTTTTTCACTCCCAAATATAATATTGAGAATAGAAAGAAAGTCTTTTCAACAAATGGTGCTGGAACAGATGGATTTCCATACTGGAAAAAAAAAAAAAGAGCAAAAAACAAACCTAGACCCCTTCCTCACACTGTACACATATGTTTACTTCAGATGGATCACAGGTTTATCCCAGAGTAAAACCTGAAACTAAAAACCATTTGGGGCTGGACAGGGAGCTCACGCCTGTAATCTCAGCACTTTGGGAGGCTGAGGCAGGTGGATCACTTGAGGTCAGGAGTTTGAGACCAGCCATGACCAACATGGTGAAATCCTGTCTCTACTAAAAAAATACAAAATTAACCAAGTGTGGTGGTGCATGCCTGTAATCCCAGCTACTTGGGAAGCTGAGGCAGGAGAATTGCTTGAACTTGGGAAGCAGAGGTTGCAATGAGTCGACATCATGCCATTGCACTCCAGCCTAGGCAACAAGAGCAAAACTCTGTCTTGGGGTTGGGTGGGGGAAAAGCATTTGGAAGAAAGCATAGAATTTGGTGGCTTGGAGGTAGGCAAAGGTTCGTAGGAGACAGAAGGCAGTTAACATAAAAGAAAAATTGGCAAATATAATCTGCCAGTGTCTTCTTTTTTCTTTAATTTTTTCGGGAGGTAGAGATAGGGGTCTTGCTATGTTACCCAGGCTGATCTCCAACTCCTGGCCTCAAGCGATCCTCCCACCTAGATCCCTCAAAGTACTGGGATTACAGGCGTGAGCGACCGTGCCCTGCCCATTCTTGCCAATGTCTTATAGCAAATACCTGTCCCCTGCGGTGACCTGGATCTGCTAACCTCCACCCCTGCCTAGACTGTGGAAGGATTGCTGGAAGGGTCTCAGTTGCACAGACCAGGAAACTGAGGCCCACAGAGGCAGGTGTCCGGTTGTTTGCAACCTCTCAGCCTGTGCTAACCCCAATTGTTCAGAGAGAGCCCTGAAACCCTCTCCTCTGGGCGCCCCCAGGTGACTGCCCCAGCCTCAAGGGCTGCCTCTGTTGCAGGAAAGACGACGTCACAGGCTACTTTCCGTCCATGTACCTGCAAAAGTCGGGGCAAGACGTGTCCCAGGCCCAACGCCAGATCAAGCGGGGGGCGCCGCCCCGCAGGTAAGCGGGGGTCCCCGGGGCTGGGCGGGGTCGAGCGGGGCGCACCACGGGTTCGCTCTGTCTAGGCCATAGCTTGGCAGTGCCGGGGCGGGGGCTCTCAGCCTGGCAGGAGAGGCAGGACCCTTACGGGGGAAAGGGGCTGGACGCGCCTGGCCGCGGTGTGGGGCTGGCACGGGGGCGGAAGGAAAGCGGCGATGCCCGGGGGCTTTGGGGATGGGCAGTCCAGGGGGGCTCCCCGGAGAGGGGGACGACAGACCGAAGGCTGGTGAGGGGCGTGGAAAACCGCCCAGGCTCTGCTGCAGGGCAAGGGTCCTTGTCGTGACGGGGGCAGCCGCCTCTTGTCCCGCCGGGGTCGTGCAGACTACCGGCCCCCTACTGCCCCCCACTTCCTCGGACCAGGGGTGCCCATCTGAGTCCCTGGGGGCAGGGGCGCCCTCGGGCTTTGACGACGCCCCGTCCCGCTGGGCCAGGTCGTCCATCCGCAACGCGCACAGCATCCATCAGCGGTCGCGGAAGCGCCTCAGCCAGGACGCCTATCGCCGCAACAGCGTCCGTTTTCTGCAGCAGCGACGCCGCCAGGCGCGGCCGGGACCGCAGAGCCCCGGGAGCCCGCTCGGTGAGTGCAGCGGGAGAGGGCAGGAAGGGCAAGCCCTAGGGGCGGAGTCAGCGGGAGAGGCGGGGCCAGAGGCAGGGCCAGAGTAGCGGGGCGGGACCAGAGGGCGGAATCAGAGGGAGAGGCGGGGACTGGAGGCGGGGGCAGAGGAGGAGCCAGCGCTAGGGGGCGGAGCGATCCCTAAGAGGCGGAGTCAGAGGGAGAGGCACAAGCGGGAGGCGAGGCCAGAGCGCGGAGCAGGAGTTGGAGAACGCGGCGGGGCGAGGCCAGAGAGCGCTGTGGGCGGGGCCAGTGTGCGGGGCGGGGCGTCTGACTCGGCCCCGCTCTCTGCCCGCAGAGGAGGAGCGGCAGACGCAGCGCTCTAAACCGCAGCCGGCGGTGCCCCCGCGGCCGAGCGCCGACCTCATCCTGAACCGCTGCAGCGAGAGCACCAAGCGGAAGCTGGCGTCTGCCGTCTGAGGCTGGAGCGCAGTCCCCAGCTAGCGTCTCGGCCCTTGCCGCCCCGTGCCTGTACATACGTGTTCTATAGAGCCTGGCGTCTGGACGCCGAGGGCAGCCCCGACCCCTGTCCAGCGCGGCTCCCGCCACCCTCAATAAATGTTGCTTGGAGTGGACCGAGGCTCTGCAGGAATGCAGGGAGGGCCGGGCTCCGCCCCAGGGTTATTTCTAAGTTGAGGACAGGAGGTTGTGAGTTCTGCTGGGGGGAAGTTGCAAGAGCCGAGGTCTGGTTGCATGTTGCCCTGGTCTTGGCCAAGAACAGGTTTGCACAAGGCCAAGTTCAAGAGGAACTTCCGGATTCCTGCTGACCGTTTGGTCAGAAACCACCTGCTTGGACTCTGGCGGAAGAGTGCTGAAGATGGGTGCACACAGTGCAGCAGGGCAGCCCTGTCTCATGACAGGAGACAGGCTGCCGTCCAGGGTGTAGGAGTGACCTCATAGCTGGGATAAAAAATATATTATAACTTAGGTTCGGGCGCGGTGGCTCACGCCTGTAACCCAGCACTTTGGGAGACCGAGGTGGGAGGATCCGTTGAGCTCAGGAGTTCGAGACCAGCCTGGCCAACATGGTGAAACCCCATCTCTACCAAAAATATAAAAATTAGCTGGGCGTGGTGGCATGCATCCATAATCCCAGCTACTGGGGAGGCTGAGGCATGAGAATCGCTTGAACCGGGGAGGCAGATGTTGCAGTGAGCCGAGACGGCGCCACTGGACTCCAGCCTGGACAACATGGTGAAACCCCATCTGTACCAAAAATATAAAAATTAGCTGGGCGTGGTGGCATGCATCCACAATCCCAGCTACTGGGGAGGCTGAGGCATGAGAATCGCTTGAACCGGGGAGGCAGATGTTGCAGTGAGCCGAGACGGCGCCACTGCACTCCAGCCTGGACTACAGAGCGAGACTCTATCTCAAAAAAAAAAAAAAAAAAAAAAAGTAACTTAGGTGCAGGGTGTCCTCTGTTATTCACTGAGACCGTGCCCCGGTTATGAGGTTGTACCAGAAAGCAAGTATTCACTATGCACACTATTCACCGCTCACCCTAGCATTGAAGCCAGCCTGTAGCCTGAAAGCCTTTGCTTTGAGGGCAGGTCTTTCCCCAAAATGCAGACACGAAGGTGCAAAGTGAAGCTGCCAGTCTTGCAAAAGATGTAACTTGTCACGAAGGCCACGAGTGGCAGGGAGAGCTGTCCCACATTTGCGGAAGTGGCTATGTGAGGACGGGGGAGGTGGGTCCCTTAGAGATAAGAGACAATCATAAGGGGAGATATCAGAGAAAATCATAAGGGGAGCAGATGGTTGTCAAGAGAATAGGCTGACCATCGAAGGACTGGCAGAAGCTTTCAGAAAACCACTGGACGGCTGGGCACAGTGGCTTAGGCCTGTAATCCCAGCACTTTGGGAGGCTGACGCGGGTGAATCACTTGAGGTCAGGAGTTCCAGACCAGCCTGGCCAACATGGTGAAACCCCATCTCTACAGAAAATATAAAAATTAGCCAGGCGTGGTGGCACAAGCCTAGAATCCCAGCTACTCGGGAGGCTGAGGCAGGCGAATGGCTTGAACCCAGGAGTCAGAGGCTGCAGTGAGTCGAGATTGTTCCACTGCACTCCAGCCTGGGTGACAGTGCAAGACTCCTTCAAAAAAAAAGAAAAAAGAAAAAAAAAGAAAACCACTGCAGCTCTAAACTAGTTCTGCATTTTTGCCGAACCTGGTTTGCTGGAAAAGCCCAGCACCAAAGGCTATCATACAAAGCTGTGGGAAATTGAATCACCAACCTCACCCCTTCTGCTTGTTCAGTTGCAGTTATAACAACTGTTATTAACAACAAGTTATTAAATACAGTATAAAATACCACGCCTCTAATCCGAGTGCTCTGGGAGGCCAAGGTGGAAGGATTGCTTGGGGCAGGGAGTTCAAGACCAGCCTGGGCCACACGGTGAGACCCGTCTAGACAAACATTTTAAAAAATTAGACAGGTGTGGTGGTGTGCACCTGTAGTCCCAGGCTGGGTGGGAGGATCGCTTGAGCCCAGGAGTTTGAGGCTGCAGTAAGCTGTGATCGTGCCACTGTACTTCAGCCTGGGTGACAGAGCAAGACCCTGTCTCTAAAAAAAAAACAAATTAAGGCCAGCCACAATGTTTCACGCCTGTAATCCCAGCACTTTGGGAGGCTGAGGCAGGCGGATGACTTGAGGCCAGGAGTTCGAGACCAGCTTGGCCAACATGGTGAAAGCTTGTCTCTGCTAAAAATACAACAACAACAACAAAATTAGCCGGGTGTGGTGGTACACGTCTGTAATCCCAGGTACTCAGGAGGCTGAGGCGGAAGAATCACTTGAACCCGGGAGGCAGAGGTTACAGTGAGCCGAGATCATGCCACCACACTCCAGCCTGGGTGACAGAGCATGACTCTGTCTCAAAAATAAATAAATAAATAAATAAAAATAAAAAAATACATACATATAAAAAAGAAGAGAAAATACTTATTTTCATGATTGTTTCATTTTTTTCCAAGCTGAGGTCCTGACCAAATGTTTCCCCGTGGTTTTTGTATATTTCTGATCCCCTTAAAGTGGCCCTTGCAGCGTGCTGGGGAGGAGGCCTCTCGGTGGGTGGGTGATTGGGAAGCCACGCCCACAGGGAAGGGAGAAAAAAACTAAAGTTGCCTGCTCTAAGGGCTGCACCTCTGTTTAGCCAACAATTTTCTTGAGGCCAGTCATAGTGCTGGGCTCATTCCATCATCTCCAGTTCTGAGACCAACACTGTCTGGTAGGTGTTTTATGGATGAGGAAACCAAAGCTCATAAAATTAATTAAGTGGTTTGCTTATGAAATAATGCAAGAAAGCAACAGTGCTGGGAGGTGGAACTGGGTTTTTCTTTTCTTCTTTTTTTTTTTGATGGAGTTTCGCTCTTGTCACCCAGGTGGAGTACAATGGAGCGACCTCAGCTCACTGCAACCTCTGCCTCCCGGGTTCAAGTGATTCTCCTGCCTCAGCCTCCCGAGTAGCTGGGATTACAGGTGCCCGCCACCCTGCCCGGCTAATTTTTTGTATTTTTAGTAGAGATGAGGTTTCACCATGTTGGCCAGGCTGGTCTTGAACTCCTGACCTCAGGTAATCCGCCTGCCTTGGCCTTCCAAAGTGGTGGGATTACAGGCATGAGCCACTGCGGCTGGCCCAGGCTTTTCTTTTTGATTCTAAGGCCTTCCAGATCCAGTACTTTATCCTGACCCTGCAGAGCTCAGGATCTGTGGTTCAGGCCTGTGGCTCAGAGGAGGGAATACGGCACACAGGCACGTGCCAGGCCAAGTGTGAGGGGGTCTGGCTTCCAGGGCCCTCTGCAGACCCCTAGTCCCAGGGCCTGTGTTGGAGGAGAGATTGGCTCTTTCCTCTGCCCATCCTGGGATGAGAAGTCGGGGACTTGGGATAGATGCAGTGCAATCCCTGCCCCTGAAAATTGACAAAGACCCACCAAATCTAGCCCCTACTCCTAGGCTGGGCCCCTGCCCATCTCCCTGGACCACACCACTCTCAAGGGCTCTCGTTTGCAGACACCCCATTGCCCTACTAAAAACCTCTCCTGGCCAGGCTTGGTGGCTCACGCCTGTAATCCTAGCACTTTGGGAGGCTGAGTTGGGTGGATCACCTGAGGTCAGGAGTTCCAGATCAGCCTGGCCAACATGGTGAAACCCCGTCTCTACTAAAAATACAAAAATTAGCTGGGTGTGGTGGGGGGCGCCTGTAATCCCAGCTTCTCGGGAGGCTGAGGTAGGAGAATTGCTTGAACTCGGGAGGCAGAGGTTACAGTGAGCTGAGATCGTGCCACTGCGCTCCAGCCTGGGCAACCAAGCAAGACTCCGTCTCAAAAAAACAAACGAAAAACCTTTCCCAGCCATTCAGTCATTCCCACAGTCTCAACTCAGTCCTATGAGTGACAGTGCATGTCAGTGGCCATCATATCTCAAGCCATCCTGGTCCCAACACACATTCCTGGGGCCTTGGGAATTGATTCAAAGCAGAACAGCTTCATGAATGGTCCGGCCAACAGGAGGCAGCTTAGGCTGAGCCCTACTGTCCCCTCCCTATCATCTGATTGGTGGACCACCAGGGAGCCACACACATGACAGATGATGAGGGCAGAGGCTGCATGACAGATACCTGCTGGGTCTCCATGTCAGGCACAGTGGCTGCTTAGGAATGAAGCACATGGGCCAGGTGTCGTGGCTCACACCTGTGATCCCAGCACTTTGGGAGGCCAAGGCGGGTGGATCACTTGAGGTCAGGGGTTCAAGATCAGCCTGGCCAACATGGTGAAACCCCGTCTCTACTAAAAAATACAAAAATTATTCGGTTGTGGTGGCGCATGCCTGTAGTCCCAGCTACTCGGGAGGCTGAGGCATGAGAATCACTAGAACCCGAGAGGCGGAGGTTGCACTGGGCCAAGATCACACCACTGCACTCCAGCCTGGGCGACAGAGCGACACTCCATCTCAAAAACAAAAAGTGAAGCACATGGACTTTGGAGTCACATGGACCCTGGTTTGAATCCTGACAACTCCTATAATGGCTGCGTGACCTGGAGCGAGCCACTTAGCCACTCTGAGCTTCAGCTTCCCGTCTATGAAAGGGGGCTGCTCTGGTCCTGCTGCTCGGCCACACCTCTGATATGTGGTGTGAACGAGTGCTCACTTCCACCAAGACCTGGACTCCCCTCCAACTCCCATTATAAACCAGCCTATCTGGGATTCCTTCTCCAAAAGAGCGCTGAGCTTGCCAGAGCCAGCTGTACCTGAAGTCAACGACAGGAACTGCCTGGAGTGGGGTCATTTCCCTGTGTCTAAGGATAGGCACCTGGGCTCCAACTGGGCTCCTGGCCTGGGGGTTGCTCTCTCCCTCCTGCACCCCCTGTCATTTTTATCAAAGTCCTTTTCTCCATTGCTTCCTGAGTGGGTCATTAGGTGGAGATCCACAGCCTTCCTCCACGCTGGTCGCGTGAATTCCCCCAATCTGGAAAGTATTCACAATTTTGTGTCACTAATTCCAGTGACTAATAGAGATTACACACACACACACCTTCAAATGACAACCTGCCAGGAGAAAAATGCTATAAAGGGAAAGATATCACTTTGGGAAGCTGAGGCGAGTAGATCGCTTGAGCCTGGAAGTTTGAGACCAGCCTGGGCAACAAAGGGAGACCCTGTCTCTACAAAAAAAAAAAAAAAAAAACTCCACAAAAATTAGCTGGGCATGGTAGCATGCACCTGTAGTCCCAGCTACTTGGAAGGCTGAGGTGGGAGGATCACTTGAACCCAGGAAGCAGAGGTTGCAGTAAGCCAAGGTCGCACCACTGCACTCCAGCCTGGGTGACAGAGCGAGCCGATTTCCTTGTTTCCAAAAATAAAAAAGGGAAAGATATTATTGGGTCAACAGAGAAAACTAGAGTATGAACAGTAAACTGGATAAAATAATTGCAACAACGTTCAGTTTACTGAAGTTGGTAAAGGAAACGTTATTGTGTAAGAGAATATCCCTGTTCTCTGAAAATACTCACTGAAGTATTTAGGGGTAAATGATATACGTAACTTTCCCTTGAACGGTCCAGGAAAAAAATGCACATCCATTTATACACATATCATAGATACTCATAGACATTTGCTTATACACACTTACCATAGGTACTGATTATAGATACACATACACACATATGAGTGAGAGGGAGAAGGAGGGAAGGGGGTAGGGAGACAAAGTGATCCAATAATGAAACAAGGGTGAAATGTTAACAATTGAGAGTCTGGCTAAAGGGCATGTGAGTATTTTCCATACTATTTTTATTTTTGCAACTTTTCTTTTTTTTTTTTTGAGACAAAGTCTCACTCTGTCGCCCAGGCTGGAGTGCAATGGCACAATCTCGGCTCACTGCAACCTCTGTCTCCTGGGTTCAAGTGATTCTCCTGCCTCAGCCTCCTGAGTAGCTGGGATTACAGGCACGTGCCACCATACCCGGCAAATTTTTGTGTTTTTAGTAGAGACAGGGTTTCACCATGTTACCCAGGCTGGTCTCGAATTCCTGACCTCAAGTGATCCACCCACCTTGGCCTCCCAAAGTGCTGGGATTACAGGTGTGAGCCACATGCTTGGCCACAACTTTTCGGTAACTATTCATAGTAAAAAGCAAACAAAAAAACCCCTCTAAACCTTAACTTACTTTGTCTAACTTTTATAGACAAAGTCTACGTTATTTGCTCTGGGGTTTTCCATTTTAAACCTGACCTTTCTGGCTCTGGGTTTTTCCATTTTAAACCTGACCTTTCTGGTTCCAGGTGAAGGCAGAGACAGATAACATAGGATTATTGTATGTCAGTATGTTTTCAACTATTTCTCCTGAAACTTGGAAACATATTAGACCATGTGGGATACCACGCGGACGGGAACGGGGGATAAATGTGTGTTCATATATACTCCTCCACAAATATACATGTCTCAGGCTGGGCGCAGTGGCTCACGCCTGTAATTCCAGCACTTTGGGAGGCCAAGGCCGGCAGATCACTTGAGGTCAGGAGTTTGTGACCAGCCTGGCCAACATGGTGAAACCCTATCTTTACTAAAAATACAAAAATGAGCCGGGCGTGGTGGTGGGCACCTGTAACCCCGGCTACTCGGGAGGCTGAGGCAGGGGAATCACTTGAACCCGGGAGGCAGAGGCTGCAGTGAGCCCAGATCGCCCCATTGCACTCCAGCCTGGGTAACAGAGTGAGACTCCGTCTCAAAAAAAGAACCCCCAAAACCAAAAAGCAAATATACACGTCTCTCTCCCTATTTCTCTGTTGATTGATTTAAACTTCAAGATGCCAACTACAGTGCCTATCAGGGTGGCAGGCAGGTAATGTGAATGAATGAAACAAGCCAGGCATAAGAAAAGTCAACTACCAATAATACAATAAAACTTTCTTGATTTTTAATGAATAGTGAGGCATACAATGTAATATAAACAAGTATGATACTGCAGATTATATTTCTGATTCAAAGTGGAAAAAAAACTGAAAAAAAAAAAAAGTTTAAGAACTCATTTTGTCAGCTGGGCACAGTGGTTCATGCCTGTAATCCCAGCACTTTGTGAGGTCGAGGCAGGTGGATCACCTGAGGTCAGGAGTTGGAGACCAGCCTGGCCAACATGGTGAAACCTCATCTCTACTAATACAAAAATTAGCCGGGCATGGTGGCGCATGCCTGTAGTCCCAGCTGCTCGGGAGGCTGAGGCAGGAGAATCGTTCGAACCCAGGAGCTGGAAGTTGCAGTAAGCCGAGATCACGCCACTGCACTCCAACCTGGGCGACAGAGCAAGACTCCATCTCAAAAAAGAAAAAAAAAATTCATTTTGTCATCTCCCAATCCCTTGGGACTAGAAGACTCCAGCCTTTCCCACCATAGGGCCCTGCCAGGAGTTTTCTCTCCATCACGTTGCGATGTGGAGTACAGAATCCCACTGGGAATCCTTTAACTGGGAGCAGTATTTTGTTTTGCTCAGTTTCATAATGGAGAACAGCTGTTCGCAGATGTAGGTGCTCCCGAACATGGAAAGAATCTTTGCGCAATGGTGCTTGTATTTCGGGTAGCTACCCCAGAGGTACTTGTAGAATTCTGGTATTCCCACCTTGTCGTATTTCGTCTTCAGGACCGTGTTGCATTGCAGGTCGATAACCTCCATCTGGAGCTCCTCGTGCACACTGTCGATCTTCGTGGAGAACGGGGAGCTGAACAGAGTCAGTTCGCTTTCGTAGAGTTTGAAATCAGACAGCCTTTTCTGGAATTCGGTCTTGAGTTCCGCGATTTTGGGAATGTAGTTCAGGCCATCGCTTTCATTTCTGGAAACCAATTTCAGGGTGGGAAAGTGGGCCAGATTATTCCTCGTCAAATGAGTCTCCCAGAGGCACAGTTTTGCTAGGAACGCCCGGATCAGGTCATACATCTGCGTGACGATTTGGGAGTGTCCTTGGAGAGAGATGTTCAAAGCGTTCAGATGCATCGTCATGTCAACCAAGAAGGCCAGGTCTCGGATCCAATCTATGGAGCTCAGTTGAGGCAGGGGTTTCCCTCTGGATGACATGAAGGAGTCGATTTCTTCCAAGGATTCGAAAAATCTCTTTAGCACGAGCCCGCGACTGAGCCACTTAATCTCCGTGTAGTACAGGAGGCTACCATACTGGCTGTCCAGCTCATAGAGCAAGGTTGTGAACTCGCTGTGGTTCAGTCCCCGGGAGCATATCCAGTTCACGGACTTCACTACCACGTCCATGACGTGGTCCATCTTCAACTTCTGAGCACAGAGTGATTCCGGATGAATTATACAACAGATGGACTTCAGTTCCGCACCCTTGCAGAACGTCGCCACCCTGGACTTCAGTTTTGTGACAAGCCCGTTATTGGCATCCACCATCGCTGGGGTGCCAGTGGAGGCCACGCTTACTAATCTCGACCAGTTGATACAGAACTTTTTCAGGCTCTTCTCAACACGCAAAAAGATCTCGTTGCCAGATTTTGTACCCGTCATGGGCACCGTGTCCAGAAGTTCTTCGGACACATCGAAATTCTCATCGACACCACGGATGAATATGGCCAACTGGGTGGTATTATTTATATCCGTGATCTCATCGATTGCGATAGAATATGCCACAAAAGACCTGATTTTTTCACGTAACTTCTCCCATAAGTTCCCAGCTAGGTCCTCTACAGGCTGCACGGGGGATTTCTGGGTTGGACTTGGGTTTGCAAACACTTGTTTTTGCTCGGGACACTCGGTGTCTGACGAGCCTAAGAGATACTTCCTGAGCCCTTTTTTCAGCTCGTGAAGCTTCTCGTCACGCATTCTTTCCGTATACTGGTCATAATGCTTGCTGTGATTGGTTTGATAGTGGCGTCTTAGGTTATATTCTTTGGACACAGACATGCTTTGTTTGCATATGAGACATGTTGGAATATTCTGTACTTCCACGAAGAAATACGCTCTCTCCCACTTTTCTTGAAACACACGGCCCTCCTGGTCTATCTTGCGTTTTCCCACTTTTGACAGAGACAGGGAGACAAAGATATTTCACTTTTCTCTTATCACTACTATGAGGAAAACAACAGCAAATGCTTGATGACGCACGAGAGGGAGGAAGCGGGGCGGGGCAGGGCGTGGTTAACAGGAGGGTGACCCACCCTGCAGAGGGACGGCTGACCCTCAACTCCAGCAAACCGCTGCCAGGACGCCAGCTGTGGCCAGATCTTCAAGTTTTCTAAAGAAAACCTGAAGACTGAATTTTTGTTGTCGTTGTTTTTGAGACGGAGTTTTGCTCTGTCGCCCAGGCTGCAGTGCAGTGGCGCAATCTCGGCTCACTGCAACTTCTGCCTCCTGGGTTCAAGCGATTCTTCTGCCTCAGCCTCCTGAGTAGCTGTTATGACAGGTGCCTGCCACCACGCCCAGCTAATTTTTGTATTTTTAGTAGAGATGAGATTTCACCATGTTGTCCAGGCTGGTCTCGAACTCCTGACCTCAGGTGATCCGCCCACCTCAGCCTCCCAAAGTGCTGGGATTACAGGCATGAGCCACTGCACCCAGCCAGATCTTCAGGTTTTCTAAAGAAAACCTGAAGATTGACCTTTATGAAAGAGTGCCTGGTTTGTGGTGATAATGGCTCATTGCAGCCTGGAACTCCCTGGGCTCAGGTGATCCTCCCACTTCAGCTCCCAGTTGCTGGGACTACAGGCATGCACCACACCGAGCTATCTTTTCTTTCTTTCTTTCTTTTCTTTTTTTCTTTTTCTTTTTCTTTTTTTTGTAGAGCTGGAGTCTTACCTTGTTGCCCAGGCTGGTCTGAAACCCCAGGCTCAAGCGATCCACCCGCCTTGGCCTCCCAAAGTGCTGGGATTACAGGAGCCACCGTGCCAGGCCTCATCCTTATTTTCAAAAGTACATGAGCCAAACAAAAGACACCTTTGATGAGGTTCAGCATGTAGCTGTGCTTGTTATGTCCAGTTTAAACAGGAATTATTTGATAATATGTTTGCATTTTCTTTTTAGAGACAGGGTCTTGTTCTGTCACCCAGGCTGGAGTGTAGTATTGCAATTATGGTTCTCTGCTGTCTCAAACTCCTGAGTTTAAGTGATCCTCCTGCTTTAGCCTGCCAAGTAGCTGGGGCTACAGGTGTGAGCCACTGTTTCCAGCTAATTTTTAAATTTTTTGTAGAGATGGGGTCTTGCTATGTTGCCCAGGCTGGTCTCAAACTCCTGGCCTCAAGCAATCCTCTTGCCTTGGCCTCCAAAAGTCCTGGGATTATAGGTGTGAGCATTTTAATATATTTTCTCATTTGATTCCCAAGAAAACTTTGTAATAACAGAGATGGGAATGAGCACAGAAAGGCATATGATTTTTACCTACTGTGAGTCTCAAATGACAAGGGTGACGGCCACAGAACCACACAAAACTCATTCGTATAAGTGTGTTCGAGTGTACAGGGACTAGTGTTTTAGATTTAAAGAACCTGGCCACCCTGCAGGTAATCAAGGTATTTCCAGAGTACACACACATAAAAGTGCACCTTAAGAAAATGTAGGCCATGTACAGCGGCTCATGCCTATAATCCCAGCACTTTGGGAGGCTGAGGCAGGAGGATCGCTTGAAGCCAGAAGCTCAAGGCCAGCCTGGGAAACATAGTGAGACCCTGTCTCTACAAAAAAAAAAAAAAAAAAAAAATTATCTGGGCATGGCAGTGCTGTCCCAGTTACTCGGGAGGTGAAGGTGGGAGAATCACCTGAGGGCAGGAGTTCCAGGCTGCAGTGAGCTATGATCATGCCACTGCACTCCAGCCTGGGTGACAGAGTGAGACCTTGTCTCTAAAAAACCCCAATAATAATACAATAAATAAATAAAGATATTATAAAAGATCAAAAAATCATTTAGCAATCAGATGCGTTTGGGAATAAAAATGGAGCATTTTAATAGGATACTTTGGTTTTCTTTTCTTTTTTTTTTTTTTTTTGAGACAGAGTCTTGCTCTGTCACCAAACTGGAGTGCAGTGGCACGATCTCAGCTCACTGCAACCCCCGACTCCCTGGTTCAAGTGATTTTCCTGCCTCAGCCTCCCGAGTAGCTGGGATTATAGGCACGCGCCACCATGCCCGGCTAATTTTTGTATTTCTAGTAGAGACGGAGTTTCACCACGTTGTACAGAAGGGTCTCCATCTCCTGACCTCATGATCCGCCCGCCTCGGCCTCCCAAAGTGCTGGGATTACAGGTGTGAGTCACCGCGCCCAGCCTACTTTGGTTTTCAAATGTTACATTAGGAGGTTCCCTGGTGACTCATGCTCGTGAGAACACCTCTCCGTATTCTACTTGACAGGATACTGACTCACTTGCAAGGGCTCCGGGGAAGACATTAAGAATATTTAACAGGGTGGGGGCGGGGGGAGGGAGAGCATCAGGAAGAATAGCTAATGCATGCTGGGCTTAATACCTAGGTGATGGGTTGATAGGTGCAGCAAACCACCATGGCACACGTTTACCTGTGTAACAAACCTGCACATCCTGCACATGGACCCTGGAACTTAAAATAAAAGTTGAAGGGGAAAAAAAAGAGAATATTTCAGAAGCAGAGTGCCTGGGCATTGCTCAATCAGAACAGATGCTGAGCCAGGTGCAGTGGCTTACATCTGTAATCCCAGCAGTTTGGGAGACCAAGGCGGGTGGATCACTTGAGGTCACGAGTTTGAGACCAGCCTGGCCAACATGGCTAAACCCTGTCTCTACTAAAAAATACAAAAAGTAGCTGGATGTGGCGGCACGCACCTGTAATCCCAGCTAATCGGAAGGCTGAGGCAGAGAATCGCTTGAACCCGGGAGGCGGAGGTTGCAGTGAGCCGAGATCTTGCCACTGCACTCCAGCCTGGGTGAGAGAGCGAGACTCTGTCTCAAAAAAAAAAAAAAAGAAAAAAAAAAGAACAGATGCTAGTCTCAGCACTGGAAGGGTTCTAGGGGCCTCTGCTGTGCCAGGTGGAACCCCTTTTGCTTCAGCACTGTAGGGAGGTCAAGCCACGGTCGGAGGGTACTAGGGTGGGACTGCATGGCCAGGCAGGCACTATTTACCAACTAACACAGAGGAGATCGGTACTGTGATCCTGAGTGCAGCTGTGCGGGTGGCCTCAGGGGAGCCCCCACCACAAAGCACACTTGAATAGTGTGCCACATCAGCCATGCGTGGTGGCTCATGCCCGTAATCCCAGCACTTTGGAAGGTGGAGGCGGGCAGATCCCTTGAGGTCAGAAGTTCAAGACCAGCCTGGCCAACATGGCAAAACCCCATCTCTACTAAAAATACAAAAATTAGCCAGGCGTGGTGGCACACGCCTATAGTCCCAGCTACTCGGGAGGCTGAGGCAGGAGAATCACTTGAACCCGGGAGGCGGAGGTTGTGTGGTGAGCCGAGATTGTGCCATTGCACTCTAGCCTGGGTGACAGAGCGAGACTCCGTCTCCAAAAAAAAAAAAAAGAGTGCGCCACATCACACGTCACACTCATGGTGTGATATAGATCACTCTCCTTCAGACTGGTTAATCAAACTCAAGTAACAGAGTTATCTAACTTTATCACATGCAGGAAAAATAAAGCATGCATCGAAGGCTGCATACTTGGGTCCCAGGCTCACGGAAGCAAAAACCCCGTGGTGAGCGCCCACCAAGACACTTCCCATGGCCCAACATTGCCGGAACGTTCTTCTCACCTGTAGAATACTCACCATTACTGAGCTCAAGCCCTGGAAGCGGCCTGAAGAGAAAGACACATTGATAAATGTGACAAGCTCACATTTCCTCTTTTGCCCACTTAGTTTTATTTTTTTTTAATTTTTACTTATTTATTTTTTTACAGAAGAATATTTATTTATTTGTTTGTTTTGTTTTTGTTTTTTTTGAGACAAGAGTCTCGCCGCGTCACCCAGGCTGGAGTGCAGTGGCGCGATCTCGGCTTAGTGCAACCTCCGCCTCCTGGGTTCAAGCCATTCTCCTGCCTCAGCCGCCTGAGTAGCTGGGATTACAGGTGCCCGCCACCACGCCCAGCTAATTTTTTGTATTTTTAGTTTCACCATGTTGGCCAGGCTACTCTTGAACTCCTGACATCAGGAGATCTACCTACCTTGGCCTCCCAAAGTGCTGGGATTACAGGCATGAGCCACTGCGTTGAGCCTTTTGTTTTTGTTTTTTTTGAGACGGAGTCTCACTCCATCACCCAGGCTGGAGTGCAGTGGTGTCATCTGGGCTCACTGCAACCTCCACATTCCAGGTTCAAGTGATTCTCCTGAGTAGCTGGGATTACAGGCACGTACCACTACACCCAGCTAATGTTTATTTTTAGTAGAGATGGAGTTTCACCATGTTGGCCAGGCTGGTCTCAAACTCCTGACCTCAAATGATCCACCTGCCTCAGCCTCCTAAAATGCTGGGATTACAGGCCTGAGCCACCATGCCCGGCCTATTTATTTATGTTTTGAGATGGAGGCTCATTCTGCTGCCCAGGCTGGAGTGCAGTGGTGCCATCTCAGGTCACTGCAACCTCCACCTCCCAGGTTAAGTGATTCTCACGCCTCAGCCTCCTGAGTAGCTGGTATTAGAGGCGCACGCCACCACACCCGACTAATGTTTGTATTTTCAGTAGCAACGGGGTTTCACCATGTTGGCCAGGCTTGCCTCATACTCCTGACCTCAGGCGATCTGGCCCGCCTCAGCCTCCCAAAGTGCTGGGATTACAGGCGTGAGCCACCGTGCCTGGCCCCACTTAGTTTTATTGGACAAATTTTTGCAGAGTATTAACTCTACGCTAGGTGCTGTGTGAGCTAAAACTGGGACGGGCTGCCCATGATCACCGAGGAACAGGGACATGGACACATCTCAAGGAAGCAGAAGATGATGAAGTCAGTGTGAGAGGCAGCATGGCCCAGCGGTCAGCTGCGGGAACAAACCCCCAGCCCAAGTCATGGGACAGACATTCCTGGGCAGCCACATGCCCACCTCGGGCAAGTCAGAGTCTCCAGATTCCTTCTCTTGACTCACTTACCTGATGACTGTGAATTTGATAAACTCAGCTGCCTCCAAGATCCTCCTCATGGAACTGATTTCCAGATAGCCGGGGGCCTTGAATACCACCCCCGGGGGCATGCCATCAATCACCACACAGCCAGGGTTGAATGTGATCTTCCTGTAGGGAACTTTCACAGGGAAATCCACGCCAATTGCTTCACCTGTGACGGGATGAGCAGCATAAAACCAGCTGAGTTTGGCTGGGCACGGTGGCTCACACCTGTAATCCCAGCCCTCTGGGAGACTGAGGCGGGTGAATCACTTGAGGCCAGGAGTTCGAGACCAGCCTGGCTAACATGGTGAAACCCTGTCTCTACTAAAAATACAAAAATTAGCTGGGCGTGGTGGCGCATGCCTGTAATCCCAGCCACATGGGAGGGACCCAGGAGGCAGAAGTTGCAGTGAGCCGAGATCGCCCCACTGCACTCCAGCCTGAGAGACAGAGCGAGACCCTGCCTCAAAACAAAACACAAAACAAAACAACAAATTAAAAAAACAACAACACAAATAAAACTAGCTGAGTTTGTTCCTTACGTTTCCTAAACCAGGATTTATCTTTAATGTCAGGATTTAGAAGCATCAAATGACAATACTTATGATCAGTCATTTTATTTTCCAGTGCTACTATGATGTGTGAATATAATTTTAAAAGTTTGGAATTAGCATGGGTAGTAGGCAAACTCAGTTCCTCCATCCATTACACAGGGTTATCATGGCGCCTACCTGAAAGGTTTTATGTGAGGATTAAATGATCAAACACATGTTGAGCACAAAAAATAATATACAAGGTAAGCACTCAGTAAAACAAAGATAGCTATTATTATTATTATTGTAATTAGTCAATGATACCATGCAAAAGCTCTTCTGTAAAAAGACATATTGACTAATTTTTATCATAGCTCTTTCACAAAAAGATCAATTTCTTTTTTTTTTTTTTTTTTTGAGACAGGGTCTCACTCTGTCGCCCAGGCTGGAGTGCAATAGCGCGATCTAAGCTCACTGCAACCTCTGCCTCCCAGTTACAACCGATTCTCGTGCCTCAGCCTCCTGAGTAGCTGGGATTACAGGTGTGCGCCACCACACCCGGCTAATTTTTTTGTATTTTTAGTAGAGATGGGATTTTGCCATGTTGGCCAGGCTGGACTTGAACTCCTGGCCTCAAGTGATCCACACACCTTGGCCTCCCAAAGTGCTGGGATTAAAAGTGTGAACCACTGCGCCCAGCCAAGATCAAATTCTTATAAGATAAAGTTTTGTTTTTTTCCTTTTGTAGACCTGGGGTGTCACTTTGCTGCCCAGGCTGGTCTCAAACTCCTGGGCTCAAGTGATTCTCTAGCCTTAGCCTCCTAAAGTGCTAGGATTACAGGTATGAGCCAATGCACCTGGCCAAGTATTCTTTTAAAAAGAAGTATTTTAGGTATATGAATTCTGGATATAAAAAGATATAAAAACTTACCAAATTTTCGGCTAAAGAGGTCATTAACTTGTTCTCTTAGCTGTTTAATCTTTTCAATGCTTGATAATCTTTCCTTCTCATTATCTAAAAATAATTAAACAAATAAACAAACCAAGGTTATTAATGTATTTTCTCCCAAGAAAGCTGTTGGGAGAAATGCCTGTTAGCACCCGAGAAAGTGCTTTACCTGGATTGTTATTCAGTCTACTTTTAGCAATAATTAAGCATCTTGGAAATTTGGAAATGGAAGCCATTACAGACAATAGAGAATTTTCCAAATTATAACCCTATATAAACATACTACATACTACTTTTAAGGAATATTTTCAATATCATACAAGACAAGGATGTTTAGGGCCAGGCGCGGTGGCTCACGCCTGTAATCCCAGCACTTTGGGAGGCCGAGGCAGGTGGATCACGAGGTCAGGAGATTGAGACCATCCTGGCTAACACGGTGAAACCCCGTTTCTACTAAAAATACAAAAATTTAGCCGGGCATGGTGGCAGGCGCCTGTAGTCCCAGCTACTCGGGAGGCTGAGGCAGGAGAATGGCGTGAACCCAGGAGGCGGAGCTTGCAGTGAGCCGAGATCGCGCCACTGCACTCCAGCCTGGGTGACAGAGCAAGACTCCGTCTCAAAAAAAAAAAAAAAAAAAAAAAGACAAGGATGTTTACTTTCACCACCACTTTTCGGCCTTAAAATAGAAATCTTAGCCAATGAAATATGACAAGTAAAAGGAATAAGAGGTACTAGGATTAGAAGGTAAGGTATATTTTTATTTTCTTTCCTTTTTTTCCTCTCTTTTTTTGTTTGTTTGTTTTGTTTTGTTTTGTTTTGAGGCTGAGTTTTGCTCTTGTCACCCAGGCTGGAGTACAATGGTACAATCTTGGCTCACTGCAAACTCCTGGGTTCAAGCAATTCACTGCACCCCTCCTGGGTTCAAGCAATTCTCCTGCCTCAGCCTCCCAAGTAGCTGGGATTACAGGCACCCACCACCACACCAGCTGATTTTTGTATTTTTAGTAAAGATGGGGTTTCACCATGTTGGCCAGGCTGGTCTCGAACTCCTGACCTCAGGTGATCCACCTGCCTCAGCCTCCCAAAGTGCTGGGATTACAGGTGTGAGCCACCGCACCCGGTCTGTTTTTCTTTTCTTTTTGTTTTTTAGAGACAGAGTCTCACTGTGCTGTGCAGGCTGGTCTCAAACTCCTGGGCTCAAGTGATCCTCCTGCCTCAGCTTCCCAAAGTGCTGAGATTACAGGCACATGCCACCATGCCTGGTCCTTTTTTTTTTTGCTTTTATTTTTTAGATATTTTTCAACACTTTAAAACTTTATTTACTTTTGAATAACTAAAGCAATCACATGGCTCAACATTCAAGAGGAGTAATATACAGAAACATCTCAAACGTCTCTCTCCTATCCCTATCTCAGCGGTCAGTTTCCTTCCCTGGAGGAACTATGTAATTAGATTCTCTTGTATCTTTCCAGATATATTTTACATACACATATTCAGAAAAGAAGATTATTATTATTATTATTATTTATTTTTTTGAGACAGAGTCTCACTCTGTCGCCCAGGCTGGAGTGCAGTGGTGTGATCTCCGCTCACTGCAAGCTCCACCTCCCAGGTTCACGCCATTCTTCAGCCTCAGCCTCCCGAGTAGCTGGGACTACAGGTGCTCGCCACCACACCCGGCTAATTTTTTTGTATTTTTAGTAGAGACAGGGTTTCACCGTGTTATCCAGGATGGTCTTGATCTCCTGACCTCGTGATCTGCCCGTCTTAGCCTCCCAAAGTGCTGGGATTACAGGCGTAAGCCACCGTGCCCGGCCAGAAGATTGTTAATGATGAGCAACAAAACATTTCACCTCTGTGGCCAATTCCAATTCAACCATAGCTGGTGCTCCGTGCTGCCTGCTCTGAGATGCATTTTCCAGGTAATGCCCGGGCTTGTCCAGGAGAAGCAAAATATCCGATTAATAATGTCTGATGTGAGCAAGATGCTCGTTGTGTAGCAACTTGCAGAATATTTTATATTCCCGAAATGTCATTTCTTAGCTATCAGGGTGAACTAAGTGAAAAATGACAGGTCCAAGAGACCAGCCTATGTCAAAAAATAATTAAGACAAAAGGAAAAATGTAACATTAGTCCATACCTGGAACAGTCACTTGAACGATGTTAAGATCTTCAACACCTGCTGCAGAATTTGTAACACTGGATGAATTTGTGTTTCCTTAAAACAGAAGTTGAAGTTTAGAATTTACCAAGAATAAGACCAATTCTCCTTTAAATATGTCTAAGTGCTGCTTTGATCAGAAGCCCAGACTGAATTTTTTTTTCTTTTTTTTTTTTTTTTTGAGACAGGTTCTTACTCTGTCATTCAGGCTGGAGTGCAGTGGTGTGATCCTAGCTCACTGCATCCTCGACCTCCCACGGTCAAGTGATCCTCCCACCTCAGCCTTGTGAGTAGCTGGGACCACAGACATGCACCATCATGCTTGGCTAATTTTTTTTTTTTTTTTGAGACTGAGTCTATCACCCAGGCTGGAGTGCAGTGGTGCGATCTCGGCTCACTGCAACCTTTGCCTCCCAGGTTCAAGTGATTCTCGTGCCTCAGCCTCCTGAGTAGCTGGGATTACAGACACCCACCACCATGCCCAGTTAATAATTGTATTTTTTTTTTAGTAGAGACGGAGTTTCACCATGTTGGTCATGCTGGTTGAGAACTCCTGACCTCAAGTGATTCACCTACCTGGGCCTCCCAAAGTGCTGGGATTACAGGCGTGAGCCACCACGCCCGGCTCTAATTTTTGTATTTTTAGTAGAGACAGAGTTTCGCCATGTTGGCCAGGCTGGTCTTGAACTCCTGGCCTCAAGGGATTCACCCACCTGGGTCTCCCAAAGTGCTGGGATTACAGGTGTGAGCCACCCACCACGCCAGCCTTAAATCACACTTTCAACTTCACTTCCTTTAGATACTTGCACTTCAACTGAGTTCACCGGCTGCAGGCCTGCGGAGTTACCTTTGATATTTATCTGTCCACTCCAGTAGCAAAGGGGCTATGTCTGAGTGAATCGTCCTTTTCTTTCCATTCTCCCCCCTCATGTACCCTCAACCCTTCATTCTTTCCTCACGTGAACACAGCACAGTTGAGGCCCAGTTGTGGGTCAGTGCTAACGTGCAAGACTTAAAAAAAAATTTTTTTTTAATTTTTATTTTTAGAGATGGAGTCTTGCTCTGTTGACCATGCTGGAATGCAGGGGCATAATCACAGCTCACTGCAGCCTCAAAATCCTGGGCTCAAGCGATCCTCCCACCTCAGCCTCCCAAGTAGCTGAGACTACAGATGCATGCCACCATGCATGGCTGATATTTTTGTTAGTTTGTTTCGAGGCAGGAGCTCACTCCCATCACCCAGGCTGGAGTATTGTGGCACAATTACGGCTCACTGCAGCCTCGACTTCCCTGGGCTCAGGTGATTGGCCCACCTCAGTCTCCCGAATAGCTGGGACTACAGGTGTGTGCCACCATGCCCTGCTAACTTTTTGTATTTTTAGTAGAGACAGGGTTTCACTATGCCCAATTTGGTCTCAAACACCTGGGATCAAGTGATCTGCCCACCTCAGCCTCCCAAAATGCTGGGATTACAGGCGTGAACCACTGTGCCTTGCCTAACTTTTTCTTAATGTTTACTTTTTGCAGAGATAGTCTCACTATGTTGCCCAGTCTGATCTAGAACTCCAGGGTTCAAATGATCTTCTTGCCTTGGCCTCACAAAGTGCTGGGAATACAAGCATGCACCATCATGCCTAGTTATTATTTTTCTTTTCTTTCTAATTTTTTTTTGCACAGCTAATTATGTTGTCTACAACACCTCAAAGCATTGGGCCCTAATGGGAATGGCTGCTCTATTATATATACACATTATACTACATTAGAGATTTCAATCTCTTCCCCACAATTTTTTTTTTTTTTTTTTTAGATGGAATCTCGCTCTGTCACCCAGGCTGCAGTACAGTGGTGAGATCTCAGCTCACTGCAACCTCCGCCTCTCAGGTTCAAGCGATCCTCCTGTCTCAGCCTCCCAGGTAGCTGGAAATACAGACATGCACCACCACGCCTGGCTAATTTTGTATTTTTAGTAGAGACAGGGTTTCGCCATGTTTCCCAGGCTGGTCTCAAACTCCTGGGCTCAAGCAATACACCTGCCTTGGCCTCCCAAGGTGCTGGGATTACAGGCTTGAGCCACTGAGCTCTGCCATCCTCCCTGCAATTAATCCTGTTAGAAAGAATGAAAACCATACTTGGCAATGGGGCTTTGGGCAACTAACCTTCGATTTTCACCTCGGCTTCAGGGTCCTCATTTGGTTCTTCTGAAGGGACCAGCGGAGTGGAATCTTGAAAAAAAAATGTCTAAAATGACATTCATTATTAAGTATTCTCCTCATATTCCAACACATTAATGCTCCTATACCAAAAAAGTAGCTTATCCTGGCATTTTAAATATATTTCATATATAAATAATATAAACATAATTTTAATTTTATAAGCAATAATAATAGGATAATAAACAGTAACTGGGCCGGGCACGGTGGCTCGCACCTGTAATCCCAGCACTTTTGGGAGGCCGAGGTGGGCGCATCACTTGAGGTCAGGAGTTGAAGACCAGCCTGGGCAACATGGTGAAACCCCAACTCTATTAAAAATACAAAAATTATCCAGGCGTGGTGGCGCACGCCTGTAATCCCAGCTACTCAGGAGGCTGAGGAGGGAGAATTGCTTCAGCCCGGGAGGTGGAGGCTGCAGTGAGCCAAGGTCGTGACACACTGCACTCCAGCCTGGGTGACAGGGTGAGATTCTGTCTCAAAAAAAAAAAAAAAAAACAGAATCATTTTGGTAGTCCATGTGTCACTATCTCTCTAAGGCAGATATATACAACTAAAAGTAAGATCACATTGCCTGTAAATGGCAAAGATGTCCCACGCCTCTAGGTTTGGAAAGGAAATCTTTATTATTATTATTATTATTATTATTATCATTATTGAGACAGTCTCACTCTGTCACCCAGGCTGGAGTGGAATGGTGCGATTTCGGCTCACTGCAGCCTCCGCCTCCTAGTTTCAAGCAATCCTCGTGCCTCAGCCTCCCGAGTAGCTGGGATTACAGGTGCCTGCCACCACGCCTGGCTAATTTTTGTATTTTTAGTAGAGACAGGGTATCACCATGTTGGCCGGGCTGGTCTTGAACTCCTGACCTCAGGTGATCTGCCCACCTCAGCCTCCCAAAGTGCTGAGATTACAGGCATAAGCCACCATGCCTGGCCCTTTTTTAAAATTATTAATTTTATCTTGGACATACACAAACCACCGTAGGAATTTAGGCTTTATTCATATGATGCTCAAGATTTATATATGAATGGAGGGAAGTATTATCAAATTTTACTTCTAATGCAAGGATTTCCTAAAATACTATTCGACTCTGTCCAAAAGAATTATGTCATGCCATCCAAAAGACAAAGCAAGAAACAGCACCACTGCAAAGTTAACTTCCATATTCGGGTGCTTTAAGTAGAATCACTCACAGATCAGAAGCACAAGAAGTGATAGAGCCCTTCATGTTATATCTTAGGGCAAGAGCTCAACTATTCATAGTTTTCTGAGAAGACAGGCATGCCAGAAAGTCACCTTCCTTATTTTCCAACTTACATGTATAAAAGAGTATGTTCTCTGTAAAATACTATAAACTTTCAGCTGGGCATGGTGGCTTACGCCTGTAATCCCAGCACTATGGGAGGCAGAGGTGGACGGATCACTTGAGGTCAGGAGTTCGAGACCAGCCTGGACAACATGGTGAAATCCCGTCTCTACTAAAAATACAAAAATTAGCCGGGCGTGGTGGTACGCGCCTGTAATCGCAGCTACTCAGGAGGCTGAGGCACATGAATCGCTTGAACCCAGGAGGCAGAGGTTGTAGTGAGCCGAGATTGCGCCACTGCACTCCAGCCTGGGTGACAGAGCGAGACTCTGTCTCAAAAAAGAAAAAAAAAGTATGTTCTTTGTAAAATACTATAAACTTCTATAAACTTTTCTTAAAAGAGAGAGAAAAAATGCTGCATTTTTCTAACCTTCCATTGGTAATTCCATTTCTATTACTTCATTGCTTGTGGAAGAAGGGTGGCTTCCTGAAAGAAAAATAAATAATATATAACAAAGGAGAAATACAAAAATGTAAAAAGAAATCACTGAATACAATGCAAACAAGTCAATACCCACGCAGGAATACACCTGAAATACTTCTACCCCTTGAAATAAAACTGGCTGCGCGCGGTAACTCACGCCTGTAATCTCAGCACTCTGGGAGGTGGAGGCGGGCAGATCACCTGAGGTCAGGAGTTCGAGACCAGCCTGGCCAACATGGTGAGACCCCTTCTCTACAAAAAAATACAAAAATCAACCGAGTGTGGTGGCACATGCCTGTAATCTCAGCTATTCTTGAGGCCGAGCCAGGAGAATCACTTGAACCTGGGAGGTGAAGGTTGCAGTGAGCCATGATCACGCCACTGCATTCCAGCCTGGGCGACAGAGCGAGACTCTGTCTAAAAAAAAACAAACAAAAAAAACATAAACCAATTAATTTCTCTGAGTTTCTCACATTCTGGATTTTATTGACTACATCCTTGTGGTGATGTTTTCATATGTGCCTGTATTCCATGCATCTCCTAAAAACTGCTGGTTAGATCTAAAGGCTGGATCAGACTTAGGTCTGATTGTTTTGTTTTGTTTTGTTGTTGTTTTGAGAGAGAGTTTCACTCCAGCACCCAGGCTGGAGTGCAGTGGTGTGATCACAGCTCGCTGCAGCCTTGACCTCCCAGACTCAAGCGATCTTCCCACCTCAGCCTCCCAAGTAGCTGGGGCTACAGGTGTGTGCCACCATGCCCGGCTACTTTTTGTATTTTTTGTAGAGACGGCGTCTCACCATGTTGCCCAGGCTGGTTTTGAACTCCTGGGCTCAAGTCATACACCTGCCTTGGCCTCCCAAAGTGCTGGGATTACAGGTATGAGACACTACACCTGGCCAGGTTTGATTTTTTTTTTTTTTTTTGGAAGAATCCTTGACAAAGGTGGTGTGGTGTACTTCCTACTGGATACCGTCAGGAGACCAGTGACCAGTCAGTTCAGGAACTGTCAGTCAGGTCTGCCCATGATAAAGTCCCCATCAGACTTTTATAAAATGGTTTTAATGACCACTGACAATTATTGCCAAGATGCACTGCTTCATTAGGTGGTGCAAAATCATGACAGTCGTGACAATTTATGACTTCTTTTTAAAAGCCTTATGGGTCAGGTGTGGCGGCTCATGCCTGTAATCCCAGCATTTTGGGAGGCCAAGGTGAGTGGATCACCTGAGGTCAGGAGTTCGAGACCAGCCTGGCCAACATGGCGAAACCCCGTCTCTACTAATAATACAAAAAATTAGCCAGGCGTGGTGGCACACGCCTGTAATCCCACCTCCTTGGGAGGCTGAGGCACAAGAATCATTTGAACCCAGGAGGCAGAGTTTGCAGTAAGTGGAAATAGTGCCACTGAACTCCAGCTTGGGCAACAGAGTGAGATTCTGTCTCAAAAAAAAAAAAAGAGTATGTGGATTTAGCCCAGGCATGGTGGCTCACGCCTATAATCTCAGCACTTCTGGAGGCCAAGGCTGGAGGACTACTTAAGCCCAGGAGTTAGAGAACAGCTTGGGCAACAAGGTGAGACCTCATCTCTGTAAAAAAACAAACAAAAGAGTACATGGATTTAGGCTAAATAGAATCTATTTTATAACTGTAGGATTATTTACTCTAAATGGCAGCATGCTTGATCCTAGGTAAACACACATGGGTGCTCGCCAGTTTTTCAGACAGGTAGTAATTAAAATCTTCCATCCCAAATAACTTTTGGGGAAGAAAATTATTATCAAACAGTATTACCTTGCATATTATATTGATAGTAATTAGGATCTTCTGATTCTTTCTTGACTGAGACAGCTTCTGCTTTCAGTGAAATGCCTTGGAATGTAATGGAAATGATAAAATTGTATGTTAGGTTAAGTTTGCCAACAAAGAAATACGACTAGCTAATATAAGTTGATTAATACAGCAATGTTACAATCAGCAAAAGAACTTGTAGCTCACTCACTATGAACAAATTTGACCTCTTGATACAAAAATAGAAATACTATAAATTAAAATAATATACATATAGAAAACATACATTTGTGTATTTATGTATGTTTATATAAAAATAATATCAATTGTAAAATCAATAGAAAAGGAAAGAAGGAAGGAGGGGACCGGGCACGGTGACTCATGCCTCCAATACCAGTACTTTGGAAGGCTGAGGCGGGCAGATCACTTGAGGTCAGGAGTTTGAGACCAACCTGGCTAACATGGTGAAACCCTGTCTCTACTAAAACTACAAAAATTAGCTGGGAGTGGTGGCGGACGCCTGTAGCCAGCCACATGGGAGGCTGAGGCAGGAGAATTGCTTGAACCCAGGAGGTGGAGGTTGCAGTGAGCTGAGATCGAGCCACTGCACTCCAGCTGGTTGACAAAGCGAGACTCCATCTCAAAAAAAAAAAAAAAAAAAAAAAAAGAAGGAAGGAGAGGAGGATGAAGGAAGGCATCGTGAAGGCGGGAGAGCTTAGTTCTGATTCTAGTCCTAGTTTTGGGAGATTTTCCCCTTCAGGGTGGCTGAATATCCACGTGCATTTACATGAAATGCTGTGAAGATTCTTCTGTCATGAAGCCTGAACTGACATATATAACCATTTTTTTTTTTTTTTGAGACAGAGTCTCACTCTGTTGCCCAGGCTGGAGTGCAGTGGCATGATCTCGGCTCACTGCAACATCCACCTCCCAGGTTCAAGTGACCCTCCTGCCTCAGCCTCCCAAGTGGCCCACGCCACCATGCCTGGCTAATTTTTGTATTTTCAGTAAAGACGGGGTTTCACCATGTAGGCCGGGCTGGTCTCAAACTCCTGACCTCAGGTGATCCACCCACCCACCTTGGTCTCTCAAAGTGCTGGGATTACAGGCATAAGCCACCGTGCCCGGCTAGGCACTTATAATCTTAACTTACTCACTATAATGGAATGGATTTCAAAACCTGGAGAAGCTATATCAGTACAACCTAACGCCTTTATCAGAGAAGGGTGCGGTTGGCTGCAAAAATTAGCTCAAGACCTCTCCCATCCCAGGATGTACATCCCTTTGCAATGTGACTATCCCATGCTTCTTTTCTAGAAGTAAAGTCTGTTTCTCTGCCATTTTGTTATTATTTTTTGAGACAGAGTCTTGCTCTGTTGCCCAGTGGAGTGCAGTGGCATGATCATGGCTCACTGCAACCTCTGTCTCCTGGGCTCAAGCGATCCTCCTGTCTCAGCCTCCTGAGTAGCTGACTATAGGCATGCATCACCACGCCTGCCTAATTTTTGTATTTTTTGTAGACATGAGGTTTCACCATGTTACTCAGGCTGGTCTCGAACTCCTGGACTCAAGCAATTTGCCTGCCTTGGCCTCCCAAAATGTTGGGATTACAGCTGTAAACCACGGCGCCAGGCCATTCTCTGCCCTTTAAATCTGGCCCTGGCTGTGTGACTTGCTTTGGTCAATGGGACATCAGCCGATGGGATGCAAAGAGAGGCTTGAGAAGAGCTTGATCATCTGTGCCTGCTGCTTCTAGAACCTCATCACCATGGGAGCCAGCCTAGGGTGCCTCCAAAGGGTATGAGGCCACAAGGAGAGAGACCCTGATGTCCCAGCCGGGGCCTCAGACACACAGCCATCCGGCCCTTGCTGAGCCAGTCCAGCCAACACACAGAAATGTAGGAAAGACTAAATATTCCATTCCATTCCATTGGAGCCCTTCCCCTTCTCTTTCCAGCCCAGGCTGGAGTGCAATGGCATGATCTTGGCTCACTGCAGCCTCCACCTCCCAGGTTCAAGTGATTCTCCTGCCTCAGCCTCCCAAGTAGCTGGGACTACAGATGCGCACCACTACGCCTGGCTAATTTTTGTATGTTTAGTGGAGACAAGGTTTCACCACGTTGGCCAGGCTGGTCTCCAACTCCTGACCTCAGGTGATCCGCCTGCCTTGGCCTCCCAAAGTGCTGGGATTGCAGGCGTGAGCCACCACACCCAGCCTCATTTCAGGGGTACTTTTAAATACAGCAATAGATGACTGATACTAAAATGTACATGTAATTTAACCATGAATGTTTGTAATAGCAAAACAAAAAAACTGTGGCATAGCTTGGGGTTCATTGTTTAACATAATTTATAAGTTCTGAGGGGTCGTCTGAAAACCTTTAACAGCTCTGTTGGTATAAGGACAGTGAAGCTAAACATTTAAAAATCTGATTTTCAGCTGGGGACAGTGGCTCAGACCTGTAATCCCAGCACTTTGGGAGGCTAAGGTAGGCAGATCATTTAAGGTCAGGAGTTCGAGACTAGCCTGAACAACAGGGTGAAACCCCGTCTCTATTAAAAATACAAAAACCAGCCAGGTGTGGTGGTGGGCACCTGTAATCCCAGCTACTCAGAAGGCTGAAGCAGGAGAATCACTTGAACCCGGGGGGCGGAAGTTGCAGTGAGCTGAGATCACACCACTGTACTCCAGTCTGGGCGACAGCGAGACTCTGTCTCAAGAAAAGAAAAAAAAATTGGCCTGGTGCGGTGGCTCATGTCTGTAATCCTAGCACTTTGGGAGGCCGAGGAGGGTGGATTACCTGAGTTCAGGAGTTTGAGACCAGCCTGGGCAACACGGTGAAACCCTGCCTCTACTAAAATACAAAAAAATTAGCCAGGTGTGACGGCGTGCACCTATGATTCCAGCTACTCAGGAGGCTGAGACAGGAGAATCACTTGAACCTGGGAGGCAGAGGTTGCAGTGAGCTGAGGTCGTGCCACTGCACTCCAGCCTGGCAAGACAAGAAAGAAAGAAAGGAAGGAAGGAAGGAGAGAAAGAAAGAAAGAAGGAAAGAAAGAAAGAAGGAAAGAAAGAAAGAAAGAAAGAAAGAAAGAAAGAAAGAAAGAAAGAAAGAAAGAAAGAGAAAATAAATTAAAACCAGGGAGATGGTTTGTTTTTGTAGCAAATGCTACACACATATCACAAGAAATAAGGACCAATTGAGGACCAGCTCTCAGGAGCCTGCTGGCAGCTGGTAGCAATCCATATCGCTTTATAAAGTCTACAGTAGGAAGTTTTGTGAATAAGGAAGCATATTTTTGTTCAAATGAAACCACATCTCCAACAAAGGCACGTGAGAACCACAGATCTAGCCCAACAGCTGGTGAGGAAGGAAACTCGGCCCCTGGGGACACTGATCACTTCTCACTCTCACCCCCTTCATCTTCCCAGGTTCTTTCTTTTTTCTTTTTTTCTTTTCTTTTTGAGACAGTCTTGCTCTGTCACCCAGGCTGGAGTGCAGTGGTGCCATCTTGGCTCACTGCAACCTCCGCCTCCTGGGTTCAAGCAACTGTCCTGCCTCAGCCTCCTGAGTAGCTGGGATTACAGGCATGCACCACCACGCCCAGCTCATTTTTGTATTTTCAGTAGACATGGGGTTTCACCATGTTGGCCAGGCTGGTCTCGAACTCCTGACTTCAGGTGATCCGCCCACCTTGGCCTCCCAAATTGCTGGGATTATGGGCGTGAGCCACCGTGCCTGGCCTCATCTTCCCAGTTTGTATGTGGAGCCTGTGGCTTGGGGTATTCTTTTAATTCTCTGTGACCAGGTAAGACACAGGCAGAAGATATCTGAGCTCTGAAAACATCCAAGGCTAATATTGAGTGGGCAAGAGTTTGAGGCCTGTCACGTCAGAAACGAGACCAAGATTCCACAGCTGACCTGTGCTCACAGCTGAATTGTGCTGAGCTGAAATACTGCGCCCGTTTCTTTCCATTCAACTTGTCTTGGTTTGACCTAGAACCACACTGCACAGGAGAAGCACCATTTTTTGTTCAGACTCTCATCTGAAGCTGAAGCTTCTGCTAAGCACTTGTTTGCATGGGAGTGGAAGGGGACATGTGCACCCACAGTTGTGGCGAAAAGATCCTTGGGTGTGACAAAGGAGGAGGCGGGCCAAGGAGACCCATCCACTGTGTCCCTGGACCCTCCCAAGGAATCCCAGGAACTGCGAAGCATAAACCACATCTTCACTGTCTTAGAGACGCTGCTGTCCTTCCTTCATTTTACTCATGCTAAAGGCTCTATTTTTCTTTTCTCTAGAACTTTCTTTCTTTCCTTTTTTCTGAGACGGAGTTTCACTCTGTCACCCAGGCTGGAGTGCAATGGCGCAGTCTCGGCTCACAGCAAACTCTGCCTCCTGGGTTCAAGCGATTCTCCTGTCTCAGCCTCCCAAGTAGCTGGGATTACAGGCGTGCGTGGTGGCGCCTAATTTTTGTATTTTTAGTAAAGACAGGGTTTCACCATGTTGGCTAGACTGGTCTCAAACTCCTGACCTCAGGTGATCTGCCTGCCTCCGCTTCCCAAAGTGCTGGGATTACAGGCGTGAGCCACTAGACCCAGCCAGGTCTTTGTTTCTTAACACAGAATATTGTTTTTCTTTTGGATTATGATTATTATTCTTTGAAGCCAGGGTCTCGCTCTGTCACCCAGGCCGGAGTGCAGTGGTGCAATCATGGCTCACTCCAGCCTTTATCTCCTGGGCCCAAGTGATCCTCCAACCTCAGCCTCCCAAGTAGCTGGGATTATAAGTGCGTGCTACGATGTCTGGCTAATTTTTTATTTATAAATATTTTTTGTAGAGACAGGGTCTCGCTTTGTTGCCCAGGCTGGTCTCAAATTCCTGGACTCAGGCGATCCTCCTGCTTCAGCCTCCCAAAGTGCTGAGATTACAGGCGTGAACCTTTCAACTTTTAATGCTTTCAGTATTTTCCCATCCCTTGATTGAACATTTGGGTTTTAAATTATTTTTGTTGTTGTTGTTTCTTTTTGAGACAGAGTCTTGCTCTGTCACCCAGGCTAGAATGCAGGGGTGTGATCTCGGCTCACTGCAACCTCTGCCTCCTGCGTTCAAGCGATTCTTGTGCCTCAGCCTCCTGAGTAGCTGGGATTACAGGCGCCTGCCATGATGCCCAACTAATTTTTTGTATTTTTAGTAGAGACAGTGTTTCACCATGTTGGCCAGGCTGGTCTCAAACTCCTGACCTCAAGTGATCCGCCCACCTTGGCCTCCCAAATTGCTGGGATTACAGGTGTGAGCCACTACACCCGGCCTAAGCTTTTTTTTTTTTAATCTTAACCTGTTAACATTTTTCCTCTAATTAATGCTGGTTTTCTTTTATTGAGGAGTGAGGAGAAGCAAGAATGGGGTCAACCCCATTGAAGAGGGATTTTTTTTCCAGTATACACTGTCATAGTAATGTACCTATATTGTAAAACATTTAGAAATGACAGAAAAGTCCAAAAAAGCAGTAGTATATGTCCAAAAATGAAAACACTGCTCTATTTGTGAGTCAAGTAATAATTCCAAATTTATATTCAAAATGTTTTACTCATTTCAAATTCAGGTTCTCATTCAACTATAAATAAAATAATATTCTGTCCAAAAGTATGTGTATTTAATAACATCTTAGTCCCCATTATGTACTGAATTAGAAGGCTCCCTCTCTCTCTCTCTCTCTCTTTTTTTTTTTTTTTTTTTTTTTTGAGACAACGTCTCTCTCTGTCACCCAGGCCGGAGTGCAGTGGTACCATTACAGCTCACTGCAGCCTCAACCTCCTGGGCTTAAGCGATCCTCCCACCTCAGCCTCCTGAGTAGCTAGGATCACAGGCATGCACCACCATTTTTTATATGTTTTGCAGAGATGAAGTCTCGCCATGTTGCCCAGGCTGGTCTTGAACTCCGGGGTTCAAGCAATTTGCCTGCCTCGGCCTCCCAAGGTGTTGGAGTTACAGTCGTGAGCCCCCACACCCTGCCAAGGCTTGTTTTCTAGATATTTGAGTAAAATAATGGTTCTTCTGCAAATGAGGCTCCACTGAGGTTAATTCACGCCCTGGTCTTTATTTATTTATTTATTTATTTGATAAAACAAAAGAAAGGTGTCAAATGATAACCTGCTAGATACTTGGTTCTTTTTTTTGTTTTTTTTGTTTTTGTTTTTGTTTTTGTTTTTTTTTGACACAGAATCTCACTCTGTAGCCCAAGGTGGAGTGCAGTGGTGTGATCTTGGCTCACTGCAACCTCCACCTCCCGGGCTCAAGCAATTCTTATGCCTCAGCCTCCCAAGTAGCTGGGACTACAGGCGCACACGACCATGCCCAGCTAATTTTTTGTATTTTAGTAGAGACAGGGTTTTACTACGTTGGCCAGGATGGTCTTGAACTCCTGAGCTCAGGCGATCTGTCCGCCTCAGCCTCCCAAAGTGCTGGGATTACAGGCGTGATCCACCGTGCGCAGCCTTGTTTGTTTTTTTGAGACAGGGTCTTGCTCTGTCACCCAGGCTGGAGTGCAGTGGCGCCATCTCAGCTCACTGCAGCCTCAGCCTCCCAGGTCCAAGCAATTCTCCTGCCTCAGCCTCCCTGGTAGCTGGGATTACAGGCACGCACAGCCACGCCTGGCTAATTTTTGTATTTTTAGGAGAGACAGGGTTTCACCATGTTGGCCAGGCTGGTCTTGAACTCCTGACCTCAAGTGATCCGCCTGCCTCGGCCTCCCAAATTGCTGGGATTACAGGCGTGAGCTACCACGCTTGGCCGATACTTGATTCTAAAAGCATCTTGGTACCCACCAGAATCTTCCATGGGTTCAGTTTTCACATTGATGGGGCCGCAGCTGCAAGGAGAAGGGAACCCTGGTCAGATGGGCAGGGTGAGGACCAGGCACAGCCGCCTGGACACGATGAGCTCAAATGCCCTGGATCTCCGCAGCACCAAATCCCCCTCCTCCCCTCAATCAAATGCAACAATGCCTCCATTTTAACATTAATGTCTTAATAAGTTGTTCCCAAATTAAACGTGTCTACCGAAAATAGTCTTCTAATTCCAAAGGTCCTTTTGGACAAAGAATAGGATAGAAAATAAGGAAGGGAAGAAGCACATTAACCCTTTACACTCCACTTAAATGCTGTAAGGAGGCCTTTCTGTCATCCAAAAACGAACACTGTGCATAGTTGTGGATTTTGGTTGCTGTGATTTATCTTTTACCTTTCACTTGGTGATACTATGGATCTCTCCGCATCTGTTACCATCCCAGGGCCACCTGTAGAGGAATGAAAAAACACACACCAGCCCCTTTTAGCACCTCGGAAAATGACTAACATCCAAAGGCATAGAAATTGACAGCAAATACACAGAAAACGGAACTCCCAGATCGAAGCCAACGTGGAAAAGTCATCGAGAGAGAAACTGACTCAAAGCAGCCGCTGTGTTCCGGGGCCATTTGTGTGGGCAGGATGGGGGTTACCGAGGAGTGTTTTGGGGCCAGAGCACGGTCGTGCGGCTGAGCCTCAGCTCACCAGCTGGGCTGCCTCCAGCAACTCACTAAACCTCCCTCTGCCTCCGCTTCCTCGTGAACACGGTGGTTGTGGGAGGATTCATGAATATACGCAAAATGACTAGAACAGTGCCTGCATGTTGTAAGCACTAAGTTAGAGCTGCTATGACACGAGCTCCCCCTTGATCTGTGGTTTCGCGGTCCTCGGTTTGCTCCCCAAGGTCAACCAAAGTCTGCAAAGAGTAAACGGAAAATTCCAGAAATAATTCAGAAGTTTGAAATCACACGTTGTTCTGAGCAGCGTGATGAAGTGTCGTGCCGTCCCGCCTGGGACGTGACTCATCCCTTTGTCCTGCAATCCACGCTGTCTACACTACTCTCCCACTAGTCACTGAGTAGCTGGCTCTGTTATCAGACTGACAGTCCTGGGAAGGCCAGGGTGCTTGTGCTCAAGTCACCTTTATTTGACTTCATAATAGCCCCAAAGTGCAAGAGTAGTAATGAAGGCATATTGTTATAATCATTTTATTTTATCTTTAGTTATTGCTGTTAATCTCCTACTTTGCTTGATTTATTGATTTATTTACTGAGATGGATCTTGCTCTGTTGCCTGGGCTGGAGTGCAGTGGCACGATCTCGGCTCACTGCAACGTCTGCCTCCCGGGTTTAAGCAATTCTCCCGCCTCAGCCTCCCGAGTAGCTGGGACTACAGGCACGCACCACCACGCCCGGCTAATTTTTGTATTTTCAGTAGAGACAGGGTTTCACCATGTTGGCCAGGCTGGTCTCAAACTCCTAACCTCAGATGATCCACCCGCCTCGGCCTCCCAAAGTGTTGGGATTACAGGCGTGAGCCACCACACCTGGCCTGTGCTTGATTTATAAATTAAACTTTCTCTTAGGTAGGTATGGCTAGGGAAAAACATAGTATATGAAGGGTTCTGTACTACCCATGGGTCCAGGCATCTACTGGGGGTCTTGGAGCATATTCCCCGAGGATAAGGGGGGACCACTGTATTATTGTTTTTCTATGATGATGATACAAGTCAGTTGGGACAACAATCCATGGCCACCTGCCACCCTGCCCCTCTCATTTGTCCTTTAATGTGAGTTAGAGGATGACAGGAACTCACCATCCCTCCCGAAACAGACTTTCCACTGTGTTTAGTCCCCGGCTAAGAAGAACTGAAGCATGTCATACACCCAGCAGGTGCCTTGTGAACTGTGCCACCCCCCACCCCTGCCGTCTCCTTACTCCACTTAGGCAGTCTCAGCAAGACATCTTCTTTTATTCTTCTTTATTTATTTATTTTTGAGGCACAGTCTCATTTTGTCACCCAGGCTGGAGTGCGGTGGCACAATCTTGGCTCACTGCAAACTCTACATCTCGGGTTCAAGTGATTCTCCTGCCTCAGCCTCCTGAGTAACTGGGATTACACGCACCCGCCACCATGCCTGGCTAACTTTGGTATTTTTAGTAGGGATGGGGTTTCACCATGTTGACTAGGCTGGTCTCGAACTCCTGACCTCAAGTGATCTGCCCACCTCTGCCTCCCAAAGTGCTGGGATTACAGGTGTGAGCCACTGCGTCCGGCCAATTTTTTTTTTAATAGCTACAAATGTATTTTTCTTTTTTTAAAAAATATTCTTTATTTCTTCTAAAAAAAAAAGGGGGGGGGATACATCTGCAGAATGTGCAGGTTTGTTTCCTAGGCACATGTGTGCCACGATGGCTTGCTGCACCTATTGGCCCGTCCTCTAAGTTCCCTCCCCTCACCCAAATTCAAGTTTTGTTTTTTTTTTTGAGACGGAGTCTTGCTCAGTCGCCCAGGCTGGAGTGCAGTGGCGCGATCTCCGCTCACTGCAAGCTCCACCTCCCGGGTTCACGCCATTCTCCTGCCTCAGACTCCCGAGTAGCTGGGACTACAGGCGCCCGCCACCACGCCCGGCTAATTTTTTTTCGTATTTTTAGTACAGACTGGGCTTCACCGTGTTAGCCAGGATGGTCGCGATCTCCTGACCTTGTGATCCACCTGCCTCAGCCTCCCAAAGTGCTGGGATTACAGGTGTGAGCCATCACGCCCGGCCCCCAATTCAAGTTTTAATGAAGAAGAAGTGGTTCAGCAGCTCAGAAGAGCCACCAAACCTGAGAAGCTGTCACTTACCCAGCTGACTCTCTGGTCCTAGGAAGGGTCTGCAAGAAAAGCAACACCATTACCCAGCACGGACCAATGAAAAAAGCATGACACATCTGAACAGTCAGCTCTGAAACGCAGCAGGCGGGATGCACGAGTGAATTAAAATTAGGCTATTGGTTTCATCTTTAAATGAACTGAAGGGGCGGGGGTGCAGAGTGTGTCACCTATTTATGATGAATGAAATCCCTGCTTTGTTCTCCAAAATCCATTTCAGGGTTGCAAGGTCGTAATTCTCAGGGTGTTGAAAGGCAACGCCTTCCGGAAGCCCCTGCACTACCACAGCCGACTGGTCTCGCAGCATCTTCTCATAGGGAACAGGCACCATCACTGTTGTCCCTAAGGCTTTACCTACAAGAAGACGCAAACGTCTTTGGATGGTGTGAACCTAACGTTCTACCAGTTTTTTTTTTTTGTTTTTTGTTTTTTGTTTTGTAGAAACAGAGTCTCGCTCTGCCACCCCGGCTGGAGTGCAATGGCAAGATCTCGGCTCGCTGCAACCTCCACCTCCTGGGTTCAAACAATTCTCCTGCCTCAGCCTCCCGAGTAGCTGGGACTACAGGCACACACCACCATGCCCAGCTAATTTCTTTTGTATTTTAGTAGAGATGAGGTTTCACCATGTTGTCCAGACTGGTCTCGAACGGCTGAGCTCAGGCGATCTACCCACCTTAGCCTGCCAAAGTGCTAGGATAACAGGCGAGCCACTGAGCCCAGCCTAGTTTTTTTTGTTTTTGTTTTTGTTTTTAATTAAGAGACAGGGTCTCGACTGGGCTCACTGCAACCTCTGCCTCCTGGGTTCAAGCAATTCTCCTGCCTCTGCCTCCTGAGTAGCTGGCATTACAGCCGCCTGCCACCATGCCCGACTAATTTTTGTAGTTTTAGTAGAGACGGAGTTTCACTATGTTGGCCAGGCTGGTCTCGAACTCTTGATCTCAGGTGATCCACCCACCTCAGCCTCCCAAGTAGCTGGTGTGAGTCACCGTGCCCAGCCTGTTATCTAGCTTTTTAAAACACTGCAAAGGATTTTTGAAAATTATTTTTATTTTATTTTGTAGAGACAGGGTCTTACTATGTTGCTCAGTCTGGTCTCAAACTCCTGGGCTCAAATGATCCTCCCACCTTAGCCTCCCAAGTAGCTGGGATTACAGGCTCAAGCCACCATGCCCAGCGTATTTTTTTTTTAAATTCCCATCTTCATGCCTATGGAAAGACATGGGTAGGTGGAGTGACAACTGAGGGGTGAGGGAGGTGACTGAGCCAACATTGACTGTCTTTAGCAATACACTGGCCTTGATGCGGGGCTCTCTAAAATGGGATCAAGGAAGAAAGAGTGATCAATACAGAAGTTTCCACAGAGCAGAAGATCCAAGATCCACATCATCTTCTATAAGAACACTTAATCTGGTAATTAAGAACTGGTGGGCCGGGCGCGGTGGCTCACGCCTGTAATCCCAGCACTTTGGGAGGCCAAGGTGGGCGGATCACGAGGTCAGGAGATCGAGACCATTCTGGCTAACACAATGAAACCCCGTCTCTACCAAAAAATACAAAAAAAGTTAGCCGGGCACGGTGGCGGGTGCCTGTAGTCCCAGCTACTCAGGAGACTGAGGCAGGAAAATGGCAGGAACCCGAGAGGCGGAGCTTGCAGTGAGCCGAGATTGAGCCACTGCACTCCAGCCCGGGCAACAGAGCGAGACTCTGCCTCAAAAAAAAAAAAGAACTGGTGGCCAGGCACGGCGGCTCACACCTGTAATCTCAGCATTTTGGGAGGCCAAGGCAGGAGGATCACCTGAGGTCAGGAGTTCGAGACCAACCTGGCCAACATGGCAAAACCCCATCTCTACTAAACATACAAAAATTAGCTGGGCAAGGTGGTGGGCACCTGTAATCCCAGCTACTTAGGAGGCTGGGGTGGGAGAATCGCTTGAACCCAGGAGGCAGAGTTTACAGTGAGCTGAGATTGTGCCAATGCACTTCAGCCTGGGTGTCAGAGCAAGACTCCTCTCAGAAAAAAAAAAAAAAAGAACTAGCTCCTCGCTTGATAAGCATATGGGTTTTGAAATGTTCAAACATTCTAAGTAGTCATGGCAATAAGACTGTCTGTGACACTGTCCTACTCCTGGGTGAACCACTTAGAGAATTCATGCTTGGCTGGGCGCGGTGGTTCACGCCTATAATCCCAGCATTTTGGGAGGCCAAGGCAGGCGGATCACAAGGTGAGGAGTTTGAGACCAGCCTGGCCAACATGGTGAAACCCCATCTCTACTAAAAATACAAAAATTAGCTGGGTGTGGTGGTGGGCGCCTGTAATCCCAGCTACTTGGGAGGCTAAGGCAGGAGAATTGCTTGAACCCAGGAGGCGGAGGTTGCAGTGAGCCGAGATCGCACCACTGCACTCTAGCCTGGGTGGCAGAGCAAGACTCCATCTCAAAAAAAAAAAAAAAATAGAATTAATGCTTAAAGTGAACGTTACCATAACAAAAGCAGAAATAGTCCTCCACTGCCTTCCTGAGTATTTCCGTTTCGCCCGAGTGGACCTGCATCCCGTTCACAGGGCAGGGAGGTTTCACCTCACACAGTCCCTCTGCAACGCCTGCAAATGGATGATTGGCATTAGGTCAGTTTCTAAGCATTTGTGCTGTACACTTCCGTACTTTGTTTCTGGTATTGAAAGAAAAAAGGGAAAAAAGTGAATAAATATAAAACAAGATCTTTTAAAGAAAAACAAGAAAAAATTGTATTTATGATAAACAGGTTAATGAACTATAAAAAAATCAACATATAAAGAAATAGTAGTAGTTTAAGGAAATTATTATTTTTAGAGACAGGGTTTCACTCTGCTGCCCAGGCTGGAGTGCAGTGGGATGATCGAAGTTCCCGGCAGCCTCAAATTTCTGGGCTTAAGCGGTCCTCCCACCTCAGCCTCCAGGAGTGCCCCATCACACCTGGCTAACTTTTAAATTTTTTTTAGAGATGGGATCTCACTATGTTGCCCAGGCTGGCCTCTAACTCCTGGCCTCAAGTGATCCTCCCATCTTAGCCTCCCAAAGTGTTGGGATTACAGGTGTGAGGCACTGCACCCATCCAGAAATTATCTTTATAACAGAAATTTGATTTGCTATACAGTTGAAACGTGGCAATAATTGTATAGGAAGACTATACCCCTGAACCCATTCAAGACCAGCCCCAGAATCAATTGCTCCTCCAAAAGTTTTAAAACTGATTGTTTTCATCAGTCTAGTCAGAAGAGAGAAACCACATAGTAATTTGAACACAGAAAGGTTTTTGTTTTTTTTTTTTGTATCAATGTAAGGGGCACAAGTATAGTTTTCTTTCTTTCTTCTTTTTTTTTTTTGAGACAGAGTCTCGCTGTGACACCCAGGCTGGAGTGCAGTGGCATGTTCTCCACTCACTGCAAGTTCTGCCTCCCGGGTTCACGCCATTCTCCTGCCTCAGCCTCCTGAGTAGCTGGGACTACAGGTGCCTGCCACCACGCCCGGCTAAGTTTTTGTATTTTTTAGTAGAGATGGGGTTTCACCACGTTAGCCAGAATGGTCTCGATCTCCTGACCTCGTGATCCGCCTGCCTCGGCCTCCCAAAGTGCTGGGATTACAGGCCTGAGCCACCACACCCCGCCAAGTATAGTTTTCTTGCATGGATATACGGTGTTGTTGGTGAAGTCTGGGGTTTTAGTGTACTCATCACCCAAATAATGTACATTGTACCCATGAAGTAATTTATCATCCCTTACCCACCTCCTGCCTCCCACCCCTGAGTCTCCAGTGTCTGTTATTTCACACTCTATGACCATGTTTTTGTTTGTTTGTTTTGAGACAGAGTCTCACTCTGTCACCTAGGCTGGAGTGCAGTGGCGCAATCTCAGCTCACAGTAATCTCTGCCTCCTGGGTTCAGGAGATTTTCGTGCCTCAGCCTCCCTAGTAACTGGGATTACAGGCACCCGCCACTACACCAGGCTCATTTTTGTATTTTTAGTAGAGACAGGGTTTCACCATGTTGGCCAGGCTGGTCTCGAACTCCTGGCCTCAAGTGATCTGCCCACCTCGGCCTTCCAAAGTGCTGGGATTATAGGAGTGAGCCACTGCACCTAGCCTCACATTCTATGTCCATGTGTACCTATTATTTAGCCCCTCTTGTAAGTTAGGACATGCCGCATTTGCCTTTTTACGTCAAATGATAAAGACAATAGCCCCCAATCCCATCCATGTTGCTGCAAAAGACATCATTTCATTCTTTTTTTTTTTTTTTTTTTTTTTTTTTTTTTTTTTTTTTTGAGAGAGTCTTACTCTGTCGCCTAAGCTGGAGTGCAATGGCATGATCTCGGCTCACTGCAACCTCTGCCTCCCGGGTTCAAGCAATTCTTGTGCCTCAGCCACCTGAGTAGCTGGGATTACAGGCATGCACCACCGCCCCCGGCTAACTTTTATAATTTTAGTAGAGACGAGGTTTCGTCATGTTGGCCAGGCTGGTCTAGAACTACTGATCTCAAGTGATCCATCGCCTCAGCCTCCCAAAGTGCTTGGATTATAGGCATGCACTACCATGCCCGGCCATTTCATTCTTTTTTATGGCTGAATAGTATCCCATAGTGTACGTACCACATTTTCTTTGTCCCATCATCTGGTGATGGATGCTTAGCTTGATTTGCACATCTTTGCTATTGTGAATAGTGCTGTGATAAACGTTCAAGGCAGGTGTCTTTTTGATAGAATGATTTATTTTCCTTTGGGTAGATGCCAAGTAGTGGGCTTGCTGGATTGAATGGGGGTTTATGTTTAGTTCTTTGAGAAATCTCCATACTGTTTTCCATAGAGCTTGTACTAATTTACACCAACAGGTGAAGTTTCCTAGAAGAGTCGTCAACTGGTAACATGGGATTAGCTGCTAGAGGGACTGAGGACTCTAAAGAGAACATAAGCAGCAAATTGCAAGAGCATCTGTAACTGCTGGGCTAAGGCAGGGGACCCAGGAGGGAGCAAATCCAGGAATGGGGTGGCTCCCCAGGGCCGAGATCCAGACCTCATTAAACAGGATTTGGTCACGGCCCACTGGATAGTGGGGAAGCCTGTGGGGTTGTCCATGTGGTGGCTGGCAAGCAGGGGCCTGCTTTCTGGGGGTGCTGGTGGAAATCACTAGACAGTTACCCTGTGGGTGCCTGCAACACTTTCTGGGCGTTATAAGGAAGATGGCCTCTAGTGTGCTAGTGGAACTCTCTGGAAGCTACCTGGAGGGTGATGCCAAGAGAATTTGCTGGGAAGCCATGCTCTGGGGAACTGGTGGAACTCCCTAGGAAACTGCCTGTGGGTATGGTGCCACTGAAATTCACTGCGAAACCTCCTTCTGCAATTTTCTTTCTTCCTTTTTCCTTTCCCTTTTTTTTTTTTTTTTTTGTCTTGCTCTGTCACCCAGGCTGGAGTGCAATGGCACGATCTTGGCTCACTGCAACCTCCACCTCCTGGGTTCAAGTGATTCTCCTGCCTCAGCCTCCCGAGTAGCTGGGATTACAGGTGCATGCCACCACACCCAGCTAATTTTTGTATTTTTAGTACAGATGGGGTTTCGCCATGTTGGCCAGGCTGGTTTCAAACTCCTGGCCTCAGGTGATCCGCCAGCCTCAGCCTACCAGAGTGCTGGAATTACAGGTGTGAGCCACCACACCCAGCTGATATATATATTTTTAAAATAATAATAAAAAAGAAAAAAGGCCAATGTAAAAATGTATATATATATGTATTTTGTAGAGACAGGGTCTTGCCATGTTGCCCAGGCAGGTCTCAAACGCCTGGGCTCCAGCGATCCTCCCACCTCAGCCTCCCAAAGTGCTGGGATTACATATGTGAGCCACTGCACCTGGCCCCTTCTGGAATTTTCTGGGACTTCGATAAGACTTGCTGGGAAGCCAGCTGGAGTATTAGTGGAAGTGACTGGGAAGCTGTGTGTGGTGGGGGTGTCACTAAAACTCACTGGAATGAGTGCCACACTGGGTATCCCAAATGCTGTTGGTCATCACAGGCAGGTGAGAGCTCACTGCAACCTCCGCCTCCCGGGTTCAAGCGATTCTCCTGCCTCTCCCTCCCGAGTAGCTGGGATTACAGGCTCCTGCCACCACTAAAATTTTTGTATTTTTAGTAGAGACGGGGTTTTCCCATGTTGACCAGGCTGGTCTCGAACTCCCAACCTCAAGTGATCTGCCCGCCTTGGCCTCCCAAAATGCTGGGATTACAGGCGTGCCTGGCCCCAAGTGGAATTTATTCCTCAAATACAAGGATGGTTCAACATATTTAAATCAATCAATGTAACATACCACATTGACAGAATAAAGGACAAAAGCCACATGATCATCTCAATTGCCACAGAAAAAGCATTTGACAAGATTGAACATCCTTTCATGATAAAAGCACTCTACCAACTAGAAGTGGTAGGAAATGACCAATGTAATAAAGGCCATTTATAAAAAGTCCATGGCTAATATCACTCAACAATGAAAGACTGATAGCTAAGATCAGAAATAGCAAAGATGGGCCAGGTGCAGTGGCTCACCCCTGTAATCCCAGCACTTTGGGAGGCGGAGGCAGGCAGATCACTTGAGGTCAGGAGTTTGAGACTATGCTGGCCAATGTGGTGAAACCCCACCTCTACTAAAAAAATACAAAAATTAGCCAGGTGTGGTGGCACGCACCTGTAATCCCAGTTACTCAGGAGGCTGAGGCACGAGAATCACTTGAACCTGGGATCCGGAGGTTGCAGTGAGCAGAGATCAAGCCAGTGCACTCCAGCCTGGGCAACAGAGCAAGACTCCATCTCAAAGAAAAAAAAAAAAAAAAGAAATGGCAAAGATGCCCTCTCTCCCCACTTCTGTTCAACACAGTTTTGGAAGTCCTAGCCGAGCAATTAAACTAGGTAAGAAAAAAAAAGGCCTCCAAATTTGAAAGAAAGAAGTAAAATTATCTCTGTTCATAGATGATACATGATTTTGTATGTAGAAAATCCTAAAAATTCCACACAAAAATCTATTCGAACTCCAACATATTCAGCAAAGTTGCAGGATACTACATCAACACACCAAATCAACTGCATTTCTATACAGTAACAATGAACAATCTGCAAAGGAAATAAAACAATTCCATTTACAATAGCATCAAAAAGAATAAAATCCTTAGGGATAGACCTAATCAAGGAAGGGAAAAATCTGTATACTAAAACAATAAAACACTGCTGAAAAAAATTAAAGAAGACAGGCTGGGCGTGGTGGCTCACGCCTATAATCCTATAATCCCAGCACTTTGGGAGGCCAAGGCAGGCAGATCACTTGAGGTTAGGTGTTCAAGATCAGCCTGGGCAACATGGCGAAGCCCTGTCTCTACTAAAAATACAAAAATTAGCTGGGTGTGGTGGTGCATGCCTGTAGTCCCAGCTACTTGGGAAGCTGAGGCAGTAGAATCGCTTGAACCTGGGAGGCAGAGGTTGCAGTGATCCGAGATCAAGCCACTGCACTCCAGCCTGGGCAACAGAGCAAGACTCTGTCTCTCAAAAAAAAAAAAAAAAAGAAAGAAAAGAAATTAAAGAAGACACAAACAAATGGAAAGACATCTCATGTTCATGGATTGGCAGGCTTAATATTGCTAAGATATCTGTACTACCAAAAGCCATCTACAGAATTATTGCAATCCCCATCAAAATCTCAAGGGCATTTCTCGTACAAATTAAGAAATCCACTCTAAAATTCACATGGGGCTGGGCGCGGTGGCTCACCCTGTAATCCCAGAACTTTTGGGAGGCTGAGGAGGGTGGATCACGAGGTCAGGAATTCAAGACCATCCTGGCCAACATGGTGAAACCCTATCTCAAAATACAAAAAAAAAAAAAAAAAAAAATTAGCTGGGCATGGTGGCATGTGCCTGTAATCCCAGCTACTTGGGATGCTGAGGCAGGAGAATGGCTTGAACCGAGGAGGCAGAGGTTGTGGTCAGCCAAGATCTCTCCACTGCACTCCAGCCTGGGCGATAGAGCGAGATTCTGTCTCAAAAAAAAAAAAATAAAAAAAAATTCATATGGAACACCAAGGGACTCTGAATAACAGAAATAATCTTGAAGAAGAGCAAATTTGGAGGTCTCATACTTCCTGATTTCAAAACATATTATAAAGTAATCAAAACAGCATGATACTGGCATAAAGACAAATAGATCTACGGAATAGAGTAGGGAGTCCAGAAATAAACACTTGACCAAATATTTAGCATGCATGCCAGGTGCAGATCTCAGCTACTTGGGAGGCCAAGACAGGAGGATCACTTGAGCCCAGGAATTTATGACCAGACTGGGTAATATAGTAAAACCCTGTCTCAAAAAAAAAAAAAAAAAAAAAAAAGCTGGGCACGATGACTCACGCCTGTAATCCCAGCACTTTGGGAGCCAGAGGCAGGCGGATCACCTGAGGTCAGGAGTCTAAGACCAGGCTGGACAGCATGGGGAAACCCTGTCTCTACTAAAAAATACAAAAATTAGCCGGCTGTGGTAGCAGATGCCTGTAATCTCAGCTATTTGGGAGGCTGAGGCAGGAGAATGGCTTGAACTCAGAAGGTGGAGGTTTCAGTGAGCCAAGATCATGCCATTGCACTCCAGCCTGTCCGAAAGGGCAAAACTCTGTCTCAAAAAACAAAAACAAAAACGAAAAACCTGCGGCCATAAAAAAGAAAGAAATCATATCCTTTGCAGCAATGTGGAGGCAGCTGGAGGCCATTATCCTATGTAAATTAATGCAGGGACAGAAAACTGAATACCACATGTTCTCACTTGTAAGTGGGAGCCAAACCTTGGATACACATGGACATAAAGATGGGGATGGGAACAATAGACACTGGTGGCTCCTAGAGGAAAGAGGGAAGTGGGGGCAAGGGTTGCAAAATGAACTACGGGGTACTATGCTCACTACTGTACCCCAAACCACAGCATCACACGATATACCCATGTAACAAATCTACACGTGTGCCCCCCGAATCTAAACTAAAAGTTGACATTATTAAAAGAAAAGAAAATATAAAAAGATTATCACACCAATTTCAGAACAGTTTCATTACAAGATGAATACTAGAGAAAATATTTGCGACAACAAAATTAACATGCAACTATGAATCTTAAAAAAATCTACAAGTAAATTCCAGTGATTAGAAATTCAACTGGCATCTGACATTAATGAATTGAGAATACCCTTCTTGTGTATCAGTTACATACTGTATTATTTAAAGATGGCTTCATTTTTTAATCTGTCTTCTTGATAGTGGAGACCTTAATTTGGGATCTCGGAAGTAAATTTGAATCAATCTATCACTCAATTCTCCCCTCTCTCATCTCTCTCTCTCTCTCTCTCTCTATCCATTCATCTAATCTATCTATATACATATATATATATAATTCCTGTCTCCCTTATCTATCCATCCATCTAAGCTATCTACATACATATATATATATAATTCCTCTCTCTTATCTATCATCTATCCATTTATCTAATCTGTCTATATACATATGTATATAATTCCTCTCTCTTATCTATCTACCTATCTAATCTACTTATACACACACAGACACACACACACACACACACTTTATATACCCTCTGCCAATCCATAGAGACCCCTCTCTCTGTACATACACACACACACACACACACACACACACACACACACCCTTATACCCTCTGACGAACCTTTCTGATTTTTATCCTTTCATGGTTACAAGGAATATTAAATTGCTATATCAATACTTGGTAAATAACCTACAGTGTTAGAGATTACCACCATAAAAGGTGTAGTTTTTTGTCTAGTTTTGTTTTGTCTTGAGACCGGGTCTCGCTCTATGGTCCAGACTGGAGTGCAGTGGTGTGATCACGGCTCACTGCAGCCTTGACCTCCCGGGCTCAAGAGATCCTCTCACCTGAGCCTCCTGAGTAGCTAAGACAACAGGCGAGTGCCACCACGCCCATCTAATTTTTTTTTGTATTTTTTAGTAGAGATGGAGTCTTGCCATGTTGCCCAGCTTGGCCTCAAACTCCTGAGCTCAAGTGATCCATCTGCCTTGGCCTCCCAAAATTTTGGGATTACAGGAGTGAGCCACCGAGCCCGGCAGAAGGTGTAGTTTTTAACACTGTAGAGTAGTTCCTTGACATATGGCCACATATACTCACTCACACTGGATGCTTGCAGCACACCGTGGCATATTGAAGGCTCTGAAATTGCCATACTAAGAAAAGGAAAAAACGGCCAGGTGCAGTTTTCCAGTACTTTGGGAGGCAGAGGTGGGCAGATCACTTGTGGTCAGGAGTTTGAGACCAGCCTGGCCAACAGGGTGAAACCCTTTCTCTACCAAAAATATAAAAATTAGCTGGGCATGGTGGAAGGTGCCTGTAATCCCAGCTACTCGGGAGGCTGAGGCAGGAGAATCGCTTAAACCTGGGAGGCGGAGGTTGCGGTGAGCCAAGATCGCACCACTGCACTCCAGCCTGGGTGACACAGTGAGACTCTGTCTCAAAAAAATAAAGAAAAAAAGAAAAAAGGAGTAATTGTATAATGGCTATTAATAGGCAGTAATACACAACAAGCTCTGAAAAAGTTTTTCCCCCTTCCTTTGGAAAGGACTAAAGAGTATTTTGTAAAATGGTGTTTATTTTAGGAATTAAAGATAATTTGTTCTATGTCCTTGAAATTTATTCTAATAAACCAGAGTACCGCTGAGGACCTAGTATAAAATAAAATGACCATTTGTCTTGGACTCTGCAGTGTTAGGCAGTATTTATTTGGTAAGCTGAATCCAAGAAGATGTGTTAGGATCGTTTCTAGGAGAATGCTTATGATAGCTTAGAAGAAAATACTGTGGAAGTCTTGCCTGCGATCCTTTTGAGATTGGGAATACAAAGGATAAAATTAAAACACCTACAGTATTTTGCAAAATCTTTCTGAAAATCCGTCCTGGCATTAACAAAAGCGCATCCTCTCTCGGTTCCGACGACAAACACGTCTGTTTCGTACACTGCGATGCAGGCCACTTCTGCCTTGGACTTGGCCAGTTCTTTACACTGAAACAGAAACAAAAAGCGATGTATTATCTACAAGGGCAGATCCAAGTTTGTGGGGCCTGGGAGGCCTGATTTAAGAATACAAAATTAGGTAGCAAAAGGAATATTTATTTATTTATTTATTTTTGAGACGGAGTCTCGCTCTGTCACCCAGGCTGGAGTGCAGTGGCGCAATCTCGGCTCACTGCAAGCTCCGCCTCCCGGGTTCATGTCATTCTCCGGCCTCAGCCTCCTGAGTAGCTGGGACTACAGGCGCCTGCAACCACGCCTGGCTAATTTGTGTGTGTGTGTGTGTGTGTGTGTGTGTGTGTATTTTTAGTAGAGACGGGGTTTCACCGTGTTAGCCAGGATGGTCTCGATCTCCTGACCTTGTGATCCGCCCACCTTGGCCTCCCAAAGTGCTGGGATTACAGGTGTGAGCCACTGCGCCCGGCCAGGAATATTTATTTAGAATGAGAAAAATCACTGAGAAAGGAAATCAAAAGAAATTTATCAAGCAAACACCATAAACATCATAAAACCCAAAGAACATATTTTTATTGACTGCCTGACATGGATCTTCCAATATGCCTTTTCCCTACATTTTTGGCTGCAGACTTTCTGGTTACCTCTTCATATATACCTTTTTTTTTGAGATGGAGTCTTGCTCTGTCACCCAGACTGGAGGGCAGTGGTGCGATTTCGCCTCATTACAACCTCCGCCTCAGCCTCCCATGTTAGCTGGGATTAAAGGTGCCTGCCACCACACCCAGCTAATATATTTGTATTTTTAGTAAAGACGGGGTTTCACCAAGTTGACCAGGCTGGTTTCAACTCCTGACCTCAGGTGATCCACCCTCCTCGGCCTCCCAAAGTGCTGGGATTACAGGCGTTGAGTCCCCATGCCCAGCCGAATTTGTTTATTGTTTATCTCCCGAGTAGGATATAAGATCTCTGTAAGGCGGACCTTCTCAGGTCTTGTGACTCCAGTTCCTAGAAGAGGGCCTTGGCTTAGGAAGTGCTTCATGGATATTTGTCAAATGAAAGGAATGTGATCAGTTCTTAAACAATGTCCCTGGGGAAGATATTTCGAGTTTTCTTCAAACAGATCCTAATGCTTTATTATTATTATTATTTGAGAGAGGGTCTTGTTCTGTTACCCAGGCTGAAGTACAGTGGTGCAATCCTAGCTCACTGCAGCCTTGATCTCCTAGGCTGGAGCAATCCTCTTGCCTCAGCTTCTCTAGTAGCTGGGACTATAGGCATGTGTCACCACGCCTGGCTAATTTTTAAAATTTTTTATTTTTCCTTTTTTTTTTTTTTTGAGACGGAGCCTTGCCCTGTTGCCCAGGCTGGAGTGCAATGGCGTGACCTCGACTCAGTGCAACCTCTGCCTCCCAGGTTCAAGCGATTCTCCTGCTTCAGCCTCCCAAGTAGCTGGGATTACAGGCATGTGTCACCACTCCTGGCTAATTTTTTGTATCTTTAATAGAGACGAGGTTTCACCATGTTAGCCAGGCTGGTCTCGAACTCCTGACCTTGTGATCTGCCTGCCTCGGCCTCCCAAACTCCCAAAGTGCTGGGATTACAGGTGTGAGCCACCGCGCCCGGCCTAAAAATTGTTTTTAGTAGACAGAAGGTCTTGCTATGTTACCCAGGCTGGTCTCAAAACTCCTGAGCTCAAGTGATCCTCTGGCCTTGGCCTCATGAAGTGGTGGGATTACGGGCGTGAGCCACCCTGCCTACCCCTAATGCTTTCTTCTAAAATTAATTCCAACTTATTTTTTTTTTTTTTTTAAGAGTCAGGGTCTTGTGCTGTGCAGGCTGGAGTGCAGTGTCATGATAGCTCATGATAGCTTACTGCAGACTTGAACTCCTGGGCTCAAGCAATCTTTCCATCTCAGCACCCCAACTAGCTGGAACTATAGCACCATCCCCTCCAGCTAATTTTTTAAAAATAGTCTTGTAGAGACAAGGTCTCACTATGCTGCCCAGGCTGGTCTCCAACTCCTGGCCTCAAGCCATCCTCCCACCTCGACTCCCAAACCGCTGGGATTACAGTCTGACTATGCTAATTTTGATCACTTGAATGAGGTGGTGTCTGTCAGGTTTCTGCACTGTAAAGTTACTGATTTTCCATTTTTAATCAATAAATATCTTCTGATCAGGTACTTTGGAGTTATGTAAATTTCTCATCAAATTTTCACCCACCAGGTAAAGTTTACCTTTTGGATGTAAATAGATATATATAAATAGGCTGTTTACTTTTTTTTTCTTGAGACAGAGTCTCGCTCTGTTGCACAGGCTGGAGTGCAATGGCACAATCTCAGCTCACTACAACCTCCGCCTCCCGGGTTCAAGTGATTCTCGTGTCTCAGCCTCCTGAGTAGCTGGGAATACAGATGCCCGCCACCACGTCCAGCTAATGTTTCTATTTTTAGTAGAAATGGGGTTTCACCATGTTGGCCAGGCTGGTCTCCAACTCCTGACCTCAAGTCATCCACACACCTTGGCCTCCCAAAGTGCTGGGATTACAGGCGTGAGCCACTGCACCTGGCCTATTTACTTTTGAAATTAGATTTTTAAAATATTCTCAAACATGGTAACAAAGGTTACCATTCATTACATTTCAGATCTGGGAAGCTTAAGTTTATATAATTGCATCCATAATGTAATATACAAATACATAAATAATCTGACAAGCCCATTACCCTCTATAAAGGATACCCTTATATAGATGTCAGGCAGCAGGCAAACATCAAAAGTGATACTGAAGCAGCCAGACACGGTGGCTCACGCCTGTAATCCCACCACTTTGGGAGGCCGAGGTGGGCAGATCACCTGAGAGTAAGGAGTTCGAGACCAGCCTGGCCAACGTGGTGAAACCCCGTCTCTATTAAAAATACAAAAAATAAGCCGGGCGTAGTGGCCGGCGCCTGTAATCCCAGCTACTTGGGAGGCTGAGGCAGGAGAATTGCTTGAACCCGGGAGGCGGAGGTTGCAGTGAGCCGACATCATGCCACTGCACTCCAGCCTGGGCAGCAGAGCAAGACTCTGTCTCAAAAAAAAAACAAAAATTAGCTGGATGTGGTGGCTGGTGCCTATAATCCCAGCTACCCAGGAGGCTGAGGCAGGAGAATTGCTTGAACGCAGGAGAATTGCTTGAACCCAGGAGGCAGAGGTTGCCGTGAGCTGAGATTGTGCCACTGCACTCCAGCCTGGGCGACAGAGTGAGACTCTGTCTTAAAAAAAAGAAAAGAAAAAAAACAAAAGGCATACTGAAGTGTTTCATGATTCTGTCATTTCGACAATGATCCATCTATGGAATGTCAGACAAGTGTCCGGCTGTCTCACCATGGATTCGAGGGCAGACACGAGGAATGTCACCACCATCCTGGTCTCTGAGGAGGACTCTTCTTCAACAGGCAGGGTGGACACTGCTACCTGGGCCATGATCCCTGTGCAAGAGAAGCAATAAGAAAGTGGCAAAAATTCAGAGTCTGAAACCCACATTTAGAGATGTGAGGGTGCTCACCAAAGATCTAGTTCAAACTTTCCTCTTGAGATGAAGAAACTGAAATTTAAAGGCATTTAGTGACTTGCCCATGAGCTCCTGAATAGTAATGCTAACTTATTTTATTTTATTTTGTTTTATTTTGAGACAGGATCTTGCTCTGTCACCCAGGCTGGAGTGCAGTGGCGCAATCACAGCTTACTGTAACCTCTGCCCCCTGGATTCAATCAGTCCTCCCATCTCAGCCTCCCCAGCAGCTGGGACTACAAGTGAGCGCCATCACGCCTGGCTGATTTTTGTATTTTTTGTAAAGACGGGGTTTCGCCACGTTACCTAGGCTGGTCTCAAACTCCTGAGCTCAAGCAATCTGCCTTCCTTGGCCTCCCAGAGTGCTGGGATTATAGGTGTGAGCCACCACACCCAACCCTGCTAACTCTCTTTCTTTCTTTCTTTTTTTTTTGAGACTGAGTTTCACTCTTGTTACCCAGGCTGGTGCAATGGCACGATCTCAGCTCACTGCAACCACCACCTCCTGGGTTCAAGTGATTCTCCTGCCTCAGTCTCCCGAGTAGCTGGGATTACAGGTGTCTGCCACCACACCCAGCAAATTTTTGTATTTTTAGTGGAGATGAGGTTTTGCCATGTTGGCCAGGCTGGTCTCGAACTCCTGACCTGAGGCGATCCGTCCGCCTTGGCCTCCCAAAGTGCTGGGATTACAGGCGTAAGCCACCGTGCCCAGTCAACTTTCTTTTTTAAAAACTATTTATTTATTTAGACACAGGGTCTTGCTCTGTCACTCAGGCTGGAGTGCAGTGGGGCAATCTCAACTCACTGTAGGGTCCGAAGCAGCTGGGACTACAAGCACACTCCAGCAAACCTGGATTTATTTATTTATTTATTTATTTTGTAGAAACAGGGTTTTGCCATGTTGCCCATACTGGTCTTGAACTCCTGGTCTCACGTGATCCACCTGCCTCGGCTTCCCAAAGTGCTGGGATTATAGGCATGAGCCACCATGCCCAGCCTTTTTTTCTGGAACAGAGTCTTGCTCTGTCGCCCAGGCTGGAGTGCAATGGTGCGATCTTGGCTCACTGCAACCTCTGCCTCCCAGGTTCAAGCGATTCTCCTGCCTCAGCCTCCCAAGTAGCTGGGATTATAGGCTCCCACCACCACGCCTGGTTACTTTTTGTATTTTTAGTAGAGATGGGGTTTCACCATGTTGGACCAGGCCAGTCTCGAATTGCTGACCTCAAGTGATCCACTTGCCTAGGCCTCCCAAAATGCTGTGATTACAGGCGTGAGCCACTGCACCCAGTCTTTTTTTTTTTTAAGACAGAGTCTCATTCTGTCGCCCAGGCTGGAGTGCAGTGGCACGATCTCCGCTCACGGCAAGCTCCACCTCCCAGGTTCACGCCATTCTCCTGCCTCAGCCTCCCGAGTAGCTGGGACTACAGGCGCCTGCCACCACGCCTGGCTAATTTTTTGTATTTTTAATAGAGACGGGGTTTCACCATGTTAGCCAGGATGGTCTCGATCTCCTGACCTCGTGATCCGCCCACCTCAGCCTCCCAAAGTGCTGGGATTACAGGCGTGAGCCACCGCGCCCGGCCCGCACCCAGCCTTTTACATTTATTTTTATGCTAACTTTATAGAATATATTTTCCACTAAACCTACACATGGCCTCCCCGTAAAACAAACTCAGGTATTATGTGAGAGGAGCATGCTGTTTCCCAGATGAGGAGAGGAGGATTTGTACCTTATTGATCCAATGATGTTTAGTCAGATTTCAGCATGGTTGTGACAGCTACCACACTATTTCACTTACACATAGAAAGGATATAATGGGTTTGTGTGCTAAAGATAGGAAGAGAAAATTCCTTCTTTCCCACTTCCCTTCGGACTTCTGTCTCCTAAAAGCTCACTCTAAATTTTGCCAAGATTTTTTTTTTTTTTTAGCTTTTTGTTTGTTTTGTTTTTAGAGACAGGATCTCACTCTGTCACCCAGTCTGGAGTGCAGTGGCACAATCATGGCTCACTGCATCCTCCAACTCTCAGGCTCAAGTGATCTTCCTGCCTCACCCTCCCGTGTAGCCCCAGCTATGTTTTGCATATGGGACTGCAGGCATGTATTACCAGGCTCAGCTAATTTTTAAACATTTTTTTGTAAAGATGGGGTCTTGCTCTATCGCCAAGGCTGATCTCAAATTCCTGGGCTTAAGCCATCCTCCTGTGTCGGCCTCCTTAAGTGCCGGGATGACAGGCATGAGCTACTGTGCCTGGCTGATACATTTTGCCAAGCTCTAAATGAAGTTAGCTTTAAGAAATTTCTTTGAAAAAAATTCTCTGAAATCTTAAAAACAACTTTTTGAAATGGAACATGCAAATTAAGTACCTGTCAGCTACCATCATATCCCTCCAATATTTGGCTTAATTCTATTTGTAAGCAAAAGATACACAGATCAACATGAGTGTGCATGCGGAAGGAAGACAGAAGATTTTTCTATTGAGTTTCACTCTTGTCACCCAGGCTGGAGTGAAGTGGTGTGATCTCTGCTCACTGCAACCTCTGCCTCCCGGGTTCAAGCGATTCTCCTGCCTCAGCCTCCCAAGTAGCTGGGATTACAGGCAGGCGCCACCATGCTCGGCTAATTTTTGTATTTTTAGTAGAGAAGGGGTTTCATCATATTGGTCAGGCTGGTCTCAAACTCCTGACCTCAGGTGATCTGCCCGCCTCAGCCTCCCAAAGTGCTGGGATTACAGGCGTGAGCCACTGAGCCCGACCAAAACTGAAGATGTAAGGGAGCTAAGTGTGGAGGTCACATGCGGTTATTTGGAAATATTCACAAAGGTCTCTTTCAGATCATGTGGTTTGATTTCTTGCCCACTTGAATGTGGTGTGGCCACATGACTTTCGTGGACTGAGGACGTCAGGGAAGTAACTTCATTTTGCCACACTCTCTTCCTCCTCGGTGGTCACCGGGAACTTTCCATATGGAACCACCACAGCAGCCTGGGTTCCAGATCGCAGACAACGTGAAACAGACTCACAGCCAACGCATAACAGACTTTTAGTGCAACCAAGAAATAAGTCTTTGCTCCTTTAATCCTCCAAAGTCTGGTGTCGTTTGCAACCCAGCACACCCTAGCCAGTCTGGACAGTTACAGAAGGTTGAAAAGAAATTCTAAAAATGCAACTATCTACCAAAATTCTTTGAAGACACTCGAGGATCCCTTAGAGTTATCATCTTTCTGAGAACATTAGCTATGCTGAACCAGTAGGATGCAAATTGTTATCGTTAAAAATTTTTATAAATCTCTATATCTCTATTATTATTAAACAGAATGGTAGGGGGAAGGGAGGGATAGGGAAAGATTTGGTTGTCTGTTTGTTTGTTTTTTGAGGTGGAATATCACTCTGTCACCCAGGCTAGAGTGCAGTGGCACGATCTCAGCTCATTGCAAACTCTGCCTCCTGGGTTCGAGCGATTCTCCTGCCTCAACCCCCCGAGTAGTTGGGATTGCAGGCGTGAGCCACCACACCCAGCTAATTTTTGTATTTTTGGTGGAGACGGGGTTACACCATGTTGGCCAGGCTGGTCTCGAACCCTTGACCTCAAGTGATCCGCCCGCCTCGGCCTCCTAAAGTGCTGGGATTACAGGTGAGAGCCACCATGCCTGGTCTGTTGTTTTTTTTTTGTTTTTTGTTTTTTGTTTTGAGACAGCATCTTGCTCTGTCACCCAGGTTGGAGTGTTACCACAGTTCAGTGTAGCCTCGACCTTCTGGGCTCAGTTGATCCTCCCATTTCAGCCCCCGGGTGGCTGGGACTACAGGTGCATGCCACCACACCTGGCTAACTTTTGCATTTTAGTAGAGACGGGGTTTCACTATGTTGCCCAGACTGGTCTCCAACTCCTGGGCTCAAGCGATCTTCCTGCTTCTGCCTCCCACACCAGTGCTGGGATTACAGGTGTGAGCCACCGCGCCCAGCCGGTATTGTTTTTCATAGCAAAGACTCTGTTCTGGCAACAGAGCTGGAGTCAGAAAAAGCAGCCTCAATTGCCTCTCCGCTTTTTGGCTAAGATGAAGAGTAGCAAAAGCGGCATCCAGCCATGAGACGCGTAGGTCCTAGAAAGTCTTTTCTTGAGCATTCTAGATTCCACTCACCAAGCAAATGCACATCAAAGAATATGTAACGGCAAAGACGTGTTAAGTTCCCATTCACCAGAACACTCCCTTAGATCATGCTCCATCCTGATTCTTTTGGAAGCTCAGAGAATTTCCATTCGTAATCTTTATTTTGTCTTTAGCATCCCCGGGAGAGAAAAGGGCGTAGAAGTATTCTCATTTTACAACTTAGCAAGTTGTCCAAGCAAAGCTAGAACATACACCAGGACAATTTTTGCCTAGTGCTATTTCCACTTCTTCACACCTCCAATTGCCATTGATCTATGATGTCATCACACTCAATGTGTATTAAGAAATGGGGCCGGCGTGGTGGCTCACGCCTATAATCCCAACACTTTTGGAGGCTGAGGCGAGCGGATCACTTGAGGTCAGGAGTTCGAGACCAGCCTGGCCAACATGGTGAGACCCCCCCCTTCTCTACTAAAAATTAGCTGGGCATGGTGGCAGACACCTGTAATCCCAGCTACTCCGGAGGCTGAGGCAGGAGAATTGCTTGAACCCAGGAGGCGGAGGTTGCAGTGAGCCAAGATTGTGCCACTGCCCTCCAGGTGGGGCAACAGAGTAAGATTCCATCTAAAAACAAAAAAAGGGAGATGCCACAGCAACAGCCCAAGGGGCACCCCTGGTGATGAAGGTCCTATGTCTTTTTTTTTTTTTTTTTTTGAGACGGAGTCTCGCTCTGTCGCCCAGACTGGAGTGCATGATCTCTGCGCACTGCACCCAGTGGCATGATCTCTGCGCACTGCAAGCTCTGCCTCCCAGGTTCACGCCATTCTCCTGCCTCAGCCTCCCGAGTAGCTGGGACTATACGCGTGTGCCACCATGCCCAGCTAATTTTTTGTATTTTTAGTAGAGACGGGGTTTCACCATGTTAGCCAGGATGGTCTCGATCTCCTGACCTCGTGATCTGCCCACCTCGGCCTCCCAAAGTGCTGGGATTACAGGCGTGAGCCACCGCACCCGGCCGGTCCTATGTCTTTATCATAACTTTCAGGGCATGCAGCAAGCCTTGCAGGATGGAAGGCACCCTGGGGACGGCGACCCACGGGCCTTCTCTGTGCTTCCTGCTCTCTGGAAATGGGTGCATCCGGGTCACATCAGAAGTTCACTGTTCTTTGCTTGTCCCGAGGTTCCTTCCTGGGACAGTCCTTAGTTGAGACTATTCATGGAGCCTTCCCTGCACCCTTCACTTGGGGACGGCTCCCTCTCTTCTCTCCTCTTCCCAGAAAGAAACTGCCATCAGGAGGTGGCATTAATTAACAATGAACACCAGAGGAGGCATCGGGCCAGGCAGGTGACGCCAGCTTAGGAAGCACCTGATGCACTGGTCCCCACGGGACCACATGCCAGGAGAACCACGGGCTGTACTCAGGCATCTTGTCTATTGAAGAAGATACTAAATCAACTGCTTATTTATTTATTTTTATATGTATTTTTTGAGACAAGGTCTTACTCTGTCACCCAGGCTGGAGTGCAGTGGTGCGATCTCGGCTCACTGCAACCTCTACCTCCCAGGTTCAAGCAATTCTCCTGCCTCAGCCTCCCGAGTAGCCGGGATTATAGGCACCCGCCACCGGGCCCAGCTAAGTTTTCTCTTTTTTAGTAGAGACGGGGTTTCACCATGTTGGCCAGGCCGGTCTTGAACTCCTAACCTCAGTTGATCCACACGCCTCAGCCTCCCAGAGTGCTGGGACTACAGGCGTGAGCCACCATGCCCAGCCTTATTTTATATATATGTATGTATTGTTTTTTTTTTTTGACATGGAGTCTCACTCTGTTGCCCAGGCTGGAGTGAAATGGCATGATCTTGGCTCACTGCAACCCCTGCCTCTGGGGTTCAAGCAGTTCTTCTGCCTCAGCCTCCCAAGTAGCTGGGATTACAGGCAGCTCCCACCATGGCCGGCTAATTTTTTGTGTTTTTAGTAGAGATGGGGTTTCATCATGTTGGCCAGGCTGGTCTCGAACTCCCGACCTCAAGTGATCTACCTGCCTTGGCCTCCCGAAGCCCTGTGATTACAGCCATGAGCCACTGAGCCTGGTCAGCTTTTTTATTTCTAAGAGTCAGAGTCTCACAATGTCACCCAGGCTGGAGTGCAGTGGCTCGATCATGGCTCCCTGCAGCCTCCAACTCCTGGACTCAAGCCATCCTTCCCCCTCATCCACACTGGGATTACAGCTGCGAGCCACTACACCTGGCTCAATCAACTACTTCCTATGAATGTTTCACTTCTGACCTTTTATGAATCCCCTCAACTTAAAATCCAAAGGAGTCACATATTATGTAATTCCATTCATATTAAATTTCTAGAATAGGGAAATCTATAGGAACTGAGAATAGATTAGTGGTTATTTCAGGTTGATAGCTAAAGGGTAAAAGGTTTCAGAGTGATGAAAATGTTCAAAAATTGACTGTGATGGCCGGGCACAGTGGCTCACGCCTGTAATCCCAGCACTTTGGGAGGCCGAGGCGGACGGATCACAAGGTCAAGAGATCGAGACCATCCTGGCCAACTTGGTGAAACTTTGTCTCTACTAAAAATACAAAAATTAGCCGGGCATGGTGGCGCACGCCTGTAGTCCCAGCTACTCGGGAGGCTGAGGCAGGAGAATCTCTTGAACCCGGGAGGCGGAGGTTGCAGTGAGCCGAGATCCCACCACTGCACTCCAGCCTGGGCAACAGAGTGAGACTCCGTCTCACAAAAAAACAAAACAAAACAAAAATTGACTGTGATGATAGTTGTACAACTCTGTGAATATATTTCAAGAAACCACTGAACAGTACACTTTATTTTTTTTAATTTTCTTTTTTTTTTTTTTTTTTTTGAGATGGGGTCTTGCTCTGTCTCCCAGGCTGGAGTGCAGTGGCACAATCACAGTTCACTGCAACCTCTGCCTTCTGGGCTCAAGCGATTCTCCTGCCTCAGCCTCCTGAGTAGCTAGGATTACAGGCGTGCACCACCATGCCCAGCTAATTTTTTGTATTTGTAGTAGAGATGGGGTTTTGCCATGTTGCCCAGGCTGGTCTTGAACTCCTGACCTCAGGTGATCCACCCTCCTTGGCCTCCCAAAGTGCTGGGATTATAGGTGTGAGGCACTATGCCCACCCCTATTTTTTAAATTTTTATTTATTTTTTCTGACAGGGTCTCATTCTGTCACCCAGGCTGAAGTGCAGTGCCATGATCATAGTTGGAGTGCAGTGGTGCAATCACTGTAGCCTTGACCTCCTGGGCTCAAGCAATGCTCCTGCCTCAGCCTCCAGAGTAGCTAAGATGACAGGCATGTGCCACGACACTCAGCTAATTTTCTATTTTTGTAGAGAGGTCTCACTATGTTGCCCACGCTGGTCTCAAACTCCTGGGCTCAAACAATCCTTCCACCTCAGCCTCCCAGAGTGTTGGGATTACAGGCATGAGCCTCCGTGTACAGCCTGAACTGTACACTTCAAATGGGTGAACTGTATAAGTATATGAATTGTATCTCAATAAAACAGTTTTTATCATATTTATTTATTTGTTTTTGAGACGGAGTCTCACTCTGTGGCCCAGGCTGGAATGCAGTGGCACGATCTCAGCTCACTGCAACCTCCGCCTCCCGGGTTCAAGCAATTCTCCTGCCTCAGCCTCCCAAGTAGCTGAGATTACAGGCTTGGGTCAACATGCCTGGCTAATTTTTGTATTTTTAGTAGACACAGGGTTTCATCACGTTGGCCAGGCCAGTCTCAAACTCCTGACCTCAAGTGATCTGGCCTCCTTGGCCTCCCAAAGTGGTGGGTGACAGGCGTGAGCCACCGCGCCCAGCTAAAGAGATTTTTAAAAATCAAATAAAATCAAAGAGAGGTTGGATGGAAAAAAAGAAAATTAACATGTACTGAACTACACTCTATGCGCCGATGCTTTTACGATCACCCAATTTAAAACCTACACACCCTCCAAGGGAAATATTATTTTCCGTGAAAGGACACAGAGAGCATGGGAGCCTGCTGGTGGGTGTGCAGATGGTTTAAGGAATGGCAGAGGCTGCAACCGCAGTGGAGGAGCAGAAAGGCAAACAGAAGAAAGGCCCCATGAGGGGAAAATAAGATGGGTGACCCACATGTCCCAGGTGGGACAGTCCTAGTCCACACCCACCCTGCCAGTGAAATTATTAACAATGCTCCCTTCATTCTCAAGTGCCTGGAAGATGAATTATAAGATATTTATGTATGGGTTGTTGTGTGTGAAATGCACACACAAAATTACTAGAATCATGGCACCCCGCGTCCTTAAAACAACCTCCAAACTCAGAGAGGTCTCTCCCTGACGCCGACCAAAAGGCAATCAAAACACCGATCTCTTAACTCAATGCTTAAGTCTGCATACTTTATTTAGCATGAAGAAAAATGGTCAAAACAATCATGCAATCCATTTCCTGTGAAATAAAAAAAAAAGTTTTAAATAAAAATTCTTCTTTTTTTTTTTTTGAGACAGAGTTTTGCTCTTGCTGCCCAGGCTGGAGTGCAGTGGCTTGATCTTGGCTCACTGCAACCTCTGCCTCCCGGGTTCAAGCGATTCTGCTGCCTCAGCCTCCTGAGTAGCTGGGACTACAGGCCCGTGCCACCATGCCCAGCTAATTCTTTGTATTTTTAGTAGAGACAGGGTTTCACCGTGTTAGCCAGGATGGTCTTAATATCCTGACCTTGTGATCCACCCGCCTTGGTCACCCAAAGTGCTGGGATTACAGGCGTGAGCCACCACTCCTGGCATGCCCAGCGAATTTTTGTACTTTTAGTAGAGACGAGGTTTCCCCATATTGGTCAGGCTGGTCTTGAACCCCTGACCTCAGGTGATCCACCTGCCTCAGCCTCCCAAAGTGCTGGGATTACAGGCATGATCTACCACGCCTGGCCGAAAATTCTTTTACCTGATGTAAACTAGACTAGATGAGGATTATGTTTTATTTATTTATTTATTTATTTATTTATTTATTTATTTATTTATTTTGAGACGGAGTCTCGCTCTGTTGCCCAGGCTGGAGTGCAATGGCGTGATCTCAGCTCACTACAATCTCCACCTCCCTGGTCAAGCGACTATCCTGCCTCAGCCTCCTGAGTAGTTGGGACTACAGGCGCCCGCCACCACGCCCAACTAATTTTTGTATTTTTAGTAGAGATGGGATTTTGCCATGTTGGCCAGGCTGGTCTCGATCTCTTGACCTCCTGATCCACCCGCCTCAGCCTCCCAAAGTGCTGGGATCACAGGCGTTAGCCACCGTGCCTGGCCGATTTTTTTTTTTTTCTTTTTTGAGACAAGGTCTCACTCTGTCACCCAGGCTGGAGTGCAGTGGTGCACTCTCAGCTCACTGCAACTTCCCCATCCCGGGCTCAAGCAATCCTCGTGCCTCAGCCTCCTGAGTAGCTGGGACCACAGGCACGTGCCATCATGCCCAGCTCATTTTCTGCATTTTTTTTTTTTTTAATAGGAGGTTTCACCATGTTGCCCAGGCTGGTCTCAAACTCCTGACCTCAGGTGATCTGCCACCTTGGCCTCCCAAAGTGTTGGGATTACAGGTGTCAGTCACCTGCCTGGCCCCTGTGAATTCTGACATATATAAAGTTACATAGGTAAAATTAAGGTATAAAACAGTTCTGTCATCCCCAGAATATTATACCACAATAATCCCTAAACAAGCTCTGATGTCAAAAGTCTGCTTTTTTACAAAAAAGAAAATAAAAATAAAAACACAAACAAAAATAGAAATAAAAAAATTGAAAAAACCGAAGAATAAAATAATAGGCAGGATGATACCACGTGGAATTCAAAAAAAGATACTATCAGTTGGCGTCAACTATGCTACCAGTAATCATTTAAAACACAAGTGTTTCATAATAATTATTATCATTTTTTTGAGGCAGGGTCTCACTCCGTCACCCAGGCTGGAATGCAGTGGTGCAATCACAGCTCACTGCAGCCTCTGCCTCCCTGGGCTCGGATGATCTTCCCACCTCAGCCTCCTGAGTAGCTGGAATACCAGGCATGCGCCACCATGTTCAGCTAATTTTTGTATTTTTTGTAGAGAGGGGGTTTCGCCATGTTGCCCAGGCTGGTCTCGAACTCCTGGGCTTAAGTGATCTGCCTGCCTCATCCTCCCAAAGTGCTGGGATTACAGGTGTGAGCCACCGCGCTGGGCTGAGTGTCTCATAATTATTGTGCTTTCTTTGCATTTTGTACATAACAACAAATGGAGGCAGGAATGTTGTCTTTTATATTTTATGATTTGGAACACAGCATGCATTAATAGAAAATTGAAAATAATGAAACGTGACTATAAGCCAACACTGTGTTTCCTGTCCCAAGTACATTTTCCTGAGAAAATTTCACTGCACTCTAATAAAGCTCAAAAATCCTTCACCATAAGAACTTGTACCACAGAATAAAATCTCCCAAAGCCGATATAGTTATTAACCCTTTTTTTACTCACATCTGAAGTGCCAGCACCATTTACTGAGATCACAGATTTTTACATAGTACTTAACTTTTTACTCTTTTATTTTGAGATGGAGTCTTGCTCTGTGGCTCAGGCTGGAGCGCAGTGGTGCAATCTCAGCTCACTGCAAACTCTGCCTCCCGAGTAGTTGAAATTACAGGTGCGTGCCACCACATCTGGCTAATTTTTGTATTTTTAGTAGAGACTGGGTTTCACCATGTTGGCCAGGCTGGTCTCGAACTCCTGACCTAAGGTGATCCGCCCCGCTCAGCCTCCCAAAGTGCTGGGATTACAGGCATGAGCCACCGTGCCTGGCCCTTTTTGCTCTTTTAAAACTGTAGATGTAAACTCCAAAAACTTCCAAATCTCATTTTGTCTTCCCAGCAATGCTGGAGGCGTTTCTGTCCTTCTAGTGTAATATTTTACTAACGAAAAGCAAATACCTAGAACAATCTCCAGCCTACAGGTCAAATCCAGACCGCAGCCTAGTTTTGTAAATTAAGCTTTGTCAGAACACAGTCACATTCACTTGTTGACATCTTGTCTACAGCTGCTTTCCTGCAAAGGAAGGTTTGCATGCATGTGACAAAGACCCCATGTCCCCAAAGCCAAAAATATTTACTATCCTTACAAACAAAGTTTGCCCATCACTGATCTAGAATCTGTATCTATCCCTTACAACCTTTCATCATTTGGAATGTCATCCACTTCCTTTATGAAAACTCTGAAATCTTGAAATAGAGGACTGGTTTATTTTTAAAAACTGTTTCTAGATTTTCCCTTCCAAAGATTAATTTTTCAGGTTTTAAAGGGCTTAGTTTTTTTGTTTTGGTTTGGTTTTGAGACAGAGTCTGCTCTGTCCTCCAGATTGAAGTGCAGTGGTATCATCACAGCTTACCATGCGCCTGGCTAATTTTGACTTTTTTTTTTTTTTTTTTTTTTGTAGAGACAAAGTTTCACTATGTTGCCCAGGCTGATCTTGAACTCCTAGGCTCAAGCGATTCTCCTGCCTCAGTCTCTCAAAATACTGGAATTATAGGAATGAGACACTGTGCCCAGACCTGGGACTTGTTTTCTGTTTTGTTTTGCTTTTTTTCTTTTGAGATAGGGTCTTGCTCTATCACCCAGACTGGAGTGTAGTGGCATGATCATAGCTCCCTGCAGCCTGGGACTCCCAAGCTTAAGTGATCCTCCCACCTTAGCCTCCCAAGTAGCTGGGAGCACAGGCGCACACCACTGTACCCAGCTAATTTTTTGTTGTTGTTTTTTGTTTGTTTTGTAGAGACAGAGTTTTGCCATGTTGCCCAGGCCAGTCTTGAACTCCTAGACTCAAGCAATCCTCCCACCTCAGCCTCCCAAAGTGCTGGGATTATAGGCGTGAGCCACCACACTGAGCCGCAGGGCTTGGTTTTAATTAATAAATTCTACCTTCTTCACAGCTCAGCCTACAAGTACAAACACAAGAGTACATGTTTCACCATTCAACAAAAATGTAATGATCACCTGCGATGTAAAAATGTATACTAGTAGCCAGGCGAGGTGGCTCACACCTGTAATCCCAGCACTCTGGGAGGCTGAGGCAGGTGGATCACCTGAGGTCAGGAGTTCCATATCAGCCTGGCCAACATGGTGAAACCCTGTCTCTACTAAAAATCCAAAAAAAAAGGACAGGCGTGGTGGTGGGTGCCTGTAATCCCAGCTACTCGGGAGGCTGAGGCGGGGAGAATTGCTTGAACCCGGGAGGCGGAGGTTGCAGTGAGCCAAGATCATGCCATTGCACTCCAGCCTGGGCAACAAGAACGAAACTCCATCTCAAAAAAAAAAAAAAAAATTAGCTGGGCATGGTGGCACGCACCTGTAATCCCAACTACTCAGGAGGCTGAGGCAGGAGAATCTCTTGAACTCAGGAGGCGGAGGTTGCAGCAGGACGTGATTGTGCCACTGCACTTCAGCCTAGGTGACAGAGCAAGACTCTGTATCCTTCCCCCCAAAAAAAAACGTATACTGATGGCAAGGAGTGGAGGGGAATCACAAGCAATACAGTAAAAGGAGCCAGACACCCATGAAATGGCCTCAGGGCATGTAGGAACGCAGATGAATCCACTGGGAGGACAAGAGAAATGAAGGGCCAGGATTCTCCCCCTTATCTTCAGCAGACTCATTCCAAGACCCTCAGCGGATGCCTGGAACTGCAGATAGTGCCAAACCCTAAATCTATTATGTTCTTTTTCTTTTTTGAGATGGAGTCTCGCTCTGTCGCCCAGGCTGGAGTGCAGTGACGCGATCTTGGCTCACTGCAACCTCCGCCTCCCAGGTTCAAGTGATTTTCCTGCCTCAGCCTCCCAAGTAGCTGGGGGTTACAGGTGTGCACTACCATGTCTGGCTAATTTTTGTATTTTTAGTAGAGACAGGGTTTCGCCATGTTGGCCAGTCCGGGCAACATAGTGGGACCAGCCTGGCAACATAATGGGACTTCACCTCTACAAAAAAATTAAAAATTAGCCAGGTGTGGGGGTGTATGCCTGTGGTCCCAGCTACTCAGGAGGCTGAGATGGGAGGATTGCTTGAGCCCAGGAGGTCAAGGCTGCAGTGAGCTGTGATCCCACCATTTCAACAGGGCGAGGCCCTGGGTAGGACTCTGTCTCAAGAGAAAAACAAAGAAGGCCTGCCGGGCGTGGTGACTCATGCCTGTAATCACAGCACTTTGGGAGGCTGAGATGGGTGAATCAACTGACGTCAAGATTTCGAGACCAGCCTGGCCAACATGGTGAAACCCCGTCTCTACTAAAAACGTAAAAATTAGCCGGGCGTGGTGGTACACGCCTGTCATCCCAGCTACTCTGCAGGCTGAGGCAGAAGCATGGCTTGAATCCGGGAGATGGAGCTTACAGTGAGCCGAGATCGCAACACTGCACTCCAGCCTGGGCGACAGGGCGAGACTGTCTTAAAAAAAAAATAAAGGCAAAGGTGACAGGTATGGAATTTTCAACTTGCATCAGGTCAGCGGCATTCAATAAGTTTTGGATTTTGGAACGGTTCAAATTTTGGATTTTTGGATTAGAGATGTTCAACCTGTACATACATACCTACGATGAATTTTAATTTATAAATTAGGCACAGTAAGAAATTAACAACAACAATAATAAAATAGAATATCAAGTACTGTAATGTTATGTGAATGTGATCTCTCTCTCTCTCAGTATAACTTGTTGTAACGTACTTACCCTTCTTCTTCTTCTTGTAATGATGTGAGAATCTATGCCTGAATCTGTGTAACCATCCCTTACTCGCAGTAAATGGCTTGGTGTCAGTTTCAGAGCATCCCTTGCAGAAGTCTTGGTATAGGCTCAAAGCTTTCTGGCGCAACATGTTGCTGTCAATGGGAACACGTTTTCTGTTCATCTCTTCCACCCACAAATGCAGTGCCTGTTCCATCTTAACTAAGCACTTATCACGCACTGTGGCCGTCACTTTAGCAGTTGGAGGTGAGACAGCAAAACTAGCACGAATTTCTTTTTCCTTCTTCACAATTTCACGGATGGAAGATTCATTCTTCCCGTAGATCTTAGCAACCTCAGCATAGGATTTTTTGTCTTTCCTGATTAAGTCGAGAACTTTCACCTTTTCACTTAGAGGAAGCACTTTACGGCTTCTCTTTGGCCTATCCAAATTCCCAGCATCACTACTCTTGTGCTTTGGGGCCATTATGACGGAAAATAAGGGTGACTTGAACACATACACTGGGACACTGTGACGGTCGATCTGATAACCGAGCCAGCTACTAAGTGACTATGGGTGTGGAGCGTCCACAGCGTGGGGACGCTGAACAAAGGGGACGATTCACTGCCCAGGCTGCACAGCGCGAGATTTCATCACAGCGTGCAATTTAAAACTTACGAATTGTTTATTTCCGGAATTTTCCATGTAGTATTTTCAGACCACGGTTGACCTCAGGTAACTGAAACAGCGGGTAAGGGGGGACAACTGTACTTCCAGGTTCTGCAGCCTGAGAATGAGAGAAGGGACTGTGCAGGCTGAAGGCGTGGGGGAAGAGCCAGGGCCCTGGGGAGCAGACGTCAGGGACTAAACTGGAAGGCAAGCAGGAAGAACCGTGACCCACTCCAAACCGCCACTGAAGATTGATCCCAACTGCAAGCCGGTGCCAAGCCCCGCGTCCACGGAAGTCACACAGCCTATGACGCCTTCCTCTCCAAATGGAAGCAAAGAGGAGAAGAGGCTGCTGGAGTCTTCAATTGCAGCCGTGAGCAATCTCCAACTGGCCAGTTTCCAAGCTTATATCTAGACATCTGCTTACTTCAAATTACCAGCACGAAACTAAAACATGATTTTTTTTTCCTTAAAACACAAAGCTTGGCCCATCAATTCCAGTCCTTGGTATACACCTATGAGAATTGAAAACAAATGTCCGCACAAAAACGTGTACACCAATGTTCATAGCAGTATTATTCATAACAGCCAAAAGGTGGAAATTACCCAAATAGCCATCAATGGATGGAAAATCAAAATGCTGTGTATTCATATCATGGATTTTTATTCAGCCATAAAGAAGGAAAGAAGCCAGACACACAAAAAACTTCTTGGGATGATTCTATCCACACGAAATGTCCAGAATAGGCAAATCCACGGAGACAAAAGTGATTGCCAGGGGCTGGGGATAGGGACGGGGTGGGGACCGGGGAATGACGGCCTAATGGGGTTGGGGTTTCTTCTCCTCGGGTGCTGAAAGCGTTCTGCAATTAGTGGCAAAGGTTGCACAGCTCTGTGCACTGAATTATTCACTCTTAAAACGTGAATTTTACAATGGATCTCAACGAAGCTGTTATTAAGAAACAAGAAAGCTTGGGCTTGAGGGATGGAGAATACAGCCTTGCGAGCCTTTTTCCCCCTAGAACTCGAAACCAGAATTGCAACGGGAAATTCCCGGGCCTCGGCCTTTTTCCTTGGGAGTCTGGATTGGTTTTCCGCCAACAAACAGATCCCCGGAGGCCGTCGCGAGGACCATACCCACGGACAAAACCCACAACCTGGGCCTCTAGGCAACGCGTGACGTCAGGGGGCGGATCCGGGGCGCAGTTGCCTGGTAACAGCGGCGGCCCCCGCCCCCTTATCTAACCAATCAAGCGCGTCTGCACGCAGCGCGAGCGCCCCACGTACGACGGGCGGAGCGTGGCATCACGCACACCCCCGCTCGGCCAATCAGGAAGGAGAGGGATGTGCGCTCCGTGCGTACGACCATTGCCCCCGCGGCAAGGCTTCCCCGCCCCCACCCTCACACCTCTGGTCCTGCCAGCAGGGATCGGGGTTCGGGGGTGCCTCGCCTCGGGGCGCCGGGGTGTCCCGGGGGGCCACCTCCCGCTGCGGCCGGGCGGCCTCCCTTCCCCAGGCCCTCAGGAGGAGGACGTTCCGAAAGGCAACCCGCCCTTAATGGCGGCGTCGGCGGCGTCGGCGGCGGGGGCGGGGTACGCACCTGAGGGCGCTGGGCCGCGCCGGGCCGGCCGCGGAGTCCGAGGCCTGGGCCACCGGGGAGCAGCCGATGGCCGAGGGCGGCGGCCGGGAGCCCCGCGCGGGGGACGAGCACGCTTCGGGGCGTGTGGGTGGCGGCCGAGGCCCCTGCTCGCCACTCGCCCTCCTTTTTCTCTTTCTTTCTTTCCCCCCCTTTTCCCCCCTTTTTTTGTTTGCTTCCTGGAAGGCAGCCTCGACTCGTGTGTCCGCAGCGCCCCAAGTGGGAGTCGCCGTTTCCGGTGCTGTCGAATCCAATTTAGCCGCGCTGTGCATTTGCTTGGGGGCGTGCAGCCCCGTCCCGCGAGGTCCAGACCCCCTCAGCCATCGCTGATTGTGGGATGGATTGCTGGCGGGGCCTTTCTCACCCCGGACACCGCCCCCAGACGTGCATGCAGTTGCTTGCTGTTATTTAATTTTTTTTTTTGAGACGGAGTTTGGCTCTTGTTGTCGAGGCTGGAGTGCAATGGCGCGATCTTGGCTCACTGCAACCTCAGCCTCCCAGGTTCAAGCGATTCTCCTGCCTCAGCCTCCGGAGTAGCTGGGACTACAGGCGCCCGCCACCATGCCTGGCTAATTTTTTGTATTTTTTTTTTTAGTAGAGATGGGGTTTCACCGTGTTGGCCAGGATGGTCTCGATCTCCTGACCTCGTGATCCGCCCGCCTCGGCCTCCCAAAGTGCTGGGATTACAGGTGTGAGCCACCGCGGCCGGCCAGGTTACATTTTCATATGGTTATGACTCCCAAATATTCATCTCCAGCCCAGACCATTCCCCTAAACTCCACATCTATATAGCCAACTGCCTGCTTTGAAATCTCCACTTGTACAGCGACTTAAGAAAAAAAATTTTTATCTTGGAGAATGAATAGGCATCCCAAGAAGAACATGTCTCATGCTCCCCACACTTCTCCTGCAGTCTTCTCCAGCTCAATGAATGAAACTCCATTCCTCCACTTACTCAAGCCAGAAGCCTTGGAAGCATCTTATTCCTCCCACGCTCCACACCATTCCTTCAGATTCCTCCGGCAGCTCTAACTTTGCCCAGATTCTACCACTTTCTCTCTCTCTTTTTTTTTTTTTTTTTTTTTTTTGCTATGTGTGTTGAGGGGAGATGGACTTGCTCTGTCACCCAGGTTGGAGTGCAGTGGTACAGTCATAGCTCACTGCAGCCTCAACCTCCTGCACTCAAGCAAGCCTCCCACGTCAGCCTCCCGAGTAGGTGGGATCACAGGCGCACATCACCTCACCCGGCAAATTTTAAAAATTATTTGGCCAGGCGCAGTGGCTCACGCTTGTAATCCCAGCACTTTGAGAGGCCAAGGTGGGCAGATCACAAGGTCAGGAGTTCAAGACCAGCTTGGCCAACATGATGAAACCCCATCTCTACTAAAAATACAAAAATTAGCTGGGCGTGGTGGCGGACTCCTGTAATCCCAGCTACTTGGGAGCCTGAGACAGGAGAATCTCTGGAACCTGGGAGGCGAAGGTTGCAGTGAGCCGAGATCACGCCACTGCACTCCAGCCTGGGCGATAGAGCGAGACTCCATCTCAAAAAAAAAAAAAAAAATTATTTGTAGAGGCTGGGTGCGGTGGCTCACGCCTATATTCCTAGAACTTTGGGAGGCCAAGGCGGTCGGATTGCCTGAGCTAAGGAGTTCGAGACCAGCCTGGGCAACACGGTGAAACCCCGTCTCTACTAAAATACAAAAGAAATTAGTGGTGGCACGCGCCTGTATTCCCAGGTACTTGGGAGGCTAAGGCGGGAGAATTGCTTGAACCCAGGAGGCGGAGGTTGCAGTGAGCCGATATCGCACCACTGTACTCCAGCCTGCACGACAGAGCAAGACTCTCTCTCTCCAAAAAAAAAAAAAAAAAAAAAATTATTTGTAGAGACAAGGTCTCCCTGTGTTGCCCAGGCTGGTCTCAAATTGCTGTTCTCAAGGGATCCTCCTGCCTCCTTCCTCAGCCTCCCAAACTGTTGGGATACAGGCACGAGCCGAGCCTGGCCTCTACCAATTTCTAATGGCCCCCACTACTACCAAGCCAACACTGTCTCTTGCTGTAGACTCCTAATTTGTCTCCCTAATTCTGCCCTTAACCCTCTTCCATTCTTAACACAGCAACAAAAAGAATCTTGTAAAGTGTAACTCATTTCACTCTTCTCAAAAATGTCCATTTCAGAGTAAAGGTCCTAATTTACGCTTCTGTCCACGACGAAGTGACAAAGACCAGATATACCCTCCCAGCTGCAACAATAAACAAAAAAATGCATGAAACAATGTTTTTTTCAAGACACTAGACATCAGGTGACAAAAGATAGTGTTCGAGAGATGGTAAACGTGAGGTGAGCCCTGCAATTGCTTAGCTTACAGACTTGAGAGTTTATCAGGTCATCACACAGGGAAGGAGAACTAAGACAAGAGACCAGCTGACTTCCTTGGTTGTAACAGAGCTAAGTCCAGAAAGAACAAGGTAACTGCAGCTTATAAGGAAGGGTACCAGAGAGAGAGTTTTGCACAGAGAGAGAACCCCGGAGATCTGCAGAGGAACCCCTGGAGTATGTAGCAGAGTACATCAGCATACACGTGTGACATAATCACTTGCTTCTAGGGAAAGAACCATCTGAATGCATTGGAATAGTGCTTGACACTCAGACAGGGCCAAGAACAATGCCTGTTCAGAATTCACAGGTCATTGGGTAGAGGACTAAGCAAGGTCTTGCCTCATTAGAGGGGAAAATTAGCCTTAGATTGCACACTGCCTAATACCCACCTAACAGGGCATAACAGCAAGACTTGAATGCATCAAATGGTTCCCAAGTAGCTTTTTTTTTTTTTATTTTTTTGAGATGGAATCTCACTCTGTCTCCCGGGCTGGAGTGCAGTGGCACAATCTCGGCTCACTGCAACCATTGTTTCCCAGGTTCAAATGATTCTCCTGCCTCAGCCTCCCTAGTAGCTGGGATTACAGGTGTGCACCACCATACCCAGCTAATTTTTTTTTTGGAGACAGAGTCTTACACTGTTGCCTGGGCTGGAGTGCAGTGGCTCAATCTCAGCTCACTGCAACCTCCGCCTCCTGGGTTCACGCGATTCTCCTGCCTCAGCCTCCCTAGTAGCTGGGATTACAGGCTCACACCACCACACCCGGCTAATTTTTTGTATTTTTAGTAGAGACGGGGTTTCACTATGTTGGCCAGACTGGTCTCGAACTCCTGACCTCATGATCTGCCCGCCTTAGCCTCCCAAAGCCAGCTAACTTTTTTGTATTTTTAGTAGAGACGAGGTTTCACCATGTTGGCCAGGCTGGTCTCAAACTCCTGACCTCAAATGATCCTTCTGCCTTGGCCTCCCAAAGTGCTGGGATTACAGGCGTGAGCCACTGTGCTCGGCGTGGTTTCCAAGTAACTTAACTGTATTCCAGAACACAGCTCAAGAAGAGTTCTGGTAATACAAATATATCCAGCTTCAAGAAAGGTAAAATTCACAGTGTATGGTGTCCAAGCAAGGATTACTGACATACAAAGAAACAGGAACATGTGACCGGTAATGAGGAGAGTAAACAATGTAAATCAACCCAGAACTCACCCAGATATTAGTATTAGCAGAAAAGGACATTAAAACAGTTATTATAACTATTTCAAATGCTCAGACGTTAACTAGAGATGTGGGAAATATTAAGAAGACCCAAATTGAACTTCTTTTTTTTTTTTTTGAGATGGAGTCTCGCTCTGTCACCCAGGCTGGAGTGTAGTGGCGTGATCTCCGCTCACTGCAAGCTCTGCCTCCTGGGTTCACGCCATTCTCCTGCCTCAGCCTCCCGAGTAGTTGGGACTACAGGTGCCCGCCACCATGCCCGGTTAATTTTTTTGTATTTTTTAGTAGAGACAGGGTTTCACCATGTTAGCCAGGATGGTCTCGATCTCCTGACCTCATGATCCACCTGCCTCGGCCTCCCAAAGTATTGGGATTACAGGTGTGAGCCACCCGCGCCCGGCCTCCAAATTGAACTTCTATAGATAAAACCTACATGAGGTTTTTTTTTTGCAACAGAGTCTCGCTCTGTTGCCCAGGGTGGAGTGCAGTGATGCAGTCTCGGCTCACTGCATCCTCTGTCTCCCAGGCTCAAGTGATTCTCCTGCCTCAGCCTCCCAAGTAGCTGGGATTACAGGTCACGCCACCACGCCCAACTAATTTTTGTATTTTTAGTAGAGATGGGATGTCACCATGTTGGCTAGACTGGTTTCGAACTCCTGACCTCAAGTGATCCTCCCACCTCAGCCTCCCAAAGTGTTGGAATTAATAGGCGTGAGCCACTGCACCCAGCCTACAATGAGATTTTTTTCTAAAAAGTACACTGGATGGGATTAATGACAAATTAGACATTGCAGAAGAAAAGGTTAGTGAATTTGAAGGCACAGCAATAGTAACTACCACAACGAGAAAAACACACAGAGAAAAAAGAATTAGAAAAAGAAACATTAATGAGCTTTGGGACAACTTCAAGTAATCTAATATACAAATAATTGAAATCTGTAAAGGAGAGGAAAGACAATTGTCCGAACAAATAAAAACTATAAACCAGGCCGGGTGCAGTGACTCACGCCTGTAATCCCAGCACCTTGGGGGGCCGAGGCAGGCAGATCACTTGAGATCAGGAGTTGGAGACGAGCCTGGCCAACATGGTGAAACCCCATCTCTACTAAAAATACAAAAAATAAACCAGGCATGGTGGCGTGCGCCTATAGTGCCAGCTACTTGGGAGACTGAGGTGGGAGAATCGCTGTGAAACCCAGGAGGTGGAGGTTGCAATGAGCCAAGATCACGCCACTGTACTCCAGCCTGGGGAACAGAGTGAGACCCTGTCTCAAAAAAAAAAGAAGAAAAGAAAAGACATTAATAACAGAAAGATGCTTGACAAATCCCCAAATATTTGGAGACCAAATAACACACTTCTAAATAAGCTATGGAATAAAGGAGAAATGAAAAGGGATATTAGTCTTTTGAACTAAATGAAAATAAAAACACACACCCACATCAGAATTGGTGAGATGCCGCACAGAACACCTATATTAGGAAAAAGAAAATGCCTTGAATTAATAAATTCAACTACTTAAGAAACAAGAAAATTAAGAGAAAATTAAATACAAATTAAGCAGAAGAGAGGAGAAGGACTAATAAGGGTAAAATCTGAAATCAATGAAACAGAAAACAGAAAAACAATAGAGAAAATCAGTGAGCCCAAAGCTGCTTTTGTGGGATGGTGTATGAAATTGACAAACTTCTAGCTAGACTGGACAGAAAAAAAATGAAGACACAACTTAACAATATTAGGAATTAAAGAGATGAAATCAATACAGATTTTACAGACATTAAAAGGATAATAAGGGAAAACTATAAGCAAGATTATGGCACTAAATTCAACAACTTAGATGAAACGGACATATTTCTTGAAAGACACCAATTACCAAAGCTCACTCAAGAAGAAAAGGATAACTTGAATAGCCCTATAACTATTAAAGACATTGAAATTATAGTTTAAAACCTTTCTACAGGTCAGGCGCCGTGGTTCATGCCTGTAATCCCAGCACTTTTGGGAGGCCAAGCTGGGCAGATCACTTGAGGCCAGGAGTTTGAGGCCAAACTGGCCAATGTGGTGAGACCCCCATCTCTACAAAACACAAAAACAAAAATTAGCCGGGCATCATGGCAGCTGCCTGTAATCCCAGCTACTCAGGAGGCTGAGGCACAAGAATTGCTTGAACCCAAAAGGCGGAGGTTGCAGTTAGCCAAGATCATGCCACTGCACTTCAGCCTGGGCGAAAGAGCGAGACTCTGTCTCATAAAAAAATGTGTATGGAATCTCAAGGGATGATGAATAGCCAAAATAATTTCTAAAAGGAAAAACAAAATTGGATGATTCACAGTTCCTGATTTCAAAACTTATTACAAAGTTACTGTAATCAAAACAGTTTGGTACTGGCATAAAGACAGACATATGGAATAGAATAGAAATCCCAGATATAAACCCTCACACATATGGTCAGATGATTTTTGACAAGGGTACCAAGACCATTCGACAGGGAAAGGACAGTCTTTTCAATAAATGGTGCTGGGAAAACTGGATAGCCATATGCAAAAAAATGAAGTGGCATCCTTACCTTACCTTGCATGATATACAAAAATTAATCAAACTGAATGAAAGAGCTAAATGTATTAGCCAAAATTACAAAATTCTTTTTTTCCTCTTTCTTTCTTTCTTTCTTTTTTTTTTTTTTGAGACAAAGTATTGTTCTGTCACCCAGGCTGGAATACAGTGGCACCATCATGGCTCACTGCAGCCTCAATTTCCCAGGTTCAAGTAATCCTTCCACCTCAGCCTCCTGAGTAGCTGAGACTATAGATGTGTGCCACCATGCCCAGCTAACTTTTGTTTTTGTTTTTTGTAGAGATGGCATCTCACCATGTTGCCCACATTGGTCTTGAACTCCTGGGCTCAAGTGATCTGCCCACCTTGGCCTCCCAAAGTGCTGGAATTACAAGCTTGAGCCACCGTGCCCAGACTATAAAACTCTTAAAAGCAAATGGGGGAAAATTTTATGACATTAGATTTGGTACAGGTATATTGAACTTCATTAAAATGGAAAATTTTTAGGCATCAAAGGACACCATCAACAGAGTCCCACAGGATGTGAGAAAATACCTGCCAATTATATATCTGATAAGGGATTAATATCTAGTATATATAAAGAACTCCTATAACTCAACAACAATAGCAGAAACAACAATACCCCACAAGACCCAATTCTAAAATGGGAAAAGGGGCTGGGCACGGTGGCTCATGCCTGTAATCCCAACACTTTGGGAGGACAAGGCAGGAGGGTCACCTGAGGTCAGGAATTCAAGGCCAGCCTGGCCAACATGGTGAAACCCCATCTCTACTAAAAATACAAAAATTAGCCTGGTGTGGTGGCTCACATCTGTAATCCCAGCTACTCGGGAGGCTGAGGCTGGAGAATCGCTTGAACCCAGGAGGCGGAAGTTGGAAGTTGCAGCGAGCTGAAATTGCACCACTGCATTCCAGCCTGGATGACAGAGCGAGATTCCGTCTCAAATAAAATAAAATAAAATAGGCAAAGGGCCAGGCATGGTGGTTCACTCCTGTAATCCCCACACTTTGGGAAGCTGAGGTGAGCAGACCACTTGAGCCCAGGAGTTTGAGGCAGGTGAATCACCTGAGCTCAGGAATTCGAGACCAGCCTGGGCAACATGGCAAAATCCTGTTTCTATTTAAAAATACAAAATTAGCCTAGCATGGGGGTGCGTGCCTGTAGTCCCAGCTACTCAGGAGGCTGAGGTGGGAGGATGGCCGGGAGTGGTGGCAGGAGACCGGGAGGCAGAAGTTGCAGTGAGCTGAAATTAAAAAAAAAAAAAGGAATGAAGTTCTGCTACATCTTACAACATGAAAGGGCCTTGACAGCATTATGCCACATGAAATAATACAGACACAAAAGGACAAATGTTGCTTTGGGAGGCTGAGATGGGAGGATTGCTTGAGGCCAGGAGTTTGAGATCAGTGTGGGCAACATAGCGAGATAACATCTTTACTCCCCTCAAAATTTATGTATTTGTTTATTTATTTACATATATATCTCTATCTATCTATCTATCTATCTTTTTTTTTTTTTTTTGAGGCAGAATCTCACTCTGTCACCCAGGCTAGAGTGCAGTGGCGCGATCTCAGCTCACTGCAAGCTCTGCCTCCTGGGTTCACACCATTCTCCTGCCTCAGCCTCCCGAGTAGTTGGGACTACAGGCGCCCACCACCACGCCCGGCTAATTTTTTGTATTTTTAGTAGAGATGGGGTTTCACCGTGTTAGCCAGAGTGGTCTCGATCTCCTGACCTTGTGATCTGCCTGCCTTGGCCTCCCAAAGTGCTGGGATTACAGGCATGAGCCACTGCGCCCGGCCCCTATTTATTTATATTTTTGAGATGGAGTTTCGCTTTTATTACCCAGGCTGGAGTGCAATAACATGATTTCAGCTCACTGAGGCCTCCACTTCCCAGGTTCAAGCAATTCTCCTGCCTCAGCCTCCCGAGTAGCTGGGATTACAGGCACCCGCCACCATGCCTGGATAATTGTTTGTATTTTTAGTAGACGTGGGGTTTCACCATGTCAGCCAGGCTAGTCTCAAACTCCTGACCTCAGGTGATCTGCTCTCCTTGGCCTCCCAAAGTGCTGGGATTACAGATGTGAGCCACTGTGCCCAGTCAAAAAAATTTAGTTTTAAAGTTAACTGGGTGTAGTGGTGTGTGCCTATAGTCCTAGCTACTTGAGAGGCTGAGGTGGGAGGATCCCTTGAGACCAGGAATTTGAGACTGCAGTGAGCTATGATCGTGCCACTGTACTGCCTGAGCAACAGAGCAAGACCCTGCCTCTTAAAAAAAAAAAGAAAAAAAGTGTTATTTTACTTATATGAAGTACTTAGAATAGGCAAATTCATAGAGACAAAAAGTAGATTAGAGGTTACCAAAAGCTGGGTAGAAGAGGAGAAAGGGAATTGTTGCTCAATGAATACAGAGTTTCTATTAGGAGTAAAGTTTTAGCTTGGTTTTTTTCCCCAACTGGTCTCGAACTCCTGGGCTCGAGAGATCCACTCACCTCAGCCTCCCAAAGTGCTGAGATTACAGGTGTGAGCCACTGCACCTGGCCACCACTACTGTTTTTAATGAGAGCAAATGGATTAAAAACCACAAGAAAATATTTGCTTTATAACTATTGTTTTCTTTTCTTTTCTTTTTTTCTGAGATGGAGTCTCACTCTGTCTTGCTCAGGCTGGAGGGCAGTGGCGTGAACTCGGCTCACTGCAGCCTTTGCATCCTGGGTTCAAGCCATTCTCCTGTCTCAGTCTCCTGAGTAGCTGGGACCACAGGCATGTGCCACCACACTCAGATAGTTCTATATTTTCAGTAGAGACAGGGTTTCACCATGTTGGCCAGGCTGGTCTCAAACTCCTGACCTCAGGTGATCCACCTGCCTTGGCCTTCCAAAGTGCTGGGATTACAGGCGTGAGCCACCATGCCCGGCCACCGCTACTGTTCTTAATGAGAGCAAATGGATTAAAAATGAAAATAAAATATTTGCTTTAAAACTGTTGTTTCCTATAAACATTTAAAATAAAAATACTTTTAAAAGAAAAAATAAAACTATTATTTATTTAATCTTTATCTTATTTAAAATATTCCTTTGTATATTTTATAAAGTATATATTAGTATAATAGTATATGTAAATAATTTATATGTATTTTTTCATGCTCACAAATTTTACTCATAAGAATCAATTTGGCCAGGCACAGTGGTTCACGCCTGTAATCCTAACACTTTGGGAGGCCGAGGTAGGCGGATCACAAGGTCAGGAGTTCAAGACCAGCCTGGCCAACATAGTGAAACGCTGTCTCCACTACAAATACAAAAAATTAGCTGGGTGTGGTGGCAGGTGCCTGTAATCCCAGCTACTTGGGAGGTTGAGGCAGGAGAATTGCTTGAACCCAGGAGGCAGAGGTGGCAGTGAGCGGAGATCGCACCACTGCACTCCAGCCTGGGTGACAGAGTGAGACGCCATCTCAAGAAAAAAAAAATCAATTTAAGCTCCTTTTTTTTTTTTTTTTTTTTTTGAGACAGGGTCTCATTCTGTTGCTCAGGCTGGAGTGCAGTGGCACAATCTTGGCTCACTGCAACCTCCACATCCTGGGCTCAAGCGATCCTCCCACCTCAGCCTTCCGAGTACCTGGGATTATAGGCTAATTTTTGTATTTTTCTGTAGAGACAGGATTTTGCTATGCTGCCCAGGCTAGCCTCAAACTCCAGGGTTCAAGGTATCCACCTGCCTTGGCCTCCCAAAGTGCTGGGATTACAAGTGTGAGCCACCACGCCTGGCCAGGAATGTGTAATCAAAATAATTTGGAGACCACTGGCCTAAAAAATAGGCAGATTATGTTCTCAGGAAATGGAAGTAATTTATCTACAAGCAGAGAGTTGAATCCACTGAAGTAGATGACTGAAGCCAATCGTAACATGAGTAGTACCACGTTACGTTTCTTTTTTCTTTTCTTTTTTTTTTTTTTTTTTGAGTCAGAGTCTCTCTCTGTCACCCAGGCTGTAGTGCAGTGGCGCAATCTTGGCTCATGCAATCTCCTCCTTCCGGGTTCAAGTGATTCTCCTGCCTCAGCCTGCCGAGTGGCTGTGATTACAGGTGCGCCCCACCACGCCTGGCTAATTTTTTTGTATTTTTAGTAGAAACAGGGTTTCACCATGTTGGCCAGGCTGGTCTCGAACTCCTGATCTCAAGTTGTCCACCCACCTCGGCCTCCCAAAGTGCTGGGATTACAGGCAGAGCCACCACGCTGGGCCAGTAGATACCACATTTCTGAACAGGAAGACTGAAGATTGTAAAATGAGATATCTCCTAGTTAATTTATCGCAATGAGCCTGGGAATTTAATGTAATTTCAACCAAAATCCTAGTGGGATTTTTAATGTAGCTTGTCAAGATGATTTTAAAATTTATATGAAAGTAAATGTTATGAATAGCAAAGGCATTTTTGTAAAAGAATAGACAAGAACAAAGAAGACATTTGACTAAATAAAAACCAGAACATATTATAAAGTTGCAGCCATTGAAACCTCGTCACATTAATATAAGAATAAAGCAGTAGAAATAAATAGTTTCCATAAAATTGACCTATGTATTTTTGGAAATTAACCATATGTTATAAATGGCATCTTGAATCTTCAGATAAAGCCCTTACTAGCCAATAAATTATTTTGGACAATCAGACATGCCTTTGGAAAAAATATTAATAAGTATGCTGCCTGGCATCATGCCATTCATAAAAGTCAACTCTAAACCTGAATATAGCCGGGTGCAGTGGCTCACGCCTGTAATCCCAGCACTTTGGGAAGCCGACGCGGGCAGATCACAAGGTCAGGAGTTCGAGACCAGCCTGGCCAACATGGTGAAACCCCTTCTCTACTAAAACTACAAAAATTAGCTGGGTGTGGTGGTGGGCGCCTGTAGTTCCAGCTACTCGGGAGGCTAAGGCATGAGAATCACTTGAACCCAGGCGTCGGAGGTTGCAGTGAGCCAAGATCGCGCCATTGTGCTCTAGCCTGGGTGACAAAGCGAGACTCTGTCTCAAAATAAACAAACAAATGAAACCCTGAATATAAAAAATGAAAGTAGGTCAGCCACAGTGGCTCAGGCCTGTACACTTTGGGTGGCCAAGATGGGAGGATTGCTTGAGCCCAGGAGTTTGAGACCAGACTGAACAACATGACAAAACCCTGTCTCTACAAAAAATACAAAAATTATCTTTATACCTTGGGTAATAGACATTCTTCGTTAACATGATACAGAAAACCAAAACGCTAATGAATAGGATTAATAACGCTGACTACATCAAGATAAAATTTTCTATGACAAGAGACACCATGAATTAAGTAAAAGGGGCTGGGCGTAGTGGCTTACATCTGTAATCCCAGCACTTTGGGAGGCCAAGGTGGGCAGATCACTTGAGGTCAGGAGTTCAAAACCAGCCTGGCCAACATGGTGAAACCCCATCTCTACTAAAAATACCAAAAAAATTAGCCAGGTGTGGTGGCAGGCGCCTGTGAACCCAGCTACTTGGAAGGCTGAAGCAGGAGAATCACTTGAACCTGGAAGGCGGAGGTTGCAGTGAGCCGAGGTTGAGCCACTGCACTCTAGTCTGGGCAACAGAGTGAGACTCCATCTCAAAAAAAAAAAAAAAAATTAAGAAAAAAGACAAGAGGCCAGGTGCAGTGGCTCATGCCTGTGGTCCCAGCACTTTGGGAGGCCAAGGTGGGCGGATCACCTGGGATCAGGAGTTCAAGACCAGCCTCAACATGGAGAAACCCCGTCTCTACTGAAAATACAAAAAAAAAAAAAAAAAAAAAATTAGCTAGGCGTGGTGGTGCATACCTGTGGTCCCAGCTACTCGGGAGGCTGAGGCAGGAGAATTGCTTCAATCTGGGAGGTGGAGGTTGCAGTGGGCCAAGATCGCGCCATTGCACTCCAGCCTGGACAAGAGCAAAACTCAGTCTCAAAAAAAAAAAAAAAAAGACAAGAGAAAATATTTAGACAGGTAACGAAGGGTTTTATGCAAATATATCAAGTACTCCTACAAAGTAATAAGAGACAAACAATCCAGTATGGGTGCGGTGGTGGCTCACACCTGTAATCCCAGCACTTTGGGAGGCTGAGACGGGCGGATCACCTGAGGTCAGGAGTTCGAGACCAGCCTGGCCAACATGGTGAAACCCCGTCTCTGCTAAAAATACTAAAATTAGCCAGGCATGGTGGTGCACGCCTGCAGTCTCAGGTACTTGGGAGACTGGGACATGAGAATCACTTGAACCCATCAGGCAGAGGTTGTGGTGAGCCGAGATCGGACCACTGCACTTCAGCCTGGGCGCTGGGCCACAGAGTGAGACTCTGTCTCAAAAAAAAAAAAAAAAGAGACAACCCAATAGAAACGTCACCAAGGATATGAGTAGATTTGCAATTCTCAGTAGAGGAGACGTGAAACTGTAAGATGTTCAACTTTTCCAGAGATTACAGAAATATAAAGTAAATAAAAAATGAGATATGTTTCAAGTAGCAGATTGGCAAACATTTAAAAAACGTGGGCGGGGCACAGTGGCTTATGCCTATAATCCCAGCACTTGGGGAAGCTGAGGCAGGAGGATTGCTTGAGCCCAGGAGCTGGAGTCCAGCCTGAGCAACATAGAGAGACCCCCGTCTCTGCAAAAAATTTTAAAAATGTCCAGGTGTGGTGAGGTGTGCCTGTAGTCCTAGCTACTTGGGAGGCTGAGGTAGGAGTATCACGAGAGCTGGCAAGATTGAATCTGCAGAGGCTGCAGTGAGCTACGATGGCACCACTGTACTCCAGCCTGGTTGATAGAGTGAGACCTTGTCTGGGAAAAAAAAAACCAAGTCGTGTAGCAGGGGGATACGTAAAAGCAAATCCCACTCATAATATTGAAGCACAACTTATGAAAAACAAATGGAAAACATCTATTAACATTTTAAAAATTATTTTTATTTTTTGGTCATCTCTTAGAATATGTATATTAACATGTTTATTTATTATTATTTTTTAAAATTTTTTATTTATTTTACTTTATTTTTTGAGATGGGTGTCTTGCTATGTTGCCCAAGCTGGTCTTGAACTCCTAGGCTCAAGCAATCCTCCTGCCTGGGCTTCCCAAGTAGCTACTGGCACACACCATCACACTCGGCTGATTTTTAAAAAAATTTTTTAGGGACAGAGTTTCACTATTGCCCAGGTTGGTTTCAAACTCCTGGCCTCAAGCAATCCTCCGGCCTTGACCTCCCAAAGTGTTGGGATTACAGATGTGAGCCATGACACCTGGCCAAAATAATGTTTTTTATATGGCAAGATGTATATGTGAGACTGTAGTTAAAGGAGCCTTTAGCCATACCCATATATAATATTTTTAAATTTATTATTATTATTTTTTGAGATGGAGTCTTGCTCTGTCACCCAGGCTGGAGTGCAGTGGCACAATCTTGGCTCACTGCAACCTCCACCTCCCAGGTTCAAGTGACTCTCCTGCCTCAGCCTCCCAAGTAGCTGAGATTATAGGCGCCCACCGCCACGCCCAGCTAATTATTGTATTTTTATTAGAGACTGGGTTTCACCATGTTGGCCAGGCGGGTCTCGAACTCCTGATGTAGGGTGATCTGCCCGCCTCAGCCTCCCAGAGTGTTGGGATTACAGACATAAGCCACTGCTCCCGGCCGATTTATTATTATTTTTTAACAAGGAACTGCATGATACATTAATTGTATAATTAAAGTTAATAATAATACAAATAAAAACATGTAAGTTTAGTCTGGGCACCGTGGCTCATGCCTGTTATCCCAGCACTTTGGGAGGCCAAGGCGGGTAGATCACTTGAGGTCAAGAGTTCAAGACTACCCTGGCCAACATGGTGAAACCCCGACTCTACTAAAAATACAAAAATTAGCCGGTCGTGGTGGCAGGTCACTGTAATCCTAGCTACTCGGGAGGCTGAGGCAGGAGAATTGCTTGAATCCGGGAGGAGGAAGTTGCAGTAAGCCAAGATCCTGCCACCGCACTCCAGCCTGGCAACAGAGTGAGACTCTGTCTCAAAAACAGACAAACAAACAAATGTAAGGTTAGTTAAGTTCACTCTTTCCCAGACTAGAGAATTTCAGCTACATCAAACGTCAAAATAATTAGAATGTGTACAGGAAAATGTCATCATAGGTGGTGAAGAAATTAGCTTGGCTAACGTTAGCAGACATTTGGATACTCTGAGATAGCTGATAGTTTGACAGTAGTACCATCTTTTCCAAGCAAAAATTTGGACAGAAATGTAAGTATTTTCTAGCATAGAACCAGTCTACAAAACCAGCCAAGTTTTTTTCATGTTTGTTTGTTTGTTTGTTTGTTTTTGAGCCAGAGTCTCTCTCTGTCGCCCAGGCTGGAGAGCAGTGGCGCAATCTGGGCTCACTGCAACCTCTGTCTCCTGGGTTCAAGCATTTCTCATGCCTCAGCCTCCTGTGTACCTAGGATTAAAGGCACCTGCCACCACGACCGGCTAATTTTTTTTTTGTATTTTTAGTAGAGATAGCATTTCACCATGTTGGCCAGGCTTGTCTTGAACTCCTGACCTCAGGTGATCTACCTGCCTCGACCTCCCAAAGTGCTGGGATTACAGGCGTGAGCCACCACGCCAAGCCAGAAAAGTAAGTATTTTCTAGCACAGAAGCAGTCTACAAAACCAACCAAGTTTTGATAGCAAAATAGAAAAGCCCAGTTGTGGCTACAAATCCAGCTCTTTATTGGCCAAATAGACGTTTAGGATGTTTTAGCCTTTCATAGGAGACAGAATTGGTGGGTAAGTATTGCCACCCCGTGGCTGCGGTTCACATTGCAGTTTGTCCTTTTATCTTCAAAATACTAAACCAAGGCTTGTGTCCTTTGGATATCCCCTAATAGTAAAATGTTTTAGAAATTTGAGAAACTCACATAGGGTTATTAAAATATTGACAAGTAAAAAAAATTTTAAAACCTACTATCCTATTGTCATTATGAGTTTGTAAAAGACCAGACGTTGAGCCAGGTGGGATGGCTCACGCCTGTAATTCCAGCACTTACAGAGGCCAAGGCAGGTGGATCACCTGAGGTCAGGAGGTGGATCACCTGAGGTCAGGAGGTGGATCACCTGAGGTCAGGAGTTCGAGACCAGCCGGGCCAATATAGTGAAACCCCGTCTCTACTAAAAATACAAAAATTAGCCAGGCATTGTGGTGGGTGCCTGTAATCCTAGCTATTTGGGAGGCTGAGGTAGGAGAATCACTTAGAACCCAGGAGGCGGAGGTTGTAGTGAGCCGAGACTGTGCCACTGCACTCCAGCCTTGATGAAAAAGCCAGACTTTGAAAAAACAAAAAAATCAGATGTTGAAAACCAAAAAACTAGAAAGGACACAAACTCAGATAAAAGGACAGTCCTGCTTATGAAAGTTCAGTTCAAAATTTTTCTTTTCTTTCTTTCTTTTTTTTTTTTTTTTTGAGACAGGGTTTGTTCTGTCACCCAGGCCGGAGTGCAGTGGTGCAAATGCAGCTCACTACAGCCTCGACCTCCCAGGCTCAAGAATCCTCCCACCTCAGTCTCCCAAGTAGCTGGGACCACAGGTGGGCTCCAACATGCCAGGCTAATTCTTAAATTTTGTATACAGACAAGGTCTTGTTATGTTGCCCAGGCTGGTCTCGAACTCCTGGGCTCAAGCAGTCCTCCTGCCTTAGCCTCCCAAAGTGCTGGGATTATAGGCATGAGCCACTCCACCCAGCTGAACTGTGTATGCATTTCGTAAATATATAAATATTCCCTATATTAACTATTAATATTAACTATATTTATAATATTTACATAATTGTCCTTTATCAATATATGTCTCAGATTTATCAACTCAAGTGCAGCCAAATTCTGTCTCTAAAAAATGAGTAAATAAATGAATAAATAGGCCGGGCACGGTGGCTCATGCCTGTAATCCCAGCACTTTGGGAGGCCGAGGCGGGTGGATCACCTGAGTTCAGGAGTTCGAGACCAGCCTGGCCAATAGGGTGGAGCCCCGTCTCTACTAAAAATACAAAACAAAATTAGCCGGGCGTGGTGGTGGGCGCCTGTAATTCCAGCTACTCAGGAGGCTGAGGCAGGAGAATCGCTTGAGCCAGGAGGTGGAGGATGCAGTGAGCTGAGGTCACGCCACTGTACTCCAGCCTGGGCAACAAAAGTGAAACTCCGTCTCAAAAAAATAAAAAATAAAGGAATAAAGACAGAGATAAGGAATAAAGGAATAGAGACGGAGATAAGTTTTTTTTGTTTTTTTGTTTTGAGATGGAGTCTCGTTCTGTCGCCCAGGCTGGAGTGCAGGGGCACGATCTCGGCTCACTGCAACCTCCGCCTCCCGGTTTCACATGATTTTCCTGCCTCAGCCTCCTGAGTAGCTGGGATTACAGGCACACACCACCACACCCAGCTAATTTTTTGCATATTTCTAGTAGAGACAGGGTTTCACTATGTTGGCCAGACTGGTCTCAAACTTCTGACCTCGTGATCCGCCCACCTCAGCCTTCCAAAGTGCTGGGATTACAGGCATGAGCCACCGCGCCCGGCTGGAGACAAGGTCTTGTAACAGATACTTAATGTGGGTGGTGTCGGGAGTGAGACAGTGGGAGAGTTCATGAGTAATGCTTTCCTTCACGCAGAGGCAAACTGTTTTTGGTCCTCTTTTCTGTTAGGGATTGAAAAGAACCCACTCACCAGATCAGTGTCCTGTATCATGTTTCAGAGGGTGTGTTGATCTCTTCTGGTAAAACAGATGCCATGGCTGGGCGCGGTGGCTCAGGCCTGTAATCTCAGCACTTTGGGAGGTGGAGGCGGGCAGATCACCTGAGGTCAGGAGTTGGGGACCAGTCATGGCCACCATGGTGAAATTCCGTCTCTACTAAAAATACAAAAAATTAACCGGGTGTGGTTGTGCACGCCTGTAATCCCAACTACTTGGGAGGCTGAGGCAGGAGAATTGCTTGAACCCAGGAGGCGGAGGTTGCAGTGAGTCGAGATCATGTCACCGTACTCAAGCCTGGGTGATAGACTGAGACTCTGTCTCAAAAAACAAACAAACGAACAAAAAAACAGACGGCACGCTTGACACAGCAGCTATGAGTTGGACCATGCACTTGCCTAAATGTATGGTGGTCCCCTGTCCCCTACCACAGTCCATCTTTTTTTATTTTTTGAGACGGAGCCTCGCTCTGTCGCCAGGCTGGAGTGCAGTGGTGCGATCTCGGCTCACTGCAACCTCCGCCTCCCGGGTTCAAGCTATTCTCCTGCCTCAGCCTCCCAAGTAGCTGAGACTACAGTGCGTTCCACCACGCCCAGCTAATTTTTGTATTTTCAGTAGAAATGGGGTTTTACTATGTTGGCCAGGATGGTCTCCATCTCTTGACCTCGTGATGTGCCTGCCTTGCCCTCCCAAAATGCTGGGATTACAGGTGTGAGCCACTATGCCTGGCCAATCCATCAGTTTTTTTAGGAGCCAAACAGGTGAACTCAATGGGGAGCTACCCATTGGATAGGAATCACCACCCCTCTGAATCTTTTACATCTTTGAAGGTGGCACTAGCATCTACAATTCCATGTGGCAAACAGTGTGTGTTCTGATTGAATACTGGCTGGGTCGAGACAGGGTAAGGGGACCGATGTGAATGGCTAAGTTTATCTATCCCAAATGGTGGCAGGGAACTTACTACCAGGCGGGTCCATAGACACATTTATTTTTACTTTTATATTTACATTTAATTTAATTTTTTTTTTTTTCAGAGACAGGGTCTCACTCTGCTGTCCTGGCTGGAGTGCAGTGGTGCAATCATGGCTCACTGCAGCCTCGAACTCCTGGGCTTAAGCCATCCACCTGCCTCAGTCTCCTAAGTAGCTGGCACCACAGGTGCACACCATCACGCCGAGCTAATTTTTAAATTTTTTTGTAGAGAAAGGGTCCCACTATTTGCCCAGGCTGGTCTCGAACTCTCAAGTGATTCTCCCACCTTTGTCTTCCAAAGTGCTGGAAGACTGGGTCCGCCGCAGAGAATACATTTCATAGCCCGGGAGACTGGTGGTTTCAGTGCCTTCATGAATTTTACTCCCTGTAGTAAGAGGCTTTCCATGAGCAGTCTTGTGGTCACCACATTTTATTAGTGGGTTTTCCCCAGTCATCTTCCATAAAACAGGCCTGCACAGGCTGGGGGCGGTGGCTTATGCCTGTAATCCCAGCACTTTGGGAGGCCGAGGTGGGTGGATCACTGGAGGTCAGGAGTTCAAAACCAACCTGGCCAACATCGTGAAACCCTGTCTCTACTAAAAATACAAAAATTAGCCGGGCGTGGTGGCGTACGCCTGTGGTCCCAGCTACTCGGGAGGCTGAGACACGAGAGTCACTTGAACCCAGGAGGGGGAGGTTGCAGTGAGCCTGTCGATAGGTTTGAGGGGACCTGGGCAGGGGATGCGAAGGCAGCAGGGAATCGTCCACTCCAGCTCGCTGTCGCTGGAGGACGGCCTGGGGCGGCGTGGGAGCAGACCGGAGCGGAGACGGCTGCAGCAAGGCCAGGTAAGAAATGTCGCGGGGCAATAGCAAGGGAGCAAAACAGGACACGCAGTTTCGCTAAGGGACAAGAATCCTAATCCCGCCCCTAACCCCGCCCCTCACCATCGCCACGCCACGCCTCCCTGAGCCTTGGGCTGCCGTCAGCGCCTTTGCCTTCAACCAGGAGTAAAAGTGGCCGTAGCCTCTTCCGGCGAGGACTGGTGTTAAGGGTCACGCAAGATGGCGGCGCCCAGAGGCTGCTGAGGCGCGGAACGGAGGATGGCGCTGGTGGCGTTGGTGGCTGGGGCTCGGCTGGGGCGGCGGCTGAGCGGGCCGGGGCTGGGGCGAGGGCACTGGACGGCGGCCGGGCGCTCCCGGAGCCGGCGCGAAGCGGCAGAAGCCGAGGCGGAGGTGCCCGTGGTCCAGTACGTGGGCGAGCGCGCTGCCCGCGCCGATCGCGTCTTCGTGTGGGGCTTCAGCTTCTCGGGGGCGCTGGGCGTGCCTTCCTTTGTGGTGCCCAGCTCCGGGCCCGGGCCCCGCGCCGGCGCCCGACCGCGCCGCAGGATCCAGCCCGTGCCCTATCGCCTGGAGCTGGACCAAAAGGTGCAGGCCGCGGCTTCCTCCTTCTCTCCTTCTCTCTCTTCCGCGCTCCCGGCCTCCCTCGACCTGTTCGGCTCTCTTCAAGAAGTTGGCTCCTCTGGGTGGACAGACTTCCGGCAGGACGACCCTCGAGCTGGCTGCAAGCCCAGGAGGGGAAGGCGTTAGGGGTGGCCATCAACATTTATTGGGTGGCAGTGCCAGATGTTGTGCCGGGTCGTGTCATTCGCTTAGCACCCAGTGAGTCGACAGTTATTCCCAATTACAGGGAAGGAAGGGGAGGCCCAGAGAGGTTGAGGCCCGAGGCCCCACCGCTGCTAGCTGTTTATATGCGGTGGAATTCTCACTCAGGCCAGCGTGACTGCAGGAGTTCTGATGTTAGGAAAGCAAAATTCAAAAGTCCATTGAAAATGTATACCAGCTGAGGTGTTTCAATGAACAACTCAGAAAGGGGATTTTTTTGTTTTAATTTATTTTTTAGAGACAGGGTCTCGCTCTGTCGCTCAGGCTGGAGTGCAGTGGTGTCATCATAGCTCACTGCAGCCTCGACCTCCTGGGCTCAAGAGATCGTCCTGCCACCTAGCCCGGCAAATTTTTGTATTTTTAGTAGAGATGGGGTTTCGCCATGTTTGCTAGACTGGTCTTGAACTGAACTCAAGCGATCCGCCCGCCTTGGCCTCCCAAAGTGCTGGGATTACAGGCGTGAGCCACTGTGCCTGGCTGAAAGAGGATTGATTTTAAAATCAAACCATCTTTGGTCTATATCCAACCTCACTGGAAGCCCCGGTTTTCTCATCGGGTCAGTGAAGGGAGGATTGATGAGAGTGTAGTTAAAACACCCAACAAAGACCTTGGGGTTGTCACTGTGTTAAATTCACAGTAGCTGTAGTACTGAGTTTTCCTTTTCATGGTAATAGCCTGAGTACGTAACGGTGTAGTGTCAGTGAAAAGCATGCAGTCAAGTTACTCAACCTTTAGAAGCCACACTTTCTCATCTGCCTTATACTACTGCTAACAGCAATAAGAAATAGAAAATATAATAACAAAAGCAATAACAAAAACTAAACAACAACAACAAAAAGCATACAATATAGGCCAGGTGCGGTAGCTCATGCCTGTAATTTCAGCACTTTGGGAGGCCAAGGCAGGAGGATCATTTGAGTTCAAGAGTTTGAGACCAGCCTGGGTAACACAGTGAGAACTCATCTCTCTGTCTCTCTCTCTCTCCATATATATATATATATATATATATATATATGTATATGTATATGTATATGTATAAATTTAAAATACAAAATAGAGTACAAAATATAGGTTTGTTTTTTTTTTTTGATCTGGCTCTGTTGCCCAGGCTGGAGTACAGTGGCGTGATCATGGGTCACTGCAGCCTCGACCTCCTGGATTCAAGTGATCCTCCTGCTTCAGCCTCCCATGTAGCTGGGACCAAGCTTAAATTTTGATTTTTTCATAGAGACAGGTTGTCACTTTGTTGCCTAGGCTCAAAATATAGCTCTTACCTTGAGATGGGTACTATTCCCTATAAGGGCTTTAGCTATATTAACTCGTTTAGTCTTCACAACAGCTTAGTGAGAGAGATGGTACTATTATCATCTTTACTTTTTAGAGAAGGAGAAACAGATATAGAGGTAAAGTAATCTATCTCAGATCACACAGTTGGTAAGGATGGGGCCAGGATTCAAAACTAAGGAGATCTGTCAACTTACCTACCGCGCTAAGAGATGGTGGTGTTTTTTGTTTTGTTTTGTTTTGTTTTGTTTTTGAGACAGAGTCTTATTCTGTCACCCAGGCTGGAATGCAGTGGCGCCATCTTGGCTCACTGCAACCTCTGCCTCCCAGGTTCAAGCACTTCTCCTGCCTCCCGAGTAGCTGAGATTACAGGCGCACGCCACCATGCCTAGCTAATTTTTGTATTTTTAGTAGAGATGGGGTTTCACCATGTTGGCCAAAGCGGGTCTCAAACTCCTGACCTCAAGTGATCTGCCTGCCTCAGCCTCCCAAAGTGCTGGGATTACAGGTGTGAGCCACCGTACTCGGCTGCTGCTAGATAGTGTCTTGATCTTGGTGAATGGGGATGGTAATACCTAGTGGTAAGCTGACATAGACCATAAATAGACTATATTTATGGTCTATGTGTAAATCACCCTTCATAGAGTGATTATAAAGATTAAATGAGATAATACTTATCAAACATATAGTAAATGCTCAATAAATGCTAGTTGCTGTCTTAATAATATGTGTTCTTGGGCCAGGCACGGTGGCTGACGCATATAGTCCCAGCACCTTGGGAAGCCAAGGCGGACAGATCACTTGAGGCCGGGAATTTGAGATCACCTGGGCCAACATAGTGAAATTCTGTCTCTACTAAAAATACAGAAGTTAGCCAGACGTGGTGTGCACACCTGTAGTCCCAGCTACTTGGGAGGCTTGAACCTGGGAGATGGAGATTGCAGTGAGCCGAGATTGCGCCACTGCACTCCAGCCTGGGCAACAGAGTGAGACTGTCTCAAAAACAAAAACAAAACCCCCGTAAATAGTATGTGTTCTTGGATTTGATAAATAACCTGTCATTTACTACTGAACAAACTTGACATTATAAATCAGTTCATGCTTTGTGGGAACTGCTTTTCAGATTTCATCTGCTGCTTGCGGCTATGGATTCACACTGCTGTCCTCTAAGACTGCGGATGTTACGAAAGTCTGGGGGATGGGACTCAACAAAGATTCTCAGCTTGGATTTCACAGGAGCCGGAAAGATAAAAGTGAGCATCCCTACCTTGTCTCCTCTTTGCCGGGATTGGTCTGAGAAAGCTCTTTTTTTGTATTTTTTTTGAGACAGAGTCTCAGTCTGTTGCCAGGCTAGAGTGCAGTGGCGAGATCCTGGCTCACTGCAACCTCCACCTCCCGGGTTCAAGTGATTCTCCTGCCTCAGCCTCCCGAGTAGCTGGGATTACAGGCACATGCCACCATGCCTGCCTAATTTTTGCATTTTTAGTAGAGTTGGGGTTTCACTATGTTCACCAGGCTGGTCTCGAACTCCTGAGCTCAGGTGATCCACCCTCCTCAGCCTCCCAAAGTGCTGTGATTACAGGCATGAGGCACAGCGCCCAGCCCTCCCTTTGGTGTTCAAGAACATGGTTACATAAACAAAGAAATAGCAAAGAAATAGAGGAAGACTTAAAGGGATGTTGTTTGAAACCATCTGGGCTAGGTTATTTTTTAGCCTCTTTGGTAACAATGTTGAACCCTCAGGCAAAAGGCAAGCACCTGGCATTTGCAGATAAGTAAAGATGTTCTTTTGTGGCCTAAAAGAGATGACCTTTTTTTCCTGGCTTGGAGACAGACAGCGTGAAGTACTCTGCAGTGCCTAGAATATGTTTTGGAGGGAAAAAGCATTGAAATCGTTAACATGGAGGCTTTATTCCAAATGTTTGAGCCTTGGATTGTAAAAATGTTAGAAATAACTTATAATGGCATTTTAAAAAGTAGACATTAGCCTGGCTGGGCGTGGTGCCTCACGCCTGTAGTCCCAGCACTTTGGGAAGCCGAGGAGGGCAGCCTGTAATCCCAGCACTTTGGGAAGCCGAGGAGGGCAGATCACTTGAGGCCAGGAGTTCGAGACCAGCCTGGCCAACATGGTGAAACCCCGTCTCTACTAAAAATATAAAAAATTAGCCGGGCATGGTGGCACGCACCTGTATAGTCCCAGCTACTTCGGAGGCTGAGGCACAAGAATCTCTTGAACCTGGGAGGTGGAGGTTGCAGTGAGTCGAGATCATGCCACTACACTCCAGCTTGGGTGACAGAGTGAGACTGTCCTAAACAAACAAACAAACAAACAGAAAAGTAGACATTAGCTAAAAATTACTGTGAGAACAGTAAGAAATATTTCCTTGGCCAGGCACAGGGGCTCACGCCTGTAATCCCAGCACTTTGGGAGGCCGAGATGGGAGGGATTGCTTGAGGCCTGGAGTTCCAGACCACGCTGGGCAACATAGCGAGACTCTGTCTCTAAAAAAAAGAAATGAAAAACGAAAAAGAATTAGCTGAGCATGGTGGCATGCACCTATAATCCTAGTTACTCCAGAGGCTGAGGTAGGAGGATTGCTTGAGCCCAGGAGTTTGAGGCTGCAGTGAGCGGTGATTGCGCCACCGCACTCCAGCCTGGGCAACAGAGCAAGATCATGTCTCTTAAAAAAAAGAAAAAAGAAAGAGTTCCTAAAATAGAGAGGAAATGCCAGGCGCAGTGGCTCACGCCTGTAATCCCAGCACTTTGGGAGGCCGAGGCGGGTGGATCACGAGATCAGAAGTTTGAGACCAGCCTGACCAACATGGTGAAACCCCGTCTCTACTAAAAATGCAAAAATTAGCTGGGCATGGAGGCGCGCGCCTGTAATCCCAGCTATTCGGGAGGCTGGGGCAGGAGAATCGCTTGAACTGGGAGGCAGAGGTTGCAGTGAGCCGAGATCGCACCACTGCCCTCCAGCCTGGGCGACAGGGCAAGACTCCGTCTCAAAATAAATAAAAGATAAATAAATAAATAAATATAAAATAACATAGGAAATTACCCAGAAGTACATACTGGACAAACCTTTCATTTTTGTTTTTTCCTGTTCCCTTGTTCACAGACAAATACATTTTTACATACATAGCATATATTTTGTTTTCTGTCTTTTTTCATTTATTTTGTATCAGATATCTTTTTTGTTTGTTTGTTTGAGATGGAGTCTTGCTGTCGCCCAGGCTGGAGTGCAGTGGCATGATCTCAGCTCACTGCAACCTCCACCTCCTGGGTTCAGGTGATTCTGTTGCCTCGGCCTCCTGAGTAGCTGGTACTACAGGCGCCCGCCATCACACCTGGCTAATTTGGGGATTTTAGTAGAGACGGGGGTTTCACCACGTTGGCCAGGTTGGTGTTGAACTCCTGACCTCAAGTGGTCCACCTGCCTTGGCCTCCCAGAGTGCTGGGATTACAGGTGTGAGCCACCATGCCCGACCTATATATCAGATGTCTTTTATAAGTCAGTATAGAAGTCTTTATTAGCTGTAAGATGTTACATTACTTTTTTTTTTTTTTTTTTGAGTCAGAGTTTCACTCTCGTTGCCCAGGCTGGAGTGCAATGGCGTGATCTTGGCTGACCGCAGCCTCCTCCTCCTGGATTTAAGCAATTCGCTTGCCTCAGCTTTCCAGGTAGCTGGGATTTACAGGCATGTGCCACCATGCCTGGCTAATTTTGTATTTTTAGTAGAGATGGGGTTTCTCCACGTTGGTCAGGCTGGTCTCAAGCTCCCGACCTCAGGTGATCCACCTGCCTCGGCCTCCCAAAGTGGTGGGATTACAGGCGTGACCCACCGTGCCCGGCCCGCGTTACATTTTTTATACCTTTTATTCAGAGCAATTTTAGACTTACAGAAGTGTGCAGAGTAGTATGATGTGGCATCACCAGCTTCAGGCATCATCAACTCATGCCAGTCTCGTTTTCTTCATTTTTCCCACCTTCCCCCTCAATAAATTTGAAGCAAATTCCAACAGTTTAATTTTTTGGGGGGGTAAGGGGAGACAGGGTCTTGCCCTGTCACCCATGCTGGAGTGCAGTGTCATGATCACTGCTCACTGCAGCCTTAACCTCCCTGGCCCAAGTGATCCTCCCATCTCAGCCTCCAAAGTAGCTGGAAGTGATCCTCCCACCTCAGCCTCCCAAGTAGCTGGGACCAACAGGCATGCACCATGATGCTTGGCTGATTTTTGTATTTTTGTATTTTTTTTTTAAAACAGTGTCTCGCTCTGTCTCCCAGAAGGCTGGAGTGCAGTGGTGCAATCTTGGCTCACTGGCAACCTCCGCCTCCTGGGTTCAAGCAGTTCTCCTGCCTCAGCCTCCTAAGTAGCTGGGACTACAGGCGTCCACCATCACGTCTGGCTAATTTTGTATTTTTAGTAGAGACGGGGGTTTCACCTTGTTGGCCAGGTGGGTATCAAACTCCTGACCTCAAGTGATCCGCCTGCCTTGGCCTCCCAAAGCGCTGGGATTACAGGCATGAGCCACTGCCCGGCCAAGATTTCTTTAATAAGAAGACGAAGTATGCATTTTTTTTTTTTTTCCAGATGAAGTCTCGCTCTTGTCCCCCAGGCTGAAGTGCAATGGCGCAATCTCAGCTCACTGCAACCTCCGCCTTCCGGGTTCAAGCAGTTCTTCTGCCTCAGCCTCCCGAGTAGCTGGGATTAGAGGCGCCCGCCACCATGCCCGGCTAATTTTTGTATTTTAAATAGAGATGGGGTTCACCATTTTGGCCAGGCTAGTCTCGAACTCCTGACCTCAGGTGATCTGCCCGCTTCGGCCTCCCAAAGTGCTGGGATTACAGGCATGAGCCACTGCGCCCAGCCAGAAGACCAAGTATGCTTTTCTGGAACCCGCATTATGTAATAGAGACAGCCCATGCCATGGGCTGGGAGTTGGGCTTCTGGTCCTTGCTCTGCGCCTAACTTACCTGTCTTGATGAGTCTTTCCTACCTCCGACTCTCTTTTTTCCAGTGTAGTAGCGTGGAGTTGGACAGTATGATTTCCAGTGGTAGAAATGCATGCCTCAATCAGTGTCCTGTGTCTTTTCCAGCGAGGGGCTACGAGTATGTGTTGGAGCCCTCACCCGTCTCCCTGCCTCTGGACAGACCTCAGGAGACACGGGTGCTGCAGGTCTCCTGCGGCCGAGCTCACTCTCTTGTGTTGACTGACAGGGAAGGAGGTGAGTTGACCTATTGAAGGGTGATGGAAGAGTGCAGGGACCATTTCACTGTGAACTGGAGCCTCAAATCAGGCCTGAGTGGCTTGATCGATTGAGCCACATCTAATGAGTGAAATGTGGTATTTCCTGAGCAGATCAGTGGGATTGCTCAAGACAGCTGGACAAACCTTGTTGATTCTTTATTTATTTTTATTTATTTATTATTTTTTTGAGATGAAGTCTCGCTCTGTCGCCCAGGCTGGAGTGCAGTGGTGTAATCTCGGCTCACTGCAAGCTCCACCTCCTGGGTTCACGCCATTCTCCTGCCTCAGCCTCCTGAGTAGTAGCTGGGACTACAGGTGCCCGCCACCACATCCAGCTAATTTTTTGTATTTTTAGTAGAGACGGGGTTTCACCATGTTAGCCAGGATGGTCTCAATCTCCTGACCTCGTGATCCGCCCGCCTTAGCCTCCCAAAGTGCTGGGATTACAGGCGTGAGCCACTGCACCTGGCCACCTTGTTGATTCTTATGTGCTCTGCTCTCTGGTTCTTGGAAAATCACATGTATTTATAAATGTAACTGCACACAAGGCAGCCTGATCCATTTGCTATGAAGTCCCTGAGCTGGGTGGTGTGTAGACGTGGCTTTTTCTTTTTTTTTTTTTTGAGACAGAGTCTCGCTGTGCTGCCCAGGCTGGAGTGCACTGGTGTGATTTTGGCTCACTGCAACCTCTGCCTCCCAGGTTCAAGCAATTCTCCTGCCTCAGCCTCCCGAGTAGCTGGGATTACAGGTGCCTGCCACCACGCCTGGCTAATTTTTGTATTTTTTGTAGAGACGGGGTTTCACCACATTGGCCAGGCTGGTCTTGAACACCTGACCTCAGGTGATCCGCCCACCTCGGTCTCCCAAAGTGCTGGGATTATAGACGTGACCCACTATGCCCGGCCGGAAGTGGCTTTTTCTATTGGAATTGAAAGAAGCCTATTTGCTAACACATACTCTAAGTAGTTGGGGGCTTTCAGAGTCCGGGCCCCTGGGTAACATGGCCTCTTTTTAGAAACGGGGTTTTTCCAGGGAAAGGTCAATGTGATCACATTTTTCACATTTCATTTTTCTTTTTTTTTATCTGAGACGGAGTCTTGCTCTGCCACCCAGGCTGGAGTGCAGTGGCACGATCTCAGCTCACTGCAGCCTCTACCTCCTGGGTTCAGGTGATTCTCCTGCCTCAGTTTCCCGAGTAGCTGGGACTACAGGCACCCACCACTGTGCTTGGCTAATTTTTGTATTTTTAGTAGAGACAGGGTTTCACCATGTTTGCCAGTCTGGCCTCGAACTCCTGACCTCAAGTGATCCACCTGCCTTGGCCTCCCAAAAAGCTGAGATTACAGTCATGAGCCACTGTGCCTAGCCTCAAATTTCATTTTCTGGCTGAGTGTGCTCTGTAGGAGAAGGCGGAGGTGGCATTTAGGAGCTCTTTCTTTTTTTTTTTTTTTAATTAAAAAGTAAACGTTAATGTCGAAAATGCAAACTTGGGGAAGATGGGAAAGATCACACACAAGGCTGTCACTTCACACTTGGAAGGTTGCACAGCGGCTGGGCAGAGGTGCTTCTCACTTCCCAGATGGGGCAGTGGCCAGGCAGAAGTGCTCCCCACTTCCCAGACAGTTGACGACTGGGCAGAGGCGCTCCTCACTTCCCAGACAGGGCAGAGGCGCTGCATTTAGGGGCTCTTTCTAGAGGGGATTGGTGTTAAGGGCAGCCTGGTGACAGGTGTGGGGAGTCCGGTTCTAGCCTCAGAAGGTGGAATTCCCAAGAAGTGGATCTAGGGCCAGGAGGGGAAGGCGGGTCTAGATTCCCCCATGCCCCTTGTGAGTTTCTGCAGAGCCTGAGAAAGTTGGAGAAGGAAACCCAGGGGCAGTTGGGGGGTGGGGGTGAGTAACCAGGACGGGACCACCAGCGAGACCCCTTCCAGTCCTCACATTCTAGGATCCCACAAACCTGCAGAACTGATTTGATTGGTGGTGTTATTTTTAGTCTTCAGCATGGGAAACAATTCTTATGGGCAATGTGGAAGAAAGGTGGTCGAAAATGAAATTTACAGGTGAGTTCCTAAAAGGCCTACCCTTCCCCATGTTGAGTTAAGTGTCAAAACATTTCTAGGGAGATGACTGTGGTAAACCCGCGGGGCGGTCAGAGGCATGCCTGAGAGGGGGCCGTGAGAACTCAGCAGAAAGCTGGGGGAGTGCTGTCTGTTTCAGGTTGAGCGCCATGTGTTAGCTTGGTGGGAGAAGAGGGGGCATGAGCATTGGTTTTAATGTGTAAAACCTCCGGATAAATTTTTTTTTTTTTTTTTTGAGATGGACTCTTGCTCTGTCGCCAGGCCAGAGTGCAGAGGCGCAATCTCGGCTCACTGCAACCTCTGCCTCCCAGGTTCAAGTGATTCTCCTGCCTCAGCCTCCTGAGTAGCTGGGACTATAGGCACGTGCCAGCAGGCCCGGCTAATTTTTGTAGTTTTAGTAGAGAGGGGGTTTCACCATATTGGCCAGAATGGTTTCCATCTCTTGACCTCATGATCTGCCTGCCTTGGCCTCCCAAAGTGCTGGGATTACAGGCATGAGCCCCCACGTCCTGCCCTCTTAGGATGAATTTTTACAAATTAAGTTTTTATTTTACCAAATTGATTTTTAAACATTCCCCTTTATTCATTTTATTTTTATTTCATTTTTTTCATTTTATTTTTATTTATTTTTTGTTTGTTTGTTTGAGGTGGAGTCTCACTGTGTTACACAGGCTGGAGTGCAGTGGTGAGATCTAGGCTCACTGCAACCTCCGCCTCCCAAGTTCAAGCGATTCTCATGTATCAGCCTCCCGAATAGCTGGGATTACAGGCGTCCGCCACCGCACTTGGCTAATTTTTTGTATTTTTAGTAGAGATGGGGTTTCTTCATGTTGGCCAGGCTGGTTTCAAACTCCTGACCTCAAGTGATCCGCCCACCTCGGCCTCTAAAAGTGCTGGAATTACAGGCGTGACCCACCGCGCCCGGTGAGTTCTTTTCATTTTAGTGTTTAAAAACACTTCCCTCTAGTTCCTTGTATGTTGTTGGAGGGCCTTAACACCACTCTCAACTTTGGCCATGTGTTAAAATCACCTAGGATTTTGTTTGGCTTTACTTTCATGACCAGGCCTGACTCGACCTAAGATTTGACCTTGAGAGTTACCCCAACAGTTACTGTGTGAGCGGAGGGGACGGGCCATCAGTTGGGGTGACAGGGAAAGGGCTGCACAGTGCTTGTCATGACCGCATCCCTTGCTTCTTCCCAATTTGTTCCTGGCTGTAGTGAAAGTCACAGAGTCCACAGGATGCAGGACTTCGATGGCCAGGTGGTCCAGGTAAGAGAGATGGGCCGAGAGCTGCTTGTTGTGTTCCTGGGGTGCTTTTGAAAAGTTGAGATTTGGGTAGGGTGATGGCAAATTTGTTAGGGGGATTTTCTGAATTAAATTATTTTAGTAAAAATTGTAGCCTACTTACTATAGGCCAGGATTTATGCTAGATTCTAGGGATACAAAGTTTAATAAGATTTTGGGGCCGGGTGTGGTGGCTATACCTGTAATGCCAGCACTTTGGGAGGCCGAGACAGGTGGATCACCTGAAGTCAGGAGTTCCAGACCACCCTGGCCAACATGGTGAAACCCCGTCTTTACTAAAAATACAAAAATTAGCCGGGTGTGGTGGCACATGCCTGTAATCCCAGCTACTCAGGAGGCTGAGGCACAGGAATTGCTTGAACCTGGGAGGTGGAGGCTGCAATGAGCTGAGAGATTGCACCACTGCACTCCAGCCTGGATGACAGAGCAAGACTCTGTCTCAAAAAAAAACAGATTTTTGGGGATGACACTCTAGTGAGTGAACAAGTTAAAAAGCTAACTGAGGCCGGATGTGGTGGCTCACACCTGTAACGTCAGCCTCTGGGGAGGCTGAGGCAAAAGTATCACAGCACTTGCTGTATTCATGCATATGTGCATTGAAATATTTATGATAGGTACCTACCATGAGCCAGGCACTATTCTGGGGATGAGAATAAAATGGAGAGCAAAATACAGCTGGCTTAGAACACCACAGCACTAATCATACTGTGATACGGCTGGCTTTTTGGTTTTATTTGGAAATTTTTTAGAGGCAGGGTCTCATTCTGTTGCCTAGGCTGGAATGCAGTGGCACGATCATAGCTCACTGCAGCCTTGAACTCTTGGGCTCAAGTGATCTTGCCTCAGCCCCCTGTGTAGCTGGGTCTACAGGTGTGCATCACCATCCTCGGCTAATTATTTTAAAGAGACAGATTCTCACTGTGCTGGCCAGGCTGGTCTCAAACTCTTGGCCTCAAGCCATCCTCCCGCCTTGGCTGCCCAAACTGTTGGGATTATGGGTTAAGCCACCATGTCAGGCCTCCTTCACCTATTAGACTGAGTGACTTTGTGCAAGTTACCAGACATCTCCAAGATAGTTTCTTTTTCTTTTTTTTTATTTTAGTGCAGTGGCACAATCTCAGCTCAGAGCAACCTCTGCCTCCTGGGTTCAAGCGATTCTCGTGCCTCAGACTCCCGAGTTGCTGGGATTACAGGCATGTGCCACCATACCTGGCTAATTTTTGTATTTTTAGTAGAGATGGGGTTTCACCATGTTGGCCAGGCTGGTCTTGAACTCCTGACCTCAAGTGATCCACCTGCCTTGGCCTCTCAACGTGTTGGGATTACAGGAGTGAGTCACTGTGCCCAGCTGAGATTCAGTTTCTTACTAGGTGGTTTTGGTTATTGACTTAACACAATGCCTGGTGTAAAAATTGTTCAATAGATGGTGCTTTTCTTTAGGCAGTTAGAAAAATGAGTTTGGAACTGAGGAGAGTTGTTGAGACCAGAGATCACAGTGCAGAGGCCACAGTTAAGCATTGAGAATGGCTCCCATCTCCCAGGGTAGCATGAGGAGTGAGGAGAGAGGAGGGCAGGAGACACACCCTGGAGAGAGATCCCAACAGCAAAGGGTCTGAAGTAGAGGCTGAGTGTGTGAGCAAGGCTGGAAGCTGTGAAAGTAGAAGAGAGGGCTGGGAGGAGAAGGGTTATGGAGAAGGGGTGGTTCTTTGGAGATGGCGTGGGATGGATGGCAGAGCTCTTGGATTTGCCCCTTTGGAGATCTGCATTTTACTTTAACAAGAGCAGTTTCAATGCAGTGGGAGACTGGTAGATTGAGAAGGAGTAAGATGAGCATGGAGCAGTCTGCCTGGACCATGCTCCAGGTGCCCAGGAGCGGCAGGCGATGGTGCTGGTCCTTCTTTGGATGAGGACACCAGGGTTCTAAGTATTTCCTCTCATCCCCCTTACCTCTGTTTGTCTGCTAGGTCGCCTGTGGTCAGGATCATAGTCTGTTCCTGACGGATAAAGGAGAAGTCTATTCTTGTGGATGGGGTGCTGATGGGCAAACAGGTAGAGTTCTTTTCATGCACTGGGGTCGTGAAACTTCTCAGCCCGTGTCATGTGGAGCTGTGAGCTGTAGGGCATTTATGGGCTAGAACCCTTCTTCCTTAATTCAGCTCTTACCTCTTATCACTTTCTGAGGAACACTATTCTTGGCTCCATCGCCCAAGCTGGAGTGCAGTGGCGCGATCACATCTCACTGCAGTCTCAAACTCCCAGGCTCAGGTGATCCTCCCACCACAGTCTCCAGAGTAGCTGGGACAACAGGTGTGAGCCACCAAGCCCAGCTAATTTTTTGTAACAACAGGGTTTCGCCATGTTGCCCAGGCTGGTCTTGAACTCCTGACCTTAAGCAGTCTGCCTGCTGTGGCCTCTTGGTGGGCTGGGATTCCAGGCAGGAGCCACTGTGCCCTGCTGTAATACTTTTTTTTTGCATCCCTTCCATTCCCCTCAGCCCTGGCTCCCATAGAAATGAACTGAGAGAAGGCTGGGTGCAGTGGCTCACACCTGTAATCCCAGCACTTTGGGAGGCCGAGGTGGGCGGATCACTTGAGGTCAGGAGTTTGAGACCAGCTTGGCCACCATGGCGAAACCCCATCTCTACTAAAAATACAAAAATTAGCTGGGTGTGGTGGCACACGGCTGTAATCCCAGCTACTAGGAAGGCTGAGGCAGGAGAATGGCTTGAACCCGGGAGGCGGAGGTTGCTGTGAGCCAAGATCGCGCCATTGCACTCCAGCCTGGACAACAGAGCAAGACTCTGTCTCAAAAACAAACAAACACAAACTGCAGAGAAAAGGACAGGCAGGACCTGCCCAAAGGCAAATGTCATTATTGGCACTTGGTATGGGGGTAACCCCTGGCCAGCAGCCCAAGGCAGAGCACTGAACTGTAGACTCTTGCCTTCATCCAGGGTCCTTAAAGGGGCCTATTCCTCAGCAGGTGAATGGATCAACCGTGGTGCATCCAGACAATGTAAAGTTTGTTATTTAGCACTAAAAAGCAATAAGCTGCCAACCCATGGAAAGGCATGGAGGAAACTTAAATGCATGATACTGATTAAAAGAAGCCTATCTGAAAAGGCTACATACTATAGGATTCTAGCTATATGGCATTCTGAAAAAGACAAACTATGGAGACAGTAAAAAGATCGGGGCCGGGCGCGGTGGCTCATGCCTGTAATCCCAGCACTTTGGGAGGCCTAGGCAGGTGGATCACGAGGTCAAGAGATCGAGACCATCCTGGCTGACACGGTAAAACCCATCTCTACTAAAAAATACAAAAAAAATTGGCTGGGCATGGTGGCGGGCGCCTGTAGTCCCAGCTACTCAGGAGGCTGAGGCGGGAGAATGGCATGAACCCACTGTGCCCAGCCTCTCTGCTTATTGTTAACCATGCCATTTTAAGTTCCCTGTTTTTTGGGAGTGGTGTTGGGGATGGCATGGGCTCTTAGAGATTTTCTTTACTTTTAGCAAGACCACCAGTGCATTAGAAATTGCTTGTTGTGATCAGGCAGGTGGCTCACACCTGTAATCTAAGCACTTTGGGAGGCTGAGGCAGGAGGATTGCTTGAGCCCAGGAGTTCGATACCAGCCTGGGCAACATAGTGAGATGCTGTCTCTATTTCAATATAAAAAAATTTTAGACCAGGCGCAGTGGCTCACGCCTATAATCCCAGCACTTTGGGAAGCTGAGGCAGGCGGATCACCTGAGGTCAGGGGTTTTGAGGCCAGCCTTGCCAACATGACGAAACCGCATCTCTGTGAAAAATACAAAAATTAGCCGGCTGTGGTGGTGCGTGCCTGTAATCTCAGCTACTTGGGAGGCTGAGGCACAAGAATTAAAGAACTGCTTGAACCCAGGAGCTGGAGATTGCAGTGAGCCGAGATCGCACCACTGCGCTGCAGCCAGAGGAACAGAGTGAGACCGTCTCAAAAAAAAAAAAAAAGTTGTATGAGCATGCAACTAAGCAGATTAGGGTTTCTTTTCTTTCTTTCTTTTCTTTTTTTTTCTTTTTTTTTTTTTTTTGAGAGTCTCATTCTTGCCAAGGCTGGAGTGCAGTGGTGTGATCTTGGCTTAACTGGAACCTCCACCTCCTAGGTTCAAGTGATTCTTGTGCCTCAGCCTTCTGAGTAGCTGAGATTACAGGCATGTACCATTATGCCCTAATAATTTTTTTGTAATTTTTTTTTTTTTTTTTAAGTAGAGACAGGGTTTCGCCATGTTGACCAGGCTGATCTCGAACTCCTGACCTCAAGTGATCTGCCCATCTCAGCCTCTGAAAGTGGTGGGATTACAGGCGTGAGCCACTGCACCCAGCCCCAGACTGGGATTTCTGAGCTGATACTTGTTAAGTGCTTAAAACTGCACTTGGCATATAGTAAGTCTGCCTATGTGTTTGTTAAAAGAGCGAATAATTAAAAATCTGTATTTTCCACTGTGTTAGGTCTGGGTCACTACAATATCACCAGCTCGCCCACCAAGCTGGGTGGAGACCTGGCGGGAGTGAACGTTATCCAAGTTGCCACCTACGGTGATTGCTGCCTGGCCGTGTCCGCCGACGGAGGACTTTTTGGTTGGGGAAACTCGGAGTACCTGCAGCTGGCCTCTGTCACTGACTCCACACAGGTATGCAGTCGCCGACAGCGTGGTGCTGGGAGGTTTGGAAACATTAAAGTGTTAAGGGGCCGGGTGTGGTGGCTCACACCTGTAATCCCAGCACTTTGGAAGGCCGAGACAGGCAGATGGCTTGAGGTCAGGAGTTCAGGACCAGCCTGGGCAACATGGCAAAACCCCATCTCTACCAAAAAAATACAAAAATTAGCCAGGTGTGGTGGTGCATGCCTGTAATCCCAGGTACTGGGGAGGCTGAGGCATGAGAATTGAATCGCTTGCAGATTGCAGTGAGCTGAGATCGTGCCACCACATTCCAGCCTGGGTGACAGAGCAAGACTCTGTCTCGAAAAAAAAGAGCAAATAGGCTGGGCGTGGTGGCTCACGCCTGTAATCCCAGCGCTTTGGGAGGCCAAGGCAGGCAGATCACCTGAGGTCAGGAGTTCGAGACCAGCCTGGCCAACCTGGTGAAACCCCGTCTCTACTAAAAAAAAATACAAAAATACCACCTCCACCTCCTGGGTACAAGCAATTCTCCTGGCTCAGCCCCCCGAGTAGCTGGGACTACAGGCACTTGCCACCACGCCCAGCTAACTTTTGTATTTTTAATAGAGACAGGGTTTCACCATGTTGGCCAGGCTGGTCTCGAACTCCTGACCTCAAGTGATCCACCTGCCTCCGCCTCCCAGAGTGCTAGGATTACAGGCGTGAGCCACCACACCCGGCCACAAATGTCATTTTATGTTAATTTTGGTTGACATCTGCCTCGTCCACTAGACTAGAACTCTCTGAGGGTGGAAACTGGGCCTCTTTTGCTTCCCATTCTACCCCAGCACCTAGTATGATGCTTGGCATGTGATGTTCAGGAAGTATCTGTGGAGTGAATGAATGAACTAGGACTCAGCTACTCTGTACCTAAGACCAGAACACTTCCCGGTCCTTACTGGCTTGCTTTCCTAACAGTGTGGCTCCTTTCTTTGGTTCAGGTGAATGTGCCCCGCTGCTTACACTTCTCAGGAGTGGGGAAGGTGCGACAGGCTGCATGCGGTGGCACGGGCTGTGCAGTGTTAAACGGTGAGACCTTCTTTCCGGTGGCTCATTGGGAAGCTGTAGGTAGATTACATAGGGAGTGGTCAGTGTCCATTGGATTTGCAGGCCGTAGACCTTAGCCTTAGGAGGGTAACATGGCTGGGCGCGGTGGCTCACATCTGTAATCCCAGCACTTTGGGGAACTGATGCAGGAGGATTGCTTGAGGCCAGGAGTTCCAGACCAGCCTGGACAACATAACGAGACCCTGTCTCTACCAAAAAATGGAGAAATTAGCTGGAAGGCTGGGTGTGGTGGCTCACACCTGTAATCTCAGCACTTTGGGAGGCCAAGGCAGGCAGATCACCTGAGGTCAGGAGTTCAAGACCAGCCTGGCCAACGTGGTGAAACCCTGACTCTACTAAAAATAGAAAAATTAGCCAGACATGGTGGTACATGCTTGTAATCCTAGTACTTGGAAGGCTAAGGTGGGAGGATTGCTTGGACCCAGGAGGCAGAGGTTGTAGTGAGCCGAGATTGCGCCACTGCACTCCAGCCTGGATGACTCTGTCTCAATAGAAAAAGAAAAAATGAAAAATTAGCTGGGCATGGTGGTGCACACCTGTAGTCCCAGCTACTCAGAAGGCTGAGGCAGAAAGGTCCCTTGAGCCCAGGAGTTCGAGCTGCAGTGAGCTATGATCATGCCACTGCACTGGGCAACACGGTGAGACCCTGTTTCAAAAAAGGAAGGGACTATGGCCATGGGAAGATGGCATTGGATTAGAAGATGGCATTACAGGGTGTGAATGAAGTTCTTAACAAAAAGCGAATAGTCTGCGATTTATCTGTAGATACATGGCCACAGAGCTGAGTCATCCTAGAGCAAACCTCTGGAGTGGAGAGCGAACTACTTCATTCCCCTCCCTTAGCCTGGGCCAGAGAGACTCCAGCTCTGCCTTCTCCAGCCAAAAAATCAAAGGCAGATGGGAGAACAGCCTTCAGCTTTGGATAACGATGAAATATCTGGCACCACTGATGAATATTAAACTTTCTATAACCAAAACATCATTTCTAAGAGTTTTAAGAATCTGGCCAGACATTGTTGATGTGTTTGGCCTTCTGATCAGTGTGAAACACAGAGCTGTCATTAGGGGGAGAAAACATCCTCCAATTCTCTGGTATTCGTATGGGTTTTCTGGATGATTTATACGCTCGTCCCTTCCAGGTTACTAACCCTCAAGATGTGGGAAGTTTGTGTTCTGAGCCAGGAGAGCTGGCGAGACAGACTCCCCCAGCAAGAATTTAAGCAGGGGAGAGAGAATTATTATTCTAAATCTCTGTCTGCATGTTCTTGCCAAGCAAGGAGGAAAAAAACAAAACAAAAAAAAAACAAAAAAAAACCGTGTGGATGTCATAAACCTTGGTGGTGTAGTTTGAGTTTCTGGTGAGGGAGGTTCTTACTTGGATGGACTTACTGACCCTTGTTTTTACTGTAATGTAGGAGAAGGACATGTTTTTGTCTGGGGCTATGGAATTCTTGGGAAAGGTCCAAACCTAGTGGAAAGTGCCGTCCCTGAAATGATTCCACCCACTCTCTTTGGCTTGACGGAGTTCAACCCAGAAATCCAGGTTTCCCGCATCCGATGTGGACTCAGCCACTTTGCTGCACTGACCAGTAAGTTACCAAGCCCGGTGGCCCTGGTGTGAGCCCAGCAGAGGTTCTCTGTCTCCAGTTCAACCCCAAACTGCGGGCAGCTCTCAGGTTCCACCCATCCAACAGAACGGCGCCTTTGTACTGATAACTCAAGCAAGGGCTAAGCCAGAAGTTGTTTGCCTCGAGGTTGTATAATGTCTTGTTTTCCCCCCCTGGAGTTTTAATTTTGGTTCGTTTGGTTTGTGGGTAGGCTAACGTGAACGTGCATTTTCTCAAGAGAGCACCCGTCGGTGGTAGGAAGGGGCATTGCTAGTACGTCGGGTGCTGGAGGAAACCAGCAGAGGCTTGGCGGATCCATGGGTGGGTGATTAGGAAGTGAATGTGTGGGGCTTAATCCCATTCCCTGGCCGAGCCCAGACCCTGATCTGACCCAGGATATGGGATGGCAAAAGGCCGATTTGTCAGACTGTCCCGTGGTTTCACGGAGGTAAATCTACCGATTTCTCCAAAGTGCCGGGGTAGAGAATGATGAAAGGGGAGAGCAAAATGGAGGTTTTTCCCAAAGGCCTGCCAGATTACAAAGCCACAGAATATCCGCTTACCCTGCAGGGTAAGGGTAAGGAATGTGTCCTTTTCTTGGTTACATCTCTTACTCCACCACAGTTACCGTGGGTTCAATTTGCTGCTCTTTAGTTGACTCGAATAGTAAAACTGTCCTGAATTAATTTCATTCTGTGATTCTCAAGTAAATTAGTTATTTCCTTGCAATTAAAAGAATCTTTTCATCTCATGGCAAGTAATTGTTTTCTTTTTAAACATCCAGGCCGGGACAGTCAGTTGGTGTCATCTTTGGTTGAGTTCTCTGGCCTCATTCCCACGTGGGGCCTGTCCCAGATGCTCACCCTCTGTACCAGGGTCCTAACTGCTATTCACTTATTGTCTGAATTCCAGGCTCCAGAGGCCGTCAAACAGGCAGGCCTGGGTTGTTATGGCTGCCAGCTGGAGTTTTATCTGGCTCTAGGCTGAAGCACTGAAGTGGCAGTGGTCATGACTAAGCCAGAGAATTCCTGGCCACTGCCCAGCCAGAGTGGCCACTTGCATTTGCAGCTGAGTGTAGGTCTCATGAATTCTTTTTTTTTGAGTTGGAGTCTCACTCTTGTTGCCCAGGCTGGAGTGCAATGGCGCGATCTTGGCTCACTGCAACCTCCGCCTCCCGAGTTCAAACGATTCTCCTGCCTCAGCCTCCCAAGTAGCTGGGATTACAGGCACACACCACCACGCCCGGCTAATTCAGTGTCATGAATTCTTAAAGCTATTTTGATTTGATAAATAAGAGTCGTATGGACTAATTTTGGGGGAAACAAATATCTACTTTCCAGAAAGTTCTTAAGGCCTCAACTATGGGCAGAGACACATGTTTAGAAATCTGTGTGAAGCATTTGACTAGAGCAGAGGCTTTTCTATTTGCCCTCATGCCATGTAGCCATTTCAGGTCACAGCGAAATGAAATTCCTTTCTGGATTTCTCCCCGAGACTTAACAGGCCTCCTTCTAAGGGTGAGTTACTGCCTGTTGGTAGACAGAGCCTAGCTGTCTTCCTGCCTGTGTGCCTGGCATTTGCAGATAGCCATCTGGGAATTAGAGTTGGTTGGTTTATCCTGTGGTCTGCTAGCATTTTGGGGAGCCAGGCCGAATTGTTCTATTAAACACCTAAGGGCTAGCTGGGTGCAGTGGCTCATGCTTGTAATCCCAGCACTTTGGGAGGCCAAGATGAGAGGATCCCTCAAAGCCCAGGAGTTCGAGACTAGCCTAGGCAACATAGTGAGATCCCTTTTCTACAAAAAATACAGAAATTAGCTGGGTGTGGTGGTGTGCGCCTGTAGTCCCAGCTACTCTGGAGGCTGAGGTGGAAGGACTGCTTGAGTTTGAGAGTTCAAGGCTGCAGTGAGCTATGTTTGTGCCACTGCGTCGCAGCCTGGGCAGCAGAGTGAGACCCTGTCTCAAAAGCAAACAAACACACACACACAAAAACTATCTAAGGTCTGAGTGTGGAGAACAAGGGGCATGCTTAGATCAGGGGCCTAAGACAGCTTGTAATTATTCCGTACTTCATCAGCCCCAGGTCTTGTAGTCCTGGCTTTTCCATGTCACTTCCTCTGCCTCCCATGACCCAAGCCTTTTGCCCAACAGCTGATGGTGACATGGGCCCAGGAGTGCCCCAGCTGGTGCAGACAGAGTCCCACCTGAAGGCCGGGCTAGGAGAGGCCATCTCCTGGGTTGACCTCTTAAACAGCATCTTGTACTTTTTCTTCATGACAGTTTTTACAGTTTGTAAACATATATTAAAATCATCTGTCTGTTCCGTCTCTGGCCAGTCCCCAGCTCCTGGAACACAGACCTAGACCCAGCACAAGCAGGCACTTGGTCATTAGATGCCCTGTGGCTGAATGCTCCCAAGATATGGACAATCAATCCAGGAATGACAAATTGTCTTACTTTTCACTGTCAAATCAGGAAGCCCAGGGTGTCGCCAGGATTTGTGGAAGGCAGAGTTTGGTGGCACACGATTGTGGGCGGGGCACAAGGGGTGAGCAGAGTGGGCCGTGTGCATCAGTGACCTCCAGCCCCGTGCACCACCCCCAGACCCCAGCTCCATGCACCACCCCCAGACCTGTCCACCACCCCCAGACCCCAACTCCATGCACTACCCCCAGCCCTGTCCACCACCCCCAGACCCCAGCTCCATGCACCACCCCCAGCCCTGTCCACCACCCCCAGACCCCAGCTCCATGCACCACCCCCAGCCCCGTGCACCACCCCCAGACCCCAGCTCCATGCATCACCCCCAGCCCCGTGCACTGCCCCCTGCCCCATCTTCATTTGAGTGCTCATCTCCCACGTGGGTGGATGCAGCAGAAGTCCTGGCCGTGGATGTGTTTTCGATATGGGGACAGCATCTCAGACCCTTACTTTTGCCTTCAAAGAAAGCATGAACGCCTGGTAAAAGCTGAACAGTGGGCTCTGTAGGTATCTGGTTCTAGAAAGCCTGTTCTCATGACCCATCCTCTCCTTGGAGACTTGTTCTTCACACAGTCCCAACCAACCCCTGTTTTCCTCCCTTTGCAGACAAAGGAGAGCTGTTTGTATGGGGCAAGAACATCCGAGGGTGCCTGGGAATCGGTCGCCTGGAGGACCAGTATTTCCCATGGAGGGTAAGGCTGGCCGGGGAGGTCTTGAGAATGGATGCTAAGAGTAGAGTCACCTGACGTCACTGCAGACACCTCGCGTGCAGATGGGCCAGGACGAGGGCCATGGGACCTGCTCCCCCTTCCGGGTCCTGGCTGCACTCCTGCAGCGCGGCATGCTATGTCATTGCACACTCTGTGGTGACACCCATGAGATACCCGTGGTGCATCTGCATGGTGTGATGCGTGGGGGAGTGACACCAGGCTTCTTGGGGTGCAGGAGCTGGGTCAACCCATCCCGGCCCACTGACTGGGAGGTTGGAGGGAGTAGCCCACTCAAGCATCCAGTCCTATAAGAAGCCCTGTCGGAGGCCATCCTTGGGGTGGATCGGGGAAACAGAGGCACGATGGTGCAAAGGCTCTGGTAGGGTGCCATGAGGCTCCGGAGAGGGGGAGATATTGGATGAAGTTGGCACGCTAGAAGCTGTTTACAGAAGCCCATGTGGGGGAATGCTTCACAATGAATTTAAAAGAAAGCAGGATGTTTAATATTTAGATGGCCCAACCGCAGCTATGAAGTGAAAAAATAAAGTCGCTTCCTTAGGGGCGGTAGTATGCAATTAGACAAAAAGGCTCCTTCCAGAATTACAGGGGAAGAGACGCTCATTCTAAAATTGTAGTTTACCTTAGTGTTGTTTACTAAGTCAGTTCTTTAAGGCATTCTAAAAAAGGAGGTTTTTGGGGTTTTTTGAACATGAAACATATGTTCATGGTACAAAAAAATGCACTATGGAAAATGAGTCTCCCACCACCCAGTTTTTGTTCCAGAGGCAGCCACTGGTCCTGATTTCTTTATGTTCCTTTCCAGAGATAGTCTCTGCATAGAGACTGGTGTGCATGCGTGCTTTGTGTGTGTGTGCCTGTGAGTACATACATGTGTGTGCAGTGTGCATATGGGTGTATTTTATCAGAAGGTTGGATTTTAATTTGTTTTGAAATTGTGAAAAGCGTTTTTAAAAAGGACTTGCACCAGGTGTGGTGTCTCACACCTGTAATCCCAGCGCTTGGGGAGGCCCAGGTGGGTGGATCACAAGGTCAGGAGTTCGAGACCAGTCTGACCAACATGATGAAACCCCATGTCTATTAAAAATACAAAAATTAGCCAGGCATGGTGGCACACGCCTGTAATCCCAGCTACTTGGGAGGCTGAGGCAGGAAATCACTTGAACCCGGGAGGCAGAGGTTGCAGTGAGCCAAGATCAGACGCTGCTGCACTCCAGCCTGGGCAACAGAGGGAGACTGTGTCTCAAAAAAAAACAAAGGACTTGCAAAAGAAATGTGTATATATATATGTGTGTATATATATATGTGTGTATATATATGTGTGTGTGTATATATATGTGTGTGTGTGTGTATATATGTGTGTATATATATATGTATGTATTTATATGTGTGTGTATATATGTGTGTATATATACACACACACATATAAATATATATACATATATAATACATTTATATTATACGTTTATATATATTAAATATATATATATATATATTTTTTCCAAGACTATCGGTGGAGGCTCTGAGAAAGCAAGTTGAAATGGAGACTTTAACTTTGTTTTTTTGTTTTTGCTTATTATGAGACAGGGTCTCACTTTTATCACTCAGGCTGGATTGCAGTGATGTGATCACAGCTCACTGCAGCCTTGACCTTCCTGGGCTCAGGTGATCCTCCCACCTCAGCCTCCTGAATAGCTGGGACCACAGGCGTACACCACCACACCTGACAAATTTTTTTATTTTTAGTAGAGATGGGAGTCTCACTATGTTGCCCAGGCTGGTCTCAAACTTCCGGCTTCAAGCAATCTGCCTCCCTCAGCTTCCCAAAGTGCTGGGATTACAGGCATGACCCATCACGCCCGGGCGACTTTAGCCTTGTTGGAAAGCTGTTTGTATAATAGAGTTGTTCCCAAGGTGGTGGGGCTTGCCGGCTTTCTCCTGAGCCTGGAAACTGCCGGTGTGAGGAACAGAGAGTCGGGCAGTGGGTGTGGCTCAGATAATGTGAGCATCAGTCATCTACATGCCCACTTGCTTTCTCACTGACTCCTCTCTTCTCTCACTTTGCCCTTTCTTTCGAAAAGGACTTCCTTCTGAGGGGGGAACTTGGGAAACAGTTAAAGCAGCCGGGTTTTGGGTGAAAGAACGCTGACGAGGGTCTGCCCCCCGCCCTCATTTCCTTCAAATCAGAGTGATCAGCCTGAGATTTGACTCAGGTCACGTTGCCCCTGCCATAAGGGCATGTGCAAAGCGCTGGTCCCTGTGCGGGCAGGGAGTGGCCGGAGCCCGATCCCGTTGACATTCCATCTGGGTCACTTGCCCTGGCTCGCCACACACCAAGTGTCCTTCTGGTCATTTGCTTTTTATTTTTATTTTTATTTTATTATTATTGTTTTGAGATGGAGTCTTGCTCTGTTGCCCAGGCTTGAGTGCAGTGGCATGATCTCAGCTCACTGAAACCTCCACCTTCCGGGTTCAAGTGATTCTCCTTCCTCAGCCTCCCTGGTAGCTGGGATTACAGGTGCATGCCACGACGCCTGGCTATCATTTGCTTTTTAAACACATTTGTGCCTTTGGGAAAAGAGCACCCCAGCCTGTCCCCGTGACGGCGGCATTTGGCGCCAAACCATTGTCCTTCCTCTTGCACATTCAGGGAGCCCCTAAGGGTTTGTGCACGGAGTGGCCTCGACCCCTGTCCTCTTTGGATTGGGGTGGGAGAGTCCAGTCCCTTCTGATGACTCACTTAAAAAAAAAATTACAAGTGATTTTTCTTTTCTTTGTTTTGTTTGTTTGTTCTTTTAGACAGGGTCTTGCTCTGTCACCCAAGCTGGAGTGTGGTGACAGGATCTCGGCTCACTGCAGCCTCTGTCTCCCAGGTTCAAGTGATCCTCCTATCTCAGCCTCCCGAGTAGCTGGGATTACAGGCTTGCACAACCACACCTTGCTAATTTTTGTATTTTTTGTAGAGATGGGGTCTTGCCGTGTTGCCCAGGATTTTTTTTTTTTTTTGAAAACAGGGTCTTGCTTTGTCGCCCAGGCTGGAGTATGGTGTGATCACACTCACTGCAGCCTCAAACTCCCAGGCTCAAGCTATCCTCCTGCCTCAGCCCCACAAGTAACTGAGATGTGGGATGGGATGACAGGCATGTGCCAGCACCACACCCAAATAATTTTTTTTTCGTTTTTTTTTTAAGAGACGGGGTCTTATGTGTTGATCTCAACCTCCTGGTCTCAAGTGATCCTCTTGCTTCAGCCTCTGGAATAGCTGAGATTACAGGCATGTGCCACCACACACGGCTTATTTTATTATTTATATTTATTTGTTTTATTTTATTTATTTGAGAGATGAGGTCTTCCTATGTTGCCCAGGCTGGTCTCAAACTTCTGCCTCAAGTGGTCTTCCCACCTTGGCCTCACAAAATGTTGGAACTACAGGGGTGAGTCACTGGCTTGGGTGATCTTTATTCTTTAAAACAACTATGTTCAAATTAATCTTCCGTAGGGGATATATTACATCATTTAAAAAGTATTCCAGAAAAGAAGAGAAAAAAAGAGTAAAACTTTACTTGTAGCTCATACACTGGTACCAACTAGTTATTCTTAGACTTGCAGAATTTGGCCTTTTCTGAGTATGTGGGCCCGGGAGGTGACATCTGAGCCACCTGATTCAAACCTCTGCTTCCAGAAACTTTCCAGGACATGTTTTTTTGCTACACGTTGAGACTCATCCCTCAGAGAGGTTCAGTGGTTTCCCAGGGTCACATATCTAAGTTGGAGTCAGAGCCAGGATTTGGACTCAGTTACATCTGACTTTTAAGACAATGGTCTTTCCACGGCCACCCACCTCCCTGGGCGAGCCTGAAGCTGGTGTGGAGAGAAGGCAGCACGCAGTGGCACGGAACATTTGACCAGGCGTTGTCTGGCCTTCCAAGACCCTCTGACCTAAGGGGGAGTGCCACAGACCTACAGCAGGCAGCGAGGGGGTGTGGAGTGGCCTTCACCCCTCATCCCCCAGGGAGCGCCCTGGCTTTCCACAGACAAACATTCCAGCCTGGCTTCGGGGGAGGGCAGGGCATGGACAGCGTGCTGGGCACGTGATGTCCATTCTCTCTCATCCTCCAGACACCTTGAGGGTGGGGTTTCTCCCTCCACAGTGTGCACACGGGGACACGGAAGTCAGGAGCGAAGGGGCTTGCCCCAGGTCTCACGGCCCCTGAGCTCATTGGGTATAATTTGAACTTGCGACTCTGCCTGTAGACGGTGCTTCCCCTCCCCGTGGGCCCTGCAGGTCAGGACCGGTGGGGTCTGGAGACACAAGCTGGGGAGCTCGCTGACTTCTAGCCTCGCTTATACGACTCCTTCCATAGCCCTGGGTCTTAGGTGGTGGTTCTTTTTTTTTTTTTTTTTTTTTGAGGCGATGTCCTGCTTTGTCACCCAGGTTGGAGTACAGTGGCACAATCTGGGCTCACTGCAACCTCCGCCTCCCGGGTTCAAGCGATTCTCTTGCCTCAGCCTCCCCAGTAGCTGGGATTACAGGCATGTGCCACCATGCCTGGCTAATTTTTGTATTTTTAGTAGAGATGAGGTTTCACCATGTTGCCCAGGCTGGTCTCAAACTCCTCACCTCAGGTGATCCACCTGCCTCGGCCTCCCAAAGTGCTGGGATTACAGGTGTGAGCCACTGCTCCTGGCCGGTGGTTCTTTTTTTTTTTTTTTTTTTTTTTTTAATTATTGGCCAGGCGCTATGGCTCATCTCTATAATCCCAGCACTTTGGGAGGCCAAGATGGGCAGATCATGGGGTCAGGAGTTCGATACCAGCCTGACCAACATGGCGAAACCCCGTCTCTACTAAAAATACAAAAATTAGCCAGGCGTGGGGGTGCACGCCTGTAATCCCAGCTACTCAGAAGTCTGAGCAGGAGAATCACTTGAACCTAGGAGGCGGAGGTTGCAGTGAGCCGAGATTGCGCCACTGCACTCCAGCCTGGGCGACAGAGTGATACTCTGTCTCCAAAAAATATATATATATAATTTTATTTATTCATCTGTGTATGTACCCACCTAGGTGGTTCTCACAATGCAGGAGAGGAGTACAAGTTAAAAGCCGGGCACAGGCCAGGCATGGTAACTCAACGCCTATAATCCCAGCGCTTTGAGAGGCTGACGCGAAAGGATTGCTTGAGGCCAGGAGTTCAAGACCAGCCTGGGCAACATAGTGAGACTCCATCTCTACAAAAAACAAATGACCCAGGTGCAGTGGCGTGTGCCTGTAATCCCAGCTCCCTGGGAGGCTGAGGCAGGAGGATCACTTGAGCCCAGGAGTTGGAAGCTGCAGTGAGCTATGATCACACCACTGCGCTCCAGCCGGGGGCAACAGAACAAGACCTTGTCTCTAAACAAAAATTTAAAAATACAAAAGCGGCCGGGCGCAGTGGCTCACGCCTGTAATCCCAGCACTTTGGGGGTGCCGAGGCGGGCGGATCACGAGGTCAGGAGTTTGGGACCAGCTTGGCCAACATGGTGAAACCCTGTCTCCACTAAAAATACAAATATTAGCCAGGTGTGGTGGCGCATGCCTGTAATCCCAGCTACTTGGGGGGCTGAGGCAGGAGAATTGCTTGAACTTGGGAGGCGGAGGTTGCAGTGAGCCGAGATCGTGCCACTGCACTCCAGCCTGGGTGACAGAGCGAGACTCCGTCTCATTGAAAAAAAAAAAATAGAAAAGCTGGTGCCATTGAACTGCAGAGCTGGGCGCCGGAGTAGTCTCCCTTTCTCTGGCTCTCTTGTCCCCACGAAGGACTCACCGCCCAGGGTTCCTTCTTCCCGCACCCCCGTCTTTCACCTGGTGGGCGTTCGTTTTAGCAACTTGTAATTGTGGATAGGGATGTTCCTAAATGGATTCTGCTGAGACTTTTAAGAGAGTCACCAAGGCTAAATATGGTTCTGGTTTTTGGAACTGTTTCCCTCAGCAGCGGAGTTGTGAGTGTAAATTGGCTTAGAAGAAAAACGCCATTTAACCTTGCCTAGGACAAAAATAAAACATGGCTGAGGGCAGTCTCCTCTTGGACTCAGTTCAGAGACCGTGTGAGATTGTCCGCCAGGGGGAGCTGGAACCTTGGGGAGCCTCCCGCTGGTCCCTAGGGCTGGCTCCCAGGAGCCGGGCCCTTGCTGCCCAGGCCACCCGCAGCAGAGACCATCGTGGCTTCCTTTGCTTTGGGCTTGAATGGCCAGAGCCCTCGGGGAGCAAGGACCTGGGGGCTTAAGTGCAGCCGTGAGGAAGCGCACTGTCCCGGGAAAGGTAAATAAAGTGCTCCCTAATGGCTGGGGAGGTTGCTAAGAGGCGGTCGGGGCCCAGTCCCTGCAGAGGCAGCCTGTTTTCTTCTCCGGCCAGCCTCTCAGGCTTTCTGCATCGACGTGCCTTTGCGATTCACTGGGCCCCGTTCTTGTTTGTTTAGTGATTCCTGTAATAGGTTCTGCTAAAGACATTCATTTGTTTAGGGACAGGGCTGGGGGATGACAGCATGACTTGGTTTCTAGCATCCATCTGCTGTGGCCAGGAGTCCCTAATGGTCTTGTCTCCTGGCGTAGGTGCAAAGCTCCGGGGTCGGCGCCTGCCGCCTCTCGGCTTTTAGGGCCAGGCCATCTGGATTAGGCGGTTTCCCTCTTAAGCTCGGTAAACTCCACAGACTGTGACAGATCCCCTTTCCAGCTGTCACACCACCTGGCTGCATGCTGCCACCAGGGGAGGGTGGTCGAATTCGGATCTGGTCAGTAGATCAAGTGCCAGCATCCTGGCAGGGGTCTTCCGGCCAAGCCAGGCAGGGTCACTTTCTTTGCAGTTGGCACTTAAGAAAGGAAGAGAAGGCCAGGTGCAGCGGCTCACGCCTGTAATCCCAGCGCTTTGGGAGGCCAAGGCAGGTGGCTCACGAGGTCAGAAGATCAAGACCATCCTAGCCAACATGGTGAAACCCCATCTCTACGAAAAATACAAAAATTAGCTGGGCATGGTACTGCATGCCTGTAATCCCAGCTACTTGGGAGGCTGAGGCAGGAGAATCGCTTGAACCAGGGAGTCGGAGGTTGCAGTGAACTGAGATTGCGCCACTGCACTCTAGCCTGGTGACAGAGCGAGACTCCGTCTCAAAAAAAAAAAAAAGAGAGATGCATATCTGCTTCTTTGCATAAAGAACCTCTGGAAGGCCAGGCCTGGGGATCACACCTGGAATCCCAGCACTTCGGGAGGCTGAAGCAGGAGAATCACTTGAGCCCAGGAGTTCGAGACCAGCCTGGGCAACATGGCAAGACCCTGTCTCTACAAAAAATACAAAAATAAGCTGAGCATAGTGGTGCATGCCAGTAGTCCTAGCTACTTGGGAGGGTGAGGTGGGAGGATAGCTTGAGCCCAGGAGTTCGACATTGTAGTGCGAGCTATGATTGTGTCTCTATAATCCAGCCTCGGCAACATAGTGAGACCTCTGTCTCTACAAACAAACAAACAAAATTAGCCAGGCATGGTGGCACGTGCCTGTAGTCCCAGCTACTTGGGAGGCTAAGGCGGGAAAATCACTTGAGCCCAGGAGGTTAAGCCTGCAGTGATTGCACCACTAGACTCCAGCCTGGGCAACAAAGTGAGACTCTGCCTCTTTTTTGTTTCTGAGCCAGAGTCTTGCTCTGTTGCTCAGGCTGGAGTGCAATGGCGTGATCTCGGCTCACTGCAACCTCTGTCTCCTGAGTTCAAGCAATTCTCCTACTTTAGCCTCCTGAGTAGCTGGGATTACAGGCGCCTGCCACCATGCCCAGCTAATTTTTGCATTTTTAGTAGAGACGGGGTTTCACCATGTTGGCCAGGCTGGTCTCAAACTCCTGCCCACCGCGGCCTCCCAAAGTGCTGGGATTACAGGCGTGAGCCACTGCGCCTGGCCTAGACCCTGTCTCTTAAAACAAAAACAAAACAAACCTCTGGAAAGTTAATAAGAAATCAGTTAAAAGTAGTTTTCAGTTCAGAGGCAGATGGGGACTGGGGCAGCTGGTGATAGGTGTGGTAATGAAAGACTTTTTTTTTTTTTTTTTTTTTTTTCGAGACAGAGTCTTGCTCTGTCGCCCAGGCTGGAGTGCAGTGGTGCGATCTCAGCTCACTGCAACCTCCACCTCCCAGGTTCAAGCGATTCTCCTGCCTCAGCCTCCCGAGTAGCTGGGGTTATAGGCGTGCGCCACCACACCCAGATAATTTTTGTATTTTTAGTAGAGACAGGGTTTCACCATGTTGGCCAGGCTGGTCTTGAACTCCTGACCTCAAGTGGAGTCCACCTCAGCCTCCCAAAGTGCTGGGATTACAGGTGTGAGCCACTGCGCCCGGCATAAAAATCATTTAATAGCTTTTTCTTCTTTTTCACTGAATGTCCTTTTATCTTGCAGCTATGTGAATGCACTGCCTAGTCATAATAAACAAGAAAGAGAAAGCAGAGTGCCCCTTTCCTGGATAGCTGGATTGGCTATGGCCCTGGGCACACCTGGAGTTGTTGAGGGTGTCCGTTTCCATGGCGAGGCTATAGAACAGTGGGCGCCCTTCCAACAGGCTAGAGCCTCCATGTCTCAGTGAGGCCATCTTCTTGCTCCCTTGAAGCTTGGGCTGTCCTCTGATGCCATGTTGTCAGCCCAGACAGGCAGTGTGATCAGGGCTCCTGGCAAGGGTCTTTGAGACACAGCCACTGCCCCTGCTTGGTGGTCGTGACTTGGGACGCAGCCTGCCTGTGACTGGAGCTGGGGGTGACGGGTAAGATGAGTGGAGATGTTGGGCCAGTGGGGCCTGATTCCCAGACTGGACCTGCAAGGCAAGAGACAGGGTTTCTGGAGCTTGTTTTTGAGACAGAGTCTCGCTCTGTCACCCAGGCTGGAGTGTAGTGGTGCAATCTTGGCTCACTGCAGCCTCTACCTCCTGGGTTCAAGCAATTCTCCCACCTCAGCCTCCCGAGTAGCTGGGATTACAGGCGCCTGCCACCACGCCTGGCTGGTCTCAAACTTCTGACCTCACGTGATCCGCCTGCCTTGGCCTCCCAAAGTGCTGAGATTATGGGCGTGAGCTACAGCGCCCAGCCCCTGGAGCTTCTTAGTGAGCCATAGCAGTGGCTCCCAGGAGAGATCTCTGAACACCTGGCCTGGGGGCATGGAGCCTAGTGGGGTTAGGGTCAGAGGGGAGCAGCCCCTGTAGGGCGTGCAGGTTCCAGGGATGCACACAGGCCCATGTTCCTGCCCGACATGCCCTCTCAGGCTGATGTGAATGGTGATGGCTGCCATTGACTGGAGGGAGTTGGGATGGCCTTGTCCTCATGACCACACGCAGTTGTCCTGATGGACCTGCTGGGGAGGCCTAAGTGCCCCCATTCCCAGAGGGTAGGGAGCCGAGGCTCAGAGAAGCTGTCTCCTACTGAGACAAGCTGTCTCCTGCTGAGACAAGCTGTCTCCTACTGAGTCTCCTACTGAGAGGCAGGGCCGGGTCGGCCAACACCAGCGCCTGTCTCCTCCGGGTGCGCCACCCCCACCCATGGTATGCTGGATCTTATTTTTCAGGTGACGATGCCTGGGGAGCCTGTGGACGTGGCATGTGGCGTGGACCACATGGTGACCCTGGCCAAGTCATTCATCTAAACCTCCCTCACCTGCTTGGGCGGCCCCGTCCCGGGAACCACTGGCACTCCTTGGCAGAGGCCAGCGCGTGGCCAGCCCCCCGGGGTTCTTGGATGGTGGTGGCGGAGGACCCTGCGTGCAGTGTGACGCTCTGTCCTGAATCCCTTAGCGGGTACCTACCAGGAGGATCAGGGCAAGGTCCCTCTCCAGCTGCAGGTGAGGCCTGCGGAACTCAGCTTGGATGGCAGCCTTTGGTGGGCCGCTGTGGCCCGCACGTCTCTGTTCTCTCCAAGTAACATGCGACGGTGTCTGGTGTCACGTCTCGCCTGAGAAGCCCGTCTTAGGAAAGCTTAGCTTGAACACAGTGCTCGGGAGGTTTCTGCTCTGTCTGTCATGGCAGTCTCTTGGTTTGTGTCTGGCCAAGGCCATGCGTGTGCCTCGGACCGAGCCCCAGCTTAGGCGAGGGAGTCAGGCTGGCTTCGGCCCTCGGTTTTCATTCAGGCCACCCTGCTCATGGCCCTTCCTGGCCGCCTGCCACACCGCAAGCTCGCTGGGGGGACACTAGAAGCACCGTGGCCTGGGATTCCATCTGGAGCTGTCCGCAGGCACCAGCCCCAGCCTCCCACCACGCTCACTGCCTGGCTTGGAAAAGTTAAGAAGCCCCTCAGGAAGAGAATCGAGGCCAAGTTCCTCTGCGCCGAGGGCCCCGAGCATATCCGCCAAGGCTCAGCTGCAGTGCCAGGCGGAGGAGGAAGATCCAGAAATTGTGAACAATGTTTGATTTAGTAGCGTGACTTGCCTTTCCCTTTAAAAACATCTTTTACAAATCTGTCTTGGAATAAAGTCTATTTTCTGCCTTTTGGTTTTTAAGCTCTGAAGAGATCTTCTTAAATCTTACTTGATCATTTAGAGTTTTGCTTTTATAAACAAGCCTTTTGATACAGAGGCAGAAGCCAGTGAAAAATACTTTTATAGAGATGAGGTCTTTTTATTTTATTTTTTTATAGAGACAAGGTCTTGCTATGTTGCTTAGGCTCCAACCCCTGGCCTCAAGCCATCCTCCTGCTTAGGCCTCCCAGAGTGCTAGGATTATAGGTGTGAGCTACCGTGCTCAACTGAAAAATAGTTTAGAAGACAGTCCTACTCGACAAATATTTTCTTTTTCTTTTCTTTTTTTTTTTTTTTTTTTGAGACAGAGTCTTGCTTTGTTGCCCAGGCTGGAGTGCAGCAACATGATCTCAGCTCACTGCAACCTCCACCCCCTGGGTTCAAATTATTCTCCTGCCTCAGCCTCCCGAGTAGCTGCGACTACAAGTGTGCGCCACCACACCCAGCTAATTTGTTTTCTGTATTTTTAGTAGAGATGGGGTTTCACCACGTTGGCCAGGCTGGTCTTGAACTCCTGACCTCAGACGATCTGCCTGCCTCGGTCCCCCAAAGTGCTGGGATTACAGGTGTGAGCCACCGCACCCAGCCATACTTGACAAATATTTTCTGAACAGATTCTACTCCCGCAGTTCAGTTGGGAGAAAATACTTGGTACTCATGTCACAGGCTGGACTCCCATGCCCTGTCTGCCTTTACCTCGTTCCTTTAATGCGTTCACAACAGATACTTGTCATGTGCCCCATCGGTGCCCAGTACTGTCCTCATGCTGGGGCATGTGGTGACAAAAATCCCCGCACCGTGAAGCTTACATTCTAGGGAGGGAAACGGGAAAAATGAGAAGCAGCATATGAAGTGGTTCTGTGGGCCGTTGAGAGAAAGCAGGAGGAGAGGATGGGATCTCGGGAGGGCTACCCTTTATTTATTTAGTTAGTTAGTTAGTTAGTTAGTTATGAGATGGAGTCTCGCTCTGTCGCCCAGGCTGGAGTGCAGTGGCGCGATCTCGGCTCACTGCAACCTCCGCCTCCCGGTTCAAGCAATTCTATCTCAGCCTCCCGAGTAGCTGGGATTATAGGTGCCTGCCACCACACCCAGTTAATTTTTGTATTTTTAGTAGAGATGGGGTTTTGCCGTGTTGGCCAGGCTGTTCTCGAACTCCTGACCTCAGGTGATCCGCTCACCTTGGCCTCCCAAAGTGCTGGGATTACAGGCGTGAGCCACCGTGCCCGGCCTAGAGCTGCACTTTAAAGTGGAATGGTCACCCAGCCAGCAGTGTCCTTGCTGTGACCTGCGGCCATGAGAACCAGCCACTCAGATATCTAGGGGAGGGGCCCTTCACCTGGGCTGCGAACCCCATTCTTAGGTTTATTACAGTCAAATTTTCTCATAAACTTGAAATAGAAATTGAAAACCGTGTGTCATTTTTCCTTCCTGAAACCGTTACTGGGGCTGGGTCTAAAGTCGCCTCTGCAGTGAAGCAGGGTAATCCGACCTCAGTGAAACTCAAGCCTAGATCAAACTCACGTATTGATCTAGAGATGGTAAGTGCCCCTGGAGGTCAGACCCGGGTCACACTGGGCGGGGTTCGGGATGGCAGGTGAGGATGGGGGATGGAGGGTCTCTGGAGAAGGTGAGTTTTTAATAAACCTCCCACCCTAATGGCAACCAAGATACAGATCTAGTAATGATCTTTTTTGTTTGTTTGTTTGAGACAGAGTCTCTCTCTGTTGCCCAGGCTGGAGTGCAGTGGCATGATCTCAGCTCACTGCAACCTCCGCCTCCTGGGTTCAAGCAATTCTCTTGCCTTAGCCTCCCGAGTAGCCGGGCCTAGAGGCATGCACTACCACGCCCGGCTAATTTTTGTATTTTTAGTAGAGACGGAATTTTGTTATGTTGGCCAGGCTGGTCTCGAACTCCTGACCTCCAGAGATCCGCCCACCTCGGCCTCCAAAAGTGCTGGGATGACAGGCGTGAGCCACCAGGTCCAGCCCCAGTAATGATCTTGACTTTGGACATAGCAAGCAGTGTAGAAGCAGGGACGTCCTTCGGTTTGTCTTTTCTTTCTTCCAGCTGGGCTCTGTCTGCCCAGGAGGGCTGCTTGGCTGTGCCTTCTGTGGGTCACGAGGGCTCCTGGTTGGAGCTCTTCTGCTGTGGACCAAGCCTTCTCCCCAGCTGTCACCTGTGCCTGCATCTCAGCGTCTGTCCTCTCTTTCCCTAATGCCGCCCCTCCCCCAACCCCAGCATTTGACACACACGTCCATAGAAACCCTACTATGCCATTAGCTCGGTTGCTAGGCTTGATCATCGTGTTCCTGCAAAAAATCAGTGTTTGCAAGCTCCCGTCTCCTCTCGCTTTAGTGAGCACGTGAATGGCACCCGCGATGGAGTGAGCCTTGTACCAACCCCATGTGTCCCCAGGCCATTCTCCATACACACCAACTCTGTCCCTTTCTCTCTGATGGGGTCAGTAACCAAGGTCAGAGAGGCACCCGGGTGGAAGACGTAGCGTGTCCAGGTTGTCAGCCTTGAGGAGGCCTCCCCCCCATCTCCCTCGGACAGTTTGCAGGGGTCGTAGGTCCAGTTTTCCATCCTCTTCGCCCCTGCAGGTATGCAGACCGCCACTCCACACTAATTTCTTCGGGGAAGAGATGGGTCTCACTGGCATGAAAACCCTTCACAGCTAATCCAAGCTCAGGTTGTCAACCTCAATAGGATGCTGTCATGACTTGTTTCTTGAATACATGGTCAGCCCACATTTTCATTAATTCAGGAAATACTTCTGCGCTGACTGTGCTCTGCATGACAAAGTCAAATCCTGACAAATAATGCCCTAAAGAGAAGGCTCGGGCACGGCCCAGCAGGTTGCATTCTGAGGCCAAGTGCCCAGTGCCGTGCCTGGGCCAGAATCAAAACTCAGGATGCGCTTATGAAATCCCACATTTCTCTCGCCTTCCACCCGGTACTAGCATCTAAAGGAGGCCTGGCCTTCACCTGGACGGCAGTGGGAGCTGCTTAACCTGTTATGGGAGGCCAGGTGCAGTGGCTCACATCTGTAATCCCAGCACTTCGGGGGTCCGAGACAGGCAGAGCACTTGAGGTCAGGAGTTTGAGACCGCCTGGCCAACATGGCAAAACCCCATCTCCACTGAAAATACAAAAATTAGCCGGACGTGGTGACGCGCGCCTGTTGTCCCAGCTACCCGGGAGGCTTAAGCAGGAGAATCGCTTCGCTTCCCTGCCCTACTCCACTCTTTGACCTTGGGGAGAGGCATTCCTCTCCCGAGACTGGGTTTCCCCCCGGAGGCAGGAGGATGTCATCTGCCACTGGCACAGGTGGCTTCACAAGGCTCAGTGAGCTGCCTCCCAGGGACCCTCCCTTGCCACGCAGCCATGTTCTGAGCTCCTCAAGGGCCCCCTGGTGGGTGCCAGTCTAACCACTGCAGCATCTGAGGATGCAGTCACCAGACTACCCACAGGCCCTGATCCAGTTAGCCCCAGCTCACAGGCTGTCGTCCATCCACCCCTGCCTGGTCTGACTTCCTCCACCCCTGCCTGGTCTGACTTCCCATCTAGGCACTCCTGCCCCCACCCATGGAGTAGGAATGAACACTGGTCTGCGCGCCAAAAAAAAAAAAAAAGGCGGGAAGCGGAGGTTGCAGTGAGCCAAGATCACACCACTGCACTCCAGCCTGGGTGACAGAGCAAGACTCTGGCTCAAAAATAAATAAATAAAAACACAAATACAAAAATTAACCGTGCATGGTGGCGTGTGCCTGGAATCCCAGCTACTCAGGAGGCTGAGGCGGGAGAATTGCTTGAACTGGGGAGGCGGAGGTTGCAGTGAGCCAAGATTGCACCACTGTACTCCAGTCTGGGTGACAGAGCGAGACTCTGTCTCAAAAACAAACAAACAACTGTTCTGGGGTCTTCTCTATGCAATCCATGGCACCAGGACTGACCTAGTGGCCCAGCTTAACCACCTGATGGGACAGACCCTTTCAGAGATGGCCATGAGGGCAGCACCCGGCACTGGCCCAGCCCCGCCCCAGGCAGCATCTGCTCCAGGCTCTGTCCTGCCTGTGATCGTGCACCAGGCACCTGTCCCTGCCTCCAGGACCCCACACTTGCTTTCTCCCTCCCAGGGGACACTATGCAGCTACCCGAGACGCTCCTGCTGCACCAACCAAGGGTTCCGAATTCATTAAACACCAGCCCCGATATTTAACATGGGAGACAGCAGCAGCCTGGGTTAAGCCTGAGCTGGAGACAGTGTTAGGAGTCCTGATAGCTGTGCTTTTCTTGGATTTGGGGCCACCATGAGGTGCATCCTCTGTGGTCATGTTTAAGAGGATAAACCATGGCCAGGTGTGGTGGCTCACGCCTGTAATCCCAGCACTTTGGGAGGCTGACGTGGGCTGATCACGAGGTCAGGAGTTGAAGACCAGTCTGACCAGTCTGAGACTGGTGAAACCCCATCTGTACTAAAACTACAAAAATTAGCTGGGTGTGATGGCACGTGCCTGTAGTCCCAGCTACTTGGGAGGCTGAGGCAGGAGAATTGCTGGAATCCAGGAAGCGGAGGTTGCAGTGAGCCAAGATTGAGCCACTGCACTCCAGCCTGGGAGACAGACCGAGACTCCGTCTCCCAAAAAAAAAAAAAAAAAGATATAAACCATGGCCAGGGGTGGTGGTAGCTCACGCCTGTAATCCCAGCACTTTGGGAGGCCGAGGCGGACGGATCACCTGAGGTCAGGAGTTCAAGACCAGCTTGGCCAACATGGTGAAACACCGTCTCTACTTTTTAAAAATACAAAAATTAGCTGGGTATGTTGGCACATGCCTGTAATCCCAGCTGCTTGGGAGGCTGAGGCAGGAGAATCGCTTGAACCAGGGAGGCAGAGTTTGCAGTGAGTCGAGATCACACCACGGCACTCCAGCCGGGGTGACAGATTGAGACTCTGTCTCAATAAATAAATAAATACGTAAATAAATAAATGGATAAACCTAGATACTGTTGTCACCTCCAACCAGGAGGCACTTGTTTTTCCGGAGAAACATCTTACTCTTGCTCTGGTAGCAAGTGGCAGCTGAATCCCAGGAGGCCAGAGTGGAGCACATGAAGTCACGCCAGTCGGAAGGATGCCCCGTTTGAGTTCCCTCCTTGGGGCCTCAGACTGGATAGGCTCAGGCTAACGGTGGTAGCTGGTTCCACAACTCCAGCAGTTGATGTGCATTCCAGGAGGAAAATTACATATATATATTTTTGAGACAGAGTCTCACTCTGTCACCAAGGCTGGAATGCAGTGGTGCGATCTCAGCTCACTGCAAGCTCTGCCTTTTGGGTGGTTCAAGTGATTCTCCTGCCTCAGCCTCCCGAATAGCTGGGACTACAGACGTGCACCACCAACTCCAGCTAATTTTTGTCTTAATATTTTTAGTAGAGACGGGGTTTCACCATGTTGGCCAGGCTGGTCTCAAACTCCTGGCTTCATGTAATCCGCCCACCTCGGCCTCCCAAAGTGCTGGGATTACAGGCGTGAGCTACCGCACCTGGCCCCGGGAGAAAAATATTGAAGATGAAGAAGATGATTGATAAACCACGTGCTCCTCAGCACGTACTGTATGCCAGGAGCTGCAGATGGGGTGGTGAGAAGGATGCCTGCTTTCAAGGGTGTGTGTCTTGTGGCTGGTCTGCCACCTGCCCTGCAGAGCAGCCAAGGCAATGATGTTCATAAGAGGGACTTTGGGCAGGGTGTGGTGGCTCACGCCTGTAAATCTCAGCACTTTGGGAGGCTAAGCGGGCAGGTCACCTGAGGTCGGGAGTTCGAGACCAGCCTGACCAACATGGACATGGAGAAACCCCGTCTCTACTAAAAATACAAAATTAGCCGGGCATGGTGGCACATGCCTGTAATCCCAGCTACCCGGGAGGCTGAGGCAGGAGAATTGCTTGAACCCGGGAGGCAGAGGTTGCAGTGAGCCAAGATTACACCATTGCACTCCAGCTTGGGAAACGAGCAAAACTCCATCTCAAAAAAAAAAAAAAAAAAAGAGTGACTTTGGGATTCCTTGGAGCAGATTCTACCCCTCAAACCTGGGGTTCTCATTCTCAACCCTGCTTGTACAACACTATACCATAGAATCATCTGGAAACTTTTAGTTTTTGAGACGGTCTTGCTCTGTTGCCCAGGCTGGAGTACAGTGGTGCGATCATAGCTCCTTGCGGCCTTGAACTCCTGAGCTCAAGCAATCCTCCTGTCTCAGCCTCCTAAGTGGCTGGGATTACAGGCACGCAAGCCATGCCCGGCTAATTTTTAAAATTTTTTGTAGAGATGGGGGGACCTCACTGTGTTGCCCAGGGTGGTATTGAACTCCTGGGCTCAAATGATTCTCTTGCCTCAGCCTTCCAAAGTGTTGGGATTACAGGCATGAGCCACCTCGCCCAGGCTTTTTTTTTTTAATATATAATATAACATTTTGCATATTTATTCATCAGTTGCTGGACATTTGGGTTGGTTTCACTTTTTGACCATTATAAATAATGTCAAAACATTCATGTATAAGTTTCACATTGGCCCAGCGTTTTGTTTCTGGAATGTTTTTGTGTGAACATAAGTTTTCAATTTTCATGGATGTATACCTAGGAGTGGAGTTGCTGCTCATTCATTTAATTTTTTTGAGTTTTGACATTTGCGTCATTTAATCTACAACACACTCTGTAAATTCCAAGATACTGAATATTTATTTCCCTGCATACAACTTGGGCTGTTCCTTGCAGGCTCATGGCAGGCTTTCTGCCTGCTTTTCTTGTGTTTCTGCTGCTAAAGTAGGGACCCAGGCCGGGCGCGGTGGCTCATGCCTGTAATCCCAGTACTTTGGGAGGCCGAGGCGGGCGGATCACTTGAGGTCATGAGTTCGAGACCAGCCTGGCCAATATGGCAAAACCCCATCTCTACTAAAAATATAAAAATTAGCTGGGTGTGGCAGTGTGTGCCTATAGTCCTAGCTACTGGGGAGGCTGAGGCACGAGAATCACTTGAAACTGGGAGTTGGGGGCTGCAGTGAGCTTGGATTGCTCCACTGCACTCCAGCCTGGGTGACAGAGCGAGACTCCATCTCTAAATAAATACATAAATGTAAATAAATAAATTAGGGAACCCTCTTGGTGCCCAGTAGTCATCAGAGCTTATAATGACCAAGTACGTAGAAATGGGCCCCACCCATAGTGGCTGATGCCTGTGATCCCAACACTTTGGGAGGCTGGGGTGGGAGGATCACTTGAGCTCAGGAGTTCAAGGGCAGCCTGGGCAATATAGCAAGACCCCTATCTCTACAAAAAATAAAAAAATTAGCCAAACATGGTGGTGCACGCCTATAGTTAACAGCCACTCTGGAGGCTGAGATTGGAGGAGTGCTTGAGACCAGGAGTTCGAGGCTGCAGTGAGCAAATAAATTTAAAGAAAAAAACAAACAAACCAGGCCCTGGGTCTAGCTGATGCTGCCTGAGTTTCCCACTCAGCTCGGGTAGACATCTGTTGGAAAAACATCCCAAATGTGATGTTCTGCTATCAACCTTTACAAGGCGAAGACCTCCACATTCAGTTGCCAAGAACCGTCAGAGCAATCACCTTTTTTGTTTTGTTTTGTTTTTGGAGATGGAGTCTCGCTCTGTCGCCCAGGCTGGAGTGCAGTGGCGCGATCTCAGCTCACTGCAACCTCCGCCTCCCTGGTTCAAGCGATTCTCCTGCCTCAGCCTCCCAAGTAGCTGAAATTACAGGCACACACCGCCATGCTTGGCTAATTTTTTGTATTTTCGTAGAGACGGGATTTCACTGTGTTGCCCAGACTGGTCTTGAACCTCTGAGCTCAGACAATCCGCCCACCTTGGACTCCTAAAGTGCTAGGACCACAGGTGTAAGCCACCACGCCCAGCTGCAATCACCTTTCTTTCTCGGCTGTCCTCCAATGTGCATCCAGACCTGTTGCTTTTTCTACCGCATTCCTTCTTTAAAACATCAAGATATAAGTCACATAACATAAAACCATTTACAGCACACAGCTCAGTGGTTTTTCGCAAACTGTGTTGTGCAGCTGTCACCATGATTTCATTGCACACATTCCCTTTCGGTGCATATTTTCTTTCCGCTTTCTTCACCATGTGAGCTGATCTGACACTCCCTCCCCTGCCCGAGTCAGCTGAAATTCACATGACAAAACCAGGGTCGGCAAAGTGACCAAAGATGACGCCCTTTCCTTTTGTGGCCTTTGCTTTATTTTTTAATTTAATTTTTTTTAATTTATTGCTTTTTAGAGACAGGGTCTTGTTCTGTTGCTCAGGCTGGAGTGCAGTGGTGTCATCATAGCTCACTGGAGCCTCCAACTCCTGGGCTCAAGTGATCCTCTGGCCTCAGCCTCTGAGTAGTTGGGATTACAGGTATGCACCACCACACCCGGCTAATTTTTTTTTTTTTTTTTGATAGAGACTCGCCCTGTTGCCCAGGCTGGAGTGCAATGGCGTGGTCTCGGCTCACTGCAACCTCTGTCTCCCAGGTTCAAGCGATTCTTCTGCCTTAGCCTCCCGAGTAGCTGGGATTACAGGTGGCTGCCACCATGCCTGGCTAATTTTTATATTTTTAGTAGAGACGGGGATTCACCATTTTGGCCAGGCTGGTCTCGAACCCCTGACCTTGTGACCTGCCTGCCTCGGCCTCCCAAAGTGCTGGGATGACAGGCGTTGAGTCACTGCACCTGGCCCACCCCACTTCTTAATTACCACTACGGGTCCTTCTTTGCCTTTGCATTCTACCTGCTGTTTCTTGTCTAAGTCTAACTCTCCCGTCCCTCCCTGCTTCTCTGTCTTCCCTCTACTATTGGCCGGCAGCTGGTCATTTCCTGGTCCAAGCACAGCACCCCTTTGTGGTCCATCCTAGCACTGCATCCCTTGTAATGCTCCGGGAAGGACCCCTGGTGCAGGGGCTATAGTGGGTCCCCAGCACCAGCATAAGGGGATGATTTTGAGAGTTTTGGGGCAGTCAGGATCGCCCATGGATGTTCCGGCTCCAGTGGAATTATCTTTTTTTTTTTTTTTTTTTTTTTGAGACAAAGTCTCACTCTGTTGCCCAGCCTGGAGTGCAGTGGCACAATCTCGGCTCACTGCAACCTCCACCTCCCGGATTCAAGCCATTCTCCTGCCTCAGCCTCCCAAGTAGCTGGGATTACAGGCACCCGCCACCACGCCCAACTAATTTTTATATTTTTAGTAGAGATAGGGTTACACTATGTTGACCAGGGTGGTCTTGAACTCCTGACCTCAGGTAATCCTCCCGCCTCCACCTCCAAAAGTGCTGGGATTACAGGTGTGAGCCACCGCACCCAGCCCTCCTGTGGTATTATCTGAAGGCCCGAGCGACAGGACTTGTCTTCAGACCCCAGGCATAAAAGCTTCTCAGCAGCTAGAACTCTCTTGGGCTCAGGGTGATGGAAGAATATTCAGCTTCCATTTTCACTCCCGGTCTCCAGGTTCTCTTCCTGTGGGCCAAGGGTGAGGCAGGGTTGGGATGGGGGCTGATGGGGCCTAGGGCAGGGATGGGTCTTCAGCTCTGCCCTGCTCACAGCTACCCCCCCATGGAAAATCTCAGAGAGGAGAAGGGGAAGGGTGTCAGTCTAGAACCTGCCGGTCTCAAGCCCATCTTTTCTTGCTGGCACAGCCCCAGTGTCCCGCCTACCAAGAGGGCAGTAGCCAGAAGCACGGTGCTCCTCTTTCCTGCCTGCAGGATATCTAATCTGGAGGTATCAGCTTCTGGGCTTCTGGAACTTACCTGGAGCTGTGATGTCCATGGCAAGGCTCTAGGTTTGGGTCAGAGACCCTTCGGCCAGGCAACCAGCCCCTGACCCTTCCCTTGCCATCAGAAAGGCCCCGTCCAACTCCTTCCCCCCACCGTCCCCACTCCCAGGCCTGGCTCTGCCCAAGGTCTGGGTGGGGATGCTGGGCATAGTAGCTGGCCTCCAAGATGGCCCCCAGTCATCTTTACCTCCTGGTTTCCACCCACTTATGTAGTTCCCTCCCATGTCAAATCAGAGTTGGGCCGTATCACACCAGAGCATGGTAGAGGCAACGGCGTGTGAATTATGTGGCTAGGAATAAAAATAACACTTTGGTTTCTAACCTGGACCCTTGAATCTCTTGCTCTGGGGGAAGCTGGGCGCCATATTGTGAGGACACTCAAGCAGCCCCGTGGGTTGGCCCACATGGGGAAGGACTGAGGCCTCCTGCCTACAGCCAGGCCTCACTTAGAAGTGCATCCTTCAGTCCTTAGCTGATTTCAGACAACGGCAACCTCATGAGTGACTCTGAGCCAGAATCACTCAGCCAAACTTCCTGAATTCCTGACCCACAGAAAATGTGACCTATAAATAATGATCATGTTAAGCCGCTAAGTTTGGGGGCAACTTGTTATACAGCACCAGGTAACTAATACAACCCCTCCGGCTCTGGGGGCCCTTCCTCAAATTCTGGGTGTTTTTCTACCCGCCTCTAGCCCCTGGCCTGTGTTCCCCCGACCACAGTGTGGAGGAGAAAGAGATGAGACCAGGTTCTGGCTAGATCAGCAAAAAACCAGACGGCCACCAGCCAGCATCGTTTTTTTTTTTCATTTTAATTAACACTTTACAAAGTACAAAATATACTGTCTTTTTTGGGGGAACATTAGGTAATTTTTTTTCTCCAACATACAGTACATGAATCTCGAGGGTTTTGTGTTTCTTCAACAAGAAAATAAGCTTGAGGGCCCCGGGGGGGTAGGGATAAGATGGCAGGTTCTCCCCTTCACCCAGATCTTGGGAGCGATGGAACGCCGCTGCTGCTGCTGGTGACCCGGGCACGCCAGGTGAGGGTTGGAGGGGGTTGTGGGCAGGAAGTCCCCTGCCCCCACTACGATGGTGGGGGCTCTGGGCAGGGCAGAGGCCCCTCAGTACACCATCCATCCACTCACCCCCATCTCAGGATAACGGAAATGATTTTGGCATAGAGAAAGAGGAGGGCTTGGGACTGTTATCAGCTCCCTACTCTTTTAGAGGGAACTCTGCTCAACTCTTCCTAGACTGTCTTCTGAATACAGGTAAACTGAGGCAGTGGAAGGGAAACCGCACTGGCCTTGGCCTGTCTTGGGACCTGAACTTGGCCTGCTGTTCACCCTGCCACCTCCAAAGTTTGGGTGAGGGGCAGGGGTCTCCAATTCTTCTGGACCTTCTTCCAGAATGAGCCCCAGTAGATGAGGGAGTGCCGGCCCCCACAAACTCTCCCTGTGAACACCATCTGCAGGATGGGATGCCTTTGAAGAGTCAGCACGGGCAGCCCCAGCCCCTTCCAATCAGAGCTGGGCTGTATCAAACCAGAGCATGGTGGAGGCAACGGCGTGTGAATTCTGAGGCTAGGGATAAAAATAACACGTTGGCTTTTACCCTGGGCCCTTGAATCTCTTGCTCTGGGGGGAAGCCGAGCGCCATATTGTGAAGACACTCAAGCAGCCCTGTGGGTTGGCCCACCTGGGGAAGGACTGAGGCCTCCTGCCTACAGCCAGGCCTCACTTAGAAGTGCATCCTCCAATCCTTAGCTAAGATTTCAGACAACAGCAACCTCATGAATGACCCTGAGCCAGAACTGCTCAAACTGTTCCTGACACCTTTGCCCCCCTCCAGAGTAGTTCTGACAAGTGGGGTGAGGCCGTCCTACCAGAGACGCCCCACCCTCTCCCCTGGAGCCAGGGTCTGCATTCGAGTCCTGCCCTCACTCACCTAATCATTTCTGCACTCAAGGCCTGACAACAAGACTGCTACTGAGAACTCAAAATACTCCAAGAGCCAGTCCCATATCTCAGGTGTGGGCTCTGCACACGTGCACGCACACACTCTAATGCATAGGAACACATCCACGCTCACAGGTACATGCACAAACGTGTGCATAAACACACCTAGGCCTGCACCCCCACTCCTAGCACACAGGCCACCCTGCACTTCCAATTTCCATAGCTCCTCTTCCCTTATAGTGACAGCCACAAGCTCTCTCGGCCACCAGGCTGTCCCTGGATGCCATGGCTCAGGCCTCAGGCTCCTGCCTCTGCTCCAGGCTGCTCCTGGCTGGCTTCCTTCCCTGGGGCCTCTTTCGTTATTTTCTTGTAGAGGCAGGGTCTTGCTATGTTGACCAGGTTGGTCTTGCTATCTTGGCCTCAAGCTATCCTCCCACCTTGGTCTCCCAAAGTGCTGGGATGACAGGCCTAAGCCACCGAGCCCGGCCTCCTTTGAATGGGCCCCCACCAGGCCTAACCCCCTCCCTCAGCATGGTACCCAAAGCCAATGTCTTTTCTCTGTTGGAGAAGCCCCCCGGCCTCACTCAGGCTCTGCCTATTACACTAACCAATGTCTCCAATGCTCCAGGCCCTGCTCGGAGCGGACTAGAAGGTTGGGGGTGCTTCTTCCCATCCCCATGCAAAGCGCTTCACTCAGGAAGTGGCGTCAAAAATCCCATTGGCCAGGCGGGGTATCTCATGCCTGTAATCCCAGCACTTTGGGAGGCCAAGGTGGGCGGATCACCTGAGGTCAGGAGTTCAAGAACAGCCTGGCCAACATAGTGAAACCCTGTCTCTACTAAAAATACAAAAATTAGCCGAGCGTGGTGGTGGGTGCCTGTAATCCCAGCTACTTGGGAGGCTGAGGCAGGAGAATCACTTGAACCTGGGAAGCAGAGGTTGCAGCGAACCGAGATCGCACCACTGCACTCCAGCCTGTCTCAAAAAAAAAAAAAAAAAAAGATCCCCCCATTGCAGGGCTGAGGTGCTCTTGCCCTAAAGCCCCCTCTCTTAGCTGGGGCTGGGAAAAGCCCTGGTTGTCACCACATCCAGATCTCTAGGCTCAGAAAGGGGCCCAGGGTGGCCTTAGGACTCCCCAGGGTATCCCTGGAAAATGTGGCCAGGAGGAGGGGGCCAGTGGGAGGTGGCCTGTGTTCACCTTTGAAGATCACCAAATAGTGCCCTGGGCTTTAACAGGGGCCTGGCCCTTCCTGTCTTCCCAGTCTTCTCTCCTGACCTCCAGGGCATCCTCTGTCACCTCAGAGGGGCAAGCCCCTCCAGACCAAGCCTCCTCCTGCTGAACAAATGTCACCCTGGCTACGCTGCTGCTTCCGGAGGCCACACTGGAAGCCTCTGATCCCCCAGCTCCTTCCTTTCCCACCAGCAGCCTGGTGCCTGGAGGTGAGAGGAGGTGAGAATGCCAGTGGTTTGGAGTGAGGCTTTGGGTCCCCGCCTCTGAATCTTGGGGAGGGGAAGCTACCAGGGTCAGGCCTGCAAGCCTCTCCAGCTCAGATGCATGCCTCGGGCTGAGGACAGTGGTGTGGGCAGTGCCCCTTGAAGGAGGGCGGTCCTGGAGATGCCCATGGAGGAAGGAGGTGCAGAGTCAGCAATGCCCAGATCTTTGCTGGGTTAGGACGACGGGCTGAGGGAGGAAGGGGTGTCTTGGGAACCAGGGGAGCCCCACGACGAGGCAGAACTTATCAGTGGCAGGGAGGGGTGGTCACTGCTCTGTTCCTCCCCATCCTTCAGCTCCCACTGGTACTCTGAGTGCAGCAAGGGGAGAGGGTGGGGTTGAGACTATCTGAGCTTTTCTTAATGGAGAACCACACAGGGGCCAAGACACACACTCCAGGAGCTCAAGTGGCAGCCCCAGGGTCACCTGCTCACCCCTAGAAATTCCATGAGGCCGGGCACGGTGGCTCATGCCTGTAATCCCAGCACTTCGGGAGGCCAAGGTGGGTGGATCACTTGAGGTCAGGAGTTCAAGACCAGCGTGGCCAACATGGTGAAACCCCGTCTCTACCAAAAATACAAAAATTAGCCGCGTGTGGTGGTGAGTGCCTGTAATCTCACCTACTTGGGAGGCCAATGTAGGAGACTCGCTTGAACCCAGGAAGTGGAGGTTGCTGCAGTGAGCTGAGATCATGCCACAGCACTCCAGCCTGGGCGACAGAGCAAGACTCCGTCTCAAAAAAAAAAAAAAAAAAATTCCACATCATAGAGAGCCCTCTTCCTCCCCCGCCAGGCACCTGCCCCATCCGCCAGCGCCAAGACAACAGGCCCACTCCTCTGATTACCTCCGGGGGATGGACGGCAAACAGGTAAGGAGTTCCATGCAACTGCGGATGGAGCCCCTCTGAGAAACACATGCCCCTCCAAGTGGGGTCTGGGGCCTGGAGAGACCCTCCCACCCAGCAGACCAGGAGATAGCTGGGGGACAAGGGCAGACGGCCCCTGCCTGGGAAAAACCACACTCACACCCCACCCCGAAGAGCTGTGGAGACCAAACCAAGACTACGCTACACACAGAACGCCGAGAAGATAAACCAAGCTTTACACGAGCAGGATGGGGATGGGAAAACTAAAGGGGCCCCCTGTGACCGAGGAGCAGGGTCCCCAGGGGGCAGCTCCCACGGAGCGGGCTTGAACAGGGACCACCCCTGCAGAGCCAGCCAGGGCGGAGAGCCATACCCTGGCCCCAGCGCGCCCCGACACACATGCTTTTCTCCATGACACGAGGCCAGTCCCCAGGAGCAGCCCCAGGAGCACAACCTGAGATTTCTAAGCTTGCAGGTTACAAAAAACAAAAAAAACAGAGAAGCTGCCTGCGTAAAAAGTGCCACCCACGGAGGCAGGACACAGGCAGCGTGTGGCCCATTCAGCAGGCCCAGGTCTTCAGGGTGAGGCTGCTGGCGAGGGCAGGGGAGAGGGGGCATTCTGGTTAAAAGCAAGAAATTCCAAATACTCCTCCCTCGGGATCAACATCCCCCCAAATAAGGGCGCCCAGGGATCTTGCCTGGGGAAAGTGGGGTGCAGAAGGCATGACCCACGCCACAGCGGGCTCTCAGCACCCTTCCCACGTCCCATGTCACAGGCTCTTTGAGCTGCTGGCTTTGTTCTCTCAAGTCAGGTCTGAGGGAACCCATCGGCTTCTGTAATAATCGTATTGCCTATATACTTGAATTAAAAATATATGGTGGCTCAAATGTGCCCGCGTGTATGGCAGACGGTGCGGGGTGGAGGCCATCACGCCCATACACGTGTGCACACACAGCGGGGGGCTGTGTCCACGGACTGCGCACACAGTATATATTAACATATATATTGCTCAAGTATATATGCTATTTACAGTATATATCTCTATCAACATAAAACACAGGTATTTATAGGTGTGTACAATAGATACGTCCTAGGAAGTCTAGGGGACACACGACTCTGGGGTCACGGGGCCGACACACTTGCACGGCGGGAAGGAAAGGCAGAGAAGTGACACCGTCAGGGGGAAATGACAGAAAGGAAAATCAAGGCCTTGCAAGGTCAGAAAGGGGACTCAGGGCTTCCACCACAGCCCTGCCCCACTTGGCCACCTCCCTTTTGGGACCAGCAATGTACGAGTTTTGTTCTGGAGTTTTGTGCAAAACAAATTAACTTAAAAAAAAAAAAGTTGGTTTCTAATTAATGTGGTGGGCCTTCAACACCCACAAGGATTTTAAAGAACAGCTTCTCCTTCTGGTGGGCTTCCAGGGCTCAGAGGGTCCCACTCAGAGAAGCAGGGAACACTTTGTCAGGACTAGAAAATATCCCTTCTCCTCTGACCACAGAAACAGCACAACTCGGCTGGGTGTGGTGGCTCACGCCTGTAATCCCGGCATTTTGGGAGGCCGAGGCAGGCGGATCACTTAACTCAGGAGTTCAAGACCAGCCTGAGCAATGTTACGAAATCCCGTCTCTATTAAAAAATACAATAACTAGCCAGACGTGGTGGTGCGTGCCTGTAATCCCAGCTACTTGGGAGGCCGAGGCAGGAGAATCACTTGAACCTGGGAGGAGGAGGGTGTAGTGAGCCAAGATCGTGCCACTGCATTCCAGCCTAGGCAACAGAGCCAGACTCCCATCTCAAAAAAAAAAAAAAAAACCCCCGCCAGAGCCAAAACCACAGGGGCCCTTGGTCCTGCTCATTCAGAAAACCACCCCACTGGAAGGGACACCACGGCTAACCCCATGCCTCCTGGACATGACCACTCAGCTGGCCTGCCACCTGGCTGTCCACCTCCCCATGGCCCTCGGGTTCCCTCACCCCCTCCGGTGCTCAGATAGAACTACAGCTGGTTGGTGGGAGTTCCCATGTGGGGTGCCAGCGGCTCCAGCGTCTTGTAACAGATCTCTGCTCCTAGCTTCCCTTCAGAAGAGAGGGCCCAGGCTCCTGTGACATCTCCCGATTCCCACTGCCTGTCCCTGGAGCCACAGAGCACCAGCTTAGTGACACAGAGCCTCCAGGCTCCCTTGACAGAACTCAAACAGGTCCTATCCCTGCCAAACAGAAACTACCGCCAAGAGCACCCTGGGTGCAAATACATTAAATAAAAAACTAAAACAAAGTATGGTTTTCTCTATTAAGGCTCAGTTAAGCTGCCTCCTGGGTCAAGTACTCATGAATGCCACAGCCCCCAGCCAAGGGGCGGGTGGGCAGGCAGGTGACTTGGGGGCAGAGGAGGGAGGAGGACGGCGGGGAGTCCTATGCTGGTCTAGTTGTCTGTTGGGGAGGTGGGACACCACCTAAGAAACCTCAGGCCTGGAAAGCCAGGGATGTCCCTACTGGGGGAAGCTGAGGCTCTACCTGCCCAAGTCGGGTCCAGGGAGAGCCGAGGGGACAGGAGCTGGTGCTCCAGGCTGGTGGGTCTCCTGGGACCCTCCCTCCTCCCCCAAGGACTGAGTGCTTGTGGGGGAGGGTCTGGACAGGGCCCTCTTGGCAGTCTTGCTGGGAGTCGGGCCCAGGCCCTGTGGTTGGCAGGCGAGGTACAGGGGGAGTCTGGGTCCTTCCCAGCTCGGGGATCCCACCTGGGTTCCTGTCTGAGCCTCACCAGCCCCGATGACCTGAGGGGGCCACGCTGGCCTCCACTCCGAGGGAACCAGCCCTGAGCTGATGGAAGCAGAGACCAGTGACCACAGTACTCACCCCCAAACCCTCCAGGGCACCCCAAACTCGGCCCCACCCCGCCAGCCCCAGCCCTGCAAGGTGACATGACAGCTGGCACACCGGTGTCTCGCAGGAGGGACCGGCTTCCCTCGGCATCTGCCCCTGGCCGTGGGTGAGGCCGGATGAGAAGGCGGATCAGCTCACAAGCTCCCTGGGCCTCCGAAAGCATTTTCCGGGGTGGGGGAGGTAGGGAAGAGAAAGGTCGTTCTCTGGAGGGTCGGGGGGCTCCGGGAAGGCAGGAGGGCATGGAGAGGCCTTGGCGTGGGCCCCTGCCCTGGAGGGATTGGCAATCGAGGGAGTCTCCCACAGAGGCCCCTTCCTCAGGGTCCCCAGGCTGATTTTCCAGTCTGTAGAGAAATACTGCAAGATCAATCTTCAGGGTTAGGGCTGGGCCCGGGCGGCGGCAGGGAGGAGCAGAAGAGACCCTTCTAGTGCTTCTCTGCTTGGCTGACCTTCAGGGCACTGATGACACCATTGATGTTCTCTTCGGGGACCTGTGCAGGGGTAGAGGAGGCAGATGCCTGCCCGTGAGCCCAGGAACCTGCTTCCCCACCCCGGCCCTGCCCTGGAGGGGTCTGGCGCTGGACACTCACAAGTGCATGATCAAACTTGAAAGTACTGATGTAGTAGGCTGGGATGTCTGCAGCAGCCAAGGGCTCTGAGATCTGGGCCACGATGCCACACTCATCTAGAACAGGAGAGACCGTCCTTAGCCTCTGTGTAACCTGGCTACCCTTGCCTGTGTGGCTCTTCAGCCTCTACCCTCTGTGGGCAATGCCTACCCTGCACCCACCATCCTCCTAGAGAATTCCCATCTGCTATCCCTTTTATTTTTTTTGAGATGGAGTCTCGCTCCATCGCCCAGGCTGGAGTGCACTGGCGTGAGCTCACTTCACTACAACCTCCACCTCCTGAGTTCAAGCAATCCTCGTGCCTCAGCCTCCCAAATAGCTGGGATTATAGGCGTGTACCACCATGCCCAGCTAATTTTTTTGTATTTTTAGTAGAGATGGGGTTTCACCATGTTGGCCAGGCTGGTATCGAACTGCTGTACTCAAATGATCCACCCACCTCCACATCCCAAAGTGCTGGAATTACAGGCGTGAGCCACCGTGCCTGGCCTCCCACTGGCCATCCCTCTTGAAGGCTTAACCCAGATGTCCCCCAACCAGGAGCCTTCTCTGGTCGCTGGCCAGTGAAATAGTTTGGCTTTGTGTTCCTGCCCAAATCCTCCAATTGTAATCTCAAGTATTGGAGGTGGGGCCTGGTGCAAGATGACTGGATTATGAGGGTGGATTCCTCATGAATGGTTTAGCCTCATCCTCTTGGTACTGTTCTCGTGACAGTAAGTCCTCACGAGATCTGGCTATTTAAAAGTGTGGCACCTTGGCTGGGAGTGGTGGCTCACGCCTGTAATCCCAGCACTTTGGGAGGCCGAGGCGGGTGGATCACTTGAGGTCAGGAGTTCGAGACCAGCCTGGCCAACATGGTGAAACCCCATCTCTACTAAAACTACAAGAATTAGCCGGGCGTGGTGGCACGTGCCTATAGTCCCAGCTACTTGGGAGGCTGAACCCAGGAGGCGAAGACTGCGCCATTGCACTTCAGCCTGGGCAACAGAGCAAGATCCGGTCTCAAAAAAAAAAAAAACAAAAAACAAAAAGAAAAAAAAAATGCTATCCACCAAAGACGTTGTCTGGACAACTGTGGAAACAGAGGAAAGACTAAGTCTTAGGGAATGACTGAAAATTTTCTCCTGTGGAATCCTGTCATTGTGGTTATATAGGAGAAAGTGTTTCTTCTTTTTTTTTTCTTTTTTTGAGGTGGACTCTCGCTCTGTCGCCCAGGCTGGAGTGCAGTGGCGCCATCTCGGCTTGCTGCAAGCTCCGCCTCCCAGGTTCATGCCATTCTCCTGCCTCAGCCTCCCAAGTAGCTGGGACTACAGGCGCCTGCCACCACGACCGGCTAATTTTTTGTATTTTTAGTAGAGACAGGGTTTTGCTGTGTTAGCCAGGATGATCTCGATCTCCTGACCTTGTGATCCTCCTGCCTCGGCCTCCCAAAGTGCTGGGATTACAGGCGTAAGCCACCTTGCCCGGTGCTTCTTCCCAGGATGGAAAAGGCGAGGCATTTAGGAGTAAAGTGTTGGGTGTCAGACTCTCTGGGAGATATGTGACAATTACATGTATTTACGTGAAGAAAACATGTTAAAAAATTGCCAGCAGTTATTATCTTTGAGCTGTGGAAATAAGGAGTGATTTTTTTTCTCTTTAATTTTTATCACAGCCCCAATTTATTCTTTTTTAAATTAAATTTATTATTATTTTTTGAGACAGAGTCTTGCTCTGTTGCCCAGGCAGGAGTGCAATGGAGCGATCTTGGCTCATCGCAACCTCTGCTTCCTGGGTTCAAGCGATTCTCCCATCTCAGCCTCCTGAGTAGCTGGGATTACAGGCGCACGCCACTGTGCCTGGCCAATTTTTTGTATTGTTAGTAGACATGGGGTTTCGTCATATTGGCCAGGCTGGTACTCCTGACCTCAGGTGATCCACCTGCATCGGCCTCCCAAAGACCTGGGATTACAGGCACGAGCTAACTCGCCCAGCCTCTTTTTTTATTTTTAGAGGCAAAGATTTGCTCTGTCACCCAGGTTGGAGTACAATGGCATGATCATGGCTCACTGTAGCCTTGAACTCTTAGGCTCAAGTAATCCTCCTGCCTCAGCCTCCTGAGTAGCTGGGATTACAGGCGCCAGCCACCATGCCCAGCTAATTTTAAAAATTTTGGTAGAGACAGGGCCTCGCTATGTTTCCCAGGCTGGTACAGAACTCCTGGGCTCAATGGATCTTTCCACCTCGGCCTCCCAAAGTGCTGGGATTACAAGCACGAGCCACCGCGCCCAGCTGCTTAATTTTCTAATAATAAGCAACATATTAAATTTCAAGAGGGGGCAAAATAAAAGCACTCCGATTGAAGCCTGCTCCGCACTTCCCCAAGAGGCCTGTGTACAGCTGCCACACACCAGTGAGCAACAGAAATTTCAGGCTCCCCAAGCCTCAGTCTCCCCATCTGTACCCCCCAGCAGGGGCCGAGTCACTGCGGACAACGTATGTGAATGGGCTCAGCAATGCCAGCTCCCTCAATTCCCCATGTAATCCCCCCAGGACTCACCAAACCCCAGGGGCTGTCCTCCAATCCGGACCATCTTCCAGAGCTCTCCGGATGCGCTTGTGAACAGCAAGTTACTAGGAAACCTTCAAAAGGAGCGAGAGAAGAATCCCCGAGGCTGATGTGAATTGCACTCCCTCCTTGGTGTGCTGGTGCACCAGCCAGAGCGAGGCATGGGGCTGGCCAGGCAGGGTTGGGCAGACCTCAGGGCCCCCCAAAAACAATCCCTTCCAGACACCCTGGACCCATTCGCCCGGCGGCCTCCTCGTCTTGAGGGGAGGCGGATGGGGAGGGTGATGTCAGGCTGGGCTTTGTAACAAGCCCCTCCCCAAACCCTTGCTAAGGCTGGTCTAGACACCTCTTCCCAGGTCCAGAGCACAAGCTGAGGGAGAAATAGCACCGGGGCTGCGGTTCAAATCCCCACTTTGCCACCACCCCACAGTGGACCTCGGACAACCCCTGCACCTCTCTGAGCTGGGGGACCAGCTTACTTATGATGAAGTGCTATGGTGAGGGTTTATTAGAGACAAAGTGGCAGGGCGTGGTGGCTCACACCCGTAATCCCAGCACTTTGGGAGGCCGAGACTGGCAGATCACATGCAGTCAGGAGTTGGAGACCAGCCTGGTCAGCATGGCGAAGCCCCATCTCTACGAAAAATACAAAAATTGGCCAGGTGCGGTGGCTCACGCCGGTAATCCCAGCACTTTGGGAGGCCAAAGTGGGTGAATCACTTGAGGTCAGGAGTTCACGAGCAGCCTGGCCAACATGGCAAAACCCTGTCTCTACAAAAAATACAAAAATAAACAGGGTATGGTGGTGTGCGCCTGTAGTTCCAGCTACTCGGGAGGCTGAGGCAGGAGAATCACTTGAACCTGGGAGGTGGAGGTTGCAGTGAGCTGAGATCGCGCCACTGCACTCCAGCCTGGGCAACAGAGTGAGACCCTGTCTCAAAAAGTAAATAAATATTAAAAAAAAATAAAATAAAAATACAAAAATTAGCCAGGTGTGGTGGCAGGCACCTGTAGTCCCAACTATTCAGGAGGCTGAGACATGTGGATCACTTGAACCTGGGAGGCAGAGGTGGCAGTGAGCCAAGACTGCACCACTGCACTCCAGCATGGGTGACAGAGAGAGATCCTGTCTCAACAAAAATAAAAATAAAAAAAATCAGGCTGGTTGCGGTGGCTCATGCCAGTAATCCCAGCACTTTGGGAGGCCGGGGCGGGCAGATCACAAGGTCAGGAGATCCAGACCATCTTGGCTAACATGGTGAAACCTGGTCTCTACTAAAAATACAAAAAATTAGCCAGGCGTGGTGGCGGCGCCTGTAGTCCCAGCTACTTGGGAGGCTGAGGCAGGAGAATGGCATGAACCCGGGAGGTGGAGCTTGCAGTGAGCCGAGATAGTGCCACTGCACTCCAGCCTGGGCGACAGAGCGAGACTCCGTCTAAAAAAAAAAAAAAAAAAATCACGCCTGAGGCGGGCGGATTGCCTGAGGTCAGGAGCTTGAGACCAGCCTCACCAACATGGCAAAACCCTGTCTTTACTAAAAATACAAAAATTAGCTGGGCATGGTGGCACATGCCTGTAGTCCCAGCTGAGGCAGGAGAATTGCTTGAACCTGAGAGGTGGAGGTTGCCTTGAGCCGAGATCGCACCACTGCACCCCAGCCTGGGCGACAGAGCGAGACCCCGTATCAAAAAAAAACAACAACAAATAAAAGACAAAGTGGGTGATGTGCCATCACATAGTCCCCCCAGACCCTGGGGCCCACCCTGGGTTGAACGTCCACCCCAGGGCCTGGCTCACCTCTGCTGCGTCTGCACGTCCATCACCAGGGAGATGTAGCCCTCGATGAGGGAGAAGGAGAAGAAGCGGATGTGGCCGCAGTCATCCCCAGTGGCCATGGGGTCCTTCACTCTGGGGACCAGAGGCAGCTGGTAAAGATGGGGCCCCTGTGGCCCCTGCCCCATTCACACCAGCCCAGGGAAGCTGGGCCCTGCCCAGGCTTTGATGCCACCTGGGTGACCCTGGGCCAGTGTCCTTCTCATCCTGCTCGCTATGCCACGGGGATGATTTCACCGCATTCACAAAGGCGGGTGCTACACTTTGCAGTACTGGAGGCCCGGCCGGCCTCCCACGCAGGTTACACCGGCCCCTGCCTGCATCTCAGGGCACAGGCTGTGGTGACTGTCAGCATGCTGGACCCTGCCCCGCCCCACCTCGTGTTGGCCTAAACTTTACAAAATCTGCTGAGGAAGTGACACAATGTCTGTTGTTCACCAAATGAAAAAAATCTGAGTTCTCAGCTCCTCAACAGACTGGGCCTGTCCTCGGAGCTCAGTGGGGAGTGGGGAGTTTGTTACAGCTCCCAATGAGTCTTTGGGGCGTCACCAAATTTTGGGGTTCCCAGGGTAGGATGTCTCACCCCTGAGACTGGGGCTTTTAGGTAGAGCTGTGTCTCCCCCTCAGCCTAGTTCCAGGGCGGGTCCATGTCTCCCACCCCAAACTAGTTCCGGGGTGGGTCTGTGTCTCCTACCTCAGACTAGCTCCAGGACAGGTCTGTGTCTCCCCACTCAGACTAGCTCTGGGGAGGGTCCATGTGTCCCCCATCAGACTAGCTCTGGGGCGGGTCTGTGTCTCCTACCTCAGACTAGCTCCGGGGCAGGTCCATGTCTCCCACCTCAGACTAGTTCCAGGGTGGGTCCATGTCTCTCTGCTCAGACTAGCTCCAGGGAAGGTCTGTGTCTCTTCCCTCAGATGAGCTCCTAGCAAAGCCTCCCCCGTCAGACTAAGACTCCTAGGCGGAGCCATGCCTCTCCCTGGCCCACCCTGCAACCCCTCATGCCCAAGGCAGCCCTACCCATTGGAGTAGAACATGACATCCATGAGGAGTGTGGCAACAGCAGGCAGCGTGTCAGGGTCCAGGCTGGTGACACAGAACCTGTTGCTCGGGCTGGACAGTGGGTGGATGACTGGCCTCTGGACTGTAAGAGCACAAAGATGTCAGGCACTGAGGCTGGGACTGAAAGCAGCAGCTCTGGTGGGTGCAGGGCCTGGGAAGAGGGCTGGGGAGGGCTCAGCTGCAGGCCCCAAGAGACTCATTCACCGCTGCTTCTCCAGCCTCTACCACCAATTACCACCGTCCTGATTCTCCATCTCACCCTCAGGCCCCTGGGCCTTTGCACATGCTGTGCTGGCTGCCTGGGATGCCCTTCCCAACCGGCACCACCTGGCTCCGTTCCTACCTGTGTTCCAGGCTTCAGCACCACAGTCCCTGCCCAGGGAAATCCACCCTGACACCTGGGCTGCAGCAGGAGTGGCCTCTGGCCATTGCTGTCTGCATGCACGTCCACCACCCTTGCTAGACACGGCAGCAAGGCCTGCCTAGGACCTTTCCATCACATTTTTTTTTTTTTGAGATGGAGTTTTGTTCTTGTTGCCCAGACTGGAGTGCAATGGCACAATCTCGGCTCACCACAACCTCCGCCTCCTGGGTTCAAGTGATTCTCCTGCCTCGGCCTCCTCAGTAGCTGGAATTACAAGTATGCACCACCACACCCAGCTAATTTTGTATTTTTAGTAGAGACGGGGTTTCTCCATGTTGGTCAGGCTGGTCTCAAACTCCTGACCTCAGGTGAATTGCCTGCCTCGGCCTCCCAAAGTGCTGGGATTACAAGCATGAGCCACCACACTGGGCCCTTTGCATCCCGTTCTGCCTGGCACTCCATTCATGCTCAGTGGGCAGAAGCCCGTGCTGAGAGTAAGGCTGGTCTGCGGCTGGGCCTGGTAACTTCGTGAGGTTTCCCCTGCACAAACCCCCGCCCCCAGCTCACCCAGCTTGGGCTTCACGAAGCCATTGGTGATGCCGAGGTTCTCGGCTGCCACGGTCTCGCCATTGACGACCCGCAGGATGGTGAACTCTGATGACAATGTGTGGGTGACAAAGGGCAGGTCCCGCTCGCGCACCTAGGGGCAAGAAGTTGAGGCCGTGTGTGCCTGGTGGCCCTGGGGGATGTGGGTCTGGGGCACCGACCTCTCACCCTGAGACTCTGCCCCCACCCTGGAATAGCGTGGAAGGGCAAGGCTGCAAGGGGTGGGAGATGGGAGTGAGTGTGTCAGAGGCGGGCATGAGTGTGCAAGGCGTGTCTGTGATGGTCAGCTCACCAGGATGAAGTCTGTCTGATACGTGGACAGCATGAACACGGATATGTTCTGGTCAGCCAGTGGGGCGATGACTGACTTGGCGATCTTGGTCACGCCGATGGGCTGGGAGCTGGAGAAGCTGCCACCGCCGGACACCACGTTCAGGGCCAGCCAGGTGGCATCTGCCACACTCAGGTGCTCCGAGGAGGGCAGCTCTGGAGGGAGACACAGAAGGCAGTCCTGTGACTGCTGAGGTTCCAGATGACCCAAGGGCAGGGCAAGGCAGGCCAGAGGTGGAGAGTGATGCTCTGGGGCCAGCTCCACCCTGTGCCTTGCCTCACTTTCCAACAGGATTTTTTTTTTTTGAGACAGTCTTGCTCTGTCGCCCGGCTGGAGTGCCTGGAGTAGCGCGATCTCGGCTCACTGCAACCTCTGACTTCCTGGTTCAAGTGATTCTCCTGCATCAGCCTCCCGAGTAGCTGGGATTACAGGCACATGCCACCACGCCCAGCTAATTTTTGTATTTTTAGTAGAGACAGGGTTTCACCATGTTGGCCAGGATGGTCTCAATCTCTTGACCTCGTGATCCGCCCGCATCAGCCTCCCCAAGTGCTGGGATTACAGGCGTGAGCCACCGCACCCAGCCGGATGGGATTGTTTTTTGAGAGAGTCTTGCTCTGTCACCCAGGCTGGAGTGCAGTGGCGCGATCTCGGCTCATTGCAACCTCCACCTCCTGGGTTCAAGTGATTCTTGAGTAGCGGAGATTATAGGTATGCACCATCACACCCAGCTAATTTTTGTATTTTTAGTAGAGATGGCATTTTCCCATGTTGGTCTGGCTGGTCTCGAACTCCTGATCTCAAGGGATCCTCCTGCCTTGGCCTCCCAAAGCGCTAGGATTACAGGCGTGAGCCACTGCGCCCAGCCTTCAACAGGATGGGATTTGAATCAAAGGCTGCTTCCTGGGAGGACTGGGCAGGGAAGGCCCTCAGATGACACAGGACATCCCCGGCAGCTTAGCAGAGTAGGAGCCATGTGGGCAAGTGGTTGATCTGCACCGAGCCTCAGTTTGCTCAGCCGTAAAACGATGGCATCAGTAGTGGGTAATGTCCTTTAGTTCTTACAACCCTTTTGTGGGTCTGATGCTGCCATCACACCCATTGTCCCATGTGTAACTGGCTTTCAAACTGGGTTCCTGGATACCTCTCAGGGAGGCTCTGGGTGGAGGGGAGGCCAGGAAAAGGCTGGGTGGGGCTTTGGGGTTTCTCTTCCCCCTTCAGCCAGCCCTGCACATTGGGCTTCTCTGGAAGAAGAGGCAACTCCAGGAGGGCCCCTGAAGAGGCTGCATCATGGGGGGCAGTGACTGTCACCCATGTCCCTCCTGAGAGCCTGGAAGTCCCAGGGGCTGGCATTGGCTTTGGCAGGGTGGGGAGTCCACAGCAGCAGCAACTGCTAAGCCTCCTTACCTAGCTCATGAAAACCCAGAATCCAAACGCTGGAGCCATCCCTTCCACCCTGTCCTGCAGACAGAGACCCTGAGTAGCCCTGAATGTGGGACACAGGCACACACTATGTGTGACCACACACAGCTGCAGACTCGAGCCCAGGCTGCATTCGGGGCTCTTCATACAACACCAGGCACCTGCATAAACCCACCTAGTGCCAGGCCCTGAGTGGGGAGGGGGCACGGCACAGGGAGGTGAACTCTGACACTGCATCCCACAAGGAGGCAGGATTTTTTTTTTTGAGATGGAGCCTCACTCTGTCACCCAGGCTGGAGTACATTGGCATGATCTTGGCTCACTGCAACCTCTGCCTCCTGGTTCAAGCAATTCTCCTGCCTCGGCCTCCCGAGTAGCTGGGATTAGAGGCACCCAACATCATGCCCGGCTAATTTTTATATTTTTAGTAAAGATGGGGTTTCACCATGTTGGCCCGGCTGGTCTCAAACTCCTGGCCTCAAGTGATCCACCCGCCTTGGCCTCTCAAAGGGCTGGGATTACAATCGTGAGCCACCGCGCCTGGCCGAGGCAGGGTTATTTTGCTCACCGTACACTCAACGGTCCAGAAACCCTGGACCTGGAAGGCTCAGTGATTTGCCGAAGATCACTTAGGAAGTAACAGAGCCAGGATTCCAGTGCGGGTCTGGCTCAAGAACCCAGGCTCTATCTTGGGCACTAAATGAAAAGTACCAAGTCCCTAAGAAAATAGGGGGCTAAAAAGAGAGGTGCTGAGGCTGGAGGCGGTGGCTCATGCCCGTACTCCCACTGCTTTGGGAGGCCAAGGTAGGAGGATCGCTTGAGGCCAGGAATTTGAGACCAGCCTGGAGAACGTAGCGAGACCCCATCTCTAAAAAAATAAAAATAAAAAATAAATGAGCCAAGCATGGTGGCACATGCCTGTGGTCCCAGCCACTTGGGAGGTTGAGGTGGGAGGATCGCTTGAGTCTGAGATTTCAAGGCTGCAGTGAGCTATGACCGCACCACTGCACTCCAGCCTAGGTGACACAGCCAGACCCTGTCTCAAAAAATAAATCGATAAAAAGGGAGAGAGGGGCTCAAAGATGGGTGAGCCAAGGCAGCTGTGATGATGAAGATTCCTGGGGAAAGACGAGCTGGGCTCTGCTGGCAGGCAAGATGGCCTGAGAGGAGGGAAATTGAGTGAGGCCCATGCCTGTTCCTACCTGCCCAGCTCCGGTCACCATGGTGACCACAGCCCAAGGAGCCCATTGGTCCCGCTGGCTGAGAAGGACCAGTGGTCAGCCAGTGGGTGGCTAGAGAGGCAGGCGGCTGCACAGAAATGGGAAAGGGCGGCCCCAGTCTTGAGCAGTGGGAGGCCTGTCTCTTATCAAAGCCGCAGGCTTCGGGCTCCGAGGGGCCAATCCTGGCTCTGTCCTCCCCAGCGGAAGCGGCTGCTGATATAGCCTCCGAGGTGGTGAAGTGTACACCTTGAGGGGGTGCTGACATAACCAAGACTCTGCCACTAGGAGTCTCTTGGCAGGTTTGGATGAGACCCAGAGTGGTCTTGGGGAGAAGCCCAGGCCTGAGACCAGCTGGAAACGTGGGTGTGGGGGAAGAGGCGGCTGCTGCTGGCTGGAGGATTTCAGGTCAATCAGCAGCTGGCCAGGAGCAGGCAGCCTGTCTGATGGATTGGTCTACCCGCCCTGCTCACGGCCTCAGCCTGGGAAAGAACCCAGAGCTGTTGCTTCCTTTTTTTTTGAGCGAGAGTGTCTTACTCTGTCGCCCAGGCTGGAGTGCAGCGGCGCGATCTCGGCTCACTGCAACCTCTGCCTCCCGGGTTCAAGCGATTCTCATGTCTCAGCCTCCTGAGTAGCTGGGACTACAGGTGCATACTACCATGCCTGGCTCTACTTTTTTTTTTTTTTTTTTTTTGTATTTTTAGTAGAGAAGGGGTTTCACCATGTTGGGCAGGCTGGTCTCGAACTCCTTACCTCAAGTGATCTGCCCGCCTCGGCCTCCCAAAGTGCTGGGATTACAGGTGTCAGCCACCTTGCCCGGCCACCTCTCCACCTTTTGATCGGTCACTGCCTCCTGACCATGCCTTGCCATGCGTGGCATGGACCACAATGATGTACCGCTGTCCCCAGTTCACAGACAAGGGGACTGTGATGGGTGAGGGCTAGTGATGTGGAGCCTAGATAAGCACTGGGCCCCTCTAACTGCAAGTCTAAGCTTCTACCCATTACCCAGAGGCTTCTAACGTTATTCTGAATCTGTCAGGACACCTAGCACTGCACACAGTGCTCACGAAATACTTAAAAGAGGCCGGGTACGGTGGCTCATGCCTGTAATCCCAGTGCTTTGGGAGGCCAAGGCAGGCAGATCACTTGAGGTCAGGAGTTCAAGACCAGCCTGACCAACATGGGGGAAACCTTGTCTGTACTAAAAATATAAAAAGTAGCCGGGTGTGGTGGTGCGTGCCTGTAATCCCAGCAACTCAGGAGGCTGAGGCATGAGAATCGCTTGAACCCGGGAGGTGGAGGTTGCAGTGAGCAGAGATTGTGTCACTGGACTCCAACCGGGGTGACAGAGCGAGACTCAGTCACACACACACGTAAAAAATCGGAATATACACATATACAACCCCTCTGTCTGCCACACAGACATACTGCATCCATTTGAGCCAAGACCTTCTTTTTTTCTTTTTTTGAGACAGGGTGTTGCTCTATCACCCAGGCTGGAGTGCAGTGGTACAATCATGGCTCACTGCAGCCTCAACCTCCCAGGCTCAAGTGATCCTCCCACCGCAGCCCACCGAGTAGCTGGGACCACAGCCATGTGCCACCACAACAGATTAATTTTTGTATTGTTTGTAGAGACGGGGCTTTGCCATGTTGCCCAACCTGCTTGAACTCCTGGGCTCAAGCGATCTACCTGCCTCAGCCTCCCAAAGGGCTGGGATTACAGGCATGAGCCACTGTGCTCAGACCAAGAATCTCTTAAGAACGTTCACATTGAACAAGGAACTCTGCTGGCTCATGTCATTTACAAGCCATCCCCTGCCCTCCCAGGAAAGACCCAGCATCCACTGAACCATGGCCAGCTGCTAGCTTCTAACTATCAAAGCTGCCAGTGAACACACACCCTGGCTCATGTTAAGAGTGGCAGAAGAGGCCCTTTGGTGGGAAGCAATGTTTGCAGCGCTGGAGGTTTGCAGAACGGGGTGACAGGGCACCGGCCTTCATTCCCCATGCCAGAGCCAGCATCCTTCTTCCTGGGGTCATGCCTGTAATCCCAACACTTTGGGAGGCCAAGGTGGGAGGACTGCTTAAGGCCAGGAGTTCCAGACCAGCATAGGCAACATAGTGAGAATCCTCTACAAAAAAACACAAAAACTAGCCAGTGGGCTGTGCACGGTGGTTCACGCCTATAATCCCAGCACTTTGGAAATTTGGAAGGCTGAGGCGGGTGGATCACTTGAGGTCAGGAGTTCGAGACCAGCCTGGCCAACATGGTGAAACCCTGTCTCTACTAAAAATACAAAAATTAGCTGGGCATAGCGGTGCATGCCTGTAGTCTCAACTACTCAGGAGGCTGAGGCAGGAGAATCGCTTGAACCCAGGAGGTGGAGGTTGCAGTGAGCTGAGATCATGCCACTACACTCCAGTCTGGACAACAGAGCGAGACTCCATCTCAAAACAAAACAAAAAAACAAAAAACAAAAAATCCCAAAAACTAGCCAGTGGGCTAGGTGCAGTAGTTCATGCCTGTAATCCCAGCACTTTGGGAGGTCAAGGCAAGAGGATCATCTGAGGTCAGGAGTTCAAGACCAGCCTTGCCAACATGGTGAAACCCTGTCTCTACTAAAAATACAAAAAAAAATTAGCCGGGTGTGGTGGTGCATGCCTGTAATCCCAGCTACTCAGGAGGCTGAGGCAGGAGAATCGCTTGAACCTGGGAGGTGGAGGATGCAGTGAGCTGAGATCGCGCCACTGCACTCCAGTCTGGGGACAGAGCGAGACTACCTCGAGAAAAGCAAGCAAACAAAAACTAAACTCTCTTTCTGAAGCAGAGCGTCCAAGGAGATGAGGGGTACAGTTGTCCTCCTAGCCTCATACTGCAGCCCCTAGGCCCACCCCAAATCCTGCCACAGCCCCCTGAGAGTCTTCTCAGACTGTCCTAGGCCACACATGGTGGTATACCATCTTCTCACATTACTTTCCGGCAGCACTTTCTCCTTATTTAGGCTAGAGGCGCCTTGAGAGCATTTCCTACTTTCCGTCCTGGCTTGGTTGTCACTCACTAACTCTGGGCAAGTTAATGTCTGCTTGCTTTCTCGCTTGTAAAATGGGTCTTTACTCTTGTTTTTTTTTTTTCTTTCTTTTAAGACGGAGTCTCACTCTGTCCCCCAGGCTGGAGTGCAATGGCGCGATCTCGGCTCACTGCAACCTCCACCTCCCGGGTTCAAGCGATTCTCCTGCCTTGGCCTCCCGAGTAGCTGGGATTACAGGCATGCGCCACCACGCCCAGCTAATTTTGTATTTTTAGTAGAGACGGGGTTCCTCCATGTTGGTCAGGCTGGTCTCGAACTCCTTTTTTTTTTGGTTTTTTTTTTTTTTTTTTTGAGACAGCTCTGTTGCCCAGGCTGGAGTGCAGTGGCGTGATCTCGGCTCACTGCAAGCCCGCCTCCCGGGTTCACGACATTCTCCTGCCTCAGCCTCCCAAGTAGCTGGGACCACAGGCGCCCACCACCACGCCTGGCAAATTTTTTTTGTATTTTTAGTAGATATGGGGTTTCACCATGTTAGCCAGGATGGTCTCAATCTCCTGACCTCGTGATCCACCCACCTCGGCCTCCCAAAGTGCTGGGATTATAGGCGTGAGCCACCGCGCCCGGCCTCAAACTTTTTTTTTTTTTTTTTTGAGATGGAGTCTTGCTCCATCGCCCAGGCTGGAGTGCAGTGGCATGATCTTGGCTCATTGCAGCCTCTGCCTCGTGGGTTCAGGTGATTCTCCTTCCTCAGCCTCCTGAGTAGCTGGAGCTACAGGCATGTGTCCCCATGCCCGGGTAATTTTTGTATTTTTAGTAGAGACGGGGTTTCACCATGTTGACCAGGCTTGTCTCGAACTCCTGACCTCAGGTGATCTGCCTGCCTCAGCCTCACAAAGTGCTGGGATTGTAGATGTGAACCACTGTGCCTGGCCAAAATGCTAATATTTTGGCAGCACTTTGGGAGGTCAAGGCAGGTGGATCACTTGAGTTCAGGAGTTTGAGACCAGCCTGGCCAACATGGTGAAACCAAACCCCACCTCTACTAAAAATACAAAAAAATTAGCCGGGCATGGTGGTGGGTGCCTATAATCCCAACTACTCAGAAGGCTGAGGCAGGAGAATCGCTTGAACCTGGGAGATGGAGGTTGCAGTGAGCCAAGATCACGCCACTGCACTCCAGCCTGGGTGACAGAGTGAGACTCTGTCTCAAAGAAAAAAAAAAGAGAGAGACAAAAAAACAAATCCACTCAATTTTTTTTTTCTTGGGCAATAATAGATTTCTAAGCAGCCTGGTTTGCTGACCAGGAAACGCACCCTGGAAGGGAAGCCCTTACCCTGAAGTCACAGAGGTAAGGCTGGCTGGCTAGCCTCTGGCCTTGCTGGGCTAATTGAAACCTGCTTTCCCAGTGGTCCCTGTGTTCCTCAGTGCTGCACCTGCGGCTGGGAAAGGCTCAGGGAGGGGCAGGGCAAGACAGTTTCAAAAGTCACAAGGCTCTGGGGAATGGCAGGGTCGAGGGATTGTGGGCAATTCCTTCCCTGGGCCAGCCGAGGGTCTCAGCCTGGGCCCAAGGACCTCTATTTGAAGAGAGCTTACTCACCCCCAGGAATTTCCTACTTCACTCCTTGTTCCCTCTCCTGCACACACACACCCCAGGAGACTCTACCCCAACTCAGCCCTAACCCAGCCCAACAACCTTCAGTGGCTCCCCAGTGCCTGAAGAATAAGATCCAAACTTACCCTGCCTACCTCTGTCTTCCCCTTTTTTAGAGGCTGGACCTGGCCCTTGCTTCTGCTCCTGTACTTTCTCATTCAACTCTCCTCTGACATGTTTTCTTCCTTCCCCACAAGGCCAGCAAAAATATCACCTCCTCCAGGAAGTCCTCCATGACCACATGAGCTCACCAGGAACTTCCGCTTTTGAGCCCCCAGAAAGGACCATGCTGCAGAAGTCTCCCCATGCTGCTTCTAACCCAAATAAAGTATAGGAGGGGAGTTCAGGAAAAAGCCTAGAGCCAGGCACAGCAGTACACGCCTCTACTCTCAGCTACTCGGGAGGCTGAGGTGGGAGGATTGCTTGAGCCCAGGAGTCTAAGGCTGCTATGCACTACGATCATACCTGTGATTAGCCACTGTACTCCAGCCTGGGCAACATAGCAAGAACCTGTTTCTTAAAAAAAAAAAAAAAAAAAAAAATTAAGTGCCTGCATGCCAGGTAGAAACCATGAAGGGAGGGGTGCTTTCCAGGCAGAGAAGCGCATGTGTGTGCAGCCACATGGAGGAATCTTTCCTGATCCCTCCTCTTCCAGGCAAGCCCTGTCCTCCTGTCTCTCTTCTCACACTCTAGTTCCCTGGGGATGCCAAGTGTGTCCCCAGTACTAGAAGCTGTGGCTGTACACACATGGGGTTCTCTCTGCCTGGAAAGTGCCCCTCCATTAATGTTTTCCACCTGGTGGGGGCGGGGGGGGCCACTTAATTTTAATTTTAATTTTTTTTCAGAAATAGGTTCTCAGGGCCGGGCGCGGTGGCTCACGCCTGTAATCCCAGCATTTTGGGAGGCCGAGGTGGGTGGATCACGAGGTCAGGAGATCGAGACCATCCTGGTTAACACGGTGAAACCCCATCTCTACTAAAAAATACAAAAAATTAGCCGGGCGTGGTGGCGGGCGCCTGTAGTCCCAGCTACTCGGGAGACTGAGGCAGGAGAATGGTGTGAACCTGGGAGGCGGAGCTTGCAGTGCTGAGATCACACCACTGCACTCCAGCCTGGGCCATAGAGCGAGACTCCGTCTCAAAAAAAAAAAAAAAAAAAAAAAAAGTTCTCAGGCCAGGCAAGGTGGCTCATGCCTGTAATCTCAGCACTTTGGGAGGACGAGGCGGGTGGATCATGAGGTCAGGAGATCAAGACGATCCTGGCCAACAGGGTGAATCTCCATCTCTACTAAAAAATACAAACATTAGCCGGGCGTGGCGGCGGGCACCTGTAATCCCAGCTACTTGGGAGGCTGAGGCAGGAGAATGGCTTGAACCTGGGAGGTGGAGGTTGCAGTGAGCCGAGATCGTGCCATTGCACTCCAGCCTGGGTGACAGAGTGAGACTCCATCTCAAAACAAAAAACAAAAAACAGGTTCTCATCATGTTGCCCAGGCTGGAGTGCAGTGGCTATTCACAGACGTGATCATGGCACACTACAGTCTCAAACTCCTGGGTTTAAGCAATCCTCCCACCTCAGCCTCCCAAGTAGCTGGTAGTAGAGGCATACACCACCATGCCTGGCTCTTTACTCTTAGCTGGGTTCACTTCAAGTGTTGCTTGAATTCTGGGAAGTCCTCTTAAACTGTGCCCTTGCCAGCTAGACACTTTTCTTTATTTTTTTTATTTTTAAGAGATAGAGTTTCGCTCTGTCTTCCAGCCTGGAAAGCAGTGGTTCAATAACAGCTCACTGCAGCCTCCAACTCCTGGGCTCAAACGATCCTCCTGCCTCGGTCTCTCAAGTAGCTGGGACCACAGGAACATGCCATCATGTCCAGTTAATTTAAAGTAACGTTTTAGTAGAGACGGGGTCTCACTATGCCCAGGCTGGTCTCAAACTCCTGGGCTCAAGTGATCCTCCCACAGTGTTGAGACTAAAAGCGTGAGCCACTGCGCCCGACTGAAGATGTTCTAAAGCACTTTGTAGGTTTCAGTGAAACATGTTCCTTTTCTTCTGGGTTGATCTAATTCTCAGCTGGGTAGCGCCGTACCTACTTACTACTCAGGAGTCTTTCCTAGGGCAATCTCAAGAGCAGGAGGGGAGGGGACCCTCCAGAACCCAGGGAGGGGACCCTCCAGAAGCCAGGGAGAGAAGGAAATACACTCTGCTGTTTTTCCAGCTGACCAGCAGATGAGGGCAGAAGTAAGGAGGTAGGTGGGGGCAGAAATAAGGAGGTGGGCGGGGGACAGAAATAAGGAGGTGGGCAGCCAGCCCTGACTTCGGGGCATGGTCCAGCCGAGCCCCTAGGGAGAGAAGCACTTACCTAGGAATCCTTCCTCATCGACAATGATAGTGTAATCCTCTGGCGTCTCAGTCAGACTGAAGAACTTGCACCTGGATGGATGGACAGACACAGAATATCTCATTAGTCCAGGCAGGTCCCCTGGGGCAGCTGCCCACCCGTGCCCTGGGGATGATGACTCAGTTCACCCAGAGTTCCGGCCCCAGGCTGCTGGGGTGACCGCGGGTAAGTTGTTTATCTCTCCCTTCATGTCCCCCTACTCAGTTCTCACTCAGGAGAGGCACAGAGATGCTGATTGTCCCCACTATACCCCCGCAATCTTTGGGGACCTCGGAGCCAGTCAGCCCCTATGACTGTGTCCAGGCCTGAGGGCCCAAGATCCCAAGTTTTCTCGGAGGGAAGAAGTGGCCGAAGGGTGGCTCCAGTGTGGGTCAGGCAGAGGAGCTGTCTTTTCCATGGCTCTGCCACTGTAACCTCTAGGTGTCTGTTCCCATCTCCCCTCCCATTGACTTGGCCTCCTCCTCAGCAACTCTGGAGCTCCAAGTCATAAAAATGCCTAATTCCCACCAGCTGACTGACAGCCCAGCCCTCGGTTTATTTTCCATCCCTAAAGAGAGAGGAATGCAGCCATCCGTGACATTTTTGGGACATGGATCTCTGCCCCACCTCACATCATCTCTGATAGCACCACTCAGCCTGGGAGGTATGTTGCTCATCTACCCGCAAAACAAAACCATCTATTCTCCAAAAACAGGGACCAGAACCCTGACCCTGCTGGCCTCGGTCCTGGGCATGGTTTTGGTGCCCAGGTCTGTGTCCAGGTGGCCCTTGGGCTGAGCTTCTAGGCTTTTGGTCCTTGGGTGATGGGGGTCATCATCCCCTCAACACCCATGTCCCTGTTCCCCATTTAGCCAGAACCGCACCCCCACTGCACCCTAGAGAGTATTGCAGGCAGAGATGGCAAGTCCAAGTGTGCACAGGCAGAGGCTTGCAGGAAACTGACCCCTGGCCACTTATCTGGTGTTCCGGCTCTCCAGCACAAAGCCGGGCATGGGCTCTGCACCCCCACCCATTGAGGGGAGCTGGGACAGAAAGAAGCCCATGAGTAACCCAGGTGTATTTGTCTGTTCTCATGCTGCTAATAAACACATACCCGAGACTGGGTAATTTATAAAGGGAAAAGGTTTAATGGACTCATAGTTCCACATGGCTGGTTGGTGGTTGGCGGGGCTGGGGGGGCGGGGGTGCTCACAATCATGACAGAAGGCAAAGAAGGAGCTAAGGCATGTCTTACATGGCAACAGGC